>NC_000006.12:125070790-127570790 GCF_000001405.40 Homo sapiens
TAAAAATACTTTCAAAAATGAATTAGAGGTTAGGATTTTATCTAGAGTAAAATATTTGTTGGGGGCAGTAATACATAACAGTCAACTTAGTTATCAAATGCTGCTTAAACAATAAAGTAAGCCTTCATTTCTTGGTGAAACTGGAGACAAATACTTGTGGGCAGATGTATACTGATTTAGTCATAAAACATTGTAGGTTTAGCAGTTCATTTACTGTTATTCTTCTACCTTATGATTAGGTAGAACCTTGTTTGAAAATAAAAGGCCACATTCCAGTTCTTTTTTTTAGATACTTTGTGGGCATTTTATTGAATTAAATGTAAACAACTTGAGGAGGACAGGTACTATTTTCTTCATGCAGATGGTTCCCAAGTTAGGATGGTCTGACATGATTTCGACTTTTCTTACGATTTTTCAACTTTTCCATGATGTGAAAGTAACATGCGTTTGGTAGAAACCATATTTCAAATTTTGAATTTCGATCTTTTCCCAGGCTCAAAGTAAGCTGGGCAGTGGCAGCGAGCTGTGCAGCTGGCAGTCACCCGTGCCATCACGAGGGTGAACAACTGATACTCACAGTGGACTGGGTTGCCAGCATTTTTTGGATATTGTGTTTTGTTTTTTCACATCCCATGTCTACAAATTGCCCATTTTCAACCTATGATATTTTCAACTTGGAGCATCTGCCTACATATGTGTGTGTGTGTGTGTGTGTGTGTGTGTGTGTGTGTGTGTGTGTGTGTGTGTATATCTTATTACAGGTTTTAATCCATCCTGTGAAGAATATCCTAGGCACAAAAATGGCTCCTTGTGTCATTTCCATCTACTACAATGTGGACTTAATATCAAACTCTTATAAGGGAATATCTAGCTTATTCTGAACATTTCATCTTATGACCTTAAGTATAGAAAGATATAAGTAATGCTTGGTGCCTAAATATTCAATTCCTTAAATGTCAGTCATCCTTATTTGTTATAGATAGAAGAAACTATGAGTACTAACAATTCAAATGTCATTCATGATTTATGAGTGGCCAGTTTTATCTAATGGATTAGGATTATCTAGTCTTTCTCCATCTTTTAAGTAAAAAGAGAATTTTGATACTAAATTTTAGCCACTTGGGCAGTTAGTTTATTTTTTAGCAGAGCTAAACTCATGAATATTTTTGGAGCTATAATAAAAAATAAAAACAGCTTCATTGAGAACAAAATGAACTTTCTGTAAATATAATTTAAACCTATGTTTTAAGGCTTTGTGTTTTAAAAACAAAGATGACACTGTTAAAGTGAGACTGATAAAGGTGTACTTGGGGAATTCATCAGCATAAGAAATGTATTATCCCCTGGTAGTACGAGTTTAAAATTACAACTTGCTTAGCAAATGTGAAAAATAATGTCTCCTGTTGCAGATTGCATTTTGCTAGTTTATTTCTCTGTTAGTGTCAAATAAAATATTCATATATAATCAAGATATATTCATAATAATATTAAAGGCAGCACTGTGTACTTGACAGTTGGTAAATGATGAAACAATTTTTTCCGTGATTATGTGTATAAAATACTCAAATTAATCTATAGAGCCATATAATCCCAAAATGTACAAGGTTACTATAGAGCTTACAATTTTACCACTTCCTGTACAGAAATATTATTTGACCAACGGTATTTTAGTTGCCTGCTGCATTTGGAATATAATAATACTAATAAGGAAAGACTGTTAAAAGAGAAAGGCTAGAAAGTGCAAACTTATTTAAATGAAATAATAAATAGGCCACATAAAGATTTTAGAACCCAATGAAGCAATATTACAAACAGATATAAAATTACAGTGAAAATTATATGTGAAATATGAGGCAAAACTTATTAGAACAAGTTTTTCTGTCAGGAAAAGTGATGCCATTTGAAGGAAGAATGGCACAGAATGGCAAAAACAAGAAGACACAGATATACCTTGTGGAGGGAGAGCTGACATGTTTGTCTGACTGGTTGGCAAATAATATGATTGATCTTCTGGTGTTACCTTTTAAGTTCATCATAAGAGGCTACTTAGCATAATAAAGAAACACATGGATTCAAAATCTTTCTCACTCACGAGGATTATCACTCAGGCAGATTACTTTTCTGAACTCTGTTTATGAAGAAGAATGCCAATCTCATGGTGCAGTTATAAGGCTTAAAAGTGCTAATCTGTGTACAATGCTTGGCACATAATAGGCTCTACGCAAAAATTAGCGCTCTTTCCTTGGTAGATCACCCACGACACTGCTATCAGTGTCAAATCAGGAAATTTGTTAAGTCGTATTATCTCCACTTTAAGATCAAACACAATATATAGTCAAAAAGTTGAATGTACGATGCTTTGGGTTTTCGGCAGTTGTCTTCAAATATGTCCTAGTGCTCATGTGGTTTAAATAAGGATCAGAAATGATTCAGAGGTCCAGTAGGGCTGTTGGCCTGTGGTATTCCTAATGCCATTTACTGTGCTAAATGGATGTGGCTACAGTAACCATTGATAAACATGAACAACAGAGGGTAAGTGCTGGACTAGGAGCTGACTCACAGAAAGCTAAAGGGCTTAAGCTTCAAAGACCTTCACCTGCACAGGCCCCTTCTTAGGCCTTGTATCTAATTTGTCTTTGTAAGTTGGATTATTTTGCTTAAAGAAGGATTCTCAAATTAAACAATCTACAGGCCTTGCAAAACCTGGATCCACTGCTACTGGTCTGTCATGTAAAAGGAAAAAAATCACTATGACTAAAAAAGTTAGATAAGGCAACCCATAGCAAGAAACATGAGTTTTGCTTTTCTTGCCCAAATCATGATTTGTTGGTAACTCTCGACCCTAGGTGCTTATATGCCCTTGACCACACACTTGCCTATCTAGGAAAGCACTCTCTAGTCCAGCATCAGCCTAAGAATTGCCCATATGAAGAAGTAAGAAAGGGGACTGCCTGGCAGTCCAGGAACTTGCAGTTAAATTACCCGGGTATTTGATTTCTGGCATTTTTAGGTGGGTAAAGGGGAATAAGTAGATGGGAAACAACTTTATATTGACCTGACTCCATATGTGCCAAAACGAGTTTGGCACTGTGCATAGGTTATCACATTTTACACTGGTTGGTAGGGAATATTATCTAACTTGACACTTGGGAGAGGTAAAGTAACTTCTTTTTAAACAGCTAGTGGAGCTAGAATTCAAACACAGGGCTTTGTGAAGTCAAAGCTCATGTTCTTTCCAACCTCTCTGTAAGGCAGAAGCTTACCTGCCAAGTGTCAGTCACCCACTGGAAAGGAATGGACATTTCACCTCCCAGTTCACCTAACGATTTTGAATACATAAAGTCCTGCCAGCCAATTGACAAACTTTTCTTTCTTGGTCCCTTCATTTCCCCATGTATGAAGTGCCCGCCTGTAATATGCTGTGTTCCACTTAATTATTACTTCTTCAAAATGATCACAGTCACCAAGAAACTCTCCAGTTAGGTAGGTCGGTAGACAGAAGATAGGTAGATAGATAGATAGATAGATAGATAGATAGATAGATAGATAGATAGATAGATAGGGATGGGAGGAAGGGGGAGAGAGAGGTGTTATCTTTTAAGTGACATTTTTGTGATTACTATGATTAATGGCCGTTATTAGTTCACAAGCAGCCTCATGAGTTCTTTTGAAATTCATATTGTTCCATTAAATTGCAGTTTTATATTTTAGTTATTTAATCCCTAAAACTGAAATACTGCACATAATTTGGAGTTAGGAACTTCAAAAACTTTTTATTCCTAAAAGCTATACAACAAGGTTTTATTTTAAAGTAAAGAAAAATTTTCATCTCTCAACCTTTTCATTTCTCCTTTCACAGAACTCTTCTCTTTTTCCTGGATGATTTTATCCCACCTCCATAATCATTGACCAGTTTTTTTAATGCAGTTATAACTACACTACTTCAGACATTCAAATAAATACACTGTATTAGGGGAAGGAAAGGATAATTTTAAAGGAAATATGCAGAGTTTTAGCTTATGGCTAAGACTTGACTGACAAGAGTCAAACAACTACTGAAGGATTTGACACACTTGTTAATTGTAAAACTCCCAATTGCTTTAAAACATTCACTGACACTCTAGTCCCGAAACAACACAATGAATAGAAGCCTCCACTAGTCAAAATGGTATCAGGAGCATTTTCAATAAAATTTCTAAGCAAAGAACTCACATGTGAATGAATAAAGATGTGACTTGAGCAAGTACCTACTCCAAGTGCAAGCTTGTCCAACCTGTGGACCACTTGCTGCCCAGGACAGCTTTGAATGCAGCCCAACACTAATTTGTAAACTTTCTTAAAACATTATGAGATGGTTTTTGCAATTTTTTTTAGCTCATCAGCTATCATTAGTGTTAGTGTGTTTTATGTGTGGCCCAAGACAATTCTTCTTCTTCTAGTGTGGTCAAAAGATTGGACACCCCTGCCGTAGTGAAGTAGTAGACTATTTTTAGGAGGTCTCATTTTAGTAACAGGAGAACTGGGCAATTGTATTAGTCCATTATCATGCTGCTATGAAGAAATACCTGAGACTGGGTAATTTATAAAGAAAAGAGGTTTAATTGACTCATGGTTCCGCATGCCTGGGGAGGCCTCAGGAAACTTACAATCATGGCAGAAGGCACATCTTCACAGGGCAGCAGGAGAGAGAATGAATGCAAGCAGGGGAAATGCCAGACGCTTACAAAACTATCAGAACTTCTGAGACTCACTCATTATCACAAGGGCAGCATGAAGGAAACTGCCCCCATGATCCAATTCCCTCCACTTGACCCTGCCCTTGACACGTGGGGATTGTTACAATTCAAGGTGATATTTAGGTGGGAATACAGAGCCAAACCATATCAGCAATGTAACCAAAATATTATGTATTTTGATTAAATAATGTTAAGTTAAACTATGTTGTCTTTTATGATTATTCATGCAACAAAGTACGCACAGATAAAGATGGCTCTAATTTCTATACAATATCTTTCCATGAGGATTCTGAGTTGAGTTTCCAATTTTATCGCAAAGAGTAAAGTCTTGATTATAACATGGTCTCACTGCTTGAGGCGGTGACTACCACACTGTATGTTATATATGGTGTATGTATATATACCATACCACCACTGTATGGTATATATGGTATACATATATATGTATATATGGTGAACTACCCAAAAATGAAATCCTTGTTACATGATGGGTGAAGCTGTGTTTACATGTAACTTGACTGCAACAATAGAGGAAGGTGCTTAGTTGCACAGATGGTATTGTACAAACAGTTCTACAAACAACACATTTACAAATAATATTAGAGCTGAAAACTAAAAAGGTATTGCAAATACATTTATATCTGCTATAATTTCCTTCAACAAAGAGACCTCTGCTTTTTGGTATTTATTCACAAAAACTTTTATGTAATCCTTTCTTTTAAGGAATACTGTTTATCTCTGCTTATTCCCCCAAGTTGGCTCATTCTTGCTGATCATAGCATAAACAAAATATACTTTCAAAGCATTTTAAATTGCCTCCTAACCGTTGAATTAGGTGTATGTCTGGAAAGATAAATGTGTCTTCCTTGGAATGTGTTTGCTTTTATATTGGTCAAGATAAGCCAACAGCTTGAGTACCTGAAATATTATCAAGCTTTGCACACATGAAAGTATTTGGTAAAAGGATAATCTTGGAGGGTATGATTATAAGCAAATTCACAGCCTCAGGAGTGCTGTGAGAGACTTTTATTTTGGTGAAACTGGTAAGTGTTGTTTCATAAAATTTGCGATTTTGCTTTTTAAAAACTCAGCTAACTCTTTCCTTCTCCTTCCCTCTCTTGCTGATACAGATCCACATCCAGCGAACTGAAGGATGTGACCATATGACCTGCTCACAATGTAACACTAATTTTTGTTACCGATGTGGTGAGAGATACCGCCAGCTCCGATTTTTTGGAGACCACACATCAAACCTCAGTATATTTGGATGCAAATATCGCTACCTCCCAGAGAGACCTCATTTAAGGAGATTAGTGCGAGGGTCAGTCTGTGGTGAGTGTCTGACATACTTATGGGTGTCTTCCCTGGGAATTAAGTAGTGAAAATAGAACTTGGAAATGTGCAGCCATGGTAATTCAGAGCACCTGCCATGTGCCCAGTGTTCAGAGGAGGATATTCTCTCACCCTTTAAGAATAAAATTTAAAACTTAAATTTTGTTACCAGGACACTACTTATATGAGCAAGTAGTAATTTTGTTTGAAAAAGCAGCTTATTAATCACACGCAGAAATCTGAAGTTATTTGCCTCTTAAATTTCTGAAACCCTGTCGTAAGCCACTTAACAAGAGGGGCAGTGTCATGTATATTTTTGTAATGGACAATATCCAGCAGCAGGTCGTACACATATCCTCCACTCATTCATGGAGGACCTGCAATACAGTACAGCATGGAGCGTAGCCTAGGAAGGCAGGGGAAAAAATCTACCTTTTAGAGCCCTGTAATAGAGTTCCATTATGTCTATATAAGTGATAAGTTGCATATATTTTTCATTGTTTTAATTATTAATAGGTAACAGTTAATATAATAAGTATCAAATGCCCTCAGTGCATACAAACCCAAGTTTAATTATCCAAGTGAAAATGCTTTTGTGGATTGACTTTTTACCCCCTCTTCCTCAACAACACATAGTAGCCTCATACACAACCCCTTCCCACACTGGTACACAAGTATGCAAATAGAAACACAGACACCTGCCCATAAACAAATCACCCTGGCCAAATGCCACTGCCTTTGGGTAATGCAGGGTTCTTCGGCGGAATATTTCTTCTTCTGCTCCTCTGGAATGTATTCCATTCCCTGCTGCTCTGGAATGTAACCATGTGAGATTTCTTCCCCTTTTTCATCACATGGATGTCTGTTAGAATTCCTTTTCTGGCCGTGTTTCTCATGTGTAGGCAATACTTTTTATCATCTTCCACATTTCCGTTTTCCTTCCTACTTTTGCCTAGTTGCTTTATGAAAATCTTTATATCTCTCCTTAGCCCTTGGTCACTTCATGACTGTTGTGAACCATTTTCCTCCTTAGAAGCATATGATACCTGATCAGAACAAAGCTGATGTTAGTGATAGATTTCTATCAGGTAAAAGATAGAACATGTATACGCAAATGCACTTTCACATATGGAAACCAATGCCGTCATTTTCTAAAATCTATGTGATCTCTATAAAAATATTCTTCCTGAGGTTAATGGAACATAATTTTCCACAGCCAATAGCATTCAATAGTCAAGACTGCTTTTAATGATTTTCCAGTGCGTGCCGCTTCTTAATTTGCAAATATGGTGGATGTTATAATTATATAACCAATATGTATGTATTAGTTAAACAGATATTGGAGGGATAACTAGGGAATCTAACCTTAACCTCTAATACCATGAGAAAATCAATTGCAAATTAAGTTCTGAGATAGAAGCTGTTTGCAAATCTGTATATGGAGAGAGCAACATGAAAACACAAAATCACTGTATTTTTTGCATTGTTATTTTATTTTCTACTTCAGTGCCACCTTTAATTTGGTCGTGGCAGTGTGTTTCCGTCCATTCTTTATTTTAAATAGAGAAGTCATTTATTTGGCTCATGGTTCTGGAGGCTGAGCAGTCCAAGATGTAGTGGCTGCATCTGGTGAGGGCCTTTGTGCTGCACCATAGCATGGCAGAAGGGCCAGCAAGCCCACGAGACACAGAAAATGGGAGCCAAACTTACCCTTTTGTCAGGAACCCACTCCCTTGATAACTAACACGCTCCTATGATAGTGGTATTAATCCAGTCATAAGGGCTCTGCTCTCAAGATCTAATCACCTCTTAAAGGCCCAACCTCCCAACCTCCTTTTTGGCCTGTCTTTTGTGTGTGCAGGCGCATGTGTGCAAATAAAATCACATCAGGTTAAGCTTGTCAAAGTAGGGAGCAGCTGGCTTTAAGATAAACTCTCTCATCCACACATATTTTCCCCACCCCAAGCACAGCTGCCTCTTAACTGCTGTTGGACCATAACTCCAAGTGAAGTGGTCCTCCCTCCCCCATCTCCACAAATAGCAGGAAAAGTAATGTTGTAATTTACAAAGTTACTTACTCCCTGCCATTTCAGAGAGAAGATGGAGTATAGGAAAGCCCTCCCACCCACTGTCCTTGTGTGATGTGACACAACTTGCTCCCTCAGTCTTGGAATACAGCCTCATGTGGTCCTTGGCCAGAGGCAGAGAAAGGGCCTTCATCTCTCTCACAGCTGAAGGGTGGGAAACATGGTCTTCATTCCGTGTAACCACGTGCTCAGCTAGAGATCAGAGGTTCTGCTCATAAATTATAAAGGAGAAGAGAGATTTGGGGATGATTAGCAGCCTCTGACATAGGGGCATCTCCCCCAGTGAGGCGTGGGCAGATTATTAAAGGAATGGTACTGGGAATAAAAGTGGCTGAGGATAAATTTTAAATTCTCATATTACTTCTTACAAAAATTCTAAGTTTTAAATCAAGTCGTATAATTTTTAAGAATAGGTCTTCAATTGATTTCTAGATGGCAAATAATTTATATAAACAAAAACAATGGAGCCTTCTCCAAAAATGAATACTCAATTAAAAAAAAAAAAAAAGACAAGCCTGGAGCCAGAATTGAAGAAATACAAATAGCCAATACATATGTTCAAAAATATTCAGTGTTACTAGCTGTCAGAGAAATGTAAATTGGCAGTCTCAAAATGAGATACTTTGAGTATTATTAACTTGATAAGACATCTGCTAACTATTGATTAGCAAATGTTTTATCAAGTTAATACTTAATATTGGACTTTCATACTTAATGAATTGAAATTTTGTACAATTCTTTTGCAAAGAAATTTGATACTAATGTGAAGGCCATTTTAAAACATGATAAATCTAGATAAACTGAAAATGGGTTATGTGCAAGTATAATTTAAAATAGGGAAAAGAAACAAAAAATTAAGTATAGGAATATTTAAATAAAATACGATATATGGATATGATAGCAATTAAAAATGATGTTTTAGAGCAATGTTACTAACCTAGGAATAAGAGATAGTATGCCTAGTCCCTTAAAACAGTTTCAAAAGTAGATGTAAACATGTTTTGAACATGGATTACATAATTGGAATAAGTTTATTTCCTATCTCGTTCCTTCAATTCTGTGATATTTGAGAGGAAAAAGAAAATCAATGCTGTTACTTTTTAGTTATGTTTTATTACTATTAGGAAAATATACTGATAATTATTTAAAAAGGAAATATGAATGAACAGACTGAGCTATGTGCATAGGAGAAAAACACATTCTTTTAAAATATATGTGCTTATATATTCTAAACTCTTAAGCATCACTTTAAGAGTGTACTAAACGTAATTATTCAATGGGACTTATTACTTACTTGGATTCTGTCATTGGCAAAAAATATAAATAAAACCCATATCTAGACATGGTGCTAATGGAATGGAGATCTTTTTAAATTAGATATTTAAAACAGTGTTGTATACATGTCTGGTCATCTGGTTCCAAAGATCATTTCTTAAGAATAAAAAAGTTAGTATGTTTTGACAAACTTCCAACAAATGGCTGTATTAGTTTCTTTTTTAGTGTAATTGATTATTCTAAATTACTGTCCTTTAATTTATAGAATGATATTGCTGTTTCATCCTTAAATTGCCTTGTGAGTCTACTGCAAAGTTTCTCTCTTTCTCATCTCTTATTGCATTTGAGTTGTGCGGCCCTGAAGCTGTGTCACATGCCGTAAGGTTTAAAATACAATAACAACATGTATTTACTAACCTCTTTTTTGTGCCTGTGTCTTTCAAAGTCAGTGGGATTCTGATGTTGGACTCTGCTATGTATACTTATGGCTAGAGTTTATCATCACTGCTTAGTGATTCATTTAGAAAAGAAAATGCTGGCTGATACCACTTGACATCCTTACCAGCACTTTGCCTTTTTATTTTATAAGTGCTTCCTTTTTCAATTCGTTAAAATGATTCACTTGAGTAACTTTCAACGTACTAGGTATTTATTCATAGTTTTCTCTAACATCTTGAAACGTCCCATTTTTAGTTCAGTCTGTTAGGCGTTCATATTATTAGTTTTCTTTGGACCCAGGATGTAAATAAACCACTTCTTTAGATGTGGGCTTGGACAGAAGCCCTCTGTAGGACCTACCAGCTCTCCATGTTATGAGGTAACAAGATTTTCTCCTACCAACTCAAAATGTGCCACTTCTTTCTTAATCTTTTAGCATTGCGAACATTGAAAATGGAAAGGATCTTAAGGAAAAGCACAAAGATGAACTGTCCTGGTAGAATACAGTAAGCCAGTTGCTTTGGAATGTTTTTGGTTAGAAAGGATAAGTGATTTATGTTTGATGCATGTGCTCAGGACTTTGGTGAAGTTACTAAACTTACATGTGTATATCTGTTCTATACCTAATCCTGATACATTTCTTAGATATATACAGCCTTAAGTGTAATCAGACTACTTAAAAAATAATATACACTGTGGTATTTAAAAAGCATCACTGTAATTATTTGGTAGGTTAGTTTTAAGACTCCTTAAATAATTTTGCCTTTTGTTTTCCAGCTGGAAAATTATTCATTGCACCTCTAATTATGGTTTTGGGATTGGCACTAGGGGCCATAGCGGTTGTAATCGGTAAGAAACACTTCATGCATCTGAGATTAGAATTATCTGAGGGCCATAGAGAGAATACGAGTGTAAATGTAATAATATGAATCAGTTATTAAGTGGACATAATTTATGTTGTATGCCTGCTTTAGATAGATTACCAGCATATCATTTAAAAGGTCAGAGGAGCGTGTTTCCTGTAGGATATGTTAGTATGAATTTTTCAGTCTATGAACACTGTGATTCATGTACCTTATAAAGCATTATTAACCCTTTTATAACACAAAGCTAATAGAATTAGTATCCTTAGGGAAAAAGGCAAGTGGAATAGAACCCAAATTTTCTAATTCTGAGTTCAGGTTGAAGCATCAAGGAAAAGAAGCTCTGCACCTTATGTGTTTCATTTGGTCCAGTAAAAGATGCCATAGGTACAAACAGATAATGTCAGTGTGTACAGGAACATATACCCAACATACACTTGAGCACTGACAAATAGAAAACCTTGCAGTGATTTGCATAGTTTTATTTATGCAAGTATATTAAAATGTGTATTTTAAAGCAGTGGTTCTCAGACTCTAGCATGCTTTAGAATATCCTCAAGGGCTGGATAAAACACACATTGCTGGTTTCGGTCTGCAGTTTCTGACTCGGTATATGGGAAAAGTCCATTGATTTTTATTTTTAAAAAGTTCCCAGGTGATGCTCATGCAGCTGGTTCAGGGACCATACTTTGAGAACTATTGCTTTAGTAATTTTAAGCTAAATGCTATAGATAAAGGCTGCTTTGATCATTGTTCCATATATTAGATGGGGTTTTTTTGCTAAATAAAATGATTTTCGTATGTCAACTTGGGTTTAGCAAGTAATAAATGTGCAGGACAGATAGAATTATAAAGTATCTGACATTTAAGTTCTTGCAATGTGAGTTAGGACATTATGTAATAGATATTATTATCTGTATTATACAGTTGAGGAAATTAAGACTTACTGGAACCTCATAAGTGGTAGAACCAGGAATCAAACCCAACATTTGGCTCCACAGCCTGTGTTGTTAAGTGATATGCTATACTGCCTGAAACAAGTGTGAGTATCATAGTGTGCAAATGATATGACTGTGGACAATAAAGAAGATTTAAACCAAAGTTTTGATATTTGGATAGAAATCATTATTATTAAACTGGTATCACTGAGGGTGCTAAAGGGGAGAAAAGCTAAAGGGAAATATTAAAGAATGAAATATTGAAGAAGTAAATACATTTCATAGCATAGATGTCTTCTTCTTTGTATGTTCGTACACTGCAAATAAATAAACATAGACATTTTAAAATAGGAAAACCTAAATGCCTCTCATCCTAACTAACTTTAATTTTTTCTTATCCCTAGGTTTATTTGTATTTCCTATCTATTGCCTTTGTAAAAAACAGAGAAAACGATCACGGACAGGTATGCACTGGTAACATGCAGATGATTTCATCCAGCTAAGCTGGTTGGAGTAGGAGCGATACCAAAGGGTACACCCATCTGTGAGTCACATCTTGAAAAACACTGAGAGGAACCTTCTACCATCTCATCTCCCAGTGATTCTCCGTGGGCCACAATGCCTCTAGCTATGGTGCACTCCCAACATGGTATCCTGTCCTTTCCCTAAACAAATTGCTGCTGCTTTTAAAAAATGGTCACTTTCATAAACTATAAACATCTATATCATAACTCTGACCTTTGTGGTTCTTGGAAGAAGATATTTTAAGAACCAGTTATCCTAAGAATTCTGAGCACGCCTCTTCTGAGAATTGCTTGGACTGTCTTTGAACTCTGCACCTCCTTCCAGGCCATCTTGTGAGACTTGGTGTTAATAGCTGAAGTCCTATCTGTACCAACAAGCAAGGCCACTTTTCAGAAGATAAGAGTTCACTGAATGCACCTATTATAATCTGTGGCCCCAGCAGTATAATTCTTTTATCTTTCAAATGTTATAATTGCAAAAAATCTCAATGTCCAAAAGGGAATGAGTGAAACTAAATTAATGAGAAGAATATTAAGTTACTGAAGTGTATATGCGTAGGGGCGTGAATGTGTGTGTATATAAATATGTATTAAAACTAGGCCCAGTAACCTTGTACTTACCCAGTTCCATGCCGCTACACTATTTTTCCACATTTTCATAGACCTATTGAAAGATGATGGCTCCTTTGTGGACATAATTTAGCAATGTATTAAATTAAAGTCAATGTAGACAACAGGCCATTTCGATACTGAACTTTTCTATTTCTTGCTCTTTCTTTTTGTCACACAAACACAGAAATTTGTGCAACGTCACCCCAAGGAGTATTAAGCTTTGTAAACTGACAAAACTGGCTGCTTTTAGGAAATTCTCAAGACACAAATATTCAGTCTTTTTAAAATTCTTACATTTTGGAAAACATGCTTCACTCTATAGATAGATCCTTCACATTGGGATTATTTAATCCCAAAAACAAGTTTGCTGTAGACAACTGCTTAAGCCTTTAAAAAATTCCTATTCTGCTAATTTTTTAACCAACTTGTAATTATAGATAATTCTGCTTTAGGTCAAGGTCTTACATCATTTAATATCCTAACCTTGTTATCTCTTGCCTCCTCCTCTCTGTTTTTATTTGTTTTCAAGGTTTTTCATAAAAACAAATACTAGTTTTGAAGGATTTTTTCTTACATTTAACTGCTCAAACATAATATTTTTGGGGACACCTTCTTATGGAGGAGTTTGAAAACTTTTTATGTTCTTGAGTTTGTCCAATATCAGCTGCTTTTGGGAAAGGAAACAAAAAAGTGAAGGAAATATTTTCAGGAAGTTTTTCTCAACCTACAAAAGCTTTAAAAATAAGAAATTGACAAGTAACTAGACTATGATATGCCTTTGCTTTCATCACAAAAGTTCATCAGCAAACAGGAAAAAAAAAGACCCCTAAAAAGCCTAAAGCTTTAAATTGTCTCCAAATTCTTAAAATTAGTCATCTGTCTTAGATGTACATTTATTTGTCAGCAACCTTGTCTGATTTGAAATAGATGATATGATAAAACATGCATTAACATGAGTAGTTTATTTTTGTTGGGCTCCAGAGTGTAAGAATATTTTATTTTTTGTTTGACATAAAAAGTGAAGTTGACTTGCGTGAATAACAATCCAGCATGCTTTCATTCTTTCTGAATAACACAGAATAACTGTGCTACAGCTTCTGGATTAGTTGTCTATTTCCAGTTAGAGGAGTGTGTGACATTTATGGTTTGGGAATAGCATATTTCTAAAGCATAATATAATACAAGAAATAGTGATGCTCTGTTTTCACAAATTTATCTTTTCATTCACCCATCCATCCATTTAACAGATATTTATTGAGTGCCTATCTTAGGTGTAATAGTATTTAAGACTGAAAGAAGGAGAATTTCTAACCTGTCATAAGAGTAAGGTTTCGTAAATTCATCTTTCCTGAACTTAGGCATTAGTTTGGCAATATGTGAATATGATGAACTCTAAACCTAGCTGATCTGTATATGTATGATGTATATATGTCATATGTATGATATATATGAAATATTCCCATAACTGCATATGAACACATATGCCATATACATATATACCAACGGGCTGAATAACATACTCTTTTGTCTTGGATAATCTGTTTTCTGGGTTATGTATCTGTTGTCTTTGGCCTACTCAGGGATTTTTATTTCTTTAAATAACTTATCTTTTGGACATATTTTTATATTATTTGGAAAACTTTCCAATATTCCTGTTACAAAGTGGTGTCTGTTTTCAGTGATGGCTATTTCATCAGTGCTTGAAATAGTGTGCACTGTGTTGCACAGGTTTTTCATTTTTCTATTGAGTAGATATTTTTAAATTAACATACACATTTTTCTCTTTAAAGGGTCATATCTATTAGGCCTTTCCCTGCTGGTAACTTAAAATGATTATTTGTGAATTTTTTACTAAGTTTCATCAAGATCTTAAAAAGAGAGAAGAAAATAAAAAGTATTATTTATATGTCAGTGCCAACTTTGAAGGTAAAACAGTAGTAGTAACTTTTGGGAGAAATTCTAAAAACTACTTTAAAAAGAAGCGTGCACATAAAATAAATATCTTTCTATCCAAGGCTTGTCATTTTATATGCTTTTATTGTAAATTTAATATATACTACTTTAAAAAATTGAACTATACAGAATTTATAAAATACAACTTTCTCTACTTACCCCACCTCTTATTTTCTAGGGGTAACCACTGTTAATGGTTTGGTATGTGTCCTTCCAGACACTTTCTACAAATATACAAATAAGTGTGTTTGTGTATGTGTCTGTGTGTGTATTCATTTTATACAAATAGAAAAATATTCTTACTGTGCTGTGACTCTTTGTCATTTTATTATATATTAATAGATACCTTTCCATAAGCGTTTAAATAGATTTACCTCATTCTTTTATAAATTACTGCATAATCCATTGTAGGAGTATACTTTAACTTATTGAATTAGTCCCCTGTTGAATGGACTACAAGATTATTTTCACTTCTCTATTACAAAGAAAGCAAGAGTGAAGACCCTTTTGCATATATTTTTGTCACCTTGCATGAACATATCCATAAGGTTGTACATTTGTTTTTTACAAGATCTTTGTAATAAACATTTTAATGTAATTTCAGGAGATGAGGTCATAGAGATAATATGAGACCCTTTTTTGGATAAAAAGAAAGATTGTACAGGAGTGCATAATTTTTAAAGAAAATCGTCTTTTGAAGGGTAATTTCCTTTCTGCCTGATTAGCCAAATAAATACCTTGCCAAAACTTACAATAGGAAATTTTTTTTCAATAAAAATAAAATTTGAGGAGATGTGTGTCAGATAATGTGAGAGAGATGAATTGACTTTTGGATTGCCTCATTTTAAAACTTGAGGGATTTAAATCAAATACCCAAGCCAAATTGGTGATACTTTTCGCATTTTTAGTAACACTATCCACTTTTGTGTATGTTGCTTGACAGAGGAACTTAATTATGCCATTGTGAAAAGTAGGAAAGAATATGTTGGCAATTATAAATGCCCACAGCAATTCCCAGAAAAATACATTAGATTATGTACGATTTAGTGATTTGGTGGGATAATTATAAATCGTGGAATAATTTATATATGTGGAGTAAGAAGAGAGGGGTCAAACCTTTTGGTACAAGCAACATCTTGTTGCCACCACCTTGATTTTCTCATAGGTGCTATTGTGTCCTAAGAGTAGAACAGACAAGAAAACAAAGATAATTAAACACAAGTCAGGTTACAACATGATATCTTTAATTGTACTTTCTCTGCTGTGGTATCAAGATTCAGTGGTGCTTGTCAGAAAATACCTTGTTCTGTGACTCTGACTATCTCTTGAGTCCCAAGGCTCCAATTGAGCCTTTATCTTTCAACCTTACCACCCAAGTATATGACCAACTGTTCTCCTAAAATACCTATGAACCACTGTAATCATTTCCAGTCCCTGATGCCCCTCTTCAACCTCATTTTTCTCCATACCTCTGCTATTCTAACTATTCCTCTTCACTGAAGGAGAAGAGGAGAGACAGGAGGGGCCTAAAAACTCACTCTGGTATGTGGGAAACATTAGAATTCCTTCCTGACCTTTGTCAAATGAGGGCACATCTGCCAAGACATCAGTCCAGCTTCTCCCTTGTTAAATGAAATTGTTTTTAACATTACACTTTTATACTGGCTGTTACATTAGAATTACAAAAAAGTTAGTGGCCTCTATAACCTTAATTGGCATACTTTACTACAAAAATAAGAAAATGTATGCCAAAAAACGTTTTTAGATTTTAATTTTATAAGCAACCTGCACATAAGCCTTAATGTGAGTCTTCACATTGGATTATATTTTTATTCTCCCATATTTGTGGCTGAAATCTCTCCCAACTATTGAGAGTGATCTTTCCCATGGTCTGCTTTATTGTTTTGTGTTAATATCTATTATAAATATAGCCTTAAAATTTTGTAATGCACTTTAAAATATTTGTGCCATTTAAATAATGACAAAGCAATCAATGCATACATTTCAATGGAGACAGTATACAAAGTTAAAGCAACTGATACATATATTTCAGTGGAGACAGTAGGATAACAGTGTTAGCAAATATGTGTCATCTCTTTAAATTTGGGAGGAATCAGAAGCTAAAGATTTAAAACAAATAAAACATACCTGAAGAAAAGTAGCAATTTCTGAAATTGTAGTAATCTTGGAATGGTTATCAAACCTAGCAAATAATACTTAATAAGTGTTACCTAATATACCTAATTGGAATGTTTGTTTAAAATATTAAATTAATTTATACTGAAAGTTTTAACTGCAATTTCATAATTCATGAATTCTATAAAAGAAATCTCCCTCACTAAAAATATGATCAATCAAAACTACCAGTTTTGCACACCAATCCCAAGTTTAAGCATATTTTGTATTTAAAGTTATAATTTAATTATGATACTGTCCCCCTAATATGGAAAATAAGTTACAAAATTCTTTTTTTTTTTTTTTTTTTTTTGAGACAGAGGTTCTCTCAATGTTGCCCAGGCTGGTCTCAAACTCTTGGGCTCAAGCGATCCTCCCTCCTCTGCCTCTGGAGTAGCTGGGATTACAAGCACGTGCCTACTATGCCTGTCTTCAAAATCACATTGTTAATTTTTATAGCCACAATTATTAATTTGATAAAACAAATAATTTTATAGAAGCATTAAAGTATTATCAGAACAAAATCAGAGTTCCAAAATTTGGGGAGTATTTTAAGATTGTGAAATGTTACCTTTTGGATGCAAACCAATGATACAAATCTTTAAGAAAGAATTACAGTGGGACTCCTTTGAAACTCTGATTTTGAAAATAGAACAAATACACATTTCATAGCCAAACTTTGTGTGGGACTTCTATTGTTACTAATTGTAAGGCTGTAACTTTGGTTGACTTCATCCAAATCCAAGAAACAGAGTCACAGTAGTGAGACTATTCTCATTGCTTCTTTGGAGCATTAGCTGAAGCTTTACCATATCACATACCTTACAAAATCCCTATACATATTGCCAGTTTTAAAAGAATGTAATTATGCATGTTACAAACTATATATATCTTTTTGGCTAGAGAAGTGACTATTTTAGAATAACAGTATGAATGTAAAAGGCAATAATTTTTTTTAAATACACAAAACATTGCCATTGCCCTTTTTTGTCACTTCCTTTTTTCTTCTAAAAATTTTCATTTGGTGTATCTAACTTTGTATCACTTAAATTATTCAGACTTACTAAGATAAAAAATACTTTTTTTCAGTTCTGTGCTATATTCTGTCACTCTATTCCATTATTAATACTAAATGACTTTCCTTGTGAAATGATACCCACATACTACAACATCAAGCTCCTTTTTCTCTTAAATTTCCTAATTATCTTGATTTTTGCCTCTGCAGTCTTCTTCCCATCTTGGCCAAGTGTGGGATAAATTCTGTCTCGCCCGTAACTCCTTTCACTGTAATGAAATGAATTCAACACTGAACGCACTCCAGAATTTAGCTCTGGTAGTGAGCATAATTTACCTTGGCTTATTTTATTTGTAAATGGAAATGTATCAGGAGTGCCTGGAACACTTTTCCCTCTTGATAGGAGTTGGAGAACACTGCCTAGCCCTCTGCCAAGAAGTAAGTCAAGCAAATGAAGATACCAGTTGGATCAGAGGGCCTAATAATAGTCTAAAACCAAGCTTCAGAAATTGCTTCGTGACTGTTGTAAGATCAATATTGTGTTTGCGTATTAGTTGGACAGAAAGCATGTGTGGACATTCATCCAACCTGACCCCAGGTCATTCATTCTCCATCCAAAAAGGGTTATAGGTATGGTTTATGGTCTTTGTTTCAGCAAAACGTCCTACAGCTTGGACTTGGGGTGGATTTATATAGTGTAGCATTTGTATATAAGATTCAATTATGGATTCATGCTCTGTGAACATTGTTAGATTTTTAATAATCTAAAGTAGGTCACATTGAATGTAACTGATATTAACCCTATTCTAGAGAAAACATTTGTCATTTGCAAGTGTTTGACTTTTTTATTGATATGATTTAGATATGCCACACTCAATATATTTAGTATAGATTCAGTACATAACAGGAAAGAAAAAGGGAGAGACAGACTTGAGTGTTAAAGGACCCCAGAAATTGCTGAAATGTCCTTTTAGATTCTTGTGGCTGGCAAGCTATGCTGTCATTGGTTCTCTGCGAATCTGTGATGTGTTCACTTCGCCATGCCCCAGCTTGGGAAATATTCTTAGTAATCCAATCAAATCCTTAAAAACAGCATTTTTGTGAATGTATTACTTCTTCAATATCCCCATATATTTGTATTGTTTCAAGCCACTAGTATCTAAATTTTTGATATAAATATCTAAATTCTTTCATTTTATAGAAAATTAGCATGCTTTATGTTTCTTTATAATGAAAAGTCTAGATAAAGTATCATAATTTCATTATCAGCTGACAAGAAACCCTTCTAAGACCCATTTTTTTAAGTGTCATATGGCAACTCCTCAATAGCTTACTTTTATTATTTGATCATTTTCATCACAATTGCAATCCTCTAGAGGGTATTTTAAAAAGTAGACCAACCTTATGTTTCACGTGAAACATAGAATAATAATTAGTTTGTATATATATAAAACCATTTACCTTGACAAGGACAATCTGTTACAGATTTTTAATATGAAAATTGACAATTTTGTTGCTTTTAGAAGCAATTAACATAGTAATTAGTAAATTCTGAGAGATGACAGAAATGATTTTCTGTAGAAGGAACACAACAGTGATGTTAAAATGTTAACAAAGAACCAGTTGTTTTGATTCTATTTTAAACAAAATTGTAAGGCAATTTTATGAAACAAACATTTATATCAATGTATATCTATTTCAAAACTGTGGGACAATTATTCATTCTTTTCCCAAATAGAGTAAAATATTAAAGAGAAAAAAATTCGAGTGTTTATCTGTTATTACTGTATATTCAGAAATTACAGTTCTAAGGAATTATTGTCATCCTCTAAGTATCAGAATGTATTCCATTTTAATTATATTCTCCTTAACAATAGAAAATTAGAAGAAATTTCTTGATCATAAGATGAATAGTAATTTGTACCAGATCTTGTCCATCATTTCATTAGATTGCATATTTTTAGTTTTCTATAAAATTTGCAGCCATTTTCCAAATAAAGTAAGTTATAATATTTTTCAAGTTTAAAATGGACCGGGTTGAAAAGAGATTTCATTGATTCTTTTTAATGATATTGGAAAATATTTATGCAATTTTATTTTTTAACCTTTTCTCCATTTCATTAGTTATACTATTAACTTTGATAATCACAAAACTATGTGGAAGAAATCATTCTGATTATATTTTATGAAAGAGAGGGGTAGAGTAAATTTTTTAATTAGACAATGTTGATATGCAGAAATCTCTCAAAAGAAATTGCAAAGGAAAAATTACGTTGAGATGAAATGTTGAGAAATAAGGAGTATCTTAAAAACCTAATTTCTTACACTTTTTAGAGCAATCAACTTATTTCCAAATTATTATTTCATGCTGTTGTTTCCATGAATTGTGTTTTTAGCATAGTATATACTTTTCTACCACGTTAGCATTTACACTCTAATTACTGAAAATAAAGGAAGAAGTTGGTGAATAAAAGCCAGGGAAACTGGGTTTATTCTCATTTTCCAATAGCACTAATGTATAATCCCTTTAACCTTCCATATGGTGCTTTGTGTGATGAGTATATAACATTCATATACGTTATTAGTGCCTTATTTTTTTCACTTGACTTTATTTCTTATCTAAAGAGCCATATATTTTTTGTGAGTGTTCTTTGGTCCCTCTATTTAAAGTGCTAAGGAGAAAGCATATCTTTAGGGATGTATATAGGCTGCGTTTGCTACCTTAATCTACTGTATTATCTCTAAAACAGGTTAGCCAATGTATTTTTCTTAAATTCATTGTTCATTTTTAAGCTAACCTATACAAATGGATATTAAACACCAGAAATTAAAGCCATTAAAATTGAATTGTACTTTAAAACCATAAAAAATGCTAATTAAGTTTAGAACAGGAGTTGAAATGACTCTCAGTTTTATCTATAGCTCCAATTAGGACAAAATTACTTTACAAAAAGCATTAAAAATAAAAGTAACTGTATGGTACTTCAGGAATTTGACCAGTTCCTTACAACTTATTCTTGGCAATATTTTGTCAGTAATATACTTTCATACAGATGCTAGAGAACCATGGTGTCTGCTATTTACATGTTATTTGTTCCCAGTGAGCTTTATCAACATCAACCCTGTTTATATAATATGTTATTTTGCTCTTCTTGATCTGTGCCTTTTGTTTTAGCTTTATACAAAATGCTAGGTTTGTTATATTCTTTATGTATCATAATATATAATTCAACTTTTCCTGATGAATGTATGCTGAATAATTAAACTAAACCATGTGCTTAGAAAAGACAAAGACAGGTTGTATATGCAGTTATGTGTAAATATTTGACAAAGAAAAAAAAAGGAAAAGAATCTTCCTGCCAACAGGTAGGTCCTGCTGGACAGGACCTGAAAATTAAGAGATTTTTTTTTTTAAGCAGTGAAATTTAAAAATCTATTACCTCAAGAATTTTCAGTCGATATGTCAATGTACTGTTCCTTCTCAGTAAGTACAGTGTCACATGCTGCTGGCGGTAAAAGCAACCCAAGTGTCAGATCACACAAATTTTAGGGACAAGTCTTTCAAAAGACGGACACCTTGTGATATTTTGGAGTCTAATTTCCGACTTTTCGTAATGTCCCAATGACCTTTTGTTGTGGTTGGGCTTTTATAAAAAATTATTTTCGGTTGGTTGTTGTAGAATGGAAGAGTAATCTTAATTATGAAATCAGATTGCATGGAAGAATATAAAGACACTCACTCGGATGAAAACTATAACGGTTTTCAAACTATTTTGATGGTCATTGTACGAGCTATTGTATGGATTACTGTGGAGTGCTGTTTACCACATGATGTGTGCAATACATCATGCAATGTTATTTAGCAATGCGTAATAAAAGTTTTTAAAAGAGAAAATTCTTGTCTTTTTTTCCAATAGGTTTGGATTTTTAAAAAATTAAAAATAAAACTTCACAGCAACAAAACTATTGTGCCTACAGTTACTGGAGTAATTTCTACATTGGACTCTAGAAATGGAGGAGCAGGAATGAACAGAAATTCAAGGGTGTGCTTTTGGGAAGGTGGATTGTGTTGTGTTGCTGTGGCACGTTTTGGGGAAAGAGCACAGAATAGTGAAGATCAGTGCAAACATTCTGCATGAGGCATGAAAAAGAAGCAAATAGTGTGGAAGTAAGAGATCAGCTTAGGGTGGTCTTTACTCTCTAGACCAAGGGGCCTATACAGGGGTGGGAAAGCAGAAACCACTAAACTGCTAAAGCCAAATATATACGCCTACTCTATAACCTAGCAATGATTTTCCTAGATCTGTCACTAAGGAAAGAATGGCCTTTGTTGACCAAAGGGTAAGTACAAGAATTTTCCTTAACAGTAAAATCATGAATATATTGTGATATATTCATAGAATGGAATATTATAGAACAATTAGAATGAAAATAATCTTAATTTTGAAAAATTACAGAGCAATCTATGCAAAAATACAGTTGACTCTCACAGATACTATGTTGAGCAGATGAAGCCAGGCACAATACAGTATATATTATAGGACCACATTTATATGATGATCAAAAACAGACAAAACTGATCAATGATAATAGAAGTCAGAACGGTGATTACTTTTGGGGTGGGTATTATTGACTGGTAAGGGGAATCAAAAATCTACGATTATAGAAATAGTCTGTTACTTCATGAGGGTGTTATTTGGGAGGCTGAGGCAGACAGATCATGAGGTCAGGAGATCAAGGCCATCCTGGCTAATATGGTGAAACCCCGTCTCTCCTCAAAATACAAAAAAATTAGCCGGGCGTGGTGGCAGGCGCCTGTAGTCCCAGCTACTCAGGAGGCTGAGACAGGAGAATCGCTTGAACCCAGGAGGTGGAGGTTGCAGTAAGCCAAGATTGCGCCACTGCACTCCAGTCTAGGCGACAGAACGAGACTCTGTCTCAAAAAAAAAGAAACCGAAAAAACAAATTCTGGATCAGGCGCAGTGGCTCAAGCCTGTAATCCCAGCACTTTGGGAGGCAGAGGCAAGCAGATCACCTGAGCTCAGGAGTTCAAGACCAGTCTGGCCAACATGGGGAACCTGTCTCTACTAAAAATACAAAAATTAGCCAGGCGTGGGGCGGACTCCTGCAATCCCAGCTACTCGGGAGGCTGAGGCAAGAGACTCACTTGAATCCAGGAGGCAGAGGTTGCAGTGAGCGGAGATTGCACCACTGCACTCCAGGGGCAACAGGGAGAAACTCTGTCAAAAAAAAAAAAAAAAAAAATCTGGAATGTATTTTATACTTCCATTTTAAAAATTAGTGGAGCAAAAAAGATACTATATTGTCTTTCTTGGGTCGCTAAAATCCTTTGAAAACATGATGTTTAACCTTTCAAATGGCATATATTTTAGCTATTTATAGTTTCCTGCTATCAGCAGACTACAGTGAAAATTCTTGAACAAAAACCTTCTGATAAGCCCTTAGTAATGGACTTGCAAGTCGAATTCTAAAAACAATTATGAAGCACGTGCTCCCACATATACCCAAATGATACCATTTCAAGTTGATGCCAATTTATGTTCCCATCACCAGTTTACAAGAGTATTTATTTCATTTCATTTTCACAAAAACTATTTTATCTCTTTTTAAAAAATATTTGCCAATTTGACAGGTAAAAAATGGCATCTAATCTTTTTAAATCAGACACACACACACACACACACAGTGCCAAATGTGTTTTCTAAATTAACTTTTCCTTAAATCCATTTGCATTTAGTCTCTTTCATGGTAATAAGCCCTCATAATTTCCTTCTGTTTTCCTATATTTCCAAGCCCCAAGCTGCTATGTTTAAAGACAAAAATGGTGATATCTTTTTATTATAGCTACAGTTGCCAACACACACATACATAAAACAGCAGAGATGTATTTAACTTACACAATTTACCACAAATGTGTGTCATGACATATGCTCCAGCATAAACTGAGATGGGAACCATGAATCTCCTGTTTCTTCTGGCATTCTGGTTGCAGAGTACCACTACCAGTGTTGAGCAGGCCAAATGTGATTCTGGCATTTAATAGTGTTTATCAAACTACACACCCCCTTATTTTGAGCCAATTATGTCATCTGGCACTCAACGATTTTTTTTTAATGCCTTTAATGTAGCCGGGATAGTCCATTGAAAGATGATGAGTCAGTCACCAATCGAGCCCCTGCTTAGGGAGTTTCTTACTCACCCTTGCCCAATATTGTGCCCCACATATTTGTTAATTAAATGTATATTTCAATAAGGTACTGTTAGGAGACTGGTATTGAAAGTGAAATGATTAGATTATTAGAAATGAAACTCCTGGTAGGCCCAGTTTTAACTCTCAAATCACAATTGAGGTAGGTTTGTGAAGAAGGTAAGAGCGCTGATGCTACGCTCCTGTATTTAAACCCCAAGTTGGCTTCTTTCAGGCTATATAACCTGGGATATGTTACTTAACCTCTCTGTGACTCAGTTTTCTGTAAATTGGGAATAATAGTGCAGGCCTCCAAGGTTAGTTGTGAGGATTAACTGAGTTTTAATACATGCTTAAGCACTTAAAATAGTGCCTTGCTCTTAACAAGCTTTCAGTAAATGTTAGTTCTTATTATTGTTAGTGACCACGCTTCATTTTAAACATGTTGGCCAACACAAAATGATTCATTGATGTCAGTTACAAGTAGCGCAGAATAATAGCATCACTCCTAGACGTTGTGTCAGGGCTGTGATATGAAGCATTCTAAAAGGCAAATTATTTTAATGGGTAATGCTTAACATGCACATTTCTAGAGTAGCATATTGGTTAAATATAAAGTTTTGCTCAAAGAGTCAATTATCATATGTTAGCTGACATCTATTGTTTTGTCCTCTGAGTAATTCTGTCTCACTCACCCAACCACGTTGTTCATTAGGGAGTTGCCACCTTTTCTCATGCTCCCCCCAATCAATGAAACCAGTTGGTTCACAGAGGGACACCCAAGTCAAGTTAAGCCAATTAATCCCCTCCCTAGGATTTTTGAACTTGAGACAATAAAAAGCCTGTCCCTATCCCCTTTTAATGATGCAGCTGTGAAATGTGAGCTTGGAAGCTTCCAGAAGCTATGTTTCTGCCACCTACAACAGATGGTCATGTGACTAAAGTGATTCACTTAAAGCCAAAGAATGACAAAGATTGCCAACAAACACCAGAAACTGGAAGAGACAGGGAAGGATTCTCCTCTAGAACTGTCAGAAAGAGCATGACCCTGCCAACATCTTGATTTCAGACTTCTAGCCTGTAGAACTGTGAGACAATACATTTCTCTACTTTCGATCCCCTCAGTTTAGAATGAAGCTGCTGACAGAGAGAAAGTGAGATGAAGCTGGAACAATCTTGGCAGCATTCTCAGGAATCTCCATCATACCAGAGACCTCATTGTTCCTCTGTTTTTTCCAAGCATTTGTTTATGTGAGCTACGGCCTGCGTTCTTTTTCCCATAGTTTTCACAACAAGCTTCTCTGGCCTTCTACCAATACGGTGGCTGAATTCTGACAGCAACATCCCAAATAGACTGGAAATTGAAGCTACCATTTTCTTTTCTTTTTTTTTTTTATTTTTATTTATTTATTTTATTTCATTTTTTTTTTTTTTTGAGGTGGAGTCTCGCTCTGTTGCCCAGGCTGGAGTGCAGTGGTGGGATCTCGGCTCACTGCAAGCTCCACCTCCTGGGTTCACGCCATTCTCCTGCCTGAGCCTCCAGAGTAGCTGGGACTACAGGTGCCCACCTCCACACCTGGCTAATTTTTTTTTTCTTTTTGTGTTTTTAGTAGAGATGAGGTTTCACCATGTTAGCCAGGATGGACTCCATCTCCTGACCTTGTGATCTGCCCACCTCAGCCTCACAAAGTGCTGGGATTACAGGAATGACCCACTGCGCCCAGCAGAAGCTACCATTTTCTTAAAGCCTGGGCCCCAAAACTGGTACCACACCATGGAAATAGTGGCAGCAGATCATGAAACTTGTCCCTGTCTCCTGGCCTAAAGAGATTGACTGTCTGAGGCACAGTTGCCATTTATTCATGCAACAAATATTTTTTGAGTACCTATTACATGCCAGACACTGTTACAAGTCATGGTTATAGATTAGTGAAGAAGAGACAAAAAAATGTCTGCCATAAGAAGGTTACGTTCTAGTATAGGAATCAGACAAATAAGCAAAATAAGTAAATTATAGAAGTGAAAGGGAGAAAAATAAAGCAGGGGAAAGTGATAGATAGTGGGGGTAAAAGGGCATGGGCTTCTGGGAAGGTAAAGTTTGAGCAAAAGTATGAGAGGTGAGAGAGCTGTACTGATGAGCTAACAGGGCATTCTAGGCAAAGCAAACAGCAGAGACAAGGGCTCAGAAAGGCAAGACTCCAGAGCAGCTGGAATAGAAGGAGAGGAGATGAGTATAAACAGAGAGGTGGGGGCATTGCTGCAAATGTAGGTGGGTAACTGTAGTGCATTTGCATTCAGTTTGAATGAGACGAAAAGTCCACTGAAGTTTGTAGACAGAAGGGTGCTATGGCCATCCCTAGGTCCCAACAGGATCATTCCGGCTGCTGCAATGAGACTAGAGTGAAGCAAATGGACAAAAGAAAAAGGTACAGATCAGCTGGCCAGAAGGACAGCTCCAAAATGAATAATGGCCCTATTCTTCTTCACACAGCTGGACTTCTCCCCATCTTTGCTAATGAAAACCAAATCACTTCCTTGGTAATAGTTTACTTTTTCTCTGTATTCATTCAATAAATAGCTATTGAGCACCCATAGGAGGATGCCCATGTTATCATGGATCCCCAAAAGAGAATGGCATATCTCTATGTGAGAGTCAAACTCACAATTTTTTTCAAAATTCTCAAAAGTTGGTCCAGAAAAAAAGTTACACAGCTATTTTACGCTTGGCCAAAAATATTTTAGTGGACTTCGGCATTCAGACCTTCAGATATGTAAGGGTGAGAATTGCAGCCTTTGGGGCATGGATATGAGGTGCCCAAGACAAAAACCTGGAGTTCGACCTGTCTGGCTATCTTTCACCCAACCTAGCTCAATCTGTCATTATATCTCCTAAATAACCTCTCTATTCACACCTTCACCCTTTAATTCAGATTGTCCTTCTTATTCAGATAATGGCAAGCATTGGGATTCTTGCCTTCAGGCTTCCCCTCTGTTTTGCCCATGCCTGTGATGTGACTGGCCATAGGCACTGTCCACTGCATCCTTCACAGTGCTATTAGGGTGATGCTACAAAAACACAATCTGATTTTATCACTTCTGTCTCAGGATGGGGTTTTCTGAGAAGCAGATTCCTAGATGGAAATTTGCATGCAGGAGGCTTATTGCTAAGGTTTACTGCACATCTATGAAGGAGTGAAATAAACAGGATTGGGCAGGGAGAGAAACTAGACTGCAATGAAGTCCCCACACAGGCCTGAGCTCATCAGCCATAACCTATCAGCCTGAAGCTGGGAAGGCTCTGCAGAGAGTTGTCCCAAATTGAAATGAGAGTAAGCCTTAACACTCTGCATAGATCAGTCATTGAATGGGAGCTGCCCTTGGAAGCATGACTTTGGGAGGAGGTGACCCTTTCAGCTGAGAACACTCCAGAGTGGGTTCAGCTTAGAACTGTCAGTCATCAACACTCTCAGGCTGGGCAGTGAACGAATCAGCCCCCGGAGTGGGTGGGTGGGATGAGACAGAGTAGCTTGGGGCAGGAGGAGAGGTGTGGGGAAAGGTGAGAGGTGGAGGTGAAACCTGGATAGCACGTTCCAAGTTAACCTCTCCAGTCCTTGCTCACTGTTGAGACATTGGGATCCCCCCCAACCCCCGACATTAAACAGAACTCTTCCTTCCACCATGCTCTATTAATATAATCACCAACAGATTGGTTATTTATTTTTGCTTATATTATGCATGAGGCCCTCTAGCAAGAACGTGAATTCCATGAGGTCACGGATCATGTTCTATTCATTTTTGGGTCCCCTCCACCGTCTATGGTAACTGGCAGGTACATCATAGGCATTGAAACGTTTGAGGAACAAATTACAAAACTATAAAACAAAAAAGTTTTATAAGAGACGTGCCCAAGACGCCTCAACTTCAGAATGGTGAAGCCAGGGATTCCAACTGGGTCTCCCTTCTCCAGAGTTGTAAGTGCACTAGGTTAGAATCAGCGGAAGAGTGGGAAATGGGAAGAACACGAAGCTGGAAATGGGAAACCTTAGTTCCAGCCTTGGTTTTCATCCTCCAACTGGCATGCTAACTTGCCCTCTCTGGGCTTCCTAGGTCTCTTATTCCTTATATTGGAGGTGTTGTTATGGATAATTTCAAAACAAATCTTTATCTAGCGCCTACTATGCGTTCACATAGTCTGTTCACGTGTATGTAATCCTTACAACCCCTCTGTGGTGTTATTAGTATCCTCGTTTTATAAACAATGTGGGAAAGAAAACAACAAAGCTAAGCCCAGCTAAACTAAAAAATAAAAAATAAAAAATACAGTTCAATGGTTTGTTTGAGGTCACATAGCAAAGGCTCAACTCAAACTCAGGTCTCCTGCTTGCCAGTCTGCGGTTCCTGCCATGGGGAAATTCTGTTATCTTTGAAGAAAATAATAAGTAAGGGAAGAGAGAGATGCCCTTTCACAACTGCAAAATTCTCTCCTCCCCAGTTTCCAGCTCCCATCATCAACAAAGAAAACCACGAAAACAAAAACAAATCCGGATTGCCTTTGTCCACAGTATAGAGGGCGGGGGCGGGGGCGGGGGCGAGGGCGAAGGCGAGGGCGTCGGCGGGGCTGCAGCCTCCACGCAGAGACCACTGATGGCTCCGCGCCGCTCAGTTGATCCCTTCCCACTGCACGGAGCGGGAGACTAAAGGCCCACTGCCCATGGCTGCGAAAACCTTCCTTCGGGAACGCGGAGCTAGTGCACGGGGGCATGTTCTTCCCCCGCAGCCCTGGCAAGCAGAGGCCGGCGGCCTGTGGCGCGGGGCAGTTGTGCTGGCTGCCGGGCGGGGCTGCTCTGGGTCTGGGTGCACGGAGAGGAGCGCGGAGTGAAGCGCACGGTGCACACTGCGGGGCGCTGCTTGTCACCTCCCTGCCCCTCCCTCTGCCCTCCCCCGCTGTCCGGAGCACAGTCCCGGGAGGGCGGATGTCCCCTGGGAAGATGCGCGAGGAGAGCGACTGGGAGGCAGCTAGCAGCACCTGCGTGTGGGCAACACGACCCGAGGCTGTCTCCATTGCCTGCGTGCTGAAAGCATAAAAGCTTTTTTTTTTCTTTTTTTGAGGAAGTAAATGTGTAAATTAAATTACTTTGGTGGGGGTTAGAAAACAGTTTTCCTCAGTGTCATGGTGACATCTTCCATCTGCCAGTTCACTTTTCATAAACCTGCTGATACATTTTCTACATCTCATTAAAAAGGTAACCCAAAAGAAAAGTAACGGGGGGAGAAGGAGATGAAAGGGAGAGAGAAAGGAAAGACAAAACGAAGAGAAAGTTAAAAAAAATAGACTAGGAAAGAGGGCCCACCAGGAACCAGGAGGAGCCCTGGGGATGGGGTCGGGACGAAAGCTGGCAAGAATTTCGGCTGAGTTCCTTTAACAAGTAGAAACGTGCGGGGTTGTGTGCGATTTTCCTGGAAAATCCTCACAACCCTATGAGATAAACATTATTCCCATTTCAGAGATGAGGAAAGTGAAGTCAGGACAGAGTTGCATCATCAATCTGATTTGAATACCAAGGGCAAGTTTTTTCCCACTACATCAGGGTATCCTGATCCGTTTTAAACTATTAGAATCACCGTTGTTGCATTATTTATTAGCCTTGACAGAGACTGAATAACCTCCCCCATCACAGAGTCTGCAAGGACAGAGGTGTGATCTAAACCTGGGCCTGGGAGCCCTGAGCTATCAAGCTAGACTGCTTCTCAGAGCCCTTCTCTTGTTAACCAGGGACTCTGAGGCAGGGTACCCAAACTGTCCTTTGACATCTGCAACTCTAAAAGAGTAATTGGAAATTGGGGAATAATAACACAACAGATAGAAGTTTTTGTTCCCATCAAATGAGACAGTGTATATGAAAGTACATAGCATAATACCAGTTATTTTCTTTCTGACATTCAATTCATTGAAAGTTTATTCAACATTACTTATTCAGTTTATTAGTAGTAGTAGTAGTAGTAAGCATGTTTAGGGCCCCTCCTGTGTTATTAGACATACCCTGTATGTGGATCTTGGTGAAGGCTGGGCTCCAATCCTGGTCTTGTGGAGAGTACTAGGCAAAGATTTAGGACAAATGGATTCCTATCTTGAATTCTTACATTAATTTGCTCTGTGATATTGGCATAGCCACATACCTTCCCAGACTTTGGTCTAAAATCAAGGAGTGCAAGGGTAGTCTCTAAGATCTCTTTCAGCAATGAAATGTGGGTCCATGTAACCTATATTTAAAGTTAGTTCCAACTGTTCAGTTCTATTATTTCTGTAATCCAGACAGGCCCTGTCAAGCAGCTGTGCATCTGCATACTCCCATAGGCTGGGTCTCTACCTCCTCCTCCTCCTCCTCCTCCTCCTCCTCCTCCTCCTCCTAACTCCTACTTCTCCATCGTCCTCAGCCCCAGCATTTTCTCCTGCTAGATGCCATCCTGCCTGTACCATCCAGGGTGCATCACCATGGCCCCCTCTGTTAAGGACTCTTTGTAAATCACCACTGAGCAAGGCACTTGTATTAGTTTTCTAGGGTAGAAGTAGCAAAATACCACAAACTGGGTGGGTTACAACAACAAACTTAATTCTCTCATAGAGAGGCCTGAAGTCTGAAATCAAAGTGTCAGCAGCACTGTTTCCTTCTGGAGGCTCTGAAGGAGAATCTGTTTTTTGTCTCTCTCCTCGCTTCTGGTGGTTGCCAGCAATCCTTGGCATTCTTTGACTTGCTGTATCTTCACTTCACTTCAGTCATTGGATATAGGACCCAACCTTATCCAGTGTCATCTTTGGGGCAGAAATGTGTTCTCTCTAAATTCATATGTTGAAGTCCTAATCCCCACAGCCTCAGGCTGTGACTGTATTTGGAGATAGAATCTTGACACAGGGAACTAAGTAAGGTAGAATGAGGTCATACGGGTGGGCCCTAACCCAATATGACTGGCATCCTCATAAGAGGAGATTGGGACACAGGCATACACAGAGGAAAGTTCATGCTGAAGACATAAAGAAAAGATGGCCAACTGCAAGCCAAGGAGAGAGGCCTCAGAGGAAATCAACCCTGTTTACACCTTGATCTTAGACTTCTAGCCTCCAGAACTGTGAGAAAATAACTTTCTATTGTTTAAGTCCCTCCCACTCCAGGTCTGTGGTACCTTGTTATGACAGCCCTAACAAAGGAATACAGACCTTCACTTAAATACTACAATTACATCCACAAACACCCTATTTCAAATAAAGTCACATTCTGAGGTTCCAAGAGGACATTAACTTTTGGGAAGACACCATTCAACCTATTACAGCACTTTTCACAGTTTCCTTCAGGTCTTTGTGTTCCTTCAAGGCAGGGACAATTATCCCCAACAGGGCACAAGTCCTGGCCCTTAATATGTGCTCTACAAAGGGAGAAGGAAGAAAGGAAGTAAAAAGTAAAAGAAAAGAAAGAGAGTAATAACAGAAAAGAGAGAGGAAGGAAAAGGGAAAAAAAAGGAAGGAAAGCTGCATGCTTTCCTAGTTTCCTCGTTTCAATTACATCCTTCAAAACAAAATACTGTTCTTCTTGAGCAAAAGATTTCTTAAAGCGTCTTTGAATTTCTGTGTGTATGCAATTTACTTTGAAACATGCAAAGGAAAGAAATAAGGGAAACGTGATAATATCCTGTTGCCTCATTGCTGGCCCTGAAAAACACTTCCAAGGGGTTGCCCAATTAAATATAATACACTCAGTTAAATTTTAATTTCAGATAGACAAGCAGTAATTTTTAGTATAAGTATGTCCTAAATGTGATATATATAAGTGTGTGTGTACATATATGTGTGTGTGTATGTGTGTGTATATATATATACACACATATATATATATACACATGTACACTAGACATGATAGAAAGAACATAGACATTGGGCCCATACAAATTTAGGCTCCAGTTTTTACTACCTTTTAGCTCAGGGACCTGGGGCAAGTTACTTAATCTCTTTGTATGTCAGATTCTTCATCTATAAAATTATAATAGACCTATGGGAAAGGGTTGTTGGGACTTTAAAATGTCTGGTATGTGCTGCTTCCGTAACTAGAACAGTGTCTAACACATAGTAATCAATGACTCAACAAATATTTTTGAAGGAATGAAAGAACACATTCCCTTCTTCCCTATATGGACTTCCCTGGAGGATTGGGACAGCCAACCCAACAATAGCAGGGGCCCTAGGACAGGCCACAGCACAGTCCAGGGAGCACCCCAGCCTTCCATGGTAGAAAACCCACTCCACATCCACTGTTCCTCGGAATAATCTGGTTTTAGGATGCAGGGGACATACAACCAATTTGATACAGGCAGAGTTTTCCTTCTAGAAAATGTGTGTGTTTTTATTACAGAACAAAGGCGACAACATCTTACACTAAAATTCAAAAGTCTGTAAACCTTAGAGAACCTATTTCCATATGTAATGCATTGAATTTAAAGGCACACTCCTATTTGTGAAGGTGATTCTAACTAATTTAAATGGACCTAAATAGTTTTTAAATAGCAATATAAGCAGATGCTATCTTATTAGAAAATCATTTGAGCAGCACATTTATTTCCTAGAGCTGGAATCAAATCGTTCTATCTCCTTCTACAGTATGCATTTTTATGTAATCAATTGGTAATAGTGAAAAATATCTTAAAAGTGCATTGTTTCTTGACAGAAGGCTATTTCTTTTCAGAAATAAAAATCATTGTGAAAGAAGATATTTATTCTTAATGCTACAACTGAAACTAGGGGTTTTGTTATTGACTTGCTTCCTAATCAAGAAACTTCCATCATATAAATAAGGTGGTCTGGGTAGTGAAATGAGCATTGATTCAGGAGTCGAAAAACCTGGTTTCTGTGCCTCCTCCTGGGTGCTGCAGCCTCGGACCAGGTGCTCAACCCTGGAGCCAAATTTCCTTCCCTTGACTATGAGGGGAACCAGCTCTCTCATATACTTATACCATATTATATAACCAATAATATGCAATAAAATCAAACTACAGCAATTATAATCCTCTTTTACAATTTTATAAAGTTAAATTTTGCTTTAACAACTATAAAATGGGAATAAGTGTACTTTGGATACCGTTCGTGTAGGAAGCCCAAAGTAGTATTCAATGAATGGAAACTCCCTTCCCCCTTCCCTCAAGCAAATCACTCTTAACCCAGAAAATGTTATTGACAACTGCTGGGTTATAATTGTGATTTTTTTCCCCCCCGCCCCCAATTAATATGCTTCCCATACTGGCCATTAATTCAACATTGAATGAACACATATTAGCTTGCCAACTTTGAATGTTGTTTTGCTCAGTTAGACATGATTTCATACCTTAAGACTTTTTAAGGCTTATATTTTTTAGCCTATCTACTATTTAAACTGGGTACAGGAAGTGCCAGTTTAAGGAGGACAGCCCCAAGAAATGGTCCAGGCATTTCATGAGGGAGATTGGATGATTTTCCCCTCAACCAGCGGCACAGAGGCCCTTTCAATGCCTAGAAATAGATCTCCTATTGAGCCTCTGTTTATCTCCTCTGACCATAAAAAGCAGCTGGCTCTGCAGGAAAGACTGGTGGCTGCAATTAACTCCAGGAGGCCAGAAGCCGAAATCCTGTGCAACACGAATAAAGGCTTCTCAAAGAACTTGTGGAGTCATGTTGCTAGCTCATTGCTAGAACCATTCAGTCTTCTGAGGAAGAAATCTGTGAGCTAAACACCAAACACATCACTGTAAAATTTCCTGTAACCACCAGCGGCACTCCAAATCATTCCATTATTCTCTGAGTTGCTTCACAGTGACTGGGTATTAAATCTGCTGTGTGGCTAAATGCTGATGGCATTTTGTTAAATGAAAAGCATTTTAAAGAGGATTGGTTGATCCAATTGTTCTCATATTCTATTACTTTGCATTCAAACTTAACTCAGTATTAGACTAATAGTAACTATGAAAATAAAAAGAAAGCAGAATCTGATTTTTTTAAGTCCACTGGAGGCAATAAGAAGTTTCTATTGGAACACTTCACATGTTGTTAAACAATTACCAGATTATTAGAAAACACTTTCAAATACCTCTTTGATCTTTGCTAAGAGCCCTGATGAACATTTTTCTTACTGCTTATATTCCCCACAGATAAAATACAAAGACCTGGAAAATAGCAATAATCTAATTATTAGGCATATGTCCAGGAACAGAAGTGAGAAGTAGTAAAGGCAATCAAATGTTCATCTGAAACCTATCCCAGATGAACAGTCCAACTTAACTTGGTGCTGTTATTCTTTTTTTTTTTTGAGATGGAATTTCACTCTTGTTGCCCGGGCTGGAGTGCAATGGCACGATCTCCCCTCACTGCAACCTCTGCCTCCCAGTTTCAAGCGATTCTCCTGCCTCAGCCTCCCAAGTAGCTGGGATTACAGGCATGTGCCACCATGCCCAGCTAATTTTGTATTTTTAGTAGAGACAGGGTTTTTCCATTTTGGTCAGGCTGGTCTTGAACTACCAACCTCAGGTGATCTGCCTGCCTCAGCCTCCCAAAGTGCTGGGATTACAGGCGTGAGCCACCGCGCCCGGCTGGTGCTGTTATTCTTAAACCAAAAAAAAAAAAAAGACTCCAAATCTTCAACCCAAAAATTTCTTTAAGGCTGAACAAATGTGTTTAAAGCTATAGGTAACCATAAGGTAACCAGAAATCTGAGGAAAGGTGTTGACTGATTACACTTGCTAGCAACTGATTGCCTCTATATGGCTGAAGTAAAAGGATGGAACTAGGAGGTATCAATACAGGGTGGTTGGGATAAGTATAACAATAAAGGTAAATATGGCTTTTTTTTTTTTTTTTTTTGAGACAGGGTCTCCCCCTGTAGCCCAGACTGGAGTCCAGTGATGCAATCATAGCTCACTGCAGCCTTGAATTCCTGGACCCAAGTAATCCTCTCTCCTCAGCCTCTCACGTAGCTGAGACTATAGGCATGCACCACCAACCCCAACTAATTTTTTTAGGTTTTGTAAAGACAGAGTCTTGCTATGTTGCTCAGAGTGGTCTCAAACTCGTGGTCTCCAGTGATTCTCCAGCTCCAGCCTCCCAAAGTGCTGGAATTACAGGTGTAAGCCACTATGCCTGGACCATAAGACAATTTTGTAGACATTTTAGGCAAAATAATTACATTAGCCTCCAATACACACACACACATACACACATATACACACACACATACACACACACACGCGTGCACACACACCCCAGACATAAGTCGTGTGTATGTGTATGTTCTAGAGCTTGCTTCTGTCGGTTTGTGAGAGTCGACTATGAGAGTCTCTTCTAGACTATGTTCAGTAACATCAAGTTGGCAGTTTGAAATTGGCAAAGATGAGAGTACACTTCTAAAACTGGCCAACTGTGCAAACCAGAGGGTTGCCTTTTGTTGTTGTTGTTTGTTTGTTAGTTTTGAGACAGAGTCTCTCTCTGTCACCCAGGCTGGAGTGCAGTGCTGTGATCATGGCTCACTGCAACCTCCGCCTCCTGGGTTCAAGCGATTCTTATAGCTCAGCCACCAGAGTGGCTGGGACCACAGGTGTGCACCACCACACCAGGCTAATTTTTGTATTTTTAGTATAGATGGTGTTTTGCCATGTTGCCTAGGCTGGTCTTGAACTCCTGGCCTCAAACAATCTACCTGCCTCAGCCTCCCAAACTGCTGGGATTACAGGCATGAGCCCCTGCATCTGGCCCAGATGGTTTTGTTTTTTTGAGGTTTTATCTTGTTTTGGGTAGAGTAAGGGTATCAGAGTAAGCTGCTCTCCCAGTACAATGGGTGGTGTGAGTGTATGTATCTATATGTATATGTACATATATGTACATGCCTGTACCCATATATAGACATACATATTAAAGGTATGTTTTATTTTAAAATTGTATTTTGGTAAAATAAATGATAAAAGTAGATTAAATTTAAAAAATAATTTCCTGGTTCCAAAAGTGAAACTATCCTTAGGAGCCCTTCTGTGAAGAAACAGATGTAAAATATGAGCACAATGTTAATGCCACCACCTGCCAATCCATAGATTAAGTAGGGAGGAAAAATGGAAGCTAGCTTATGTAATAGTCATATTACAGTTCTTACCACTTGTTACAGATGAATTGTGTCCTCCTACAATTCAAATGTTGTAGTTCTAACTTGTAGTATCTCAGAATGTAACTGTGTTTGGATGTGTAGTCTTTAAAGAGGCAATAAAGTTAAAATGAGGTCATCGTATTAGGCCCTAATTCAAAAGGACTGGTGTAGAAGAGGAGATTAGAACACAGACACATACAGAGGAACTCATACTGCCCGCTTCTTTAGGTAGTATGACTACTTTAACAACATTAATTCTTCCAGTCCACGAACGCAGGTTAGTTATCTTTCTATTTATTTGTGTCTTCTTCAATTTATTTAATCGATGTTTATAATTTTCCAAGTAGAGATCTTTTACCCATTGGTTAAGTTTATTCTTAGATATATTATTTTTCATTGCTATTGTAAATGGAATTGCTTTCTTGATTTCTTTTTGACAGTTGGCTATTAGCATATATAAACACTACTCATTTTTGTATTTTGATTTCGTATCCTGCAATGTTAATAAATTTGTTTATTAATTCTAACAGGTTTTTGGTAGAGTATTTAGGAGTACTGTAGTCATCAATACTGACAGTATTTGGTGGAGTATTTCTGTATGTAAGATATGTCATATGCAAAGAGGATATACTTCCTCTTTTCCAACTTGGATGTTTTTCATTTCTTTCTTTTGCCCAATTATTCTGGCTAATACTTCCAGTACTATTAATATGTTGTACAGAAGTGGTGAAAATGGGAATCTTTGTCTTGTTCCTGGTCTTAGAGAAAAAGTTTTCAGCTTTTCCCTCATTCAGTATGATGTTAGCTGTGAGTTTGTTATATATGGCCTTTATTGTGTTACGATACACACCTTCTGTGCCTAATTTGTTGAGAGTTTTATTCATAAAGTATGTTGATTTTTGTCAACTGCTTTTTTTGCATCTGTTGAAATGACCATATAGGTTTTGTCTTTCTTTTTGTTAATGTGATGTATCATGGTTATCGATTTGCATATGTTGAATCATCCTTGCAACCTTAGATGAATCCCACTTACTCATAGGGAATTATCTTTTTGATGTGCAGTTGAATTTGTTTTACTACTATCTTGTTGAGAATTTTTGCCTCTATGTTCATCCAGGATATTGGCCTTCAGTTTTCATTTTTGTTTTGTTTTTGTCCGATTTTGAAACCAGGGTAATGCTGGCCTCATAAAATTGATTTATTTATTTGTTTAGATATGAGCTCACTCTGTTGCCCTGGCTGGAGTGCAGTGGTGTGATCATGGCTCATTGCACCTTTAAACTTCTGGGCTCAAACAATCCTCCTACCCTAGCCTCTCAAGTAGCTAGGACTATAGGCATCCACCACCATAGCTGGCTAAGCTTTATTTTTATTTATTTTTTTATGTTTGTAGAAACAGGTCTTGCTTTGTTGCTCAGGCTGGTAGTTCTTCTTTAAATGGTTGGTAGAATTCAGCAGAGAAGACACAAGTCTAGATTTTTTTTTCTTTTGGATAGAAGACTTTTTACTACTGATTCAATTTCCTCACTTAACTATTGGTTTGTTCGTATTTTCTATTTCTTCATAATTTAATCTTGGTAGGCCGTATTGTCCAGGAATTTATTCACATATTCTATGTTCTCAAATTTGTTGGTATATAGTAGTTCATAATAGTCTCTTATGATCCTTTCTATTTCTGTGATATCAGTTGTAATATCCCCTTTTCATTTCTGATTTTATTTGTATCTTTTCTTTTTTTGTGTTGGCTAGTGTAGTTAAAAAGTTTGTTGATGTTGTTTATCTTTTAAAACACCAACCGTTCATTTCTGTTTTAGTTCATTCTCACACTGCTATAAAGATATTACCTGAGACCAGGTAATTTATTTAAAAAGGAGGTTTAATTGACTCATAGTCCTGCATGGCTGGGGAGGCCTCAGGAAACTTACAATCATGGAAGAAGGGGAAGCAGGGACCTTCTTCACAAGGCAGCAGGAGAGAGAGAGTGAGCAAAGGAAGAACTTGCCAAACACTTATACAACCATCAGATCTCATGAGAACTCACTCACTATTATGAGAACAGCATGGGGGAAACTGCCCCCATGATCCAATCACCTCCCACCAGGTTCCTCCCTCGACACGAGATAATAATTAAAGATGAGGTTTGGGACGGGACACAAAGCTTAACCATATCAATTTCATTGATCTTTTGAATTTTCTTAGTCTCTATTTCATTCATTTCTGCCTTGAGCTTTATTATTTCCTCCCTTCTTTCAACTTAATTTGAAAGAAATATAATTTGTTCTTACTTTTCTAGTTTTTTGAGGTTCATGATTTGGTTGTTAATTAGGAATATTTCTTCTTTTTGATGTGGCCATTTGTTGCTGTGCATTTCTGTCTTAGAACTGTTTTTGCTGTGTTCCATTGATTTTGGTATGATGTGCTCATCATTCTCATCTGTTTCGAAGAATTTGTAGATTTCCCCTTATTTCTTCATTGACCCGTTGGTTATTTAGGAGCATATTGTTTAATTTTCATGTATTTGTAATGTTTCTGAAGTTTCTTTTGTTGATTTCTAGTTTTACACCGTTGTGGTTCAAAAAGATGCTTGATATGATCTCTATCTTCTTAAATTTGTTAAGACTTGTTTTGTGGCCTAATATATGATCTATCCTGAAGAATGTTCCATGTACAGTTGAGAAGAACATGTATTCTGCAGCTGTTAGATAAAATGTTCTGTAAATATCTGTTAGGTTAATTTAGTCTAAGGTAGTTCAAATCTGATATTTCTTTATTGATTATTGATTTTCCATCTAGATAATCTGTTCATTGTTCAGAGTGAGGTGTTGAAGTCCCCTATTACTGTATTACACTGTATCTCTCCCTTCAGATCTAATAATATTTGCTTTACATATTTGTGTGTTCTGGTGTTGGGTGCATATATAGATATAATTGTTATATCCTCTTGTTAAACTGATTCCTTTATCATTATATAATGACCTTGTCGCTTTTTATAGTTTTTGTCTTAAAGTCTATTTTATCTGATGTAAATATAGCTACTTCTGCTTGCTTTTGCTTTCTGTTTGCATGAAATATCTTTCCCTATTCTTTCATTTTCAACCAATGTTTGTCTTTCAAGATGAGATTAGTCTCTTTTAGGCAGCATATAGTTGGGTCTTGTTTCTTTATCCATTCAATCACTCAATATCTTTTAAATGGATAATTTAATTCCTTTACATTCAAAGTTATTATTGATAGATAAGGACTTTCACAATTTCCTTAATTGTTTCTGGTTGTTTTGTAGATCTATTCTCTTTTTGTTTACTGCTTGGTTTGTTTTTTTGTAGTGTTAAACTTTGTTTCCTTTCTCTCTCTCATTTGTGTATGTGCTGTAATTTCTTTCTTTGTAGTTACCATAGAGTAACACAAAGAGTCTTGTAGATATAATAGACTATTTTAAGCTTATTAGAAACTTAACTGTGGTCATATAATAATACTCTACACTTCCTCCCCTCTCCTTCTCCCTCTCCCTCTCCCAAATAATTTACATTTGTTGCTTTAATGTATTTCTTCATCTGTTATGTGTCCCTTAGCTACTAATAGTAGCTGTTGTTTTTTTTGACCATTTGGCTTCAAACTTTCATACTAGAGGGTTAAAAGATTTACATAGCACCATTACATAACTGGGGTAATCTGAGTTTGATTTATGAGTTTATCCTAGTCCTGAGTTTTATACTTTTAGGTTTTATGACAGTGATTATTGTTGTTTCACTTTAGTTGTAACACTCTGTTAAGAATTTTTTGTAAGTCTGGTTGACATATTTTGGATATTTTTCCCCTCCACATATCCTGTTGAAATTTGATCCCCAATGTTGGATGTGGGGCCTTGTGGGAGGTGTTTAGGTCATGGGGCTGGATCTTTTATGAATGGCTTGATGCCATTTCCCCAATAATGAGCGAGTTGTCACTCTTAGTTTTCAGGAGATCTAATTGTCAAAAACCATCTGGCACCTTCTCTTCTCTCTTGGTCCCACCCTCATCATGTAACACACTAACTTCCCTTCACCTTCTGCCCTGAGTGGAAGCTCCCTGAATCCCTTACCAGAAGCAGATTCTGGCACCACACTTCTTGTATAGTCTGCAGAGCTCTGAGACAAATAAACCCTTTTCTCTACAAATTACCCAGCCCCAGGTATTTCTTTATGGCAATGCAAATGGACTAAGACACTGGTCTAGTGGTGATGAGTTCCCTCTTCTTTTCTGGACGTAGTGTTACTGGCTGACTTTCTTTTTTTCTTTCAGCACTTTGAAAATATGACTCATTCTCTCTTGACCTACAAGGTTTCTGCTAAGAAATCTGCTGATAGTCTCATGGGGATTCCCTTATATGTGACTTGACATTTTTCTCCTGCAGCTTTTAGAATTTGCTCTTTGTCTTTGTTTCACTATAATGTGCCTTGGAGAGGATCTTTTTGGGTTGAATCTATTTGGAAACTCTTGAGCTTCCTGAATCTGGATGTCCATATCTTTTCCAATACTTGGGAGAAGTTTTCAGTTATTATTTCTTTAAACAGGATTTTGTGCCTTTCTCCATCTCTTCTTCCTTGGCGTATCTATAATGCAAATATTTGTGCAGTTAATGATGTGTCGTAAGTCTCATAGACTTTATTCACTCTTCTTTACTTTTTTTTTGTCCACTGACTGGCTTATTTCAAAAGGTCTGTCTTCAAGTTCAAAAAGTATGTCTCCTTCTTGATCTAACCTGTTGTTGAAGCTCTCGATTATATTTTTTATTCATTTATTGAATTATTTAGCTCCAAGACTTGTTTGATTCTTTTTCATATTTATCTCTTTGTTGGATTTCTCTTTCAGATCATAAAAATTTTTTTGAGACTGTGCCTCACTCTGTCACCCAGGCTGGAGTGCATTGGTGTGATCTTGGCTTACTGCAACCTCTGCCTCCCAGGTTCAAGCAGTTCTTCTGCCTCAGCTCCCAAGTAGCTGGGATTACAGGCATGTGCCACCACATCTGGCTAATTTTTGTATTTTTAGTAGAGGTGGGGTTTCACCATGTTGGCCAAGCCTGACTCAAACTCCTGACCTCAAGTTATCCACCTGCCTCAGCTTCCCAAAGTATGGGGATTACAGACATGAGCCACTGCACCTGGCCATAAATTGTTTTCTTAATTCCATTGAATTGTGTGCCTGTGTTCTCTTCTATCTTACTGAGTTTCCTTAAGATTATTTTGAATCCCTTCTCAGATATTTCATAAATGTCTTTTTCTTTGGGATCTGTTACTTGAGGCCTATTTGAGTTTTGGGAGTGTCATATTTTCTTCCTTTTTCATGTTTCTTGTGTTTCTATATTGATATCTGCAAATCTACTATAAAAGTCACTTTTTCCAGTTTTTTGAAGTAGCTTTTGAGTGAGAAACTTTTTCCTTTAAGTGGGTTTTAGGATGCTGGTTGGCTGTAGAGTTGGATTTGGTTCTGCGTGAACTCGGGAGTGTGGTCTCTGTGTAGTTTCTTCCATTGTAATCCTTGTCAGATATGTCTGTGATTGCCTCAATGGCCTAGGCTGCTGGTGTTTGTGATGGTGTGGTTTTGCTGAAGATGGGGGCACCAGGCTGGATGTTGAGCCAGAAAAATATATTTGTGGAGGATTGACAGGTAGTTCAGTGGGCTCTTTGAGGAAGCAGTGGCAGCTGCTTGGCTGGCCGTCAGAGGCCAGGCATGGGCACTCATGGGTTCAATGGGGCCAGGCGGTTATGCAGTGGTCTGTTCAGGGGGCAGGGTTACTCCCAGACCTGCGGTAAGAGGCCAGGTAGGGGTGCTAGTGGGTGCATTGGGTGCATTCAAGACCAGGTAGCTCTGTGGTAGCTTGTCCAGAGGGATGAGGTTACTGCAGAACCAGTTGTCAGGCTGTGCATGGGTATTCATGGGCACAGTGGAGCTGGGCAGGATGCAGCAGTATATCCTGCAGGTCAGGCTGCCACAGGACCAGCTGTCAGGCCAGGTGGGAGCCCACAAAGCTTGCTGGATCTGCTAGCTGTGCAGTGTGGGTGTGTGCAGGCCTAGTGGCTGATAGGCTGTTCAGCAGCTTCTCCTGTATGCAGTTCCACCTGTTCTCTGGAGGGGGTGATATGCTGTATGGGTTCATATGCTGGGTTCTTGGCCATTCCATCTGGTTTGTACTCTAGACAGCTGGAACCATGGTGTTGCAGGCCCTTGTGTGAACACAGTGGCACAACAGCAGGGCCTCAGCAATGGAATCAGTTGCTAGTGACCATAGAGCAGGACACACTCTAATAGTAGTCCCAGTTTCAAGATGGCACCAAACTATAACAGTGTAGGTTGTGGTGGAGGGGCATGCTCAAGAAGGGTCTTACTATGAAATAGTGCAGCTGCGCAGACTCCCAGCTACACTGCAGACTTGATTCAGAGCCTGTGAGAACTGAGGTGCTCTCCTGTAGCAAGGACTGTGAGCATATGTGGAAGCAATGGAGGCCACTAGGGTTCTCCAGCTCACCTTTTCCTTGTAGAAAGAAGTTCCCTCTGACTCCCAGTTGATCTCTGTGTGGGAGACAGTGTGGCAGACAGTGTGGCAGAGGGAGGATGCCTTGCTTTCCTCTCTATGGTACTCTTCTGGGTTTTTGTACTCCACAGAGTTGTTGCTGTTCCCCTGGTGCTCTCAGCTTTCTTCCTCAGTCACTCTAGTTGAAATATAGTTGTTTATTCATTGTTTTTTTCCTTTCTGTGGGGAGGATGAAATCCAGGTAACTCTAATTGGCCATCTTGCTGATGTCACCCTCAGATGTTATGTATTTAATGCACATGAAGATGCAGAAAGAGATAAAGGGAGAGAATTTATTCTGAGATCCTTGAAAGGTCATTTGCCTTAGTAAAATATGAGGATTTAGCTTCAGACATAATTATCTCCATGAATAACTGCCTTACCATGTACTTTTGAGCAAATTAATTCATCTCTCTAAGCTTCAGTGTCTTCATCTACAAACAAGGAATGCAATATACCATAACTCACAGGGTTACTGCAGATTATAACTGAGGTCATTTACGTCGATGTCTTAGCACAGTGCATTGAACAATGTTAAATGCAAAAAACAAATCGAAACAAAAACAAAACAATGAAACATTGTTATTATCTGAAATAATCTCATTTATAGAATGGAGATAATAATAGTTACTTTTAATAAATATTGTGAGAAGAAAATGAGTTTATATATGTAAATTGCCTAACAAAGTGCTTAAAACAAAATAGCTAATCAAGAAATGATAGCTATTATCATCATTGAATTTACCATTGAAATAAAGTCATCTTTAACATGCTTATGTCTTAAAGTGTTTATGATTTGGCGCCCTCTGATGTTCATCATGGGCCCTGCAATTTTGAATCAGTTGATAAGTGTTAATAATGTAATCAGTTAGTGATGATCATTTACATGCTATTTTGCCATATCCAAATAAGCTGTTTTTATTTTAAATTTCTATTTAAGTTGGCTTACTTCTTAAGATAAACTCAATGTATTACACAAGCTAATTTTAATCATTATGATAGAAAACCAGTATGTTTTTAATACATGCTAAAATAAATACATAACTATTAACATAAAAAATTCTTCATTTGAGTACCAACTAGAATCATACCTCATACAACACTTTGGAAAAGCTAATTTTATATAAATAGGTTTTATGGTATAAGGGGTCAGGGAAGCTGTCACAAAAAAGTTATTTTTCAAAATGGAAGCAAGAATGATGAGAAGTTAGTTTGATAGGCAAGGAGACAAAGAACTTTCCCAAGAGAGACTAAAGTATATGTGAATGCAAAGAGTTGTGGAAACACTTGCCTCTTGGGGAAACTGCAATTTGTTATAAATGGCTGGACCCCAGAGTGCAATGAATGATTGGCACATCATTCGTTGGCACATCATGGCAATGCAGGGAGAGAAGTGGGCAGTGGCCCCACTGGGCAAGGCCTCTTGTGTCATGCAGAAGACTGTGGATTTGCTTACTGTAGATTCATCATTTCCACAAAAATAGAGGCTCATGAAATTTTAAGAAATATTCCCACCACCATTGAAATATGTGTATTTGTGGTGTGTGTGTTTGTGTGTGTGTGTGTGTGTGTGTGTGTGTGTAGTCAACTTTGGGAAATGCTGAGTTAATCCAAATTAAGCAGAATTTTGTTTTTATTATAGAAATTGTTATAATATAATAAAATTATAAGAGGGAGTGATAATATGAATATTTCACAATGTGTTTGATCTTGAAATCTGTTTACTTTTTAAAATGTTATCTGATTTGTTTTATTTATTTTAGAAGCAATATAGATAACATCAGGTAGATAAAATTTTGAGAAATGCCCTTGGGTTATGGAGAGTTTTTTTTAATTTATGAAGATAGTAATAACATGATTAGATTTGTGATAGTAATAACATTATTAGATCATGGATAACAATATGGTTGTGATTTTCAGGGGGAAAAAACTAGAGGCTGCCAAATAAACTAGATGATGGCTGGATCACCCCTAATCCACATGTAGAAAATGTAATACACTCACTGTGTATATCATGAATTTTAAACTATGAGAACATAAAAACAGATTTAGGGTATAGTACATTCAAGGGCAGTAGTTTATGCTCTTCAAAAAACAGACTCATTAAATAAAGCAATGGTCCTTGTTGGAAGAAATGATACTACCCAAGAGACAAAAAGAACTGACAGACTTCATAGAAAGATACATAAATATTACATGCCAAGGAGAAATTAGTACAACATTAAGCAAATTTGAGTAATAGCAAATAGAGAATTGTGATGATAGAATCAAACATAATAAATGCTCCACAACAATGCATAAATTACAGAATATAATAACTATAATTATTATAAATAAATAATGTATGTCAATATTCTGCTGCTTTTATTGAAAACAATAGATCTAGGTGGAGCACTCTAGCTTATGAATTGTTGAAATCAACTGTGACTATTATCATTGTGAGTTATTGAAACCAGATGAGGGAGTGAATGTGTGTGTGTGTGTGTGTGTATGTGTGTTAGTGCAGGTAAGCTAGAAATAGGGAGAGGAGGATGGAGAAGAGATAATAAGGTAGAAAGCACAATTCCTTTAATATTTGAGTCAAAAGGGAAGAATACTTTTTTCTACAGGCCATTGAATTATGCAAGCAGTTTGATGGATCTTGTTTGCTCTCAGATTGATTTTCTTCACCAGCATTTAGAGTGGCTGCTATATTCATGTGACAGTTATGAGGAATAATTATGTATTTTCCTTACTGAACTGGTTTAAAATGTCACATCGCATGAAAGTTCCTACAGCTTGTCAAATTGTGTTAATTTTCTTCATTTTTCTAGTGAATGCTTTAAACTGTTCACCCAGCTCATGAATAGAGCAGCCCTTTTCTTCCTCCTCTGAAAAAACAGATGATTGTTTAACAGATATCATTAGATATGCAGAAAATAAAGCATTCTGGTATAGATGGAGGTCAATATATTTAAGAGGAAGTTGCATATTTTTTCTTTTTGCAAGTTTGTCCACCAATATGGTGCAACATTGACTTCAAGTAAATTTAATCCACCAACCTTGGTTGTTAATTTGTATTTTCACTGAATATTCGCTAATGTTTTTTATAGGATGCACTGTGATAGTAATTATTTAAGTGTTTCCAGGAATGGAGAGAAAGAAAACTAGAAATTGGAGGCAATGTGGCATAATGGTTAAGAACGAAGGCTGAGGAGTTAATCTGGATTTATGTCCCATCTCCACTGTTATTAGCTGTTTGATCCAAGCCAGTCAAATAATCTAAGACTCAGTTTCTTCATCTGTAAGATGGGGATAATAATACCAACCTCCAAAGAGACGTTACAAACACACACTCACACACACACACACACACACAAATGTGTATGCGTGTGTGTATATGATGATTATTTTAGCACAGTCAAAATAAAATTGCTAATATTTACTTAAACTAGTATAATTACTTTGGTTTTTCCTTTCAAAATGAAAATTGGAACATAACTTCTAATACTATTGGTAATAGAACCATCAGGCTTTCCAGATTCTCCGTGGGTTCCACTTACCCACATACCTATCCAACCTTATCTATAATTAATTCTCAGAATTAACCCCTCATTTCAGTGGGGCTGGCCTTATTAACCAGCCTTCCTCCACCTCTGCCATTCTTGTTTCTGTCTCATACTTTTTTCCAACTCCTTAGAAAGCCTTTCCTTCTCCCCATCAACCATCTCACTGCACAGATTTGATGGCATGACGTCTTGCTCGAAGTCTACTTACTTGTTCTTGAATACTGCTTGATATTGTTATTAAACATACTGATTCTTAAATTTTTGAAATCCCAATCATCATCCTTAACATTTGTAAATTTTTTACAATTATAACCATCATATTATAAATGATGAAAGATATCTCAAAAGTTTTTTTTTAACATTCCTCGAACACTCTTTGGAACCATCTTTCTTGCTTTCAATAAATTCTATTCTCTAGACACTCCAAATGAACCTTCACTTTGAAATGACACACTATTTTTATTTTTCTCAATCCAACTTACCAAATTCAAGTCCTTAATTCTTTTTTTGAGGTATTAGCATATGGGGGTGTGAAAAGGAGGGTAGAAAATGAGAAATTACTTAATGAGTAAATATATGTTATTCAGGTGATGGATGCTATACAAACCTTTGAGTTGACCACTACACAATCTATGCATGTACAAAATTGCATTTGTATCCCATAAATTTATACAAAACATGCATTAACGTATGACAATGAATTAATATATCACCAATTTGTAAGAACATATTTGGTTTTTAACAACTGTCTTCAAGGTACCCAGAATAGTGACTCACAGGAAGATTTCAAGCATCATCTTAAGTCAGGAGTTATTCTTGGCAAAGAGCTGTATTGACACCTCATTAACACGCCAAGGCGATGTGTGTCTGCTTTGTTCCTCTTTCAGTGCATCCTAGTTCCATAGGGTAAGATTTGAAGATAACAACTATTACTTCTTCAATGTCTAGAGAATAAGAAAGGAAAAACTAGGAATGAGAAAATATTATATTAGTATAGTAAATTTGAATTTTATAAATGAACATTTTAAATTCTTTAATTCTGACAATATGATAGACTAGACAGCCTGATACCATTCCACTAAATACAAATGTATATATACTTAAATTGTTGAAAATGTTAAATATACTTTTCATAAAAAGAGATAACTAAAAAATAGTAAAGTAAATATGAGGACCGAGAGAACTGTCAGCGGGTATCTGGAGAAAGAAGGATCCTTGGAGGCATACAGAGTTTCCTATTTCCATGAAGAGAGAAATAAGGGGGGCGGCGAAGTCTTGGAATTACAAAGGGTGAAAAGCCAAATGGGAGAATATCCTTAATAAAGTTTCAACTCAAAAAGAACTATAACCTCAGATAAAGGAATTGTTAAATCAAGTTTAGCATAAAGCTTCCTTCCTACATATTTTAAGTCAGGCCTAAAGGTGTTTCTATACATCTTGAACTATAACAAGTGAAGGTATAAACAGACCATAGCCTACACCTGTGCCAATCACCGAGTTCTGGCCAGTCAAATGTAGCCAACTGTTCGAACCTGTTCAAATAAAGCAAACACTGAGCTATAACCAATCCAGCTGTTTCTTTACCTCTCTTCAATTTTCTACATGTCACTTTCCTTTTTCTGTCCATAAATCTACCATGTGGCTGCTCTGGAGTCTCAGAGACTACTCTGGCTGTGAAGGCTGCCCAATTCATGAATCATTCATTAAATTAGTTAACAATTGTAACAATTTGGCTGAAGCTTTTCTTTTTCTTTCTTTTTTTTTTTTTTTTTTTTTTTGAGACAGAGTCTAGCTCTGTTGCCCAAGCTGGAGTGCAGTGGCGTGATATCAGCTCACTGCAACCTCCGCCTCCCGGGTTCATGCCATTCTCCTGCCTCAGCCTCCTGAGTAGCTGGGACTACAGGTGCCCGCCACCAGGCCCGGCTAATTTTTTGTATTTTTAGTAGAGGCGGGGTTTTGCAGTGTTAACCAGGATGGTCTCGATCTCCTGACCTTGTGATCAGCCCACCTTGGCCTCCCAAAGTGCTGGGATTACAGGCTTGAGCCACCGCGCCTGGCCCAGCTTTTCTTTTATTAGATAGCAATGAGGATGGGATCCGAAGTAGAGCTTCCAACGACCCTCAGGAGCGCTGAGCGACCAAGTGAAGTACCTACAGGACCCATTTGTGTTCACTGATCTATTGGAGCAGCTGGGGATTGTGGTAAGTTCTCTCTGGCATTTCAGAGCTCCACGGATTTGTGTTTTGAGCTCACTGAGTTTCTTTGAGCAAATTTGTGATCCAAACTGGTTTTGGAAGTCATGACAGAAACTGGACTGGGTCCAGGATCACATTTGACCCAGTAATTAACTGACTTGGATCCAGTTAGAGGCCTCGCACATCTGACTGGGTCAGAAAGAAACTGGTGGTAAATAGTAATATTGCAGGGGGTGTAAAAATTTGGCTTTTGAAAATTCAAAGGGATTTTTGTGTTCTACCTTTTTTTTTTTTCCACTTTTCTTGTGTGCTTAGGTAGGAGGAAAAAAATCATTAATTAAGTCAATCAAGGGAACCTAGAAACAAAACCAATATTTTAGGTAAAAAATGGGATCCTTAATTTTTGGAAAACTGAGTTCCCTCCAGCTTATACATGCGTAAGTGTTAGGCCCCAGAAGTAGTGAAGTCTTAGAGTAATAGTGAAATCTTACTAAAGATAACTTACAGTGGAATGTTCCAAATGAATAAAACTGCACTAAAGTGCGTTTGAAAATGAGGGCTCCCAAATTAGTCTCCTGTAGGCATGGCTATTGATATGCAGAAGCTTCTAAAAAGATTTCAGTATTTTTATTTAAAGACTTTACAAAAGGCAAATAAAAAACTTAAGCGACTAATTGATTTTAAAAAATTAAATTTGCTTTGCACTTTTTGCTGACAGCTGTGGGTGACAGGATTAGGCATGTATAGGACCACTGGACATGGGGAGCTTTTTTTCTTTCCAAAGCGGGAAACATGAGAGCTGATGGGACTGCTGGAAAAGATCCCTTTGCGACTGACAAGCAACTGCCTGAACTTTTGATTCAGCATTGCTGGGATGGGTGGGTCTTTCTCTGGCTTCCCTGAGCTCCTGCCTTCCCCACTCTGCCACAGGCAATGCTTTTCTCTCTCTCTCTCTCTTTTCCCTTTCTTACCTTTTCTGTTACTCCGTGCAACCATCTTCCCCAGAGACCACATGTTGAAACTCTTTTAATCCACTTTAAATGGATTAAAGATGACAGGGCCCATCTAGGGCCAAGTTTGAGACTTGCCAATTTGATATTGGGTGCTAAGCAGAGTGGCTAATGTCTATGTTTTGTCACATGTATTTTGCTCTGGCTGGAATGAAAAATGTATATTCAGTTCTGCTGGTTGGGGAGCAACTTGCAAAATTGAGAGGTTTTTGCCTGTGGTTCCAAGATTTTCCTTTATGACACGGCTTGGCGCCCAGAGCTATGGTGTGGTGAGCAGGGTCACTAAGGCCACTCAGGGAAAGAGAACCCAGAAACCTGACATGCCAGCAAAACGGTAAGAATTTCTTACCAGTCAGACTTCTGGCCTCTTTCTCTCTATGCAAACTGGCTGAATGAATGGTAAAAATCACTGTTTATCTCCTCTGTAAAATTTTGATTAATGGGAAAAAGGATTTGTGAGGCTAGTCATGAGCTGTAGTGAATCTGTTGTACTCTGTGCTATGAATGTCTTTCTGTATCTTTCTGTCAGAAAGAGGGGTGCCTTAGGATAGAACACGAGCTTAGGACCCCGTTACCCTGCTGTTCAAGATGGCCCAGAAAACTGGTCAATAAGGTTCTTGGGAGTTTGACCTTGTAACCACGTGGTGGTTACTTTCTCTTTGTCTCCACCATCCAGAGGACGGGAATTTTGGAGATCATGTTTTTACCGGTGGAAGGTATCCAAGTTACTGGCAGCAAATCCCCATGGGTCTGCAGCAACCTCGATTCTTGCTTCTCAGAAAAACGAATTCGACTGAGGGACATAAGGCAGAAAAAGAAACTGAGGCAAGTTTTGAGCAGGAGTGGAAGTTTTATATTTAAAAGGCTTTAGAACAGGAAAGGAAAGAAAGGAAGGTATGCTTGGAAAAAACCCAAGTGGGCAATGAGATCAAGTGTGGTATTTAGCCTTGACCCTAGGACTTATAGGCTGGCCCCTTTCCCATGATTCTTCCCTTAGGGTGGGCTGCCCACATGTGCAGGGCCCTCCTTACACTTGCGAGGTGAGCATGCGTAGGGTGTTTAGCAAGTTGTACGCATGACCATCTGAGGCTTTCTTCCCTTTTCTGGTGGAGTGTACCCGGAAGATCATACTCTGCCATTTTGTCTCTTAATGCACATGCCTGGGCTGACTTGCAAAATACCTGAGATTTTATTGGAAGCCCCTTTTTGCTTCTCCCTGGCATCTGCATTCAATTAACACTTTAATGCAACAGGTGTGGACCATCAGGAGATGGCCTCTCCCTGGTGCTGGCTGCCAATTTATCACTTTTAGAGAGGCCATGTGATCATTTCTGAGCCATCAACCAACATTCTTAGTGGGTGGGGAGAGCCCTCTCCTGCCCTGCTCATGCCTGTCTAACTGCTTATAACAATGTCATACTTAGCTCTAAAAATTATCTTGAGTAGTTAAAAACCATTGCAAGCTCAAAATGGACTGCTGTAGACTCCTTCTGGGAAGGGCAATGGAAACTGCCCAATGCTGTAACTCAGCAGCTAAGGCTTTGCCATTTTACAATGGCAGCTTGGGTTCAATCCTGGCTTAGGAAACGAGTACTTTTTGGTTGATATCTGTGTGACTTTATCATTTGTGGATTCTCTTCCCCTCCATGAACAACTTCTGGCTTCCCTTGTTGAATTTTCCTTTCTCTAAGCACCTGGGAGGTTATCTTTGGTAAAGTTCAAAAGCCAGAAATATTGACCATTTGGCTTAGCTAGAGTCTAGTAATAAATTTAAAAGGACTTTTTTTTTTTTTAGAGTGCTATGGTTATAAGTCAGTTTAATTAAAAGTGGGTATTCAAGCTCTAGGAGCCTGGGACTCCATGGGAAAAACAGAGGAAGTACCACCAACCCTGTTTTTGGAAGAACATCTGATTTCCACATGAAACCCCAGGAATTGGGACGAGATAGACCCCTCTCAAAATTTAAGGCTCTGCTCTGTTTTGCATTGCATTCTCTGCCATTTTTTACTTTGGGGGGTATCAGAAATTACTTCTCATTATGAGAACGCTTTGGTGTTCAATACCTAGGTAGGAAATATACTTTAGTAATGGCCAATGGCAGTTATGAGGGAATACTTTGCTTTTGCACCTTTGGATCAGAGAAGCATGCTCTTGGCCACCTAGAAAGTATGAAAGTGTCCCCACTCCTCACTGAGATAAGACTCCCATGGGAGATGGGTTAATCACAGAATGGGCTGATTGGCTGATTGACTTCGGGTTGCTTTGCAATAAAATGTATAGTAAAAGCATTGCACTGTCTTTTACTGATTGGCTGATTGACTTCGGGTTGCTTTGCAATAAAATGTATAGTAAAAGCATAGCATTTCCTTCTTTTTGGGGATCCAGGATGTGATATAAAAATGAGACTCTTAATTTTGGAGATCTATTTTTGCCTTCCAACTGTGCCTGCTTATTAGGCCCTAGAAACTGTATTGTTTTCCTACCCTGTTCCTCCAAGGACTCCACCCTAAAGTCAGTAATCCAATTAAGAAACTTACAAACTGGCAAATGAAAAATCCTACAACCACTAGATCTTCTGTCTGTATAGTTATATATGTGTTGTGTGTGTAATGTTTATATAAAAGAGCTCTAATTAATTGGCTTAAAGAAAAATAAGTGCTTAAATATTTTGAAAGAAAACTAAAAGCTATAATTCCTTTTAGTTTACGTGACTTTAATCATCTTTAGGAAATAAGAACAGCTTTAAAGATCATTGGTAAAACATAGACATTTGGTCCAAATTAGGCAGGTCAGATATTAGGTTTACTAAATGCTTTAAGGTTGTAAACTGCTTTCACTTTTGAAAATTGTTCAACTTGCCTGCTTTACAGCTAGGTAAGGCCTGGGGATGTGTGGGGTTAGCCATGCCCCCTAGCTATGCTGGAAGGAGTCAGACCTTATCTGCACTTCCGTCTGATGTCCTAGGCTCAATCCTAATACATAATTAAAATTGCTTACTGACCAGGTTTTTCACCAAAAGTTGCTAAGAGTTAACAGTATAACTTGTACTCGAGACTTCTAAAAAAATAGTTTTACATGCCAGGTGTGTGAAGAAAGTGAAATGTGCCTTTAGTAAAAGATTATAAGAAGACATGGGAATGTACATTTTTGCCTAGTTTAGAGGGTTAAAGGATTGTTTTAAATTAAATAGGATAGGAGAGAGATCATCATGGCAGATGGGAGGCAGGACTAGATTGCAGCTCCAGACCGAGCAGCTTGCGAAAGCTCGCATTGTAAATGTTGGCTCCGGATTGACTGCAAGAACAAACCAGCAATCCCGAGAGGACCCGCAGACCCTCTGAAGGAAGTGGACTGCTCCTACAGGACCCAAGAGACATCCCAAATACCGTGAGGGACCCAACTACAGAAGTGGAAAAGTGAGACCCTCCTCTCCTGAACACACACCCCCACTGGAGAAGCTGAAGGTCTGTTTGCAGAAGTTTCTGACCTTACCTGGAGCTGAGCCAATTTAGAAAGCCAAGTGAAATAAAGGGGTAGAGGAAGCAGCAGAAAGGCCCTGGGAGCTCGCTGGGTCCCCTGGCAGGCCATTCCTGCCTGGCACCACAGGGACCCATCAGGTGGGTGACCAGAGGATCAGGGGGTAAAACTACACAGGAAGAAGGAACTCTCTGGCTGAACTTTGTAACAATTTGAATGCGGAGAGAAGCTTCCTTGCCAGAACTTGGGGGAGGGTGCAAATCTGGTGTGCAGACTCCACAAGTTGCGGGGAGAACCAAGCCCTTTTCTCTCACAGCTGGGAGGTGGGTAGCCCGGGGCAAGTATTCAACCCCATTGTGCCCTCTGCCTGGAAACAGACTCTTGGCTGTCTGCGGAGGGAGCACAGTGGGAGTGAGACTGCCCTTCATTTTGCATGGGAGCTGGGTGAGGCCTGTGGCTGCCAGCTTTCCCCCACTTCCCGACAACCTGCATGACTCAGCAGAGCCAGCCATAATCCTGCTAGGTACACAGCTCCAGTGACCAGGGAGAGTCATCCTCATCCCCCACAGCAGCCACAACAAGACCCGCCCAAGGAGAGTCTGAGCTCAGACATGTATAGCTCTGCCCCCACCTGATGGTCCTTCCCTATACACCCTGGTAGCAGAAGACAAAGGGCATATACTCATGGGAGTTCTAGGGCCCTGCCCACTGCTGGTCCCTCTCTATACTTCTACAGCTGATGCTTTCTGGATAGCACCACCTCCTGGGAGGAGACCAACCAACACAAAAATAGAGTATTAAAACACCAAAGCTAAGAACCCTCACGGAGTCCATTGCACACTGCCTCCCACCCCCTCACCATTGTCTCCACCAGAACAGGCAGTGGTATCCATGGCTAAGAGACGGTTCACATCACAGGACTCTGTGCAGACATCCTCCAGTACTAGCCCAGAGCCGGATAGACTCACTGGGTGGTTAGACGCAGAAGAGAGACAATAATCACTGAAGTTAAGCTCACAGGAAGCCATATCCATAGGAAAAGGAGGAGAGTACTACATCAAGGGAACACCCCATGGGACAAAAGAATCTGAACGACAGCCTTCAGCCCTAGACCTTCCCTCTGACAGAGCCTACCCAAATGAGAAGGAACCAGAAAACCAACGCTGGTACTATGACAAAACAAATCTCTTCAACACTCCCAAAAAATCATCATACTAGTTCACCGGCAATGGATCCAAACAAAGAAGAAATCCATGATTTACTTGAAAAAGAATTCAGTAGGTTAGTTATTGAGCTAATCAGGGAGGGACCAGAGAAAGGCAAAGCCCAATGCGAGGAAATCCAAAAAAAAGATACAAAAGTAAAGGGAGAAATATTCAAGGAAGTAGATAGCTTAAAGAAAAAACAATTAAACATTCAGGAAAATTTGGAAACACTTTTAGAAGTGCTAAATGCTCTGGAAAGTCTCAGCAATAGAATTGAACAAGTAGAAGAAAGAAATTCAGAACGCGAAGACAAGGTCTTTGAATTAACCCAATCCAACAAAGACAAAGCACAAAGAATAAGAAAATATGAACCAAGTCTCCAAGAAGTCTGGGATTATGTTAAACTACCAAAATTAAGAATAATCAGTTTTCCTAACGAAGAAGAGAATTCCAAAAGCTTGGAAAACATATTTAGGGGAAGAATCAAGGAACACTTTCACAGCATTGCTAGAGATCTAGACATCCAAATACAAGAAGAACAAACAACACCTGGAAAATTAATCGTAAAAAGATCTTTGCCTAGGCACATTGTCATCATGCGAGGTGACAGTGTGCTGGTAGCCCTCACAGACCTTACTTACTCTCAGCACTTCCTCTGCCCGGGCTCCCACTTTGGCAGCACTTGAGGAGCCCTTCAGCCTGCCACTGCACTGTGGGAGCCCCTTCCTGGGCTGGCCCAGGCCAGAGCTGGCTCCCTCAGCTCATGGGGAGGTGTGGAGGGAGAGGTGCAGGTGGGAACCAGGGCTGCCTGTGGTGCTTGCGGGCCGGCGCAAGTTCCGGGTGGGTGTGGGCTTGGCAGGCCCTGCACTCGGAGTGGCCGGCCGGCGGGCCCTGCCAGCCCCAGGCAATGAGGGCTTTAGCACCCGGGCCAGCGGCTGCGGAGGGTGTGCTGGGTCCCCCAGCAGTGCTGGCCCACTGGCGCTGCGCTCGATTTCTCGCTGGGCCTTAGCTGCCTCCCCGCGGGGCAGGGCTCGGGACCTGCAGCCCACCATGCCTAAGCCTCACCCAAAACTCCATGGGCTCCTGTGTGGCCCAAGCCTCCCTGACCCCACCCCCTGCTCCACAGCGCCCACTCCCATGGACCACCCAAGGGCTGAGGAGTGCGGGCGCAGGGCGCGGGACTGGCAGGCAGCTCCACCTGCAGCCCCAGTGCGGGATCCACTGGGTGAAGCCAGCTGGGCTCCTGACTCTGGTGGGGACTTGGAGAACCTTTATGTCTAGCTAGGGGATTGTCAATACACCAATCGGCACTCTGTATCTAGCTCAAGGTTTGTGAACACACCAATCAGCACCCTGTGTCTAGCTCAGGGTTTGTGAATGCACCAATCGACACTCTGTATCTAGCTACTCTGGTGGGGACTTGGGGAACCTTTGTGTCGACACTCTGTATCTAGCTAATCTAGTGGGGACGTGGAGAACCTTTGTGTCTAGCTCAGGGATTGTAAACGCACCAGTCAGCGCCCTGTCAAAACAGACCACTCGGCTCTCTGTAAAATGGACCAATCAGCAGGATGTGGGTGGGGCCAGATAAGAGAAAAAAAGCAGGCTGCCCGAGCCAGCAGTGGCAACCCGCTCAGGTCCCCTTCCACAGTGTGGAAGCTTTGTTCTTTCACTCTTTGCAATAAATCTTGCTGCTGCTCACTCTTTGGGTCCACACTGCCTTTATGAGCTGTAATACTCACCGCAAAGGTCTGCAGCTTCGCTCCTGAAGCCAGCGAGACCACGAACCCACTGGGAGGAATGAACAACTCCAGATGCATTGCCTTAAGAGCTGTAACACTCACTGTGAAGGTCCGCAGCTTCACTCCTGAGCCAGCGAGACCACGAACCCACCAGAAGGAAGAAAATCGGAACACATCCAAACATCAAAGGAACAAACTCCGGACACGCCACCTTTAAGAACTGTAACACTCATCGCGAGGGTCCGTGGCTTCATTCTTGAAGTCAGTGAGACCGAGAACCCACCAATTCCAGACACAATCAGGTTATCCAAAGTTAAGATGGAGGAAAGAATCTTAAGAGCTGTGAGACAGAAGCACCAGGTAACCTATAAAGGAAAATTTATCAGATTAACAGCAGGTTTCTCAGCAGAAACCCTACAAGCCTTTGGCCCTATCTTTAGCCTTTGGCCCTATCTTTAGCCTCCTCATACAAAACAATTATCAGCCAAGAATTTTATATCCAGTGAAACTAAGCATCATATATGAAGGAAAGATAGTCTTTTTTCAGACAAACAAATGCTGAAAGAATTCACATTACCAAGCTGCTACTTCAAGAACTGCTAAAAGGAGCTCTAAATCTTGAAACAAATCCTAGAAACACATCAAAACAGAACCTCTTTAAAGCATAAATCACACAGGACCTATAAAACAAAACTACAAGTTAAAAAGCAAAAACAAAAACAATGAAAACAAAGTACACAGGCAAGAAAAAGCATGATGAATGCAACAGTACCTCACATTTCAATACGGACATTGAATGTAAATGGCCTAAATGCTCTACTTAAAAGATATAGAACCGTGGAATGGATAAGAACTCACCAATCAACTATCTGCTGCCTTCAGGAAACTCTTCTAACACAGAAGGACTCACATAAACTTAAAGAAAAGGGGTGGAAAAAGGCATTTCATGTAAATGGACACCAAAAGCAAGCAGGGGTAGCTATTCTAATATCAGACAAAACAAACTTTAAAGCAACAGCAGTTAAAAGAGACAAAGAGGGACATTATATAATGGTAAAAGGCCTTGTCCAACAGGAAAATATCACAATCTTAAAGTCCTAAGACTTTAAGGAAACACATATGTCCCAGAATGAACCAGGTTTGCTTTTCTCCTGTAAACAACACTTCAGCATAAAGAGGTACCCTCTACTCAGTCCTTGTTTCTACCTTGCAAAACATTGTTCTATTGTTTCCCACTGGGTTTCAAGACCAATGGTGATAGTGACATCAATTACTGAACTTTTGGTCAATCTCTCAAAATTAAAATGACCAAAAGGGAGGAATTGTTAAATCAAGTTCAGCTTAAAGCTGCCTCCCTACATATTTTAAATTAAGCCTAAAGATTTTTCTGGGCCAGGCGTGGTGGCTCATGCCTGTAATCCCAGCACTTTGGGAGGTTGAGATGGGCAGATCGCTTGAGTTCAGGAGTTCGAGACAAGCCTGGCCAACATGGTGAAACCCCATCTCTACTAAAAATACAAAAATTAGCCAGGCGTGGAGGGGAGCACCTCTAATCCCAGCTACTCAGGAGGCTGAGGCAGGAGAATCACTTGAACCCAGGAGGCGCTGGTTGCAGTGAGCTGAGATTGTGCCACTGCACTCCAGCCTGGGTGACAGAGCAAGACTCCATCTCAAAACAAACAAACAAACAAACAAAAAAACAAGGTTTTCCTGTACATCATGAACTATAACAAGTGGAGGTGTAAACAGACCATAGCCTATACCGGTGCTAATCACTGAGTTTTGGCCAAACAAATGTAGCCAACTGTTTGAATCATGTTCAAATAAGGCAAATGCTCAGCTGTAACCAATCCAGCTGTTTCTGTACCTCACTTACATTTTCTATACGTCACTCTCCTTTTTCTGCCTATGGGCAGAAACTTTGGGTGGGAAGGCTGCCTGATTCGCAAATCATTCATTGCTCAATTAAACTTCTTTAAATTTAATTAGGCTAAAGTTTTTCTTTTATCAGAATATTTGAATAAATTCTAAGCCTCAGAAGTACACAACAAGACTCAGCTCTGTCTATGGCTGAAGGTTAAAACACTTTTCCCAAGAATGTATTCACAATGGCTGGTCATCATTTGGGTCTGAGGACTGAATTAACACCATTTGCATGGTTCAAAAAAAAAAAACAACACTAACCTGGAATTGTAATTTAAAGTGGATCTTTAGTTGTCTGGCAGAAGCAAAGGCAATTTTTTTCAAGATGAACAAATGCTGCTCCTAAGGCATAAACATACTACAGATAGAGTTTCAGGAAACATGGAATCAAAATGAAAAATCACAAAACATAAAATGAAATAGACACCACTAAGAGTCAACAGAATCAATGACTTCTGTTAGAATGACTAGACACAGTGCAAAGTAAGTATGTTTACTACATTTAAAAAAGTTAAAAGGAGAATTAAATCATGATTGTGGTAGGCTGAATAATGACCCCTCAAAAGATAGCTGTATTATAATCTCTGGTATGAATGTTACTATATATGGCCAAAAAATGGCTTTGCAAATGTGATTCAGTTAAAGATTTTGAGATGCGACTATTCTGGATTAGCCAGGTGAGCCCTAAATGCCATCACATGTATCTGTCTAAGAGGGAGACAGAGGAGGATTTGACACAGGAAGGCAGAAGGGAAGAGAAGAAGGCAATATGACCTCAGAGACAAGACGGGAGTAATGCGACCACAGAAGTTAGGAGAGGCAAAGAACAGATTCTTTCCTAGTGTCTCTGGAGAAAGTACAGCCCTACCAACAGCTGCATTTCGACTCAGTGATACTAATTTTGGACTTCTGACCTCTAGAACTATGAAAGTATAAATTTCTTCATTTTAAGCTGCCAAATTTGTGGCAATTTACAGCAGCCATAGGCAACAAATACAATGATTAAATAGCATGAGACAATAAAAATAAGAGACTTTTTTTAAAAGAACAAAATTAAACTTTTACAAATTAAAAGTGATATTTATATTAAATGTAAATATTGTGACCATATAAAGTATACAATAAATTTAAATTATATAATAATATAAATATGTGAATTACATTAAATGTAAGAAATAAAGAAGGCCAAACACCGCTAAAGAGAGAATTGTTTACTGGAAAGTATAACTAGATAAATTTCATAGATAAAAAGGATGTGAGACAAATAAATGAAATATATGAAAGAAAGCTTTAAAGCATATGTAAGCTTGATCATAAAGATTACTATATGTTACACCAGAATTATATAGAGGTGGCAAAGAGAATAGAAGAAAAACAATATTCAAAATGATTAAAGATTTTTCAGACTTGATGGAAGTGCAGCATAGCAAAACCAAGCATAAAATATAAAGAAATTCAAACATAGATAAATGTTAAAAGAACTGCAGAGTAAAACACCAAAGAAGCAGAGAGTATCTTAAAAGTAGCTGGAAGAAAAAACAGAGAGTATTTACAAATAAAAAGCATTATTTTATTTTATTAATAGTTAACTTTTCAACTGCAATGATTAAAGGCATAAAGCAGTGTAACAATATTTTAAAATTCTGAAAGAAATCCATTTTTAACCTAGAATTAAATAACAATCTTTCAGAAACAAATGAGAAAGCAATTTCTAAAAGTTGTTCATTACTACAAAGTTAAATGTTCCCAGAAGATCTGAAATGCAGGAGAGTGAATTTTTAATATGACAGAGCTAAGTTAATGGGCACAATTATATATAAGATGGGGAAGAAATGATTGGTGTGAAATATTTCTTTAATACTTTGTATCATGCAGGAAGAGATAAAGATATTACCTAACTTTAGACTTTTTTTTTTTCCAGAGACACAGTCTTGCTGTTACCCATGCTAGAATGCAGAGGTATGATTATAAGTCACTGCAGCCTCAAGTTCTTAGGCTCAAGCTCTCACCTCAGCCTCCCAAGGAGCTGGAACTACAAGCACACACCACCATACCCAGCTAATTTTGAAATTTTCTGCAGAGACAGGACCTTGCTATGTGGCCCAGACTGGTCTCAAACTCCTAGCCTCAAGTGATATGCCTAGCCTCAAGTGATCCTCCCGCCTCAGCCTGCAAAAGTGCTGCGATTATGGGCATGAACCACCATGTCTGGCCCTAACTTTAGACTTTCTTATATGTGCATGTTAAAATATAAAGGGCAAACACTAGAAGAATATAATTATTGTGCATATAATCAAACAGAGAAATAAATGGAATAAGAAAAAAGACAAGATTTGGGGAAAGTAAACTTTAGAGAGAAGGAAATGCATACCATAAGATGGTGAAAATAAATTCATACATATAAATAATTACAATTGATGTTGAAGGAATAGATTGTCAGATTATATAAAGGAAATAAAAATCCAGTGCTATTTTTTTTCATAAGAGACAACACAGAAAAATTTAAACTAAATCTTGGAAATAGTTATATCAAGTAACTATAGACCCAAAGAAATGCAGTATACCTGTATTAATACTTGTCAAAACAGATTTTTGACTATTTTAAATAAGAGGAACTAAGCTATTTAATAGAAACCTTTAACACACAATTCTTAGCAATTGATTGTACAGAAAAATATCAGTAAGAATATTGAAGATGTTTAAACATAATGAACAAGTTTGATCTAAAAACCATACACATATCTGTAAGTGGCAGTATACACATTTCTTTCAAACATAAGTGAAACACTTATAAAAACTGATCATCTATTAGATGACATAGTATGTCTCAACAAATTCCAGAGAAATACTATCCTAGAGACCACATTTATTAAACACAATAAAATTAAATTGGAGCCAGTCATGGTGGTTCATGCCTGTAATCCCAGCACTTTGGGGACCCGAGGAGGGCGGATCACTTGAGGTCAGAAGTTCGAGACCAGCCTGGCCAACATGGTGAAACCCCATCTCTACTAAAAATGCAAAAGTTAGCCAGGTGTGGTGGTGCCCACCTGTAATCCCAGCTACTCAGGAGGCTGAGTCAGGAGAATCGCTTGAACCCAGGAGGCAGAGGTTGCAGTGAGCTGAAATCATGCCACTTTACTCCAGTCAGGGCAACAGAGTGAGACGCCATCTCAAAAAAAAAAAAAAAAATTAATTAAATTGGAAATAAAAACACACAAAAAGAATTGTACCCCAACAATATCCCACATATTTAGAAAATTAAAACAGAATTCTCAAACAATTATTAGGTCAGAAACGAAGTAAAAATAAAAATTTAAAATTACTTAGAACTGCTTCATAATAAAAACATTACATGGCAAAGCTCAGAAGGGATATATAAAACCCTCTATGTATAAAAAAAGACCAGTCTAGGCAACATAGTGAGACCTGACCTTTACAAAAAAATTTTAAAAATTAGCTGGACGTGGTAGCAAGCCTGTAGTCCCTGCTACTTGGGTGGCTAAGGTGGGAGGATTGCTTAAGCCCAGGAATTTGAGATTACAGTGAGCTGTAATTGCACCACTGCACTCCAGCCTGGGCAACAGATGGAGACCTTGTCTCAAAAAATAAAAATCAAAAAAGTAACAAAAAATAAAGGCAAACATGAAAGAAGTCAGAAAAATAACAAAAGAATAAAGAATGTAGAAGAAAGGCATTAATAATAATAAAAGCAGGAATTAATAAAAGAGAAAAAATAGAAGATTGATAATTTGATGCCAATAAATTTGAAAATTGCAAAGAAATCGACAAATTCCTAAAAAATCCAGACCACTGAAATTGATCAAAAAGAAATACATTAAAATTGCCCTAAAAACAACTAACAAAATTGAACAAGCAGCTCAAAGTCTGTCTACAAGAAAACTTCCGGCCCAAATGATTTTACATGTGTGTTCTACTACAGTCAATAAAGAAATAATTCCAAACTTATACAACCATGCTGACATACATAAGTAGAGAACTCTACCCATCTGATTCTAGGAGACTAATATAACCTCGATATTAATTATTGATGAGGACAATGTGATAAGAGAAATACAGACTGTTCTGAATGGACATTGCCTATTGACACTTTGCATCTATACAAAAATACATTTATAGCAGTAATTGGAAGGGAAAAAAAGTTGTATTTGAAAATTATATAATTATTTACCAAGAAAACTCAAAGGAATCTACAAAAATAATTGAGAGCTCAGCACATTTAGTAAATAAAAAAATCAATATTAAATCAATATTAACATTTCTAAACATCGAAAGGCTAGAGATGGTCATCTAAAGGGTCTCTATTATTAATAGCAACAAAATATACAAGGAGCTTGGGGATGAGTATAACAAAACATATATAAAGTCTTTATTAAGAATATGATACAATTCTATTGAAAGACATTAAAAAAGACTTAAATAGGGTTACTCTGTTTATGGATGGGAAATTCAAATTTCTTTAAATTTACCTGTAGATTCCATAAAATTTAGATAAAAATCCTAATTGTAGAATTTATCTTGCTAATTCTAACACGTGTGTGAAAGGATTAAGGGCCATCGAGAGCAAAGACACATTTGAAGGAGAAGTATAAGCTGGAAGACATTCTTGAGCAGATATTAAAATTTAGTATAAAGCTTTATTAATTAAGATGTTGTAATATTAACCTAGCGGTAAACGAATTGACCAGTGAAACAGAATAGATATTTCAGAAATAAAATCATATATGTGGAATTGTGATATATGATGGAGTTGGTATTACAAATCTCAGAGGAAAAATTATACTATTAATAGAATTGTACCGGGCCTATATATGGGAGAATGCACTTGGACCCCTTCCTCATGCTATAAGCAAAATTAAATTTACTTACATTGGAAGAAAATTTTATTTAAATAAGAAAGGCAAAATATTAAGAATTTTAGGAGAAAATACAATAAGAATATATTTGTAACTCCAGGATAATGAATGTTTTCCCTTGCTAAACACAAAAGTACAAAAAGTAAGTGAAAACTGATCAGTTTATCATATTAAAATGAGAATGCCTTTTAATCAAAGAAAAAAAGGGAGAAGTCACAAAGTGAAGATAACGTTTGCAATCCACGTAACTGACAAAGAACATACACGTAGAATATGTGAAGAACTCCCAAAAGTCAACTAGATAATGCCAGCAATCCAATAGAAAAGTGAAGAAAAGACATGAACATATGTTACAAAATAGGAAACAGAACAGTCAAATAATCATATGAAATATACTCAATCTCATTATTATTCTGGGAAATCCATATTAGGAGTAGAATATAATGCAATTTTATACCCACTAGATTGACAACACTTAAGGAACTTTCCATTTAATTTTTTTAAATGTTTATAAAAATAAACACACATTGATGAAGTGTGTGCAGATAATAAGAACAATATTGATTATATTTGTCCATTCTATTTGTACAGCATTTACAATTTCTAAAATATTTTTACATGTCAGGAAGGACATGGGGCAAGAGAAATTCTTACAGTATGCTGCTAAGAAAGTATGAATGGGAATGCAAATAATTTTAAAACTAATTTGGAATTATATCATAAAATTGAATAATATATGCACTCCCTTTAATTCATCAATTCCACTTTTAAGTATACCTGTCAATAGAAATGTTGTACAATTACACCAGAATATATTTACAAGAATGTTTTTAGTAGCCCTGGTTTGTGATAGCACAAAACTGGAAATAACTCAAAGGACATTTAAGAGAGGAATGGATACATAAATTGTGTTACATATTTAGCCCAACCAAAATTACATGTGTTTGTTTTCTTAATGTAATTTTAAAGTTTTAAAGTTTTCATTTTGTTCATTGGAAAAGTAGAGGACATTAAATGAGAACTGGAAAAACTCAGAAATCAAATCACTCATACTTCCATAACTCAAACAGCCATAACTCAATATAATAAAAATGTTATTTTTCCTTCAGTCTTTTATTTATTTTATTTTATTTATTTATTTATTTTTTGAGACAGAGTCTGGCTCTGTCGCCCAGGCTGGAGTGCAGTGGCTCGATCTCCGCTCACTGCAAGCTCACCCTCCCAGGTTAGCGCCATTCTCCTGCCTCAGCCTCCCGAGTAGCTGGGACCACAGGCACCTGCCACCACGCCCGGCTAATTTTTTGTATTTTTAGTAGAGACAGGGTTTCATCATGTTAGCCAGGATGGTCCCGATTTCCTGACCTCGTGATCCATCCGCCTCGGCCTTCCAATGTGCTGGATTACAGGCGTGAGCCACTGCGCCCAGCCTTTCCTTCAGTCTTTTAAAAACTTATGTTTTCTGCCTTGAAATGTGGTTGAAATACATTTTTCTATATAATTTTTAACTTGTTTTTTATTTGAAAAAATTATATCATGTCCTTTTTCATGATACCATCTATTTTTTATTCACCTCTATTTGAAATCATAATTTTAAAGAACGTTTAATGTTTCTCTAAGTAAATATTTCAATTTATTTAGGAATTCTCCCACAGTTGGAATTTTTTAGTTTTTGCAAATTTTTATGATAGTGTCTCTATAAATATGATTTTGTGCATAAAGTTTTTTCTGCACTTAAAAATGATTTTAGGATAGATTATTATAAGTAGAATTACTGGGACAATTCGAACATGATTTTGTGCATAAAGTTTTTCTGCGCTTAGAAATGATTTTAGGAGAGATGATTATGAATGAGATTACTGAGACAATTCTAAACATCCCAGCCAAGGTTAAATGTTAATGCTAAATGTTGAAAGGGTTGCACCAATTTACTCTCCCTCATTTCCCATTTCGCAGAGTGTTAACCTCATGTTTGAAAATGGGATCATACATGAAATCGTAGTTTGAATGTTGTCTCCAGTCTGTGAATGATACCATCTTCCAACCAGTTGTGCAAGCCTGCAGAGTGAATCCCATGACACTTTCATTTCCTTCATCCCCCATACATAATCCATACCACATCTTACATCTTATTGTTTTTATCTTCCAAGTACTTCTCACATCCCTCCACTTCTTTCCATTTTCACAAACATCACCCTTGTCTGTTCTGATCTATTTCTACCCCTGCAACTATCTTTTTACAACTTTCATTTAATTATAAAATATATAAAGATAGTACTGTAAAAGAAATCCTGTGTGCTTACTACCTAATTCTATCCAATTCTTACATTTTTACCAGTGTTGTGTCAGATTTTAAAAATAAAACACTACTGAAATTGTTAAAGCCCTGTGTGCTTCTACTTGATTCCATTCTCTTCCCTTCCTTCAATATTATTATGAATTTGCTATATTTCATTCCTTTTATGCTATTGATAAATATGTCATACCCTTTAGTATCATAAAGCATTGTTTCACATATTTTTAAACTTTATAGAAAAAGAGAGTATAGTAAATATTTTATAAGTTGCTTTTTTTGCTCATCATCATATTTTTGAGATTTAACCATAGTGTTACTTGTAACTCCAATTAGTTTATTTCAACTTATCTGTTGTATTTCATAGAAATATACACTTATTTATCCATTGTTTCGTTGCTAGACATTTAGGCTGCTTAAAACATTTTGCAATTACAACCAATATAGCAATCAGTATCTGTGCAAGTCTCCTTGTGCGTGTGGGCAAGGGTTTCTTTAAGTCTGGGGTGTAGATCTGCCTCTTCAACTTAACTAGATATTGCCAAATTGTCCTCCCATTGCTGTCATCTAAATTTACACTTCCACCAATAATGGGTGAGAATTTATAATTCTCCTTATCCCACCCACACGATTGTTAGTTCTTTTTACCTTTTAAAAATTGATGAATGTGCAATATTATCTTATGATGTGAATTTGCATTTCTTTGATTTCCAGTGACTTTGAGTACTTTTCATCAATTTATGGACCATTGATGTTTCTTCTTGAATCACGTTTTCATTACTGTATTAGGCCATTCTTGCATTGCTATAAAGAAATACCTGAGGCTGGGTAATTTATAAAGAAAGGGGCTTTATCTTTCCATGGGTCTGCAGGCCCTCGTCTATACAAAGCATGGCACTGGCATCTGCATGGCTTCTGATGAGGGCCCCAGGGAGCTTTTATTTATGGCAGAAGATAAACGGGGAGCAGATGTCTCAGATGGTGAGAATAACAGCAAGAGAGAGAGTGAGGGGGTGGTACCACATTTTACAACAAGCAGAACTCATGAGAACTCACTTACTATCCAAATACAGCAAAAGCCTTGAGGGATCCAACCCCATCATCCAAACACCTCCCACCAGGCCCCACCTCAAACATTGGAGATTACATCTCAGCATGAGATTTGGGCAGAGACAAATATCTAAACCATCTCACTTACCTTTGACCACTTTTATTAGGTTAATATCTATTTGTCTTGATTTGTAAGTGATTAAAACATTTATCCTTGACTTATGAAATTATGACATTAAATGGTGGTTTTACATTCTTTCCAGACAATCCAGGATTCTTAGAGCACTTTAACTCCTGACATAGATGCAATTATACCATTTTCCTTGTCTTTCTCTAGATCTTTCAAAACTCACACCTAATGCTCTAGAGATATGTGTCCATTGTGCTTCCTTCCTTCCCCGCACCTCCCATGGCATTAAAATGTTTCATTCTCCTTGATGAATTACATGCCCAGTTGATTCTTAAGCACTGCTCACAGTATGCAAACTTGAAACTCCAGGCTGGGGTGTCCAATCTTTTGGCTTCTCTGGGCCACATCGGAAGACAAATTGTCTTGGGCCACACATAAAATACACTAACACTAAAAAATAGCTGCTGAGCTAAAAAAAAAAAAAAAAAAAAAAAAAAAATCACAAACAAATCTCATAGTGTTTTAAGAATGTTCACGAATTTGTGTTGGGCTGCATTCAAAGCCTTCCTGGGCAGCATGCGGCCCACCAGTGCGGGTTGAACAAGCTTGCTGTAGGCAATCCAATTCAATCCTTCTCCAATTAAAGAAAAAAAAAAAAAATGGAAGCAGAAGAAAAAGCACACAAATAAACAAAACCTTCAAAACGCAACTGGAATTCATTGCTTAATGTCCAGGCCTTTGTTCTGTGTATCACTTTAAGAGTTGATGTGTGGGCTCTGTGCTGTATATTTTAATTCCTGCATATTTTAAACCACAAAATGATACTATTTTTAATTGTATTATGCAGTCTGTTTATTTTGCTTTACCCCTCATATTTACCATTTCAATTGCTTTTCATTTCATTCTGTATTTTTTACCTTTCATCCAGATTCATTTTCTTCTTGCCTGAATAAAATCCTTTCACATTTTATTTGAAAATTTGACAATCAGATTTCATCAGACAGTATAAGCTGGCTCCAATACTCCACTGCTTTCATTGCTACATTTTCTGGAGTTGAAACCATCCATTGATTCCTCAGTTCAACCATACACACACACACACATGCACACACACACTTAATACACTATGGAATTTCAGTTGCCTTCATTTTATTTAGAACGTTTGCAATGATAGTAATAATTTTTCATAATGTCTTTCCTAAGACTGTTCTTGTTGGGTTTTGGCATCAAGGCTATAGCTATACAAGGTCTTTTAGAGTCTAGAGCATTTAGCGCATTTTCTATTGATGAAGTTTAGGACATACCATCCCAAAATATAACTCTAGGATATAAGAATAGGCCATCCCCAAATATGCCACTTTGGCATACTGATTACTTTGAGCTAAAAATAACTGAGAGCCAGCCAAAGCAAGAAAAACTCTTTCTCTCCTTCAACTTCCTAAAATAAAACATAAAAATTCCCTTGTGTGCAGGAATTTACACCCATAAGGAAATTTTCATTAGTAAAGATACGTGACAATTGTATCACCTGAGAGACTTTTACTTGATTAACAAGGCAACCTCTATTCACAATACATTTCCTCCGCTTGCCCTCCCATAATTTTCCTCTACCATTACCTAGAATCCCTAAACTCCTATTCCTTTCTGTAGGTCAGGATGATATGTAAGTTTAAATTATCTGGTGAGTCTTACATTTTTATTGAACTCCTCTATGGACATAATTAAAATTGTTTTTCTCCTGTTGATCTTTCTTATGTCAGTTTAATCCATAGACCAGCCAAAGAACCTGGAAGGGTAGCTGGAAATATTTTTTTGTCCTCTACATCTTTTTATTAAATTATTTTTTAATTTGCTAATTTTGGTCATTTTTGATGGACAGAATTTTTAATTTTTGAAGCCACACATGTTAACCTTTCCCTTTATGATTTCTATCACTTTTGAACTCTGAAAGTACCACTCACACCTTAAAACTTAATATTCAATTATATTCTATTCTAGTTTTTCTACATTTTAAAAATATTCAATATTTTAATTTCTATGGAATTAATTTGGACGTATGGAGTGAAATGAATGTATAAATTGATTTTTTTTCAAAGTTCCATATCAGAACCTTAAATGAATGATGAAAATTATTGGATTCTTTTTCTCATTTTTAAATAAAATTTATAAATTTTTTGTTTAGTCTTATTAAAAGTAACTCACAGATTTTCACTAGAGAACGTGATTGTTTTATGCTTAAACAATTGTTTAAAATTTTGAAATTAATAAATTAATGTAGCAATTCTGTAAACATGAGCAACAAAATAAAACTTAGAGTTCTTTTTACATAGATTGTGTGATTGATTGGAATTAGTGAATGTAAAATGTAGATAATTCCTGAATTAATTAGTAATGTAGGGGAGGCACAGGTGTGACACCTTTCCTCACCCATCATAAGGGTCACAGCCAACATTCCTATAACAAAAGACAAATTAACAAGGCAAAAAATTACAACAAATTTATGTAATCAAAGTTTATCGTGACACGGGGTACTTCAGAAACAAAGACCCAGGTAAAACAGTCCATTTTAATGCTTATATTCATTGAAGAGTAGACAGCTATGCAGAAATGTGATTGGACAAAAGGGAATGATCTTACGGTAATAGGCTGAGGAGGGAAACCCAGCAAGGCATCGCTGCTCAGATTCTTCTCTGTCTTTCTGTGTGGCGTTCCTTCCTCCTGGGTATGAAGCAGGGCCCCTCTGGAATGAGAGTCTTATTATCTACTATAAGACAAGGTAGATTAGACATTTTCCTTATGGCCAACTGGTATACTGAAAGGTAGGTTAAGGTTAGAATAATGTTTCTAGGTTTTATGGCTGCCTTTGGGATAGTTTCTATGACCCACTGATGTGGGTCTAGTTTCTATGACCCACTGATGTGGTTCTAGTTTCTATGACCCACTGATGTGGTTTGGCTTCATCCCCACCCAAATCTCATCTTGAATTTTAATCCCTATAATCCCCAAGTGTCATGGGAGGGACCTGGTGGGAGGTAATTGAATCATGGGAGCAGTTTCCCCCATGCTGTTCTCATGATAGTGAGTTCTCACATAATCTGATGGTTTTACTTTTTTATTTTTTATTTTTTGAGATGGAGTTTCGCTCTTGTTGCCCAAACTGGAGTGCAATGGTGCTATCTCGGCTCACTCCTGCCTCAACCTCCTGAGTAGCTGGGATTACAGGCAAGTGCCACCATGCCCAGATAATTTTTTGTATTTTTAGTAGAAACAGGGTTTCACCATGTTACCCAGGCTGGTCACAAACTCCTGACCTCAGGTGATCTGCCCACCTTGTCTTCCCAAAGTGCTGGGATTACAGGTGTGAGCCACCACGCCCAGCCCTGATGGTTTTATAATGTATGGCATTTCCCCTGCTGGCACTCATTCTCTCTCCTGCTGCACTGAGAAGAGGTGCCTTCCGCCATGATTGTAAGTCTCCTGAGGCCTCCCCAGCCATGTGGAACTGTGAGTCAATCAAACCTCTTTTCTTATAATTTACCCAGTCTCAGGTATCTCTTGATAGCAGTGTGAGAACAGACGAATACACTCACCATGGGGAAGAGAAATTCTGGTTTCTATAACTTGCTTTGGGTGAGAAAAAGGAGAGGGAGACAGGAGGGTAGGAGAAGGTCAGAGGGAGACTGCATCTGAGGCTGCTTCTGAGCCCTTCCAGTACTTCCTTCTTTGGTTCAAAGTACTCAGCATGCCAAAGTGCCACTCTTTGGGGTATTGTTCTCTGAGCCCCAACAGTATTATATGGGATGTATTTGACATCTAATTTTTCTGATATAAATTTGCTTCATAAACTGATTGTAGAAATATTCCCTGAAAAATTGAGTTCCATGCTTCAGCTATTACTCATGAGAAGGAACTTACCACCAAGAAACAACAACTCCTAAGAGATAGCTCATGAAAATGTTTTTCTCTGCACAATTTGGTAAGTGCATTTTCTTTGCTGGCTTTTATTCAAAAATTTAATAATAGACTATTTGAAGAACTGAATTTTGTAGTGCTTATAAGAATTTATAAATTCCAAAATGATTCCTTAAATAATTATTAATGCTAGACATTTTTCCTTCTTCCACAATATGCTGAAACATTGGGTAATATGCAGTATTCAAATTCAAGTTTAAATTCTTTCATTCTATTTTATGGTTTGCCAAATCAAAAATTAATTCACTTATTTACATCCCTAGCAGAGCTGACTTTCTCACTGGGTCTTAACTGAGACAAAGCCTACCTACTAGGCCAGGTCCTTGAATTTGACATCAGCTAGTGTAACAGAGCTTACTGTGCCATGTTCCTATTGAACTACTATGTAGATTTTTTTTTTATTTTTATATTGTCCATCATGTTTATTTAAGATCCAGTTTAGGCTATGTCAACATGTGAAAGTCACATTGAAGATTTAGAAACTCGCTATTGTTGTCACTAAGCAATTATTTGCGGTTTGCAGTGTTGTTTATGATCTACTCTGTGATCACGAACAATAGATGTGTTTGCCGTGATCAAGCTATCACCCAGATTTCTGCTTACCAAAATTAATGAGCCTTCGGCCTCCTTTAAGTTTCCCTAAGGACATTATCAATAATCTTTGTGACATTCTACTTAAGCTTTCTTTAATTTTTCTATGTCATCTGTAAACAATGAGTCCAGAAGTGCACATTTGTGTTTGAAAAGAACCTGATGATACACGACTTTCTGTTTTTATTTTATGAGAATGGTATAGTAATATCCATTTACTTAGAGGTCAAACTATGCAAAAGGAGTCATGGAAAACATTGCCACCAACATAATAATCCTCTAATCAGCAAAAAGCCATCCTGGAGCTATAAAGAAAAAAAAAGGCATCTTTGAATAAATCAGTAAAAAAACTTCTTCTTCTTCTTCTTTTTTTTTGATACTAAATCTCGCTCTGCCATCCAGGCCGGAGTGAAGTGGCACAATCTTGGCTCACTGCAACATTCACCTCATGGGTTCAAGCAGTTCTCCTGCCTCAACCTCCCGAGTAGCTGGGACTACAGGCGTGTGCCACCACACCTGGGTAATTTTTGTATTTTTATTAGAGACGGGGTTTCACCATGTTGGCCAGGCTGGTCTCGAACTCCTGACCTCAGGTAATCCACCTGCCTCCGTCTCCCAAAGTGCTGGGATTACAGGCGTGAGCCAACACGTCTGGCCAATCTTCTAAGGAATTAAAAAAAAGGAATTGACTGCATCGTGAGGCGTTTGGCTTTTTATTCTGTCTTTTTGTGTCCTCCTTGGAGCTCTCTTGTTTACATTTTCCTTGCCTTACTCCGTATTGGCCTAAGACTAGTAGATAACACATTCATTTTCTTTCCTCCCTTAGTGCTACTGAAAGAATTGAACAGTTTTTAAAGGAAGTTTAATAAAAACTAAGCAGAAAAAAATATTAAAAAACAAACAAAAGAGATGCAAGCAGCATGAAAGTAATCAATTTTGCCAAGTACAGGTTTTGGAATATAAGAGAACCAAATGGTAACCATAGAATGATTGGTGCAGGCCTGGGTTCCTTTCCTCCTAACATCTCAGATTCTTTTTCTCTGATTTTCACATCCCAACCTGAAGGCCCATATAAGTTATGTTTTCCTAGTCCTCTTTGTTGCTCCTCTCTCAAAAAAAGAAATTGGGTCAGAAAACAGGGCAGTCTGAGGTCAAATGAATCACTGGGCAGAACTAATGTAAATCAGTTCAACACCAAGAAACAGAAGGAACTTTTAGTACTATCCTAATGCAGAGTTACAGAGCAATAGCCGTATCAGTCATTTTTCTCTTGCTTTTCTCCTCTGTCAGTAGGAAAGAGGCAAAGCCCCTGTTAATGATGCAGGAATTTTCCTTCACTCTTCATCCGACTTGCAATGGAGGTGCCCCATTTATTTGGCCCATGGTGCTCAACCTCTTGCAGGAGGGAGAGCGTGAGCAAGCGAGTGTGGGATCCATCCGGCCACTTTGGGTGCCAGCAGTAGCAAGCTCCATGCAGACCCCACAGCGGCACCCAGCTGGGGGTGCCTGTGACCCCCAAAGCCCCAAAGGGCATGTTACAGGGCTCTCTTAGCTCTGCCTTCCGTGAACAGTGGTGTGTTATCAGCTCAGTGGGCCCCTTGCCTCATCAAATGAGGCAGTTGCCCTCTGCTAGTGAGGGCAAAGGGCCAGTGTGACAGCCTTTTTTGGGTACTGCCTACTACCTACACTCAATGGGTCCCGAGCTCTTGTCTGGTGTCCAAGAAGAATTAGGTCGCATGGACATTTGAAGGATGGTCGAGGTGCAGAATTTTATTTAGCAATGAAAGGGGCTCTCAGTGGAGAGGGGAGCTGGAGAGGGGATGGGACGGGCAGATAATCTTCCCTGAAGTCTGGCCATCTTTGGCTGGCTCTTCCCTGTAGTCAAGTACCCTCACTGAAGTTAAGCTGTCTCCCTTTGAAGTCCAGCTGTCCCTCTGAAGTCAAGTTCCCTCTCTCCAGTCAAGCTGCTTCTCCCCCTACCGACTGAGTCTGGGGTCTTTATAGGCACAGGATGGGGAGTTGGGTGGGCCATAGGTAGTTTTGGAAAAGGCAACATTTGATTGGTAAAAGGACATTATTCAGAAAGAGCCAATCAGAAGAGAGCATGCAAACAGGATAGAAGTTCTCACTTTGGGCTGCAGGTTTCAGGCTTTTCGGCTTGGAGGTGGGGTTTTGCCAGGGACCTTTCCCTGTCTGCCTAGAATTTCTCTGCCTCCTGCCTCTATCATTAAGACCTTTCTTGGACAATGATGTTGTGGCTAAGAACACAATACCTCAATGTATGGCACTTTGGCATGCTGATTACTTCGAACTAAAGAAGATTGGAAGGCCTCAGAAGTAAGTTTTCTTTGATCTTCTTCTGCTCTCCTGCTTCCTGCCCTTTTGTTTTCCCCAAAGAGAGTCAAAGAAACTAAAATTTTTTTTCCCCAATGTAGGTCATAGATTCTAGAATCCCTGTCCCAGAAAGCAAATCTTAAAATCCCCAAAAGTCTCCCTTCTTTCTTCTCCCTCTGTTTCCAGAGGGATCCTGCCTACCACCTGGAAAGAAGGAATGTCATACAGAGAAGCCTAGAAGAATTCAAAGAGCCAGGCCTTGCTGGATTTCCCCCATCAGTCTGTTACCAATAACTTATACCCTTTTATCCAATTACATTTCCTCACAGCTGTCCATTCTTCATTGAACTTAAGCCTAAAAACAGTTTCCCCTGGATTCTAGGGTCTTCATTTCTGAAGGCTCCCATGTAACCCAAATCTTTGATTACATAAATTTGTTATGGTTTGAATTGTTGTGATGGTTAATACTGAGTGTCAACTGGACTGGGTTGAAGGATGCCAAGTATTGATCCTGGGTGTGTCTGTGAGGGTGTTGCCAAAGGAGATTAATATTTGAGTCAGTGGGCTGGGAAAGGCAGGCTCACCCTTATTCTTGGTGCGCACCATCTAATCAGCTGCCAGCACAGCTGGAATATAAAGCAGTGAAAAACACGAAAACACTAGACTGGCCTAGCCTCCCAGCGCTTCCTGCGCTTGAACATCAGATTCCAAGTTCTTCAGTTTTGGGGCTCGGACTGACTCTCCTTGCTCCTCAGCTTGCAGATGGCCTATTGTGGGAGATCGTGTGAGTTAATACTTAATAAACTCTATATATATATATATATATATATATATATATATATATATATATATATAAAATTAGTTCTATCCCTCTGAGAACTCACTAACACACTTGCTAACCTATCTTTTGTTGTAGGAGTTTTAGCCTGACCCTTATGATGGGTGAGGAAAGGTATCACTCCTTTCCCTTCCTATGGTGGCATCTGTTAAGGATGTTAAGGATGTGTTAAGGAAGCAGGTGAACAATGACTAACAACAACAGAGGGAAACAGGAAAACTCCAAGAGTGGCTGTTTGTGGAAATGACGGACAAAAATCTCCACCCCTGCCTAGGCTCAGAAGGCATTCCTTCAGTGTAGGGATCCCCATATTGTACAGGGTAATAACTTTTACTTGTAATGATTCTGAGTTGTCAAGAAAAAGGTACTGCTGTGTTTCTCACCTGAGAGTGATTTTGCCCTCCAGGAGACATGTGGCAATGTAGGGAGACTTTTGATCATCATGACCATGGGGCTACTACTCTCTACCTCTAGTGGGTAGAGGCCAGTGATGTTCCTAAACATCATATAGCACAACAAAGAATTATCCAGCAAAAATGTCGATAGTGCCAATGTTGAGAAACCCTGCATTAAAATCTCAGAGATCTAATAAATTTTAAATGCATTTTAGAGATTGTTAGTAAAAGCAATTATATATTTCTCAAAAAGTTTTCAAGGGTAAAGGAATAAGCTTTAGTATATGGGAACCTCAGGATACAACTAAATAATATGTCCTTTTGTAATGAAAATAAGCACCTTTATCCTCCAAGTTCTCTGAATATCCATGCATTATTTACAGATCCAGTGAATATGTCTAGAAACTTTAGTGGAATGTAGAAAAGACAAAATTTATTCATTAAGCTTTGTGTAAAGCATTTCATGTAATGCATTCAATTTGTTGGGAAGCTACAACTTTTTGAGGGATAAACATGAAATGTTTGTACTTTATGAAATAATTGTTCTTTCAACTGGCTGAATAGGGGCTCTCTTTCAGGCATCTGGTCAAGATTTATTAATTTTTGTTAGTTTTTAGTAATTAGAACAGTCTCATATTGGTATATGATCTATATGATTTAGTCTTCTCAATGTCAAAGTAAATCTTTTATTTTTTTTGAGGTAGAGTCTTGCTCTGTCACCAAGGGTGGAGTGCAATGGCACAATCTCAGCTCACTGCAACCTCTGCCTCCCAGGTTCAAGCAATTCTCCTGCCTTAGCTTCCCAAGTAGTTGGGATTACAGGTGCCCACCACATGCCCGGCTAATTTTTGTATTTGTAGTAGAGACGGGGTTTTGCCATGCTGGTCAGGCTGGTCTCGAACTCCTGACCTCAGGAGATCCACCCACCTCGGCCTCCCAAAGTGCAAAGTAAATCTTATAGGGAAGGAAAAGTTTCCTCAAACCTCCTAGGGCTCCTGGCTCGGTCTGAAATAAAAACCGACAAAGACAGATTAACAGGAGAAAAGCACATTTATTTAACCAAAAGCAACTTATTTAATCAAAGCTTTATGTGACGGGGAGTCTTCATAAATGAAGACCTAAAGACCTAAGAAAACTCTATTTTTATGCTTAATTTTATGTTCAGTGAAGAATGGACAGCCATGAGGAAATGTGATTGAACAGAAGGGGTATGATCTAATGGTCATAGGTTGAGAGGGGAAACCCAGTGATACGGTTTGGATCTGTGTTCCCACCAAACCTCATGTTGAAATGTAATACCCAGTGTTGGAGGTAGGGTGCAATGCGAGGTCCTTGGCTCACGGAAGCGGCTCCCTCATGAATGGATTAGCACCATCCCCTTTCTGATAAGTGAGTTCGCGGAAGATTTGGTCATTTAAAAGTGTGGGGCACCTCCTACTCTCTCTCTCTTGCCCCTCTCTTGCCATGTGATATGCCGACTCCTGCTTCACCTTCTACTGTGAGTAAAAGCTCCCTGTGACCTCCTCGGAAGCCAAGCAGATGCTGAAGACATGCTTCCTGTACAGTCTGCAGGACTGAGAGTCAATTAAACTTCTTTTTAAAATAAACTACCCAGTCCCAAGTATTTAAAGCAATGCAAGAACATCCTAACACACCAAGCAAGGCTTGGCTGTTGGATGCTTCTTGGCCTCTTGGTGTGGTGCTCCTCCCTCCAGGGTGTGGGGCAGAACCACTCTAGAATGAGGGTCTTGTGACCTACTATCAGTCAAGGTAGGCCAAATAATTTATGGCCAGCTCCTACACAGAAAGGTGGGGCAAGGTTAGAGGAATGTATTTGAATGCTTTGAAGTGAAGGAAAGGGACCTAGTATTTGGCATGCCAATGTGCCATACTTTGGTGTATAGTGTTCTGAGCCTCAACAATCTCTTTTCCTTTCTTCTCTCAGCACTGCTTGGAACATGTGTGTGTGTGTGTGTGTGTGTGTGTGTGTGTGTGTGTGTGTGTTGGAAGGTTATGATGCAAAAGTTAGTTTTTGGGTGTCTATGGACCCTGTCACTTCTGGGAACCAGCTCCTCTTGACTAAGTGTGTGGGATGGGAATTGAGAGGAAGGGGAAAAGAAAACCCAAATGACCCCATATCCAGATGGATGAGGTTGACAGTGTGTTCACTCACCAGCAGCTCCTGCAGGCCCTGGTGGAACCTAGCCAGGCCTTGTGCTGCACCTCTCTGATGTCCACTTCACCTCTAGCTTTCGGCTTCAGTGGTCCTAGCTAGTATTCAGCCAACTAATCTCCCCTGGCCTCCTCCAAAGCCAACTCTCTGGTGGGTAGACTCCAATTTCCATGTTTCCTGAGAACTGGGAAGTTGGTAGAGGTGGAAAAAAGGTGGTGCTGGTCCCCTTTCTGAGCAATCAAACTATCTCTCCTCATTCCTTTTGCCCAGCTTAGTAGTATGATGTGGGGTGAGGTCAGTAAGTCCTCCAGCTAGGCTGAGTTCTGAATGCCTCTCCCTTTGTGCAGCCCCTCCTACCCTCATGAAAGATTCTGTTGCACCCTTTTCTTCATGTGGCTTCAGGAAATGGAAGCTGCCTTTCTCCAGCCTCCTGGGGATATTGGCTTACTAGCTAGTTCTCTCTCCTCACTAACTTCCACCCCCTACCTGGGGCTTCAAGGAAACTCCTCTCTGGCTTCCTACACCACTTGAGAGGGTGAAAAATTCAAAGTGACAAAGAGCACTTGTTCTATCCCTAAGGTTTCTCAAAACTATCTGGCCATCAGAGTTCTCAATGCAATTGTCGAGGCCAGGTTCTCTTTGCTCTCATGGGAGTAAGGAGAAGAAGGGTGAAATCTGTAGACAGAGCCATGTCTAAATCTTTCATACTTCTCTGCCCTCCCCAATGTTTTTTTCCTCTCCAACTCCCCTGGAATTAGGGGTAAAAATTCTTGTGCTGCCTGCTCATATTTCTTTTTCATTATTTTCTGTTTACTTGGGTGACAACGTTTTAATTTAAAAGCTGAGACTATAGAACCTTTCATCTTTGTTGTGGACAGTTTCTGAAATGGTCATTGTCAATCTTGGAAGCACATCAGTATCACCGAGAGAGATTTAAAAAGACAAATCAGAATACTTGTGGGGTAGAACCCAGGTATCAGAAATGTTTAAAAGCCACTCATGTGGTGCTGATGTAGAAGATGACTGGGAACCACTGCTTTAAAAGCACAGGTGCCCAGTGGGATAGGAGGGAAAGAACATGCCCATTAATACCTCATATAGCATCGTGACACAAATGCAGAAAGCCAGGCACAGAGAGACTGAGACAATTCCTTTAGGTGATACAGCTGGTAGTTTTCAGAGTGGGAATCTAATGGAGCCCCAAAGCTCATGTTCTCTTTCAATGTATTTGTAAAGTTCATAGGCCAGAGCAGCACACTTCACCTGTCCTTTCTACTCCTTCCTCTCATTTCTGTGCCCTGTCCACCTCCCACGATGCCTTCAGACCCATACATTACAAGTGACCGGGAACTGGTGTAAGTAAAAACTGTTGAATACACATTTCCTTTGGACAGTTGAGATTTCTACTGCATTTCACCCCTATAGAATGATCAACTTTCTAAACAAACTTCGTTCTTATATGAGTTATAGTGCTATCGGTAGAGACCTGAGTTGATATTTCTTACTCCTTGTCATGCTTTCTAATCGCATGACCAGGCAAGCCTTGGGACAGGACTGTGAGTTTCTAGTCTTGTCTGAAAACATGACTGTCTCATGTTAATGTTAATGTCAACACCAATGTTAATGTTAAAGCAACAAAATACATTAAGTAAGGTATTTTTAAACAGAATTTCATTGATTCAATCAAACACTTGCACAGCGTTTTGCATCTGGAGTGGCCATAGAGACAAAGGAGAGGGTGAAGGTGGCTGTTTTAATAAGCTTTAAAGAAGTTAAGAAAGTTCACCATCTTAAATGACAAGGAAAAGACAAAGAAAAGACAAAATAGAAAAATCTTCATTTTTATAATATGTTAACTTCAATAATAGTCTTCTTTGGCTAAACCATTATTAGGGGGATAACACAAACTTGCCTGACTAATTCCTTTACTCTTAAGACACAGCTGAGGCAAGCATTTTGAAAGAAACATTTCTGTACTTCTCACCAGCCTGAGTTAGGAGGCTTCCCTCAGTGCTCACAGACGCACTGGGCTTACCCTTTATGCACAGCGCTTACCACGAGGCGCTGCTTTATAAAAAACCTGTTTATCCCTCCTTCTCACCAGATCATGAACTCCCTGGTAAGGAAGGAGCATGTCCTTAACCCATACCCTTAGCATCTAGCACAGTCCCTGGCATATAGATGTTCAATAACTATTTTGGAATGAATACCAATATTTTATTATTATAAATAATGATTGAAAAATTAAAAGGGTAGCAACTTAAAATGTTATAAATCAGAAAAATGAGTCAGAGTGTAGATGAAGGTTAGATGACTCAAGCTGGGAAGTCATTAACTATTTTTAGCTCGTTTTAGCAGCAGGGAGTCAACCCTAACCTGGTGTTTAATTTCCAGGGTATAGAAGACCAGAACAACGGAATAGACTTTAAAAGTGATTTAATCACTGATTCTTCACTTCATGCATCCCTGGTCACTATTACCAAAAGTCATTTAAAAGCCTTATGCTTAGTGTTCTACATAGTAATTTTAATGGCAATGATTACAAATCAGTGAGATCTTCAACATAACAAAAACCACACTGAGGTGCTCGTACATGTGCCAGGAAACCATGAGTAGTATTCCTTCTTTCAAGAAAAAAATGTAAGACTCCATTTATGTTTATTAGTCTATACTGTGCAAACTTGGGCATGGATAAAATATAACCTACTGGTTAGTTAATTGTTTATTCAATAAATCTTTTTGAGCTATGAAATTTTTATAAGACTTTTTGTCAGGAATTATGGGAGGTTTAACATAATATCCACACTCAAACCTGACAGACTTTACCATCTATTTTAAGAAAGGAAGAGGAAACAAAAACCCAAGTGGCAAACTATTCAAGACCAAATGTAAATAAGTACCACATTGTATTTTACAGATGAAGATCGTGTAGATGTTGAGAAAAAGGGGAGATCTGTAACATCCAAAGCCAGAGGAGTAGAGATGGGAGCTGATATTTCTTACTCCTTGTCATGCTTTCTAATCTCATTACCAGGAAAGCCTTGGAACAGGGCTGTGAATTTCTAGTCCTGTCTGAAAACATGACTGTCTCATCAACCTGCAAGTACAACCTACAGGGACTCATGGATAGAGACCCCAGAAGATTCAAGTTTCCTGCTGAGGAAAAGCAAGGCAGCTCTGCCTTCTTGTTTCATCTCTCCAGTCTATAAACAAACCTTTTTTTTTTGGTGATTTTTCTGGGCCCCCCAGGATAGCATTGAAGTACTGTCTAGTGTTCCTAGGTGCAAGAAGGTTGTGATGTGCCTTAGAGAGAAAATATATATGTTAAATAAGCTTAATAAACTTGATTCTGGTATGAGTTTTAGTGCTGTTGGCTGTTAGCTCAATGTTAATGAAACAACAATATACATGATATACATGAAATAAGGTGTCTTTAAACTAAAATATATAAAGAAACAAAATTGTGTATTGATCAGTTGACAAAAATGTTAGAACCACGGCTTGTGGAAACCTACCTTCGTATCTCCACTAAGAGTGATGGCTCAGTATTGTAAAACCATGTTCTCTTCCTCTGTCCAGGGCATAGTATCAGACCTTTACAGGCACAACCCGTCTTATTGCGCTTCTCTTAACTGTGCTTCACAGACACTGCATTTTTTTTTTTTTGATGGAGTCTTGCTCTGTTGCCCAGGCTAATCTCGGCTCACTGCAACCTCTGCCTCCCAGGTTCAAGCGATTCTCCTGCCTCAGCCTCCCGAGTAGCTGGGACTGCAGGCGCGTGCCACCACGCCTGGCCAATTTTTTGTATTTTTAGTAAAGATGGGGTTTCAGCATGTTAGTCAGGAAAGTCTTGATCTCCTGACCTCGTGATCCGCCCACCTTGGCCTCTCAAAGTGCTGGGATTACAGGAGTGAGCTATCGCGTTTTTAACAAATTGGAGGTTTGTGGCATCCCCATGTTGAGCAAATCTATTGGTGCCATTTTTCCAATGCCATGTGCTCACTTGATGTCTCTGTGTCACATTTTGGTAATTCTCACAATATTTCAAGCTTTTTCATTATATTATATCTGTTATGGTGATCTGGGATGAGTGATCTTTGATGTTACCATTGTAATTATTTTGGGGAACCCTGATCCATGCCCATATAAGACAGTGAATTGAATCAATAAATCTTGTGTGTGTTCTGACTGCTCCACCAGCCAGCCATTTCCCCATCTCTCTCCCTCTTCTTAGGCCTCTCCATTCTCTGAGACACAACAATATTGTAGTTACGCTCATTAATAACCCTACAATCGCCTCCAAATATTCACATGAAAGGAAGAGTCACATGTCTCTCACCTTAAATCGAAAGCTAGACATGATTAAATTTAGTGAGGAAGGCATGTTGAAAGCTGAGATAGGCCAAAAGCTAGGTCTCTTGTACGAGTTATTCAAGCTGTGAATGCAAAAGAAAACTTCTTGAAGGAGAGTAGAAGTGCTACTCCAGTGAATACACAAACGATAAGGAAGTGAAACAGTTTTCTTGCTGATATGGGGAAAGTTTGAGTGGTCTGGATCAAACCCGATCAAAGCAGTCACAACATTCTCTTAACCACAGCCTAATCCAGGGCAAAGCCCTCACTCTCTTCAATTCTATAAAGCCTGAGAGAGGTGAGGAATCTGTAGAAGAAAAGTTGGAAGCTAGCAGAGACTGGCTCATGAGGCTTAAGGAAAGAAGTCATCTCCATAACATGAATGTAAGGTGAAGCAGCAAGGGCTGATGTCAAAGCTGCAGCAAGTTCTCCAGAAGATCTGGCTAAGATCATTGATGAAGGTAGCTACACGAAACAACACATTTTCAATACGGATGAAACAGCCTTATATTGGAAGAAGATGCTACCAAGGACTTTTACAGCTACAAAGAAGTCAATACCTGGTTTCAAAGCTTCAAAGGACAAACTGACTCTCTTGTTAGGGGCAAAAGTAGCTGGTGACTTTACATTGAAGCCAAAGCTCATTTACCATTCTGAAAATTTTAAAGCCCTTAAGAATTATGCTAAATATATTCCACCTGTGCTCTATAAATGGAACAACAAAACTTGAATGACAGTACATCTGTTTACAGCATGGTTTATTGAATATTTTTAAGCCCACTATTAAGACTTACTGCTCAAAAAATGTTTCTTTCTAAATATTATTGCTTAATATTGGTTAATAATATACTTTGTCACTCAACAGTTGATGGAGATGTACGAAGAGATTAATGTTGTTTTCATGCCTGGCAAAACAACATTCATCTTGTAGCCCATGGATAAAGGAGTAATTTTGACTTTCAAGCCTTATTATTTAAGAAATAAATAGATAGCTGCCATTAATAGTGATTCTTCTGTTGGATGTGGGCAAAGTAAATTGAAAACCTTCTGGAAAAGATTCACCATTCTAGATGCCATTAAGAACATTTATAATTCGTGGGAGGAAGTCAAAACGTCAACATTAACAGGAGTTTGGAAAAAGTTGATTCCAACCCTCCTGAATGACTTTGGGAGTTCAGGACTTCAAAGCAGGAAGTAACTGCAGATATGGTAGAAATAGCAAGAGAACTAGAATTAGAAGTGGAGCCTGAATATGTGAGTAAATTGCTCAATCTCATAAGACTTGAATGGTTGAGGAGTTGCTTCTTATGGACAAGCAAAGAAAATGGTTACTTGAAATGGAATCTACTCCTGGTGAAGTTGTTCACAGCATTGTTGAAATGACAGCAAAAGATTTATAATTATATAAACTTAGTTGATAAAGCAATGGCAGGGTTTGAGATGATTGACTCCAATTTTGAAAAAAGTTATAATGTAGATAAAATGCTATCAACCAGCATTGCATGCTACAGAAAAATCTTTCATAAAAGGAAGAGTCAATTGATGCAGCAAACTTCATTGTTGTCCCATTTTAAGAAATTGACACAGCTATTGCAGCCTTCAGCAATCACTACCAGGATCAATCAGCAGCCATCAACATCCAAGCAATGCCTTCCACCACCAAAAAGATTCCCATTAGGTGAAGATGATCTTTAGCATTTTTTAGAAATAAAATATCTTTTTAAGTTAAGGTAGGTACATTGCTCTTTCTAGACATCGTGCTATTGCATACTTAACAGACTACAGCATAGTGCAAACGTAACTTTTATATGCATTAGGAAACTGAAAAATTCGTGTGACTCGTTTTGTTGCAATACTCGCTTTATTGCGGGGGTCTGGAACCTAACCTGCAATATCTCTGCGTTATGCCCTTATAGCGCCGGGAGTGGGTGCCTTCCGCCGGCTGTACAGAGCGCCGGCAGGTGGCGCCCAGCGGCGAGCTTGTTCCAGCTTGGTTTGGGCCAGGTGGACTGGAAGGGGCGGAGGTAACCAGAAGCGGCTAGTGGCGGCTGCCTGCGTCCCCAACCCCCTCCGCGCAGCGCTCGCGACACGCGTGCCAGGAGTGGGAGCGAGCGGCGGGGCCAGCTGCGTTCTGAGCCTGGGCGCAGCTGCCATCTGCTCTGGGAAGCACCAGGGTGTCCCCGCCGCCCTCAGCTCGAAGTCAGCCACCATGGAGGCGCAGGCACAAGGTGAGTGGTCGCCGATCGCCCCGAGAGTCAGGTCCTGGGGCGCGCATAAAGGCTCTTTTCCTGCACCACCTAACTTCGCTCTCGGACAGAACAGATTGGTGCCGTGTTGCACATCCAGAACTCCACTCCCACCCGCGCCTTTGGTATAATGCCTGCTGCCCAAACTCAGGATTTGCTGTGGGTCTGGGGATCAATAAAGTGACAGGGGATCCGTAAGTGGAGAGGCCCCTCCTCAGGAAATGCGCCCGTGGAATGCTCTACCCTCTTCCGCAGCCAGTCGCCCCTGGCCTTCCCAACCTCGCGGCTGCCCGAAGGACCTGTTGTGCCGGGTCCGGAAAGCGTGTTTCGCTCCCTTTCCCTTGAGGGAGTGGGGAGGGAATGTGACTCTTTTCGCCCAGCGCCGTGGACTCGCGGCTTGTGGCTCCCAAGTTAGGGAGTGAGAGGATCGCCCGCCGAGGGGGTGGCTCCGCAGCCCGGCTGCGCGAGACGCTTCCCGCTCGGGGACCCGCCTTCCGAGGCCAGGTGAACGTTACCGGCCCCCTGACCTCCAGCAGATCCACACGTGAGTCCCGGTTTCCGCGATCGGGGAGCGACCTCTGCCTCCCGTGGCGCGCGGGGCCCCCGGCCGCCCAGCTCCCTGCTCCCGGGGCTGCCTGCTGGAGGAGCCTGCGGTGGCTTCAGGAAGGGCGGCCTCATATCTTGGGGTCACACTTGGAACAGGGTTGGGGAATTCCGATGGAATCGTTCAAGAATGGGGGTAAACGGACCGTGGAAAGGGGCAGAGGTGGGCGGATGTGGAGCGAGAGACAAGTGGGAAGGAAACGGACTCAGTGATCTACCTTGGGGAGCAACGCCCAGAAGGGATGGCTTGCGGAGTTCAGCCTTTAAGGCAATCAAAGCCACCATTCTTTTACACAGTAGGAAACTCTGTGTTGGCTCTTAGTATAGATAAAATCTCATTAAAAAGAAAAAAAAAAAGGTTCATGACCTGATGCGCTCGCCCTCTAGGGGCAGAACGCCCTGAATGAGAGTGGGTTGGCGATTGCGTGGGCCTGGAGTCGCCCAACAGGTTTGCTGCCAGGATTACAATTGTCTGAACAGCACGAACCTTACTCGTTTGTTCCATCCTCCTAAGTCCTGCCCGTAAAGCTGCCGCTTCCCATATTTTTTCCTCTATTATGTAGATAGGAAATGATAATTCAACCAAGGGTGAGGGCAGTTGGTCAAATTCAAAAGCAGAGGTCAGGTTGGAGGCCTTCACGCCAGAACTGAAGCTGGTGGGAGCAGCACCGGAGCTTTCCAACCTGACTTGCATATTAGAATTATTTAGAGAGTCTTCATTACTGGCCTTGGCCAACCCCATCCCAGTCAAACTGGAATCTTTGGAACCTGAACATGGGTATATTTGAAAGCTTATATTAGTGAGGATGGAGAAGAACTATAGCAGATAGGAAACATTCATACAACTTCTGAAGACATCCGAAACTACAGACTGGTAACCACTGGTGTCACTGGTTTGCTTTATTGCTTTGCTTTACTTCCAAGATTTACTTAACAAATATTTCAGTGCTTTCCTTTGCCAAGCACTGTGCTAAGAAGAGCAAAGACAGACTTGGTATCTGCTTCATAAAATTTACAGTAGAGGAAGAGACAAATATTAATTTGATAGCTATTTGAAAAATAACATGTAAAATCACTGCCATGCTGATGCTAAGAAAGGGCCTCATAGTGCAGCGAGAGCCTGAAAAACTATAACCCTAGTATGCAATAATCAGAAGAGCAGATTGTTTATTGTGTCCCTGTCTCTGTTCTTCGTGCTTTGCATGTATTGATGGACTCATTTCCTGTGCGCAGCAGTCCCATGAGGTAGTTCATATTCTCATTCCCATTCTACAGAGAGGAAACAAGCATGGAAGGTATTAGGTTGGTGCAAAAGTAATTGCAATTTTTGCCATGACTTTTTAATAAGTTCCTTGTTTACAGCCAGATAGGTAAAAAGTAGCAAAGTGGATGCTGTGAGGGACCCATTCTCACTCAAAGCCTATGACTTTTGGAGGAAAGGTAAAACTTCAGTCCCCACCTGAATCTCCAGCTGTCCTGTGGTGCTCTTCCTTTCCCCTCATGACTGGATGGAAACTTTAGGTGTAAAGAGGACTAGTAAAAAGGCAAATGGATATGAGAAAAGTGAACAGATTTAATAAATACTTAAGAGGCCAGGTGCAGTGGCTTACACTTGTAATCCCAGCACTTCGGGAGGCCAAGGTAGGAGGATCACTTAGAGCCCAGGAGTTCGAGACCAGCCTGGACAACATAGAGAGACCTCATCTCTACAAAAAATAAACAGAATTAGCTGAGTGTGGTGGCATGTGCCTGTAGGCCTAGCTACTTGGAAGGCTGGAGTGGGAGGATTGCTTGAGGTCAGAAGTTTGTGGCTACAGTGAGCCAAAATCCCAGCATTGCACTCTAGTCTGGACAAGAGTGAGACCTTGTCTCAAAAAAAAAAAAAAAAAGAGAGAGATACAAAAAAGGCCAGCCACACCTGTAATTCCAGCACTTTGGGAGGCTGGAGGAGACAGATTTTTTGAGCCCAGGAGTTTGAGATCAGCCTGGGCAACATGGTGAAACGCTGTCTCCACAAAAAATACAAAAATTAGCTGGGTGTGGTGGTGCGTGCCTGTATCCCAGCTATTTGGGAGGTTGAGGTGGGAGGATCACCTGAGCCCAGCAGGTGGAGGCAGCCGTGAGCTGTGATTACATCACTGCACCCCAGCTTGGGCGAGAGGGCAAGACTCTGTCTCAAAAACAGATAAACAAAAAGAGAATAACAACAAAAAAACTTAAGAAAAGTCAAAATTGGATTGAATGTGAAGGAGGGCAGTGTCAAGGATGACCAGCTTCCTACTTGTACAATCAAATGGAGGATAATTACCTCTTAAATCTTTATTTGCCTAGCATTTTAAGATTTTCATTTTCAGACTTTTTGTTATTTATAAAGCAGAGATATTGAGTTATTTAAGAAAAAACTTCTCACAAACTGTTTATAGCATATATTAAAGGGAAATCTTTTTTCCACTTGCACATTTTTTCTGGCTAAATGAATGATTTGCCTCTTAGATTCTAGATAAGACAGTTCTGTGATTTTTAAAGTGTAAGTTTCCACCTTCAGCACAGTTTATTTTAGAATTACCTAGAGTGGAGATGGCTTGTCTTTCTGCCTGCTAATCTAGAGACAGGTAAAGATAAGTGAGATTAAGCAGGCAGTTGCTGATGAGTTGTACCTCATATTGTCCAGGAAGACACCAAGGTGTTATGGACATGATTCGCCCATATAGCTCAGTAAGTGCAGCAACTTACTGCACTAGAAACTTTCCCATAAGTGAAATTATGCAAATATGTTCTTTGACTTTGTAAAATAATAGATTACTTCCAGCAAAACAAGAGGACTCTCAGGGGAGGTGGTAGGACACTAAACAGGAAGTGGGATTATGGGTGGAGCTGTTCACTGAGGAGGGCTGGAGAACAACGTGGAGAGAGATGTCCACAGGAGAATGGCATTCCTATTTGCTTTCCTCTGGTACCAGATAATTTTGCTTTAAGACAACTGATATGTTAGAGAGGGAATTGGGTTGGAAATGTAGCATTTTCCCGAAACATACAGTAGTCCTTTAAAATAAAAACTTCCTGATCCTTTTAAACTACCCTTCAATATTTTATTATTCTAAATGGAAATAACTTTGTTGTTTTCACCTTTCCCAACGTCTTTAATGTTACAAGGAAAACTGTCTCCTTTTAACATTTGCATATATTCAAATTAATAACTATGTTAGTTTCTCAAGGCCACTGTAAAAATTACCACAAACTTCGTGGCCTAAAACAATTAACATGTGCTGTCTCATTGTTTGGCGGTTAGAATTCCAAAGGCACTATCACTAGGCTGAAATCAAGGTGTCGGCAGCGCTGTCCTTCCTCTGGAGGCTCTAAGAAAGAAATCGTCTTTCCCTCTTTCAGTTCCTGGTGGCTGCCGACATTCTTGGGCTGCATCACTCCAATCTCTCTGTCTCCGTGGTTATGCTGCTTTCTGTTCTGTTCGCATCAAACCTCCCTCTGCCTCTCTCTTATAAGGACACTTGTGATTTCATTTAGCACCTACCTAGATAATCCAGGATAATCTCTCTCTCTCTCAAGACCTTTAACTTAATCACACCTGCAAAAGGTAACATTTCCAGGTTCCAGGAATTAGGATATATTTAGGGGCCATCATTCAGTTTACTATAATAACTATTTTTTATATCCACTCAAGAAGAGTCTCAGATGTCCATGAATGAAATAAAGCAATAAATATCAGATTAACCCTACTGTTTGCAAAGTCCTTTAAATGAAAATGTCATTATACTTTACATTATACTTTATACTTACATTATAAGTATACATTCTACATTATACATTATACTTTACATTATACTTTATACCTTACATTATACTTTGCTCACAGAACATTTATATAATTTTATCTTGTTTCAGGAAGTACATAAGGCAGTTTATATGGATACTTGAAATGCAACAAGATAATGTAAATTAAAAATAGATGAAAGAAAATAAATGAGGATAAGAAGAGAAAAGGAAGCAAGGGATGAAGCTCTAGAAAAATGAATATAATCACATTACTTTTATTGATATTGCATGGAAGATAAATTCTTACTTTATAAAGGAAGTATGGCATTTTGTTATAAAATGATAAAAGAACCATTCTTCCTTCTGTCAAACAGCAGCAGGTCCAGTCTCTTATACAGGCATACCTTGGAGATAGTGTGGGTTCAGTTCCAGATCACCCCAAAGAAGTGAATATTGGAATACAGCGAGTCACACACGTTTTTTGGTTTTCTAGTGCATATAAAAGTTATGTTTATACTATACTGTAGTTTGTTAAATGTGCAATAGCATGCTATCTAAGAAAAGGTACATACCTTTATGTAAAAGATACTTTTTGCTAAAAATTGCTAACGATCATTTGTGCCTTCACTGAGTGGTAAGTGTTTTACTGGTGGAGGGTCTTGCCTGGATGTCGATGGCTGCTGACTGATCCGAATGGTGGTTGCCGAAGGCTGAGGTGGCTGTGGCAATTTATTAAAGTAAGACAACGAGGAAGTTTGTCACATAGATTGACTATTCCTTTCAAGAAGATTTATATATAGCCTGTAATGCTGTTTGGTAGCATTTTGTCTGCGATAGAACTTCTTTCAATATTGGAATCAATCCTCTCAAGCCCTGCCACTGCTTTATCGACTAAATTTATATAATTCTAAATCCTTTGTTGTCATTTACACAGTGCTGTGAACATCTTCACTGGGAGTAGATTCCATCTCAAGAAACCACTCTTTGCTCATCCATAAGAAGCAACACCTCATTCATTCAAGTTTTAGCATGAGATTAAAATGTCATAAATTTAGTTACATCTTCAGGCTCCACTTCTGCTTCTTTTGCTGTTTCTACCACATCTGCACTTCATTTCCTCCACTGACATCTTGGACACCTCAAACTCATTCAGGAGGGTTGGAGTCCACATCTTCCAAACTCCTGTTAATGTTGATATTTTGACCACCTCCCATGAATTACGAATGTTCTTAATGACATCTAGAATGGTGAATCCTTTCCAGAATGTTTTCAATTTATTTTGCCTAGTTCCAACAAAAAAATCACTATCTATGGCAGCTGTTTTCTTATGAGATGTATTTCTTAAATAATACGACTTGAAAGTCAAAATTACTCCCTGATCCACAAGCTGAAGAGTGGATGTTGTGTTAGTAGACGTGTGAGCAATGTTAATCTCTTTGTACATCTCCATCAGAACTCTTGGGTGACCACGTATGATATTGTTTGGCTGTGTCCCCACCCAAATCTCATCTTGAATTGTAGCTCCCATAATTCCCACATGTCATGGGAGGGAGCCATTGGGAGGTAATTGAATCATAGGTGCCGGTCTTTCCCATGCTGTTCTCATGATAGCAAGTCTCACGAGACATGATGGTTTTATAAAGGGGAGTTCCCCTGAGTATGTCCTCTTGCCTGCCACCATGTGAGATGTGCCTTCCATCATGATTGTGAGGCCTCCCCAGCCATGCGGAACTGTGAGTCCATTAAACCTCTTTTTCTTTACAAATTTCCTAGTCTCGGGTATGTCTTTATTAGCAGCATAAGAATGGACTAATACAGGTGTGTTATCAACCAGAAGTAATATTCAGAAAGAAATATTTTTTTTCTGAGCAGTAGTTCTTAATAGTGGACTTAAAATATTCAAGAAACCATATTGTAAACAGTTACCCAGGCTTTGTTATTCTATTTATAGAGCACATTTTCTAAATCTATAGATTTAGAATAATTATTTATTTATTTGTATTTGCATTTTCATAGATGAAAGGTCTTGCTCGGTTGCCTAGGCTGAAGTACAGTGGGATCATCATAGCTCACTGACACCTTGAACTCCTGGGCTCAAGCAATCCTCCTGCCTTGGCCTCACAAAGTGTTGGGATTACAGTCATGAGCCACTGCATCTGGTTACAGTTAGAATAATTCATAAGGGCCTTAGAACTTTTTGAATAGTAAGTGAGCATGTAACTTAAAGTCACCAGCTACATTAGCCCCTAACAAGAGAGTCAGCCTGTACTTTGAAGTTTTGAAGCCAAGCATCGACTCCTCCTCTCTAGCTATAAAAGTCCTAGCTGACATCTTCTTCCAGTGTAAGGCTGTTTCATCTATATGAAAATGTGTTGTTTAGTTTAGCCACTTTCATCAACTATCTTAGCCAGATCTTCTGGAGAGCTTGCTGCAGCTTTGGCAACAGCCCTTGCTGCTTCACCTTGCACTTTTATGTTACAGAGATGACTTTTTTTTTTTTTTTTTTTGAGATGGAGTCTTGCTCTGTCACCCAGGCTGGAGTGCAGTGGCACGATCTTGGCTCACTGCAACCTTCACCTCCTGGGTTCAAGCAAATTCTCCTGCCTCCGCTTCCTGAATAGCAGGGATTACAGGTGCGTGCCACCACGCCCTGCTAATTTTTGTGTTTTTAGTAGAGATGGGGTTTCACCATGTTGTCCAGGCTGGTCTGGAACTCCTGACCTAAGGTGATCCACCTGCCTCAGCCTCCCAAAGTGCTGGGATTACAGGCATGAGCCACCATGCCAGGCCTGAGATGACTTCTTTCCTTAAACCTCATGAACAAATCTCTGCTAGCTTCCAACTTTTGTTGCACAGCTTTCTCATTTCTCTCAGCCTTCATAAATTGAAGAGACTTAGGACCTTCTCTGGATTAGATTTTCACTTAAAGAAATGTTGTGGCTGGTTTGATCTATCCAGACCACTCAAACTTTCTCCCTATCAGCAATTAGTCTATTTCACTTTCTTATCATTTGTGTGTTCAGTGGAATAGCATGCTACGTTTCTTTCAAGAACTTTTCCTTCACATTCACAACTTGAATCAAGAGGCCTGCTTTTGATCTATCTTGGCTTTCACTGTGCCTTCCTTGCTAAGTTTAATCATTTCTAGCTTTTGACTTAAGGTGAGAGATTTGTGTCTCTATGTTTCACTTGAATACTTAGAGACTATTATAGGGTTAATTGGCATACTATCAATATTGTTGTGTCTCAGAGAGTGGAGAGGGCCAGGGACAGGGAGAGAGATAGGGAAATGGGTGGCTGGTGGAGCAGTCAGAACACACACAGGATTTACTGGTTAAGGTCACCATCTTATATGGGCATAGTTCATGGTTCTCCAAAACAATTCTGATGGTAACATCAAAGATCACCAATCACAGATCACCATAACCGATTTAATAATAATGGAAAAGTTTGAAATATTGTGAGAGTTACTAAAATGTGACACAGAGACATGACATGAGCCCATGTTGGAAAAATGGCACCAATAGACTTGCACAACCTGGGGTTGCCACAAACCTTCAATTTGTAAAAATAATATCTGTGAGGTACAATAAAGTGAAGTGCAGTGAGGTATGTCTCTAACTATTAAATTATCCAAGGAAAAAATTATTTTGCATTTTATGTTTCATATTTAAAATTTTGTATTGAAGTTTAGGCAATATAATAATAAACCTCAAACTATGGAAGCAAGCTGTTATATATTTTGATTTATGATTTTTAAGAGTATTATTAAGACTATTCATACAATTTTCAAAGTTACCTCCTGTAGTTTTGTTTCCTGTTTAAGTAAAGGTTTTGAAATAGGTGATGATGCATATTTTAGGTGAAGTCAGTCATTTGCAACAAATCATATACCACTGTTTTATTTTAAATTATTTTAAAATCTAATTATACAAATGGCAGCTGTTGTAGTAGATGGGAACATATTTTGAATTGCCTTCCCTGTTATACACCTTATTAATTATCTGGGTAGGCAGAATCTGAGAATTTCTTCAAAAACTTATAAGCAAAGGAGTCCATTTTTGTGGCCTATAAGAAGATGTGCTACTTAGTAATTTATAGTAAATAATAAACAAATACTTCAGCAGATATTGATTCATTAAATATTTTAATAAATACTTATTGATTACTGCAGTAATAGCAAATATTTGACAAGCACATACTATTGGGAGGGAAAAGGGCATAGTGATTAAGATCCCAGGATGAAGGTAAACTGCCTGGATTTTAATTCTGACATGTTACTTACCATTAATATGACCATGAACAAGTTATTCATTTCACTCAATCTTGGTTTCTACATATGCAAAGTGAAGATAGTAATAGCTCCAATATCATAGGATTGTTATGGGGATTTAACATGTTAATACAAGCAAAGTGCTTAAAGCAGGGCCTAGCACATGGTAAGTAGTATATAAATGTTTGCTGTTGCTTTTATTAGCATATGCTGAAAACTTTGCATCCATTATTTTATCAAAACCTTATAATAACATCATGAGGTAGATACCTTTACTTTTAACTCATTTTATAAACAGGGAACTACGAGTCAGAAAAATTAAATGAAGAAGACAGGATTCAACTCCAAGTTTAATTGAGTCCAGAGAATGAGCTTAACTACTATACTGCACTGTGCCTTAATGTGTGCTGTGCCACACGTGCAAAGGGGAAGCTAAGATGAACTTGACATGGTGTCATCTTTTCAGGAGGATAGGCAAAAAAGAGTTGAGAGTCGTTCCTGTGGGTTAACACCTAGAACTAATGAGAGGACATATTTCCATCCCAATGGGATTTTTTGAGTGCTAATGTGCTAATTAGAGCTAATTCACATTGAGGGTGATAATAGCAATAACATTTTAGTGTTTTTACAAATGTCAAATACCATGGCATGCACTTTTTTAAAAAGCATGTTATTTAGTCAGGTGCAGTGGCTCCTGGTACTTTGGGAGGCCAAGACGGGAGGATCACTTGAGCCCAGGAGTTCAAGACCAGCCCAGACAACATAGCAAAACCCTGCTTCTACAAAAAATAAAGAAGTAAATTGGGCATGGTGATGCATGCATGTATTCCCAGCTACTTGGGAGGCTGAGGTGGGAGGATTGCTTGAGCCCAGGAGTTTGAGGTTGCAGTGAGCTATGATTGCATCATTGCACTCTAGCCTGGGCTGGACAAAGTGACACCCTGTCTAAAAAAAAAAAAAAAGAACAAAAACAAAAAACTCCAAACATGTTATTTAATAAGTACAACAGGCCGGGCGTGGTGGCTTATACCTGTAATCTCAGCATTTTGGGAGCCTGAGGTGGGCGGATCACCTGAGGTCAGGAGCTCAAGACCAGCCTGATCAACATCGTGAAACCCCCTCTCTACTAAAAATACAAAAATTAGCTGGCGGGCACCTGTAATCCCAGCTACTTGGGAGGCTGAAGCAGGAGAATCACTTGAACTTGGGAGGCAGAAGTTGCAGTGAGCCGAGATCATGTCATTACACTCCAGCCTGGGTGACAGAGTGACACTCTGTCTCAAAAAAAAAAAAAAAGAAAACAAAAGAAAAAAACCAATAATAATAACAAACTCACAAGGAAGGTAACATTTTGGTTTTACAGATGATGAAACTGAATGACAGACTAGTTACACAACATTCTCCAACTCATACAACTTGGAAGTGTTGGAGTTGGGATTTGAAATCAGAAAGTTTGACTTCATATCTTGAGATTTCAATTACCATTCTATAGGTACTTTGTATGCACAAGCAGTCAGTGTGCAAAGTTTTAAATAATGGTTTTGCTTTATTTTCTATATGATCAAAGAGGCTTTAAACGGGCAGAATTTAATTGTACAGTTCATTTCATATGTGGGCAGGGTCTAAGTCTGGGAATATGAATGGGACTGGAGATCTTTAAGAGTAAGCCTTGCGACATGTCAAGTTGCGGGTGGAGGATGCTCATTTATCAACAGCTTGCTATTTTTGTTCTGTTTTCAAGATGAAGAATTCTATAAAAATCACATGACATGTGATTCTTAAACCAATACAGAATTTTATCACCAGCTCAAACAAAAGTCTGTTCAGATATGTTATTCCACTTGGTGTTCATCCATATTCAGTCATCTCAGGACTTTAAAATAAATAAAAGTCACAGGCTCTGCATGCTTCTTTCCAGAAAGTAGAATCTGTATTCTTTAGATGCTGGCTGAAAGGGCTAATTTCAATGAGTACCCCAAAAAAGAAAGCATTTTATTGCCTCATGAACATTATAATTACTTGTTTACACGAATATGTTTTATTCATTTAACCATCTCCCAACCATACTAGCAGAATAACTACTTTAAGAAAATACCTAGTAAAACTGTTGAAAAAAATGAGCCATCAATGGATTTGTCCTTAAGCGACTCTAGCCATCTCTGTGTTGAATTTTCACGGTTTGAAGCAGCAACTGCAGAAAAGAGGGCATCTGCCTCAGTCATTGATCAGCTGGCATGCTCTCCATGCAGGCAGAGGTTCACCATTACTTCTGTTGCGAAATGTCCCCAACAACACCGTAAAGCCAGTCACTTCTTCAATTTACTGAGTTAAGCTGATCATGGTGGTGAGTGCTTATAGTCCCAGCTAATCAAGGTGCTGAGGCAGTGGGACCACTTGAGCTCCAGAGTTCAAACCCAGGCTAAGCAAAACCCCTGTCTCTTAAAAAAAAGATATATATATATATTTTAACTGTATATATATAGTTTTGTATACATATATAAAACTAAAAGAAAAAAGTAAAACAAGAAAAAATTTACTGAGTTACTACACAGTTAAGAACACATAAAAGGTGACCTCAAAATGTGGATATTCACATCTGTCATCCTACTTTTCATTGAATATTTAAGCAATAAAGTGTAATGATTTGAAATATATGCATTAAATTGAGAAGCATTGTTAATGTACCAGGGAAGGCAGGAGAATATTTTAATGAATTTGAAATGGCTAAAAGGAAGCTTTGGGTCCTCAAGGAAAGATGAATTTTAAGCAATTTCTCACAGTGTGAATCGTTTATAAGTGATGCATTTTGATGCAGAGGAAGTGAAGTTCCCAGAATAAAACCACAAATCTCCAAGAATACCCTTAGTCACCAACATATTGCTTCTTTCTCAAAAGGCAAAAATCTAGCACTTTGCTGTAGCCAGATCATGTACCACACATGAAAAATGCATGTATATGTTACACCTCATCTCCAAACTTACCTATGGTTATTTGTATCTTATACAAATTACAGTTTCCCTGACATATATCTAAAATATGGAAAACTCTTCAACTCCTTGGAAATACATTTTTCTTATAATTAGACATTTCTTTTGTCCATTAATAGCAAGAGCGTCTTGTCAAGGATCATGGAAGCAGAACTGATTCAAGATTAAAAAGATCCGTAAAAGTCACATGAGATGTAATTCTTAGAACCAGTATAGAGTTTTATCACCAGCTGCTAGGAAAAGTCAGTTCAAATATGGAATGGTTCAAATATGTTATTCTACTTGGTGTTCGTCCATACCCAGTAATCTCAGTATTTTAAAATAAATAAGTCATAGGATCTGCGTGCTTGTTTCCAGAAAGTAGGATTTGTATCCTTTAGATGTTGGCTGAAAGGACTAATTTCAATGAGTACCCAAAAAAAGAAAGCTTTTTATTGCCTCATGAGTATTATAATTACTTGTTTACATGGATATGTTTTATTCATTTAACCATCTCCCAAGCATATTCACGGAAGCAGAACTGATTCATTCAAAAGAAAAAGCCAATTTGGGATGGGGGTAGTGGGAGGAGATCTCTTCAGATCTCTCAGTTTTAAAGTCTCTGATGGTTGGATATTTGTAGTTTTTCACTGATTTTTCTCTCTGCATAAAGAGCTAATAGCTCATTGTCTATAAATATTTTCCAACATTTTGTTTTCCAAAATGGACTCATTTCTACATAAAGACGTCATGGAAAGATGGTTTTTCTTCCTGAAGGGTTAGGTCAGCCCTGGGAAGAAGTATAGACCTTGGCTCCTGTTATTCCTCTTTAGATATCCCAGGGTTCCAACAGGAAGTTACAAGATACCTGCACTACCTGTAAAGTTTATTTAAAATGATTGGAAGGCTCTCATAAGCATTGGAGGGGAAGAAAAACTTTTTTTCTACCCTCTTAGGTGAAGTGCCTAGGAGCCTGTGAATTAAACTTACAGCAGACAGACTAGCAGGAGAAAAAGCTTACAAAGTTATTTATTTTAAATTTTGCTTGCACAAGGGTGTCATAGAAAGAAATGAATACCCCAAGGAGTGATGAGATTTGATTTTCTGTATCATTTTACTACAGGAAAGGGAGGTGGAGAAAAGGCAATATTGAGAGAGCAAATGACTTCTTTAAAAAAAAAAAAAAAAGATAAATGGGTCCTTAGGAGAATAGATGGGAGATATGACAGTTTGTGACAATGTCTAGAAGAGAAGAAAGAGTTGCTCCCAGTGGGAGGAATTTGTGACAGCTGAGTTCTTTTGGGAACCTCTGCTTTTAGTCAGATAAAGGATTTCGGGAACTCAAATGCCTTCAGCTCAAAATAACTCTTATGGGCTGGGTAGGGTGGCTCATGCCTGTAATTCCAGCACTTTTGGAGGCCGAGGCAGGAGGACTGCTTGAACCCAGGAGCTCAAGACCAGCCCAGGCAACATAGCAAGACCTCGTCTCTACTAAAAATAATAATTTTTAAAAATTAGCCAGGCGTGGTAGTGCATGCCTGTAGTCCCACTACTCAAGAGGCTGAGGTGGGAGGGTGACTTGAGCTTAGGAGGTGTTTGTCCCACTGCACTCCAGCCTGGGTGACAGAGCAAGACCCTGTCTCAAAAAACACAAATAAAACAAAAAACAAAAAAACACCTCTTATGGCAAAGTGGCATATTTTGGGGTGGAAAACGCTGATTCCTTTCAGCACGCATCATTTGCTCATGTTTTACCCAATATATGAAGGGCATTACCGGAAAGGAAAATACCTGTTTACTCTTGGCCTACTGTGTATCTGGTGTGGCTTCATTCATTTATAAGATGTTCCACCAGGCTCTTGTAGCCCATTCTCAACAACAGTAGCCTTCAAAGAAGGAAGTATATTCTGAGATTAGGACTTGTAATTTTCACGTGACAATTTAGAGAATATGTAGAAATAAGAATACACATTCAGAACGTGTTTGAAATATTGTTACAAATGTTTCTGAATTTTTACAATTTTCAAAGAAACCTGCATGTAGAAAATATGAGGGTGCTATTCATCAGTCAGAAGACATGTGATTACATCGTGCAGTGCTTAACACATGCACTTTACAGGTCCTCCTACCAGTAGGAGAAGACACCAAGACTCCAGGTCCTCCTTTACAGAAGTCATTGTGGCATCCACAGGGTAGGAAAGCCCCATACTCAGCAGTGAGCAATTTTATACATTTGCAAAGCAAATCTTGTACTAAAAAAAAAAACAAAAAAATGGGGTGGGTTGAGTAACAGTAAACTATCATAAAATATACATCTGAAAAGAGATTCAGACATACTTTAGAAAAGAATTAAAGTCACAATATATTTGCCACCTCAAATTAAATTCATTTGATTATGGGGTTGGTGACTTCTTTCATTAAGTGATGGGGAAATAGATCAGTTCTATCAAGCACTGCCAGTTTATCACTTACTATCTCAAATCTTTCAGTTAGACACAAATAGAACTTTGTATGACCTTTGCTAATGGAGAGCAACAGTAGAAAATTATTCATCCCACGTTTTGGGTACTTACTATTAAATATGCTTGTTTGCAATGACCTAGGAATTCACAACATATGCAAGTACAAAACCTACCTTATTGTGACATCTGGCCTCAGGAAGAGAAAGAACTTGGTGCCAGTGTTCTTTGACTCTTGACCCATCATAACGGGCTCAGTAACCTCTCCCCTCAGATGATTCCCTGAGACCCACCACAGGGATATCTTCTCTTCTTAGTACCCTCTTCTCTGAGTACCCTCACCCCTCAAATGATATCCTGAGACTCACCTCAAGGGGGATCCTCTCTTCTCAGTCCCCTCTCCTCTCAAATGGTGTCCTACACCTGCCTCTGTAGAACTTGCTTCTGTCCTTCTCAGATTTTTTTTTTTTTTTTTGAGACGGAGTCTCGCTCTGTTGCCCAGGCTGGAGTGCAGTGGCACAATTTTGGCTCACTGCAAGCTCCGCCTCCCTGGTGTACACCATTCTCCCACCCCAGCCTCCCAAGTAGCTGGGACTACAGGCGCCCGCCACCACGCCCAGCTAATTTTTGTATTTTTAGTAGAGATGGGGTTTCACCATGTTGGCCAGGATGGTCTCGATCTCTTGACCTCATGATCCGCCCACCTCGGCCTCCTAAAGTGCTGGGATTAAGGCCTTCTGAGATTTTTATTTGTTCTTTTTATCCCTTCTCCCATACTGAGGGAAAATAAATGTTTTGGTTTATGTAGTAGGACCTGTTATGTATGTTTCAAACATAATGGCCCCATATAATAGCTTTGAATTTGGATTCCGTTAGAGTTGGAAAAAGAGAAAGTCAGCACTCACTTGCATGTGGGCGCTTTCTTGCTCCCTCTTTCTTTGTGCCCTCCCCTTCCTCTCTCTACCCCTGCTTTCCACCTCCCTTTCTCTCTCTCTCTCAAAGTACCAAGTCCAGTGCTGTATTCTCAGTGCTCATCTTCACTGACCTATTAGCATATCTTGGCGGGGTTGCCCACTATCTGCTCCTTAAAGCACTTTGTTCACTTGGTTTTCAGGATACTGAACAGTTCTCCTCCTTCTTCTCAGTCTCCTTTGCTAGCTGCTGGCCTGCCCCAAGGATCCGTCCTTGGCCTGCTTCTTCTTTCTATCTACACTAGCACTGTTTGCCATCTCATGACTCATGATTTTGAATTGGATCCATGTGCTAACAACTCCAAAATTTATTTTTCCTGCCTGGACCTCACTTCTCAACTTCAGACTGCCTACATGATACGTCTGCATGGGTGTCTGATCAACATCTTGAACTCAACATGTCTAACACTGATCTCCTGAGCTCCCTCCTCCAAAATATCCCTAGTCCTCCTAAGTTCATCCTCATTTCAGTTAATGACAACTCCATTTCAAATGCAGAAGCCCAAAACCTATCATCCACGGTTTAGCTTTGTTTTCCCTCCATTATACCCCATTTCCAGTCTGTCATGCCAGCTCTACTTTCAAGATGTAGCCAGAATGGGACAGCTTCCTACCACCTCTGCTGGTATTGCCTTGGTCCCAGCCTTCCTTATCTCCCATGCGCATTACTGCAGGAGCCTCCTAGCAGGCCTCCCTGCCTTGGTCCTGGACTGCCTTCACTCCATTCTCAACATAGTAACCAGAGTGATCCTTTCACTCATGGTGTATCATGACACTCCTTCCTTTGAAGTTCTCCGGTAGTTCTTCAATTCACACAGAATAAAGGGCAAAGACCTTACAGTGGCCTTTCCTTCTTCCTCTTTTATTTCCTGGACCTCATTTCCTAATGCTCTCTCCCTTAATTCCCTTCGCTTCCTCTTAGGAACCTTTGAGTTTATTAATCCCTCTTCTTCAAGACGCTTCCTCAGATATCTTCTGGGCCTGCTTCCTCACTTTCTTTGGTTTTTTACCTAAATATTGCTTGTCAGTACTACCCTTAGATCTGGCAACTGGACCCAGATCTGTTGGGACAGACAGTTATCTCTGGGTTTGTCAAGTTTCTGCACAACACGTATTCTGATCAAAGGTATGAACAGCTCATTTTCCCTGGACTCTCTTTTCCAGGTATTTGCATGTCACTCACAGCAATAGCAGTAGCCACAATAACATCATTCTACCAGTTCTCTGAGGCTCAATTCCAAAAGGATGTGACAAGGGGCAGGTATTGCCTATTAATGCAGTCAGGTGTGTTACAGGAGAGTAACACTGAGGTTAGGAAACACCGAGATTAGGTTGTGTAGGGGCTATTATGTAGCCTAGAAAAATAGAAATTTTTCTCTTAGGGGCAGATTTATTTACTATCCAGGATAATAAAGGTGATAAAGACCAGATGTTGGGCAGATTTGCTGGTAGCTCTCATATAAATCGGAGTTTCCTAATCTCAGTGTTACTCTCCAGTAACACACCAGCCTGCATTAACAAGTAATACCCAGCCCTTGTTACATCATCCTTTTGGAACTGGGGCTCAGAGAACTAGTACAAGGATGTTTCTCTGGCTACTGCTATTGCTGTGAGTAATAAATTGTCTTTTGTCTATGACCCAGAAGTCTTGTGTCTTCTGCCAATATCCATGAAACTGGCAGGCCAATGTCTTGGCTTGCAAGTAGGGTAAAATTCTGACCCTTCTTATTTCTAACACCTGTTCAGAGCCTTTGGTTTTAGAGAGCCCCACTTTAGCCCTCTTCTAGCTGAGCCTTTGTTTAGAGTGAGCAGCTCGTAGGCTCACCTATAACCTGTGCCTCCTCTTCTAGACCATGTTCTGGTATCTGAGACTCCAGAATCCCCTTTCCAAACAGCCCTGAGAGTGTTACCAGGCATCCATGAGCCTTTCGTGGGTAGACTATGCTGCCAGAATGTGTATTCCTCATCCCAAGAGATGACCAAGGGCTGGCTGATTTTGGGGGTGGCAATGAGAGTAGCTTGAACACACAGGCTAGGAAACTAGTTCTCAGGTGTGATTCCTCGACCAGCATCATTAGCTTCACCTGGGAACTTGTTAGAAATGCAGATTCTTAGGCCCCACCCATTTCTGTTTCTACCAAATCGGAAACTTTGAGAATGAGCCATTTGTGTTTTAACATGCACTCTAGGAGATTCTGATGCCCACTTATGTTTGATGATATGATGTACACTCAACAGACTAGGTTATCCACATACATGTGCATAAGGCGCCTATCAATGCTTGTGGCAGACAGACCCTAAGGTGACCCCCAGTGATTTCCAGCTTCTGTTATTGATATTCTTGTATAATTTCCCTAGTTAGAGCATGGGCAAGACAGTAACTTGCTTCCAAACAACAGAATATGACAAACTGATGGGATGTAACTCCCATGATTACATTACATTAATAAGACTTCGTTTTAGCAGACTGGAGCTGAGGCCCTCCTTGTGGGTCGATGAAGTAAACAGTCGAGTTGGAGAAACCCACATGGCCAGGAACTGTGGGCAGCTTCTAGAAACTGGGTGTCTTTTAGGACATAAGGAAGGCAACAAAAACCTGGTTCTTTAGTTTTGTGCCTCCAGAAAGTGAGTTCTGCCAACAGTCTGCATGAGCCTTGAAACAGTTCTCCTCTGGTCCAGCCTCTAGATGAGAGTGCAGTATGGCCGACACTTTGACTGCAGCTTCATGAGACCCTGGGCAGAGGACCCAGCTAAGCTGTGCCTGGATTTCTGATCCACAGAAACTCTGAGATAATAAATATGTGTTGTTTTAAGCAGCTAACTCTGTGGTCATTTGTTATGCTGCATTTGAAAGCTAACACAGGGCAGGGCTCCGTGTGAGAGGAGAGGATGGGATGTATATTTTTTTTTGTGCTCTTGCCTTGCCTTGGGTTCTGCAAGTGTTGGTGATGGTCTGTCACGGCCCTTCTATTTAAAACGGTACCCTTCCCCTACTGCCTCCTTCCCTCCCTCCCTCCCACCTTCTTTCTCTTCTTTCTTTCTTTCTTTCTCTTTCTTTCTTTCTTTCCCTTTCTTTCTTTCTTTCTTTCTTTCTTTCTTTCTTTCTTTCTTTCTTTCTTTCTTTCTTTTCTTTCTTTCTTTCTTTCTTTCTTTCTTTCTTTCTTTCTTTCTTTCTTCTTTCTTTCTTTCCTTCCTTCCTCTTTCCTTCCTTTCTTCCTTTCTTTTCCTTCCTTCTATCCATCCATCCTTCCTTCTTTCTTTCTTTCCTTTTTCTTTCTTTCTTAGACAGAGTCTTTCTCGTCACCCAGACTAGAGTGCAGTGGTGCAATCCTGCTAGTGTTAAACTTCTGGCCTCATATGATCCTCCCATGGCAGCCTCCCAAAGTATTGGGATTATAGGCATTAGCCACCACACCTGGCCTGGATTTTTGTGTGTGTGTGTGTGTGTTTTTTTTTTAGCAGCTATTTCCCTCTTTCATGCTATATATATATATATATATATATATATATATATATATATAATATATATACTATATGGCATGAAATTAGGTATATATATACAATTATATATATAAATATATATAATTATATATATATAACTATATAATAAACTATATAATAAATTAGGTATATATATATATTTATTTTCTTCATTGTCTCTTCCCACTCCTTCTAAATGTAAGTTCTACAGGCCCAAGATATTTTGCTGTTGGTCACTGCTTACTCTCCAGCACCTAGAACAGGGCTTGACACACAGTAGAGGTTCAATCAGAATTTATTGAATAAATAAAGTAAGCTATAATGTTTTTGAAAGTCTACTGGCTCCTGGTAAATGCTCCACTGAAATCAACAGGTTTTTCCTACTGTCTTTCCTTATTATTAGGTAATTGCATGAATGATAAAAATAAATGAGAAGGAAATAATTTCAACAAAGGAGTAAGCAAATGAAAAAATGTACTTCATTCCCTGCCCTTCCCCCATTAAAAATAATACATTGACTCTGGGTTTGCTGTTTTTACAAGACCAATTGGTTTATCGATCAATATTGCAATTGAATGTAACCCTTAATTTCTATCAGCCTGTCTCTTCTCACTCCCTGGTGGCCTGGCTGCTGTGTGTTTGTGTGTGTGTGAGCACATGTTCACAGAAGGAATCCAAGAGGAAGAAAAGTCCAACTTCCTATAAATCTGTGCCCCATTTTCCTTTCTCTCTTTTCTTAATTACAAGGCTGTTTCTGGCTCAATCATTTAAGCCAAAGAACTTTCCGCTTTGAGTCAGGCACACGGTCCAAGGAATGGTTTATAGAGCAGCTTGGTTGTCCTCCCTATTGTAAATCTAAATTTTTGTCTGGGTAATTGTTTTCTGTTGTTCTCTGCCATTTTTCTCTTGATTAAACCCTTTGGAGAGGCAGCCTGATGCAGAGAGTGCCCTGGCCCAAGAGCCAGGAGGTGCAGCTTCTGATCTTGGTTTCACCACCACTCTGCCACTCCCTTCTCAGGTCCTCTGTTTGCTCACCTCTTTCTTACCCAAGAGGGTTGGATTAGTCGCCCTTGGAGATCCTGCCCAGCTCGTTCTTAAGAAGCCTGTTTAAACTCCTTCAATAGGTGATGCTTTTTAAATATATATATATGCGTACATACATATATACAAATACATGTATTAAGCTATTCCTTAAACTATGTTTGCTTTTTTATTTCCTATGAGGAAAGTCTGCAGTCAAGTTAGATATTTTCATTTTTTTAAGTAAGTCCTAAAATGCTATTCTAGATGCTGATACTTCTCGTTTAAAGAATGACTCTGCATACTCACATAAGTAATTTCTCCAATCTGAGATGACTGTGGTCATACAGAAGGAAGTCAGGATGAAGAACACAGAAGAAAGCAAACTAAAGGGCCTGTCACATAAAGGGATCCTAGTCTAGTGACAAAGAGCCTACATGTTGTCACAAAGATTTGGATTCATTTCCCAGTGCAGTCCCTTATTAGCGATGTGACCTTTAACTTCCTCAAGTCTCAGTTTGCTCATCTACAAAATGGTGGAAATGGGGGGCCCTCGATGGATCTTGTGATGATTGAGTGGCATGATGCAGATGAATTGCTTATGACTGTGCTTGGGTACTATTATGGCAATGAAAGAGAAAAGCGAGATTCATTTATCAATTTCTCATGAAATATGCATTTAATATCCCCTGTGCTGGGCCCTAAAGTAGGCACTAGTGAAACAGACACGAAAGAACCAAAGTCCTTTCCTTTGTGAGTTTACCACCCTATTTTCGTTATAGCAGTTAGGTGTCAAGTAACTATTTTTAATGCATTCTTTTACCCAAAAATTTGTTGTACTTTTGTATGCTACCTACCACAAAGTTAAAAATAGCTTTCTGGAGCTAAGGAAAGATGAGTAGGTTGAAGATAGAAATAAATATGTAAGTTGACGGAATTTGGCTATCTGGCCTGCATGCAAATCTGAAGCATCAATTGTACCTACTAAAAAAGACCGAAATTTTGCTAATGAGACAATAAATGTTTTAAATGGTTGCTGCTTTTGGTCCTTCTTTATTTACTAGGATGAAAGCTTAAAGATTTGCATAGCAGATATACAAAGCAATGTTCATTGTTTGGTTACATTTTGAGGAAGAACAGGTTAAATGTTTTGCTTACATTTGCATTGCTGCTTTCAAAATAACTTAGTAGAGCATTGGGGAAAATGCCAGCAGTGCTTACCTCTTCAGTTAGCAGATCCTATTTCCGGTCTCTTGTGGCTTGGATGTTGATGATAACAAGACAGGCTTGCTGAAAGGAGTGCAAAGTGCATGGGGAAGGGTGCATGTCCTCCATGGCAGGACTTTGACAATCCTGGTGTCTGTTGCTTAACACCATGCTTCAGACCTCTAACTGATCTGATTTCAGCTCTTGCCATTTTAGGTATTTCAAAAAATAAGGCACAAAATGAAAGCTTTTAATATGTTTGTGTTTATTTACATATATATGTGTGTGTGTGTGTATCCTATCATTATCTATCACCTTTACTCTGCCTTATTTTTCTTCACAAACTATGACATTTTATATTATGCATAATCATTTACTTTTTCTCCTAGCTAGCATTTAAGCTCCTTGAGGGCAGGGGCTTTGATTGTTTTCTTTATTGCCGTATCCCCATATCTAAAACAATGACTGTTCATGGAGAGCACTCTATAAATACATGCGGGGAAAACAATGAATGAATGAATAAATGAATGAATAGTATTGAGTGCATATAGCATTATATCCAACCAAGCAGGTGGTAGCAGCATGGACGTTTCAACTTTTATAAGAAATGAATAGTTTAAAAATTTTATAAATTATTTTAAAAGCTCCTAAAATTAAAGAAATGCTAGGGTGATAGAATTTTCAGTACTCTACCACTGGTATTAAATGTTGTTCCCAACACTGAAATCCTGAAGACAATTTTAAGCTTAAGAGTCCAAGTGTGTCAACATAAAGATAGAATCTAGGGTAGAACTAAGTTACCCTTCTTAAGAAAGAGAGGAAGGGGAAAATATGGGAACTGGGGAGGAAATTATTCACAAAGAGTGAGCTCCAGAAGGAAAAATAAATAGGGAGAGAGGACAATATGCCTGGAGGCTGGAGAGATAAACATAGGACAAGAGATGCTTCTAATGTTTTCCCAGGAAATGCTATAAACCAACTCCTAGCTTCCCCTATGAAATGATTAGTAAATTCTGCATTGCTCATTCAAACTTTTATGGGATTAGAGTTTTGTTATGGGAGAGGTTAAAAGGAAAGAGGTCACTGGACAGCTGATGTATATTTTACAAAGAAATAGGTATTCATTTTCTCCCTGTCTCCACTAAACAAATATTGAGGAAATTCTTACAGACTATCAGCATGAGATATGCAGCTGAGCCATATGTTTTGAGTGTCCCTGTTCTTCTGCTGTCTTGATTTGGAGGTTCCAACATACTAGAAGAGATGAAAGGGGACAATGTAGCCGAATCCCATGGGGATGATCTCTTAGATTGCCATGGACTCTTAAGCTTAAAATTGCCTTCAGGGTGATTTTCAGGGTGATCACAGACCTTGGATTGGCAACACCTGTTCAAATTATTTTAACCTGGCAAATCAAAGCCTCATTTATAGAAATAAAAATGACAATAATTTGGTGGCATTTTCTTTTATAATGCACATGTGGCCTGCTCTACTTAGCTAGTTCATCGAGATTTATGAGAAAACATGTCCGTATTCTTGTTGCTTAAAAACATTATTCTGCATGTTGCAAGTAGTCACTGAACTCAACTTGTAAAAGGCTGATTTCCTTCCCTGAATGTGCCATCTCCCCAAGTCCTCACTTATAGCCTGCTAGGGTTTGAAATATTGATGAGTACAAATCCATTCATCTCCAAATTTCAGTGGCCTTTCAATGGAGAGTATTTTTAGCTTTGTTGAGAATTTGGGGCAGAGGAAATCACTTTCAGAAATAGCAGATTATTCTTTTAGTTTTGTAGAACTCGAGATGGAATCTGTAAAATGAATCTTTGAGTCCTTGCTGGCCTTATACTAATACAGTAGTATAAGATCATTTCTGTGTAAGTAACTGAGAGAGTAATTTAAGAGCGTATCCTTTCTGCAGAATCTAATCTTAATACAAATAGATGTTAAAATTCCGATAATCAACTGTTTAGGTCCTGTGTGAATACTATCATATATTATTAAACTATCTCTGGCAGCCTGATGTGGTGACTCACACCTGTAATCCCAGCAACTATGGGAAGCTGAGGTAGGTGGATCACTTGAGCCCAGAAGTTCGAGACCAGCCTGGGCAATGTGGTGAAACCCCATCTCTACAAAAAAATAAAAAAATTAGCTGGGTGTGATGGTGTGTGCCTGAAGTCCCAGCTGCCTGGGAGGCTGAGGTGGGAGGATCACTTGAGCCTAGGAGAATGAGGCTGCAGTGAGCTGTGATTGTGCTGCTGCACTCCAGCCTGGGAGACAGAGCCAGACCTTGTCTCATAAATAAATAAATAAATGTAAAAATGAAAAAAGAATCTCTGTCATCTTAATGGATACAGTAACGGCTGCTACTTAGCTTTTTGAGTTTTGAGATACATTCACCCGTACATTGGTGAAGTCCACTCTTGATCAGACTTGATGGCTAGCTCATCATTGGCCATTTTCTCAGATTTCTAATCTTCCAAACCCGTTTTCTACGTTCCCTAATTTAGAGCACTTGCTCAGCTGGTTTTGTCCACCTGCACTGCTGTTACCCTCATTTCAGCTTGTCAGATCTCACCCATATTGTTGACAGTGAACTCCTGATTTTTCCCCTGGAAGTCATCCTCCTTTTTTTTCTCAACTCTCACAGCATTTTTAATCTTTTTAATGTCCTTAAAAAGCAGCATCATAATTTAGAGTTGGAGAGGACTTAATGAATGTTCTAATACAATCTCCACATTTTGTAGCTGTAAGCACTTGAGGGATGAGGAGATTGGCCTGAGCTAGTATCTTATACATGGGAAAACCAGAAAAAGAACTGAGGTTTTCTTACTACAGCCCTGTGATCCTTTCTCTGTATTATCAGCCCTTCACCTTCTGCAGCACATTGCAGTTATTCATCCATATGTCTTATTGAAGAGACTGTTTAGAGGCTTATTTTTAATTAAAAAGTTAACATTTTTAAATTAAAGTTTCAGGTTTAGAAAATTTCCACTTTTAAGTGAAGCTTGCAAGTGTTATACTATTTATAAAATTAACAAACCATTACTTTTAAAGCGACTTTGATAAATATGATATTTAAATAGTATGATATTAACTGATATACACATTCAATTAATATACTCAATTTCATATTTAAGCACTTCAATTTTCTATTTGACTAGCCTTCCTAAGTACTTAAATCTTATAAATTTAAAAGCTAAGTATATAAAAAGTGAATCTAAAAATTCTCTTTAGCTGTTTCAATATTACTTACAAATTTAGTAACATTTCCACTTAAAAATCCCAAGTTTAAGCCATTAACCAAATTAAACATTTAAAATTATAATTATAAGCCTGATAGTCTCTCAATAGACCATATTCTTTCGATCATAATATAAAATAACAAATATTCAAGTGCCTTGTCACAAAACGACTAGTTCTATGATTTTGCTTTATTTATTTCTTCATTCAATAATTATCTAAAATATACCTGTGTGCCAGGCAATACTCTAGGCTCTAGATAAACATTAGCAAACAAAATAAAAATTTCTATTCTTGTGAGGCTCAAATTCTAAGGAAGGGGCAAATAGTAAGCAACATAAATTAGTAAAAAACATAGGCCAGGTGTGGTGGCTCATGCCTGTAATCCCACCACTTTGGGAGGCTGAGGTAGGAGGATCACAAGGTCAGGAGTTCAAGACCAACCTGGCCAATATGGTGAAACCTTGTCTCTACTAAAAATACAAAACTTAGCCAGGCGTGGTGGCACATGCCTGTGGTCCCAGCTACTCAGGAGGCTGAGGCAGGAGAATCGCTTCAACCCGGGAAGTGGAGGTTGTGGTGAGCCAAGATCACACCACTGCACTCCCGCCTGGGCGACAGAGTGAGACTCCATCTAAAAACAAAACAAAACAAAACAAAACAAAACAAAACAAAATATATATATATATATATTTGGGTAAATGTTAAAGAAAAAATCAATGAAGGCAGGATGTGAAATGTGAGGGATGGGTGGAATGGTGGTTGCAGATGATGCTACCTTTTTCTAGGATTAATACTCTGCACAAAGACCTTATTAATTAATTTAGGCTACTTCCCAATAGAGAGGTGTTACATTCTGAGTACACTTGAGGTTGTACAAGGACTGGAGATTTGGCTTGTTATGTTGACTGGATTCCCACTGGTGACTCTGGTGAATACTCTGAACTTATTATTGTTTGTCCACAACTCCCTGACTTCCAAAGGGAAACTTGTAGCCCTACATTATTTGATTGGATTTTGTATGTCTTTGGCTCTTAAAATAATGTAAACAGACTTCCCACCCAAGTGGAACTACCTTTGACACAGCCCTGAAGTCCTTCAGATTCTTCAGACCACTCAGTCTTAACAGACATATCTGGCTGAATTCTGGGCATCCCTCTTGGTTTTGTCCTGAAATGTGGACACAATTTTCCCAGTCACTTTCCTGATTAATTTTAGCTCTCCAAGAGGATGGAGAACTTCAAGAGGACAAATACTATTATGTCTTAGCTCTGTTTTGTTTCTCATTTATTACTGTGTCCTGCAGAACACAATGGGTTTACCCAAGTAGTCCCTCAATACATGTTGTTTAAAGCAGAATAGTGCAGCTCAATGACATAGGGTCATGTCCCACTCAGCCTCTTGATTGCAGGCAACTGCTCAAAAACTGGACTTCCTCAAGTGTGAAAAGGAATTATAAGAATCCCTATGTGTCCCAAAGCACTGTCTAAACTAAGAACCACTCTATGAATGCTAGTTTTCCTTACTATTAATGGTTTAATGCTTATTTTAAAAATCCCTCAAAGCATTTCACAAGCAGATAGTCCCTTTCCCTTTGTATTTAGGCTTCAGGATAATATGAGCGGTACCACTGTTTTATTTTTACAATACTGATCATTTTATCATGCCTGTTGTATATTCAGGTGTAAGTTCTTTTTCACAGGATAGCTTCAATATGTCAGGATGAACTTTCATTTATTTATTTTCATTCAATAGAACTAACTAAATTCTTTTTCTGTTCATTCAGTTATCCCACTCTAAATACCAGGGTTCTCTTTATAGATGGAAATGTGAAGAAGGCAGCTCTTACTTAAAGGGAGTTTTTTTCTGCTCTCATGCACTATACCATTATTTGGGCATTCTAAGGAAAATTCAGGAGTGGTTTTTTAAGAGGGCTGTGTTGCTCTGGGGAGCATCATCTTGACAATCTTGTTAAGGGAGGGTGTTTGAAAGCCACTTCAACTAGAAAACTTACTTTCTACCTGGAGTCTGAGTGCACCTGTATCCATCACTGGACGGAACTCTGATGCTGTCCTGACAATGCCCTTTCATGACCTTAACCTGTGGCTCTGGTCATCACTGTTCCTCAGTTCTCACTCTATCACATGGGTAACTGTTGTACTCAGAGGCTTTGGGAGTCCTCAAATGTCTCACTTTCCCTCTGTCATTTTAAAAACTGCTGCACAGCCCTTGTTTATTTCTATGTAATTATTACTTCATCATATATGATGTTATAAGCCAATTTGATTCTTTTTTGGGGAGAAGGTGGAAGCGAAGGAAGATAGGAAAAGAAAGTCAGGCTCGTACTATTACATTTTCACAGATTTATTTGAAATTGAGTCTTTCCCAGAATTATCTACCACCTCTTATGGTCAGTTTGACACAGTTAATGCCAAGCACAGTTTATAACTTTTTAAAATTGATCAAAAATTACCCTAACTTTGAAGGTCCTGAAATTACTGACACATATAAGAATTTGCAAATTAAATGTGGCACACAGTTTTTAAATATACATTTACCATACACACACACACATATATTATATATACACACACACACACACACACACACACTCACACACACACAGAGAGGGAGAGCTATTTAGCCTTTTCTTGATAGAGGACGTAAAGGAGAGTGTTAATTACCCCATTCTGGAGAATTCAACTTACAATGGAAAACATGAAGGAGAGCTGTTTAACATCTGCATAAAACACTTGTTTCCTGGTCCTTCTAATGATGCATTCAGGTATGAAAAATGTTTTCTATTTACTTGTTCAGAATTATTTTAAATAAAGGAAGAAAATCACAGCAGCTTCCTGCTTCGGAGGCCCACAGAGTTGCAGCCAAATGACTTGCTATTATCATAGGTCTTTATGTTTGCTGAATGCTTTTCAGTATATCTGATTGTATTCACAGCCCTTTCTGGTGGCATGAAGGAGGCTGGTGTTGCTCTTGTGCAGATTACAAAGCTAGAACCAGAGGAAGGGGAAGAAATGATGGCTTAAGGCATTCTTAGAAGTTGGGTTCGAGCCTACAGTTTGTTTTTCTCTTTAAGATCTGGAAAGGTGAAGAATCTGATGGCAGTGAACCCAGTAATGAATACGATGTTAATATTATAATGTTATTTATTTTATTTACTTATATACTATAGTAATTAATTTGTAGTAATTAAGTAGTAAACCTGATAATATCTGATCTAAATGATTAGCATAAAGAACTATGTCAAGATCAAAATTCAGGATGACTAAGAGGTCAGAACATAAGATACTCACGCAGAAGGATGTAGGAATAACCAAGAGAACTGAATGACCTCTCTAAGAGCACCAAGAAACATTTACGCCAGGATACACAAAGAACTAAGACATTTGAGGGGTTTGGCGATGGTGTCAAGAGGTGCTCGCTGTTTTACATTATTATGTATATGCTGTCCATTTTCTAGAGAGCATAGAGATAGAGGAAACAAAACTGAGACTTAATCAACATCATGGGATTTAAATATCAAACTATGAACAGATAAAGAATGCATGTGTTTTACACGAGTACTGAGGAAAGACCTAAATTGAAGCATGTGTTATTTTACGATAATATTTATTTACTCACAAACATTTGGTAAACATCTTCCTTGTGCTAGGCCATGCATAGATTCTGGGGATACATAGTGTTTTTCTGATGAACTAGAATGGATGCTAAATTGTATCAGCACAGATAACTCTGAATATCTAGGACTTGCCAGTTTACATTGGCGTGGTGCAAGCCATAGATCTTTGGACATATTGTCTTCTCCCAGATCATCAAAGGCCAAGATTTTCCAGGATAACTGGGAGCAAGTCAGTATTAGATTCTGCACTGACTCCACGAACCAAGGTGTTTCAGGGATATTAGGATAATTTTAGGGCAATGGAGTTTGATTTGGAAAGTTGGCTTTGCACAGCCACTCCCCAGATGGCCCTGGTCTAGATCACCCCTTCATGTCAGTTTTTATGGACAAGGCTTCCCCTCGGATACCTCTGGCATTAGGGAGGCACAGATGTACTTCTCTGCAGCTGTACTTTCTAGAAACCAGGTAAGGATAATGACCAAGAGCCACTTGAAAGGCAGGTAGGTATAGATGATGAGTAACTGCCTGGGGCCTTTTAAAAGCTAATATTTATAAACATATATTACTTGGCTGGGCATCATACAAACCAATTTAAACCAATTCTGTGCTTTCTCTAGGGCAGATGTGCAAACATCAGAAGCATGTAGAGCCCAGGGAAAGCATGCAAACACTGATCAAGTGCACAGCGCTGTGTGACTTTTGTCACTTTTCATGATGTATAAGCACAGCTGCCTTTTTTAGGAATCGTGAGCTGGAGTCGTGAGCAAAGTGTTGCAGGAGTAGCATTTTTCAGGAGAGTGAGGTGCTGATGAGTGTTACCCTCTCTGGTAGTCAGGAGAGGATCATTGAGGGGGTGGTTTTTGAGAGTTGGTTTAAGGTAGAAAGGGAGGGAACCTGCCATCTGGAAGTGTGATGATGTTCCAGGCATTGGGTACAGCTTCTTAAAGTGGCCTTTGCTTCTGGAGTAAATGAAAAAAGGGGACATTTAGTTAACTTGACTGAGAGAAGCTGAGAGAGCCAGGCTGTTGAGAGCACTTGATTAGCTGTCAGATACCATTCTCCCTACAGTTTCTTGGCCTCCCAGCCCTGAAGAACTGTCAGTAAATATTGCCATACAGGATCGATTCCATTTAATCTTTTCCAAACCACAACTGTGCAGTAGGTGATGGCATCATCATTTCACAGACGAGTAAACAGAGGCCCAGGGAACTTAAGCAGCTTGTGTGCCAAGTATTTAAAAATTACTGTGTGTTTACATATCACATATGAATTCACACACACATAGATGGTGGGGATTACGAATGCAAGGAATGTTATTTTTTGAGTCCTTTATTCCAGTCACAGTATTATAAACTGTGAGGACAGCCAAAAGACAAATTCCCCTTTTTTGAGGAATTTCCAATATGACCAGTCTTTATACAATAAGTAGGAATGAAAAGAATAAAAGCAACATTAAAAATGCATGAAGAACACTGAAGCACCCAGAAGATTTCAGTGTGGCCAGCCTGGGACAGGGCTATGCAGGAGAACTTTTGAGCGGTGAGATTGGAGCCAGTTTTTGTAGTTAGAAATGGAGACCAGGTGTGGTGGCTCACACCTATAATCCCAGCATTTTGGGAAGCCGAGGTGGGTGGATCACTTGAGGTCAGGAGTTCAAGACCAGCCTAGCCAACATGGCAAAACCCTGTCTCTATTAAAAATACAAAAGATCAGCTGGACATAGTGGTGTGTGCCTGTAAACCCAGCTACATGGGAGGCTGAGGCAGAAGAATGGCCTGAACCCAGGAGGCGGAGGTTGCAGTGAGCTGAGATTGTGCCACTTCACTCCAGCCTGGGTGACAGAGCGGGACTCCATCTCAAAAAAGAAAAAAGAAAAGAAATGAAATGAAATGATAGGCTATATGTATTCAGAAGAAGCACAGATAGATGAAGAGTGCCCAGTCCGTGAAGGGCCTTGAGTAGAAGCACATGATGTAGTTCATATTCTCTTCATGACTCACCAGGTTCTTAAGGGAAGTATTTTTAATGAAAACGATGAACAAAAAGCATCACGATTACATGAGATTAGAACTGGAAAACATAAAATCTGTGAAGGTGACTAATATAAAACAATAAGAAAGAGATCAACTTTTAGCAACCTTTTTTCCGCAAAGTCCAATTCCTGGCAACATGGTTGACACTGAAATGTTGGATAAACATAAATGGAATAAATGGATTATGATAGTGATTGGGAATGTATACGATATGAGCTAAAATATAGATTCTTGATACAGAAGAGACATATTGAAAGAAAAACTTTGTCTAAAATTAAAAATATTAAATTATTATTGTCTCAGTAAAATCTGGAGATTCTATGGGGAGATAGGGAGAGCATCTATCAATCAGGGTCCAGTTGCAGAGGATGGAATCCACCCGTCTATTTTAAACAAGAAGGAATTTGTTACAGAGCCATGGTAAGTGGGCCTCAGAACCATTGCACAGCTGAAGTAGTAGACTCTAAACTGAGCTTTCATGAACAACTCTCAAACTCAAAGCTGCTCCCAGAACTGGGGCCCCACATTGATGCTACCATAGCAACTTATTAAGAAGCTATTAGGATCAGGAAGGCACTGCCATCAGGACCTGCCTCGGCACCAAGCAGTGGATCCTTTCATCGGCTCCATAACTGCTCCTGTCTGCACTAGCAAAATGGATGGGATTTTTTTGACACCACATAGTTAGGGGCAGAAAACTGGGACCTCAGCCACAGAAAACTGATGCCTCCAAGACTGTGCTTGACTGTAGGAACAGCAGAAGTGGCTGCTCTCTCACAAATCTCTTAGGAAGGCATTTCACTGACCAAGCCAAAGTTACCTTTTGGTCTGTGGCTCCAAAGAGGCCAGCTTCCAGCACTTTGCAGCAAAGGCAGGTATGTCCACACAGAGAGGGAGAAGCAATGTAGCAGCAAGTATCTGGAAGGAAGAAATAGTTGGTATTTTGTTTGCATATGATAACAAACACTGGTTTCATTTGATTCCTAGTATTAGGCATTTTGTTTTCAGAACATTTTAATACAATTATTTGTGAAGGGAAGGTAACAACTTATAGAATTGAAAACAATGATGGAACGTTTACATTAACAAGAGAAAAAAAGGTAATAAGCTGAAACTCTACCTAGCCAGCAAATAGTAGAGGAAAAGAGGAGAAACCAACAAAGTAAACTAAATTGTAAATATAAAATAAGAAAAAAAAATGAAAAAAAATCAAGTGCACCATTGCTACATTAAAATGTAAAAGGACTAAATACCCCATGTAAAGAAAGATTAGGAATGTGTTGGATCAAAATAAAAGCACACATGAGTTGCTTACAAAAACTATAAGCAATATTTCTTAAAGGTTAGGGAAGTGAAAAGATGAACAGAAATATACAAGACAAAGAGCAAACAAAATAAAAACACTAAGAGCAATTTGTATTGGAATGAAAGCATAAAATAGTAGAAAGAGGAGCAATTTGTAAAGTCATAAACTTCCATGTCCAAATAACACAGCAACTATAAATGCATTTTTAAAAACTGTCACAATGCAGGAAGAATTGATTAATAATTTGGTTTTATAGTGGTATATTTTAATGAGTAGATAGTAGATAACAGGTTAGGACAGAGAGGCTTTGATGATCCAATTTAGAAACTGACTTAGTAGGTATATATCACAGAATTTTATATAGAATTTCATGTCCTTTCTCTAGCTTTCTAGTGCCATGAAACATTTAGAAAAATTAGTCAAGTACTTGGCCTGGAGAATAGCTTGAAAAATTCAAAAGAGCGTTTACAGACCACATTCTTTAAGTATTGCCCAATAAAACTAGAAATAAGTATTAAAATATAACCAAAAATTTTAACAACTTGGAAATTAAGAAACACACTTGGGACAAAGATAAAATCAGAATGAAATTCTGAACTATCTAGAAAACAATGAAAAGGAGAACACTTCAAAATCTATGAGACGAAGAGAGACTGCCAATAATAAAAGTTGATACATAAGAAACTAGAAAAAAAATACACCAAAAGAAAAGATAATTTAAAAAGATGGAAGCAGAGATTAATGAAATGGAAAATAGCAACAACTAAAATAGTAGAATGGATAAATAAATTCAAAAGTTAATTTGGGGTAATATACAAACCCCCTCTGAAACCTTTCTCTAGAGAAAAGTTAGAAATGAGAAAACAAACATAACCAAAATATTGAAGAAATTCTAGAAGATAGAGAATACCATGTATAACTTTTTGGAAATTTGATTTTTTTTTTTTTTTTTGAGACAGAGTCTCACTCTGTCGCCCCAGCTAGAGTGCAGTGGCATGATCTCGGCTCACTGCAACCTCTGCCTCCCAGGTTCAAGCAATTCTTCTGCCTCAGCCTCCTGAGTAGCTGAGATTATAGATGCGTGCCACCACGCCCGGCTAATTTTTGTATTTTTAGTAGAGACGGTGTTTCACCATGTCGATCAGGCTGGTCTCGAACTCCTGATCCACCTGCCCCAGCCTCCCAAAGTGCTGGGCTTACAAGCATGAGCCACCGTGGCTGGCCTGGAAACTAGATTTTTAAACCTAGAGCAGGGATCTGCAAACTTTCTCCGTAAAGACCAGAGAGTAAACGATTTAGGCTTTTTGGATCATACCGCCTCTGTCACAACCACTCAACTCTGTCATTGTAGCACAAAAGGAGACTTAGACATTGTAATATCAAATGGGTATGACTGTGATCCAACAAACTTTATTTATGAAAATAGGCCATGGGTGGATTTGGCCTGCAGGTCATAGTTTGTCAAACCCTGGACCAGAGGAACCCAGTATAGCAAAATATAAACTACCAAAATTGAGCTAGGGAAAATTTAAAACTTGAATAGATGAATTAATATTATATTTAGTGTAATTTCAGTTAAAGTCCCAACAAAGATATTTTGAAATTAGATTGTGCTCTTAGAGCATCTATTGAAGAATAAACTGTGACACATGACAAAGTGTTATGATAACTATAAGCGGAAGAAATTGCCTTATGTGCTGTTAATATGTACCATAAAGCCATCTTTATCAAAACGGTGTGACGTTGACACCATAGCTAAGCACTATGTGACACCACATAGTTAGGGGCAGAAAACTGGGACCTCAGCCACAGAAAAGTCAAAATGTGACTTTTATTGTATGCCTTATAAAGTTAATTTTATATAGATTAAAATCTTAACCAAAAACTATAACACAATGTAAATATTCACAGAAAAATGAGATGATCAAGTACAACGTAGTAATTGGGGTGACTGTTTCAGCCAAGGGATTGGAAATGCAAAGGTACAAAAGAAAAAAATAGGCATTTTATCCTTTATGAAAATGTTAAATATTTGCAAGAAAAAATATATCATCAAATTTAATAGACAAACAATAGGTGGGAGAAAGGATTGCATTGCATATACCAGTTAATAGATTAATATCAATACAATATGAAAAAAATCTAATAATTTGATAGAGCAATAGAAAAATAGGCAGATAATTTGAATGAGTAATTTACAGAGAGCAAAAATAACTGGCCAGCCGTGTATGAAAAGTCTTAACTATATAAGGAAATGCAGATTTAAGTAACAATATGGCATTATGCTATATCCCTTGGACAGGCAAAATATTAAAAGTATGATAATTCCAATTGCTGACAAGGATAGAGAAAGAGTAGTTTCATGTCTTGCTGGTAGAAATGTGAATTACTACACTCTTTTTGGAAAATAATCAGGCAACAGCTAATAAAATTTAAATTCTTCTCCTGGAACTAAAATTAGCTTAAGTAATGATACGTGTACAAAAATTATGCATTGCAGCACTGGTTATAGTAGGGTAGGCAGACCCTCTCTTCAGAAAAAAATAAAATAAAATAAATATCCATCAAAAGAGCAATGTTTGAATACATGCGGTATTTGCTTACCATGAAATATTCAGCAGTCTTTTAAAAGAATGAATTTTAACTCCAACATTTGGCACATACATTTAGTATGAATGGTGAAGATTAACAAGATGGAGAGGAGTTTATAGAATATGAAATCATTTTTGTCAAACAGTGGCAAAGACTCTGGTATGTGTATGTATAATTATATATACTGTAGTGTGTATGTATAATTATGTTGTAAATGTGTATGTACACACATACACACACACATTGCCAAAGAATAAATGAAATCTTGTTTTATTTTAAATCCAGAAAGTGTCAGATGCACTTTTATTTGTAATCCCCCCTTAAAGAGAAGATATTAGTTAAACTACCCTCTCAAACACTGGGAAACTAAACTGAGATTTTTTTTTTTTTAATGATGTCGAGGAACACAGCATTAGCTGGGGTATGGTGGAGAGTGGGAGAGCATTTACATTTAAGAATAATTAATAGAGATCTTGTTTTAGACGTTTCTATTGAGAAGAGGTCCTGGTTTTATGGCATCACCTATTGAATGGGAGTATCCCATAGTTAGCCAAGCATATATTAATTAGTACATTCCGCCAAAGCCTTCAGCTTCTTAGGTTTTGGAACCAGTTACCATATTTGGAAAAAACCAGTGACTCAAATGGAAACTTTACAGTGCTTCTCTCCTCTGTTAAGATATCCACGTCATCAGCTTGTTATCCAAGTGGAAAGGCACATTTTTATCCTTCAGTGGATCTGTCTTCTTCACCTAGTAAGAGCTGATTCTTCCTCCCACAGCTGTGTTCTTAGTGTAGCTAAAAGTGGGTGCACCCATCCTGTTTACTCCTACCCTTACCTTCTTGAAAAGAGGGAATAGATTGGTAGTATGTGAACATTTAGATACAATGTGAAACAATAAAATTAAATATCCTTCTTAGAAGTGGTTTTCAGACTTCTCAAAAACTGACACAGGGTAACAAATACATTTTATATCACATTGAGTTGTGTTGGTGTGTGCATGCCTGTGTGTGTGTGCATATAAAATAATGAACAAAATTTTATGAAATGTTACTTGTTCTTATTATATGCATTCCAAACAATTCCTACTCTCTTCTAGTCTACTTTATTTTATCTCATTTAAAAAATACTGATCACAGCACACTGAGTTGGCTTAGTAACCCACTAAATGGGGTAGTGACCTGCAGTTTGAAAACATACTGCATCAAAGGACTCCTATCAAAGTGGCATGCATGGCATTCCATGGTCAGAAGATTTTCACTGGACTGGAGAGACAGTTGCTCAGTGAGGTCAAATACAGACCTAGGCATGTTTTACTTTATTTCACATATGCCAATAAGGTCAGCTTATGTGAAAGACCTTCTGACAGCAGGTTCCTTAAGGTAGTTTTAAGTTTACCTTGGGCCAAAGCCTTGCAATACTTTTAGAGAATTAGCTTAAGCTAGAGGCAAATAAATTTTAACTGCTGTGGTAGATGCCTTAGCTAACGATTTTTCTCCTACAGTTGGGACTGTCATGAGAAGACTGGTCATCTTGGTATAAATAGAAGGCATCTCAGTTGATTTCAACTCTGCCCTAAGCTTTCTTGGATTCCTCTCCCATTTAGGCTTTAAAAGAATAAGCTAAAGTTGGAAAAAGAATTTCCATATGAAACTAAGCAACACTTAAGTATATTCTTTTATAATAATAACCCCAGTTGGGCATATTGACTACTTAATTCTTCATAATCAGTAGAGATCAGTTGTACACTATTCTAAATACAGGATTTGTGTGGGTCATAAGAACAGAGGTGACTTATGTACAGGCATTTAAAGTGGAAGTGTTTGAAAATCTGGCTCATACTTTGACTACAAAGTAAAATGATGTGTGTTATATCTAACTGGATTTGGGAGCAAAGAATTTCAAAAAGCCAGTGGAAACTGGACTCTGCCTGTGGCCTCTTTTACAATATACCTAATTTAAGATGTGTATAAGACACATTTTTAGATATTCACTAGGAAAACAAAGGCTTTTCTATCCTGTCATTTACTTAATTTTTTTAACCTAACTTATTTTTCTGAATGATTAACATTGATGCCTTTGATTGTGTGGGTGTTGTCAAAAGAGAGTTCATCACATGGGGAAAGGTTGGCAACCTCTCTCTGCTTGGTACTTTTCCATGAGCCTCCTTTCACTATTCTCATTGTTATTTCCTTTTCACTCTGAAGTAGTTCCAAATCTGATACTGAAGGAACTCGATTTTATTTTACATGAATATTTGAAGTAAATTGAGCCACTTGTGTTTTAAGGTTTGTTTAGTATGCACTACACAGAGAAGAATATAAAGTAAAAGCAATAGCAATAATAACTTAGGTTTGACAAAACACATAACAAAAAAGGGTACTTTGAGACACAGAAAGTCAAATTATAGGTAACCCTAAAACTCACCTTTCCACTTTCCTTTCTTTACTAGAATTCTCTACCAACATTGGGGTGTCGGTGGTGGTTAGGACAGAAGGAAGTATAGATATAGCTATCTGCTTCTAAGACATTTGCCATGTCTTTCTATGGCTGAAGACAACTTCAAAGTAACTAAAAGTGCCACTGGAAATAGTTTCTGTGAACTATATTGATCATAATTTGAAGAATTTCTACCAGCTGTGACTTTGTGAATGGCAGGAATTCTTAGTTTGTAGGACTGTCAAAATATGACCCCAATTTTGTGACCAGACCCAAATGAAGCCGACCGTTGTCCCTGGTGGTCCATTTTCTGTTAGGTTCTAGGTCATTTTTTTCTGAAAACAGTACTGAAGTTGGTAGCTTGTGGGAGTCACTGCAACAACCAAACTGATAACGGGAACCCATGAGACTCAGAGCCATGAAGACTGTCCCAGCACGCTTTACAGCAGCAGTCCCTAACCTTTTGGGTACCAGGGACTGGTTTCCTGGAAGACAGTTTTTCCACAGACGAAGGTTGGGGGATGGTTTTGGGATGACTCAAAAACATTACATTTACTGAGCACTTTATTTCTATTATTATTATATTGTAATATATAATGAAATAATTATGCCACTTACCCTAATGTAGTCAGTGGGAGTCCTGAGCTTGTTTTTCTGCATCTAGATGGTCTCATCTGAGGGTGATGGAAGACAGTGACACCATCAGGCATTAGATTTTCATAGGGAGTGAACAACCTAGATCCCTCAATGTGCAGTTTACAATAGGGTTCGCACTCCTTTGAGAATCAAATGCTGCCACTGATCCCACAGGTGGCAGAGCTCAGGCTGTAATGCAAGCAATGGGGAGCCACTGTAAATACAGATGAAGCCTTGCTGGCTTGCCTGCCACTCACCTCCTGCTGTGCGGCCTTGTTCCTAACCGCCTGTATGTAGCCCAGGGGTTGGGGACCCCTGCTTTAGAGTATGTTGTACTGAATATATCATTCTCTGTTGCTACATCAAGGTAACAATGGCACCATCTACTCTTGTTGTCTTGACTCTACATATTAACTATAGTGATTTGTATATCGTGTAACATTATGTGGAATCTTAATATGATTTTAAATTCACTTGTCCTCACAACTACAGTTAACATTTCTCTCTTACATGGAATCATTCCTTGCTGATCTTGGGTTTTCTTTTCTTGCTGTGGAGTTGCGTTGTTGTTTATTTTGTTCCAGCCACGCTTTCTTTATTCTCAGTAATACTCTTAGCCCAATTTCCTGCTGAATGATTTTGCAGAAGAACAAATTGTCCTTTGGCATTTGCACCTGTATGTCGCTCATTGTCCACTTGCTTGATGTGTTTCTGTGAAAGGGGGCAGCTTTTCCTTTTCTAAATGAAGAAGGGAGAGTCCAAACGTTTTTTTCCAGCTCCCATCAAAATATGGACTTAATTCCTTTTCTTTGATTTTGAAAGGAAATGGTGAAGGGATAATGATGTGTTTAAAATTGGGTGAATTGTGTTCTTTCTTCTAACTGAAACAGTGCAGAGGAACCTACCCATTGTGAAATGTTACTTGTGCAGCATTGTAGATGTGCAAGAACGGCAGTGTTTTCTACTTGGCTGGCTATCCTGGCATATAGTTCATCAAAATAGAGAAACAGGGTGCAGACATTCTGAGTGTAAGACCAAATGAACTCTAAGCATGTTTACCTCCCTATCATCTGAGGAGAGAGAGAGCTGGGAGTGAAGGAAGAAGTGAACAACTGTGGAATGTCTCCCTATCCTCAGTGGCCTTCAGATACCTCTGTTTTTTCTCCCCCTCCCTTCTGTTCATTGGGCACTGACATACCTTGTCATTACAAGCTATTATTATTTTTTAACAAGGTAAGTTCAAGAAGAAATGAAAAAGAGCCAGTATTCATACTGTGTAATAGCATATGGACTTTGCTATTCTAAAGCAGAATCTAAGTAGAATCAAAAGATTTGAACAAAATTATGAATGAAGGACCCTGACATATCTACTAAATAGTCACCAGCTTTCACGATAGCTTCTGTAGCATGCCAGGGGGGAAGAAAGCCACGTTCTTTCCTCACTGTTCCCTTAGGGCCTTTGTTGTAGGAGAATAGTGGGAGGGGCTGAGGTTGGCTTTGACTACAAGTGGAAATTTTTGTTTTCCTGATGAGCCTGGCACTCAGGACACTAGACATTTAACTGTAGGTTTATGATTGTCACCCACTCTGCTTTTAATGCCAAGAGTTTCAGAACCCGGCTGACCTGAGCAGAATAAAGTTCTTTGGGTTCAATCTGCAGCAATCAGAATTTTGAGAACAACAACAAAAAAAATCTTTTTTTTTTTTTTATCTGGTGTTGCCTCAGCAGGATCCCCGAATGTACTTGCTGGTAGCTTAGAGCATAGTCTATGCAGGGGAGGAGAAACAGAGTTGCAGCTGTGATGTGACTCATTCATACTATGTTCTTTTAATGGAGAAAAACCTGCAGTGACATCATCTGGCCACCAGGGGTTGTGCTGTTGCCAGAGAGCCCTTGATTTTATCTGCCCGCAAGTCCTGAGGCAGGAAGTAGCACCTTAACAGAGAGCCCCATCTTCATTCCTAAGAAAACCAGCATCAGTTTTTTGTTCCCTTTGTTGACTTTCCAACTAGGGCTGAGCCCGCTTTTCTGAATTAATAAGAACCAAGAAAGAAAAGGGAACATTAGTCGTGGTTCCAAATACCAACCAAGCACTTTGCTGCATACGGTCGGCTTTGGTGGCGGGCCTGAGTCTGCACCCAGATGGACCCATATGGACTCACCTGTCTCACATCTGCACCTGACTTGCACATATACCTTGTTGATAAAGCCCAGTGACAGCTGGATCTATCACAAATGTCCCACCTGATTTCTTGGAAGCTTTGATTAGCATCCATGTCCTCCATGGCAAACATTTAATTATAAGGGCTGGTTGTTGATAATAATCATTGCTAACATCTATTTATTATCCTTATGTGTTAAGCATTGTGCCCAACAGCTTATACAATTTAGTCTCATTTAATCCTCCAAGTAGCTATTTGAGATAGTTACTATTATCTTTCTTTTGCAGATGAGGAAAGTGAAGCATAGAGAAGCTAACTGTGATGACTGGGATCACTCTGCTGATAATTGTGTTGCTAGGACTAGATTCAGGCCCCTCTAACTCTGAAAGCCAACCACTTAAATGATACTTGATTTTCAAGTTGGGGGGATGGAGGCTGTGGCTAAGACCTGTCCCTGGTGGGGTATAGCAGAAGGACTTCGGGGCTTTTTTGTTCAAACTGCTTATGTTTATGTTCTCCTTTCCTTTCCCTCATCCTTTCCTTCTCCCTCTTCTGATATGCTTTCTGGGTAGGGTGGGGTGAGGTGTGTCCGTTGCTGTCACACTGAGTCACTGTTCCTCATGGGTGTGCCATAGCCTTCAGGAGTATTGGGATGGGAAAATAGCTGAGAACCAGTAGACTCAAGAATGGTTGCAAAAGTCCCAAGCAGCTTTTCTGTGAATTATTGCCTTTGGTGCTCTCTCTGTGATGGCAGAACTTCACAGGCCACCACACTGCTGTGGGTGCTGAGGAAGGGCAGAAAATAGCCATATATATGGAAAACATATGCCTGTTACAAATATGAAAATATATACATGAAAAGATACCTATGCAACACACATACAGATGAAAAATATATGCATATATTTTAAAAATATATGAAAAACAAATATATTAATTCATGTGTGTATATATGTCCTCCTCTCCCAATTCCAGCATCAGTGTTGGTAAGAGTGCAAGCTGTTATACATTCATTATGCAACTGGTTTTCACTGAGCAACTGCTAGGAGCCTTGCAGAGTGAGCTGGGGCTTTGGTGGTCATGAAGCCCTGGCCCGGGGCTTCAAGGAGCTCACAACCCAGTGGGTTTTTGCTTTTCTTGAGGCTAACACTGATGGTTCAATTTATAGATCAAGTCTCTTCAATCATAATGATTCAGATAAATAGAGAATTTTGTGGAAAAGTCTTCTGAATAGTTTTTTTTTTTTTTTTTTTTCTAAAAAAACAAAAGGCTGATAAAAGGACAAGGCCCCATGCTTTTTAGTTTCTAATAGTAGTGGACTGGAACTACTTGTGGATTTTGAGTTTTTGTTTTTGTTTTACTTAATTATAGGATTAGTTTTAGGTGTGACTTTTTCCATTTCCTTTGGAAGCGTCTAGTTTGCAATAAATTAGAAATGCCAGCTGACAGCAGGCTAAGATCCAGAAGAACCATTAACTCACCATTAACTCTACAGTCTCAGCATTACTGAGCTTTCTGTTTAAAGGTTAAGGCCGTTTATAACTCAACAACCCCTCAGGTCATTCATGAAATACATCGCAGCACCAAGAAAGTAGTGTTTTCTTCCTTAAACACATCTCTTATCCCATCATTCTTCTGCTCAAAAATCTGTGCTTCTCTACTGCTTCCAGACTCCTTACCATGGAATTCAACGTCCTCTATGATCTGGACCAAATGTCCTTTTTGGCGTATTTCATACTATCCTTAGGTTCCCCTGGAACCCTGACCCCAGGCAATCAAGCAGCTCTTGGTTCTTTCAATGTACCTGATACTTTGCCAATGATCTTCCATATAAGATGCCCTCTCTACCTCTGTCTAAATCTTATTTTAATATATGTGCTGCCGAAACGAGAATGAAATCTTCCTACTTTGTAAGACCAAACTCAGACAATATTACCTCTATGAAGATCTTTGGTGTCAGCTATTGGAATTAAATATTCCTTATTTGTGTTAATAGCACGTAGTTTAAACCTTGGTTAAAGCATTTAATGTTTTCTTTTCTTATTTATAGTTAGTTGGTGTCAACCTAAAATAATCAAAAGGGTCAGAATCTGACTTAGAGAGAGTTTATTCAAGGGCAAAGTTTGAGGATAGCCCACCTATAAACACCAGCTCCAAAGGAATGGAGTCAGTGTTCTGAAGTAGGGAAGTTAAAGTTTCATTTATATATAGTCAGAGACCAGGGAGTTTTTAGCAGGATTACAACATTTTTCTGACAAAGTTGGCACACAATTGCAGCAATTTGATTGGTTGTATAGGCTGTGTTTCTTTTTGGGAAGGATACATATAACATTTGTTACAGAGGGTATAGTGGTTATGGGTTTTCTGTCAACTGGCCTAAGCAAAGCAGGACAAGAAAGGGGAAGTTAATCTGTAACAAGGGTCATTAAGATGGCAGCAGGTTTTTGTCCCTGTTGTTGTTTGAGTCTCTCTAGTCACTGTACAGAACAAGAACAATAAGAAACAAGTTGTTCTATAATCTGAGAAACAGAAGTCACAACCCTGTGTGGCTCAGATCACAATCACATCTCTCTCAAGGCTTAAAGTGTCTTCAGGGTTCCAACAGGTTTTAAATCATATTTATTTTCACACTGGGTACATTGTGGACCGCTAAGTCCTTTGAGAGTAAGAAGCATGTCTTCTGCATTTTGTGTCACCCATCCATGAGAGAAAGGTTTTATATAAAATGAGTAAATTTTTGAGTGGTATAAGATTAAGTAAATTTTAGATCTATGGAAAAGGCACTTACGTGAAATTCTCTGATGATACTGAACAAATTGCATTGTTGTCTTGGTCCAGTCAACAGGCATCTTTTTGATCCTTTGAGGTACCAAGCAGGTTTTACCCTTAGGGCATCTGACCTAGCTGTTACCTCTCCCTGGAAATCTCTTTTATTCTGGAATGTCACATAGCAACTCCTTCTTAAGGCCAAGTGCACTGACCCATCTTAGAGAGGCTTTCTGCAACTTCTCAGACCATTGTTGGTTTTGCATGGTGACAAAGCCTGTCTCCAGTCACTCCATCACAGTGCCCTGTTCGCGCTATCACAGCCAGGCCAGTTGTTGCCCACTTGCTCATCATATGCATCTCTTAAGCTTCAGGAGAGCAGAGGCCCTGTCTGCTCTGATAATCATTGTATCTCCAGGACCTAGAATAGTGCTGAGCTCACAGTAATGCCCCTTACATCATACTATATTATTTAAAATCAGTGGGTTTTGACATTGGCTGCCCATCAGTGTCACCAGTGGGGATTAACAAAACACAGATGTGCAAGGTTAACCTCAAAGATTCTAATTCAGTAGGACTTGAGTGATGCCCTTAAATTTGGCTCTAAATGTATTAATCATCAAAGACTCAGGAAAACAAGGAAAGATAAGCTTTCTGTAGCTTCCAAAGTTGTAGCTGTTTTTAAAATTGTTTATATTTTCTTTTAAACTCTCATCCCATATCCTTAAGCCTTGTGACTGCCACAGAGAGAAAATAAGATCAAGCATGAGCTTACATTAGCCACAGAAACACCTGGGGCAGTTCCAAAGTTTTAATTACTGCTTCATTAATGTAAAAGCTTAACTATAGTTGTAATGTATAAACAACTTTTGGCATGTGCCCTGCAAATGCAAAAAAGTCTAAATAATTATTGTCGTGGCTCCTGTCTCAACGCAAGACCAATGATCGCCAAATTATTTTTAAGACATGGACTACATTAAAAAGTTATTGAATTATGTTTTCTGTTAGCTTATATAAAGCACATGACATTTAATAACTTGCAAAGAAATGCTTATTTTATCTGTAATATATACTTTGGTGTTTATCAGATTCTGTTCAAACTGTGTAGCAAATTTCCTTGAAAATAGAACTTTCTTTTTTCCTCACATCCCTGTATTTGATATCAGACTATTCTTAGACTCTCCACCTCACTCATCACCATGGTGTCTACGGACTTATAAGTATGACATGCTGTCACCCTTATTTATACATGAGGTATGGAGGTGAGCGTGAATAAGAATCTTGCTCAGAGCCAATTAGTTGCAGATCCAGCATTGGAATTCCTCTCCCATAGTATCAAAAGTGTAGTCATATTCCTAGATCATTAGGCAGGAAGAAAAAGAAAATAAAAGAAAAACTACTCAGAGACATCTGGCCGGATCTGTGCCTTTCATCAGAATAATCATGTCCTGAATCTCCCACTGGGGTTGTCAGAAAAGATTTTTCCCAAGCTTTTCTATACCACGGAGAGCTACATTTAATTTATAACCTGAAAGTATCCCCTAAAACAGACTCATAATCATGCTTGCTGAAATTTTAGCCCAGCCTTCTTGCTTGCTGAGAAAAGAGCTGGCTGTCCTTTCTCTTTGAATAAGCCTCCTTGTATGAACAGTCTCTAGAGATGTCCCTTTTCCAGATGAAAATCTGTTTTATGTGTTATCATGTTGACCTTCCAATCCCTTGAATGATTTTACGTTTTCATCTTGGTAGGTCTGTTCTCTCTATAATCTAATTTAATAGTTCTAATCTGCACATATCCACCACATATCTAGTTCAATATCAAGCAGGTATCCAGTGAGTTCACAAACTCAGAAGGGCAAGAAATATAACTTTTCTTATTTTTCGGCAACTCATTTTCACTTCTATTTTGAGTTCTTTTTCTACCAGGAGAATTTTAGGGAAATGTTTGCCCCCAGATCAAGAGACACTCTCCTCTTTCTGCTTGCTAGGCCCAAAAGAACAGACTCTTTTGAAAAGTGCAGAGTTTAGAACTCTAAGAGGAAGAACAGTCAGAAGGATTTTTTTTTAAGCAAAGTCTATTTTTCACCCAAGGTGGAATATAATATAAAGTACTAATCAGTTATACAAACATGTTATTTATAAAATAACAGCCCACTAAGCGTCAGAGGTGAGGGGTTGCCCCATCCAATTTTCAGAGTCTAAAAGAGGCATCTGGGTGTCCATTACCTGAAACAGCACAGGCGCTAGTGTCTCCAGAGAAAAGGAAATGGAAGAGGGAGGCAGGGGATGTTACAACAGGGTGTGATTAATAGCAGCTCACTGCTGGAGTTCACTCAGGAAAGGCTGGGTAAATGCTGCAGCTCAAGGTCAGTGTGAGGCAGGCCAAGGGATCGGTTAGCCCTGGAACTTCTGAGTGAGTCCTTGGCTCCAGTTAAATAAGAAGCAGCCAAGATCTGGGAAGGTCAACACAGTCAAAGCCCTACCAGGAACTAGGATTATACCCTGGGCTTCAAGCCAAGACCAGGGCACTCTGGCTGATCTGAGTGTGATCTTGAACTCTGCTTTGCCCTCTGAGAGAAGGAGCCGAAGCTCTGTCTACCTTCAGGGACAGAGGTCTGGAGTTAGTTTCCTGATTACAGCAGGAACAACCCAAGAGGCCATCAGATACTGGGAGGTTCTTACAGTGCTCTAAACCCTTTCAGGCAATTTGAGTCTTCTGTGTCTATTGTCTTCACAGGCATCTTGTATAGTGTTGGAAACCTATAGTGATAAGTGATTTTCAGCTACTTACTAGAGATGGGAGAATTTCAAAGTCCTTTCCTTCATTGTCCATCTTTACTCATTTGGGTAGAGTTATACCCAGTTCTATCCCTGCATACATACTTGCATGCATGGGGTAAGAGAGATCTATTTACAAACACGTGACCACAAACACATGACCAGCTTCCAAAGCTGAGAATGCCAAGGACACATGGAAGTTATTGGTCACCTGAGTATAGAAAAAGCAGGGAAACCCAGCTCAACCACTTTCTGTCTATGAACGTCAATTTTCCTCTTTATAAATTAGGGATGTGTATAAAATAATGTGCATAAAATCTTTGGCACAGTGCCTAACACATTGTGAACACAAGTGTCAGCCAAAATTATGAGCATGCAGCTGTCTCTGTGTCTGTTGAGCAGAGCTTCCTCAATGTGTTGTCAATGGCTCAATTTTGGAAACGGGCAATGTCTCGAGACAGTGCTGATTGCCACAACTTACGGGATGAGTACTACTCGTATCTAGTTGGCAGAGGCCAGATATACTGCTGAGCATCCTGCAGTGAACACACAGTTCCCTACAATCACAACAATGAGTTCCCCTACCTGAAATTCCATAGTGCTGAGGCTGAGAAATCCGGCGAAATGGTCATAGCAAGATGAGATGAGTTTAGCTGATTTCCTTCATCCTTAGGAATAAGAACATGTTAACATATTAACATTATTGACCTCTACCAGCACTTAAAGGACAAAAAGCCTATCAAATCTAAACCTTGCTATGAAACAAAATCTGATTCTTGTGAGAGAAAAGTCTTCCTTGATTCTCAAGAGAAAGTAAAAGGTTTTTGTGGTTTTGACTTAAATAATTCTAATGACTCGATTTGTTTATTGGACAATAGATTGAAGGAGCTAAGCTGGATTTTGTTGATTTTAATTTTTACCAGTAATGTAGTATAAAAAATGTTTTGCTAGACTTGTATGATTTACTAAATAATTATTGATATTTGCATATCATGTAGGATCAAGAAAAAGTCACATGTTAAATTCTGTGTACAGAGATAATTATTTTCAGTCAAATGAAAGTAAAAGAGGCCAGGCGCAGTGGCTCACGCCTGTAATCCCAACACTTTGGGAGGCTGCGGCGGGCAGAATCACCTGAGGTCAGGAGTTCAAGACCAGCCTGACCAACATGGTAAAACCTCATCTCTACTAAAAATACAAAATTAGCCAGGCGTGGTGCTACATGCCTGTAATCCCAGCTACTTGGGAGGCTGAGGCTGGAGAATCACTTGAACCTGGGAGGCGGAGGTTGCAGTGAGCCAAGATTGCACCATTGCACTCCAGCCTGGGCAACAAAAGCAAAACCCCATCTCAAAAAAAATCAAAATAAAAGTAAAGGAGATATTAAGTTTAGCTTGCCTGCAATATACAAATTAAATGTGCTAGAATTGAGCACTTATAGCACAAATTATAGGAAATAAGATAGTGAAAAATTAAAAATTACTTAGGTCATAAAAATGCAGAAAATACATAAAGATGCTTTGGAGCCATAGAGCACCTGTTAAAGCTTGACTTTCATTGTATTTCCATGTTGTTCCATTACATTAGGGGAAGCCTCCTTAGTGGCTCATCACCTCATTGCCTAGACTGGGTAAGCAGGGACACAGGGTCATTGCTACCTTTCACAGGTGCTTTACTGTGCTAAACTTCTGAAAAGCCACCTTTTAAAAAGGGAACATGCATTTTCAAAGCCACTGATTATTAAACCCCTCTTTCAGTCATCTTATTTGCAGACTTTCATTTTTGAGCTTTGTTTGCCATCTGGGAAGGATTTTGAAAGAGAACATAGGCCTCTTCCTGCTTTTATGTTCAGCATGCCATGAATTGCATTAATGAATTCTTAAGATCGTTTGATCTATTTAAAAAAATAGCTCTAGATTCAGTCAGTTGTTAAAAAAATGTGTTCAAGATTGTCTATAATTGCACTAGCCACAAACAGATTTTCGTAGGTATTTTCTTTGTAAAGAATCTATTTGAAATATTGGAAATGTTTTCAGGAACTAGAGACAAAAGATATACATGGTTTTTTGAATAATTTAGCATGTCCTAATTTTTAAATGTCCCTCAGTAGTCATTTATCTGCAGAGCAAGTAAATACAAATTTTAAAAAAATTAACAGTTATATACGTGCTTATTGTAAACAGTCAAGTAATACAGAGGAATATAAAACAGAGTGAATCATCTTCTCCCTGTCCAACCTCACCCTTTTGCAGCAGCCAACATTAACAATTTGGTACATATCCTTTCTCAACTTTCTCAATGCTCATACAAATGCATGGATGTTCATGTTCACATAAAAATGGTGTTTTATTCCTCCCCCAAATGGTGCAGATGCAAATATGATGCAGTAACTTGATTTTTGCATTCAACAATATACAATGAAAATTCCTCCTAGTCAATACATGTCAATCCAATTCATTATTTTGTCAACCTAAGGTAGTCATAAGGGTCAGAATCCAATTTAAGGAGAGGTTATTTAAGTGCATATTGTGAGGGTGGCCAACTCAAACATGCCAACTCCAAAGGAATGGAGTCAGCGTTCTAAAGTAGGGAAATTAAGGTTTCATTTATGTAGTCAGGGACAGGGAAGTTTTTAGCATATTTCATTTTTCAGACAGGGTTGGCACATTGTTACAGCAATTTGATTGGTTTATAGGCAGCGTTTCTTTTTGGAAAAGTTACATTTAACATTCATTACAGAGGGCATAGTAGTCATGGGTTTTCTGTCATGTGGTCTTAGCAAAGCAAGGTACCAAAGAGGAAGTCAATCTATAGCAAGGGTCATTAAGAAGGCAGGAGATTTTTGTCCTGGACATTTAATTATCTCTAGCCATTGTAGAGAACGAGAAAAATAAGAAAGTGAGTTAATGTATAATCTGAGAAACAGAAATTATAACCATATGTGACTCAGATCACAGTCACATCTTTCTCAAGACTTAAAGTGCTTTGGGGGTCGCAACAACTTTTGCATTATATTTATTTTCACAAATTTTAATAACTGAAAAATAGTATACAGTGTGGGTATATTATACTTGAATACTGGTGCCCTACTGATGGACGTTTAGGTTTTTGTAGTTTTCTACCACTACCAACAATGATTTATACTCTCTCCTTAGGTTTGCACCTTTTTTTCTGTAAGATTGATTCTCAAAAGTGGGATGGCAGTGTCAAAGGCTCTCCCAATCAGGTGTCACAGTGCAAAAGCCAACAATGTGTGGTTAAAGGATCCATTTTTTCACAATCTTGCCAACACAGGCTCTTATCCCATTTTGGCTTCTTTGCAAATATCTTAGATGAAAAACAGTATCTCTGTGATTCTAATTTGTGCTTTCCCTATTGCTAGTGAGGATAAGTGTCTTTTCATATTTCATCTCACCATTGCATTTTCTTGTCTGTGACTTGAGTGAAACTTTTCTAATTCTTGCATATTTTATTCTTGCTCAACATGTCACGACTCAGAAACACATATTTCCATCTCCTTTAGCATTTATTTTGCTACTCAGATTTCAGAAGGAAAAAGGATTTTTTTCCTGGGCATTGTCAGTAGTAGCTATTTGGAATGCTAAAGATTTGATAAGAGACATTGAAGAAATGTGAATGTTACTGAACCGATTTGCTTAAAGTAAAGGGAAGACTGTCTATACGTCTGACCAATGCTTTTTGAATGTTCAGGCCCCTGAATCTGGCTGCAGTCCCAGTAGGCATGGGTCCAGGCGTGATGTGTTTGTGGTTGCATCATGGCATCGCTGTCTAACCCTCGCCTTTGCATTGAAGTTGTGCAAAGATTAGAGAACTGTAAAAATCTCAGGCCTGTCTGAGGAAGTCTTTCTTACTATCTATCCCTTTCTTTAAACATGCCTTGAAAAAAAAAGCTACATTTTGTCCTGCTTTGTGTTCATAGTGAATATCTTTCATTGTCAAGAAAATTTTTTCCTGAACTAGCTCTGAAAGATGACTCAGCACTTTATAAGATCAGTGAGCCTTTAAGGAATGACCTAAGATGGAATGTATCCTGTCCAGTGAAGCTCAAGGCATGCACAGGTCGTGTTCACCTCACTCCCTCAGGAGTTGAAGGAGATAAGAAACTGGTCCCACAGCCCTCAACTCTAGCTTGGGTGCCTCGCAGCTACTCAGCTAACCAAAGAAATGAGTGGAAAATCAGTTCTCTGGTCTATTTTTGATGGTGTGAGAAGAAGGAGGATGAGGAGGAGAAGGAGAAGAAGAAGAGATTACTTCTCATTTTAATTGAAATGAGTGACTTTTTATTAATGAGCTTGAATTCAGAATAATTTATTACCCTGGAGTTTTCTTATAATATAATAAGTGAGACTGTTTTCCTTTTTGCTTAGGGCAAAAAATGTAAGGAGGCTGAGTGTTACATTTGGAGGTTTATCTTTTTTTTTTTTTTTTGAGACGGAGCCTTGCTCTTGTCACCCAGGCTGGAGTGCAGTGGCCCAATCTCAGCTCACTGCAAACTCTGCCTCCCCGGTTCAAGCAATTCTCCTGCCTCAGCTTCCTGAGTAGCTGGGATTACAGGCACCCACCACCACACCTGGCTAATTTTTGTACTTTTAGTAGAGATGGGGTTTCACCATGTTGGCCAGGCTGGTTTCAAACTCCTGACCTCAGGTGATCCACCCACCTTGGCTTCTCAGTGGAGGTTTATCTTGTCAGGTTTGGCTTCCTTTTCCCAGTTCCATGAAATGTGAATTTGAATATGTGTTTGTGTGGTCAGGGAGAGTGTTGGGAAATGAGGGTGGGATACAGAGAGAAGGATGATTTAAAGGTTTAGATGGTCTGGTTATTTTTAGTTTTTCTATTCCCATTTCTGCAATAGTTTTTATTTTTCCTCATACACTATGGGAGTTTGTTCACAGAAGGAAGTTCCTGGAGCCTATCCATCAGGAACATTAACTATATTTTTGTTTGTTTTTTTGCATAACTATTTGTTTAGTTTTTCCTTCCCAAATTTGTGGCTGCTGTGTTCTTGTGACTTTTTGTCGGGGGTGTTTTTTTCTTGCTTGCAGTGTTACCCACAATGCATCTATTTTGTGTGTATTAAACAGTCCCTTTCAAGAGTACAAATAATGGTTTGAAATAGGAAGAGTATCCCAAATGCTTTAATCTTATATTTGAAATGTAGGAAATTGGAGGAGCTGAGGATATTTGTGACACATATTTTACATCTTCTCATTGAAAGTAGAGCTGTTGTTTGTCTGCATGGTTTTGAGTTTGGTCACTGAAATGCTAATGACACAGCAGAAACCCTTGGTGTGTGCATAAGGCCACATGACCTCAGGTCAGGAATAAAAGCTTAGGGCTGAGCAGCTCACTCTTTGGTTGAGAATCCAGTTGGCTCCCCTGGAGTGAAGTTCTACACAGACCCTGGAGGAACCACCCCATCTGTAAGGAACCTAAGTTTCTGTATTTCTGGCTTTCATTGTAGAAAACCTGATGTCTTCTATACTTGTTCCCTTGACCTACTTCTAAAACAGTTTATAAACAATTTCAATAATATTCACAGTCAAGTAGAGCTGTCTTTTACTGATATATTCTAAACAACATAAATTAAGGTGGAGCTTAGAACATATAACACAACTATGTCCTAATGACATGAGGAGACACCTTTCTCCTGCAAATAGTCCCAGATATACATCAGTTTTCAACTTGTCAGGATGGCGGATAAGATTCTGCTGTAGGTGTCTTTAATTACCAAGTGGAACTAACATTCTAGTGTTACCTGCAATGTAATGAAGAGCCTGATTCATCTTGATCTTTTTCACTGTACTTACTTATCGTTTTCCTGAGAAAGTGTGGCTTTAGCATTTGTTTTACCTGAGCATATAAAGGTATAAACTCAAGCAGAACATTGATAGAATGAAAGCTAGACCCTGGCTTAATGTAGTCCTTGAAGGAACAAGATGCATTAACAAAAATGGAGTGATGGTTCTAGTAGAGCTGGTATACTGATGCGTGCTGATTGTTACTTCTCTAGCACATGTTATTTGCTACCCTTGTTAATGGTCATTGCATTGGTTGCAAGTCTTGGTTATTTTATATTCAACACTTTAAGAAGAAATGTGCTTCCCTGGCTAGTTATCAGATTTTTTATTTTTATTTTTTTTTCGACGGAGTCTCACTCTGTCGCCCAGGCTGGAGTGCAGTGGGGCGATCTCGGCTCACTGCAAGCTCCGCCTCCTGGGTTCACGCCATTCTCCTGCCTCAGCCTCCCTAGTAGCTGGGACTACAGGCGCCCGCCGTCACGCCCGGGTAACTTTTTGTATTTTTAATAGAGACGGGGTTTCACCGTGTTAGCCAGGATGGTCTCGATCTCCTGACCTCGTGATCCGCCCACCTCGGCCTCCCAAAGTGCTGGAATTACAGGCGTGAGCCACTGCGCCAGGCCTATCAGATTTAATTTATAGGCATTTGAATAGTACAAATGTAAGGGCATGATAGCTAATTAAATTATTCCCCAAATATTTATTGAACACCTAGTGTGAACAAGGAAGCAGTGATACGAAGAATGGGGCATCTAACAATCTAGAGGAAGAAAAAGACAATGAATTGTGGAATTAAAATACAGCATAGTAAGTGCTTCAATATTAAGTCACCTAACTCTTTATTCTCCACAATGTTTAGCAAATAATCTTTTGCTGTTCATTTGGTTTTTCAAGTAGATTTTGTTCTGAGGAAGGAAAGAGAGCACAGAATTTACCTTAAGGTATTTGGTCTACTAGTCAAACCAGTCTCCCAGCAGATTTGTTAGTAGAAATTATCTCCCAAGAGGCTAATCACCATTGTGTAAACTGATGGAATACAATTTCTGGACCTAAGAAAACACAGGTGAAGCCTTGGAATATGATATGTCTCAAATATGCAGCAAACTTGGTGACCCCGACCTGAAAGGCCGGCTGATCTTATGTGGTAATGAAAGCTGGGTCTTAATGCAGGGACATTTTCTGTAGTTAGCCCAGTGAAATGATGTCCCAAGCCAGCCACTCCCACGCTTCTGAGCAGTGTCACCTTAGATGGTCCTTCCCATCACTCCAAATTTCCACAGCTTCCAGTGCCTTCAAGAGCATACTGTATAGGCACAAGCTAGGGATGGGACCAGGGAGGCCTTGGGTAAAAGCAGCCAGTTCAGGCTCTCTGAGATTCTTGTCTCTGGAGGTGAATAGGAGTCCTTGCTTAGGTCTTGGCCACAGAGATAATAATTTAGGCTTATGTATATTCCTGAAACCTTTAATTGGTTTGAGCTCCTGGAAGATTCTCCACCCTTTAGGACCATGTGGTACTTGGTTAACTGTTGGGTACCATATACTTTCTGCTATCTTTAGTATTACATTGAATTTTGGTGACTTAATAATACATGGTTAACCTGAGATTATTGTATCAATGGTATATTTTTCCTGGCAGTCAGAAGATGGCCACCTTGTACATATGGAAGAATGAGAAAGGGAAGGAAAGAGTTCCATGTATTTGTTGACCTCTATATGTAATAGCACGTCACTTCCATTTTTAGCCCAAGTTAGGTTTTGGACAGCCACAAATGTTTCTTTTGAGACTAGAGTCCATTTTAATCAGCATCTAACTATTTGGATTGTCACCTAAGCAGCATATTTAACAACAACAAAAAAGGAATAGATGTTTAATGTGGTCGGCTACAACTTCAGAAGCATCTTCTAAGCTCTTTCTATAGTCAACTGATTAGTACATTCTCAGGCTGAGCATTGCAGACATAATTTCTTTTTTTAGCCACATTATTAATGAAACCAAAGCTTTAGACAACAGTACTATTAATAGTGGTGACTCATGTGTTCTTTATATTTTCAGAAGGACAATAAATGTTTAGAGGACGATGTCTGAAATATTTTCTTCATAAAGTGTTTAACCATAACTATAGTAATAGGTAATATTATGTGTCTTAGTGCAATTTATAATGCAATTTGTAATGTCATTTATACTGTATATAGTATATAGTGGTAAGGTATCTAGTAATGTATATAATATTTTGTATATATATAATGAGATGAAAAAATATTTTAGATCAAATGAAGGCACAGAACATGATACTCATTATTCTAGTGCTGTTGGCAATTTGGTAGGATTCTTACAAGAGAAACAGAGGAAAAAGAGGTTTTCTAGAGTGACAGATGGCACTAAAAGCTAGGACTGAATAGAACATGACTGAGGAATGCTGTGTGTGACAGCCTACATGGCTTAGAGGCTTTGGTAGGGACATCACAGGCAGTCTAGGTGGAATCACCACTTACAGCCAGCTATGGAGGACTTTGAATGATTATATAAGAATTTTCAAATCTACGCCAGAAGCAATGGAGAATCCATCCATTGAATGTTTTTTGAACAGGGTTTTGGCATGTTGAAAGCAATGTGTTCAAAATATTCAGTGTTGTGTAGATTGGGTGGTGGAGAAAGAGAATACAAGCAGGAAGATGAAATTTGGCTAAGACTTCAGTAGTGTGAGTATGTAGTGATGAAACCCCTAAATCACTGTCATATAGCGATGAAAATTAAAGGGTTATTTATTTTTCCTCATGCAGTCTGGTAGTTTGCTCAGTGAAGGAAGTTCCTGGAGTCAATGCATCAAGAACATTAACTATTTTTTGCTATTGACAAACAAACATCACAGATATTATGAAAAGAGCATCAAGAAGACTTGATTGTTTTTGTCTTAGGGGATTAATTCAACAAACATTGGTTGATCAAGTCCTATCAGAAAGAGTTTGGGAGACATAAGCCACCCTGGACCTTTCCTAGTGGTCGATGTGGGGAAACTGCAGCTATTAAAGCTCAGGCTTAGGCATTCAGTAAGCCCAGATGGAGTCTTGAGTGGGATTGGGAGATTTCAGTTCCTGTCAAATTTCTGCATGAGGTGTTGTGGTAAAGTCAAAATAGCATGAATTCTGTAACCTAACAGATTTGCATTAAAATCTCAAGTTCACCACTCATCAGTTATGTGAGTTTGGGCAATTTATTTAACTTTCTGAACCATCATTTCCTTTTTGGAAAATGAGGAAATGCCACCTATGGAAGACGATTCTCCATAGATCTCTTCTGTTTCTACACATTTTGTAAGCAGAGACACTGATGGTCTTTTTTCTGGACTATCCATTCAAATTTCTTAATAGTGAAAAACGTTGGAAGACAGAGACAGTGTCTCTTTCTAGAGCAGAAGTCAGTTTTGCTTCTTCCTCCAGAGCAAAGGTTTGCTTACTGCCTATTAGAAAAGATTCAGATTCCCTGAGCTCAAGTTTCTTCAGCTGAGATGCAAACCCATTGCTTGTGCAGTATCCACCTAGGTCCCTCCATTTCACCCTCCATGGGACTTGGTAGCAAGGGGAACCCACTGGAACACAATGTTCATGCTATTTGCTGTGCCATGAGTCTCTGATCTAGGAGTCTGGAATCTGCCAGAATCCATGGCACTGTTGTGGACTAACTTGTTAGCTTGCAAGCTGAGCAAAATCTCAGACCCTTTATAGTGCTTGATGCCACCTGCCTAATGTGTTTCTAGGGAGGACGAGGCAAGATAAGATATGTAACACACCTGGAGCATAGCATGCAGTTAAAAAGAAACACACACATTTATTCCACTTCTTCCCTTAAGAGAAGTAACTGAGCAGCTGCTTCGAGAAAGTTCCTGCAGTGGTAGCAGCAGTTATCCCTTTTTCAATATAGTTTCAGAGTCAGGGCAGTTCCTTTGTCTGAGTTTCAGGATACATTTGGGCATGACTCATAGAGAAGAACTCAACAAAGTTTAAGAACAGTAGATTATTATACTGCTTGGTTGCAATTGAAGTTCTTGAGTCCCTCATTAACTTCTCTCAAGGCCAAGATATCATTAGAGAGCAACAAAGAGTAGCCTGATAGCAATTCTTTATCCATGTTACTAGGATTCAGCTGGGGATAAGGAGGAATAAACACAGTCATCTAAGATAGTTTCCTAGGACAGAGGAAAAAGGATTAGGGCCTGGGGAAGAGGAGTAAAACTGCTATCTGTCAGAGGACATCAATCTGAAAGAGAAGGTGCAAGCAACTCTTCCTATAAGAAGGATGGATAGTTCCCAGAAGGGATTGGTGGAGGAGGGAGCATCACCCTTGCAGTCTCGTGACATTTGTTATCAACTAATGCCTTTTTTTTTTGGCACACTTTAGTATGACAGTCAGGTGGCTGATCCTGGGTTACTGTTTTTAGAGACATTTTCTTATTGGTGGCTCCAGGCACAGTAAGTACGTTTGCCTTTAGCTGTGGTCTGCCCTTACACCCTCATGCTAGGACATGTGGAGGTTTCAAGGTGAACAAAACTGATTTTCTATCATTCAGTTGCTAACATTGTAGTAAGGGAGGTAAGACACGTAATCAAATAGACATAACCCGGGAGAAAAAGTAGCAAATGCCTGAGAGTGGGCCAGGTGCTGAGAGAGTGCTGTGTGGTGACAGCACTCCCAGGGAGAGTCTGGGTCCTGAGCCCTCACACCAGTGAAGAGAACCTTTCAATCCCTAGGGCAGGAATAAGCCAGCAGGCCCAAGGTGTAGCTCAAAGCTGTAGAAGCCTGTGCTGAGCTGTTGAGGCAAGCAATGCTGAGCACTGTCTTCAGAGTCTCAAAATCTTATCTCTACCATGTGCCTCTGACACAGCTTTATTTATTTCCCATACACAGCCTTGATCTCTGATACTGGCCGCCCAACTTGTTTTAGATCCTTGACTTCAGGCTTAATCCCTAGTGACTACTATCATCAACTTGGAGACATATAACCCTTGGCTGCCATCTATGGCCACATGACCCAAATGAAACCATAGGTTCCAGCGTGGCCTATGCTCTCAGGAGGCCCTAGCCATGAAGGGCCAGGCACATTGAACCCAGCCTCAAACATTGGAGTAGAGAACGCCCATCTGGCATTTCTCAGGGCAGAGGAAGACGAACATAGCTTAAAGACAAGCCCACAGTCATGAGGTCTATGCCAAGCTTCAGGAGACTCCGGGAAACCAGTCCTGTACCCTCACCTCCAGGAAATTCCTGATTGGTCTCTCCAGGGATATTCACTATAGTCCCAGAAGGGTCTCTGGCTCTTGTGGTTGAGCCAGCATCCCTGAACTTCTCTCTATGCATGTAGAGAATGTTTCCAGGTAAACTATTGAAAGGCCACATCTTAATTACCAGACCTATCTTCAGAATCCAAATAGAGACCACAGACCAACAACTGGTAGCTACAGTTCCATCTGTCTCAGAGAGTCCAAATGCCTTAACAATGCCGCTGTGTTGAGGTGTGCTGGGGGCACTGTGTGGCCTGTTCACTAGTGCCCCACACCTGGCTCTCTTCAGAGTGAAGGGGGCTGGGCTCAGGGAAAGCAAAGAAGGAAATTGTCATATTGTTCAGGTATGGTTTAGACTCCTAGACCATTTATTGCAGACAAGATCTTAAAAACTGTACAGAAGACAAAGTGACCTCTGCAGGCTTAGAGGAAGCCAGATTGGGGCAACAAATAATTTATTGAATTTTTAATTAATTTAATTTGGGGTCATGGCAAGTCATTGAAGACATAGAGATGAAACTTGATAGAGAGTTCATAATGATCTCTCTTTTGCCTGAATTCTATGATATTATTAGTCTCTGTTTAACTCAGAGCTCTTCTTTGAAAAAAAGAACATGACATTCAGACTAGTGCCAATGAAAAATGAGGCTTATTTTTAGGATAAAGAGAAAGCTTATGGACGTTCAGGAGAAGTCAAATAATCAGGCCTCAGGCCAGGCCGAATTATAAATTCCAATGAGCTCAGAGACCTGTATAGCACTTACTAGATTCTTAATAAGTGTTCGTTAAAAGAATGAATGAATGAATGAATGAACAAATGAACTCACAAATGACCTAAGGGAGCTCAGAGGAATACTGAGGACTACACTACTGTCCTACCAATAACTGACTTAATCTTACTGCACTTAACTCTCCTGTGTCTCTTGGCCCAAAATCCCAACAGAGGAATCCAGAGAATACCCCTGGGTCAGATGCCCATCTCAGTCCATTAAGCAATAGCCAGAGAAGGTAATGCCAAATGACCATAGGGCTCCCTTCTAAGGATCAGACAGATTAAGCCAGAATAAGAAACTGAACATGGCCTGTGGGTTTGTATTTCTCCAGGGCATTCATTTTGTATGTAATTACAGACTGCCATGTACTGGTGTATATGCATGTAAGGTATATATGCGGGTGGCACCACAGTGAAATATTTTTGCTTCTTGAGGACAGAATAATAGCTTCTGTTCTTTCTTCTATAGGGCTTCAATTTTATAAATAATTCTGATCAAGGAAGAATGTTCAAGTATGACCAGATTGGGAGCTAATGTGCTAACTGATTATTATATGCCAGACACTGTGTTAGGCATTTTACAAAACTGTAATCTCTCACAATTTATTCTTGTGGGTAGGCATTATTATCCCCATTTTACAGATGAAAAGACTGAGATTTCAACTATCACAGTTACAAAGTTGAAAAGGGGTGGAGCTGGAATTCTTCCTGAGATTGGTTTGTTCCCCAAAGTTATACCCTTTCCAATATCACTATACTATCTTGCAATCGACGGATCATTAAGCAAAATATCGGGATGAATTCTGCAGGACAGAGCCAGGACTCTTCCATGAGTCATTAGTCAGGTAAAGACACTTAAGGCACATAATTAGGCAAGTATGTAGTTTTTTATTTAATATTGGTTTGAGGAAACTAGCTCTAAATAAATTAGGGGACCAATTGGGAACCTTTGATATGGTCAGGTTTTAGAGGAGATGAGAAGGATAAAAGGAGAAAGTTGTTTGAAAAAAATCAAGTTACAAAATACTGCGATTTCATTTTTAGATATATGGATCTGTCTATCTATCTATCTATCTATCTATCTATCTATCTATCTATCTATCGTGTAACACATATGTTAAAGATGTAAAATACCCATTGTTTTATATATCTGTAAGAAAGAAAAAGTGCTGTCAATTAATTGCAAGACATAATTGATTATGAAAGCCATCCTGATTTCAAAGATGTTAAATGTGAGAAAAAAAAAGTCTGTGCTGCAATATGTAGGAAAAGATCCAGAGAAATGTGCCCGAATGTTGCAGTGGTGATTTCCGGGAGGTGACAGTATGACTTGCGTTTTATGATTGCTCGTCTGTGTATGCAGATTTCCCTGATCCACTCTCATCCCACTCTCAAAGGTTCAAGTAGGTGATCCCCAGCCCCAGGAGAACCACTTTTAAACTCTTTCAGCATGTCACGCATTAGAGTTCACACATTAGATTTCAAGCATTGGCTTTAGGATTTGGGGATATACATCTCCCGTGGTATTGATCTTAGCATTTGAAGCCTCTGCCAAAACTTCACGGCAACAGGAATAAAACACACTTAAGAGACTTTTCTACTACACACCTGATTCAATAATAGGCGAGATACGAGTTGTTAGCAAATGAAGGAAAAGCATGCTGTTCAATGATGAACGTTCTTAAGAAATAATATCTAGGTTAATGTAGTACTTTTAGTAAATGCACAGAAAGTACAATTCTAATAAATAAACTTGTTTTATATCTTTAATTTCCATCTAGAATTGACTCGTGTTAGATTTTTTGTGGTCTTAAAGATAATCATAAATCCAACAGTAATATGATTAGCTCAATAATTTTTCACTTGGGGAATACATGTAGATATTTTGAAGTTTTATGTTAAGGAATGCTTGAGGTTATTTTTACCAAACATCATGAAGAAAATATAATTAATTAATAAATATTACAGTCTTAAATCTATTATTTAAAACATGGAAAATTTTCATATAAGCTACTTTATTGCATTCCTTCTTTTATTAAGTCCTAGGATAATTTTGTATTCTTTTTGAAAGTGTATGCTTTCCTCCCTTTGCTTGGTTACACAGTTGGACTTATTTAATTTTCTAATACAGTGCAAGATTATTTTACTATTCAAAAGCGATTCTGCAACTTTTACATATTTGCCAACAATGCAGGATATGGCTACTGATCCAAAATCATAGTTTGTAATCATTTTAACTCCCGGTCCTCTGTATTGTTTCAATCATGGCCATGAAGCCACCACCTACTCCACAGGAGAGCTTGCCAGCATGCGCTGGAAGTGTGTGGATGCCAATGAGTGATTTCATTGCAAGGTTGAAGGAGGCACTTTAATCTAAAGCTGATCTCTTGATTCATACTTGCCAAGATTTTGCCTACATTCTTCAGATGGCTTAAGACAGGGAAGGGCATAAGCTTTGGTGCCAGACTAGCTTTAGTTAAAGCCCAGCAACTTGGGACTGAGCCCCAGGTCCCATGAATGCAGGTCTTCATCAGCAAGGCTGGGAGCAGACCACAGTGAACATTGTGACTTCTCAGTTGGAGCTGGTTTAATTTGTGGTGTTGTTCAGCTCTGCATGGGAGACTTAAATGGAGTCATCACTGGCTAACTGTAGGTATAGTGAAAACAGGCACATAGTAACATTTGACAAATATTTTAAAGCCTACCTGTTTTCCACAGACCTCACCTGGCCAACGGAGAAGTGCAATTACTAGATTATAATCAGATCTATGATTATTTGTTACCTTTATTAAAACAATTCTATATATTTTATTGCATGTAAAAGAGTAAAATGGCTATCTTTAAGTACCAAATACTCCAATAGCAGGGTAGCAACATTTATTTACACTACAGCTTGGTATGTATATGTGCTCAATTTTTTTTAACCTATACTTGGTGTGAGTATGAGCACCTAGGCTTTGAGTAGTGGGGGAAAAAATATTAGGCCTAGTCCATTCCAATGCAATTATTTTAAAAACCTCTTTAAATATTACTCATTTCCTTCAGCAAAGTTATCTTCTAGTTCAGATTTCTCCTTTTTCAGATCCCATTTTCCTGTGTCCTAGCTAGGGAGGCATCTGGTGTGCCTGGTGTATGGAAGCCTGAAGGACTATGCAGTGCCTTGTGTTCTGCTTGTATGGCTCTTCAGGTAGCTGGGAACATGATGTCCCCTGGTGCTGAAGTTTTTTGCAGATACTACTCATGATCTTGTCTCCCTCAGCTGAGTTTCAGTTCAGTAGCCCCTCCGAGCTGATTCAGCTTTGCCTTGGCTCTCATTGGAGGGAGATTCTTTCCACTTCCTCCATTTGTCCTCTGGCCAGGGCTGGTAACCCCAGCCCCTGATGCAGGAGCACCAACTTCTTGCCAAGTTGGTGAGTTTCTCCCTAAGAACCATGAGAAGTTCTGAATCCTATCCATGGTTAACTGACTGCAGAAGAGTGAGTTGGAGAATTAAACACGAGGGGCCTCTCTGTCCAACACCCCTGGACCTGCCAAGGTTACAGTGATGTGGCTGTGTACCAGGTTGGTGTGGGATAGCCTGAAGGATATTCCTTCCTAGAGTTCAAAAAGGAAATTGGGGCAGGCTTCCTATACCATTCAAGGACCAGGAAAGATGTAAATGGGTGGCATGCCCAAAAGGGATGCCTGATTCCAGAAAGCTTAGTGAATGGGCCATCAGAAAAATGACAAGAGTTAAGGGCATCAAACAGTGTTGAAGCACCTTGGAACAGCCGCAGTAGGAAGTCAATACAGTCCTTAGGCCAGAGGAGAGTTCTTGGAACCAGACGATGGCTGAGCTGTAGAAGGGAGCTACCTAATGGGAGCTTTGGCCTGTGGTAGTTGAAAGCTGAAACTGCAAGATGCAGCCTGGCAGGGAGGGAGACAGGCAGGACTAGACATTTGCTAACCACTCGCTTCTGCCCTCCAGTGTCCTGCAGGGGCTTCCCATTGGCCAAGGGCATGGGAATCATATTGATATAATCCTTAGGTCATCTCCTGGGCACAGAGAAGGGTAGAGGAGGGTAGAGAGTGGGTCTGAAGGAGTGAACAGAATCTCCAGCAGATTCTTCTCTAAGTGTAACCCATTTCATACTTTCTGGGCCAATGCCCAGAGAGAAAGGTGGGACATACACATCTCAGGGCTTAGCTCTCCTCATTCTCTCCTCCTTTCCTCTTCCCACAATCTACCAGGGATAGAGCCAGAGGCACATACCTCCTCGGTAAGTCCTAGATATCTAAGGGGTATCTAAGGGGAACTGCTTGGGCTGGATGTCCTGGGCTTGGCTTTTGCTATGCCAAGAGAGAAATAATGATATGTAGAACATTGCCTCAAAAAAAACTTTTTTCTGCATATCTCTTTTCTTGCTGGTAAATCCAATTTCAAATGCCAAAATCCTAAATATTAACCTTTTCTTTGTGTTTCTTTAACTTCTCTGTCCTGCCACTGGCAGATGGATGCCTTAGACCAGCTAGGAAAATATTACATTTTGGGAGAGGCAAAGAGAATACTTTTAAAAACTATTACTCCCCAATTTCATGCTGCTGTAGTTTGTTTGGAAATTTTAAAATTTTATAGCATTTTCAAGTATATTATCTGATTTAACATCATTTAACCTTAGCAACAATCCTACAAGGTATCCATTTTACAGATGAGATAATTGAGGTCAAACGTACTCTGCTAGTTAATAGCAAACCCACAACTAGAATTCCAGATCTCCTGACTCCCATTAGAGTGCTCCTTCTTCTGTGCCAGACAGGGGGCCACAGTTTGCACATTTGGAAAAGAGAACCAAGTTCATGAAATTGGTTCATAATATACTGGTACTTGCTAAAAGTGGTGACTTGAGCATTTGCCCAGTGATAATTGCTTTCACTGAAAAATTTTTTTTAACTTTTTCTAATATCTGCTTCCATGGTAACTAGGTAATTTTATACTTATTTTATTGCCCTTCTTGCATTATCATCTGTCATTTGGTATCTTTCACCATTTGCTTTTTTCATTCCTGGTTTTGACTTCATTTCACTAGTTAATTACCTTTTTAATCCAACTCCTCTTTTTAACTACTTCTTGATTCTTGAATTATCCTTTGACCTCATCATTTGATTGCTGCTTTCCTAACTCAGTGAGTTGAACATATTCTGCTAAAAATAGCAGATCTTGTTTTCATTTTGTCTCTGTTTATGTGACACCCTGTGTATAACTCAGAGAGCACCACTGGGACAAGATGTAACAGGGAAAAATATGTGCCTAGGTAGAGAAAGGATGAGGAGAGCTTAAACCTAGACTAACTAGCAACCTGGTCTCTGGGCAGATTTCTTGAATGGGTGGTTTCTGGCAGTGAGACTTTGAAAGATTCGTGATGTCTCTGAGGAGTGGGATGTTTGGCCCATCAGAGCTGAAGGCCAGTTCAGAGTTTCTCACTTTGTAAGGTTTATGCGCTCCCCCTCTGAAAAGTGGAAGCTACCGGCTGGGTACTGGGTCTGTCTTTCCCTAGATTCACTCGAAGTTTCCCAATTCATGTATTACCAGTTAAACAGGGTTTTGAACTTTCTTTTCTTACTAGAATATAGAAGGTACTAAAGATGTTTGATGTCTTGAAAAGTCTAAGGACCTGGAACTGTTGTTTATTCCCTGGAGCATGTCTTCTCACGTTATGAAGATAGGGAAGACTGAGAATTTGGGTTCCAGCTAAGTTTGAGCAGTATCTGTAAGTCCTTGGGCCAGGCTGAGTGGGGAGAAGTCCACAGTGTGTTGCAGTACCCCCAGGACTGTCTGCTGACCCCCACTGCAGGGGTGGGGTGGAGCTTACTTTCTGGGTCTATCTCTCATAGCTGTGCTTGGAATTGCTGCTGATTCCTGGTTTAGATCGTTATCCTAGAGCATTGACTAAAATGTTAAATGACCTGTAAGTTACATTGTTTTACCAAGAGGCTGTTCCCTACATTCTCTTGAGTCTGTAGTCTCATAGGTTGCTGATGTTGCATAAAACTGGTACAGCCTCTCTGGGTGATAGTTTAGCAGTAGGTTACAAAATGTCCATGCCATTTGACTGAGAAATCCAATGGATAGGAAGTCATCGTGAAGCACCTAATGACTTAGCTAGGAGATGTTCACTGCAGCTTCCCAGCAAACAGGGTAAATTATTAATCATCCATAAGACAAAATAAAGCACAACCATTGAAAATATATAAATGTATATGTGTGTCTTTACACACGAAAAGATATTCATAATATCCTATTGAATAAATAAACCAAGTTTGCAACAGTAAATTCAGTATGTGTGTGTATATATATATATATATATATATATATATATATATATATATATGAAAATATTAATACACCTATGCTCAGAAGAAATACCAGAAAGGAAGGATCAAAATACCAATTTTTGGGTAATATGATTAATGTTGATTTTAATTAATAGTGGATAATTTTACTGTCTTCTAGGATGATCAGATATTACTTATGAAAAAGGAAATTACTTAGCATTGAAACTGGCTTCTGGCATAGAGAGAAGGGATGAGGATCTGATGAACGTGGATCAGCAATATGCCACGTTTACTAATGTTTGTTACCGTGTTGGCAGTGACATCAGGGTGCCAATGGCACACTATTGATTCAGACATAAGGATGTGAATACCAGGGACTCAAGAGAAGGGACAGCTTCAGAACTATACACACTTGAGCCATATTTTTATTCTCTTTATCTAAAATGTTCTGATTTTGTAGGATAATTATTTGCCTTTTTCTTTTTACTTTAGACAAAATCCATTTTCATTTGTTTATTAAATAATTATAAGTACACAAAAGAATATTTACAATATAAAGGTAAAGTGGAGAAAATACTCATGAACAGAAAGTCAGTGTCCAGAAATGGAGTATGACCATTGATCCTGTAAGAGTTCCCTAAGGCAGCAGTCCCCAACCTTTTTGGCACCAGGAACTGGTTTCGTGGAAGATAATTTTTCCACAGACAAAGGGTGGCGGTGATGTTTTTGGGATGATTCAAGCACATTACTTTCATTGTGTATTTTATTTCTATTATTATTACATTGTAATATATAATGAAATAATTATACAACTCACCATAATGTAAAATCAGTGGGAGCCCTGAGCTTGTTTTCTTACAACTAGACGGTCCCATCTGGGGGAAACGGGAGACAGTGACAGATCATCAGGCACTAGATTCTCATAAGGAGCACGCAAGCTAGATCCCTCGCATGTGCAGTTCACAATAGGGTTTGCGGTCCTATGAGAATCTAATGTTGCTACTGACCTGATGGGAGGCAGAGCTCAGGTGGTAATGCAAGCAGTGGGGAGTGGCCATAAATAGAGATGAAGCTTTGCCAGCTCGCACACCTCTCACCTCCCGTGGTGTGATCTGGTTCCTAACAGGTAACAGACCGGTACTGGTCCATGGCGCGGGAGTTGGGGACCTCTGCCCTATGGGATCCTCCATTCCTTTCTCCTTTCCTCTCTGGCTTGAGAAAACCACAGTCCTAAATTTTTTATTATTGCTTTGCTTTTCTTTATAATTTAATTCCTAAGTGATATTTTAGTTTTGTGTGCTTTTGTACTTCATTAAGTAGAATTATACTTATTCTTCTGCAACTTGCATTTTTCACTCGATATCTTATTTCCAAGTTTTATCCATGTGGTGTGTATAGTGATAGTTCATTCATTTTGCTATTGTCCAGTCTTTATCATGGAAATGCACCACAGTATGCTTATGTATTGTCCTGTTTATGAACTTTTGTGTGACTTACAGTTTGTTGACACTATGAAAGCTTTTATTAATGGCGTCTGATGTGCATGTATAACATCTAATGCTCATGTAGGTTGTCTCAGGTCTATACACAGTGGAATTGCTAGGTTATAGGGTATGTGAATGTCCAATTTTAATATACAATGTAGACCATGCTAAATCATTTTCCAATTATTTTTATCTATTTATATTCTTGCCAGCAGTATATGAGAGCTTCTATCTTTGCACAGTCACCAACATTTAGTAATGTCAGACTTGTAAATTTTTGCTAATCTACTGAGCGTGAACTAATTTAATTTGTATTTCCCTGAGCATCAGTGAAGTCAAGCATGTTTGCTTCAGTGAAGTCAAGCATGCTTTCCTGGGTTTATTAACATTTGTGATTTCTGTCTATAAATCATCTGTTCAGGTCTTTTGACCCATATTTCTATTGGATTATTTCTGGTTTTAAAGTGGGTCTGTAGGAATTCTGTATATATCGGGAACAAATCTTTTTAGTTATATATGTGAGAGATATCTTCTTCCAATTAGTGGCTTGTCTTTTCATTTTCCATATAGCGTCTTTGATAAAGAGCCATTATTAATCTTGTTCGTCCGTTTTTCATGGTTTGCCTTTTTGTGTCTTAAGAAGTCCCTTCCTAACCAGAGGTTCATAAACACAAACTTCTAGATTGTCTTCTAAAATGTTTATAGTTTTGTCCCTGTGAATGGTTTAAAGGTGTCCAATGTGTTTTTTCTATAGAGATAACTGTTCTAGGACAATCTATTAAAAACTCTTCTGTTGTAGGACTTTCTCCTTAGTTCAGCTAAAAACGGGTCCTTGTCACACGACCATGAAAGATTAGGCTTGCAGACACTTTGAAGGGTGAGAAAAATGGAATTTATTGGGTGAAAAGGAAAAAAACTCAGCAAAGCAAGAGAGCTTCCTGTTAACAGATCCCCATCTCACAGATAGAATTCCCAGTTACCACCCCGGAAAAAGAAAGGACAGACTCCTACCCCCTAAAACCGGCAGAAACTTCCATGGCTCAACCTGTTCTCCCAGTGCTCAGGCCGGTGGGAGTTTCTCCAGGGACCCCTTTGTATTTGAATGTTTCATTTTCTTTCCCTACAGAGGTGTAAATGCCAGCTGACTGGAATCATGTCATAGATGAAGTTTCTCTCTGAGTGTGGACCTGTTTCCTGGGTTCCCTGGAGAACACAGGCATTTGAGTCAGCCAGATGTTGAGGGGCCCTACCAGGGAACTTCTTTATATTTTAAATAAGAAGTCATTTATCTCACATAACAAGTTAGAAGCTATTCTGGGTTAACCCAAGGCACAATGATGGCATCAAGAACCCCGGCTCTTCCCATATTTTCCTCTGCCAGAGTCAGTTTGTCAGTGATGATTCCTCACAGCTCCAACTGCTTCGAGCCACATCTGCAGTGGAAAAAAGGCTTCATATTTTAAATTCTAACCTCAAGGTTGTTGTGGACGACCCAGGTGGTGTGCATTCAAGTTGCAAGCTGCTTTCCCATGCAGTCCCACTCAGGGTCACGAGTTCTCAGGGGAGGATTTTTTTCTCTGTCCATTCAGTCCTGAGTTTCAAGATGGGCAACTTGCCTTTCAGATCCCTGTGTAAAGAATGAAGGTATTTATTTCTAGTTCACCTGACTCTCAGGGTGCAGCCCTTGGGGCCTACAATTTACACAGGAATCTCACATTAAACCCCTCTCCATGGGCGGGCCTTGGGCTTTGTCCTCTGCCCTTACGCCTCATGAGACAGTGAAGAGCTAAGCTGGAATTCACCAAGGTGGTAAATGTAGACCTCCCTGAAAGCTTGTCCTGTTTACATCTCTGCCTTCTCATTTTCTCTTAATTTTTTTCTTTTTTTGGCTTCTTGGTATTCTTTGCTTTCTTGGAGCTCGTCACACATTTAGGAGGATTTTTGTCTTTTCTGGAATTTTTAGTTGTTTTTTGGTGGGAGGGTCTGTCAGTGCATCTAGTCCTCCACACTATGGAAGCAGAAGTTGGTTTAAATTCACTTTAAAAATTGCCTTCTGTTTTATCAATTCTGCCTAAAGGTTTGTTGGAGACTGAACCGTTGCAAGGAACAGACGAAGATGCAGTAGCCAGTGCTGACTTCTCTAGCATGCTCTCTGAGGAGGAAAAGGAAGAGTTAAAAGCAGAGTTAGTTCAGGTATGTTTAGTAATCTTATTGTTGCTATTTCTATCTCTGGATCTTAAGAGTTATTATTAGTTTGATATAATAATTGTAATGATGTTGTATTGTAATGATGTTGTCTTTCATTTAATAAAATTTATAAATGAATACATTACAAGATGATTCATTTTTCCAGGGTATTTTTCTACTGTTACATATTACTTATTAGTTACAGTTGTAGAATGAATCATTGTGCTGCTTAAGCAACAATAATAACCAGTTTTAAATATACACTTCTTATTCTTTTTACTGTCAGAATACTATGGGAATAATAAATTACTTACAAACCTGATAGAATTCATTCCAGACCATGTTATAGGTGCAAGATCCTTTTGAAGATGGGTTCTGGTTTTAGGTCAGCAACTTAGCTCAACAATTACTTTGAAATGATTTTTTTAAATGAAAAAGTCAATCATAGAAGCAACTGAATTTATAAGTTGTGTACTTTTTGGCAGAAAAATAAAGCTCTAGGGGTAGAGAGGAAAGCAATGCTTCATCGAGGCCTAATTAGATCTTGTGGAGCTGCTGTGGGGATCCGGACCTAGGGAGGAGGAGGATGTCAGGCTCATTATGAATACACATCTTTGTTCAAGTCTTTTGCTTGCAATACCCACTTTAGACACTTTGCTGACAAGCCTTTACTTTCTAGGAGGAGAGTGTTGTAAAAAGGGCTCCTTGAGTAGGAGGAAGCAGCAGAGCCAGAGGAGCTGAGGCCAACATTCCCTCTGCATTCTGTGTCCTGGCTCATAGGCCAGGAAGATCCTGTTCCCACAGAAGCAAGGCTTGGCCTTCCTGCTTTGGCCTCTCCACAGGCTGAGGACACAGCTCTGAGCTCCACCTTACCCTCTCCCCACTTTGTCCACTCTGAACTCTGAGTTCTAGCCTCCTGATAGTGTTTGTCTATGACAGCTCAGAATAATATTAAAGATTTTCAGGTGCTTTTACAAGACACACCTCCAAGTTAATTTCATTTCAAAATGAAAGAGCAGCACGTTCCTCTGGTATAACCAAAAATGATTTCAGTAAGCACAGTGCCTCAAATCTTTAGCTGGGTCTGTCTGTGGCCACTGAGTGGCTGCACGTACCAGAGTGCACAGACCAAAGTTAGCATTAACAGATAATGGACTGACTCCACATATTCTTATGGCCTGAAATTCTGGCTCATGACTAGTTCATGTCAACTGCAGGGTCCAAATGTCATGTTCTGCAGAGTGGGGTAAGCCAACTGAGTCTAAGCTAAAACTTCACTCCATCATGGTGATAATGCTAGTTTAAGTTTAGGCACAATGTCTGTAACTGACCAATTTCTATAAAATGCCTCGATTTTTATTTTTCTGGGCTGTAGGATTACTGGGGTATACATACATACATATACTAATACATGCTGATTTTTGTACATTATTTTCTAAATGTCAACAGTGAGCATGATACTACTTTTATAATCAAGAAAAAAGTAAGTATTGGTTTTAAATGGATGCCCCATGAATATGAAAAAATAGAAGTGTTTTCAGAAATTCCTGTCTCATTTGGCCACAGTAATACACTTCCAGAACATTTCACTCCTAAGAGTTTTTGAGCCTGACTTCTGGAAATAACACCAGACTCTTTGTTACTGTGTTCAAGTTACCAGGATTCATGTTTTGCACTAGCCTCCATGCTTCCTGGCTCTTATTTCTGGGTTCTTCGGAGATGAAGAAGTACCGCATGCTGCCAAAGGTAGCGTCGTGACTTCCAGGGGCACATGAGCACAGCTCTCTGCCCCAGGCCTGGTGAAAAGCAGAGAAAGTGTATCTTTGCGATTTTTCTTCTTCACATTTCTCTTTCTCCTCCTCCACGTCAGGCCACCTCTGCTTTATGCTCATTCTGTTTTTAAAACAGCTTTCCTTACTCTTTTACAAGTGTGCATGCGGATGTGTGGACACAGGAACTCAAGTTCCCTGATAGCACGTATGCATTCGGATTTTACCTTCAATGCTAGGATTCAATTTTAACAAGGACACATAGAAAGCCATCTCTGCAGTCTCACTGCTGGCCTTATGAAGAACTGAGGCCTCCTATAGAGTCAGCCCCTCTGCCCCAATTCTCCACAGAGATTCTTTATGGGCCCCTGGTCACAGACAACTCCTCTTTCTGTCTGAGGAGAGATCCTACTGGGTCTGTTAGCTCCTTGGGTACCAAAGATACCTCAGAGACCAGCCTATTAGATGACGGCCTTGGAGTCAGGCACTCAGTTGTGGTCATGATCCAAAGCAAGACCTGTGTGTACAAGGACTTCTGACCCCTGACTGCTTTGCTGAAAAGAGGTCTTGAGTGTGCCAGGTGTCCAGCCTCCTCTTTGTTTCCTTCCTCTCCCTACTTTCCTCGTCTCTTCTGTGAAATAAATAATTCAAAATAAAAGCTGTTGGGACTTTAAATTATTTTGAGCCTTGAAGGAATGTGAATATGGGACCTGAGTCACATAACAGGCAGCTGTGACCTAGGCAGCTGTAACCTGTTTCTCTGATTATAGACTAGCCTTTTCATTACCTACATTGTTTTGTAAAATGCTATAAAAGACTAAAGGGCACCAGAGAAGACCTCTTTTATTATAGATTAACTTCCCTCTTTATTCTCTTACACAAACGCCTTAGATTGTCTAAGATGGAATGTTAAACATATACTTTTAAACTGGAAAAGAAAAAGAAAACAAACTGTAACTAATCAAATTGCTGTAACTCATAAACCAGCAATATATGAAAAATGCTGTAATCCTATTAAATTTCTTTGTTTTCTGCCTGTGTAAATAAGACCTTAACTTTTCAGCTTCATAGCACTAACCACATTCCTTTAGAGTCTGTGTTTCCCAGATGTCTATCCTTAGCTTTTCACTTGAATTAACTCTTAAACTGGATTCTGATCCATTTTATTATTTCAGGTTGACACCTCCTACTGCTTTCTGGCTATGCTGGATTCCTTCCTCCCAGCTCTCTTTCTCTTCCCTCCCCTCTGTCTTATCCTGCATTATCTTGTTGATAATATTCCCATGAGGTTGCCCTTAGACTTCAACCAATCTCATAACCCCATTCTCTCACACAGCCAACATATTTTTGTGTGCTTACCAAGTGCTGGCAAGAGGAAGACTTCTTTTGGTAGGAAACGTAAACTAAGCCAGTAGTGTCCAAAAGGCTTACATCTTGGACAAATTCAGCATTTTAAAAGAGGAATCTCTTGGCCAGCTGTGGTGGCTCACGCCTGTAATCCCAGCACTTTGGGAGGCCGAGGTGGGGGGATCACCAGAGGTCAGGAGTTCGAGACCAGCCTGTCCAACATGGTGAAACCCTGTCTCTATTAAAAATACAAAAATTAGTCAGGCATGGTGGCATGCGCCTATAATCCCAGCTACTTGGGAGGCTGAGGCACAAGAATTGCTTGAACCCAGGAGGTGGAGGTTGCAGTGAGCCAAGATCATGCCACTGCACTCCAGCCTAGGCAACAGAGTGAGATTCCATCTCAAAAAAAAAAAAAAAAAAAAAAAGGAATCTCTTTTAACATAACTTGATCTTTAATTTATTGTTGTGGTCATGCAATATGTATCTTTTTTAAAGTTCATCAAGTGTGAGGCCAATATCACCTCTGATCTGGTGCAGTGGTTCATGCATAGAAGGAATGTAATTAATATTTATAATTAGCTTGAGTTATTTTATATTTTAAGCAAATATTTATATTTGTAAATTCCAAAAGTAGAATATGCTCTTTTTTTTACAAACCTTGTCAGTAAATAAAGAATTAATCTTTTGTTTCAGATATTTATTCTCATTGGTCTTATTACCAGACACCTTTTCTGAAGTCTTTACACACCTGTTTTTTTTTTCTCTCTCTCTCTCTTTAAGTACACTTGCCCAATAATTCTGTGCCACTATCATCCCACTCCCACTTTAATTTCACTAAGCTGCATTTTATGTTTAGTATTTCATAATGTGTCTTGCCTTTTGAAAAGGATAAAGTTTTGGCATTAGTACTGTAAATTTGTGATTATATAACAATCAAGTACTGCCAATGTCCCTGAGATAAGATGACTTAAGAGAAATAGGCATTAATAGGAATAGGAAAAATACCAGACAGCATTATCAAGTAAGTAAAGCCTATTTTCATGCTCTCTCAATCTCTCCTTTGGCTCTTTCCTCTTCCTCTGGTCTGTGCAGTCCCCAAGAACACACAGTGCTCTCAAGCTAACGGTGTCTTACACTTGCAAAGAAGTGCCTTAGGCTCTGGGCCTCTCTCTCTCTCTCTCTCTCTCTCTCAGCTCCTTCCTGAAGACCTTAACTCTTTCTGGACTGAGCTAGTGAACAGCTAATGTCTTCATAACCATAATATCTTATTGTTTTGCACCTCTTAGTCAGTATCTGCATTTTAATCTTGGGTCTCTTAGCCAAAGGCAAGAGTAGCCCAGAGAGGCAGGCCTTGAAGCCACGTGCACGTGAGACCAAATGTGGTTACTCCTAAATAACATACTGATGATGCCTAGTTTATGAAAATAGTTTTCCTTCTGGGTTGCAGTTAGAAATTTTATGTAATCTAGCAGATAAAACTGAAAAACAAATTTTATAAATTTCATACTGAAGCTAATTCATTAGCTAATTCAGACTAGTTAGTTCACTTTTTTGCATTTTTCTTTAGATAAATTTATATAACATAAACTTATCCATTTTAAAGTGACCAATTCAGTGGCATTTAGTGCACTCACAGTGTTGTGTTGTGTAACCACCACATCTGAAAGGAAACTTGTACTCATTAAGCAGTTGCTTCCATTTCCCACTTCCCAGCCTCTGGCAGCCGCCAGTCTTCATTCTATCTCTATGGGCTTACCTATTCTTGATATTTCATATAAATGGAATCATACAATATGGGACCTTTTGTGTCTGGCTTCTTTCACTTAGCCTGATGTTTTTGAGGTTCATCCATGTTGTAGCATGTTTTAGTACTTCATTGTTTTTATGGCTGAATAATATTCCATTTTATTTATCTACTACAATTTGTTTATCCATTCATCTCTTGATGGACATTTGGGCTGTAGTCACCTTTGGTCTACTGTGAATAGTGCTGCTATGAACATGTGTGTCCATGTATTTGTTTGAGTACCAGTTCTCAATTCTTTGGGGTATATACCTAACAGTGGAATTGCTGAGTCCTGGGGAAATTAATTCTGTGTTTAACTTTCTGAGAAACTGTACGACTGTTTTCCACAGTGGCGGAACTATTTTACATTCCTGCCAGTAATGTACAAAGGTTCCAACGCCTCCACATCTTTGTCAACACTTGTTATTTTCCTGTTAATTCATATTTAAATAATCAAGTTTAAATATCTAATATTGGGCATAAATATTCATCCTACAAGGAGATCTTCTAGGGAGTCAAGAAACCAAAGAACTAGACCATTAATTTGCAATGCAGAAATAATTAAAATTAAAAGGAAAAGATATATTAAATACTTTAATTCATTAACATGATTTACTTGCACTTCATCTCATTCCAAATTGGATGTGGCTTACAGAAGTACTTACAGTTTAGAGTTTCCATACTCCTTGTATCAGAATCTCTGAGGATGCTTGCTGATAACACAAGCAGTCTGGCTCCACCAAATCTAAGGCCTTGAACTCTCAGGGCATTAAAAGGCAGCAGATGCCTGGGAATCTGCATTTTAAATATGCTTTCTTATTTAAACTGAAGTTGAGAACCACTGAGATAACTAGACCAAACGATCGCAGTCAAATAAAGGATTGAAGTTCATCAGCAGCAGCCTTTAAGGTATTTGTAAGTAAAGACCTCATTGTGGCAGGACTCTTGGTTCTGTACAAAGAGAGGTTGTTGGCCTTTTGGAACCTTACACGTTAATGTAATTAAAGATTGTCTGTCTTTCCAACTTTTGCGATTAGTTTTTGGCATATATTTAGATCTCTGATAAATATTCTGAACGTTTTGAAAAGTGTGAGTCTTTATATTGCATTGAAATGGTTAGAATTTTATTATAGAATCTGAGAATACACCCAACTTAAATAGCTGACTTCATGTCTTCATTATTAGAGGTCTCTTCCCCATATGTGTCTTTGAAAGTGTGCCTGAATTTTTGAATTATTAAGTGTGGGACTTTATATTTCTTTTTTTTAAGAATGATTTTTGTTAAATTGGTCACTTTAATGTTTCTATCGCTTTTGGGGGATGAAGATTTTATTAAAAATTTAATGGCAGCTCTGAATCCTTTCCTCACTCCCCACCTCCAGATAACAAATGAATAATCCACAGCCCCTCGTGGTTTTTAATACACTTATGGGGCTCCATGGCTATGAGGTTGAGAATATTAAGGTGTTCAAGCCTCTTTCTCCTTGTGTACATCTGTAATTTATTTCAGCAAGTTAAAATTTTCCCCTTATTTTTTTACACAGTGGAAAATACTGTAACACTCAATATACCCCCACCCCCGCCGAGAAAAAACCCAGACTCCCAGTAATTTCAGTCACTCTAAATGAAAGAAAGCAGAAATGGCCTTTTTAATAGAGAATAAAAGGCTGACATGAACCCCAAGCATTTTCTGTGGTAAAAGAGCAAGAGATACAACCATGAGAAATATTGGGCAGCAGATTAAATGGAGGAGGACACATTGACAAAGATGAAAAAGAGAAATATGACATGATAACAAAAGAATAGAAGGGCTTAATTTTAAAATAACAGTGTATTCTCATTTAATGGAGAGACTAAAAGCATTATTCTCTTTACTGGTCCCTAAACATACTCCTTTTACAGTAATCAGTGTATGTATGCACACTGAAGACTCTTGCTCATCAAGGAAAGACAGGGTTCTATTGATTATACTATGTTTGTAGAATATGTAATTCACTTTAGATTTTAGAAAGATGTCCATGTACATATAAAAAATGTTCTGTGAACATAAAGAAATGGATAATGTTAAATTGCCAGGACATTTTGCTGATATTAAAAACCCCAAGATATTGCTACTTCTTACTGTGGTATTTAAGATGCTTGTGATTCAGTATTTCTGCTTGTTTTGCTTACGTGATTATTTGTGTATATAAAGGTTCGCAAAACCATTTCTGTCTGTTCACTATTGGCGCTAGTGAAAGACTGGGGGGTTTTATTGCATGTTTTGCTTTTGCAAAGGCAGATGCCCTTCTTGAGCTGCTTTCCCAGGAGCTGTGACTCTGGTGATCCAAGGAACGCATTTGCAAGATGACTGACAGCCTGACAGGGTTGGTGTGATGCAGCTTGTGGTCCGAAGTAGAGTGACACTTTACAGTAAATGAGCCACAGTTGCTCCTTTTTAAAAAAAATTTAGTAAGAAATCCACTAAAGTGACAGAGTTTTATTACCTCCATGCATGTGGGATACTAAGGTAGTTCTAATGATTCTTTTCCGGCTTAACAAGGAAAAGTCACAAAATTTGTTTTCCATATTTCAGAAAACAAAGATGTAAATGTAAGCACTGATACCAGAGCAATATGTTATAGAGTATGACAACTAATTAAAATCAAAGACTTTGTGATTTATTCAGATTTATTTTCACAGGATAGAACAGCACTTTCCAAAATCTGAGTACTTTACAGAGCTCTTTTGTTAGAAATTGCATTTGCAAGAGCAATTTTATAGTGCTGAAGAGATCTGCTTTTCTGTAGCACAGGGGAAAGAGGAAATATGTCCATACGAAGCCTTGTACATGAATGTTCATAGCAGCTTTATTTGCATTAGCCTAACCTAAATGCCCTTCAACAGGCAAATAAACAACACACTTTGGCATATTCATTCAATAGAATACTACTCTGCAAAAAAAGGGGAAGAACCATTGATAATGCAGCAACATAGATGAATATAAAATAACTATCTGCAAAGCCAAGCAAAAATGAGTGTATACTCTATGATTCAATTTGTATAAAATTCTAGTAAATATCTGCAAACTAAACCCTAGGGAAAGAAAGTCAGTCAGTGGCTGTCTGGTGAGAGTGGATTGGGGGAAAGGAAAGAAGAGGGAGGGAGGAAGAAGAAGAAGCAAGTAAAAGGTGATGAATATGTTCACTTCCTTGATTGTGATAATGGCTTCACGGGTAGATACATATGTTAAAACTTACAAATTATACATATACACTTTAAATGTCTGCAGCTTATTGTATGACAGTTACAGGTCAATGAAACTGTTAAAAAGAAAAATCAACACAAATCACTCTTTTACATACATCCTCTAATCCCTTGTTCCTTCCTTTCTTAAGGCATTAGCTTGGCAAAACCCCATTGTCTGCCAATTCCATTCCTGCACCTATGCAACTGTGTGTGGTTGGCAAAAAATAAACTACACTGAGACCAGGCGTGGTGGCTCACGTCTGTAATCCCAACACTTTGGGAGGCCAAGACAGGAGAATCCCTTGAGGCCAAGAGTTTGAGACCAGCCTGGTCAACATAGTGAGACCCTGTCTCTTTAAAATAAATAAATAAAGTGGCACTTGAGAAGAAGTTATATAAAATAAGGGTACAGTAGAAAACCAATTTTTGTTCAAAAATTATGTCTATATACAACTTATAGAAAGAACATTTGGAAGTTTAGAAACCAAAAAATAAGCAGTGGCTATTTCCTAGCAGGATACAGGTGATTTTTATTTTCTTGTTTATGTTTTTCTGTACAATCTCACTTTTTTTTTTAACAAGCAGCATAAATTACTTCTATAATCATTAAAATGAAAAATTCTGTTTCTACTTTGAGATATTAGACTATCATCTGTATGGGGTGTATTTGGCAAACCTACACATGGGATTGTATAAATAGGAGGGTCAGAGGCTGCTTTGGAATACCCAGAGCTTCTGTAAGTATCCTTTTTTGCTGGTCTGACATTTTCCCCCACCATTTCCCCTCCGCCTTGTAGCTAGAAGACGAAATTACAACACTACGACAAGTTTTGTCAGCGAAAGAAAGGCATCTAGTTGAGATAAAACAAAAACTCGGCATGAACCTGATGAATGAATTAAAACAGAACTTCAGCAAAAGCTGGCATGACATGCAGACTACCACTGCGTAAGTATCATATGAACAGTGTTTTATTAACTCAGCCTGATGTCTCCTCACTCTGTTGTGTTTTGTTTCATTTTTCCTACAAGGCTGATTTGGTGCATGAAGCTAGGAAAAAAAAATACTTTCTCTAAAAGCAAAGCAAAGAAATGTGAATAATCATTAAGTATGCTGCATGTGAAGCAGATTCTATAAAGTAGCTTCATGAAATAAAACTCTGTTCACTGAAACTCTATTTTCACTCAGACTACTTTCATTAGGTTTTATTGTTTAAATGTTTTTCTCTTTATATTTTTAACATTTGTCAAATATACTTTTTTTAAAACTTTTTCTCATAAAAACTATAAATGGGAAGGTGTTTTCTCCTCAGCACACTTGACACTCACTATGTATGTCTTCCAAAAGTGGTTGGCAGTTTCAATACTGACTTGCTGGCAATTGATTTACAAAGAAAACCTTGTACTTTTCATCTTTTGTTTTGCACTTTTCATTCTCACTATTCTAGGGAATATTTAGAGCTGGGTTTAGACCAGTTTTAGAGCTTGGTTTAGATTACAGTTTTGGCCCTGTAATCCCAGCACTTTGGGAAGCTGAGGCGGGTGGATCACAAGGTCAGGAGATCAAGACCATCCTGGCTAACATGGTGAAACCTCGTCCCTACTAAAAAATACAAAAAATCAGCTGGGTGTGATGGCATGCCCCTGTAATCCCAGCTACTCGGGAGGCTGAGGCAGGGGAATTGCTTGAACCCAGGAGGCAGAGGTTGCAATGAGTCGAGATGGCGCCACTCCACTCCAGCCTGGCGACAGAGGGAGACTCTGTCTCAAAAAAAAGAAAGGAAGAAATGGTTTTTGCTTTGCCATTATCGTCCTGTCTTGTGCTAGGTAAGGTACAGAATAATCTCAGTTATTCTACAATCACACTTTTTTTATTAGATTATTCTTAAGTTGCATGAAATATTTAATGATGATGGTACTTTTCTAATGTTGCAAAGTATTTTACCTGCTGGGGGTCTTGTACCAAAGGGGAGTACTCCACATATGTGATGTGATTTTTCTTCTTTTTGTGTATTGGGGGTTAGGGGCTGATGAGGAAATCACAGAGGCTTTATCCCTAGCCGTAACTTTAGTCCCAAATTTCACCATTAAGAAATTGTCTTTGGGTTATGCATTTTCTTCTCTACTATCACACTTTGGAAGGTAAAGATATTGCATTCCTAATACCTAAGTGGGAGTCAATTTTTCTTTCTCCTAGGCATAGAAAGGCCTGATGGTAGGAAGAGGTACCAATAATTGACAGCAATTATTTCAGTTTTGCCAGCAGCCAAATTTGCCTGCTGGTTCCTAAGAACTAAGATGTAAGCCTTTTTGCTCCTATGAGAAGATGTCCTTTGTATGAGGAATTGGGTCTAAAACGAGCATGACATCTCCCCAACTTCCTTAGTTTCCATAAGAATGAGAATGTTTTTCTCCCTCTAAATATGGCCTAGCAGTCCTATTGGGCTCTATGCTTGTGCACCCTAAGGACTCAATCAGATAGGTTCAGGGCACAGCCCAGAGTCAGGCAGAATGTAGCCAGGGAGCTTGTCAGTTTATCTCCAGAAGTTAACCAACATTCCCCAACCTAATGATGACAATTACGGGAAAAAATAAGAAACCACACATTGATGTGCAGCAATTTAAAAGATAAGTTGCAACACCATATGAACAATCTCCTGAAAGGATAACTGGATTTTAGGCATTAAATTAAATGAGCTTATCTGTCAGTAGTTTTGGCCTCTGTCTTTCCACTTTCGTGGCCAATACCAATTAATGGCCCTGACAGTGTAAAGTTGAACAAGCTCTAATTCTCTGGGTTTGGTCACCTCTGTATTTAATCCAGGCCTGAGGGTTTCGTATAACACTGGTCTGAACTTCCCTGTGGGGTATAAGTACCAGGAAGACCTTCCTGCATGGCCTTCCTAATCACATTGCATAGGTAAACTAACCAAATGGAAGGTGGGGCAATGCTGGCAGTTTTGTTGCTGAAGGAGAGAGGTGCCTGGCAGGGAGGTGGGAATGTCTGAGCAGAGGGAGTGTCAAGTTTGTGCAAGGTCTGCCAGGGGAAGGGAGGGGAGAGACTCATATTCCTCCTGGGACTGGAAATAGAGCTGGCAAGTTCAAGGAAGGCTTCTAGCCTCTTCCCACAGGGGATAATGTCTAATTTGTGTTTTTCCATGTTTGAAAAACTAATAGGTTTTATAGCCAGGTAGTCTACTTAATGTAAAGCATTTTGCTGGATGAATAGCCTAGATTTATTCCCTGGGGTTATGGAGTTTAGAGTCTAGTTAGGAAGACAGAGTTTGAGTTTTTGTTGTTGTTGTTGTTGTTGTTGTTTGTTTGTTTGTTTATACGACAAAATCATGGACAAGGGGGATAGAAAGGATTTGGAGAACAGATCAACAGTGGTTTGCAGGTGGATGATGAAGGAAATAGGACCAAGTGTGATGTCTAGGCCTTTGACTTGGGCTACTGAGTGAGTGTTGGAACTGTTTACGAGCATTGTGGTTAGGCTCATGGTTGCTTGGGTTGAAATCTAGGCCTTGCTGCATTCATGAAGTGAGATCATCTTAATGCCGATCCCATAGGTAGTGAAGATTCAGTAAGTTAATGTTCGTAAAGGCTGCAGGACAGCATCTGACACTTTGTAGGCATGAAATGATTATTTGCTGCTGTGAGAAAGACTGAGAAACAAGTCTGGAGGAGAGGCACAATAATTCGTTTTGGCTCCGTAAAGTCTGAAATGCCCAATAGATAAACAGATTTATAGGCTGAGAGGACAACTCAGTGTAAAAGTTTAAGGCAGAGATGGACATTTGGGATTCAACTGCATATAGATAACATCGAAAACTAGATGACTAGATGAGATTTCCCTGGGGATTACTTAATAAATACAAATGGTCATGAACTCACTAACCTTTAGGAATGAAGTGAACTTTCCTTTGTAGGGAAGAACCAGTCCCTCTCTTTAGGAGGAGGCATAAGTCTATCAACCATATAATTTGGGGAAAGGGTCTGTCCCCAACCCTTTCTTCTTGGTTGTTGAGGGAAGGCAGCGGATCTTAATCATATGTTTGGAGGAGCGATAAAATCTGTATCCCTCTGAATTAATTAAACCCCTGCTCTTAGTGCTGTTTATGATACCCATTCCAGGACAAAATCTGCACCTCATCTGATGAAAAATTTGATGTGAAGAAATGATGAGCTATGATCAGGTTAGGTTAGGTAGAATTAGATTTCAAAGCACTAAAAAAAATTTTTAGCTGTCAGAGGATGTGTGTGATTCCCAGAGGCAATACTTTGCATACTGATTAAGCAATCATGACCTATTTAGTTTGATTTATAATGAAAAGAAAATCTATGGTATGTTAATGAAAGATCTTGGCATATTTCAGTCTGCAGTAGGATTCAAATTGAAATAGGCCTTGATAAGTAGGAATAATTACACAGCAGACTGAAATTACCTCCTTTACAGAAAGATTCCAGGAATACAGGAAAAGGTCAAGGGATCATCGGTATCCAGGGTTTCTTGTTGCTGTTGTTCTTGTCATAGTTTTTTACTTGCCTAGATTTGTATCTAAGAACATACAAAAAAGTCCTCTCCATTTTTTGGTTTTCTGCTGCCTTTTTATGTTGTCTTTAGACTTCAAGGAGACATGGGAGAGGTGGGTGACTTTGGGGTAAAGGAGGAGAAATTGAATCTCTTCTGTAGGCAGAAGTAGAATCAGGAAATACAACTTTATGGTGGGCTATTCAAAGCAGTGGGCTTCATGTATTCAACAAGTATTCTGCTTTGCTAACCCATGAAACATGAAATCCCCCCACTAATAAACCCCTCTGAATCGTGCCACAATCTAAATGGTAAGTCGACAGAGGGCAGAGGTTTTGGAAAGGAATTTAAACTATTCCATCTTTTTGAAAGCTTAATAATTTTATCCTACATAAAGAGGACGAAAAGCCTCACATTCAGCATTTTAAAAACGCACAGTGCTCAAAAATTGAACGTTAGTTTATGATTTATTTACTCTTTGATTTTGTTCTTCTAAGACTTCCAGGCCATTAATGGTCAGGAATTCTTATTATCTCTTTTTATGAGGGAGCCTGGTTGTAGCACTATTGAGTTCAGGAGTGCCAGTGAAGATTAAAGACCTAATTTTAAAAGATGTACACACCCAATCTCTCACATGGTTGTTCATTCTTTTTACCTTCAGGCTTTCATCTTATTACACAAGGCAGGAAGTAGATTCTTTTCTTCTAGATTCAAGTGGTAAATTTATGTTCTGATAACATATTTAGGGAGCCTTTGGAATAAAATAATCTTAAATGTTTTTTTGTATCTTTGGTGAAATGCTGCATATTCAACCATTAAAGGAACACTTTCTTTTAAATCTCATAAGAGGAAATATATTCGTGCTGTAAAATATCTTCTTCTAAAAAGATGAATTTTTTATTTCTTCTAGTTGTATGTAGAAAAATGCTTTATTTAAGTCAAAACAATTTAGAAAACAACATGCTTTCTCCTTTTGATTATTAACACCAATGTTCAAATTAGTAAAACATGTCAAGTGGACTTTGCATGAAAAGTCAACAGAATGCTTTTTATTTGGCTTGCAGAGACCCTTACCTCACACTACTGAAGATCCCCTGTTGGCGTGCTGGTCAAACAGCTAACCTGTCCTTGCCAATAAATGCTATCCATTCCAGCCAAATTGAGTTTCTGAAAAGTAGAGCCCACTTTCCTGTTGACTTTCATTGAAAAACAGGAAGTTTACATGTACTCAACACCAAACATCTCTCAGTAAACAGTCTTAAAGGACTTAATGCATATCAGGTGCTCTATAAACATTAGCTGCCATTGCTTTAAAAAACATTAGCTGCTATTGCCATTGCTGCCAAAGAAAGGCAAATGTTTAACTATGAAAGTAATGGCAGCTAATGTTCAGCCCTAGACCAGATTTGAGCCTTGTTGGGAAGTGCAGGTCCCTAAAGCAGTGTTTTCTGCTAGAATGGCTTTAGAACACACAAGGGCAAATTTCTCTTCACTCACCTGAAAGCTTCAGTTGTTCTCTTGAGTTAGAAGCTTCACATTGGAAACTCCTGATTCCGCTCCTGTAGCTGAAGTGAGGACAGGCACAGAACACAGACTTGAAGCATATACTTTCAACGTTTCTGCCACCTAATGCACAACTGACGGCAACTCAAAGATATCTTACACATTCCTGCTTTTACTTAAGGAAAACATATTGTTCCTCTGCTCTATCAATTATGTAAGTCAGCAATGGTGAACCTATATTTAGCTTAAAGTAAGAGACCTAGCAATCTGAAATGCTAAATACTATTTCTATTTAAGTTACAAGATTGTCAAGTCAATCAAGGTATTAGTATTTAAGTTGTTTTTCATTATTTGAATATTATTGCACATAGTTTTATATGATAGGGTTGAAAAACAATCTTAAGTATTAAAGATGTGCCAGATTCTATGGCATAATAAAGGGAGTAAAATGCAATACATCATTGAGTGCCATGGCTCACACCTATAATCCTAGCCCTTCAGGAGGCCGAGGTGAAAGAATCACTTGAGCTCACGAGTTCAAGATCAGCCTGAGCAGCGTGGTGAAACTGCATCTTTACAAAAAGTGCAAAAAATCAGCCAAATATGGTGGCGTGCACCTGTAGTCCCAGCCATTTAGGGGGCTGAGGTGGGAGGATTGCTAGAGCCCAGGAGATGGAGGCTGCAATGAGCCATGTTCACTCCACTGCACTCCAGCCTGGGTGACCAAGTGATACCCTGTCTACAAATAACAATAATAATAATAATAATAATAATAATAATAAAACACCAACTTCTTTTGGCTGATAGGAGGGGTTTTTTTCCCCAAGACTCAGGCTCCTAGCTTCTGGATGGGGACCTATCTTACTCATGCAACTTTAAGATCAAGTTCAATCAGGATGCAGCATAAGGTTACAGGGCCTGTGCAATACGTAACTCCTGAGGTACCATTTGCTTAGACCAGGCATGTCCAATATCTGGGCTTCCCTGGGCCACACTGGAAGGAGAATTGTCTTGGGCCACACATAAAATACGCTAAGGATAGCTGATCAGCTAAAAAGAAAAAAAAGTTGCAAAAAATAAAAATAAAAACTCATAATGATTTAAGGAAGTTTATGAGTTTGTGTTGGGCTGCTTTCAAAGCTGTCCTGGGCCACATGTGACCCATAGGCCGCAGGTTGGACAAGCTTGGCCTAGGCTATGGTGTGAGTGCTGCTCCTTGGTGCTTTTAAGTACTTGGAGCCCAATGGCCTATTTCTCATGGGGTCTCTGATTACTTTGTTCTTGAAAATCATTTCCCGACATATAACCCTTTCTCACTGTTTACCCTTTTGAAATCTCTTTCAATTGTTGATTTCCAAGTAATGTATATAAAATAGCAACTAACTGTTTTCAAGAAATATGATGGTTAGCTGGGCTCAGTGGCGCTTGCCTATAATCCCAGCTGCTGGGGAGGCTAAGGCAGAAGGATTGCCAGAGTCTAGGAATTCGAGGCCAGCTTGGATAACATAGTGGGATCCCAAGTCTATATATATATAAAAGGAATATGATGTTTAGCCTAAGGAAGAGGTGTAAAAATGTGGGGGGAAAATGTGCATTTTAGCATTCTTGAAATACAGTATTATTTCTCTCTCTGAACACTGGTACTGTAGAAAGCTGACCCAACTCACCTTTAAATGTCTATCATCTTCAAGGCAGCAAGACATTTTAATGGAAAGCAGGCACCCTGGACTAGGCCCTAGACTTACCTGTGTCACTAAGATTCACATAACTCTTTTGGGCCTCAGTTTCATCATCTGTAATCTGAAGGGATTTAGCTCCAGTGCCCTTCAGATTTAACATTAAATAATTCTTGGAAATAAGGAGTCCTAAAATCTTTAACACTGCATTAAACTACCTGTATAGCTGAATTTTAACCATAAAATTTCATATAGAAATAGACTTGCATTTTTCATGGTGGGGACATAAATAATATTAATACCACACTAAAGTAATCAGATCACTGCATATGCTCACCTCCCATTTTGCTATAGAAATGTGTTTAAAACACAATGTAGCTATCACCTATTTTCAATATATACTTCTCTCTAGCTAGCTATATTTAAATTATGCATTAAATTCAGAATGTCACACACACACAAACAAGTGTTTAAAAAATCATATCTTAGTTCAAAACATTCTCAAATATATAAAGTTAAACTACATGGAAAAGCTTAAAAGAAAATTAAATATTGGGTCTAATTGTAAGAATTCTTGAAGAAATGTGGAACCAACACAAGAATGAATTCTCTAACTAGTAGCCAGTCCCAACTTCATGCAAAAGCCACAGATATTGCAGAATATTTATTTACTTTTCCCTTGAGTCACGTTTCAGGCCACACAGAGTCAGTGGCAGGTGGTTGCTCAATAGACTTTCTTCCTTTCCTCCACCCTTCCCTGGTTTCCTTTTTACCCTTATCACTCCCTTCTCCCTAGGGCTCAGTCCATTCTGCAGGCACCCCAAGTGGCCAAGGCCCCAGGGACCTCTGGCCTTGACTAGACAGAAAGAGGTTGCTTTTACAGTCTTCTCAAGGGTGCAGGCTTAAGTCTTTTTAATTCTTCAAAATGGGACATTTAAAATACAGCACAACCCTTTTCGTGCCATATTTGATAGCATCACAAAGCAGAACAGCTAGAGCAGAGACCCTAAGGTAGGAGGGGGCCTGGTATGTTCCAGGGACAGTGAGGAGGCTGGAAGGTCTGGAGCAGAGTAAGAAGAAATGAGAGGGGACCAGACTGTGTAGGGCCATCAGAAGGCCCACCAGGTGGACTTTGGCTTTTCACCGTGAGTATTATGAGGAGATAGTGCAAGGTTTTGAGCAGAGACCTGCTCCAATTTAATGCTTTAATGGGTCCCTCTGGCTGCGGTGTTGAAAAGGGACTGTAGAAGGATAAGGTGGAAGTATGGAGTTTAGTTAGGTGATTGCAAGAGCCCCGGTGAGTGATGATGGCGGCTTGAACTAAGGTGGAGAGTAGTGGAAGCAGTGAGAAAGTAGACTCCACATCTATTCTGAAAGTTGAAATGAACCAACAGGGCTTTCCTGATGAATTTGATTTGGAGAATGAAAGAAACAGAAAGGTTAAAGATGATGCTAGTCTCCTATTTTGGGCATTCAATAGATTGTTCTATTTTCTTACCAAAACACATAAGTTTTTGCACAGGAAAGTTTTTCTTGATGTTTTTCAGAATTATGATGTCAGTAGAGTCCTGGATTGAGCCTAATTCTGAATCACAGTCCATAGTGTAATAATGTTTCATCAGCATATAATACTGTACTTTCCTCACTTCCAACTCCTTTATTTATTTAATTTATGGCGCAATTTCAGCTCACTGCAGCCTCTGCCTCCTGGGTTCAAGCAATTCTCCTGCCTCAGCCTCCCGAGTTGCTGGGATCACAGGCATGTGCCACCCAGCCCTGATTTTGTTTTGTTTTGTTTTGTTTTGCTTTTTTAGTAGAGACAGGGTTTCACCATGTTTGCCAGGCTGATCTCTAACTCCTGACCTCAGGTGATCCACCCTCCTCAGCCTCCCAAAGTGCTGAGATTGCAGGCGTGAGCCACGACGCCCAGGCTTGAACTCCATTTTTAATGCCCTTTTCACAGATCTGATTTCATTACCCAGTTACTACTTACTGAAACCTTCATCAGCATCCTAAAAATATAACTGTGGTAGGAAGTCCAGATTTTTCTTTATTTATTTGTAAGTAAGTCATTTTGTTCTTAAGGCCAAGACACTACATTTACATCTTGCTTTCTGAGTCTAGTTAATCCAAGTGTTCAAGACACTGCTTTGGAAAACTATTTAGTAGCAGGCTTCTTCTGAAGAATTCTTAGCACATGACATTTCAAGATCACACCTCACTAAAATCTTCTAATGATGATTGGTGTTTTTATTTCTAGTCTTTAACATTTTTAGTATTTTTAACTGTCTTATCACTAATGACAATTTAGATAATAATTTTTTATCTTTTTAAATTTTATTTCAATAGTCTTTGGGAAACAGGTGGCTTTTGGTTACATGGATAAGTTTTTCGGGGGTGATTTCTGAAATTTTGATGCACCCATCACCCAAACAGTGTACATTGTACCCAAGGTGTAGTCTTTTATCCCTCACCCCCCTCGAACCCTTTCCCCCGAGTCCCCAAAGTCCATTATATCGTTCTTATGCCTTTGCATCCTCACGGCTTAGTTCCCACTTAGAAATGAGAACATACAATGTTTGGTTTTCCATTCCTGAGTTACTTCGGTCTCCAACTCCATCCAGATTGCTGCAAATGTCATTATTTCATTCTCTTTTATGGCTGAGTAGTATTCCATGGTATGTAGGAATATATATTAACTAGACTCAGAAAGCAAGATTTAAAAGCAAGATTTAAATGTAGTAGTTTTGGCCTTAAAAACAAGAGGACTTTTTACAAATAAATAAAGAAAAATTTGGACTTCCTACCACAGTTATATTTTATATCACATTTTCTTTATCCAGTCATCAGTTGATGGGCATGTAAGCTGGTTCCATATTTTTGCAATTGCAAATTGTGCTGCTATAAATATGCATGTGTAAGTGTCTTTTTCATATAATGACTTCTTTCCCTTTGGGGGAAATCCCAATAGTGGGATTGCTGGATTGAATAGTAGTTATGCTTCTAGTTCTTTAAGGACTCTTCATACTGTTTTCTGTAGTGGTTGTAGTTTACATTCCCACCAGCAGTGTAAAAGTATTCACTTTTCACCACATCAACGCCAATGTCTATTTTTTTTAATTTTTAAATTATGGTCATTTTTGCAGGAGTAAGGTGGTATTTCATTGTAGTTTTAACTTGCATTTCTCTGATAATTAGTGATGTGAGGCATTTTTTCACGTTTGTTGGCCATTTGTATATCTGCTTTTGAGAATTGTCTATTCACGTCTGTATTAGTCTGTTAATGCTGCTGATAAAGACATACCCAAGATTGGGTAATTTATAAAGAAAAAGGTTTAATGGATTCACAGTTCCACATGGCTGGGAATGCCTCACAATTATGGCAGAAGGTGGAAGGCACATCTTACATGGCAGCAGGAAAGAGAGAATGAGAGCCAAGCGATAGGGGAACCCCTTATAAAACCATCAGATCTCATGAGACTTATTTACTACCACAAAAATAGTATGTGGGAAACCATCCCCATGATTCAATTATCTCCCACCAGGTCCCTCCCACAACACGTAGAACTTATGGGAGCTACAATTCAAGATGAGATTTGGGTGGGGACCCAGGCAAACCATATCAATGTTTTTTACCCACTTTTTGATGGGGTTGTTTTGTTCTTGCTGATTTGTTTGAGTTTTGAGTTTCTTGTAGGTTCTGGATATTAGTCGTTTGTCAGATGCATAGTTTGCAAAGATTTTCTCCCACTCTGGTTTGTCTGTTTGCTGATTATTTCTTCTGCTGTGCAGAAGCTTTTTAGTTTAATTAGGTCCCATATATTTATTTATGTTGCATTTGCTTTTGTGTTCTTGGTCATGAACTCTTTGCCTAAGCCAAGGTCTAGAAGAGTTTTTCTGATGTTATCCTCTAGAATTTTTATAGTTTCAGGTCTTAGATTTAAGTCTCACATTCATCTTGAGTTGATTTTTGTGTAAAGTGAGAGATGAGGATCCAGTTTCGTTCTTCTACATGTGACTTTCCAATTATCCCAGTGCCATTTGTTGAATAGGGTGTCCTTTCCCCACTTTATGTTTTTGTTTGCTTTGCCAAAGATCAGTTTATGTAAGTATTGGCTTCATTTCTGGATTCTCTGTTCTCTTCCATTGTTCTACGTGCCTATTTTTATACCAGTACCATGCTATTTTGGTAACTACAGCCTTGTAGTATAGTTTGAAGTCTGGTAATGTGATACCTCCAGATTTGTTCTTTTTGCTTAGTATTGTTTTGGCTATGTGGGCTTTTTTGGGGGTTCCATGTGAATTTTAGAATTGTTTTTTCTAGTTCAGTGAAGAGTGATAATGATATTTTGATGGGAATTGCATTGAATCTGTAGATTGCTATTGGCAGTATGGTCATTTTTACAATACTGATTCTACCCATTCATGAGCATGAGTTTTCATTTGTTTGTGTTATCTTTGGTTTCTTTCAGCAGTGTTTTGTCATTTTCCTTGCAGGTATCTTTCACCTACTTGGTTAAGTATATTCCTAAGTATTTTATTTTTTATTTTTTGCAGCTATCGTAAAAGGGATTGAGTTCTTTATTTGATTCTCAGTTTGGTCACTGTTGGTGTACAGCAGTGCTACTGATTTGTGTACATTGATTTTGTATCCTGAAACTTTACTGAATTCATTCATCAGATCTAGTAGCTTTTTGGATGAGTTTTTAGGGTTTTCTAGGTATGCAGTCATATCATCAGTGAACAGCAACAGTTTGACTTCCTCTTTTCTAATTTAGATGGCTTTTATTTCTTTTTCTTGTCTGATTGCTCTGGCTAAGACTTCCTGTACTATATTGAATAGAAGTGGTGAAAGTGGGCATCCTTATCTTCTTCCAGTTCTTGAGGGAATGCTTTCAACTTTTCTCCCATTTAGTATGAAGCTGGCTGTGGGTTTGTCATAGATGGATTTTATTATCTTGAAATATGTCCCTTCTATGCTGATTATGCAGAGATCTTTAATCATAAAGGGATGCCATATTTTGTCAAATAACTTTTCTGTGTCTATTGAGATGATCATATGATTTTTGTTTTTAATTCTGTTTATGTAATGTATCACATTTATTGACTTGCATATGTTAAAGCATCCCTGAGTCCCTGGTATGAAATCCACTTGATCATGGTGGATTATATTTTTGATATGCTGTTGGATTCAGTTAGCTAGTATTTTGTTGAGGATTTTTGTGTCTATGTTCATCAGGGATATGTTTTCTTTTCTTGTTATGTCCTTTCCTGGTTTTGGCATTACATTTGGTGATACCAGCTTCATAGAATGATCTGGGAGGATTTCCTCTTTCTCTGTCTTTTGGAATAGTTCTGGTAGGATTGGTACCAATTCTTCTTTAAATGTCTGATAGAATTAGCTGTGAATGTATATGGCCCTGGACTTTTTTTTATTGTCAATTTTTTTATTACTGTTTCAATCTCGCTACATATTATTGGTCTGTTCAGAGTTTCTATTTCTTCCTGATTTCATCTAGGAGGGTTGTATTGATATATTTCCAGGAACTTATCCATCTCCTCTAGATTTTCTAGTTTGTGTGCATGAAGGTATTTGTAGTAGCCTTGAATGTTTGTATTTCTGTGGTATCAGTTGTGATATCTCCCATTTCATTTCTAATTGAGCTTCTTTGGATTCTCTCTCTTGTTTTCTTGGTTAATCTTGCTAATGGTCTATCAATTTTGTTTATCTTTTTGAAGAATCAGCTTTTTGTTTCATTTAACTTTTATATCTTTTTTTTGTCAGTTTCATTTAGTTCTACTCTGATCTTTGTTATTTTTTTTTTTCTTCTGCTGGGTTTGGGTTTGGTTTGCTTCTGTTTCTCTAGTTCCTTGAGATGTGACATTAGGTTGTCTATTTGGGGTCTTTCAGACTTTTTGATGTAGTCATTTAATGCTATGAAATTTCCTCTTAGCACTGCTTTTGTTGTATCCCAGAGGTTTTGATAAGTTGTCTCACTATTATCATTCAGTTCAAAGAATTTTTTAATTTCCATCTTGATTTCATTGTTGACCAAAGATTATTCAAGAGCAGATTGTTTAATATCTATATATTTGTATAGTTTTGAGGCTTCCTTTTGGAGTCAGGATACTTGATATGAATTTGGTTTTCTTAAATTTATTGAGACTTGTTTTGTGGCCTATCATATGGTCTATCTTAGAGAATGTTTCATGTGCTGATGAAAAGAGTGTATACTGCAATTGTTTGGTAGAATGTTCTGTAAATATATGTTAAGTCCATTAGTTCTAGTGTAGAGTTTAAGTCCATTGTTTCATTGTTGATTTTCCATCTTGATGACATGTCTAGTGCTGTCATTGTAGTATTAAAGTCCCCCACTATTATTGCATTGCCATCTATCTCATTTCTCAGGCCTGGTAGTAATTGTTTTATGAATTTTGGAGCTCCAGTATTCGGTGCATATGTATTTAGGATTGTGATATTTTCTTATTGGACTAATCCTTTCATCATTACATAATGTCCCTCTTGGTCTTTTTTAGTGTTGTTGCTTTAAAGTCTGTTTTGCTTGATATAAGAATAGCTACTCCTGCTCACTTTTAGTTTCCATTTGTGTGGAATATCTTTTTCCACCTCTTTACCTTAAGTTGATGTGATTCCTTTTGTGTTACGTGAGTCTCTTGAAGACAGCAGATACTTGGTTGGTGGTTTTTAATCCATTTTGCCATCATGCGTCTTTTAAGTGGAGCATTTAGGCCATTTACGTTCAAAGTTAGTATTGAGATGTGAGGTACTGTTCTATTCATTATGCTAGTTGTTGCCTAAATACTGTTTTGTTTTGTTTCATTTTGTTCTTGTTTTATAGGTCCTGTGAGATTTACGCTTTGATGAAGTTCTATTTTGGTGTATTTCAAGGTTTTGTTTCAAGATTTAGAACTCCCTTGAGCATTTCTTGTCAGGCTGGCTTGGTAGTGGCAATTTCTCTCAGCATTTGTTTGTCTGCAAAAGACTTTCTCTCTCTTTCATTTATGAAGCTTAGTTTTGCTGGATACAAAATTCTTGGCTAATTGTCTGCCAATTATTTTGTTTAAGGAGGCTAATGATGGGACCCTAATCCCTTCTGGCTTGTAAGATTTCTGCTGATAAACCAGCTGTTAATCTGATAGGTTTTCCTTAATAGGTTACCTGATGCTTTTTCCTCATTGCTCTTAAGATTCTTTTCTTTGTCTTGATTTTAGATAACCTGATGACTGTGTGCCTATGTGATGATCTTTTTGTGAATAATTTCACAGGAGTTCTTTGAGCTTCTTGTATTTCATTGTCTAGATCTCTGGCAAGGCCAGGGAAGTTTTCCCCAATTATTTCCTCAAATAAGTTTTCCAAACTAAAATTTTTCTTCTTCCTCAGAAACAGCAATTATTCTTAGGTTTGGCCATTTAACATAATCCCAAATTTCTTGGAGGAGGCTTTGTTCATTTTTTTTCTTTGTCTTTGTTGGATTGTGTTAATTTGAAAGCCTTGTCTTTGACCTCTGAAGTTTTTTTCTACTTGTTCTAGTCTATTGTTGAAACTTTCCACTGCATTTTTTATTTTCCTAAGCAAGTCTTTCATTTCCAGAAGTTATGATTGTTTTTTCCTTATGATATATATTTCTCTGGAAAATTTTTTATTGATGTCCTATATTTGTTTTAAGTTTCTTTAAGTTAGTTTTCAGCCAACTTACCTTTCTCTTGTATCTCCTTGAGTAGCACAATTCTGAATTCTTTATCTGGCAATTCAGAGATTTCGTCTTGGTTTGGATCCATTCCTAGGGAGTTAGTGTGACCTTTCATGGGTGTTATAGAACCCTGGTTTGTTTTATTACTAGAATTACTTTTCTGGTTTCTTCTCATTTGGGTAGACTATTTCTTAAAATTGTTCTTGAATTTATTTTTGCTTAAAATTTTTTTTAACTTAAATTTATTTATTCCCTCTTAAGGATTAGACTTTAATGTTTATTTTAGCCTAATTTAATTCTTGGTGCTTGTAGGGTTGAAGACTCAGTATGAGATCCTTAGTTACAGAAAGTTTTTTTGTGTGCTGGCTTTCCCTTATGCTGTTTGTAGTTGTTACATTCTTGGTGAGTGGGTGAGTTCACTGCCTCTTATGGAGTTGGAATGGCAGGTATCTCTTGAAGCTTATCTTGTTCTCTCATGGTGTACCCTTTATTTATTTATTTAACTTTTTTCCCACTGTTTTATTTACTGAGTTGACTTTAGGCCATTAGGAGAGGTATCCCTGGTTAGGCACTGGTTGTGGCTAAGGCAGGTGGGTAGATGTAATACCCAATGGTGGGCTGAGGTCCCAGCCTTGATGAAGTTGGCTGGAGGACCTCTCAATTAGATGTGCTGAGGTTTCATCAAGGTGAGGAGTGGGAGCTACCTCAGCTCTCCTGCCAGGTCAGCAGGAAAGCTACTCACCTCACAGCCTTATTCCTGTCCCAGTGTTCTGGCTATTCGGATAAGACAGGCACCTCTTTTCATCTATGGAAATGTTGATGTTCCAAGTAGGGAAGAATTGTGACTTTGCCTCTCATGCAGGCTTGAATCTGGAGTGTGTTCCTCCTGTGGGGCTGCACTCACCCTGGATTGTTCCAGAAAGGCTGTCTATAGGTGCCTCCATTCTTCTGGGGGAAGCCCAACTGTGTCTGCAGTAGAGTGCCAGGGGAAACAAGGACCCCTTCTTTAAGGTCCTACACAATCACAGGGGATGCCTGCCGTTTGGGGTAGAGGTACAGACTTTCCCTACTGTGCCCAGCACTGCAATTGTGTCTCTGCTATGAGAAACTTCCCACCACTGGAAAGATTTGGAACTCAAGGCCTGCTGTTCACATTCTTTTGTACCATAGGGTGATCCTTTGATGTAGTGCTCGCCCCCTTCCCTTAGAAATGGGACATCCTGAGAGCTGGACTGCAGTGATTGTTATTTCTCTTCTTAGTCTAACCACCCAGCAGGACTACCAGGCTCCAGGCTGGTGCTGGCAAATGTCTGCAAAAAGTCCTGTGATATGACCAGTCTTCAGGTCTCCCAGCTGTGGATACCAGTACTTGCTCTGGTGGAGGTGGCAGGGGAGTGAAGTAGACTCTATGAGAATCCTTGGGTTTAACGTGCCGGCTTTCTCAGATGCTGGTTATGCTAGCAGTGAAGTCGTCATGTGGACAGACTCAGGACCTCTGGTTAGCCAGGATGTTACAGGCAGCAGTATTAGCTGTTCTTTTCTTCTTCCTGGGATCAGGGTTATTCTGTCATGAGTTGCAGTAATGGCCTGAGTTGGTCTGCCTCCAGCCAGGAGGTGGTGTTTTCAAGAAGGCACCAGCTGCAGTAGTAACAGTGGGATTTAAGCTTGCACTAAATTGTCCAAGGGAGGTATTCTGGTTTCTCAGGCAATAGGTGGGTCCATAAAGCTCTCAAGAGTTTATGTCTTCTGTGTTCTGCTACCACGGCAGGTAGAGAAATACCATCAAGTGGGGGCAGGGATAGACTCTCCTTGGGCGGGTCAGACTCTCCTTGGGTAGGGCTTGCTGCAGCCACTGTGGGGGTTGGGGGGTGTGGTTCTCAGGCCAGTGAGGTTACCTTCCAAAGGGGATTATGGCTGCCTCTGCTGTGTCATATAGTTTATCAAGGAAGTGGGGGATACCTGGTAGCAAAAGGCCCCACCCAGCTCCCACGCAGTTGGCGAGGCCAGTCTCACTCCTGCAGTGCTCTGCTAATAGAGCCGAGTTTCCATCCAGGCAGCCTGTGCACAATGAACTCAGACCTGCCCCAGGCCATAGGCTTCCCTGCTGAGAAAGCAAGCACAGCTTTCAGGCCTCGCCCCTACCTGTCTGCCCACAGTGTTGGTAGCTCCTGCCCTCATATCTGCAGCAGTTTCCACTCACCCCCCAGATTCTGCTTAAGAAAGTTCACGCCCAGTGGCAATTATTATAAAATTCAGTTGGAAGCTTCTTTCACCCCATGACCCCTCCCTAATTCCACTGGCTGCCTTCCTGGAGGCGCTCTGTGAGATACAGTTATATACCTTCCCTGGGCTCAAGCTAGAGAAACTGGGAGTGCCTATAAGGCTTTTCCCATTGCTGCTACTATTGTATTTCACCCAGATCCCTGAATCCATTCCAGCTCTAATTTAGGTTAAATCCCTCTCCTGTGATCTGGATTTTCAGATTCCCTAGTGGAATTCAGAGGCAGGTGGTTCAGAGGCAGTGGGTTCAGAGGCAGGTTTTCTCTCCTCTCGCACTCTAGGAACTCAGTTTTTCACCCGTCTCTCAGAATTTGCAGTGGTGTGCCACTCCTTTCAAAGGATCTGTGAATTCTTTCGGTGTTCCTGGTAAGTTCCTATGGTGGTTCTTGGAACAAAAGTTCATGATGTGAGTCTCCACACACTATTCTGTCTGAGCAAGTGCAAGATGCACATTAGCCCTGTCTCCTATCTGCCATCTTCTGCCTGTCTCCTTGATAATAATATTTGATTTCATGTATAAACTGCCTGAAATTCCATGGTTTCATGTAGTCAAAAAATGTTTTTCCAAAATTAAAAGCTAAAATCATGTAGCAAAATGTAAAAATAAAATTTAATTTGAATGAGCTGACATTTTTTGGACCTTCAGAGAAAAAAAGAAATTAAGCAAACTTCCTAAAAGCTGTTCATTTCTTTCATCTTGTCTCATTTGCTGTTTGACCCAGTGCCATCTGGCATCCACATTCCTTGTTCTCCTCACACAGTCCTCTCCAGAGACACAAATTACCCCCTAGTCACCAGATTCTTCCTTGACCCTTATTCTGCTTGGTCTTTTCATTTTTGATAGGAAATGTCTGTTCAGTAAATGAACATTTGGTTTTATGATCTAGTTAATGTATGTTTTTATACTTCCTAAAAAAACATTGTGTTAATAAATAACATATAATGCTAACAATATTATAGACAGATTCCATTCTGCTCACAAAAAGAATACCACATTAATAAAGTTATTTCTGTCCTAGGGAAGACCAAGGCACATATTTGAAAATATTCACTAGAGCCTGAGATCATACTTAGGACTGGATGACTTGTGGGAGATGGAAGGGGTAGAGGAAAAAGGGCAGTTCCTACATAGCTGATTTCATAGGGTATAATGTTTTCTTACAGATACCATATGCATGCAAGTATAACAGGGTTTTGGGAGAACTTACCTGGGAGCAGCATAAATCAGAAGAAGACAGCATATGCATTTTAAGATTTGAGGGTTTTTTTTAATGTGTATAAAAATTTTGTTGATTTACTATTATTCCTCAAGTTATGTACCTTTTATTTCCCACTTTCATAACCAACTCAGAAATTTCTCATCCCTATAGGTAGCATCACTGTCCTTCCTGTCATGATGCTCACAGCCTCAGGACAACCTTTGGTCTTGCTCTTATTTATCACTTACCATCTCCTGTTGAATCTGTCCATTCTATCCCTGTAATCCATCATACCTCTTTCTTTTCCTAGTGCCACTACTCCCAGTTCAGAGTCACAAAAGGTTGTCCCTTTTGATATCACCCACTCGTTCATCTACTATTTATTGAGTTTCTTCTTTATCCCTTTGTCAGAGACCAGGGACACAAAGATGAATGGCTTCCTTGCCCTCAAGTAGTCAAGTCTAGTATGACATAGGCTTATCAACAAATATTCACAGTATATATTCCTAAAACTGTTTTGAAAAAAAGTCACTATATTATCTTCAGATAATGTGCTTTTATTATTCCCAGCTATAAATACTAGAAAAGTAAGCTAAATAACTAGCTGTGTTTTGCCTTTTTCTGGCTTATTTTACCCAAATTAACAGTGTAAGCTTAGATGTACCTTCAAAACCTAAACCTGCATTCTCTAATTTCTGTGTCATCCTTGATGCCTAGAGCTGTCATTGACAAGTGTCTGTTTTAGAACTAATACACTTCAAGAACAACATTCTGCTCACTGAGCAGTTCCATTATTTGTCATGAAAGAGCTGCACATTCAGATCTGTATTTGTATTTGTATCTGTATATACTTCCTAAATTCAGATTTAATGGTCTGACTTTCCTTCTGATGAACAGCAGCCAACCCATCATCCCCAGACAATGAATGGAAACAGTGGTTTTGTGGATCTTCTTCCTAAATCTGTTGAGGAAAGGACATTTTCAAAGTAAGGAGTGAGAAGGAAGATGAATTGTTTATGGGAGATCATGATATAAAAACCATGTTGTTCTGTTTTATTTCTAGCTACAAGAAAACACATGAAACCCTGAGTCACGCAGGGCAAAAGGCAACTGCAGCTTTCAGCAACGTTGGAACGGCCATCAGCAAGAAGTTCGGAGACATGAGGTACTGTGGGAAAATACCATGGGAACGGCGCTAAGCCCTTGGCTTTCCGATTGAAGGGAGCACTAGCTATTAGCTGCTCATCTCAACATATGTATTTTTTTATTTTAATGGATAAAAATGTTATATGGCTGATATGATTGATGACTAAGATAAATTTTCACACTGGGACATTTTCTGCCTGAAGGTCAGGCTTAGGTGGCCTGGTCCCAGAGTTGCTGTTTCTACTAGGACCCGACCTGGTAAAAATAGAAGATACAGGGTAGTGAGGCAGATTTGAAAAGAATGCAGCATGTGCAAATTCTTACTAGCTGTAATATAAATGATAAATTAAAACATGCATTTAGTGGAATGCACTCCCATAAACTATTCTAGATTGCATATTTGTATACATCCATCTAGTATATTTTTTCTGTGTTAAATAGGTACATATTTATCCTTTTATTCCATAAAGGTACCACACATATACACTTCTGGTAGTTTTCTTTCTTCATTTTCTAACTATTTTGTGAGTATGTTAAATATTTATTGCACCTTCATTTTTAATGAATTTATCTCCCAGTGCGTAGCTATAGCAATGCTTTTAGATAAGTAACCTTGCACATTTTCATTATTTTCAATATTTCACTGTTACATAAAATAAGGGTGACCATCAAGGTTGATTTTGACTTGAGAACCAAAAGTTCTCACTGGAGGCACCAGGAAAAAAAAAATGTAGTATTGCCCATAGTTTTTCATATTATATACAATATTATATACAATATATTATATACCATATTATATAGAGGTATTACTCTTAGTTTTTGCTTATTTAAATACCAGTCATAGTTTTATTTTGCATTTGGCTGATATGCCTTGGAGGATTTTTCTTTAGAAATCAGTTTCATTTTTCCCTCTATTCTTTAAAAACTTTTCGAGCACATTTTACATTTCTTCTTTAAAAAAAAAAAATCTCTGCGTATTTATTTTACTGGATTCTTAAACTGTTACTTTTTTATTAAAAAGAAAAAGCTTTGGGCTGGGCACAGTGGCTCATGCCTGTAATCCCGTCATTTTGGGAGACTGAGGCAGGTGGATCCCTTGAGGTCAGGAGTTAGAGACCAGCCTGACCAACATGGTGAGACCCTGTCTCCATTAAAAAATATATATATATACACAAAAATTAGCCAGGCATGGTTGTGTGTGCCTGTAGTCCCAGCTGCTGAGGAGGCTGAGGCAGGAGAATCACTTGAACCCAGGAGGCAGAGGTTGCAGTGAGCCCAGATCACGCCACTGCACTCCAGCCTAGGCAATAGAGTGAGACTCTGTCTCAAAAAAAAAAAAAAAAAAAGAAGGAAAAGCTTTGACACTGAGAGGCAAATATCTTCCTAACTTTACACTTATAGATACATCTTTATAAATTATATTATTAAATTTTATTTACTTCAAAAATTGCTGGACTGTCCACAATATTCATTCACTATTTTAACAACTAGGCATTCACAAGGACATGTGCATGAATCTGAGTACATTGTTTTATCTTCATTTTTACTAATGCCACAATAATAAAAAGTAATTGAAATTCTTCAGAAGCAGGTGTGATAAACAGGTAAACCTTCTGGATTATTAATTACCCCTAATTTTATTACAAATAAAATTTGTAATAATTTTAACGGCGTTATAACATTTATCTAAACTAATTAAATAATCCTTTAAAATAGGAAACCCTCTATAACCTGTTATACCCAAGAAAACATATTTTCCCATGTTTATAAAATTGATTCTCTTCATACTGTGTTGAAATCTTTCACTTGAACCCTGGGAACTCCAGCATGACACTGCTAACTAGAATAGTGCTTCTGCATCTTTAGGAGATCTTACAAACACCTCTGAAGCTTGTTTAGAATACATATTCTTAGGTTGCACCTCTCAGAGGTTGTGCTCAGTAAGTCTGAGGTGGAGTCTAGGAATCTGCATTTATAACAAGCTTCCAGATAATTTGGCTTCAGAGGGTCAGTTTATGAGGAAGACAGACATAGCTTAGCTCACCTGTATCTGGGGTTTTCACTAATAAAATGGAGATAAGAATAACAATGTCACTGGACTGTTATAAAAGTAGCAGAAGAAAGTCTGACATGTATTATGCACTCAAAAAATTGCAGTTTTTTATCTTTAAGTGACCAGCTCAGTTACAAGATGGCCCCACATGGTAGAAATTAGGGAGAGTACATTAACAGGAGCCCACTGTATTTCATAAAGGCCCTGCTCATTGTTTTTCCCAATAGTGAAGAATGAAGACTGTGTTTCACATATGCAATATGTTGGCATTCATATTCAAACACTAATTGGGTACAATGTCAAGGTTGTATTGACTGCCTTTCCTCCCGTTTCAATGTGGCTTTGTCTAGTATAGTGGATGGCCTATTTTCCAGGACTTCCAAACTTTCCATTTGTTATTATCCCATGTAGAGGGTACAACATTTTCATTATAAACTGTGGCTAAAAATATTGGAAAATACAATCTGTGTTGCTAGATAATCAAATACAATCCTGAAATATTTTGAAGAGTTTGAAAATTTCAGAGCTTTATTTATATAATATTTTATGTGTATATTTCTCTCAAACTATATCTAACATTTGTATATAAATGAGAATAACTCTTTGTGAAAGCAACAAGTTTTACAAAGATTTTTACTTTTAAATTATGCCCAAACAAGTAATATAAATAAAAGTCATTTTGAAAGTGTTTAAACTTAATAAAAGACCTTAAATGGGAAAAAATAGTAAGCTTTGATTGTTTGTTCAAAAACTAATGTGCCAATTTGTAAATATGGGGAATATGTTAAAATTTGGTCACAGACCTTTTATTTTAAACTTCTTTTTGGTTAAAAGTGTCATATTAGTCTACATTTTTATTAGTTACACTATAACATTTTTGTGCATTCTGGTAACAAATTTCTGAATGTATTCAAAAACATTACCAGCAAAATTCAGATAGCTTGGAAGAACAACAGTACCTCTCAGTTTTTCTTTAAAATAACTCCAAATTAATATTTACAGATTTTGTAAAACCTAGAATTTGGGCCTTTTAATAGCTGAAAAAAAAGCTTTATGTTAAGATTTAATTTGTATGTTTTGTAAAAATAAGTTATATTTTTCTGAGCTAAGTAAGATTCTCATTTTAACCTGATTGTCATGGAATTGCCCACTCTCTTTCTCCATCCATAAAATAACATTGTTAATACCCACTTAACCAAAATATTTCCTGTGAAGTTAAAATGAGGTCACACTTAGGAAAGTACTCAGAAGAAATCCAAGCGGTTGGAATCATTTTTCTAATAACATTGGCATCTTCTGGGAACTTCTCAGTTAATTTGTTCAAACTGATCCACTGGGGACAAAATGTTTGGAGAAGGCATGTCATTTTATTACAGTCCAATCATTGTTATATACTTATAGGAATAACAGAAGCAAAACTTGAGTTGGTAAAATGATTTGTCAGAGACATTAAAAAGTCAGTGTAATCAAGAGTGGTAAATGAAGCTACCCTGTCTGTGCTCTGGGGCCCTTGAAAGGGGACCACCAAGGGCAGTGCAGTGTTTCTCTGCCTCCTGTTTGCTAACTCTGCTCCTGCTCTTCTCTCCTGTGCTTCCGGGCTGCAGGTCTCACTCCATCGGGTAAGCGCCACAGGGCTGCGTGTGGGGCTTTCCCCACTCCCTTGCTGCCCCTTTGCTTTCCAGGGCTCCCTGTTTCTTTCACACTGTGCCTGAACCAACAAAACTACACTCTGTTTTCCAGACAGTTCCCGTGACCAGGAAGATAGTTTATAGGGCACTTAATACATTTGAACTTATTGAAGTACATCTCTATCTCATTTCTGAATCATTTACACCATTTCACTTGCTGAGCTCTCTCTCAGGAGTCTCTTTCTCTGCACCATTTCTTCCGGTGTTGACAGAGCTTCTTAGAATTGAAAAGAAGAAGAAAAAAAAACAAAGTGGAGATTGAAAGTTATATATGTTTTCTGAAACTTCTAGAAAGTAAAGTTGAGAAACAAAAACAGATTTTCTCTAGATTGTCATGTTTCTCTGAATTTCTTGTACCCATAATTTGTGTTGATGTTTCACCTTCAACTTTCTGTGCCTTCTGAAGTTGAAGGGAAGAAAGGTACCGGAAAAGCACGTACGTATGTTAAGAAGTTTGTGATTTTTAATCCCAAGCCCCCGAATTAAAACTTCTTTTAGCCGGAATCTTATTATATACTTTTATTTTTTTAATTTTTTCCTAAGAAAGCGGTCTATATTTACAGAGATACACCAATTGGTAATGCAGATGAGGCTCTTTTAGTGATGCTTTTGAAGTGTAATTTCTGAGGAAATATCTGCCTAATAGTTTCTAAATCAAGTGTCTAGGGTAAGACCGTAAGTATCCCATGAATTTGTTTGTCCTTTTCTTTCTGTGTTCTAGCAAAGTGCTACCCATACTAATGCCCTCAGTGGATATTATGAGGGAAGGGTGACAGATTTGGTCCCTGAACTATTAGCTCCTTGAGAGAAGAGAAAGCAGGGACGCTGTTGAAAAGTGTGAGGTGGGAGCAAGCACTAGGCCAGGAAAATGGACCCATTGTGCTCCTCCCCATGCCCAGCCTGATTTCTGAGTGGAACTCAATAGAAAGTAACAGGCAACCAACCAGAGGGAAGATGAATCAGCTACTAGGATTAATGGGATGAGAAGTTTAAATCTCTTAAAATTCTCAGGAATGTTTGTGTTTGTACCAGATGTTCTTGACAGTCATCTAGTACAAATCAATCATCTTGACAATCAAACCAGAATGGATGCAGAAGTCCCTATGGCCTATGAGAACTGTGTTTGCCTGGCATGTGCTTCCTTGAAAGTCTTATGTTAACTTCTTGCTTTCCTCTGGCCAGTTTCTCTACCATGGAATGATTAGCTTCTACCTGCCTGGCTCTATTTCCTGGATACTGCCTTTTGCTCCTTACTGTTTTCCTGAGCAGAAGGGAGTAGAGACCTAAGTTGGGCCTGGAGAAGATGCCCATGGGCTACTGGGCTCACCTGGGAGAAACCAGACATTCTCAGATTTCCTGGCAAAAGGAGGCTGCAGAAAGTAAAATAATATGCAACCACGGATCCACCATCTACTTTTCATTTATACCCTTGAAAGCTGACTATACCCATTATACCCAACAAAAACAAATGTCATCTTGGTTAGATGGGCAGGGAATATTTCAGATATTTGGAATTGCTGTTTTAGAACTACGAATAGGGAGTTTTTCATGTACTTATGTGTGCTCTCTTCTTTTTTCTTTTTTCCCCTTTAATCTGCTTTTGCTCTGAAGTTACTCCATTCGCCATTCCATAAGTATGCCTGCTATGAGGTAATGTGTGTAAAATATTTTATGTAATATTAATATGAAATGTGTTTAAGGTGTTATTTTATTTATATTTACTTATGGGGTTCCTCTGCTTTATGTGAAAGGAAATTGCTGATGGTCTTCAAAAGAAAAGGCTGACAATTCTGTGGAAGAATTGCGTAGCTTGGGCTTTTGACCAGACATCCTGGCTTAAATCTAGTCTTTCCTGTGTGATCCAAGACAAGTGACTTAACCTCAATTCTTTTATCCATATATTGCAAGAAATAAGACCTACTTCATATGGTGTTTGTGAGGCATAAACAAAGGAACCTACATAAAGCATTTAGCACAGTGTCTGAACATGCCAAGCAATCTTGCAAAGGTAAACTTGGGTTTCTTATTTCCGCAGAATTAAATGCTAGCCTGGGGGCAAGTTTAAATGCAAGGCTAAAGTTCTAGAGAGGATATCATTAGGATTTTTAAGGTGGATATTAAGGTGAGATGTTTGTTAAATAATAAAATGTCAGTATAATTACTGACCAGATAAAAACTGGTGAGAAAGACATTCTTAACTTCAAGTTTGCATGGCATAGTGATGCAATCAGATAAAATTAAACTAATAGCAAGACAGGAATGAGTGTTAAATTGAAAATCAGAAAATGCAGGCTCTAGCCCAGCTCTGCCAAGGATTAACTTTGCACTCTTGGGAAAATCACCTCAATGGTATCAGCTTCATCATATTTAAAATAAGAGGCTAGAACCAGATTAGCTGCTTGTCAAAGATGCCCCTCCACCCACCGAGCCCTAAGGCTGCCTAGAGATGAAGCCTTTGGGATCTTCCCCCACTTCAGTCAGAGCTATGCCTCTTCTACCTGCTTTATATTGATGTTGTTGTTTGAAGGCATTATAGAAGGAGTTTAGTTACTTTCAATAGTTTGAGACCGCCGAAGCCAAATTCTTCATATATATAATCTTTTCCTCTGTTTTTTAACTGTCATGAAGAGAAATTCTTCCTAGGGTCATTTGCAGTGCTAAAAAAGTTTGTACATCTGATTAAATCTTATTAAAGTTGTACATCTGATTAAATCTGATTAAAGAGCTTCTCCCTGTTCTCCAGCATGTATTCTAGTATAATTTAATTAGATAAATGTCTGTTCTATTATATTTTATGAAGGAAGGCTCTTCTACACTGGGGTTATGTGGTTAATTGGTTGATTTGGAAATTCACCCTCAGTATTTAGTTCTCTGTATTTGGTGGTAAACAGAGAGTACAGATTCAAGATTGCTTAATTCATCTTTGAATGGCTTGCTCTCCCTAGAATAAGAATGCCCCAGTTGGGTAGTGGAACCTAAGGCTCTGTTCCCCTTTACTTGTCAAATTTTAAATCTGGGTGTCAGAAGAAGGCTAGTAAAAATTAACATGGTTTTCCCCTGTGAACCAGGAATTCATCTAGTAGTGGCTAATGGGTCAAATGTAGTCTGCATGAGCTTGCCTGAAACTAACTTAAAAAAAAATTATTTTGCTTGTCTAACATATACCCATGAACCATTTCCTCACTGTGGGCCTGTGTAACTGATGGATGACAGGCAGTCATGTGTGCAGGCTTGGCCAAATAAAACCTGCAATGGAAATGAAGTGCCAATAACTATATACTTTTTGAGTCATGCAAGTATAATTTTACTAACATTTCATCATGAAACAGCATTACGGAGGATCACTCATAGGAATTTGACTCGTGTTTGAGTCGTACACAAAATGTGATGCCATGTCAGGGCCCTCTGAATTCACCATTGTTAATCTGTACAGCCTGAATGCAGGTACATTTCTGACCATGTGGAGCACCAAGGACTCAGGAGACAATCCCCAAATTCACTCATAAACATCTATGTTCATTGCCTTTTAGTAGTATAAAAGTGATACTTCATTCTGCACCACATAATGAAACCTATATTCTATAGCTGTTCTCCTTTATAAAGTTTTTCTAGGCCATTCCTCTTATTTTACTTTTTTTTTTTTGCACTCAAGAGAGAATAACAAGTGCCTTATTAATTCAACATTTAGTTGAATTATTTGATCTGAAAATGATGGCAGTTGTTGCTGCTGAAAGCTGACATGGATACAAGATTTAAAATACACTTAGTTCAGTTCCTGTTTCTTTAGTAGGAGCTGGTGGTATTTTTAATGGTGGTGATGTCATTAAATTATAATATCATGGGGCCAAATCCAATACAGAAAACCAGAAAGCACCAAATGAAGTTTTTAGTGCTTAAAGCAACAAAATTATGTATAGATTATTTAATACAATGAATGAGTCACAAATAAAATGCCATTAGGGGCCAGGCACGGTGGCTCACGCCTGTAATCCCAGCACTTTTGGAGGCCGAGGCAGGTGGACCACCTGAGGTCAGAATTCGAGACCAGCCTGGCCAACATGGTGAAACCCCATCTCTACTAAAAATTCAAAAAAAATAGCTGGATGTGGTGGTGGGCACCTGCAGTCCCAGCTACTCAGGAGGCTGAGGCAGGAGAATCGCTTGAACCTGGGAGGCAGAGGTTGCAGTGAGTCAAGATCAGTTCACTGTATTCCAGCCTGGGTGACAGAACGAGACTATCAAAAAAAAGAAAAAAAAAGCCATTAGGCTGCAAAGGTTCTATTTGGTAAGAGAACAAGTAGGTATATCTATTTGAGAGGAAAAATAACGCATGCTAATAACCTCCATTTTGATTGGGCATTAGGTAGGTAATGGGTATGTTTCATCTTAAAATAATGAAAGCATTAACTTTCCAAAACACCACTTCATGTAAGTTGTCAAAATGATTATTTTTTTAAGGCATGGAAAAGAAAAAATATATGAACATTTTTTTCCTTGCACTATTTCTGAATTGTCTCACATTTGCTGAAATAAATAACTTTAAAAAATGCCAAGTGGCAAAACTCAAACATGACATTCATCATATGGATTTTCCATTGCTTACTAAAAAACCTGAGTCAGGAAGAGGAGTGTTGTGATAGAAACAATAAATGCTAAATGAAAACTTAAGCTACCCATTGCTCCACTGGCTCATTGGAAATGATTTACAGTGTACCATGGAATTATTACAGTTGTGTCATTGCCAAATACCATATTATTTACTGTATTGTGTACTGATCATTTTACCTAGAAAAATTCCATGTCAGGTTATGGTTTCTGAACCTAACCTAACAGAAGTGACATACATTTTAAAACGTGGTTGGTGCAGGTGGCAAGCTGACAGGTAGCTCTGTGGCAGAGGCCGTGTTTACAGATATGAGCAGAAAACCAAACAGCATGGTTGCTAAGACAGCTAGGCCTTTGGAGCTGACCTCTCTCTTTTTGTTATTTTAGGAATTCTCCTACTTTCAAATCATTTGAGGAGAGGGTTGAGACAACTGTCACAAGCCTCAAGGTACAGATGAAGTGAATTCTGTGTGAGTGGGTCCATTGACTCAGGACAGCTTAGCCATTGCTGCGGTTAGTTTAAAGTCGAGGCAGGGCCAAGAAGGCAGGCTTGCATCAAGTCAGACCTTTTCTTTCACATATAAATCTATGAATAAAACCACTATTGAATAGTGTTACTATATCCTTAGAGTTGTTTGTATAAACCATTCAGGGGTGAATTGTTCATTAAAGTGAATTGGGGTATGCGTTTACCACTTAATCTCTTAATGCTATCCCTCCAAAAGTAGATATGTGAGAGATGACTGTGGATAGGATAAAGGCTATATGAATTCTGAATTTAGAGTGTGAGTGAAAGTTCAATAACAGCTCAGAGCTGCTCTGGTTTGGACATGGACCAGCAAAAACAAACTGGGGACTACGTATCCACTACCCGTCAGCTACCTAGACTTGTTTATAAATTCAGGTACTGAGCACAGCACAGTATGGCTATCATAGAGGGAAAATTAAACTGAGTCACAAAATGCATTTTATAATAACACAGTAATGCATTTCATCCCTGGGTATAAATTGAAAATGTGCCTATTACAGAGTGTTTTAAAAATTCACTGGAATTATTGTTCTAGCATAGGTAAGTTTGAATAAAAAGAGTAAAATGAAATCAGTCTAGTCTTAAAATTGAACTTTTAAAACAAGAAAAATCATTACAACTACTAAGATTATTTTTAAAGGTATCACTTAATGACTTAATTACATCTTGCTATCATTATCTCTATTTTGTATACAATCCATTTCTGTATTTTACCATAACTGGGAAAATTAAGAATATACGTGATCTTTAACCAGATCAAAAACCTTCATATCCCATGCTGATTATTCAGCTGCCTCTGAATCCTGTATCTTCACGCTGCTCTCACGTGTGCTGCCTGATAAGTATATGTGAGGTTGTAAGTTATTCCTTACTCGCGGTTCCAGGTGCTCTTGTGGATTTTGACCTGGAGAGTCTTTTCTTAGGGCAGGGTCTTTCACATGGTCTACTTCTACTTTATTAGACCCATAATTAGGTGTTTAAGGCCCAGGAATGAAATTATTACTCAGCATTTACCATGCCTTCATCAGTTTCATTCACCAGAAGTTTCCAGTTGTGCAGTTTCACCGCTCTGCATGCCAACATCATCGCTTATTGAGCGTACAGGAACCAATGGGAGCCGTTAAACAGCCCCATGAGTAGGAAAATTTTTTTAAAGGGAAGAGCATCCAATGTTGTGAACATTTGATCTTCTTGCTAGAAGATCAAAATGAAAGGCTCAAAAATCCCAGGATTCAGTTTCTAAACATTTGGTTTTCAGCCTTAGACGACCCAATGAGGATGGGTTCCATTGCTTGTTAGACAAGTTCTGACAAAGGACAAGTTGTACTTTTTAGGTTTTCTTTAGAAGAAGGAGATATGAAGAAGCAAAAGAAGAATAAAGAACAACCCATTTTCATTTGCTTTTAGGAAACTCTGGTAAGCTCATGGCTCACATAGGATTTAAGTGTTTGATCCACATGTTCAGCTTCTCACTTTTCTCACCTCACTTGGATAGAAGGTATAGCCTGCCGTCTCCTTCAGACATGCACATAACTAACCCAGCCCACTAGATACTAGCCTTTGTGAAGACCTCCTGAAAGTGATTCTATGCTTGTATGACTGTTCATGGTTTAACAAGACTCACATGCCACATACTTCCTATTTCATGGCCAAAGCCTAATTCCTCTTTTTCTGTCCACACAGGCAATGCAGAATAGCTGATAATTATGCTTTGTGTCAAACCTCCCACTTCCTAAATAATTACAAATTTCTCTGTCCTTTTTTTTCCCACTAGACTAAATAATAGATATGTATAACCCTTTTTTATATAGCTTATTTTCTGCAGTTTACTTTTGTGTTCTAAGTCTTCTCCAAAATGTCTATATTGTTCATTAGTTAAGGATCCTTAGACTGTTTTCTGCTGAGGGAATGACTCATGAGTCGGTAAAGATGAGTGGAATTTCTTGCAGGTCTATGTGCTGCATTTCCATTCACATGCCCTGCTTTCAATTTGATTTTTGAAAACACTGCTGATAAGAAATCATAGTCATATTTATGTCCTGTGAGAAAATAAGGTTCTGCTATAAAGGTCCACTCCTGCCATCTTCTCACACAATCTGTCATGTACCATGTGGCACTTGTACCAAATCCATGGGTCTTTCTTTACACCAAATTCTGTAGTTTGTTTTTCCATGAAACACTTTTCCAATCCTATAAAATTTAGTTCTGCCTACGCCCTTACAATGTATTACTTGACACTGCAGCTGATGTCACCTGTACAGTCACTGAGCATGCTTCCTATTTCATCCAAAACAAACAAGTAAATGCAGAACGAACTCCTGTGAAGCCACTTTTGGTATCTTCTGCCATCTCCCAATGAGTCATGAGTAACTACATCTCTTCCAACCATTTTGCATCCATGTCAAGCAGACCATATTTTTAGTGCACCTACTTTTTGATAAATACATTATATGGCCTGGACCAAAACCTTAAAAAGAAAAGGGGGGCAAGTTGCATTACATGTTTTGTTTCTTTTTGTATTATGAGAGATTAGGAAGCCCAACTCAGCGATTCAAATGAAATTCTATGCAAAGAACGATTATAATTTGGGGGACAAAGTGACAAATACTTGGATGAAAAACAATTATGTAGAGAAGGGTCCAGGAGAATTTTATCATTCACATCTTTGCTTAAGGAGGTCCTTACCTAAGATATTGCAGTAGGCAGTCATTAAACCTACGTGGTTAGGAATATCTTTGATTCCATACCTTCTTTGCCAAATTGATTTCTTACAAAGCCATTCCTTCTTTATTTTACTACTCTGTTTAGAGGAAATCAAGAAACAGGAGAGAATAATGAAACAAAGCACAGAAGAAAACGTCAGTGATTTGTATTCACTGAATTCAATATTGTGTGTTACTTCTATTGCAAAAGAGAATGTGAATGGAAGAAAAAAGAGGAGAGAGGGAACTATTAATAGAGTAGATTACATTGAATTAATCTTATTTGTTTCTCTCAGGGAAGAAATAAGCATAGTGAAAAATCACACAATGGAAACCATCCCTTCCCCTGACCTGTTCCCAGTGTTAAGATAACAGAGGGAAGGAAGATCAATGCTCTGCCAGAGGTCCACAAACTAAGCTGACCACTTTCTTTTGAATGGTACATAAGCTGAGAATGGCTTTACATTTTTTAATGGTTGAAAAAATCAAAATAAAAATAATATTTCGTGACATTTGAAAATTAAATTACATAAGTTCACATTTCAGTGTCCATACATTAAGTCTTACTGAAACACAGCCTTGGCCAGGCCTGGTGGCTCACGCCTGTAATCCCAGCACTTTGGGAGGCCGAGGCGGGCAGATCACTAGAGGTCAAGAGTTCGAGACCAGCCTGGCCAACGTGTTGAAACCCCATCTCTACTAAAAATACAAAAATTTGCTGGGCATAATGGTGGGTGCCTGTAATATCAGCTACTTGGGAGGATGAGACAGACAGAATTGCTTGAACCCAGGAGGCAGAGGTTGGAGTAAGCCGAGATTGCACCACTGCACTCCAGCCTGGGCCACAGAGCAAGACTCCGTCTCAAAAAAAGAAAGAAAGAAGAAAGGAAGAAAGGAAGAGAAAGAAAGTGAGAGAGAGAAAGAAAGAAAAGAAAGAAAGAAAAAGAAAAGAGAGGGAGAAAGAAAGGAAAGAAAGAAAGAAGAAAGAAAGAAAGAAAGAAAGAAAGAAAGAAAGAAAGAAAGAAAGAAAGAAAGAAAAGAAAAGAAAGAAAGAAAGAAAGAAAGAAAGAAAGAAAGAAAAGAAAAGAAAGAAAGAAAGAAAGAAAGAAAAGGGGAAGGGGAAGGGGAAGGGAAGCCACGCTCATTCACTTAGGTATTCGCTGTGGCTACTTCCTACAAGAACTGATTTGAGTATCTGTGAGAGCAACAATGTGGTTCCCAAGCCTAAAGTATTTACTGTCTGGCCCTTTACAGGTAGAGTTTTCTGACACCAAGCAGAGTACAAAAATTCAATTTAATAAATAAATTTAAGAGGCAGAGAGAGATTTTAGTGACAATTAGAGCGAAGTGTGTTTTGTAATGATGGAACTGCTTTTGAACCCTGGTTACATTTTTAAAAGGTCAGGCCAGGCAGCACAGACACAATCCCCAGTGTTGCTGATGTCTGTGAGTGATCACTTTGGTGACAGTGAGGCATCAACAATCAGTTTGGCAATAGCAACATTATTTATTCTATATCTTCTTTTTCCTTCAAAGTGTTTTTTCTACATTATGAAAAACAATGGGAGGGAAGGCCAGTGTGACTATTAATAAGACTTGCACTAAGCATTTTGCATCTTGTCAAGCAGACCATATTTTTAGTGCATCTACTTTTTGATAAATACATTACATGGCCTGGACCAAAACCTTAAAAAAAAAAAAAAAGGGCAAGTTGCATTACATGTTTTTTTTCCTTTTTGTATTATGAGAGATTAGGAAGCCAGTTTTAATAAGGGATTTTTAGCAGTTTTAATAAGGAATTTTTCAAAATACTTAGCCTTATTTTTAAATTGTAAGTTAATTCCTTCATGTTTCTATGCTTAGTCAATAACAAATACACAAGAAAAAAGCCTCATAAACCATCATAACTGCATTGTAAGGAATATTCATACTGTAAGGGTGTATTAATTCCATTTCACGCTGCTGTGAAGAAATACCTGAGACTGGGTAATTTATAAAGGAAAGAGATTTAATTGACTCACAGTTCCACAGGGCTGAGGGGGCCTCAGGAAACTTACAATCATGGCAGAAGGGGAAGTAAATATGTCCTTCTTCACATGGTGGCAGGAAGGAGAAGTGCTGAACAAAAGGAGGAAAGCCCCTTGTAGAAGCATCAGATCTTGTGAGAACTCACTCACTATCACGAGAACAGTATGGAGGTCACCGCCCCCATGATTCAATTACCTCCTACCAGGTTCCTCCTTGCTAGGATTATGAGGACTATGGGAACTACCATTCAAGATGAGATTTGGGTGAGGACACAGCCAAACCATATCAAAAGGCAGTTGCCTAAGATGATGTGAAATCACCAGTGATTAAGACTTGATCCATCTTCAATTTTCAAAGCAGAAACCAGAAATCATTTTCCATTGAGCCACTCTGACTTTTCAAAAGACATTTGTCAGAAATCCAGTTTGCCCTGCTAACTCCCAAGTAGAAAAATCTAAGTTTAGGTCATGTAAGGATGTTTATACATTTGTACAATTGGAGGAATTAATAAAAAATCTAATTCCATTTTGATTAGATCAGTTCTCTGGGTGAGTGGAGATAGCTGTTCCAAGTCCATGGATCCGATTATGCTCCTGAAGGGATTAAAATCTTAGATACAGGAGAGATAAAGAGAGGGTTGCTAAAAGTGTGCAAAATTAAAGTTTGGAATCCTATCCGAGAACCCAAGTATGAATAATATTCTAGCACTCTACTAAAGGAAACAAACTTCTGTGCATTCTTTTGTCTCTAAAGATAGAAAGTATTTCTGAATTTGAAAGTAATCCAGCTTTTGGTATTCTTATAAAAACATTACAAAAATGATAGTAACAACTAACTGCATTTTTGTGGATCTGCTCATTTCAGACGAAAGTAGGCGGTACGAACCCTAATGGAGGCAGTTTTGAGGAGGTCCTCAGCTCCACGGCCCATGCCAGTGCCCAGAGCTTGGCAGGAGGCTCCCGGCGGACCAAGGAGGAGGAGCTGCAGTGCTAAGTCCAGCCAGCGTGCAGCTGCATCCAGAAACCGGCCACTACCCAGCCCATCTCTGCCTGTGCTTATCCAGATAAGAAGACCAAAATCCCGCTGGGAAAAACCCAGGCCTTGACATTGTTATTCAAATGGCCCCTCCAGAAAGTTTAATGATTTCCATTTGTATTTGTGTTGATGATGGACCACTTGACCATCACATTTCAGTATTCATAGATGACTGTCACATTTTAAAATGTTCCCACTTGAGCAGGTACACAACTGGTCATAATTCCTGTCTGTGTAATTCGATGTATATTTTTCCAAACATGTAGCTATTGTTTGCTTTGATTTTTGCTTGGCCTCCTTTATGATGTGCATGTCCTTGAAGGCTGAATGAACAGTCCCTTTCAGTTCAGCAGATCAACAGGATGGAGCTCTTCATGACTGTCTCCAGCAATAGGATGATTTACTATAAATTTCATCCAACTACTTGTGATCTCTCTCACCTACATCAATTATGTATGTTAATTTCAGCAATTAAAAGAATTGATTTTAATGACTTTGAATTCTTAATTTCTTTGTCTTAAAAGTTGCTAGTTATGATTTTACAGATGCAATTTTAAATCAACTTTTAGCCAGGTGCGGCGGCTCACACCTGTAATCCCAACTATTTTGGATGCCAAGGTGAGAGGATTGCTTGAGGCCAGGAGTTAAAGATCAGCCTGGGCAACACAGACCCTGTCTCTACAAAAAAAGAAAAAAATTAGCCAGACATAGTGTTGCTTGCCTGTAGTCCCAGCTACTCTAGAGGCTGAGGCAGGAGGATTGCATGAGCCTAGGAGTTCGAAACTGCAGTGAGCTATGATTGCACCACTGCACTACTCCAGCCTGGGTGACAGAGTGGGACACTGTCTCCAAAAATAGTAATAATAAGTAGTCAACTTTTACTGCTAATTTGGTGAACATGAGAGAGGATATGAAAATAAATATTACCTCAGCTATCCTAGGATGTTAAAATAATCTCCAATTTTAAAATTCTCTCCAATCTACATACAGTAGTAGTTAGTCAGATAAAGGATATCCAAAAAAGAGATAGCTAGAAAATGGGAGAAGCAGAGTTCTGCAACCCCTTTCAGTTTGTAAATTGTTCACATGTATGAAAATAACTGGTATTTATCAATCCACTCAGATTTCTGCACTAACTTTTATCTTATATATCATATGTATCTCTTTTCTTTTTCTAAATGGGAACATATATTTGTTATTAGGTGGCAGAGATATAGCCTTAAGATATATTTGTAAAATGCACACTGAATAGACATCCAACCTAAAAAAAATCACTATTTAAAAAGCCCATATAATATATACATATTTGTTAGCATGCTAATTGTTCATGTTTTGTGTTTATTAAATAGAAGTGATATATATGACATTTTGAAGTAAAGCACATCTGAAAAATTCTACTCAAATTAATGGAGCATGACAATCTGTGCAATCTGTACACCTAACTGAAAATCAAGGTGGTTCAGGACAACATCATCTCTGAGGCCTGGAATCTTAGCAGAGAGAATGGGGCTGTAAACTTGACCAGAGTGGACAAATGTAGACAAAGAAAGCTCACTAGCAGGGATGCTGGCATTCTCCCTTATTTGTGCTTCCAGCCTGTTGGTTGAAGTAGAGGCAGGAAACCAACCCTGCCCAGCTGGTTCTCAGGCCGTGCTGGCTCGCCCACCACAGCACACAAGTACTCAGTCTCTGTGCCCAATCTATAGCTGCCTGTTGAGTGTGAAGTGGCTAACTTGTGAAAACTCCCTGCCACCTTCTTTTTTTACCATATTCAGCACACCGCATTGTATTAGATAAAGTTATGGTACTTTAAACAAATATCTCCGTTCACCAACCAATTTCTGCACACCATAGTCTCAGCCTTATAATCTGAAAACACAATATTAGAATTGGATAGAAAAACAATCAAGAAAACTTGTGGTAATATCTTAAAGCTTCCAACACATTTTAGCTATTTATTTTATTCCATTCATCAAAATTCTGATTTCATTAGTTTGGTAAGAATCTTATGCACATCATCTCTATTCATCTAAAAGCTTTTCATTATTCACTCTGACCTAGAAGTGATATTCATAATGGCCATGGCATAAGTAGCATTTTTTATTTTTGTCATAAAATGTGTGTGAATAACTCAGATTAGATAAATCAAACACTTGTTGGTAGGTGGGCAGTCTTACCTAGTTTAGGCAGTGAGCCTACTCTTAGCTTCAGGAGCATCACTAAGAGCTGCCTGGTCCTCCCTCACCATGGGTGTGCAAGATCATCCTGATGGGACTGATTGCTGAGCTTCTCAATTACATCTAGTGAGGCTCAGTTCACAAGCAGTAGTTTAAAGTGTTTCACAAGTCCTAAAAAGTAATTGCACACAATGGACATAACCTTTTACTAACAAACCAAAATGACTTCAGGTCAACACCATGTGTGTATGAAAGGATACCTCCACAGAAAATGTACAGTTGACCCTTGAACAACAGGAGTTTGAACTGTGAGGGTCCACTTATGTGCAGATTTTCTTCTGCCTCTGGCACCCCTTGAAACAGTGATACCAACCTCTCCCCTTCTGCAGCCTACTCAACATGAAGACAATGAGGATAAAGACCTTTATCATCATCTGCTTCCACTTAATGAATAGTACATATATTATCTCTGTTGTTTTTCTTTTAACATTTTGTTTCCAGAGCTTACTTTATTGTAAGAATACCACATGTAATGCATATAACATAAAAATATGTGTTAATTGGCCATTTATGTTATCAACAAGGCTTATGGTCAACAGTAGCTGTTGGTAGTTAGGTTTAGGGGGTGTCCAAAGTTAGAATCAGATTTTTGTTTTATTTATTTATTTATTTTTTTGAGACTGAGTCTCACCCTGTTGCCCAGGTTGGAGTGCAGTGGTGCAATCTTGGCTCACTGCAACCTCTGCCTCCTGGGTTCAAGCAATTCTCTGCCTCAGCCTCCCGAGTAGCTGGGATTACAGGCACCTACCACCACGCCTGGCTAATTTTTGTATTTTTAGTAGAGACAGGATTTTACCATCTTGGCCAGGCTGGTCTTGAACTCCTGACCTTGTGATCCACCTGCCCTGGCCTCCCAAAGTGTTGGGATTACAGGCGTGAGCCACAACTCCCAACCTAGAATCGGATTTTTGACTGTGCAGGCCTAATCCCCGAGTGGCTCAGGCGTCAATTCTTTCAATTATCAAAAATTCTGATGCAATTGTGATTACAAAACAAACTAGCTTTTAAAAAAAGTAAGCCATTCTGAAATTTAACGATTTACCACATTTTAAACACAGTTGCTATGATGAACATATTTGTAAATTTACAGTGCTACTTTATCTCACAACTCACATCACATAAAGATTACAACTATTGGCTGGGCATGGTGGCTCATGCCTGTAATCCCAGAACTTTGGGAGGCCAAGGTGGGTGGATCAACTGAGGTCAGGAGTTCGAGACCAGCCTGGCCAACACGGTGAAACCCCGTCTTTACTAAAAATGCAAAAATTAGCTGTGCTTGATGGCACATCCCTGTAATCCCAGCTACTTGGGAGGCTGAGGTGGGAGAATCTCTCGAACCAGGGAGGCAGAGGCTGCAGTGAGCCGAGATCTTGCCACTGCCTTCCAGCCTGGGTGACAGAGAGATGAGACCCTGTCTCAAAAAAAGATTACAACTATTGGCAGGTCATTTTAGCAATGCAATCTGCATATCTTACTCTAAATTACACATTTTGTTAGAAATCTGTTCTTGAACCATAGCAAACAGAACAAAGTGCATGCTTTAGGATGTGTCTTCATGATATGCCATGCCGTTCACAGTGGCCAGTGTAGAGGGAACCCAGGGATCTACACGGCTCTTCTGTCACTGTTCATTGTTCCAAAATTACGTGTAAGCTTTAAAGTTGTTCAACATCAACCCCATCGTCCTCCTCTCACTTAGTATTCAATTTGAGTGGAAGTAGTGTGATAAAGGAAGATGGTGGTAAGGTTGAAAAGTGACTTAATATGAAATGTGAAACAACTTCTTCAAACCTAGCATTCAAATGTAATTTCAAACTATAACAATATTTGGCAAAATCTTATGGCTACTTTTGATAACTTCTAAGCATGGTAAAATTCTTTATGCTACATTTCTGCTTGACTTTCAGTTCACACCAGAGGGTATATTCATGTACACACACATTATATATATAATATATATAATACATATCCATCCATTATATATATATATAAATTAAAGCAAACCAAAAATGACAAAATCATGTCTTTCACAGAAATCATCCCATTTCACCTTTGAATGTGAAGACTGACAAATTGCTTAAATGAAAATGCTGAGTACAGAGATGCTTTTTTTTACAAAGCGCTTCATCAGTCATTTCCCCCAGAGCATGTATCACCACCACAAGGCTTTGAGGTGGATCAACATTTTTCAAATACAAGGGCATTGAGAATTATGTAATAGCTGGTAAAATACCAATCCATAAGGGGAAAACAGTGTAGGGAAAATGGCTGTGCTTTAGTCAGGAGTAAGCTGAGGTGGTGTTGCAAAACTGAATGGCCTTAGACATACTAACTGCTGCCCAAGGAGGCACCTGTATCCTTTTAGGAACACGATGTTGTACCTTTATCCCTGACAATTGGCAGAACATAACAGCAGTTCTGCAAGGGGTCTCATGGGAAATTAAGTTGGTTGAGAGCCTTATTGATGGCCCCCTGCAGAGACGGTGGGCATCCCTGGTCTCTGGCCTATGCTGGGCCCTAAAAGTCATAACTAGTATAGCTGGGATCCTAGTAGTGAGCTGTCGCTCTCTGTATTGTTGTGGGTTATGGATCCAGGGCTCTGCCCTATGGGCATGTATCCCTACCTGAAAGACTTCCCTTGGCCTAGGGGGTAGAGTGTAAGGTAAATCGTTGTGCTTTAGTCAGGAGTACGCCAAGGTGGCCTTCTGGTGCACCATGACTCAGAGGGTTTGGAGTGCAGGCACACAACTGTGCACATTATGTAACCCCGCCACATGAGGCACATTGTGACCACTCACATGAGCTTGTGCTTGGCTTGCAGCCACTATTGTCTGTAAAAGGTACAACTACCCAGCTGATGCTGTACATATAGCTCACATCCAGAGAAAGAACAAAGCCATGTCAAAACCGCCTGTGATTCCTTGAGTGTTTTTCCAGCTACCCACCACCTGCCCACCGTCTCCTCTCGGACCTCAGCTTGGGCTAGAATCTGACAATTGGTGCTGTAAGCAGGATCATGAGGTGAGTGAGCCTTTGGTCCCTGCTGATTCCAGGTCGGCCATGTGGCCAGAACATGGGCTGTGGTACCCAGTGGCAGCTGTACTGCTCGGATGGGCTCTGGTGGAAACCCGGGCAGTGGTAGATGGGTCATGCTTCAGTGCACAGACAAGGCACTGAAGCAGCTGGAAGCACAGAGCACCAACAAGGAGAGAGCCTTCGAGGGCTGGGTCTGTTGTCTTAGCTGGAGATCCCCACTCAGTCTGATACCGTGGAGGAAGGACCCCTGTTGTGGGCTTGCTCAGTGGCCTGTCGGAAGGTAAATCATGAACAGCCATTGGGGCCCCAAGGGTGGGCTCAGGGACACCCCTCCCCCAGCTCCAGGTAGCTCTCTTCTTTGTTAACCGTGCAACGGTTTTGTCATTTGAGCTAATGGGGCACAAATGCCCCCCAATATCCCAGGAAGCCCACCCGAGTGGTAACACAACACAATTCATATATTTCCTATACCCCAACTGAGTTGCAGGAATTAGGCAAGTAGTGCCGCCAGTGTCCAGGGGAACCCCTGCCCAACTGCATGCTTCATTTGTGGGATGAGGGAGCAGACAGTATCCCTGTTCTGCCTCTGGGATGGAAAAGCTGGCCTCCATCATGACTCCCCTCCCTCCTTCAGTGGTTGCAAGTAAGCAGGTGGCTAGTGGCAGGGCAAGGTTACCACACCCTGATTGAGTGGCTTTGGGCAGCCATATGGACTGTGTGAAATGACATTGGTGAAATAACTGAAACTGTGAGTAAATGGCAGTCATATGCTGATTTGGTGCAAGTCATCTGGGCGATGGTTATATGGCAGGCTATGTTTGACCTGAATACCCGGGGGCCAGGTGATGAATGTTTACCTCTGCACCCCCGAGCACCTTTGGCTTCCTAGCTGCTGTCCTCACCCTGTAGGTAGGGCACCGCATACATGAAGTGACCACTGCTATAGCAGCTCTCGGGGAAGCAGAAGGCCATCGGTGGGACTGAGGGGTCCACACCATAAAGAAGAGGAAGGTGCCCTGCCCACAGGGGGCTCCCGCATGGGCAAAAAGGGGGCCCCAATGAGTGACACACTCACAGATGTGGGTAGATTTGATTTTGTCCAGGGTTGACTGAGAGAAAATCAATAAACTGCCCAATGAAGTATTCTTAACTTTGTGGAGACACTTGTCTCCAGAGAAGCAATTCTGGAAAATACCAAGGGGAAGAAGGACATTGCTGCGTGACCCATTCCCGCCCAGGTGCTCCAACTCAAGGACTACTTGCTGCAGCCAGGCTGAAATGTAGAGCCTTTTCTGTTTGATTAGGGAACTGGCCAATGTGCCCAGCTTGGGGGGACACCAGATGACCAGTGGCCACATGTAGAATTAGCAATTCACTGGTCCCCCACTAACGTACAGCGGGTGTCAGTGCTGGTAGATATTGGCACAGATTGTAGCCTTGTGTATGAGAATCAGATAAGTTTCTGGGCAAGGCTGTTACATTTATGTTTATGGAGGCTGGTTACTGAAAGTGAAACCTGTGTCTCTGTACCTCGGCATTGGCCACTTGGCTCCCTGTTTATATACTGTGTATGTCTCCCCCATACCTGAATACATCCTGGTGGTGGACATTTTACATGGCCTGGCGTTACAAACTACGGCCAGGGAATTCAGACTCCTAGTGCATCTGGTGAAGCTGGTGCTGCAAGGACATAGGCATCACAAGCCTCAGGTCCTGTCACAACCCCAACTGGTTACTTCCACCCATCAATACCATTTGCTGGGTGGGCATATGAAGATAACTGAGACAATTTAAAAGCTGGAGGAGGTGCAGATAGTGTGTGGCATCCACAGCTCCTACAATTCTCCAGTGTGGCCAGTTAGAAAGCTTGATGGAACTAGGCGGATGACGGTAAACTATCAGGAACTGAATAAAGTAACACCCGCTTTGAGTGCAGCTGTACCGTCAATCATGGATTTGATGGACTGCTTGACAATGGAACTGGGACAGTACCACTATGTGGTGGACTTGGTCAATGCATTTTTCTCCATCGACATTGCTCCAAGAGCCAGGAACAGTTTGCCTTCACGTGACAAGGGCAACAATGGACTTTTACAATGTGGCCGCAGCGCTATGTGCATAGCCCCACCATATGTCATGGTCTTGTTGTCATGGATTTAGCCACTTGGCAATGTGCAGAAGGGGTCCACCTATTCCATTATATTGATGATATGTTAACCTCTGATTCTCTTGTAGATTTAGATGTGGCGGTGCCTCTCTTGCAGCAACATTTGGCAGCATGCAGTTGGGCCATCAATGAATCCAAGGTCCAAGGGTCTGGATTATCTGCCAAATTATTGGAAGTTTCCTGTCTAGGTAAGATGATGGCCATACCAGAGGCTATTATTGACAAAATTCAGGCATAGCCCTGGCCCACCACGGTGAAGCAGCTACAAACTTTTGTGGGCTTCCTGGGATACTGGGGGGCATTTCTGCCCCATTTAGCTCAAATGACAAAACTGTTGCACGGTTAACAAAGAAGAGAGCTACCTGGAATTGGGATATGGCTGAGACCGCTTTCCTGGCAGCCAAGTGGGCTATTCAGCAGGCACAAGCCCTATGGGTAGTTGGCCAGGGGCACCTGTTTGAGCTGGATGTGCATGTGAGCACAGATGGTTTCAGTTGGGGCCTGTGGCAGCATACAGAGTGCCTGAGAACACTAGTAGGCTTTTGGTCTTAACTGTGGAAAGGAGCTGAGCTCCAACAGTCCTTGATAGAGAAACAGCTAGCAGCTGTATATGCAGCATTTCAGTCTTGTGAAAGTGTGACAGGATGGGCTACAGTCATCATGTGGATGGCTTACCCAATAGTGGGATGGATGTGTTCATGGATAATGCCCCCCTGGACTGGGATGGCACAGACATCTACTTTGGCAAAGTGGGGCACCTACTTGGAGCAGCAAAGTTTGCTGAGTACAAGACCCTTGGCAGCAGAATTGCAAGAGGTCTTGGGACCTATAGTCCTAATGCAAGAGAAGGCTATAGGGCCTGGGGCACCCCTAGACCCCAAGCCATCACCGTTTAAGGAAGGGTACCCCCCATTCCTGATGGGGCATGGTACACAGATGGGTCTAGCCAAGGATCTAATGCTGCCTGGACCGCTGTTGCAGTCCAACCTAGTACAGACACCATATGGTTTGAAACCAGGTGTGGGCAAAGTAGCCAATGGGCTGAACTTACAGCAGTATAGATGGTGATCACTAAGGAGCAGATATCTATGGTGATTTGTACCGATAGCTGGGCAGCCTACCGAGGCTTAACCTTGTGGTTAACTACTTGGAAAATACAAAATTGGCTAGTCAGCCACTGACCTATGTCATGGAGCCAAGTGATGTGGCAAGACCTCTGGGAAATGGATCATCAGAAAGATGTAATTATTTATCATGTGTCAGGCCATATGCCTTTGGCCACCTTTGGCAATGATGAGGCAGATGTCTTGGCCAAGGTCCAATGGTTAGTCGGCACCAACACAAGATGTGGCCTTCTGGCTACACCAGAAACTGGGACATGCCAGGGGCAAACTGATGTAACAGGGCAATAAGTGTTGGGGTCTGTCCCTGCCCATGCAAGGTATTTGGGAGGCTCGTCAGAAATGCCCAGTATGTGCTTGGTCATACCCTAAATGGAGGCAGCTGCCCACTTTTACACAAGTGACAACAGGGCGAGTGATCTTGACCAGGTGGTAAGTAGACTACATCGGTCCGCTGCCAAAATTGCAAGGGTATACACATGTGCTAACAGCTGTGGACATGGCCACAAGCCTGTTGTACATCTACCCTTGCAGGGTGGCCAACCAACAGCACATCCTCCGGGTCCTGCAACACTTATGTGCCCTGTATGGTTGCCCTCTGGCCATAGAGAGTGATAGAGCACCCATTTCACTGGACAACAGGTACAACAATGTGCACAACAAATGGACATAAAGTGGGGATTCCATGTGCCATACAACCCACAAGCTGTGGGTATGATTGAGCAATATAAAGGGCTCTTGAAGAATGGGTTACACTTGCATGTCACACCCGTCTTTGCAGTGCTGGAGTTCCAAGCTGGACCTGGTGGTTCAAACCTTGAATGAACAGCCATGGAAAGACCGCCCAGCCCTGGTGGAGGCTTTATTACACTGGGCCACCACCCCTATTCAGTTGCAGATACACACTAAGGATGACCTCCTCCGACCAGGTATGGGGACGAACGGTAACCTTTTGTTGCTTGCCCCAATGCCCCTGAAGGGAGGGGAACAGAAAACCTGGCTCTGGCCATGGACCCTCCAGGCTCCCCACTGCTGGTGGTTGGCCGTTGTAGCTCCCTGTGGGGAAGACCTACAGTATGACTTGCATGTCACTCCTTGGGCATTCAATACATGTCACCCTTGGTTGATTGTTCTTAGGGCAACAGCCAGGGAAGAAACGCTCCTCTGGGGGACATAAGTACTGTCTGTGTGGCCTATTATGAGCTTCCCCTTGACTTTGGCATAGATACCGGACCCATAGGAACCATGGGGAGCTGAGAAGGTGTGGTACCATCGCCCAGGGCAGAAGCTCTTGGCAGCTGCATTGTTATCCATGGATGAAAAGTTAGCCTGTATTTTGCCTGAGGGACGTCACTTACCTCTGTTAGTAGCTGTGCCTGCTCTGTCATTTTGGCCATAGGTTAACATGCTCCAACTGCATTGTAAACTGCGCCCACACCTGTGCTGAGGTGATCAATGTTTCCAACTTTCGGGTCTGCACTGCCCTTCCAGCAGCAGCTGCAGATGACTTGCCTTGGCATATACATTCAGTGTCTACAGAGAACTGGACATGGCTGGAGACTTGGGGTCCCGTGGTTGACATCTGGAATGCAACGCAGCAAGCTTTGGACAAAGGACGCTGCAAGATCCATGGTGCTCCCATCATGTGGCTGGCCCATAGCATTTATGATGGCTGGGGCTGGCTAGCGGGGGAACATGTAGTACCCCCAGCCCAGGTGTCGCAGAGCATAGAGCAACACTGGGGTAACACCACTGTGGGATAGGTACCCATCACAGCCTGTGTAAACATAACACATGTCACCATACTGAAGGTATGCTGGAACAAGCAGCCCCCAAGTTTGGGCCCCAAGGGACTTTGTGCCCCCTGGGAGTTTATGGGTCTGTGGGCACACAGGGTGGCCTTACCTACCAGTGAACTGGACGGAATGTTGGAACTGGGGGTGGCCACTGTTCTCTCCACATTGCCCAGACACTGCATAACTGGAAGGCGCTACACTCTCATTTTTTGTGAGTGCGACGAGCTCCCCAGTGGTTCTACCCCTTGACAGTGACTATCCCTGCGGCGGGTGTCACAACTGTAGAAGCACAAGTTACTGCTCTTGCAGAGCACACCACTCGGGCTCTGAATTACACCCAAGTGGCCCTCCTCCTGTTAATGGATGAGGCTGGTCAGATGAGAAAGGTGGTATTGCAAAACTGAATGGCCTTAGACATAGTAACCTGCTGCACAAGGAGGCACCTGTGCCCTTTTAGGAACACAATGTTGTACCTTTATCCCTGACAATTGGCAGAACATAACAGCAGCCCTGCAAGAGGTCTCATGGGAGATTAAGGTGGTGGAGAGCCTTACTGACAACCCCCTGCAGAGATGGTGGGCATCTCTGGGCTGTGGCCTACGCTGGGCCCTTACAGTCCTAAGTAGCATAGCTGGGATCCTGGTAATGAGCTGTTGCTCTCTGTAGTGTTGTGGGTTATGGATTCAGGGCTCCACCCTATGGGCACGTATCCCTACCTGAAAGACTCCTCTCAGCCTAGGGGATGGAGTGTAAGGGAAATGGCTGCATTTTAGTCAGGAGTAGGCTGAGGCAGCCTTCTGGCACAGCATGACTCAGTGGGTTTGGAACGCAGGCACACAACTCTACACATTATGTAACCATGCCACGTGAGGCACATTAGGTGACCATTCACATGAGCCTGTGCTTGGCTGGGATCCATTATTGTCTCTAAAAGGTTTAACTACCCTGCTGATGCTGTACATATGGCTCGCGCCTAGAGAGAGAATAACGCCATGTCAAAACTGCCTACGATTCCTCAAGTTTTTCCAGCTACCTGCCACCAGCCCACCAACTCCCTTTGGACCTCAGTTTGGGCTAGAATCTGACAAACAGTAACAAATAATTCTTTTTTCTTGAGTTCAAACCATGAATAATTATTTACTCTGCATTGTAATTATAGGGTTGTCATTCAGAAGACAAAGTCTAGGCAAATGGCAGGTATCTTCTAAGGACTAACATTTTTAAGTAATAATGCTCATTTATAGACATTGCTGGTAGGCTCAGGAGCTGTTATTTTGTTGATCTTCATTTTGTTATTTTCTTATCATCAAATGTTTTATTTATAACACTATTATATTTTTTTCTTTCTTTCTTTAAAAGATGTATTTCCTCAGGAAGGAAGGTTTAGGACTAACTGAAAACTCCCATTTCGTAGGTAGATGATGAACTGAGATAATGGTTAAGTGACTAGTTATAAAGTCTAACCCAGTAGAAGTTTCCAAAGTCTCTCTGTGAATTGTTTTGTTAGCTATTTATGAAAATTATGGTAGACAAAACATTGAAAATAAAACTGCAGGGCCACAGAACACCTTCTGGTTATAAATACTTGAACTTTATCTGGGGTTATTTTGTGTGTATGTTTTCATGCCAAGGGAAAAACTCCACAATCCTAATAGATGGAGTTGTTTTCCTACTAACCATATATCCAGTAATGGACTTTACCCTCTTTCTTCTTTTTGATACAGAGCAATTACACATACATATGTGTGTTGCTTCTGAAAAGATCATGCACCTTGCTTCCTGCAGATTGGGTATCCATGGATACCGCAAAGAGTTTCCAAAGAAACACTGCCTAGAATTTTCACCATGCCAGCCTCGAAGGCCTTCAAATGGAAAGTGACATTTGAATTAAAGGGACAAGCATCATTGCTCCACACCAAAACACTGGGCAGGTTTGCAGAAATCGTATTCTTTTTTGCACTATTCAATGTAAAGGCAGACAGGGTGGATTATTTATCCTATAAAAGGGAAAAGAGAGGAAGAAATCGGGTTGATATATTCCCTACCTGAGGCTCAATGACCCCAGTTCCTATTTATATTTCTCACCTGATGATACATGCTTTTACAATAAAGGTCTCAAGATTTATAAGTCAGACAGGGAAAAATATACAAAGGAATACAAGTTGCATTTTTATATGCCCCGGTTTATATCTCTAAATGACAAAAAGTATTGGGAAGAGGGGCAGAGCCTATTAGTAGGTTTACAAGCCTATGATTAGAAGTCTGAAGCAGTCTGCAGTGAAATTCAAAATCTGGCTCAAGAGAGTAAATCTGAATAAGGCAGCAATTTCATCTGGGGAGAGAATACATCACTAGTACATTTTCTTTTCTGGATTCTTATCACTAAATCAGCTGAAGAATCTGTTCTTAAAAGCAATCATAATGAAATTTTCTATTATTCAATGAACCTAGCCTTCGGGGATATCGGTAATTAAGTCAGAATAAGATGATTTTAAATCTCCAATAAATATTCTAATATTTTAGGTGTTTAATATTTATTTATTTAGTTCATAAACAGGCACTGCCACCTCCAGTGTTCATCCATGGCACTTTCATGACCGCTTCCTGTTCTGTGGCTTCTTTTAGTGCCCAAGTTGTATCACATTTCTTGCTGAAGTTCAGACAATTGAAAACAAACAGACTCACATCTAGGGAAATCAACAGACCAACAATGGCAAAACACAATACAATGAAATGGAAAAATAATGTTTGTTACAGGAGTGCAGCAATTTAGAGAGTGTCTCAGGAGTGTGGCTCACTGGCAGCTGCAGCTATGTTAGTGCTTCTTTCTGCCTCAAGTTCAGAAACAAGCTGGACTATCTCAGGGTGATTGAATTTTCCTGCAAAGCAAAAGAACAGGGAAAAATACATTCCCATATTGACAAGAGAGTATATTCATTTCCCCAGCTTGATCCCAGGGTTCACTGGGGGCTCTAGTCTACGATCTGACCCACACTTCATTCCAAAGCAGAAAGAGATTCCAGGTCCTGGGAAGGGGCTGAAGGGGACCACTTGGCATTTACGCTCTGTCACCCCAGGTGCAACTGAGAATAAGGATGAGACTCAGGCAAGGAATCATCAATTAGGCAGAGGTAGGGGAAACTTCACCAGGCTCCTCAGTGCCTCTACCAGGAACTATGGGAAAACTCAGGTGTGAGAGCCCAGAAAGCTGAAGACAATCTCTGCCCATTCCAAACCTGCAATTAAGTAAGGAGAATGAAGCACCTATATATGAAAAGACAAGGAGGAAGATCAGAGGGGCTAGGCTGGCTCATGATGTAAACAAGGATGCAGGTGTCTCTCTTGTAAACACCTCTACACTTCAATTGGCTGATCTGTGCTGTCATCCCTGCTCCTCAGACCTCCCCAGATTTCTGCTTTGGTAGCAACCAAGCTCTAAGCTATTGTATGTCCATGACGGCTAGCATGGGGGACTGTTCAACCCAACATCTCTTCTCTCACCGTCTTTTCTTGCCTGTGTCTGTTGTTGCTTACTGTTCATTCCACATTAAACTCTATTCCATTTATTTCCTATCCTCAGCCTCTTACCCGAATGTTTCCTTCCCTTTCTTTTTAGATGCTCCACATGAAAGGGTCAGATGAAGGTACCAACAGTGGGTTTCCCTAATATTAACATTAGTCACTACACTGAGTAAGCCAAACTAAAATGGACTCTTGTTGAAAATGGTGTTGAGTACCTGCTGTGGAATCATAGAAGTCTTGCAGTCTCCCAGGTTTGTGTTCAAGGTCTTCATATTCAGATGCTTGAAGAATCATTTCACATTGGTCTAGCTGCTTCACAAATTTGGCTTCTGCACTAGATTGGGTCTCGTACTCCTAAGTAAAGGGACAATTAAAGCAGCATGATTAGCGCTGCATAATAGGGTATCCTGGGAAAATTCTGACTCTGGTACCCGAAATCAGAGTGACAGCTACAAGTACATTCTGTATCGGCCCCATTTCTCTACTGTTTAGAAATCCATCAGAGACACTTCTGTAATTTCACAGCCTAACACCAGGACTCTATACAAGAAAGATGTGCTCTCCATTCTAAGTATTCTACCAGAAGCCATGGAAATCTTGTATGTTCATCTTAGGTACTTTCAAGATCTTTTCTTCCTGTTTAATACCGTGTCTTCATTTTAAGACCATTGTTCTTTAATCTACCTAAGTAGTTTAGATATTTTTAACATCAAGCTGATATTTCGTCTTATGCCTCTCAAACCTGTATTTCCCTCTCCATTTCATGTCAGGTTTCCTTGTCATTTCTAAGTGTATTTCTAGCTTTATCATTTACTTTTGGTTACCACTTTACCTGGGAATCTCTGTGCTTACTTTCCACATAGGGTAGATTTAATTAAGTCCCTCTGAGTTAAGACTATTGAGGATAGAGCCAAGATCTGAGGATTTTACATGCACCGGTATGTGCATGTGTTGCAGGTGGGAGGTGGTGAATGTGGTGGGGGGAGCAGTTTTTTTACCTTTCCCTTCCCACTGGTCCCTCCCTCTGCAGTGCAGACTTGGAACAAGAAGCTCCAGGAGTTCTGCTTCTTATAGAATGATGCATGCCACCCAACCACAAGTCCCAATTAATACTATATAGATTCATTCTCCTATTAAGAACAAAGTGCTCCCAACTGGTTTCCCTGCCAAGTTCTTGTTTGTAATTCTACCCCAGATGTGTTCAGATAACAAACCTGTCATGGTTTCTTGGCAGGGTGATGTGATATGAATCAATTAAAGGTTTCTTAGTTTTTATTACACGCTTATTCTTATAAAGGCAGCTACTTGGATTTGATAAAGCTGAGAACTGTATGGGGGAATCATTTAAATATGGAACCAAATACACTTTGCTTTATCTCAAAGGCACTTAAAAATAATTTCATTTTATTTGTTTATTCACATTCACAGTTATATATTTATGTTTAATAAATTCAAGTTCATGATTTCACAAAAGGAAATGGAATACTCCAAGCATAGCAGTCTAGAAATTTTTTTTTCTGTTGAAAGTGAGAAAAATATTTAAAGACCATTAGGAAATACAATACATCTTATTACAAGTTCTCATGAACTTACAGATTTCTTTTAAAAGAAATATAAATTATTGAAATTTTCCCTCAAAAATTAATGATATAGGCATTCTTCAATAAAAAGGCAAAGCACACAAAATAATACTACAGACAGAACTCTAGGGGTGAGAAGAATGCATGGCATTTGGAGAAATTATTGCAAGTAGCTTTTAATGTCAGGAAGAGTTAGGTTCAGATTTGCATTTCAGAAAGGTCACTCTAACTACAGGTGGATAATATCTGGATTGGAAGCAGAGAAATCAGATTCTAAGACTTTGTAGCACTAGCAGAGACGTTATAGGAATCTGGTCTAAGACAGTAGCAGTGAAAATGGAAAGAAGTGGTAGGATTTAAGAAATATTAAGGATAAAGAAGTGAACTAAAATATAAAAGTAAATGAGAAGGAAAAGTGAAAATGACTGCCTAGTTTCTGGTTTGAGTAACTAGGTTCATGATAAAATAGTGAGCAAAAGAGAAGAAACAGACAAAACCTGACACAGCAAAGAAACAGCAAAACCCAAACAAAAACTGGGAGACATGACATTCCCATCAAGTCCAAATATGTGCAAGTAGAGACAAACCACCTCCAGCCATAAGCCCTGCATGCCATCAGCATGGGAGTAAGAGAGGATTAATGTCTGATGGACCTGAGAATAGGAGAATCTCAAAAGGGCCAACAGGTATTCTCTAGAAATCTCACATTTTAAGAACAGTAGTTGACACTGGGAGGGATCTTGCCCACTCCAATAGTGGATGAGCACAAGGAGCTTACATCAAAGACAGCCCAGCCCTAGTGAATTTTCCAATCTGACCTGCTGGGGCTGCTTTCCAGGAGAGGGCCCACATGAGGAGAAACTGCTGGGAAGAAAATCAAAATTGAGTGGGATACAGATAACACAGATGAAGAAAAGACCCAGATAAAAATGGGGAAGGGGAACGAAACCAGGAGGACATCTCTAAAAGAAAGCCACCATATTTTTTTAATGCTACATTTAAAAAAAACACAACAACAACAACAACAAAAGCAGAAGCAGCTCTGTGAAGTTAAAAATGCAACTTGTTCTCACCACAAAATATAGTATGTGAGGTAATGCACATGTTAATTAGCTTGCTTAGCCATTCCACAACATTTATATATTTCAAAATACCATGTTGTGAGCCATAAACAATTTGTCAATTTAAAAATAAATAAATTAAAAATAACAAAGAAAAAGAGCAATTTGAACTAAATTTCCTTTCCAAGTTCAGTAAAACTAATTGCCAATCAAAATAAGCAACAGAAAAGCACAAAGGTCAGATCCTATACAGCTATCCCATAAGATAAAAAGAATAAGAAGCAAAATAACATCTCACAGGCAATTTGTGTCAAAAAGACATATCAAAAAGATAATTACATTTTAAAAAGAGAACTCGAATCTATATTTCAAAAAGAGATAAAAGACATTAAGAAAATGATACAAGATGAGATTCCCGGGCAAGATGGCCGAATAGGAACAGCTCTGGTCTGCAGCTCCCAGCAAGACCAAGGCAGAAGGTGGGTGATTTCTGCATTTCCAACTGGGGTATCCGGTTCATCTCACTGGGACTGGTTAGACAGTGGGTATAGCCCATGGAGGGCGAGCCAAAGCAGGATGAGGTGTCGCCTCACCCAGGAAGCGCAAGGGGTTGGGGAACTCCCTCCCCTAGCCAATGGAACTCATGAGGGACTGTGCTGTGAGGAAGGGTGCATTCCGGCCCAGATACTGTGCTTTTCCCACAGTCTTTGCAACCCACAGACCAGGGGATTCCCTTGAGTGCTTACACCACAAGGGCCCTAGGTTTCAAGCACAAAACTGGGCAGCCGTTTGGGCAGACACCGAGCTAGCTACAATTTTTTTTTTCATACCCCAGTGGAACCTGGAATACCAGCAAGACACACTGTTCACTCCCCTAGAAAGGGGGCTGAAGCCAGGGAGCCAAGTGGTCTTGATCAGTGGATCCCACCTCCACAGAGCCCAGCAAGCTAAGATCCACTGGCTTGAAATTCTGGCAGCCAGCACAGCAGTGTGAAGTCAACCTGGGACACTCGAGCTTGGTAGGGGGAGGGGCGTCCGCCATTTCTGAGGCTTGAGTGTAAACAAAGCTGCTGGAAGTTCCAACTGGGCGGAGCCCACCACATCGCTGCAAAGCCGCCGTAGCAAGACTACCTCCCAAATTCCTCCTCTCTGGGCAGAGCATCTCTGAAAGAAAGGCCGTGGCCCTAATCAGGGGCTTATAGATAAAACTCCCATCTCCTTGAGACAGAGCACCTGAGGGAAGGGGCAGCTGTGGGTGCAGCTTCAGTACACTTAAATGTTCCTGCCTGCCGGCTCTGAAGACAGCAGCAGATCTCCTAGCACAGTGCTCAAGCTCTGCTAAGGGACAGACTCTCTCCCTGACCTCCATGCTTCCTGACTGGGAGACACCTCCCAGCAGGGGTCGACAGACATCTCATACAGGAGAGCTCTGGCTAGCATCTAGGGGGTGCCCCTCTGGGACGAAGCTTCTAGAGGAAGGAACAGGCAGCAATCTTTGCTGTTCTGCAGCCTCTGCTGGTGATACTCAGGCAAACAGGGTCTGGAGTGGACCCTCAGCAAACGCCAGCAGACCTGCAGAAGAGGGGCCTGACTGTTAGAAGGAAAACTAAGAAACAGAAAGCAATAGCATCAACATCAACAGAAAGGACAACCACACAAAAACTCCATCCAAAGGTCACCAACAGCAAAGACCAAAGGTAGATAAATCCACAAAGATGAGGAAAAAACAGCGCAAAAAGGCTGAAAATTCAAAAAAATAGAATGCCCCTTCTCCTACAAAGAATCACAATTCCTTACCAGCAAGGGAACAAAACTGGAGGGAGAATGAGTTGGACAAATTGACAGAAGTAGGATTCAGAAGGTGGGTAACAACAAACTCCTCTGAGCTAAATGAGCATGTTCTAACCCAATGCAAGGAAGCTAAGAATCTTGATAAAAGGTTAGAGGAATTGCTAACCAGAATAAACAGTTTAGAAAAGAGCAAAAATGACCTGATGGAGTTGAAAAACACAGCATGAGAACTTCGTGAAGCACACACAACTATCAGTAGCCAAATCAATCAAGGGGAAGAAAGCATACCAGAGACTGAAGATCAATTTAATGAAATAAAGTGTGAAGACAAGATTAAACAGAATGAAAAAGAACGAACAAAGCCTCCAAGAAATATGGGACTATGTGAAAAGACCAAATGTTTGACTGGCGTACCAAAAAGTGATGGGGAGAATGGAACCAAGTTGGTAAACACACTTCAGGATATTATCCAGGAGAACTTCCCCAACCTAGCAAGATAGGCCAGCATTCAAATTCAGGAAATACAGAGAACACCACAAAAATACTCCTCAAGAAGAGCAACCCCAAGACACATAATCAGCAGATTCACCAAGGTAGAAATAGAGGAAAAAATGTTAAGGGCAACCAGAGAGAAAGGTCGGGTTACCCACAAAGGGAAGCCCATCAGACTAACAGCAGATCTCTCTACAGAAATCCTACAAGCCAGAAGAGAGTGGGGGCCAATACTCAACATTCTTTAAAAAAGGGCTGGGCACGGTGGCTCATGCCTGTAATCCAAACACTTTGGGAGGCCCAGGCGGGCAGATCATCTGAGGTCAGGAGTTCGAGACCAGCCTGGCCAACATGGTGAAACCCTGTCTCTACTAAAAATACAAAAATTAGGCAGGCATGGTGGCGGGCGCCTATAGTCTCAGCTACTCGGGAGGTTGAGGCAGGAGAATTGCTGGAACCCGGGAAGCGGAGGTTGCAGTGAGCCGAGAGTATGCCATTGCACTCCAGCCCAGGCCAATAACAGCCAGACTCCATCTCAAAAAAAAAAAAAGAAAAAAGAAAAAAGAAAAGATTTTCAACTCAGAATTTCATAACCAGCCAAACTAAGCTTCATAAGTGAAGGAGAAATAAAATCTTTTACATAGAAGCAAATGCTGAGGAATTCTGTCACCACCAGGCCTGCCTTACAAGAGCTCCTGAAGGAAGCACTAAATATGGAAAGGAAAAACCAGTATCAGCCACTGTGAAAACAAACCAAAATGCAAAGAACATCGACACTATAAAGAAACTGCATCAACTAATGGGCAAAATGACCAGCTAGCATCATAATGACAGGATCAAATTCACATGTAACAATACTAACCTTAAATGTAAATGGGCTAAATGCCCCAATTAAAAGGCACAGACTGGCAAATTGGATAGAGTCAAGACCCATTAGTGTGCTATATTCAGGAGACCCATCTTACGTGCGAAGACACACACAGGCTCAAAATAAATGGATGGAGGAAGATTTACCAAGCAAATGGGAAGCAAAAAAAAGCAGGGTTGCAATCCTAGTCTCTGATAAAACAGACTTTAAACCAACAAATATAAAGAAAAGACAAAGAAGGGCATTACATAATGGTAAAGGGATGAATGCAACAAGAAGAGCTAACTATCCTAAATATAGGCTTCATCTTTGGGATGCAAGGCTGGTTTAACATATGCAAATCAATAAACATAATCCATCACATAAACAGAACCAATGACAAAAATCACATGATTATCTCAAAAGATACAGAAAAGGCCTTCGATAAAATTCAACACCTCTTCATGCTAAAGACTCTCAATAAACTAGGTACTGATGGAACATATCTCAAAATAATAAGAGCTATTTATGACAAACCCACAGCCAATATCATACTGGATGGGCAAAAGCTGGAATCATTCCCTTTGAAAACCGGCACAAGACAAGGATGCCCTCTCTCACCACTCCTATTCAACATGTTATTGGAAGTTCTGGCCAGGGCAATCAGGCAAGAGAAAGAAATAAAGAGTATTCAAATAGGAAGAGAGGAAGTCAAATTACCTCTGTTTGCAGATGTCATGATTATATATTTAGAAAACCCCATTGTCTCAGCCCCAAAACTCCTTAAGGTGATAAGCAACTTCAGCAAAGCCTCAGGATACAAAATCAATGTGCAAAAATCACAAGCATTCCTATACACCAATAATAGACAAACAGAAAGCCAAATCATGAGCAAACTCTCATTTACAATTGCTAGAAAGAGAATAAAATACCTAGGAATATAACTTACAAGGAATGTGAAGGACCTCTTCAAGGAGAACTACAAACCACTGCTCAAGGAAATAAGAGGACACAAACAAATGGAAAAACATTCCATGCTCATAGATAGGAAGAATCAATATCGTGAAAATGGCCATACTGCCCAAAGTAATTTATATATTCAATGCTATTCCTATTAAGCTACCACTGACTTTCTCCACAGAATTAGAAAAAAACTACTTTAAATTTCATATGGAACCAAAAAAGAGCCCACATAGCCAACACAATCCTAACCAAAAAGAACAAAACTGAAGGCATCACACTACCTGACTTCAAACTATACTACAATTCTATAGTAACCAAAACAGCATGGTACTGGTACCAAAACAGATATATAGACCAATGGAAGAGAACAGAGGCCTCAGAAATAACAACACACACACTTACAACCATCTGATCTTTGACAAACCTGACAAAAAACAAGAAATGGGGAAAGGATTCCCTATTTAATAAATGGGAAAACTGGCTAGTCATATGCAGAAAACTGAAACTGGACCCTTTCCTTACACCTTATACAAAAATTAACTCAAGATGGATTAAAGATTTAAACGTAAGACCTAAAACCATAAAAACCCTAGAAGAAAACCTAGGCAATACCATTCAGGACATAAGCATAGGCAAAGACTTCATGACTAAAATACCAAAAGCAATTGCAACAAAAGCCAAAATTGACAAATGGGATCTAATTAAACTAAAGAGCTTCTGCACAGCAAAAGAAACTATCATCAGAGTGAACAGGCAACCTACAGAATGGGAGAAAATTTCTGCAATCTATCCATCTGACAAAGGGCTAATATCCAGAATCTACCAGGAACTTTACCAAATTTACAAGAAAAAAACAAATAACCCCATCAAAAAGTGGGCAAAGGATATGAACAGACACTTTTCAAAAGAAGACATTTATGTGACCAACAAACATATGAAAAAAAGCTCATTATCACTGGTCATTAGAGAAATGCAAATGAAAACCACAATGAGATACCATCTCACGCCAGTTAGAATGGCAATCATTAAAAAGTCAGGAAACAACAGATGCTGGAGAGGATGTGGAGAAATAGGAATGCTTCTACACTGTTGGTGGGAGTGCAAATTAGTTCAACCACTGTGGAAGACAATGTGACGATTCCTCAAGGATCTAGAACTAGAAATACCATTTGACCCAGCAATCCCATTACCGGGTATACACCCAAAGGATTATAAATCATTCTGCTATAAAGACACATGCACACGTATGTTTAATGGGGCACTATTCACTATAGCAAAGACTTGGAACCAACCCAAATGCCCATCAATGTTAGACTGGAAAAAGAAAATGTGGTACATATACACCATGGAATACTATGAACGCATAAAAAAGAATGAGTTCATATACTTTGCAGGGACATGGATGAAGCTGGAAACCATCATTCTCAGCAAACTAACACAGGAACAGAAAACCAACCACCATATGTTCTCACTCATAAGTGGGAGTGGAACAATGAGAACATACGGGCACAGGGAGGGGAACATCACACACTGGGGCCTGTCGGGGGGTGGGGGGCAAGGGGAGGGATAGCATTAGGAGAAATACCTAATGTAGATGACAGGTTGATGGGTGCAGCAAACCACCATGCCACATGTATACCTAGGTAACAAACCTGCACGTTCTGCACATGTATCCCAGAACTTAAAGTATAAAAAAAAAGAAAAGAAAATGATATAAGACATAGAAGAACAATATAAGAACAGTGAAATGTAAGATAAAAGGTTGTTTTAGAAACTAAGCAATAAGGAACGCAAGGGTACACAAGGAACACAAGGGTAATTAAATATGATAAATAATGCCTTAAGAGAAATAGAAATGGAAAGTTTAAAAGTTGAGCAGAAATGAAGATGATATAAAGAGTTTGAGATAAGGTGACAAATAGTGAAGACAGGCAAAGAAGAACCAACATACAGATACAGAAGAGTCCCAGAAAAAAGAATAGCAAAGCAAAAGGAAAACTATACCTCAAGAAAACCTTAAAATTAAATTAAAAAAAAAATTCAGAGTATATATTGAAAATTCATGCTAAATACCTAAGGATATTAACCCAGAATAAGCAACATGAAGATACATTCTAATAAAATTACCAGACTTAAAAGAAAAAAAATCCTTTGGACACCCACGTAAAAAGAGTATCTGGCATTTAAGGAAAATAAAATTATGATCAGACTTCAACAGCTTCTCCACATTGTCAGAAGTTCAGTCAACTGGAGATACAGTTGGCTTAACAAGTACCCTTTTAAAAATGTCTCTCCCCATCTGTCCCTCAAAGTACAGTTGGGGCTTGATGTAGAGCAATATAAGGATCCCGGGACCTTAAATCTTAAATCTGTTCCATTTTGATATAAATAATCTGATTTAAGATATTCAAGAAAAGAAACTGGGAACAAGGATTTTACATGCAGTGAAACTGACTTTCAAGTATAAAGAACACAGAGAAACTATTAATAACATGCAAGAAGAAGGAATACTGTTCTGTGAGGCATTCATGAGGAACCTACTAGGCAACAAGTCTCAGAAAAACAAAACTGTTGAGAAACTGACATAAGGACTGGTGATAAACATAACTATATGGTTACTTGTAGAAGTAAAACCAAATGCAGTTAAAAGGAAAAGGTCATAGTGTGAAATGGTGAAATGTTTTAACAATGTAGATATAGTCCAACTATTCAAAAAAATACAATAACTCGGATAGTACAGGCAAAACCATTTTTAAAATTGTTTTCAGTAATCAGAATTAATGATGGTGGTATATACAACTGTCATTCTGAGACTGCTTCATGTGTAAAGAGGGATAAAGCAAATGAGTATTTATAGAACTTTCTAATGCTAGCATCTTCTCTGTACTACGTAGCCAGGATTCCTGTTGTGGAAAAAAGGATACGCACCACAATAGAGAAGTGGTTAAGTAAAAACTCTGTAGTACTGAATTTGAATTGAAAACATCAGTATGAACTCACAAGGTATTATATGTGCAATGACCATCCATAATGCTCATTATGTGGTCTTGGAATACCATTTTCTATTTTAAAATAAACAAACAAAAAACAAAACAGGAGGTCAGGGTGGAACATGTTCAAGATGAAGCTGGAACGCCCTGCCATTTCTGCTATCGAAGAAGCATATTTACCCCCCTTTTCCTATGTGAACTGTAATCAGAGTAGATGAGAGTGAAGCACAAAATTATTTCAGCTAATAAATAAAAACAAAAATAAAATATTAGAATATTACCATTCTGAAGCCCCAAAGTATTAAGGGATATAAGCGTGAAGAAAAACTAGTCATTATGTGGTGCATGACAAAAGAACCCAATATGCCCCCATAGTTTTGCCAAAAGGTTCCAACCTGAGTGTGATCTAGCCTGTGGAACTAGCTGCCAATCTGTATAAAATAAGAGAACAGAGGAACGTGACCTGCACCACAAGTGTGCAACTGGGAAACTATGGGAAACTCTATAGGTCAAATGGTCTGGATTCAACAGGTAAATTATAAGAAAAAGAAAGAAATGGAGGGGCAGACCGTAGATTAAAGGAGATTTAAAAGACATTAAGCTTTAAAAAAAGTGAGCATGATTAAACTAAAATATCTAGAAATGAATAGTTAAGTGATTAAACCTTAAAGACATTCTAGTGATGTCTGTGAAAATCAGGGTAGTGGTAACTTTTGTTGGGGGAGGGTGTTTCGATTGGGGCAAAGAGAAGGGCTTCTGGGGTGAATGAAAAAGTTCTAAATCTTTACCTGAGTTGTAGTTAGAAGAAAGTTATCTTTCTAATAACTCATTATGCTACTCTTGGCCTTTTGCATGGTTTTGAGTATTTTATTTCTCAATAAAAGGCTTTAAAAATAATAAAAATGGCAGAAGAGAACTGGCACAGGCATGAGGCTGTTGAGTCGAGGTTCCTGTGGACAATTAGGTGTAACTGTTCAGGAGGCTGCTGGATTTACATGTCTGGGGCTTCGGAGGAAGGTTTTTCAGGAGAATGTATGGAGCAATCAGCACATGATCGCTGAAGCACAGGAGGGGTGTGGAGAGAAAAGAAGGCCGAGGACATGGCCCCGAGAGGAAGACACAGGTTCTGAAGATGTAGGTTGAAGGAGGGGAACATTTGAAAAAAGAAACAGCCAGAAAGGCTCAGAGAAAACCAGGAGAGGGCAATGTCACAACCGGAGGGATGAGGTTTTCAGCAGGAGAGTGGCAACACCTCATGCCGCCACAGTGTCAGGCAGCACACAGGCAGAGCGGGGTTGCCGGATCCAGCCACACCCACACGAAGGCCGAAGGCCGGCTGTGACCTTAGCAAGAGCAGTGCCTGGTGGGCCTGTCAGTCACAGCATGGTGGCTGTGAGGAAGTAGAGTTGGGGAGTGCAGCGAACTCCTCACCTGTTTAGTGCTGAAGAGAAGTAGGGAAATGTGGCATTCAGGGAAAATTATTCTGAAATAGGGTTGGTGAACATATTTGCAAGGCTTCTAAAAAGCTGGAGAACTTCCTATCTGACAGTGTCTATGTTCTCAAAGAAGGAAGAGGCAAGAATACTTGCTATAAAATCAGGGGAGAAGTGACAAGATAGATGCTTGAAGAGAGGGCTGAACAGCTGATGTGGGGCACAGACAGGGGAGGGGGAGAAAGGGGCAGGGAGGTGACCCGAGGCCCACTGATGGGGTGCTGGCAGCCCTGAGGCTCTGCAGAGCCTGGTGGCCAGGGCGGCTGTGACCCCAGTCCCCACGGCACAGAGTCTCTGAATCAGTGTTTCGCAGCCTTCTGGTAGGACAGGAGAGGACTCAGACTGGGGTTTCAAAGAGCAACAGAGGGACAAGGAGTCCAAGCAGGATGGAGATTCAAATTCTAGGTCCTGAAAATGGAGGACTAAATAGGCAGAGGAAAGGAAAACAGGAAGATTAAACATTTCGCAACCTACTCATCTGACAAAGGGCTAATATCCAGAATCTACAATGAACTCAAACAAATTTACAAGAAAAAAACAAACAACCCCATCAAAAAGTGGGCGAAGGACATGAACAGACACTTCTCAAAAGAAGACACTTATGCAGCCAAAAAACACATGAAGAAATGTTCATCATCACTGGCCATCAGAGAAATGCAAATCAAAACCACTATGAGATATCATCTCACACCAGTTAGAATGGCAATCATTAAAAAGTCAGGAAACAACAGGTGCTGGAGAGGATGTGGAGAAATAGGAACACTTTTACACTGTTGGTGGGACTGTAAACTAGTTCAACCATTGTGGAAGTCAGTGTGGCCATTCCTCAGGGATCTAGAACTAGAAATACCATTTGACCCAGCCATCCCATTACTGGGTATATACCCAAAGGACTATAAATCATGCTGCTATAAAGACACATGCACACGTATGTTTATTGCGGCACTATTCACAATAGCAAAGACTTGGAACCAACCCAAATGTCCAACAATGATAGACTAGATTAAGAAAATGTGGCACATATACACCATGGAATACTATGCAGCCATAAAAAATGATGAGTTCATGTCCTTTGTAGGGACATGGATGAAACTGGAAACCATCATTCTCAGTAAACTATCGCAAGAACAAAAAACCAAACACTGCATATTCTCACTCATAGGTGGGAATTGAACAATGAGATCACTTGGACACAGGAAGGGGAATATCACACTCTGGGGACTGTGGTGGGGTCGGGGGAGGGGGGAGGGATAGCATTGGGAGATATACCTAATGCTAGATGACACATTAGTGGGTGCAGCGCACCAGCATGGCACATGTATACATATGTAACTAACCTGCACAATGTGCACATGTACCCTAAAACTTAGAGTATAATAAAAAAAAAAAAATTAAAAAAAACAAAACAAAACAAAAAAAACAAAAAAAAAACATTTCCTTCTTCCTGGGGAAAAGGTTGGCCCTGAGTGAAGTGCTGATCTCTTGGAAGTTTATCTTTTGCATCTTCCCCTCTCCAACCTCCTAGTGACTCTCCCTCCAGGGTTCTGGGGTCCTTATGCTGCTCTACATCAAGCCCCACCTGTACTTTGAAGAATGAATTGGGGGGAGACATTTTTAAAAGGGTACTTGTTAACCTAACTGTATCTCCAATTGACTGAACTTCTGACAATGTGGAGAGAAAACTTGGGGTTAGAAACAATCCAAGGACGGTGGGGTGTACTAGGCATTTCACATGCAGGAGAGGCTCCCCTCACGCCTTGGGGCTCAAAAGGACATTTCTTTAAGGCAAAATGCAGGTGGTGGAGAAGACATCTTTCTGTGATACTTTCAGAAAAATAAAATAAAAATGTTTTTTCTTGGCTGGGTGAAATGTGATTTCACTTTTTATGATAAAAGATAAATTATAATCAAGGATGTTTAATGGCTGCAAATAGATGTGATCCTCTGGGCTAAGAAATATTTTAAAGTGATAAATAGTTGTAATTAGCATTTCTAAAACCAATCAACTGTCATTTTCTATGTAACTAATGCTATTCTAAGCTCAGTGAGTACAGAATGACCCTACTTTCTTAAACCAAAAACCACGATACATGGACTGGAGACAGAGAAAAATAGAGCTTACTATGTGCCAGGCAGTATCCTCATTGCTTTATGTATATTAATTACTTTAATTCCTACAACCCTATAATTATTGCCATTTTACAGATGAGGAAATTGAGGCACAGAGAGATTAATTGCTCAAGATCTCACAGCTAGTAAACAGGGGAGCCACTATTTGAACCTTGGAAGTCTGAAACTTATGTACCAACATTAGACATGAAGTATAAAATGCATAAATTATTACAGAAACTTGTACTGTGTTGAATACTATGTTGAAAAATTTATGTCCGCCTACAACCTGTAAATGTGACCTGTGAATGTGACCCTATTTGGAAATAGGGTCTCGACAGAAGTGATCAAGTTAAGACGTGGTCTTACTTGATGAGAGCGGACCCTTATTCAATAGAGAGAAATTTGGACATGGGTTCTGACGTAGGGCCAATACCATGTGACTACAGGGAAGAGACTGGAGTGATGTGTCTGCGAACCAAGGACTGCAATAACCAAAAGCTAGAAAGAGGCAAGGAAGAATCCTCCTTTTGCTTTTGGAGAGAAATCTTTATCAGGCTTCATTAATTCAACCAATGACATTTATAAGATAGTAAACTTATTACCTCTTTAGGGGTTATCAAGTGTTTTAATTCTCTGTTTTATATTTGTTCAAATTCAAAGCCGTTCTAAATAGCTTTTGTAGCATTTATCTTTGGAAGATACTACTGCAAGTAAATTTTGCAGTAAAGTTTTTCACCAGTTACTGATGGCTAAGAAAATAATTTAATAGATAACTGCCACCATGTCTACAATAATTAGGCACAAAGGTACAAACTATTGTAGAAGTTTTTCAAATTAATAATACAAGAGTGTTTCCCCCTTAGGCGACAATACATGAGGTGCTACTGTTTTTTCTTTTATGAATGAGATGCAACCTAACTCCACTCCATTATTTCCCAACATATAAGGAGTGTTCTGAAAGTTCATTTGAAAGTATATACTTTGAGACGAGGCACACTTTTCTAAAGTGTAGTAACAGGGTAGTAACAGGTACTGTCTGAGCCAGGCTCCAAGCTAGATACTACACATACTTTGCCAGGTTTAATTTTCATGATTATTCAACGAGATAGGTATTGAAGGCCTATAATCTCTCATCTTAAACCCTGGGGCCAGAGCTTTTGGCTTTCAGCATTTCCTTATTTTAGAAAAATAATATGGTACATATGGTGTACACTAAGTCATGCCTCTAGTGAGGTCTGGGACAGCACTCAGTTGCCGGATGAAGATTTCTGCATCAAAGCATACCCATTTCCACACCAAGAGAGATGGATGAGGACTCTAAATAGCCTGATGTTGTTTCAGGTAAGATTTGCTGCCTAATGAGTTCAGGTCAGGTCAAATTTCCTAAAAACTGGTCCTCTGAGGTTTCTGAATTTCATAACTGGGGATAAGGGTGTGGGAACCTGTATGATTCTCATTTTCTAGAGGAGAAAATGTGGTTAAATAGAGTCAAGTAACTCACACATGGGTGTGTAAATAGGAGTTGGATCCAAACTCAGGTCTCTCTGGCTGCAAGGCTCTGGTCTTTGCACCACACCTGAATGCCTTAAAATGGCTATTTCATCCCACCATCAACCCAAACCACAGAAAATGACAGTGCCATACAGAATCTGAGCGTTACATGGCATTTCTAGAAGGAGTTGTGCAGGGTTTCAACCCTGGGCACTTCCCCTCACACTCCTAAGACAAGGGACAACCTGACCCAGCACATGAGGGAGTAAGACATGAAACTCTGCCAGCTTTGGCAGAGGCAAAGCAGGAAGGGGCCTGAGTAAGGAAGTAGAAAGGGAAGGTAGAAGATCAAGCTTTAAGACAGGAGGATGAATATGGACTTTGAAGAAGATGTGAAAAGTGAGAGTGGGAGGAAAAGGCTATCTATGAATAAGGGGAGGCTTAGGGCTCAAGCAAGGAAGGGCCATTGTGGACTGGCTGGAAGAGAGAAACTGTAATTGGAAAGGGGAATTTTTTTTTCCCTTCACAAATGAAAGACAACAGTAGAAGAGGGAAGCAATGGGAAACAACAGCTGAACCTGCCCTTTCCTTCCAGCCTAACCTCCCTTCACTGTCAGCAGCACTGGGAAGGGAGCAGCACTGGGAAGGGAGTGAGCACTGGTAGAGCCCTGTTCCATGCCAGGCATCTCTGTGGCACTTCACCTTGACCTCATCCAACCCTAGCAACCCTCCAGGGTCTTACAGATGAGCAACAGACTCAGTGAGGGAAACGTGCCGAGGTCACAGAACCTCAAAGTGGAGAGGTGGGATTCAATCCCAGCTCTGAACTATCCCCAAGTCCATGTTCTTTTCAAGGACCAAAAATGGGTGGGTGTGGGCAAAGCAGCAAGAACTCAAGGGCTGAGTCAAGTGCCAGGAGTTGGGGTGGCGAGGGAAATGGGGAACTTGGAGAGATACAAAATTTCTATCCATCAGGAGAAATTTCTGCAGCAGCTGGGAAGTGAGAAACAGACACAAACCAGACAGTAATAAGTTAGGGACCGCTTGTTAAGATCATCTAAGTCAAGTACAACATCAGGGAGCCATATAAATTCAGATACAAATTAAAAACAGTAACGTACCATATATACTTACTTCCCAAAGTTCATAGAGCTCCTTTCTGAGGTCCTCTGGTAGGAGCTGGGTTATCTGCTTCATAGCTTCCTGAAATATTAAACCATTATCTTTAATTATATTGACATTTATCACAGTTAACAACCACTCTGCAACAGACAAATAGGTTCGGATTCTTACAAACAACTCTCACAGGGGCAGCAGAGTAAATTGGCCTATACTGGACAATATTTATAGCTTGTGAGGAAGGCAGGCAGTTGTATACCTTAAATAAATAAGTGTAATCATTCATATGGGCTTCGCTTAGCACCTCTTTTGTGGTCTACAACACAACAGACATAGAAAAGGACAATGAGGAGGTCATGAGACAATTACAGAAATATCAGAGGTGTTCAAGGATTTTACATCTGTGGATAAATCACAACATACCCACATACATTTCAATCATAAGCATATGAGAGTTCAAAACAAACCTGAGTGGGGAGAATGGGAAAGGAATACTGAATTACAAAGCTCAAAGAGATTTTTTGTATATTCATTTTCTATTGTTAACATGTTTTTATTGCAAGATGTAAAGTACAATACAAATGAGCGATTATTGCCATTAACATAAACGAAGTTACATGATAGAATTTTGTAGGCTCACAGACTCACAGGCTGAAAAGGGATATTAAACGGCAATTAGCTAAACCATCCATGTAGTATCTGAACCCTTCAATAGCATCATGGAACAGTTCTATCCTCTTTCCAAAAATGTGTGCATTGGTAGGGAGCCTAGTACCTCAAGAGGCTGCCTTAGACAGTACTGGCAGAAATTATTTTCTTATATCAAGCTGAAAATTTTCCCTGTAGTTCTTCTACCACACCTAACCCATCCCTCCTGCTTTCCTCTCTAACCCACAAACACAACGTCAAACAGGTGGACAGTGACCCCGCTGGGCTGGACTATCTGTGGCCACAGTGACTGGTCTAAGAGATAATCTTATAATTCAAACCAGGCATTCAGGGGCCATCTGCATTTGTCAAGCAGAGGCTAGGAGAGAAGCCATATTCCCCACCACAAGGAGAAGCGTTGAGAGTTAGCCAAAACCTAATGAAAAGCAGAGACAAAATAAGAGTAGAGGGTGTCCTGTACTTCTAGGCTTTCTGTACTTTCTGGTCTCAAAGATCCCAGGAGCTACCCTTATCCTCCAGTCTTCTCCTTTATTTATGAGTTACTCCAGTATCCTTCCTTTATTTCTGAATTACTCCAGTACTCTCAAAAAGCTTCAAATTCCTTCACCACCTTCATCCCATACCTTTTAATCAGCCTCAGTTCTTCTAACCACAGAGGTTAGGCTCTTTGAACGGAATATGGCTATAAAAACCATTTTTGGCAATATAAAGGTCTTACATAAAATAAAATAGTGAGTTGCAGGAAAGCAGTGAAAATAAAATTGGACATTTGTGTGTATATTTATTTATTACTGGGAGAAAAAAAATGTTACAGAATACAACCACTTCCAGAGCAAACCACATTTGCCAATGTCAACAATCCACTCTTATAAATAACATCACCATCTTGAATGGCTTGTTCAGTTACAGAGTGGTAGCATCACACTACCCTTAGTAGGAAGGAATTTAGCTTATGTTGTACATGCATTCTCCCTTGTTTCTTTTTCATAAATTTCAGCAAGAATACTTGAGAAAATACTTTATATTTTCACAAATTAACTGTGTCTTTATAGATTCCTTTTCTCTACACTATTGCAGAAACACAAGTTTGCCAATTACTTCCAGTTGAAAAGAATGAACTAAATCATATGTACATACAGGTATATGAACATCTCAACTGTAGAATGCAAACATGAAAGTCCTGCTCTGACAGGAGACTATTTTATTCTCTTTAAAATGACACACCTAGAACTGAATACAGTGATATATGTATGATCTGACCAAGGTGGAAGAAAATGGAATCATCACCTTCCTCATGCTAGATACTATATTCCTTTAAGTGCAGTGTAAGACTGAATTGGCTTTTTGGTGATCACATCCAATTACTAAGTTATTAATAGGCTTCTTTTTGTTCAAAATCACCATATTCTTTAAAAAACAAAACAGCAAATACGTTGTTGCTCTCTTCCTGAAACTGAACTATGATTTTCTGAATCTAGGCTGATTGATATTTGTTAATCACACAATCAGAATAGCATTTTTGAAACCTTGTAGAGAGTTAATATTCTTTGTTTGGCAGCACATGCCAGAATCATGCCTTTTTAATTGAACCCTCTGAAATCAACATGGCTGAGGTCCAGGGTACACAGCTGAGTATGCCAGCCTTTCCCTTCCTGGCAAGCGATGAGCCCTGACACTTCCACTTCTATACTGAGTTTCACCTTGTTGTTCAGTCATAGATTTAGAGTGACAGCTTCCCTAGCCTCTTCCTCTGTTAGCAAAATATGTCAAAAATCTGCCTAAAGTGCCGAGCTGAATGAAGCTTTCAGCAAATATTTTGTGTCAGTTTTGTGACAAGTAACTGGAAGGTATTATTCATCATTCAGACACTGATGAGGCTGAAGAGTGTAGTAGTCAACTGAAGACCAGATCCAGACTGGGTTTCAAACCCGGCTCGCCATTTATTAATACTAGCTGTGGAACCCTGAGCAAGTCATTTGACCTCTTTGTCCTTCAGGTTTCTCATCTACACAGTGGGGTTAAATATTGGTACCTACCTAAAGGGATCATAGGGATTAAACAGTTAATACACATATAAAGTGCTTATTATTGGCACATAATAAGCACTTTATAAATCTGCCACATAATAAGCACTCTATAAATGTTTGCTGTGTTTTTCATTTTCTCCTTCTTGTCATACTTACTCTATGATAAAGTTCCATTCTCTTTGTAATCTCCAAGTTCTTTAGCAACTTTAACCCTCCCAGACACAGGCATACCACGACTCTGCCCTCTGTTTCAATAAGGTTTCCCCTTTGCAAAGGAATATGACCTGCCACCATTATATTCCAGCTTCAAGTTCCACCTCACTAGATCACAGTGATCCTTATCAGACATCATTTATCAACCTGCATTATCAACCTGCATAATATCAAGTGTATGTTAATATGTTTAGGAATGAGGCCAGACTACAAGTATTGCTTTTGGCTCCTTTCTAAATTTGTTTCTTCTATGCCCTCATTCTCCCTTTCATCTTAATACCTACTTTTCTCCAAAACAATCAGCCTTCCAGGTTTATCAAGTATAGTTGGTCCTCCATATCTGTGGGTTTTGCATTAACGGATTCAACCAACCATAGATAAAAAAAAAAATTAAAAAAAAAGATACAAATAAAAAACAATACAGTGTTATCAACTATTTACATAGCATTTGCATTATATTAGGTATCATAAGTAATACAGAGATGACAAAGTATATGGAAGGGTATGTGCAGGTGATATACAAATACGACACCATTTTATCTTCAGCATCTGCAGATTTGGTTATCTATGGGGGTCCTGGAACCAATACCCCATAGATACTGAGGGACCACTGTATTTTTTCTCCCTCCTACTTTAGTTTAGAGGCTCACTGATGTAGCCAGCAAGGGCAAATGAGGTTTCCTGGTTCTCATTAGGCAAATTCCACTCAGAGCCAAGAAACCCTCATTTAATTATCTTAATGCATGGTTCAGACATCCAAATCTTGTTCATAAACACCATCTGCATAAAGAATTGTTCACCTCCCTGATTTTCTTCTCTCTTCCCAAATCCTGACCAGCAGCAGGAAGAGGCAATAGAACATCAGTGCTCTCCAAGCCTTTGGTTTCTTGTCCAAGAACTTGTGGTTCTTTAAGATGTTTCCCCATTGCCTTCTGCTTATGACATTTATTCCCCTGTGAATCAGCAGGAGTGGGCAGCAGTCAGGAGGTTTAATGAGGCTGGAAAGGTTTTTCATCAAAGCCAGGATATAGCATCCTAGAAGGCAGCAGTATCCTCTCTGATTGCTCAGGTCCCCTCTGTGCCTGTCCATGGGGTGTCACCAGCCAGGACTCAGCTCTTGTAGGGACAGTCGTAGGTCCTCCTCACTTCCAGTTGTTGGAGATGGTTCACACTGACTGGTTCTTCTCCAGAAGGTTTTGACTTGCTCCTCTGCGGAGTGAATCTCAAATTCACTGTGTGCTTCCAGAGGGAAGTCTGTCTTTTTCCTCTAGGCCCCATTTTTCCTTGCCTTCTCTTCACCTTAAGGTCTTCAATGACTCACTGGTACTTTAGAATATGATTTCTCGTCCACAATGTCCAGATTTACCCTTGAATAAAACTATCCTACAATGAGCTGTGTAATTGAGGAATTTTTTTCCCTTCCTTTCCCTCTGTGTTATACTTCATTACTCACCATCCTCTGGTTCAGCTGCTAATTCCTTTCTGCAACTAAGAATCTCGAACTAATTGGTTTCTTTTTATATTAATTCTGCCAGTCAACAGAACAGTTCTTTATTCATGGCAGTGCAGATTCATATAGAGAAACATTTCCTTAGACTCCTCCCCTTTTCCTGTCTTGGTCAGCCTGTATCTTGGACCTAAACTTTGGCAGGAAGAACACATTCCTTATACTATTCCCCTTGTGCCTACACTTTTGGGTAGGTTGGAACTCTTAAACTGGGACTCTCGTTCCTTGTGGCTCTTCTTACCTTTGAAGGGCAAAAATCCTGCTGGCTACTGAGCCCGTTAGTCTACAGGTGTACAGATCAAAATGGAGTTTCTTATGTCTTCCTTTTCTACAAAGACACAGTAACAGTCTGATGTCTCTTTCTTTTCCCCCACAAGCTCCAGTCTCCCCAGCTCTGAGAATAGACATTTAAACACACTTGCCCTGTTAAACCATCTCAATAAAGACTCCTACTACTCAGCAATTTAGGACCAATCTCTTAGGCCTCTAATAAAAGTAGCTAGCAATAACTCTTGAATTGAAAACCAACCACTCAGCATTCAAAAAAGGCTTCCTTCATTTTCCAGCTTCTGCTTCAAACATATCTTCCTCGTTTGCCCTGGGCTTTGGGTTTAGAGTCCAAACTGATGTTAATTTAATACATTATTGATGTTATTCATTTCTTTCTAATACAAATACTTGACTTTTCTTTACCTTCAACCCCTAAGTTAAAGGAGTAACTTAAAATTTACTAAATAATAATTACAATAATGATTCGATTTGTGATTTATAGAACTTCTCTCCAAAAAGCTTATTTAGCATGGAGAATTCCTACAAATTCATTTAAATTCCAGCTATTTTCATTATTCTAATGAAAGTTAGTGTGGAGGGAGAGGGGGGTTAAAAAAACTACCTATTGGCTTACTATCAGGGTGACAGGATCTGTACTCCAAACCTCAGCATCACACAATATTCCCATGTAACAAATCTACACATGTACCCTGTAACTAAAATAAAAGGTGAAATTAACAAAAATAAAATAAAATAAAAATTACCTAGCCTCGGGTATTTCTTTATAAAAGCTACAAAAGAACAGACTAACACAACAAGCAAAATCCAATCTGCTGCTTATTCCAGGAAATCCCTGCTTCTGGAAGATAAGGCTGTAAACCCCCTAAAACTGGGTCAACACTAACAGTTTATTCTTCAAAACTCATTACGACCTTCCTTCACATGTTTACCAATCTAAATCTATTATATCCTAAACTGTGCAATCCCAGCTAGTTGCCTAACTTGTCAGATCCATCTTAATATTCTCCAGCCCAGGCCCTGAATCTCTAAAAATATCTTCCCCTGACCTTCCCCTTCCTAAGACACTACTAAGACTATCAAGGCGGTATTCTCCCTAACTGTAACAGGTCTCATAAACTTAGCTTTGCTTCAGCAAGAGGTTTTTCTGGTGGTTTTTTGCACAGTCAATAGTCAACACTGACCTCTTCTCGCCTATGTTTTTCTTCTTTGGGGATGTTATCTGCTGGTGCTATGTCCCCAACGATGCATTCTGCCATATCATGAACCAGGGCTAGGCGTACACATCTGATCAGGCAAGAAATGTCGAATAATTACACAGAATTATATTTACTACAAGTTCCTTCTCTATACTCTTCCAAAGTTATATAATATATATATTTTTTCTCCACCCTCACAGAGTATTTTAATGTAGTATTTTCTAAAGTAGTTATATTCTGCCAGCCTACAACAGTTCTGATCAAAACTGTTAGTTCATATTCAATAAAATACATGTGAGTATAGGGGAAATTGTTAGCATTAATTTTTTTTCTTAAATGGTTTATCTCTGAAATCTCACTTTAAAAGGCTAATAGGCCAGGTGCGGTGGCTCACGCCTGTCATACCAGCACTTTGGGAGGCCGAGGTGGCGGATCACCTGAGGTCAGGAGTTCGAGACCAGCCTAGCAACATGGTGAAACCCCATCTCTACTAAAAATACAAAAATTAGCTGGGTGTGGTGGCACACACCTGTAATCCCAGCTACTCAGGAGGCTCAGGCAGGAGAATCATTTGAATCTGGGAGGTGGAGGTTGTAGTTGGCTGACACTGCACCACTGCACTCCAGCCTGGGCGACAGAGTGAGACTGTCTCAACAAAAAAAAACGAGATTACATTTGACAACTTTCATGTTCCTGACACATGTGAATCATTCAATAAGTGGTTATGATTATTAGCGGTTAAGGAATAGTGGTTGTGATAATTCATCATCAAAACAGGAAGTCAAGTAATGAGATAAATGCCCCATAGGGCCAGTATGTTTTAGGCTCCCCACACTACCAAGGCAGTACAAGGCCCAACAGTGTCCTCTGAGATTTCCCTGCCTCTAGTCTCTTTCTGGTCCAGTTCAAATCCCAGACTACTCCAAACTGCATCTCTATTGGACTTCATTTTCACCTTGTACCATTTGCCAAAAACCTCCTCAGTTCCACTTCATCTGCTGAGTAACAGAGGACTCCTCAGGCTTCCCAAATGAACTCTTTGCTGCAGTCAAGTTGATTAATTTCTCATTTGCAAAATACTCCTTTACTTTCCTACACTCAGGGCTTTGGTTTATCTGCCCTTCTCTCTGCATGCAGTGACTTCTCCTACCTCTCTGGCTACGTTAACCCTTTTGAGCTCAACTCAGATTGCACCTCCTCCATTAAGATCAACCAAGAACAGGTGATCTCCCCTGCTCTTACAATACTTAACATTTTCGACCATAACTTACATTTCACTTCTTACAGAAGCTATTTTGGGCCTGCGTAATTCACTTGGGATTTATTTACTCTCTTACATGCTAGTAAACTTTTGTTCTGTGCTCAAAAAGCATTTTAACACTTGTCGATTAAATGAAGGGGGAGAAGATACCTCTTTCTCAGCTATGTCTTGCACACACAACTCCAAAAGGAAGCCTCACGAATGGATACTACTATCCATAAAAGGCACTAGGAAAGAGCACACAGTGTACTAATACAATGCTAGAATTTTAGACATAACACACTCACCTTCAAGGCCCCAATATCACACTTAAGTTTCCCCTGATACCCTAGGCAGGCTCTATCACTTGCCAACAGAAACCCCAGATTGCAGTTTACAACAACTGAGGCAACATAACCCACATCCTAAATTTGTATGGTTTGCTTCAAATAATTTTTCTTGACCTATAAACTAACCTACAAGGATTTGACATGGGTCTCAGTAGTAAAAACGGGTGCACACCCATAGACCAGAATCTCTCACGAGCATCAAAGTCCAGCTCAGCTTACCGGTCTTTGTTAAGACGGTCATCTTTGATCACCATAGCCATAACTGCCATCCGGTACATGTGATCTGAAACGCTCTCCGGCCTCTGGACATTTCTGTATACCCAGCCAGTTCGTGGGACTCTCTGATAAATATGAAGAAGAAAAAGAAGTTTTAAAGAACAAATATTAACTATCTGCTATGCTCTTCAAGAGATGTCCAGGATATAACACACAGAAGCCGGGTCATAATTTCAGAACCTATTACAAAATGTTTTGCTAAACTAGCTAAAATGATAGACATCTGGAATCAAATGAACTAGAGAGCTCAGAGAATGAAAGGGGTAGAAGACAGAGAGAGATAAGTCACAAAGTCCATTCGTCAAATTATTCTGTTACTGATGTATAATTATGGAACATATGCAAGTCCTTTAAACAAAAACAAAACTGCATTTTTCCGAACAAGAGTTGCGGCTTTTTGCCTTCAAATAATCCTACACAAGCAGAAAACACTGTATTGAAGGGTCTGAACGTGAACGAGTGATAGGCTTCCAAATTCTGAGGCACAAGGGATAAGGGCACTTCTAATTGCTTGATGCTACCAGCCGTGACTCTTCCTTTTATTCACATCATAACTTCATCTTGTGAAACTGCATTTCTTCCTCAGAATTCTACATCTCTAAGGAATGTTATAAATAGTAGTCAGAGTGGCATGAAACGGATAATTTACTTTGAACTTGGGAGAGAGACGGGGAAGACGCACATGATGAAACTCGTGTGTATTACATTAAATCCCGTTTGGGGGGTGGCCGGGAGAAAAGTCTTGTTTCTGGAAGTAACTGTGAGACAGACATAAAAAGCTCCACTTAAAATCTGAGGAGCCGACAGATTCTGTTCTTCCCACCCGTGCTCAGAAGCAGCCGCGCTTTACACACACACACACACACACACGAGTTCTGGGGTCGTGAGCACACACACACACACACACACACACGAGTTCTGGGGTCGTGAGCCCCGGAAAAGCTCAGTGCAGGCAGGGCCAGGCCGGCTGCTCTCCGGGAACTGGCGCGGCTGCAGTGCGGACCTCGCGGCGCCAGGCTCTAGGCTCAGACTCCGGGCCGCCCCAGCTGGCCAGCCTGTCCCGCCGGCTGCTTCCTCCGTCCACCGTCGGCAACGCGCGGCCGCATCCGCAGGACTGGGGCCTTTCCGGAATTCGGCGTGGCGGACGCGGCGCAGGAAGGGCAAAGACCGCCGGCCGAGCGGGGAGGCCGGAAGCTCCGCCGCCCCACAGTCCCGCCCGCTCGGCCGCGGCCTCCCGGCCTGGTGCCCGCTCACCTTGAGCTGCCCTACCAGCCGCAGGAACTGCAGTAGGGACCGAGCCCCGTGGCCCGAGAAGGTCGCAGAGGAGACCGAAGCCATGCGGCCACCGACCCCGGCTGGGCGGAGCAGGCCGCGGCGAAGCTCCTCCCCGTCCTCCTCCTCCTCCCCTTCCCCTTGTCTTTCTTCCCCCTCCTCTTACTCTTCTATCTCTTTCTCCTCCCCCTCTTCTTCTTCCTTCTGCCCCTCTTCCTGCTCCCCCTCTTCCTCCTCCCCTTCCAACTCCTCCTCCTCCTCCCCCACTTCCGCTTTCTCCTCTTCCTCTTCCTCCTGCCCCTCTTCCTCTCTCCCCCTCCTCTTCCTCCTCCTCCTGTTCTTATTCCTCCTCCCCCTCCTCCTCCTGTTCTTATTCCTCCTCCCCCTCCTCCATATTCTCACGGTTTTCTCAGGACCTTCTGTCCAGCCTTCGCCTTCTTGGCCTTGGTGTCCGCTGCTTGGGCATTGCTCCGTCAGTGGCAGACACCTTGCTTGGCACATACTTGACACTCAGTACTCTTTATGAAAAATAAAGCTCTCCTTTCTAAATTTATGAACCTCGTTATTCTTCAGTTGACAGTGTAAAACCATGAAACTGGATGAGGTCACCTGGCAAGAGGGTGTGAATGAAGAAGAAAAGACACCCAAGACCTGAACCCCAACATTTAGGCTTTGTGAGATCAAGAGGGAACAGCCAGTGAGGTAGGAAGAGGATTAGTAGGTAGGATAGTTGTGTCCTGGAAGCCATGTACAAAAATATTTCAAGAAGGAAGGAATATGGTCAACCAAGTCAATGTGAGGACCAAGGTTTGACTTCCAGACTTAGTAAATTCAATATTATTGGTTACCCTGACAAAAGCAGTTTTCAGTGTAGTGGGCCAAGCAGAACCTAGTGAGATAATTCCGAAGAGAATAGGAGCAAGTATTACAGCACATTGGAGATGGGGTTGGGGTGCTGTTAACTAGTGGAGAGATTGTTTCAAAACAGGAGATATTATGTATGTTTACTGATGAAGGGGATCTAGTAGAAAGGGAAACATTGATTATGTAAGAGACAAAGAAGAGAAATATTTGAATGTCGGCCTTGAGTAAGGAAAAATATTCCCATCTGGTGTACAAGATAAAAGATGGGCTTTAGATAGGAATATGGAGAATTCATTCAAATATTGGAGGAGGACAGAGTATAGGGTGACTAATCAGTCGCACATGTGGTCATGGGAGGTTGTAGAAGTTCTCTTCTGATTGCTTCTATTTTCTCACCAAATTAGGAAGCAAAGTATAGGCTGGGATGTTATAATAACAAACAACCTCCTTATTTCCTGTATCTCAGCAGTTTAACACATCAAAGGTTTATTTCTCTCTCATGCTAAGTGTCTATTGTAGATCAGCTAGAGGATGCTGCTTGCTCTAACCTTACTCAGGGAGCTAGGAGGCTTTCTTTGCTCTCTTTTGCCAAAATTGGAAAAAAGAAAAGTGGCACTCTGGCTCTTAAAGCCTGTCTCTGGAAGTGATATATGACCTTTTGTCTACGTATCATTGGTGAAATAAGTAACACTGCCACGTCTAACTTCAAAGGGGGCCTGTGGAGTGCAATCTTGCTAGGCCTCTGGGAAGAAAGGAGGCTAGAATGTTTGTGAATAGAGGAGGAGGCATTTGAGGTTTAAGGAGTGATATAGTTTGGCTCTGTGACCCCACCCAAATATCATGTCAAACTGTAATCCTCAAAGTTGGAGGAGGGGCCTGGTGGGAGGTGATTGGATCATGGTGGCAGACTTCCCCCTTGCAGTTCTTGTGATAGTGAGTGAGTTCTCATGGGATCTGGTTAATGGTGTGTAGCACTTCCCCCCTTTGCTCTCTTTCTCTTCTGCTCTGCCAGGTGAAGACGATGCCTGCTTCCCCTTCACCTTCTACCATGATTGTGAGTTTCTGCAGCCATGCTTCCTGTACAGCCAATGAAATACCTTTTCTTTATAAATTACCTAGTCTTAAGTAGTTCTTTATAGCAATGCAAGAATGGACTAATACAAGGAGAAAGAAGGCATGAAATAATTTTTTTGAAGACTGGTTCAGCAACAAGATTAAATATGACTAAGAACCAAATAAATGCCAAGGACATTGGGGCTTGTATTAAACGTGGTTAGGATAATGACCTGGAAGCCATTTTTATGATGGTAAGTGGTGCTAAATAAAGGAAATATCAAGCCAGGTGTGGTTTGTGCCTTTATCCCAGCTACTTGGGAGGCTTAGATGGGAGGATCACTTGAGCCCAGAAGTTTGAAGCTGCAGTGAGTTATGATCACTCCAGCTTGGGAAACAGAACCTGTCTCTAAAAAATTAAAAATTAAAAAATGGAGGGATCAAGGTTTAAAAAGAAGGATCAAGAATCAGAGGCAAAGTCAGACAGTCCACTGGAGGAACACGAAAGCAAATGACCAAAAAGATCCAGGAGAATAAGGAAGATGAGGATGTTGGATTTGCTGAAGGATGTAGTAAGGGGCTTTCAAGAGATAGGTGCCATGAAGCAATGGGGCTGCAAGCTAGCTGGTGAATGTGCAGTGTAACCCTTACGGTTCCTTCTGAGCAGCCTTGTCTTCTTTTGCCAACAATGCATTGATTTCCTTTGAGCTCCTCCTGATTCATGCAGGCTTGATTTAGTTTCCATGGGTATTTCTGTCTGTATTTGCAACTTTCTTTGCAAAATACACGTGAGTTATCTTAACTTTGTGTAGTGAGCTGTAAAGAATTTCTCCAGTTTCCTAAGTGATCAGAAGTTGGAAGACGTCAAGTTGCTGAAAAATTATGAATTGAGTATAAATAGTTTTTGAGGGACACTATTTAAAGATGATATGGATTTTTGGAGGGGACATTACTATCTAAAAGTAAATTGTTACTGTGAAAACTCAAAATATAGTGCCGACTTCTTGCTTTTGTAAACTGAAGATGTTCATCAGGGTTCGTAACAAGGTTTATTCCTACTATATCATTAAAGACCAAGATGTTTGACTCTAGAAGGTGGAATAGTAGCCTCTTAAGGATATCTAATTTTTCCAGAGCTTGCAAATATTTCTATATTACATGGCAAAGGAGAATGGTAGCAAATGGAATTAACTTTGCTAATCAGCTGAACTTTAAATAGGGAGATTATCCTGGATTATCCCAATGAGTGAGATGTAATCTCAAGGGTTCTTAAAGATGGAAAAGGGAAGGAGAAGAGTGAATGCCAAAGGGATGTGATGGGAGAAAGACTCAACTGGCCATTGCTGGCTTTGAAGATAGAAGGGGCCATGAGCCAAGGAATGCAGGCAGACTCTAAAAGCTGAAAAAGACAGGAAAATTAGATTCTCCCCTAGAGCTTCCAGGAGGAAATGCAGTGTGGCCCGCCCCTCGATTTTAGCTTAATGCAGCCCATTTTGACCTCCAGAACTGTAAGATAATAAGTTTGTGCTAAGTTTATGGTAATTTGTTACAATAGTAATAGGAAACTAATACAGTGGATAATCATGTTGGATGTCCTGAATCCCTTTTTACCAAATACCCTTCTTCCCCTTTTCTGCTGAAGAAGGGAAATTGGAAAGCCTGTTTCTATTTCACAAAACCAAAGACATATTTCAATGATGTGTTGGTCAAGCATCTTCCTCTAGCATTAGGTTAGAGGAAATAGGAATCAATTTATTTCCACAGAAGGTGGTTCCATTTTAAAGCAGTGAGCAAGGAAGGAGATTTGGCACAATGTACTTGAGTCAATTGGAAGGAAAGATGTTTGAAATTAGAAGGCTCTCGTTAGAGGGACTCTTTACTTGGATCCAATATACATTTCAGGGGAACCTGTGGATACCCTGAAATTGTCTACAACTTGTGTTGCTTATGAAATTTTTTTTGTTTAGAAGATTCTTAAAGTGGTCTGTGGCCAGAACAGGGGCAAAATCTGCCACTATTGAGAAATCTGCTATGTATCTGTGATGTAGTACACAAAACTCTGGACTCAGAGCGATAATAATCAAAGGTACAGCTAATTGAGCCTCTGTTAGTGTGAAGCATTGTTACATCTCTCATCTTGTTTTATTCTCTCATTATCACTCCAAGGTATTAATGATTCCACATTCCAGATGGGGAAACTGAGGTGCACCAAAGCTAAAGAATTGGCCTCAGTTTTTAGAGCCAGGAAACGGTGCAAGCACTGAAACTCTAGCCTGTCTCCTTCCAAATCTTTCTTTTTGTGGCACTTGGTGCTCCCCAGTGGCTATTAGTACCCAATTCTTAATGTTGTGGAAATTCAATGAGATTACATGCCTGGAATGGATTTTGTAAACTTATTTATATGAAGAATTGGGCAAGAAAATAGGTAGTGATAGATTGATCTGAGAAATTTTGTCAGAAAATATTCATAAGTCCATTCTGGGAGATTACTAAAGAGATTTGTTCCTTTAAGGTATTCAAGGAAGAAGTGCCGCATCGGCCTGCTGCATATTCCTTGATAAAAAAGGTTTACATCAGTTGTTCTCAATCCAGGTTGTTTTACTCAAAAGGGACATTTGGCAATATTGGAATACATTTTTAGTTGTCGCAGAAAAGAGGCAGAGGAGGAGAGGAGCAAATGAGAGGCAGAGGCCAGGGCTGCTGTTAAAATTCTTGCAGAGCACATGACAACCTTCTGCAACAAACAGTTATCCAGCACAAAACATCAATAATGCTACGATTGGGAGACTACACTCTATATGTTTAAAAATGAGATGCCTAAACTTACTTTCCTTACATCATCAATAAATTATAATCCAGAGAAAGTTGATGCTATGTTTATGAGTTATATAGTAACTGTGTGAATGAGTTATAAGGTAAGCAAATAAGTTTCACACAGTATCTCCTCTTTTAATTAGTGTAGAAAAACTCTCGAGCTTACCCCTGACAGAGACTGGAAAGATGAGAGGAATTAGAGGATGGCTTTGATCATTTATGTAATTAGGTTATAGTAGAGAAATTCAGCTCAAAGAAGATAAATGTAGGATATTAAGTCTGGGAGCGAAGGAACATTACAAAAGGAATGTTTGTTCAAGGGAAAGAGATTGGGCTTTGTTCTGTTTTGCCACTTTCTTGCCTGTGGCTAAGTATTACAGCACAGAAAAAAAAAAAAAAAGTCAAAGGGTGCACACTACTTTCCCCATAAAATCAGGCATTCACTAAAGAGCCAACGGAGGGCTTTCTGTTCAAAGGAGCAGCAGCAGAGTGAACCAAGTCTCTGATGGCTGAGAGTGATGGTGAAGACTTTGCTCTACAAAAGACGTGTCTTCCTTCCAGTTAACTTGAAGCTAAGCAATGACACTTTGGCCTTCAGGCTCGAAACCAATCACCATTAACAGATGTGTTGGAGCCACCTCTGGACACCTCTCACTTATGGAGTGGAGAAGTTCTGCATATATAAAAACAACGTTACTGTTTTGTTTTGTTTTAATTCTCTGAGTCCATAATCTCTTACACCAGTGTTTTAGTAAGCCTTCGGAACTTCTCCATGGATCACCATCTTAAGTGACTACAGTTTTTCTTAGTCATACAGCAGGCTTTAGCTACCCTACAACCCCATTTTTATCATATGGGATAGACTCAAACTTTTATCTTTTCAGAGTGACCACAGCTACGGTTTGACTCTGCTTATCTACATGCATCATAAGGAATAAGGCAGGGTTTCAGGTGAATTTCACAGAGGACTTTGAGACCTGCCACTGCCTCTGGCAGCTGCTATGTGATGAATCATCACATGTCTTAGACCTGGTGGTGTAATCCTTCTCCAAGCAGAGAAAAAGAAATGAAACAATGGCATACACTCAGTAGTAGCATTTTCCTGTTATATAAAGGAATATGGTTACTCCTAAAAAACAGCAGCAAAGTTAAGTAATACGCAGAATGAGTTACATGAAACGAGAACTAAGAAAAATTTCTGAAAATATTCAGTTTCCAATCATTTGGAATATTTCTTCTTTACTTCTAACCAAAGGAAATACTGTTATTGTTGTTGTTCTAGTGCATTTCTAACTAGTGAAGAGTAGATGTACGTTTTGCAACAAAATCTTAGTTATCCTAGAGGCCAAAATTCCAGTGATATTATGCATCTGGGAGGGCATAGAAACCAGAAAATTAAAGGGGCAAAAGAGTTAAAAGTATGTCTAACAAAAAATAAATCTAGAGTATCCAGCAGTAAAACCATCAAACCAAAACATGATTTGGATTTTGCCCAAATGACACTTGACACTTAGTGTTTCCGTGGTTTGATGTCCAGAAAAGATAAAGCCACTTCAATGTTATAAGAGTCATAAAAGTCAAACCACGTCAGCATGCAAGCCACGAAGTGTAGAAGTGTGGTGGAAAAGAGAAGAAAATAAGAAAGGGGAATGGCAAACAACAAAGGCAACAAGTGGGGAATATTGCAAGTAACAGATATTGACACAAGGAAAAAAAGTTAAATAAAAGGGCAGCTACTAAAATGGCAATGCTTTGCTTCACTGAAAGTACAGGACAGTTGGGCACTGTCGATGAAAGGACAGGAGTTGCGGGAGTGGCCAAGAGTTTCAGGGAGCGAGTACAAGAAGTATTTATATGACAATGATAATATCTTTCTTTACACAACACCTAATTTGTGCCAGGCCCTTTGCTGGGATCTCTACCATATCATTTGAATCCACAGAAGCCTGCAGAATGCATTATCTGCTTTCCACAGGTATGGAAACAGCACAGAAAGGTTAAATAACTTGCTCAATGTTCCACTCCTGTGTCAGGACTTAAACTTTGTTAACACCATGGATTATATATTTTCTAGTACCTACATGGTCTCCTGGATTTTCCAAAATTGAAATGTGGAGATTCTGGCAATCATTAGGGTCTTCTGTGTGGGGACAACACTTCAATTGGAGAGGAGCTATGCTAGAATGTTGTCATGTCATGTAAATACTGGGTGAATCTGAGGTGGCTGTCTTGCCAAGGAATCATATTTTAGAGCTCGCAAGGGAATACTGAGCAGAAATGTTATTCCATATAAAGTGCATCTCAAGAAATATGTGTGTCTTTGGTTCATCCTAATTGAAAATACAATTTTCTTAGCTTATATGTTAGGTAAAGTTTCTTTTTTGATGACTGCCCTTGTTTCTGACTTGACTTCAGAAAGTGGAAGTACCAAATGACAAACCATGAAGTTGCAGAATTCTCTCACTTTTTGGCAGTACATTTCTGATTTCATAGAGTATTTCTCAAGCAGTTTTATCATGATGGTGATACTAGACAGAAAGATTCTTAAGGGTAGACACTGTGTCTGATCCATCTTTTATCTCCAGAACATAGAACCTAGCATGGCCTCCTCTAGACATGGTGATAAGAAAATTGTGATGATGGTGGTGGATTTAGAAAGGAGACACGTTTCAGGGACAGAATCACCTTGTCCAAAGGCAAGGAGGTGTGCACCATCAGGTGTTTGTAGAGCATCACAAATCAGGATCTCAAAGTTGTTCATTTACCTGAGCGCGATGGCTCACACTGAAATCCCAGCACTTTGGGAGGCCGAGGTGGGTGGATCACCTGAGGTCAGGAGTTTGAGACCAGCATGGCCAACATGGCAAAACCCTGTCTCTACTAAAAATACAAAAAATTAGCTGGACATGGTGGCAGGCGCCTGTAATCCCAGCTACTTGGGAGGCTGAGGCAGGAGAATTGCTTCAACCCAGGAGGTGGAGGTTGCAGTGAGCTGAGATCTCAACATTGGACTCCAGCCTGGGTGACAGAGTGAGACTCTGTCTCAAAAAACCAATCTATTTGGGAGATGTTTCCCAAGTTCCATAAAAATAGATGCTGCTGGTCCAAGGGTTGTGACATTTCTTTTTAAAGATGGAGTTTTGCTCTTGTTGCCCAGGCTGGAGTGCAATGATGCGATCTTGGCTCACCGCAACCTCCACCTCCCAGGTTCAAGTGATTCTCCTGCCTCAGCCTCCTGAGTAGCTGGCATGCACCACCTTGCCCGGTTAATTTTGTATTTTTAGTAGAGACGGGGTTTCACCATGTTGGCCAGGATGGTCTCGATCTCTTGACCTCGTGATCCGCCCACCTCGGCCTCTTAAAGTGCTGGGATTACAGGCGTGAGCCACTGTGTCCAGCTGGGTTGTGACATTTCTATAAAGCAAGCATATTCAGAATTGTGACACTCCTGTCCCTGTCTTCTCCCATGTCCAGGTGAGGCTAGGGGTGGCAGGGAGTTGGGGAGAAAGCATGTTATACTGCCAGAGATGGTTCTTCCTTGTCTCTAAGGCCCGGGCACATCTATTGCCAGAGCCACAGCTGAACAACATCTGTTCTGTTCTAACTTTCTGTTTCTCCCCATTCTCTCTTCATTTGAGCTTTTAAACTGCCTTTAAAACAGGAGCCACAATGGGCCTGTATGTGCCCTCAGCTGTTTCTAATTCTCTCCCAGGCCCACTCTCTCCCAATAAATGACACATTGTAGAAGGTGTTTTATAGCCTGACTTGTTAATAGAGCCAGATCATTCTGTAACAAAACCAAACATGGCAATCAGTGTTAAAACACAAAATCACCAAAAGCTGAGTGAGATAAACATAGAACTATTTGTCATCTATAAAAGAAGGAGCGGGACCATCTAATTTTAAAAATGCTTCTAATTCTAAAATTCTAACCTTTAAAACAAGATTCCCTCACAGTTGAAGGACACACGGCTTTATACTTGGGCTATTGGATTTTTTCCCTATTTGTGGGCTTAGTTTCCCTCCATAGATTCTACTATAAAGTACAAGGATAATTAAATCTGCTCATTTTCTCTTTCCTAGGGATTCAGGACTGAATCAGATAATGTCTGTAGAGCACTTTAGGACTTCTCATGCCACACCATTGAATGTAAAAGATAATTGTCAGCAAGTAGCTGCAGAAGCCACCATCAGATAAAACATTGTTCCTTATGCTTTCATAATTAACGATAAGCATTCCCCACCACCCACCCCGCCGGCCTTTCTTTTCAGACTGGGGAAAGAGAATTCTGAATGGTGATCAAGGTCACATTTTAACTTGCAAATGTCAAGAAGAATCTCATCATTCTTGGTTATTTTTGATTGATTAATATATTAGTTAATTGCTGATGAGTTGCTAATGAGCTAATTTATATGCACAGATAGGATCTAACTATGACATAGGAGTAGCATGCAAAGCTGCAAAGCACTGCTAAACAGATCATGGGTGCTGTCCATGGCACCTCTCAGGGCAGGTTAGAGAGAAGAGTGTGGAAACATTGTGCCTCTCTTCCCACCTACTCAATAAAGACAACAGGGAAAACACATGGAGGCATCTTTGGCCATGAACTCCTCACTGCTTTACTAAGCAGCCACCTGTAGTATTAGAATACTACCACTAAGTGGCACCATCTCATTAGTATTCTCTTTTATCAGACTCCTGAAACCTGCTGCGCCTTCTCTTCTGGACCACGGAATACATTTATTGTTCTGTGTTGGCTGATTTGGGTTTAGCAAAAGGGATCTGCTTTCAACATGCTCCTGTGTTTTTTTTCCTCCTTTCCCACGTGTTTCTTTCATTCTTGGGAATCTGAGCCAATACTTAGGCATACGCATAGAGATGAAGGCCATCGTACTGGTAATAACCATAACAGACAACTTAAAGAAGACAAATACTAATAGTGAGCTTTTTAATTTGTAGAGATGAGTTCCCACTATGTTTTCCAGGCTGGTCTCAAATTCCTGGCCGCAAGCGATCATCCTGCCTCAGCCTACCAAAGTCCTGGGATTACAGGCATGAGCCACTGTACTTGGCCCTTTTTTTCTGCAACAATCCCCCAAAGCCTGAATTTTTTTTTTATTTGTAAAAAATAAATAGGGAACTTTAATTGAAGGCTTTTATTTTTGTACTGGGGGCTTTCCAGGTATTATTTCCCAAATTCATCAGCACTCAGTAAGGTTGCCTTCATTTTGTGAGCAAAGAAGCTGAGATTCAGAGAATTAAAGCAAACTTTTCAAAGATGCCCAATGAGAAGGTAAGTGAGACACAACAGGAGTCTAAGCTTACATAATGTCAGAGCATTAATGATCTTTGAATCATTCATGTGACTTAAATATTAGGTATAGTGAGAAAAGACAGAAAAAGTCTAACCCTTCGTGAAGTTCAAAATTGGAAAGGGAAAATAGAGTAAGTGAACCAAATTATTTGTAATACAAAACAATGAGTTATATATGAAATCCATCAAGTTTATAAAGGGTCTGAAATTATTGGGGACACTTACTAGGTACATGCCTCCAGTCCAGGAGACATCCTGAAACCAAATCTTCTCTTGAAGTAGAATTTTTCTGAAAGGGACATAGCTCTGAAGATGAGAGTGAGGAAGTTAGAATAAAAAATATATATTCTCGGGTTTAGCCCTCAAACTCTTGAATCTTTGCTGAAGATGATTTTGTTTCATGACACATTAATTTGTCCTATGTTATTTGAGGTGACGTCTTAGCTCTGTAAATAAGTAAAGGAGATCTAAGTAAACGTTTCAAAGGCTAACAGGCCAAACTCTCCTAGACTGATTATCCCCCAGAACCCCAGGAAAAGCAAGAGCCAGGAATCTCATAATGTGAAGACAAACTAACATTGACGTGTTATGGGCTTGACCTCCCACTTCATGTCTTGCATGCATCACTGTACTTATAACAACCCAACAAGATATGTGTAATACTACATTCGTATTCCATCAGGATGTTGAACTTAGGCAGGTTCAGCACTCACCAGAGGTCACACAGCCAGTGAGTGGTGAAGCTGGGATTCCATCCAAACTGGCAGATCAAAGAACTTGGCTTTTAACCTTTAAATACACTGCCTCCACTTGGCATGCTACATGGTGGTGAGCAAATGCTCTGGCCATTGTAATACTAACTTAAACTTGATTTATGTTTCAAAGAAGTTTCAAGTACATTATTGAATTTGATGCTAAGAACAATCCAATGAGAAAGGCAGTTTAGATTTTCTTATTACCACACCCGCCCTCTAACATGCACACACACAGACACAGACACACACACCCCAGGAGAGTTTAAGTGACTTGGGTTAAACCACAGAGCTACTAAGTGGCTGACCCTGAACTTGAACCTAAGTGTTCTCATCCTTAGCCTACTGCCTTTTTCCTGTGACAGCAATACCACTTCACAGTAAAAAAAAAAAAAAAAAAAAAAAAAAAATGAGGTAAAATTTCCTCCATGTCACTCAGAACATGACATTATCTCCAAAAGTCTCTGTTAAAAGTTAGGCAAGTGGCCAGGTGCAGTGGCTCACACCTGTAATCCCAGCACTGGGAGGCCGAGGTGGGTGGATCACTTGAGGTTATGAGTTTGAGACCAGCCTGGCTAACATGATAAAACCCCATCTCCACTAAAAATACAAAAATTAGCTGCGCATGGTGGTGCATGCCTGTAGTCCCAGCTACTCACAAGGCAGAGGCAGGCGAATCGCTTGAACCGGGAGGCGGAGGTTGCAGTAAGTTGAGATCGCACCACTGTACTCCAGCCTGGGTGACAGAGTGAGATCCTGTCTCAGGAAAAAAAACAAAGACAAGTTACTTAGAAAATATCGTATGAACATCAAATCATATTAATACGTACAGGTGTATATTTTAAATCACTTTAAAGCTCCCTATAAAGGAGAATCTAAAACTGCTTTTTCAAAATTTTTGCATGAATAAATTCAGACACATGTGTAGTGATTTACATAAGTTTATCCAGAAATCAACATCTGTGTTTTGTGTGTGTTATGGATAGAGAGATTTGTACTTTATTTGCACTAGCCACATGCAACAAATGTATAAAGATAAAATCTCTATTCAGATACAGTCTAAGATATCACAATTAGTTTTTATTTAGTCTCAATTTTCTGGTACCCTCTAAGCTGTAAAATCCTGGGAATCCAAAAAAAAGAGTTCAAAAGAAAGGGCCTGAGGGCAGCAGTCAGTGGCTGGAGAGTCAATAGGGGAGTCTTAGAAGTCATTGCACCACTCTGAACCCCACATTCCTCACCTATAACAAAAGGGCTTAGAAGAACTCTAAGATCTCTAAAATGCTAAGGAATAATTCTTAACCTCGATAAAGTCTGAAGACTTGTTTTACTCTGTAAGGATCTACATTTTAAAATAAGTAGCTAAGAATTTTCCATTGCCGTCTTTTAGTAGTAGATTTTTATTGACACAGAACACTCAGGGCTATTTTTCAGAGCCCAGATTTATCCACCTCCCGTGTGCTTCCACTAAAACCGACACGATGTACAGTCTCAGGCACTTTCTCACTGTTTAATAAAAAGGTAATTGGGTGAAGAGCCGTGAGAAAATACTAGTGACTAGATTATTCACTCTTCCGCTGGCCAATGGTTCCTCTGATTTTGGCCCACAGGGGGCCACTTTGATTCGCTGCTGAGAGGTGGCGCTCTTGACCAAAATATCCTCACATCAACGCTGGTGGAGGCTTCCCACTTTATGACTTCCTTATAATAGGCCACAGATGTTCAGTGCAAATGACTGTGCAATACATTGATATCAAAAATTGTTATCACCATACCCCATTCCCTTGGATGATGAATTTCATTTAGAATTACAAAGGAGCAGGAAAAAGGAAGAGGAAGAGGGCAAAACCTCAAAAGACTTCCAATGTTTCAAGAAAATGTTGGACTTTGTTGTGCGCCACTATCAAGCTTTTTCCAAATTTGGTTTCCAAATTACTACGGCAAAGAGGTGAGGTTAAAAGGTTTTGCTGTCTGCAGGCAGAAGGCATCTTTGTGCTGATATGTACCAGCATTCATGTAGAGCTCTAGAGAAAGAGACCCAAGTACTCAGAGACTTTCAAAGGTACAAGTATTATTCTTAGTAATAAACCCCAAATTGTTATACATAGAAATTTGAAATTTAGAATTTAATAAACTGTAGTTCAAATTAACATAGAATCCTCAGAAAGCAAGGCATAAGGATTTGTTTCCCTGATTTAAACTGATGATATGATAGGATGCATCTCTTTATACCCTCCGAATCATGAATCTTTTCACGGCCATGAAATAAAACATGTTAGGGTTTTCTCTTGGCCTGGGGACAAACTGGCTGCCCTTCTGTTAGTCCCATAGATCGGGTCAACTCTCCATGGATATACCAGTACCCCCAGTTTCTGTCTGTCATGACAACTCACCTTGGACAATGCTTCAAATTATTAGATAATCCTTATATTAAAACAAAATTTGTTTCCCTGAAGTTTTAAATTTTAATTCATAAACAAGACAATACTTTAAGATTTTTTTGAGCATCTGCCATGTGCCAGTCCTTGTGAGGGCTTACAAATAAAAAGGTGAGGAAGTTATATGTAGTTTACCTGATCTTGTGGAATTTATAGCACACTTCTCTAGTTCTCTCAATTTTTCCATCCTAATGCTCCTAGGAAATAGATCACATTCCCATTGTAACAGTGGCACTCTACAGCAGGCACATGAGCATCTCAGCAGAGAAAGGAATTATAACCTGAGGAAGTCCCCAAGTGACTCTACTTACCACATGCCCCTCTTTCAGAATCACTGCTCCAATGGCTCTATATTCCTATAGAAGTTTAATCCTACATCAACAGGGTGGCAGGTCAAATATCTGAAGACAATTATTACGCATCTTCTCCCCCAACCCCTCAATATTTGCATCTTCAGGCTTAACATGCCACAGAATTCAAACTATGATGGTTGTGTTCTTGAAGAAAAGACTGGCTCAAAAAAAGCTATTGAGAACAGCTGTAAATGCATTTACATCTGTAGTTAAATGGAACTGAATCCATCAGGCAGAACCAATAGCTGAGGAGGAGAAAAGGTGATGAGAAGACAGAAGCCTGGGCTACGTGCAGTGCATTGAAATGTAGGCTAAAATGAGCAACCAAAAATGCGAGGAACGTGGAAAAGAGAAGAGGGATGCATTGTCCCATCATCTTGTCTTTCTTCATTGTAAGACACAATAGATTGTTCCTTGTTGGGGATTGGAAAGGAAGAATTATAGAAGCAAGCATATTCTGTACGGATTGGTCAAACAAGATTTAAAGCGAGAGACAGAGAAGGAGGAGGAGGGGGAGGAAAAGAAGAAGGAGAAAAAAAGAAATTCTAGGATAAAAATCATTCCCCCTTATAGAGCTGGAATGTGTATAATGTAAAGAGACAGTTGCATTAAAGCATTAGGCCTCATGGCCTGATTAACATCATTTGATCTTTTCCTATTGAAAAGACCCTATGTGTTTCCAAAGGCAGTGGCTTTTTAAATAAAACCAGAAGTCTGGGTGAGCAGAAAGCTGTTAGAAGAGAAAGCAACTTGTTTTATATTTAATCATCTTTTTATCCTACGTGCTTCATAATCTTCAGTTTCCTTCTCTCTGTCAGTAGGGGATGCATATAAAGTTAAAAATCTAGACTCTGGGAGATCTAATATGACAAAAACCAACAAATAAAAATTCACTATGACCTAAATTGGTCAGATCAGACTTTTGGGCTGCCTGTCTCCAGGAGCTTTTTTTAAATTTTTTATTTTTTCTGATTTTTTTTTTCATCTTTTATTCTCCCTCCTCTCAGCTATTTAGCTAACAATCACTAAGCGATTTCAGTGAGATTGATTAGCACACCATCATACCAGTTTTTTTTGTGATTTACTTTTTATCTTGCTTTTCTACATTCTTTTGCAAGTTTCTGGTGAGATTGGCGCTCTTCCTGAATTTGAGAGTGACCATCAGAAAGCCAGAATTTTCCATTAAGCAGTTCGGTGAAGCATATTGGTGGGGGCAACTGGAGCATCTCCACATCCATGCTGTCATCTCAGTGTGGCCGGGCTAAGAGACGGGGAGGGCTTCTGGTTGTTTGAGAGGACAGAGCAGTCATCGTAACTAGTTCAGTCTCAGTGGCCCATTCAGCTCCTGGCATAGCTGCCAAGCCAGCCAACAAAGGACCATTGTAATCCTGACGGTTTCCCAGCAATGACCGGACAGGCGCAGACCACCAACCAGCTCATTTCACTTACACTGTTCACAAGTAAGACCATGAATGGAAAAAAGTCAATGGCAAAAATCCCACATCCTGCTAAAGTTGGTTATGTGGACACTTTTCTAGCGAGCGAGTCTGCCTTCAAGCTGGTAATCCTCATACCTGTTTTCTTTGTTTGTTTGTTTTTAAGTACAATTAGCTTGAATGATAATGCGAAATGCTCGTAGAATCCTACCAAAAATTAGGTTTGAGTTTAAAAAAATAAGAATATAGCATACAATACTTTGAAAAACAATGTATAATAAAAATAAAATGCCATAAATGTAAAGCAAAATTGAGATAAGTTTTGAGGATAAAAAATAATAATTCCAGCTAGTGTGAGACCACTGTGACTATTAAAGAATTAAATTTTGGTGTCTAAAAATGGAGTTTTCAACTATAAAATGGAATTATTTGAACTCAGTTTCCAATTTTAGATACGCAATCAAAAGTCTGCCTTTTCTGTGAACCAAACCAATGACATCTCTAACTCTGAATTTTTAAAAGTAGCAATACACCTTGGGAGGCTGAGATGAAAGGATTATTGCCTAAGCCTAGGAGTTCGACAGCAGCCTGGGCAAAATGGTAGGACCTCATCTCTGTTTTTAAAAAAAGTAGCAATAAGTAAAATAAAATGTTTAAGAACAAAGGAAATTCAGAGGTATGTATCATGTATTTACCACTGATTGAAAGTCAGGATGTATTTTTTTTTCTTTTTTTTTTTTGAGACGGAGTTCCACTCTTGTTGCCCAGGCTGGAGTGCAATGGTGCAATCTAGGCTCACTGCAACCTCCACCTCCTAGGTTCAAGCGATTCTCCTGCATCAGCCTCCCAAGTAGCTGGAATTATAGATGCCTGCCACAATGCTCGGCTAATTTTTTGTATTTTTAGTAGAGACGGGGTTTCACTGTGTTGGCCAGGCTGGATGTATTTTTAACAATCAGATAAAATGATCTTTTAGTACATTTCAATTAAAAATGTGGCATGATTCCATTTATTTAAATTGCTTTCCTTGTAAGTACAAGTTATAATAATGGGATGCCACATTTACTTTTCAGTTATCAAATATTCAAACAAATGATAGTATTCCGTGCTTGTGGGGGACATGGAATGAGAATATGGTGTTTCAACTAGATCCACAATTTTAGAAAGCAGTATAGCAGAACCTTCATAATGGTCTACCTCTTTGACTTCATATCCTTCTTCTTATATTTTATGTATGTATATGAATTATAGAATTTTTTTTTTGAGATGGAGTCTTGCTTGCTTTGTTGTCCAGGCTGGAGTGCAGTTGCGCGATCTCGGCTCACTACAACCTCCGCCTCCTGGGTTCAAGCAATTCTTCTGCCTCAGCCTCCCAAGTAGCTGGGACTACAGGTGTGCGTCACCATGCCCAGCTAATTTTTGTAATTTTAGTAGAGATGGGGTTTCACCACATTGGCCAGGATGGTCTCAGTTGCTTGACCTTGTAATCCGCCGGCCTCTGCCTCCCAAAGTGCTGGGATTACAGGCGTGAGCCACCGCGCCCAGCCTATAGAAATGTTTTAACTATACATATACATAATATTATATTCCAGGCAAGATAAGAAAATAAATACAATATAGTTCATCAGATCAAAAATAAAAGCAAAGCCAAAGAATACGAAAAAACAAAGGCCCCAAACAAAATGAGACTAACAGAGTCACTGTTAAGTAAATTGTTAACAAGTAGATGTATATGATTGAATACTATGTAGCTATTAAAATTAATGCTTCCAAAGATTCTTAATAATAAGGGAGAATAATTATTTAAATATTAGTTGAAATGAGAAGCTATAATTGAGTGGCTGGCACTGATTTTAGCTTACAAAAGTACAATAAAATATTTATAGTCATGATCTTGGTCAGTGGAATTTTGGTTGATTTTTCATTGTTTGGGGCTCAGGGAGATTTGATATAACAAATCTCTGGGAGATTAATTTTTCAACGTTATTCCCAAAGAGCATATGACATTTTTTATAATTATAAAATAAAATCTTTGTTGAAAAAAAAACTTCTTTCTGAGAAAGCAGGAAAGATCCAAAATTGACACCCTAACATCACAATTAAAAGAACTAGAAAAGCAAGAGCAAACACATTCAAAAGCTAGCAGAAGGCAAGAAATAACTAAAATCAGAGCAGAACTGAAGGAAATAGAGACACAAAAAACCCTTCAAAAAATCAATGAATCCAGGAGCTGGTTTTTTGAAAGGATCAACAAAATTGATAGACCGCTAGCAAGACTAATAAAGAGAAAAAGAGAGAAGAATCAAATAGACACAATAAAAAATGATAAAGGGGATATCACCACCGATCCCACAGAAATACAAACTACCATCAGAGAATACTACAAACACCTCTACGCAAATAAACTAGAAAATCTAGAAGAAATGGATACATTCCTCGACACATACACTCTCCCAAGACTAAACCAGGAAGAAGTTGAATCTCTGAATAGACCAATAACAGGCTCTGAAATTGTGGCAATAATCAATAGTTTACCAACCAAAAAGAGTCCAGGACCAGATGGATTCACAGCCGAATTCTACCAGAGGTACAAGGAGGAATTGGTACCATTCCTTCTGAAACTATTCCAATCAATAGAAAAAGAGGGAATCCTCCCTAACTCATTTTATGAGGCCAGCATCATTCTGATACCAAAGCCGGGCAGAGACACAACCAAAAAAGAGAATTTTAGACCAATATCCTTGATGAACATTGATGCAAAAATCCTCAATAAAATACTGGCAAACCGAATCCAGCAGCACATCAAAAAGCTTATCCACCATGATCAAGTGGGCTTCATCCCTGGGATGCAAGGCTGGTTCAATATACGCAAATCAATAAATGTAATCCAGCATATAAACAGAGCCAAAGACAAAAACCACATGATTATCTCAATAGATGCAGAAAAAGCCTTTGACAAAATTCAACAACCCTTCATGCTAAAAACTCTCAATAAATTAGGTATTGATGGGACGTATTTCAAAATAATAAGAGCTATCTATGACAAACCCACAGCCAATATCATACTGAATGGGCAAAAACTGGAAGCATTCCCTTTGAAAACTGGCACAAGACAGGGATGCCCTCTCTCACCGCTCCTATTCAACATAGTGTTGGAAGTTCTGGCCAGGGCAATCAGGCAGGAGAAGGAAATAAAGGGTATTCAATTAGGAAAAGAGGAAGTCAAATTGTCCCTGTTTGCAGACGACATGATTGTTTATCTAGAAAACCTCATCGTCTCAGCCCAAAATCTCCTTAAGCTGATAAGCAACTTCAGCAAAGTCTCAGGATACAAAATCGATGTACAAAAATCACAAGCATTCTTATACACCAACAACAGACAAACAGAGAGCCAAATCATGGGTGAACTCCCATTCACAATTGCTTCAAAGAGAATAAAATACCTAGGAATCCAACTTACAAGGGATGTGAAGGACCTCTTCAAGGAGAACTACAAACCACTGCTCAAGGAAATAAAAGAGGACACAAACAAATGGAAGAACATTCCATGCTCATGGGTAGGAAGAATCAATATCGTGAAAATGGCCATACTGCCCAAGGTAATTTACAGATTCAATGCCATCCCCATCAAGCTACCAATGACTTTCTTCACAGAATTGGAAAAAACTACTTTAAAGTTCATATGGAACCAAAAAAGAGCCCGCATTGCCAAGTCAATCCTAAGCCAAAAGAACAAAGCTGGAGGCATCACACTACCTGACTTCAAACTATACTACAAGGCTACAGTAACCAAAACAGCATGGTACTGGTACCAAAACAGAGATATAGATCAATGGAACAGAACAGAGCCCTCAGAAATAATGCCGCATATCTACAACTATCTGATCTTTGACAAACCTGAGAAAAACAAGCAATGGGGAAAGGATTCCCTATTTAATAAATGGTGCTGGGAAAACTGGCTAGCCATATGTAGAAAGCTGAAACTGGATCCCTTTCTTACACCTTATACAAAAATCAATTCAAGATGGATTAAAGATTTAAACGTTAGACCTAAAACCATAAAAACCCTAGAAGAAAACCTAGGCATTACCATTCAGGACATAGGCGTGGGCAAGGACTTCATGTCCAAAACACCAAAAGCAATGGCAACAAAAGCCAAAATTGACAAATGGGATCTAATTAAACTAAAGAGCTTCTGCACAGCAAAAGAAACTACCATGAGAGTGAACAGGCAACCTACAACATGGGAGAAAATTTTCACAACCTACTCATCTGACAAAGGGCTAATATCCAGAATCTACAATGAACTCAAACAAATTTACAAGAAAAAAACAAACAACCCCATCAAAAAGTGGGCGAAGGACATGAACAGACACTTCTCAAAAGAAGACATTTATGCAGCCAAAAAACACATGAAGAAATGCTCATCATCACTGGCCATCAGAGAAATGCAAATCAAAACCACTATGAGATATCATCTCACACCAGTTAGAATGGCAATCATTAAAAAGTCAGGAAACAACAGGTGCTGGAGAGGATGTGGAGAAATAGGAACACTTTTACACTGTTGGTGGGACTGTAAACTAGTTCAACCATTGTGGAAGTCAGTGTGGCGATTCCTCAGGGATCTAGAACTAGAAATACCATTTGACCCAGCCATCCCATTACTGGGTATATACCCAAAGGACTATAAATCATGCTGCTATAAAGACACATGCACACGTATGTTTATTGCGGCACTATTCACAATAGCAAAGACTTGGAACCAACCCAAATGTCCAACAATGATAGACTAGATTAAGAAAATGTGGCACATATACACCATGGAATACTATGCAGCCATAAAAAATGATGAGTTCATATCCTTTGTAGGGACATGGATGAAATTGGAAACCATCATTCTCAGTAAACTATCGCAAGAACAAAAAACCAAACACCGCATATTCTCACTCATAGGTGGGAATTGAACAATGAGATCACATGGACACAGGAAGGGGAATATCACACTCTGGGGACTGTGGTGGGGTCGGGGGAGGGGGGAGGGATAGCATTGGGAGATATACCTAATGCTAGATGACACGTTAGTGGGTGCAGCGCACCAGCATGGCACATGTATACATATGTAACTAACCTGCACAATGTGCACATGTACCCTAAAACTTAGAGTATAATAAAAAAAAAAAAAAAAGAAAAAAAAACTTCTTTCTTTTGTCGTAAAAAGAATAATAAAGACTCTAAATTTCCACTTCCCTTACATGTAGCGGTTATTTTACTTAAACACAATCCAATGACTCAACACCTTAACCTTTTACCAGGAGGCCCTGCTGAGATCATCAGAGGATAATTTTTGATGCTGATTAGACTGATTTTTAGTTCCTGAAAGAGTACAACAGATTAAGTAACCTAACCTGGATTTATTCTTCTCTTGTGTATATTGTTATCCCAGTATTGCCTATGGGCTTGTTTGAGACAGATTATCATGGATAGAATGCTGAGTCCTGAACTGTGGCAGAGAAGCCAGCATGCTGGAGCCTGTGTACTGTGAAAAGCCGTCTTAGCCGAATAGCTAAGCCACAGGTGCTCCTCATGGAAAGTCTAATCAAGTGTCACAGGTATGAAAACTGGTGATAATCAGAGCCAGAGCTCTTTTACTTCTCTAGAACAGCATTTTAAAAATTTTTATTTTTAAATTAAATTAAATGAATTTTTATTTTTTTGAGTCAGGGTCTTACTCTGTCACCCAGGCTGGAGAGCAATCATAGCTCAGTGCTGTCTCTAACTCCTGGGCTCAAGTGATCCTCCCACCTCAGCCTCCCAAAATACTAGGATTACAGGCATGAGACAATGTGCCTGGCCTAAACTTTTGTTTCATAGATAATATACAAGTCTTTTGCTATGAAACTCCAAGAGGACAAGTACCATGTCTCTGTGCAATCATTTGTTCAGTTAGCAGTTTTCCTATTGTGTTCTATGGAGCTTATTTAGCCTAGTCGTTAAGAGCATAAATCTTTGGAGTCAGCCTCAAGTTGGTAGCACAAGGCTTTCACCATGGCAGGAGGTGAGAAGGCACATAAGGACCTGCACCAGGCTCCATTTCCCGGCTTGTGGGCTTAGAATCAGGCAGGGTCTAGGGCAGCATCCGGTGGAGCCTGTGCTCCCTGCACCCACTTTACCTTTTAGGTCACAGTCCAGGTACCAGGGACTGTGGAGTTTCCTGGCCAAATAGCCCAGTCTATTCCTGACCTGTTCAGGTCTTTTGCCAGCTCTGTTCTGAAAGTGCCTTGCATCACTGGCGGACCACTCATAGGCCCAAGAGAGGACCAAAGAGCAGGCATTTTGTAGAGGATGAAGAAGGAGCTTGGCTGTACAAACTGGCATATAGACACCATGAACAATGAGAACGTTTAGCAAAGTGCCTAGCACACAATGAATGCTCAGCAAATGCTATTACCGATCTGTTCCCTTACTATATTTGCAGGACAAAGAAAAAAAATAATAACAATGAGAATACTAGCTTCTACAGGGGGCACTATTTTAAGTTTAATTCTTGGTATAATCCATAATGGAGTCTTTTAGAAAAAATAACTGGGCTACTGTCCTGGCCAAATTCCCATACTTTGTATTCAAGCTAATTACATTCCTCCCCCACTGGATAAATTATTCTTCACTTCCCCCATAAAAACCATCATGTTGTACTTGTGAAACAAAATAGCTTCTGTGTTCTACAACACACGCAAAAAAATGGTGTGTTTCAATCCATAGTGTATTTCTCTGGATGACTAATTTGAAAGCTACATTGGGATCCGTTATAGTAGGATGTGAGTTTAGTTCAGTGATGCTTCTGAATAATGATATTCAGATATTTAATGTCCTATTAAGTGGGACAACGTCACCAGATATGTTCTCCTGGTAACTTGAGACAATTTTTAAAGTATTACCTGGACTGAGATTAGGCAGATGTAAGCCATTGAACTTACTTCTAAGTCATCGTGTCTCTTAGCAAGCCATTTACCTCATCACATTGATTTTATTTTTAATGCCAAAAGTCTGAACATTCGTAAAATGGCTTGCTAAGTATTCTATATTCATCCTGAATTATTAAGAGGTGCACTTTTAAGATAAAGCTGGAGAGAAAAATACTAAGAACTGTTAAGAAATCACTGTCTTTTTCTCTTTGAGTTTAGTGGCACTTAGGTCTAAAATCCCTATCTGACAATTGATTTTGGAGTGTGAATTCATTTCTCGAGATGACAGAACATGGAATGGGTGGGAGTAACTAACCGTTGTGGCAAATGTTCATGAGGGAATAGTACTTAGGGCCTAAGGTATGGCTGAGAGCAGAACTGGCTCCCCTTTGAGAAGTCCTGCTGATGGAGTAAAAGGATGTGGGGAGAGGGCTAACGTTGTGATCTGGGAGAAAGCTCTAGTCCCATGCTACTTTAGGAGCATTTAAACTCTAGTTTCAAGTCCTTTAACTGCTTTTAAGAAATATGCCTAAATCTAAACTATTCTAACTACTTAATTTATTATTATTTTTTTTTTTAGAGGCAGGGTCTGGCTCTGTCTCGCACATTGGAGTGCAGTGGCACGATCACAGCTCACTGCAGCCTCAAACTTTTAGGCTGAAGCTATCTTCTTTGCTTAGCCTCCTGACTAGCTAGGACTACAGGCGTGTGCCATGACACCAGGCTAATTTTTAAATTTTTTGTAGATATAAGGTCTTACTGTGTTGCCAGGCTGGTCTTGAACTCCTGGCCTCAACTGATCCTCCTGCCTTGGCCTCCCAAAGTGCTAGGATTAAGCCACTGCACCTGGCCTAGATTCTTAGTTTTTAAAGACTTCAGGGAAGAGACAATTCTCACCGAGTTACCTTTGGCTACATTGTCCCTGTTTGGAAGGAACCTTGTTATTATCAATGGGCAGTTCATTCCCTGTGCCTCGTTTGTGCAGCCCCGGCATACCAAGTAATATGCTAGTTCTGTGCTCTGTGTAGGTGAAGAATGGTGGTCATCAACCTCTAGTGTATTTGAGGACTTACTAAATTATTGCTCCTAGTTCGAGATGAAGTAACCCAGGCTGTAACTTTTCCTTTCTGCCTTTATTTCCCAAACTTTCATCTGAAATGTTCTTCTCTTTCTAAATCTCCACGGGTGAAGCAAGGTAGACAATTGAGGCAATTACATGTGTCATTCAGACTTAAATGATTATTTGAGACTTGAAGTACTTGAATTATTCAATTAAAAAACAGCTTTCTACCTGACTAATTCTAAAAAATCATCTCAATTATTTGTTTTTTGGTTTGTATCCATTGAGGTGCTATATCATTTTTATTTTTATTTTTAAATTTATTGCCTTAGTTTCTTTGCAAGTATTGGGGGTGGAAACAATACACAACATTAGATTATCATCCCAGTTCTTGCTGTCATTTTGTGTACAAGGTGTAGCCTTTTCTCCAAACTGGAATCAAATGGGTGGAGACTCCAGAATAGATTTTTTACTGTAATATGGGTCTAGTTGGTTTGCTGTGTAATGAAATGTCCACATCGTTTTAGAGTGCTATATTTTATTTCTCAAAATATGTTTCTCTACAGTTAATGAACTATGGATATGGAAGGAAAGTCCCTGTTTTCAATTTCTCCAACAGATTGAAGAGGTTGGCACGTGGTAAATGTTCAATTAATAAGAGACTTACACAAATAAAGAAGGACTTCAGGGTGCCAGCTAAACTGGTCGATTAGCAATTCAGTTAAATAGCCAGTGAGTCAGGAGTGAGTTAAAAGGCCACCTGCTAATTTTTAGAGAAAAACTTGTAGTTAAAAGCAAGAGCTTCATACAGATACTAAAAAGTGAAATCAGAAGCAATGTAAACTATTTGTAACCACAGATAAGATGTGTTGGAGTGGGACCTGTGCTTAAAGCATGGATTGGCCATTTACTAGTCATGTGTTTTAGGACAAGTTTCTTAGCATTTTTAACTCCTCAGTGTCTAAATTTCCTCATCAGCAAAATGAGAACAATAGTAGCCTGTGCAGTGCTATGGTCAGCATGTATTCCTGGAATGTGTATAAAGTGCTTAACATAATGCTCGGAACAAAATAAATAAGAAATAAATACTATTATTTTTATTAAGAAATCCATATCATTAGTTATTACATCCCATGAAAAAGTATATGAGTAGATTACATATACAATCCCTTCCACATACCAAAAAGCAATAAAAGTCTCTCAAAAGCATCTGGGTGGGGCCAGGCATGGTAGCTCACATCTGTAATCCCAACATTATAGGAGGCTGAGGAGGTCAGATTGCTTAAACTCAGGAGTTCAAGACTATCCTGAGCAACATGGAGAAACCCTGTCTCTACAGAAAATACAAAAATTAGCCAGGCATGGTGATGCATGCCTATAGTCCTAGCTACTCCAGAGGCTGATGTGGGGGGATGGCTTGAGCCTAGGAGGCGGAGGTTGCAGTGAGCCAAGATTGGACCACTGCACTCCAGCCTGGGCAACAGAGCAAGACCCTGTCTCAAAAAACAAGCAAGCAAACAAACAAAAAACCCCATGAATGTATAGGGAAAATTGTGCATTGAGTCATTAGCCTTCATTGAAGCCTTCAAGGTGGTACATCAGGAACTTGAAATTTTATTTAAATTTTGTGAGCTTTGCTATACTACCATGCCTCAAAAAAAGGGGGCACAATAGCACCCTACTCAAAGCAAACATCTCTTTCTGGTTTTCATAGTTCTCTCAGTACTGTTATTCTATTTTTTTTGGCTCAAAACTCTCATTTTTGGTGATTTTAGCTCCTTCATTTCATAACCAGTCAGTCATTGTGATCTCATGTCAGGTCCTTCCTTCCTTCCCATATCCACCCCCATAACTGGGGTTTAGATTGCCTATGTTTTGACTACTGCAATAGTGCTTCTGCTTGCAGGTGCAGCTGGAAGCCCTTCTCTTCCTAACCCCTGTCCATGAGGAGTCGTGTCACCTGGTCCCCCGAGATGGGATTGTAGCAGGAGGGCATGTGTTAAGCCCGTTTCAAGAGATACTCTTCTTGCTCTTGCAGCTGCTTGCTCTCATCTCTGAGCTGCCCTTCTCAGGCTGCTCTTGCCTTACCGTGAGAATGGGAGGCTGTGGAAAGTTAAGAATGATGAGACTTCTGACCTTCCCCCCTCTGGTCCTTCTGAATAGCTGGCATGACTCCCAACCTTGCTACAGCACAACCTCGCCATTCCCTGCCTAAGCAGATCCAGAGAGAGTGGCATATTGAGAATTAAAGACATGGACTCTAAAACCAGGAGGTCTGGATCGAAATTCCAGTCTGTTACCAACCCACTGTGTGACCCTACACAGCGTACTGAACCTTGTACCTTAGGTTCTTGATCTGCAAAATGGGCAAAATAATAGTGCCTACCTCATAGGATTATTCAGAAAATTAAACTAGTTAAATATAAGATACTCTAGATACTGCCTGCTATATATAAGAACTCAACAATTATTAGACATTATTACACTGCTCAAACACTCACACCCTCACTGCTGGGTAATATTCCCCACTTTGTCTGTGTTCTTTGTTAGACATTTATTAGATGCTGCCTCAGAGTACTAGTCAATTTAATTGCTTTTAGAAATATTGAACACACCCACGATAGAATATTTTCAGTATATTTGACAGGTACAAAGATGAACAATACAAACATCTGGATCTCCATGACCAAACTTTGGAGATGGAATGTTATTAACCCCTAGCAAGACCCTTGAGTGTTGTTCCAAATCTCATCCACTTCCATTCCCATCCCCATAGGTAGCTTCCATCTGGAATTTTGTGTCTATCACTTCATTGAGTTTCTGCAGTTTTGTCATATATAATTTCAATTTTAAATAATAAACCATGTAGTAGGCCATTGAAAGATGGGCTAAAGTGATATGCACAACTTTTAGCCCGGGCCACATAAACCCTCCTATCTAAGCCTCCTCCACTGTGCTCTCTCTATCTCTCTCTCTCCCTCTCTGCCAGTCAGATGGATAAATGTATTGAAGGACTCCGAGGCTCTGTACAATGTCAGAGCTTGGATACAGAAAGAGCCTGTATCACCCCCTGTATCACCCCTAAAGAAAAGCCATCTAGCCAAAAACACTTATCTTAGACTGCTGTAGGAGTGAGAAATAAACTTTTATGTTGTTAGGCCATTTAAATTTTGGAGTTTTTTTTTTTTTTTCTGTGAAAGTTAATATCCCCTGACAAATACACATCTTAGCACCAGGAATTGGGGGCTGCTATCACCAAGAAACTAGAATGTGCAGCATTATCCTAGCAGCCAGTTACTGGGCAATATTAACATTGATATTGGAGGTAGAAGCTAAGATGACCCATATTATACAGTGGTTCACCATTTGTTAAAGCTATTACCTAAGAAAACTTGGAAGACAAACCTTGTGCCTACTTAACTGGTAGCTCTGGAGAAAGTGATTGGAAGATATCAGTGTTCGAAGTATGTTGACTACCATCGGCTGTCTTTGACAAAGTATTGCAATTAATAGATGAGACAAGGACCTGTTTATAAGCAGAAATGAAACACTCAGTCCTAAAATTTGGTGCGCTGAAACATTGGAAAGACCAATTGCTGCTAAATAACCCAACAGTAAGATGTAGAAACAAAAAAGGCTCTGAGAGATAAAGAACCAGTAAAACTTCTTGATTAAACAAAATGACTTAGACTTAGAGAAAAGATCAAATTAAAATGTGGCTTTCCCACCTATTGTTTCAGATAACCATGGATCACTGCCAACATGTTGAAAAATAGAGGCATGGAGTGAGAAAGCTTGGGAATAAATCAGGCTTGAGAATGATCCCTAAGAAAGAACGATGAGTGTCCTTATTTGCATATGGAACTCATTCGAAGCAAATGAACCAAAAACTTACTAAGTTTTTGAAAAGATTAATAACCGAAGAAAGCATGATCCTAGATTAAAAACCAAAACTTTTGACTGTTTGTAACTGAAAACATCTTTGGGCCCCATACTTGTACCAACAGGAATTAGGCTCTAAAATTCAACTTTCTCCAAAGAAAAGGAAAAAATTGTGATTATCCCATTCCTGTTCCCAAGTGAATATTAGGTGAAAGGATAGGTAACTTGTCATTTAAATTGTGGTTCACAGAGCCCTATGGAGAGGACTTCACATCACCCAGAAGTCCTGGACTTGAGCTGGATACAGTAACTCAATGGGACTAGAATTGCCTCCCATGGAAAAAGGGCAAAGTGTTCTACATATCACAGGATGAGCAAAACAAGTGTTTGGTGTCCATAAATGAAAGACAGGCTGTGGCTAGGACTGGCTAAGTGTTCACCACACTCTCTTTTTTCTCCCCTGGGCACAGAGCTGGGCTACATTTTCTAGCTTCCTTTGCAGTGAATGCAGCTGTGTGACTGTAGCCAGTGGAATATGGGCAGAAGAGATGTGTGCCACTCCTAAGTTTGGCCCATAAAATGAACTTCCCTGTTATCCTCTATTGCCTCCTCTTCACCTATCTGATAGCAGATGCAACAAATAGTATCAGTGGACTCAGAGGACCAAAGTGATGGAAGAGTCATGGACGAATGGAGCCTGAGACCTGAATCATTGCTAAAAGATGAACTACTTAGAAATGTTGTTCGATAAAAAACATCCTATTGGACTGTTGCATGAGTAAGAAATAAGCTTTTGTTGTATTAAACTACTGAAATTTTGAAGTTGTTGCAATAGCAAATGGCTACTTCAATTAATTCAAGGGCTATATAGAAAAATTCAGGAAAGGGGGTATTACTATTTCATATGCAATGGTCAGAGAAAGTGTCACTTGCAAATAAGTATTTAAGCAGACACCTGAGAAAATGAGAAAGAAAGCTTGGGGGTATCCGGGAGAAGAGCCTTCCAAGCAGAGGGACCAGCAAGAACAAATGCTATATCTAGTGGACACATGTGCTTGGTGCATTTGAAGAAGAGCAAGGAGGCCATTAGTGAGCTGGGGAAGAGTAGCAGGAAACCAGGTCAGTGAGGGCCCAATAGTGTAGGGACATACAGGACCTTGTAAGGACTTCGGATTTTATTCTGAGCATAGAAGCCATTGAGGTTTGAATTAAGATATTTATTTTAAAAAAATCCCACTAGCCACTGGGGTTAGGGGATTGTGGTGGATAATCAAGGATAGAAGCAGAAAGATCACTTGGGAGGGGGCTGTTTAAATAATCCAGGTGAGAAGCAATGACTGTAGCAGTGGAGGTGGTGGGAAGGGGTTGGATTCTGGATTTACTTGAGAACAAATAGGGTTTGCTGAGGGATTGAATGTTCATTGTAAAACACACATACACACACACACACACACACACACACACACACCGCCACACAAAAAAACAGGCACCAAAATGACCCCAAGATTTTTGGACTGAGCAACTAAAAGGATGTAGTTGTCATTACTGACATGAGAAGACTGGAAGTGGAGCAAATTCTTGGAGAAAATCAGGAGTTGGTTGTGGACACATTCAGACTGATGCTTGCCTCCTCAGCCTCATCACCACCAACTTATTCTTCTCTGTTTTCTCCATCCATCTTGGTTTTTCTCACCATCTGAGAACTTCTTCCCTCCTACTACCCTTTCCTAGTTAATTCCTGCCCCTCAATTCAGATATCAACTAAGAAAACTGTTGCTTTCTCCAGGGAATAATTCTTCCTTTATCCTTGGTTGGGATTAGGTCTCCTTGCTGAGTTCTGCCCATCACAGCTTCATCTTAATTCCTTGTTTTGTCATTTTCTTCACTGAACTGTGAGCACTGTGAAGGCAGGAGTCCCTTTTGTCTTCATGTTCATCATCATGACTCCAGCTTCTAACACAGAGCTTGGTATGTGCTAGGTGCTCAAAAAATGTTTGCTGAAAAAACGAGTGAATAAATGAATGAATGTATGAATGAATAAGCACACTATGTCCCCTTCAAGAGACTTCTTCCAGAGAAATTCTGGTAAAATCTTAACTTTAAGCATGCTTAAACTACTGAGCAAGCAGCTTTTCCGGAGCGATTAATATTTATCTGACATTAAAAACTTTGTAACTCAAATATTTCACTTTTTTTTTTTTCTGGAGACAGTGTCTCACTGTGTTGCCCAGGCTGGAGTGCAGTGGCACAATCATAGTTCACTGCAGCGTTGACCTCCTGGTCTCAAGAGATCCTCTCGCTTTAGCCTCCCAAGTAGCTGGGATTACAGGCACATGTCTGACCATGCCTGGCCAAAAGTTTCACTTTTTACATTAACTACTAAAAACTTTTGGGCAAATACGTGACCCACCAGTAGCCTATGTGGAGGTCCTTATGATATACATTTTAAGCTTTGTTCCTGCTTGTTTTCTGTGTCATTCTTGTTTTTCCTCATTTGTTTGTCTAACTTTATTATATGCTTTCTCATCATTTGTATATCCTTGTAAGCAATTTTTTGCGCATTTAATGTATTTTTTATTTTCTAGTAATTTTATTTTTTGGGAGCTTTTTTATTATACAAAAATTAAAACACATCTGAGTGTGGAGACAATAGTATGAGAAATGCCCATGTGCTGGCCACCCAGTGTTAACAATGATCAACACATGGCTAATCATGTTTCAGCCATCTCCCCATTTCCACTCTCATGCTGATTATTTTGAAACAAAATCTAGACATTATATAAATTATAAATATTTTAGAATGTTTCTCTAAAGATAGGGACTCAAAACTATATAATGACAATATTATTCTCATGCCTAAAAATAAGAAATTTCTTATCAAATATTCAATGTTCACATTTTGCAAATTGCCGTGTGTGTGTGTGTGTGTGTGTGTGTGTGTGTGTGTGTATTTAACAATTTGTTTGATTCAAGGTCCAAATACAGTCTATACATAGAGATTGCTTAATAGGTCTCTCAAGTCTCCTTTGACTTCTTGGTTCCCCCTCCTCCTTTTCTTTCTTCTTTTTTTTTCCTTGCAATTTTCTGTTGACAAATTGGGCCATTTGTACTGTAGAGTGTCCTGCAGTCTTGATTTTGTTGATTTCATCCATGAAATGTTGTTTAGTGTGTGTTTCTATGTTTCTTATATTTTTCATAGATTGATAGTTAAATCTAGAGCTTATTCAGATTTGTTTTATTTTTTAAGCAAGATTACTTCATAGGTATGTCCATGTTATTTAATTTCAGTTCTCCCTCTCTCTCTCTCTTTCTGTCTTAATCTCTCTTTCTATCCACCCCACCCTCCCACTATGCTAGCCACCATTAATAATTATTTCCTAGATCCATTACTTTATTAATGTTGGCATAATTTTCATCTGACTCTAGAATTCCTTTATCATTTCTTAGCTGGAATAGTTCTGTAAAGGAAAACATCCCCTTATTTGGTTAACTAATGTATAATTCATATAGGAAGAGCTTGACTTTTAAATGCTTGACTCTTTCTGTTTATTCATCAGTTTTCAAAATAATAACTGATTACTGAACATGCTCTGAAGTTATCCATCAGTGTTTTTTTATACCTCATATACTTACGAATATACATATATTTGATGTATTACAGATATTATTTTTAGTAATGTTTAGAATGTCCCATCTTTGGTCAGCAGGAGCTTATTTAAGATGTATTTTGGTATCTTTTGACATGACTTTGATTCTGGTATGACAAGGTGTTCCAGGCTTGTCATACTTTTTTGTTACAGATTTGGAATTGGCCATTTCTCCAGGGAGAACAGGTTATTTTCAGTGGGGCACGGTATTTAGAGATCTCAGTTAAAGCTCTGAGAAAGCTTATTGACACTGGTTTAACCTTTTTTTTTTTTTTTTTGAATTTGCAAGTGGGCAAAATTAGGAAAAGTGTATTTTTTTCTTGCAGATATGTATTTGTTAATATTTTTGCAAAATACAGAGAGTAGTGTCTAATGAGTTCAACTTAGATTCTCAAGTACAAAATATCTGCTGATATAGCAACTTTAAAAAGTTTCATTTTATTGTGGTAGGAACACTTACCAGATCTATCCTCTTAATAGATTTCTAAGTGTACAATACAGTATTACTAACTATAGACACTATGTTGCACAGCAGATCTCTAGAAGTTGTTCATCTTGCATAACTGAAACTCTATATCCATTGGTTAGCAACTCCCCATTTCTTCCTCCCCTCGGCCTCTGGCAACCACTGTTCTACTCTCTACGTCTGTGAGTTTGATTATTTTAGATGCCTTATATAAGTGAAGTCATGCAATATTTGTCCTTCTGTGACTTACTTCACTTAGCATAGTGTCTTCCAGGTTTTTCCATGTTGTCACATATTTCAGCATTTCCTTCTTTTTTAATGCTGAATAATATTCCGTTGTATGCATCTACCACACTTTCTTTATCCTTTTATCCATCAGTGGACATTTAGGTTATTTCTACATCCTGGCTATTGTAAATAGTGTTGCAGTAAACATGGTAGTGCAGATATCTCCTTAAGATCCGAACTTCATTTCTTTTGAATATATACCCAGAAGTGAGATTGCTGGATCATATGGTAGTTCTATTCTCAAATTATTGAGGAACCTTCATACTGTTTTCCGTGGTGGCTATTTTGCATTCCCACCAATAGTGTACAGGGTTTCAAAGTTCTCCACATCCTCACCAACACTGTTGTCTTGTGTTTTTTGGATAATAGCCATCCTAACAGGTGTGAGGTGATATCTCATCATGGTTTTGGGTTGCATTTCCTTGATGATTAGTGATATTGAGCATTTTTCCACATACATGTTGGCCATTTGTATGCCTTTGGAAAAATGTCTGTTAGCGTCCTTTGCCCATTTGTAAATTGGATTATTTGATTTTTTTTATTTTTACCAATGAGTTGCAGTAGTACCTTATATATTTAGGGTATTAACCTCTTATCAGATATATGATTTGTAAATATTTTCTTTTATTCTATAGATTGCCTTTTCATTCTGTTGATTGTTTCCTTTGCTCTGCCAAAGCTTTTGATTTCGCTGTAGTCCTGCTTATCTATTTTTGCTTTTTGTTGTCTGTCTGTCCTTTTGGTGTCATATCCAAGAAATCATTGCCAAGACCAATGTCAAGAAACTTTTCCTATGTTTTGTTCTAGTAGTTTTATCATTCCTGGTCTTACATTTAAGTTTTAATCCATTTTGAGTTGATTTTTGTGTGTGGTTTAAGATAAGGATCTAATTTTGTTTTTTTTGTTTTTTTGTTTTTTTTGTTTTTTTGTTTTTGAGACGGAGTCTCGCTGTGTCTCCCAGGTTGGAGTGCAGTGGCGCGATCTCGGCTCACTGCAAGCTCCGCCTCCCAGGTTCATGCCATTCTCCTGCCTCAGCCTCCCAAGTAGCTGGGACTACAGGCGCCCGCCAACACGCCCAGCTAATTTTTTGTGTTTTTAGTAGAAACGGGGTTTCACTGTGTTAGCCAAGATGGTCTCGATCTCCTGACCTCGTGATCCGCCCGTCTCGGCCTCCCAAAGTGCTAGGATTACAGGCGTGAGCCACCACGCCCGGCCTAATTTTGTTATTTTACATGTGGATATTCAGTTTTCCCAGCACCATTTGTTGAAGAGATTATCTTTTCCTTGTTATATATTCTTTGTACTTTCGTCAAAGGCTAGTTGACTATATATACATGGTTTTTTTCTGGGCTATTTGGTTCTATTGATCTACATGTTTGTCTTTATACTAGTACCATACTGATTTAATTACTGTAGCTTTGCAATCTATTTTGAAATCAGAAAGTGTGATGTCTCCAGCTTTGTTCATCTTTTTCAAGATTATGTTGGCTATTCAGGGTCTTTTTGTTTCCATATGAAATTTAGGATTTTTTTTCTATTTCTGTAAAAAATGTAATTTGGATTTTGATTGGGAGCATTTTATTCTTTTGATGGTATTATAAATGAGATTGCTGGGTTAATTTCATTTTTAGATTGTTTTTTGCAACTCTATAGAAATATAATTGATTTTTGTATACTTATTTGTATCATACAACTTTGCTATGCTCATATATTAGTTCTATCATTTTTTAATGGATTCCTTAAGATTTTCTGTATACAAGATTATGTCATCTTCAAATAGAGATAGTTTTATTTTTTCATGTCCAATCAGAATACCTTTTAGTCTACTCACTTGCCTAATTTCCAGGCTGGACCCTCCAGCACAATGTTAAATAGAAGTGGTAAGAGCAGATGTCCTTGCCTTATTTCTTATTTTAGGGGAAAAACTTCAGTCTTTCATCATTAAGTATGGTTAGCTGTGAGTTCTTCATCAATGCCTTTCATCAGGTTGAGGGTGTTCCCTTCTATTTCTAGTTTGTGGAGTCATCTAATTCATAAAGGTATTATTGGTTGTATTTACTTGTTCTTGTATCCCTTCTAGTTTAGTCTTACGTTATGATATTATTTTTATTTTATTTTAAAATCTTTTATAAATTCTGTCGCCTTTTCAAATTTTCATTTTCTTCAGTTATCTCATTTTTTAGTTTTTCTTAATTCTGATTTGTTATTCTTTATTGTCTTCTATTGTGTTTCATCTAAGTGGCTGCTAAATATTATATTACACTTTTTATCTTTTGTAAGTATTCCTTTTGACACATTTTAATTGTTTGCCTAGGTGTTTTGCCTCTCTCTGTCTCAAGTAATATCTTTGTATAAGTTCAACTCTCATGTTTTTTTGGATGTTAATTTTTAAGGAAAATGAGCTTTCCATCATTTCCAGTGGGATGGTAGTTAGGGTAGCTTTTCTAATTTGAGGCCTCTAATGTCCCCTTTTCTGTTGTTTTCATGGAACGTATCGGAACCTTCTCTTTCTTCTGTTCCTTTTGCCGCATCCTGCCCAATTTGGATTCTCCCCTAGCAATTTCTCCTCATTGTGGGATTTTGTCCTGGAAGGGAGCTTTGGTGGAACAAAAGTAACCTAAGCCACTCTCTCAGCTGGCACGGGGCCTCCAGGGAGTGTTCATTGGGTTCTCTTATTCTCAGGGATGCCGATTCCCAGTTGACCTTACTTCTTCCTTCATTGAGGATGACCTTGCATTGGTCTTGCAGCTGTGGGTGCTTCGTCTCCCAGTATCTAGGGGTTTGTAGGGGATATCTTGTCACCTGTTTGCTGCGCACATTGCCCAAGGGATTATGGTTTTGCTATCATACTTGCTCTGCCTGTGCTTTATGAGAGGACTCAAGAATATTTAAAAACCATACATCTCTCACTAGCAGCTACCCAGAATCCTTGAAAAGTGTTTAAAACCCAATGTGATGGAAGGAAGATTATAAAACAAAAGAATAAATAAAACATAAAACTCTCCCTCGGGTACATTATAAGCCTCTGTTATATGTAAGTAATCCATATCTACAGATTTCTCTAATCAAAAGTTGGAAGAAATATAGCTATGCTTTCACAGTTCCTGACAAGCTGCTTGCTTATTAAATAGCTTTAAAGTCAGTGTTTTGATTTTTGCTCCTTTCCATTTCTAGGAAGGACCATGCAAACATTTCAGAAAGATGAGGAATTGATCTGATCTCAAACCACAGAGGCAGCTTTTATTCCTTGTCTGTTTCCTTTACCTCCTTGTCCATCCTCAACGGGGATAGAGAATGGCGCTGTGGAGTCATGCTGTGAATATACTCAGGGGCTACTTAATGCCTCTATTAAAAAATTAATATTTATATCACAAATATAGACATATCTGTGAGTCTTCTATAAGCTTGTCAGTGTTTCTTTGAATTAGTGTATCCCAACTGATTAGTGTGCTTTGGTAATATTGTGAGTGAATATCAAGCAAGAACTACCTCTGGACTCCTACAAACTATTATGCTCACCCTGAAAAAGTGACTAGTGACTATTCTACATGACTATAATAATCATTTTGTATTCACTGCAAGTGATACTTTTCTGTCATTGTTTCACATAAAAAGCTATTCTGAATAATTTCATTCGAATAGTATAGTTTTCCTACTTCTAAATTAGCAGGCAGTTTTTCTCATTGATTTTAATCTATTTTCATCTAACCACATTTCCAATTTACTATGATCTTTTGGGATTCAGAACTTATCCTCAAGGGCAGAAGAACAGTTTTGCTTCCTAGGAAACCAGACTTCTATTTAATCATTCATACTATTGATATAATTATTAAACAACACTGAACCAGAAGTGTTCAACTCTTCTAAACGTAATTATGTATATTTATAATCTAATACTGCACTGTGTTATGAAACCCTTTAATGGAATAGATTGCTTTTGGAATCTGTGTAGATAGCACCATGATAAGCATTCAATTGTTACTGCTTAATACTGTTGAAAAAAAAGAGGAAGCAAGGAAGGAAGGAGGGAAGAAAGGGAGAGATGGAGGGAAGAAGGAATTGTCTGAGGGTGTGTAGATAAGTGCTATGCACTGATATACTGTAGTCCTTGCAAAATGACCTTGGGGGGGAAAATCTGATTTTTAATTCCTTTGTGAGAAGGTGCTCAGTGTAGGTATACAATATTTCACTTAAGCAAACTATTTAAGAATTCTTTATGTTATAGAAACAAATGTAAAACGAGCAAATCTCTCTCCTCTGTTGGGCATAGGCAGGGAGACTGAGAAAACCAGAGTTTTCCAAAGAAAAGCTCAAGTGTTAAATTTTTGCTTTTATACACTATATATTTTTAGATTAAAAATAAGCATTGATGGGCTGTGCACGGTGGCTCACGCCTGTAATCTCAGCACTTTGGGAGGCCAAGGCAGTTGGATCACGAGGTCAAGAGATCGAGACCAGCCTGGCCAACATGGTGAAACCCCGTCTCTACTAAAAATACAAAAATTAGCTGGGCGTGGTGGTGTGTGCCTGTAATCCCAGCTACTCAGGAGGTTGAGGCAGGAGAATCGCTTGAACCCGGGAGGCGGAGGAGGTTGCAGTGAGCTGAGATTTCGCCACTGCACCCCAGCTGGCAACAGAGCGAGACTCTGTCTCAAAAAAAAAAAGCATTGATGGAAATGTTTTATGAAGTGCTTCTTTACACTCACATCATTTACCATTTCCTTCTAAGTGGATTATGCAGATGTTCTTGAAGCCAACACATCATCAGTTTAAAAATATATTCCCTGGATTCTTTTATTTTATAGCTCATCTTTAAAGCTAAATTAAACAGTAATTGTTGTGTCATGTGGAAATCCACTCCTGTCAACAAAAACCAAATCATAAAGTAAGAGTTGTGTTTTCAATGACTTTTGCTTATTAAGATTGTAGAAATATGGTCAAAACCCATTATACAATGTCTTATTATTATATGGATGTGGATATACTGGGGGTCAAAAAAAATTTCATTTAATAAATTGATTTTACAAGTTGGAAAGTTGTGTTTGTTCCTATCCCCAATATGAGCATTATAAAGTTACACTATAAATATATGTAAGTCTGTCTTTAGGCCTCTCAAAATAAAGAACTTAAATATAACCTTGTAAAGTTTAACTTGTTATTAGATCATTTATTGGCCCGTGTCTTGCCACTTGACTTAATCATTGAGCTTTTAGTACTTAATCACTGAGCTTTTTAGCAAATTGTACATTCAGCTGTATGTGCTTTCTTGGCTATGTGTGATGACTCTGCATGTATTTTAGACAATCTTAAGAACTGTGGGTGACCCATGTCTGGGTTTCCAGTGCAACCTGTACATGTCTCTGTCATCACTCTTCTCACAGTGTACTGTAAATGTGATTCCTGGTCTGTCTCCTCTATCAGACCCTTAACCTCCTTGGGACCAGGGACCAGTTTATCCATTTCTATGTCTCTTATGCCTATGACTATCCCTGGCAGAGAGGAAGCACTCAGTATGTATACATTATGAAGCCCACTAGAACCTTTCTCCAGTAATGACCTTGGCTTTTCTTATTGTGCAAAGTATTCAGAGTATTCTCTCTCTCATGAATGGTTGGAGACACTAAATTATATGACTTGTATTCTCTGGTCATGGGCACAGGGAAACACAGATTGGGCTTTAAATTTTTCTATTAATTAAATTTCAGTAACGCTTTATTAATTCTGTGCATTTTTCCTCTTCCTAGGGGTAATGATATGTACATTTTGACCCAGCAATTCTACCTTAGGGAATCTCTTCTACAGAAATAAAGGCACCCAGGCATAAAGGCTCATGATTAAGGAAGTCTCTGGCAGCATTTCTTGTAGAGGCAATAAATTGCAAATATCCTGACCATCTACAGGGCAGTGTTTGAATAAAATTTGGTATATCCATACTATAGATCTATACATGTATAGATACAATTTTTTAAAAACATAGAGTCATACTGTATACAGTCATTCTTTGGTATCCTCAGGGGATTGGTTTCAGGACCTGTGTGATACCAAAGTTTGCAATGCTCAAGTCCCTGATATAAAATGGCATAGTATTTTCATATAACCCATATACTTTAAATCATCTGTAGATTACTTATAATACTAATACAATGTAAATGCTATAAGTAGTTGTTACAGAATATTGTTTTTCTTATTTTTCTTATTTGTATTATTTTTATTGTTGTATTGTCATTTTTATTTATTTTTTCTCCAAATACTTTTTATTTGTGGTTGCTTGGATCCTCAGATGTGGAACCTGTAGACGTGAAGTGCTGACTATATATCATTCTTTCTTTTTTATTTAAAATATATCTTGACATCCCTCCAGGTTAATACAGATAACTGTTAATTATTCTTTAGCATAGATATTATATTAGCTCAGTAGAGTAAGATTAGAAAAAGGAAAGAGAATGGAGATTATTTTTTCCTTATACATTTTTTTGACTTCTACTGAGCCTACATCACTTTTGTTATTAAGAAAATCTGATAAAGTTAAAAATGTGACAGTAAATGTTCATTCAAAGAGATCTGGCTTGATTTTTCAGGTTTCTTGGAACTAACTCTCTGAATATGATGAGTAATCAAGATGATTAAACACTTTGATGACAAATTTAAGATGTGACTACAAAGTAATGAGCCTGCTTTTTGTTCTTAGTTTTCACAAACTCAATTCAACAGTGTTTCTAAAAGAGTAGTTTCACAAGGCTTTTAGATAAATATAGTAGCACTGGAAAAACCACGTGATTTCAGGGTTGAGGAAAATAATTTGGATATTTAAGCTCTGGCATTTTTTAAAAGTCAGTTTCTATATTTTATGGTCACAGTTACTATGTATTCATATAGCGTGCCAAGTGTGGCACATCAGCCAGTGACACCCATTGTTGAGCAGCTAAAATTCCATTCTAACTCATCTTATTCTCTCCAATTTTTTATTTTTTATGGTGATATATCTTTCTCACTGTTATTGTTAGTTATTACTTTGACTAGATAGTCTTGTGATTTTTCACTATTCAGCTGTCATTTAAAAATCATATTGACATACTTTCCCTTGTCAGGCTGCCCTTGTGAGACAAGCATTTTAAGTGTTACAAGGAGGTGCTGTTACTATTACAAAAGTTATTATAGGAAGGATAAAAGGACTTGGTTGGGAACAGTAGCCCCATACATGAGAAAAAAATAGTTACATAGTTCCAGAGCATTGTAACAAGAGTGTAGGGTACATAAATGATCTCAGGTCACCAGATTAGTTCAGATAATAGAAGGAAATATGTGAACCCAAGTTCCCTGTATGGATATAAACTGGGAAATACAGAGGAATCTGCAGCATGGTGTACTAGGAGCAGAACAGGGTGCAAACGTATCCTGTGACTGGTTATCAGCAGAACACTGGGCCTGGGTCCAGTTACTTTGATCCTCTAGAGAAGCAAGATGGCTGCGTCGTGTAAAGCTAATTTGGTAGAGTTCACAGGGAGTACAGAGCTGGGTCCTCAAGCAGGCTGCCTGAGTGACCTCATTGTAGGACATACAAGGGCTTGAGTGCCTTCTATTCCCCTAAACAGAAATTCTTGGTATTGCTTTGATGTTTTTTCTCCTTGAGATGTAATTTTGTCACTCTCAAAACAATTCTAAGGCAAACAACAACAATAATAATGGTATGTGGTGTTCTGATCATTTAGGACGTTCTGTTGCTGTTTCTGATTCCAGGATCTAAGCAATAGTCCTTCTTCAAACAGTGGTCTTCTGTCCTTCCCAGCAGATGGTACAGTGGTTGGAAATCTTTACAGGATTCCTGTAGAACCAAAGTCATAGTGACTTTGATGCGTCATTATGCCAAGGCCCAGAAGCTATGGAACATATTACCTTACCATGAAAGGCCTGCTTTGCAATGCTTTGGCACTTGCAAAAATAGTCTTCACATTGAGAGTCCCAGAGTGTGCCTTACACAGTAATAAATTACATTACCAACAGCCATTATGACCTCAGTGAGAGATGCATGCAGCCAAGAGCAGCTACATGTTACTGTCAGTTAATTAGCGTTGGTATTCATTAAAAGTGGGAGTGAAGGCCTGGAAACTATCCATTACTCATTGTGAATGGAGTCATGGGACAGCATAAAAGCTAGCCAAGCAACCACTGAAAGCAAGAACCTGGAAGCAGGTTAGAGATCAACGAATGGGTTACTTGGTTATAGTTCTTTACTATGTGCACACGCCTTCACACAAAAACTCACACACACTCATACACTCAGCCCACACTTGTAACTTCACACACACATTTTCATTGGCATCCATGGTTCATGTTACAGGTTGAATTTTGGCCACCCACCCCAAAGAAATATTAAAGTTTTAAACCCTGGTGTCTGTGAATGTGAGTTTGTTTGGAAATAGGGTATTTGCAGATGTAATAAATTAAGATGAGGTCATACTTGGTTAGGGTGGGCCCTAATCCAATATGACTGGTGTCCTTATAAAAAGAGAAAGCAGAAACATAGGGAGGAAAATGCCATATGAAGACGCAAAGACACATAGACACAGAGGGAAGACAGCCGTGTGATGATGCATACACATTGGAGTTATGCTGCCACAAGCCAAGGAATGCCTGGGGGTATAAGAGGTAAGGAATGATCCTCTCTTAGAGGATTTGGAGGGAGAGTGGCCCTGCCACCACTTTGACATTGGACTTCTACACTCCAGACCAGAGAGAGAATACATTTCTGATATTTAAGCCACCCAGTTTGTGGTGTTTTGTATGGCAACCCTAGGAAAATAATACTGTAGCTCACGTTCATGAAATAGATACCCTCACACTTATGATCCTTCCTGTATCTTCTGTCACACTTTCACACTCAGGTTTCTGTCTCACTTAAAACAATTCAAATTCAAGCACAATAAGCTCATGCACTCCTACTCTCCTACTGTAATCAATGTATGTGTTTTGAGTAACATGGAGGATTAGTCAGAATTGCAAGGTGGACAATTACTACTTTGTGCACTGCTTTGGAAGTAAGGAAAATGTTCTCTTTCATTATGATTCTTCAACCCAGAGAGAGCTGTGATAGATTATAGAAAATATTTTTATTTAGCATATATTTTTCTCATTACTAGCCTAATTTTGATACTGTAGTAAACTTGCCCATGAACAAAGATGTCTTTGGGGGATTTTTTTTTTCTTTTTTTTTTGAGTGGGAGTCTTGCTGTGTCGCCTAGGCTGGAGTGCAGTGGTGCGATCTTGGCTCACTGCAACCTCTGCCTCCTGGGTTCAAGTGATTCTCTTGCCTCAGCCTCCTGAGTAGCTGGGACAACAGGCATGCACCACTGCACACGGCTAATTTTTGTACTTTTAGTGGAGGCAGGGTTTCACCATGTTGACCAGGCTGGTCTCGAACTCCTGACCTCAAGTGATCTGCCCACATCAGCCTCCTAAAGTGCGGGGATTATAGGTGTGAACCCCCACACCTGGCTTTGGGGGAGTTTTTAATGTGACAATTTTTAACCAATTTCAAATTTTGGCAGAAAAAAAATGTTTATAGAAAACTTAAAATAGACCATGCACAGTGACTCATGCCTGTAATCCCAGCACTGTGGGAGGCCTAGGCAAGCGGATCACTTGAGGTCGGGAGTTTGAGACTAGCCAGGTCAACATGATGAAACCCCCATCTCTACTAAAAATACAAAAAATTAGCCGAGTGTGGTGGTGTGTGCCTGTGGTCCAAGCTGCTTGGGAGGCTGAGGCACGAAAATCGTTTGAACCTGGGAGGTGGAGGTTGCAGTGAGCCAAGATTACACCATTGCACTCATGTGTGGGTGGCAGAGCAAGATTTTCTCTCAAAAAAATAAATTTAAAAATGTTTTTAAATATATGATCTTCCTATCATTTACTTTTAAAAACTATATTTTAAATAAGACACTTTCCCAGTGAATATTTATTTTCCTTCTTTAAAATGATCTGTACCATTTCCTTTCATACATATTTACTATTTGCAGTAGCTACGGTAGCTTATATTTTTGTGTTGAACTTTATGGAAAATATAAATTATACAGAGTGGTTTTTGTTATCAAAGTGTTCATAGGCTGTACACCGTGTTCTTGAATTTATACCTCCTTCCCAACATACTTTTTCTTTGAGCATCTACTGATGAATCAAACTGTCTGCCTCTACATCCCCAATTGGCTATCTTAAAGACAGTCAAACTGAACATACAGAAAACCAAGCTGGTGATATTTTTTGTCATTCCAACTCTCTTTCATGTCCCTGCCTCCAGGAATGTTGCTATCCTCCATCCAAGTCAAAAACCTGTGCTTCAAGCTTAACGTCTCCATCTCTCTCCATCTTCATCATTCTACTTTTATCTAATTAAACGCCACTATTTTATTTTACCTCCTAAATATCTCTGGAATCTATTTTAATTTCTTCATCTCCTTCGCCACTAGTTTAGTCCAAATTACTATAATCTTTCCTCTAAATTACTGCAGCAGCCGTCTAATGGCAGGAAGGACAACAGCCACACTGACTTCCACCCCATCCTCTTTTTTTACACTGCAGCCAAAGGCAACTTTTTGGAGAGCAAATAGTATGCCACCTGCCTGTTCAAATGTGCAATGGTTTTCCGAAGTTCTCAAAGTAAAGCCTGAAATCCCCAACTTGGCCTAGAAGTCCGGAATACTTCTGTAAGTTTCAGCTTACACTGCTGTCCCCCTTCTTGCACTCCAAACATGGTACCTTCTTACTATGAAGGTGTAACCAATGCACTTTGCTCCTCTCAACTCCAGGTTTTTGCACTTATTGTTTCCTCTGTCTAGAACACTTTTCTCTCCTGTTTTCCTCCCTGAATTCTTCCCATTGATTACCGTGCATCATTCAGAATTCCACTCAGACAACATTCTTCAGGAAAGTCTTTCCAGGTATCCCAGAACAGATCAGGGCTCCTAGTAGTATGTTTATTGGTTCTGTCATTTATTCAACAGTCATTGAGCATCACTGCACTAGAAGAGGGGGGCTCTTCTAGGCACTAGGCTGCAACATTGGACATGAAGACAAGGCCTCAGCTCACATAAGCTTATGATACAGTTGCAGGGAAACGAAAACAAACAAGTAAATAAATAAGAAATCACCAAGTAGTGATAAGTTCAATGATAGAAAGAATTGAGAAAAGCACTAGGCTTCTCTTAGAAGGTGAGATCTAATCTCACACCTGAGTATCAAAAGAAGCCAAGGACATACAATTCCATGGGAAGAGCATTCTCAGCAGAGGTTCTAGGGAGAGAAACATTCTCTGGAGAAGAGAAAGATGGATAAAGTGTGTGAGTAAAGGGGGTTATGTTATGCAGAAGACATAATCAGGGGCAGGGCTATGTCAAGGTGAGGTGTTTGGATTTTATTCTGAGGTTTGATGGGAAGCCACTGAAGGGCTTTAAGTAAGGAAATGACATGTCCCCGTTTACATTTTCAAAAGATCACTCTAGCTGCTCTGTGTGGAAAGATTTGAGTTGTGCAAGCCTCTAAGTGGAGCTATCAGATGGGGGCTACTGCAGTAGTCCAGGTGAAAGACAATGGCGGCTTCGATTAGGATAGTAGCAGTGGGGTTGGAGAAAGATAGACAAATGGAGGATGTAGGTTGGCAGTAGAGTTAAGAGAAATTGCTGGTAGATTGGATAGGGAGATATGGGGAAAAGAAGAATTAGGGATGACTTCCTGATTGTGCAGCTAGGAGAATGGCGGTAGCAATTATTGCGATGGGATGCAGCTTTGGGGATGGGGAAACAAGAGTCTGGTTTTAGGCATGTGAAGTTTGAGATGTCTATTAGACAGCCAAGTGGATGTGTCAGATATGCCGTAGCTTCTAAGAACCTGGCATTCACGTGTCAGGTGAAGCCTGGAGTCACAAACTGGGAAACCATATAGATATTGAAGCCATAGGCCTAGATGGAAAAGTGAATAGGGGCCAGCATTGAGCTTCGGGACATACTATCATCTGCAGATAGAGCAGAGGACAAGGTACCAGCAAACAATACTACAAAGGAGCAGCCAGTGAGTGAGGACAACCAAAGGGTGGTGTATTCAGATAGCCAATAATAAAAATAATCTCATTAACTTAATCCTATGTCAGGAGTTCTATTATTGTTGCAAGTTCATCAAATAAATCTAAACAACCCCTTCTTAATATATTTGATTAAAAAAGAATTCTGTTTCAATCATCACAATTAAGTTTATTTCTCCTACCAGTAGGAGATAATCATCCCTTGGAGTAACAAATCTCATTCTCGTTAGTAAGTGGACAGAGTATTAATAGTAGGTTTTCTTCTGTTTCCCAACCCAATAGTGGTGGTTAGCTCCTTGCCTCCTTTCTTTTAAGATATCCAATACCAATCAGGTAAAAGATGAATTTAACACTTACAAAAATTACAAATGTATGTCTGAGGATCATGGTCAAATACATTCCCAACAACATGTGAACACATCAAATGTTGAAAATAGAAGGTAGGATACCCTATATATAGTGGTAATTTTGTAGCTTCGCATTGAATATACATGTACCTATATTTAGTGTAAAAAGTCGAGGAATCTTCAAAAGAAATAAAGTTTGGGAGAGCAGGGAACAGGGGGTGATTTTAAAAAGATAAACATAAATAATTTGCCTTATCAAGGCATTTTCCACCCTGGGGTGTGTGTTTGCATAAACCTGCGTGTGTGCTTAAGGGTCAGGATCCAGCATGCTCACTTGGGGTAGGAGAGGCTTGTATCAAAACATTCATCAAAACACAGGCTGCATTCCATTTCCACAGCCCAATATCAAGATTGCCCAGAATTACATCTTATGCCATTAGACGTCTAATGCAAAGCCATCAAGGCTTTCAGCTTTCCTCGGGGACACCTTGGGAGGAATTTCTGCCGAGAGTCGGCAACTCAGACCTGCTGCCTGTCAGGAAAGAACCGTGGTACAAGTTTCAGGGAGGGCTTCCGTTGTCAAAACAATAATAGCTGTAATTTTCTCTCCCTCTATTTACAGGAAACAAACTCTTCCTTCCTGTCCTCTGCCTGTAGCAGAAAATAGACAAGCCAAGCAGATGTCCAGAGATGGCGGAGGAGTACCTCGGCTGCAGCTTCCTTGAGAGAAAACAAACTCAAGGGAGCCTTGGGGGCTGGGGGTGAGAGTGCCGGGGCGGAGCTGGGGGGAGAAGGAAGGTGGCACAGTATTGTAATCAGGTTCCCTACTCACTCAAGCTGAGTGCCCGTTGCCTTCTTTCTTTCCCTCCCTCTCCCTTTGTCTCTTTTGAACTTACTGTGAAACAAGTGAACTATATATGGCCAGGGAAATCTCCAGCAGTCCCAGTATTTTTAAACTCTTGTAGTCTCCTGTTTGCACACTCATGTGACGTAGAGGAACTAGATCCAGAGAGTTTCTCATGGGAATCCGGGATGCTTCGGCATAACTGCTGGCTTTGGTTGCATGTGTTTTTGCCCCTTGTTAAAGCAGTCCTTGGGGTTTCATTTCACATCCAAAAGACCTGGGAAGCAGCAGATTCTGTGAGTGCACTAAGAATGTACCGGGGAGGCTGTGTTCAGGGTGCCTGTCCAGGATCGTCATCGAGGGCCTAAGAAACTTTCAGCCTGTGTAGCTGGCCTGGCTCAGACTGGAGGGTGAACTGCTGGGCATCTTAATGCAAACTGGAGGGCATTAGCAAGGAAGAATTATTCTCAGAACATTCCGCGAGCCCTTCACTGATGAATTCCTCATCGTTGTTGGGTTTTGTTTTGTTCTGTTTTGCTGTTCTTGTGCATTATCCAATTTTACTCAAGCTATTTTATTAATATGTGCCCCAATCCCCGCCTTCAGCGTGTGTTTCCAGTGACTGTTTATTTCTCTTTCAGTTCCTCTTGCAGACGTCCTTTTCACCACTGAAAACATGTTTCAAAATGTCCTTGAATCGAAAATATTTTATTTTATAAGAAATATATTTTCAAGCAGTTTATTCACGAGAGTGATATATTTGAGGATTAAACGAAAATAGGGGAACAACTCACATAGTTACTGAGTGGAAAAAATTACCTTTAAAACAGGATGGAAAATGAAATAGTGACTGTGGGTGTAGTTTCTTGTAGGAACACTAAGTGTAGTTAGCTGTCTAGGTCATGCACCACATAACTCTCGGTGCCACCACTCATAATATAGATTTAATTTAATATGATGATTTCCTGTCATATATTAGTGAAATGTCTTGAAGGAAGGGTCCCTTTTGTACAAAGGGGCCATATGGATTATTAGTAATCACTCTTTTTGAGGATAGGAATGAATCTTACCCGCTTTTTTTTTCCTGTTGCAATTTACCTGTTATAATCACTACTATTTACAGAGAGCTAACTTTCTATCAGACACTAGTATTAACAATGTTATGCTGGTAATAGAGTTGGGAAAAAAAAAAGAGGCCCTGACTTGCAGTGCTTGCCAATTTCCATAGTGTAAATATTCCCACCATAGCCATGTTCAGGCTACCAAAGTTCTTGAAAGCTAAGTGTAGTGTTGAGTAGGGATGATCACAATTGGCTTTCCTGAGCCAGTATGAGTTGGCTGCAACAAAACTACTGGTTCTATAATAAGTATTAACAGGCATTAATTGCTTTAAATATTAACAAGTTTTATTTGCTCTATAAAATGATATTATTATTATTCACCATCATACAGATATGGAAACTGAGGCAATGAAAAGTTATGTTACTTTGCATAAGGTGACAGAACCAGTAAGCAGTGGAGCCAAGCTTTCAGCCCAGGCTGCCTAACTCCAGAGCCCATGCACATAATCCCTAGACCATGCTGGAAGCAATAGTGCAGGTGTCAGCAAATGATTTCTACATGAGGGCATCTTGATGTCAAGAAGTGTAGTAACTGCTTTAAGTATTGTATCAGTTAGGGTTCCACCAGAGAAACAGAACTAGTAATCAATATACATAGCTAATATGAATATATAATAAATTCATATTATATATTTTTAATAACATATATATTTAGAAATAATGTAAATATATATGGATATATGTTGATTTATTGCAAGGAACTGGCTTACGTGATTGTGGCAGCTGGCTACAAAAGTCTGAAATCTGTACAGCAGGCCCTCAGGAAGGGCCGACAGAAACTCTCGAGCAGGGGCTGACACTGCCGTCCACAAGTAGAATCTCTTCCTCAAGGAAGCCTAAGTTCTGTTCTTAAAGCTTTTCAATTACTTGAATCAGGCCAACACAGATTATCCAGGACAATCTTTCTTACACAAACCAAACTATTATAGACTTTAACAACACCTACCTTCACAGCAACATCTATATTAGTGTTTGATTGAATAACTGGAGCCTATAGCCTGAATAAGTTGACTCATAAAGTGTTGAGTTGAATTGCATTGCCCAAAAATTTATGTTGAAATCTTAATCTCTGGTATCTGTGAATGTGACTTTAATTGGAAATAGGGTCTTTGCAGATGAAATGAAGGTAAGGTGAGGTCATACTAGAGTAGGGTGAGACCTGAATTGAGTGTGACTGGTATCCTTATGAGAAGAAAAGGGAAATGTAGACACAGACATACAGGTAGAATGCTGTGGAAATGGAGGCAGAGATTGGAGTGATGCATCTCCAAGCCAAGAAACGACAAGAATTGGTGGAAGCCACCAGAAGGCATGTAGAGGCAAGGAAGCCTCCTTCCCTAGAGCCTTCAGAGGGAGCAAGGGCCTGCCAACACCTTGATTTGGGGCTTCTTGCATCCAGAACTGTGAAACAATAAATTTCTGTTGGTTTAAGCTACCCAGTTTGTGATCCTTTGTCATGGCAGTCCTAGGAATTAATACTACAGGGATCTTAAAAATAACACTGTGATAATAAATAATGTCTACTTCACCAACATCTAGGACATGACTTTTACTAAAAACAAAGACTATGCTTACCACAATTTTCTTGTGACACTCTCAGTAGTGGCATGTTGGTGGGCCCTTTCAAGTCAGAGGTGTATCTATAAACTAATTGCTTTTATTTGATTCAACACATGCAGGAACGTATACACATCCTTACTGAAATAGTCACTGGAAGAAATAATTGACTTAAAGCAGTGGGGTTGCTATTATAAAATCAACTTTAGTAGCGCATTGAAATAAATATGTACGAATAAATGAGCGAGGAATAAATGTGTTCATTGCTTCCAGGGTCAGTTATTCAGTCTTTGGACTTCTAATAGTGTTAGCAGTTCTGTTTAGGGCTAAAAATGATTGCTTTCAGGGTCATCTATTCTTTGGATTTCTATTAGTGTTAACTATTCTGCTTAAGGCTAAATATGATTGCTTTCAGGGTCAGTTATTTATTCTTTAGATTTCTATTAGTGTTAACAATTTTTTAAAGCTAAATATGATTTTGGAGAACAGTCACAAATCAATATCAGATGTGATGGGAAACAAAAATAGATTTGATTAATTTTTGCCTGCAGCCTATAAATTGTCTCTGATGGCCTTTCCTAAACAGAAGAACCAAGAACATTTTCAGCAACAATAGTAGAATTTGGATAAATGTACAGAAATGTCTCATAAGATGACAGCTTTGAGGGTCAACAGTCCTTTTTATGTGTAAATTTCTGCATAGAACTTAATTTTTTTTCTAGTCCATCCTACTACTTTATAATTATAACCATAATATCTTTGTAGCAGACCAAATTACTCTTACTCCAAAGCCCAAAGCTCATTCACGGACATTCATTGTAACATTGGATTTTTTTCAGTGTGTAGCAGTTAAATTTCCATCCTGCATATTTGATAGCTTCTACTACATATAATCACATCTATTGAGTACTTGCTACCTATCAGTAGGTACTATTATTTTTATTCCCATTTATTACAAATGAGGAAAGAAACTCAGTTAGGGAAAATAACTTTCCCTTATCAAAAAGTTCCCTCATCAACTTTATATTATACTGTTACAATTAGTAACAGATGTAGGATTAGATCTTAGGTAGTCGGAATACATAGCCTGTTATTTTAGCCTTCTTAATATGTGAATAGTGTGGAAGTTACATTCAGCAAAATTTACAATGCTTCATGTGTTCCTTTAAAAATAGTGAGCAGTCGCTAGCGTTAGACCAGTACTGGTTGTAGAGATTTTAACTGGTGAATATATGGGTTGAAATGAAAAATAAGCAACAAGCAATTTATCCAGATAATCTACTAATAAAGTGATAACTAAAAGCTAATTGAAACTAGAAACTTCACATATCCTTCATTGTTTCAGCTTCACTGAGCTCCTACTATGTGCCGCCTCCAACTAGAGTACCACATTGGATCAGAGCCAAGAGCAGCAATAAGTTGCTAGGCCAGGTTCTGAGGAAGCTCCACCTCCTGTGGAGTATCCTGGATGGGATGACTTCAGGACACTGAACACCCTTACTTTACAGATTCCAAGGCAGGGTCCTGCAGGCTTAGTCTGTGTGGGTGTTAACCTGGGTCCTCTTTCTGCAGCTAAGATCTCTTTCAATTCATGATTCATTTACTGTGTCTAGAAGGAAGCTAAGTAGCAGGACTACTGAAGAAATGCTACATGATATGTTGAGATAGGTTGAGGTTATGAATATGATCTGGTAGTCATCTCTGCTTGTTTCTTTGTCAGGCAACCAAGTCATGAAGCATTTTATTTCAGAAAAGAAGGGATAAGAGAAAAGCCATGGTAAGCTCTATAAATGCCCATTTTTAGGACATGAAACACTCAGCTGAATTTCTTCATATTTGATTTCTTACTGTCTTATTTGCTTTAGAAACATGCCACAGCACAGGGATGATACAAGAAACACTTGGACATATTTCAAATTAAATTATCTTCATTCCTTTTTATTTGAATAAACCATGAGAAAATTGAGCTCTAAAATGCTCCTCCTGGGTATGCCTTGACAAAGAGCATTCTTGTTTCCCTGCAGCCAAGAGGACTGTGAGAAAGGGCAAGAAGTGCTGCTCTATTTCCAGGAGGAGGGCTCTACTGCAAGAGTGGGTTTTCTCATGGCTGTCAGTTTACAAGAGAATTCCATGGGTCAAGCCTATAGTTAAATCAATTGCATGCCTATATGGGAAAAACTCTGCCTTATCAAACTTTGCCATGTAAATACATGAGTCTGGACTCTTTCACATACATTCAGGTATTCAAATTATTTCAAAAGATATTTTAAAATTATGGTTGCAAAATACTTTGAATGCTCCTGAAGATAAATCAAGGTAGGCTTTTCTAAGACATTAAAAAACTAGTCGCTACCCAGACTGCCTCTCTACCTATTGTGGTCCAGGCCTTTTAGATCCATGGTGTTCCTCCAGACATTGCTGTTAGCTCCATAATTAGAACTAATGCACTCCCTAGACCCCAGTGACATGCTCCTGTGCTGTTGGATTGTCCTGTTTTGTAAATAAATTTCATTTGGTCTTCAAATTATCAACTTGCAGAAAATCCAGTTGAAGGTTTATTTAAAAGAAGATAGCCATTTGGACTGAATTAACTGGCCTGTTCAATCCAATGACTTCTTGAATAATCTAGTGTAGATTTAATCAAGTCACTTTCACCCTCAAAAATTGGTTCCTAAATAACAACCACATCTTAATCTGCTAAACTCGCACTTTTTCCCTACAAGAGCCCACTGCTCTGGACAAACCCATGAAGCTGTGGACATCAAACATGTTACTGGTCATCCAGACTCTGTGTTTCACCTAAATCTACCCCTATGGTGTAAGTGAACTAGAGAAACAAAGGCTTGATTCTCTAGCACTAAGATGTGCTAACTTATGTTAAGAACTTTTATTTTAGGATGTACATAAGTTAGAATTAAGTTCAGCTGTTAGTAATAGCGATCTACTTAGAGTGACTTAAACAGTTTAAATGTCTATTATCTTACTTTTTCTTTTTTTTTTTTTTACAGGAGACAGGGCCTCTTTCTGCCCCCCAGTCTGGAGGGCAGTGGAGCAAACTCTTGGGTTCAAGCCATCCTCCTGCCTCAGCTTCCTGAGTAGCTGGGATTACAGGAATGTGCCATAGTACCTGGCATATTCTCTTTTTTTTTAAAAGTTGAGAGGTATTTTTTACAGGTTTGGTGTGGTAACTGTTTGTGTTAACCCATTTTGTACTGCTGTAACAGAATAGAACAGACTGAGTAATTTATAATGAACAAAAATGTATTGGCTCATGGTTCTGGAGGCTGGGAAGTACAAGGTTGAGGGGCTGGCACCTTGCAAGGGCCTTCTTGCTACATCATCCTAGGGAGGAAGGGCAAAGGGTGGGATGAGAGGGAGGGAGACAGAAAGAAAGGGCAGGAGAGAGGGAGAGAGAGAAGGAAAGTGAGAGAGAGAGAGAGAGAAAGAAAAAAGAGAGAGAGAAAGAAAGAGAAAAAAGAGAGAAGAGAGAGAGAGATTGAGAACAGAGAGCCAAACTTATCCTTTTGGAAACCACTTCTGAAATAACAGCATTAATCTATTCATGAGGGCAGGGCCCCCACAGTCTAATTATCTCTTAAAGTTCCCACCTTTCAATACTGTTACAAAGGAAATTAAAATTTAACATAAGTTTGAGAGGGTACAAACATTCAAACCATAGAACCCTACAAAAATCTCACAGACCTAGACTTATTTCTTGCTGTTCTGCCTTCTGTTCTCAAGGTCACAAGAGGGCTGATAGAGCTGTAACTATTCACTTCACGGTGGAAGAAACAATAAGGAAAGAAGATATGATCCTCCTTTCTAAAGTGCCTTCTGGAGGTACTTTCTATTTTCCTCCCATTACCCTGAGCCTCATCATATGGCCAAACCAGAGAGGCCGGGAAATGTAATTTCACAGCTGAACACAGTTAAGTTTCCATTATAAAGAAAGAGAACGAGAAAGGATATTAGAGGCAAGAAGCTGTTCCTGTCACAGTTAGCATTAAAACTAAAGTTAGAGAAGAAAATTTTCTCTTTCATTTAATGTTCTATAAAGCAACATTTATTGATGAACTCACTGTCCTAGACACTAAGGATTCAAAAACCGAAATGACACAGTTCTTGTCTTCAGAATATCACAGTCTAATGGAGAAAATACGTGTTCATGTCCATAGATGATTACATACTAGATGTACCCCTAGATTTTTATGAGAACAAGTAAGATAAACTCCCCACTCAGACAAGGGTGAGGAAAAGGAAGAAGGCTTTATGGAAGTCACAGAAGAAAAATACGGAAAGAAAGTAGACTTTGGTGACAATGTATTGGGCAGAGGTCAAATAAAGATAGAAAATACGTCCATTGGGTTTAATAACAACAGAGGCCTTTAGTGAGCTTGGGGAACACTGTTTCAGGGGAGTGCAGGAAATCAAATCCAGTGGGGCAAAATGTGACTATTAATGATAAAGTTGAGAGGGAAAATACAGAAAAGTCTTTAAGAAATGTAGTTATAAAGAGGAAAAGAGAAGGAAAATGGCAGCTAACAAGGTCTAGGCTAGGGAATGGTTTTTTTAAGGATAAGAAACATATGAGGATACTTCAATACCACCGAGAATGTACAAAAAGAGGGACAGAGACAGATATACAAATAAAGAGAGGAAAGAGAGCAGGTGAGCTTATCCTCTGAAATGGCAGAAATCAAAGTAAAATCTAATGCCAAGGCAAGTGATATCTAAGACAATGATCATAAAACTGAGACGTATCTGAAGATAATCTCTATGTTTTCTGTGAAGTAGAAGTCCCAGTTCTGACATAGCAGTAGAGTCAGGGAGAAGAGTGATACATGCAAAAGAGTGATATGCTTTACATTAGCCATTACTAGCAATAAGAAAGACAGGGATGGGTGAAGAAAAGAAAGAAGAGTAGGAAGTAGGAAAGGGCATGCATATTATGAAAATCTTTTCTCTCACCTCTGTCCCCAGTCCCCACCACAGAGGCAATTACTGTCACTAATTTATTGTGTATTTTTCCAGAGGTATTCTATTCCAATACAAGCAAATATCTATATTTATCCCTTTTTACATTTTTACATATGGTGCATACCATACACATTTACCTTGTTTTGGATAATTTAAATATACATAGGTATACTGCTACTCTCCCAATCCCTGAGATACCATCATTAACTCCTCCCTATCTACAAACAAGATGATCATGTCAGAGATGTTAACTGTCTTGCTCAAGATTCTTAGCTGACAAATAAGTAGTGAAGCAGGAAAAACAGATTCCACCATTATATCCATATAATAGATCTGTATTACATTTGGAACTGTTCTCTCAACCAGAAATTAAATCTAAGAGAAAAATACACTTGGAAATTTAACCTCAGAGTGAGTGACTTGAATGCTCCAACTATGCTGTCATCATCATGAAATATTCTACTGCTGTGTTCTATTACTGTTTTGAAACTGTGTCAAAGACCAATTGATAGATAGTCCAGTCAGAAGATCTCAGCTGTGTATGGATATCAAGAGGCACTTAGCTCTAGGAAGGTAGCCTTCTTATGCCTCTTACAGAATTTCTCTCTCCAATTTAGTTGGAGACACAGTGGCCCTGCCTGCCAATTTTAGATCACTCTCCCGCTACAATTTACATAATTTACATTTTAACCTTACTTATCTACCGAAACAGGCCAATGACCCTCCTCAAACAGCTGTGCGTTCTATTTCCTGAGTTTCTGCACTTGTTTCTTTCACTTGAAACTGCCCCTAACACTGCCTCACTTGGACAGCTTCTTTATCTTTCCAAACATAGATTAATTCATTTGCTAATTCAATAAGTACATACTAAGTGCTGGCTACCATCCAGAAAGTTTCAGCCCAGAAGTTTTGATGGGACACAGGATAGGCAAGGGATCTGTCCTCAGGAACTTGTACTCTAGTGTAGAAAGCAGATAAAAACAAATAGATGTATTAACTAGAGATTGTTTGGGGTTCTATGAAAAAAATAAACAAGGTGTTGGAATGGGACATTACAAGAGTGACTCATTTTAGATTGTTAGAGAGATTAAGTTGAGACCTCAAGGGTGAGAAGGAGCCAGCTCTGTGGAAAGCAGGGGAAGGATGTTTCAGGCAGAGGAAAAGCAAGTACTATGGCCTTGAAGTGATAAAGTGGCTTAACCTTTCTAAGAACTGACAAAAGGCCATTGTTGCTGGTGCATAAATGAGGAAGGGGACAGGAGAGAACATAAAGGGAGGAGGTTAGAGAGGTGGGGCAGACCCAGACCATGGAGGGCTTTGTCAGTCAAGGTAACCGAACTCAACTCTAAGGATAATGGGGAAGGATTAAAAGGTTTTATGCAAGGAAGAAAAGAGATGACAACATCTGGTTTTGTTGTTAAACAACTAATTTGGCTACTTTGTAAATAATGCATCAGAAGAGACCGTGTGAAAGTGGGGAATCTGCTGAGGTGCGTGTGATAGTCTGCATGACAGACGATGGTGGCATGAACTAAGGTAGTGGCTGTGGAGATGAAGTGGGATTAACAGGACTTGCTAGTTGATGTGGCTGGTGTCAAGGATGACCCTAAGTTTCCATCCTTGGTAACTGGGTGGATGGCAGCACTGTAGCTCGCCTACACAGATCTGCTTCCTTCTTCTAGGCAAGTGCAAGCTGTCCTGCTCCAGGGCATATAGTCCATTAAGAAATGTGCAGGTTGGAGTTCAGACCCCCCACCCCTCTGCAGGACACTTTTCTGCAACCTCACTTGGTGAGCTTGGTGTTATGCTCCTGGGACAGCCACTGCAATGAGGGAAACTGGGGCTGGTGCAGATTTGGTAGCGGGGTGAGAGTAGAGAGTCCCATATTGGCCACATAAAATTTGAGTTGCCAAGAGGATAAGCCAATAGGTGATACCAAATAAGAATTTGGATATGCCCATTGAGATTAGGGAAGAGCTGAAGATTACAATGAATAAATGTTGGAGTTGTTAGTATTCAGATGATATTAAAAGTCATAAGAATAAATGAGATCTGCTGGGCACACACAGTGGCTCATGTCTGTAATCCCAGCACTTTGGGAGGCCGAAGTGAGCGGATCACCTGAGGTCAGGGGTTTGAGACGAGCCTGGCCAACATGGCGAAACCCTGTCTCCACTAAAAATACAAAAATCAGCCAAGCATGGTGGCAAGCGCCTATAATCCCAGCTACTCAGGTAGCTGAGGAAGGAGAATTGCTTGAACCTGGGAGACGGAGGTTGCAGTGAACCAAGATTGTGCCACTGCACTCCAGTCTGGGTGACAGAGCGAGACTCCGTCTCAAAAAAAAAAAAAAAAAAAAAAAAATAGTAAATGAGATCACTTAAAGAGGGAAAGAAAGCATCCAGGATAGACAACCAATGAACTCTTAAATGTAGTTCAGGTACAAGAGAAACACAAATAGCAGAGACTGAGAATGAAGAGCCACTGGGGTAAAAGAAAAATCTAGTGAGGTGGAGTAGCCCTAAATCCTAGAGAAGAGTGTTACAAGAAGAGGGTAGTGCTCCACTGTCAAATGCTGTTGAAAAGCTGACTTGGATGAGGCCAAAACAATATCCTTTGGATATGACACTAAGGAGGTTACTAGCGACTTTTGTGAGAGTGGATCAGTAGATTGCTAAGAACAAATAGTAGATAGAATGAAGTGCAAAGTAAACAGGTGAAGGAAGCAGCTACCATTGGAAGAACACTCTAGCAATTTTGCTCTGCAGAAGATTAGATGAATGGGGACAGTGGCTGAAAGAGTATGTAGAGCAAATAAATGTGCTTCTTCTACAGGCTGGAGTCACTTGAGTGTGTCTGTATCCCATGCTCCTTCCTCCAGAGTGGCTGACGTGGCCCTCGGTGCCTGGCTTGGGCTCACACCCTATGCAGTTTCTATGCAAATCAAGCATACCTCCTTCTAGGATGTGCCTCACTTTGCTGTGATTGTTCTGAATGTACCGGCATTCTCGAGCCTCTGTCTGTCACTCAGCAGTCCTCCCTTGGGGGTGGGTGACAGGTTAGGTTCCCACTTACTAATGAGCTCATTTACATTCGTGTAGCTTCCAGTATCTGCATCTTTAAGTAAATCTCTATATTTGGTTCAAAAGATGAGAAGGTAAGCAGTCAGTTATCTGAAAAAGCCTGATATTCCCCACCTCTCAACCCCTCCAAAACACATAGTCTGATATGTGACTTGCTGTGAAAAAGAAAAACATCCTTTTGGAAATTGTTCTTCACAAGAGGAAACACTGCTCTGGCTGAAAGGTGATATTGTTAGCATATAAACTGTACATTGCATTCTACTGGAGGTTTTCAGTGTGCACAAGATTTGGTCACAAAGAACAAGTTTGTCCTTGTATAGACTTGAACAAGTGTGTGTGTGTTTAATTCTAAGGACACCAGAGTTTTCAAATGTTGCTTCTTTACTGGTTTTGTTAGCTTGAGAATGGGCTCTGTCCTGACCTTGCATATACTTAGCATGTTCCCAGCAGCAGCATCTTGGCAGGGCCCTGCCAGGAAGCGAAGAAACCACACAGCCCTTCATTTGTTTCTAGGACAACGCGTAGTAAGTACGTAGGATGCGTCTGGCTGCCTCCCAGCTGTGTACATTTGCTGTCAGAGTATGCTGGTGGCCCAAGAGTGATTTCAGAAGAAAGGGCTGCCTGTCAGCTCTGAGGAAATGGTATCAAACAAATAAACTGCTCCCAGACCCCTAGGTCAGCCCATGGTGTTGGGTCTCCACTCCAACAGCTAATTCTTCTGTCCTCTCTTGCCATTGATTGGCACGATGAACGCAGGAAGCAGGTGAGAGAAGATGGAGCAACTGAGGGGCTGTGTTCTGACAAGGAGGGTGTGAGAGAGCTACAAGGACCTCTCCATCCTCAGGGCTCCAATTAAATGACTTCCTTCCCTAGGGCTAAAGACAGGTCATGAAGGATAAAATTACCAACCCAGGAAAGAGAAGACGTTTATAGCTTCTGCTACTTTTACAAAAATAGATGAAAGGAAAGATTGTTTTTTCCACCCTTTGCAGCCTGTGAACTTCCTTAGCCCTGTGCATAACTTGCTCATTTTTCCAGAAATAGGAGACTTGTGGTTGTCAAGTGCATTGTACATACTGCTTACAAGGCGACACTCTCTACCTTAGAGAGATGTTTTGCTGAAGCTTCTCCTTATTCTTGCCTTTCTTCCCTTCCTCATTTGTTCCCTCCTTTCTCTCTTCCTTTTCTTTATCTTTTTGTTTTTTCTTTCATTTTTTCTCTCTCTTTCTTTCAGCTTCGTGAGATATAATTTGCATAATATAAATTCACTTTTTATAGAATTATGCAACCAATACCATAATTCAATTTTAAAACATTTCCATCACCCTCAAAACAGCCCTTCTATCTATCAGCAACCACTCTCCATTCCCAACTCCAGGCAACTGTTAGTCTACTTTCTGTCTCTACGGATTTGCCTTTATGGGACTTTTCATATAAATCGAATCATATATAGTATATATATATATACATAGTGGGTGTGTTTGTATCTGACTTCTTTCACTTAGCATAATGTTGTTAAGTTTCATCCATGTTCATTCATGTTGTTGCATGTGTGAGTACGTCGTTTCTTTCTATTGCTGAATAATATTCTTTGGTATTGAAATACTACATGTTGTTTATCCATTTTTCAGTTTACTGGCATTTGAATTGACTCCACTTTTTGATGACCATAAATAGTGCTGCTATGAACATATGTACAAGCATTTACGAGAACATGTTTTTATTTCTCTTGGGTAGATACTTAGGGATGGAGTTGCTAGGTTGTATTGTAAATTTATCGTCAACATTTTAAAAATTGCCAACTGTTTTCCAAAGTCACTGCACAATTTTACATTTCCATCAGCAATGGATGAGAGTTTATACACATGATCATCAATGCTTGCTATTGTCTGTCTTCTGGATTGCAGCCAGCCTGGTGGGGTGAAGTGGTATTGTAACATTTCTTATAGGAGTCAGATTGAAGAAACCAAGTTTCTAGGTTTGGCTGGCTTGGTAAGGAGACACTCTGAGATGTAGAGACCAAACAAAATGAGGATAAAGTAATGACTAACATGACAAGTGGTTACGGTTTTTAAAAGAAATGCTGAAAAGGATTTATTAATTTTAAGGATCAATAGTCATGAACAGGCTGCACCCCATGACTCATGCCTGTAATCCCAGCACTTTGGGAGGCCGAGGGGGTGGATCACTTGAGGTCAGGAGTTCAAGACCAGCCTGGCCAACATGGTGAAACCCCGTCTCTACTAAAAAAACAAAAATTAGCCAGGCATGGTGGCATAGACCTGTAATCCCAGCTACTTGGGAGGCTGAGGTAGGAGAATCACTGAACCCAGGAGGCAGAGGCTACAGCAAGCCAAGATCGTGCCACTGCACTCCAACCTGGGTGACAGACAGAGACTCTGACTCAAAAGAAAAAAAAAAGCAGTGAACAATTCATATATACTCTTATTCTCCAAAGGGAGAGAGAGAGGGGGTGAGAGAAAGAAGAGGAAGAAGAAGAAGAAGGAGGAGTAGAAGGAGGAAGAGGAGGAGAAAGAGGAGAAGAGAGAGGGAGAAGAGGGAGGGAGAACAGGAGGGGGAGAAAAAGAAGAAGATAAAAAATAAAAAGAAGAAGAATCAATTTATCATATCTCTCTCCTTGCTTCCTTATGGTACACACCCCTATCTCCTATTCTAGCAGTACCAGGTTGTACATTTACATCTTTTGGGACAACTGAGATATCAACTATGCTCACCATCTGGTTTGTTACTCCAGAACACTAGTAAGTGGGATGTATGTCAGGTTTTCTCTGTACCAGTTGTAATCAGTACATGTGGTAACCGCACTGAGATATTCTGACTCGAGGAGATACTTCACAGCTGGTAAACTGATAAGCTAGTCAAATTTAATAATTCTAATTTCTGTTTTTCCACATACTTATAATTTTCCCCAGTAAGTATTATGTTGATCTTGTGTTATTAATAAAAATTATAGGGTGTTTTGATCATTTTTGTGACTGCTGGGACAGTTCTTAATCTTCCATGCTTTTTAAAGAATTTTGATAAAGCAAAGCACTACTAATTTTCAGACAGCTACATCTGCTTAGCTTATATAATTAGGTTTTTATAAGTTTCTTTCAAATTTTGTCTGTGCCTCCCAGTAAATTGTTTGAAAACTCACTGGTTAAAAATGACAATTTCTCACCATTAGTTCACACATTTTGAATGTTTGTGTATCCTGGAGTGGTCTTACCACTTTTAAATCAGCTTTTCCTAAGTCAATTAGCTTTAAAAAATTATAAACTTATTTATGTCTACTGATGTTTACCTGCTTAGCACTAGTCTAAATTGTTCTTCAAATGTATTTTTATATTCTTTTTATTTTTTATTCAAGAAAGAAAAAAATAAAACCTCTAAGAGGAATGAAGCCCTATTTTTATTGTAGTTTTTGATGGATATTACTGAAAAGAACATACAAATCGTAATTGTTTTCCTAACGTGGGAAAGCAAAACCTAGAAAAGTACCACCTTAATCTGCAATTAAATGAACTATAGTGTATTCATTCAATACAATTTCATTTTATCATTTCTTTAATGACAGCAAATTTGTTATGTATAAGTTTACAAAGTTGTTCTCATATTTTAAAAGCATGAAAGCAAGTTTCAGAGAAGTATGGGTAGCATGATTCTATTTGCATGCAAATGGTATAGACATATATATCTTTGCTTATGCAGAAGAACTCTTTGGAGGTACCCGCACCTGTTAACAGCAGCAATCCTGGGGCATAAAATGAAGATATTTTCTATAATGCTCTGACATTTGATTTTACTGAAATTGGATTTTTTTCTAATAAAAGCTTCAAACAAAATTCCATGTTTCCAAAGAACAGGGGTATCTCCTTAAATTTTAGCATATCTGTTTAGTTCACCTATCTCTTCATACACTTTTGGTAATGCTCATCAATGGATGGGGCCTGTACTGTGGCTGAATGTGATTAGGTCTTTTTACAGAAAGCTTTATTATTACTTACTGCTCCAGTAAAATTAAAATAACCAAGTGTCCATTCTAATATTTTTCAAAGACTCCACTCTACTTAATTTCTCTTATCTCTTCCCACACCCAAGGCCATGCCTTCATCTCTAGCAGTGCAAACCTACCTGATATGCCCTCAGAGCATATTTCTCTATTTGTTTTAGTCAAACCACTCATTCCTCTTCTGCAAAGCCTTACTTACAGCTCCCCTCTCTATGCAGCATTCCCATCGCCTTTGACCCTGAGACCACGGTTATCACTGTGACCACTGCGCAATACTGCTTCTTCCTCTCTCCTTCACATATCACTCAAGTTTGACCTTCTAGCCCAGAAAGCACACAGACAGCCTAACCTCAGAAATACTACTATTTAGTTCCACATGGGTTTGCAGAGCTTTCTGGTTACAACACATTTTGAAGAGAGACCTTTAGATTTTGTCTTATCTCAAAGTTCAGGTAAGCAAATTAAGCTCAAAAAATCATTTCTGGGAGAACATCAATCTTTGGAAATTTTTTTCAGCCATTTCATATTGAGGCATTCGTGTTTTTTACTTTGCTTGTATTAAATAAAATCTAATCGCTGAAGAGGTTTTTCAGTATTCTTAAATGGTTCTACTTTGAGATTTAAATGTTTTTGCTTATAGACCATACCATAAACCCTTGTTACTTGTGTTTGGTTGGTTCATTTGTCTTCTGCCTAGCACCACTAAGCCCAGTATTCCAATATTAGCTGATCTCCTTAGTCCTTCCATGGCTACGGACTACGCAAATGCATGCCCTTGGTCAAAAGTAGGTGTGGCAGGAAGAAAGCCAAGGAAAACACTGAGAGGAGCTGGGGAACAGATGTGATTATTACTTTGACACTTTAAAATGTGCCCTAGTTTGCTTTAAGTACCTCATTCATAAACAAATAGTTTCAAACATTATTGGGCATTTCATGGGCACTTTATGAGTATTTTCAAGGCTGCATCAATTAAGCAAGCAGCTAATCATTTCATCCACCTTTTTCAGGGTATGTCAGAGGAGATGTGGACAGATAAGATATATGGACAAATTATTAACTATGTGAAATAATTTCCCTAGAAATACCTAACTCATGTAAGCAAGTGTTAGGTATTTCTAGGGAAGAAATGTAACTTTTTCTCTGAGAGACTGGGAATATATTCATAGTTAAAGGGACACTTGGCCTGGACTTCGAAGGATGGATACAATTTCAATAGACAGGTGAAAAGTGTCTTATGAATCACATGGCACAAAGGCAGAAAAATGATGAGGCATTTTCAGGGAATTTTTGGTAGTTATTTTGACTGAAGCAAGAAGTTTGAATAGCGAAAAGGCAAGTAAAGTTGGTCAATAAAGATGTTGCAGAACCTTCAATGTCAGACGAAGGAGGTGCACATCTTGCTATAGAGAATAGAAAATCATGCCATATCATTGAGATGATCAGCTTATGACAAGATGGCAGCAACATGTCCCCTGGACTGGAGGGCAGGAGGCCTTGGGGACCCAGAGAAAACAGACTTCTCCGTTGCAACTGTATGTGAGGGGAAGAAAGATCGTTGCCTGAGCTAGGACAGTGTCCATGAAAACACAAAGGAAAAGACCACTGTGAAAAATGGTGTGAAGAAGTAACGGAAGGGATTTCATAGCAGGTAGGATGTGCCAGGCAGGGTAGAGAGCAAAGGCAAGAGGACCTCAGATCTGCAAATCCGGATGACTATGGTAATATTTTTGTTAGTAAGTTGAGCGGAGAAATCAGCGAGAGGAGAGAAAATACCCAGTTCAGTTTTTGACATGTGTTATTTTAAGTGATCGGAAGAGGAAATTTCGGCAGGCATTTAGAAATGCGTTTGCCTAATGTAATTTAAGCGTCCATTTTTTACAAAGTTAATTAAATTTCCTTCACTCGGGGTCCTTCCCTCCCGGGAAAAGTGAGCATGAGTCACACTGAGAAGCTCCTGCCTGGAGGAAACTGCAGATTCCATTGCTGTGAGGCCAATTGTTTCCGTGCAAAGTGACAAACGAGGTAACATGAACCTTCCAAAGCCAACTGGGTTGTCTTTGTCTTTCCGTGCCAGGTAAGAAGAAGAGGACAAGCCCTGCCCAGTCCCAAGAAGTGTTAACAGGCGCTGGAGCTTTATCTGCGGCTGCACTCGCTTCTCCCTCCTGCAGACATTCTTGCTGCTTTCCGGTCCCACGGGACGGCTCCCAGGCTCCCGCCTCACGGCAAGAAAAATAAAGGCCTCCCCGCACAGCCAGCCAGCTTCGTTCATTCACGTCACCGACAAACACTCCTAGCAGGCGTTGTTAAACGTTCAGGGAGCGCCCGGGACCTAGCCGAGGCCCCCTCCTGGCTGTGCCGCGGGGGGATGCGCAGCCCCTCGCACCGACTGCGGGAAGGAGAGTGTGGGTGGCCGGCGCGCCCGGTCCAGCTGCCGGCCTCTCGGGAGAACAATGCGTCTGTCACACAGTGACTGATAGGGCAGCGAGCGCTGAAAGGGAGGCGCACGTCTGTCCTGTCTTCCCACCAGGCTGGCTTGTGCACCTCCCACTGCTCTTAGGCAAAGAGCCAGCAACAGGGCCCCTGGACGATTCTTGCAAAGACGTACGCAGTCAAGGCGTAGGAACAGCCAGGGCTGACTTTTGCTGCTGACTACACCCAGGGGGTGGGGATGCCCAGGCAGAAATGCAGCCACCGCCTTCACGCAACTCCAGGCCTTGGGTCCTGCCCTCCTCCAGCCGCCCACAGCCCCTCTTTCAGGAGAGGCTGGAGGGCATGAGGACTGATAAACTCGCCTGCCATTGTCTCCAAGGGCGACCCTGCAGGAGGTCAGGCTGCCTGATTATCGCTCAGGAATCCTGCTGTCGGCTATTCCTGGCTCTGACCCTCACCTGCTCTCTAACCTCAGGCAGTCCCCTTTGACTGCCCTTATGCTCAATTTCCCCTTTTCGTCAATACTCAGATGCCCTCTGCGACATAAACCAGGGGCCATTTGGCAAAATATCAGTGACTCCCACCCCTGGGAGAAGGCTAGTGTTTTGAACGATTCATTTTAAAGAACAAAATCCTGTTAATTACTTTTCAACGTGAATATAAGCATACACACAATATACATATTCGTATATATTTTCATAGGATTCTTTCACATACACATATATTTACTACTAATAAGTAAACTATAAACGTTCCTTCAGGAGCTAGTAAAATAAACAAGACATATATAATAATTCAATTGATCATTGGCAGTTCATTTAAGATTATTTATCCTTTTAAGCACAGTCCTACTGTAATCTGGTTGCCAGACCCCTCAGGTGCACTGTAATTCTCCTGAACCCAAGTCAGTCTCAAAAATCCTTGTTACTGGGGTGGTGATTAGATTCCACAGAACATACAAGAAAACCTTCATCAAATTTTCAAAATTAGGTTAGGGACAGAACGTATGAACGAAATGGTTCCCAGGAGTCTGAATTTCCAATTCAGTATTCTATTCGTATCACATGGCTTATTCAGGATCTGATTCTTCAGCTAGGTTATAATTTTCTAGAAGGCAAGACTATGCTGTACATCTTATTCTCAACACAGAGAACTGTGCCTTGCATACAGCTGGTGCTGAATAATGGCTGCTACTGAACAAGTTGATTTCTCTAAAATCCCTGGAAAGAAAATGAGATGAGCAAAGAGAAATATGGCTTCATTTAGTGCTACAAAAGGAAAAATAAACTCCACTACTCTACAAAATACAAGTGAGACCTAAAAAAGAGGTAGGTGACAACTATACATGGATAACAACTAGAAACTTTGGTTATACTGGCACTTGCTGTAATTCTGAGAGACATTTCCATGGCCAGAAAAGAGCCTATGAGGTCAGTTTTAAGAGAAGAGTAATAGATGATGGCTTAGGAAAGTTTTTCTGGAAAAAAAAGAAGAGAACTTCTGGCTTGATTTTGCAATACTATTATTATAAGTAGGTCGCAGATAAAAAACTGTCTGTGTCCAGACTATTCAGAAATCAAACTGTTGCCAGAAGAAACTAAAGAAATGCTGCAAAATGTAAATCGGATGAGTGAGACTTTTGATTGTTTTAGTCAGAAAAATATAACTGTGGAGGAGACATGTATTAGAATAGGTCACGTGGGTGAAGCTGGTGGACATTATGCTAAGTGAAATAAGCCAGGCACAGAAGACAAATACTGCATGATCTCACTCATATGTGGAATCTAAAAACATTAAACTCGCAGAGACAGAGAGTACAATGGTGGCTGCCAGGGACAGGGGAGGGCGAAATAGCGTTATGTTGGCTGAAGTTTAAATACAAAAGATTTAAGGAAAAAAAAAAAGGCTAGAAAAGATGCTTTGGTGAAAAAAAAAGGCTAGAAAAGATTCTTTGGCAAAAAAAAAAAAGTTTTTAGAATGGAGAGTGCAAACCTATCAAATTTCAGTGGACGCGAAAGAAACAAATATCTTAGTGTAAGGTAAATAGTCCCACCTGGTAAGGAACGACAGAGTCAGTAGAGAGAACCAGACAATCAAGAAGGGGATAAAAGGACAACCACATTGAAGTTCTTTAGGATGACCACTGAAGATGAAAGGGAAGAAAGGGACCAAAGGTAAAAGACATTCAAAGGAGCACGGTGTAACCACTGCATTCTCCTCAGATGCGTCTTCTGAAGACGGTTATTTGAAAAGGACTCCCCATGTACAACTTTAATATGGTTTAGCTCTGTGTCCCCACCAGAATCTCATCTCCAATTACCATCTCCAGGTGTTAAGGGAGGGGCCAGGTGGGAGGTGACTGGATCATGGAGGTGGTTTCCTCCATGCTATTCTTGTGATAGTGAATTCTCACAAGATTTGATGGTTTTATAAGTGTTTGACAGTTCCTCCTTTATACTCGCTCTCTCTCTCCTGCCACCATGTAAGACGTACCTGCTTCCCCTTCCACCATGATTGTAAGTTTTCTGAGGCCTCCCCGGCCATGCAGAACTGTGAGTAAATTAAACTCCCTTTCTTTATAATTTACCCCATCTCATGTGGTGTTCTTCATAGCAATGTGAAAATGGACTAATATAAACTTCATGAGAAGGAGAGACAGAACATAGGGATATAGAACTACTACTCCCTTTTCTTTTTCTTTTATTTTCACTACAGGAGATGGAATTGGAAGAGAACACTGGACAGGGTTGAAGAAGGAAAATTCTCCCCTGTTGTGAACATGAATTAAGATGATGTTGCTACAAGTCCCCATTCCGTGAATCTGCCTGAACTGGGCAACTTGCTGCCTTTCAGTGAGTCAGGATGTTTTATTTCAGGCAGCAGGAGCTAAGGCAGCAACCTCTGTGGTTGTGGGCTACAGAGAGCTCCTGTGCAAAACTACAGAATATGCAGAATTGGTCTTTGTGCTTCTTTTACCTCCCTTTCGGAATCTCTCTCCTACCTCTTGCTCTTTCCCCCATCTTCCAGATACTCAGCACCCCCATGCTCCTTTCAGAGACAAATATCTTTAGCTCCCTTCACAAAGCACTTCCACATAAAATAGCTTATTTGAGTTACACCTCAACAAGCAATTCAACATGTATGCTGTTAACAGTCCTACGTTACAGAAATGTTAAGAAGTTATTTGCCCCAAGGTCATTAGGGAAGAAAATCTCAGAGCTGAGACTTGAACTCACATCCTCAGAAGTCCAATTCTCTTGGGAGCACTTTCCATGGAGGAATTCTAGTTCTGATATGAAACTGCTCATTCTCCACACTGCCACGGCAGTCAGATAATAAAAAGAAAATTGGGGCCAGGCACAGTGGCTCATGTCTGTAATGACAGCACTTTGGGAGGCCAAAGTGAGATGATAGCTTAAGGTCAAGAATTGGAGACCAGCCTGGGCAACAAGGCAAGATCCCCATCTCTACAAAAACAAAACAAGAAGTTCAGGATTGCTGTGACATCTACTTTTCCCATTTGCTCACTTTTATAAGGAACTCTTGATTCCTCCAGGACTCAGCACAAACATTTATTACTCAGGCAAAAAGGCGGTTTGGCTCAGCAAGCTGGGAGTGTTAGAAACTGTGAATCACCAATGGAACAGGGAAGACATTCTGAAGTGAAAATGGGGAAGAACATGTGAGAGAAGGGAAAAGATAACAAAAAGCAGTGAAGCTGATTCCCTGATGAGAAGGATTGTGCTTGAGGGTGAATTTAAGGGGGTCTAGCTGGGCAAGGTGGCATGAGCCTACGACTCCAGCTATTAAGGAGGCCTAGGAGGGAGGTTGGCTTGAGACCAGCGGTTCAAGGCTGCAGTGAGCTATGATCCCACCACTGTACTCCAGCCTGGGCAACAGAGCAAGACCCCATCTCAAATAAATAAATAAATAAATAAATAAATAAATAAATAAATAAGGAGTCTATTGAGCTTGATAAGCTATGGAAAAAGGAGTATGGTGAGAGGAAATGCAGGCTCTCTCAGCTGGGGACCAGCAGAAAAGTGGAGGGGAAAACAGCTGATGTGCTGCATACCTGGATAGTTGTCTCAACTTGATGGGGAGAAATGCTCCTTGTTCAGATCTGTCACCTTGGTACATAGCGCATCATCTGAGGTAGCAGGTGTTCGATACATATTTGTGGAAGTAAACCTTAACATGTATTCCAAGCAAGAACTGAGTTCAGGAAAAGAAACTATGATATGGGCATGAGATGAGTAAGTAATGGCAAAAATAGAATTGAGGCCAAATGTTAAAAGTTATTGGTATTCAGAGACAAACACTGATTGTATTGCATTTGAGACGCTGAAGGCCTAAAGGAACAGAGAAACCACTGAGAACCACCTGCTAATTTTATGAGGGAAGAAAGTGAACCAGAGACAGGTTAAGTTCTTTTCCAAAGCATAAATAGCTAGTTAGGGGAAAAGAAGGAATTTGCACCTGGAAATGCCAATTTAAAACTGGAATAAGAACAAAAAGGCCAGCATCCTACCCTAGTCCCAGAGTGAAGAGAGCCTTGGCTTTACTTGCAGTAGAACTTGTTCAAGTTCCAGCTCAAATTCCTTTGTGACGCCAGACAAGTCCTATAGGGTTTTCACTTCTTGTATTATTTAAAACGTTTGGAGGATAATAATAACTACCCCCATTCCATCACAAAGTTTTTAGGAAAATCTGTGAGATAGTATGTCAAAAGATTGTAAAAAATTAAAAAATTTGCAAGGGTAAATTATTTTGAATGTCTTTTAGTATTTAGACAAAAGGTTTCACTTTTTATAGTATAATTTTCCTTTGTTGTTATTATCATACAAAATCTGTGTCAGAACAAAAAACATTTTTTCAATGTATGCTATTAAATCTCAAGTGATAAAGAATATGCTTGTGGTTTACACAGATTCACGTTAAAAAACAACTTCATGAAAATAATATTCTGCCTGCCAATCACATGGCAAGTCTTGTTTAGATAAGGTTTTACATTTTTTCTTTTTTCTATTTACATTCTTTCTCATTTATCTATATGCATATGGTTATATGTACAAGTTTATCTTTAGTTTCAAGTGTGGCATCTTGACAAGTTTTATTGCCTGCTGGAAAGGTAGGGTGAATAGATTTTGAAGAATCCTAATGACTTTTCCTCTTAGGGAAGCAAAAGACTGTAGATAATGGGTTCAGAGCTTTCCTTTACAGGGACTTTGAGTTATTGTTGTTGCTACTATTTCAACTAGGAGGAAAGGACATTGTGAAAAGAGGTGTTTCAACTTTCTCATTGGGAATGTTGATGAAAGAGTTGATTCTCCTCCAAAGAAAAAAAAATGGGAAAGGGGCAAGGTGGTGAAATAACATTGGCAGACAGATGAATAGCTGGCAATTGAAACCTAAATATGGAAAATAACCCAGGCAGCTAGCTACCTTGAAGGAAAATTATGTAAACAAACTTGAATTTGAAAGAGAAAAATGCTAAATACATTCTGAGAGGTCCTAAGAAAATAGGAAATAGCCCAATAGAAATCCTGAGAAAATCGAAATCAGAAGTATGTCTAATGATTATAAATCGAAGAACAAAACACAGGGTCCCCGAGACTAGCAGGGTTATATATATGGTAAGAGTTTTGGGTAGCAAAATCATGGGGAATATGGAAATGTCTGAATGGCATGGACGAGGGTGCAGATTATGTTAAAATATAATGAGAAGCCTCTAGAACTAGAATATCAAAGAACGGTGATTTACCCACCAAAGATAATGGTTTAGGAAGAAGATTGACACCATAAACATTCTTAGAAAAACTAAATAATGGAATCAAAACACTAAGAGAAAAGAGAAGACAACTAATAAGCAAGGAAAGACAGACAAATTAGAAAATGGAAAAATAAGGGAGAAATAATATAAGGAAAATCATCCATCATGGATAGTTGTTTGGTCTGGTTTGGTAGTATGTTTGCAGGTTTGACATTTTGTACATATTTTTAAAACTAGATAGCTAATTATAATGGAGGTGAGAGGAAAAGATGAAAATAAAACCGAATATAATCTAAAGACATAAAAGAATTTTAAAAAATAAATGTAAATAATATTGAAGAAGTTTCTCCAATACCTAAGAGGAGAGTCTTCTTGTAACTCCATACATTTCTATGAAAAGGAGGAAGAAAGCTGCTTTGTATGAAGCATAGGCATTTTCCTACTTTAAACCTATAAGGAAATTTGGATGACCACAAACTATAAGTTTTTTAAATGACTAGGATATAAAAGGAGAAAGCCCAAAGCAACTTGTGGGTGATGGTTTTAATATCTAATACTTACCACATGTTAAGTTCATCTCTGCTCCAAAGAGTTTTAAAAATACTAATATATAGAAGTATCATATAAAATTATTTTACTATTTGTGTTTTTATTTAAATAATCATATTTCTGTCAATATTGATATTTAAGCTATCAAATATTGACTTTTTATATCATCAGAGAAATGTCACAGGACACTCAGAAAGTAGTTTTATAAAACTTTCTAGTACAAGAACTTTTGTCGAACCATCAAGGGAAATAATGGTAGATTAAAAATTATTTTGCCCCTGGCTTTCATTAGTGCCTAAAAACCCAGGCCCAAGTGTCAACTGATGCATTACCATCAGATTATTTACTTCACAGATCAGTGACTAAGTTTATTTGAGTCCGATTTTCATGGAATAGCATGGATTTTTTGTTTTATTTTTAAATCTGATAAGTATAAGCTTACAGGTGTACCTGTTTCCTGCTGTTCTGAAAACGTGACCAGGCTCTCTCTGTGACAGGATCACACCACAGCTCGTAGCCACTCTGTGCAATAATCTGCAGATGATAACGCCTTTGCAGAGCAGACCTGCACGTGTACTTGCAGAAAGGTCTCTGTCAGACACAGCGGGTGCCTGTGATATCTGAGAGTGGGTCAGCAGGACTGGCACGTTCAGCAGCTCAGGAAGCCAACTTCCAACGGCAGGAGCAGGACCCTCTGCATGTGACTCTGATGGGGCAGATGGTCCTTGGGGCTTCCCTAAAGCCAATGGTACCAAATAAAAGAGAACATCATCTACCCTTGAGACTGCTAAGTGGCTTTAAGAGGCAGAAAAATGCCAAGCATGGACCTTAACCCCCAGATGACAGCAAAATGGGCAGAAAGCAAGCCATCTCAAAAATGTCAGTGGAAATAACTTTGAGACCCCTGGGAAGTGTTTCAACTTGGAATAAAACAAAAGAGTGTATTTGGCAAGTAAGCGTGGGGTGTGGAGTGTTAACTTCTGTTCCTGAGCTAGGATTCTTAAAGCATCGCACACACATGATCCCCTCACAGACAATGGATAAATGGGGAAGAATTTTCTTAGCTGGAATAAATAGCACTCATCTTTATAAAAGGAAGTTTCAAAGCCTGAGAGCTTATTTGGACAAAAACATGAAATACGTTCTTACATAAACCTGGCCCTGGGCCATTTATTCAGATAAATCATATTTTCTCACTTTAAACTCTTGAATTCTAAAGTTTGATATAGAGAGGGCTAAAGGAGCAAACTTAAGAAAGATTAAATAGCATAACCAGGTAGCGGAACTTGAATGCAAGTGCTCTGATTCCCAGGAAACTTGGGACTTCATTGATTTATTGTCTTAATATCATTATATGAAAAAGTAAGGTAATGTATACAACATTTTATGTTTTATTAAAATAACAGAAATATAATAAATACACCTTTGTCCTTACTGATATATGTATTAAACACTTTGAACCTGAGGAGTTTTTTTTTTTTTTTAATTTTTTTTTTATTATACTCTAAGTTTTAGGGTACATGTGCACATTGTGCAGGTTAGTTACATATGTATACATGTGCCATGCTGGTGCGCTGCACCCACCAACGTGTCATCTATCATTAGGTATATCTCCCACTGCTATCCCTCCCCCCATCCCCCGACCCCACCACAGTCCCCAGAGTGTGATATTCCCCTTCCTGTGTCCTTGTGATCTCATTGTTCAATTCCCACCTATGAGTGAGAATATGCGGTGTTTGGTTTTTTGTTCTTGCGATAGTTTACTGAGAATGATGGTTTCCAATTTCATCCATGTCCCTACAAAGGACATGAACTCATCCTTTTTTATGGCTGCATAGTATTCCATGGTGTATATGTGCCACATTTTCTTAATCCGGTCTATCATTGTTGGACATTTGGGTTGGTTCCAAGTCTTTGCTATTGTGAATAATGCCGCAATAAACATACGTGTGCATGTGTCTTTATAGCAGCATGATTTATAGTCCTTTGGGTATATACCCAGTAATGGGATGGCTGGGTCAAATGGTATTTCTAGTTCTAGATCCCTGAGGAATCGCCACACTGACTTCCACAATGGTTGAACTAGTTTACAGTCCCACCAACAGTGTAAAAGTTGAACCTGAGGAGTTTTTTAAAAAATAAAAAGTATGAGCTACTCAATAAAGAAAAGACAAATATTTAAGGTGATGGGTATCCCAATTACACTGATTTGATCTTTATAAATCACATGAATGTATTAAGTTAAAGCCTGTGTTTCGAAAATATGTACATCTATTATCTATCAATAAAAAATTTAAAAACCCCACAAAATTGCTGTCTCAAAAAGAACAACAACAACAAAAAACATGAGCTGTTCAAGAAAACTAGCTCCATTAATTCACAGATTTGTTTTATTTTAATCAAGCACAAAACTATGGGGGTGTAATGGGGCTTGTTATTATTTTCTGTTGAAATTATTTGGTTATTTTATAATGCTTTTACCTAGATTAACTTCATTCTCGTATATGTTTTGTTTCTATATAACTTTGAGCCTATATAAAAATCACAATAATGTTTAAAATTTGATTTTCTGTCACCATTACGGACGTTTAAATAACACTCTTTAAGAAATGACAAGTGAGAACGAAAAAATCCCCATTTGCAGCAATAGCATCAACATTGGTAGAACTTCAATGTAAGAATTACTCTATAGTTTAAACCTTGTGATTATTTCCATAACCATCTATGAATGGATACACATATGGCTGCAAATGAGCTTAGAATCAAGAGAGATGAAATCAGTCTCCATTCTACGTGTTTTACATTTCAATCTCCTTCTGCCCCTTGCCGGTGCTCCAGATTGCTTTCAGTCCAGTTAAACTCTACCTCAAAGACAAATCATTAATCAAGTTTAGGATAATAATAGTAAAAATAGTTAATAGTAATGGGGCACTTATTGCACTCTGAGATGTGCTAACTCTTCACATTCATTCGATCATTTTATCCTCACAATTCTACGAGGTACGTATCTTTACTGCATTTTAGGGATTCTAATATGCACCCCACACACATGCTGACATCTCTGAAATTAAGATGCATCCTCCAAAACAGACAAGTCATTGAATTCTGCTTTCTTTGTTAAATATAAATTAATAGTGCATTTACAATTAACGATGTTTTAGAATTGAAGACACACAGCCCTTTCCTCATTTTCTGAAGTTTTAAATTAAGTCTAGAGAGGTTGAAGAACTTATCCAGGGCCACATGACTAGAGGGACTCAGGCAGTCTGGCTGCAAAGCACACACGGAAAGCCATTCTTACCTCCCAAACTCTTCTTCTCCATCAGTCTCCCCGGCCCCTTTCCTAGGGCATTTCTCATGAAATCATAAGTCCTCCCTCAGGAATGAAGAAGTTCATACACTCTGCATTTAAATCCATCTCTGGGTTATACAAAAATCAGCAACTCTAAAAGTCCAGGAATAGAAAAGACTGTTTTGTTTTAAAAGACAAGAAAAGGGAGAAAGAATAAGATAGGGAAAAAACCCATAATCAAACAATCACTCATGACTTTCTGTATTTTTCTAATTCAAAGTTTCAATTTAAAGAACTAAACTTTTAGACCTGCTAAATTAGGAAAGAAATATTTATTTAATCAAGCCCCAAATGCTAATTTGTGTTTGAGATTATACCCAATTACCAAAAACAGAAGAGTATAGATGGTTTTTAATATTTTCCTTTTTTTAAACTATAAATTTAGTTGATCAGAAAAAAATCTTCTGTGGTTTTTGAGTACAATAAATGTACAATAAAAACATTGATAACACAGCCGCTAAACTGTAGAAAGAGTGTGACTACTAGCATTATCTCTGGTAGCTCTCTTTATCTTTCTATATTTGTTAAATCATTTCATTAATTGTGTCAAATAAAGTGTAAAGTGACATCAGTTGACAAATAAATGGCAAAATGTTCATGTTCAATATTGCTGAAGGTCAACGCAAGGAACTCATCAAGCTTACATGTTTTTTACTTGCTTATGTTAAAAAAATTTACAGAGCAAATATTTACATTCTAAAATATACTTGCTACCAAGTGCATAAATAAATCATGCTATAGTTTTAGACATTTTTACTTCTTAGAAACGTGTAGTTGCCTTAGTAAAAGGAATTTAGTGGAAAAATACTGTAAACACTTACTCTGGTATCTTCATGTTAGAAAGCATTAAATCCTTTACTGATATTAAACTTGTAATATTGTTTTGGGGCTCAGTTTTTCAGGCAACAATCATTTATTAATTGACTGCCGTGCATCAGAAGCTGAGATCAGCATTGATATCCACAAGAGACCAGAATGGCGATCTTGCCTTCCAGGGATTCACACTGCAGAAGAATGTGTAGATAGATAAAGATAGCACGGTGCTGCATGGCATCATAGACATATTAAAAAAGAACTACAGGAGAAGTCGATTCAATTTATACTCAGTTGCACATAGATGCAGATATGTGCCTTATTTTCAGACTGCCTAAGCTTCAACAGTTTTATGTGATTACCTCTTATAAGAATTTTTAAACCACTAATTTGCTGTTTACTTCTTCGTAGTATTGTCACTTCTTCAGCTTATTAGTATCTTTTCTGATTGACTGCCCGTACTATTTACCACCCAAAGGGAAGGACATTTGAAGCTGCTTCTTTAAACACATTTTCAAATGCCCATACCCCCCACCCCACCCATTCCGCTGCACGACAAATGGCAGCATAAGCCAGTGTGATGGCATATGCCGCTACTCCCAGTTACTGGGGACGCTGAGGGGAGAGAATTCAGCCTAAGCAATACAGTGAGACCTTGTCAAAAAAAAAAAAAAAAAAAGTCTAATTATCAAGATGAAAGAAAAAAATAGCCATTTTCATATTCGTGCTTTATTCTGCATTAGATTAAACGCCACAGCCCACTCCCAGATCCTTAATGGGAAACAGGGAAGTAGGGCAACTTTCTCACATTTACATTAAAACAAGTAATCTATTCACTTGGCTTAACATTGTTTTAATGTACAAAACATTTCAAAATATTTAAAAGGTACAAAGTACATGACCCCAGCTGACAGTTGCTGTCCCAAGAGACAAGTCCTCCAGAGATATTTTCTGAATATTCAAGGAAATGTTATTCTTTTATCCCTTCATTTTCTCCCCCTTCCTTCCCTTCTTCCTTTTTCTCTCCATTCATTCCTTCCTCCTTCCTTTGATTGATTTCCTTTTTTCTTTCCCCTCCTTCCTTCTTTTCCTCTGTTTATTCCTTCCTTCCTCTCTCCCTTCCTTCCTTCCTTCCTTCCTCTCTTATTTTGAACATATTATACTAAACTCACTGTCCTTTCCTTTGACATTTTTCATTTAGCGATATGAAATCTTTTCACACGAATAAGTGATGCATTTTGCCATTTTTTTGCAGCTGTCTGCTATTTCCTTAAATAGATATATCAGAATATGTTTTGTATTTTTTCACTTATGAGTAACCTTGAACATATGTTATTTCAATATTGTAAGTATACTTATACTTAGGGCAAATTCTCAAAGGTGAAAATACTATGCTGAAGGATATTTCCAATTGGAACTATAATAGGTATTACCAAACAACCAAAGATTTTTTACTGCCTTCAATTAAAGAGCACCTCGAAACTCTAGTGAAAATATCAGAAAATGACAATATCAGAATTATTTCAACAGTAACAGGAATATCTGGTTCTTAGTTAATTTGCCATTTTTCAGGTTTCAGGTTTTGTCTCTTTGCAGACATGATCAAAAGTTATCTGCTGAGTACAAAAGCAGAATGAAATCATAATAATGATTTAATCTTAAAGACACATAATACATAGATAGAAATTTTAATTCTACTCCACCTCTGTCTTCTCTCATCTTCTCCATCATTTTGGCCACTGATGTTCAAAGCAAATCTGTCTTTAATATAGTTCCTTAACTCTAGGATTTGGATAATCTTTTTGCATGCTTTTATGAGCTGGAATTACAGACAGCAAACACAATTCAGCCTCTTGCTGTGGAAACCACAAACTTCTAAAGGGCATTTTGCCTGGACATCACTTCATAGAGAATAAGCTCTGTCCCTTGGGCAACTTGAAGACTGCCTGCATGACTTGTTGCATCATGTGACCTTTGGCAGTAAAAAATTTAAACCAGAGACAAAACAGGGTATTTCACCTCTGAACAATGGAAATGCCTCCAATTTCTGTGAAAGCTCTCTTCCTATTATACTTTCCACTCCAGTTTATCGTCTAAGCACTCCTGGTTTGAGATCTTGTGAAAAGTGTCAACTTATCTCAGAGAATCATTCAACATGGGCCAAGTGGCCCAGAGAGTAACAGTTCTCACTCTAAGAAAGAAGGTGGAGGGAAAGAATATTGGTTGGCTCCTTGTCTTAAAAATTCCACCTAATAGACAAGGGTTATAGGAACCTGTCTGTTTACTTTGTGGAACTCTTCATGATTCAAAAGAATACCGATGTTAAGATGGGTTTGTGGTGTTGGGTGGTGTGGTGGGATATTATATATTATGGGATGAAAATGTTGCCCAATATTTTCACGAGTTGTCTTGAAAGAGTGGGGGGAACAAATGAGTTTATTAACTAAACAGATCATTGTATCTTTGGTTACTTTGACACAAGAGAATTTCCTCAGCAAGAGAATCCAGTCTCTGAAGATCATTCAGCAACATCCTTATACCTCTAACATGGTGCTACACTCAATGAATCATTGAGGAGTGAAATTAGAATATGAGTTTTCACAGTGCTTTTCCTAGAACACTGTTTTGTTTCTTTGGGGAAGTCAGGAAAGCTCTCTTTCAAAGAGACAGCTAATATGGAAGCAATAAGACAACAAAATGGCTAGAAAAGCCAAGTTGTGTTAAATAAAAAGATGACACTGCGTGATAGCACATTGCTTAGCCAATGTTTTATTAGCAAGATCTTGCAGCAACTTTGACTTTGGGAAAATGAGATGAGGGTCAGTTTAGACCTCGAGTCCCATATGTAATTGAAGAGCCAAGGAAAAAACGGTCAAAGGCTGATGGAACCATAATAAGGGCTGAAGACCACCATCCTTGATCAGTGTTGAGCTATGCAGAGAAAAAGGGAAGGTGAGTAATTAATATGATCCTAAAAACCATTGTAAATGATCAACTAAAAAGTAAAAAGTCACTCCTGGCAGGTTGTGGTGGCTCGCCCCTGTAATGTTAGCACTTTAGGAGACTGAGGTGGGAGGATTGCTTGAGGCCAAGAGTTCGAGACCAGCCTGGGCAAAATAGCAACACCCTATCTCTACGAAAAATAAAGTCACTTTGAAAAACAGTAGAAATGAAAACAGTGGGAAAACACAAAGACGAAGGGGTGATGGCTTTGAAACAGTCCATCAAGGAGAAAGAATAGAAGGAAGTGCCTATGATTTGACCAGGTGGTGAGACTAATGAGGGGCTAAAAGCACAAAGGAAACTGTGGAGATGTGAGAGACTGGTGTTTAAAAAAGTTTTTTTAAAAAACCAAGCAGTGAGCTAGCTGCTTTGGTATGAACTTTCTAAAGAGTAAAGGAATAAATAGAAGAATATGGGGCTTTACTGTAAACCAGATCTCAGGATCTCACAGGCCAGTGTCTTCGCAGTACTGAAAATTCCACAGCCTCCCTGGAAGCTCTTGCCATCAGTAGAAGCTTGTAGCTGGCTATGTTAAACACAAACAACAGCAACAACAAACAACGGAGGCTGCTGGCCCTGAGAAAGAGGATGCGCAATGTTTACACTGGAGGAGAAATATTTTGCCACCCCACAAGATGTGGCGCAACTCCCCTCCCTTTCTTCTTGGGCAAAGCAGAGGAGTGACTGAGTTTTATCTCATGTTCCTTTTCTTATGAGGGATACGGGCCCCCATGCTGCTCAGGCTGACTTCTCATGGAAGAGGGGCTGAATCTGAGTCATTAGAAAACCACATATGGTTTCACTTCCAATGACATCTGGAAAGCAAGAGGTCAGATAGCATCATAGAGATGTCTTGGTGAAAACAGGGACTGAGCTAACGCTGTTCTCTTTGGGAGATTAGTAGGGAGCGAAATGTGGATGGAATTTTAGTGGAGAATTAGAATAATGTTTCTTTTCCTTTACTCGCCTTCTCAAATTACCCTGAAGAGGAGAGGTAAGGACAGAGAAAAATAGGGAAGAACAGCAGAAGGAGCTACTTGAGGGATCACAAGAATTTAAATAAAATCATAACCCTCCAAAAAGAACTGAAAGTTTTTCAACCTCATTTAAGTACTCCCCTTGTGTCTCAGCACTGAGTGGATTCTCATTAACATTTTATATTTAAAGAATTTAGAAATAACTTCTATACATTTTGCTAAAATTTGTTTCTCAAGGCATAATAATTTTCATTTAATTTAACGTGATCAAATAACATAAACCTTGCTACATTTAAACAAATAAAAATAGTATTGGTACTAAAGAAAGCATGTTCTTGTTATAATAGAATCAATTATGACCAATTCATACCCTCCCCAGAATTGGCACCAAGAAACGTGATGGGCACAATAGAAAGATGAGGCAGAAAGCACTCCCTCTCCCTCCCTAAACACAGAACAAGTTCCCTCAAGTCTAATCCCCCCAGCAAGGGATCCCACAGTTTTTCATTAATACAGTACAAAAACATATGGTTAAGAAATAAAAAGAATATAAAGAAATGAGTAGAAGAGCTACGGAATTCAAAGAAAACACATTCCCTGGTTCATACCCACATCTAACTGCCTCAGAAATTTCAACAAACATCAGATGTGATTTTCAAGATGTTTTTTGCTTATTTATGAGCGAAATGCAGGGACTTCCCTATGGGGTAGTAATAATATTTTCTTTCCTTGTATTGAGTTATAATTGTATAGGGTTATTGTGAGGATTAAAATGGGATCTTTGTAAACTGTTGAAGAAATATATAAATTTGTATTTCCAAATTATGAAAACTAATTCTTACTGTTCAGGAAGTGTGGATATGGTTATAGAAGAAAGGAAAGGATAGATTTTTGCCCTAAGTGTGTACCAATCTAAAGATAAAAATTGAAAGTTGTTTTTGGAGAAAAAAAATCCTGACATTAGCCATTTAACAAAAAAATCATTCTTCTTTTCTAGAAGTAAATTCCAGAGAAAAGTAATCCAGTACTGATTTCTATGTGTGTGTCTTACAGTGGAATATAACATATGGGAAGAAATGCCCTGCCCAAAAGGTTCCAATTTTCTTAGAAAGCCCTGAGATCAGGATGAAAGACTGAAAAGAGGGAGGAAAGAAGGGGGGATGAAAGAAAAGTAGGGGAGGAGAGGGAAGGAACAAAGGAGGAAAGAAAGCCACAATAAGACCCAACAAGCAAATGTCTTTTAGCTTCTTAAGAGTAACTTGCTGTTATCCTGCGTGCACACACTGCAGCCCAGCGCCACTATTTGGGCGTTAGCTAGTTTTTTAATCTGAGGCTTTGACTTCCTTTCATCTTCCTGAATCTGATCTAGTTCATCTTTAGAAAGTGCTTAAGGGACTGAGGATCGCAAAGACTCACTCTAAAGAAGATTAAGGTAAATAACAGGTTGGGAAAGGGTTTTTTTCTTCCTTTTGAGTTCAGGCCTTTGAGAATATTTTCACATTTATTTCTATTTAAAGCAAAATATAATTCTTTTACAGGAGTTGAAAGTTGGAATCATTATATCAGCAGGAAAGAGTATCTACTCCACATTCATCTACACATGATGGCAGGATAGTGAGAGTAAAAATGTTAGCAAAATCCCAACCCCGTTCTCCCAAAGTGTGCAGTCATCCCTTCGATTAACACATAATTTACTGAGCACCTACTATGTGCTGTGCATTCACTGTCCCAGGCCTTGGAGATATAGTAGTGAACAAAACAGATGAAAATTTCTTCTCTCAAGAACTTGACATTCTTGGAGTAAAAGGTAGTGAACTGGAGATGCTCTAAAACATCACTAATTTGTCAGATATTACTTGCTTTAAATGCTCTCATATATGTGCATATTGAGTAAGTCTAAGAGTAAGATAAGATTTTTTGAAATTCTAGAAGCAGGAAATAAATGTTTTAAGATCCTTGACCATTTAAGAAAGTTGGAATATATACAAAATATAAGTTTTAGTAGTTTTAAAGCAAATCTAAAATGATTTTTTTAGTTTGAAGAACAAAAGTAGGTTATATAAAATGATTTTTTTCCAGAAATTTTTAATTTTTGGTATTCAGAGATTGACAGTTCGGGTGCCATATAAGCAAGGAAGAAAAATATTTTTCCAACATATTTCACGGGAGAGATGGGAATTGGAGGGAAAGTTTTAAAAAATATTTCTCCCCAACTTTTCTAATTTCATTTTTGTTGTGCTCTCATAAAGCCCAGCCCAGTGTCCTGTCTTTTATAGCTTTTCAACGAATATATGTTGCACAATTATTTTGTCAGTGTGAGGCAAATTCTTGATGTAGAAAACACCTCAAATGTATTGTAGAGCAAAATGTTGTATTAGTTTATGAGACTGACGCACTGCCTACCGTGATAAGAAGGCACCATTATTTTATTAGTTTAAAGCTAAAAAATAACCATATGATTACATGGTTTACAATTAACTCAAACCTTTTCATCCTCAAAAGCGCAAGCTTTCTTTTTAGAAATGAGTAGTGCTTGCCTTCTATTGTTCAAAATTTAATGGAAATGATGACATTGCTTTATTTTTTAACCTGTTAAAAAGATAGTTTTTATAAAATTGCTTCATTATTTTATAACTCTAGAAATTCTATATTATTAAATTACTTACAATATGACTTGCTCTTACTTAGCATAGTTGGAGAAATCAATGGTTTGCTTCATCCGTAGGTACAGGACAGAGGGATAATGCTATGGCAGGCGTAATGAGAGTCTGGGCAGATCCCAAACCAAGGAGTAAACATAGTTGCAGAGGAGCTATGATCAGAGCATTGGGTTTATTTTGTGGTCCAGGAGGTGGAGAGTTAGAGGTCAGCCAAAGTTGATTACTAGGAGCCAAGCGGGGGAAGTGCCAGAGACATGACTGGGAGATGGAGTGGAAAATCCGCAACCTGTGACACTAACCCAGGAACTGAAGGCAGGAACGTGGGAAGCCCAGTAAGTCAGACAGCTCTTCTTCAGTCTAGCAACGCAATTTTAAAGACCTGGCCATGTACTTCTATGCATCGTTTTAAAGGCATTGCCAAACACCTAACTACTGGAATTAATGGATTTTAGTTTGGTGAGAAAGTAGACATTTTTCCAAAGAATTACGGGTGTGTTCAATGAGATCAATGACTGCACTTGTATTAGTTATCCATTGTTGTATAACAAATTAACCCAAAACTTAGCAGCTTAAAACAGCAAATATTTATTATCTTATCATTTCTGTGGGCTAGTAACTCAGGCATAACTTAGCTGGGTGTGTCTGGCCCGTGATATCTTAACAAGGCTGCAATCGAAGTGTTAGCTGGGGCTGCAGTCATCTCAAGTAGGAGAGTAGGAGAAGATCCACTTCCAAGAACACCAGCCTGGCTGTTGGTAGGACTCTTTGCAGCCTGTTGGCCAATGATCTCAGATCCTTGCCACATGGGTCTTTCAGCAGGGCCGCTCACAATATGGCATTCAGACCTCCCTCAGAGTAAGCTAGAGAATGAAAGAGAGCGAGAGGGAATGGGCAAGATAGAAGTCATAGTGTTTCCGACCTCATCTCGGAAGTGACATCCCATCCCATCCCTATTGCCCTCTTCCATATGTCAGAAGCCAGTGGCCATGTGCAGCCCACACTCAAGCAGAGGGGATTATACAAGAGTGTAAATGTTAGGAAGTGAGGGCCATTGGGAGTCAACTTAGAGCCTGCCTTCTGCAGCACTCCACAAAGAATTCTGTATCATTAGGTATTTTAGAACTGAATAGACAACAGATGATCATGTAAGAAACAGGTATTCACCTGCTGGAAGGCAAGAACTGCCATTATCTTAAAGTTTCTTTCACACCTATGACTATATTCTCTGAAATGAAATGGGTTCTTTGTATATTTTTCATAAATTTTGTCTAACACACAATGGTAGTTCAACCACCATCTCATCTATTGTCATATAAGGACCAAAGTCTGGCTAAACTTTCCCTAAGCAGTGGAACAGTAGTTAAGAGAAAGACTGCCAGGATTTGATCCCAGTTTTTTACTTACTAGCTGCTTGATGTTGTTGCCTCAATTTTCTGTTCTGAAAAATGGAAGCAATAGTTTTACCTCACTCATAGTGTTCTAAGAATTAAATTAAGTGTCTAGTACAGTCCCGGGTACATGTTATATGATCAATAAGAGTGAGCTAACTAAAGAAATTTGACCTGTCCTCTATTGACAACTTTTTTGGGAAAAGGAAATTCATATTTTTCATATGATTTCCCATATGTCAGCCACATAGATATTTTTTGTTTCCCTACTTCCTAAGATCTTCATCAAATTAGTCATGCCGTTATTGGTATAAAACTCTCCAACAGCTAAGCACAGTGGCAAGACAATAAAATGTATGTGATTTTAGAGCCAGTCAAAGAGATTGGGACTTCAATTATCTATTTCATATTCTAAGGCTATATCAAGTCCTTCACTCTTTTATAATATATTTATATTTCAGACATTATTTACAGGTATTTGTCTTTTCACTCTCCATGAAACAGCTAGAATTCAAAATAGAAAAATTCCTTTGATGTCTTTTTAGTTCATTCTTTATAGCCTTTGATTTTTTAAATTAAAAAAGTATGCTTATTCTAGAAAAATGAGAGTTCAGCTAAGTAAAAAAGAGAGAGAAAAAGAAAAAGAAAGACATATATGGATTATCCCAATGTTAGTGATCTCTTAGTTGATTTTTAAAGCTTTGGATTTTTAATTTTTTAAAAAATGTATACTTATTTTAGAAAAATAGAGAACATAGATAAGTAAAAATACAGAAAGAAAAACAAAGGAATATTCGCTCATAACCCTAATATCCATAGGAAGCCATGACTAACTTAAGTCTATCTTTCTAGGTATTTTTCTATGCATATATAAAAAATATAATAATAAGAAAAGGCCTGGTGGCTCACGCCTATAATCCCAGCACTTTGGGAGGCTGAGGCAGAAGGATTGTTTGAGCCCAGGAGTTTAAGACCAACCCTGGCAACACAGCGAGACCCTATCTTTACAAATAAAAATAAAATGTAATAGTATGAACATAATATTGTAATCTGTCTCTTTGTTTTTTTTCCTTCCAAAGCATATGTGGGTAAGATGATTTACTCTAAACGAAAGTAAACCAACAGGGAAAAAAAGCTGTTTAGAATATGAAAGAGAAGAGAATGGATTGAGTCTGAGAGCAGGGAGATATGGAGATAATAAGACTGGAGAAGAGAAGAGGAGAGAAGCAAAGGGAGGGAGTTCATTTTGCTACCAGGGAATGCTGGGTTTAACTCTTCTTTCCCTGAAACGTGCAGACACCTGCAACCGCTCACTTTTGACCCTGGGTGGAAGAGATCCCTCCAGCACAGAGATAGTGGCAGGTTTTCTTCATGTTCACATTTTATGAATTTGGTGACTACTCTTTGGATATAGAAGGTGGTTCTTGAGAAAACATTCTGTTGAACACTCAACACACATACTTGCAGAACTCATTTTCATAAAGACCCCATATATGCCTCTTTAGGGGACTGAATTGAAAAAAACCAATGCCCACTAAAAAATACCTTTTCCTTCCAAAAATATCACCCTCAAACTGAAATCCATATAATCATCTAATATGACATTTTGTCTAACCTGGATGAAAGTACCAGTCTGACCCACTTTTGAACTTGAACATAATAACAAACTTTCTAGTATTTTTAAAAAATAATCTAATACCCGTATTTGGCATTTAAAAAATGTATCTCAATAATTAGTTGCTTCTCTATTAAAGAAGGAAATTTAGTCTTAACTCTTGGAAAAATAATTTCTATTTTCCTTTTATAAGGGAAAGTTCCTTTCCACTTTCCTGTAGGCCAGTGATGCACTGTTTAATTTATTGAGAAGTCATTCAACTGACACTCCTTAGTTGGTCCTGAGCTATCAGTCTTTCCCTTTCATTTTCTGCTGGTCTAAAAGATACACATGTCCTCCTCTTTTACATGTATTTTTCTACTTTTTAGAATTCATACCCTTCAATTTATCTGATTTATTGGCATAGAATTGTTTATAATATTTCCTCGTTATTGTTTTAATGTTGATAGAATATGTAATAAAGTCTCATTATTCTAGAATTTAGAAATTTCTGGGGATTTTTCCCGGTTTATCTTAGCCAATCTAATTACTTTACCTATATATTATTAATCACTACAAAAAATTGGCTTTTGGTGTCTTTGGTTTTCTCTATTGTTTGTCTGTTTGCTATTTCATTGACATTTATTCTTGTCTTTACTATATCTTTCCTATGCTTATTTGAGTTTCATTTCATTCTTTTTATAACTTCTTAAGGTAAAAACATATATTATTGATTTTAAACCTTTTTTCCTAATACGAACATTTAGAGTTATAAATTTTTCTCTAAAGCACTGCTGTGTCTACAATTCCCACATTTTGAAATATTGTATTATCAGTCAGGTCTAAATACATATTTGTTAGTTTTCTTTGAGATTTCTTATTTGATCTATAGGTGATATAGAAGTTTGTTGCTTAATTTCCAAATCTTTGAAGATTTCCAGATATATGTTTCTTATTCACTTCTGAAGTAGTATTGTTTTGTTCAAAGCGTGTTTAGAACTGTTTCAATTATTTAATATTTATTGAGACATTTTATAGCTTACACAAGTGCTCTATCTCTGTGAATGTCTCATGTGCACTTAAAAATAATATTTATTCTACTGTTGCTGGATGTAGAATTCTACAAATGTCAATTTGATTTTGTTGACAGTATTGTTCAAATCTTCAATATCTTTACTGATTTATGCCATTTTTTAAAAATCATTTACTGAGACGGGAGTATAAAAACCTTTAATGACAATTGTGGATTTGTCTACTTCTCCCTTCAGCTCTGTCATTCTTTGCTTCATATATTTTGAAGTTCTGTTTTTAGGTGAATACCCATTTATGATTGCTGTCTCCTCTTAATGAACTGACCTGTTTAAAATTGTGAAATGTTTCCCTTGATCAATACTTTCATTCTGAAGTCTACTTTGATCTTAATATGGACACAACTACTTTTCCTATTCTTATCTTTTAATTTTTATTTCTATTAACTATTTCTTAATTGACAAGTAAAAATTGTATATATTTATGGTATGCAGCATAATGTTTTGGTATATGTGTATATTGGGGAATAGTTGAATTAAGCTATTTAACATATACATTACCTCACATGCCATTTTTCTTGGTGTGAACACTTAAAATCTACTCTATTAAATAGGCAACTTTCAAATCGACAATATATTATTAACTGTAGTCATCATAATGTGCAATAGATCTCTTGAACATATTCCTCCTGTCTAACTGAAATTTTGTGTCTGACTGACATCTCCCCAGTGAACCATGCCTCAGCCTCTGGTAACCACCATTTAACTCTGTTTCTATGAGTTTGACACTTTTATACTCCACATGTAAGTGAGATCATATGGTATTTGTTGTTCTTTCTTTGCCTGTCTTGTTTCACCTAATATAATATACTCCAGGTTCATTCATGTTGTTGCAAATGGTTTCCTACTTTTTAAAAGATGAATAGTTATTCCATTGTGCATATATACCACATTTTCTTTATCTATTCATCCAATAATGAACACTTAGGTTAATTTTATATTTTGGCTATTGTGAATGATGCTTCAATGAACATGGAATAGGCACAACTTTCTTTTTAAATTCATGTTTGCATGACATACATTTTACCACCCTTTAATTTTAAACTATTCTTGTCTTTACATCTAATGTATGTCTCTTTTAAGCAACTTATAGTTGGGCCTTGGTTTTTAATCTAATCTGGTGAACTTTATCTTTGATTGGGCAGTTTATTTCATTTACATATAATGCAGTAATTGCTACATTGTTTATAAATATGCTACCTTGTAATTTTTTGTAATTTTTTATTTGTTTCAGATTCTCTCTAGTCTCTTCCCCTTTTTTTCTTCCTTTTTTTTGGATTGAGTACATGTTAGTATTTTATTTCATCTCCTCTACTGGCTTCTGGTTTATCATCATATTTTTTTGTTTTCATTTACTTTTGTTTGTTTTATTATTATACTTAAAGTTCTGGGGTACATGTGCAGAACGTGCAGTTTTGTTACATAGGTATACACGTGCCATGGTGGTTTGCTGCCCATCAACCCGTCACCTACGTTAGGTATTTCTCCTAATGTTATCCCTCCCCTAGCTCCCCACCCCTACAGGCCCCAGTGTGTGATGTTCCCCTCACTATGTCCATGTGTTCTCATTGTTCAACTCCCACTTACGAGTGAGAACATGTGGTGTTTGGTTTTCTGTTCTTGTGATAGTTTGCAGAGAATGATGGTTTCCAGCTTCATCCATGTCCCTGCAAAGGACATGAACTCATCCTTTTTTGTGGCTGCATAGTACTCCATGGTGTATATGTGCCATATTTTCTTTATCCAATGTATTATTGATGGACATTTGGGTTGGTTCCAAGTCTTTACTATTGTGAATAGTGCTGCAGTAAACATACATGTGCATGTGTCTTTATAGTAGAATGATTTATAATCCTTAGGGTGTATATCCAGTAATGGGATTGCTGGGTCAAATGGTATTTCTAGTTCTAGATCCTTGAGGAACTGCCACACTGTCTTCCACAATAGTTGAACTAATTTACACTCCCACCAACAGTGTAAAAGCATTCCTGTTTCTCCACATTCTCTCCAGCATCTGTTGTTTCCTGACTTTTTAATGATCGCCATGCTAACTGGCATGAGATGGTATCGCATTGTGGTTTTAATTTGCATTTCTCTAATGACCAGTGATGATGAGCATTTTTTCATATGTCTGTTGGCTGCATAAATGTCTTATTTTGAGAAGTGTCTGTTCATATCCTTTGTCCACTTTTTGATGGGGTCGTTTGTTTTTTCTTGTAAATTTGTTTAAGTTCCTTGTAGATTCTGGATATTAGCCCTTTGTCAGATGAGTAGATTGCAAAAATTTTCTCCCATTCTGTAGGTTGCCTATTCACTCTGATGATATTTTCCTTTGCTGTGCAGAAGCTCTGTAGTTTAATTAGATCCTATTTGTCAATTCTGGCTTTTGTTGCCATGCTTTTGGTGTTTTAGACATGAAGTCTTTGCCCATGCCCATGTCCTGAATGGTATTGCCCAGGTTTTCTTCTAGGATTTTTATGGTCTATCTATTTTGTTGAGCTTTTCAAAAAACCAGCTCCTGGATTCATTGATTTTTGGGAGGGTTTTTCGTGTCTCTGTCTCCTTCAGTTCTGCTCTGATCTTAGTTATTTCTTGTCTTCTGTTAGATTTGTTTTCATTTTATTAGCAGTTGCTTTACAATTTACAACATGAATTTTTAATCTATCAGAGTCTACCCCCAGTATCATACTAATTTATGTATATGGTAAGAATCTTACAATAGTATACTTCCATTTTCTCCCTTCCCATTTTTGTATTATTGTTTGCTATGTATATTTTATTTTTTTTTTCTTTTTTTTTATTTATTTATTTTTTTTTTCTTTATTTATTTATTTATTTATTTATTTATTTTTTATTTTTTATTTTTATTGATCATTCTTGGGTGTTTCTCGCAGAGGGGGATTTGGCAGGGTCATAGGACAATAGTGGAGGGAAGGTCAGCAGATAAACAAGTGAACAAAGGTCTCTGGTTTTCCTAGGCAGAGGACCCTGCGGCCTTCCGCAGTGTTTGTGTCCCTGGGTACTTAAGATTAGGGAGTGGTGATGACTCTTAACGAGCATGCTGCCTTCAAGCATCTGTTTAACAAAGCACATCTTGCACCGCCCTTAATCCATTTAACCCTGAGTGGACACAGCACATGTTTCAGAGAGCACAGGGTTGGGGATAAGGTCACAGATCAACAGGATCCCAAGGCAGAAGAATTTTTCTTAGTACAGAACAAAATGAAAAGTCTCCCATGTCTACTTCTATCCACACAGACCCGGCAACCATCCGATTTCTCAATTTTTTCCCCACCCTTCCCGCCTTTCTATTCCACAAAACCGCCATTGTCATCATGGCCCATCCCCAATGAGCCGCTGGGCACACCTCCCAGACCGGGTCGTGGCCGGGCAGAGGGGCTCCTCACTTCCCAGTAGGGGCGGCCCGGCAGAAGTGCCCCTCACCTCCCAGATGGGGCGGCTGGCCGGGCGGGGGGCTGACCCCCCCACCGCCCTCCCGGACGGGGCGGCTGGCCAGGCAGAGGGGCTCCTCACTTCCCAGTAGGGGCGGCCGGGCAGAGGCGCCCCTCACCTCCTGGATAGGGCGGCTGGCCGGGCGGGGGGCTGTTCCCCCCACCTCCCTCCCGGACGGGGCGGCTGGCCGGGCAGAGGGGTCCTCACTTCCCAGTAGGGGCGGCCGGGCAGAGGCGCCCCTCACCTCCCGGACGGGGCGGCTGGCCAGGCAGGGGGCTGATCCCCCCACCTCCCTCCCGGACGGGGCGGCTGGCCGGGCGGGGGGCTGACCCCCCCCACCTCCCTCCCGGACGGGGCGGCTGGCCGGGCAGAGGGGTCCTCACTTCCCAGTAGGGGCGGCCGGGCAGAGGCGCCCCTCACCTCCCGGACGGGGCGGCTGGCCAGGCAGGGGGCTGATCCCCCCACCTCCCTCCCGGACGGGGCGGCTGGCCGGGCAGGGGGCTGACCCCCCCTCCCCCCTCCCGGACGGGGCGGCTGGCCGGGCGGGGGGCTGACCCCCCCACCTCCCTCCTGGGCGGGGCGGCTGGCCGGGCAGAGGGGCTCCTCACTTCCCAGTAGGGGCGGCCGGGCAGAGGCGCCCCTCACCTCCCGGACGGGGCGGCTGGCCAGGCGGGGGGCTGACCCCCCACCTCCCTCCCGGACTGGGCGGCTGGCCGGGCGGGGGGTTGACCCCCCCACCTCCCTCCTGGACGGGGCGACTGGCCGGGCAGAGGGGCTCCTCACTTCCCAGTAGGGGCGGCCGGGCAGAGGAGCCCCTCACCTCCCGGCCGGGGCGGCTGGCCGACCCCCCCCCCCCGGCCTCCCTCCCGGACGGGGCGGCTGGCCGGGCAGAGGGGCTCCTCACTTCCCAGTAGGGGCGGCCGGGCAGAGGAGCCCCTCACCTCCCGGACGGGGCGGCTGGCCGGGCGGGGGGCTGACCCCCCCCACCTCCCTCCCGGACGGGGTGGCTGCCGGGCGGAGACGCTCCTCACTTCCCAGACGGGGTGGTTGCCAGACGGAGGGGCTCCTCACTTCTCAGACGGGGCGGTTGCCAGGCAGAGGGTTTCCTCACTTCTCAGACGGAGCGGCCGGGCAGAGACACTCCTCACCTCCCAGACAGGGTTGCGGCCCAGCAGAGGCGCTCCTCACATCCCAGACAGGGCGGTGGGGCAGAGGTGCTCCCCACATCTCAGACGATGGGCGGCCGGGCAGAGACGCTCCTCACTTCCTAGATGGGATGGCGGCGGGGAAGAGGCGCTTCTCGCTTCCTAGATGGGATGGCGGCCGGGCAGAGACGCTCCTCACTTTCCACACTGGGCAGCCAGGCAGAGGGGCTCCTCATATCCCAGACGATGGGTGGCCAAGCAGAGACGCTCCTCACTTCCCAGACGGGGTGGCCGCCGGGCAGAGGCTGCAATCTCGGCTCTTTGGGAGGCCAAGGCAGGCGGCTGGGAGGTGGTTGTAGCGAGCCGAGATCACGCCACTGCACTCCAGCCTGGGCACCATTGAGCACTGAGTGAACGAGACTCCATCTGCAATCCCAGCACCTCGGGAGGCCGAGGCTGGCGGATCACTCGCGGTTAGGAGCTGGAGACCAGCCCGGCCAACACAGCGAAACCCCATCTCCACCAAAAAAAAACGAAAACCAGTCAGGCGTGGCGGCGCGCGCCTGCAATCGCAGGCACTCGGCAGGCTGAGGCAGGAGAATCAGGCAGGGAGGCCGCAGCGAGCCGAGATGGCAGCAGTACAGTCCAGCTTCGGCTCGGCATGAGAGGGAGAGGGAGACGGGAGAGGGAGAGGGAGACGGGAGAGGGAGAGGGAGACGGGAGAGGGAGAGGGAGACGGGAGAGGGAGAGGGAGACGGGAGAGGGAGCTGCTATGTATATTTTAAACTCCATGATATTTTGTTATTTCTGCTTTAAAGAATCAATTAATTTTTGAAGAAATTACAGTATGAAAAAGAATTTTAGATTTGCCTGTATACTAACCGTATCTGGCACCCTTTATTCCTTTGTGTAAAATCAAGTTTTCATATATCATTATCCTTCACCTGAAGACCTTCTTTATACACTTCTTGTAGTTGAAGTCTCCTGGCAATGTATTCTCTCAGATCTGGTTAGTCTGATAATCTCTTTATTTCAACTTCATTTTTGGTGGATATTTTAACTGGTTACAGAATGTTAGGTTCACAGTCTTTTTTTTTTTTCATTTAAGAAAAAAATGGTAATTCATTATTCTATTTCCATTATTTCTGATGAGAAGGCATTATTATTATTATTATTAATATTATTATCACTATTAGTCATTGTTATTATCATTCTCCTGTAGGTGATGTGTGTTTTTCTGTCTGCTTTTAAGATTATGTACCTTGGGACAATCATGGGCTCCCTTCATTTTTGCCTTCTCTGCCAAAGTTCACTGTGCTACGTGCTGTTAAAGATCTGAACTGGTGATTTCATATAATTTTACCCAGGTGAATAGTCATTTATGTCTTAGCACAAGTTTAGCTAGTACTAGTCCCAATATCTGACTGAGCAGAAGCCTGATAGGATAGTTTTAAAACAGCAAACCAATAAGGAGTTTCCTAGGAATAGAGAATTCCCAGCTTGGATTTTTTCTTTTTTCCTTTTCTTTAAGCACTAAGTCATTGACGATTTTAAAGCAAGGTTTTGACTTACTCGGTGATATTATTTAGAGTGTTTTGGCTAATAATTTTAGCAAGACTATATTGAGATGAGGGGAAAAAGGAGGCTTGCTGACCCAATAGGATGCTTTCAATTGTGCGGGTGAGAAATAGTAAAATACCTACACTAACATGAAGGTGCAGAGAAGGGAGAGGAGGGAGAATGAAAGAGATCCCATAGACATGGATGAGGCAAAAACAACCCAACCTAGAGAAGGGCATGAATTCTGACCAAAAGTAGGTAAATGCATAGGAAGAAGGAGTACATTTATTTTAGGCCAGAAGAAAGTGAAAAGGAGAAGACTGAAAGCTCAGGGTCAACTGAGGGATGTCATTTTGAGTCACTTAATAAATTAAACAATGAATCATTGGCCTAGAGAGAAGTAGGAAGGGCACTTGGGATAAAAGGAGAACAGGAATCATTTTTCTAATAGTAAAGATTACCTTTCTCTCTTTAATGGAGAAACAACTGATTATTGAGGTTAAAATATAAAAGCAAAAAAGGTACCTTTGTATAATCCTTATACCATCAAAGAGGCAGAAGATCTCATAATAATCAGATCAGGAAAACTTTACTTACAGTCCGATCTTCACCAGTGATATATAGCAAAACCTCTCATGACATCAGGCATCTAGGCAACACTGCATCATGTCATTGCAGCTTGCTTATTTTGCTGCTGAAACATGTAGTTAAAAGTTTGATTTTATAATTCTATTCTGTTCCTGAAATGCGTTCTGAAGAATTTTTACAAACAAGGCAGTTTCTAAAAGAAGCAAGTGTCTGGATGATAGAAGAAAGCTCAAAAGTGGCCTTTTCTGCAAATCTAGCTGGCAGATCCATTTCCATCACCTGGTCACTGTATTCCCAAATTCCTAGAGGAATTAATGAAATCTAAAGCTGGGGAGCACATTACACCTCTCATTCAAGCCCCTCACTTTACAGACAATGGATCAATTAAACCATGGGTCACTGGCCTAGAGAGAAGTAGGAAGGATATTACTTTCTACTTCTCTCTAGGCCAATGATCCATGGTTTAATTGATGCATTATTTGTAAAGAGAAGAGGAAGATAGGCTCATAGCTTCTCTCAGCTCACAGATGTTATGTGATTGGTACAAGGTCACACAGCTATTACTAGTAGAGCCTTGATTAAAAATCACATCACAGACTGGGTGCAGTGGCTCACGCCTATAATCCCAGCACTTTGGGAGGCCGAGGCGGGCGGATCACGAGGTCAGGAGATCGAGATCATCCTGGCTGATACGGTGAAACCCTGTCTCTACTAAAAAACACAAAAAATTAGCCGGACGTGGTCGTGGGTGCTTGTGGTCCCAGCTACTTGGGAGGCTGAGGCAGGAGAATGGTGTGAACCCAGGAGGTGGAGTTTGCAGTGAGCTGAGGTCATGCCACTGCACTCCAGCCTGGGTGACAGAGCGAGACTCTGTCCCCCCCAAAAAAAAAAAAAGAATCACATCACATATCTACTGTTTATTAAGCATCCTGTACCCAGTATTATGCTACATGCTTTGGTGTCACAATAAATTCCACTGAAAAAACATATCAGAGAGGTTAAGTAAATTGGCAAGGTAACCAACTAGTAAATGGCAGAGATGAAATTTGCTTCAAAGCCTGTCTGACTCCACAGCCTATGCTTTTATCCAATACCCCACAGTGTTTTTTCCCCATTCGTACCACACTTCTTGCCCAGTGTCCCACTGGTAACAGTGAAAGCCAGAACTGACAGTCTTATCAAAACTTGACAGATAGATTTGTAGAAAAACAAATGGGCAAGACTATTGAAACAGCCCACACTATTGTACCTCAGATTCTGACACCAGGAAATCCAATGCTGGGGAAGAAAATGTAGGTTTTTCTCCTTGGTGGCCCCGCTGAAACCCTATACTTCCTCTTTCTCAGGCCACACTACCTTGAAGAATTACGCATCTGGGCCACTCACAGCATCCAATCTACATTTTTTCCAACTCATAAATGGGCTCCCATAAGACTGGTGTTTTTTCCAACTGAGGATCATGACCCATTAGTGCACCAAGAAATCAGTTCAGTGGGTCATGACTAATGAATTTTTTCATCAAATAAAATAGAGTATACTCTTTCCTTTGTCATGGACCCCCAGTAGTAATATTTTAGGCTTGAAAGGGATTTTCTTTATCGTATTGGGTGGCCTTGGGTAGAGGTGGTTTCTTTTAATTTTGATTTCTCTTGAATTAACATTCATTCCATATTTAGTTTGCTGGAATCAGCCTAAATCCTGACCAAAAAAACTCCCTTGCAGAGGCTCCTTAAAAGAAGAGACACTGTTTCCTTATGATCTGTTTATATGATAATTAAACCAGGGTGCTGTTGCAGTCTTTCCATCTTTCTCCTTGCCTAGGGCGTAGAATCTATAGACTTCTCAGGTTAATTGCACCCAATCTAATTCTGCCTCCCCTGTGCAAGTTAGAGCCTAAGTGTCTCCTCAGAGTCTGGAGGACTCTTTGAAGCTTCAGCTGCCTCAAGAGCACAGGGCTGAGAGGCTGAGAATCAGCTGGAATGCAAGTGTTAGTCCCACTCCCTCCCCAAATGAAAAACCACATTGAAGTATTTGTCCTCTGTGCTTTGTTCCTAAAACAAACAATATTTAGCTAAGTATGGTATAAAGGGTGACCATTTGCCACAACTGATAAATAAACTGGTAACCACAATGATGAGGGAGAAGTGGGGTATTTTGTGGTTTTGGGGGGAATTGAAAGCTCTCTTTCAGCGGTGACAGGCCACAAAAGATGAACATCATCAAAACAAGGAAATACATCTTTTTCTTAGAACAGAAGCTTTCTTGGCTGCAGTGGGGAAGCATGTTTTTATTTTTAGGCGATTGCTCTTTAACAGGTAAAAGACATTGTGGAATCATTTCTCTGAGATGGAGATTAAGGGTAGAGGTACAGTTCAAATTTCACTTTTCTGGTTTTTTTTTTTAAATTAAAACCATTTTATTTAAAAATCACACTTGGGGTCCTAATAAAAACTGAAAACTTAATGAGATGGCTGGATTTTGCCTGTCAAAGCAAATTTAATGGGACAAAATTTAAAAATAGGGTATTCTGTGATGCCATGTGTTCAGGTAAAGTTAAAATTTTAGCTGTGTATAATAGTTCAAGATAATTTTTTAAAACTCTGTCTTTTCTATAATTATAATGCAAATCTTTTCTATTTATGTAATCTTTTGGTTTGAAGAAGATTTGATGAAATTTGCCCTATTTAGATTAGGGGCATATAAATTAATGCTAAAAAATATATCAAATAATTTTTATAGCATCTACTAACCAGGAGCATATCTAAATTTACATTTATTTTTCTAAAAGATAAAAATATAATTTTGGCAATAGAATTGTATTCGTCCATTTTCATGCTGCTGATAAAGACATACCCAAGACTGGGAAATTTACAAAGGGAAGAGGTTTCATTGGACTCAGAGTTCCACGTGGCTGGGGAGGCCTCACAATCATGGCAGAAGGCAAGGAGGAGCAAGTCACATCTTGGATGGTGGCAGGCAAAGAGAGAACCTGTGCAGTCAAACCCCTGTTTTTTTTTTTTTTTTTTAAACCATCAGATCTCGTGAGACTTACTATCACGAGAACAGCACGGGAAAGACCCGCCCCCATAATTCAATCACTTCCCACCAGGATCCTCCCAAGACATGTGGGAATTGTGGGAGTTACAATTCAAGATGAAATTTGGGTGGGGACCCAGCCAAACTATATTAAGAATCTGTTTTTGTATCTTATCTGTAGATACCAGATGTGTTTAAAGAGATAAAGGTAGTAGGGAGAAAATAACTTTTAAAGTTCCATTTACATTAAAAACTTTTTGAATCATCTGTACTTGAAATGTGGCTATGAACTATTTGTGACTGTGGTAATATATAGCAGTATAATTATCCAAAATGACTTTTCTCAAGGCTAGAATCCATCTCCAGTGGCATCTACAATACCCATAATTTAAAGCAGCTCTGAATTTTTTTTCTAGGTGTGCAATGTTCAAGATTTGAGGAGGACCTTCCTAATTCTAGGACTTAGTAGAAAAGTCAGTGTTCACTTTTCTATATATTCCCTTAATAATTTTATAAACTTATGTAATTCGTCCTTATAGTTATTTTTATTTAATAGACTTAAACATGTCATACTTTTTCCATTTATATAAATGTATTTATAAGATTTTTGTTTATATCTTTGCAGTCATTTTATACATATTATGTAGCTGATGTACATTTATGATTATATTAGATCTATAGTATCTTGAAACTTTATAATAGCTATTTACTCATATCAATAAAATTGATAAAGATATAATTTTAATTGCTGCATATTTCATAATATGGATCTGCTATAGTTTATTTAACCACTCTGCTTTGTTATAAAAGGGTTAGTTCTTTCTGACCTTTTGTTATTTTAAATAGTGCTATGATTAATTTATTTGTTCAGGAATTTTTTACTTTCTCTTTTACTAACTTCTTAGAATGAATTTCAGACAGTGAAAATACTGGTTCAAAGATATTTTCCCCATTGGTTTAGGATGTTTCTTTCATCATATATTAGGTTCTTATATATTACAGTCAACACCAGGCCTATGTATTTTGTTACATCAATCTGTCTACTGATTTTAGCACCATATTAAATTTTATATAAAGTTTTAATACCTTATAACATAAGTTCTTCCCTAGCTACTCTTTTTCAAACTTCTTAAAACATTTTGTCCCCAAATATTCTTGACTAAGTTTGTCTCTTTATTCTTCAAAATGAAGTTTACAAAATTTTTAATGTCATAAATGTATACCTTGTGAAATTTTATTGGACTTGAATAAATGTATAAATAACTTTGGGAAGAATTAACATATTTCATGTTTCGGGCAGTTCCAAGATGGCCGAATAGGAAGAGCTCCAGTCTACAGCTCCCAGCATGAGTGATGCAGAAGATGGGCAATTTCTGCATTTCCAACTGAGGTACCGGGTTCATCTCACTGGGGCTTGTTGGTCAATGGGTGCAGGAAAGGGGGTGCAGCCCACCGAGCATAAGCCAAAGCAAGGTGAGGCATTGCCTCACCTGGGAAGTGCAAGGGGTCAGGGAATTCCCTTTCCTAGCCAAGGGAAGCTGTGACAGGCGGCACCTGGAAAATCGGATCACTCCCCGCCTAATACTGCGCTTTTCCAATGGTCTTAGCAAAGGGCACACCAGGAGATTATATCCCGCAGATGGCTTGGAGGGTCCCATGCCCGTGGAGCCTCGGTCATTGCTAGCACAGCAGTCTGAGATCAAACTGCAAGGTGGCAGTGAGGCTGGGGGAGGGGCGTCCGCCATTGCTGAGGCTTGAGTAGGTAAACAAAGTGACCTGGAAGCTCGAACTGGGTGGAGCCCACCGCAGCTCAAAGAGGCCTGCCTGCTTCTGTAGACTCCACCTCTGGGGGCAGGGCATAGCTGAACAAAAGGCAGCAGAAACCTCTGCAGACTTAAATGTCCCTGTCTGACAGCTTTGAAGAGAGTAGTGGTTCTCCAAGCATACTGGTTGGTATGCTTGTGGTGAAGGATTTCTCTTGGTTGGTGGGTTTAATGTGTTATAGTTAGTCAAGGTATTCTAGTTCTTGCTTGTAAGCATGTTTGCAAGGTGATTATTGTGAGACTTGGTTTTATACGTACTATGTACAGTCAAGCATTTATAGTACTATATAATATTCATGGTGGCTAGCAGTTTGAGATCTGAGAACAGACAGACTGCCTCCTCAAGTGGGCCCCTGACGCCCAAGTAGCCTATCTGGAAGGCACCCCCCAGTAGGGGCAGACTAACACCTCACACGGCCGGGTACCCCTCTGTGACAAAGCTTCCAGAGGAATGATCAGGCAGCAACATTTGCTGTTCAGCAATATTTGCTGTCCTGCAGCTTCCACTGCTGATACCCAGGCAAACAGCATCTGGAGTGGACCTCCAGCAAACTCCAACAGACCTGCAGCTGAGGGTCCTGACTGTTAGAAGGAAAACTAACAAACAGAAAGGACATCCACACTAAAAACCCATATGTACGTCACCATCATCAAAGACCAAAGGTAGATAAAACCACAAAGATGGGGAAAAAACAGAGCAGAAAAGCTGAAAATTCTAAAAATCAGAGCACCTCTCCCCCTTCAAAGGAACGCAGTTCCTTGCCAGCAATGGAACAAAGCTGGATGGAGAATGACTTTGATGAGTTGAGAGAAGAAGGCTTCAGATGATCAAACATCTCTGAGCTAAAGGAAGCTCGAACCCATTGCAAAGAAGCTAAAAACCTTGAAAAAAGATTAGATGAATGGCTAACTAGAATAACCAGTGTAGATAAATCCTTAAATGACCCGATGGAGCTGAAAACCATGGCACGAGAACTACGTGACAAATGCACAAGCTTCAGTAGCCAATTCGATCAACTGGAAGAAAGGGTATCAGTGATTGAAGATCAAATGAATGAAATGAAGCCAGAAGAGAATTTTGGAGAAAAAAGAGTAAAAAGAAATGAACAAAGCCTCCAAGAAATATGGAACTATGTGAAAAGACCAAATCTACATCTGATTGGTGTACCTGAAAGTGATGGGGAGAATGGAACCAAGTTGGAAAACACTCTGCAGGATATTATCCAGGAGAACTTCCCCAACCTAGCAAGCCAGGCCAACATTCAAATTCAGGAATTACAGAGAATGCCACAAAGATACTCCTCGAGAAGAGCAACTTCAAGACACATAATTGTCAGATTCACCAAAGTTGAAATGAAGGAAAAAATGTTAAGGGCAGCCAGAGAGAAAGGTCGGGTTACCCACAAAGGGAAGCCCATCAGACTAACAGCGGATCTCTTGGCAGAAACTCTACAAGCCAGAAGAAAGTGGGGGCCAAAATTCAACAGTCTTAAAAGAAAGAATTTTCAACCCAGAATTTCATATCCAGCCAAGCTAAGCTTCATAAGTGAAGGAGAAATAAAATCCTTTACAGACAAGCAAATGCTGAGAGATTTTGTCACCACCAGGCCTGCCCTAAAAGAGCTCCTGAAGGAAGCACTAAACATGGAAAGGAACAACTGGTACCAGCCACTGCAAAAATATGCCCAATTGCAAAGACCATCAATGCTAGGAAGAAACTGCATCAACTAACGAGAAAAATAACCAGCTAGCATCATAATGACAGGGTCAAATTCACACATAACAATATTAACCTTAAATGTAAATGGGCTAAATGCTCCAATTAAAAGACACAGACTAGCAAATTGGATAAAGAGTCAAGACCCATCAGTGTGCTGCATTCAGGAGACCCATCTCATGTGCAGAGACACACATAGGTTCGAAATAAAGGGATGGAGGAAGATCTACCAAGCAAATGGAAAACAAAAAAAAAGCAGGGTTTGCAATCCTAGTCTCTGATAAAATAGACTTTAAACCAACAAAGATCAAAAGAGACAAAGAAGGCCATTACATAATGGAAAAGGGATCAATTCAACAAGAAGAACTAACTATCCTAAATATATATGCACCCAATACAGGAGCACCCAGATTCATAAAGCAAGTCCTTAGAGATCTACAAAGAGACTTGGACTCCCACACAATAATAATGGCAGACTTTAACACCCCACTGTCAACATTAGACAGATCAATGAGACAGAAAGTTAACAAGGATATCCAGGATTTGAACTCAGCTCTGCACCAAGCAGACCTAATAGACATCTACAGAACTCTCCACCCCAGATCAACAGAATATACATTCTTCTCAGCACCACATCGCACTTATTCCAAAATAGACCACATAGCTGGAAGTAAAGCACTCCTCAGCAAATGTAAAAGAACAGAAATTATAACAAACTCTCTCTCAGACCACAGTGCAATCAAACTAGAACTCAGGATTAAGAAACTCACTCAAAACTGCTCAACTACATGGAAACGGAACAACTGCTCCTGAATGATTACTGGGTACATAACGAAATGAAGGCAGAAATAAAGATATTCTTTGAAACCAATGAGAACAAAGACACAACATACCAGAATCTCTGGAACACATTCAAAGCAGTGTGTAGAGGGAAATTTATAGCACTAAATGCCCACAAGAGAAAGCAGGAAAGATCTAAAATTGACACCCTAACATCACAATTGAAAGAACTAGAGAAGCAAGAGCAAACACATTCAAAAGCTAGCAGAAGGCAAGAAATAACCAAGATCAGAGCAGAACTGAAGGAGATAGAGAAACAAAAAACCCTTCAAAAAATCAACGAATCCAGGAGCTGGTTGTTTGAAAAGATCAATAAAATTGATAGACTGCTAGCAAGACTAATAAAGAAGAAAAAAGAGAAGAATCAAATAGATGCAATAAAAACTGATACAGGGGATATCACCACTGATCCCACAGAAATACAAACTACCATTAGAGAATACTATAAACACCTCTACCCAAATCAACTAGAAAATCTAGAAGAAATGTATAAATTCCTGGACACATACACCCTCCCAAGACTAAGCCAGGAGGAAGTTGAATCCCTGAATAGACCAATAACAGGCTCTGAAATTGAGGCAATAATTAATAGCCTACCAACCAAAAAAAGTCCAGGACCAGAAGGATTCACAGCCGAATTCTACCAGAGGTACAAGGAGGAGCTGGTACCATTCCTTCTGAAACTATTCCAATCAATAGCAAAAGAGGGACTCCTCCCTAAGTCATTTTATGAGGCCAGCATCATCCTGATACCAAAGCCTGGCAGAGACACAACAAAAAAAAGAGAATTTTAGACCAATATCCCTGATGAACATCAATGCAAAAATCCTCAATTTTATTTTTGATAATCCAAGCAGCACATCAAAAAGCTTATCCACCATGATCAAGTGGGCTTCATCCCTGGGATGCAAGGCTGATTCAACATATGCAAATCAATAAACATAATCCAGCATATAAACAGAACCAGAGGCAAAAACCACATGATTATCTCAATAGATGCAGGAAAGGCCTTTGACAAAATCCAAAAGCCCTTCATGCTAAAAACTCTCAATAAATTAGGTATTGATGGGACGTATCTCAAAATAATAAGAGGTATTTATGACAAACCCACAGCCAACATCATACTGAATGGGCAAAAACTGGAAGCATTCCCTTTGAAAACTGGCACAAGACAGGGATGCCCTCTCTCACCACTCCTATCGCACATACTGTTGGAAGTTCTGGCCAGGGCAATCAGGCATGAGAAAGAAATAAAGGGTATTCAATTAGGAAAAAAGGAAGCCAAATTGTCCCTGTTTGCAGATGACATGATTGTATATTTAGAAAACCCCATTGTCTCAGCCCAAAATCTCCTTAAGCTGATAAGCAACTTCAGCAAAGTTTCAGGATACAAAATCAATGTGCAAAAATTACAAGCGTTCTTATACACCAATAACAGACAAACAGAGAGCCAAATCATGAGTGAACTCCCATTCACAATTGCTTCAAAGAGAATAAAATACCTAGGAATCCAACTTACAAGGGATGTGAAGGACCTCTTCAAGAAGAACTGCACACCACTGCTCAACGAAATAAAAGAGGACACAAACAAATGGAAGAACATTCCATGCTCATGGATAGGAAGAATCAATATAATGAAAATGGCCATACTGCCCAAGGTAATTTATAGATTTAATGCCATCCCCATTAAGCTACCAATGACTTTCTTCACAGAATTGGAAAAAGCTACTTTAAAGTTCATGTGGAACGAAAAAGGGCCCACATTGCCAAGATAATCTTAAGCCAAAAGAACAAAGCTGGAGGCATCACGCTACCTGACTTCAAACTATACTACAAGGCTACAATAACCAAAACAGCATGGTACTGGTACCAAAACAGAGCTATAGACCAATGGAACAGAACAGAGCCCTCAGAAATAATACCACATATGTCTACAACCACCTGATCTTTGACAAACCTGACAAAAACAAGAAATGGGGAAAGGATTCCCTATTTAATAAATGGTGCTGGGAAACTGGCTTGCCATATGTGGAAAGCTGAAACTGGATCCCTTTCTTACACCTTATACAAAAATTAATTCAAGATGGATTAAAGACTTAAATGTTAGACCTAAAACCATAAAAACCCTAGAAGAAAACCTAGGCAATACCATTCAGGACATAGGCATGGGCAAGGACTTCATGTCTAAAACACCAAAAGCAATGGCAACAAAAGCCAAAATTGACAAATGGGATCTAATTAAACTAAAGAGTTTCTGCACAGCAAAAGAAACTACCATCAGAGTGAACAGGCAACCTACAGAATGGGAGAAAATTTTTGCAATCTACTCATCTGACAAAGGGCTAATATCCAGAATCTACAATGAACTCAAACAAATTTACAAGAAAAAAACAAACAACCCCACAACAAGTGGGCGAAGGATATAAACAGACACTTCTCAAAAGAAGACATTTATGCAGCTAACAGACACATGAAAAAATGCTCGTCATCACTGGCCATCAGAGAAATGCAAATCAAAACTGCAATGAGATACCATCTCACACCAGTTAGAATGGCGATCATTAAAAAGTCAGGGAACAACAGGTGCTGGAGAGGATATAGAGAAATAGGAACACTTTTACACTGTTGGTGGGACTGTAAACTGGTTCAACCATTGTGGAAGACAGTGTGGCGATTCCTCAAGGATCTAGAACTAGAAATACCATTTGACCCAGCCATCCCGTTACTGGGTATATACCCAAAGGATTATAAACCATGCTGCTATAAAGACACAGGCACACGTATGTTTATTGCGGCACTATTCACAATAGCAAAGACTTGGAACCAACGCACATGTCCATCAGTGATAGACTGGTTAAGAATATGTGGCACACACACACCATGGAATACTATGCAGCCATAAAAAGGATGAGTTCATGTCCTTTGTAGGGACATGGATGAAACTGGAAACCATCATTCTCAGCAAACTATCACAGGGACAAAAAAAACCAAACACCACACGTTCTCACTCATAGGTGGGAATTGAGCAATGAGAACACTTGGACACAGGAAGGAGAACATCACACACTGGGGCCTGTTGTGGGGTGGGGGGAGGGGGGAGAGATAGCATTAGGAGATATACCGAATGTAAATGACGAGTTAATGGGTGCAGCACACCAACATGGCACATGTATACATATGAAACAAACCTGCACATTGTGCACGTGTACCCTAGAACTTAAAGTATAATAATAAAAAAGAAAGAAAAACATATTTCATGTTTCATTTTCCATGAAATATGGTATATTTCTCCATATCGTAAAACCTTCTTTTATAGCTCAGTAAATATTTGTTCTCTTAGCATAAACTCAGACATTTCTTGACAAAGTATTACTAGATCTTTTAACAATTAGATTATTAGATTTTTATTAGGCCTAATATTTTTATTATGCCTTGTAACTGCTTCTTACAAGCATATTTTATTAATTATTAGCTTATCTTGGATTTTGTCAAAAGAAAATCATATTATATACAAATTACATTATTAATTCAATGACAAGTAAGTATCTACTATGTGTCAGCCAAACTTAATAAGCACTGAGAATACAGTACTGAAGCAATCAAAAAATGAAAAACAACAAAAAGACCCAAAACAGATTATGGAGGTTATAGTTCCAGCAGGAGAGAAGAGCAATAAACCAAATTTTACAAAAATAATGTATAAACTAGGATAAATGGTGCTTAAAGCAAAGGAAGAACAATTGAGCAGAGAAGAGGCATATAAAATAACAAGAGTGGGTGTTGAAATTTTTGGAGTAGAGGGCCTCACTAAAAGAGTAACTTCTGACTAAGGAACTCAGAGCAAATCTGAAACAGAATAGTCATATATAAAATATTTTTAATGTAATGAAAGATCAGATTTTGGAGGTTCTTATGGATGGTATTTAGAGTTTTTACTTGGAGTGATTTGGGGAGATGTTGGATGATTTTCAGCATAAAAGTGGCATGAGATGCCATAGATTCTGTGGTTCTGACTGTGTTAAGACCAGATTTAAAAGGACAGAAGTAAGACCAGTTGGAAAGTAGAGTAGAAGTTGTAGTCACCCCTTCCTATAGCCTTGGTTCACCCTGAGACACCTGTATGTAGACAATCCCCACGTATATTAACTGCTTCCTTTTTCTCTGCCTGAAAAGCAGTGAGCACGAAAGTGCCAGGGACGTATGCCTAGAACTGACCCTTACCAAGTTCGGAAGAGAGTTGGTGCCTAAAGACTCCAATTTTCCTCAGTGAGACAATTCTGACGTGTTTTCTATATAGTCTATTAGAGGGTGCCCTGTAGAACTAGCCTTCAGTGTCAAACAGCATTAACTCACTCATCCATGCACGCTTCATCGGCTTTTCCTATTACACTCTCCCACTATCCTACCATGCTTCCTGGGATTACCCTCTTAGAGTCAGGTTTTGGAGGAACCCAACTAACACAGAGGTTGTTGTAATAATCTAGGCAAGACAGAATAAATAATACCTAGGACCAACACATAGTCTTAAAATGGTGATAATTGATTTAATGCTGGATACACTATAAGGAAGACCTGAAATAATTTGCCAATGTATTCAGTGTGAAATAAAAGAGAAAAAGAGGGATTGGGATGACTCCAAAAATTTTGTTCTGAGCAATTGGAAGGACATAGTGTCCATTAACTGAAACGGGAAAGAGTACAGTTCATCTGGAAGAGACTTAGTATATGGTGTGAGCTAGGAGTCATTTTTACAATATGAGCATATAGTTGATTCAATGCCATTTATGAAAAAGAACCTCCTTTATACACTGCAGTGATACTTTTGTCAAAAATCAAGTGACCATATACATGTGAATATTTGTCTGTATTTCATGTTCTGTTTCATTAACCTGTCTATTCTTACACAAATATCTGACCATCTCAATTTCTGTAAATTATAAGTCATAATATTTGGCAATGCAATTCTTGCAGCTCTGTTAATCTGGAAGATTACTTTTTGTTTCCTTTTTTTTTTTTTTCTTATTTTTGAGATGGAGTCTTGCCCTGTGGTCCAAGCTGGAGCACAGTGGTGCAATCTCAGCTCGCAGCAACCTCTGGCTCCCAGGTTCAAGCGATTCTCATGCCTCAGCCTCTCAAGTAGCTGGGATTACAAGCACGTGCCACCACACCCGGCTAATTTTTGTATGTTTTATGGAGAGGAGTTTTGCCATGTTGGCCAGGCTGGTCTTGAACTCCTGACCTCAAGTGATCTGCCTGCCATGGCCTCCCAGAGTGCTGGGATTACAGATGTGATCCACTGCACCTGGTTGAAGACTACTTTTTATAGCATTATTAGTCTTGCAACTTTATAACAAATCTTAACATCCATCATGTAATTCCTCCAACACTCTTCATCTTGAATAGATTTTCATATTCAATAGTGCAATTCCTTGAACTCTGTTCTTCAAGTCCCATTCAATTTCATTAAACTTCAGAAACATCTTATCTCTTTACGTACACACATAATGTTGATATTTTTAGAATGCTGACCAATTTGGGAGGAATGTAGATCAATTTAAATTAATAAATAATTGATTTGATAAATTTATATCAATTTGAGAAAGAATTAACATCTTTACTATATTGAGCTTCCTACTCAAGAGAATTTTTAATATGGGAAAATAACAGCATATTTCTATACTTATTACACTAGTAAACAGGGAAAAGTAATGATACAAGAAAAGAATTCTTGGAACAATATTTCAGAGTGAGAAAGGGTAGATAAGATCTAATATCTAAGTGGCAGGATCCACCTTAGCTAGGTACATGGCCAGTTCATCAATAATAATAGAAAAGAAGAAAGAGTAAATAGTCACATATGGAAGTAGTTCGGTAAAGTGGTGGTGATGGGATCTCATGAGCATTCTCTTTTGACTGCTTCAGTTCAGTGAAATAGCCTGAAAATGACATGGAAAGGAGGTATTAAAGATTTCAGCAAGAGCAGAACATGTAAATAATCATCTAGAAAAGTGGTAAAGTGAATGAAATTTGTAAATATATAAAAATTTTAGGGCAGCATTAAACTACCACTGGAGATTAGTGAGCAAAAATTTTAACTAAGAACAGTCATCACGGCTGTATGCTTTTCTCCAGCAGTTTTTAACTTCAGGACAGGAGATGGCAGAGAGTAAACCAACAAAGTTGTCTTCATTCCAAAATTATTACTTTTGTGATTATTTCCTCTCTCATTGCATAGGCTGCAAATCCAAGAACACACAAAAAATGACAATGGTTAGGGTAACTGTCCTTAAGTTGTTCTAGTTTTTAATGAGAATGCCCATAATAGGGCATCATTAAGTACAAAGATGGCTGCTGGTTTAAGACAGCTAGTTTGTTACCTCTTAAAAGTGTTTTTTTCTAAGAGTTGCCAGTGAAATGTGTCCTCTTTCCCTATGTCTTTTGAGATGAATGTCCATTTATTTTAATTATTTTTACTTTCTCTTGGTATTAAAATCTTCCATAGATTGAATATTTTTTACTTTCCTTTGGTTCTTCTCTAGCTCTATCATGTCTTTTGTCAGGTGTATCAATCAAGACATCATAATCCAGTATGAACTCACCAGGTTTTGTGTAAGGAAAGGGATAACATATATGTGGGTGGTGGCAGTGTGTTTCTGTATCTGATTCATACCAGACAATGTTGCTCAGCTTTTTTTGGTCATGGAAGGATGTTGAGAACAGTCTGCAATAATTATGTCAGTTGCTAGCATATAGTTGCTTTGGTAGCTTAGAGACAATAATCATAATTAACTTAAAAATGTTTTTTCTCTAAAATATATTATCTTACAATGGCTCACACTGATTATTTTTTGCTGTATTTCTATAAATTGCATACTTTTATTAAATGTTTCTCATGATTTTTATCCTCCAATGTGGGCTTTCATTTCCAAGAATAACTTAATTTACCAACTTGGTGCGCTACAACAATTAATAAAGATCAGAGAAGGTCTGAATACTGATTCCTAATGAATATACATTTTGCACATTTTGTCCAAAAATGAAACTGTTTATACCGATACCTTTCTTCTGTCTAAAATCCAATTCCTAGTTCAAAACAAATAGTTTCCCCAATTCCAGTACAAGACATAAATAAATGTCAAAATGTGAGTGATTACATCCAGGCTGTGACAGTTTCTACCAGTGACCATAGTGAATGATATTAACAGGGTGGTCAAAGCAAAGCACTGCTGGTGTGGGAGGCTCACCTGCACTCAGGGGGCAGGTGAATTATTGCATCAGTCTTTAGAGGAAGATGCTATGACTGAGGTGGGAACCACAGATGTGAATGGGGATGGAGAGAGTAGGGGTGAAAGTTAATGCCATTAAAAACTGAGATTGGGAACAGGTAATCAATTTGAACTGAGAAACTAATGGGAAAAGAATGAGAAGATAAGATGGATCCAGGAATCAAAGAACAGATAAGGGAACACTGGTAATTAAATTTATTCATCAAATGAGAATCACAGCCAGTTGATATGGGGCCCATGAAAAATATGGAAGTCAAATTTGTCAGAAGAACCAGAAAGATTGGGATCTTCCTCATGGATTGTGTCTAATGCTGGTTCAGAGGGTGTCTTCTCATCTGTATCTTCCTTATATAGATAAGCCTTCATATATTTTGGGGACAATATGATATAAAATAAGAGGAATTTTGTATGATATCACCAATTATTGTATGGAATCAAATACAGTACAGGTTACCTCATATTTCCAAAAGAGATTATCTTTGTTCAGTCAAAGTTTGAAATAACACAATTTCCCTGGGAAGTGGCTGTATTTCTGCTGCCATGTGTTATGCTAAAGATTTTCCACTAAAGCAGAACTGGCTGTAACAGGGACTGAACAGATGGTGGTCCATGGAATTTGTCCCAATAGTCTCTTCAAAGTCCTGCCTACTCTTAGTCACCTCTCTCTCATACCAGGCACTTGAATTCTCACTGTTAGAATACCATGTTTGCATGAAGGCATTATCTCCAGTTTTTTTAAAATTACGGAATTACAGTATCAAAAAGTACTGCCAAGAACTAAAAAGGGTCTCAAATTTTATCCTATTTGCAGGCTAACAAGTTAGTCAGTTGCAGTTTCTTGGATGCTGGCAGAAGACATAGACAAAGGAGAGTTTGTTATTCACAGAAATAGCGGTAGTCAAAGTATCAGTATTTTAACTCTGGTTCCCTGAGCCCCAGTTCCCACAAAGCAATACAAAGAGGACCAAATGATACCTGCATGTGCCGTGGATGCATGAGAGGAGAGGAATCATGAGCTTAGGGAACCCAAATATTTTATAATAGGCAGCAATCTGGCCTGCCCTTTACCAGGAAAAGAGAAGCTACCTTTATTACACTGAACAGTAAACAAATCCACACTTTGCTCTGGAAGGAGACACTATATCTAATTTCTAAGGCTGTTTGCTGTATAAATAAATTTGAAAATATAGTTCGGCACAGAGGCAATCTATATAAACCACGTTTTGTAGTTTCTGTAACTTGATGAATTAACATCTTCAAGATGGAATGTCAACCACTTTAGGTAAACAATTAGGGACCTGAGATAACCACCTGACATCCCCACACTCTTAGCCCCGCATGAGTTTATAGGGGTGACACTTTTAAATATAGCAAACCAGTCCCAGTGTATCCTTTCCTGCCTCAGCAGAAACCACTGTATCCTTTCCTTCACCCAGTGTATCCTTTCCCAGTGTATCCTTTCCTTCTCCCAGTAGAAACCACTGTAAGGCACTTATCTACTCTCTTTCTACCTTATAATTGATCCTGATCTTCCCCTATGTGGCCCCACATGGCATGCTGTATTTTCTCTTAAGAGAACTGTGAGAATAATAAACTTCTGTGATTTCAAAGCAGCTCTCTTTGTGCCTCACCATACTTTAATCAAGATTATGTTTAAAACACAGTCAGTAACTCTGCTCACAAAATATGGAAAAACATGAGTGGTCAATGGAGAATTGTCTCCCAATAGATACTAGCCCAAAGGCCATTGGTTCAAATCTCTAAAGATACCCAAATCCTCTCCAAAAAGAGAATTCCCTGCTCCCGCAAAACAACCTAGTCTGTCTTTCAAACATTTTTATTCAGTAATTCTATGTTATCTGTTATTTTTATCTTCTGGGCCTTCTTTTATACTTTGTGTTCTATGAAAGGGCCATATATGCAAAGTGGCCCCCAAGGGCCAAAGGAGTTGTGGAACCAAAGAAGGAGGCAGATAAATCCAGTTTGTTGAGATGGGATGATTTACTAGGCGGAACTTACAGTTGAAAGTGTGGTCTTGGGTGGCTGCAAAACAGGTAGCTCTCCATACCACAACACCCCAGACCCAGGGCTTATATTTGGGGAAAGTATAGTATACATGCTCTAGAGAGAATGTGTAGGTGACTATGGGTGTCACAGCCTATGATTTCTGCAACAGCATCAGGAGTTGTTTTGGAGGAAACTTACAGTGAACAGGTGTTTCCACATAAAGAGTAATACAGCAACGAGACATTTGGAGGCATTTCTGGACCTGGGATTAGTCAGAAGTTACATGGCAGGTTAACATTTAAGGTGAAGTCACTCTTTTCCCCACACCTGGAATCCAAAAAGAACATACGTATTTGTAGGCAACCATAATGTGCATGTCTTTCTCCCACTATTCTAGTTCCTGGAAACTTTTTTTTTAAGTAAAATTATCTGCAGTTTTTTCAACCATGTAGGTGACACTCTATTAAATGCAATCTTATTTGTCTACTATTAAAATATATTGCCCATAGAAAATATTTTAGGCGCAGTCTGTATAGACAACCCAGAGTAGAGTAGAATAGAACTGTTAACTCCTTGATTTACCTGCTACATGGTAAATCACTTCCTTATAAGCCATAGTGCACCTCTACTGATCAAGAGTCAATTATGAACTAAAGCCTCTAGGTCATTAACCTTGCCATGCCATAATTCACCCACCCTTTATTTTGTTTTTTTTCTCTAAAATACAGGACTTTATATTTATTGCTGTAAAATTGAATCTTAGATGCATTTCTTTTCTCAAGCATCTGAAAAGTCTCTCAGGTTCTGAAAATAAAATAAGTTATTCTTCCGAGCCTCAAAGGATCTGAAAATTTACTCTAATTTTATATAACCTAATCCTACTCCTTGGTTATAATGTAGAGCAGGATAGAGCTGAGGATAGGGCCCTATGTACTTGAATAGAATCTCCCATCGGGTTTGCTTGGTTGAATGCTCATTGAGCACAGTTGTTCAACAAAAGAATTAATTTAACTGAACTTTCTTCCAGACATTACTGGTTAAAAACATTCTCTTTGGAGGCTTTTGACTACTGCATTTCTAAATGCTGTCCTGTCAATTTGCTAACTAAAGAAAAGAAGATGGTATGTGACATGGTTTGGCTCTGTGTCTCCACCTAAATCTAACCTTCAATTGTAAGAATTCCCATGTGCCAAGGGCAGGGTCAGGTGGTGATAATTGAATTATGGGCATGGTTTACCCCATACTGTTCTCATAATAGTGAATAAGTCTCAAGAGATTTGATGGTTTTATAAATGGGAGCTCCCCCGTACAGTGTCTCTTGCCTGCCGCCATGTAAGACATGACTTTGCTCCCCCTTGCCTTCCGCCATGATTGTGAGGCCTCCCCAGCCATGTGGAACTGTGAGTCCGTTAAACCTCTTTGTCTCAGGTATGTGTTTAATAGCAGAGTGAGAATGAACTAATACAATATGCCATGACTTATTCTTACAGAATTCATGATGGCACCAGTGATCATTTTCTCTGTCATCTAGAAGCTCATTATTTTTTATATGTGCATGTGTCTCTTCTTAATAACAACTCAGAATAGGTTAACGTTTGGTTAATATATGCTTGCTGTGTGTGGTTCTGTTGTATGATTTGTCATGAAAATATAATATAAAGAAAAAATTTAATTGAAAAAAAAAAGATTCCAGGAAGCATTCAAAGAATGGAGAGGACTGGGCACATCATTAGGGTCAGAAGGAAGGGCACTGGGGAGGGGAATATACCAAAGTGGAGAAAAGAAATTAAGTGAGGAAGAAAACAGTGCATTTAACCTCTTTTAATTGAAATCTAACTTATTTTGGGGAGAATTACATTTTAAAAATTATTTTTCTGGCCACATAATCATTTGGGCCCTCAATTTGCATGTTTATTTCATTATCTGGTGCATAATCCTGGAAGGCAGGGACCATATCTAATTTTTCAGTATTTTAACCCCACAGTTTGAGAACATAGCTTGCTTATCCAATGCACTCAGTAATAATTTTGGAATTGAAATGTTTAATTTTGTGGGATTACATGCCAGAGTCTATTTAAGCTTGGACAATGACCCCTAGAAAGATGGAATGATTTGGCCGGGCGCAGAGGCTCACACCTGTAATCCCAGCACTTTGGGAGGCTGAGGCGGGCGGATCACGAGGTCAGGAGATCAAGACCACGGTGAAACCCCGTCTCTACTAAAAATACAAAAAATTAGCTGGGCGTGGTGGTGGGCGCCTGTAGTCCCAGCTACTTGGGAGGCTGAGGCAGGAGAATGGTGTGAACCCGGGAGGCAGAGCTTGCAGTGAGCCGAGATCAAGCCACTGCACTTCTGCCTGGGCGACAGAGCGAGACTCCATCTCAAAAAATAAAAATAAAAATAAAAATAAAAAAGAAAGATGGAATGATTTGTTTAGAATTGAACACATCTCAATGTATTCCTCAGCAAAAGTGCTTCTTCTCCATTCTAGGACTGTCTTTCTTGGATATCCAAGATTGGTCTAGAATCTCTGTACAGGCTGCTTACAAGACAGTTAAGCCTATTGTGGTTATTTGGCTTGGTGGAACTAGTTTATATATTAAGAAATGTACACTTTGATCCCAGAGTCTGAATAGTTACTTCTAATACCATTTGTTGGCTATCACATAGACACAGACATAAAAACATTTATCCCAGAGGGCCAAAAGGAGTTTTTCTGAGATGCTGATGTATATTTAGGAGCTAATGGTATATATTTAGAAGGGTCTCTTTCCCAGTTATTTTTATTAGCAATTGGAATAGTGCCAAAAATCATGAAATGAAAGTAAGCATTTCACTAAAATGACCCAAAAAGCACACCAAATTTGTCTGTAGTCCGAGGAAGGGCTAGCTGTGGCATATTTATGGCAGCGTTAACCAGAAGCCATAGCTTCTTTGATGACTGCACTCGTCTAAGCACTCTTAATGTGACTCATGGAAACAACAAGCAGTTGTGACCATGGCTTCAACAGCTGGGCTTGGAAAACTCCAAGGATCTTATGTGTCAACCAACTCCCAGTCCTTCCTTGTCCTTCCACTTAAGGATCTTCCTGACCTGGGGCCTTCTACATGCACATTTCTACCCAGCGTATTTCCAAAATTATTCCTTTCATCCCTGAGAGATCTGATTTTTTAAAAAAGTAATCAAAAAATTATTCTTCATAAATGACTGGATTGTTTTTATTAGCTGGTATATTTAAAAAATATTTTAGAAAAGGGGAACACCATAACATCCGTCTTTGCCCACATCCCATTAGAAATTCTGAAAGCATAGTGCAATATCAAGGAGCCCGGAGTACTTCTTTTCTTTATGTTTACTACCCCAGTTTTTAATTTGTAAAAGTATTCTGGCTTATTTGTATGTACAGGAACAGAGAGACTACCATTGCAGAAATTTTGTAAATGGGATGTGATATAGGAAAGCATTCACACCTCTCAGTAAATAGCTCTGAAACTCTTCTCTTACAGAAAGTCCCTGGATAGCCTTTTGCTAGAACTTTTCGTGTTTGAAAACTTAGTATTTGTCATCTATGTTTCCAAGAGCTATTCAACAAGAAATTTCATAGAAATATGCTTTATGTTCTTTGGAGAAAATGATAGATAACTATGTCATTTTGAAATTGACTTTGTTTCCTCCCAGGAGGAAGGGAGGAGCCGGGCACTTCCCAGTACCAGAAAAACAAGGCAGGCAAGGGCAACAGCAGAGAAGAGGAAAGGAAAAGAGACTGTGTCCTCCTTTCATGAGAAGAAATAGCTCTTCCTGGGGCCACACAGACCAATAATACTAAAGCTTAAAGGAGGTTGAAAGTGGGAAAGTGCCTCTGCTGCTCAAGACTCCTCATGGCCTTCTGCTGCCATGAAGGCCAGCATCTCATGCAGATGTCCAAAAGGCTGCTTTTGGCTGCCACATCTGCAAGCTCAGTTGCTGGACTGTCCAGATCATTCTCTAGGGCAGCCTAGATGGAAAGGGAAAAATTGAACCAAATTTTATTTTTATGACCATAGAACTTACGTTTTCTCCTCAAGTTTGGAGAAGGAACCAACTAGATCTTACTTAAAATGCAAGAATACACCCAGTACCATGAGATGAGCTTTTATATTCCAAGACAGAGCCTGGAGCCCATCTTTTTAATTATGTTAAAAGACCCAGAAACTCTTACTTCATAATGACAATAAGACTGTATTGGAGCTGGAGGATACCTCCAAAACATTAACGCATCAAAGATGGTCATGTATTTGGTTTAATTGAATAAAAGAAAACGTCATGAAAATCTTTAAGTCAGCTGAACCCGGTTAAATTTTTCAAAATCTTGGAAAATTCTCTTTCATCTACGCTGATGAGGTTTTTAAACTTTTATTTCGGCTTACTAATTTGCTCATCTTTGAAGTGTTGAATTGGAAGCAAACCATTTAGCTTTTGATGATTATTTCCAGAATTTGGAGTCTGATCTCTTGGTTAATTTGCCTCGTGTTGACATGAAGTGTATTCTAGTGGCATATCATAAGTAAAAGTATAAATGTTCCTTTCTTCATCATCCTGAATCTAAGCAGACTCTATGTATGACATGCAGAGTCAATAGCAACAGGACCAGGGATAGGCATTCTCCACTAGTGAGTAATGTATTTCAAACTCCTACACTAGACCTGCCTTCGCACGTTAATATGTCCTTGGAAACTTTTAATCAAATTATTAAATTCAAGTATATTGTATTAGTCTGCTTAGGCTGCTATATCAAAGTCTGGGTAACTCAAACAACTGACATTTATTTCTCATAGTTCTGAAGACTGAAGCATAAGATCCGGGTCTAGCATGGTTGGGTTTTGGTAATGGCCTGCTTCTAATCTTGCAAATGGTTACCTTCTTACTGTATCCTAACATGGCACAGAGAGGAAGCTCTGGTGTTTGTTCCTCTTCTTAGAAGGGTATTAATCCCATCGTGGAGGCTCTAGCCCTCATGACCTCATCTAAACCTTATTACCTCCCAAAGGCCCCCGCTCTTAATACCATCATGCTGCGAGTTAGAAGTTCAGCTCGAGAATTTGAGGGAGACACATTCAGTCCATAGCATAAACAATTACTAATTTCAATTATTAAGTATTGCTTATAGTTAGCTATCGTACGATTTTTTTTGTTTATAAATTTCTTTTATTTGCAAATATAATTTAAGCCCCATGAAGTCCTTGTGAAATGTTTATCTTGATCTACATTTTGTAGAGAGGACAACAGCTTGAAGACTAGAGCTTGATGAAACAGCAAAGTGTCGGAGCCAGTGCTTGCCTTCAAGTTTTGACCATTTCATGCTTTTGTTACACTTCACTTGCAGTGGTGAGAAATAATAATTTTATGTATGCACGTATGTAAAGAGGCACTAAAAATACAAAAGCACTAGATTTTTCAAAATCATCATGAAATGGAGAAGGATTTCCTAAAGATGACATAAAACCAAGAATCCAAAATGAAAAAAAAGACAAATCTGACTGGATAATAATATTAAAGTTCTATAACGTATAAAATAAATAAGAAATAAGAATATGAAAATCACAGAACAGATAGGAAATATTTAAGATGCATATGACAGATGGGGGCTAATTTTCTTAATATACAAAGAGCTATTATAAATCAAGAGCAACAAAAATGATTTAAAAATGAACAAAGAACACGAATAAGACATTAACAGAAAGAAATACAAGTATATAAAAGTAAGCTTGCTCTCTCTTACACAAGTTGAGCATTTCTGTTCTGAAAATCTGAATTCAAAATGCTCCAAAATCCAAGAATTTTTGAGCACTGACGTGACGCCAAAAGTGAAAAATTTTACACCTGATCTTCTATCATGGCTCACAGTCAAAACACAGTCAAAATTTTGTTTTCTGCACAAAATTATTTAAAATATTGTATAAAATTACCTTCAGGTTGTGTGTATAAGGTGTATATGAAACAGAAATCTCAGTTTTCTTTTCTGAATTTAACTAAGAGTAATACTCAGGTACTTGATATTTGTTTTAAAAACAAATGAATAAATGGGTTAAAAATTGGTAGCTTTGTCCTAAAAACAAAAACAAAAACAAAAACAAAACTCCTATACATAAATAAGACAGCACAGCCATGTTAGCCAGAGCTGTCCTTCACATCATGTTTTTAGTCACAGGTCTTCATAGAATTCTTACTCTTCTCATAAAGAATTTTCTGAGATTGCAAAATGTAAATAGCTTGGTCAGTGTATTAGTGCATTTTCATGCTGCTGATAAAGACATACCTGAGACTGAGCAATTTACAAAACAAAGAAGTTTAATTGGACTTACAGTTCCACGTGGCTGTGGAAGCCTCACAATCATGGCAGAAGGCATAAAGGAGCAAGTCATGTCTTACATGGATGGCAGCAGGCAAAAAGAGCTTGTGCAGGGCAACTTTCCTTTTTAAAACCATCATATCTTGTGAGACTTATTTGTTACCACAAGAAGAGCACAGGAAAAACCTGTTCCCATGATTCAATTACCTCCCACTGGCTTCCTCCAGTAACACGTGGGAATTTAAGATGAGATTTGGGTGGGGACACAGCCAAACCATATCAGTCAGTAACATTTATTCAAAGCCACAAATCATAGAGTAATCCAGGGCAGAAGAAAAGAAAATAGATATAAAGGTTGACCTCAAGGTTCTTAAGAGCCAACAGGATATCTAAACCTACTGTGAAACATATATGTTAATAGATAGAGATATAAGAATATATGTGCTACGTATAACAAGGTCAAGGTTTATGGAGTGAAGGACATGAGTGTTGTAGAGGGATAGGGAGGTTGTCAATGCAATAGAATGACCATAGGACCATATCTTCTGACTAAAGTGTGGTTCCTATTGGACCTCATGGTGTGCCCACATTTTTTGGCATCTCTCCTAGCTCCCTACCTCTTCGCTCCCGTTGCAATCACATTCATCCATACTTCCTGAGCTGCACATGTCTAGATTGAAACAAATGTTTCCATGTAGCAAACACACAGAATTCTCCCATAGGCAAAAAAGTACTGAGGTGTAATTAATGTCTTTTCAGACTATTGTCTGTATTTCCTTGAGCCCTCAGACTGATTGTCCTGTTCTAGTTCTAAGCCAAGGAGATCAGACTTAGATTAGGTTGAGTTTGTGTTCTTGGCTGCCAAGTACATCATTCTCCCTCATGTCTCTCTCTTTTTTTTTTTTTTTTTTTTTTTAGATGGAGTCTCGCTCTGTCGTCCAGGCTGGAGTGTGGTGGTGCAATCTCTGCTCACTGCAACCCCCACACCCCTGGTTCAAGTGATTCTCCTGCCTCAGCCTCCCAAGTAGCTGGGACTACAGGCGCATGCCACCATGCCCGGCTAATTTTTTGTATTTTTAGTAGAGACGGGGTTTCGCCATGTTAGCTGGGATGGTCTTGATCTCCTGACCTCGTGATCTGCCTGCCTCGGCCTCCCAAAGTGCTGGGATTACAGGTGTGAGCCACCACACTCAGCCCCTCATGTCCTTTCTATGAACCATCACATTTTTCTATGATGGGATATTCTGAGCAAATATGGCATTGTGGAGAAGAGACTATTTATTATAAGCACTGCATTTGGCTTTGTCCTACAGAAAAGAAATGACCAGAAGAATATAATAATTAGGTCAGAATGTCTTGTGATCAAAGTTGCATTATTGATACTTAGGACAACACCAAATCTTTGAACTAAGAAACTAGTTCATAGATTCAATGTCTATGACTAACTGTATTGCATCAACACCAATTAGTCATCTAACTTACTTTATTAAATGGGTCAGAAATGAAATATAAACAAAAGAAACATTTTTTAACTGTAAAACACCATGAAAACCACAAGTCAGCCTGTGATTCTCTTGGTAAACAAGGCAAAGACATTTTTTTCTTTTCTTTTTTAATATTTTGCCGGAGGGAATCCTAAGAGGTCATCTACTTCATTCTTTTTCTTTCAAGCAAGACCCATTCTAGCTATCTCTAAATAATAGAGAAGTCTTATCATATCTTATTCTTTTTTTATTAATTTATTTAGCTAAAAAGTTTTGGAGCATCTACTAAATGGCAGGCATGCTACTAGGATTGGAGCTAACAAGATAAAAAGAAAAGGAAAACATGATGTTTACCCATGAGGAAGTAGTTTAGTTAGGAAAGACTGGCTTGGGTACTTAAATTCCTTAAGCAAAATGGGGAAAGCAAGAGGATGCATAAGTTTGAGGGAGAAGAAAACATGTGGGTTTAATGGTATTGGGCTTGAGGCGCCCATGGAGGGGCCAGTAGGCTATGTGGGCCTGGAGAAGTTCTGATCTAAAAATACAGATATAGGAGTCACTTTCAACAGGGTTCTTAAAGCTGTGAGGATAGGAAAACCACATAAGAAGCCCACCTAGAATGAAAACCAGTCTTAGCAAAGGTGCTTCTTAGAAACCCAATTCAGCATTGTTATTATTCTGACAGTCCTGGTTACCTACCCATGTCTATCATCACTCTTTTAAGAATCATCCTCTCAGCCAGGCGCAGTGGCTCACACCTGATTTCCTAGCACTTTGGGAGATAGAGGCAGGCAGATCACCTGAGGTTAGGAGTTCGAGACCAGCCTGGCCAAAATGGCAAAACCCTGTCTCTACTGAAAATACAAAAATTAGCCGAGCATGGTGGTGTGCGCCTGCAATCCCAGCTACTCGGGAGGCTGAGGCAGGAGTATCGCTTGAACTCGGGAGACAGAGGTTGCAGTGAGCCAAGATCGCACCATTGCACTCCAGCCTGGGCAACAAAGTGAGACTCTGTCTCTAAAATGAAAAAGAAACAACAACAACAAAAAGAACCATCCTCTCCCTCAGACTTGATGAAAATAAGAAAATATGAGCGTATAGATGCACAGCTTGAAATGCCCAGGGTGGACGACCTTGAAGTTTGGCTGGATCGAAGTGCTAAAACACTGTAGTTAGGACTTGGCCTCTTTGCATCTTTCAGTTCTGCTGTCCTCCAAATTGGTTTTGTTTTGAAACATTTTCTCTCCACACGGATGTCTCCAGGAATTCCAGTCCTACATCCTACCAGTATCAAACCCCAAAAAGGAAGTTTCTCAGCACTAAAAATTCCAGCTGAAATCTGGGGATCAACTCTCATTCCATCCACTTGAATGACACACTGGTTCTCAAACTCATCACTGTAGAAAGGTGGATGGAATACTCTGATTGTTCAGGCAAGTCCCTTGGTCCCTCTGCTTTGAGGTAAGCCCAGCCACTCAACAAGGAACAAGACTCAGGGAGGAGTGGCTCCCTAGAGAAGAACTGAAGAAGGGGAAAAAGATATTGGACAGGTAAAAACCAGAGTTACCCTTGATTCCTTGTAAGTGCAAGAAATACAAGAATTAAATACAAATACAATGAATAAAATACAGCCCTGTGAAGACAAAAGAGAAAGACAGGAAATAAGGCAAAGATAAAGTGATAAGTAGTCAGGGAAAAGTAGGTGTCAAGTATCAGAGTACCACCAAGGAAAGACACAGTTAAATGTCTGCCCACTTTATTATTATTATTATTATTATTATTATTATTATTATTATTATTATACTTTAAGTTCTGGGGTACTTGTGCAGAACATGCAGGTTTATTACATAGGTATACACGTGCCATGGTGGTTTGCTGCACCCATCAACCTGTCATCTACATTAGGTATTTCTGCTAATGCTATTCCTCCCCTAGTCCCCTACCCCTCAACAGGCCCTGGTGTGTGATGTTCCCCTCCCTGTCTCCATGTGTTCTCATTGTTCACCTCCCACTTACAAGTGAGAACATGCGGTGTCTGGTTTTCTGTTCCTGTGTTAGTTTGCTGAGAATGGCGATCATTAAAAAGTCAGGAAACAACAGATGCTGGAGAGAATGTGGAGAAATAGGAATGCTTTTACACTGTTGGTGGGAGTGTAAATAATAGTTCAACCATTGTGGAAGACAGTGTGGCAATTCCTCAAGGATCTAGAACCAGAAATACCATTTGACCCAGCAATCCCATTACTGAGTATATACCCAAAGGATTATAAATCATTCTACTATAAAGATACATGCACATGTATGTTTATTGCAGCACTGTTCACAATAGCAAAGACTTGGAACCAACCCAAATGCCCATCAATGATAGACTGGATAAAGAAAATGTGGCACATATACAACATGGAGTACTATGCAGCCATAAAAAAGGATGAGTTCATGGCCTTTTTAGGGACATGGATGAAGCTGCCCACTTCTTTCGTGTTTTGCAATAGTTCTGAGGAAACAGAGAGCCCCTCTCATTTGTCTAATTTACTATTCTTGATATCCTTGGAGGCCATTGTTTGGTAAGAGTTGTGGAGTTTATTCTGTAAGGGAGAAAACTTATTTTCTTTCCCTTTTTAGGTTCTTAGTTGAAACATTGTCCGGAAAACAAAAGTCAGATTAACAAAAGTAAAACAAACAGAAGTTTGTTAATGTGCGCTGTACCCATCACACAGAAGAGGCCTCAGTTCAAAAAAGCACTTCTCTCTCAAGGCAGTGGCTTAGAGGCCTTGCTTAAATAGTATTTTAACAAAGAGCCATAAATCTTGTATAGTGATAAAACAAAGAAGAGAGTATCTTCAGGTTTCCAAAAGGTGGGGAAATGTGGGAAGGTAAATTTATGGGAAGAGATAGATCCTAGATCTCTAATGCCACTGTCTCTGAGCTGATAAAGGCAGAGAGGAGAGGCAGAGTGTACCCCTGCATTTAACCTTTTAACTAAAATCCTCAGTATTTTAGAGAGGAATATTTTGTTTTCCTTCCATTCCAAAGGCCAAAAAATCCCAATTGCTTTAGTACAACTTCTAGGTTCATTTTTCATCATTTATAACATTTCTGGATACCATTGAGATTTGCCTGTAAATTCCTTAGGTCCTTAAATTTTATATTCTAAAGCTAGAATTATTGCTTTGGTAAAGGTCTGAATAACAATAACAATAAAATCATTATTCTAATTCCACACTTGAGCCTTATAAATATGCTTTTAACAGTAACTACAGTGCTGGATGGTGTGCTATTTCCAATCTGTTCTCCTCTTAGGTTTTCTTCTAGCTTACCTTCACATCTCTGTTATGGAGGTTACGGAAGAAAAAATAAAAGAGGTGGTAAGGTCTCATGGTATCTAATAGATTGACTTTGAACTGAATGTCCACTGTAACCAAATTGCTTCTGATTTGTCTATTTTGGTTTTTATGTTTCAGCCTAATAGCTACAAAAAAGTTTTAAAGTATCTAAATTACTCAGTACATAAAGACAAAGATTATTGTTGCTATGCAAAAAGTACATAGGCCTGAGTTCAAAGCTCTAGGAAAATTAAAAAAGAACCCACGCTGTGACTTACAATTTCAAATTGATTCGAAAATATAATTTGAAACTTTGGAACTTTGTCTTCCAGCCTATATTTGTTATTGTTTTAGATATTTGAGCTGAATTTGTCAATGGGGACACAACAACAGATTTAATCATTACAGTGTGGAGGAAGGTGTAGTGATATTCAAAGAACTTGAACCAGAAGTCAGAAGAAGTGGCTTTGAGACCCAGTACTGCTGCCCTTGTGACTTTGGAGAACTTACTCAACCTCTCTGAAACTCAGTCTTTCCTTCTTTAAAATGGAGTCTATAACAATTATCCATGGGTAGCAGAAAATCAATAACATAACAGAAATGAAACCAGCTGGTACACTGTATTTGCTCATTCAATGATAGTCTTTATGCTTTATCATGACATCATGTGAAATATAGGAAGATACAAATTACCTCCCTCAATAATTTATAATCCAGTAGAAAAAAACTATATGTGCACTCTAAGTGATATCTTACAGGAGTTTAGACAGAAGATTATCAGAAACAAGAAAAGTTGAGGAAGAGTGAATGTATAATGTGGAGGGTGATGTAGGCCTTGAAGACAAAAGGGTTTGCATTGTTAGAGTAGAGGAGGGAGCATCCTAGCCAAGTGAGTAAGTGTAGGGAAGGCAGAGGAGGTGCAGAGAGTTTAACAACATGTTTTTCCAGCACAAAAGCATGATTCTTCCTCAGAATCTTTAGCAAATAAATAAATAAGCAACAAAAATCATCTTTCCATTTACTTTGCATGTATCATGGCTCACCAAGTCATAATTCAGGGGGAACAAGCTAATTTTCTTAAAAGCTATCTTTTCCTTCCATCATTCAGAAGAAGTGGATTATCATAGAAAACACTCAGTACATTTCCTCTTTAAGTAAAGTGTGGGTGGGGAAATTTAGGTGGGCATCCTGTGCTATGGTTGCAGAGAAGTTTTATGAAGGCTACTTGAAACATGAGCATCCGGGAATACTTGAAACATAGGTATTATTTGGTCCAAACTTGCTGGTTTACAGCTTGAGAAAAATGGTACCCAGACACACTGAGTGACTTTTCCAAGGCCACAAGTCAGATACTTAGAGAGGTGAGGTGAAAAGCCAGGTCCTCAGGAAGACAGAATTCTAATCCGGAAATGGATTAATGTGTAGTCATTTGTTTATTCATTTATTCATTCAGACAGTCTCTCCTAAGGGCTTGTTATATGCTAGACACTATCCTGATTACAAGAGATTACATGTTATGAAAATAAAGACAACCCAAATGAGAACAAACAGAGGCTATTTATTCCATTTGTTATAGCTAGGAAGTCAGCCACTATCACATCTGGTAGATACTCAAAGGCAGGAAGAGGACTGGCAAATCTTTCTAGTGAAGAAGAAGCAAGGCTTCAGGTATGCTCTGATTAGAGGCTGTTGGCATGGGGGAGCCTCATGCTAGCATAAGGTGGGCTTTCTGGGAGTGGTGCATATATGTGATTGGTCTGGGGAGCATACCATTCTGTTCTGCTGACCACTCTAGGCCAGAGGTTATAGTTTGGCTTAGAGAAGTGATTGCTGCAGAGGTGGAAAGTCAGAGTTCTATTCTCATATGTGATCTGGCCATTGTCCATTTATATATTCAGTCCCCTTGGTGGGGCACAAGAGATGCTGTGCCTCCACTAATGGAACTTACAGTCTCACGGTTTAATCACACCTTGGAAAATGCTAGAAAGGAAAAGTTAGTGGTTGCAGAATGGAATCTGGAGTCTAGTCTGGAAGTTTCCTTGAACAACTGATTCCAAGCTATCCCTAAATATTAACCTGAAGTTATTCGTAGCAAAGAGTAAAAATATCATTACTAAAAGTATTTGTGAGGTTTTACAAATAGACCTGTCAATAGATTTTTACAAAAGAGGTATTAATCCCTTTTTCCACCTCTGATCAGAATCAACCAATCAAATGTTTTATACTATTTTTTTGTCTCTCACACCATAGCAACAAAATCAGAAGGGATCTCATTGTGAGGGCCTATTATGTCTTAAAACAAAACAAAAAAGAACATAAAGGGCAGCATTTAACATGAAAATAGTATCCTGACCCTCCTTGGACTAAATGTTGTTAATCAAGTTTAAATTTAGCTCCCACGAAGTCTCAAAAGAAAAGGAGACAGCCAGGTCCAGCGAGGAAAAACTTCCGAGTGCCTCTAAGGCAGGGAAAACAAGCCTCAAGTCAACAAAGGGCAGGCAGCCTGTAAAAACAAATGGTGCTGATGAGAAGGCTGGGGCCCCAGAAAGCTCATTAGCAATCAGATGCAGCCACGGAGCTGTCTCCTTCCAGTCTACCGGCCAATGACACCATAGAGCCTGTGACTCAGCGGCCCGACTGCCCGGCTGCACTCCTGAGACATCCCCGCCTGCTCAGGCGACTCCCAAGACCCTGAGAGACCTGGATACTGAAGGGGAGGAGGCAGGAAGCCAGGAAACACCACAGATGAAGTGAAGAAAAGCAAAGCTATTGTCCTTATCTACCCACTGATAACCAATAGTGAGGGATGGGGAGAGGCAGCTGCTAGGTGGGATTCTGGAGACAACATGACTTCAACTGAGGGGCAGAGCGTGGCGGCTGCACTTTTGTTTCCAGCTTTATGAATCCCAGTGCTGTTCCCAGTCTTTGGAAATTGAAGGACCTCTTAATATCACTCGTTTTGCGGCCTTTTACATGAATGAAAACAAATCTTATGATATGTTGCTTTTCAAAAACGGCTATTTTGAATCTGGTTGACACTTTCAGTGAATTCGCTTTTTCTTTTCATAACTGCAGCTGCATGCGTGGGAAAACAGTAGGCATATGTAGTTGGAAGATAGTAGCACAGCCCTTTCTCATCTCTGTCCCATCCCTGCAGGCTTCCAGGTGAGAAGTACGGGGCTTCACAATTGAGAATCAGAGTGAAAAGGAGAAACTGGCCTTTATTGATTATCGACTATTATCAGTCATTCTTGGATAAGAAAGGTATTGTTTGTTTTCTCTCTTATAAAATACAAAACAGTTAACTTGAGAAATTAAGATACCTGCCTTGGGTCATATTATTGGTAATTTTGAAACTTTCAAAAATCACAGCACTTTCCACCTTTCCAAATTCCTACTTAAATCAATTCAACTTCATTGGGGGTATATTAGGGACTGGCTGACTACCTCTCATGCATATTTGTGAGGGAGTCTTGCACTTTGCCCCTGGTGAGACTTTTGGTTCTTTATGTCCTAGATGCTATTGGTGGGATGCAGAAGTGATGACTGATTGAAAAGTGTTAAACAGACTAATCAAGTGATTCTTAGGCTAAGATGGCTCTAGGGCCTTAGATTCCTACATATGCAAAGTGAGACAACTCAATGTAAATAGCAAAATGAAACTTACACTTTACCAGTCAGAAACTACCAGCTAATTCTAACTAAAGATTTTCTACTTTAGCCAATCAAATATTTTCTTTGTCTTTCTTCTGAGGACATCTTACAACCGTTTTTACATTGCACCCTGTCAGTGAAACCCAAACCATTTGTGGTTTAATGCTGCCCAATTCATGAACTGCTGTCTGTTCAAGTTAACTCTTTAAAATTTTAATGTACCGAAGTTTATCTTTTAACAAAGGGGATAGGGCTTCTGGGAGATAAAAGATTCAGGATATTTATTTGAATGGTATAGATTATAGGACCTTTGACTAAAAAGGCACATTAAATGGTAAAACCCTAAAGGGTTTGACATATAACCTATAACATCAAAAATATCTTTTATAGAACAAAGAATGAAGAATCAACATTTGAGCCATTATCACAACCATTTTCTATCAGTTTCTGAGGACTATTCAGTCTTTTCACCCAGAACACTAGTTTTCAAATGTGTTCAAATTCCTTCAGACCCTTCAGGGATCCACCTGGAGAGCAATGGCCAATCCAAAAGCCCCAGTTGAGGACTGAGGCCCTACTTTCACCAAAGGTGCTTCATGTCATCTGTTTCACATGATGGACTATTTTGAAAGATTTAATTTGAAAGCCACTGTATGAAATAAATTTAGTGCTTGGCAGGTGATAGGTCCTTAATACATATTTATTGGCCAAGGGTAGATTACTTGAACCACAAATGCCTCTTCTGGACTAGTTATTTTTGATTCTTAGTTAAAATAACAAATGAAATAGTATTAAAAACATTAATATGTTTTTATAAAAGATGAAACCATGACACTATTAAGTTGGTTCAGGCTAGAAGAATAAGGATACCAGACTACCATTGCCTCACATACACCTCGGGTTAAGGGGATCTTTTGGGAGCCAGAAGAAGCATATGAGTTGTCATTCTATCCAAAATACTTAACTCACACTTTCAACTTTGGATTATTAGACCCTTGGATTGCTTTTTTCAATTTAAAACCAATGATCCTTGAAGTCCTTTCTATTCTGAGACAGAACAGGGGTATCGTAAAACATCTGGAAAGCCATCTTTACTATGTAATCATTCTCCAGGGGCCTCAAATCCACACATGGCAGCAGAAGTAACTTGCTCAGTCTATTTAGTTGACCCTGAGATGATGAGATACAGGACAAGTAAGATGCCTTTGTGGGGGAATATGGTGCTGATGAGCAAAGAATGCTGAGGTGGGCGCATTTTCCTCATCCAGGAAAGGATAACAATAGCTGTCATCTATTGAACTGTTACTAAGAACCAAAAACTATGTGATGCATCCCTATAAAGTAGTTACATGTATTCTAACTGTTGTACAAGAGACTGTGCTTGCTTAAAATGCTCCCATGGCCCTACATTCTAATTAGAACAGAATTGATGCACTTTATCAAGGTACTAAAGCTCTGGGTAATCTGGCTCATCCTCATCTCTGACCTGATCTTTCTCCTCCACTCTCCCATTTGCCAGTCCTGCTCCAGCTTTATTGGTCTTCTTCCTGTCCCTTGGCTCATAAAGCTTATTTTGGGCTTGCTGTCCTCTTGACCTTCCTTTAAATCTTTGCATAGCTAGCTCCTTCACATTATTTGAGTCTCTGCTCATCTGACCTAAGAGAGTTTGACTGTCCATCCAAAAGAGTAGCTTGCCCCTCCCTGCCCCCTGAATTATTCTCAATCTCATTCTGTTTTATTTTTTAAATAAATAAATAATAATAAAATAGGTTAAAAAGTTACCTATTTTTTTCTCTGTATATGTTTGCCTCCTTCATATAAACTATATAAGGGTTTGTTCAAGATGTTAGGTCCAGGGCCTTCATACATATTTGTTGAATGAATAAATGAATGATTGAATGGTAAGTAGTTTAAGTTAGATCACACAGTTACTGCACAGTTGAGCCAGGTCCTAAACCTAGGTTTGCCTGCCTCTGTTCTTGGGAAAGTAAACTCATAGAAGGGGAGTGCTAAGCGTATCAGAATTCAAGACAGGATGATGCCAAGTAGTAGAGCTTTTCCTATTGCATAGTTTGGCTTGGGCTAGGGCAGTCCAGTCTAAAACTGTGTTTCTCAGAGGAAAAGACCCAGCTCACTTGTATCAGAATCACTGGGAAAGCTATTAAAAGGCTTATTGGGCTCTGTCCCACACCTACTGAATTAGACTCTGGAGGTGCTTCCAGAGGGGCTGATATTGTAAACAAGGTCTCCAGAGGTTTCTGATGGACTGTAATTTTGAGAACCACAGGCTTGAAAGAAATTTGCTCCTGACCACACAACATTTATTTAGACGTCTGAAGTTTCTTAAACATACATCACTCTCACATATTCGTTAATTTCCCCAGGGTAGGCACATATTTCTCAGGTCAACTCACTCTTTTGGAGCAGAGAAGAGACAATGCTGCCCTGGGTTAGGTATCACAACCCTTCATCTGTGGCACAGCCTCCTCCTTTTAAACCCTCCACCCTTTAGAATTTACAATCAGAGATAAAAGTGTTTACCTCTTGTTCTGCAGATCTGCATGGAACTTGGTCCTTTTAGGACTATGAATCTGGTTAATGAAAAAGTAATTTCAATTTAGAAGCTTCAAAAGCCTAGATGAACTTCTGGAAAGTTATTATTCAAGATTTCTTTATTACACTTGAGAGCATGTAGGATCCCAATAAGCCAAATAAGAGACCTAGGCCATTTTTATTCCTTGGTGTACCAAATAAGAAGTCTATACCTGTTATGAATAATGACTGTGTTTAAAATACCTAAAATGATGACCCTGAAGGTTTGCTTTGATAAATTGATCTTCATATTCTTTTGCCTTAAACTTTCTTAGCTTTAGATGAGTTGCCTGCTTTAATTGGTTACTTCGAAGTCTAGTTTACAAACAGAAACTAAGCAACACCCATTCAGAGAATCATGGCTACCAAATGGAATGATCTGAATAATGGAGCTCTTTCTCTGACATCCAATGCTTAGACTGCAGTGTTGGAAAATCTTATATCTGAATTTCTGTCAGTTGACATCAATAACTTTCACTTTTAATGGACTTGAGACATTACATTTTGCCTGACTTGAAACCAGTGGGAAAAAAGAAGTTTCACCTGAAACTTGGCCCAGATTTCTCCTTTGTGGTTTATAAATGATGAACACATGCCCAGATTGGGTTCATGTTTAGGACAAAATTCTGATGAGGAAATTTTTTGCTTATTTCAGGTTTCAAAAAAAAAGTTTACAGTTCTGAACAACACTCTATGTATTATAGATATGAGAATGCACTCCTGGTCATTTCAGTGAGTAGAAATATTTTAGACTAGAAAATCAGAGAGAAATCTGAGGTATCTCATGTAAATATACTTAGGTTTGCTTTAGGGATTATGCTAGTGACATTTTAAAGGAGCTCTTAAAAATCCAGTGCTCTAAAGTGTGCTCTGCTATTAACTATAGAGTTTTAATTTATTTCCTTGACTTATCAATTTTTGGAAGAGGTGACTTTATGTCTTTGTCATGTCCCAGCCCAGATACCTTTCCATGATTTTCTTCTAGTGATGTAGGACCAGCTCTTTATTCATTTATTTTACCTTTAAGCTCTGTGTGACTTGAAGGACCAGCTCTTTAAATGATGCATCATTTGGCTATTTTGGATTGTACGTACAGAAAACACAACCTAAGTCAATTTAAAAAATAAAATAGCTTCATTTCTCAGACATTGTCTCAGCTCGGCCCTGCTTCTTGTATCAGCTTAGTTCTCACACCAGCTTTCCTCATGATCACAACATAAAGAGTCTCTTGGGCTATGTGCTCCCTCACTCAAGTCCAGAGACAATAAACTTGTCTTTTTATTTTTAAGACATTTCAGTTGGGATTTCTATTACTCACCATTGCAAATATCCTAAATGATAAAAATGGGAAAAGTATGCAAGAGGGTGGCCAGATCTTTTTAGAAATAGAATTTTTATTTCTCTGCTATAGTGAATTGAAATAACTCTTAAGTAGCCCTTTTACCTTTTCTTCTTCCACCTTCTCATTATTTTCACGTGTATTTCTCCATGCCTCCTTGCTTTAAAACTAGGGGAAGCTGATGGCAAAAGGATGAGGAATGTCACCTAAGACTAACTGTATATTGCAGACCAGGTATGCTGGTAATGATAGATGATTGATTTCCAGATTTCTCTGCATTAGGCCTTCTCTGTCAAGTCTTTGATTTTGTGCCAAAGAATGATGAATATCCTGTCATCATTGCAATATCTTGAAGACAAGACCAATAATGACATTTATTATTGCTGTTGCTACTATTATTATGGTAGCAACTAAAATGTCAGTGATCCATCCCACGCTGTGTAGCTCAACATTGGAGAATTTAGGATTTAGGGTAATCACAGTAGACTTAGACTTTGAAATTGATAATGAATTTTTTAAGTTAATTATCATTATTTGATCTAAAAAGAGAAAGAGAGAGAGAGAAAAGAGAGATTGAGAAATTCCAACCATCTGGCATTTTTAGGTAAAAGATTAAATGGTTGGAAAACCTGGGTTCTAGGAGTTGAGCTGCCATGCACTGGATGTGGATCTTGGTTAAATCACTTAACATCCTTGGATTTCACCTAAACTGAGAAAGTGAGATCATTAGACCATTGCTAAGAGCTCTTTGTTGGTTCTAGCGTTAGTATTACCTCTTTCAGGCAAGGACAGGTAGATCCCAGGCACAAACTGGCCACTATTCACAAGTTAACCCAGTGAGGGGGATTCTTCAAGACCTAATTTCTCATTTCTAAATTCTTCACTCATTCTATAAACCTTAAAATATGAGAGCTGCCTGAGCTATAAAAATCACTGAGGCCAGTGGTTATTACCCCTTTTTATAGACTCCTTGACATTTTTATGAAAATTATTGGCATTCTTTTCTGAAAAATACACATGCAGAAAATTTTGCATATAAATTAAGGATTCACAGAGTTACTGAGGCACAGCCATGGGCCTATGTAGACATGAGTTAAATATTCCTGATGTTGCTTGACCCCATTGCTTTGTTACCAACAAAACTAATAACTAGAAAAGTAAAATATCTCAACCAAAGTCACATAACAAATTAGTGAGAAGACACCAATGGCTTGTGCAACAGCCATCCCATGCCCAATCATCTGTTCCTTGTGGGAAATGGCTCCTGCCATTCTCAGGAAATGTAGCTTCTTCCCTTCCCCAAGAAGAAATGTTGTTTAACTTAAATTCTCAATCATGAGAATTCATTCACTTGGAAAGCAAACCTAGTCCATGACACATAAGCAGATACCTTCTAGGGTATTTTCTGGAAAAGGTTTCTCTCCTATATTTAAACAAGGAAGAGAAGCAACTTGCTATTCTGCTTTCACACATAGTCTTGTGAGGGTGTGGTATTTGGAACTGTAACAGCTACCATGAGGGTAGCTAAGATGTGCTCAGGGTCACAGAGGGCAAAGATGGAAAGAGTGTGGACTTTTGGTGACATCATGGAGGGACTGAACCACCCCTGGACTGCTTGCTTTTCTCCATACTTCTTGTTGGGTAAAGTAATAAAGGTGTTCATTGTTTAAGGCAGTACTTTTCAGTCTTTTTCACATTGTGATGTATGTAGAAATGATCATACTTGTAAAGCACACTAGCATAATTGGAGGAGGCAGAGGACTCAGGAACTTCAAATTTCACTCCACTGTCCTGAGGGCTGAGAGGAATCGGCCCCTTATACAACAGTATCTTAGCATAGCCCCTGCCAGCACTCCAGTGTGCCAGGCACTATCGGCTATGGGGATTATCTGATTCTATAGGGGTGTGTCCCTTTGTCTGTCTTTGACTAGCCTTTTACAACTCTGTAGAGAGACAAGTTAACTTGTACAAAACTGCAAATGTTTCCTGCCCATAGCTATCCAAGTGATCTTGTTTAAGGCAATGCAAATGGATTTTCTGCATATTAATCAGCTTGAGTTTCCATAAAGACATACCATAAACTAGGTGGCTTTAACAACAGAAATTAATTTTCTCACAATTCTAGAACTAGAAGTCTGAGATTAGGGTGCCAGCACACTCGGGTTCTGATGAGGAGTCTCTTTCTGGCTTGTAGACAGCCACCTTCTCGCTGTGGTTTCACATGCTAGAGAGACAGAGAGAGACATCTCTAATGTCTCTTCCTTTCTATAAGGACACCGATTCTATCAAATCAGGGCTCTACCCTTATGACCTCATTTAACCTTAATCACCTCCTTAAATCACTGTCCTATCTCCATTACAATTTCATGGGGGTGGGGGTCGGGGTAGTGCTTCAAAAAATTAATTTGAGGGAAAGGAGAGGACACAGTTCAGTCCATAGCATTCAGATAGACAATGTAACATTTTATCTCTGTATACCATTTAAATTATTTGTAACATCTTACTCATTCCTTCATTAATGAATAAATAAAATTTTTGACGTATGCTTGTCTTACATATATGTGTGTTATAATTTTATTTTTTTGTAATTTATTTTTTAACGAAAAGATCAGACTCTATTCTTAGATGGCAATTCCTAAGGTTACTGAAAAGAGAGGGACATTTTAAGATCCCATTATTTCCCAATTCATTTGAGTCACTTTCCTTGGTTGAGGAGACTGACCCTTGTTTTTTTCTATATCTTATGGATCAATTGTTAATTTAAAAGAAGCTGGATTGAAAACACTGAGTTGTAGAAATCCTTAGTCCTGGACCCAGGTGGATTTCTACAAGTTATAAAACTCAGTAAAGCCATGTAACCTCTTGGCCTCACAGTTCCTCCATCAACGTAATGAAGAGATTGGAATAAATGTTCTGTAATATGCTTTCAAATTTTAGAATGTGTTGATTCCATGATTTGTGCTTATAAAGGGTGGTAACTGTAGAGGTAAAACTTTCTCACTGTCTAGAAGAAAACTATTTAAAAATTTTTTAGAGATATGGTCTTGCTATGTTGCCCAAGCTGGAATGCAATCACTATTCACAGGTGCGATCACGGTGCACTGTAGCCTCAAATTCATGGCCTCAAGTGATTCTCTCTCCTAAGCCTCCCAAGTAGCTGAGAATACAGGAGCATGCCAGCATGCCCAGATAGAAGAATATTTTAATAAAAATATCCACATATTTGTGATGTCTGTGTTCTTCATGCTTTGGTAGGTAAGACTGAGTTTTGGAAGACTTTTTTTCTCTTCTCTTCTCCCATTCCTTTACACACCTGCTTCCTGCCCCACTGAAAAAGCCACTAACTTCCTTTGTGTTCAAGTTTCTCCATCTGTGAAATGTGAGGCTGAGTGCCCATCGGCCTCCCAAGGGTATTCTGTGTCTGACTCTATCACAGAGCATTCACTATGCTGAGCATTATCTACAGACTGAGGCTGGCATTTCCTTCCTTTCCTTTCTTGATCATAATTTGATCCTTACTTCCTTGGGAGTCTCTTGCTTTTACAATTTGTCAGTAGTTCTAATCCTGTTTTAACATAATTTAAAGCTATGGTGATGCTAATGGCGTCATTGATAATGAGCTGGAAGTGGCAGAGAGCCTTTTAAAAAGTGTGTTCAAGTAGTGAAAAAAATCCACCAAACCTCAAAAAAAACAAGACAAAAACCACACAGTAGTAACATAGGAAAACGTTCCCATCTAAACAAAATAATTTACATGAGACAGCATTACCAGATAAAATACAAGACATTCAATTAAATTTGACTGAAAATTGAGAATAAATTTTTAGTATAAGTGTATTCCACACAAAGGACAGGCCCATCATGTCCATGTCCATATTAAATGTTTTGTTGTTTATCTCACATTCAAATTTTACTAGATGTCTCGCATTTATATTTATTAAATCTGGCAATCCTAACAAGACTTTTAAAAGCTGAGCTTTCTGTTCAGCAGCTTCTGCTTGAGATAAAATGAGGTTCTGGTGTGTGGCTGGGCTTTTTTTGGTTGTTCAAATATGAAACAAAGAAATACTCCAAAATTGACAAAAGGGAAGAGGTTGAAACTTCCCCATAGTCTTACCATGAAAAATTATGTGGGAGAACAGTAGATCTTGTCATGCTGAACTTTTTGTATCCATAGATATTTGGTCTTAGAAAATTTGAAAAAAATAAAACAGTTGGCAATTCCATGAGAAGTTGCAGTTCCCATGTTTATTAGAAACAGTGCAAGCATTTTCTAAAGGTCATAAAAATTGTAATATTTGAAGGATTCTGGAGACAGTAGTGATAAGCTATGAAAGGATAAGAGTTTTTCAGGAAGTCCTTTGGTTTTAAAGCATTCAGTGCCAAGGATAAGGCTGCACAACAGTGGGCCCTGACTCTGTGGCAACTCTATTAGGACTACAATAGTCACATAGCACAAGCAGCCTGGCAGGTCCCCTGTGGCACACATGCACACTGATGTTCCCCACCATCTCAGAGCACCTGCTTGACATCTGTACCCTCCACTGCCACTTTAGGGTTTAACTATGTAGGAGACGAGAACAAGCCATCTCAAAATATGCCTTTTTGGCACAAGGATTATTTTGAGAAACTGCAGACATGAGAGATGCTCTGAAATCAGAGTACAGTTGTCCCACAGTATCTGTGGGGGATTGGTTCCAGGACCCCCATGGACAGCAAAATCCATGGATACTCAAGTCCCTGATATAAAATGGCATAATATATGCATATAACCTATCCACATCCTCCCATATACTTTAAATCATCTCTAGATTGCTTATAATATCTAATATAATGTAAATGCTGTATAAACAACTATGTTGTTATACTGTATTACATAGAGAATAATGAATAGAAAAAAGGCTGTACATGTCTGGTACAGATGCTTGTTTTTTTCTCAAATATTTTCAAACCAGAGTTGGTTGAATCCACAGATGTGGAACCCAGGGGTAGGAAGGGCTGACTGGACAAGTTACTCTTTTATTCTTTTATAAGGGAAATTTATTTCTATAAAGGAAATCTCCATTTGTAAAGATGCCTCCCTCTCTGTACCATGAAGCAGAGAATGACAAAAATTACTAGAGACTCATCAATGGAAAAGGCACTGACTTAAATCTACATAACACATCTTACCCTTGCTTACCATGATCTGCTGGGCCTCCCCCCCACATCCTCCTTCCTTTGTTTCAGCAGGTGAGGCTATTAAAGCCTGATTTCAAAGCCACCTTTTAGTAATTTACTCATTTCTCAGGGTGTTTCCCATGTATATATGAGGCATACATGCTAATAAACTTCTGGTTTTTTTCTCTCTTGTTACTCTGTCTTTTGTTACAGGGGTTCACACTGATTAAGAACTATTCAGGGTAGAGAGAAAATTATTTTTCTTTCCTTACAATTATGAGAGGGAGTTATTCAGCAAATAAAATGACTAGGAAAAATGCAAAAAAGCTAAGAGGTGTGACTACCTCTGTCACTGAGTCCAGGGCTACTCCAAGTAGGATCTGCTGTCCAGTGCTGGTCTGTGAACTCTTTGTCACTGTTCAGCACCAAGAAAATTACAGAAATTGAGAGGGAACATTTAGAAACCTTTCATAATATCAAGTCTGTTGAATCTAGTAATGAAAAATGTGGACATGCATTTTGTGTGTCTTTTTTGTTATTGTTTGCTTCATTTTTCTAGTAATTTGTTTTTATTGTATTTGACAAAAGTATCAGTCATGAAAAGACTATGATACTGCAACAGATAAAATGCATGCTAATATTGATGCTCTTTAAAACAAATGAGATAACTCTAACAATGGCTTAAATTGAATTGTTAAATTTATCAACCCAGGCTTTCAATCAGTAGTAATTACTGTGACAAGAAAAACTTTAGATAAATTAAATTTAAAAGAGGTTATCTGAGCAAAGAAGAATTCGAGAATCCAGCAGCTCCCTCCACCCCCGACATCCCCACCACCGACTCCTTGTGAACCAGAATAGATTCTGAGAAACTCTGCACTGCCACGGGTCAGAGAAGATTTATGGGCAGAAAAAGGAAAGTGATGTACAGAAAACAGAAGTGAGGTACAGAAACAGTTGGATTGTTGGATTGGTTACAGCTGAGCATTTGCCTTATTTGAATACAGTTTGAACCGCTGACTTCCTGTGATTGGCCAAAACTCAGTGATTGGTGCAAGAGCAGGTTGCAGTCTGTTTACCAATCCAGTTAGGTTACAGTTCACTTTGTATGCAGAAACCATTAGCCTGAACTTAAAGCATGTAAGGAGGCAGCTAGCTGTAGGCTAAACTTAACATTACATACCAAGCACTTTACTGGATACTGCAGATACAGTGATGAATAAGACAGACATTGTCTGGGGTTCCTGCCTTCATAGAATATACTCCAGGGATGAATACAGATAATAAAGTCACAACAAAGTAGTAAAAAAAAAAAAAAACAAGAATAGTGTGAAATACGAGGTGATATGGGAGCACATTATAAGGGGCCCTAAGCTGGTCCAGGATTCTGAGAAACATTCCCAGAGGGAATTGCACAAAGGCTGTTGGATTTACTAGTCTGAAATTCCAAGAGGGAATCTGAACTGGAAATATAAATGTGGAAATGTTACAGGCAGCGAATCCATATGGGTCTGCAGTAGCCTTAATTCTTGCCTCCTCAGAAGAAAGAATTTGACCAAGGGGCATAAGGCAGAGTGAGAGACTGAGGCAAGTTTTAGAGCAGGAATGAAAGTTTATTAAAAAGCTTTAGAACAGGAATGAAAGGAAGTAAAGTACATTTGGAAGAGGATCAAGCAGGAGACTTGAGAGATCAAGTGCACTGTTTGACCTGTGGCTTGGAGTTTTATTCACTGGCATGCTTCTGGGGTCTTGCATCTCTTCTCCCCGATTCTTCCCTTGGGGTGGGTTGTCTGCATGCACAGTGGCCTGCCAGCATTGGGAGGGGAGCATGGGCATGGTATGTTTACTAAAGTTGTACGCATGCTCACTTGAGGCATTTTCCCCTTACCCATCCAGTGCCCCTAGAGGAAGGTCATCATCCATTTTGCCCCTTAGTGCACATGCCTGAGCCCATTTGCCCAACTCCTGAGATCTCCTCAGGAAGCAGGTCACCAGTTTCAGGTTTTCCACCTATTGAGAGAAGGCCTTTTCCTGGCGTCAGCTGCAACCAATTATTATTTTAGAGAGCCAGCTTAACAACCGCCTGACCATCACCTGATGGTCTCATGACATTCCTGGTCAAGCAAGGGCCCCTCCTGCCCTGCTCATGCCTGACTTAAGCTGCCTACTCTAACAGAAATGTCATCTGGAGATGTTAACCTAGGGGTTACAAATGGATGAGATTGCCTAGGTAAAAAATATCAAGTGAAAGCAGGGAGACCTGGAACCTTAAATGTCTAATGGTGGAAGATGAACCTGAAAGGCAGATGAAAATAGAGAGCAAAAGTGGTGAGAGGAATTGGGGAGACTGTGGAATATCTAAAGCCAAACAAAGATGGTTTGGAAAAGCAGGCAGTGATAACAACATTAAACATTGCCAAGAGGTCAAACAAGAACTGAAAGATGTGCATTGAGTTCACCAAAGTCACAGTCATCGTTTTTGGTAAGAGAGGTTCTGGGATGTGGTGGTGGCAGCAGGGGAGTGTTTCAGAAGCCAAGTGTCAAGGAGAAGTACTATAAAGAATACAGTGATCATAAGCAACTCTTTCTAGATGTCTTGCTGTGGAATGGAGGAAAACGTAGAACTGTATTTGAAGAAAAGTATGGGTAAAGGAATTGTTACATTTAAGATGAGACCCCAAATATAAATGTTCATTTGGGGGATGTTATAGAAAAGAGTTTAGAGATAATAAAGACAGCAGGAGATAATCATTAGCAGTTTCCAAGAAGACAGGAGGAGAGAGAATCCCTGCATGACGTAACACTCATCCTATTTATAATTACAAATGCCTGCTCTCCATCAGATCCTAACCTCTGTGAGGACAGGGGCTACATTTGTGTGATTCATTACTGTCTGGTCAGCAACTAGGATACTGCTGGAACATCAAGAAGCTCAGTGAATAACAGAAGAAAATCCAGGTGCCAGTAGATCCTGTCTTTGACACATGGAGGGACACCTCCTCCTTGATGAGCCAACATGAAGGAGGACTCGGAAGAGAGAGAGAAAGGTGAGAGGTTTTCCAGCTGATATCTTATTCTCTCTGTGAAATGAAAAAGGAAAAAAGGATGAGGACTTGATAGAGCAAAAGGCTTGAAGAGAATGATGAAGTTTTGGCACTGCTCTTATGAAACAAGATTTACAGATAGAGAACCACTGAGGAGGAATAAATGACCATCTGCAAAGAAGTGCCAAGCTATGTTAGGAGTTCATATATGGAGCACACTTTTGGGGTCAGAACTGCAAGGAAGTCATGAAGACAAAAGTACTTCCAGTTTACCCTGAGGGATGAGTGTAGGCCCAAAAGCAGAAGCAGGGTTATAGGATTTGGGGAGCAGCTCAGGTAGAGGTGCAATGATAGAACTTGACCTGTTGGAGTCTACAGAAAGAGCAGCCCAATGGAGCCCAAACTCCACTTAGTAATTGAAATCAGGGAATGGGGGAGGATGGGAGGGAAAAGCAAGAGTATTCTTGGCCATTTCAAAAAACGCCCATTGTAGCAAATTGCCTTAATGAAAGTCTCCCAGCTTCTTGCTGAATTCTGTTTTAGGTTCATGTCATTTTTCTTTTCTCTTCTCTGTCATCCATCACTTTCCCGGAAACTCTCCCTCCTTTATTGAGGACTTTGGCTCAGGTTATCACCAGGAGGAATTTTCTCTGGTGACTTCTGGGCAAAAGATGTAAAGGTCTTTGTTGTCCTCACCTCCAGGGACTTTCACCCTCACTTTATTTTCCCAGTCCATACCAATTGTTATACCTTAAGCCTTGCCAATTGCACTTTTAAATTTCAACGTCCCACATGTTTAATGTCACCTTAATGCAACCAATTAACATAATTGAAATCAAAAAGAAAAATTTTCCCATACTACATAATCTAATTTAATGAATGCTTCAATTTGCCTTTGATATCATCTACTCCTTGTCCATATGCAACATTAATTTTTATATATTTGCAATATTAATAGCGTTCTGCAAGTTGGACCTTGTCATTAAGTATTGGATAAGAGTTTTGTGTTTTTTTGTTTGTTTGTTTTTGTTTTTGAGACAGACTCTTTCTGTGTTACCCAGGCTGGAGTGCAGTGGTGTGATCTCGGCTCACTGCAACCTCTGCCTCCTGGGTTCAAACAATTCTCATGCCTCAGCCTCTCCAGTAGCTGGGATTACAGGCACACGCCACCATGCCTGGCTAATTTTTGCATTTTAAACAAATATATATTTGAGATTTATTATTTTTTAAAATTATATACACCTCTTTGCAAATTAACAGCATATTAGGGGTATCTCTTCAGGTCAATAGATATAAACCTAAATAATTTTTTAAAAGAGTTGCATACTACCTCATAGAGTAAATATATCACAATTGATTCAATATTCCCCTACTGACATGTATGTTATTTCTTTCTACTTTAGATTAGACAAAAATTACAATAAATACTCTTAATTATGTATTTTTTCATATGAGTACTTTTATTTCCATAAGATAAATTTCAGGAAGAAAGATTTTTACACTAAAATGTTTATGTATTTTTAAGTTTAATAAATACCTCCAGATTACATATTTAAAAGATTATTATTCTCTCTGGCAACAAATTTTCTCCCACATCATTATCAGCCAATGGATACTCTAGTCCTTTGAATTATTTGCTTATCAGGTAGATAAAATTATATTCGTATCAATGAAATACACTCAGCTCCATGAAACAGATAATCCAACTAAAAGGAGATTAAGCATTGATGATCTATTATCTCACATAGTACAAGCCCAGAGGAAGTGTGATTCCAGAGTGGGTCAGTAGCACAAAGAGGTTGTTAAGTATGGGGGTAAAAACCATCTAAGTATGTATTCATCATCCTCAGGGTTTTGGCAATTCCTGTCCTCATGGCTACAATGGCTGGAGCTCTTCCAGGGACCTCATAAGTAAACATGTTCACTGAAGAAGAAGACTTCTTTCCTTTCATGTCTCCATATATTAGATGGAAAACATGTCTAGGAACCTCAACAGGAGACTTCCCCTAGGTTATCATTGGCTAGGGTTTAGTCACATGGCCATGCCTAAACTAACGAGGGGGATTAGATCACCATGGTTGGCTTATACCAGTCATTCTTAAAGTGCCACTTCTAGACTAGCAGCGTTAGCATCACCTAGAAACTTGTTAAAACTGCAAATTCTCAAGCCTCACTCAAGACCAAGTGAGTGAGAAATGCCAGGAGGGAGCCCAGCAATTTGCGTTTCAAGAAGCCCTCCAGGTGATTCCAGTGTACACTAAAATTTGAGACCATTGGCTTAGCCAATCATGATTTGACCCCTAGGGCTGAGGAAGGAATCAACCTTGCTGATTACCTGAACAAAGAAAAGGGTACCTGAGCAAAATTGAATTTCTGCTAGAAAGGAAAAAAAAAAAAAGATTAGATGAGAAGCCTCACTGTTGAGTAAGCCCCACCAATGTCTTCCATGTAACTCAGTGCTCTTTATCTTGGAATACTCTGACTAACCTCACGACATCCTTCATATCCACCTATTTCACTTTCATATGATTGGTACACAGCTACTCCCTATTTTATTGAAACTTCATTTCCCATGACCCTTCTTTTTCTCTATCAGTCCTCTCTTAATCAATTTCTTTTTAACTAGACTATACCCCATTGTACATCACTCAACTATTTTACCAGCACACCAGATCTCCAGATTACTCACTGTCTGCCATCAACATGCCTTAAATCCTATCTCAATCATGCAATTCACCTTTTCTGTAGCTACTGAGAACTGCCAAAGAGAACTGGTCAAATGCAAAGGATTAGAGGTATTATTATTATTTGTTTTAATATTCGTCTGTTACGTCAAATTCTTCTTAAAAATCTTCCTACCTTGGCTCTCTCTAATCTCCATTGATAAGTATTCCTTTTCCTCATTACTTCCATCTTAATTGCTGCCATACTACGCATCGTTTGAACCCGGGAGGCATAGGTTGCAATGAGCTGAGATCGCACCACTGCACTCCAGCCTGGGTGACAAAGAGAGAGTCTGTCTCAAAACAAACAAACAAACAAAAACAACAACAACAACAACAACAACAAAAACCTTTTACCCAATACTTAATGACAAGGTATGATTTGCAGAACTCTATTAATATTGCAATTGCATACTGTTCTCTTACTTTCAGAAAATAGCCTTACTTACTGTCTTATTGAGAAAATAGAGAAATCATTATTACGTGTCTCCAACATCCTTCAAGAAACTCATCTTTCCTGCCTCCAACCTTGCTCTGCTTTTTGTAGAACACACACCCATACACAAGTGCTACGTATGTACAAAGACATCTTCATCCCATCCTATCCTTACTTTCTTTCTTCCTTTTTCTGTGAAGGATACTTTTTCTCCCACCTTCTTAGAGCTAATGCCTACATTTGTTTTTGATTCAGTGATTCCTGCCTATGTTAGTTTCTTATTGTTGCTATAACAAATTACCACAAATTGGGGGTCCTAAAACAATACAAATTTATTCTCTAACCATTCTGGAGGTAGAGGTCCAAAATCAGTTTGCCTTGGCTGAAGTCAAGGTGTTGGCAGGGCAAACTCCTTCTGGGGGCTTCATTTTTAATTTTATTTTATAAGATTGTGATTACATTGGGCCAATCCAACTAATCCAGGAAAATCTCTTCATGGCAAAATCTTTAACTTAATCACACATGCGAAGTCCCCTGTACCATGGAAGGTAGCATATTCTCAGGTTCTGGGGACTAGGACATGGACATCTTCATACTCTTCTGTCTACTACACTGTCTCTCCTAGATTTTTGCTCCATAGAGTCCCTTCTGTTCTGCATCCTCAATGTTCCCTTCTCTTCTGGATTCTTCTTTTTAGCCTGTAAACCTGCTTAAATTTCTCTCATCTTAAAAATTATTTTCTGGCTGGGCACGGCGCCTCATGCCTGTAATCCCAGCACTTTGGAAGGCCGAGCCGTGTGGATCACTTGAGATTAGGAGTTCAGACCAGCCTGGCCAACATGGTGAAACCCCATCTCAGTAAAAATACAAAAATTAGCCGGGCTTGGCAGCATGCACCTGTAATCCCAGCTACTTGGGCAGCTGAGGCAGGAGAATCATTTGGCAGCTGAGGCAGGAGAATCACTTGAACCCAAGAGGTGGAGGTTGCAGTGAGCCGAGTTCACACCACTGCACTCCAGCTCGGGCAACAAAGTGAGACTTCATCTCAAAAAAAAAAAAAAAAGAAAGAAAGAAAAAAGGAAAAAAGAAAAGAAATTTCATTCCTCAGTTTTCTCATCTTCGGCCTTATTGCTCCCATGCCTTTCATAGTCAAACTCCTTAAATTTGGCTTCTTTAGCTCTTGTCTCCACTTCTTCATTGTCAAATTGCCCCACAATTCACTGAATGATTTCTCTACCTGCCATTCCACCAACAGAGTTATTTCTCTAATTGGTTACAAGCATCTTTATTATTGTCATCTTCTAGTGACATTTTTCTAGTCCTTATGTGACATCTTTGCAGCATTTGACATTGTTTCTGCCATTTTCTCATGCCTTGGTGTCAGAATAGCAAATAGCACTTTCTTGATTTTTCCCCCATTACATCATTCCAAAATATATACTGTGGACTGCTTCTTAACACTATAATCCAACATTGGTGTTCTATAGGTATCATCATCGACCCTCTTTCATTTTACTATGATGATCTATTTGGATTATCTAGTTTATTTCCTAACTCTATCTATTGTCTAAGAAAAGATCTCCAAATTTTTGACTTCTGCTAAATGTCTATCCAACTGCCTGCTGGGAATCTCCACCTGTGTGACCTGCTGGCATCTTAAACCAAGCATATCTGAAACCAAAGCCAAAGCTGCCTTTCTCCTTCCTCTATTTCCTTGCTCAGTTATTGGTATCCCAGTCACCTGAATTGAGCCAGAAAATCATCCTTAAACCTTCACTCTTACCCCCAACATTTAACTGTCTCTATAGTGGATATATTGGTGGCTATTTGCATGCTCAATATCTATTCAAATCTCTTTCTACTGTGTCTTCTTGTACTCAAAAAAACCTGCAAATTAAACAATGACGTTTCCCAGATGCCTTTGAAGCTAGATTTTTTTATGATTTAGATTCCACTAACCAGACATATTTATATGAGGCTTGGTTCAGAACTGAGCTTAGAAAGGATAAAAGTAGGAAACAAGGCATCCACTTTGCTGGTGTACCTTACAACAGACAACTTGGTTGTTCCAGCAACTTCCCAATTGATCAATTGGTTTTTATGCTCACAACAAGAGAAGCGACTCCCTTGGCAGCCAAGTTCTGTTGTGTAACGTTGGGAATTATTTCTAGAAATTCAGCCCAGGATCTGATTGTTTAGCCCTTCCAAACATTCTTTTAGCCATGTATACTCTTTTAAAAAAAAAATTCTTTCTGCTTAATCTAGCCAGAATAGTAGATTTTGTTCCCTGCAACTGAACCTTAAGATATTGAGCTGCAAAATTATATGGGTATTTATTCCTAAAAATATGCTAAAATGGTTCATGTCTGTCCATTGCCTTAGTTCAGGCCCTTACTGTTTCTTGTCTGGGCAATTGCAATGACCTTCTAATTGCGAAAACTAATCGCATCTCCCTACGTGCATAAACTTCTTCAAATATACTTTATCCACAAGAGTTAAACCCCAGAGTCTTTATTATGGCAGGAAAATTCTTTATTTTCCATCTATTTTACCTCACTTCCCACCAAGCTTCTATGCTCATCTCATGTTCCAACCATCAGGCTCCAAGCACAGCTCATCGGGTTGTGCCTGTGTGATTCCTCCTCTGTGTTCCACCTTGCACTTACCTATGGTGCTTTCAAGGTCCAGCTTCAATATTTTCTTTTCTGTAAAACCTTCCTTAACTCATCCTGACCAAGATGGACCTCCTCTATCTGTGCACTGCACTCTTGTTTATCTGCTTTTCTGTCTGTCTTCTTGAGCCTTCATTTAATCCAAAAACCATGCATAGTCATGCACTGTGTAACGTTTCAATCAATAACAGACTGCATATACTACAGTGGTTCCATAAGACTATAATATATTTTCACTGGACCTTTTCTATGTTTAGATACACAAATACTTACCACTGTGTTTCAATTGCCTATAGTATTCGGTACACTCACATGAATTGATCTGTAGCCCAGGAGCAATAGGCTATTGCATATGGCCTAGGTGTGTAGTAGACTATACTGTCTAGGTTTGTGTAAACACATTCTATGGTGTTTGCACCATGACAAAATTGCCTAAGGATGTATTTCTCAGAATATATTCCTGTTGTTAAGTGACACATGACTGTATGCACATCTCTGTATTCCTGTGCCCATTCAGGACATAGTCCATATGGTACTTATGCCCTCAGTAAACATTTGAATGATATAAATATCACCCACAGAAAACAGAAGAAACAGGAGAGTGAAATTTAGTCTTCACTGTCAATAAATATTTAACAAATGTCTACTAAGTTAGATTTTAGGGATAGGGTGGTAAAAAAAATCTTTCTTGGAACTTATAGTCTATTTGGGGAGAAAGTTAAAAACAAATAACAAAACATAAACAAAATAATGACAATTGGTAATAAGTGTCCTGGAAGAAACAAACAAGGTGCTAAAGAAGAGCTGAAATCCTGAGATTTCTAAAGGAAATTTCAGCTTAGAAAAGACAAAATCAAGCCTGAATGCATCCAAAGGGAGAGCTCGGTAGGAATTAGATCCTTTACAAGGTTCCTTGCTGAGTGCTCCCATCTTTGCTTTATTCCTCTACTCTTAGGCTCACAGTTCTTGTAGAGTACATCCATTCTCCAGTACATCATCTCCTTTTTGTAAACCCCTATCCTCTCTTCGGAATCAAGTTCCCTCCCTGATTCCCCAAGCCTGAATTACCTAGTCTTATAATAATGCCTTTGGGGTTTCTGTAGGACACACCAGCATAGGAGCAAGCCACATGCCGACCCCTTTAGATCTCCATATCAGTGTGGGTCATACTAATGCTTCTTAACTTTCCAGAGGCTTAATGGATGTCTGTTGGATGGTTCTCTCCCCTCCTCCCTCTCTCTTTCACACACACGTATACACACACACACACATTCATTTTCACATATACCAATGGTAAATATTAATTCTTAGATTTTAAACCCAAATAAAGAAACATCCTTCTCAAATGCCTATAATTTGCAAGTTTGTCTCGCTCTCTCTCCATGGAGTCAATTCTTACCATTGCTACTGAGCCTCTTCTGTGTCCCCAGTATGTGCTTCACGCTGGGGACACAGAAACAAAGACCAAAAGTCCCACTTTCACACACTGATTGCCCAGTGAGAGTCTTATCCACCTCAAAAATATCTTTTGCATCTCTAGTCTTTTCTCTCCATCTCCACTCCATTGAGTTTTCACTGCTTTCCTGGTACAGTTTTCTCTGGCTGCCTTGAGCTTGTGGCTGTCTCAGTTTTTCTAGCACTTGTTACAATAGACCTTATGTTATTATTAATGTCTGTTTCTCCACTAGACTATAAGGTCTTTGAGGGGTGGGATCCAGGTTTGCTTCCCTGTACCGAATACTATGCTTCTCAGATAATAGATGCTCAATACATTTTTTTGAGTAAACATCTCTTAAGCCCAGAAAAGACTCTCCAAGTGACATTGAGTGACTTTCCAAATTCCCATTAAATATTAGAGGTAGGTATGAGCCACTTCTTTCGCTGTTGGGGAAACCGAAGTTCTAAGAAGAGAATTTGCATTTTTACAGTCTTTTTCCTTTCAAAGCTCTTTTGTGTGTAAAAGAAATTTTGTACAGTAAAGAATGATCTCTATGTAAATGACTATCATTTATTATGCTATCCCTGGGGAAGAGTCATGAAATAACTTGTTTTGAATAACCCCACTTCACAGATGCAGACGCTGAGAGAAACAGAGCATTAGTGTTTGACCTAGGGCCAACCAATCACTCAAGGTTCAGCCACTCAGGAGTCAGTTCTTTATATGCAAGCACTGTAAGAACTTGGTGAGTTATCTTTACATTGATGATGGTTTTCTCCAGGCTTCCCACCTATGGCTAAAAGAGTACAAGGGGAGGAGTCAAAGCACCTGGGTTTGAAGCTTGACTCCACTACAACTAGGTCTGGGTTAGCTCTAAGTCCCAAAGTCATGATACTTGCTATGTCAGCTTCTTGGATCAAGTGAACTAATACATGCCTAAATCCTACAGTCTGTTTGAGCTGTGTGTGTGGTACCATTTCCATTTTTTTCTCTAGGCCTTATAGATCACTTATGGCAAATACTGTGTCTTCTTCTGGCTTTGCAACACCAAATTTGAATGGTTAATTTACTGCAAGACATTGTATGAGTTCTAAATCCATATTAAACTAATAAAGATATATAAATAAGTAATGCTAAAATAAATCCAAGACCAAAAAAAAAAAGAAAAACCAAAGAGCAAAAGTGATTCATCTATTTCAAATCTCCTAACAGTAGAAAAAGAATCCCAGCATTTTGGTAGGCTCCTTTTTAAAAAAAATTACTCCAAACGTAAGATAAATATGGAGGTCTAAACACACAGCTAAAGAAATCCATTATAACAACTCAAATTCATTTGCACCAAAAATAACAAAAACTTTTGGCTTTCAGTTATATAGATCTATGTCTGGTTACTCATTCCTTAAAACAGGATCTGTAAATCAAGTTGCTGACATTTGAGTGGTGGCTGGAGTCCATTTTCAATTTCATTTCACTTCATGTAATTACGCTCAATTATGGTTTAATAAATTGATAATATCAAATTAATGCTTTCTTTGAGGTTTGAAAAATCCCAGACACCACAATGTTTAAGAAAAATTCCTTTAACCTACTGCATCATGTCTCATCCAGTCGCTGATACAGAGTCCTGCCCTAACTTGGAAACTCTGCTCCACAACTATCTGCAGAGGAGACAGCACTGAGAGGAAGCATTTAAGCCGAATACATCCAAGTAGATGTGGATAAAAACCCAAGGAACTTTTCCTAAAAGTAAGGCACTCATCCAGCTTTCCTGTTTGCTAACATCATCATGCAAAACCCCGTGAGTTTTCAAAGGTTATGGACCAGCCACTGCTTCTTTGTGAGGCGGGGAGACCTGCACCACGGCCACATCATCAAATTCAATGGCATGTCCCAAGGCAACGCCTGTCCTTTCAGGCTGAAAGCTTCATTTGTCTTCAGTTCTGCCGAGACCCCAGAGACAGAGCTGCTTTGACAGCCTCCCACTCTCTGAGGGGTCACCTGTCGCCTTGCCCAGGTCAAGGGAGGTCAGCTTCTCAATGGGAATTTTTTAAAAAAGGAGGCAGGCACGGGTCTGTCCATAAAAGGACCTCTTTGAGGTTGGTGGAAAAAAAAATGCAATGCATTTTGTGTTCCCAGTTAGACCTTCTGGAACGAGGCCGCCTGAGAACAGGCCTGTGAACAGTTCCTACTGGAGGACGGCCAACAGAGGCCACCCAGACGTTTTTCACAGGACCTCTAGCTGCCTCTGCTAACCCAGAGGCAGACGAAATTGGAGTCAGGGCGGCCACCTCCTGCCCCCGTCTCCCCACCCCCACCCCTGGGTGGCTGCTGAGCAGCACAGGAGTTTACTGAACCAGCTGCCTCCTGACAGGATAAAGCAATTTAGGGTCAAGGACAGGAAACCAGATTTGCACAGGCAAGCACAGTGAAAAGCTGCCATTCGCTGATGACCATATGGAGCCTTCACTCTTCTTTTCCTCCCTTCTCTTCCACACACGACCTCCCACACAACAACCCTTTCACTCAATATACCTGCTGGAAGAGAGTTCAGTCACATTTTGACACAAGTAGCAGGCCCATATGCAGTTCCTGTGAACATTTCTTCTGTCCCTTTTCCTCCTTTCCTTTCCTCTGGAGGCCTCGGGCATATCCAGTGGGTACCGTGCGCTGGGCTTGTGCAACGTGGAAAGGCAGGGGCAAGGGCAGCTGTGGGCAGTGCTCAGCTGTGGGAAGGAACCTTGTGAGGAGCCGCCTCCTCTTTTCTAGCAGAGAGAAAAGAGCTGCCTGTTCTCTAGCCTTCCTCCCCAGGAATCAAAGAGCCTCCCCACACAGGGCACCCACCTCTGAACAGCCAGCCCGCCTGACAGCTCACCTCAACTAAGTGTGCCTTCCCTCTCCTTCCTCCCGCCCCACTCCTCCACCCACTGTGACAAACCTGAATGTGCTCTTGAATTTTATGCTTCGTTCTTTGGGCTTATGCTTTGCTTCAATCTCCATAAGACAAAAATGTTAATTTGCTTTTTACCAAAGCCAGTTCAGATATCCCCTTCTGTGTGAAGCCTCTGGATGCGTTCAGATATTCCCTCCTCTTACAATCTATATGTAAAACTACTACTGATTTGTAATGAAGTCCTTTAGCTACCGCCGGGGAAGTGTGGATTTTAAGGCTCATCTCCAAGCACCGCAGCATGGATGCTTCATCACTGCTTCTAAACTGATGCCCCTTATGACTAAACCCAGGCATTTTGGGGGATGGCTGGCGGACACTGAACCTAACAATCCCATGTGTTAGAGCTCATAATTTTGGCTTCATTTGAGCAGTACCCTAACAAGCCCTTTAGCTGACCAGCCCCAGCTCTTAGTTACCAACAGGCAGCACAGTCTAAGATGAACTGACTCATTATCATCTGGGAGTGCAGATTCCGGACCATGGCATCTAAAGACAAACCTATACAAGAAAATTCAGGAGGGAAACAAAAGAACTCCAGCATCATCCCCTTACATGGCTTTTTGTAGCACCAAGCCTTTATTAAATTCAGTGTGTGTTCTTGTGGAATCTGCACATGTCCTTATTGTCGCTTCTTTAAGCCTGAAGCAGTCTTGCCTCTCTCAGCTGTCTTGTTCATCAGAGGCTGATGGCTGCCGGTTACTGTTTAGTTGCTGGTAGGATGCTATTTGAAGGAACCACATCTGAGGATGCTCATGCTGCTAAAGTATCTTTTTAGTTGAATAATGCAAGACAGCACATTTGGGGAGGTAGAAGCACACAGTGGCAGTTCAGAAGGAAGACAAAGAGGAAACAGACCGCTGACTTTGGTGGGAACCGGGGTGGTATGTGGTGTCCCTCACATAGAGACACAGATCCTAGCAAATTACCACAATGCCAAACAGAGGGCCATGACAGACATAATGGAACCACGTCCCTCCTTTGTCCAACAATTAAGAGAAAAGTTACAGTATTTGCTTTTGCTGTTTTCAGCCAAGAGCATTAAAAGTATGTTTAGTTTCCCCCTTAAGATGCATTCTAAACATTTCTCAGGTGAAGAGTATGGAGGATATATGCTACCATGGAGCTGCAGCCACTGTCTCAAGCTGTTCATGTTTCCTTTTGGGACTTGTTTCCCATCACACTCCTACTTGCTAATTCCTCCAACTTGTCTTAGGCCACTGGGAAGTCTCTGAGTTGCTCACCTATTGTTTCTCCTTTTAAATTCCAATTCATTCTCAGCAAGCTCATCACCTGTACAGCAGGGCTCCATGAAGCTCTTCAGAGCTTGCTGATTCTGCTTCTGGGGGGTTGCTAAAGGAATAGATTATAGCTCTCCCACTTTGCTGTCCCTGGTCATTCATTTGGTCATATGCAGCTCCATGACATCACCAAGTGAGCGCATCACATGCCTGGTTTGTGCAAATTCCCTTACCAATTGCTTGTCATTGTTTTGATGGAAAAATAAGAAAAAATAAGGGTAAGGGCACACCTCAACTTTTCTGTACTGCAAAGGTCACAGGTATTTTACAAAAACACACTGCAGACACCAAGTACTTCTTAGACTATTGAATAAGTTGTAAGAAACTCCTGAGCTTTTTTCCTAAGCCCCTCTCTGCTCTTCTCACTGAGATACCTCAGTTCTGAACTTGAGATCAGGCTGGAGATTAGGAAGCTTCAAAGGCTATTTATACGAAACACATACAACATACTTAGGTTCTGATGTAGAAGACAATACTCTTTCAAACTTATAAGTAAAACTCCACAAAAAAAAAACTTTTTAATGAATGCAAGGATACTAATCTCTTATAATAATGAGAAATCATCTTTGGAAAACTTTAAGTTATGGCTTTGGCAAATAAAGCATATATATATACACACACATACATATACATATATTAGACCTATAATGTCCCCCTGGCAATCCACAGGAAGTACAGTATGCATGAACAGATGAATGGATACAGAGATCCTCTCAAATGATTAAGATGGAAATGTATAATATATTTCTCAAAACAAAGCTTTGTGAAAAAAAAAAAAAAAAAAAAACTCTGGGATGGCCTTCTCGATTCCCAAAAGGCTCAAGATGACTTTGGGACATAGTAAAACCTAAAAGAAAGGAAACCAAATAAAATCTGCAGGATCATTACATGGTAGGAAGTCATTTTAAAACTGGGAATTTAAGAGCTATGACCTCTGGCCATCCCAGATTCCATCCTTTGTCCTCGATACCCCGAGTCTTGTCCCATGTAACAGTCTCTGAGGAGCCTTGGTGACACTAATTCATTTATGTATCCAATTTATTCAAGAAGTGTTTGCTTGGGCATTCATTATTTCAGTACATGGTGTTAAGTACTGTTGGATTTACAAAGAGTAATATTCATAGGGAAGATTCACCGAGTGACTACTAATCCCTATAGTAAGTGCTTTATATGCATTTCTTACTTTATTCCTCACAATCCCACACTATGAAGTAGGTATGATGGTTATTATTAGATTATTTCAACTTATAGGTGAGAAAAGTGAGACTTGGATTGGCCAACTTACCAAGGACATAAATCTATTAAGGGGTTTTCTGGAATACAAGTCCAGATAATCTGACTCCAGATCTCATGTTTTAACCACTACTCAACCCTAAGCCAGGACATAACCAGCCCTGAGGTACTTATACTTTAGTGGAGGAGGGAAAGCACATCAACTTGTAGAGATACTACAAGGCAGTGTGCTGTAGAACAGGAGCTTAGGAGCTTGAATGTTTCCTGGAACTGGGCTATATAAGGGTGAAATCACCCATGGCTGAGGTAACCATAGGTAGCTTGAGAGGGAGACAGAATTTGAGCTATACCTTGAAGGGTAGGTAGGATTTTATAATTGTATCATTATCTCAATTCAAACCTGAATAAAACAAAACAATTTGTAATTGTCCTACTCTTTCTCATGCCCTAGTCATGGAATCATTTTTTTAGCTCAATACTACCTTATATGAAGTCTTTTCCAAAGCATTTGAAAAGACTACTGAATTTATTTCCTCTTCTGTTCCTACAACTGCCAAATTGATTCAAAGCCTCATGTCTTCATCCTTTCTGTGCTGCTATAACACAATACATAAAGAATACATAACAGAATTAATAAAGAAAATAAATTTTCTCACAGTCCTGGAGGCTGGGAAGTCCGAGACTGAGGGGCTGGCATCTGGTGAGGGCCTTACTGCAGTGTTCTTACAAATTAGAAACATTATAGTAAGGGATATAGGAATTCCCTGTCCCTGTCGACTTGAAGGAATTAAAGCATTTTATCAACAGAAAAGTGGAAACATTTTCATTTTAGATAGTTAATTTCTGCTTTTCAATCACATTTTATTTGACTTTTGGACAACTGACATGCTGAAGCCAAGAATCATTTCAGCACTCTGGTTCCATGAGTTTGGAGGTAGAAGTTTGGGAATACATTTTTAAAGAATGTACTGTGTATAAATGCTGATCTAGCACATGATAATCATTCTCCATTATCAAGTAAATACCATCACTTTTTATTAATATTCTTTTGGTTGAATTAACACTAAACATTTCTACAGTGAAATTAGTATTCTATTAAGTCAGGAGGGTGAAAAAATAATTGCAGAAGAAGTGAAAATAAAGCAACATGACATTTGCTGTGAAATTGTCACCAAGGAGTTTCCATAAAGAAATAATAGATAAAATGCAAACGTGGAAAAGGCAAATAAATGTTCTATAGCAGTGTTCTCCAACCTTTTTGGCACCCAGGACCAGTTTCATGGAAGGCATTTTTTCCATGGACGGGGGAGGGGAGGATGGTTTGGGGTTGATTCAAATGCATTACATTTATCATTAGATTCTCATAAGGCATGCACAACCTAGATCCCTCACATGCCCAGCTCACAATTATTGTGTGCTAGATTAGCTCACAATTATTGTGTGCTAGATTAGCTCACAATTATTGTGTGCTAGATTAGCTCACAATAGGGTTCCCACTCCTATGAGAAACGAATGCTGCCGCTGATCTGGCAAGAGGTGGAGCTCAGGCAATAATGCTTGCTCACCTCCTGCTGTGTGGCCCAGTTCCTAACAGTGCTCTGCTGTGGCCCAGGGGTTCGGGACCCCTGTTTTATAGGTTTTTTTCCCCTAAAAATGGCTTATGTAAGATTCTCCTGAAACTTAAAAAAGGCAGATAGAAATCATGATTATTGAAAAAGAAATTCTGAATTAGGAATTAGTAGTAGCATAACTGAACAAGGTCTAATCAACCATCTTTTTCATGAGCACTAAGCACTGACTAGAGAGTTCAAGAATGAAAGATCCTCTGAGTCCTCGGGTCTTCCTGGCTCCTCCTGTGCCCTGCTGACTCCTCCATAAGATGTCTATCCCTTTACTTTCATCCTTTCTCTTGTTTCTCTCAGACCCTGGCCCTACCCACCATCATACCCTCTCAACACACAATATGTTCACAAATGCTAAGCTCACCCAGTACTCCATTCACAGGGAATTGGAATTTGGGTTTTCTAGAACTCCCTGTTCTTGTTGTTTCATGCCCTTTTAGAGCTCCAGAAGTCACAGACTTCAGTCCAGACTCCGTTCCCCAGAAATGCCAATGACAGCAAAGGCTTCCAAGTTCCCAGGTCAGCTTCCCTGCCTCCCTAGGAAACCATCAAAGGCTCTGACTCCCCACCCTGGAGACTTATACGGAGACACCCAATCCTTCACTCTCAATGCCTTGTTTTCATGAACTAGGAACTCTCATTAGAAAGTGATGAAAAGTTCCAGGCTCCCTAGGGGCATATGGTAATTTTGCTTCCCATCCTCACCTACTAGCATTCTACCATCTCAGTGTTCACTCTTTTTTGTTGTTGTTGTTCACCAGGCTGGAGTGCAGTCGTGCAATCTAGGCTCACTGCAGCCTCTGCCTGCCCGGTACAAGTGATTCTCCTGCCTCAGCCTCCTGAGTAGCTGGGATTACAGGCACATGCCACCACGTCAGGCTAATTTTTGTATTTTTAGTAGAGACGGGGTTTCATCGTGTTGGTAAGGCTGGTCTCAAACTCCTGGCCTCGTGACCCACTCACCTCGGCCTCTCAAAGGATTGGGATTATGGGCATGAGCCACTGTGCCCAGCCTCAGTGTTCATTCTTATACCTTTAGACCCCAGCCTGTATCCCAATACATGTGATATAGGCAACAGCTAGTTCAACTGAAGAAAAGATGAATTTACTGACAAAGAGTAGGCCATGACACCCAGTGGGGCCAAGAATGTGGAAATGGAACACAAAAAAGATGGTAAAAAATTAAGGGAATAAAGGCAAGAATGCCTGACTTTGGCTTTAAACAACCCTAAGAATAGGCCAGTATAGAACAGTGCCCCTTTTTGGGTTAAGACAAAATAGTGAACGACTTAGTGACAGGAGATTTGGGCTCCAGACAAGGGAAGTATAGGAGACAGATAGGATATAATTATGATGTGATTTTAAAATTGTGGTAAATGCAAGGTCAACCTAGGATAATTTCCCAAAATGTCCCCAAACCACAGAAGACAACTCTGCAAGCAAGAGAGATACAGTAATAAAATACCCACCATCAAGGGTGATGCTGCTTTGCTCTCAAAACCCAGAACGCAGCAGAGTCTAAATAATAGAAGAGTGGCTTAGAAGCTAGAGCTGTAGATCCCAATATCGGGCTCTGGACAAGTGTTAGGCTGGCTGCATGGGCTCGCCTGGGCAACTTGAAGAAAAAATAGGGCTACCTGGGTTCAATCCCCAGAGATTCCCATTTAGGAGGTCTGGAGTGGTAATCCGGAATCTACATTTCTTAAAACGGCTCCTGGCTGATTTAAGTGTACAGCCAGAATTGTAATCTACTGGACTGGAAGCCTCACCTACTGGGTTCAGTGACTAATGTCCCCTGCTAGTTTGTTGACTGTCTCTCAAAATGTCCATAGGGTGAAACAAGGAGCAAATGCTTGACAAGTAAGTGTATGAACGTAAGGTTGCTTGTGGTTAGAGCAAGGACAGACTGTCTGAACAAGATATCATTAAAGAAGAAATAAGCAGGTCTGGCATTAGCTGAAGAGTTGCAGAGAAAGTGTGAAACTTGCATGAGAAAAGAAAAAAGACCCTCATAAACAACTGCTAAGGAAACTTTACATATTAGTGAAAGATAGAATGGCAACAAAGCTAGTGTCATTGAGCCATGGCTTCCTCTCTTCATCACTGTTCTAGATCCTCAACCCAGTTGTCTGCAGTAATGTCTTCTCTACTTCCTCTGCTTTTAACCTCCTTTAATGACACTGCATTTCCTATTTTCAAAATGCACTCACCATTTTCAATCCTCATTCTCACTAGAAGGCAGAGTAATATTTTAAGAGTGCTTTGTGGAGCCAGCCATCCCTGGGCTCAAATCCTGATGTAATTCCTTGCTCATCTTGGGGAAATTACTTGAGCCTCTGTCTCGTCCTCTGTTGAGAGGTTTAAATTTACTGTGCTAGACATTTGATGAGTTGTCACTGCCATTCTTCTCATTTACCCTTCTGCTGCATTAGTCACTGCACTTTTTTCTTGAAATAGTCTGCCTTTGTGGTCTCCTCAGCACTGCATTATCTACTCTTTTTATTTTTTTATTATTAAACTTTAAGTTCTAGGGTACATGTGCACAACGTGCAGGTTTGTTACACAGGTATATGTGTGCCACGTTGGTTTGCTGCACCCATCAACTCATCATTTACATTAGGAATTTCTCCTAATGCTATCCCTCCCTCAATCCCCCACCCCCAGACAGGCCCTGGTGTGTGATGTTCCCCGCCCTGTGTCCATGTGTTCTCATTGTTCAATTCAAAACTATAAGTGAGAACATGTGGTGTTTGCTGCTGTTGTTATTGTTGTTATTGTTTCTTTTTTTTCTTTTTTTCTTTTTTTTTTTTTTTTTTGAGACTGAGTCTCGCTCTGTTGCCCAGGCTGGAGTGCAGTGGGCGATCTTGGCTCACTGCAACCTCTGCCTCCTGGGTTCAAGCAATTCTCTGCCTCAGGCTCCTGAGTAGCTGGGATTACAGGTGCCCCCCACCACACTGGCTAATTTTTTGTATTTTTAGTAGAGATGGAGTTTTACCATCTTGGACAGGCTGGTCTTGAACTCCTTACCTCATGATCCAGGCTCCCAAAGTGCTGGGGTTACAGGCGTGAGCCACCACGCCTGGCCTGCATTATCTACTCTTAATCCTACTCCCATAGTGTTTTTTCTCAATATCTTCTCTTTTTATCTCCTTTCATCTAATTGTGTGTTTTCCCCAAGACAGCCAAAATATAACTTCTACTTGAAAGACTGTCCCATTTGCTCCTCTCTTCCAGGCAGAGTTAGGGACCCCTCCCTATTGATGGCAGTGGTAGCACATCTGGACCTATGAAGCCAGCATGAGCTGGGAACAAAAGGAAGCCCCACTCCCTCCCAAGTTGGAGTGGCAGGAGCCTCGCCCTCCCAGACACAGCTGCAGCCACCCAGCCAAGGCTGCTGACCCAGGCATCTCTGCATTCTTGGGGGCCTGGGAAGCCCCCTGCCCCTGCAGGCTCAAAAGTGCCTGCTCCCACTGCCTCATCACTCCCCACTCCTGGTGCCTGCTCTGATTTTGGAGAGAAGTTGTGGCTGAGCCTGGGCACTATCACAACCCAGTTGGGTGTGCACAAGTTCAGGGCAATGCTAACATGCCATCCCCTCGCCACTTCAGCCCCTTCCAGACTTTGGGTGCTGATGAGCACTGGAGAGAGGCCAAGGGGGAGCTAAGGGTGGTTCAGCAAGGGCCTGCAGGCACCCCTCACCATGAACAGCCTGAGCATCATGACACCATGGACATGGATGACAGGATAACAGAGTCAGGAGGCAGACAGGCTCCTGTGCAGAAAGGGGTGAGTACCCAGTGGAACCCCACCTTCAGGCCAGGGATGGCCTGAGGCCTGGAGGCCAGGCTGTCAGTTCTGTGGAATGGAGTGAGAACTTATGGTGATATTTCCAGGCCTGCCCATGGCTGCCTATGGATCAATCAGCACACACTTACTCCCCTCTGAAGCCCATAAAAACCCTAGACTCAGCCAGACTCAGGCAGACAATGGGACAACCTCCCTGCAGAGAGAAGCTACCCACTGGGGGGGGTCTCCTCTCTGCTGAGAAATGGACACTTCACTGAGCCGACCTGCCTGCAGGGAGGAGCTACCCACTTTGTGTCTCTTCTGGGCTGTTTTGTCACTTAATAAAACACCCCTTCGCCTTCCTCACCTTCCATTTGTCTGTGTACCTCATTCTTCCTGGACACGGGACAAGAACTCAGGACCTGCCAAATGGTAGAGTTGAAAGAGCTGTAACACAAACAGGGCTGAAACATGCCCCTTGCTTGCCATGCTGCGAGTGATGAGAAGGATAGAAGAGAAAAATACAGCCCTTTGGGGAGCCCAGACTTAAGAGCTCCCTAGGCCAGGGCAGTTACACCCTCTTTGGGGCTTTGCAGTTCCTGCCATCTCCAAGATTCTGGGTGCCACTGCATTCCCTGGAGCCAATGTGGAAGCTGCTTTTTGTACACCTGGTCCAGCCGCAGCCTCACAGGGAACTGGTGCCCAGGTTGGCACCTGGAGTTGCCTGTCTTGCCACATCTGGTGTGCCTGGCTGTGTGCAGTGGGCAGACCCCACACTTACTCACTCACATACCCCTTGCCACTCTGCATATGGCTCGCCCTTAACAAGCATGGGATCCAAGCCAGTAGCATGAGCCGAGCACAGCCTACCAGGCCAAGTGGGCAGAATGAGCCCAGTGGTCCCAAGCAAAACTCAGGCAAAGGCACAGGGGCCACAGAGGTGTCTGGCAGAAAAAGCGACACCCCAAGGATCCTGTGACACTATGAGGTCCTCATTAGACCCTCCTTATCTGGACCCTGCACTGACTTTTGCATACTAATTATGGTGCAGTGTTATCTTCCTTTCCTGCCAGACGGTGAGGTTTCTGAGGTGGGTGGAGGGACAGACTTACTGTGCCTGGAGCACAGTTCTCTGTAAATATCCTTGGAAAGAGATGAAAGATTGAAAAATAATGAATGAAGTCCTCTGTTTCCAAAGCATGTATAGAGCATACTGGCTGACCAGTCTTGTTATCCCATCCCCTTGCCAGTGATTCATTTGGGGATGGGCAAATCTAAGTCAGTTTGAGCCAGTGAAACACCAGATGAGGCTTACTGAAACTTTATGGGAAATAGAACCAAGTTTCTCTTATTCCTGCTGAGTACAAATGGGAACATATTGGCCCCAGTTGCTACTGATGGGCAACTTATGACCTCGAGGAAAGCCAGCCTCATGATGTTGCCAATGCTGTGGATATCAGAGTGAAGATATGGGAAAACCCTTGGTCTCAGGTGATCTTTCTGAGTCACGTTAAGGACTGGTATAGTCATAGCTATTAAATATTTCCCCAAAACATCAACTGGCCCTGAAGCCCCATCGTCCTCTGGACTTTATGTTGCATGTGAGAATATGTGTAATAGAAATAGAGTGTTTTATGAAACACTAGTTTCCAAGATGCAAAAGCACTGCATACTATAATTCTTTTTTTTTTTTTTGCATACTCTACTTCTTAATTCTGAAGAGAAGTACATTCAACACAGCTTTACACAAATTCAGCAATTTGGGCAACTCAGTTATACAACTGCCATGTAAATCCATGGGGTGAAGATAAAATGTTTCTGTGAGATACTAAGTACTAAAGTCAAGGTTACCATTTTCACACAAAAACAATTTCTGTAGAGAAATATCTGTGGATATAAAATGGATTTCATGACATTCAGCAACCCCCTTTTCCTCCATCCAGAGAGTCAACTTGTAGTCATCTTCCAAGTGGATGTTAGCAACCATGTTGCAATAGCAACAAACGTTCAGCAGTGAAAATTACAGTAAATGTGTTGCTCAACCACATATTCAGTCACCTGAAAATAGGTACTTTAATTAAATGATTAAATTCTGCAACTAACTGGTAGCTAGTATAATTGGTGGATGGTTCAATTACTATTGATTTGCTTACATTCCATGCCTTAAAATATGAGATAAAATTGTTCTGTTTTAGGCCCCATGTGAAAAATACACCAAGAGCAACGAATATAACACAGCCACCATCAGGAATATAAGCGCTAATATGGCAAACCTTCTTTGTTGAATCTTCTGTGCCAACAAGAAGCTTTCGATTGAAAGAATTGGACTGCTGATGGCCAGGCATGGAGTCTCATGCCTGTAATCCCAGCACTTTGGGAGGCCGAGGTGGGCAGATCACGAGGTCAAGAGATCAAGACCATCCTGGCTAACACACTGAAACCCCGTCTCTACTAAAAATACAAAAAAAAATCAGCCAGGCGTGGTGGTGGGCACCTGTAGTCCCAGCTACTCAGGAAGCTGAGGCAGAAGAATGGCATGAACCTGGGAGGTGGAGCTTGCAGTGAGCGGAGATGACACCACTGCACTCCAGCCTGGGTGACACAGCAAGAGTCTGTCTCAAAAAAAAAAAAAAAAAGAATTGGACTGCTGGTAATTAGCATTTTCTTCAATTCCTTGAAGAAGTTCTGTGGTGTTGGCACAGAATTATGCCCATTTGTTTATAGAACTACAGCGAGTTGATGTTTTGGGGAAATATTTAATAGCTACGACTATACCAGTCCTTACGTGGTCATGGTGATTTTCCCTTTTTACGTAGTTCTCAAATTTTCTCATTTTCTTCTCATTATATTTCCATGAAATAAACACCACAGGTTCTATGCCTGTGACAGATGCTCTCCCTTAGCATGTTGGTGATTGAGAGCAACCATAGGTGTTAGAAAAGAACTTCTTTAAAAAGAAGCTAAAATTCAGTTCTAATAGGTTACTAAAATCATTCTATATGTTTAGCATGAAAATGCTGAAGAAAAGACAGATAAGGCAGAGCTCGTGTCCTCAAGTAGTTCACCAAATAGAAATGCCAATTCTTACACAATGGTATGAGAAACCCTAGTAGTCATAAGGTTCTAGTTTTATGAGAAGACAGTAAGATGTACTATGTATTCCATCTAGCAAAAGCAAGACTATTTGGATAAGTTTGACAAAGATGAGAACAGGTCCTAGAACCTCAGAATCGAAAGGAAGTTCATCTAGTCCATAGACCCTATCTCACTGACCCAAAAGGTAAAAAAATAAAATAAAAGTAAAGAACTTACATCAGATTGTGCATTTCTTATTTTGCCACCCTGTTTGTTAGGAAATAATCTTTTTTACTTTGGTGAAATTTGCTTTTGTATGGCTTTCATACATCATTCTTTGGGCCCAAGTGTAATCCTTTTTCACCTGGGAGGTCTTTCAGTCTTTGGATACAGCTATCATCGTCCTCAAGTCAGTTTGTCCTCAAGTTAATCACTTCCTATTTCTTCATCTGATCTTCAGAGAACACCATTCTAAGTTCCATAGGGAAGTGATAAGGGAGCAAGCCTTGAGGTCTGTCTGCCTGGATTTGATTCTTGGCTCCATCTCTTATTAGTTAGATGGCTATTTGTAAGTTACTTAACTTTTCAGGGACCTGATCTCTTCATGTGTAAACTAGAGGATAATTATAATGCCCATCTCATAAGTGACTAGGAAGGTTAAGTGAGAGAATGTAGGTAAAATGCCTAGCATGATACTGGGCATGTTATCAAACATTCAAAAATTATTAAATATTATTTTTATACATAATACTCATTAGTTGGTCTATACCCCACACTTAAGATGTGGCATTTAAAACAGAATACCATATACTCCATATTTACATTATATATTATTTTGTACATATGAATTATCTAATAATGGATGCACAGTTTTCAGGACTTCTAATGTAATAATATTCCATTGTTTGGATGAACTACACTTGATTTATCCATTTGCCTACTGAAGGACATATTAGTTGCTTCCAAGTTTTGGCAATTATGAATAAAGGGGCCACAAGCATCCATGTGAGGGTTTTTGTATGGGCATAAGTTTCAACTCCTTTGGATAAATACCAAGAAGCACAATTGCTATATTATATGGTAAGAGCATGTTTATAACTACCATATTAGTATGTTTTCACACTGCTGATAAAGACATACCCAACACTGGGAACAAAAAGAGGTTTAATTGGACTAACAGTTTCACATGGCTGGGGAGGCCTCAGAATCATGGCAGGAGGTGAAAGCACTTCTTACATGGTAGTGGCAAGAGAATAATGAAGAAGAAAAAGCAGAAACCCGTGATAAACTCATTAGATCTCTTGAGACTTATTCACTATCATGAGAATAGCAAGGGAAATACCAGCCCCCATGATTCAATTATCTCTCCCTGGGTCCCTCCCACAACACATGGGAATTCTGGGAGACACAATTCAAGTTGAGATTTGGGTGGGGGCACAGCTGAATCACATCATTCCACCCCTGGCCCCTCCAAATCTTATGTCCTCACATACCAAAGCCAATCATGCCTTCCCAACAGTCCCGCAAAGTCTTAACTAATTTCAGCATCAACCCAAAAGTCCACAGTCCAAAGTCTTGTCTGAGACAAGGCTAGTCCCTTTCACCTATAAGCCTGTAAAATCAAAAGCAAGTTAGTTACTTCCTAGATACAGCAAGGGTACAGGTATTGGGTGAATACAGCCATTCCAAATGGAAAAAGTTGGCCAAAACAAAGGGGCTACAGGCCCCATGCAAGTCCAAAATCCAGCAGGGCAGTCAAATTTTAAAGCTCCAAAATGATCTCCTTTGACTTCAGGTCTCACATCCAGGTCATGCTGATGCAAGTGGTGGGTTCCCATGGTCTTGAGCAGCTCCACACCTGTGACTTTGCAGGGTACAGCCTCCCTCCTGGCTTCTTTCATGGGCTGGTGTTGAGTATCTGCTGCTTTCCAGGCATATGGTGCAAGCTGTAGGTGGATCTACCATTCTGGGATCTGGAGGATGATGGCCCTCTTCTCACAGCTCCACTAGGCAGGGCCCCAGTAGGGACTCTGTGTATGGGCTCCAATCCCACATTACCCTTCTGAACTGCCCTAGCAGAGGTTCTCCATGAGGGCCCCACCCCTGCAGCAAACTTTTGCCTGGGCATCCAGGCATTTCCATACATCTTCTGAAATCTAGATGGAGGTTCCCAAACCTCCAAGCCCCAAGCCAAATGGTCCCACAACATGGGGACCCTGGGCCCAGCCCACGGAACCACTTTTTCCTCCTGGGCCTCCAGGCCTGTGATGGGAGGGGCTGCCATGAAGGTCTCTGACATGGCCTGGAGACATTTTCCCCATGGTCCTGGGGATTAACATTAGGCTCCTTGTTACTTATGCAAATTTCTGCAGCCAGCTTGAATTTTTCCTCAAAAAATGGGATTTTCTTTTCTACTGCATCATTAGGCTGCTCACTTTCTGAACTTTTATGCTCTGTTTCCCTTTTAAAATGGAATGCTTTTAACAGCACCCACATCACCTTTTGAATGCTTTGCTGCTTAGAAGTTTCTTCTGCCAGGTACCCTAAATCATCTGTCTCAAGTTCAAAGTTCCACAAATTTCTAGGGCAGGGGCAAAATGCTGCCACTCTCTTTGCTGAAACATAACAAGAGTCCCCTTTGCTCCAGTTCCCAACAAGTTCCTCATCTACACCTGAGACCACCTCAGCCTGGACCTTATTGTCCATATCACTATCAGCATTTTTGTCAAAGCCATTTAACGAGTCTCTAGGGGTTCCAAACTTTCTCACATTTTCCTGTCTTCTGAGCCCTCCAAACTCTCCCAACCTCTTCCTGTTGCCCAGTTCCAAAGTTGCTTCCACATTTTTGTTTATCTTTTCAGCAACTCCCTGCTCTACTGGCATCAATTTACTCTATTAGTCTGTTTTCATGCTGCTATAAAGACATACCCAAAACTAGGAAGAAAAAGAGTTTTAATTGGACTTACAGTTCAGTTCCACATGGCTGGGAAGGCCTTAGAATCATGGCAGGAGGCAAAAGGCACTTCTTATATGGTGGCAGCAAGAGAAAAGGAGGAAGAAGAAAAAGTGGAAACCCCTGATAAACCCATCAGATCTCATGAGACTTATTCACTATCAGGAGAATAGCATGGGAAAGACCAGCCCCCATGATTCAATTACGTCCCCCTGGGTCCCTCCCACAACACATGAGAATTCTGGGAGATACAATTCAAGTTGAGATTTGGATGGGGACACAGCCAAACTGTATCAACTACCAAATTGTGTTCCAAAGTAGCAGTACTATTTTGCGTTCCTAGTAGCAATGAATGAAATTCCTCTTTTTCCACATTCTTACCAGTATTTGGTATTGTCAGTTGTATTAGTCTGTTCCTGCACCACTCTAAAGAAATACTTGAGTCTGGGTAATTCAGACAGAAAAGAAGTTTAATTGGCTCACCGTTCTGCAGGCTGTACAGGAAGCATGATGCTGGCATCTGCTTGGCTTCTGGGACGGCCTCAGGAAACTTACAATCATGGAAGATGGCAAAGGGAAAGCAGGCTTATCTTACTTGGCCAGAGCAGGAGTGAGAGTGAGGTGGGGAGGTGCTACACACTTTTAAATAACCAGATCTCATGAGAAGTTGCACACTATATGGCACCTAGGGGGAATGGTGTTAAACCATGAGAAACTACCCTCATGATCCAATTGCCTCCCACCAGGGCCCACCTCCAGCATTGGGGATTACAATTCAACAAGAGATTTGGGTGGGGACACAGATCCAAACCATATCATCAGTGTTCTGGATTTTGGCCATTCTAATGTCTCCTTGTCATTTTAAATTTCTCCAATAACATATTATGTGGAGCAATTTTCCATATGCTTATTTACCATCTGTATACATCCTTGCTGAGTTGTCTGTTCAAATCCTTTCCTATTTTTAAATCAGGTTTTTCATTTTTTTAAATTGTAAATTTTAGATGTTCTTTGTATATTTTGGAAAGTCCCTTATTCAAATATGTCTTCTGCAAATATTTTCAGAATATTTTTAGATTCTTAACAGAATCTAAAATTCTGTCTTTTTCTGTTTATTATAAATCACCAAGTCTGTAGTATGCTGTTCCAGCATCACCGACTAAGATGGACATTAAACCACAGATCCAGGAAGCTCTTAACAGAGCTGTGGCCTGTCTTTTTAGTCTCTTAACAGAGTCTTTAACAGAGCAGTTTTAAATTTCAATAAAGTTAAGCTTATTGATTATTTCTTTAGTGGATTATGCCACTGGTGTTGTATCTAAAAGGTCATCACCATGCCCAAGTTCATCTAGATTTTCTCCTACAGTATCTTCTAGGAGATTTATAGTTTTCCATTTTACACTTAGGTTTATAATAAATTTTAAGCTAATTTTGTGAAAGATGTAAAATCTGTGTCTAGTCTTCATTTTATTGCATATAGATATCCAGTTGTTCCAGCATCATTTTGAAAAGACTATCTTGGCTCCATCATATTGACTTTGCTTCAAAGGGCAAACTGATCTTTGTCAAAGATTAGTTGACTATATTTATATGAGTTTATTTCTAAGCTCTCTCGTCTGTTCCTTGACCTATTCATTTATTCTTTTCCTAATACCACACTTTCTTGATTACTGTAGCTTTATAATAATTCTTAAAGTCGGGTAGTGTCAGTCCTCTGACTTTGTTCTTCAATGTCATGTTCAATTTGTGGGGGGCTATTCTGGGTCTTTTGCCTTAACTGTAATTTTCTCTTTTTTTCCTGGTTTTAATGGCTGCCCTAAAGTTTGCAATCAACATTTACAATTAATTCAGATCCACTTTAAATAACATGCCACTTCATGGGTGTTACAAGTACCTTATACTAACAAAATATTCCTAATTCTTCCCTCTAGTCATTTATATCATTGCTGTCATTTATTTCACTTATACATAAGCATACATAACTGAATACATTGCTGCTATGATTTTGAACAAAATATTATCTATTAGATCAATTAAGAAAAATAAAAGATTTTTCCCTTCACTTATTTCTTTTCTACTGTTTATAATTATTCTTTATTCCTTTCTTTATATAGTTGTGACTTTCTGACCTATATTAATTTATTTTTCCATAAATAATTTTTTTAATATTGTTTTTTGAGACAGAACTACTGGCAACAAATTCCCTCAGTGTTTGTCTGAGAAGGTATTTATTTCTCTTTTCCTTTTGAAAGATAATTTTACAAGATAGCAGAATTCTAGGTTGGTGGATTTTTTCTCTGAACACTTTAAATATTTCACTCCATTGTTTTCTTGTTTGCATGATTTATTTCTTGCTTGTATAGGATGTAATTCTTATCTTTGCTCCTCAATAAGTAGGTATTTTTCCCCACCTCTGGCTTCTTTCAAGTTTTTTCTCTATCTTTGATTTTCTGCCATTTGAATATGGTATGTTTATGTGTAGGTCTTTTGGCATTTATCCTGCTTGTTGTTCTCTGAGCTTCCTGGATCTGTGGTTTAATGTCCATCTTAGTCGGTGATGCTGGAACAGCATACTACAGACTTGGCGATTTATAATAAACAGAAATTTATTGGTTCACAGTTGTGGAGGTGAGGAAGTCCATTATCAAAGTGCCAGCAGGTTTTACATCTGTTGAGGGCCTGGTCTCTACTCCTAAGATGGTACCTTAAACCCTGCATCTTCTGGAAGAAAAAACACTGTTCCTCACATAGCAGAAGGGCAGAAGAGCCAAGAGAGAAAGCCCTCTGGCAAAATTCCTTTTATTAAGATGTTAAACCCTCCCATGAAGGTGGAGCCCTCATGGCCTAACACCAAATAAAGGTCCTACCTGTCAATACCATTATATTGGCAATTAAATTTCAACATAACTTGTGGAGGGATCAGACATTCAAACCAAAGCAGTGTCTGACAGTAATTTGGGGGAGATTCTGTCATTATTGCTTCAAATGTTGCTTCTGTTCTTTTATCTCTTTCTTCTCTTTCTGTTATTCACATTACACATATATTACAACTTTCGTAGTTGTCCCACAGTTCTTAAATATTCTGTTTCCTTTTTTTAGTCTTTTTTTTCTTTTTGCTTTTCAGTTTTGAAGTTCCTATTGACTTATCCTCAAGTTCAGAGATTCTTTTCTCAGCTATGTCTAATTTATTAATAAACCTATCAAAGACATTCTTCATTTCTGTTACAGCATCTGTGCACATCTCTAGTGCTTCTTTTTGATTCTTTCTTAAATTTTCCATCCCTCTGCTTATATTATCTATCTGTTCTAGCATGTTATCTCCTTATTTCCACTAGAACCCTTTGCATATTATCCATCATTGTTTTAAGCTTGTAGTCTGATAATTCCAATGTGCCTGCCATATCTGAGTCTGGTTCTGATGCTTCAGTTTCCTCAAACTGTTTTTGCCTTTTGGTATGACTTGTAATTGTTTTGTTGAAAGCCAGGTATAATGTATAATACTAGGTGAAAGGAAATGTTATACATAGGCCTTCAGTAATGTGGTGGTAAGATGTAGGAGGAGGGTAAGTCTTCTATAGTCCTATCATTAAATCTTAGCCTTTTTAGTGGGCCTCTGCCCCTTGGCTGTGAACTTAATAAGTACCTCTCCGTTTTGTTTTGTTTTGTTTTTTCTCTTCTGGCCTTAGGTGGAGCAGGGTGGCTGAAATGGGCTGGACTTAGTTATTTTCCTTTCCCAGGTTGGTTAGTCACTGGTAAAATCCCAGCAGTTTAGGCTCTGGTAAAATCGTTTCTCTTGAGGACAGGAAGAACAGAGTGCACTGGCACATTTAACAATGGTTTCTTTCCCTCTCTCCCTGCCATAAACACAAGGAGATTCTTTTTTAAATCTTTGCTGTAAGAACCTAGTAGAGCCCCAAGATGTAAAACTTACAAAAGTTTCTGGGATCTTGGAGTGTTTTAACTCACAGACTTAGCCACACTTAAGCCTTCAACACTTTCTAAATCACAGTTCAGGTTTTCCTACCTTGGTACTGGTGCCCCCAAGAAGTGGGATTCTGTTTTGGGGTTTCTGATCCAGTAAGTTGTAATTCTCTGTATCTGCCTGTCTGTCTCTCCAATTTCAGGGACAGAAGTTTTCCCTGTGATCTCATACCTTTCAAGGATCTTAGAAAAGTTATTGATTTTTCAGCTTGTTCACTTTTTTACTTGTTATTAGGAAAGAGAGGTGACTTCCAAACTGCTTAAATGCTGGATCAGAAACTGGAAATCCTAATTTATACATATGGTCCATATTATCTAATAAATTAGTGATAACATTTTGTCTTTTTTTCCCCATCTCCTCCATTGGAATGGAAACTCCATGAGGGTAGGAGCATGTTTTATTTTATTTTCACCTTCTACAACAGTTATCTTATATATTTCATTTTATTCACTGCTATGTTCCCTGAACCCACATCAGTACCTTGGACTCTTCTCAGTTCTCAATAAACTCAATCCATCTTTTTGAGTGAATTAAACAATGTCAGCTTTGCTCAATCAATGCTTTTTGAGTGAATTAAACAATATCAGCTTTTGTGCTAATCCCAGTTCACCTGCTTTGTTTGTGAGCAACCTCATCCAGAAAATGAGAATAGAAATACCTTACTCACAGAGCTGCTGTGGGGTTTAAACTTGATAATTAGTCAATGTAAGGATTAAAAATAATTATGACCTTGAGGAGATGTCTGTGTGGTGGGAGGCATGTTTCTCTGTCTGTTTTGTGATTGGTCTTCATCTCGCCTTGTTCATTTGAATCACAAGTGCTTAAGTAGAGAAAGAATGGCCAATGGGCTCTAGACAGACCTGAATTTACCCTGGGCTCTATGACTTTTTAACAGTTTCAAATGGGGTAAGATGTGGCAATTGGGGGTTTGTTTGTTGTTTTGTTTTGCTGATTTTTTGTGAGTTTTTTTGGTTAATTTTTTTTTTTACAATTTTCAAAAACCATTTTATTTCAGAATAATTTAGATTTTACAAAAAAGTTTCAAAGACAGAGAATTTCTGTATACCCAACATCCAATTTCCTCTATTATTAACACCTTATATCATGGTTCATGATATGGTTTGGCTGTGTCCTCACCCAAATCTCATCTTGAATTCCTACATGTTGTAGGAAGGACCCCGTAACAGGTAATTGAATCGTGGGGGAAGGTCTTTCCTGTCCTGTTCTCAAGATAGTGAATAAGTCTCATGAGATCTGATGGTTTTAAAAAGGGGAATTTCCCTACACAAGCTCTCTTTTTTGTCTGCTGCCATGTGAGATGTGCCTTTCACCTTCTGCCATGATTGTGAGGTCTTCCCAGCCACGTGGAACTGTAAATCCAATAAACCTCTTTCTTTTTGTAAATTGCCCAGTCTTGGGTATGTCTTTATCAGCAGCATGAAAACGGACTCATACAGTAAATTGGTACAGGAGAGTGGGGCACTGCTGAAAAGATACCCAAAAATGTGGGAGCCATTTTGGAACTGGGTAGCAGGCAGAGTTTGGAACAGATTGGAGGGCTCAGAAGAAGATAGAAAAATGTGTGAAAGTTTGGAACTCCCTAGAGAATTGTTGAATGGCTTTGACCAAAATGCTGATAATGATATGGACAATGAAATCCAGGCTGAGGTGGTCTCAGATGGTGATATGGAACTTGCTGGGAACTGGAGCAAAGGTGACCCTTTTTATGTTTTAGCAATGAGACTGGTGGCATTTTGCCCCTGCCCTAGAGATTTGTGAGAACTTTGAACTTGAGAGAGATGATTCAGGGTATCTGGTGGAAAAAATTTCTAAACAGCAAAGCATTCAAGATGTGATTTGGGTGCTGATAAAGGCATTCAGTTTTAAAAGGGAAGCAGTGTACAAATTTCAGAAAATTTGCAGCCTGACAATGCGATAGAAAAGAAAATCCCATTTTCTGAGAAGAAATTCAAGCCAGCTGCAGAAATTTGCATAAGTAATGAGTCAAATGTTAATCCCCAAGACAATGGGGAAAATGTCTCCAGGGTATGTCAGAGGTCTTCACAGCAGCCTCTCCCATCACAGGCCTGGAGGCCTAGGAGGAAAAAGTGGTTTTGTGGGCTGGACCCAGTATCCCCATGCTGTGTGCAGCCGAAGGACTTGGTGCCCTGTGTCCCAGCTGTGCCAGCTGTGGCTGAAAGGGACAAATGTATAGCTTGGGCTGTATCTTCAGAGGGTGCAAGCCCCAAGCCTTGGCAGCCTCCACATGGTGTTGAGCCTGCAAGTGCACAGAAGTCAAGAACTAGGGTTTGGGAACTTCCACCTAGATTTCAGAAGATGTATGGAAATGCCTGGATGCCTTGGCTGAAGTATGCTGCAGGGGTGCAGCTCTCATGGACAACCTCTGCTAGGGCAGTGTGGAAGGAAAATGTGGGATGGGAGCCCCCACACAGAGTCCCTACTGGGGCATTGCCTAAGGGAGCTGTGAAAAGAGGGACACCATCCTCCAGACCCCAGGATGGTAGATCCAACTACAGCTTGCACTGTGTGCCTGGAAAAGCCACAGACACTCAATGCCAGCATGTGAAAGCAGCCAGGAGGGAGGTTGTATTTTGCAAAGCCACAGGTGTGGAGCTATCCAAGACCATGGGAACCAACCTCTTGCATCAGCGTGACCTGGATGTGAGAAATGGAGTGAAAGGAGATCATTCTGCAGCTTTAAGATTTGACTGCCCTGCTAGATTTAGGACTTGCATGGGGCCTATAGGCCCTTTGTTTTGGCCAACTTCTCCCATTTGGAATGACTGTATCTACCCAATGCCTGTACTCCCATTGTATTTAGGAAGTAACTAACTTGTTTTTGATTTTACAGGCTCATAAGTGGATAGGACTTGCCTTGTCTTGGATGAGACTTTGAATGTGAACTTTTGAGTTAATCCTGAAATGAGTTAAGATTTTGGGGGATTGTTGGGAAGGTATGATTTGTTTTGAAATGTGAGGACATGAGATTTGGGAGGGGCCAGGGGCTGAATGATATGGTTTGGCTGTGTCCCCACCTGAATCGCATCTTGAATTCCCATGTATTGTGGGAGGGACCCAGTGGCAGGTAATTGAATCATGGGGGCAGGATTTTTCCTGTGCTGTTCTCATTATAAGGAATAAGTCTCACGAGATCTGATGGTTTTAAAAATGAGAATTTCCCCGCACAGGATCTCTTTTCTTGTCTGCTGCCATGTGAGATGTGCCTTTCACCTTCTGCCATGATTGTGAGCTCTCCCCAGCCACGTGGAAGTGTAAGTCCAATAAACCTCTTTCTTTTTGTAAATTGCCCAGTCTCAGATATATCTTTATCAGCAGCATGAAAGCAGACTAATACAGTGTGTTTGTTACAACTAATGGACTGATACTGATACATTATTATTAACTAAACTCCATACTTTATTTAGATTTCATTAGTTTTTCCTTTTTCTCTCCTAGTATTCCATACAGGATAACATACTACATTTAGTCATTACATCTCTTTAAGTTCCTCCTCAGGCTTTCCATGTATATGATGACCTTCACCATTTAGAGGAGTAATGATTATGTGTTATATAGAATGTCCCTCATTTGGGATTTGACAGGTGTTTTTCTCACAATTAGATTGGGATTATAGGTTTTTGGGAGAAAGCACATAGATCAAGTGTCATCCTCAACATATCATACTAAGGATGCATGTTATCAACATGACTTATCACTGGTGATGTTAATGTTGATCACCTGGCTAAGGTAGGGTTTGCCAGCTTTCTCCAATGTATAATCACTGTTTTTTTAATACTGTACTATTTAGAAGCAATTCACCAAACATAGCCCACATCTAAAGAATGCAGCGTTATGTTCCACCTCCTTGAGGGCAGAATAGCTAAACAAATTATTTTGAATTCTTCCATACAGATTTATCTTTTCTTTCCCATTTATTATTTATTCAATCATTTATTTAGACTCTAAACCTATAGGTACCTATTTTATATTTGGTGTTATAATTCCAATGCTATTTCATTTATTCTGTTCCATACACTGTTCCATCTTTGGCCTTTGAATGCTGTCAGTAAGCTGTTGTGTTCCTTTGACATACCTGCTGATATGGTTTGGCTGTGTCCCCACCCAAATCTCAACTCGAAGTATATCTCCCAGAATTCCCACATGTTGTGGGAGGGACCCAAGGGGAGGTAATTGAATCATGGGGGCAGGTCTTTCCCATGCTATTCTTGTGATAGTGAATAAGTCTCATGAGATCTGATGGGTTTATCAGGGGTTTCTGCCTTTTCTTCTTCCTCATTTTTCTCTTGGTGCTGCCGTTCACTCATGATTCTGAGCTTTCCCCAGCCATGTGGAACTGTAAGTCCAATTAAACCTCTTTTTGTTCCCAGTTTCGTGTATGTGTTTATCAGCAGCATGAAAACAAACTAGTACGCCTGCCTTATTTTGTTTGAGCACTTCCTTATTTTCTGGCACTACAAGATGATTCAGGCCATCTTGTATATTTCCTCACCAAGTCTTAGGACCAGTTATTTCTCCAAAGATCCCAGATTCATTTTATTCAAGAACAGAGTATTAGAAAACCAAGGTATATAACTGCCTCTAGGTCCTCTCAGCAGACAGACCTGGGAAATACATGTATGTATACTAACTGTTTTTTATATATATATAATTATTTCTATATTGATCTATCAGCATCTATATTAAGCTACATATGAGTTTATAATCATGTCTCCAACTGTAATCCAGTACCACATGGCTCATTCTAGCCTTGAAAAAAGTATTTTAAAAGCTTCAATGATTATAACTACATGAGACCGACAAGAGAAAAACTAGCAGCTAGCATGGGCCTCATTGGCCCAGGGGAGAGATTTTGTATGACTATTTTGAGCAATTCCTAGAAATGGAATGGAAGGAGCCAGTTCTGGAGCAAGGTGACTTATTGACTGCATCTAACATGCTGTGGCAGGCATTAAATAAATACTCACTCTAGGGCCTGGCATTAAACAAAGAACTAGGATAAATCTAAAATTATGGACCTTATCTTCTCTCCCACGTATTTATTGAACGAATATTTGTTGACAGCCTACTAGGCGCAAGATTATGCTCTGGATATGCAATAGTGAACAAAGCAAGCATTCCCTGCCCTTCAGGAGCTAGACTATAAATGAAGAGAGAGAGACAGTAAACAAATATAGACACATATAAGTATATGGTTACAAACTGTGCTGTGGGATATGAAGGAAGAGAACAAGAGCAAGACTAAAGGGGGTACTCAATTTGGACTTGCAGTCTGGTATCGTGTATTTTGCTTCCCCTGAGAATAGGAGAAAAGGCTTCAATTTTCACAGAAAGGTTTAGATTTGGGCATTTCCTAATACAAAGGATGCTAAATGTTAGAGTGCTTTACCAACAAGAAGTAGAGTACATTCTACTTTGCCTTTTTGAGGAGGGCTAACTGGTAGAGAAGTGTTATTTTATTAATGCTTTTACTACAAATTGTTTTCAGTTCTGCATTTCCAGGTTGGGGGAGGGAGCCAGATGCCACACTGGTGCCTGGGTTCTTCATGTGGTTTGCCTCAAGAAAACTAAAAAGCAAGCTATTTATCCCCAGTGTTTACAGGAATCTCAACCGGGTTACATAAAAGAAGAGATGTATTTGCATGCAGCAACATAGAAATAGAAATGACATTCCTATCTGCTGACAGGGAAACTTTGCCTAATGTCACTTATTACACATACAATGTCTTTTGTAAACTCTCCTAACATGCTTATTAAATGTGTGTGTGTGTGTGTGTGTGTGTGTGTGTGTGTGTGTGTGTGTTTTGAGAAAACCTGGGAAGTGGTTTGATAATTATAGCCCCGAGTTAACATAGCCTACCCCCACATGCTTAGTTCCAGTTTTCAGATTCCCACTGCTGGTGATTAGTACCCCTGTGGACCATCCTGACCACATCTTTGCCTTCTTGATACTTATCTTTCAAACCTAGCAATTATCAGGCAAATCTTCGCTACCACCATAGCATTCAGAACCTCCTGACCTTACAGACTTGCCAGGACTCAGCACTAAGGAGCTTTGATTCTTCTTGCTGTGCTGCTGAGAGCTGTGTCTTCTATATTAAGATTGTGCAAATCACATTCCAAAGAATGCCCACTTCCAAGCTGTATGCAGCAAGTACTTGTTTATAATTTATGTGATATTATTTTGTCATTCATATTTCCCTCTTCTTTTCTTCCTTATCCTATATCACACTTGTAATTGTTTAGCTACTCTGCCCCTCCAAATTACATTTCTCCCTGCTTCTAAGCATTGTATTTACTTTTTCGGGGGTCAGATTTGAGATGCCATTCACTCTCTCTCTTGTCAGGGATGTTTCTCAATTCCAAGTGTCATTGCCTTCTTGATTTTGCTAGGAGGCAGTTTGGTGTAGCTAAGGGCATGGGCTTTGGGGACAGACTTCATTAGCTGGAATCCTGACTTGCACTCAGGAGCTATAAAATCCTTAGGGAAAATTTACCTTCTTTGAGCCTCAAGTTCTCATCTGTTTAATGGCAATAATAGTATATATCTCTAGGTCATTAAGAGGATTCAATAAGGTAATATTAGGACAACGTCTGGCATACAGTAAGCCTATGTAGATGTTAGTGACCATTATAATCGTAACCATGCACTTCCCAGGAGCAATGCGACTTAAGGCTATGAAAGTCCACTCTGAGTCAGACTTCCTGGATTTGAGTCCTAGTATCAACAACTCCTTGCTGTATACACTGGGCAATTTAATCTCTCTGAGTCTCTGCTTTCCTCCTCTGAAAATATAGATACTAATTGTACCTTTCTCATATGGTATTTGTAAGAATTCAAATGAGATAATGAATATAAAGCACATGAAATGAGCCCTGACACATGATTTTTTAAAAAAAGATCCAAATGGAAATTCTGCAACAATGAAATTACTAAAACTGAGGCCGGGTGCAGTGGCTCATGCCTGTAATCTCGGCACTTTGGGAGGCTGAGGTGGGCAGATCACTTGAGGTCAGGAGTTCAAGACCAGCCTGGCCAACATGGTAAAACCCCGTCTCTACTACAAATACAAAAATTAGCTGAGTGTGATGGTGCATGCTTGTAATCCCAGCTACTCAGGAGGCTGAGGTGGGAGGATCACTTGAACCCGGGAGGCACAGGCTGCAGTAAGCCAAGATTGCACCACTGCACAGCCTAGGTGACACAGCAAGACTCTGTCTCAAAAAATAAAAATAAATAAATAAATAAAACTGAGAACTCAATAGATGGGTTAGCAGAAGACTAGATTCAGAAGAAGAGATAATTCTTGAACTGCAACATAAGTCACTAGAATATATTCAGATTAGAGCACAATGAAAAAGAAGTGTAGAGTATACAAAAAAAAGGATTAAAGGCATATGAGATTTAGAGAAAAAGTCTAATGCATTGGTATTTGGACTCCTCCAATTGAGAAGAAAGAAGATAAAGCCGATGTAATATTTGAATATCTGTTAAATGTTGCATAATTAAATATTCCTCAGTTTCCCAAAACTGATGAAAGGCGTCAAATTCTCAAGAAGCTCCAGGAATTCCAAGAAAGAGAAATGCTACGAAATCCATACCTGGCCATCAGAGTAAAACTGCTGAAAATCAAAGACAGAAACTTCAGGAAGTAGCCAGTGAAAAAGAGATATATTATCAATAAAAGAGCAACAAGAAAATTTCTATTTGACATTTGAACAGAAATTATAAAAGCCAAAAGAGAATGGAATTGTATTTTTAAAATGAAGGGCCAACCTGGAATTCTATATTTCAAAAAAAATCATAAAGTTGGAGAACTTATATTATTGGGATATGAAGTTTATTTTAAAGTCAAGGTAATTCAGGTAGTGTAGGTATTACCTAAAAACAGGTGAATAGGTCAATGGGGAAAAATAGAAAGCCCAGGAATAGAATAGAAAGTCCAAAAACAGGCCCACACATACACATTTACTTTATTTATGACAAAAAGGCTATTGTGGGTTGACTTGTGTCCCCCCAAAAGATATATACTGAAGTCTTGACTCCTGGTACCTCAGCATGTGACCTGCTTTGGGTATGGGGTGGATGCAGATATAGTTAGTGAAGACAATAAGGTCTTAACCAAAGTAGGATGGGTCCTTAATCCAATATTACTGATGTCCTTATGAGAAGAATGACATTTGAGCACAGATACAGACACATGGGGAGAGAAAATTACATGATAATAGAGGCAATGATTGAAGTGATGCATGCAAGCTATGGAATGTCAAATATTGCCAGCAAACCACCAGAAGTTACAAAGAGGCATGGAAGGATTCTCCACTGCAGGTTTCTGAGGAAGCACGACAACTTGCTGACAACCTGATTTTGGACTAACCTCCAGAGTTAGTCCAAGACTAACTTGAGTTTGGACTAACCTCCAGAAGTTTGAGACAATACATTTCTGTTGTTTCCAACCACACAGTTTGTGGTGCTTTGTTACAGCAGCCCTAGAAAAATGATGCAATGCCATTGTAATAAAGTGAGAATAATGATCCTTGAATAAATAGTGACAGACAAATTGAGAATCCATTTTTTATGGGAATCATGATCCTTGAAGAGTGACAGGCAAATTAAGTATCCATTTTTTAATTATCTTAATATTACACTAAAGAGGATAAAAGTTTTACTACAAAAGATAACATTATATCTTAATATTTATGAGTGAAAATAATCAAGTAGTCAATAAACACATGAGAAATACTTAATGTCATTAATTTTTAAAGAAGTAAAAACTAAACCACAATGAGATTCTACAGCATATGTCTCAGATTTTAATTTGGCTAAAATTAAAAATAAGCCTGACAATACCAAGTGTGGGGATGAGGGCAGTTGGAACGCTCATACACTGCTGATAGAATTGTAACTGCTATAGCCACCTTGGAAAATGATGAGGTAGTGTCTACTAAAGCAGGACTTACACATGTTCCAGTGATCCAGAAACTCCACTCTTAGGTATATATGCAAAAATGCAAAATATGTATACCAAAAGACATGCATAAGAATGTTTATAGCAGCATTATTTCTAATAGTAAAAAAAAGATAAAAATAAAAAAACTAAAGCCTATTTTCCCTACAGTAAAATGGATTTAAAAATTTTCTACAATGAAATTAATGTAAATGAAATATTGCTACCTGAAGCAACAGGGATGAATCTCAAAAACATAATGATTAGAGGCCGGGCACAGTGGCTCACGCCTGTAATCCCAGCACTTTGGGAGGCCGAGGCAGGTGGATCACATGAGGTCAGGAGTTCGAGACCAGCCCGGCCAACATGGTGAAATCCTGTCTCTACTAAAAATACAAAAATTAGCCAGGCACGGTGATATGCACCTGTAATCCCAGCTACTTGGAAGGCTGAGGCAGGAGAATCAGTTGAACCCAGGAGGCGGAGGTTGCAGCGATCCAAGATCGCGCCACTGCAATCCAGCCTGGGGTGACAGGGCGAGACTCCATCTCAAAAAACAAAAAACAACAAATACATAAAGCTTAAAAGAGGCAAGTTAGCTTATCATGACAGAAATCAAAATGATGATTATCTTAGGAAGAAGGTTACTGCGTTAACGGACACAGGAGAGGCTTCTAGGATACTAGCAATGTTCTATCTCTTGATTCTGATGGTAATTCAGTGTGTGTTCCCTTTATAAAAATTCACTGAGCTGTGATCTTCTGATTTGCACACTACTTTTCTATATGTCTGTTATTCAAAGATAATGTTTATAAAAATAATACATGTGAATTAATTATCTTTTGCTCTGTAACAAATTATCTGAAAACTTAGCTTGAAACAGAACACATTTATTATCTGACAGTTTCTATGGGTCAAGAATCCAAGCATGACTTAACTTGCTCCTCAGGCTCTGGGTTTCTCACAAGCTATGGTAACCTCAAGGCTCAACCAGGAAGGATCTGCTTCCGAGCTCACTCACGTGGTTGTTGGCAAGATTCAGTTTTCTGCAAGTTGCCGAACCGAGGCCTCAGTTCCTCATGAGCTGTTTTTTTCCCTCCACTCTTTGCCATACAGGTGTCTCCATATAGCAGGTCAAAACATAGCAACAGAATGTGCCCACAAGAGAGGGTGCTAGCAAGATGGAGGTCATGGTCCTTTGTAACTTACTTGTAGAAATGACATCCCAACGCTTTTGCCATGTTTTATTCATTAAAAGCAAGTCATTGGGTCCAGCTCACACACAAGGGTGAGGATTACATAAAGGCATGGGTGCTAGGAGGCTGGGATCGCTGGGAGTCATTTTAGAAGACTACATACCACAGTATATTACCACTTGGAGCAAAGAACAACAACAAAATATAAACAAGTATTTATGAGTGGCTGCCCTTCCCTGTACATTTCCAAATGCACAGGATAAAGTCAGTCAGACAGAACTCTGTGTGAAATAGAAAGGTCTCCATTCCTGTTTTACTTTGGTTGTGTAGATGGAGTGATTGTGACTTTTAACTGACCACTGTTCTTCTCCCAAAAGAAATTAAATTAAATTAAATTATAAAGGGAAAAAACTATATCCACATAAAAAAGGGGCAGAATACTTTGTTTTAATGGTTTTTGAGGAGACTCTGCCCAGTAACAAATGTTCTTACTTATCCCACCACCCACTTGAAAAGCAACTGGCATTTGGGGAAAGAATGGTGTTGTCTGGCCTATTGCAGGAAGCCTCGTTTTATAGGAATGCAAGCATTACTGTGGAATAGGGAAGAAGAGAAAGAAAATGGGAAAATGGCCATCAACAACTGCTTTTAATGGAAATGGTATGAGAGCCACTCACCCTCTTCTACATGGTTTTGAGTCAGTGATCCCCAGAGAGCAAATCTGAGGCTGCAATGAAAAGACTTCATTTGAGAAAGCCTGGTCTGCAAGTTCTGTCTTCTTTGATGCCTCTTTGAGGGGGAATGTTTCCATTGTGTGTGGGTTTTTGATATGTAGCTTTGAAAAGAATACTAAATCCTTCCATGAAAAGGTTGAATATTGTGCTTTTTGCTGAGTAAAGAGAGTTGTTGTTTTTGAGTAAGACTGAAATCCCACTCAAAGTTCTCATTTATTCATGATCTGCCACTTCCTCAAGAGGCACATAAATGCACCCTTCCTTTTATTTATTTCTTTTCCATGGAGGGCCTGGCCATTCTGTTGTTTAATAAGAACAGAAATATAAGACTAAAAGAGACTAAAGCATGGAAATGCAGGTAAGTTTTTTTTTTTCTTTTGAGACGGAGTCTCACTCTGTCGCCCAGGCTGGAGTTCAGTGGCGCCATCTCAGCTCACTGCAAGCTCTGCCTCCCGGATTCACGCCATTCTCCTGCCTCGGCCTCCCGAGTAGCTGGGACTGCAGGCGCCCGCCACCACGCCCGGCTAATTTTTTGTGTTTTTAGTAGAGATGGGGTTTCACCGTGTTAGCCAGGATGGTCTCGATCTCCTGACTTCGTGATCCACCCACCTTGGCCTCCCAAAGTGTTGGGATTACAGGCTGAGCCACCGCACCCGGTGCCGGTAAGATTTTTTGAAGAGTGAGGAAAAGATTGAGGCAGGGATGTCATCTCACTAGGCTACAGGCTTGATGTACTGAAGTTGGAGACAGTGGAGGCTGAAGTCTGCAAAGACCACGCTCCATGCTAAATTCTCTCACTCCCAGTGCAAGAAAATCCAGTGGAAATTACAGTACCATGTTAATGCACAGAAATTCAGCTAACCAGACCCTTCAAATAACTGGAATTGTCTGCTGCTCAGCACTATAGGAAAATAGTAAGAAAGCAAGTAAGAGCTAGGGTTTGTTTACACAGCATGCTGTATGGCATGGTCCAGCAAAAGGACACTATTGTTTTGTGCTTCCCAAACTTGGCTGAAAATCAAAATTACCTGGTGAGCTGTTTCCAACTTAGAGTTCTACAACCTCATCTAAATCTACTATATCAGAATCTCTAGGAATGAGGTGTGTGAGCATCAGTGTTTTGAGAAAAGACATTTAAGTGAAAAGTTTAAAAAGTATTTTAGTAGGGAATACAAACACACTTTCTCAATGCAAAGCAAACAGAGACTTCCAGATTACAGTGATAATCTAGGATCACAGACCTTCCACCTTAGAGTCCCAGTAATTGAGGTAATGTAGAAAATTTCAATTGTGCAGATAATAGCCTGAATCCTATTCATTTTATGAACATGAGGTCCAAGGGAAATAGAGTGTCCCCTAATTACCAACCTTTTGCTGATAATTTCACAATTATTTCTATGCCACTTAATGGCATTTTGTTATGTTCCTTAAAAGCTCCCTGTTTACTACATTTTACAAGATATATGTCAGTGCTTAAACTGTCCATTGAAGGGCACAATTAAACCCTCTCTAATTACACTTTCCATACAGTTGCCATCTCTGGCTGTCCCATTTTCCAAATGGAAGCAATCTGTCTCTCTCAGTCTTTCACATGTGCCAGGTAATTGGAAATGGGGCAATTTTAACTTTCCTAGAAACATTTACTTTTCAGCCTTTGGACTTCAATTTCCACTCCTCATAGTGATAATAGTATAGGGTGGAAAGATTTCCTTTCCTCAACACATCCCTAGGTACATGGCTGAGGCCCCATAACAAAGGACAGATTCACAAGAGAAAAGCATACAAATTTATTTAGTATAAGTTTCCTGTGACACGGGAGCCTTCATAAGGAAATGAACCCCCAAAGAAACAGGGAAACCTGTGTATTTTTTACGTTAAGTGTGATGAAGAAATGAATAGTCAGGGAGATGTGCAATTGGACAAAGAGGGTATCATCTAATGGTAATAAACGAGGAAGAACTTAGGAAGGTCTGTTTTTCACATCTCCTCTGTGTCCTTGTGTCTTCAGAGATAAGGATGTTCCTTTCCTCTAGTATAGGGAGAGCACCTCTCAAAGGAAAGTCTTATGAACTGCTTCAGGAGAGAATGGCAAGGGGAAGGTGAGGGTGACCTTCCTGCTTCTACTGTCTTCTCAAATGCCAAGGTAATGTGTCCTAAATTCCATCATTGGTTTGCTGCCTCCCGGCTTGTGTCTGCCAGGCTGGGCTGGAAGGAACTCTTCTTTCTTTTCTCTCTTTCAAGGGGGTGGTAAGCCACAAGCACTCTGGGAAGCCTGTTCAGGAAGTCCTCCTTAACACCCATCAGGAAGATCTTTCTGTCTAAACTAGATAAAAAATACATTAAGAAAAGCTCATCTCCTCTGCTTCCATCAAATAGCACTCATTCTCAAGAACTGCACTGAATCATTTAAGCATGTGAAAACAGTATAGACAAAGAAACTTCCTTAAAGTCCTCATTCACATTCATTAACCACCAGATTTCTTCCAACCGGCAGATTGTATTTTTCAATCAGTCTGAACAAAATTGTATTCGGCATCACTGTTGATTCAAACACAGAACGATTTCACACATCCAGCCTGACATGGCCACACTAAGCACACATTACCCAGATCAGTTTCTCTTTAATTTAGCATCTGCACCAGCCTCAAAGTTATGGGCTACTTTCATGCAGCTGCTCAACAAAAAGAAACAGAGGATATAGGTAACAGGCTTCATTCTTTGCAAAGCATTTTAATTAGGGTCCACATGCCTGATGTGATGGGTAAAGACCAGGAACTTGGGAGTAGATGTATTTGGAGTCCTCATTTGCCATCTTCTTGCCATGTAATCAAGGGAAGTAACTTGTTCTCTCTAAACCTTATTTTTATCATTTGTAAAACAGAAGCAATCCACCCACTGATTCTTAGTGTTGTTATGAGAATACAGTTAGAAGAATGCAACAGTGCGTTATAAGCTGTCAAGGGTCATCAAAGTGTATGGAGTTGTAACTGGCCACCTGTTTGGTTTTCCAACTATGCTAGTCTGTATTTAGTGCTTGTGACCAAATTGTTTCATTTTTCAAGATTTCCCTAGCAAATAGTTTATGCATGAATCGTGGATCAAATGATAGGGTGGGGGACGGGAGATGTGGAAGTGAAAGTCATCTACCACTTTAGTGGATAATTATTTATTTAACAATATGTCCTCGTTGTGAATCTGTCCTCTATTAATTTCATTATTTATCAAATATATATTGAACACTTGCTGTATGCCAGGCACTGTCCTAATTCATGGGAAATGTCAATAATTAGAAACATATCCATAATATATTGCACTGCATACATATTATGTGGCACATGGTGAGAAATGCAGCTAAGGAAGATAGAGGGTATTCAGTGCTATTTCACACAGCGAATTGTGGAAGTCTTCTCTGATAATGTGGTATCGGAGCAGATTTCTGAAGAAAGGTGAGAGTCACAGGGCTTTTTGGTAGAAGAATATTTAAAGCAGAGGAAACAACAGTATGAATGTCTGAGTCAGGGATGTGTTTGGAGCATTTGGAGAATAGCAAGGATGCCTGAGGCTGGAGCACAGTGAGGAAGACAGTGACTTGTAGGGAGAAAGATCAGAGGAGTAGCTGGGGCCAAGTTGGGTAGGGCCAAATAAATCTTTGTAAGGATGTTGGTTTTTAGTTTAATGAAATGAGAAGCCACTAGGGGATTTTTAGCTGAAGAGTGGCGTGATCTGACTCAACTTGTTGAAAAAAACACTCTGGTTGCTGTGTGGGGAATGTTTGGAAGCTGGCAAGTTAGTTAGGAACCACTGTGTAATCTAGGCAAGGGATGATAGTGGCTTAGAATGGGGTGGTGTTGGAAGAGGTGATGAGATGGTGTCAGGCTCTGAACGTCTTTCGAAAGCTTGACAGGATTTGCTGATAGTCAATAGGCAGTGTGAGAGAGAGACACAGTCAGGGATAACACTGCGATTTTTAGCCAGAGAGCTGGAAGTTTGAATTTACAACTTACTAAGACGGGAAGACAGTGGTGAGTAGGTCTATAAGGTAGAGGGAGAAACAAGAGCTCCATTTTGGACATATTGAGTATGAAGTGCCTATCTACATCCATATCAGGGAGAGTGGGCATTTGGATAGATAAGCCCAGAGTTCAGTTGCAGAGTCTGAGTTGGATATGGGAACATGGGGTCTTTAGCATCTGGACACCTTTAAAGCAATAGGAGCAGATGAAATCACCCAGAGAGTAAGGTCAGACAGAGAAGAGGAGATGTCTGAGCATTTTTCTGTTTCTATTTCTAAAATTCCATCTAGTTTTTAAGAAAATAACCTTCAGGGAGCCATTATCATGTACTTAGAGACTCCTCCATCTGGTATAAGACTTCTACCACACTGGCACAACCCAAGTCCCCAACCTTATGTCTCCTTCCTCCTTACTTGTTAAAGTATGCTCCAAACAGATATCACTGACCATTTCCTGAATCTTACCTTACACTTCCCTGCCTTTACACCATTATATGTCTTATTTTATTCACCAGGACAGGTCACCCAAATTTTGGCCTATGAGATACCACCATTCTCCCAAGGCCCAGTTGAAATCCTATGTCCATGATGGAGTGACTCCTATTCTAGCATAACCAAATCTGACCTCCTGCTCTTTCTTAGTAACCACTCTATTCATTTGTACCCATGGCAGATGCAGTTTAGATTACTTGGCACTCACCCTAGCCCTCTTCTGAGCTACTTTTTTGTACTGAAGAAGCTGGAAGACTAAAAAACTCCTTCTCACCTATAGGGTTTCCACCTATGATCTAGGTTCCTTGAGTGAGCGCTGGGGCTCACATCAGACTTGGAAGGCAGAAGTGGCCACTGTAAAGTAACATCTACACTCAGGGAATTTGGATATTATGGCAGAGGAATTTTATTCTCTGGAGGCATTGGGTAGAGTCCCTAGGGTCTTACTTAGGTGTTGCATGGGGGACAGTAGAGGCCACAACAGTGTGGTTTCACTAAATGGTTTTGCAGTCTTCTTGCGCATTTCTTCTGGCTGTGCAGCACCCAACCTGGTTTCCCTGGTCTGTCTAGAAATTCTGTAAGTGACTTAATATTCTTTCATAACCCCTTTACTACTCAAAGTCAATAGATTAGATTCTGATATTTGCAATTAAACCTCCTGACCGATAAAATACCTTTCTTAAATATAGTATAGCATCTTGCTTTGCTGTATAACATGTTTTACTGCATTTTTATTATTTTCTCTACTAGGTTGTATAATAACTCTTTTTAAGATAGGCAATAACTGTATCAAACTCCCCCCCTTGTGTACAGTACAGCACCTAACTGTGTGTGAGGAGTCCCAGCAAAGTCACAGAAATGCTGCAAAGTACTTTAACACAGTGACATCTGTTGAACACTGAACAAACTACTACTATTGGCTCATTTGGACCTATCTACTTAATAAAGGGTATTGTTTACTCACATTGTAAAAAAATCACTGTGCCCTCAGTAATCAAGAAAATTTCATACAACACCTCTGTTCTAGATGCGTAATACAAATATACGTGCGTCTCATCTGTACTTAGATGAGACTCGGGAAGTACAGTCCTTTGGAGTTCAGGAATAAAGGGAAACTTGGCCCATATGGATACCAGTTAAGGCAGGGAGGACTGAAAAATAGGACTTTATTTGGACTTAAACTAGGTAGCATCCCAAATGTGATTTTTAAATTTTGATTGAAAATTATGGGAAATGCCCCAATGCCCACAGAGGCCACGCAGAGGATCTGTACATCACTGACTGTGCATCACTAACACTCTTATAGTAGCTCTTCTGAAGTCTCCTTGTAAGCTTCCTCTTTATTTCTTATGCCTCTACATTGCAGCATTCTATTGGCTAAAATGAAGCAAATGAACCCACGAGGAGGTCAAATATAGGCAGACAGCCTAGCTAAGGCTATGATGGAGATGAAAGGCTGTATTCTGATTGTTGGCATGCCAGCTTATATCTTCTGCCAAATTATATTTATACAGCTGAGAGGAGTATGTTAGTTTCGTGTTCCTTCCACCCAGGAGTCAGAGCCATTTTCTCAAGAGAAGGATCCTAAATGGAATGCATATGTTTTACAATACCCAAATGAGCTTCCCATCCTCAGATCCTTGAGCCCCTAAATACCACTGCTTCAGCTAAGCTGGTAGGCTCCTTTCTGGCCAGAACTCTGATTAGAATCCAAATTTTACATGATTGTACTTCAGAATCAGATTTGAACCATGTTGGGGTTTTGTAGTGTGTGAATTCAACTCATCATGGTTACTGAGGTTTAGGATTCATCTGAAAGAGCTAGAGTTAGTGTGAGGAGACATTTTATCAGACAGTTTTCAACTCTGCCAAGTTTTCCCAAGAGCTCAGAAACTGTGGTCCAAACCTGGGACCTCTTCCACCAAAAGCAGCAATTAGGCAGCTGAAACTCAACCCACCAAGTCAACTTGGATTTGCCTCATGGAAATGTGAGTCAGCATTCTCTGGGGAGCAGTAGCCAGGCCTGTGGGCCACTGTATATAGACAGAGAATGTAAGGCATTGACAAGCAAGTTCCATTTTACAGAAAGAAATCAAGTTATAAGCAAGTTGCTCTACGAATCAGAGGTCCATAAAGAGAAGAATATGGCTGCTCTTAAAGCAATCGTTACAGAGCTCTCTCTATATATTTTTAAACACTTAATCTAACTTCCATTTAAAACTGAGAATTGTACTTGGGGCCAGAGCTAAAGAGAAGAGACGGTGGTGAGAAACACTGGAAACAGCTTTTTTTTATTATAGTTGGAAAGAAATGAGTGTAATCTTATAGTTGCTCTGTCTTGTCTTCAACTTTTACAGAGCTGTGCAGAGCAGATGATGACTGAGAACACTATAGAAGGTAAACCAAATGCTGTCTTTTTTCCCTTGAGAACCAAAGCAGGGGTTGCTCTGTGAGAGAGAAAACATTCCACTTATAAGCATGCCTCCCTGTGGGAGAGGGAGAACATCAGTGACTCTTTATCAGCTAAGGATGTGGTGAGGACAGAATCCCAAAGAAAAGCAGAAACAAAACATGCAAATGTCTGCTTCAGCAACCTTTTTTGCCAAAGCAGATGTAATATGTGTGTTGGTGATGTTTGCTGCTTTACTAGGGAGGTAGCCTCTCCTTACTTTGAAACACTGAAAGCAGCCTGACCTAAAATCATAAATAAAATATTGGACATGCCCCCAAAGGCCCTGACAGGTGAGTGATGTCAATAACTCAAATGACCTGGCACTTATTTTAATTTGGGGTCATTCTGGCAGGCCCTCATTTTCTCTGCCAAAGAATTACTTATTTGCTAATAGCGGATTGTTTGAGGGTGGAGAGAATTCCAGATGAGGAATCATCAGATACAGGTGGCTCATGTGCACTGTCATTAAGGTAGGATATAGGAAGTTCAGTTCAACTCTTGTCAGTAATGAGACAGGACAGAATGAAAATGTTTTCTAAGATCATTTCCAATGTGAACAATTTCTGATGTTAAGACTTTATGAATTTACTCCCTCGGTTTTTATCCAACTGACCCAGCCTCTTTCCAACTATCCTCTCACTTCTCATCATTGTTCCTTCCTCCAGCACACACAGCCATGCACTATGCTCTGTTTATTCTTGTTTAAAGGCCAAGTCAAACTGTGATATATGCCCATAAGTAATTCATCTCATTGCCAACTGAGCTGAAGAGGTTTTCCACAAGACCCCAAAACAACTGTCCAATATTGTAAACTAAATTAAAGATGTCAAGGGAATGAACAAATCACTTAAGTGATTGGAAGAACTAACTGATGGATTGATTTGATTAATCATTTAGCGGCAATGGTCCAACCAGCCTCCCTATGCAGGCATCTTGTCTAGAGTGGAAGGATTGGGAGAGGCAGCATGTAGCAGGGTGGGCCCAGCTGTGCATCTCGACTGCACTATTTAGAAGCTGCATGGCCTTGTGAAAGTTTTACAACATCACCTAGCTGCAGTTTTTTCACATGGAAAATGAAGATGATATTACATAACATACAGGGTTGTTTAAACAAACTAATGTGTATCGGGTACCTGGCACAATGCTAACTCATCACCTTTTGTTCTCTTACCTCCCACCAGGCTGAGAATTCCCTCTGCAGCAACCCTGACAAATGAGCATGGAACTTCAGGGAAAATTTCTCCAGAATAGTGAAGCTCATTACCAGAGACCCACCCAGACAGCAAGATGAAGCTTAACAAAAAATAAAGGAATGGCCTCCACTTGGATTCAAAATGAAAACTGCAAAAATTTCAAGATAAAAAGACCTCCATAATGATAAAGAAACAACCTACAGCAAAAACCTTCAGCTGAGCCCATCTTATTTCTGCCACAGAATTTTAGAATTGGGTGTACATGCACCTCAGCAGTATTCTGAGCACCTGAGCAGTATTCTTCCCTTTGATATCTACAGAATTTTTTGGCCAACATGTTTCCAGAAACAGAGAACCATTCACGACTTTCCAATAAAGCTATTCCACATTTAGACAAATATATTCAATGTTAATACTAAAAGCTGCTCCCTATTCCAAATTCTCACATCATGCCTTAACTCTTGTCTTTGGGACAACTTAGACTGTTTATTCCTTAACCACAAACAGTCCACCACATACTTGAGGAAGATTCCCATAGCTACAGAACTCAACTCTTTCCCAAATAAAATTTACCTTCACTTTTCCCGGCAAGACATTGAAATCAATTACTCTTCCCTGGTAGAATGGAACTTCTATGAGTAAATATGGGGCATGCATGTCAAGGAAAAGGTGGATGTTAGCTTAAACAAAGAAGTGAGATCCTGGGAGAAGTTCAACATATTGCAGTATTTACCCTGAAAGACACTCAGTCTTAAATAAAAATAAATCAAATATTTTAATCTTCTTTTAACTCATTCATCCCAATATGACAATGAATTTTCATATATCACTTTAAATTCATGACACACACAAGTCAAATATTGAACACTGATTTTGAGTCATTGCAGGGCACAAAAATTGTGAGCTCTTTCAGACCCAAAATAACACTACACAACCAAATGCCCCCGTAACAATTTTTCTCACAGTTAATTTTAAGTAGTACTCAAAGACCAGTTATAAAGCAGAGAAAACAGCATCTTTTGCTAAGCATTGCCAAGTTAGAATACACAAGAATAGATGCAAAGAATTCCACCAACCTTTGAGGGCTGCAAGGTTGCTGAAAGCCTTTCAGAAAACCCATGGCCTAAATCTACAGCCCAAATGCATTGCCATAGCATACAATAAGTGGCTGTGGCATGATCAGTGAGGAGAGAGAGGACTCTGATCAGTGATTCTGAAGACATCCCAGAGCAGGAAACATGGAGCGTGGGTGGGCACCCACAATCTCCCTGACATAGGAGTCAAGCTGGCTCTATGGATTGAGCCCTGCTTCCCTGCCTGACAACATCTCTGGAAGCAAAGCAGCAAACTTCCATAGGCTTCATGTTCTCCTCAAATACCCATGGTAGCCACCCCATGGTATGAAGAGTGGCAACACGTCTGGTCTAAGTCGGGAAACTGACACCCTCAGTGTCACCATCATTTCAACTCAAGGGGTCCATTCACCTCCTTCCCAGCACATTCTGATAGCCTCTGCAGAGACGGCACCCTCAGACTTCAATTCTTGATCCCTACCACTTTATAACTACAATTTCTTTTGCATTTGTAAAATGCAGATTTAAAACTAGAGAATACATTTCATTTCAAGGAAACCTAGAAAAAACTAAAACAGAAACAAAACCAAAACCATTCTTATGTAATTTACATCTTGTAATACATGCTTCATGATGCGGACACTGTTGTGTTGGATTTTCCTCCTCCTTACTTCTGCTGACCCACTCAGAAGATCTCACTACAGAGCTTTCTAGAAGAGCAAAAACAAGTATACACCACCTAAAATGACACATTTTAATCAGGAAATATAATCTTTTCCCTCTCACTTTTCCCCCTACCTATAGACCATAGGAAGCTTCCCATGTCTCAGAGTGAACATAATGTTCAGAATCTCAGCCGAAAGAAAAATCATACTTCTATTCCTGAAAATAATGCTTTAAAATATCCAACATTAGGTAACCAAATATCTATTGAGCATCTCTTATGTACCAGGCATTGTTCCAAGTGCTGGGGATACAGGGAACAGAACAAAGAAAAATGTGTATGTGGGATAATAATTACTAAGGAAGAGGGGGAGTGGGATAGGAAGTGCTAGGGAGAGTAAGATTGACCTGCATCAGTGAGGAAAGACCTGATAGAGGTGAGGGATTTGTCCAAGCAGGGAAGGACATTTGAAGCAGAGGGAACAGCAAGTGCAAAGGGTTTGAGGCCACAAGGTGTCTGGAGGCTCAAGGAACAAGGTGGAGGATGTGGCTGTAGCTGAGGAAGAAGATGGGGAAGAGAGGGAGCCAGATCCTGTGAGGCTTGTGGTTCAACAGGAGGAATTTTGGCTTCTACACTCAGTGAGATGCAAAGCCATGGCAGGGTTGTAAGCAGAAGCGCAGCATGAACAGACTTCTCTTTCAACAGGATCACGCTAACTACTTTGTGGAAAATATACTGCAGCTGGGAAATTATGGAAGCTCTGAGATACAAGGCAGCTGAAATGATCTAGAAGGGATGGCGGCTTGAGGCAAGGGAGATCAACTTTTGGGAGGTGTAAAGAAGTGGAATCCTGAATAGGTTTTTGGTTTGTTTCTTTGTTTTTTGTTTTTCTAAGTAGCTTTTGAGGAGGAGTCAACAGATTTCCTGACAGATTAGATGTGGATCCTGAAAAAATGAGAAACTTGAAGGAGAACTCCAAGACTTTTGCCCTGGGCAATCAGAAGAATGGAGTTGCCATTAACTAAGATAAGGAATGTTGCAGGAATTTTGGAGTGGAAAGATATCAGGAGTTCAATTTTGCACATATTAAGGGTAAAAATCCATTAAATCTGTATTTTTCCTTGCTCTCTGACACACAAGTTAATCTCTCTTTCTTACACACACACGCGCGCACACACACACACACACAGTTTTCTATAATTTTCTACCACCCAGACTTAAGCTTTGAGAGCCCCTTGATTCCTGGAAAAAAAAAAATCACTCCCCTGCTGAATGAATCAAGCTGTTCCAACCTCTGCCTGTTACCTAGTTCCAAAGTCGCTTCCACATTTTTGGGTATCTTTTCAGCAGCACTCCATACCTAATACCAATTTCTTGTATTAGTCCATTTTCATGCTGCTGATAAAGACATACCCAAGACTGGGAAGAAAAATAGGTTTAATTGGACTTACAGTTCCACATGGCTGGGGAGGCCTCAGCATCATGTGGGAGGCAAAAGGCACTTCTTACTTGGTGGCAGCAAGAGAAATGAGGAAGATGCAAAAGTAGAAACCGCTGAGAAAACCATCAGATCTCGTGAGACTTATTCACTACCTTGAGAAGAGTAGCGGGGAAATGATTCAAATTATCTCCCACCAGGTCCCTCCCACCACATGTGGGAATTATGGGAGTGCAATTCAAGATGAGATTTGGGTTGGGACACAGAGCCAAACTATATCATGCTCCCCCTCACTTCCTCTTCCCTGGGCCTGACTGCAGAACTTCCACTCTTCATCTACAATTCAGTCCAAGCAGCACTTCCTCTCTCAACCTAGGCAGAACTGTCCCTCTCACCCTGCTATTCCTATCATAACTTCACATCCTTTTCTGACTGTGCATCATATTCTTAGGTTACATCCTATCTCCTCTACTGTCTCGAGCTCCTTGAAAGGAAGATCTGGCGGCAATATTGGTTTTTGTATCCCAGTGCCAGCCATATAGTAAGTTCTCCTAAAATGTGTGTTGAATGAATAGTTGATTAGGTCTGTAAAGAAAGAATTGGATTATAAACAATATTCTCCTACGATAATAGCTGATGATTCCCTACCAATAAGTTTTATTAATATGCATTTTGTAGACTGTCTCCATCCCTTCCATTTGTGATGCTGCCATAGGTTTCAGGGAATCACAAATAGTCCAGAGTTGATGGTCAGCAGTTTATCATTTTCCCTAAGGGGGCTCATCTGGCTTTCAGAGGTTTGACACCCAAATTGTTCGTCCACTAGTAATAGAATAATAAGGAACTAGGAAATGTTCTGTTGAGTGTTAAATTTCAGCCTACTCTTCACCTGGCCTTGAGACTTAGAAATTGCTATGCCCAACAACAATGGAACCACCACAACTAGACCACATGGAACTGATTCATTCAGCAGGGGAGTGATTTTTTTTTCCAGGAATCAAGGGGCTCTTGGACATGAGATTTGGAGGGGCCAGGGGCAGAATGATATGGTTTGACTCTGTGTCCCCACCCAAATCTCATCTTGAATTGTACTCTCATAATTCCCACGTGTTGTAGGAGGAACCCAGTGGGAGATAATTTGAATCATGGGGGTGGTTTCCCCCACACTGTTCTCATGGTAGTGAATAAGTCTCATGAGATCTGATGGGTTTATCAGGGATTTCCACTTTTGCATCTTCCTCATTTTCTCTTGTCACTGCCATGTAAGAAGTGCCTTTCACTTCCCACCATGATTCTGAGGCCTCCCTAGCCATGTAGAACTGTAAGTTCAATTAAACTTCTTTTTCTTTTCAGTCTTAGGTATGTCTTTATCAGCATCATGAAAATGGACTAATACAGAGCACATTTCTGTCAGAGGGAACAGCTTGAACAGAGAACAAAGCCCTGGGCACTTTTCCAAGCTTGCAAACTAGTCCATAGGAAGCAATAGGCAAAGGGAAAATGGCAAGGCATGAGGCTGACGAGGTGGCAGAGGCCAGCTCTCCAAGGCTCTGGTTTGTAGCTGGTTTGGGTTTACCCCATAAGCAAAGAGGAACCATAGGAGGCTTTTAAATACAAAAATCGCATGATTAGATTTGCCTTTTAGAAAAAACACTCCAGTGGAGGGACACGGAAATGTACAGGATATAGGAACGTGAGTAAGACCTTCAGGACCTTAGGAATGATGCCACAGATCTTAAAGTAAAAACAATGTCAAAAGGTTTTTTTTTTTTTTTCCTATCAAATATACTGTAGGTTAATTAAGATAGTTCTGGTGGGGCACAGTGGCTCACACCTGTAATCCCAGCAGTTTGGGAGGACAAGGCAGGTGGATCACTTGAGCCCAGGAGTTCGAGACCAGCCTGGACAACATGGCAAATCCCCATCTCTATAAAAAATACAAAAATTAGCCGGGCATCGAGCTGTTCACCCATGGTCCCAGCTACTCAGGAGATGGGAGGATCTCTTGAGCCCAGAAATATAAGTCTGCACTGAGCTATGATTGTGCCACTTCACTCCAGCCTGGGCAACATAGTGAGACTCTGTCTCAAAAGAAAAAAAAAGATAATTCTTAGCAAATTGGTCTATGTGGACATTTACACTTGTAGAGTTGCATTTGCCTAATAGTACTTTACTGTTGTCTATTTTCACTGACACTGAGCCAAACTTGAATGAAAAACTTTTACATGTTTGTCTATACCCTAAGTAAAATGAATATGAAAGATGAAGAAATATTTTAGAAGTTTACTCTATCAGAATTTTTTTTATTCTAGAAGCTATTCAATGCAACTCATCTACTTCATTGCCTAAATTCATTTCAAGGAATTTGTATTTAGAAAAGGTTTTATTATTAATAAAGACAAAAGCCGGGGGTGGTGGTTCACGCCTGTAATCCCAGCACTTTGGAGGGCCGAGGCAGGCGGATCACGAGGTCAGGAGATCGAGGCCATCCTGGCCAACATGGTGAAACCCCGTCTCTACTAAAAATACAAAAAATTAGCCAGGCGCGGTGGCGGGCGCCTGTAGTCCCAGCTATTCGGGAGGCTGAGGCAGGAGAATGGCGTGAACCCGGGAGGCGGAGCTTACAGTGAGCTGAGATCGCACCGCTGCACTCCGGCCTGGGTGACAGAGTGAGACTCCATCTCAAAAAAAAAAAAAAATTAATAAAGACAAAAATAAAGGGAAATTTAAGTTCTCACTTAAAGCCACATGTATACTTGAGGGAGAGAAAGGACATTAAGAAGGTCTTCATGTTAGAATAACTGGTTTGGCAAATACCAGGTGAATGTATAGTACAATATTTCAAAGAAATGAAAAGGAAAATGTTCACATATCCTAAAGATCATTGAAAAATTTTAAATATGTCAGAAACATTGTCAAAAATAGTAATACACTGGGCATGGTGGCCTTGTTTCTTCTTTGATAAAGTTCTCATTTGCATTTCTTCACTGCTTGTCTCTGCCTGAAAATGGATTCCAAGCCACATCTCTTACTTGTATCAAGGGAGGAGTCTCTACAGTGTCATCACTCCTGCTTTTACAAGAATTCCAAGGCCAAGTTTGTGGATTAACTTGGAATGGGAGAGGAAAGAGGAATTCCAAGGCAGGATTACCTGGATTCTGCATGCTACTAAAGACCGCCACCCATTTCTGCCCCATACTCAGGCCATGCAAGGGAGAGGGTATAAAATCTACTACTACTACTTGCTGCCTCTACAGTTCTCTGCTTATGTCAGACAAAAGACTATAGGAGATACGTGGCTGAGGAAGCAGCAGAGAAAAAGTGTTACTTTCCTTATTACACCTACCCAACATTAATTTAAGTCTCTTAAAGAGAATGTATGGATGATCCAGACACAAAAACTGTGAAAAAAGAGATGCTGAGTAAATTACAAATGTCATTACAATTATAAACAGAAATTAATTGCTTTTGAAGCATCTTTTCAAAAAGACAAGTTAAAATATTAATACTCAGTAAGTTTTACTAATGCTTATTGTTATGGTTTGGCTCTGTGTCCCTATTCAAATCTCATGTTGAATTTTAATTCCTAATTTGGGGGAGGGACCTGCTGGGAGGTGATTGGATCACAGGGGGCAGGACTCCCCCTTGTTGTTCTCATGATAGTGAGTTCTTATGAGATCTGATGGTTTAAAAGTGTGTGGCATTTCCCCCTTCGCGCTTTCTCTCTCCTGTCACCATGTGAATATGTGCTTGCTTCTCCTTTGCTTTCCATCATGATTGTAAGTTTCCTGAGGCCTCCCAGCCATGCTTCCCGTTCAGCCTGCAGAACAGTGAGTCAATTAAACCTGTTTTCTTCATAAATTACCCAGTCTCAGGTAGTTATTTATAGCAGTGTGATAATGGGCTGATATACTTATCATCTGCTCAGTACATATAGGTTAAGTGCTTTGTTTACATTTTCTCACAGAATCCTCAGTACTGATTTGGAAGAAGACATGCACAACCTGGGAGATGAAGGACTTGTCCAGGGCCATAAAGTTTTCACGTGGCAATACTGGGATCCACATCAAGGTCTTTCTGTGCTCAATATAATATATGGCCTCCTGACTGTTATGTTAATATTATAAGCCTCCTTGAAGAAATATTGTTAATACTTTGTAAATGAGTCATAGCACTATACATGCTTGAAAGTGATACAACTGTTTTCATTTAAAAATGAATGTAATCTAACATTTTCATCACTTCAGACTATTCTATTTAATTATTTAGAATTTGTATGACTCTACCATAAAAATCACACATGCTAGCCAAAATACAGAAAGAAAAATAAATGAACTTCATAAAAGCGGTCCAAAAATTAATATCATCTTATTTTTCCTTAAATTATGTTACATTGGTTCTAATAGCCAAAAGAGTCAATTGCCCAAATACACACAGTGTAGCTAAAAACATTTTAACAGGAAGTCAAGTAGACAGAGCTCCTACTCCCTAGAAGTTGAAAATCAAAAATTCAATATGGGCACATAACAATGCAGAGATCATAACCACACACCTCACTGTACAAGAGGAAAGTGCACAGAATAATAAATATACCAGCAAGCACACAAATGACTGCTAAATTTAACATCTTCTCTGAGGTTTTCAGTGTCAGAGGCACTGTTAAAAAAGAAGATCAGGCCGGACACAGTGGCTCACACCTGCAATCCTAGAACTTTGGGAGGCTGAGGCAGATGGATTGCCTGAGCTCAGGAGTTCGAGACTAGCCTGGGCAACACGGTGAAACCCTATCTCTACTAAAATACAAAAAATTAGCCGCTCATGGCCGCGTGGGCCTGTAATCTCAGCTACTCAGGAGGCTGAGGCAGGAGAATTGCTAGAACCTGGGAAGTGGAGGTTGCAGTGAGCCGAGATTGTGCCACTGCACTCCAGCTTGGGCAACAGAGAGAGACTCCGTCTCAAAAAATAAAAAAATTAAAAAAAGAGCAACTTTTACACAGAGCAGGGAGGTTCTAGGAAGAAGAAAAAATAAGGAAAGGACCATTCCCGGTACAGAGACTGCTGGATGAAGCCTGGGAATGGCTTAGGTGAAATTGCACTGTCTGGTCAGGAGAACAAGATGAGGCGAATGCTGAGGAGAGAGGTGCAGGCAAAATGAAGGGAATCAGAATGAAGGCAAGAGATTCACTACGGACTCCAGGGATCAGATAAGGACCCCCTTATCAGGGCCTCAGCAGCCTGGCAGAGATAGAGGAGACACGCAGAAAGCTGCAGCAGATTCCAAAGGGTGAGATTACCTGGTGCTGGTGGGAGGGTGCTGGCTTCCTCCATCACGTGGTCACCAGAGTCTGAGTTGGAAGAACATGGCCATTGAGAAGGAAGTGGCCATGGTCTAGTCTGGAAGCAAGTGACTCAGAAAATAAATCCCTTTATCCACAAAGTGCCATTCCTTTGAATGAAAAGGACAAAAATCAAATCCACACTAAGACCAGTTTACCATTTAGTCCAGATTTCCAGGCAGCGACTCTAAGCACAGAAGAGGGGCAAAAGCAGAGGGATGGAAGGACAGTGTGTTTATGGAGGACAAAGGACACTTTCTGAAGAGGGTGAGGTTCAGTGGTAGAAAGTGGCATAAATATATTCACTGCTATATATTAATCTTCTATGTTCCTTGCAATATTTGATGTTCATTCTGATGAATAAAAGATATTCAAAATTCATTTTCCAAAACATCATTATTAACAAACCCCATTTCTTTATTCTGTGTCTTTATGAAAGCTCATGGGTTCAGTCTGCCCCACATTTGCACTTGTTTCCATACTATTTGGTAGTGCTGGCAAACAGTATATACTCAAAGAATAGCAAAGGTTGTTTTTTAAATGTAGGCTTTCTCTCCAGATAAATTTCAAGCTTCTTAAAAGTAAGTTTCAAGTTTATGCTACATAAAAATACTCCAGCAAAATACTAAACCTTGTCTTCCGCAAACAGGGTGGTTGGTTGAAAATTTGAAAAAGAAATATTGTGACTCTGACGATCTTTGTAGACTCCAACAATATTCAGGCAGAAAGTGAACCCATTACATTTCTTGACTGAATGGATTATTGGTTTCTGAAAGAAGTTATTTTAAAACTCCTCTAGATTTTTAAGCTCCCAGGAATTGGGTCTCTGGCGAAGCTTGTAGGGGTGTGGTGATGTTTGATACTATTCATCCCAATGATGATTTTCCTTTCCTCTCATACTTCATCATAACAGTAGTCCACCTGAGATAGCTTTTCATCTGACCGCGTGACCTGCTAATAAACACAAGCATTTTTGCCTCAATAAACTCAATTTTTAACAACTGCATCCTATTTAGAATATACAGAATTTGACTCTCAGTCTTTGTCACATGATGAATCCCTCTCTGTGACCTTCTGAGGACTCTATTAAATCTTTGTGAGCCTCACCACAATGGTTTGGTTCAGTATTCCTCTACCACTGAATACATTAAAAACAAAACAAAACACTGTCATACGTGGAGGAGTTCATAAAATCCAGCCTGAGAAATGCAGTCAGCAATCTGTCCAAGTCACGTCCTGGACTTTTTGTTTTACGGGCTTTCTCAGAATATTGGCTTACTGTTAATAGAGAAACTGTACATAAAATCCAAAAAGGAAGGGGTCAGTTAGCCTATGGGAGACCAGAATCTAGAATGCTGCCCACACCTCTGTGAAACACCAAGTTTGCTAAATCTGCTATTGTCAACTCGGATCATATGGCTGATAAAAATCACAGGGCTATAAAGTGCATACTCAGCACTTTGGAGTGACTGCTAAATAGGCCTATAAAGGCACTTTTTTGCTTTTTGCATGAACTTCAAATGCAAAGGCACCTAAAAGCAGTCATTAGTAAACATATTCTTTTGCCCTCCAGGCCATTCACAATTTTAATTTTTTTAACGATAATGAAAGAATTCGAAGTGTTGTGTAAGAATAGTTATCCTATGTGAGACTACAGAATAGAAAGCAAGCAATATTTTTCTTTCTTTTTGTTCAGAATTATCTGAACATTACTCAGCATTATTAACTATATTTTTCAAGCAAGATTATATAGTTCTAGGATTGGAACTAAAGAAAAGTTCTTAAAGGAAATTGATACTCAGAGAACTTAAAATGATCTGTTCAACGTCCCACAGCCAGTGAGAAATAGATCTGGAATCAGGATCCTGTTCTCTCACTTCTAAACCCAGCATTTATACCATGCCAAGCAGCCCAGCTTCAAATAGCAAAGGAATTATAGTGGTCCCAGATAATCTGGACTTTCAAACACCCAAACCTATACACCACCCCCTGCCTCTCCACTTGTTCTTCTTTCAAACATCTCCTACCTTTTTCAAAACACCTCATGTTCTAAGGTAACCACATAGAATCCAAGCAGTTTCAGCACATTTCATCCGTCCAGCTAAAAACGTGACATCTTACGCAACTACAGTATAAAATCACAGATATCCCAAAGGCAAAAAATATTAAAGAAATGTTGTGAACCTCCTGATATACATAAGTACCCCTCTCCAACACAGGCCCAAGGCAGAAGCAAGAGGTGAAAAACATGTGCAAGATAAAAGCCAGCAGCATGATGGATAGAGGGTGCTATGGGAGAATGGAAGAGGGGTCCTAGAGTGGGGTCGTGGAAAGCTTGAATAGATCCAAAGGAAGAGTAAGAGTCAGCGAGGCTGGGTTGCAGGAAGCACCCCTGTCACAACAACCAGGTTTGACTTTTGTGCCACTACTAGCTAGCTAGTAAGAAGCCTTGGGCAAGTCACACAATCCCTTGAACTTCAGTGTCCTTATCTAAAATGACCATATCAATAATAACTACCCAAAAGGTTTTATGAAGTTTAAATGAACACATGATGTAATATTCTTAAGAAAACATCAGGCATATAGCAAATATTCCATAAATTTTAATTATGATGCAAATAATGATGGAATCATAAGTTCAAATAATCAAAGGTAAAAAGAGCATAGTACATTCCCGAATGTTCTCAGAAAAGCAAAGAGTTTAGAATGGTGAAAGTAGAGAGGATGATTTTAATTAAACAGAACTGTATTCACTTCTCCAGCTGTAGTGTAGGCAAGAAATTGCACATCACTCCAACTAAGAGAGCAGAATACCCATTATAGCTTGTTTCACTTGTCTTCACCTTTAAGGCACTCAAGGCAGCTCTCCCTCAAACAGGTGGTGATGGGTTGATGGCAGCCTCCATTAGAAGGCATGTGTAGATTTAGGGTATTCAGCCTTAGAAAGAGGAGGAAAGAATGTTAGGTGCTGAGAGTAAAGTGAAGCCCAGGAGTGTCTGTGGGTCTAGGGATGAGGAAAGGCTTCCAGATCTGGGTTTGATAACAGAGCAGTCCTCCTGCAGGTTTATGGCCTAGAAAGTTCCAGGGCCACTGGCCCACAAGAACATCCTTGAGAGGCACTGCTTTAATGATCTGAAGTTGTAGGGCTCAGAAAACCAACCGCAGCATGTGGTCTGGGGATGACCCGCCTGAATGGACTGACCACAGGCAAGTGGAACTTCCAACCCTGCCTGTATCTCAGGCCTTGGGACCATCACGTAAGTGGGATCTTGGGTCCACTGGGGCTTCGAGTCCCCAGATACCAATGAAAAGACTGTTCAATAAAACTGATAATAATTACCTGTGGCATTGGGGTGTCAATTTGTTTACAAGAGCTGGTTTTGCTTCTAACACAGGTAAGTGAGCACTTTATAAACAAAGACAATATCACTTTCTTCCATCTGTCACAGTAAACCTCAGGCAGAATTTTCCCTAGAAGGCAAACATTTTACCCTCAATGATCTCAGGCCATGTGGATCGTCCTTTGGCAAGACAGAATAACTAGTCTGAATTGTTTAAGTCAGCATCCTGTCTTTTGAAATCAACAAGAATCCTAAGTTCTGAAAAAGCTATCTGTGTGAGAAATACCAGAACAAAATGTGACTGGTGTGCTGTTTCGCCCTTTCTCAATCTTGTGCAAGGAAGATACCTGAAACCCTCTGGAATCCATGGGTGGCAGGCAGAGCACTTTTACTGAGAGCCCATCTCCACTAACATTCCAGTTGATGGGGAATTTAGAAACACTCCTCCCTCCCATTCCTCCCTTCACTCCTCTCGCTTCCATATCTCTTATAAACTTGTCTGGATTTCCCAATCCTAATTTATCTGGAACTTAAGATAGACTCCCTACCTCCACTTGCCCCTGTAGAAGAATTTTGGTGCTTGCTGGCCTGCAGGTATTATATTGAACCACATTCATTTAATGAACAGGATGTATTCACGTTGCAAACCAGTGCATTATATAAAAGCCTTTATTAATCACTCTATGGTGCCATAAAATGACAGGCGTTCGGTTCCCAAAAGCAAATAATGCAAACCAAGAACCTTAATATAATGGTGGATATAAAATTATAATAGCCAAGTGGCAAGTCCTTGGTGCATTTAGAGGATCACAAGAGGATAAAAAGAGCTTCTGGTGCCTAATTGTGTTTAAATTTTTATTTATGGTGATATTAAGCAGTTCTCTAAGAGCTCCAGCCATTTAAATTATGGTGATTCTTTCTGAAGGCTTTTAACTGTAAGGAAATTGGGAATTAGTCCCCTTTCAGAGGAACACAGGTGCCTGAGTAATTCCTAATAGATGGTGTTCTTCCAAACTTGATGAGTGGATGATTCACCAGCGGTTTGCAAACTTTCACAAGCTTCAGGATCTCCTAAAGGACTTATTAAAACTCAAGATTGCTGGGCCCCACTCTTCTTGGTAGTTCTGGGGTGTGACCCGAGAAATGGCATTTCTAGCAAGTTCCCAGGTGATACTGATGCTGCTGTTCTGGGAATATAATTTAAGCTAAATGCACCAACCAATCTGTCATTGTTGAATAGAGTTTAAAGGATGTGCGTCCTCCAAGAAATTCCTTGGTCTCTCCATTGATTTTATTCCAGTGAGAAGAAAGCACTCCTATTCTCCTATTCTCCCACCTTCTCACACTGTCCTCTTCTAATTGCTCATAGATTAGATGCTGTTTAATGTGAAATAATATTGACAGGGCCTGTTCTAATACAAACATAGGGCTGGGCCAAGTAATTGCATGATGATCTAAACCTAGCAAAAATATTCCCGGATTACTCAGGAAAATTAGAAAATAATTACATTTAATTTTCAGGCAAGTCTAGTGATGTTTTTTCCAATAATTCTGCATCTTGATATATTTCATTTTAGCATGATGAAAGAATAATCATATATTATTTCAGCAGTGAAGTTGCCATAAAGGGGGTTATCTTTATGCCTGAACTCTGAAATCTCTATTTCATTTCAATCTACTGTTCTTTATCAATAAACTATGATTCTTTCTGAAAGAATTTTTATTATATATGAGTATTTCCAATATGTCACACTTATTTTATTGTCTCAGGATAATGTCTTCTACATTTGTTAACTGCTGGTCTTGGGTAATTGATTTAAGTTACTTTCCTAAATTGTTTATACTAAACTTTATTAACTTTTAAAACTTTTATTTTGAAATAACTTCAAACTTACAAAAAAATTTCAAGACTAGTGCATTGGCCAATTGTTCACATTGTACCACATCCTCTCCCTCCCTCTACTTATATCTTTTTAATGCCATACTATTTACTCTACAAAAGTAAATATTTTTTCTGAATTATTCAAGAATAAGTCTCAGACATAGTGTCTTATTATTCCTTAAAACATTAGTGTTTATTTTCTGAAAATAAAGGCACTCTCCTACCTAGGCACAAAATAACTATCAGTAACAGAAAATCAACATTCCTGGTCACTAAATTCACACTCTATTCCAATTCTACTGATTGTTCCAGTGATGTCCTTTATAAACTAAGGGTGCAATCCAGGATTAGCTGTTCTGTTTAGTTGTCATGTCACTTTAGTTTCCTTCAACTTGGAACGGTTCTTCAGTTCTTCCTTGTTTTTTTATGACCTTGAAATTTTTTAAGAGTCCAGGACTGTGATTTGTGGAATGCTTTTCAACCTGGATTTGTTTGAGTTTTCCTCGTGATTGGATTCTGTTTATGCTTTATGGCAGGAATACCACAGCAGTGATGTGAGGAAATCCATGATGCCAATATGTCCCACTATGGGTGATATGAACTTTAACTACTTGGTTAAGATGATGTCTGCCAGGGGGTTTGTTGTACTGTGTTTTAATATGTTATTAACCAGTGTTCTGATGGGATATACTTTGACATTATAACTATCTTAATCCTTATCAAACTATTAACAACTAGTTTTAGTAACCACCAATGATTTTTACCTGAATTAATTATTATAGTCATGCTTGCTAAATGGTAATTTCTTAATTCTATCGTTCTACTATTAGGTGGAACTTTCCCTTCTGCCCCTTTTATCTATCTATCTATCTATCAATCTATCTATAATCTATCAATAGAAATATTAATAATTAGAGATGATTTTCTATGTTATTCAATGAGTTATAATCCATTACTTTCACTATTTAATTTGTTGCTCAAATTGCCTCAAATTTGGCAAGTGGGAGCTCATTCAAGCTGGTTTCTGTGTCATTATTTTTAAGCACTTTCTTACTGCAATGAACTGAATGTTGTCCCTCTCCTTACTCCAAATTTATATGTTGAAACCTCCTCATCAAAGAGATGATATTAGGAGGTGAAGCCTTTGGGAGTGGTTAGATCAGGAAGTCTGAGCCCTCATAAATAGGATTGGTGCCTGTATAAAAGAGGCCCAAGAGAGCTGCCTTGTACTTTCTGCCACGTGGGGACACAGCTGGAAGGTGTTACAGATGAACCAGAGAGCAGGCCCTCACCAGACACTGAATCTGCTGGCACCTCTATCTTGGACTTCCTAGCCTCCAGAACTGTGAGAAATAAATTTATGTTGTTTAGGCCACCCAGCCCGTGTTATTTTGTTATGGTAGCCCAAGCAGACAAATATAATGGGTATTTTAACTATATCGGTATCTACATTTAACTATATCAAAGAAAACAACTCATGAGTCTCCACTGATACCAAAAATTCCAACCCAGGGTTAATTCTTGCCCTCTCCCTTTCCATATTTGTAACTTCTTCTCCCACAGTGAGGAGCCTGGATCCCATTATCCTCCATATATTTAATTATTCGCTCAATACTCTGTGGGTAACCAATCCTCCAACCACATGGGCTGAATCTTCAATGCTCTATCATCTCCCCACAACTTGGTGGATTACCTCTTTGTCTCTAATCTAGTCAACCACGTCAATTAAATCCTCAGCCCCAGAATAAGATTTCATCTTTAAACTTGACTAGTTTTACACTTAAAGTTTATTTTACATTTTGTTTTAATACTCCATACTTAGCATAATACACAATTTCAGCAGTCATCCCTCTTATCCAATTATGGTATAATTCCTTACTATATATTACACTGGGGGAAATTATGCTAATAAGATCAATTTTAATACATGTTGGTAATGATGGAAAATAAATTGGAAATATTTTACTTTCTTATAAAATATCCACATTTAATAAGTTTATTCTTACATTAGGCATCAACTTTTAAAAAATCCAAGTGAAAATTAAAAATGAGAAATTAAAATATACTCATACCTCAGAAATATTGTGGGTACAGTTCCAGACCACTGCAATGAAGCATATATTATAGTAAAGAGAGTCACATGAATTTTTTTGCTTCCTGGTGTATATAAAAGTTATATTTATACTATACTGTAGTCTATTACATGTAAAATAGCATTGTGTCTAAGAAATAAATGTACACACCTTAATTAAAAATATTTACTGGGCATGGTGGCTCATGCCGGAAGTCTCAGCACTTTGGGAGGCCAAGGCAGGCAGATTATATGAGTTCAGGAGTTTGAGACAAGCCTGGGCAACACAGTGAAACCCTGTCTCTATTAAAATACAAAAATTAGCCAGACGTGGTGGTGGGTGCCTGTAATCCCAGCTACTTGGGAGGCGGAGGCAGGAGAATCTCTTGAACCTGGGAGGCATGTGTTGCAGTGAGCCGAGCTCATGCCACTGCACTCCAGCCTGGGTGACAGAGTAAGATCTTGCCAAAAAACAAAACAAAACAAAACACTTTGTTACTAAAAAATGCTAAGGATTATCTGAGCCTTCAGTGAGTCATAGTCTTTTTGCTGTTGGAGGATCTTGCCTCGATGTTGATGGTTATTGACTGATCAGGGTTGTGGTTGATGAAGAATGGGGTGGTTGTGGCAATTTCTTAAAATAAGACAAGGAAGTTTCCCTCATCAGTTGATACTTTCTTTTGTGAAGGATTTATCTGTAGCATGTGATGCTGTTGAACAGCATTTTACCCACAGTAGAACTTCTTTCAAAATTGGAGCCAATCCTCTCAAACCTGCTGCTGCTCTATCCAAGAAGTTTATGGAATATTCTAAATTCTTTTTTGTCATTTGAACAGTGTTCACAGCATCTTCACCAGGAGTAGATCTAATCTCAAGAAATCACTCATTCACAAGAAGCAACTCCTCATCCATTCAAGTTTTACCATGAGACTGCAGTCATCAGTCACTTCTTCAGGTTTCACTTCTAATTCTAATTATCTTGCTATTTCCACCATATCTGCAGTTACTTCCTCTACTGAAGTCTTGAGCCCCTCAAAGTCATCCAGGAAGGTTCTAATCAACTTTTTTTCAAACTCCTGTTAATGTTGATATTTTGGCCACCTTCCATGAATCATAAATGCTCATAATGATAACTAGAATGGTGAATGCTTTCTGGAAGGTTTTCCATTTACTTTGCTGAGATTCATCAGAGGAATCATTATGTCAGCTACAACTTCATTAAATGTATTTCTTAACTAGTAAGACTGGAAAGTAAAAATTACTTCTGGATCCATGGGCTGTGTTAGAAGCCATGATGAAAATGACATTCATCTCCTTGTACATCTCCATCACAGTTCTTGAGGGACTAGATGCATTGTCAATGAGCAGTAATATTTTGAAAGAAATCTTTTTTTCTGTATTCAGTAAACCATGCTGTAAACAGATGTGCTTTCATCCTGGCTTTGTCATTCCACTTAAGAGCACAGGCAGAGTAGATTTAACATAATTCTTAAGAGCCCTTGGAATTTTGGAATAGTAAATGAGCACTGGCTTCCACTTAAAGTCACCAGCTGCATTAGCCCCCAGCAAAAGAGTCAGCCTGTTCTTTGAAGCTTCAAAACCAAGCATTGACTGGTCCTCTCTAGCTATGAAAATCTCAGATGGCATCTTCTTCCAATATTGGACTGTTTCATCTACATTGAAAATCTGCTGCTTGGTATAGCCACCTTCATCAATCTTAGCTAGATCTTCTGGAAAAAAGTGCTGCTTCACCTTGCACTTTTATGTTATGGAGACAGCTTCTTTCCTTAAACCTCATGAACCAACCTCTACTAACTTGCAACTTTTCTTCTACAGCTTCCTCACCTCCCTCAGCCTTCATAAATTGAAGAGTGTTAGGGCCTTCTCTGGATTAGGCTTTGGCTTAAGAGATTGTTTTGGTTGGTTTGATCTATCAAGACCATGCAAACATTCTCCCTATAAACAATAAGGCTGTTTCACTTCCTTATTGTTTGTATTTTCATTGGAGTAACACTTTTAATTTCCTTCAAGAACGTTTCCTTTGCATTTACAATTTGGCTGTTTGGTACAAGAGGCCTAGCTTTCTGCCTATCCTGGCTTTCAACATACCTTCCTCACTAAGCTTAATTATTTCTAGCTTTTGATTTAAAGTGAGAGACATGACCCTTCCTTTCACTTGAACACTTAGAAGCCATTGTAGGGTTATAATTGACCTAATTTTAAAGTCTCAGGGAATAGGGAGGCCAGAAGAGAGAGAGAGATAGATGGAGCTATGGCTGGTTGGTGGAGCTGTTGGAACACACACATTTATCGACTAAGTTTGCCATCTTATATGGGCATGGTTCATGACACCCCAAAACAATTACAATAGGAATGTCAAAGATCACTGATCAGAGATCACCATAACAGATATAATAATAATGAAAAATCTGAAATATTGCGAGAATTACCAAAATGTGACAGAGACATGAAGCGAGCACATGCTATTGGAAAATTGGCACCAATAGACTTGCTTTTATGTAGAGTTGCCATAAACCTTCCATTTGTTAAAAAAAAATGCAATGTCTGTGAAGTGCAATAATGCAAAGCACAATAAAACAAAGTGTGCCTGTGTATAAAAATATAATGTCCATGGTCAGGATAAACGGCAAAAAATCACTAATCATTAAATGGTGAAAGAAATAGTGGATCAAATGATAAAAAATAATAATGCTTTCTTTCAAGGCAGTTACCAAAACTCTCTTACCATGCACACAAAAAAATGCCTTCTTAGCAACTGTAGACCAATTGTGAAAACTGATAAAATCTCACACTGAACAAGTTGCATAATGGGTCAACAGGGCTGTGGAAAACACAATGATATATTTAATCTATTCTATGTACTTGAGAATATACAGTAATAAAATAGTACAAATATAAATCCCACGTGCTTGGACAAATAAGGATTTGTCCCAATTGTCATTTTGTACATCTCCAAGACTTCCTATGCCCTCTCTCTCTCTCTCTCTCTCTCTCTCTCTCTCTATATATATATATATATATATATATATCCATATCCATATATATATCTCTCTCAAATTGAATATGTAAATGCCATCATAACAGATTGCAGTATTTAGGCTTAATCCCAATACTTAAAAGTCCATAATGTAAATATACATTTTACAATTCAGCTTGGCATTTTAACCTAACTTCATTTTCTTTTTTAAATATTTTCTCCCTTATGGATCAAGTCACTTAAACAACTTCTACAAATATATTTTTAAAAACTCTTCATCTTAATGAGCCACAATTTTCTCCAAGTATGTAATTTGAAGAAGTAAGGTGTGTGTATATATGTGTGTGGTTGATAGCTTGACATATTTAATTAAAATTAGTGGGGTTTTACACAAAATAAAGGCTAGGATAGGAATCTGAAACAATGATCCACCCTTGAAGAGTTTATAGTCTATTTGGGAAAGTAAGAAATGGATACAAAGTAGAAAATGACCTATAGGGTGAAGAATCAAGCTATAGGATAAAGAACTGAAGTGCTGTAGCTGTTGAGAGCAGTGTGTCGGGACAGGAGCTCAGAACAGGAGCTTGGGTTTCAAGCTGTCTGATGTGAGGGGGACTTATGCTTAGGAGAAGATGGGGGGTGCAGAGGGAAAAGCAAAGAGTCACTCTGATGGGGATGTTGATAATGAGGGCGGCTATGCTTAGGCAGGTCTGGAGGCATATTTGAAATATCTGTATCTTCTGCTTAATTTTTCTGTGAACCTTAAACTGGCCTAAAAATAAAGTCTATTTTTATAAGTTATCAGAAATATAAAAACCAAAAAAAGGCAAAGGTTTAGAAGTGGAAATACGATCACCATCAGAGCAGAGGTTTTGGTTAGGTGATATGGGGAAAATGAGAATAAAAAATGCATGAAACTGAAAACCTATTTCACTGATTTTCAGGAACAGTGAAATGTGTATTTTGACATATGATAAAATTCATGAAATAATCAAATAGCAAAGAGTATTGGAAGATATTAAGTCCTACAGTAGTCTTCAACTTTTCAGTAACCAAAAAGGCATTTACTTTTTTGAATAATAATAAGAGCAACTATGTATGAATTGCCCCCAGCCAACAGACTCAGTAATAAAAGCTTTGCAGACATATCTCATATAATCTTAACAACCCTATGAGACAAGTATTATCAGTCTCACTTTACAGTGGGGAATCTGAGCCTTATGAAGTTTAAGTAATTTTTCTAAAATCACACACCTAGTAAGGAGCAGAACATAGATTCAACCTTGGCCTTCTCCTAAGCCCTTGTTCTATTCACCCAGCTTGGTGGTCTCTAAGGGCAGTCACTAAATGATTTCTACATTCCATGACCTAGCCAGAGGGCTGAATCAGATGACTTTTGCAGTCCTTACGGTGCTGAACTTTTAGAAAAATGTGTTAAGCTGGAAAAAGCATGGCATTTGTTTTCTGAAATCAATAAGGTACTGCAAAATAATATGCTAACTTTATCAAAGGGAAGCTATGGAAATGTCCTCTTTATTTTTACAAGACAGTGGCAAATATATCAAATCAGAGTATTTTCACGTTTTGCTGAAAATTTTCACATTTTGCTGAAGGTTTATTCAGCATTCATTTTGCTTTTCATTTCTTTTTATCGATCTTGTCCTTCACAGGCAATTTTTCCAGCAGCAATAACCTCCCTGCTCACTAGGAATGCTTCTGTTCATCTGCAAAACCTTAAGGGTAATATTGAAAATCTTGAGTGACCAAGTCACTTCTCTTGAAATTCTGAAGAGTAACCAGTCAAGAGCAAGGGAGGAGGGCTGGAGCCAGGGAGACACACCAAGGATAAAAAACCTTGCAGAGACATCTGCCCCTTACTATTAGGCAGCTTTGTAACTTTAGGTGTCACTGAAATGTTAGCTAACGTGGGGCTTGAGGAAAGAGACAACACCAAAGCTGTGTAAAAGGGAGTGGAAGCCCTCTGCAAACGTAGGAATCTTTGGCCTGAGGAGTGCGGGTTGAGAAATAAATGGTGCCCTCATGTATTTAATTGAATGCAAGAAATTTAATCCTGCAGCATCTTGAGTTGGAGCTCACTCTCCTGTTTCCTGTGGGATTTGGCAGTCCCCTCTTCTATTATTGAGATGTGCCCTGGAAAGGAAGGTGATTTGGGGGAGAAGGGGCACCTTTGCCTTCACTTTCAGGAGTTGCTATTAGCACAAGAAAGGCCAGACCCACAGTTTCAAAAGCTTTTCTCACAGTTATTAATGCATGCTCAGAGGTAGGCTTTCTCTTTTCTTTCCTTTCTTGTCTTTTTTTTTTTTATCCTTCTGTTTTGTTTTTAATATTTACTTGAGATATATCACACTGTGTCATGGTTTTAACCCTAGCTACACATTAAAATAATTCCAGAGTCCAAAAAATTTAATTTAATTGGTCTGGATTGGGGCCTGGGTGCCAATATTTTTAAGCTCCCAAGTTGATCGCAAAGTGCAGCCTAACGTGATTTTCAATCTTGCCCCAACCCTCCCTGCCACGAGTCCCCAGTAACTACATTCAATATTTCAAAGACCCTAATTTCAGTCATATATGTTAGCCATGACAAACTTTCAAAGGATGAATGCTAAGTTTCTTTCCCCTAGCTGGAACTATATCAACATCTTGTCATAAACAGCTTATCACTTTCTGATTAGAAACTCTGACAAGCAGGGTTTCTAAAATAAAAATAGAAAATTAATTATTAGTTTATAAATACAGTTTTTAAGCAGACAATATCTTTCCAAACCTGGTAGATCATGGGAGAAAATAAATAGAAGGATATTTTCAGGTGAGAAAGTTGGGAAGCAATCTGATAAAATTTTCTTTTAAGCTGGTATTAAAATGAGCTTTCGGCCTTTGAACACACAATAACAGATAAATGAAAGGCATACCAGAAAGTCACTGGGTGGCAGGGAGGAAGCCAGTTAGGGGATTTTGTATTTGTGCTAGATAATGTGCACTCAGATAAGCAAAGGATGAAGTTGGTGATCTTTGTCTCTGGATTCACTTGCATTCTCTAGCTGTAGGCAGTAGCACAGCATCTTCCCATCTCCCCATCTTGCTTCTATCCATCCTATTCAGACTGGGCCCTTCAAGATCTGTCTGAGAAAAACCACGGAGAGAAGTACTAGAGATTATTTCCATTGTCTGCCAAGTTGGTCTCTTGCTATCATCCGGAAATGTTTAACATAAGTGAATCTTTAATTAACTTCAAAAAGTGCCTGTGCTTGGTCTCAGGTATGTAAACATGGCAGGACAAAAGTCACTAATGTTTGGCAAGGAGATTTTTCAAAACATCAATTAGAAAGAGTTGGTATGCCGATGAACACCCACCTTGACAGTAGGAAAGAAATTAGTGCTGATTATGAGTATCATTCTTACTTCACCAAACATTTGTTCATGATTGTGTACCAGAGAGGTAAAATCAAGAGTACATTTCTTCTTATATTTTATTGATTCCCACATTCAATAATAGAATATACCATGCACCAGGCACTGCTCTGGCACTAGAACTAGAGAAATGAGCAAATAAAAAGCCCTATCCCCATGAAGCTTAGGTCCTTACTGAGGAATATAGAGTGTGGAAGTCAGCTGCAGCCAAGAAGAGTGTATGGCAAAGCAACTGTTACCTGAAACTGTATTAAAACATTTGTGATTCAGATTTTCTTTTAAAAATAGCATATCCTTCCTTTGAATATAGAAAACTAAGGTATTCTCAACCCTTCACAAGAATATTTTTAATTCACAGTTTCCATTTTCTCAATTGACGAAATCAGAACCTAACTAAAATAAAAAACAAAACAAAACATAATTTTAGGTTCTTATGTTCTCCATCCCTAAGAGTTTACAATTCAGCATTAACTAGCCAAGAGCTTGGGTCATTCAAGTAGAGCCTACTTCTTTACAGATGATAAGAGAGACAAAGCCCTGTGTGTTTATGGACTTAGAGGTGAGAAGAGAAGGAAACACAATCTTAGGAAATCTGAAAAGAAGTTTGGAGACCAGTACAGTAATTTAGAGAACATTGACATTTAAATCAGATACTTCCATGTAATAAATATTTGCTGAATATTTCATGGGGTAGCTAGATTCCATAGATAGGGTGACATTGTTTCTTTTAAGATGTTAGTACTTTGTATGTACAATTGTAGGGTATAGGATACATTTCAGCTCTCATTTCCATTTGGTAATCCCTTGAAAAAAATAGTATAATGTGTCTATGGCTGAGTGTAAAATTATCTTGGGGAGAGCTTCTGTAGAGTATTGAGGCAAATGCTAATTGTGCCACCTTCTTGGCTTGAGTGTTTTTCAAGGAACAGTTACAAAACCTTTGAGGCACAGAAAGCGAATGAGAATCACGAAGTATTCTAGCGGCTGAAACCCAATGCTTGAGATAAGAGCTACCTTACCTAAAATACATCGAAAGGCAGCCCTGGGACAAAGAATTAATGTGAAGAGGTGCAACCAACATGTCTTCTGAAAGCCCTATGCTATGCCACATTGTTCTGAATATTTATAAAGAGCAAGTTGCCAGGTGCACCAAATTTTCAAGGAAAGTTGAACTTTCAGACTTTATAATATAAGAGTTCTGTAAAGAATTATTAAGAGGTTGAGAATGCTTTAAAAATGATAAAAAGTGATTAAAAATTTTAATTTACTATAATGTGAAGAAAAGTAAATATATTTTGATGCTTTAAGAACTTATATAGGGTAGATAAACATTTTGTAAATCAGATAACAGAAGCTTACAAATTTAACAAAAAGCAGAGAAATAACTTTTCTTGTAAGTATCTACCTACAGAAATGTTAGACAAATGCAGCAATAAATTTTACCTAGATACTTTTGAAATACTTACTGTTACTGTCCACATACTGAGTCAACAAATATCTATACTAGGTATCCCACTAATAACATATATGTGGGATATGACCCATTCCTTACATAGATGAAAACTAGCACTGACCAAGTTAAAGCATAAAAGGAAGGATTGCTAGAAAAAATAAAGGACACCAAATATTGCAGGGGACATACTTATACTAAAAAGTTTTTTGCTGTCTTTCTGAAACTCAAATTTACCTGGACATTCTTTTTTTTATTACTAAATTGGACAATCCTAAAATAGTGCATTCAAATTTTACAAAGAAAATTACTAACCCCTAAATTTATTAAACATGGTATAAAAATACTCAACTATATTATCTCTCTCCTTAAATGCTCCCAAGATTCTATGAATTGAATTGCATCCTCCAAAATTCATATTGAAGGTCTAACTACCAATGTGGCTGTATTTGGAGACAGGGCCTACAAGGAATTAATTAAGATTAAAAGTAGTCATAAGTGTTGTGCCTTGATCTAATAGGATTAATGTCCTCATAAGAAGACACATCAGAGAGCTTGTTCCCTCTCTCTCCACATGCATGTACCAAGGAAAGCCTATGTGAGCGAACAGTGAGAAGACAGCAGTCTACGAGCCAGGAAAAAAGCCCTCACTGAAACTCCACTGTGCTGGCACCCTGATCTCAGATTTTTCATTCTCCATAAAAATAAGAAAATAAATTCATATAGTTTAATCTGCTAGTCTGTCATATTTTGTTTTGGCAGCCTGAGCAGACTAAGACAGATTTTGATACCAAGAAGTGAGTGTTGCCATAACAATTACCTAAAAATGTGAAAGCAGCTTTGGAACTGTATGATGGGTAGAGATTGGAACAGTTTTGAAGTACCTGCTAGAAATATGAGCATTAAGGGTGATTCTGGTAAGGTTTCAGACAGGAAAAAGATATCATTAGAAACCGGAGGAAAGGCGATCCTTATAAAGTGGCAAAGATCTTGGATAAACTGTGTTCTAGTGTTGTGTGGAAGGTAGAAGTTGCAAGTAATGAAACTGGGTATTTAGCTGAGGAGATTTCTAAGCAAAGTGTTGAAGGAGTGACTTGGTTTCTTTTTAACCACTTAGAGTAAAATGTGAAAGGAGAGAAATGAGTTGAAAAAGAAATTGTTAAGCAAAAAGGAACTAGAACTTGAAGATTTCAAAAATTCTTACCCTATCCATGTTGTAGAAATTGACGTGTGGATTCAGAGATCACTGGAGCTGCGGCCTCAGTTTCAACAGATTAAAACGCCTTAGCCAGAAGTCTTGGGGGTAGAACTGCATGGTAAAGCCTTGTGGGCAGGATCCTTCCCTCGCAGAGCCATGGGGTTGGGAATCCTACCTAGCCCTGTGGAGGCGATACTGCTTTCCCAATGGGCCCAGAGGGGAGAGTACTCACTCAAAGAAGATTATTATTGAGCCTTAAGATCTAATGGAATTTGCTTTGCTAGGTTTTAGACTTGCTTGGAACCCTTCACCCCATTTTACTTCTCATTTTTCCGTTTTTGGAATGGGAATGTATATCTTATGCCTATCCCACCATTGTTTTTTAGAACATATATCTTGTCTGATTTTATAGGTTAACAGCTGGACAGGAATTTTGCTCAGCATGAATCATATGTTGAGTCTCACCCATATCTGAATTAGATAAAATGTAGATGAGACTTAGGACTTTAAACTTTAGCGTTGATGCTGAATTGAATTAAGACTTTGGGGGCTGCTGGGATGGAATGGATGTATTTTGCATATAAGAAGGAGTGTTGGAACAGAATACTATGAATCCAATTATGTCCCCTCATAATTCATATGTTGAAGCCTAATTCCCAATGTGACGACTATATTTGGAGATAAGACCTTTAGGAGGTTATTAAGGTTAAATGATGTCGTAAGGGTGAAGTCTTGATCTAATAGGATTTGTAGCTTTATAAGAAGAGGAGCACATATAGACTGAGGACATTTGAACACACTGAGAAAAGATGACTATTTGCAAGACAGGAAGAGAGCTCTTGCTGAAACCCAACCATCTGGAACTCAATCATGCTGGCACCCTTCCAGCCTCCTTAACTGTGAGAAAATAAATTTCTGTTGTTTAAGCCATCCAGTCTGTGGTATTTTGTTATAGCAATTGGAGCAGATTAAGACACAAGCCTACCTGTACTTCTTTATAATAGTCATCACACTCATAATTATAATAATTTCAAATTTTCCTCTTTTGCAGATTATAATCTCCATGACGACAGGGAGGACAGAGGGTGACCCAGTTGGTCTTGTGCTGTATGCTTAACCATTGGCACAGTGACCCTGGCTTATAATAGGGGCTAAGTAAATATCCGGTGACTAAACAAATATTGAATTAAGGGACTAGAAAGGTAGACAAAAATTGTGTTCACTACAATGTTATTTTTAACAAGAGAACATTAAGAAAAATGTAAATGTTCAAAACCCAGGGAATAGTTAAATAAGTTAGTTAAATTGATTATATTATAATTGCATGACAATATATCATTTAGTTGTCTTAAAAGGTCTTAATGAATACTATTTTTATTGGCATGATAAAATTCACATAAACCAATGTTAAATGAAAAATAAGACATTTATGTATATGTATACATGTACACACAAAAAGAAAAAATTGAGGAGTAAGTCCAAATAAGTGTTAACAGTGGATTTTTTTTTCCTGATTGCAAAATTATTTTTTCTTTATGTCTTTCCCTATTTTTCAAATTTGCTACAAGAATTGTAAATGCTTTTTAATAAAAAAAATTAGCTGTCAGTTGCCATGAACTGAGTTGAAAAGATGACCTATGTAAGTTGAAAAGATGACCTCAGCAAAATTGTTATAACAAGAAAACAGCAAAATTTTTATAACAAGGAAAACAAAACTAAGTTAGTCAAAGTCATTATCAGTGCAGGGCTCAGAACGAACACATGGACTCCACTGGTAAAACACCTCAATATTGACATTACACTAAGTAACACCATAAAGAAAGCCTTGAGTGTCTACAATAATTTTCTTTTCTGCAGTCTCCCAAAGTCCTTTTGCTGTCATCGCACATACATATTAGGGTCTACATTGTTTTTGAGTATGTCTGGATGGCTTGACCCACTCCTTCACCTTTCCACCAAGCAATTCTCTCCTACTTCATCTGCCTTTCAAAGGAGTGATTTAAAGATTCTATAGTACAAAGGGATATGCCCAAAGATTAAATCCTAAGGAGATCCCAGAACTTAGGGAACTTTACTTTCAGAATGTTAAGAACTTTTAGAGATTTGAGGAGAATCAATATATGAGTGTTTGCTATAGATTGAATATGTCCTTCCAAAATTCATATGTTAAAATCCTAATCCCTAAGTTGAGTAGTATTAGGAGGATGGGCCTTTAGAGGATAATAAGGTCATAAGAGTGGAGCCCTCATTAATGGATCAGTGCCCTTCATAAGCAGCCCAAGGAAGCTTCCCCTGCCCCTTCCACCACGTGAGCACACAGCTATTAATAAAAGCTGCCATGTATGAATCAGAAAATGTGTCCTCACCAGATACCACATCTGCTGGCAACTTGATCTTGGACTTCTCAGTTTCCAGACTGTGAGAAATAGATCTTTGTTGTTTATAAGCTACCCAGTTGACGATATTTTGTTATAGCACCCCAAATGGACTAAGAGCTATTGGTGAACTTCTGTCATATCATAAATATTATTTGGAGGACATTGTTTGACAAGAGTCCTAGAATTACATTTGTATCTATTGGAGTATAAGAATTTATACAACTGGAAAAATACATTCTGCTGTAGAAATAACTTGCACCTTAGTTTTGTGTGTAGTTTGTTTTATTTTTTGAGAGTTGTTGTGTTGTAGGTACTTTACTTTCTTTCAGCCCCAAAAAGATGAAGTGGTATATACATATATTATATTCTTACCTCATTATTTTATTTCTTTGTTAGTAGTGAGAGTTCAAATCAACACGTATTGATTGAGTATGCACTACCTGAAAGGCACTGTCTTAGGTTTTGGGGATACAAAGGCAAGTGGAAATGAACCTCTAGTTGCTCAGGAAAGACGTGTGCTCTAGGGAGATGCACACAGTCATATAAACAGATAATGTCACTGAATGTAAGAACTGAGACAAAGCCATGTAGGGGGCATTGGTGCAGAAAGAAAGGACCCTGAAGTGAAGGCCATTACTGCCCTATCAAGATTTCTTCTTCAGCCTGGTGCTGAGAATGTTGGTTGCTAAAGGCTCATGGCTGCCCCCTTCCCTAGAGAATTTCCTTTGACAAAATGACAACTTCTTCTAGGTGAGGGGGGCACCAACTTTATTAAGAAGCTCAGTGGTGTCTGTCCTTTGTAGATCAGTACTGATGATCATTATTGATTCTGTTATAGATCTGTGCTCCCTGACAGTAATGGAAATAGTAAGATCTCAAAATAGCAGAGGACAGATGGCAGCACTTGACCATCAGAAGCAAGGTGGGCATGATTATCAAAATGCACAGCACGTAGCAGGCTCTGATCAGTAGGGATTTAAGGAGATGGCTAGTAGAATATGTTGATTGTAGGGCGAGATCAATGGGCAAGCAATAAGTGTTTTGCTTAATATATATAATCAATCCAAATATATTTAAAAAAAGATGATCAGAATACTAAGGTCAGCCACCTCAATGGAAAGTCAGGATTCCTTGCCCAGTTTACAGGCTTAGCTTGTCCTCAGTTCCATAACCTATTGCTTGAAGTAGTGGTCAAGTTCCTACAAGAAAGTTCCTTAAAACACCATGGAAAGTTTATACAGCAGTGATTCCTCCAGCCTTTCTCCAAAGGGATAAATAGCCATTTACCTGGGTAAACATAAACTGGGAAAAGTGAGATGTTTAATCAGGAATCTGAGTTGACTGCAATAGCTAGGGACCTCAAGTACCATCATGGATCCTCTCATTAGAGTAAAGCTATATACGGGTCAGAAGTTCTAGCATATGTCCGTCTCAAAGTGGGTCCACAGGGTCCGTGAACCCACCCTATAGTTATTTCCTGGCTAGAAAAATTTATAATCAGAATACACAAACTTAAAATTTGGAAGAACCCTCACATTGAGTAGTAGAGAAAACATGTGTTATAGTAGGTGACATGGTTTGGCTCGGTGCCCCCACCCAAATCTCATCTCGAATTGTAATTCCCACATGTCATGGGAGGGACATGTAATCCCCATGTGTGGAGGGAGGATTGCCCCCATGCTGTTTATGTGATAGTGAGTTCTTATGAGATCTGACGGTTTTATAAGCGGCAGTATCCCCTCTCCTTTCTCTTCTCCTCTCTTTTCTCTTCTCCTCTCTTTTCTCTTCTCCTCTCTTCTCTCTCCTGCAGCCTTGTGAGGAAGGTGTCTGCTTCCCCTTCTGCCATGATTTTAAGTTTCCTGAGGCCTCCCCAGCCCTGCAGAACTGTGAGTCAATTTAACCTCTTTCCTTTATAAATTACCCAGTCTCAGGGCAGGCAGTTCTTTACAGTAGTGTGAAAACAAACAAAAACAGTAGGAAAATCCAAATGAATATCTCTGAAACTTCCAAGACAATACATCAAAAGCAATATCACATCCTAGGTAAAAAGGCAGAAATGGATACACCCCCAGAAAACTTTAAGGGATGAATGGATCACAGTGCCCATAAGTCCCATTTAATTCACTCATCATGAAATGTCCGTAGACAGAATGACTCAGCCAGTTGATGTCAGCCTCTAAACTCCACCTTCCTGGCTAACCAGATGCTGGAAAACCTTTTTCTGGATAGAGTAGATTTCATGTGAGAAACAACTGGGTACAAGTGGTACAAGGGATAAACTCTCATAAATCTGTTGGTGCCCTGCCAAACTCTCCTGTTTTCCAGGCCAGTGATCTCATCCTGCAGCTACTGTAAGTTCATCTGCTAATGGATTACAGCTGCTCCCATTTCTGGAGAATTGTCCTTAACCAAATGGGAACTACATCACCTGAGAGATAACACAACTCACCCCTAACAGGGTCAGCCTGCAGTCAATGACTCACTGACATGGTCAACAAAGGGCTATGCCAAATCTGTGGTTCAATTCATATTCCAGAGCTCCCATGGGATCAGGCTGAAGAGCGCTCCAACTGATACTGTATTCCTGTTTACTCCTTCTTTTGTTCTGTCTTGCTTCCCTCACTCCCTTTCTCTTGAGAGGACTTTCTCAATAAATTATGTGCACTAAAATTCTTGCCTCAGGCTCTGCTTCTAGAGAACATGACCCAAGATAGAATCCTAGTGCTGATTGCCAAGGAATGCTCTTTAGAGAATAAAGTGCCTAATATGAGACTTGAAGTATTAAAGACTAAAATAAAAGTCAGAAATGGACATTACTTAATATCTTGGTTTTCGCATCTTTGTACTTAGAGTTTCTCCATTGAGAAAGAGATTTTCAAGGATGATCAATTTCCACCAAGTATTCTTCGTGATAATCTGGAATTTATTTAATCTGGAATTTAGTTAATTGCAGAAAAATCCAAATTTGTGGCAACATTTGTCAGCATGAAAAAACAGTCATTTCTTTTTCGTGAAATATAAACTAATTCATGTATCCATTTAATTAACAACTACTTTCTGAATACTAATTAGAACTGGGCATTGTGTTGCCTGCTAGGGACTCAAGAGGGAGCCAGACTGTCTCCTGCCCTTTCAGAGTTTAGTAGCATCTGAGTCTCTCTCAGTTTGTCTAGAAAGGTGAGAGCCCAGAAGGGAGAAACCTGTGGCTTTCCGAGGGGAGGGTAATATGAGTGGTCTTCCCAAGTAAAGACAGGTGGAGACACTATCTGTAGAGAATCTAAAACAGTGACAAAAAATAAAAGAAGTCATTGTTCCTTTTATTATCACCATGTGCTGGCAATTTTTAACAATGGTAGTGACAATGCACTCTTCCCTCCCACCTTTAAATACTACTGAAGATACCTACAATGTTATTAATATCTCCCTTTGGTATTTGGACAACCCTGTTTAGCGTTTCCCAAAGTTGGGGCTCACAATATCTTGTATCACCATTTAGGAGTAGCAGGAAGGAGGATTTTAGAGTAACTTTTCCTAAAATAAACCTTAAGACTCTCTCCACTAGTGTTCTCTCCCTTACAGAGAGAGGCAGAGAGCTCTCTCCCTTAGAAAAGCAAGATTGAGAAGCTAGTCATGATGTGACTCTCACTTTTTGCTAGGGCTGGGGTGGGGATCAGGCCAGCACATAATTTGCCTCATTGTAAGTGTGTACATTTTCTCTAGATTTAAGATTTGAGAAAAGAAGAAGGGAATTAATGAAAAGAGAGGACAAAATCAAACACTTTCTGCAAGTCCAAAGAGTTTGACTTGTATGGGCTCTGGGAGAAGACTTGATCTCTTAACTTGTGCTGGCAAAAGGCTTAAAGTCACTTATTCTTGCAAACAAAGTCAAAGACCAACTGTTCATTCCTAGGGATTTGGTGGTAGTAACTTGCCTAGATTTTGTCAGTAAAAAGAGATAAAGTTCGAAACAACTACAGACTTTTTCCTATTCAGCAAGCTTACAAAACAAGCCTGTGACTTTAAAATCTTCACAACTTAACCTGAATAATTAATATTCTGCCACCTGCATTAGTCATCAGCATGGGTTAGAATGACCAAATGCATTACTTTCCAACCTGAAATTCTGTGCTGCTCTGATTTGATAAAGCATTATACCTCCATCAGAGACATCTAAACAATATGGATTACATATTATGTGTTAAATAAAATTTTCATATGTGAAACTTTTCTACAAGAACGTAAGAGTAAAAACAAAGAAAAATGTAAAGTTATTTGGCAGAACTTAATATAGACCTGCTCTGTCCAATACTGAAGTCATAGGCCACATGTAGCTATTTCAATGACTGAATATTCAATCAAATTAAAAATTCAGTTGATTTTATTTTGGAAATAATTTAAAGCTAATATAGTTGTTGAAAAAAATAGCACAGGGAGTTTCATGTACCCTTCATCCAGTTTCCCCCAATAATAACATCTTACATAACCATAGAGCAATGATCTAAGCTAGAAAATTGAAGTCAGTACAATACTATTAACTAAACTACAGACTTTATTTGGATTTTACCAGTTTTAATGTGTACTTTCTTTGGTGTTTAGTTCTATGACATTTTATCACATATGCAGATTTCTGTAACAATAATTGTAATCAAGATACAGAACTGTTTATCACCCATTTATAATTATGCCTTCCCCCAAACTCTAAACTTGGCAAGCACTGATCTGTTGTGCATAAGTATAATTTAGTCCTTTCGAGAATGTTATATAAATGGAACTATACATTATATAATATTTAAAGATTTTTTTTGTCATGCAGCATAATACCCATCAAGTTGTTGCATATATCAACAGCTTATTTCTTTTCATCACTGAGTAGTATTCCATTGTACAGATGTACCATAATTTGTTTATACATCCACCTGTGGAAAGATATTTGTTTCTAGTTTCTTACTCTTACAAATAAAGCTTCTATGAACATTTGTGTTCAGATTTTGTGCAGATCTTCTGTCTAGTAATTTATTAATTACTGAGAGAAGCCCCCAGATATAAGTGAGGGTTTTCCTATTTCTCCTTTCAGTTATGTCCCTTTTTGCTTCATGTATTTTGAAATTCTGTTGCTTGGTGCATGCATGTTTAGGGCTGGTATGTGTTCTTTGGTTAATTAACTCTTTTTATCATTTTGTAGTGTCTCTCTTTGTCCTTGATAATTTTCTTTGCTGTGAAGTCTACTTTGTCTGATATTAATATGGACATACCAAATTTCTTTTGATTAATGTTTGTACAATTTTCCTGTACTTTTAAATTACCTATAACATACCTAGAGTTGAAGTAAGCCTCTTGTAGGCAGCATGAAGTTGGATTTTAAAATCCATTTTGTCAATCTTTGTCTTTTAATTAGTATGTGTAGACCACTTACTTTAAAAGTAACTGAGGCCGGGCACAGTGGCTCACACCTGTAATCCCAGCACTTTAGGAGGCTGAAGCGGGTGGATCACCTGAGGTCAGGAATTTGAGACCAGCCTGGCCAACATGGTGAAACCCTGTCTCTACAAAAAATACAAAAATTAGCTGGGCATGGTGGCAGGCACCTGTAATCCCAGCTACTCGGGAGGCTGAGGCAAGAGAATCGCTTGAACCCGGGAGGTGGAGGTTGCAGTGAGCTGAGATCATGCCATTGAACTCCAGCCTGGGGGACAAGAGGAAGACTTTGTCTCAAAAAAAAAAAAAAAAAAAAAAAGAAGTACTTGTTAGTTTTTTAGAATTCAGGTATGCTGTTTTATTATTTGTTTTCTGTTTGTTTCCACTGCTTTTTGTTTCTCTGTCTTCTTTTTTGGACCTTCCTGTGAGTTATATAAACTTTTTTAGAATTCAATTTTAATTTCTCTATAATGATTTTATTTCTCACTTCATGTAGTTTAAAATATTCATACTTATTACTGTCTATTATTATCAATATTTTACCATTCCAAGTAGAATGCAAAAGCTTTATCATCATTTAAATCTCTTTACTTGCCTTCATCTAAAAATCAATAATGGTCAATTATATTTCTTTATGTATTACTTTTTCTATTTTTTTATTTCTGATGTTCCAAGTTTTTTCTATATTATTTTCTTTATGTCTGAAGAATTTTCTTTGACACATTCTCTTAGTTTTCTTCATCTAAAAATGTCTCTATTTCCTAGTACCTCCTTGTTCACTTCAGTACACCAATCTCCACACTGACCCCTGGGATACTTCTTTATTTCTCAGACCTCTAGTTTCATTCCCTGCTTAAAGTTTTCCCAAACTAGAGAGAAATTTTTGTTAGATATAGAATTCTGACTTGACAACTGTTTTTGTAAAGAAAAATTACTTGAAAAATGTTGTGCCACTTTCTTCTGGCTTCTGTAATTTCTGAGGAGAAACCCACAGTGATTCAAATCATTGATCTCCTAAAACTGATGTATTATTTTCTCTGGCTACTTTCAAGATTTTGTCTTTGCTTTTAGTTTTCAAAAATCTGATTATTATGTGTCATCTGGGTGTGGATTTATTTTGATTTATTATGCTTGAGTTTTGCTGAGTTTATTATCTATTGGTTTGTAGCTTTCACCAAATTTGGGTAGTTTTCAATCATTTTTTCTTTGACTATTTTTTCAGGCCCTCCCTTTTTTTTTGTCTGCTTGGTTGTTTACTTTTTAGATGTGGTATCACTATATTGCCCAGGCTTCTCTCGAAATCCTAGGCTCAAGAAATCCTTCCACCTCAGCTTCTCAAGTAGCTGAGTTTACAGGCATGCATCACAACATGTTTTTGTTTTTGTTTGCTTGTTTGTTTGTTTTGTTGTTAGACCCTCACTCTTTCCCATCTCCCTCTGGAATTCCAATATGATACTAATATTATATTTTTGTTATTGTCCCACAGGTTTCTGGTGTTCTCTTCATTTTTTTCAAGCTATTTTCTCTCTTATTCGGACTGGATAATTTCTATTGATATACCTTCAAGTTCCTCTAACATCTCCATTCTGCAATAATATTCATCCAGTGAGATTTTAATTTTAATTACTGTATTCTTCAGTTGAAAAAATTTTCTATTTTGTTCTTTATATTTCCTATTTTTTGCTGAAACTTTCTATTTTTTTCCATTCATTTCAAGAGTGTTTTTAATTGCTTGTTGAAGCATTTTTATCATGGTTTGTCATATAATTCCCACCTTTGTGTCATCACGGCATTGGCATATGTTCATTGTCGTTTCTCATTGAATTAAGATTTTCCTGGTTTTTGGTATAACAAATGATTTTGGGTTGATTCCCAAACATTTTGAATAGTATGTTAAGAGAATCTAGTACAAAAAAAAAAGTCTTATACTTCTGCAGGCAGTCAACCATGAACACCTTTTCGTTTACTTTTATGGACTTTGGTTTGAATTTCAGTTTAGTTTTCAAAGTCTTTGCAGTGTTATTTTGATCTGCTTCATCTGTGTGCTTCCCAGAGTCCAGTCTGAAGCCTGGTTGATATTACACACCATAGCTCAGTTCTCAAAAATTTAGTTATGTTGATTCTGATTGGTTTTATTCAAATGCACCATTTTTTTTTTTAGAGGGTGGAGGGGACCAATCCAGGACATTAGTAATAGAATTAAAGGATCCTTTTCTTTATCTTGCTCCTTTTTTTTTTTTCACTTCTCCCTTCAGTCTCTAGTTTGCTGTCATTGCTTAGTGCCATCCTAATCACATTTTAAGTCATGAATGGCAACACTTGGTTAGTTAATTTTGTATTGGACAATGCAGATATAGAAATTTTCTATCATTTCAGAAAGTTCTATTGCATAGTAAACCTTTCTCTTCTTGAGTTGAAATCATTTCCTTTCCTAAAGATGATAAACTATAGAAAGAAATAAAAGTAATAAAAAATAAATGAGGAGGATAAGAAAGAAAGAACTATAAAACCTGAAGATACAAAAAAAAAAAAAAAGTAACAAGAAAAGACATCAGAGAGAAGTTGAAAATGCTCAAATGGAATAAATCTTGATTAAAACAGGGCTGAGGGCAATCTTCTATGCATAGGCTTTCCCTGTTATTCTCAGCACTTAAACAGTTTTATATGTCAGAGATCAAAGTTGTTTTCCAAAGCTGTGCTTCTAAAGCAGTAGGTTTGGCCTTTACATTGTCATTCCCTTACCTCATTCTCTGTAGTTAAAGGATATCAGCATTTTAGAGCACAAAGGCCACTTTAAAACAATGTGGAATTAAAATGGTACTTCAAAACAATGAGGACACAAAAATATACATTTGGGCATGGCAAGGCTAGCTTCCTTGCTACGTTTAGACTTGTGGAATTTAACAAAATTCAAGTCCCCATAGGTACTTCTGGCTACTGGAGCTTTGCTCCTGCTTATGTATTGATAAAGATGCAATCCATTGATCTTCTGGTCACTGAGGAAGAATCATCATGGATTGCTGCCATTATTCACACTTTGACTTATGGACGAAAGAGAGAAAACCGATATGCAGTCCCCAAAGTAGGTCATATTGTGGGGGTCCAGTGTAGAACCAAAGGAAGTTCATAGCCCCAGGCCAGAGGGAAAGAGAAAAATTTTCAGCAGGGAACAGAAGGTCTAGAGGTCTGAGAAATAGCAAAAGGGATAACCCAGAAGGCAGTGTGGAGATTAGATAAATGAAGTGAACATGGAGATACTAGTAAATCAAGGGATAGCTTGGGACTAATCTAACCAGGGTTCCTTTCTCAGCACCTTCTGGAAGCAGACATTGAAGGATAGAAATGGTTGGGGCAAAAGTTGCAATCCAGACAGTTTCTTTTCATAGAATTTTCCAGAATTAGGGTTTTCCTTTCCTAGCACATAACCTAGGAAAAAAAAAAAAATAAGCCCCAAAAGGTATCTTCTCTTCTTATACCTTATATCAAAATTTCTCTAAAATTCTCAAATTTCACCTCAATACCCCTCTATCCTTGTCACCAGAGGACGCCAAGCACTATACCTACTATGTGTATATTTTTACTGACAACATCATATTTTAAGCAATGCAATCTAATTATTCAAAGAGCAGGCTTTCAATCCTAATATGATTTATAAAAAGGAAATATAGCCACACAAAAGTGAAAGAGACACACTAGATAAAAACGAAAATTAATGGCCTTATTTTGTGCATTTATTAAGAAGTCATAATAAGAAACCTAACAATAGTTTTCAGGATCAACAGCATTTTTTTTCTTCCAAAATGGCACCAGGGTGTGGTATAAATGGTTAGACTGAGAGTCATATAAAACCAGGTAAAGATTTATCTTCTGTCATTTAGTAGTTCCATTATCCTTGAAAAATGACATAAGCTCTCAGCTTCAATAAAATGAAAGTAATCATAATGCCTATCTTGCAAAGTCATTATTAGGATTAAATGAGATAGTGTGTGTAAGGTGCTTAGCATGCATCTGGCATAAACTTGGCACACAATGAATGTCACCTTTCTTCCTTTCTTCCCTCTAACTTGTGATACCATCACTTCTTTTGGGCCTTCTCCAACCTTTCTACTGTCCTTCATCCATGCTGCTGGCCAGCTTCCCTCTTCTCATCTCAGCTCCCTAATCTCTTTAATAAAACCCGAGTTGCTACTGTCATCATGTGTTTTGTAATTGGGCATTGTTTCTATTAATTAAAATAAAGCATTTAAAGGAAGTGCCTAGTGAAATAACAGATCTGGTTCATCACTAGCTTTTTGACTCTCATGGTTTCCTCACTTGTCCACAAGGTTTGCCAGTGAACAGTTGATTCAGTTTACTTTATTGGACTAACTCAGTGTTCATGTTTATTTTACAGTGTTTATCTTTATTCCCAATTATTCTAACCCACAGAAAGAAAGCAAGGCCCTTCATAAAATGGAGCATGAAGTTTCAATTTTCACATGAGTCACACTGGTGAATAGTATGTTCTTTGGTCTTGGGCTCAGTGCATGCTGCAAATCAAAAGAGGATGGGAAGCTTTTTGTGCATGTAAACAGCTGGAACACAGTGTTAAGTTGATAGTATGAAAAAATCTGAAGCCTTTTCTTGAGTCTGTGCAGGGAATAAAACTAGGAAGAATCATTTTACACCCATGGGAAGGATTTACTGGTTTATAAATATGATAAACCTTCCTTAATACTGGTGCTTTGAACTTGCTGAGCACCTTTCAGCAGTGGATTGCAAAGCACTTCACTAACAGTAAGCCTTGGGACCCTCGGGATGGAGGTATTATTTCCATTTCATAGTTAGGGAAATAGATGCAAGGACTGACTTGCTCAGGAACACAGAGTAAGTCCCAATCAAGCATATACCCCCATGAACCCAGATCAAATCTAACCTCTAGGCTACTCTTGCCCCCACATATTTATTTTGCAAAAGGAAAACAATGATTTCAAATATATACTCAGTTAAGCATTAGGATATATCCCTCTCCACCTGTTTTAACACGTTTTTGAAGTTTTGCTTGTTTTTACACTGGCAGGATTTTCGGATGATTAGTTCTGAGTGTCTTTTGTTTCAAGTGTCTCGTGTAGGGGATGAGAGAAATCGGATGATCAAGGGTCTTTTCACTGCTTAGTCACTACTTCAGGTTCAGTCTAGTTGGGTGGTGACCCACAGGGAATATTTCAATGCCAGGAGAAGTAAATATGCCAGTTGTCTTAACCTGGTCTTGGAGCAGGTAGGCTCTGTTGACTTTAAAATGAAAAATGAAACAATTTAGATCAAGCTGTTTGGGCTCTGTGCAGAAGAATCCCATGAATCCCTGTGAACATCGGCAGAAAAGTTTAGAAGAGTATAATCTTAGCAACAGAAAATGATGTTCTTTTCAGAAAAATAAACAAAAAATTTAGGGCAAGTCCACTGGAAGAAGGGGCAGTAGAGGAAGATAGAGATTGGGGAATGAAAAGCTAATTTGTAAACAGATTTCAGGAGAGTGGTGTAAACTCTCTAGATCAGGATAATCAAAGGGAAGAAGCAAGCAGGTGATTGTGAGTTGTTGGGAAAATAATTTTATCACACCGATATCACCCCCAAAATAAGAAAATGAACAGGCCTAGTTTTTAAATAGAAATTTACATCTATTTGATTATTTAGTATAGGAGCAACAGATCAAAGAGTAATTGTAAATCATTACTGTGAAGTCCAACATTTAAACTACCAAGGGCGATAAATGGAATAACAATTAAAGATTATTACTCATGAAAGGTACTGCATTAACGAAGGCTTTTCCAACACTCCATCCCACCCCTAAATACACAAAAACTACTTGAGACAAACATATAACCTCCATCCAAACTTCATCATCTAAGGGAAATTCACCAACAAAACATTTTGGGGACAATTACATAACCTTCATCTAAACTTCATCATCAGCCTCAGTGGCTGGCAGTTGCTCCCTATTTCTTCTTCCCTCCCTTTCAATGTGTAAGATCTGGGAACAGGAAGTAGTATTTACTCCTTGGTGTCAGTAGAACAATGATGGATACTGAGAATGTCTTTCACTCTAAACATTGACCACAGCAAGGAAATGTTCCCATAGGAATATTTATAAAGCTGGTGCTTTCATTTCTGAACATCCAGGTTATTTTTATTGTGATTTAAAAAAATATTAAGAATAAATTGTCATTTTAATTAAAGAAGAAAATAAGGTTCACAGAGCCAGAGAAGCCCATATGAACTTCGTCCAGACATACTCATGGTTTGGAGGTGGGGAGGTGCGTGAATATTTAATAATGCTTTTTTACAAAAGGGATCTTATCTAGAGACAATTTCGCTTGCAATTCTATACAACATCCAGTAGTGCCATAGAACATTTTTGTCTGTGTTACTATACAAACTACATGTTTAAGGTTAAAGTTTCCATTTTATGGGAAAACATCATTGTCTTAAACAGCTTCTGTAGCACTTTGGCTCCTCTCTTCACCACGACTTTTCTTTTTTCTTTTTTTTTATTGAGATGGAGTCTCACTCTGTCGCCCAGGCTGGAGTGCATTGGCACGATCTCGGTTCACTGCAACCTTCACCTCCCAGGTTCAAGCAATTCTCCTGCCTCAGCCTCCTGAGTAGCTGAGACTACAGGCACACGCTACCATGCCCGGCTAATTTTTGTATTTTTAGTAGAGACAGGGTTTCGCCATGTGGTCAGACTTGTCTCAAACTCCTGACCTCAGGTGATCCGCCCTCCTCGGCTTCCCTAAGTGCTGGGATTACAGGCGTGAGCCACCGCGCCCGACCACCACGACCTTTCTTTTGGAGAAAGTGATACCTACGGCCATGGTTTCCAAACTTGTTTGACAGCACTTTATGCCCCAGAATATAAACAGACAAAATTAGTATTTATTAGTGTATTTCCTCTATATAATTCATTTATAACATTGGCTTATAAAATCAGTTGTTGAATACAACTAGTATTTTGTTTTAGAAAATAATTTGAAATCAGCCTCGATATTTCATTTTTGGCCTTAATTAGTTTAGGTTATACAGTATTGAGAAAAATCCTGAATCAACCATGTAAAGTCTTTACAAATAGTGGAACTTCTGAACAACGTTCCCATCCCTTGCAATTTCAACATAGCCTTCAATTAAATGGATGTCCTCAAAAGAGCAAATAGGAACATTTCTATTCAAAAATTGGATCATCAATAATATGTAAAAATTGCTCCTTTCTCATAAATATAGAGATTGGAAGAGAAGCATTCAAAATTTACAGTAAGTATTCCAAACTATATTGAATGAGGTAACTTGTCATTTATATTTGCACTACTGTGCCGTTATGCTGGAAACAGAATTTGTTCTGAATAGATCCTTGCACTTGACTTGGCATTTAATGGAGTGCAATTGTCAGTGTAAGATTTATATAGTTATACCCAAGTAGACGTGAGCAGTCCTGATTTTTTTTCTTTTCCTTTTTTTTTAAATTTTCTTTTTGTTTTTTTAATTTAAGCTTTCTTTAAAGTTCGGGAGTACATGTGCAGGTTTGTTATATAGGTAAATTTATGTCATGAGAATTTGTTGTGCAGATTATTTCATCACCAGGTACTAAGCCTAGTTCCCATTAGTTATTTCTCCTGATCCTCTCCCTCCTCCCACCCTCCACCCTCCAAAAGGCCTTAGAGTGTGTTGCTGCTTCTACGTGTCCATGTGTTTTCATCATTAAGCCCCCACTTATAAGTAAGAACTTGCAGTATTTGGTTTTCTGTTCCTTAGTTTGCTAAAGCAAACTAACCCCAGCTCCATCCATGTTCCTGCAAAGGACATGATCTCATTTCTTTTTATGGCTGCATAGTCTTCCATGGTGTATATGCATGTGGTGTACCACATTTTCTTTATCCAGTCTACCACCGACAGGCATTTAGGTTGATTCCATGTCTTTGCTATTGTGAATAGTGCTGCAATGAGCATACACATGCATATGTCTTTGTAACAGAATAGTTTATATTCCTTTGGGTATATATCCACTAATGAGATTACTGGGTCCAATGGTATTTCTGTTTTTAGGTCTTTGAGGAATCGCTACACTGTCTTCCACAATGGTTGAACTAATTTACACTCCCACCGACAGTGTATAAGAGTTCCTTTTTCCCTGCAACCACACCCGCAAGTCTTAAATTTTTAAATGAACATTTAGGCACCATTACATTTCTAATTAATGATACATTTAGGAGAAGTAAAAGTATTTCCACTGAAGGCAGAAGAAATGTATTTTGAGTTTATACAAAATGAGTAAACCTGAGAGTACAAGATAAAGTAGGAGTGATATTAAAGAGTTAAAATTTAATATATAGTACCCTGAACACACATGCCACTTCTATTCTTTTTTACAAAATAGTTGAAGTTTATGTCTAGAATAAAATTCAAACCAAACATTTGAGGATCCCTGAAGCACTTTGCAGAATTCCTCTAGTGTCTGGCATAGTGCCTGACATAAAATAAGTAATGAATATCTGTTGAATGGATAGTATATTCTAGTTTGAAAATTCATGGGCATCATCTAGCAAAGGTTTCTCAAGACTCTTTTAGCCTCTCAAGGGGAGGTAAAACAGAAAACTAAGTCATTCTGGGCTGCTATCTACCTTTGGTACTTAACTACCATTAAGCTTATTTTTCATGACCATTTTACAATGGAGGTATTTACATGTGTAACTGGAGGTCTGTAAGGAAAGTATCATTATCCCAATATTGTAGCTTATAAAAATCAAGGCAGAATAATACTTACTAGAGTCTATTAATGAGTAAAGTGTGGACTTGTAATTTAGAACCTGGGCATGGGGCCCCATAGGACATGCTGCCCCTCCCTCATCTCTCTGCCCTTGGTACTCTCCACCTCTCCCTCCCCATCTCCCCAGTTTCTCATCTCCCTGATGAGCTAAAAGCATTATATATAATTTAAAGCCTAGTTGAATTTTGGAGTTGGTCAGAAACAGCTATCATGGCTAGTTCACATAAAAGAGGATTGAAATGATAATATGCAGTATATACACTATACATACCATATAATTAACAGTGTAAATAGAAACCATTTCTACACATCGTGTGTATAGAATCAATTTCTGAAGGCTTGGAATAAACTACATTGCCTATCATATCTGAGGATTTCACAGTAAAAGGGCTTTCCTATTGAGAAATGAACAATTATTCTTCCCTCTATAACTTTTAAGAGTTGCTTAAATATTTTAGCTCTCTTTCTCCTAGAAAATGGAGACTGTACTAAACAAATAAACATAGAGTGTTAAAATGTCCCTGCTGATAATTTTACTGAACCTCTGAAAAATCATCTCTGTTGCATAAATAATGCTGGAGACAATAGTCAAGGATCAGGGTTTTTCAGCACACAATGTAGGCTTTGTACAGTGGATGTTTTCCCTGTTTTTTTTTTTTTCTCCTCGATAGAGTGGTAACAAAAGTAGAGCTTTCCCACTTTGTCCCAGAGATGGGGGTTTTAAGTCTATTGAGGGCAACTTTGTGCCTTATCTAAGCCTCTCACCATGGGCAACTTAGGAGGAAAGGCTGGCTTCGTTGGTCCCTGGACAGGAAAGAGGGGCCACTGTGGGGACAAGGAACAGGTCTCTGCTTAAGTGGATCTGACAGCTTTGCATTAAAAAAGATGTTTATCCTTGTTTATGGCATATCCCTTCTCCTTTTATAATTCCCATGATTGGTGTTACTTTTTATAGTAAGCCTGACTGTCTGGGAAGGATCCACATTGTTCCAATGCCTTAGAAAGCAAAGGGAAGGGTGAGAAACCTTCAGAAATGCTATCTGCAGAAGATTCTTCCTTTTAGAATCTACAGAGCAAATGAACTCTTTGTGTGTTCGCTCAAGCACATATATGCAGTATATATAACATGGGCGCTTTTTGAATGGGTGACTTAAATGAAAGAATTATAGCTTTTCTTTATATACTTCTGCAGCTTCTTTGGTATGTTGACTATATTTTCAAATTAATATTGGTTATTAATAATTCGTTTGCTCAAAGTTATATTCTAATGTCACTTTTTGTGGTGTAATAACTGGAAAGAATCCTACTGTCTTTAACGTTTAGAAATACCTATGGAAAACTCCAAAAACACTCTGATCTACTTTAACTATTTACACTGTCATTGTAGTAAGAAAAGTAAGGAAACTTCCAACTAGAGTTTAATTTTGAAGAGGATGCAGGGTATCTTTTAGAAAGATTTTCTTAATCATTTGGATTAATCCTGACTTTCAACTCTAGATAAAAAATAGGATATCCCATAAGAAGGATTTGCAACATGTAGGGAATTTTTTGCCAACCAGGAAAAGCTCCCAGGGTCTAAGTTATTAAAGTTACATTTATTGGTGATTATGTCTATTTCCTGTATAAAATGAAATTTCAAAACAAACACTTGAGTCAAGAAAAGTCAACTAAATGACATGGTTTTTATACATGTAAAAGAAGTGGTCATTTTCAAAGGGGCTCATATGGCTTGGTAGATGAACTAAAATGAATGTGAGAGCTTAACATCAACTCCTGACAAACTCTGATACAGTTGTAGACAGACAGACAGACACACACACACACACACACACACACACACACAAAGAGTTCACAAGGAAAATAGACAAACTGCCCAGAGACACCCAGATTTAATCTCATCAAGGGGCTCTTGAGATGTTGTAAACCAAGTAACTAGAGTTTGACTAGTTGAGACTGTCCCTAGACCTTCTGGGTAGGATTAATTCCATGTAATTCTCTATAGCCCTTTCTAATTGGTTGAGATGTATGAGACGCCACACATAATGGAATCACTTAGCCATCTGCATCTCACATGAGCAGATGTGATGTATATATTTTCAAATAAAAAAAAAACCATTCTCTTAAGAAGAAGAGAAGCCAGAAATTGGTTCTACCTTTACAGGAACATAGTGCATACCTTTCTTCCCAATACTGTGATAAACATAAATGGTTAACACCAAAGCTGCTACATCAGCAATTCCACCCCTGGGAGAAGGGACAAATTATATTGTAAATGAACCTAGCTGCTGCAGAGCCCAGGGCTCCACTCTAGGTTGGACTTTTGAGTTTTGGTAAAAGTAAATATTGACATTAAGAGCAACTCTACCAAGCCCTGTGCAAGTACGCAAACTGATATCATCTTATAAAATAGATCTTCAAGAAATTAAATGGTAACAAAAATAACATACACCAGATGGAACACTTACACAAATCTGTGCCTACTACCCACCAAAATACTTACTCATTCTGATTGAGTTAGGAAATAAAAAGCACTGGTATGACATGAAGGTTACACAGTCAGCTAGTTAGTTGAATTTCTCACTTTTCAATTTGTTTGTTACAGTACTATATAAACACAACCTGAGCCCACAAGTCATTACAGTAAACCAAACTCAAACAAAAAATAGTCCAACAGTACACAGTGACCACCATACACACTTAATACTCATTCTTTACTCTACCCAAACACATCCTAATGAGAGCTAGATACTGTTTGGCATTAGCAAATTGTTACTAGTGAACCATTGGCTGGCAGCTGGCAAGAGAGATACTATTCTCCTTCACCTCAAAGAAGAAACCTTTTCTGGATTAACAAGGAACTGACTTAGAGGAAGGCCTTCCCCAACTCTAACCATCCAACGGCTTTTTAAAATTTTATAGTCCCTTCCAAAACCTTATTCAGGGTTGTAGAAGAATTCTAAACCACAACATTTTCCTAATCCAAGATCACTCACTAAAATCAAAATCTATGGATATATTTTTGATAAATTTTGCCTGCTACCATCTTAAGAAGGCTACATAAGGCAAATGGTCACCCAGAAATGGTCACCAAGTGTCAAAGCTCTGGAGGGCAGCATGGGATTGTTTCCTGGTCAAGTGTACTACACCGACTTTGCCCTGCTCATCCCCTCATTCTTTCTTTTCTCTGCCCATCATAAGTGGACTTGGTATCATCCCTCCTCCTCACATTCATGATAGAATGGACCACATTCCCCCAAGATAGTTTCCTCTACCTGGAATACTCTTCCCTCACTCAGTCATGTTGCTGCCCAAATATCACTCAGTTATCACAAAGGCCTCCCCTAACCCCTCTATGTAAACTAACCCAGCAACACCATCTCTCTCTATTTAGTTATTCTGCATTGTTCTTCCTCGTAGCCCTGACTTGCAATGTTTGTATTTTGGCTGCTTCTCCCCCATTAGTATGTCAGCTCCTTGGGGTCAGGACTTTGCATTTTTTTGGTGTTCAATGTTGTATCCTCTAATACCTGGCACAGTACCTGGCAAATAGTCTGCCCTTATGAGATATTTATTTTACAAATTGATAAGTGAATGATAAGAGGCCTTTGCCTAGAGTTTTCAGAAGCACTTAAGCCATTTATTGAATTTTTATGGTATGTGGCACCCAAATTTTTTGTGTGGTTCAGAGACAAGACATTAAAGCAGAGGACCTGGGGATTTCCTTCAGGCTACAGGACAACCCAGAGTTGGTCAGTGATTGGTGAAGGCCACTGTGGTCTGATTACAGGATTAAAATCCTTAGTCTGTATTCAAAGTCCTCTAGCATATGGCTCCACTTTACTTTTCATCCTTCTGGTTCTTGGAGTAAGCATATATATTCTCAGTCAAACTGAGCTATTTTCTACCAGGTGTGTTCATCTCTGCCACTGTACTCTATTTATGATATTCTATTTGCCCCAAAATGCTCTTTCTACCCTTCCCATTCTTCCCAGCACTGCTTGCCCATCACCATGTATCTAAATTTCACTTCATGCCTCCCTCAAGACCTCCTCTAGGAATCATGCCTTCCATTAAAGTCTTCTTGTCTGACATCACCATCACCAGCTTCACCCTGGCTGGAAGGGGTCTCTCCTCTCCACTGTCACCATCATGATCTCCTTCTCCCCTGTGGAATTACCCCTCTCTACTATGTATCTGTAGGCTTTGGTCGTTTGTTTTTATTTGCTTTTTTTTTATGAGCCTTAGCTTTTCGATTAGACCAAGCAGAAGTTTTCTTTGTTTTTCTTAATCTGCCTCTACCTAGTTCACAAGTCCAAAGCATTGCTTGTTCATAGTAATTCTCAATTGCAGGGTACACATGGCAAGATCGAAAGAGGGGGAGTGGGGCAGAGTATCTGATTCTAGAGTGAGGAGAATGTATATATCCTAAAAAAAGGTTTCTTGCCTCTTGCCATCCCACCCTGTAATTTGTGACATCCCAAATAACCTTCTCATGCTTCAGATTCACCATACTAGGCTAGAACAGTACATGTATTATTTACCATTGCATCCCCTACTGTGTCCAACACAGTGCCCTGAATTTACTGGGTACAGAACAAATGTTTGATGAATGAATGAATGCATTCATGGGAAACCTTTCCGTTCCTTTGTACCTAGCACCTCCCTGATCCTAGGTTGGAAACACACATCCTTAAGGCAGGCTATAAAATACCTTCATCTTTAATCCTTATCCCCCTCCACAGACACCCACACCCTCTGACCAGGCATTTATCTCAGGGCACAAAATGCCATTTGCCTGCTGATCAAAGGCTGTGGGAATGGGCGGCAGGAGCAGCTGTGCTCAGATCCCGCCCACACCCTTCCTGTTTGCAGCAGCCCACCCCAGGGGCTATTATGCTTTCGGCAGGCTAAGGAGAGTCCCTCCTCCCTCCCCTCCTTCCCTGGTCCTTGCAGACACTGTGGGTCTGAAGTGGCAGCCCCTCGCCCCTGGAGCCTGCTCTCAGCATTTCATTGTCCCCAGGCAAGACATAGATAGCGGGCCAGACGCTCCTTTCCCCTTTCCTGGGACTCTGATAAGGCAATGAAAACAGTTCTCTATTTTCCTGCACAAAAGCTGACATACAAGAATGGGGTGGAGCATAAGTGATAACCAGCTAGAATTTGTTGCTTTTTAAAAGAAATGTGGTGGGGAAGGAAAGAGTGAAGACTAAAAGCTTTGAGTTTCTGCTCTGGGTTGTAAGAGGCAAACATCTTCCCATGACAATGCCCCCTTTTCAGTCTTAGAGGCTCATTTCCTTTCTGTAAGGGAAAACACTGTCCTCAGGTCAGAGGGCCACAAGAGACTCCTCCTAAGGTTGGCCAGGCCACCTGGGAGCCTCTCATGTGACCCATTTACCTAAAGCGTAGCTTACAGATCAGAATTAAGAGAGAGGGAAGAAGACAAGAATTTCTTCCTCCGTGTTTAATCCATTCCAGTCAGGATTCTCATTCTTTGGAACCCGTCTGTCTGGTCAATTTCAAGATGCGTGTGCGTGAATGTAGGGAGCTTCATATAAACCCCACACACTCTCAGTTTCCTCCAAGTGTCCCGTCCCTGATAAGGGGCTCCTTAAATAAACAAAACGATCTGCACAGTCCAAGTTATTTTTAGAGAGAATTCCTTCAGAGATGTAGCTGGTGTTTGGTAAATGCAGAGGTTAAAAAAAAATGGAGTGAAGAGATGGAGGATCGCTGTTTCTATGTAGAACTGAATAAAAATGGAATAGAGAAATACAATTTTTAAAAATGTCTTCTGGAAATACAACTTTAAAAAGTGTTTTCACTGCCCTGAGACTGGTGCTGGCCTCCTGCTGCCACCACTAGTTCTGGAACCTGGTGCAGTTAAAGAAACCTTCAGACTTCATCTTCTTCATTAGAAAAAGAAGGCTATTTCCTGAGCCCAATTTAAGGAAATTAATTGTTCTGGGGGTAGAGTCTCAGTATTGGTACTGATTTTTAAAGCAACCAAGATGATTCTAATGTACTGTCAGGGTTGAGAATCTGTGAACAAGATCATCTCTGAGGTTTATCCCCTGGTTCTAAAATTTTGTAGTTCCATAGTTTAGGTACCAAGTTTTTCTATCTAATCTCTATCATTTATCTAAAAACTTTATTTGGAGCTCCTTACTATCCCCAAGTCTTTCCAGAATTAGTGAAGAAAGACATTCAACAACTGGCCATGACTGCTTCTCCTTCCACTCTTGGAACAGAAGAGCAGGTTGTTGAGTATTTGCTCAATAACCCAGGGACCCAGTTTCCGAAGACATGTAAGCTTGGAGGCCTCTAGAGAATTAAAGGAGGGTCATATTCACAAACTTAACTTACCCAAGACAAATATAAAACTCTGTTCAAATACATACAGTGAGGAGAAGCAGACACAGACGTAGAACAACCCTGCTAGGCAATTTAGAGTCCTATCCATTTTTTGTCATGAAATAGGCAGTATTGGACAAGTGCATCCCAGCAATCACAGATTGAGATGGGCCTCCTCTATTTTCCTTGAGAAAACACTTGATTGTCTTTACAAATTGCACCATTTTAGATTTTTGCTTCTGAATTTGCAATATAAATTATTCTTAGGATCTTTCGGTTTCCCACGATGCCCTCTTTCATCAATTTTCCTGGCTAGAGTCTAAGATTCATATTCCTTTTTTCACTCCGAAATTGCTCATTTTTCCTCTAGAGAGGCTCTTCCACCACTGAGCGGTCTTGGCAGCGGCTCTTTGTGACAGTTGCCTATAGGCATTCCCAATTCTCGAGTGGTTTTAAAATCAAGTATGCAGCTGAATAAATAGAAAAGGAGCAAACAGCACAAAATTAAGTAAAATACCAAATATCTCATACAAATGGAATAGACAATAAAAGCAAAAGATAGAGATGATTGTGTCAACTTAGATGTTTAGAATAAAATCTCAGGAATTGGAAAAGATTCTATCAGCTATATAGGTCAAAATCCCAACCCATGCTCCCTTCAGCATCTTCAGCATCCAGCATCTGCGTAAACATCCACTGAGGAAGTTCACTCTCACAAGGCGTACCATTCCAGGTTTGATTTACTTTAATTGAAATCCACTTGAAGTCAAATATCAAATTAGAAGCACTGTGGATAATAGTGAAGCCCTAAAGAAAACATCAGTTCATAGCGCAAGAAGAGAAAAAACACAACTCAGAAAGAAAGGTTGTAGAATGGGAAGCAGAGGTCTGAGACATTTATTTATAATTTTCCTTTAGAATCACTTTAAAAACTGAACATTCACATGGCCTTTGCATGTTCCCACCTAGGGAGGACTGAGATGATATATTTCCATTCAGCAGCTTCTGCTGTTAGATAAAGAACTGAGACAAACCTCTTCCTAAAATGAATTTTTTTAAAAATAAAGAATTTGTTCTTTGAAGCTTCAACTATTTAGGCAAAAGGTACCTCATCTTTGTGTTCTAGTTATTTAAATGTTATGAATAAGTAGGAAGTATCATAATCATCTCTACTCCCCTGCCGCCAAATCCTGAACTTGTAGGTAGATGGTGTAAATATGTGTCATAATTTTTAAACCAAAACCACTAGGGTCATAGAGTGTTATTTTAAATCTGATCCTTAAAAACAAAGTTTTAACCCAAGGTACTTTAGGTAAGTAATGTACCTAAAGAAAGATAAGAACATACTGAGGATAAAACATATGCAATTTGCTCCCTGGGATTAGTTCCAGGTCTTGATGCATGGGTTTTATTCCTTCAACCCGAAAATATTGTCTTTTAGCTTGTTGTATTAGTGAAGGTAACAATATCCCATACACATCTCACATTTTCAGTATAAATCAAGACAGGTTTATTTTTCAAGTGCAATGGGTCCTTGTGCTGTTAAAAAATGATTGTATTTACCAGGATAGGAAAGAAAAAATAGCAAATATTTATTAAATACTCCTATGAGCCTGGAGCTGTGCTTAGAGCTTTACCTATATTACCTCATTTGAAGGAATAGTCAGGATTTGCTTTCTCTGAAGCCACTTCTGGGTACTAGAAAACTGAATCATCACCCACCTAGTTGTCCAGAGGCATTACATTTATATGGCACTTTAAACTTCTCTTGAGTACTTTCATATCTATAATCTCTTTAAAATCCTGTGTTGCAGTTAGGGCAGATATGATAAAACTAAGAAGATGGGTGAAATTGTCTAAGAATAACCAAACATGGAGTAGCAGAGCTAAAAATAGAAGCTAAACCCTACTGTCTTCTATTCTTATCTATAAAATGAGGAATATTTATAACTTGTTTTCAAGTTTCCTTCTAGTTTCCAAAGCCACGCCCTACAAGTCTTTGCCCAAGACTAAGAGATAATCAGCTATACTACCTTCCAGAACATTTAGAAAATGGTTTACTATCAATTCTAGGCTCCTTTCCTCTTCAAGCTTCTAAAGATGGGTTCTAACTTTAGAAATCTACTTTAATTCAACCAAACTGGGCATTGTTGTAAGTGCTCTGGGAATTTGAGAGATAAATGAGCTAAAGTCTCTAAGACTCCTAAATTTCCTTTGTAAGAATAAAGGAAAGAGACCATTTTAACTGGGGGAAATAGGGAAGTCATCAGTAAGTCCAGTTAATGTGAGTAGCATATTCAGGGCTGTTTTCAGTACACTGTATGAAAATAACTTTTTGCAGGGCTGAATTCTACAAGCAAGCTCCATAAGTTTGGGGAACTATAGCAGAGAAGAATATCCTAATGAGGAAGCTTTATTTATTTATTTGCTCTAATTATTCTTAGTGCCTGTCCAATGCTTAGCCTGGAGAGGAGAATCAATGTGTTATGTGCATTTCTTAAAAAATATATATTGAATAGGTAAATAAGAAACTATTTTAAAAAATCAATAGTGCTATCAATGTATTTAGTTACCCATTTAAAAACTATGTATTGAATGTAACTCTATATATAATCCTTGTCCACATGGAATTTCTAATTTAATGAGAGGGACATACATTAAACAACTAATCACACAATTAATTTATTACTCCAATGGCAGTTATTTCCCTTGACCCTAGGATCACTTCTCTCTGTCTCCCATCTGCTTTCAGGTCATCCAGTTGACCACTGTTCTTTGAGCTGAGGGTTCCTTCCTGCTCCACTGTGAGCCACGGGCCACATCATACCTGGCTGCTGTTGACCCAAGATACCCTGTAAAATTCTGCTTCCTCTTCAAGAGCCCATAGGGAGGATGGAGGAGTGTGAGGCAAGCCTTGTCTCCATCTGCAGCCCCATCTTTTACTCTCTCCATAACCTCACCACACAAAAAACGTCAAACTATGTGTTAAACATGACTTTTTCAAAGCTCCAGGGGAGATTTCCCATAAAGTGAAACCCTCTATAAGGGAGTAACTCTGTTCTTAACCACATCCTCCCTTCCTTTCACTCTGAGAGTACCATCTTTAAGTCTCCATCCACCTTTTGAAAAAGATGCTTTTGTAAATACTACATTTAAAAAACAGCAGTAGTCACACACACACACTGCATACAAAACATACGTTATTTTTATTGGTGGTTGCTTAATGGGGGAGGGCAGTAGAGATCAGAGGGCAGTTCAGCCACCACCCCTGCCCCAGGCCACCTCCAGAGCTAGTCTTAATCACTTCCACTGGGGTGGGCGTGGGGGGATCCACAGAGGAACATTAGAGATGGCAGGAATCTCCCGACAGTGGTCCTGCTCCTAATATGCTACCCCCAAACAGGAAGCGGGCTAGAAGAGTTTCTAATGACTCTACTGTAGGTAATTCCAGATGAGTCCCAATCCCAGGGCAGGAGCCACGCACTCCTCGGGTATATGCCGTGCGGTGTTGTTTGGGGAGGCAGAAAGGGGCAGGCAGCTTGCTCCTGACTCCCACGTGGAGGGGCGCAGGGAGGCCTTCCCAGAGACTCCAAACCCAGGGGTACAGTCGGTTCTTCGGTGCCTTCTTGGCTTCTCTGCTGCTTGAGACTTCAGGAGCCCCCAAGACTTGGTCACCGAGGTGCCACAGGCGCCGGCCTTGACCGCACTCTCCCGCGGGCCCCGGGGCTGCTTTCCCCGGCTTTACCTTTGTTTTCCTAGTCTGTTCCTCCCTGAGCTTGTTTGTGTAAGAAACCCTCTCTCCCTGCTTCCTGTGTCTCTGTCATTTCCTCCCATTGCCATTCTACACTGTGGCACTGAGGGCCATTGTTTTTCTTTCTAACCACAATTCCAGACCCTGGGAATGGCAAGTAGGTGCGCGAGGACGCTGAGGCAGGCGGGGCTGCGGGCTGGGGCCGAGCTCCGAGCCCGGGAATACTGGTGGGCTGCTGTTTGCCGGGCCGCTCGGGAAGGAAGAAACTCAGTAACAGGAGACAGCGTCTTGCCAGTTAATCCTCAGGCACTATCTAAATGAAGGCATGTTCCCAGAAGTGAAGATGGGAGATGTCTGAAAGTCCTGATAACCATCTTCTTCAAAGGAAGCTGTGACGGTCCCATTTGGTTTCTGAATTTTTAACATATCCTTATTACTTTTAAACGAACCGAAAAATAAACTAAACCTAATTTATAGGGGAGCTTAACAGAGATACGAAGCCAGGTGCTGGACACATGGATACCTAATTAGAAATGAATTTCCTTGCGCTTCTGTTCAGTGCTTCTGCGTTATCCGTTTTGATCAGCCTCACTATTCGTCCAGCCTGCGCTGTAGTGTAAGATAAACTACTTTATGTTTTCTTGGCAGCGTTTAAATCAGACAGGTTCTCACAGGAGCTCAGATTTTGGGTTGTTTCCCTGAGCACAGGGAGAAGGAACTGAAAAAGTAGCTGGCCTGGGGAAGGAAGAATGTAATGCCTTCTTATTTACCATTGAAATGCCAAAGCCTGGTTTATGTGTTGATTTCCAAATATAAACAGGAGGAACACTGTGGTCGATATCCCATTGAAGGACTAAACCAGTAACACGTGCGTTTTGCTTTGTAACCCAGGACTTTTTTTTCTTTCTTTCTTTTTAGTGCAACTCTAACAAAGTAAACTGAGCAAGATTTACAGACAACTTCGGCGTGGTTTCATACGAGATGTATTGAAGCACATTTATTTTGTTGACTGTTACCTAGCAGAAGACGGTTGTTCTATTTTGGTAGCATTTGTTCCATAAAACTCTCAAGGTTTTTGCCAGCTCCTTTCATTACACCTTTCCTGCCAGTTATGACACTAAGGGTCACTCATCAAAGAGATTTTGTTTATTTCAAGTTTTAATGGACAATGTGGTTACCAGGAACGTGTAAATTTCCAGGTTTCTGTTAAAGCAGTAGAAAGTTATAAAGCACATAATGGAAAAGAAACATATCAAATTCCTTTATTTCAAATAAAGTTGTGATTTTCATTAAAGGATTTAAGAGTGCCCTGTGCCACCCCCATACCACAAAGCTACTGATCTTGGAACATGATTTAAATATTGATCAGTCACCATTTACAATTTTAAAAAATAATGTACCCTACTACTTTGTATTAGGAGCAAACTTAAGATTACAAAATCCTTTTCAGGGAATCCCCCAAAAAATTAGATTCATAAAAATCATTTTAGAGAAGACATTCTATTAAAAATAGTGGAGAATTATTTTTAATGGAGAGAGATTTCCTTTTCAAAAGATGGTATTTTTTAAAGAGACTTTTATTGCTGGAATTACATTATTGCTCTTTTCTTGAGTTACAAATGAACTCTAGAGCATGCTGCAATATATAAGGATGAAACGAAATGATTTCTGAGTTCTACTTCAAAATAAAGAGAGGTGAGTTGGCAGAGGTTTATATGAAAGAACACAGGTGAGGCATTAATAGTGTGTGGGGGTGATGGGTGCGGGAGGGTTCATTATAGCATTCTGGCTACTTCTGAACATTTCAATTATTCAATAATAACAATTTATGAAATGAAAAAGAACAGTGGAAGACATAAATAAACATGTTTTTTTAAAACAGAGAATTAAGTATCATTACTTCTGCATTTAGTAACACTTTATTGCCATGCTCTTCTGGTGCTATCTTCTTGCAGAGGCCAGAAGTGTTGGAACTCTTGGAAATACAAAAATCTGAGCAGATATATCACTTTTCAGATATCCAATGGAAGAAATGCAAATCACCTAACTGCATGCAAATCACCTAACTGCATGCAAACAGCTTGAATTTATTAAAGCAGTCAATAGCCCAGTCTAAACAATTTCCAATTAGGACTCTCAAATCACTGCTTCTTACACCTGGGTGGCCTCTTAAAGGCATTCCTTAGAAGTCTATGGTGACAATGTTTGGGGAACCAGTTACTTTCTTCATTTTACATATTTCTACGTAGAAGATTTGGAAGAACTCTGAGAAACAACAATATTGGTGAATAAATCTCTTAGAAACATGTTTTTCCACCTCTGGCTCTACAACAAACAAGTATCACACAAACTTAGCTAAGAGTGTTCCAGAATTTGCTTCATCAAGAGGAAGCTGTTTTATGAAACAGTAAACTTCCTCCGCATGTGAAAGAGGAAAGGACATTTTACTCACAGAGACCACCATTCTTGATCCATGCAAGATCAAGACTTTTCTAAGATGACCTCTCGGACTCTTGTCGGTGTTCTTTCTCTGTGCTCCTGCAGACTGAGTCTCATGAATCAAGATTTTTCCATTTCTGGATGACCAATCAGGTAGCGCAACATCTTCCTCTTAGGATATTTCATTTTCCTGTTTATCTGTTTTACCCAATTACATTTATACAGACATATGCCAAGAAAATGTTCAATAATGAATTGTTGACATGATTTTCTTATTTTCAAACTTCCCTGTGATGAGATCCTCAAAACATCCATTGCCAGCAAATACACTGCAGAGGAAAATAAATTAGGATCGTCCTGCCCCATAGACAGTTAACCAATTTCATTAGGTGGTCCAAATGAGGAACAGATAAAATGGCCCATTTTGTTTTAATCATTCATGGTATTTAGAGTTTACCCTCCTAGAGGAGATTGAAGAACCAACTTTTGGCATTGCATGGGGAAATACCTCACTTTGGCATGTGCAATATTTATCTATCAGGCCATTATGGATACTGGCTGTCCTCTAAACTGAGCTAAAATAGAAAAGAATCCTGCCTCTGTGTGTTAAATAAAGACCACAAGTTACAACAGCCAGCCTCAAAGTATTCCATGGGCCTCTCCCCAGACACTCATTCTACTTTTCTGGAATCTTAATCCTATTCTGCACCTTTTGATCAGGCCAAGCCCCAGACCATGGGTGACTTATCAAAAGGGCTGGAATTTGCACCGTGCCCCATACCCCCATCTCACTGGCCACTTGTAGGCTGGATTATGGGACTAACACTTCAACACTCCCAAGTGGAGGCCTGTGAGTGGTTCATGGTCTCCATCACAGGCAAGGTGCCACAAGTCAAGTGGGAGGTCAAGCAGAACACACCAAGCGGCTCCTGTCTCTGGCTCTTCCCAGCTCCATGTTAACAGAAATATCCTTCTTCACTCCACAGCACCAGGCTTAATTTTTTTTTTAAATATAGACATGAGTTTCTGAGTTCTCCTTCCCTTCTGCATAGCCTTTCCTTTATGGGGTGGTTTTGCCTTGCCTTCTCACTGACTTCCTATTTCACCCAGGAGGCAGCTCCTACCTGTTCTGCAAGCCTCCAGGGGGCTTCTCATCTTCCAGTCTGACCAGGTTGCCTTTTATCAATCTCCAGGCTCACTGTCTCCAGGGGTCTGCTTTTAGGGACAGCAGTAGGCCCCAGCCCTTCCACCCATTTCCAAGTTAACTTGGACAGTTACTAAGATTAATTAGTATTCTCTGCTCCCAGCCTAATTTCCCATCATATGTGTCTCGACCCCTAATTTGTTACCAATCTTAGCTAAAAATTATAAAATAGTAGCTATGTAAGCCCTCGGTGATCTCTCTACCTGATCTTACCCCTCAATTCCCCCAACCCTCCCACTAATTCCTGGAATGGCAGAGGTCCCTCACTGCACTCCCAGCCTGCCCTGCCAACCTTGTGTAGTTTCTACTCCAAAACCTTCTTTCCCCCTTCCAGAGTATCAGGAGTAACAAAACGTACTTTTCTCACATGGCATTTCTAAAACCTGACCTACCCTATAGCTAACTGTCTTATGGAGAACAAGTGTCAAATACTAATTAACATAAAAATATTAATAGATAAATAGGGCTGAGTGCATGATACCTCGTGAAGTTATTTTAACAAAAGAAATGTTTTTAATACCAGAATTTCCAAGTACCCAGGGACATGATTGGCCAAAGAAAAATTTATTTAGAGGCTAAAGGTCCTTTCCTTTTCATATACTCATGCCAGTCATTATTCTATATGAATGATCCTATTTGGCTTCATGTCAACTTTTCTGGAGGTCATGTGGTGGCCATCCTCATTTCCGCTGGAACTCACACTCTTCCAGGTATGGATGGCTGTCATCAGTGCTACTACTGCTCTCTCAAGGTGGCCGTATGATGCAATGGAAATAATCCAACAGACTCGGGTTCCAGGACCAAGTTCACCACCTACTAGCCTGGCAATCTTGGCCAAGTTAGTAACTTATTTGAGGCCGCAGTGTCCTGATCTGTAAAATGGAAATTTATTACCTACTTCCGAGTTACTGAGCAGATTGAATGAGGCAACACATGCATTTGTTTCATGCAGTAGTTGCCTTTAAAGCTAGCGATCAGTAGTTCTTTGAATCATGGTTTTTTTTTAACATAAATGTCTGATAATTACAGTAAATATGGATTAACTTGCTTGTGACTTGTCATTTTTCAATAATAGTTGCTTCAGTCAGCACTGCAGAACTAGCAAATAACAGCCTACCTGCTTGATTTAAGTGCTAAAAAATTCAGGATAATATTGAGATCATTTGAAATTCAATTTTTGGCTTATTCTGGACTACTTAGTGTCCCTAATATGGGAAGTTTGGAAATAAATGGAAAAGATGTGGGAAATGAAAACATGGAATGTCTTGGCCGGGCGCGGTGGCTCACTCCTGTAATCCCAGCACTTTGGGAGGCCGAGGCGGGTGGATCACGAGGTCAGGAGATCGAGGCCATCCTGGCTAATGTGGTGAAATCCCATCTCTACTAAAAATACAAAAAAAAAAAATTAGCCAGGCGTCGTGGCGGGCATCTGTAGTCCTAGCTACTCAGGAGGCTGAGGCAGGAGAATGGCGTGAACCCGGGAGTCGGAGGTTGAGTGAGCCGAGATCGTGCCACTGCACTCCAGCCTGGGCGACTGAGCAAGACACCATCTCAAAAACAAAACAAAACAAAACAAAAAAACATGGAACGTCTTAATATCACTCTTCCTGTTAAAGACAAGAATTGCCTCCACATTCACCTTTTGAATATAAAGGTTAGCTAGCTTTTAAGTAGCACAAACACTGATTTTCTAACCTGTCCCTTGAGAATATTCACCATAAAAGGATAAGACTCACTGTGAAGAAGTCTTCCTAAATAACAAACCTAAATTTCCCTTTTTCTCGACAATTCCAAAGGATCCTAATATATTCATGAATGAATGCTTGATCTGTGAAATGTCCTATTTCTGTATAATAAATAGTCTTCTAAGTATACCTTAGGAAAAGATAGCAGTTATTGATTTTTTAAATGTATCAGGAAAGGAAAATATATTTGGCTAAAGCTGTCGCCTACTACTCTTACACTAGTGATTGCTCTCTCCTCACCATGCCAGTCACTCAAAATTTGCTTTATAGATTCTTCTGTCAGTGTGTTTTCATATAAAAGTCAAAAATCTTCTCACTTCCTGGACTAGGAAAAGATATGCCAATATTTTCTTTATTTCCCTTGGAGTCACTGTTGTAAATCTGTGGCAAGTTAGTTGGTTAGAAAGTTAAAAATTATTAAAAGGTGGATATTATTTATTACCCCTGTTTCAGAGTTGAGGTTTTCCAGGCTCTGGGAGATGCCAGTTGTGCCAAAAGTCATCTAGGTCCAGGGGTAGAATTGAGATGAAAACCCTGGCAAATCTGTTATGATACTACTCTGATGTACTGATGTTGGTATCACAGACTGGTCGCGTAGAAGCCAGTCAACTTTGTATTGTTTGCTTCACCTGAACCATAGCCAGGTATCATCCTTCCAGAGTGTGCTGTTGTCACGAGTGGTGCCAAGTGAGACAGCAAAAGAGCAGCACACACAGCCTCTGCTGGAACCAGCCTGCAGAGTGAATGCTCCAGGAATGCAGTGGCTGGCTGACTTGTTTTCTCTATTATTTAGACTCTGGTCTTCCTCTTTGTATTTCAGAAAAACAAACAAACAAACAAACAAAAAACCTAATATGTCTAATTCTGAGTTCACTTTCCCCATTTGCCTACACAGACTTCCCCTTCTGGCTTTAGTCACCTTTGATGAAACTTCATCCCTCTTTCCACCACTCAGGAGATCACAACTCTTCCTTTCAAGGATCTTCGTTCCTTCATTTCTACTCCTGCTGCCTCCACCTTGGTCCTGTGTGTTAGAGCTCCTTTTCTTCTCTTTAAAAAAATTATTTTTCTATATTGGGTCTCACTCTGTCACCTTGGCTGGAGTGTAGTGGCACAGTCATGGCTTACTGCAGCCTTGACTTCCCAGACTATAACAATCCTCCCACCTCAGCCTCCTGAGTAGCTGGGACTATAGGTGTGCACCACCACACCCAACTAATTTTTGTATTTTTTGTAGAGATGGAGTTTTGCCATGTTGCCCAGGCTGATTTCAAACTCCTGAGCTCAAGTGATCTGCCCACCTTGGTCTCCCAAAGTGCTGGGATTACTGGCATGAGCCACTATGCCAAACCCTTATTTATTTATTTAACACTTATGCCTTAACTGCTGGAGTACGGTTTCATATCTAGGTCCTTGTAAGAATCTCTACACTAATTTCTCACTCTCCAGAACCTTCCTACCACCACCCTCAACACACACAGATACTCACAGACAAACTTCCCAATCTATCCAGTTTATGTCCCTTGGTGCTTCCAGATTAAATCAGCCTGAAGTCCAATTGGTGTGGTGGAAAAAGCACAGTGTGTGGAGTCAAAAGACCTTGTTCTAGTACTGGCTCTACTACTAATACATTATTTGACTTTAGTTGAGTTATAGAAAAGGTTGAATTGAAAAGCTGAAGTAGAGAAGTCAGTCAAGTGAAGCAGCAGCTGAGGATGCATATCAGAATGGCCCAATCTGCTGCTTATTTTTTCTAAGCCTCGCCATCTAGATCCATTCTTTGCCCTGATTGGTGTCCCAGGAGGCTGACCCCTGTAGACTGTATCATTGGATTCCTCTGATGGCTGTCTTCCTCTTGGGCAATGGGAGGTAGAGACAGAGAAGCAGAGACAGAGGGCAAGGGAGGAGAAAGAAATTGGAGTATTTCTCCTCTGCTATCTCTCTCCTGTTGAGAAGACTCTCTTACAAGATTCCAGCTCTCACTGGACTCTGGTAACATTATTTCCTTCGCTTGCCTGTGCAGACCTAAGGGCACTAATTCTTAGAGCGATGTGGCTCTTAAAGTGTTGTCCTCAGACCAGCAGCATCAGCATCACCTGGAAACTTCTTAGAAATGCAAATTCAGGAGACCCACCTCATATCCGTTGGATGAGAAATTTAAAACATGAGATCTGATAATCTGTGTTTCCATAAGCACTTCAGGTGATAAATTTGAGAACAACTGCCCTAGAGGAAATTGCTGGGCCTGACCCCAAAACTCTCTGATTCAGTAGGCTAGGAGGTGGACCCAACCATTTGCATTTTGAACCCTTCCTAGATGAAGACTTGGCTCTTCCCAAAACTAGACTTTGAGAACTACAGCTCTAGATCAGCTGCCAAGCAGCCCCTCCTCCCTGCTAGGAAAAAGCAAGCCTTTTTTTCCACTTAAAAACCTTTAAGTGAGTTAACCTGGAGCAGATGCTGGCTCAGGTAATGCCAATTCTTCTCAAGACCCACTTCCCCAATCCCCTAAATGCACAATGCCTATGGGCTCGTAAGGAGGGTTCAATCCCTGTGTGGTTTAGAAGAAATGCAAGGTTTGCTCCTGAAGAAGACGCAGCTCACTCAGCAAAGGAACTATGAAATCTTGCACATTTTTTATTAGCAGTGCTGGGGCTGCCATAACAAATACCACCCTGGATGGCTTAAATGACAGAAATCTATCAGTCACATTGGATTGAGGCCCACCCTTATGACCTCATTTTCCCTTATCTCTTTAAAGGCCTTATTTCCAAATACAATTATACTGAGATACTGGAGTTAGGACTTTAACATACAAGCAGGGAGTGGGCACAATTCGGTCCACAACAAGCAGGATCCTGGAAAACATAGTGCTATGGTTTGAATGTTTTTGTCCCTTCTAAAACTAATGTGCTAAAAATATAATCACCAATGCAACAGTGTTGGGAGGTGAGGCGTAATGGAAGGTGTTTGAGTCATGAGGAAAGAGCCCTCATGAATTGATTAGTGCACTATAAAATGGTCTTTTGAGAGTGGGTTCTCTCTCTTCCACTCTTCTACCATGTGAGGGCACAGAGTTCTTCTCTTTGCCTTCTGCCATGTGATGATGCAGCAAGAAGGTCCCATCCAGATGACAGTGCCTTAATCTTGGATTTCCCAGCCTCCAGAACTATGAGCCAAAATTTTTTTCTTTATTATAAATTACTCAATCTCTGGCATTCTATTATTTTATGCTATTATAGCAGCACAAAACAGACTGAGACACATGGGTAGAAATAGACTGGACCAAGAAACATAAAATATAAATTTTAATGGAATTGAATGTATTAATATGAATACACTTATCTAAGCTTACCACAGTGGTTCTCACCCTTGACACCACATTAGAACCACCTTTAAAAAATACTGATGATGCTCAAGTTCACTCACAGAGACTCTGATTTAATATTTCTGGAGTGTGATCTAGGCATCAGGAATTTTTAAATAGCCCCAGATATTTCTAATAGCCCAGTTAAGAAACACTGCAGAACAGTTTCCTGAGCCAGTTACTAGAACCAGTAAATGAGGCGGAAATATCACAATTGTCCTTGGAAAAACAAGGACAATTGTGAAAAACAAGGAATCCAAAAACATACAGGAGGTAGGAATGTTGGAGTGGATCTATTATGTGCAATCTACACAACCATCCCCACTTTTTTCATGCTTTTGCCTCCACTCAGGAAAACCTGCATGATGCTCCCTCAATTAAGAAATGCTGTGGTCAGAGAAGTGTAACCATCCTTAGAAAGCTCTACATAAATGCAGGGGTGTCCCTGTGCCAGAGATCGGGGGAGGGAGAATATTGTAGAACTGGGCTACTGATTTCAGTGGCAATAATGAAATGCTGATGTGAAGACTTGGAGGGAATAATTACCTGTTATGGTAGAGTAGGTAAATATGGTATAATATGGCAGAAACAGGGAACGGCGATCAGAGTATCAAACCTGCAGAAATCTGTGGTGGTGACTTATTGATCACAGCACCTTTAAGAATGGGGAAGATGAACAGATTACCAGATAATTGGTTGATCTACATATCTGAAGAAATCCTAGGTTCATCAGCAGGAAGGAGACTAATTCACCTGGAGAAAACTTTAAGCACACAAATGCCATCTTTTACTACCTACCCCATCAGATGTACCAGCGTCTGCAAAGGGAAAGGAGGGGACTTTTTAAAAAAGTCTCCAAGTCACACTGTTGTGTTCACAGCATTTCCCACCCCCTCTTAGATTGAGAACGAGTGGATTAAATAATTTTTATTCAGGTCCTTCTTAGGTCTAAAAGCTCATGGCTCTATGACAATGCTAATCTTGGGTCAATTAAAATTCTTCAGTAGTTGTTCCTTGACTTCCAGGAAATATCAAATTCTTTAGCCTGGCATTCATTTTTTTGTGCAGTCAGGCTGAATGCTACCTTTTCTGTCTCATTTTCCACTAGTCTTCTAGTGGCGCTTCCCACTATATATATATATATAATATATTATAGAATATTATATTTTCTTGGTGCCGTAGGATGAATGGTCAGAGCTGGTCACAGCTGAAGGTGGCTCCTCCAGTGGCTCTCACAAACCCAACCCCCTCCATGTCATCGCAAAGGCTGAGGAGATCAGTATTTCACCACACCTTTGTGCTTCACTTAGGTGAGTACTTCTGGTTGTGAAGCTCTGCAGGCCCACAGGAATCTGCTCCTCCATTCCATTCCTAGAACTATTAAAAAGCACTACTCATTATCACCTCAACATCTTAGCTTTCTCATTTCCTGCACTCACACCTCACTCCTCTCTGTCTATCCAAGACCAACATATACTTGGATAAGCAGTGAAGCCCCAGATCCTTCAAGAAGACTCCCCCAACAAACTCAACCCTAGAGGAGTTCCTGGTGCTTATTCTCTGGAGCAGTAATTTGACATTGAATGTTAATCTACCTTGAATCACTATTACATTTCACATAAGTTCACATATCGCAGGATCATGGCTCCAGGAACTCAACAGTTTTGAGGAGGCACTACTAGCATTGCCACCTCTTTGGGCACTGGTAGTGAAAGAATCTACTGCCTGAGTAAGAATGAACTGGAATAGGAGAAGAGAATGGCAGATGCCAAGGAGTGGTTAAGATGACTCTTTTGCAAACAGCAGTGATTATGACACTGCTGCTGAGATGGCTTGGAAAACATGCTTTAGAGAGGAGAATGAGCTTCTGAAAATCAGAAAGCATATCTCATATCTTTGGGAGTGTGTACACAATGAACATAAAAAACTCAATAGATATTGCTTCTGATTAAAATCAACCCGGAAGAGAGCCTTTATCAATGAATATTTGTAATGGCAAGAAACAAAACCTGTGACTAACTTACACAGGAGAAAAGAGTCTGTGACAAAATACTAGGCAGCTCACAGATTTGAAAGGAAGGCTAAACTAGCAGACCTCAGGAAGGGCAGAAACCAGAGTAGCTAGGACCTCATACATAGGAGCTAGTAGATGCCATTGGGCACTATTGCCACTCCAATTCCTTTCATACCTGGTTATTCAGGCAAGATCCCAGTTACTAGGAGACAGTCTGTGTGGTCTAGCCTCATTCATGTGTCCCCTGCTGCGGTTGGGGTAGGGCACAGCAAAGTCACATGGACTGGGGAAAGAGTGTTTCCCTAAGGAGAGGATGAACAGGAACAAAAAAGTAATAATTGCTCAGTAACTTTTCCTATTTGATTTGATACTAATATTTCACATCACTCTACAGTTTACAGGACAATTTTTACATATTGTCTAATCTCATTTCATTTTACAACTTGTGAGTTAGGTTTTGTTTTTATTCTCCTTGTAGAGAGGAGGAAATGGGGTCTCAGAAAAGATGTTGCTTACATAAGAACTGAAATTCACATCTTCTGAGTACAAATTCCAGGTTCTTTTCATCATATGACACTGTTCCCTTTAAAATAAAAACTTAAAAATAATATGACATTTTTTACTCAGGTTTAGATCAATTTGGACTCAGTGTATATTGCTTTTTTCCAAAATACAAAAATTCTGTAATAATATGAGCAAAAAAGTAAGTACAAAATACTACTTCTAAATCAATCATTTACTATATTTTACTTAATTAAATTCAATAAATTTATTTAAGCATAGAGGATATTTCCTAGATGCTAGGGAATCAAATATATATGAGATCTATTCCTTGTGTTCACATAGTTCAAATTAAGTCATCTGGATAAATAGAAGCAGGCATCTAAATAAATAAGTGCAATAGAAATGCTTTAGGAGCATTATATTTTAATTGCCTATTTATTTATGCTCCCTAGACACCAACCCTCTTGAGTTAAGAGATCTGGTCTTTTTCATATTCCCAGCACTAAGCACAGTGTCTGAACAGAGTAGATTCTTAATAAATATTTGTAGAATAAATGAATTAATAAATTAATGAAAAGAAGAAAAGTGCAATGGAGACTCAGTTGAAGGAGCAATTAATTTTGACTTTATGCACTAAGAAAAGCTACATTTTGACAAATGGTAGAGTGAGTTTTTAAAGAATCCATGAAAGCAACTTATCTGCATACTGGAGTTTTATTGTGTAAGGGTACATTTTTTGTCATGCTCATAATTGGAAAGGCCTCAACAATGGCAGAAAGATGTATTCTCCCCCATAGAGACCTAGTTTATTTCCATTAAGACCTAGTTAAAGTTTCCCACAACTGCATCAATTAAATCTAGCTCTACTCCAAAAACATCCACAGTCCAAATTTCCTGAAGCTGTCCATTTGTAGCATATGAACTGCCCTTCTAGCACTATTTTATCATTGTTTTGGTCATATAATTCACACTCATTCATTTATTTAATAATTTACTAAGCACAGAGCCATCTCCTTGCTTATTCTGCAATTCTGGTACCTACATGCCTCCAACTCAAATGTAAAGGGACTCCATTATTTTTCTCTAGGTTCATTTCTTCCATGCTGGAATTAACATACTGTTCATCAGACATTCAGCAAAATGCTTGCCATCTGACAAGCTAAACTGAAAGCACTTCCTCTCCCAGAGGAATTTAATTACAAGGACAACTGTTGTCTCTGTTAGTCTAGCATAGACCCCAAATGATTCATCCATTCAAGAGCAGTTACATGTAGTATCAAAGGGGCAAAACCTAGGGAGGGTACAAAAAAGATTGAGAGTCATTTGGAACTCTCTGACATCAGATGCCAGGTCACCAACAGGAAAAAGGGATTTTTGAAGTATCTGGGTCTGGAAAGCTTAGTAGTCCTACCTATGGGATCCAGAAAAGTGCCAACCAAAATTAAGCTGCAGTTTTGGACACACTTTGAAGCAAATCATTTTTGGCGGCCGATTTAAATGTTTGTCTTCAATTCAAAGTTTATATTTGATCCTTGGCCATGCTGAAATATGCATCCCTAATTGCAAACAAAGCTGTTAAAATACCCAGAATGGCCATAAGGACATAGTCTTCAGAAGCAGATCCAAAGGCTCATCTACAGCAAAGCCTTGTGGCCACTTTAAAGTATTGACATCAACTCAAAACATACGGCAGCCAGAGTATGAAAAGCCTCTGACTTCCTGGAGAGGTGCCAGTCTTCTACTGGTAGCACTGGGAAGTTCCACCACAGGAGAAGCTCATGGAGAGACACAGTGGCCTGCACGAAACACATTGGTGGGCCCTCTTTCCTCACTGCCCCACGTGTGGATGATGGAAATTGTCCCGTCAGTTGGCATGAGTTGACGTTTCATGCTGCCTAAAGAAACTTGGAAACAGCTTTAGTTTCATTATTCAGATGTGGGCCTTCTCATGTGGGAGTCTGGAGCCAAGTAAGATCCACTAATTAAGTAAATATTAATAAACATTGAATTCCTTAAGTGAATAGAGCTTGTAGCCACAACATTGTAAGTCTTAGATTATCCACAAAGATGAGAGAGTGCGATGTTCTGATTAATTGAGTCTTTTGCTTACACAAGGGCTATGGATAATCCCATAAATAAACCACCAATTTTCAAAAAATTAGAAGATAATATGGTCACCTAGTACTGAAACCATACTGAACAAAGCCATTCTTGATTCAGAAGGCGCCTCAGAGTGTAATGTGCCTCAGGGTCACCATTAAACATGTCATTTTTAAGAGCTGCAGAATAAACTCCCTCCCCACAGACCTACTCTGGGATGTGCATTTTTAAACAAATTCTTCACATTAATTCAGTTGCTTGTGATTTATTTCTGTCTCATAAAATAGAGCTCAGTGCATGAAAAAAGAAATCCTATTGGTTTGAATGTGGGAACTCAGATTCTCACATCCAGATATAACCAGCCTTTTATTTGTACATATTTTTACATAATTGAGGCGACACTGCATAGAAAAATTACATTATTTTTTCACTTAACCGTCTATGTAGCATGAGCATTTTTACATGTCATTAAGCTCTTTATTAGCAAATTATAATTGCTATATATTACCTCAAATAAATCAGTCATAATATGCTTTACCACTTCCCATTTTTAAACATTTATTTAAATTGTTTATTTCATTTAGGCATCATAAATATTGTTGTGATAATTGTTTTAGTGTGCTAATCTTTGATCATTTTATTTTTCTTTCTTCTTCTTCTTTTTTTTTTTTTCTGAGACAGGGTCTCACTCTGTCGTCCAAGCTGGAGTGCAGTGGCACGATCTTGGTTCACTGCAACCTCCGCCTTCTGGTCAAGTGATTCTCCAGCCTCAGCTTCCAGAATAGCTGGGACCACAGGCACATGCCACCATGCCGGACTAATTTTTGTATTTTGGTAAAGACAGGGTTTCGCCATGTTGCCCAGGCTGGTCTTGAACTCCTCAGGTCAAAGCAATCTGCTTATCTCAGCTTCCCAAAGTGTTAGGATTATAGGCATGAGCCACTGCGCTCAGCCTTTGATCATTTTCTTAAAACAACTCCCTAGAAATGAAATTATGATCAAAGTGTTTGATCATTTTTAAGGTTATATGTATATGTATATACATATATATGCATACACGTACTATATATAAACACATACATATATTATGTATATGTCTGTATATATATATATATATTTTTTCCTCACAGGTTTACCAATTTATTCTCTATAAGCAGTATTTTTAAGTGTTCATTTTAGCACCATCAACACATTGAAAATACACTTTGTTTTTTATTTTATTTTAACTTCTAGTTATTTCTTTCCCACATCTCTCCTGGTAGGTTGTCTTTCTTATCCAACCATTTATTGGTTACCTGGCAAGTTCTTCTGAATGCATTTTAAAAAAAATCATATTGTAAATCTAAACCTGCTCTGAGGTTACAGTTTCTTTCTGTAATAAAGCAAGATTGTTCTCATAATTTTATATGATTTGAGAAAGGAGGTTGCATATAGCTAGAACACAAAAACTCAGCTACTCTCTGATAAGTTTAACATGACAAGTAGAGGCTGGTATGCTTCTGTGTTTTCTTCAGGAGGGATATATATGACAGAAAATTTATCTGAAAATTCACATTCCTTTTCAAATTATTATATAGAAATATCATAAGATTTTGAAAAACAAATGAATATCCCAGAAACAAAGTTAAAGTATTTATGTTTTCTCTTTTTCTTTGAATAGGTATCGCAAGGAAGGAAAACTGTCTCCATCTGAAGAGGACATAGCCATGTATCTGCTTTGTTCTCTTCTTGATTTCCACGTTCCCCAAAATGGGCAGGGCTGGCTTAAAAAGCAATGGAGAAAAAGTTCTGGAGATGGATGATGGTGATGTTCTCACAACAATATAAATGTACCTAATGCTACAGAACTGTACACTTAAAAATGCTTAAAATGGCAAATTTTACATTATGTATTTTTGACTCTCTGTCTCCCCCAAAAAGCAATGAAGGCTCTTCCTTTTCATCTTCTTGGCCTCTCTGAGCCTCCCGCTGTCTGTTAACCATCCCCTATAATTCTGCACAGCTTGATAGCTGCTGGGAGTGGTGGGGTGAATTCAAATAACTCAGGAAAGCTAGTTGACTAAGAAACTGCCTCCCAGCCCTTCTTCCAAATTAGCAGCAATATGAGTACAGCCATGAACATGAATATATTTGAAAAAAAGAATACCAACAGAGTAGCAGCTGCTGCTTTGCTGCTGCTTGGTGACTTGGAGACAAGGCTTAGGATTGCCATTAGAGCCCTAACTACAGGCAAAGTCACTCTATAAATGTACCTCACATTCCACAACGGGAAGATTTCCGGAAATGTGACGTGTAGATTGAAATCAATAAAATGACTCATTTATGCAGAGATGAAAATAGTAGTTGTATTTCAATTACATAAATAAAGCAAATGATAGAAAAGAGTCCAAACTATAGAATTCAACCTTTTAGAAATATTTTAAACATAAAACCCTGCTTTCATTTAAATAGTTAGTGCCCATCCTCTCTTCCACCTGCAAGAAGCCCACAAAACTCAACTTACTTCTTGGCTGAAATTAAATGAGAACAAAACCAAGTATAAATAAAATGTTATAATATTCTTATATCAATACAAGAATATGTTAAAGAATTAGAGAAACAATTTTAAATATATGAAAAAGAAAAGCAGTAAACCAAAAGAATTTCTTTTAAGATCTAAGAGCAGCTAAAATGTTTTGAGTACATGCTCTGAACCAGGCACTATTCCAAGTGCTTACCTGTATTAACCCTTTATTCCCCACACATCCCTACCAGGAAAGGTACTACCGCTGCCCCATCTTACAGATAAGGAAACTGAAAGCCAGAGAGTTTAGCAACTTGCCCAAGGTTAGCAATTAGCTTCAATGCTCTGAATCTCTATGTCATATTGCTTTTCTAGAATGTATCTAAAATTCTACTCTGTGTCTAAAGTTAGCAATAAACCGAAAGAAGAAAAACATGGTTGGATGTGGGCTGTAAATAAAAGCATCTGCTGGCTTTGCCAGGTTTGAGAAGCACTTCTTTGAGAAATAATGTTGATTCTTATTTAAAGAAAATTTAAAAGAGAAATAGATTATTTTCCACTGATTCTCAAGTTTGAGCAGTTAATGGAACTTTAGCTATGTCCCAGATCTTTCTTGTGATTTGAATTTTTGTTTGAAGCCTGTCTGAGTAGGGATGAAGAAAATCAGATTTGGCAAAAAGCTTAATGCAGGGTAGCATCTTTCCCTGAGCACTGGCATCCTAAGATGCGGATATTTTCCATCCCAGCAGCTGCTGCTGAGATGATAGTGAGGATGGAGTGTTGTACAAACTGAAGCTCACCCTCTTCAGACACTGCTTATCAGAAAGGTCAGAGCCCTTCACATGCCCTCTGTTTCCTCTTCGGTGAAAGCCTTTGTTCTTTGCCCTGCCCCATCCTCGACTCCCACCATCAGCCCCAGGCTTCCTGGCCCACGTATAGGCTTAGAGAGGAATTGTGAGATCTTTAAACTTCTACTTGCTGATTTCAATAAAGGCAAACCCAGAAATTGGGGGTAAAGGTAGAATAACTTCAAAATGGCCCCTTGTGCAAATGTTTGGAAGCTTAGATCACATCTGGCTGGAAACTGGGGTTGCGGGTTGATAACTTATCAGTGCTTTGCACTACTCAATTAAACCAATGAGCGTAGTCTGGAAAAGTGGCCAGCATCAGCTCACCTCACCGTGGACGGAAAGGCACTGATGATTATATCCTCAACAAAGCTGGTGACTCAAGGGTTGCCATTAGTGACCAGCTTATTTACTTCTTTTCTTGAGTTTCCATTCTTACGACTACTTCCACATCTACAAAACAAAGACTCTGTATGCTACATTTATTTCCAAATAAAGCTTTCTGGCGCTGATATGGAAATTATGACTCCAGCAATGGACAGAGTATGGTTAACTGCCAGGGATTTGGGTTCTTTCTACAGAGGAGGCGCATTGGAGATGAACAGCATTCAGCAGAAAGAAACCTGGAAATCTCTAGGTCTTTCCATTACTATGTGACCAGAAGCAACTCAGTAAACTTCCAGAACTGCAGGTTCTCATCCGGAAAACAGAGCAAACACTCCTAGGTCTGCCTTTTTCCACCTGATTGGTTCAACAATCAAATAAAGTCATGTAAGTATCAGTGTAAATGAAAGTACTGTGTAAACGGTCACTGACTATTCGAGTAATAAGATATTACCCCACCTCACTCAGGTGATAAAGGTGTTCAGCCTATAATCAAACTAGACAATGATCTCTCAAGGGTGTTTCTAGATTTCATGTTCTGCAGTTTAGCAAATGGAAATAAACTTTGTTATTTAATACAATAAGACAGTCGTCTTCAATGAGTCCACAATAACTTAGGCCGGCTCACAGTGATCACACCCTTCTCTAAACACATCACATGTTGTTCATACGATTCATTTGGAAATTAATCACATGCAGCTTGATGCTGTCAATCATTGTTATTTTCCTTTTTAATGTTTTTTTTGCATTCAAATATATATCTCATCTCTCCAACTAGACTATAAATCCCTTCAGGACTATTTGATGTGCTTCTTGTGTATATTAAATAAGATAATGTATATCAAGGACCTAGTATCATATCTAGCACATAGTAAAGCTCAATAAATAATAGTCACTGTTTTCTTTCAGATGACCTACCATGAATTTCAGTCTAGAGTATAGACAGCAAGCTATCAATTAACCAATTCTAGTAGGAAATGCACATTGTGGGATATTGTTTGAAGACTTTTTGAACAATAATCACATAGGACTTAAAAAGAATACTCTAGGCTTTGTGTCAAATGACATCCTTAATTGAGAACAATATTTTAGACTCAAGAGGGGGCAGTGATGTTGAACACAGTTTTTGGAGTCAGATCCTGTTTTGGATGTCTACTCCAATTTTTACTAGATGTATGACCTTGGCCAAAGTATATCACTCTGTTAACTCCAACAGGAGAATGATAATACCTGCTCCAGGACTGTGGTAAGAATTAAAGGAATTAAAGTGACAAAATGGCATAGGGCCAAATAGTAGTAGTTACTCCTGTTATTAAGAGTCCAGGCCAGGCGAGATGGCTTACACCTGTAATCTGAGCACTTTGGGCGGCCTGAGGTCAGGAGTTCGAGACAAGCCTGGCCAATGTGGCAAAACCCCATCTTTACTAAAAATACAAAAATTAGCTGGGCATGGTGGTGCACCCCTATAATCCCCGCTACTCAGGAGGCTGAGGCAAGAGGATTGCTTAAACCCAGAAGGCAGAGGTTGCAGTGAGCTGAGATAGTACCACTGCACTCCAACCTGGGCAACAGAGTGAGACTCTGTCTCAAAAAAAAAAAAAAAAATCCAATGATTTTTATTCTAGGACTCAGTAGTCCATCATAAGAGAAAGATTAACATGCCCACAAGGGAAGAGAAATGAGAACATGGTCTGACAATCTCCTACTTCACCAGGCCAATCTTTTTACCCTCTGAGAACTAACTAGAATCGATAGCATAGGAATTAACAAATTTAATGCATGTATACTCTGGCAAAAAATTGCTTCAAATTCTAGGAAATGTATTTCCTATGTGTAGATAGGAGATTGAAAAGATAAAGCATGTGTACCAATCATAGAAACATAAGACTCCTTATCAGTTACATGTTTGAGTAGGCTACATAGCTATTAAATTTATGATTGTAAGACTATAAAGGCATTTTAAAAGAAAAGTAATTGCATTTTGTTTCCAACTGTGAGTTTATGTCATCACAATCTTGAAATATTTGTTTTTATAGAATTTTTAGATTTTTTTATTCAATCAATAGAAACATTATAAAAATTATGGAGAGGAAAGAGCTACCAAATATAGGTAGCTAGGAAATTGAAAAGATAAAGCATGTGTAACAATTATAATTTTTACAATTATACACATGATACAGTTTGAGAATTGAAATCAGATATTCAGTAATGTAGTGATGGGAGGGTGTCTTTTTACCTTTTTGGTGAAAATAATAGTAACTTTATAGAGTTTTCTTTTGGAGGGGATTCTAATACCTGCTTTCATTAATTTATGTATTGGTAAATATATTCAGGCTTTCCTGCATCAGTATTTGACATTTAATTTTTAAAATGGTTTTCTTCCCTAAGCTGACATTATATTCCCATTTTTTTCAATTAAATAATTATTGCTCAAAAAACTTTGTTCAGCAAATGTGTCTAATATGTAAATAAAATATTTTCTTATGATTTCTAAAGCACTAATTTATAAAAAAACATTTAAAATAGGAAATACACGTTGCAATGTAATAAATAATGCTACTTAACTCTAATATCAAAAGAAGATAACTTACAGTAACTAAATCTTTTTTTTTTTTTTTGAGACGGGGTCTCCCTCTGTCACCCAGGCTGGAGTGCAGTGGCGCAATCTCGGCTCAGTGCCAGCTCCGCCTCCCGGGTTCACGCCATTCTCCTGCCTCAGCCTCCCGAGTAGCTGGGACTATAGGCACCATCTTTTTTCAAATGTATGTGTAAGTCTTTGCTCAAGAGAAATATATATTTTAATTGAGATTAAAATATCATTAAGATTCACATTTATTTCATTCCTAGTGTCCTTGTTTAACTTTTTCTCTTTTAAATTTGGCATCATTTTAGAGACTGTGACACACCTCTTAGTTTTAGAATTTGGTTCTAGTTTTATCTTTATAAAAATGTTCTTTAAAAATGCAGCTAGAAAATATTTAATGGTAGTTGCAACTACCTCTAAAAACATTTAAAGTTGGAGATAGATTTAAAATGAAAACAATCTTTAAAACAAAGACCATTACAACAATTAAAATTCAAATTTTTAAATTTTTCCAAAATGTTTAAATGACCAAAAATTGTTTGTGCTTTCAATATTTCAGATTTCTCCACCTGTCTGCTGTTCACCTTGCTATATTTTGTATAACAAATTGGAGGAAACAAACCACTTATACAAAGAATCACAATTAATACTAAGAAATATGTATGTCTCATCTTATAATTTCATAAAAAAATTGAAAGATTAAATTTTAAAGACTTCTGAGAACTGTGTGAATTGAACACACATTACCTGTGTTTTGTACTAATTGTATTAATAGTAATTATATCTTCTTACCTTATTTAGAAAGGCTGAGTTGGTGCAGGGAGAATTTACATTTATATTTGAGGAATTTTCCTAACACTTGCTTTTAATTAAGGAACATGGATCACAGTGAATCAGCTAGCATGGGTTTACATAGAGCTTTAGCTAATTGCTTAACTTTCAGAGAAGTGATACTTTTTCAAATGAATCATGAAGAATGTCTTCAAAGGTCAACAGAGAGAAAAAACATCAGTTTTCGCTCCTACACAATAATTTGTACTTTTTTTTATAGAAATCTGGAAGTAATTCTGATTTTAAAAGGCAACATTTTAAGCAGCTTCAATTTTCTAAGTGTCAATTAAAAGCCATGTTTGATGTTTCATTTTAATTGGAGCTGTTACCCTGAACACTAATAAGGTGATGATGGTGGGAAATATAAAATAATATACTAGAAACAATTTAATTTTATATAACTTTTACATAATGAAAATGCATTGACTCTATGCAACATGTTAACAAATTACTATAATGCCATTCATACATCTTTTAAAGTCAAAAATCAACTTTTCAAAAACCTTTTATACATATTGTACTATCAAGAGAGACTAAATTAGAGTTCTCAAATTACTTAAATAAGTGAATTTATAATTACCAAATGGAAATAAATCGAGATTAGCTGAATTAATTTTAACTGCATAAAAAAGTCCATAATAATTGTATACTTAAATTTTTTTCCAACAATAAAATATATCCCAGGGGCCAAGCAATGTCACTGGAATAAATTCCTTTCACAGACGTAAAGGGCTTGATGACAGTTATTTTCCAAGTCTAGGGTCCCACAATCACATCTCTGAAAGATTTTCTACATGAAGTGTTTGAAGAAGTGGTGGACGTGTCACTGATCTCTGAGGTCCATTCCAGGTCTCCTTTAAGGCAGAGGTGGGGCACGCAGGAGAGAAGAAAAGGTAATACTGATAACAGAATCTGAACCAAATGTTGTTGCATGCTAGAAATGATTAGATGCCCTTGTCATGGAGCTGTTACAGAGGTCTGGGGTGAAAGAGGGAAAGAAGAGGTCAAGTGTAGGCACATGAGTACAAAAAATGTTTATGCTATATAGTGCAGGGAAAGTGAACCCTTAACCTACTCCTAAATCCTCTTTCCTTTTCCTTTCTAAATATCCTTTCGTGCTGTGAAGGGAAGAATGGAGGTGGGTCTTATTGCTACTTATTGACACATATCAGGTTTAGCTACACAATATGTTTGTAATTAAAAGCTTCAGCAAGAATATTCTGCTCCTTTCCTTTGAGGATTTGCAGAGCACAGGCTTAGGGCACTGCTACTGAACTGGCTCTCATTATACAATGCCTATTTTAGAAAGTCTATGTCTTATCACCACAGTTACTTTTGGTGGGATTCATGTCGTACACATTCATTCAATAAATATGCATTGTGTACCTGGTAGGTTTCAGGCCCTGTGCTAGACAGTAAACAGATAGACAAAATTCCTTACTCTCCTGGAGTTTACATTTTCATAGCAAAAACAGGCACAGAACAAAATAAATGAGTAAATCGAGTATCATGTTTTATTGATTTTTTTAATACACACTTTTTTCCCACACTTTAAAACATGTAAATTAGTACATTCTAAAATTTATGGTGAGTCATATGTTACTTGTTGATATTTTTCTTTACAGTGGCCCATAAAATAATGACATAAACCTTCATTGATAACACTGAGGATTCAACAAAATACAGTAGGATATTAGGAAGTATTTTCAAAGATAAAGAATAGAAAGTGGAATCTTGCAGTTTTTAGTAGTATGGTCAGGGTTAGCCTCACTGAGAGGTGTCATTTGAGCCCAGACTTGCTAGATGAAGGAGCAAGCCCTGGAAGGCATCCCAAGCAGTGGAAACAGCAGATGCAAACGCCCTGCGACAGGAGGATACCAGACCATGCTCTGGGAAATATAAGACCAGAGTAGGTGGAAGCGAATGAGGTAAGAACAGCAATAGTAAAGGATGAAATCAGAGAAATCAAGGGAGCCAGACTGTAGAGGGTCTTGAAGACCATTGTAAGGACTTTAGCTTTCACTCTGAGTGAGATGGGGAGCCGTAGAGGGCTTTGAGAAGACACAATATGAATCATATTTGAAAAGCACAAAAGCACCTCTAATTGCTGTGTTGAGAATGGGTGGACTGAAGAGAACAAAGGTAAACGTAGAGACCAATTAGGAATCTATTGCAATATTTCAAGTAAGAGACCAACATGGCTGTCTCCAGGTGTTAGCAATAAAGTGATGAGAAGTGGTCAGATTCTGAACAGATTTTGAAGATAAAGCCCATAACTTGGTTTATGCTGGATGCCGGGTTTGAGAGACAGAGGTGGGTCATGGATGACTCCAAGGTTTGGGCCCGAAAGACTAGAACTAAGGTGTCACCATCAGTCATTCTGATTGTAAACCAAAGGTTCCTCATGCTAAATCAGCAAGTTTCTGACTGTGTCTAGAGTTGTGTATCTAAAACTAAGTATTTCAAACAGTAATGACCATGAGAGTTTTGGCTCACCAAAGGAAGGGAAAGAGGAAGAAAGGCCAGATAAAAGGGGATTAACTATTCTACCAGGTTGTTCACATACAATATCATTGAATTCCAACAACCACCATTCAGTGTTGGTATTATTATCCCTGTTTTACAAGTAAGGAGATTGGGCCTCAGGCTGGTTAAGTAACTTGCCAAGCTCACATGGCTATTGCCACCCTCGTAGAGGTGGGAGTTTTCCCCTTAGAACTGGTTGCAGTTCTTTAACCAGTTAAGAGCTTCCAACTCTGCCCCACCTTATTCTCCTAGAGGCATTGAGATTTTTTTTTCTTTCTTTCTCCAGATCAGTGGAAGAATATTTCAGTTGATACAACATAGTATTGTTCCCAAAACCATCCTTCAGCCAAAAATAGATAAAAGGTAAAAAGGGTAAATATTATAGACTATCCTCATGACTTTCTTATAATAGATGTTTGAGGCAAAAATTATAAGACCACCTGATGTGGTCATCAATATACTTAAACGAAATAAAGAGAATTATATATTAAAACTAAGGGCTGAGAAAGGTGGCTCATGCCTATAATCTCAGCACTTTAGGAGGCAAAGGCAGAAGGATCTTTTGAGATCAGGAGTTTCAGACCAGCCCTGGCAACATAGTGACACCTCGTTTCTTTAAAAAAAAAATTAAAAATTATCTGGGCACGGTGGACATCTATAGCGCCAGCTCTTAGGGAGGCTGAGGGGTGAGGATCACTTGAACCTGGGAGGTCAAGGATGTGGTGAGCTATGATCATACAACTCAGTCTAGCCTGGGCAAGAAAGTGAGACTCTGTCTCAAAAAAAAAAAAAAAGTAAGGAAGTAAGGACCTAAATGTAAGTAAGCTTTCTACACTTCACCTGAGGTAGTAAAACTGATAACAGTAGACTGTAGTATGTTATACGTGCATATTGTAATATGGACAGCAACCACTCAAAAGTATACAAAGCTATGTACTCAATAACACTATGAATAAATCAAGACGGAATGAATGAATAGAAATTCATTCTCAGAAATATCTAATTTAAGAGGCTTGTTTTCAACAACAAAAAAATCATTGCATATAAATTTTTAACATCGTCATGATACGTGATGCTGATCAAAGGATCTTTTGTAAATCACTGGATAAGATGATGAAAATTTTTAATCATGAAAAAATACAAAATCATTGTAAATGAAAGGTAAAATCAGCCTGACTGTGTCAAAAGCAGAAAGCCTGGGCATTTCATAATCACAATCATGTCCTGAACTCATAATTTCACTCATGTTAACATTTGTTTTTAAATTTACTGCCTCTAACCTGATCCAAAGCAGCTGCTTTCCCACAAGGAGGCTTATCTTTTTCAGCATGGAAAATAAAATGGGGTTAAAAATGCAACCAGATCCAGCCCATCGCCGGGAAATTTCAGTTCAGAAGAGGATATATGCAGTGCCAGAAGCTCAAACAGTTGGTTTGAAGGCAGGATTATCTTGTTCTCAAGACAGAGTCATTAGGACAAGGTAGAGGGCTGCTGTGCACAGGCGTCTCCACGGCGCACGAACGCCAGACCCCTTCCATTGTCCCTGGCTGGGATGAACTCTTCAAAGCTGGCCACTTGAAGCATGCAGGTCCTGGCTGAGGTCAGCTCTGCTGCTGCTCACCCAGTGACCCCTGGTCCAAGCAGACAGAGAAAGGGACACTGCCTCTCTGGAAGATCAAAGCCCAGCTTAACTCACTGTTTCTCTCAACTCTCCTGCTCAGGAGGCTGAGCTGGTTAATGAGGGAGGGGTGGAGGCAGAAAAAAGGAAAGGCATTTTAGCACAATGTAGAGCATTGCTAGCTCCCCAAGAAACACTATGCTGAAGTATCACTGGCCATAGTGGCTAAAATGTAACTAGCCAGCTGCCCCTGCCATGCAGCATTGAGAAACACAAACAACTGAGGAAAATGCAGGGTTGACAACAGGTAATGAGGTGAGCAGAAATTATGTCGGGAGAGTGGCTCTCACAGACAGATGCTCTCTCTCACCGGCTCACCTTCCAGCAGAAGTTCTGACTCATCACAGCTGTCAAAGAAAGGTCAGAAGGAGGAGAAGGAGCAGCTTGGGGCTGCTTTTTCTCAAAGGTATTTGCTTCCTCTTGTTTTGACATTGTCCCCACAACCTGTACTACAGTGACTTCTGAGCCTCCAGGATGGACACGTTGGTCACTCAGGCTCTGTTCTGCTATTTGGTGATCAACCATTCTGGTTTGCCTGGAACTTTCCTTCTACTGTCCTATGTCCCAGGAAATACCTCATACCTAAAACTCCCACATCCCAGAAAACCTCTCATGGTCATCCTAGTTGTGAGTTAGCAAGATTGCATAGATGACTGTGTGGTTTGGGGAAAGGTAACTATAGTAGGTTGCCTGGTGACCCCCCAGAATAAATGTCCATACCCTAATCCTTGGAACCTGTGAATGTGACCTTATTTGGAAAAGTGGTCTATATAGGTGTAATTAAAAATCTCAAGATGAGGCCAGCTGCAGTGCCTCACACCTGTAATCCCAGCACTTGGGGAGGCTGAGGCGGGCTGATCACGAGGTCAGGAGATCAAGACCAGCCTGGCCAACATGGTGAAACCTCATCTCTGCTAAAAATACAAAAATTAGCTGGGCGTGGTGGCACACACCTGTAGTCCCAGCTACTCGGGAGGCTGAGGCAAGAGAATCACTTGAACCCGGGAGGCGGAGGTTGCAGTGAGCCAAGATTGCATCACTGCACTCCAGCTTGGGCAACGAAAGCGAAACTCCATCTCAAAAAAAAAAAAAAAATTAGCTGGGCGTGGTGGTACATGCTTGTAATCCCAGCTACTTGGGAGGCTGAGGCAAGAGAATTGCTTGAACCAGGGAGGTGGAGGTTGCAGTGAGCCAAGATCACACCACGGCACTCCAGCCTGGGCAATAAGAGAGAAACTCCATCTCAAAAAAAAAAAAAAAAAAAACTCCAGATGAGCTCATCCTGGATTTAGGGTTCACTCCTATAAGAAACAGGGGATGAGACGACAAAGAGACTCAGAGGGGAAGGCAATGTAAAGCCAGAGTCAGAAATGCCAACGCTCACGTGAAGCAGCAAAAAGAAAGGAACAAGAATGAATCCTCTTAGAGCCTTTGGAGGGAGTGTGGCCCTGCTGACCCTGAATTTTCGGCCTTCTGGTCTTCAGAACTGTGAGACAATAAATTGTTCTCATTTTAAGACACCCAGTTTGTAGTAATTTGTTATGACAAACAAGGAAAACTAGAGCTTGGCATCTGGGTTTCTCCCCTGAGGCTACAAGTTAAAAATTTTGGGTGAAGACACTGGATGGCTAGCAGGTGAAACAGATAAAGTATGAAGTCATTTAGGCCAAGAAAGAGCTTTAAGATGAAACTTAGAGTTGTATTAGTCCATTTTCATACTGCTATGAAGAAATGCCTGAGACTGGATAATGTATAAAGAAAAGGAGGTTTAATGGACTCACAGTTCCACATGGCTGCTGGGGAGGCCTCACACTCATGGAGGAAGGCAAATGAAGAGCAAAGGCATGTCTTACCTGGTGGCAGGCAAGAGTGTGCAAGGGACAGATCTCGTGAGACTTACTATCACAAGAACAGCACAGGAAAAGCCCACCCCCATGATTCAATTACCCCCCAACAGTTCCCTCCCACAACATGTGGGCATTATGAGAGCTACCATTCAAGATGAGATTTGCGGGGGGACACAGCCAAACCATATCAGGAGTCATCAATGAGTTTAGCGAATTGACTTTTTTCATAAACACTGCTTATATACAAATTGGCCTGAGGGGGAAAATATGTATATAATATTTTTTTGCCCCCCATAGGATGTTTGACAATAAGTAAAATATTGTCATATATATGTGTAATATGTGAAATATATATTAAGATAATTTTTATATATGTGTGTATATATATATATATATACTTTTCATTTTCATAAAAAGGAATTACCAATAACATTTGTTGACTGATGGCCTGATCTTACTGACCTCCCTCAGATATATCTATGCTCCCATAGAATAATATATCCACATATGAAACTTCCCTGGGTGAACTTACATTTTTTTCAAGATGAAGGAATCACCTAGTTTTACTCCCATTTGTAGACAAATAAATTTCTTTATATATTTTCCTTTTTAAATGTTTTTATTAGTACATAATTATACATATGTATGAGGTACATGTGATATTTTAATACATGCATACAATGTGTAATGATCAAATCAGGGTATTTAGGATATCCATCACCCCAAACATTTGCCATTTTTTGTGATGTGAACATTTCAAGTCTTCTAGCTATTTTAAAATATACAGTACATTGCTGTGAATTATAGTCACCCTACTGTGCCATTCAAATACTAGGACATCCTTTTATCTAACTGTATGTTGGTATGAATTAACCAACCAATGAACTTCTCTTCATTTCCCTCCTACCTCTATTCTTTCCAGCTTCTAATAACTATCACTCTATTCTCTACCTCCATGACACCCATATTTTTGGCTCCACATCTGAGTGAGAACATGTAATACTGGTCTTTCAGTGCCTGGCTTATTTCACTTACCATAATGACCTCCAGTTCCATTCATGTTGCTGCAAATCACAGGGCATTTATACTTTTTTTTTTTTTTTTGAGATGGAGTCTCGCTCTGTCGCCCAGGCTGGAGTGCAGTGGCACGATTTTGGCTCACTGCAAGCTCCGCCTCCCGGGTTCACGCCATTCTCCTGCCTCAGCCTCCCGAGTAGCTGGGACTACAGGCGCCCACCACCATGCCCAGCTAATTTTTGTATTTTTAGTAGAGACGGGGTTTCACCATGTTAGCCAGGATGGTCTCGATCTCCTGACCTTGTGGTCCACCCACCTCGGTCTCCCAAAGTGCTGGGACTACAGGCATGAGCCACCGCCCCCAGCTGGCATTTATACTTTTTAATGGCTGAATAATACTCTATTGTGTGTGTATATATGATATATACAATGTGATATATATGTGTGTGATATATATATAATGTGATATATATGTGATACATTTTATATATATAATGTTTTATATATATATATATCACATTTTCTTTATTTATTCACCTGTTAATGTACACTTAGGTTGATTCCATAGCTTGGTTATTGTGAACAGTGCTGCAATAAACATGGGAGTACAGATATCCCTTTTATAAGCTGATTTCCTTTCCTTTGAATAAATATCCAGTAGTAAGACTGCTGACTCATATTGTAGTTCTATTTTTTGTTTTTTGAGAAACCTTCACAGTGTTTACCATAATGGCTATGCTGATTTACATTCCCACCAACAGTGCACAGCCTCACCAGCAATTAGATATTTTTCTAACAGACTGAGGGCCAGAACATCTTACTCAGCAAAGCATTATACTGAAGACATTACAGTTTATTATTATTGAAATTCTTGGAGGCTAAAAATGAGAAGGTGGAAAGCAAATGCGTGAAATAACTTTGAAAGCTACAATAAAAGAGATACTACAATTAGCATCTTAGCCCATAAAAAACACATTAAAATCATTACAGGGCACACTTCAAATGATGCAACAAGTAGGGAAAAAGTCTACCAATATCCCCAAAGTCTACCCATATCCCCAGAGATATCAGTAGACTTTTTTCACAGGAAAAAAAGGGGTAAACAATATATTTTGTGTTTTCTAACTCTCTGTAGTATGATGTATACCAGGCCAGATGGGGTCTATTACTGATGTCAGTGACTATCTACTGCAGCCCACCAAGAGCAACTAAATACAATTTATCCATTTGTCCACTTTTTTGTTTTTCTTCCTGATGTCCTTTCTAGCCCCTAAACTGTAGAACATACGTCCTTCTTTATGTGCCCATGCACTCTCACCTCCCCCATGATCATTTCTGAAGTAGCTTTTTTTCTCCCATAGAAGTTGGTGTCAGTGGCAATGTCTGTCTTTTTAGCCATTGTATGCCCAACATTTTGTTACCTTGCTGTACCTATCACACTGCTTTGCCTGTGATATGCCAACCAAGTTAAAACAAACCACACCAAATGCTTTATTTTCTCTGTTAGGCTCTCCAGGAAATATTGGTGATCATAATCACTACTGAAGTTGGTTTCATATGAAGACATTGTCACTGTGTCACCCATGAGGTTCCTCAAGGGAGTAGATGTGTGTGTGTGTGTGTGTATATATATATATATATATATATATATATATATATATATTTTTTTTTTTTTTTTTTTTTTTTTTTCTCTTACCCACGCTGAGAGATGGATAGAGAAATGCCTCCAGAAAAGCTGGCTTTTTAAAGTGTATCTATTACCTGGGCAGGGAGTTAAGAACTCTAAATGGATGCTTCTGCTCAGGAGTTCTAACCTTGATACTGAAACTACTAATATTTGGGGCTGGATAATTTTTTGTTGTGTTGTTCTGTCCTCTGTTTTATAGCATGTTTAGCAGCACCTCTGGTCTCTACTTGATGTCATTAATGATTTCAATTATATTAACCAGATATTGCCAAATGTCCCCTGGGAGGAAAAATTGCCCCTGGTTGAGAACCACTGCTGTAATATTTTCTCATAAGCACATTGGAGGAGGAAAAAAATAGTTTTTCATCTTATTGTCACTTGAAAAATACCAAGAATCTTCTCTGTAGAATGAAGCACCAGAGTGAAAGGTGTATGTTAGGACAAAAACTCCAACTGTTTCTTCATTCTGATAGCTCCATCATGAATCTGTCTCCTAACTGCCCTCCCCTCTATGTCACCCCACCTCATTCTCAGAATTCAGTGGAGTAGCCAAGTCACCCACCTTTATTGTCTAAGCATTCTCTGATTGGAGAAAGGTTTCTGCATCCAAGAAGTGATATAGTGCTTCCCCCCAATAAAAAGAGCATGTTATATGATTGGCAAATTATATTCCCAGAGAGAACTGGGAATTTTCCTTTCTGGATGCTCCACTACAAATAATCAGGAGTGGTAACTATCTTATATGAGGGAAGCCATTTTTGTCCCAACTTAGATTATTAGACATTCTCAACACACCATTGGGAAAGCCACTTTCCCCACCAAACTGTTTATTTAGAGTAACAGATAATAGATCACTGAATTCCACAGCTACAAGTAAAATCTAACTTTAGTCCTAAATGTTGGCATACTCTCTTCTACAACCATGAATCAGAGCAATGAACAAATGACGGAACATGTGACTGCTTTTTCCTTTATGATTTCTCTTCCCACAAGCCTTATTCTGATGACTGTTGGAGTTAATCTGTAAAATGGCAAAACATGAATAGATAAATTAAAAAATCAAAAAGAGATAGGAAGTGGGAAGGAAAAGAAATAGAGTGCCTGGATGATTTGCAACATAATTAATCAGTCCTTGAATAATCAAGATCTAAATGTGCAGGAAACACAAGTAATAATGATAGAGGAGGAAAAAATGAGGCAGTCACAATGGAAGTGCTGAGGCCAACAGGTCCTCTGTAGGACCTCTCGGGAGCACAGCAGATGACTGTTCCGGTATGATGCCTGCTGTGCATTTCAGAGTCTGAGAAACAAAATGTTTGTTAGGAAAGCAAATGAAGGACTGAGAAATAATTCCTTCTCAGGTAACTGGCTGCCCATCACTACAGACATCACTGAGGAGAGGAAATAAAATAGAAAATTACCATAGAAGTTGCCAAAACCCCAGCCCGAATAAAACAAAGTCAGATGGCATGGAAGCCTTGCATGCCTGAATAAAACACGACTAAATAAAACCAAATTTTGTCCCACAAGAAGAATGGAGAAAACTTTTAACCAATTAGAGAAACTCCATCGTGATCAAATATGACCCACGTAATGATTATATGGAACGGTAAACATTTTAATAATATAATTAAATACAAATGTAAAGTTTTTGTTTTCTTCTTTTTGTGAGCTTGTATTTTCTGCTTTCATGGTCAGCCGCCTAACGTAGTGATTTAATTACCTCAGAGTAAGTCAGTCAAGCTGGCCGTCTGAAAACTGCCTTTTCACAATGCCCTCAACTGACCTGAAGTGAAACTCAAACTCACCCTTTGTGCCCAGGGTTTTCCTGACAACAAAAGAGGTATTGGTTCTCCTTCCCCAGATACCAGCCCTGGGCTGATTTTCCAGTCTCTCTCCTCCTCCCTAAGTCTCCTTCCTCTATCCTGTCTTTGCCTTCACTCCACCCTCCACTCACTCCCCACTCCCCACACACAATGGAAAAGAATGCGGAATCTGCCATCTTGTTTCTCTCAGTTATCACAGAGAAGAGCGTGGGGGTTGTCTTTTATTTCCAGGCGCATAAAATTCCTGTCTCTAACAGCTCGGACCTTGGTTATTACAACCAACTGTGAAACTGCTTCAGGAGAAGATCTCATGATAATGTTTTGGAGTCATAGGTAAGAGGAGGAATCAGAAACACTACCTGATAGAATGGACTGAGCAACCACATGGCCTATTGAAAGAACTGGAATTAGACCAGGGAGCATTCAAATCCACTCTTTTGATTCAGATCCTACCTAACTAAAGAGAAATACCTTCTACAAAATAGAAGGGCTTTAATGAACAGGAAGGATTCCCTAATATGTCTTTGTTGGCTTTTCCTGTGCAAACCACACTGCATGTGACAGGTACCAAGGTCACAGCACACTTGAGAAACACATTATGCTTGAGGGTAAAAACAGTACTCAGGACCTTGTAAGGAATCATCCCCTTTCCCTCAGTTACTCAGTTGGTACATTCAGATTCTCTATTAGAAGCTTCTGTGTACAAATTTTGGATATTTATCCTTTTCAAAAAGTAGCAATATATCATAATACTGAATATCTAATGGTAGTCAATGCCATGGGAAAAGGTATAGGAGAGGAGAAAGCAAGCATCAAGACTTTTTCTTAAATTATTTAAATATGGTACAGGATATGGGGTATCCATCTGAATGCTAACTTGTTTAGTTCAATATGTTTTCTGTTTCTGTTGGCTAGGGTCTAAGAAAATATCTAACGTAATGGGACTTAAACTGATATTAAAATCTTCACACTTAAACTTCTTCCACATTAAAAAAAAGGAATAAATGAATACACTGTGCATAATGATTCAAGAGTATCCCCTGATAACACTGAAACATCAACCCACAATTAGAAGCTTTCCGACAAACAACAAATTCTATAGCAATCTTATTCTGCAATATTTTTAGAACACAGCCTCACTGAGAACTGTGTAGTCTCCTCCTTCCAAAACTTCTTCAAATCACTTCTATAACTTACTTTCCAGAGAAAGCAATCAGTGGTTACACTTGTTCATTATTCCACAGCCTGTGATTCTCAGGAGCAACTAATGTGTGGGGCAATATGTTTAATGAGACTAACGACATAAACTTTTGTTCTTCAAAGAGATTTGCAGATTGTCTCTTGTAGGTTGACTTGTTTCTGTGGTTCAATTTCTTTACTCATAGAAAGGATAGTAGTTATGTGTCACTCCCAAAGGGAGAGAATTCGAAGAGGGAATTTGTAATCAAGCAATTGGTCAATATGAATTTGTGCCCACTGGCACAGAGTGAAGACAGGTAGGTGGAGACAGATAAGCAGATACAACCTCCTTGTTAGAGGATGCGAATAAATATACTCCATCTCTATTAAGATCTGTTAAAAAAGAGCAAAGAGATTTAAGCTATGGCATAGCATAGGTGAGTGAAATGAAAGAAAAGCCTGTATTTCTATGGAGATTATTTAAGGTATTTATGAAAATTGTAGAATCTATTTCTCTCTATTGTTGAATGAATTATTCCGTTTATGTGGATATGTCCAAATAACAGAATGAATTCTTAGGGATACTTTCAACACAATTATTTCATTTCACAGGATGGTTTAAAATGTTACAAATAGTTCAATAGTGAATTTATATTTAAATAATTTCAAACAAACATGGCTATTTCCAATTGCATTGGAATTGTTACTGCAGTACTAGAGAACATTTATTTTGCGCTTAATCCATTATAAACTGCTATTTAATTGTTTGTAGGAGTTACTTAAGGTGGTACAATATGGCTGTCTGATAAGAGTTTATTTGTACATACTTAGCTCTGAACATCCAAACATATGGCAATCTGTTTGCTCCACCAAATGCTACTCAGTATTCTGTTGTCTTTACTATTTTCCGTTAGAGAAGGCATTGTAGGGATTTCTATGGAAAGTACAAGATGTGCATATTTCTGGGTCAAACCAGCTAAAATCAGCCACTGCACTAACCCAAAAAGATGGGTTACTGAATTTCAACCCAAAAAGATGGGTTAGGTTTCAGCCCCTTTTACCTTACGAAAGAATTAAATTTAAGAGAGATACCAATTTTTACCATTAACATGCATTACTTTTGTAAAAATCAAAAGATAAAGACCCAAATGTGGAAAAAATAGAATAGTATTAAAATGATCAGCAATCAGACTCTCCTGGCTCTTCTGCCTCTTAGTCTCATTTCCTTCCCTTTCACCTCCACATACCCTCCAGGCCCCCTGGACTGGCTGGCTTTCCCTGATCACACCATGTGCTTCACACCTGCCTAATACTGCTCATGCTAGCTCCTTTGCCTAGAAGGCCAGCCCTTCCTCCTTCTGATGAAAGCACACTCCTCCTCCAAGACCCAGTGTAGCCTCACCTCCTCTGGATAGCAGTCCTTGACTATTGTGGCTAGCCAACCTGAGGCCAGTAGAGTATGTCACCCCAGTCCTGTGTCCCCCGGTTCTGGAATTCTATTTTTCCAATAATAATTTTCTCATGTCAGACTCCTTAAAATTAAGTCAATTTCTCGTTGCTATTCTGTTTCCCAGGACCTACTCCAGAGGCTAGAAGATGAGAGATCTCAAAAATATGTGTAAGAAATAATTTAAAAATGCATCTATCTTACTGTCATAATCAGCTCAGGTTCTTATAACAAAACACCACAGACCTAGTTAAACGTCTTAAATTATAGATATTTATTTCTGGAGACTGGAAAGTTCAAGATCAAGATGCTGGCAGATTTGGGTTTTAGTGAGGGCTCTCTTCCTGGCTTGCAGACAGCTTCCTTCTTGCTATATCCTGACATGGTGGAGAAAGAAGTTCTAGTGTCCCTTCCTCTTCATATAAAGGCACTAATCCCATCATGGGGGCTCCACACTCATGAATACATCTTAATCTAATTTTCCCCACAAAGGCTTCACCTCCTAATACCATCACTTTTTGGGTTAGGACTTCAATATATAAATTCTGGGGAGACACAGTATTCAGCTCATAACACTTACCTTCTTCAGTCACTATCCAGAAAAGTATTGCAGCACATTGTTGTCATATGTATCAAAGTCTTATTGCTGTTACTAAATTTTACCACTCTTTAATCATTAGAAATACTATCAATGTATACTCAAAAGTAGTCAAAACAACGATCTGATAACACTGAAAGTGAAAACATAAAACAAGCACAATTGTACACACAAAAAAATTGTAACAGAAATGAGTAGATAACCTGGCCTGTAAGGAGTAATATTTTCATCCTCTAAATTTGCATATGATAAAATTAGGAGTTGCCTGCATTTGGAAGCAAATTGTTACGGAACATCAAGAAAATTGGTAAGAATACTTACATTTTTATATATACATATATAAATATGAATAGAAGATAGATGGATCTATAGAGAGACAGATTGATATTGCTTGGCTGTGTCGCCACGCAAATCTCATCTTGAATTGTAACTCTCACAATTCCCATGTGTCATGGGAGGTGATTGAATTATGGGGGCGGGTCTTTCCTACATTGTTCTTGTGATAGTAAATGAGTCTCATGAGATCTGATGGCTTTAAAAATGGGAGTTTCCCTGCACAAGCTCTCTTTTTGCCTGCTGCCATCCAAGTAAGATATGACTTGTTCCTCCTTGCCTTCTGCCATGATTATGAGGTCTCCCCAGGCATGTGGAACTGTAAGTCCATTAAACCTCTTTCTTTTGTAAGTCGCCCAGTCCTGGGTATGTCTTTATCAGCAGTGCAAAAATGGACTAATACATATATGTATGTGTGTGTGTGTGTGTGTTTGTGTGTGTGTACGGCTTAGCTATATAGCAAACTGGGAAGGAAACGTGAGCTTTCACCTAATCAAAGATTGTTTGATCCCTCTTTTTCACAAAGAGATTTTTCAATTAGTGCCCACACAAAGGAACAACTTGTGACTGAACAGTCTAATTTCTAGGGATAAGACTAGGAGGCAATATTTACACATTAACCAGTTAGAGGCATGAGGGGAAGGATGCTAGAATTCAGTAAAATTAATTCATTTCTAGTTAATGCCTGAATGTAATGGCGTTTAAAACTTGTTTGTTTAGAATGAGCCTTAGTCCATGCATTAGGAATCATGTCCATTTGCTTCCTAAATTGATTTTTGAAAGTGAACCACTTAGTGTTAGCTGTGCAGGCCTCTTGTTTTCTCAGATGTTTGTCTGAGCTCACACTACCCCACACTAGAATGTTTTTCATTCCTAACTCTCCTAACCCTCACATAACTTATCATGCCTGAGGATGTCCTTATTTCCTCAAGACAAAATTTTCTCTACTGGAATAGTTAATTTTATGTACCAATTTGGCGAGGCCACAGTACCCAGATATTTGGTCAAACACCAGTCTAGATATCTCTGTGAAGGTAATTTTTAGATGAGATTAATATTTAAATCAGTAGACTTTTAAGAATGCAGACAGCTCTCCACAATGTAGGTGGGCAATTCATTCAATCAGTCAATCAGTTAAAGGTCCTAAGAGGCAAGACTGACCTCCCCTGAGGAAGAGGGAAATCTCACTCTTTCTCTTTCTTTCTCTTTCTCTACACACACACACTCTCTCTCTTTCTCTCTCTATTCTGTTTCTCTGGAGAACCTGACTAATCCATCTGCCTTAAAAATCCTATTTACATTTTGAAAATTGTTATTACACGAGTCTTAATGTCTGGCTTTATAGTTATGTATGTGCCCACTGATGCTTGAGCTCACAAAAGGCAGCACCTATGTCTTAGTCTTCTTTGCCTGTCCTGCAGCACTAGGATATCATCTTGCATGCAATATGTACTCAAAAATGCAAATTAATATAAATTTGATAGACGGAAAGAAGTAAGTCACAGGTTTGGTCACAGCCTGGTACTTCTGCTTTCCTGAACCCTAAGAAGAACAAACACCATAAAATGATTTCAGCATTCAGACTGATGTTATGAAAATCTCGAATATCTGTGGTCTTCAAATACTTCTCTTTAAAATAAAGCCATTGGAATAGATTAGTAATTCTCAAACTGTGCTACAGGGGTTACCTAGTGGTTCCTCAAAGGAGAAAGCCTGATGGGGGCCCGAATGGTCTACATGTTGTGAATCTAATTCCTATACCTATCCCCTCCTCTGAGCAGATCCATTTTGATTAATTTCACATATACATCCACACAATACTACATTTCAGTTCCTAAAAAGTAAAAAAAAACCTTTAGAAACCATGGGGCTAGCTGATCTCTCTGAGTTTCCTTCCAGTTCTAAGTCTCTTAAGATTGTTTTGCATCTAGTTTGCAGGTTTATTTTAGCTTTTCTTCTGAAAGATTATTTCTGCTTGAATTATTATTTTAATCCAGGATTGCTCATACAGGAGTCATGCCAGGGTCTTATCTTGTAGAGTGAGTGGTAAGAAAGAGGGAGAGTCCTGGAATTTGGCCAGTTAGGAGCAGCCCCATGCAGGCAGCTGGATATTCTATGGCCCAGGACCCTGGGGGACTGATTGAGACCAGCGTGGCCATACAAGGAGCTCTGCCCGTGGGGACTGGGAAGAGGGTGGTTCCCCCTCACTAGGTAATAGAGTCTCAATTTGGGATAAAAAGTTTATCCTCAGCAAGATCTCACAGTATGGATGGAGCTAAGATCTGAGGCTATCAAAAATGTTGTGAGGCGCTCAGACTTATCCATGTCAACTAGGGGCCTAAGAAAGGACTCCAGTATAAGCAAAGGACCAAGAACCAGAAGAAGAATACATGACGAAGTCCAGATGGGGCCAGAACCAAGGCAAAGGCAAGTAGACACGAGGCTCCCTGGAAATCACCCAATCTCTCCAGATTGCTGGACAAGACCATTTTCAGATCCCACTAGCTAGCAAAATAATACTTTGGTTGAACTTCCTTCTTCAATAAGATTGGTTCATCCTTAGTGTGAACCAATAGGAAGAGGTGTCAGAGATTTTTGCTGAGAGAGGAGATCACAGAGAATATTTTAAAATGAGTGCTGGACAATAGTGTCCAGAACATGAGAGACATTATCTCATCATATTCTGAACTAGTCAGACCACATCTAAGTATTAATTCAAAAAACCTGGAATTGGCCTGAGCTGTTTTGCTGAAGTAAGAGATGTATCTACACAGCACTGACTCACGGTCCAGGCACCAAATGTGCTGAAGCACATTTTATGTACAAAGTGTTGCTTTGTAACCATGAATTCAAGGCAAGTTTCAGGGTGGTTTTAACAGCTTGTCAGCATTGTTTCTTGACAAGAGTAAGATTGATGATTCGCACCCAGTCTTGGTGAGATTCCTACAGGACTCTGCCACTGGATCTGGTTACAAGGCAAGAAACATGGCTACCTGAACAGGAAGTTATAAGGAGCCTGAGCCAAGAATCCATTTTGGGATCCCTGTTCCAAGATGTTCTTTGTACACTTTGGTATTTTCTTATCCAAGAGGAAAGCATGTCCAGGATATGCTAGACATGAAGGGATCATAATTAGAGCTTGGTCCAGACTTTCATCTCTTGCTGTGAGCCAACCTTTGGCTGTGATGTACATCTTTATTTTAATGTTGTTGCTATATTGTACCTTTTTGCTTACAATAAATCATAAATCCATAAGCATTGTCTTTTTAGGTTCCCTGAATCTCCCTTAGCAACTGAACTCTGTGGCTGTCACCATTATCACACCTGGAAACCAAATTTTCATAGGAATTATGTACAAAGATGGAGACCAAACTGAAGACTAATCTGAAACCATGTCACATAATGAAGAAATGAAAGAAGTAGAGAGGCTTCATTTGGGGAAAAGATCTAAAGAACTGTAATATGTAATAGTGTTTTTTCCACGTCTCTTTCAATTCAAAGATTGCATTATTAATTTTTCACATATCACCAGAAGACAAAACATGGCAGTAGAATGATAGTACTTGGAGGCACTTAAATAAGAGAACAAAATATCTAACAATGTTGGCTGTTTTAACTGAAATGGGTTTCTCTGTATGGTTGCAAGTTCCTTATTTCTAGAAGGTTTGAGAGACTGGATGTCAATATTTACCATATGTGTTGATGGTACTATTGTTTTCATTTTGAGATTAAACACAATCTTTTCTACATCCTCTCTCAATTCTAATATTTTACAATTCTAAGATTTTTGGGAGTACAGATTTTTGAGAGAGTACTGTACAGATTTTGAGAGTACAGTTCTAATCTGTATTACAATGACATCAAAATTCATTAACTTTATTCCTTACTTATATCAAGTCTTCTATATTCCCCATATGTCTGAATTTATTATGCCCTGTATGTACCCCAACTCCTCTGCCTCTCTGCAAAAATGAACATCCAAGATCCAACTCAAAGTCTTAAAAAAAATCAAAGCCTTATGTTTTCACAGATTTCCTTGTGATTAATACAAGAAGAAACAAAGGGAAACTGTAAAAGAGAATTATCACTACCTCTAGGATGGCTGTTGAGAGCTGGAATAGTGTATCCAGGAAACAAATACAATAGAAGAGTGTTAGGCACCAGAAAAACTCACTGCCCATCAAAGCACCTAGGGCCACGGGGTACCAGCTTGGTTCCTTGAGGAGCAACACACCAGTGTAGCCCAAATAGGTTAAAGCACAGCCAGCCGGACAAGAGACTCAAAAACAGACAAGTGTGCTGCAGAGAATGACGCTTCTTGAAGCAGAGAGGTGCTCTCATTGCACGCCAAGTGCAATGGTCTGAGCTGCTGTTGATGGGGCATCAAGGGGGCAAGAGATTGGTTCCGGATCATCCTGCAGCTCAAGATGTGCAGACTTGTGGGGTTGTGGGTAGAAAAGCAAACATCCATTGGCTTCTGAGTCATTATGAATTGAGAACATTTTGAAAGTCAATTCCAAAAGATGGAGCAAGAGATGATGATAGGACCTAACATAAGGCCTGGTCACAGGAATATTCAACACAGAGGAGTGGATATGGGGAGGTACAAGACTCTTGGAGAAAGGAAAACAGCCCTTTACAGTAGAGTGGGCCATGGGTGGGAGCCACTAGGATGCCAAGTTAGCTCCAGCAGCAAACACCCACATTCTTATTCCCATGGTAATACAGGAAAGAGCACTGGACTTTTCAACTCAAAATAACTCCTCAATAAAATGCAGTCAGTCCAATAAGTTTCCTTCAGAAAGATAGCCTCTTGTCCAAGTAAGTATTTGCAAAGCCTCTCTCCTCAAATCTTCAATACAGGGAATTAGCCATTGCAGAAAGCCTGGGAAGAATTGGGCAGCCCCCCCTTTCCTCAAGCACCACCGTCAATCATGACCTAACACTTCATAAATAACCCAAAGAGGAAAACTTTCCTCAGTCGCATTTAAGCCAGCGAGGTGTATATAGCTTTAACAGATCCAGGACACTTATCTCAAGCTGGGAGTGTAATTTCATGGTAATAATTTGCTTAAAGTGTTGCTGATTGCTTCCTATTTCTCCCCGTTAATGACTTTTGCACCTTTCCACCATTCCTTTTATATGTGCTGCTATGGCCATTACCTTACAGGAGGCTGTTTGGACAACACAGGGCCTTTCCATAGGCTGCTAAGACCTGTACTGGACACTCCCAAGACCTGAAAAGTCTCTTTCGTATAGGTTCCATTTTTTTTTTTTAAGTTTTTTTTTTTTTTTGACTTCTGTCAATACATTGCTGTTTCACAATCACTGCTACTCTTGCAGTGCATATATTCAGGAAGCAATTGAACAAAGGTAATTTGCTGTTCATAAATTTCCCAGTGACTGAAACCAGCCTGCAAAAGGTGGTGTGGAGAGCATCAATTTGGATGTATAAAAGAATATATCTCGTTATGGCTAGAAGTCCAATGTGGAATATCTTGGAAAGTGAGTTAGCGGTCTGAGGGTCATTTGAGAGCCTCTTAATCTCTACATTTTTAAAGCAACTCATGCTTGCAGATTTTGGAAAAATATTTTCTTCCCCTATTGGCAATGATTCCAACTTTGAATGATGAAGTAGCTTTTCCCAGATTTTATGAAGAAAAAAAATAAATAGTATGTTCCTCATGCAACCAGGAAACATAATGCTTGGAAATGCCAGGGAGTAAGGGCGCATTACAGCAAATGAACAGTCCTGTGGGTCAGCTCCGCGTCTCAGCCTGACTTCTCCCCTTCTAGTTTCAACCTATCTCTTCTTGCCATATATTCACCTTCTTCCAGCCCTTGCCATCCATCTTTTTTCTTTAGATTTCCCTAATATGTATACAGTGTTCTCTCCTATTCTTATTTGTGATATCTGCCCTTCTCACCTCACTTTCATTCCACCAGAGGCAGGGCAGTCCTGGGATCAGAGAGGTGGACAGACGGCAAACAGCGGGTGCTCCTCAGGTTCAGGCATTTGATTTCACTGCCCAAATTCCTCATTTCAGCCTGAAGGTGAGCATGAATGAGGAACTGAATAGAGATCCAAGATACTGCACGTGCGTCAGCACCACCATGACAGCCCAGGCTCTGAATCACAAGGCGCTTTAATCCCTCAGTGACAAACCCACCTAAGGAAAGGGATACCTGAAACCGGACCAGGAAATATTTGTGCAGGAGGCAGGGAACTCGATCTGCACAGCTTTTCTCAGTCATTCAAATTCCAATTGAAAACAAGGACAAGTCCTAACTCCAAAAACAGAGTGTTCTCAACACCCACGTCCATCATCCCGAAATGTAACACAGAAAGAGTTTACCAGGGATGTTGTCCCAAGACTCCTTGCATAATTTGTGGTCCACTTGCAGCAAAGGCTTCTCCTCAGGGCCCCCCAATGTTTTCCTCTGCAAAGAAAGAAGGTGACTTCACAGATTCAGACCTTGGAGGAGTGTACTGTCACAGTTCATGTCACACTCACAAAAGAATCAACCTCATAATGTGTAGGTTTCATTCATTCATTCTTCCAGAAAATTTATATAAGCTGCCTACTATGTGCTACACATTGATCTAGTGCTCAATGATCTCTGCCCTCATTGTATTGTAGAAGTAGGTGGGAGAGTCAATAAACACATTAAGTAAATTACCTTGTAAATTAGAAGGCAATAAGAATTTAAAAATTGAATAGGGTAAGTGAGTGGGACAGCAAGGGACAGTAGGAATAGGGTAGTCCCAGTGGACCTTATTAAAGAGGAGATATTTCAGCCAAGTCTTTTTTTAAAAGCAATTTCAACTTTTATTTTAGATTCAGGAGATACGTGTGCAGGTCTGTCACATGGGAACACTGTGGGATGCTGAGGTTTGAAGTATGAATGATCTGGTCACCCAGGCAGTGAGCACAGCACCCATAGGCAGTTCCTCAGCACCCCCTCTAACACTCCCCGACCCCAGCAGTCCCCAGTGTCCGTTGCTCCCATCTTTATCTCCACATGTACTTGATGTTTAGTTCACGTTTATAAGTGAGAACATGTGGTATTTGGTTTCATTTTCTTTTCTTTTTTTTTTTTTTTTGAGTCGGACTCTTGCACTGTCGCCCTGGCTGGGTGCAGTGGCGCGATCTCGGCTCACCGCAACCTCCACCTCCCAGGTTCAAGCGATTCTCCCACTTCAACCTCACAAGTAGGTGGGATTACCACCACACACCACCACGCCCGGCTAATTTTTTTGTATTTAGTAGAGATGAGGTTTCACTATGTTGGCCAGGCTGGTCTCAAATTCCTGACCTTGTGATCTGCCTGCCTCAGCCTCCCAAAGTGCTGGGATTACAGGTGTGAGCCACCACATCCGGCCCTGGTTTTCTATTCCTTAGGATAATGGCCTCCGGCTGCATCCATGTTGCTGCAAAAGACATGATTTCATTTTGTATGCCTGCATAGTATTCCATAGTATATATGTACCACATTTTCTTTATCCAGTCCACCACTGATACACATCTAGGTTGATTCCATGTCTTTCCTTTTGTGAATAGTGCTGCAAAAAACATGCAAGTGCATGTGTCTTTTTTGTAGAATGATATATGTTCCTTTGGGTACATACCTAGTAATGGGATTGCTGGGTCAAATGGTAGTTCTAAGTTATTTGAGAAATCTCCAAACTGCTTTCCACCGTGGCTGAACTAATTTACATTCCCACCCAAAGTGTGTAAGTGTCCCCTGTTTTCTGTAGTCTTGACAGCATCTGTTATTTTTTGGCTTTTTAATAATAGCCATTCTGGCTGATGTGAGATGATATCTCATTATGGTTTTAATTTGCTTTTCTCTGATGATTAGCAATGGTGAGCATTTTTTCATGTTTGTTGGCTGCTTATATGTCTTCTTTTGAGAACTGTCTGTTCATGTCCTTTGTCCACTTTTTAATGGGGTTGTTTTTTGCTTGTTGATTTAAGTTCCTTATAGATTCTGGATATTAGACCTTTGTTGGATGCATAGCTTGCAAATATTTTCTCCCATTCTATAGGTTGTTTACTTGTTGCTAGTTTCTTTTGCTGCGCAAAACCTCTTTAGTTTAATTAGGTCCCACATGTCAATTTTTTTGTTGCAATTGCTTTTGAGGACTTACCCATCAATTCTTTGCCAAGGCTGACATTGAGAAGGGAATTTCCCAGATTTTCTTCTGTAATTTATAGAGTTTGAGGTCTTACATTTAAATCTTTAATTCATCTCGAGTTAATTTTTGTATATGGTGAAAGGTAGAGGTCCAATTAAAGAAGGTGAGGGAGATATCCAAGCAGACATCAAGGAGAGGGCACTGAGAAAGAGTTGGAACAAATAACAAGAGCATTCCTTATGTGACCCAGGAGCAACAAGGAAGCCACTGGGGCAGGATCTGCATAAGAGATCAGAGTAGGAGGCAATGAGGTCAGAAGGTAACGGGGGCTCTACAAGTCCTTGTATGGATTTGAGCTTATATTCAGAGAAAAGTGGAGAGCCATTTGAAAGTTTTGAACAGAGGAGTAGAATGGCCTTATTTCCCTTTTAAAAAGATCACTTTGACTGAGAATACACTCTGTGTGTGTGTGCATGTGTGTGTGTGTGACTTAATCTATGTGACAGATGTTGGCAGCTCCACCAGAGTGGTAGCAGTGGAGGTGATGCAAAGGAATCAGATTCTGGTTAAATTTTGAAAGCAGAGCTGACAGGATTTTCTGATGAATTGCTTGTGAGATGAGAGAGAAAGAAGAGTCAAGGATGACGTCAAGTTTTTTTGGCCTAAGCGATTGTAAAAATGGAGTTGCCATCACCTGCAATGGGGAAGTTTAGAAGTTTAATTTAAAATGATTGAGTTTAATAGATTTTAGTCATTTAACAGTGATTACAAAATATTGCAATGACATTATGTACTCTCCTATTATTTCACAGATTGTAAACATTGTGATTTACATTTTGTGCAGGCCTAGAAAAGCTAAATATTCAATTAGGAAGATTAAAGCTGCCTCTGAAAAGCAGCCTAGGACCTGCAGACAGTCATTCTGGCTATGTACTAATCTTGTCCGTATGTTAAGAAAGTACACACTCTGTCAGAGGAAACCACTGGATGTTAGACAAACTCCTTACTTAAGGAAGTTGAGCAGCTTGTTCTGATGAATGTGATTTCTTCATTCCCTCTGTCCCCTGCCAGTCTCACACAGGATTTCCAATGCACAGAGCATATCAGAGATAATGACAACATGACATGGTTCACAGTTGCGGCTCTTTGAGAAAGCCTACAAAGCTGCCAAATTCAGAGCACAGATCAGAGAAACAGGGGCTTTTCCCCCAAAACTGATAATTTTCCATACCAAAGTGGTCCGTTCTTAATGCTTTAAGTCGGAGCCAAAGGCTTCCTAGTTGGATGAAACACAGAGTGTATTCTAATAAAACATACAGGAATTGTCTGGAATCTCAAGCAAGAAACCCTGTGGGGTGAGTAGTTTTTGTGGGGCTGTAAGCAGAATGGAGCAAGGAAAATATCTAGATGTTTTGATTCTTCAGCACACTGGTCTAATCTTAACTAAGTCTGGAAATTAGGTCTGGACTGGCACTGCCCAGGAAAGGAACTTTATTAAAAATTCCAGTAGTCTCCACTCTGTGTTGTTCCCAGGACAAAAGATCCATAAGGCTAATGTTTTTATGATTCTTCTCTTTGGAATAGTGGCTTCCATAAAATAAGTAATTGATTCTTGTTAAATAAAGAAGAAACAAATGAATGTTTTGACTCTAGAAATTAAACAGAATTTCAGAGCTGAATGAGATAGAACAAGTGGGTAAGTGGCTTTAAGAAGATATGTGATAACTATGTGGCTCAAAGAACAAAGAAGTTTATTTCTTTCCTATGCAACAACTCCAAGGTCAACATTTCAGGCCATGGGTAGCTGTGATCCAGGAGGTCATTTGGGAAGCCAGGCTGATAGCAGTTCTACCATCTTCCAGATGAGATCTCCAAGGTCACTCTAGTCTTCACAGTTCCTGGAGAAAGAGGGAAAAAGTAGGAGTTCAAGGCCAAGGCATTGCTCTTAAGCAAGGGAGGCAGCAGTGGTACACTTCACTTCTGCTCAAATTCCAATGGCAAGAGCCAAGTCACATGACACCCCCTTGTTGAAGAAGATCTGTGTGTGCAGTCCTCACTGGATAGTCCCATGTCCATTGTAGGTCTATTACTATGCAAGAAGATGAGAACATATTTCAGAAGGAAAATGATCTGTTTCTATCCCAATAGCATTCTTTACTGTGCTAAAGAAATAAGCATGGCGCTCCAAGGAAGGAAAAACATTTAACTGAAGAAACTTCCGTTCTATAAAATTGGCCTGGGGACACCACTACCAACCCAACACTAACCTAGGCAGAGTAATACAAAAGGCAACCATTATCTGAAATTCTCTAAGGAGAGATTTCAGATTATCAGGGAGTTTAGGAACTTGACCTTAGCTGAAATTCTCCACATAGGATCACAATTTTGTTTGGACACTTGTTTAACTAAAATAAGTTAGTTAAATATATCTGAAGAAACTAAAACGCACACATACACACACACAAACACACACACATCATACTAACAATAACAAATATAACTACTAACATCTTTCTGAAAAACCTGCTTTATTTATATTAAACACACCACAGGACACTTGACCATGTATTCCGAACTAGAGAACCTCTACTTTGACCAACAGTCTGAGAATAACCTACGTTAGTAAAAAACTTGGCTCCTTTACCAGAGAAAATGTTAGCTTATAATAATAGCTAATATTTGAGTGTCTACTACATGCTAGATATCTATCATTACATCCTAACCTTCAGAACTGTCCTGTAAAATCTTTAGGAAGATGTGGAAACTGAAGCCTAGGTAAGTTAAGTAACTTCCCTAGGATTTTATAAATAATAAGTGATTGAGCCAGAATTGGAACACACTTCCTGACTGCAAAACCTATGTGCTTTCCTCTATGCTACACCAACTCCAATTATGCCAGGAGTAATTCATGTTTCAGTCATGTAAGAAGACCAAACTGTAAATGATAAATTGGGATTATCTTGTGGAAGACAGATTAAATTACTCTGTGTTGTCCTAGAAGAGCCAGAAAAAGTGGAAGGAAAGCCTGGGAAAATAGATTTATGTTGAAAAGGAGTAAGAGCTTTCCAGCAGCCCTAGCTGTGTAATAGATCAGCTCTACACATGGTAGTGAGTTCCCCAGTGCTGAGGGTATTCATGCAGAGGCTTGGCAAGCATTCATATGAGTTTCCTGCAATGGAGAATAAATCCAATGACGTCTAAGCTTCCTTCCAATTTTGTGGTTCCTCTGCCCTAACTCATATAAGATGTCATTTTACTTTCTTTGAAAACTTTTTATTTAGGATAATCAAATTTTTTTTTGTTTTGGAGATTTCGATACATTTTTTGTTCTGTTGATCTACTTTCGGAACTCATTTTAAATCCTGTCAATGATTGTAGAATATACTAGGAAGCAGTAGAGCATATAGGTTAAGAGTTCATTTTCAGAATCAGATAACTGGCCCCATGACTCGATGACTCCAGAACTCACAAGCTGTGTCATATAAACTCTGCAGGCTTCAGTCCTGAACTGCAAATGGGAGTAGTTAAGTCTATTTTATAGTGTTAATGTATTACATAACATAGTATTTATAAATTCCCTAGCATAGCACATGGAACATAGCAAGGGTCCAGTGAATAATGGTTATTTTCATAAATAATATAGAATTGAGAGAGCAAATGAGCAACATAGAAAAATCTTAAAACACCACTAGTCCGAGGATTCTTGCTCTTCTCTTGGTAGACAATTATCTGTAAATATAAACCAACTACACACACACCATTTATCACCACCACCACCAAAGGGGCTTGATTAGTTGGTTGGTAGAACCAAAAGTTCACTTGGGTGATTTCATTGCCCTTTTCTCTTAGGAGAACTGGAGTGGGCAGTGAGGATGGAGGGGAAGGAGCATTGCCCCCATGTAAGAAAATCCTTCTCAGTAATGGTTTCTCACAGGAAAAGATGTGCTAAATCACCTTGCCTAGAGTGAATAGAAACTAGAGCTAACTCCGAAGGTATACTGGGAATAAACTACAACTTTTGGAGCAATCCACAACCTGCTCTAGCTTTTGAGAGAGAAGTTGATCTATAAGTCAAGCACAGATTCAGAAATGCTGAAGAAAACTAATGGAACATTGCAGTTTCATTGAAGATTTAAGTATATGCTTTTGTGTGTAAGCATGTTTAAAAATTTTCCATATACTATGGTTTTCGCTTTGCTTTGTTTGCTTAAGGTATAGAATTTGATATGTGTTACAAGTTGCATAATTTATATGTTACATGTTAAATGTATTTGTTCTGGTGATATACATGCATTTGTTCTTTGGCAATATCAAAGAACAATGCTTTTCCTAGGAGGCATGCCTGACATGTGATATATCTCTAACAATTGGTATAAAATAATATTTTGCACTCATCCAGGGTTTGTTATGTGCTAGGTAGAAGCTGTTTTAGCACTCTATATACCATGATTTATTTAATCCTCAAATCATTTGTGAGAAAGATGCTCTTATTATCACCGTTTTATAGATGAAGAAGTATACATGGGGAGGTTAAGAAACTTGCCCTGAGTCACACAGCTAGTGTCAGACACAGAATCAGAACCCAGACAATCTGGCTCCACAGCCTACATCTTGACCATTATCCCTAGTTATCTGAGTTTGACCAAGTCCCAGGAGAATTGGTGGACCCAGCTTGAGAGGCTCAGCTGGACCGAGATGCTGGAAGACCAGAGCTCCAGGTAATATCAACGTGGGTTAAAATGCCAAACATATTTTGGCTTAGAAAATTGAGGTTCCTGGCAGGAAACACTGAAACACTGGCTTCTCATTCAACTTCACTAACCATTCCAAACTGTGAAAAATATCTAATTAGACATAAAATCTCATTTCCCATGTACTTTTATAAATTCATATTCAATTACACCTGGATTAATGTGATTTTGAGGACAGGTGTGGAGACTTAAATGGAAAACATGAAGCCTAATTTTTTATCCAGAAACACTGGCTTCTCATCCAACCAGCTCCAGCTGGTTGATATTTGCAGTAGGTTTGCAGTAGGTGACTTATGGTACACACTGATCATGTCTCAGAGCACCTCATGGATGACTCCTGATAAACTGGCACTAGGGTTTATATATTTGGTCTCCCTAACAGCAAGTCACAGTTGCTTATCTTTCAGTTACATTCCTAATATGTTCATAAATTCCAGCCTTTGTTATCCATGACTGTACTGCGCTCTAACCAGGCTCACTTCTCTCCTTACTAACAATGCATTCCAGCAATGGGTCCAAATCCTGTTTCCACAACTTATCACCTGTATGACTTTGAACAAGTGCTCTTACCTCCTAGAGGCTTAGTAGTCACATCTATAGCCTAAAAGTAATGCTTACTGATGGAAATATGATGGTTTAAGGTAACAAATGTAAACCATACCGCCGGTTCCCTTTCCCTCTAATGTGCAACATTTCAACTCTATTAATTTCTATTTCTGAACTGGATTCACTTCTTGCCATATCAACATGTTGGAAACACATTGAAAACAGGTATTTAACATTACTTTCAATGCTTTTTCTTAAGGTTGAGTATTCATATTTTTTTCTGAGTATTCATATTTTTTGAGGTTCATCGCTTTTTAGCAAAGACACTTCCATGAGGGCACTAGAATCTCTCTTGTATAAACTGATTTTTTAAATTGGGTAAAATACATATAACATGAAATTTACCATCTTGATCTTTTTAAGTGTACAGTTCAGTAGTGTTAAATACATTTACATTATTTTGCACCCAATCTCCAGGACTCTTTTATCTTGCAAAACTAAAACTGTATACCCATTAAACAATGACTTCCTATTCCCCCTTCTCCCCCAGTTCCTGGCAACTACCATTCTCCTTTCTGTCTCTGCGAATTTGACCACTCTAGGGGCCTCATATTGGTGGAATCATACAGTATTTGTCCTTTTGTGACTAGCTGATTGCATTTATCATAATGTCCTCAAAGTTCATCCGTGTTGTAGCATGTGTAGGAATTTCCTTCCTTTTCAAAGCTGGATAATATTCCATTGTATGCATATACCATATTTTGTTTATCCATTCATCTGTCCATGGATACTTGTTAGCTATTATGAATAATGCTGTTATGAACATGGTTGTAAAAATAGCTTCCAGACCCCACTTTTAATTATTTTTGGTACCTACCCAGAAGTGGAATTACTGGTAATTCCCTTTTTAATTTTTTGAGAAACTACCATACTGTTTTCCATAGCCATTACACGTTTTTACATGCCCATCAACAGTGTACAAGGGTTGCAGTTTCTCCACATCCTAACACTTGTTATTTTCTGTTTTTTGATAACCATCCTAATGGGTGTGAAGTGATATCTCATTGTGTTCTGATTTGCATTTCTCTAATGATTAATGATGTTAAGCATATTTTTATATGTTTATTTGTATATCTTCTCTGGGAACATGTCTTTTCAAGTCATTTACCACTTTTTAATTCAGTTGCTAGCTTTGTTGCTGAGTTGTAGGAATTCTTTATATATTTTGGATATTAACTCCTTATCAGAGATATATATATGATTTGCAAATTTTCTCCCATTCTGTGGGTTGCCTTTTCACACAGTTGATTGTGTCTTTTTTTTTTCCTTTTTTTTTTTTTTTTGAGACGGAGTCTCGCTCTGTCGCCCAGGCTGGAGTGCAATGGTGCAATCTCTGCTTACTGCAACCTCCGCCTCCCATGTTCAAGCCATTCTCCTGCCTCAGCCTTCCGAGTAGCTGGAATTACAGGTGCCCACAACTGCGCCCAGATAATTTTTGTATTTTTAGTAGAGACAGGGTTTCGCCATGTTGGCCACGCTGGTTTCGAACTCCTTGACCTCAGGTGATCTGCCCACCTTGGCCTCCCAAAGTGTTGGGATTATAGGCGTGAGCCACTGCGCCCAGCTCCTTTTTTTATTTTTAGTTGACGGATAGTGTTTATACACATTTATGTGATTTGTGTCTTTTGATGCACAGAAGTTTTAAATTTTGAGGTAGTTCAATTTATTTTTTTCCTTCAGTGTGCTTTTAGTGTCATATCCATGTAAAAATTTATATTTTATATATGGGGCTAATAAAACAAGAATCATCAAAAAATTAAATCTAAAAATTGGTAACCTATTCTTACTTCCCCTTTTAATGACTCAGTGAATTTCATCTGACCTGGACTGTGAACCTCAAGAGTGCTGGGAGACTGCAAACGTTCTCATGCAACCAGTGAAATGTTGATGGGATGTCAAAACTATGTGACTCTAGGGGCTGTGCTCAGTATAACTTTAGGATTTACCATGTTGGTCTCAGTGACCAAAGAGAGGATATGACAGTGAGGTTGCTTCACTCACTTTGGCCAACCATGTTTGTTGACCAAAGGAAAAAAAGATTATTCCACTTAATAAAATGGATGGCATCCATGTCTGGAGCAGGACCACATCCCAGGCACTTTTCACATGTTCTCTCACCACTAACCTGTGAGGACATATTGCTAAGCTCATTTCCTAGATGAGGAAACTGAGGTTCAAAAAATGAGTCACTTTTTCTAGTTCAGATAGCAAATGGTGAGCTGTGAATTCAATACAAATCTGGATGGTTCACAACTTGCACTTAGAACATTTGTCTTGGCACACACCCTCTGAGGAAAAGGACTGAACAGCACTTTCAAGGACATAGAGAAGACCCAAGTGAGGGTGATAGTGTTTCATGAAGCCATTCCTACCTCTAGACAGACTGTCTGGGCATCCAGAGCCTCCGCCTCAAACATGCCCAAGGGAGTTCTGCAGAACTGCGAGTAAATAAACAGAGCAAACCCTGTTGCAGGAACACCACTGAGCTATTCGGCATAAAATTCGTGTCCCTTTGTTTACTCAGCAGCTTATGCATGGAAGCCAGAGGGCACTGAGATGCCGGGATCTTGTTCTCCAAGTGCCTGCAGCTCAGGCCTGCCTGCTGTCACAGCGGGACAGGCAGCCTGTGTGGAGGGTCACATGTCAGTGAGTAATCACTAAGAAAAGCAACTCTCTGAAGGGCTGATCAACATGTCAGGGTCAGGACGCGCCACACAGATGTGTAAATGTCTTTGTGTGTGTGTTCGCATTTTAAGTACCTATTAAGATCTGTCAAACATGATCAAGCATCTTTAATTAAGTGCCTGGGCCAGTTCATATGTACACACATGCAACTGTTCGTTTCTACCCACTTGTAACTTGATAAACATTTTCTGTGGAATTTTATGTTCACTTATTTACCTAAGCAAGTAAATAAAATACATATTGAAGGTATTTTTTTCCTCTGGTCTACTGTAGGTATTCCAAGAAATATTTTTCTATTTCATGTACATAAAACTTTCTCTCCAACTACTCATGCAGCCAAATTCAAATTCAGAATCTAGAGATGGGCGAACTGTCACTAAATTGTCAAATATCTCTTTTGTTTTAAATACTTTGGCTAGTGGTTGAAACAATGCGATATATCTAGCACGACTTCTCTTAATTTTTAATCCAATGTGTATTTCAAGGGGAATTTAATCCATCTGGTTCTCATTCACTTACTCTTAACTCATCAAAGTGGTACTTTGCAACTGATGTTTGATGTCCAAAATGGCTTATGGGTTTTTAAGTCTTTATAGAGATCTTCCCTGCCTGCCCATTTGTCCTCTCCACAACACCAGTGATAATGAAGAAGTTATATTTTGTTTACCTGACATAGTTTCAAATGACCAGAAAGGTACGCTTGACCAAATGTCAAAGCTCTCAGCCCTATGAGGTCACGATTTTGGAGTGTGATAAAGTGCAATGACCTGGGTGGCACGTTGCTGGAGGCTGCACATGTTGCTCATGGGCAGAGGCCATGTACTCTGTGCTGTACCTTGGCTTGAGGTCCATGCCCACAATGGATGTCCCTAGGCACCGGGACCTGTGATCTGAAACTTCTTTCATGTAGCACTCCACACATATGATGCCACAACCTCTTCCACCCCTGTAGCACACACACACACAAAGCATTCTCATCACATGTGTTGTCTATGATCACTTCAAAACAAGTTTTTAACTCAAGAAAGCCCTGTTGTATCAGGAGAAAAACACATTCAGCTGCTCCTGCTGTTCAAATTCTACCAATAAGAAACTTTCTGCCGTCTTCTCAGGCCTTGGTACTTCCCCAGGTCTCTCGAAGAATGACCACAAAATGCTTAAATATCTCTCAGAAGAAGAAAACGCAGTCTACCATTTCAAAAACAGTTGCAGGATTTGGGCACCAGAAGTAGTCTTTCAGATCATGTAGTCTTTAAAATGTTAACTCTCCAGGTATCTGAATAGGAAATTGTTCATCACATTTCTGTATTTTGTTCTTTCTTTTAAATGTTTAGTGATGTGTAGTCATGACCTTAGCCAGCTTCTCCACTCATTAGTCACTCAATAAACATTTAGTGAGCACCTACATTGAGTCAGACACTGCTAGGCCCTGAGGTTTTCAGAACGCAATCCTGTCCTGATAAGAGCCACTCATGGATCGCCTGCCCATTGAAAGCTGGCAGCCCAGAGACCCCTGTCCTGATGATGCTGTGCCCTTCTGAACCAGTCTCAGGTATACACACGTGGGTCCTGAGCAGATAGAGCTAAAGGGCTGCCTGCTCACCAGTCACAAGAAAAACAGTCTCCTGAGCTTCAAATTATTCTTTGTTTTGGCAGAACAGAAAGGTGGAATATATTTTCTCATCCATCACAGGATCACGACCAACACTCCTATAACAAAAGACAGGTAAACAAGAAAAAAGCATAATGCATTTATTTAATAAAAGTTTTACATGACATGAGAGCCTTCAGAAGAGAAGATGCGAAGACCTAGAGGAAATTGTTTTTATGCTTCAGTTCAATAAAGAAGGGACAGTCTTGTAGAAATGTGATTGGACCAAAAAGGTATGATCTAAGGATAATAGAATGAAGGGAGGAAACCAACAAGGCCTGTCTCTTCAGGTAATTCCTGGCCTCTCTGTGCAGCATTCCTTCCTCCTGGGTATGGAGCAGGACCCTGCTGGAACCAGGCTCTTAATGACCTGATAGGTCAGAGAGTTTCTTTATGGCCAGCTCTAACACAGAAAGGTGGGGAGAAGTTAGGGTAATATGTCTAGGTTTTATGGCTGGTTTTGGGGAGAGGGGTTATAGTTTCTGTGACCCACCTTGGAGGAAAAAAAAATCTGGTTTCTACTACTCACTTTGGGGGAGAAAAAGGGGTGAGAGACAGAAGGGCAGGAGATCACAGAGAACTTCCTTCTGAAACCCCTCCAATTTCCTTCAGTTCAAAATATTCGCCATATCAAGGCGTCATACTTTGTAATATTGTGTTCTGAGCTCCAACAGTTTCCAATATCAAAGACCAAATGTATGAACATTTATATAAACTCCAGTACTCCACATATGACAGCGCAACATTTCATCTCAACCCTCAGCACATTGAGGTGCTCAGTTTCATCTCAACCCTCAGCACATACTGGTGCTTTTCTGTCTTAAAGGGAAGATGGAAGGAGCTCATAGAAGTAAGAAGGTAGTAATTCATGCTGGGTGCAGTGGCTCATGCCTGTAATCCCAGCTACTCGGGAGGCTGAGGCAGGAGACTCGTTTGAACCAGGGAGGCGGAGGTTGCAGTGAGCCGAGATTGCACCACCATGCTCCAGCCTGGGTGACAGAGCAAGACTCTATCTCAAAAAAAGAAAAAAAAAAAGAAGGTAGTAATTCATTACTTACAATTCTGCCTTTGTGATAACTAGTGGTACTTTTATCAGTTCAAAGAAATATAGAGTTTTCTTTTTTGAAGTGACTTATGCTAGATATTCCATCTCGCTTAACAACTGCATTTTATCATTATACCAAAAAGGGAAAGTTTTCAGGCTGCTGATTCATATCCCAGTGAGGTCATCTGAATTTTGGGGGACCTCAAATAGAAATCATATGGGGGAAAGAATGAGCCTAGCTCAAACCAGACAGGCTGAGAGCTTATCTTGCCAGGACATAGGCTCCCCGGTGGGTGGGGGAGATGGCCATTGCTGCCTTTCTTTCCTTCCCCACTGAATTTAAGCAGATGCAGTTAGTCACTGTGCAAAGGAGTATGTGCAAATCTAAGTATTCATGTTTATGTGTGGTTGTCAGGTCTAAATCAGCCAGGCAGTAATTTCTCTGGGAGCCCAATGTAGGCACTAAATTTTGCACTCAACCACCGAATGGTCCACATGCCCCTTAATCTGTCTTCCTGCAGGAGGGCTCCCTTGGCACCATCCTGCCTGAACTTGGGGCCAGCCTTTCACTGGAGCCCCTTCCCGTGAATTATGGCCTACAGCATGGGGGCTGAATAGAAAAAAAAAAAAAAAAAAAACCCTCCAGAAATTCAACTGGAAGGGCTGACCGGAATTCAACCTAATGTTGAGAATAGCAGGAAAGCTTCTATTATTCTACTTCATTCTATCTGCTATGAGGCAGTGCGGCGCCTGGAGTCTGACTGAGCTTAACTCATTTCCCTGGATTTCCGAGTCACAGCCATGGTGCCTGCTAAAGCCAAATATCTCACTCCTGAGACTCACTACACTTCCTGATAGGATGCACTTGCGTGTCTCCTAGTGACCTTAAACACTAATAAAGGAGTCATAATATGACCTAGACAAGACCTAGGAGCCAATCAGAATGCAAATGATTGATGGGAGTGCTTTTGGTTATCTACTGTTTGTCCTGACGCTTGGCGTGGTTCTTTGTATTATGATTGTGTGGGCAGTAGGCTTAAAAATACATACAGGCATTGCTTTCCACATTGTTGAAGGTTAATCCTAAGGTGTGGCAAAGAAACTATATTTTATAGACTGGAACCTCATGGGCACCAGCTAGTTTTTGCTCTTCCTCTTCCTGGCTTGCTGGAAGGATGACAATAGCACTTTGGAAACAATTCTTAAATGTAAATTGTCTCTAATTCTAGGCATGGGGTTAGAGGAGCAAATTCTCTGATTTGCATTGCTGACTGCTTTGATCTCTGCTTGCCCTCCCTCAAATGTTGTTATCAAAGTGATTAGCATTTCTGCAGAAAGATCGTGAATTCAACATCCTCTCCCTTCTTCTTTTAGTGTATTTATATTCCAAAATAAGACAAATGTTTGGTCTGATGCATTATGTGAATCTATGATTAAAATATCCACTCAAATTATGAACCAGGACCTGGGAGATTGTTGGAGTCATCTCTTATGTTTGCTGGTTGTCACATTTCAGTGTCTTTCAGCTCAAATTCCTCTTTTTGAGGAAGGCTTTTTATATTGCTATTATTCCTATCCCTGTCAACTTAATACATTTAGATTCAGAAGGTCAACTTATATCAAGCTGTGCAGAGTGCAGGGTACCTGAATGTTAGTTGCCCTTTTGTATTTGAAAAGCAACTGCTAAATAGTCAATCTGCAGGGAGTTTTGTGTAACCTATCCTGGAAATTTTAATCTTCCATTCTTTGGGAACAATGGCCTAAGGTGATCTATCCCAGCTCTAACCAGGAATGGTCATGCTACATGAGCAAAAGCAAATGATTTTGGATTCCTCCATATAGTGTACCAGAGTCAGACTGGAATGGCATGTCTACTTTCCACGACAGCAGCTCCCAGCAGGCAAAGACTATGCTGCAAACATCCCAGCTCCTTCTGTTAGCCATGATGAGTTTATTATTTATTGAGCCCTTCATCAACCTATTTATACTTTTATCCTCTATTGCCTCTTTGGGTTTTCTATTTTAATCTGTACTATTTGGCAATTTGATGAATAAGTTACGCTACACTATTCATAATAGCAAAGACATAGAATCAACATAAATGTCCATCAGTGGTAAACTGGATAAAGAAAATGTGGTACATATACACCATGGAATACAATGCAGCCATAAAAAAGAACAAGATCATGTCTTTTGCAGGAACATGGATGGAGCAGGAGACCATTATTCTTAGCAAACTAACACAGAAAGAGAAAACCAAATACTGCATGTTGTCACTTATAAGTGGGAGCTAAATGATGAGAACACATGGATACATAGAGGGCAACAACACACACTGGGGCCAATCAGAGGGTGGAGGCTAGCAGGAGGGGGAGGATCAGGAAAAATAGTAATGGGTTCTAGGGTCCCCATGACACACTTTACCTATGTAACAAATCTACACATGTACCCCTGAACTCAAAAGTCAAATTAAAAAAAAATTACAATTATAGTAAAAAAAACTTTTTTACAAGGACACTGGTGTAAATATAAAATGAAAAAAAATTAAGGTGCACTAGTTAAAACTGCTAGTGAATTCCATAGAGATTACATGCCTCTGAGTCTGTGTTCAAAGACTTCAAATGCCAGGTTTCTCCACATCGTGATACCAGGTGAATTTAGTACAAGCATATATATCACAAATCCAACAAATAACACCAATACCCTTAGAAACAACTGTGAAAAAAGAAGAAATCTTAAAGCCGCTGCCTTATGGTGGCCTCTATATTTTGTTGTTGCTACTGTTTAAGCCTTTTCCTGTATGTCCCAAGAATACTCACTGGCAGCCCCAAGAATACTCGCTGGCTGTTGCTGCTGCAGTGTTTTCTTTGAGATAATTTCACCACAAAATATCTCGCTTTTGTTATTATTTTGCATCGCTTTAGTATACTGACTTTGGAAATAAAAGGCATCATTCTATTTATAGCATTCTGTTTTCACTAGTGATATTTCCACTGCTATTCCAGGTGTTTACAAAATGTAGTAATTCTCCATCACTGAAAATGTCAAATCCTAGAAAACATAGCATTTCCACGTATGATGTTAACATTGTTCTCCAACAGTTGTTGGCCAAAGAGTCATTTGATGAATCCAACTTTTCCAAAATAGATGATTCTGATGATTCAGACGATTCTGATGCTAGTTCTGTTTATAAATAACTCCTAAAATAGTTTTTATATTCTATTTTCACATTGAAAATCAGTCAGAATTTGCTTCAGCCTCAAAGAGCATGTTTATGTAAAATTAAATGAGCTATGGCAGTGAGCTGCACTTTTTTTTCTAAACCGGAAAAGGATTTATTTGAGAAGACTACAGAAAGTAATAGGAAGCCATAAAAAATATGTAGCCACAGTCTTCTCATATTGATCTTCTTGGGGCCTCAGAATAAATGGATTCTTTTTTAAAAAAAAAGTTGTTCTAAAATTTCCCATCAAGATGTCATATATTTCTAATGTATTTCCCTTTGATACTCCCATTTCTGTGCTGAAGAAACCCACTTTTTTAAAGTCTGTTCTATTAGATTCCGATTTAACTAATATTTTTGAGTTCCACTTTGTGCTGGGCACTGGGCACAGTGTTAGATTCATTCTCTAACAATAATAATAATATCTAACACTTATTATGTGCTTACTGCATGCCAGGATTGTTGAAACAGTTTACGTGAATTGTCTCATTTAATTCTTTCAACCATCCCATGAAGATTTTTATCTCATTTTCTGAGAATAACCTTATAGATTTATGTTGTAATCCTTACTATATAGATGACAATGCTAAGCTTCAGAGAATTTTAAGCACCTTGCTCAAGGCCAAGGACCAAGAACCAAGAACCAAGATTAACAACCACATCCTTTTTTTTTTTTTTTTTAAGAGTCAGGGTCTCCCTCTGTCATTCAGGCTGGCGTGCAGTGGCACAATCATGGCCCACTGCAGCCTTGAACTCCTGGACTCAAGGGAGCCTCCCACCTCAGCTTCCCAAATAGCTGGGACTATAAGCATGTGCCACCATGCCCAGCTGAGGTTTGTTTGTTTTGTCTCTGTTTTGAGACAGAGTTTTGCTCTTGTTGCCTCAGCTGGAGTGCAATGGCGCGAACTTGGCTCACCGCAACCTCTACGTCCCGGGTTCAAGTTATTCTGCCTCAGCCTCCCGAGTAGCTGGGATTACAGGCATGCGCAACCACGCCCGGCTAATTTTGTATTTTTAGTAGAGACAGGGTTTCTCCATGTTGGTCAGGCTGGTCTCAAACTCCTGACCTCAGGTGATCTGCCCACCTCGGCCTCCCAAAGTGCTGGGATTACAGGTATGAGCCACCATGCCCAGCCCCCAGCTGAGTTTTTCAAATATTTCGTAGAGATAGGGTCTCACTATGTTGTTCAGGCTGATCTCAAATACCTGGCCTCAGGCTATCCTCTTGCCTCAACCTCCTGTGTGGCTGGTATTACAGACATGAGCCACATCGCCCCACAATCATATCCTTACCCATATTAGCATTCTCCATCCCTTTTATTGCATAAATCCATAGTAAACTAGTTTTAATTCTATTGGGTGCTTGCCTCATCTAAATAATTCTTAGAGATCAGTTGTTTCTAATTTGTTATACAATTGCTTTTAAAGTAAATTTTTGAATCACTCTTCTTTCTCTCTGTTGCAGATTGATACTGACACATAAAGAAGTTAACCTGATGCAGCATCTGAGTAAAACACAGTGTAATTATAGAACAGCAGACCCAACCATCAAATACATAATATGTTATAAACATAGTTTAATTCTCATCAACTAGAAAGTTAAAAATTCCATGTTCTACATAAATACTTAATACACAACCATGGTTAGTACCTCTGGAATTTACTTTAACTCATTTGCTGTGTTTGGTTACTCACACTTTGATTATGGAAATGTTATGAAATAGTAGTGATTGTCTATTGAAAGGAAATTCTCCATAAAATCTGGAGCAAGAAATGGAAATGAAGTCTTTAAAATTATTTAAATATGTACATGTTCAAAGGGCCTTTCCTTTCACTTTCTTTTAAATTCATGCCCATTTCCTTAATCCTTTCTTCCACAGACTTTTTTTCCATTCTTTTAATCACCTTTGAATGCCCTGCAAATTCTGTTTCTTTCAAGTTATGAAGCATAGGAAAGGGCACAATTTACCAACACTGAGTCAGACATGGAGACTATCCAAAGGATCTCACACTCTCCTCTTATATTCTAAATTCCCTATATTGTGCTTTCAATGAAACACCATAGGGTAACATGAGTTTTGCTGGGGTTTCTTGCACCTTCAGATTAAAATTTACAAATAAATGGTTCTACAGTTTGATTGTATCCCACAAATTCCATGTGTTGGAAACTGAATTCCCAATGTGGCAGTCTTGAAAGGTGGGGGGCCTTTAAGATGCGATTGGATCATAAGGGCTCTGCCCTCACGAATGGATTAAGTCATTTGTGGATTAATGGATTCGTGGGTTAATAGATGAGTGGGTTAATGAATTAGTGGATTATCATGAGAGTGGGACTGGTAGCTTTATAAGAAGAGGAGGAGAGACCTGAGGTACCACCCTCAGTGCCCTTGCCAAGTGATACCCTGGGCTGCCTCAAGGACTCCTCAGCAGTCCCCAACATCAAGAAGGCTCTCAGCAGATGCAGCCCCTCAGATTGGAACTTTTCAGCCTCTATAGTTTTAAGAAATAAATGTCTTTTAAAAAATTACTCAGCTTTAGGTATTCTGTTATAAGCAACAGAAAATGCACTAATACCTATGGTTTAGTTTTGTCTTTGAATTAGACCACTTTTCCTTGCCCACTTACTCTCAAACTTGGATAGGTTTTGTTTTTGTCTGTTGTTCACTTTAGAAGCATCTGCACACTTTGTGTTTGCTCTGTTCTCCTATCTAAAACTTTCATTTTAAACATGATCTGAGGATCATAACCCGTAGAATAAAACATTTCCCCAGGATGCCACGGTGACCTAGTAATAATACCCCTCTCTGAGTTTGTAGCCCAATCCTGAAATATAGTTGGTGCAAATTTTCATATGGGAATAACATCCTCAGAAGGCATCATGCCACTTGTTTTTTTTAAATTAATAAGCTCCTAACATAAATTTGATGTCATTTGCAGATGAGAAAATGGGGCTTGATGAAGTTGATTGCTTCAATGATGCAACCAGTCCTGCTTGAACTCCTCTCTGTCTGGAGGAAGGAAGGCAGAGACTCTAGAAACATACATGATTCCCACAGCATGTATGTGCTGAGGAAGAGACTGAGTGGGTCTTGGCTTCAGGCAGGTCTGTACTCTACTGTGATATCAGCAGCACTCATCCTTGAATCTCCAAGAGCTTGTCTTCCTTCAAAAGGCTGATTCAGACACAGAGTCTAGACTTGTTTCTCTTTTCTTAAAAGTACACATCAGGAAGAAAACCTAAGGCCTCTTGTAAAAACATCACTGACATGCTTCCTGGTGATTTCTCAGCAGCTATTTGTCCCCCAGATATATTTTTTCACTGCCATTTCACCCAATGTTAATTGAAATGCTAAACTAAATGTTTAGCCATCCTTGCATGCATGGATAATTAATAAACTGATTATAAAATTATAGTGATGAGGGATTACTAAGCCATGATAAATTACAATCATTATTTCAGTCTTGACTATAAAGATTATTATAAGGATGATAGAGGTTTCTTATGGATTTTTAGTCATTTACACATAATGAAGTAAAAATGTCTTTTTCAATTTTCAAATATGTCACCGAAGCCAAAATTGGATCTTGTCATTTTTAAGTTTTGTATATGCTTGATTTCTGTTGTATTTGTTTCAGATTGTGTTTGCTTCATGAAAAGGATGTTTTCTTTTTTCAGGTAGTGAGGGGTTTAACTACATTTTATTTCTCCCAAAAGCTTATTAATCTTGGCAATAAAAATTCTATATTTCTCCAGCAAAATCTAAGATGCTTACCTCAAAGCAGCTTTTGAAGTTATTTCTATCAGTATTGTTCTGATTATGCTGTGAGGAGCCTGAGGAATTCCTCAGAGACACCTGAGGACAGGGGCAAGGAAAAATATCAGAGTAGACTGGGATGGGGGAGGATGGAGATGGCTCTTGCAGTCGTGAGGAACTCACCTCTGGTTGAGTTGAGCAGTTCCACTTTTGATCTGTGTTGCATGTTGGACTTTTACATAAGGTTTTATTTGAAGAAAGATCCATGTGGTACCATGAATATTAATAATATTAACTAATAATAATATTAACTAATAATCAAAAGGACTTGAAATCCAATGATTAAATACCTAAATTTTATAAATGAGGGAACTGAGCTTCAGAGAGAGTAAATAACTTGTTTAACATAACACAGCTAGTAAAAATTTGCCTGAATTAATTATTCCTAAAAATTAAAAGGCTATGATCAACTTAACCAATATTTATCAAATGCCTACAAAGGAAAAGGCACTATGCCAGGCCTCCAGGGAATAAAGAAAATAACAACGTCACACTTCAAGTAAATGGCAGAATCAAGGCATGAATCTGAATCTTCTTACCCCAACTAGAGTGCACTTTCCACTATAGCAGTATGCCCCGAATTTGGTTTATGAACACCTAGTCTTTCAGGATGATCTTCCACTTGAAAAATTCAATTGAAGTTTTGCATTGCATTTTAAAGGGTATGAGAAGTCCTATAGTAAAGAAATGTGCTTAGACTACAGTTCCAAAATTTATTACCATGGAATACTATTCATGTCATATGTATTTATATCCCAAAGAATGCAATTTGAGAAATTCTGCACTATCATAGCTCTCTTTATTAGATTTGAAACTGAAATCTAGCAGAGTCTTCTTTTAAAACCTACATTTCCATGGTTTACATGTAACTGTGGCTTGAGAAATGTTAATCTCAGTGATAAGTGTTAGACTGGATATACTCTTTATATACACATACACATATTGTATGTGGATGTTACAGAAAATACTATGTCCAAATAAGCATAAATTAAATGCAGTATACCAACTGTTAACACAGTATTGTGTTTGCTTTAAAGTTGGCTCACACCTGTTTAATATTTGTCATGAAAATCTCAATGCAGTTTTTATTCCTTCTAAACATTTAATGCCAGCATTATAATTCACTGGAAATGTTGAATTAATTTTAGTAAAATAAGGACTGATTAATACCTCTAGTCCAATTTTCAGATAAATGACTTTCTGCAAAAGGAAAATCAATTTGTTTTTCTTATAAAACACACACACCTTGCTGCATTTTGTTTTGGTCAGAATGTTAAATATAAAAAATAATAAATAGCAAAATTTCCCCCAAAAATTCATTTCAGGTACACCGAACAAAAATAATGCCATAAACCTTGGAAGAGAACCTGTTCTCGCAAGACCAATTTTTCAGGATCAAAAGTGTTTATATAAGCTCACAAATTTTGGATCTTTTCCAAGACTAAATCTCCAACACTTCTGAGGTTGGCCCATCACTAATATTTACAATATATTTGACATTTCATGGGATGGACTCACAGGCCTTTATGATAGGCAGCTTCCTAATATGACAGAGTGCCAGAACAATTTGCTGTGTGTGCGAAAGGCAGTAAGATGGCACTGGCATTTTGCAACAGGAAGGAAATGATCTGTAGGTACCTTGAGCCTGTTGTATCTTGTCAGTTTTGTTAGTTGAGAAATGTCATTGGGGACCCATTAGTACATAGGCAGCCGTGACGCCCACCTGAGAAGCACTCCTTGCCAAGTGATTTGAGACCTGTGTTTGGGCAAGGTTCCTTTTCATAGTATTACATTGCATTACAGAAAACTTACAGAAACAGGCCCTCACGCATGCTGATTCTTAACCCTTTATAAGACCTAGCATGATGCCTTACATTTATTAGGCCATTATAATAAGATTTTTCAACAGGCTCATGCCCTTACCAATTGGTACATGTAAAATAAAGTGTATTCTGAACTCTTTTATCACACATCCCTCTAATACCCCATTTATCACTGTGTTTAATTTTATTTTTTTCCAAAGTCTGGTCATTCCTAACAATGCTTCTGATGACTGCATAATTATTACACTTTCATTGCCAAGGACAGAAATAGGGTAAAGCCACAGATGCTTTTTCTCCTGCCAAATTAGGATTATCCTCCAAAATCTGTATTATTACTTGGCCTCTTTTAAGAGACCCATTTCTTTGGATTGTGAGGGTTCACACCTGTAATATGCATGCTCAAGGTTCTGTAATCTTGAAAGTTGTTTTGTGAGATCAAGCATAGGAAACTCTATTAGGTATGACAAAGATGGGTAAGATATGGATCCTGCTCTCGGAGAGCTTCAATCTAATTGTAGATTCAAGACAAACACATATACATGGGGCACCACTTACCAAACCCCAATGAAAGCACTATTGTAGAAGTGGTTCAGATGCTTGTATTGACCAAAAAAAAAAAAAAAAAAAAAGAGAAGAGGATTGATATTCATATGCTTCCTTCGTTAGAGAATATGAGATTCGCATGAGCAGAGACTATCCGGATTCAACATGCCACCTTCAAAAGCCAAAACCAGGCTCTGCACTGTCCCCAGCTTCTCCCACCCCAGCAGCACTGTATTCTTCTGAGACTCATGTGTTTCCTTTTGCTCATTCTAACAATGTCCATGGCTTTACCCTTTTCTTTTGCTACACTGCCATAGCCTTGCTCTTTACAGGAATCTGACCTTTCACTCCCCAGAGTTCTGCAGCATGATGAGAAAGAGACCAATTTAAAAAAAAAAAAAAAAAAAAACAATAGAAGTGAGCACACCCACAAAGATGACTCCAATTGGACTTCTCTTCCCCTGAGTGATTCCATGTTTATTAATGTGCATGGTAATTTATAACTTGCAGTCCTGTAACATGGCCTTAGGCTATTTCCAAGGCAGCTCCCAGGAGATTAGAAGGCAGCTTTCAGCAGTGAAACATTTAAGGAGGCAAGCAAGAGTTGCCTCAGAGTCCAGCCCTGTCGGAATATGTCCTGTATAGCAAGGCTGCCAGTTGAAGGAAATAATTACAAGTGGCTGCCTAACTGCCATGGCGATAGAAACTTAACCCAAGTGTTTTCAGGTAACTGCCAGCCTTGGGCCTGGCCACCTGCCATGGGCCCCACAGCACACGGCCCTGTGTGAAGTGGGTGTTTTACAGCAAGTGACAGCAACGCAGCTGTTTGCATTAGAATTTAACCTAGGTATGCCAGACAGCTGTGCCAAAGCACGTCCTACTGCTTCATTAATTCAAAAGCAACTGGCATTAAAAAAACCATTTGAAACTGACCGCTGGTTTCAGTTCCTTGTCAAGCACTAGCTACTTAATTCAATTTAATAAAATATTTTTATTTTATTACAAATACTATTACATGTGTGACACCTGGGAATAAAGAAGGTACGGGCCCTAACCCAAAGACAGGAACACCTTCCCAACTCTTAAGCAACTCTCTATCAAGTAGGGACACACACACACACACACACACACACACACACACAAATGTCATAATTCAATGTTAGGTACAAAAATAGAAATAAATACAAGCTAAATAGTGATACAGAAAAGAGACTGGTTACTTCTGACTAGAGTAGTCAGGAATGACTTCCCAAAGGTGATGCTATTTAACTGGATTTTGTAGGGCAAATAGAAACTCTCTAGGCACAAAAGAGTGAAGGGGCCCAACAGACAGAGGGAGTATAACACACCGTGGTATGGAAATGTGAAATTGAATGCTGTGGTCGGAGAAAAATGGGTGGTTCAGGCTTACTGAGGGTAGAGTGAGTCTATATGTCTGAGTGAGCAGTTCCCGCTTACAGAGCCCCGGATGCCAATCCAGGAATCAGACCTGTACAGCACACATGGGAAGCCATTAACGGGCATTATACAGACTGTGACTCAATCAGGTTTACTCTCTGAAAGCTCATTCTGGCAGCAGCTGCTGGATGACGTGTTAGAGGAGGAGACTGAAGTCAGTTGAGAGGCTATTGCGACAGTCCAGGCAGGAGGAAGTAAGGGCCTGGCATGAGGCATTCACAGTAATGACACTGAGGAAAGGATACTTCTGCTGGGGTGGCAACAATTCACCCATTGCTTCTGCAGTCAGACTTTAGATTTTGGCATGCATAGATTTGTTGGTGAGTAAAGAGGACCACCATGGTCTTAGAAAGAAGTACTGATGTAAGAATGCTAAAATTACGGAATTATAGAACATTAAACATGGAAAATATCTTAAATGGTCTATTCCAACTACCTCATTTACCTACAAGAGAATTGGCTAATGAAGGATAAATTTCAACCTGGTAGCCAGGTACCCAGCCAGTGAGACAGGGAATTGTTTGGTGGGGTATTATTGGGTTGAATTGTGTTCCCAAAAGATATGTTGAAGTCCTAACCCCTGTTACTTGTGAGTTGACCTTATTTGGAAATAGGGTCTTTGCAGATGTTATCAGATAAATCATTAGGGTGGGCCCTGATCCAGTAGGACTGCTGTCCTTATAAGAAGATGGAAGTGAATATGTGAAGACATAGAGACACAGGGAGAACCCCTTGTGAGATGGAAGCAGAGATTGCCAAGATGCAGTTGCAAACCAAGGAAGGCCAAGGATTGGAGGCCAGCACCAGAAGTTAGGAAGAAGCCAGGAAGATTCTACCCAGAACCTCAGGGGGAACCTGACTATGCCAGCCCCTTGATTTCCAACTTCTAGCCCACAGATCTATGAGAAGATAACTTATTGTTTTATTTTATGTTATTTTATTTTTGTGATCACAAGAAGATAACTTATTGTTTTATTTTATGTCATTTTATTTTTTGAGACAAGGTCTCACTCTGTCACCTGAGCTAGAGTGCAGTGGCATGATCTTGGCTCACGGCAGCCTTGACCTCCCAGTCTCAGGTGATCCCCCCACCTCAGCCTCCCAAATAACTGGGACGACAAGCATGTGCCACCATGCCCAGCTAATTTTTGTTTTGTTTTGTTTTGAGATGGAATCTCACTCTGTTGCCCGGGCTGGAGTGCAGTGGCATGACCTCGGCTCACTGCAACCTCTACCTCCCAGGTTCAAGAGATTCTTGCTTCAGCCTCCCAAGTAGCTGGGATTACAGGCGCCCACTACAACACCTGGCTAATTTTTGTATTTTTAGTAGAGATGGGGTTTCACTATATTAGTCAGGCTGGTCTCAAACTCCTGACCTCAGGTGATCCACCCGCCTCAGCCTCCCAAAATGTTGGAATTACAGATGTGGGACACTGCACCCAGCCTAATTTTTGTATTTTTTGAAGAGACAGAGTTTCATCATGTTGGCCACGTTGGCCTTGAATTCCTGGGCTCAAGCAATTCGCCTGCCTTGGCCTCCCAAAGTTGTTGTTTTCATCTACCTAGATCGTGGTACTTTTTTTTTTTTTTTTTTTGAGAGGGAGTCTCACTGTGTCACCAGGCTGGAGAACAGTGGCATGATCTCAGCTCACTGCAACCTCCGCCTCCCAGGTTCAAGTAATTCTCCTGCCTCAGCCTCCCGAGCAGCTGGGATTACAGGTGCCCGCCACCATACCCAGCTAATTTTTGTATTTTTAGTAGAGACGTGGTTTCATCTTGGTACTTTTTAATGGCAGCCCTAGGAAATGAATACAGATTGGTTCAATAGTAAGTTTCATTTGCAATGAGTTTTTAAACATTAAAAAAAAATTAACAAAAATGTGAGTGTACTTTATAAAGAACTTTCATTCATTTTCTCATTTAATCTTCACATCAGTTCTTGGAGGTGGGGGTAGTGAGGAAAGAGCTGATTGTTCCAAAGTCATCAAGTGATGGAACCAAAGTCAAATTACAAGACTTCTGGCTCCAACTGCTATGCTCTTCCCTGTATCCTATCGCATTAGTGACTTTAACAGTTCATGTATGGTGAAAACCTTTAAGGATATGCTGAGCTTATGAAAGAAGAAGATTTCTGCACTGTGATTGCTTAAGTACATACTCAAGAAGGGTCAACTTGAGATATTAGTGTGAGCACCAGCAAGCAGCTCTGTTTCCAGGAAAGAAATGCTAGTGATATAATGTAACCATGTAAATGGTCTAATTCATTCCAATAAACATTTACATTCAAAGTTTGACAGGAGAAAAAAAAGCCTATAAAGTGACATAGTGTTATATCTCCTCCCTGGCTGTCTCCTGAGTCTGAAGACATAATCTTTCTTTATAAGAGGACTATCTGTAGCTTTGGAAACCAAAACCAACTCAGCTATTCCTGGTCTAGCTGGGTTTTGACTGGTTTCATACATGATCCTATAATTTGTTATCTCAATTCCTATTGTGGGGTTTTCATGATTAGGAGAAAAAAAGTCATGTCTTGGGCAAGTGACACAATTCAGTTTTTCCTGTTATTATTTTTGATTTGGGGTTTTTGTTCACTCTATTTTTTATTTATTTTTATTTTTATGTTTTGAGATGCTAGAGAATGTGTAGGTAATCGCAGGGAGACAAACCATTGACCAATAATTTAGCATAGGAGGAGGAATCCACTTCTGAAAAATTATCTATGTGCCCGTAAATGCCATTTATCAGAAATTGGCTAATGGTATTATGTTAATTAAAGAAGTGTCATGCATCTGGCTTCATGCAAAGAAGGAAGAGAGAGAGAAGGAAAAAGGAGGAAAAGAACAAAAACCTCTCCACTTGTATAGGTCTAGGTCATCAAATGACAGTGGTTTCCTAAACAGGAACCTTGTGGATCTTTATTAAAGTAGCAGGAGAGTGGCATCCAGTTTCATTCAGGAGGAGACCTTTGCAGAGCGCAGAAAAGTGCTGCATTTCTAAGAGTTTACAAAGCTTAGGGTCATTCTCTATTTGGTTCAAGTCCCAAAAGTACTTAGTAGCCAGGAATAGTGATTTAAAGGTAAACATCAGCCTTTCATCTTTCTGACTGGGCTGAAGGCAAATTCATGACCAATCCTCCATCCAGACCATAAAATGTAATGTTTAGTCTCAGGACAGACACCATTAACACCAGAAATAATACCTCTCTCTGCATGTGTATTAAAGTTCTTCTTAACCTGGAGTTGCAACTCTGGGTGTGTGGAATTGTTCTCCAGACTAATAACATTATGCACATCTGAAGAGTTTAAGTTGTAAGTTACCCCAAATAAAGATATCAAATAGGAATAGGTCTTAAACTACAAATTTATTGTTATATTCTATATCAACCTCACACAGTAAAATAATTAGAAGTCTCATGTCATATTAATTCATGAGCATTCCCTTGTCTTTCTTCTATAAGCCATAAATTCACACCCTAATATACTGGAGAAAAGTCAACAGAGTCTATAGTACCTCAAGCTCATAATTCTGACCCCTCTACTTTTCACAGTATGATATAAACTGAATAACAAAAAATCTAGGATACTAAGTTGGTATGTATAGAATTTAAAACAGACCACTGAAACTGTTTTGGTTTTTGTTTCTTTGTTCTTTCACTTAATAAATCACCCCCCAAAATACCCCCAAAAACTATGTACCCATTTTTGTTAAAGTACCCAAGTTTACATTTACATCTAAGATGGTATGGAACTTTTAAAAATTAGAAAACTAGTTTTTTATTTAATTTCAATTTTTTTTATTAAAAATTTGAAACCAATTTTTTTATTATTATTATTTTTTGAGACAGAGTCTCACTCTGTCACCCAGGATGGAGTGCAGTGGTATGATCTTGGTTCACTGCAGCCTCCACCTTCTGTGTTCAAGTGATTCTCCTGCCTCAGCCTCCCGAGAAGCTGGGATTACAGGCACCTGCCACCATGCCCAGCTAATTTTTGTATTTTTACTAGAGACAGGGTTTCACCATGTTGGCCAGGATGGTCTTGCACTTCTGACCTCAGGTGATCCACCCAACACAGCCTCTCAAAGTGCTGGGATTACAGGCATGACCCACTGCACCTGGCCCTGAAACCAATGTTTAAAAAATAAAATAGAAAAACCCAATTCATATCTTCAATATCTCTTCTTCAAATTAGCAACTCTTCAAATTCATTCAAAAATTGTGTCAGTTAAAATTATTTGGTTAAAATGTCAGCACTGAAGTTTCTTGTCAGGTTCATAAGGGTACATGAGACATCAAATATCATTAGATTGTTGTTAGAAAAAAATTATAATTAGAAACCAATAACAAAAAGATAATCAGAAAATCTCAAAATACATGGACATTAAACAACACACTTCCAAATAACACCTGGGTCAAAGAAGAAATCCCAAGAAAATTTAAAAGTATTTTGAACTAAATTAAAACAAAAACACAACATATGAAAATTTCTGGAATGCAGCAAAGTCATGCTTAGGTGGAAATTTATAGCATTGAATGAATGTAATAGAATAGAACAAAGCCTAAAATTAATAATTTAAGCTTCCAACTTAGAAATCTAGAAAAAATAGGGCAAATTAAATAGAAAGTAAGAAGAAGAAATAATAAACATTTGAACAGAAATCAATAAAATTGAAAATAGGAAACCAATAGGCAAAATCAAGGAAATCAAAAGCCAATTCTTTGAAAAGATAAGAAAAATCAATAAGCTTCTAGCAAGGCTAACTATAATAAAAGAAAGAAGAAAGGACACAAATTGCTAATATCAGAAATGAAAAAGGGGACATCACTACAGCTCCCATGGACATTGATAATAAAGGAATACTATTAACAACTTTATGCCCACAAGCTTGGTAACCTAGATGAAAGGGACCAACTCCTTGAAAGACAATCTGCCAAAACTCACACAAGAACAAATAAACAATCTTAATAGGCCTAAATCTATCAAAAACATTGAATCAATAACTAATAACCTTCCAAAACAGAACGCATCATGTCCAAATGAATTCACTGCTAAATGTTACCAAATATTTAAGGAAGAAATTAAAGCAATCTGTACAATCTCTTTTAGAGAATAGAAGCAGAGAGAATACTTTCTAACTTATTCTGAGACCAGCATCACTCTAATACCAAAATCAGATGAAGACATTCAAAAAAAAGAAAACTATGTACCTGTATCTCTCATGAACATAGATGCAAATATTCTCAACAATTATTAGCAAATTGAATCCAACAATGTACAAACAGCATTATACACCACAACCAAGTGGGATTTATTTCAGGTATACAAAGCTGGTTCAACATTGCAAATCAATTACTGTAATTCATCACATCAACAGGCTAAAAAAGAAAAGTCATATGATCATATAAATAGATGCAGAAAAAGCACCTGACGGTATCCAATATCCATTTAATTTAAAAAAATCTCAGGAAACTAGGAATAGAGGAAAACTTCCTCAGTTTAATAAAAAATATCTACAAAAACCTACAGCTAACTAGAAGTGTTCCTACTGAGATCAGGAAAAAGGTAAAGATGTCTCTTCTTACTACTGCTTTTCAAGATTACACTGGAAGTCCTAGCTAACGCAATAAGAAAAGGAATTAAAAGGTATACTGATAGGGAAGATGGAAATAAAAGTGTCTTTGTTTTTATATGACATGATTGTTTAGGTAAAAATCTGAAAGAATTGACCAAAAAATCCTCCAACTAATAAGCAATAGTAGCAAGGTTGCAGGATACAAGGTTAATGTACAAAAGGCAATTGCTTTTCTATATATCGGCAATGAACAAGTGAAATTTGACATTAAAAACACAATACCATTTACTTTGGCATCCCCCCAAAATGAAATACTTAGGTATAAATGTAACAAAATATGAACATGATCTATATGAGAACTACAAAACTCTGATGAAAGAAATCAAAAAAGAACTAAATAAATGAAGAGGTATTCTATGTTCATGGATAGGAAGACTCAATATTGCCAAGACATCAATAATCCCCAACTTGATCTACAGATTCAATGCAATCTTAGTTAAATCTCAGCAAACTATTCTGTGGACATTGGCAAAGTTATATGGGGAGTCAAAAGACACAACATTGAAGAAGAAGAACAAAGTTGGAGGAATGACAATACCCAACTTCAAGATTTAATATAAAGCTACAGTAACCACGACTGCATGGAATTGGCAAAAGAAGAGACAAAGAGATCAATAGAACAGGATAGAAAGCCCAGAAATAAACTCACATAAACATAATCATCTGACCTTTGACAAAGAAGCAAAGACAATACAGTGGAGCAAAGATAGTCTTTTTGGCAAATGATGCTGGAACAACTGGAAATTCATAGCCAAAAAATGAATCTACATACAGACCTTACACTCTTTACAAAAATTAACTTAAAATAAATCACAAACACAAATGAAAAATGCAAAACTATAAGCTCTTAAAAGATAATATAAGAGAAAATCTAGATGCCTTGGCATGACAATGACTTTACAGACACAACACCAAAAGCATAATCCATGAAAAAAAGAATTGATAAGCTGTACTTCATTAAAATGAAAATTTTCTACTCTGTAAAAGACACTATCAAGAAAATGAGACGACAAGCCACAGACAGGGAGAAAATATTTGCCAAAGACACATCTGATAAAGATTGTTCTTCAAAATATACAAAGAATGCATAAAAGTCAACAATAAGAAAACAAACAACTTGATTATGAAATAAGCCAAAAACCTTAACAGACACCTGCTTCCCCAAAGAAGATACATAGATGGGAAATAAGCATACAAAAAGTCAGGACTAGCTACATAATCTTCAGCATCTAGTGTAAAATATAAATACGGAGTTACTTGTTCAAAACTTACTAAGAATTTTAAAACAAATTTCATTTGCCCCAACAGAGTATTAAACTGAGTGTGGGGTCGGTCCTTTGAAGTATGGCGCCCTGTGAAACTGCACTGGTGATACATCCATGAAGCTCCACATTATATGTTATCAGGTAAATGCAAATTTAAACAGATAACACTACACACCGGTTAGAATGGCCAAACTCTAGAACACTGACCACTCTAAATGCTGGCAAGGATGTGGAACGACAGGAACTCTCATTCATTGGTGCTGGGAATGCAAAATGATGTAGCTACTTTGCAAGACAGTTTAGCAGTTTCCTACAAAACTAAATATACTCTTACCATACAATCCAGCAATTATGCTCTCTGGTATTTACCCAAAAGAATTGAAACTTACATCCACAAACACACAAAAAAATCCTACACACAGTGATTTATAACAGCTTCACTTGTAATTACCAAAACTGAAAGTAAACAAGATACCTTCAGTACTTCAGTAGCTGCATGGAAAAATAAAATGTAGTTCATCCAGTCAATGGAATATTACTCAGTGGTAAAAACAAACGAGCTATCAAGCCACGAAAAAAACATGAAAGAAACTTTATTATTACTAAGTGAAAGAAGCCAATCTGAAAGCCTGTATATTGCATGATTCCAATTATATGACATTCTGGAAAAGGTAAAACTAAGTAGATAGTAAAAATACTTTTTTTGGTCAGGGGTTATAGGTAAGAAAGGAATTAATAGGTAGAACACAGGATTTCTAGGGCAGTGAAACTATTTTATATCATCTTATAATGGTGAGCACATCTCATGATACATTTCTCCAAACCCATAGAATATACAATACCAATTTGAAGCAATTGTGAATGGGAGTTCACTCATAATTTCTCCGTTCTTGGTATATAAGAATGCATGTGATTTTTGCACATTGATTTTGCATCCTGAGACTTTGCTGAAGTTACTTATCAGTTTAAGGAGATTTTGGGCTAAGACGATGGGGTCTGAAATGGTAAGTTTCTTAAAGGAGGACTTGTGCTGTTTATATCCATATTTGACATACCACTCTGCAAAGTATGCTTGGCGCACATTAGGCACTCAATTGAACTGAACTTTCCCAAGTACTATGACAGCTCCAGTCATGAGGCTAGTGGCCTCAGTTCACAATACCAAGAGTGAACTCTAATGTAAACTATGGTGGATTTGGGGTGCTTATGTTATCTCAATGTAGGTTCATCAACGGTGACGAATGTGCCACTCTGATGGGGGATGTTAATAATGGGAGAAGCTATGCATGTGTGGGGCAAACAGTATATGGGAAATATCTACACCTTTCTCTCAATTTTGCTGTGAATCTAAAACTGTTCTAAAAAAATTAAGTCTAAAAATGTTCAGTGAAGTATGTATGTTAAAAAGTTAAATTCCAGCACTCCGGGAGGCCGAGCTGGGCAGATCATGAGGTCAGGAGTTCAAAACTAACCTGACCAACATGATGAAACCCCGTCTCTACTAAAAATACAAAAATTATCCGGGTGTGGTGGCAGGCATCTGTAATCCCAGCTACTCAGGAGGCTGAGGCAGGAGAATCGCTTGAACCTGTGAGGTGGAGGTTACAGTGAGCCGAGACTGCACCACTGCACTCCAGCCTGGGTGACAGAGCAAGACTCTGTCTCAAAAAAAAAAAAAAAAAAAAAATTAAAGGTGGCCATTGAACAAATGAAAATAAAATCAGTAAATTCCAAACTAACAAAGGAAATATAGGGAAATCAGCACAAACGAAAAATAAAGTTATCTAGCCCTTTATCAGTTCTCATTCCCATTCAGTCTTTGTACAATATTTGATGCTATCAATCACTCTCTTTCCAATTATGTTTCCCTCTTAGCCTCCAAGATTCCTCCTTCTGCTGTGCAGCAAGTGATGGTTTTGTTTGTTGTGGTCACCTGTGTGCTGATTTCATCTCTCCTTCTGAAATGGTAAATTTCTTTTTTTTTTTTTTAACTATACTTTAACTTCTAGGGTACATGTACACAACGTGCAGGTTTGTTACATATGTATACATGTGCTATGTTGGTGTGCTACACCCATTAACTCGTCATTTACATTAGGTATATATCCTAACGCTATCCCTCCCTGCTGCCCCCACCCCACGACATGCCCCAGTGTGTGATGTTCCCCTTCCTGTGTCCAAGTGTTCTCATTGTTCAGTTCCCACCTATGAGTGAGAACATGCGGTGTTTGTTTTTTTGTCCCTGTGACAGTTTGCTGAGAATGATGGTTTCCAGCTTCATCCATGTCCCTACAAAGGACATGAACCCATCTTTTTTATGGCTGCATAGTATTCCATGGTGTATATGTGCCACATTTTCTTAATCCAGTCTATCACTGTTGGACATGTGGGTTGGTTCCAAGTCTTTGCTATTCTGAATAGTGTCGCAATAAACATACGTGTGCATGTGCCTTTATAGCAGCATGATTTATAATCCTTTGGGTATATACCCAGTAATGGGATGGCTGGGTCAAATGGTATTTCTAGTTTGAGATCCTTGAGGAATTGCCACACTGTCTTCCACAATGGTTGAAGCAGTTTACAGTCCCACCAACAGTGTAAAAGTGTTCCTATTTCTCCACATCCTCTCCAGCACCTGTTGTTTCCTGACTTTTTAATGATCTCCATTCTAACTGGTGTGAGATGGTAACTCATTGTGGTTTTGATTTGCATTTCTCTGATGGCCAGTGATGATGAGCATTTTTTCATGTGTCTTTTGGCTGCATAAATGTCTTCTTTTGAGAAGTGTCTGTTCATATCCTTCACCCACTTGTTGATGGGGTTGTTTGTTTTTTTCTTGTAAATTTGTTTGAGTTCTTTGTAGATTCTGGATATTAGCCCTTTGTCAGATGAGTAGATTGCAAAAATTTTCTCCCATTCTGTAGGTTGCCTGTTCACTCTGATGATAGTTTCTTTTGCTGTGCAGAAACTCTTTAGTTTAATTAGATCCCATTTGTTAATTTTGGCTTTCGTTGCCATTGCTTTTGGTGTTTCAGACATGAAGTCCTTGCCCATGCCTATGTCCTGAATGGTATTGCCTAGGTTTTCTTCTAGGGTTTTTATGGTTTTAGGTCTAACATTTAAGTCTTTAATCCATCTTGAATTAATTTTTGTATAAAGTATAAGGAAGGGATCCAGTTTCAGCTTTCTCCATATGGCTAGCCAGTTTTCCCAGCACCATTTATTAAATAGGGAATCCTTTCCCCATTTCTTGTTCTTGTCAGATTTGTCAAAGATCAGATGGTTGTAGATATGTGGTATTATTTCTCAGGGCTGTGTTCTGTTCCATTGGTCTGTATCTCTGTTTTGGTACCAATACCATGCTGTTTTGGTTACTGCAGCCTTGTAGTATAGTTTGAAGTCAGGTAGCGTGATGCCTCCAGCTTTGTTCTTTTGGCTTAGGATTGTCCTGGCAATGCGGGCTCTTTTTTGGTTCCATATGAACTTTAAAGTAGCTTCTTCCAATTCTGTGAAGAAAGTCTTTGGTAGCTTGATGGGGATGGCATTGAATCTATAAATTACATTGGGCAGTATGGCCATTTTCACGATATTGATTCTTCCTATCCATGAGCATGGAATGTTTTTCCATTTGTTTGTGTCCTCTTTTATTTAGTTGAGCAGTGGTTTGTAGTTCTCCTTGAAGAGGTCCTTCTCATCCTTTGTCAGTTGGATTCCTAGGTATTTTATTCTCTTTGAAGCAATTGTGAATGGGAGTTCACTCATGATTTGTCTGTTCTTGGTGTATAAGAATGTTTGTGATTTTTGCACATTGATTTTGTATCCTGAGACTTTGCTGCACGAAACAATATAAACAGCACAAGTCCTCCTTTAAGAAACTTACCATTTCATACCCCATCATCTCAGCCCAAAATCTCCTTAAACTGATAAGCAACTTCAGCAAAGTCTCAGGATACAAAGTCAATGTGCAAAAATCACAAGCATTCTTATACACCAAGAACAGACAAATCATGAGTGAACTCCCATTCACAATTGCTTCAAAGAGAATAAAATACCTAAGAATCCAACTGACAAAGGATGTGAAGGACCTCTTCAAGAACTACAAACCACTGCTCAACTAAATAAAAGAGGACACAAACAAATGGAAAAACATTCCATGCTCATGGATAGGAAGAATCAATATCGTGAAAATGGCCATACTGCCCAATGTAATTTATAGATTCAATGCCATCCCCATCAAGCTACCAATGACCTTCTTCACAGAATTGGAAGAAGCTACTTTAAAGTTCATATGGAACCAAAAAAGAGCCCGCATTGCCAGGACAATCCTAAGCCAAAAGAACAAAGCTGGAGGCATCATGCTACCTGACTTCAAACTATACTACAAGGCTGCAGTAACCAAAACAGCATGGTATTGGTACCAAAACAGAGATATAGACCAATGGAGCAGAACACAGCCCTGAGAAATAATACCACATATCTACAACCATCTGATCTTTGACAAATATGACAAGAACAAGCAATGGGGAAAGGATTCCCTATTTAATAAATGGTGCTGGGAAAACTGGCTAGCCATATGGAGAAAGCTGAAACTGGATCCCTTCCTTACACTTTATACAAAAATTAATTCAAGATGGATTAAAGACTTAAATGTTAGACCTAAAACCATAAAAACCCTAGAAGAAAACCTAGGCAATACCATTCAGGACATAGGCATGGGCAAGGACTTCATGTCTAAAACACCAAAGGCAATGGCAACGAAAGCCAAAATTAACAAATGGGATCTAATTAAACTAAAGAATTTCTGCACAGCAAAAGAAACTACCATCAGAGTGAACAGGCAACCTACAGAATGGGAGAAAATTTTTGCAATCTACTCATCTGACAAAGGGCTAATATCCAGAATCTACAAAGAACTCAAACAAATTTACAAGAAAAAAACAAACAACCCCATCAACAAGTGGGTGAAGGATATGAACAGACACTTCTCAAAAGAAGACATTTATGCAGCCAAAAGACACATGAAAAAATGCTCATCATCACTGGCCATCAGAGAAATGCAAATCAAAACCACAATGAGATACCATCTCACACCAGTTAGAATGGCAAACATTAAAAAGTCAGGAAACAACAGGTGCTGGAGAGGATGTGGAGAAATAGGAACACTTTTACACTGTTGGTGGGACTGTAAACTGCTTCAACCATTGTGGAAGACAGTGTGGCGATTCCTCAAGGATCTCAAACTAGAAATACCATTTGACCCAGCCATCCCATTACTGGGTATATACCCAAAGGATTATAAATCATGCTGCTATAAAGACACATGCACACGTATGTTTATTGCAACACTATTCACAATAGCAAAGACTTGGAACCAACCCAAATGTCCAACAATGATAGACTGGATTAAGAAAATGTGGCACATATACACCATGGAATACTATGCAACCATAAAAAAAGATGAGTTCATGTCCTTTGTAGGGACATGGATGAAGCTGGAAACCATCATTCTCAGCAAACTGTCACAGGGACAAAAAACAAACACCGCATGTTCTCACTCATAGGTGGGAACTGAGCAATGAGAACACTTGGACAGAGGAAGGGGAACATCACACACTGGGGCCTGTCGTGGGGTGGGGGTATTGGGGAGGGATAGCATTAGGAGATATACCTAATGTAAATGACGAGTTAATGGGTGCAGCACACCAACATGGCACGTGTATACATATGTAACAAACCTGCACGTTGTGCACATGTACCCTAGAACTTAAAGTATAATAAAAAATAAATAAATAAAAATAACAGTCAGCTCAATTACTTTATAATATAGACCAAAGGAACATCCAGATTCTTCAATTACACTGGAATGTCATGTGTCCTCCTTTTTTTTTAAATAAAGAAACCATAAATTGCATGTTGGAAGTCTCCTTTTTCTTTCTTTTTTTGGGGTAACATGTTTTTTCATTGTAATGTTTATTGAAACAGGACTTGGGTTTTCCCTGTAGCTTTTAAAGTAAAACTTGCCATTCCCCACCCAATTTTCCCACATACCTGCAAAAGTTTACAAAAGATACTATCCAAAAGTTCCAAAGAAGGTTAGGAAGAGTTTCATATGGATAATTGAGACTGAACAACTAAACCCACTGAGGGTTAATGCAGACAGACTTTTGCAGCTTTAATAGTTAAAACAACTGGACCCTCACCTCTTTACATCTGTCGCCACTTTATGTAGGAGAAACTGAGAGAGCCTAACCAACCTCAGCGTTGGGAAGAACTGTCCTGGAATGCATGCCCGTAGTTCGCTAAGCTGCACCACAGGCAGCTTTTGACTTTTTGCCCTATTAGTTAGTTCTGCCCAGATTTCCCAAAGAAGGGCAAGACTGCATGCTTCCCTACTGCCCTGGTGCTCCCAGAATCACAAAGAAACTTGCGGGGCAGTTGCTGTGAGGTCTGGGATTCCCACCAGCACTGAAGCGGTTAACTTTTAGGAAGACCTAGAGAAAGAAAAACAGACTAAGAACTGCCTTGTGCTGGGAGGAGGGTTAGAAATTGAGGCCGTTGCTGTTGTTTTCATTGTGTGCGCTCTAATCAGGGAGAGTAAGAACAATAATGCATGTAATGCTGATTTTGGAACGTGTCCATGCAGCTTTTCCCAGGCTAGACAGCCTTGGGAACCACTGATAGAGTGGCACACCAGGGGCACAGCCTCAATCACCAAGCACAGGGCAGGGCAGCCTTTTCTGTGGATAAAATATGTGAGAGATGACAAGAATCTTCCCAGCATGGGAAGTGGCAGTAACAAAAATATATATATACAATGGAGTGAAACTGAAGGCTTTGCATCTCGCAGCCCAGCCACGGGGACATGATATTTGAAAGATAGGATATTTCTCCTTTTACCCACCCCCATTTTCCTTTTTTGTTTGTTTGTTTCCCTTCTTGTATTCAACTTGCCCTCCCTTTCTTCCCCACTCCCATCCCCCAGATTCCCTCTGCCACACTTTGAAGCCCAGATGAAAGCCGTGTGTTGTGGCTGCTGGCACCAAGCAAGAGCAAAAGTGTGCTTTAGTTTAAGATGCTGTACTTTTCGCTCAAGGAAAAGGGGGAAAAATCAGCTTGAAACAATACATTGCATTTTGCTGGACAGCAGGCTTGTATGTATCTAGGATTCAAACGTGGTCCTAATTTTTTCAGAGCTTTTGTCTCCAAGGACAAGGCAATAGCTAAAATGTGGCATCCTTTTTCAAAGCAAATACATATAACTGCAAGGGTTTTGCAGTGGTATTGTTTAATAAAATAAACAAGAGACAAGAATCAGGCACATGAGCTTTTTGGTGTTGACACAACAGCAGATCGTAGCTATTTCAAGTGTTGTTGAAACAGCTCCCTTACTTTTAAATAGCACAATCTAGCTATGCTGTACTAAATGATTTTTGAAGGAATGACTTCTGTACATTTACTTAGTTATTTGGTTACCACATTTAGCAAATAAAAATTTAGGATACTCAGTTAAATCTGAGTTTCAACTAAACAATGATACAATTTTAGTATATCTCATGCAATGTTTAGGATAAACTTATACTAAAAATTTGTTGTTGTTTATCTGACACATATTTAACTAGGCATCCTGTATTTTATGACAGTTTTTAAATCAGCTCAGTTTTTAAAAATAATTTACATTAAAACATTTTTTAAGAGCCTAAGGTTATAACATGAATTTATTTGAGACTCATAAAATTTGAACATAGGGATAATCAACACATCATCCTCACAACAACAGAGACTGCCTGTAATAAAGTCCTTTTCTTGTCCCTGTCAACTCATCCCCTAAACATACACAAATTATATAGCCGTTCACGTTACACACACACACCCCACAGAGTGGTTTTTGACTGTTTGTATTTTTTCCATCAAAGAAAGGATTGGCTAATAGATCACTATTGAAAATCAACTCATACCATGGAAAGTGCATATAGCTGCCAGTTGGCCATTACTTGAAACCACAGCTGCTTTGTCAAATAGCAATAGCTCATGAGCTCTGATGCATAATAATTTTGGTTAAAATTGTACCCATTTTATCTACTTAATACCCTGAAACCTGGCTTTGTTTTTTTAAAATTTACTTATAGACATGTGATCAGCCCAAAGGAACCGCTAGGGAAGCTCAGCTTACTTTGTTCTGGATGCTTTCTCTGTAAACCTCTGGCCTTCACTCTTGTTCGTATGATCCTGTGTTCACTTGAACTTGGACCAAGATGAAGGCCTGAGACTTTCGTCCCTCATAGCTGTTATTCCTGAACATGACCTGTGAGAGTTGTGAGTTTCCAATTCATGGTGATTGAAAAGGGAGCTAAAATAAAGTCTAAGAATGTGAGGAGGATAGTGCTGGAGGAAAAGATTTAGAGTTGTTTTGAAATCTCAATGCATGTGAAATTCAGGTAGTGCTTACATAAGTGGTAAAGTTGCATTTAACCTGTATCTGGAAGATGGGTAGGTGTCATTGGAGAGTCATGTCTTTTTGGACAACCATTTTTCCTCTACCACTACTAAATTTCTGATTAAGCAACAGATTTCTTTGTTGGAAAAGCAGTTGCTATTAATCAGTTTGTCAGTGTAAGCTCACTTCTGCTTCCTCTTAAATCAACACCAGAAGAAGAATTAACAGAAAATTTATTTTGCTTGAATATACTTCCGAGGAAAACTAACACGGTTTCAACTTGAGTATCAAACCTAGATAGACTTATATGAACATAGTGTTTTTTTTTTTTTTTTCAATTTTGCCCAGGTTGGCCTCGAACGCATAGCCTTTCCTCCTTGTGTGCCAGGACAACTGGCTGGAGCCACCGCAGCTCCCACATAGTGTTACATGATCTTTTATCATTCAATTTCCTAAACACAGTCAAGATGACACCTAAAGTGAGTTCAGAAATCTACTTTATTCACAGAAAAAAAAAACGGAAGAGGCCGGGTGCGGTGGCTCACGCCTGTAATCCCAGCACTTTGGGAGGCTGAGGTGGGCAGATCACGAGGTCAGGAGATCGAGACCATCCTGGCTAACTGGGTGAAACCCTGTCTCTACTAAAAATACAAAAAATTAGCCAGGCGTGGTGGCGGGTGCCTATAGTCCCAGCTACTCGGGAGCTGAGGCAGGAGAATGGCGTGAACCCGGGAGGTGGAGCTTGCAGTGAGCCGAGATCGCGCCACTGCACTCCAGCCTGGATGACAGAGCAAGACTCTGTCTCAAAAAAAAAAAAAAGAAATTTAGTTATCTACCTTCTTGCCCCACTATTCACACATCCACCTACAGTCATTTCCCTCTCCATTCCTCTGCTTATATAGAAAGATAACATGTTTGACTAATGAATTCATTGCCTGTTTCACTGTTGAGGTGGAATGCTGGACTGAGAGTCTGGAGGATTTGTTCTAGTTTCAGCTCTGATGCTAATGACTGTATAAACCTGGACAAGTCTACCTTCATTCTTAACCAAAACACTGAGAAATAACAAGACAATTTATTTCCTATCAGTTTCCTCATTTGAAATATGAAAAACCAGCTGCTCAAAAATTCCTTCTTATTCTAAAATTCTGGTTCTGTAACTGTTTCCATCAGTAAAACCTATTTTCTACTCCAAGTAACAAAAAGCAATGTTTGTGCCAAGTGATTGCACTTATTAAATATTTTTGATGGTGATAGTTTTTTTTTAAAAATTTACTGCCAGACCAAACATACATTTAAACAGAAGCAAAAAGAAGTACCTGTAAAAAGTTGAAATTGTCAATGATTCGGTCTATAAACCCTCTAGTTTGGGAAATTAGAATTTGTGAATATTGAATGTGGGCCACTGGATCTTCAAATAAGAATAATGCATGGATAGAAATTATTATCTAATCATTCAGATGGTCTGCCCATTTATGGACACCACAAATTCAAGGATTTTAGCTGCACTGGAATACAAACACCCAAATAAAACATACACTTTTTAAAAAGAGTGTAAATAACACTAGCATTGCTTTCAGTGGTGTAATCAAATATAAAAGAACTTGGGTCAATTATAGGATTGATATGGCATATGGAAAATGCTGTTTTTTTAAAAAAATGCAAAATATGGAGACTGGGAACCAGGAACCAATCAAGGGAAAATCTGAAAAATGAAACAAACATCTAGTCTGCTGATCAGAACCAGGACCCAAGGATTATTGTGGAGAAATCATTGAAATCATCAATTGGGTCTAAGGAGAGTGAAAATGACAACCCGGATAAAGGGATACAGGGAGAAACTGAACAACAAAAGTACCATGAGGGAGCTGTTAGAGCCCTGGAGTCCTTCTTCAGAACTATGAGGCTCTGAGGTCAGCTTTCTTTTCTCTGTAGCTCTGTGGCAAGTGGAATCCACCATCTTCCTGTTCCCTCTTCCCAGACTCAAACTTCAGAGATCTGGAGACAGAGTGATGCCAAAAGAGGGAATTTGTTGCTTTCTCGGTTCCTGTAGATCTTTTCTTTCTCTGACACATTTTTTTGAAGTCCTTTTGTAATGAGATGGCTTAAAATAGCACTGCATGCCAAGTTATAATGCATGACTTTACTGCTGCCAAAATGTATTAGTATTAAAGCCTTAACCTATCTGTATATTTTAACCAAATACTTATTTTGGGGGGGTGGATTTCTATTTAGCACATGTGTCATTTTTAATGTTTTGTTATTTTGTTCATCATCTTAATAATTAATCGCGTCTTCTAAAATACAGATACAGATCAAGAGCCTGTCTATAATAATTTCTCCAATACAAAGTTTTCCACACTCAAAGCTAGAACTACTTTTTACATCTCCTTTAATTGGGCTGAATTCTTATTCGAATTGACTTTCTGTTGCCAACCAATTGTCTTTAACTGCATTAAAAGTGTACTCAATATTTTCCCTAAGATGGCCATAAAAATCTCATAAATGGAGCCACACTTCCCCCTGATTTTCATGTTCAATTTAGCACTCTGTTTCCTATCTTTGAAAGGAAGTGAAAATAGGATCCCTAATAGCTTCTCAGGCCCCACCTTAGGTGGATAGGAGAAAGCTAAAGACAGCTGGACTTGACAGGGTTTATTATAGAAGAAATTCACAGCCCCTCTCCTAAAGCATCTATGAAGACATTGAGCTTGGGACATTGACCCTCCAACTCAGATGAAAAAGTTGTCTTTTTCTCTGGGAAATTTAAAGCCATTTTATTCATTCTGACTATAACATGAACATTCTAGTTGCTTTATCCCACCCTCCTTCTTTAATCTTGCTGGCAAGAATTGGAAGGACATGGAGATCCTTGGAACACAGAGCTCTGCCACTGGCCTCTTCCCCACTGTGGGAGGCAGGTGGGTGTCATGTCTAGTTTGCCTCCTTCTCAGACCACAGTCCCAGGAGAACAAGTATTTGTTCTCAACGAATACTACATGAGTGGGGCTGGGAGGAAGGACTTAGGAACTTGACTGCGTCATGCTCATCAACTAATTAAGAAAAGCTCCCCCAACGTTATGTCTTTCTTACGTACTAATTGTTTATAAACTTCTATTATAATCTAGTAACATAATATTAATTTGTTTCATTTTTAACATGTAAGAAAAATCAGTAAATTTTGTGTGGTATCAATTTCTATCTAATTTGACCTTGCCAGCGCCCACAAGCAATGACGTCTATATTATAACAGCTTTGTCTGTTCCAGAGTTCTGAAATACCCTTCACAGAAAGGTTATCTTCAGCTTTAGGAAGTTGCCCTCTTTGCTTGTGTCTGAATGGGATGACTGTAAGTCACCTAAATGGCTGTTTTTCAATACCTATACAGGCTATGATATTTGCTTATGAAATTTTAAAACTAGCAAAACATAACTTAAAAAAAAAAAAAAGAACACTCAGCCAATCCAGAAAATAAAAGATCCAAAGTAATAATTTTTGGGAGTTCATGTATGTAAGTAATCAAACATTTGATCTCTTTATCAAGTAGAAAAATGGGTGGTAATATATATCAAAATACTTGATTCTTCTGGGGGTGACCTTGAAGCCCTTAATCTGTATTTCATATCTTTTAGACCTGGAAATGAATACAGTTACACTATCTTCTCATGTGTACCATTAACTTTTTTCAAAATATGTTAATGCTAATGATGGTGGTACTTCCACCATTTATTTTTTTCAAAATTTTAGCACAGAGCTTTAACAAGTTAAAAAAATATTATTGCTGCTACTGATAACAAGAGAAAGCTCTGATACTGAATGGCTGTGTAATCTTTGGAGGTAACTTTAATGTTCTCATCTGTAAAATGAGTGAATTAAGACCCAGCTTACATAATTTTTATCAAAATTAAAGATCACATGTGAAGTGTCTGGAACTTCACATGAGCCCTCCATAAATTTCTGTGAAATGGTGGTGACTAAAGGAGATTGTTACAAGATTTTGGTGATTTAATTTGTTGTCCAAATAACAGAGAAAAAAACCCTAGAGTCCCATATGTAAATTATAACATGAAAACAAGAAAATGTCAACAAAATAGTTTCATTTTATTAAGTGGGTAGAGCACTCAATCATGTAGAATTTCCTAAATGAAGTTATGCCATTCAGGTAGGGTGACACAGTTGGGATCTAAGTATGAGACAAAAGAAAATAGATTTAAAATCGTAACCAGAATGATCCCTGGGTGTGAGACATCAGAGTGGGGGAATAAAACAAAACTGAGGCATCTCTTTGGGTGGTTCAGGGAAAGGAATTTTTGGGCTTGGTTAGCTGACAGCCCACCAGGAGAGTGAGGAAGAACTGGGCAATCTATCAAGGTCCCAATGACCCACTGGAAATTGTCCATTATTGAGCTAAAAATGAAATTAAGCTCAAATTAAAATAACTAGTACTATGTGCCAAAATTCTGCATGTGGTATCATTTTAAGCAATAGAATAATCTTTTCTCACAATTTACAGGAGATGCTGCTACCAACTTCCATGTGATTGAGTAAAGTCAGCACCTGCAGAAGTACTATGACAAGTTTAACACAGTATTCTTATTCATTTTTCATGTGACATTTATTCCAAAGAACATTACACTTTGTAAGATATCTCACAGTAGGGTTGCCAATTGGTCTAAACCTCTTAAAATTATTTTCAGAAACCATGATTCTTCCTTTTGACAATATACAGACACATTTTGCATTTGAGTAAACAGGCACTTGCTCCTTTAAAATTGTATATTTTTACTTAAAATCACCTACAGAGATAGCTTACTGGAAATATTAAACTGCTGCTCTAAACAGATTGCTAATAATTTAGAAGTAAATACTTTCTGATTTAATTACTTGGGGAAAACTACTGATTTTTCTTTCTCTAAAATAACTTTAAAAGTACTTCTGTTGCAAATTGTGTAACATATGTTATCCATACAAAACTCTTTAAATAGGATTATGTTAATTCAGGGCCTTAACGTTAAAAAACATTTGACTCTGAGCAGCATGGTCTCCAAATGTGTGAGAAAGACATGTGGACTGGTCCCCACCACTATGAAATGCTTAAGAAGTATCCATCAAGTAATTGAATCTCAACTGGATGCCATAGATTTACATATTATAATGTATTCTGTTCTCAAGGAGCTCCTTTGTTCTGAAGAATTTATAAGCTGGCAAAGAGACATTATCAAAATTCAAAAGTATATTTTATGTATTATATACATAACACATAAGTATGCATATACATTATATGTTAGGGGTGTATGCACATGTGTGTGGGAAAATTAAATACTAAGTAAACAAATAACCCAATTTTTTAAATGGGCAAAAAGATTGGAATAGACACCTCACCAAAGATTTACAAAGAGCAAAGAAGCACATGAAAAGATGCTCAACATCAGTAGTCATCAGGAAAATACAAATTAAAGCCCAATGAAATACTACTACACACCTACTAGAAGGGTTAAAATTAGAAAGATGGACCATGCCAAGTATTGGTGAGAATGTAGAGGATCTGGAACTCTCATACATGTGTAATGGTGGGAATGTAAGATGATACAACTGCTTTGGAAAACAATGGGCTCTTGATAAACTCATGAGAAATAATTTGGTAGGAATATTACAGGCACACGGTTATACAGGGTGTACACTGCAAACTTCTAGGGGGAACCATCCACAACCTACTCTATGTGCATGGTCTATCACTGATTATGTGCAGAGCATAATCTGGGAGGCCTTATGTGGCAAATCTTACTAAGAAAGTTGGTTTTGAAGTGAGGAATAGGATGCGGCAGGAGTTGGTGGGGAGGGGAAAGAACAATACATCTGAGAGCTGAAAAAAGAAGGCTGTTCTTGAGGCATAAGATACCAGTTTTGCCAACAATTGCTGTACAAAAGTTTACTATTAAAAGTAACTGCAATAATTTTTGCACCAGCCTAATAGAAATGAAAAGGAGGACGTGTGTAATTCAGTGGGCAGGCCCCAGTGGCATATGCCTCCAAAGTTGGCAATGTGGAATGCAAACACTCACTCAACAATACAAACCAACATTGGGGTTTGAAATGGAGAAAAATGAGCTAAAATAAGTGAAATTGCTATAATGGGCAGTTTTTCTATTAAGCAACATTGACCATTGACCTTCAGAAAACACCGAGAGCCAATATAAGAAAATGGCAAAAATTTTATAGGGTTAGGGAGAGAGCTGGTGCACGTGGAGAGATACTGTTTCAGGTTTCTTAAGGAGAACTCAGGAAGGGAAGAAGACTAGGAGAAACTAAGATTCATTGAGCATTTGTCTGTTACATGTCGATTTACTATAGTGGGAAAGCTAAGAATTAATAATAACTTCACTAAATGCACCCAACTCAGTGTTAAACTCTTTATAGGTAGTCTAAGTGAATCTCTCTAACAACTAAATGACATAACTACTATTGTTGACATTTTATAGATGAGAATATTGAAGACTAAAGACTTAAGGAACTTGTCATTGACATACAGCACGGAAGGGGAAGAGTTGGGACTTTAACTCAGGTCTTAGTTACTCTTTCACTTACCCAAAACTGAGACCAAGGGTATAAAACTTCATTTTACAAAAACATCAAATAATATGATTACAAAAACTTTGATTTATCAGTCAGTGTCACCGGTTGATTAAAAGAGAAAAGGAGCAAGAGGGAGAGAGAGCAGAAAGAGTGAAAAATACAAACATTGGTTAGTAGTCTCCACTTTACAACTCTTGTCTCACCCTGCAGTTCTCCAAGGTCATTCCAAGAGAGCAGTGTAAATTATCACCTGTTTAATCTGTCCTGTAAAAGGATTTGTAGTCCTTTCTGAATCAGAAAGCAGCTCATTTTCCTTTTTAAACTTCAAATTGCAATTTTAAAATGAAGTTTGATTTTTTCCTAGAAATTCTGAAAATGTTGCATGGATAGAAAGAGTGATATAAATTTGACATTTTGCTTTACAAAAAAACCTGTAAATTTATAATGGTTCTTGACCCAGGTCTCACATCAGAATCACCTGACACACCAATGCACAGGACCCCACTCCAGATCAATGAAATCTGAATCTGTGTAGGACAGGCACAGGTACCAGCATATTCTTATAAATAGCTCCTCCCTCAGGTTTCTAATGTGCAGCTAAGTTTGAGTACAAAATTTGGAACCAAAGTTATGGTTTACAGTTAATTTATTTAACTAGTATCCTGCAAATCCATATGACACTGAAAAGCCATCTGATGGCCTCATCTTTGTCTTTGAAAACTTGGAATTGCCTAAATCCTTCTGCGCCTAATTGTCTTGTTCAAGAGGAGACTAACTTCTTCCAGTTCTTGTACTTAGCCTAAAGAAATGAAATGGAGCACTAGATCTCAATTCAAATTCCCTGTTGTGGGTGTAGCTAACACTGGACCCAGGAAAGAAGTGGGAGTGGGGAGGCCCTGCCAAGAGAGGCCAGGAGATGATTTCTCTGCCAAGAGAGGCCAGGCGACGATTTCTCAGCTGTTTGGTTTTTACACTAGTGCCTTTGGAAAAAGCTTAGGAAGGAGAAACACGTATGTGTCATTTCTGCAGCAACATAATATCCAGAACTTTTCAAGTTTCCAAAGCTAAGTCAAAGGACTGGAAAGCCTTCCACTTACAGTTTATCAGGGAAGGAAAAATATATAAATCTGGAAAGATTTAACATCATTTAATTGTACAAATGATCTGAGGCCTTGCTTTCTTCTTCTCTTGTATTCCCAAGCACCTACATTGCAGGTGGTTTATGAGCAATGTCTGGATGTGATGGGATTAGGTAACAATCAGATGACTCCAGTTCAAGTCCAGGATCAGGTGCTAGGAACTGTGTGACCAGAGGCAAGGTATTGACCACAATGACCTAGAGAATGGTGAGAGGTAATACAAGTCCTACCTATCTCTGGATGCCAAGTCAAAGAAGAGATAACACATATGAAAGCATTATATACAGAAGTCTGGTGTATGTAAATTGTCTTCATTATTTTTTCATTTGTATTACACGGGTTTTAGAACCCTGCTTCTAGAGAGGAATGAGGCTAAACCTCTTGCTAACCTCAGACTAATTGGAACCAACCTTCCACAGCTTCCCATCGGCCTGCTTCCATGTGCTATGGAGCCTCAGAATTGCTTTCTCCGCCACCAGCCCAGTGGAATGGCTAAAATAAAGCACAGTCAGTCCTATCTTCCACTTGGAACATTGGATTAATTCAGCATTCACAATTATTGGGAAACACCATGTTCTTAATGATGGGAGCCCCTGACTCTGTATTCATCAACATCATAATTTTTTTTTAAAGAAACTCTGTTTCTCTTTTGCATTCTGCAGGCAGACACAGGAGACCTTCAGCAGCCCTGCAGACCCTTTCATTATCATTGCATATTGCTAAGCCTTTGAGGAATACATTTGTAGCTACTAAAGAAAAATTGCAGAATTGAGAAAGTAAGAGAGAAATTATACTTTTGACTGAATGAATCAAATGTTAAATGATTCTGACCAAAGCAAGCTATCTTCTGCACTGTCCAATGTGATACCCACCTGTGGTTACTGAGCTTTTGAAAAGTGGCTAGTCCAAATTGAGATGTGCTGTATATCTAATTTCCAAGAGCTATTCCAAAAATGAAGAACATAAAATATCTCAATAATTTTATATTGATTACATGTTGAAGTAGCAATATTTTGAATTATTAGATTAAATAAAATATATAATCAACTACTTTTACCTTTTTAAAAACTTTAGTTTTTTTTTAATATGTGCAATTTAACTGGAAAATTTAGAATTACATACATGGCTTACATTGTATTTCAGTTGTTCAGGGGTGATTTCTATCTTGTTTTACCTTTGGGAAAACTGTTGATAATTTTCTAGTTGCTTCTACAGTGTTCACATGGTTAGAGCTTGCAACATAAGGAACACAACCACAAACAGGTACCACTAAATAAGAAAGTCCACATTAAATTGCCACTGGTTCTCTCTCTCTCTCTCTCTCTCTGTCTCGTCTCTCTCTCTCTCTCTCTATATATATACATGCATAAAATCAGTAGATAATATATAAAGCAGGTAACTTGAATGCAAATATCTTCCATTAGTTTCCCTGGAAACACACACTCTCTCTCTCTCTCTCTCTCTCTCTCTCTCTCTCTCAATCTCTCTCTCTCTCTCTCTCTATATATATATATATACACACACTATATATATATATATATATATATACACACACTATATATATATACACACTATATATATATATACACACTATATATATATATATACACACTATATATATATAATTAGTAGATAATATATAAAGCTGGTAACTTGGATGCAAATGTCTTACATTAGTTTCCCCAGAAACAGATCCTGAGACAGAGATTCAGTTCTATGTGATTCAATGTGGAAACATTCTCAAGAAACTCTTTTGTAAGAAAGGGAGTGAGGCAGGATGGGGAAGGGGATGAAGCCAAATAAGGATTGGCCAGATTGTGGGGAGAGTGAGCTTTGAAATTTAAATCTCACTGCAAAGTTGTCCCACCTTGAGGCCAGGAAGCAGGCAGCACTTGAACAGCTGAAGATACAGCAATAAATCAAACAGACAAGTATCCCTATTCCCACAGGGCTTACATTCTTTTGGGGGAGACAAGATAAACAAATATATAATATGTAAAGAAATAACACATGTTATGAAAAAACAAGCAAGAGAGGCTAGGGATTAGATGGGGAGGGAGAATTGTTTTGGTTAAAGTGATCAGGAAAGACCTCTCTGAATAAGTGATTGATCTGTAAATAGAGACCTGAATGAAGTACGGAATTGAGTCATGCAGGTATCTGGAGAGAAAGTATTTCTATGGAACACCAGAGGCAAAAATTCTGATCCAGAAGCACATTTGACCTATCCAAGGAAGGAGAGTGAAATCTGTGGGGCAGGAATGTGGGCAAAGGTAACAAGCTAGCAGGGAATCTGACCATGTAGGCTTACAGGTTATTGGAAGAACTTGGGGTTTTATTGTGAAAACTGTCTTATAGGTCCCACCTCCCTGACATAGCAATTAGTGTAGGGCTGGCCTCAACCCTAACTGAACCGATCATAGCCACCCAGTATCACTGGTCACATTAGAACCAATGGTGAGCACCTAACTGGGCTGTGCCAGAGCTCTCCCCTGAAATGTTTCCCATTAGAACTAAGAGAAGAGGAAGAGTTCTTCTTATGTGGCAACACTGTAAAAATATGAGCTGTCACCTTTTGCAGAATAGAACCCAAATGGTGAAGAGATGCAAAATGAGTGGTAGAGAAAGACAGTGTCATTTGTGGGGAAATACTAGATTCCAGTCTCTCAGGCAGCTCCGTCCACCCATGCCCTCTCCTCAGTTTTGCCAAATATACCAATATTTAGTCTGAATTAATTAGATCTGGGTTCCAAGACTTAGAAGTCAGGATTTTTCTAATTCATAATGCTCCTCCAAACCTAAACCTTGTCCTCACTGGAGAAAAAAAATAGCCACCTGTTTATGACATCTATTTATAGTATGTATCTTTTTTTTTCTTATTACTGTCATCAAGCAACCTCCTAATCACTCCTTTTCATTCCTGGAAAACTGGCATCTAGTTCAAAGTAGATTTCCCAGTCCCAACCCCGACATCATTGTGAATGTGTCCTTGTGACAGTTCCCTGACCCTGGCCTCACACTTCCTCGGATTCTTCAGTTCATACTACCTCTATCTCCACCTTACTTGAATTAACCATTTGCGTGGCCAGACCCTGCAACGTATTATCCCCCAGTTTTCCACATCAGAAATCTTAAACTCCAGCACTTCAAACTCAATCTTATCTTTCCAAAAGGATATATAAGTCTGGATCTGCTGCTACCACACAGAAGCACCTGTTTACAAATTAAAGCAACTCAGAGGGAAGCGGAGGCTGAAGATTTCTGGGGACACTGTTTGATGGCTAACCATGTAGGCCAACACATATACTTTTGTTTTTCTTAATCCTTGGTTGGCTTTTTGTTATTTGCAACTGTAAGAGTCACTGCAAATGATTAATTCAAGGCCAGTTGCCTCTTATTTCTCTGAGCAATTATTACATATATGTTTTACTTCACATCAATATACACTGACTATTCTCCATTTTGCTCTAACTTTTTAATATTTCAAGCCAGTTCATATTTCTAATTGCTGACAACCACATTGACTACTACTTCTTGAAAAAATTAAAGCACATACACTCACACATACATACATTTGCATACATCTTAAAATTTTATCTCCTTCCTCTCCTTTGGTTTCAGAGAAAAGGTTCTTTCTCCTATCTGCCAAAACTCTACCTAATGCTGACCCAGTCCTCCACCTTGTTCCTACCATTTTTTCCCTGAGAAATCCCATCTCAACCCTAACTCTTCAAACATTTCATTCTCTAAGTAGGCTCACTTTCCTCAGCCTAAAAGCATGCTCGTATCACTACCACCCAGAAAGGCTCCCTCCCTTTATGCTGTGCCCTCCCCTCAGCTCTCCTTCATCTCTATAAGTATAGATTTGGTCTATAAACCTTCACAATTGGGCTTACCCACCTCTCACCTATAAGTACCTAGCTATAAGCTGGTGACTGACAAATTGTTATCCAGCCTGATCTCTCCCCACAGCTTCGGAATCGTAAGTCGAATATCTCCTTACATCTCCGTTTACATGTAGGAGTTAGTATGTCTATAACTGAGATTATCATCTTTCTTTCTTTCCAAACCTACTTGTAGTAGGCCATTCTTGCATTGCTATAAAGAAATACCTGAGACTGGGTAATTCATTTAAAAAAGAGGCTCAATTATCTCAGGGTTCAGCAGGCTATACAAGAAGCATGATGCTGGCATCTGGTCGGCTTCTGGGGAGGCCTCAGGAAACTTACAATCATGTCGGAAGGTGAAGTGGGAGCAGGCACTGTCACATGACCATAGCAGGAGCAAGACAGAGAGCCAGGGAGGAGATGCCACACACTTTAAACAACCAGATCTTGTGAGACATGAGGATGGCATCAAGGGGATGGTGCTAAACCATTCATGAGAGATCCACCCCCACGATCCAATCACCTCCCACCAGGCCCCACCTCCAACACTGGGAATTGCAATTTGACATAAGTTTTGGGTGGAAACACAGATCGAAACCATACCACTGCTCTTTATCCTATATTCCAAGCCTAACTTACTATCACTGCTATCCATTTACTCACCTAAGTTAGCCAATCTGTCATCATCCACTCCTACTAAATTACTTTCTAAATATTTCTCAGATCTGTGCCTGCCTGCCCACCTCAGCACCTGGACCACTGCAGTACGCATCTAAACCAGGCCTCCCTGGGATCCATCCTCCACTGCTGCAACAATCTCCTATCCAAAATGCAACCACTACCATGTCCTCTCTGCCAGCAATTTGTCAATATTTTAAAAAATCTAACTGAAATTCAACAAATGCTTCTAGCATTTTGAGTTTCATAACTAATAGAGACATGAGTCATTCTCAAACAAAACAGAAATATTTTTCTTAGGGCCAGTGTGAACTGCCCATGGCACCTTTACCCTCCATTAGAACACCATCAGAGATTGACTTTGTCCAGCTTTTGTCCATCAAAGGCTGACAGTGTTTTTGTTCCTTTCAAATTTCAATTATTTGTCTATTTCTCCATAAAGTTTAATAAACATCCATTTAGAAATGGAGGAATGGGTTGATATGAAATATTTGAGGAGTGTGGGAAGAGGGTCCAGTATGCTTGGTCTTAGCCAAATAGAGATTTCCATGAAAACTCCCAAAATGCTTCAAAAGATTCCATAAAAAAGATTGAAAAGGCTCTGCAAACTTCAAAATATTGTTTAAAATGTTTTGATGAGTTACGTGTAAATGAACATACAGATTAAATTTCCATCTAAGTCCACATGCTCTTAAAACATTGAGGGGAAACGGTTTTGCCAAACACGCTCTGGGTTTTTTTTTTTAACTCAAAGCAATTTGCAATATTCAACAAACCTAAATGTGGCAGGGCTCACTCATCCCTTCACCCATCTTCTTCCTAATTCAAAGCATAGTCACTAACCAGCAAATATGAGGAAGAAAGAAAAATGTATGCAGAGGTTTAAAATAAATGGAGCCTGATTTTCTTGCTCACTTAAAGGAGGGGATGACTGTCTTAGAGCTATCGAAGTTAGTTTCTTTTCCTGCATTTTATTTGGTTTAATCAACAAATATATTTTTGGGCACCTACTATATGCCAAGCATCAAAAAGGAGTCTAAGAGATATGAACTTCCTCTTGACTTTCCTAGGACATAGAAAAAAGAATTTTGCAAGCTTAAATACAGCACCACTACCTGGAAAACAGTGTCAATAAGCTCTGTTGACTTCCCTAAATGTAGCACTATCTGGCTCAGAAATCCAACTTACCAGCAAACAGCCTGGTGACAAAACTAAAAGAAGCTTAATTTGAGCTTTTCCAGATTTAAAAAAGAAGTTGCCAGCTCCCCTCATTGACCATGCTGGTCAAAATTCCCTGTTACCCAAGGTCTTGGTCCCAAAGCTGTATGAGATTCTACCTGATTCCTATGGTACAATGAATTCATACGGTACTGGCTGCTACTAATTAACACTTTAAAAGTGTCTGAGCCTGTTCATATGTTCCTAATGAGAAATCAAATGTTATCATCTCACTGTCCCCTCAAGGCAGACTCAAGAAAGGGAGGAGGACAGTTGAGTGACTATGCTTAAAATCTTCAAAAGAGAAAGAGAAAAGATTACAGGATACAGAGCCTTTTGATTTTAGGCATTCTGAAAGCAAGGACCTCATATTCTATTTCTTTTTCATGCTACCTAAAATGCCTAATTCAAAGAAACACTCTCCATCAAGTCACAAAACCTCTTAACATGAAAATCAAGCTTAAGGGACAGAAGGACAGGGGTTGTAGGGGAGATGGAGGGTAAGAGGGTGAGGGCGGGTCCCAGAGGGAGGAGGATTCCTTGGTGACAAACTACAACCTTTTTATCTTCTGCTCCTGGTTAATACTTCCAGTCATTTTTGGTGAGATGAAAAATGAGGACATTCACCACTTAAGTGACAATACACACTCAACTCCAAATCTCTAACATATTCCCTGGACAGATTGAAAACAAACATGACAAGAGAATGAGTGAAAGGAAAGGGACTGTACTCCAGAAGTAAAAAAGCTTTTCCATGTGGGTCGTTGCTATCAGTTCTTTCTTCAGAAACTGTCGCACGGCGATTGAGTTACATAAGATATTGTGGGAATGAATTGTTATGCTGGGAGCAGCCTCGTGTTAGAGAAACTCTCTTCCCTAGATCAAGGGTCGCAAAACTAAACCAGAAGAAAAAGGCACACACAAAAAATCTCCTCTGGAATGTGGAAGTTTTTTTATTTCCATACTGAGTGGTGTTGCATCTTTGCCACATATTCTGAGGTCATACACTGAATTCTCAATTTTTGACCTGCTTCTGAGTTTCACAGAACAAAGACTCACCAAATCAGATTTTCCCAGTACATAAATTACATTCAGGGAATACATCAGGCACCTCTGGAAGCAGCACTGACATTTTTAGGCCACCAGGACAACTATAACTGAATTACTTCTTCCATGGAATAAGTAGACTCTTGTCTTGATCTGGGAGAGTGAATTCAGTTTCTTAAAGGGCCAAATCTAGTATTTTTTGAATAAACTGAAAGACTAGGGGTTTAACAGAAGGCAGGTCACAAGCCAGAGGGACACACCTGGGATTATCACAAGTGCACGAGGCATCAAGGGAGGACGGTCTGGTGGCCAGAGAGTGCAATAAAGACCTGTAGCAGAGGGTCAGTGGCTTCACTGATGAGTACACCCCAAAGGCCAAAATCCTGTATTTTTTCTCATGCTCATTTACTTCTGAAAACTCAGTGGTCTTGGGTGGAAAGAGGGGGAGATGACCAACCAGGCAGGTACCAAAAAGCTTCAGCCTCATGTGGCAAGACTACAACCTGGGCTAAACAGTGTAAAGAGACTGCAGGGCTGTGGGCCGAGGGGTTAGAAGCTGTCTCTTTCCCTATCTGTGCCTCACCTTGATCACAGGAATGTCGTGTGGTTAATTTGCTGGCTGAATAAAGATGATTAAATACCATTACTTGCACTTGGCTAGATATTAAACAAATCAAGAAAGAATTATTGTGTAAGTATACATTTAATTACTTATGAAGTTTCCAGAGAAAAATTTTAATTTCACTAATGCTTGCAAACCAATGAACATCAAAAATCTTAAAAATAAAAAAGAATACAAGAAGCAAGGATACATTAAAGGATCAAATTAAATTTTCGCATAGGAGTTACATATTTTAAGTGCTTAATATAGTCTAGAAATTATTTTAGGCATTTTATATTTTAAAAATCTTATTTGCCTTTGACCTGGAAATACATATTCCAGAATAATAAAACTTGACAATATCTAAAGAACATTTAGCCTAATCCCTTCATTTTTATCAGTTGGTTTCCTATTATGCTATATTTGTAAATATTTTAACTTGAAGAATATTTTTAAAAAGGGACATTCATGATTCTGCAACTTAACTACCTCCTTGGAAAATTATGTAAAGTAAGATTTAAAAGCACTACTCTCCCACTCCATCAGTGAGAAGCAGTCTGAAGACTTCCCATTCGACTTTTTTCTATGTTTATCAAGTTATTTCTACATTGAAAGAGAAACAGAGAGAGAAGGAGGGAGAGACTTTTAAAAATCATGTTCTACATTTTGATTCAGATGGTGCTTTTTCAATTTATAATAAACTACTGACATTATTCAAGAAAAGCAAACATAGAGACTCTTAATTCTTTTTCATGGTTGCGTAGTACTTTATTGTATTATGAACCATAATCTGTCTAATTTTTCCTCTATTGATAGATAGTTAAGTTCTTTTCTATCTTTTTCCATCACAACCTAAACTAAAATGAATAATCTTACATACGCATATATGTAAATTATATACACACACACACACACACACACACACATATATATCAATTTTTCTGGGCTCTGGTTTAGACTTGTAAAGAAAGATTCCAGATTAAAGATTTCTCATTTTACATACAAAGGAACTGATGCCCTCAACATGGGTCTACAGAGATTAGCTTGATGTAAACCAGAAGGCTCAGTGACCCTCAGAATGGGGAAAGAAAAGTGAATAGAGGAAATGTCAAGTGAGGAATTAGAAGTCAAAGGCTCAAGTTTCACTCTGAAAGTTAGGAACCTGCTTGGGGTGATATGTATCACTATTAAACCCTCACTACACAAAAGGGACTCTGAATGAGGTGAAGAGATTGATTGGAGGCCCCAAATGTAGTAGAAGATCAGCCACAAAGAAAGTCGGGACCCCAGACCTGGTGCTTAATTGCAGCCTGCTGTGGTTTAAATGTATGTGTCCCTACACAATGTATATGTTGAAACCTAATTGCCAAGGTGATGGTATACTAGAAGATGGAGATTTGGACAGCTCACGAGGACTCTGCGCTTGTGAATGGGATTAACGCTTTTATAAAAGAAGCTTCAGGAAGCTGCCTTGCCCTTTTGTCCCTTTTGCCATGTGAGGACACAGTGTTTGTCCCCTCCTGAGGGCACAGAAACAAGGCACCATCTTGGAAGCAGACAGCAGCCTCACCAGACACCAAATCTGCCAGCTCTTTCACCTTGGACTTCCTAACTTCCAGAACTGTGAGAAATAAATTTCTATTATTTATTAATTACCCAATTTAAGGTATTTTGTTATAGCAGCCTACATGGACTAAGACATAGTCCTTGAGGATAGAGGAGTGGGGCAGGACTGGAATTCAGACAAGAAACAGGAAAAAGAGAACATCACCACAGGGCGAGTAAGAAGAGGCCATGTCTCACAGCAGCTGGTGAAGGCCACAGGCAAGAACACTCTCGGAGGGGTTTCCTGTTATTGCCTATTCTGTGACCCCTCTCCTCTGTCCCCAAAGCTTCAGTGAAAGCTGCTGCATGACAAACCCTTGTAGCAGCAATAACTTGGGGGAATAAAGGAAATAAAGCAAGAGAGGGATTGTCCCAAGTTTCAAGAGTGGCAAAGGCAGCAGAGGCCCAGGGTGAAGTGGGCAGATGAAGGCAAGAGCGGAAGCAAGCTGGGGCCTGGAGTGACCTGGAGCAGAAAAGACGCAGACCATCCTATCCACATGAGCTAGAGGAAGGTGGCCTTGAAGAAGGAGGAGGAGTTCACGCCCTTAGTTTACGTAAATAGGGGCTGTCCATGAGCAGCCACATGGGTCACAAATGGATAGCCCTATCATCTTAATTTTTTTTCATTTCAGCAAATGTACCAGAAACACATTCACCTCAAAGCCCAATAGCAGCTTGAAGAGGAATTTTTTTTTTTTTTTTTTTTTTGGTCATTCATTCCTTGCCACACAGATCTTAAACTTTAATTTCCAAATCTGTATGCTGGCTGCAACAATTTCCTTCTAGTACTTCCCACTTCCACCTGCCCCTCACCCATGCTCAGTCTGCCACGCAGCCTGCCTCCCACTGGCCCCAAGCCACAGCTAGACTGCTGTCATTGTTGACTGCCAGTCTGGCCAAATGGTCCTAGCAGCAGCATATACCTACTTGGCACAGAGAAGGAGAAAACAAGGACTTATGTTTTCCCTCTACTGGATCTCTCTTTTCTTTTTCTCCTCTCCTTCTCTCTCTCTCTCTCTTTCTCTTTTCTCTCTGCAGTTCTTTGCATATTATAAGTCACAAATCAAAACAGATGTCTCTCTACATCCTCCAATACCTCTCTAGGCACATGTCACTCAGGAAAATATTGCCCATCAGACTCTGATGTCGTGAAAAGACAGAGAAATAAACTGTAGTGAATTCTCCAGGGAAGATCATGTCTGAAACTGATTCTTGCAGTTAATCCTTCCATATGTCCTTGATCACAATGTCCCAATAAGTAGTCACACTATTTCTGTTCAGCCAGAGTACCCTGTGACACATTAACTCTACCTCCACCCCCGACCTCGAAAAAGTTTAATTTTCTTTTCATCAATAATTTTTTATTTTTAATTTATGTGGGCTCCTAGTAGGTGTACATATTTATGGGTTATGTGAGATATTTTGCTACAGGCATACAATGTGTAATAATCACATCAAGGTAAATGGGGTCTCCATCACCTGAAGCGTTTATCCTTTGTGTTACAAACAACCCAATTATAATCTTTTAGTTATTGTTAAAATGTATAATTACTTTTGACTATCATCACACTGTTTTGCTAACAAATACTAGGTCTAATTCATTCTTTACATTTCTTGTACCCCTTAAAAAGTCACACTATTGTGCTAGCAAACACTAGCTAGCACTAGGTCTTATTCATCCTTTCTATTTTTTGTACCACTTTAAAATGTCTGATTTTCTGGGCGGGGCACGGTGGCTCACCCCTGTAATCCCAACACTTGGGAGGCTGAGGCAGGTGGATCACTTGAGGTTGGGAGTTCGAGACCAGCCTGACCAACATGGAGAAACCCCGTCTCTACTAAAAATACAAAATTAGCTACGCGTGGTGGCACATGCCTGTAATCCCAGCTACTCGGGAGGCTGAGGCAGGAGAATCACTTGAACCCGGGAGGCGGAGGTTGCAGTGAGCCAAGATAGCACCACTGCACTCCAGCCTGGGCAACAAGAGCAAAATTCTGTCAAAAAAAAAGAAAAAAGAAAAAGTTTGATTTTCTGATACAATTGTCTTTATTAGAGTTAGAGCTTAGGAGGGAAAGCTCACTCTCTCGCTTGTCCTTCAGCATTTAGAGCACAGTTTCAGGGTGTAGTAGTGCATTCCTGCTTTTCTGAGATCACTGCGCACTATAGAGCAGGATATCTGCGCTGCTTCCTGCAATCCATGGGTTACTTGGCAATGACGAGCTGCCAGGAAAATCAAACCATTTGTGAAGTAAGAAGGCTTCGAGGAAGCAGTATGGCACGCTAGAGAGTGGGCAGTTTCTCTCCTTTTCTGTGGCAGTTTCTTTGTCAAATGGAAGAATCATACCCACCTCTGAGTGTAAAATTGGCAGTGTACACAACATGCATGGTAAAATACCTGCCATGTCACGTGCTCAGGCTTTAGTTCATTGTTTCATCCTGTGATGCTTTGGGGTTTGTGCCTCCTGACAGCTTACCATGTCCTACATCCTCATCCTTCCCTCTTACCAGGATCAATTATATTATGACTGTTTGGTAAATATTCATGAGATTACAGACAACGGCTGTGGTTTCCAGTAAGGAATAAGAGAGGGAAAGAGACAGACCTGACACTTACTGGGTGTCTTCTGTGCTAGGAACTTTATACATTGTCTTCATTCAAGTTCCTGGGAAACACATGTTGAGATGGAGAATTGCATGCAGAAGTCTGATTACAGAATATTTTCAGAGATACACCCACAAGAAAGTAAGCAGGCTAGGATCACACCAAGAGTGATGCTGACCTGCAATGAAGTAACAGTAGAGTTACTTATAAGAGTTTCTAGCTTATCATCTGGAAAGCTTTTGAGCGGAAATGCCCTTCAGAGATACTCCAGATTGAGGCAAGGGGTTGGATTTTGCATGTCTACATAAAGCAGTTATTGGCCAGAGACCACCTCTGAGAGGGAATGTAACATTGGATGTGGCATTCCATGCTGTCAAGCACAACTCTTGCAAGGGCACAGCTATGAGTCCTCAGCAGCCAACATCACCAGTGAGGGACTATACCAGGAAACTGCGGTGGGGGAGAGAATCCCGATACATAAACTGAAAAGGGGATCCAGGCAGAGCACCATAGTGTCCACTACGGTTTATCCCCTGCACCATTCAGACCCACTTGCTTCTTATCATAAATTTTCCTCATCTAGTTACAGCTTCTCCACATTCTATCTGATCTGTTCTCCCAGGGACTTTTCAGAAAGAACAGGAAATGAACTAAAATACTGCTACTGAAGCTGACCTCCAAGTCATAACTGATGGTCATCATTCCTCCTCCACATTCCATTCTAGGTTCCCCTCACTGTCAGCTAGAACCTCTGCTGGTTTAGACAACTCCTGGTATGGTGACCCAAACCCTTATCACTGGTCACCATGTATTCCATAGGCCATGGCTGTTATAATTGCTTATTTACTGTTACGACTGGGTATTATATGTGAGCAATAATCATATTCTTTCCTGTGCTCTTTCTGTAGCAGCAGCCATGCTTCCTCCCGATGATCAAGAAGAATTCCTCCTGCCAGTACAGTGACTCCTTTCCTGTTGTCCTCTTGGCACAAGGAACCTGAAGGGACCAGACAGCAGCCATACTTTCAAGCTCATGGTGCTTTTACTGTTTCCTGGTGAAAGCATTCTTCTCTGGAAGCCAGAATGCATAGGGCCTAATGCTGATGGTGAATACCACATTTTGGAGGATGGTGCCCCATCCCTAGAGGGAATCTCACTTTTATTTTAAAATCCATCATACCACTCCATCAGGCCAGCAGTCTCCTGTGGGGTGGGACCAGGTTCCCAAGTCATGGACCCAATGCCACACAACCTTTGCTGTAAAGTGGGTGCATTGGCCAAAGGCAATATTGTGCAGTATCCCACACTGATGAATCAAATCTTCTGTAAGCCTGAGATAATGGTGCTGGGCAGAGGCTCTGTGCGCAGGAAAGGCAAATTCACACCCAGAATATGTGTACATAATGGTAAAGATGAATTGCTGTCTTTTCCAGTGTGCAAGAGCTCCAAAGTAATCAACTTTCCACCAAGTGGCTGGTTTTCCCCTCCAGAAATAGTGCTGTTAGAGGCTCTGCTTGTAGAGGAAGGTTGGGTATTTGGTAGCAGCAGTAGCTAGATCAGTCTTGATGAGTACGAGAGGCAGTCCATACTGTTAGGGCCATCATAGCCCCTATCCCTGCCACCATGACTACTCTATTCATGTTCCCATTGTCCTTGTACTGTCAGAGACTGATCAGCCAGTCTCTGATGTCAACTAATGAGTGATTTGGTTTACATGGTTGTTTAATCCCTGTCCCATGGTGAATGCATCTAGGTAGGCTTTAATACAAAGATCTTAAAACTTTGTGCCCATTCTCATAGGTCTATCCATGGTCACTTTCCCAGACCCCCTTGTCCATAATCTTTCAAACTGCTTGGGTGCATGTACATTCTTATTTCAAGCTACTTCTCTTCCCACATAAAATGGATGCACCGCCCAGAACTTTGCCCAGTGGGAAGATTTTTCCCTTAACGCTATCTTTCAGGGGCTCCTAAGTGGGGTTGTAGTGTAGCAGCATTTTCAGTTTGCATCAGTACACACAAGCTGATCCATAACTACATTCAGACTTTTCCTCCTCTACCAACTGGCCACAGGCTTCTCCCTACCCCCATGCAGCCATAGGGAGAGCTGTGGGAGAGGTGCTGGTACAACAGTGACAATGTCAGAACCCAGCTTAAGATGAACAGTACTGGCCACATGGTTACTTGATGTCTGATGATCAGCTGCTTCATCTTTATCAAGGCATAGTAGCAAGCCAGGAGTTGTTTTTTGTGAATGTTGTATGACAGGCCTTGCTCTAAAACCCTATGAGCCTACACTGTGATTCTCCTGTTGGCCTTTGCCATCAACACTACATGGCATCCTCTTCCACCACAGATAGATGTTTGACACCATGGAGCCTGCTGAATGATCTGAGCATTCTGCAGAGCTCTTTTCTGCTCTAGGCCCCACTCAAATCTGGCAACCTCTCATATTACCATGCAGCAAATCGGTCTGAGACATATTCCAAATATGGAATATGCTGCTCCCACAACTTGAAGAAACCTTGTAAGTATTATGCTTTTTTTATAAAGGTGAGAGGTGTAAGATGCAACAATTTGTTCTTAATTTGGAGACGATGCCCCAACATAACCCAGAACACTGAATTTCTAAAAAATATTATTGATTTATGCAGCCTACAAACATATGAAAAAAGCTCATCATCACTGGTCATTAGAGAAATACAAATCAGAACCACAATGAGATACCATCTCACGCCAGTTAGAATGGTGATCATTAAAAAGTCAGGAAACAACAGATGCTGGAGAGGATGTGGAGAAATAGAACACTTTTATACTGTTGTGGGAGTGTAAATTAGTTCAACCATTGTGGAAGGCAGTGTGGTGATTCCTCAAGGATCTAGAATCAGAAATACCATTTGACCTAGCAATCCCATTATTGGGTATATACCCAAAGGATTATAAATCATGCTACTATAAAGACACATGCACACATATGTTTATTGCAGCACTGTTCACAATAGCAAAGACTTGGAACCAATCCAAATGTCCATCAGTGTTAGACTGGCTAAAGAAAATGTGGCACATATACACCACGGAATACTATGCAGCCATAAAAAAGGAGGAGTTAATGTCCTTTGCAGGGACATGGATGAAGCTGGAAACCATCATTCTCAGCAGACTAACACAAGAACAGAAAAACAAACACTGCATGGTCTCACTCATAAGTGGGAGTTGAACAATGAGAACACATGGACACAGCGAGGGGAACATCACACACTGGAGCCTGTCAGAGGGTGGGAGGCAAGGGGAGGGATAGCATTAGGAGAAATACCTAATGTAGATGACGGGTTGATGGGTGCAGCAAAACACCATGGCATGTGTATACCTATGTAACAAACCTGCATGTTCTGCACATTTATCCCGGAACTTATTTTATATATATATATATATATATATATATATATATATATATATATATATATACATACACACACACACACACACACACACACACACACACACACACACACACATATACATATATATAAAATTGATCCAGTAGGCCCCTGAATCTTCATAGGGATTATCACCCACTCTCTGGTGTGGCCGTCTTATCAAAGCCTCTAACATACTTGCCATTTCTTGCTAATCTGTTCCAATTATCAGAATGTCATCAGTATAGAGAACCAACATGATGTTCTGAGGAATGCCCAGATAGCCCCAGTTCTTTCAGACAGAGTGGAGGAATTAACAAAGCCCTGAGGCAGGACTGTAAATGCATATTGTTGTTTATTTCACACAAATGGGAACTGCATACAATAATCCTTTTGATAACTAGAAAAGAATGTATTTGCCAGATCAGTGGCTGCATACCATGTTATTTTGCTCCAGCAAAGATTCTACATGAGATTGCTGCAAGAGGGTACAACTTGGTCAAGCTATCCAATTTTTATAAAGGCCAGAATGATTAATTAAATTAAGAAATGACAGAGACCACTGCCTGTGCATTCTTAATATCTTTAAAGGTGTCATTAATGTCTACTATTTTCCCTAGAATGTATTATTGATGTTGATTTATTATCTTTGCTAAGGGATTAAAAAGGCTGTTTTGATGGCTTCCAGTTGGCATTTCACACTCTGATACCTCTTAACCACAGGCCAATAAACCAGTGTGAGGGTTCTACTAACTATCAAACATGTTCATTACAGTTATAAACTCAGGGGCCAGGGAAGTAACCATTATGTAGGTCCACTGACTGAATGGATTCACTGTGAATGGATCTGAGTCAAAATGCCACTTATTACGAGACAACCATGTGTCTTCATTCTAATGGTGAGTCATAATGGCATTTTGGGTCAGGCATCAATGCCAGTTCAGATCTTGTGACCAACAATTTTGAAAGGTCTAGGTATTCTCTTTTTCCTAATGCACACAAGTAAATAGGCATAGGCCTCTTTGGGTAAAGAATGGGGCAATTACTGCTAAAGATACCTGTGACACTGTTGCAGACCGTGTGGCAGAGTCCCTTCTCATAAAGACCTAACCTCTCCATCAGTTAGTGGGTTCCAGATCTGAGAACTGCATAAGGTCTCGAAACTTTTAGTAAGACAGCTATCAGCCCCTGACCATCCATCTCCACAGCTCTCTGCAGGTTGGGCCACAAGACTGCCTCTTCAACATTGCAATTCCTTGTAATAACTGCCTACCTACTTCTGATTGTTAGGCGCTGCCACCTATCCTCTATTATGTTGAGATCTTATCAGCTCCACTGTGCTCAGAGAGCCCAGTATTCTCACAGCATCTCCTGTCATCAGTCCTGGCCAACAGAGGTCAGGCACTACTGGTCTTCCCAGCATTGCTGCTGTTCCTCTCTCAGGCACATTCCTTATTGTCAAACACAGGGTCCTCCAGACCCTCCAATGGAGCAGAGCCAGCTGAGGGGTTTTTGGCCTTACATTATATATCCACTCTAGCACATCTGATACTCTGAGACTTTTGATTCCTTCCTCCACCATGTGGCAGGAAAGTTCTGTCTCAACTTGACTTAATATGGACCATCACATTTTCCAAGCTTAAAGAGCCATCCTAGCAGCATATAAGCACTGTACCCAGAGTCCTTGCCAGGGTGTTTAATCCTGTATTATGGGAGAGTGCTCCTGTATGAATAACTCCCCCTTATCCAACTGTATACTCCACTGCTCCCTAAGCCAGAACCCTCAAGAACAAGACCCATGCATACTTTTCCACCCTTGCTGATCTCTATAATCCAGATCCTGCAACTCCTTTGATGTATAGTCTGTCTCCTCCCTTGGCTGGCCCAACCTATCCTCACTCAGGCTGTGCTGAGGATTTACCAGCATCATTTGAATGCCAGGAATAAAAAGAGGGTAGATCTTGGGGGTGGGGGTAGGTGTAACTATTTCCCTCATTGTCAAGACTTCTGCATATTATTTAAGCTAAGTAGAGCCACTATTTTCTCACAAGGGAAGGTAGGTCACTTTGCAAGTCCAGCAGATTTAAGAAAATTGAGGATTTCAAAGTTTACAACCTCATCTACCCAGGTATCCACAGCTCAAGTCTCAGGATTCCATTTTTCTTCTATCTGGGCCCTAACACTGTCTCAGGAGAATTGCCAGAATGTGAGTTTAACATTCTCTGAAGCTCCACTCTTCTTATGATTAAATCCTGAGCCTGGTCCTCCGCTCTGTCTGCCCTCCAGCTGCAAGAGATTAGGATTTCCTTAAATATTGCCAAGGAGGCCCTCCAGTTTCCACATTTTGTCTTGAATTGGTAATCACCTGAGCCCATCATTATCCCTCTTTGATGAATGTGTTGCTCAGTAACACCGCCCAATTCCAAAGTCACTGCAATTACAATTCCCTCTACTTCTTAAGAACCAGAGATATTGCACCAGCCAGTCTGTCTCCTTCCACCAATATCCCAACCCAATTTACCACTAGTAAAAGTTTTAACAATTACACCAGTAAGATACAGCAAGGAATGTCCATATTTCACTTAGAAATAGTCATGGGGTCCTCATTGTCATTCAGCTGGCAAAAGATTTTTCTCTTAGAATCTATTTCCTATGACCACTCCTGGTTCCAACTGTCTTCAACTGGCTTCCTTGGAAATAGACTCTGAAAATGAACCATTGCATGCAGAAGATATTTTTAGAAATGTTTTTGGAAGACACACCTGTTAGGAAGTGAAAAAGGTAGGATTGGGCAGGGTGAGAAGCTGGCCCACATGAGGTTACAACAGAACTCCAGAGGCTTCACAGTGAACTCTGGAACTCAGAAGGCCTTTCAGAATTGTCCCATAATGAACCACGGAGGACAGGCTTATGACAACCTACAGAAGCAAATCATTGGTTGCAAGTGACCCTTGGAAGGAAATGTAACATTGAGTGAGACAGTTTTCTGCTGCTGAGGGCAATTTCCAGCAAAGGGAGCTGCTTTGAGCCATCAGCAGCTGTTAATCCCAAAAGCAGGGCATTGGGTATGTCAGCCTTAAGGAGGGAATCTGGGCAGAGCACCGCAATACACACTACATATATCTTGTTTTATTTATATTCCAGCTGTGTTCAGCCAAGAGTTTCAATCCAGATTGGTTTCCTGCTTCCAGAAGAACTACACAGAAGGAACTGAACCTCGCAGAGATTAAGCCTTGCCCTGAGGTCAAATGAGTTGGTGAGTGACAGAGACAGCAGGATCAGGCAGGCAAGTAGGGTAGCTCATTATTGAGGAAATGGTGAAGTCATAGTCTTCTGTCACAGGATCCAAGCTACGTACAGGAAGTCTCTAGAAGAGCCTCAGCATTTAGAATTCAAAAGACTTAGGAAGCTCATTGTCACAGCAGCAATGGAAGGACTTTGGCACAATTTCTCAAGCACCTGCAAGAGGGTTTCAGCTTGTTTTTAAAGAGAAACAGCTCAAGCCAAATTGCCCAATCCATCCTTCAAGAAGAGACTGATTGTCATTAAAAGGCTACTGCTAGTCTCTGTCTAGAACACTCCAATGTCTGCCTTCTGAGAGCATTCATGTTGCCTCGTGTCCTACAGGGCACCCAATGGGTGTTAAATATCTAGAAATCTCCAGTCTCAGGCCCTGCTTAATTTTTTCTTCATTTTCTCAGTGTTAGGCAGACATCAGGATCACTCTCAAGTGGGTGACATGAGCCACTGTTCTTACTCCAGGAAAAGGTGCATGCAACATTTTTCTTTGACTACAGCGTACTGAGATGTCTTTGGAAGAAGATCCACATATATTACCACAACTGCTACCAGATATTCCTTCAAAGCATGTAAAAATGGAATTAGTCCCAGAGTTTGCCAGAGATCGAGTTTCAATGGCCAGGCTTCACCTCCAAATCATTGTGGTCCATTCATCCATTCACTTAATTGGTGCTAATGAAGCTCAGAACTACTGATTTGGTTGAAATGTGGACCAGTTAGCCCTGTTCTCATCTCTGATTATATGGGCTCTAATCCCAAACCCAGGCATCTTGATCCCAGATGCAGACTGGGTTGTGGTGGAACAGATGGGGCATGTGAATGGACCACAAATGAAAATCATAGGCCAAGTCACCCTTCTGATAGCAAGCCAACTATCTTAACCTCCACAGGGAGATACAATCACTATGAGGGAATATGAGTACTTAATAATCACTTGTGAAATTAATGGACAAACTCCTTAAATGGAGTAATTATACTCTGCATTTCACAGGTCTACCCACGGCTTCTCTGTTTCCGTGTTAAACTAGAAATTGATGCTGAGCAGAGCTTTCCCTCCTCCTCATCCACTGGCAGGAAACATATCATGTCTCAGCACACCAGGGGATACCCGGTGACTTGCTGGGGAGCGTGAGCTGGAGCAGGTCCTATGACAGCATGCGCCACTTTGCCTTAATAAAAATTACCAAACTTAAAACAGATGACAGCTGCAGATGCTGAGAAACTGAAACATATAAACTATCTCTTTTTCTTGGAATTTTTTTCTCATTGGGTGGGTCTTTTTTTTTTTTGCCCAACTGGTGTGTGTGTGTGTGTGTGTGTGTGTGTGTGTGTGTGTGTGTGCACGTGTCGTCCATGTGTTAATGAAGACGGTGGGAGGCCTTTGGCCGGGTGTGCACCAGCTGTAGCCTGAAGAAACAGCTCCCCGGACACTGACCAGACTTGATTAAATGGTGGGGTGGTCTGTTCTAGAAGAATCCACCTCACACAGGGGGTCTCCTTTGATTATTTCTACTTTTGTCATCAGAAGGACACTTGGGAACCATGTCTATTTTCCTGAATCTTCCTGTGTTGCATCACTTCCCCGTTTGGCACTTTCTTTTTCCCCAGGTCACTCTATCAGTCAACTATATTTATTAAAACCCTACCATAGTTAGAATACCTCCATTAGATTCCGCAAAATAAGCAAGACGCTCCCTGCCTATGAGAAGCACACAGACTGCTTTAGGAGAAATCACGCACAAGCATGAGGCCACTTGACACTGTGTGAAAGTAGCGACGTACCGCAGTGTAAAACATCATTATAAAGCGAACGGAGGGCAACGAAGCACAGGCCAAAACAGAGCTGAGCAACATTCACGAAAACAGGCCTCCTAGGAGAGGCAAACTGTGAAGAAATTATTGTTAACGCCTCCACGTACTATATCCCATGCTGAAAATAATACATCCAATGATTAAGCTCCTTTGATTCTACCTTCAAATTTCCTTTTGTGATATTTCTCAAACCTGTTTTTCCTCTCCCACCAGCAGGCCATAAATTGCTTTGCTTCTGTCACATATTTTAACTGGCCTGCAGGTGTCCAGCCTCTCTTCCATTTCACCTTGGCAATGTATGATTGTCACATTTTCTTTGTAAAGTGGAATTACTTCAAATAAATCATTGGCCTGTTCAAGAACCAATAACAACTTCATGGTGATTCTTAGGAGAAGGCAGAAGGACTGCACTCATAGACCCCAGATGTAACCTACATATAAGTAATCTTTTAACAGCCAAACAGTATTTAACACTCTTATTAAATTATTGTTATTACAATTTAGTGAATCGTTTAGTAAATTGTATGTATTTGCTTTTATAGAGTTGGTTTAATCACTTACAGATAATTATTTGAGTTCTGAATTAATACCTTTAAACCATGAACCTGATTTGGATAGAGGTAAAAATTGGAATCATTAGCCTAGTGCTCTAAGTAGAGGAAAGATAGGATATGTTGTTCAAATCTACATGTTTAGCCTTTACCCACATCCCTGCCAACTAGCTCAATGGTAAATAGATGAGGCAACAATCAGGAAAGATCTCAGGCTAAAGGAACTATGATTTAAATTAACATCATATTCCATAACTTCCACAGCAAAGCAAGTAACATCATCTTCCTTCACTCTGTAAATTTTTTCTTACTTGCTTTTTGAGAGATAGAAGTGAATCTCCCCAAGGACTACTAGTGGCAAATAAACTACATCAATAAGAGTGGACAAACAAGCAAGAAGAGTTGGAAACCTTTTTGAAAAAGCAAATAATGAGGGAGAACTAATCCTGTCAGAAATTATACTAGAAAAATAAAATAATGAAAACAGTGTGGTACTGGTTCATAAATAAAAATCCATAATAATGAAACAAAAAAGGTCAAAAATAGATCTAATTACCTATGGAAATTTAGTATATGTAAAGGTGACATTTTAAACTAGTAATAAAAAGATGTTGCTCAGATGAATAAACAGCCCTTTCAGAAAAAAATATGACTTATTTTCCTACCTCACCTCTAATTTCAAAACAAAGTTCAGATAAATATAAGATTTAAATATATTTTAAAATGGAGTGAAAATACAAATATATATATATATATAGTTTGGTGGGGGGACGGAGTCTCGCTCTGTCGCCAGGCTAGAGTCCAGTGGCACAATCTCGGCTCACTGCAACCTCCACCTCCCAGGTTCAAGCGATTCCCCTGCCTCAGCCTCCTGAGTAGCTGGAACTACAGTCATGTGCCACCACGCCCGGCTAATTTTTTGTATTTTAGTAGAGACAGGGTTTCACCATGTTGGCCAGGATGATCTCGATCTCCTGACCTTGTGATCCACCTGCCTCGGCCTCCCAAAGTGCTGGGATTACAGGCGTGAGCCACCGTGCCTGGACACAGATATATTTTTTAAAGTTCAAGAAGAAAATATGCAATCATTTTTTTTAAACAGAATGTAGGGGCAGCTGTTTTGGACAACAGTTTGTTAGGTAAAGATAGCTGTGTGACTCAACAATTTCACTCTTAGGAATATAGCCAAGGAAACTGTAAATGTAAGTTCACACAAAAGCATTCATGTATGTGAATGTTTATAGCAACATTATTCAAAATAGGCAAAGAGTGTAAACAACTCTAACGTCCATGAGCTGATGAATCCATAAACAGAATGTGTTATATCCACACAATGATATTATTCAGTCATGAAGAACTGTGAAGTACTGATGTATGCTACAGCATGGATGGACCTTGAAAACTCTACGCTAAGTAAAAGGAGTCAGACACAAAAGGCTACATATTGTATGATTCTATTTATATGAAACATCCAGAATAGGCAAATTGTAGAGACAGAGAATAGATTAGTGGTTGCCAGGGACTGGAAGCAGGGATGAATGCTCTGTGACTGCTATTGGGTACATGGTTTCTTTAGGGGCTGATGAAAATATTCTGGAATTAGTGGTGATGGTTGTATAGCCTTGGGAATACCCCAAAAACCACTTTAAAAAATATAATTGACATAGTTTAAACAGGACATCTTAATAGAAAATTTTTAAATGCACTTGACTGAATGAAAATAAAAATGCACATAACAAAATTCACTGGACAGAGCTAAAACAATGCTAAAACATTTATAGCACTAAACTGTAGCATTAAAAACAGCAAGAGTCTCAAATCAATAATCTAATCCCCCACCTAAAGAATCTAGAAAAGACCAAGATGAACTCAAAGGTATAAAAGAAAAATAATAAAGATAAGTGTAGAAATCAATAAAATTGAAAACAGAAAAAATAATGGGGAAAATCAATCAAACAAAAAGCTAATTATTTGAAAAGAATAATAAAATTGACAAAACACCAGCAAAACTGACAATTAAAAAAAAAGAGAAGATATGAATTACCAATGTCAGGAATGAAACAGGAAAGCACTACAGACCCTGTGAGAGGTGACAGCGTGCTGGCAGTCCTCACAGCCGTCGCTCGCTCTCGGCGCCTCCTCTGCCTGGGCTCCCACTTTGGCGGCACTTGAGGAGCCCTTCAGCCCACCGCTGCACTATGGGAGCCCCTTTCTGGGCTGGCCAAGGCCAGAGCCTACTCCCTCAGCTTGCCGGGAGGTGTGGAGGGAGAGGCGTGAGCGGGAACCAGGGCTGCGGGCGGCGCTTGCGGGCCAGCGGGAGTTCCGGGTGGGCGTGGCCTTGGCGAGCTCTGCACTCTGAGCAGCCCGCCGGCCCTGCCGGCCCCAGGCAATGAGGGGCTTAGCACCCGGGCCAGCGGCTGTGGAGGGTGTACTGGGTCCCCCAGCAGTGCCAGCCCACTGGCGCTGCGCTCGATTTCTCGCCGGGCCTTAGCTGCCTTCCCGTGGGGCACGGCTTGGGACCTGCAGCCCGCCATGCCTGAGCCTCCCACCCGCTCCGTGGGCTCCTGTGCGGCCCGAGCCTCCTCCACGAGGGCCACCCCCTGCTCCACTGGTGCCCGGTCCCATTGACCACCCAAGGGCTGAGGAGTGCAGGCGCATGGCATGGGACTGGCAGGCAGCTCCACCTGCAGCCCCGGTGCAGGATCCACTGGGTGAAGCCAGCTGGGCTCGTGAGTCTGGTGGGGCCTTGGAGAACCTTTATGTCTAGCTCAGGGATTGTAAATACACCAATGGGCACTCTGTATCTAGCTCAAGGTTTGTAAACACACCAATCAGCACCCTGTGTTTAGCTCAGGGTTTGTGAGTGCACCAATCCACACTCTGTATCTAGCTGCTCTGGTGGGGCCTTGGAGAACCTTTGTGTCCATACTCTGTATCTAATCTGATGGGGACGTGGAGAACCTTTGTATCTAGCTCAGGGATTGTAAAGGCACCAATCAGTGCCCTGTCAAAACAGACCACTGGGCTCTACCAATCAGCAGGACGTGGGTGGGGCCAGATAAGAGAATAAAAGCAGGCTGCCGGAGCCAGCAGTGGCAACCCGCTCGGGTCCCCTTCCACACTGTGGAAGGTTTGTTCTTTTGCTCTTTGCAATAAATCTTGCTACTGCTCACTCTTTGGGTCCACACTGCTTTTATGAGCTGTAACACTCACCGGGAAGGTCTGCAGCTTCACTCCTGAAGCCAGAGAGACCACGAGCCCACCGGGAGGAAGGAACAACTCCAGACGCCCCGCCTTAAGAGCTGTAACACTGACGGAGAACGTCTGCAGCTTCACTCCTGAGCCAGTGAGACCACGAACCCACCAGAAGGAAGAAACTCCGAACACATCGGAACATCAGAAGGCACAAACTCCAGACACGCCACCTTAAGAGCTGTAACACTCACCGCAAGGGTCCGCGGCTTCATTCTTGAAGTCAGTGAGACCAAGAACCCACCAATTCCGGACACACACCTGGAGACATAAAAAGATAAGAATACTATGAACAACTTTACACACATAAATTTGAAAACTTAAAAAAATGAATAAATTCTTGGAAAAGCACAAACTTCCTTAATTTATCCAATATGAAATACGTAATTTGAATAGTCCTATCATAATAAGGAAATTGAATTCAAAATTTTAAAATTCAAAAAAGAAATCTCCAGGCCCAGATAGTTTCACTGAATATTCTATTAAACATTTAAAGAATTAACAAAGTTTCTTTCCATCTATTTCAGAAAGTAGAAGAGGAGGAACTTTCCTAGGTGTTTTGTGAACTAGTATTACCTTGATCCCAAAGCCAGACAGCATAAACAAAGGAAACTACAGACCACTATACCTCAAGAATACAAACACAAAAATTCTTAATAAAATATTATGAAATAGAATTCAGCAATATGTAAAAAGAATTGTAGATCATGACCAAGTGGGTTAATTCCAGAGATGTAAGGCTTGCTCAATATTTGAAAACCAATCTATTTAATCCACTATACTGAGAGGCAAAGGAATAAAAATGACACAATGATATCTACTGATGGCAGAAAAAGCAGTTGATAAAATTCAATACCCCTTTATGATAAAAACTCTCCGAAAGTTAGGAATAAGGGAAACTTCCTAAACATGATAAGATCATTGACAAAGCCTACAGCTAATACCGTATACTCAGCGAGGACAAATTGAACTCTTTTTCTTTAAGATCCAGAACAAGGAAATAATATCTACTTTTATTCAACGCAGTACTGGAAGTTCTAGCCACTGGATAAGGCAAGAAAGGTAAGTGAAAACAATACTGATTGGAATGGACAAATAAAAATGTCTCTATTTGCAGATTACATAATTGTCTATGTACAAAATCCCAATAAATCTATCCCCCAAAATTCTAAAGCTGATAAGGATATAAGATAAACATCAAATTAAATTAAAACCACAGTGAGATATCACTACGCACCTATCAAAATGACTAAAATAAAAAGTAGTGACATCAAACGGATGCAGAGAAACTGAATCACTCATAAAATGGTACAGCCACCCTGGAAAACAGTTGGGCAGTTTCTAAAAAAAGTTAAACATACACTTACAGACAACTTACATTTCTTTCTTCACTTTAACATGACTGGTACATTTCTATATTTCATTTCATATAAGCACAGTCTACATAGAATGGCAAGATTTAAAAGACGATATACACTATTTAGAGAAAGGTTTCAAGAAATACAGAAAATATCCTTTCATTGCTCTCAACTACTGCTTAATCTCTTCTGCTCTGGTTGCCAGCTTTAAATAATTTAATTGACCCTACATCTTCCTTAGCTTGCCTTAGACTAGTCAAGTCGCTACTATACCTTGAGAATCTCCTAGCACATTTCTCAGGTACTGAAACCTCTCAGGCTTTGTTCTACTGTGCTTCTAATGGCTCTGAAAAAGTAACTATATGTGTTTGTTTTCTGTCTATTTCAAGAAAAGATTCATCCCATTTCTATGCCCTTAACACCCATCTATTTTGCTTTTCTTCAGTTTTCCTTTTTATGGTTGGAGGCCCTAAAAGAAAGAACATAATTAGCCTTATTTAATGTTTGCCCAGTGACCTACCTTTGCTAGCCCTTCCACCACACTACACATGTCCCTTCCTGTTCCCACCCTTCCAGCATTTTGAGCTCTGTGCCCTGGAAAAATCCCCTGTGAGCCTTGTAGAATACTCATTCAGCACTTCCCTGGGCAGCACGTCTCATTTTCAAGTTCATGATAAAAACATTTGACTTTTCTATTCTTTGAGGAATCGCCACACTTCTTCAAATTAGTTGAACTAATTTACACTCCCACCAACAGTGTAAAAGCCTCCATGGAATACTATGCAGCCATAAAAAGGAACAAGATCATGTCTTTGCAGGGACATGGATGAGTTTGAAGCCATTATCCTCAGCAAACTAACGCAGGAACAGAAAACCAAACACTGTATGTTCTCACTTATTAGTGGGAGCTGAACAATGAGAACACATGGACACGAATGGGGAACAACACACACTGAGGCCTGTTGGCAAGGAGGAGTTGGGGAAGGGAGAGCATCAGGATAAATAGTTAATGTATGCTGGGCTTAATACCAAGGTTGGGTTGATAGGTGCAGCAAACCACCATGGCACAGGTTTACCTATGTAACAAACCCGCACGTCCTGCACATGTATCCTGGAACTTATAATAAAATTAAATTCAATTTAAAATTTTTAAAAAGACAGATCCCAAAGGAAAAAAATTGACTTTTCTAAAATCCTAGACAATATCAGCACTTTATTTCTTAGTTAACCAGGACATAATAACCTTTTTAAATTGAAATATGGAAAAATAGATTGTAAGTCTATAGGATTTAAATCTGGAAAGAGATTAAATATAATCTATCATTATAAAGAGAGAAAAGTAGCCTGGTTAAGGGCACTCAGAAAGTTTGCAGCAGGGTCAAAAGAAAGTATTTTATCTACACTGTTTTCTGTTGCAAGCTACTAAACACTTTATATTTCAAATGTATATCTTCACTTTGGAATAATAACAGAAATATCCAGGCAAAGCTTCTCAAGGCAATAACCAATCTCTTTCTTATGTGAGCTGAGTCCCAAAGGGTAAACTTTTAGATTTGGAGAAATATATTCATATACTTCAGATTTTTCAATTTATTTTGATTAATATTATAATATTAACTTCCCCTTTTAATTACATGATTTTATAATTATGTTACTTTAAGTTATTTTTATTATAAAACCCAACCTGTTTCATTTATAGTCATAGGTATTCTGTATTAGTAGTATCTATGGGCTTCTGGTATCTTTGGGATCTAAGGCAATCCATGGGAAAATATGAGTCACATTGAAATATTCACTTTATAGTCAACTCTTCAGGAAGGTGAAAGAGGCAAAGGAAGGAATATCTATAAATAAAAACAAACCTACAGCATTAATGATTTAAAAAACAAATCCATATAAATGGAGGATTCAATGTCAGCTCAACTAAATTCAAATATTATAGTCCATAATTCCTTATCTGAAATCTGTGTAGCCATATATACTTCAAAATTCAGAAATTTTTGAATTTTAGAAAGATAATACAGTACATCAGCTGCATATAACATATCACATCAGCAGAGTCTGGCATAGTCTTATATAATTAAGACCATTAATATTTCTGTAGAGAAAATCACAAATATTCACCCTACATATAGTAAATAAGACTATAAAAAGACATCAGATTAAATGAGGTTTCCTACCAAATTTGTTCAGGTCAGCTCAAGTTTTGCTATCAAATAAAGAGGGGAGAAAAAAAATAGTGTTCCAAGTTTTTTTGTACTTCAGAATTGTTTCTAAGAGATTACAGACCTAACGTATTGCCAATGAAAATAATTTTGTCTTGAGACTCTTCATATAATAAATTTACTAAATAATTCTGTATTTTATCATCTTTAAGTTTTGAAGAGGTTCTTTTGGTGTCTGTTTTTTGCTTGTTTGCTTGATTTGGAGAATCTCCAAAAAGAGGTTGTTACTATAGTCTCAGTTTTAATAGTGAATTTGCTTGGCAAATCAAATTATACTTTATATGTGCGTAGAAGTAACATATGGCTGCCTCTATGGCTGTTTAAAGTAACCTTGCCAAGGAAGGTTATTTTATACCTAAGTAACCTATGGCTACTTTGATGGCTGTGTAAAGTAACCTTGCCAAGGAAATGATCATTCCAGAACTGATGTGTTGTGTAAGTGGGGATTTTTGGAGATCAGAATTTCTTAAAGCACTCCCATCTGTACAGTAAAAATCAGCAAAAAGGCAGACCAAAGTTTATGATCTGTAACATAAAGAAAGAAGTAACCATAATTCAGGCATGATTTGCCGACTCTTTTGTTGTAGTCGTTTTGTTGTATTTTTGTTTGTTTGTTTGGAGAGGAAGGATTCCGCATACCACCCACCCTTTCCCCAGCACCAGCATTCTCAGATTGTCAGGATGTAACTACTGTAATTATTGTCAGCGCTCATGGGAGCTTTTGACTCTTCCAATATAATTGAATTTTTTAATTCCCTTCCTTTCTCCAGGGTTGTAATAACATGCACCTTGTTTTATTTGTGTTAGCATTATATTAATAGCTTATTCAATCATTGTAGATATGTGTTATAAATATTTCATATTCTGACATTTAAAAACCAATGTGTTTTTCAAATAGAATGACTCAGGGCTTAAATGCCAGAATGAGCTAAAATTATAAATCCAAAGAGTTTCTCATCTTCTAAAGCAAAGATTACCTAAAATATTTGGAGATTGGCCTTCTGTCACTTAGAAAATCTCAGAAATAATTATTTATATTGTATAAGACTAGATCTTTGAACAATTATTTCACATATATAACGCATTTCTAACAATGTTACTACCACTTGAGAAGTTGAATTTTATGTTGTAATTATAGAAAATACAATTTAGCATTAGAAGAGAATCTGGAGCTCAACCCCTCATTGCACAGGTAAGAGAACTGCAAACAAGTGGGGGTAGAGAGCTGTGTTGAGGTCAGTTAATCAGAGACCAAGCTGAGATCACCAACTCCAGGACTGGTGTTCTCATCAATGCACCATACTTGGTCTTCTATTGCCTTGAGGATGTTCATCTTATATCCCCATTAGAATCACGGCAACTTGATCTTAAGAACTATGTATTAATATTATTCTTCCTTTTCATTTCTCCTATAGCACATTTTATGCCACATATTCTTAGTTTTATGTGTGGAGCTATCATTATTTCAATAAATGCTTGAAATTATCACTAATCAGTCTTTCACTGGGATTTTAACCTACAACGTCCAAGACTTTGTTGTAATTTTTCCAGTTATTTGCATGTATTTTCAAAGAATTCCAGCCTTGACATAGACCACCAGTTGCATATCCCTTTGCACAATGATATGAAAATAAGAACTCAATGCATAAGTAGAAGTCCTTATGTCAAGTGGAAATCATTGATTTTACTCTAACCATGTATCTTTCCAAAGATGAAAAAGTCAGGTAATTAGACAATTTGGAGAAACCCTCTCAATTTGTAGCCTCAGATATGGGTTGAAATTTACTCTAAAAGCTTTGCTGTGGAAGAAAGTGGTGGAGGGTGGGGAAGTCTTTTTGCCTCTATCCAGCACAAACATCACACTTAACATTTTTTTGGTTTTTTGAGGCAGAGTCTCAGGGGTGCACTCTGTCACCCAGGCTGGAGTGCAGTGGCATGATTTCAGCTCACTGCAGCCTTGACCTCCAGGGTTCAAGCAATTCTCCTGCTTTAGCCTCCCAAGTAGTTGGGACTATAGGCATGTGCCACTACACCCAGCTAATTTTTGTATTTTTGGTAGAGATGGGGTTGCACCATGTTGGCCAGGCTGACACTTAACTTTAAGTGAAGAATATGGTTTGTTGTTGTCAGATTCATTATCACAACATTGTATTCTGTGGGAGAATCACAAGAATGATTCATTTAAGCTTTCTAACTCTGTAATATATGAATGAGGACTATCTTTGTTCCTGGTTTGCGATGATCATGGTTTCATCATTAAGAGTTCACTGTGCCTTGAAATGCCAGAAAGGTGACATATTCTGCATCCTTTTTCATGTTCCATTTCTAAGTTAAGCTTAATATTGTATGCCAGAATATACAAGTGTTTCTAGGCATTTTCCCCTGCCTATGGACGGAGAAGCAGATCTTCTTTTCTTTGTAGCAGTGATGACAAATCAGGGAGGAAAAAATATCTTCTAGACTGAAACATCACTCCCAAAAATATCTCACTATTTTAAGTAAAGAATTCTTTCATTACCTTTTAAACCTTTTTATATCGATGTAATTTCAAATATATGGAAATGTTACAAAATAGGTAGGAAAAGGAATTTCCATATATCCTTTACCCAGATTAACAAATTGTTTATATATTTTTTCCCATTTGTTGTCCTTCATTCTCTCAACCATTTGTAAGTTGCAGACATCATGTCCCTTTACTCCTAAACTCTTCAGTATGCCTTTCCTAAGAGCAAGGTCTTTCTCTTATGTAACCACAGTAGACTTACCAAAATCAGGAAAATTAACATTAATATCATGGATTAACAAATTGGCATTACCTTTTAAAAAATAGAATACTGATTTTATAGACTTTGTTGAAGTCTGCTAATTTTAAAATAATGATGGCTTTTAAATGTGATTTCTTTCCCAATTGATTGGGCCTTAATATAAACCCACCACTTTTCTAAATAACATGCTGAACAAGTTATAATTTAAGGCTGATCTAGGGTCTGGTGCCTGTACAGACTCACACATTACTGTGCACTCTGAGAATGCCTTATCAGGCCCACACCAACCACTACAGCTAATATCTATCAACAGATCCCAGAACAGCGGGAAAAGTTGTACAATAACAGGTGGGTCAAACCTTATTAAGTCACTGAAGATCTGTTGGCATAATAACACACTTGATTTCCCTGCTCACATTTTTTTAAGTAGGTAAAATTAAATAAGAAGAATAGAAATTAACTAAATGTGAAAGATATGAAGAGGGTGATTTATGGCAGGGAATTTGAGTACCAGCTGTGACCAAATATGAACCTGAACAAGCCAATCCTTTAAGACAGATCCTGAGTTGTTATCTGGGCCCAAATTTTAAACTGAGACAAGCAGTCATTTGCTGACTTAGGTCACACAGGTTCTCTGAGTTCCCCAAAAACCCACACCTCTATTTAACTTTGGGATTTTCAGAGCTCACCTGAACCAACCCAATCAGTGCTCACCTACCGCAACGATCAGGGCTCAGCTGTATCAATCAATAAGGGCTCAGTAGTATCAACCAATCAGAACTCAGCTATACAGACAAATCAGAACCCAGCTATAGAGACCGATCAGAACTACACAAGTTTGCCAAACCTTAATTTGTATAAATATACCTGATTGGGAACCCTGATGGGAATTTTTGATATAAAACCCAAACCCTCCCATTGTTCTCTGAAACGCACCTTTGTTTTACACCAAAGGCTTCATCTCCTTGGTTTGCAAACTGTTCACTGAAATAAAGTCTCTTTCCTCCAAATTCGCTTTTCAGATAACTTTCGTTCACACAACTAAAAGGGTTGTTTTGTTGTGTTTTGTTTGTTTTGTTTTGTGACAGAGTCTTGCACTCCCAGGCTGGAGTGCAGGGGTGCGATCTCAGCTCACTGAAACCTGCACCGCCTGAGTTCAAGTGATTCTCCTGCTTCAGCCTCGCGAGTAGCTGGGACTACAGGCATGCACCACCACGCCCGGCTAACTTTTTTTATTTTTTGTAGAGATAGGGTTTCACCATGTTGCCCAGACCGGTCTTGAACTCCTGACCTCAAGTGATCCGCCAGCCTCAGCCTCCCAAAGTGCTGAGATTACAGGCATGAGCCGCCGTGCCCCGGTGAGATAATTTCAATTTAGAAACTTAGAAAGTCTCTCTCAAATTTCAGCGTTCACTGACTTCAGATTTTGGTTTTCTCACTACTGTGTTTTTGAATTTTAAATCATGCAGCTCTCAGGGGGTAATTAGTTTATCAAATACTTTATCTTTCAGATTATTACTTTAAATATGCCTAGAATTAGGCATGAACATAATCCTAAAAACAACATTTTTATTTATATCCTACCTTATTCTTAAAATAATGCATAAATGCTTATATAAATACATAAAACAAGAAAAGATGAATTTAAATAATGTTGAACTCGAAGAAAAGGTGACAGAGTTAAGATATAATCCAAAATGAAATTAGGGGACACTGTGGAAATCTCCCTCTCCAGTCTCCTGCTTAGCATATAGTGGTATTAAATAATTATTTGTTGATAATATTAATAAAAGCAAAAATTGATGGAGTGCTTCCCATATACTCAACCCTGATTCTTTTCTTTTTGTTCTTTTTTTTTAATACTTTAAGTTCTGGGATACATGTGCAGAACATGCAGGTTTGTTACATAGGTATACACGTGCCATGGTGGTTTGCTGCACCCATCAACCCGTCATCTATGTTAGGTATTTCTTCTAATGCTATACCTCCCCACAACAGGCCCCAGTGTGCAATGTTCCCTTCCCTGTGTCCATGTGTTCTCATTGTTCAACCCCTACTTATGAGTGAGAATATGTGGTATTTGTTTTTCTGCTCTTGTGTTAGTTTGCTGAGAATTATGGTTTCCAGCTTCATCCATGTCCCTGCAAAGGACATGAATTCATCATTTTTTATGGCTGCATAGTATTCCATGGTGTATATGTGCCACATTTTCTTTATCCAGTCTATCATTGATGGGCATTTGGGTTGGTTCCAAGTCTTTGCTATTGTGACCAGTGCTGCATGTGTCTTTATAGTAGAATGATTTATAATCCTTTGGATATATACCCAGTAATGGGATTGCTGGGTCAAATGGTGTTTCTGGTTTTAGATCCTTAAGGAATCGCCACACTGTCTTCCACAATGGTTGTACTAATTTACACTCTCACCAACAGTGTAAAAGCATTCCTATTTCTCCACAACCTCTCCAGCATCTGTTGTTGCCTGATTTTTAATGATTGCCATTCTAACTGGAGTGAGATGGTATCTCATTGTGGTTTTGATTTGCATTTCTCTAATGACCAGTGATGATGAGCATTTTTTCCATATGTTCGTTGGCCGCATAAATGTCTTCTTTTGAAAAGTGTCTGTTCATATACTTCACCCACTTTTTGATGGGTTTTTTTTTTCTTATAAATTGTTTCTAAGGGCAAAAAAAGTATTGTTTCATTTAATTCTCACATTTATTATTGAGGTAAGTTCTATCATTATCTCCATTGTACAATGCTTACCCTGAGTTTCAGAGGCAAGTTTGTCAATTATGGCAAAGGTGAGCTACCAGCTCAAACAGTCTAATCCTGGGACTTAAACCATGGCACCATGCACCCTCCAACATTAACTGTCTAGAATCCCTGCTTGTGAAAAACTAGGTAGAGGACAAATAAGTCCATCTTAGCATCACTTCAGTTCAGTTGAATAAATAAAAGAATAAATGAATGTGATTTGCCACAAATTTTGTCCTAAGTTTTCTAACATCCAAAACAAAAAGGAGGATAAGTTTAATTTTATGATTCAGAAAAAAGCAAACCAATTTCTTGGGAGAAGAATAAACAATAATTTATCGCTTCCTTGTGCATACAAGATCAGAAGACAAATGAAAAGCCTAACAGTGGAAACACCAAGTACACACAGAAATATAACTGGTCATGTATTTTTCTTTATTAATGGAGAATTTCAAACACACATTAAAATAGAACAGCATAATGAACCCCCATATACTCATCACCCGACTCAAACATTACCAGTTCAAGGCAAATCTGGTTTCTTCTGTACCCACCTCCAGTATATGATTTGAAGCAAATCCAAAATATATCATTTCATTAATTAATATTTCACTATGGATCTCTTAACAATAATTCTACATTTTTCTTAACGTAACCACAATCCCATGACCACATCTAAAAACAAAATAATAATTCCTTAATATCTGCTCAGTGTTTTCATTTGCAATCATCTCTTGAATTTCATCATTTTTAAAACTTGTTTGTTTGTTTGGATCAGCATCCAGATAAGGTCCACACATTGCCATTTATAACAACTTCATTTTAACTTATCAAAATGAGTTTATTTTAATTACAAAATATAATGGAAAGTGTATTAATCCAAGGGTTAAGAAGTCATGTGGCAAAAAGAAGAACTGTGTTCAGGTCCAGTTTCATCTGCTTGACCTTGAACAAGTCACGTTACCTCTGTAAAATGAAAGGGGTGGCAAGATGATTTTCAGTATTTTTTTCAAAGTCATAGTGACTGCTTAGATCCTTCCACTTTACAAGTGAAAGGCTCAAGATCAGAGATTTGAGTGGATCACAGATTTAAATTTATAATAGGATAAGTATGATTCATCAACTCATTCCTAAGTAATATGTCAAAAATCTAAAGCAACATCCCTCAAATTATTTGGAGCCTGCATTTTGCTTCTCTTCAATGACTAATTTCACCCTTAAGCTTTACAGGCCCAATTCTATACAACCCTGATTATCAACAGAAGCAAGTCTAAAGAATTCATTCCTTTGATTATTCGATATACAAATAATGCTTAGCTTCAGTCTCATGATCACTTTCCCTGTAGTTAATCTATCTAGCTGGTAAAGATGGGATGGAAGGAAAAGGGCAAAAAAAATTTTCGTTGAGCCCCTAAACACTTTTCAAAAGTTGTCTCATTTAATCCCTAGGTGGGGTAAAGTGAGATAGTAGAACAGGAATCTGAACGCAACATCACTCTTTCAAAACCTGCGCTCTCTTCTTATTTAGAAAAGAAAAATAGTGGTCTCAACTTCATAGCAATGTTATGAGGATTAAATGAATGTTAAAAAAAAAAAAAACCAACGGCGCCTTGTAAACCATAAAGTGTTATGCCCACATAGAGCAGAGTACATGCTGTCCGAAAGAATATTTTACGTGTAACTTTTAAGATGTCCAGACTCAACATTAGTATATAAGACATATCTGGTTGCTTCTGTGGACTCCCAAATAGAGTTCTAAACCACACACTGGGATATTCTTAAATTCCAGTTTTTTCTCCCTTCCACGCATATCTCCTCCAGCAAACAATGGTTCTGAACCACAACTGTCTTCTCCCTACTTTCCCCAGGACTGCCCAGTGCTATAGAAAAAGAGAAGACATGTCAATTGTTACACACAGCCAGCTGAGCATAGAGCATGAGACATCCAGGGAGTACTTTTCAGGACATTTGATTGCATTAAAATGATCACCCTCTATTTCCATATAAATTGGATTCCTACACAAACAGAAAGCTAGCAGTCATAAACGTTCAGACTCCATCTGGCAAAACCAGCATTATGCATGGACTTCTATACAATAAGGTAAGGGTATTGTCAGATTTGAACCTTCCCCAGAGAAACTGGGACACCAAGCACAATTGGAGGGAAAAGCAGCACACGATAACCTGTAGTGTTCATTTTAAATGGATGACACATGAACTTCAAAGAGCATTTTACAATGCACTGCATAGTCAAGGGTGACTGGAATTCAAAGACAAAACAAACATTTCTATTTTCTAGGTAGGGAGTAAAACAATCGCAGCGACACCCCTCCCTTTGTTAAAGTCAGGATCTGGTATAAAACGTGTAGTGAACATGCAGAGCTCATTATTGTGCTTCCTAGTAAAGTGAACAAAAAGCCTGTTTCTGAAATGATGTTTATTACCATATCGTGTATTCGCTTAAGAGGCTCAACAGCTGCCGTCTAACCACTGTCTTAATGGAAAGCAAATTTAGAACTTTGGAAGTTTTTGGTGGTGTTGAGGATTGGGGGACCAACTGGGAAAGAGGTGTCCTTTCTTTCTTCTTTTCCTTCTTTCTTTCATTATTTTTTTCTTCTATAATTTTGCAAAGATTTTAATGTAGATTTACAGGGTTATTTAACTAAAGCTGTGTAAACCTCAGGCACACCAAGTTTTTTTTTTTTTTAAAGACTAGAGTTTATGCATAGATGAGGAATCTCACTTTTTCCAAATAACTAAATCACTAATTGCTCTGATGTATTATCCTCAAGAGAAACACCAGAAAAAAAGGGTAATTCAATTTATTTTTACAAAACTTTCCAATTTCCCTGAATTCAATGAACACTTAGTTGAAGACTTACTTTTTGAGATGTCTTGGCAGAGTAGTCTTCCAGATTCTCTACAGGAAGCAAAAACAACCTGCTCAGAGTAGGCAACAAAGGTTCAGAAACCCAATCCAAAAATAGACACACAAATGCAAAGTCCAATAATGTCACATCATACAACAGAAGAATGGCCAGGTAGCAGGTGTGGGAGCCAAGTGATACTGGGCCACCTTGGGGAAATAGCACAAACTCTCTGAACAGATGACAGGCAGGTATGGACAGAATAAAGAAGCAGCAGCCTGGGAGTCCCAAAATTGTTATTTGAGGCCCAGAATTTCAATATACACTCCCAAGGTTAAACTTGCAGTTTTTCAATACTGATTCTATAAACCTGTCAAGTTAGATGAAAAGACAAACAGAACAAGGAATGTGCAAGCTGAGTGCAATATTACCAAAAGAAGCCTCTCATGGAAAATCAGCAATTTAATGCATAAGAATTCTTCATATTCCTACAAATGATTGTAGTGGTAACTATCAAAATGACAGTGTGTTTGAGACTAATTGGGTATTATTACATACTTTTGGGAAAACTGATTGAGGCTCCCACATTATGGAACTTTTGAATTTATCCTATTTCCTGATTGCTCATGATTTGTTCTCATGGTCCGACTAAAGTTCTGGATCATCCCAATTACATTTTGTAGTTGGGCACATGTGCAGCACAGCAGTGAACACTGCAGACCTCAAAGGAAAGTCATCCACACGAGATCCATGAAGTGTGCTTCCAGTGTCAAATGCAATTCCTTTTTCAATGGAGACTGGGGTTTTAGAGGTAGTCACTCAAGGCTTTCACTAGCGATTGCCTGAGTGATGATTTCAGTTCTGCTCATCAAGGGCAGACGTGCTTCTAGCCACTCACTCCTGGCACAACCTGACACCCATCCTAATCCGCTCAGCCATATGGATAAGGGTATCAAGTTTATGCTTGTTCATGACCACCTCCCAAAATAGGAGGTCACTGAGAGGGAAAGACGATGTTTGTGAGAAACATCCTCCATTACTCTACACCATGATTAATAATTTCTTAATTGTCTTTTGACATTTTCAGACTTAAGGTAAAGATAGATAACAGGCTACAAGGTTTAGACTTCTCTATTTCCTGTATAATTGTTCATCTGCTTTAAGAATATGCAGTATTTCACTGGGGTTTTTGTTAAGTAGAAGTCTCACTTGTATTGAATGCAGAATTGTCCATTTTTCTACTATTATTATTTAATCATCCTGAAATTCAGAGAAGTTTTAGTCCCTTTCATTTCTCTGCCCCCACTGAGGCGTCATTTAATTCACATGTGAAAGTTTTTAGATCACTGCTATTATAGTTAAACAGGTTTTTTCTAAAAAGCAGTTAAAAACAGTTTATCTTCCACTGGGGAATATGCAGTAAAGATTGGAGCTTGAGTCTAAGTGGGATTCATATATATTTGGGTCTGTGTGGCCAAGTGGTAGGGAAGGACTCTGAAGCCATCTGTCTGTGGCCTGAGGCACCTCCTGGGAGGTCTCACAACCTCAGAGTGTAGCCAAGAGCGTTGGTTGAAGGGGAGGGATAGTGCTGACATTTGTGTTACTGCAGTTTGCCTACCAGCCCAGTATCCACCCTTTTCAACCACGAAAGCAAGAGGATTATGAGTAGAGAAGGGAGGCTTCTTTCTTTGAAAACTCTGCAAAATGTTGGACCACAGAAAGGGTTCTTTTAAGATTCCTGTAGCCAACTATAGGACAGCACTCTCCCACATCACCATACGTCACTGCATAGCTGGGCACCTCAGGAATTCATAACAATGCCAGGCAGAACAGGCATGGTGCCTGGAAGAGTGGGGGTGGAGGTTATGCTAAGCACATGCACAAAACCCACAGGGACTCATAGGAGCATCTGAGAAGAGAGGGGCATACATCACCAAGTAAAGGAAAGAGCCAGCAAAATCTGAGCTTTGATGATATTACGAGCCATCTATACCCACAGGTGGGGAGACTAGAAAAGACCAGTTTACACTGATTGGTGTTCTGTAGGAGTTCTGTTCTGCCCCTGGCCAATTAGAGATATTGATCGGTGAACTAGGTAAAAAAGAAAAAATATGGGCGGGGCGCGGTGGCTCATACCTGTAATCCCAACACTTTGGGAGGCCGAGGCAGGCAGACCAGCTGAGGTCAGAAGTTCGAGACCAGCCTGGCCAACATGGTGACACCCCATCTCTACTAAAAATAGAAAAATCATCTGGGCATGTTGGCGTGAGCCTGTAGTCCCAGCTACTCAAGAGGCTGAGGCAGGAAAATTGCTTGAACCCAGGAGGGAAAGGTTGCAGTGACGTGAGATTGCACCACTGCACTCCAGCCTGGGCAACAGAGCGAGACTCCATCTAAAAATAAATAAACAAACAAACAAACAAATAAAGAAAAAATATGCTACTTATTTTCCACTGATTTTGAAGCTTAGAATTCAGGATTAGGATTCAACACAATCGTAAAAAATTAGTGGTGGGCCCACTACACTTACCTGGAATTCAGTGCTACTGTATGGTAAGTAGGTGGATTGGTAACAGGTTTTCAAAAAGTTCTACAGAAAAGCCCAGCTAAAGAAATATAAATATGAATGAATGAATGAATGAATGAATGAATGATGAAGCAGTCCTATTCTCCTGATGATCCTATGGTAGGATTTTGGTTCTTAAGGGTTTTTAAAGTTCACCCTATAGTTTATCTGTGGGCTCTTGAGTCCCCTCCTACTTCTTCATGTATTGGACAAACCTACACCTTTATGAGTGGTTGCTCCAGACCCTGCTGCCCAGGATATAAGGAAGAAAGTACAGGTTCAGACAGGGAACAAGTCTATCTGAAATTCCTGGCAAAAGTACCTGATATTAAGTACATCAGGTATGTGACTGGTGCTGAATTTCAGATATAAATTAAAAATGGTAAAATAAATAAATAGCACCCAAAAAAGAAATGGCTGGAATTTAGAATTCATTTACTGAAAGAAAGGAGAACAAATCTGGATGAAATAGGCTTCTTCAAGTACTGTATATAAATGATTATCTTATGAGAAGACATCAGTTGATTCTTAATTCCAGTTATTTTAGACTGTAAAATAATTTAATTCAGTTTAACACATACTGAGTGTCAATGTAAAAGCCTCATGTTAGCCAGTGACTGCCTGAGTTAATGTTAGATATTTATGTTGCACACAGAAAGTGTACTTCTGTGCATGCATGTTACTAGTGAATCTGGTTGTGAGGCAAAAAAAATGATTTTAGAGTATTTTTTTGATGATTTTAACAGTAAACATCCACCTGTCTATAGAACAGATCTATGTGGAAATAGCGGAATCTACCATTTCACCTCTCAATGAATCTGTTTCTTATTTACTTCTTTTTATAAAAAATTTCCTATTTGGGCCTCTCTGAATAAATTATAATCTAAGAATTTAGATTTGCCTAACGTATATGGTATACTACAGTCACTTCCACCCCTTCATCAAGGAAAGGAAGGGTGACACTGGAATGAAGAAGCTCTCTTGCTACAGACAATAACAGCAGCAGCCCTGGACTTGGTGGCAAAGGGTCTGAATTAGCATCCTGGCCCTGCAGCTTAGCAGCCAGGTGACTGCAGGCAAATTATATATCTCTCCAAGTCACATTTTATTCACATGTAAAATACTAATATGGATAATTTTCAACATATTATACTATTCTGAAGATTAAAGATTAGCTCCTAGAATGTAAGTTTCCAGCATCTAGATCCACATCTGACACATTTTATATATATAGTGTGTGTATATATATATATATACACATATATATGTGTGTGTGTATATATATACATATATATATACATATATATATGTATATATATATTTTTTTTTTTTAGCTAGAGACAGGGCTATGTTGCCCAGGCTAGTCTCAAACTCCTGATTCCTGGGCTCAAGAAATTCTCCTGCCTCAGCCTCCCAAAGTACTGGGATTATAGTCATAAACCACCATGCCCGGCCCTGACACGCAATATATTCTTAGGAAATATTCATTGTTGAATAAATACATGATCTAATTAAGACACATTTTTAATTTTATAATCGCTAGCAAAAAAATGGAAACTGACATAACCTCCTTGGTTTCACTGCACATCTGTGGGATATTTTTCTCGAGGATCTTGTAAGAGTGTCCAGTAGGTGAGCTTCATACTGTAGCTATAATCATATGAATGATTTTCATAATCATTCTTGTTATTCCTCTCACAGAGAGCATTTGTTGAGATGTTTCTATGTGCCAGGCACTGTGCTAAATTCTCCACATGCATAGCTCCTATAATCCTGACAATAACCCTAGAAAGTAACCAGAATGATGTCCCTCATCTTACAGATGGGGAGGCAGAAGCTAAGAGTCTAAGTAATGATTGCAGTCTCCCAACTATGTAGCATTGGAGATCAGAATGAGATGCAGGTGTCTGAGTCCAGAGTCCACGCTCATGGGAAAGAGCAAGACTTTGGAGCACGGGGTCCTGGGTTTGAGGACCAGCTCTGACCTATACATGTGTGAAAATACTGACATCAATTTCACTGTTCCCAGAAATCAATTGCTCCCACCCTAAATAATCATATCTCAGAGAAATAAATCCTGCCTCACACAGTTATCATGAGGACCAAAGAAATTATTATAGTTTCCTTACCTATGAATTTTCTGAGAATAGACCATGTAGCAGATCCTTAGGAAATTCTGGTGGATGAATTGCTGGTTTCATGAGTTGCTTTTTAACTATACGTCACTTTACGAATTTCAATTGTCTTCATTATCGACAACTTTGCCATGTATTGACCAAAAGCTTCCAGACTGTAGAATCACAGTGATTCCAAAACTCTCCCAATGAACCTGCACTCCTTTGCAATACAAAGTTGACTTTGAATGCCACTGCCCATGAAATTCTGATCTAGGCCTTATAATAGAAGGCAAGTAGCTGGTCACCCTAATTACCAACAGATGATTTCAAAAATGAACTTTTTTTTCAGGGAAGTAGTTGAAAAATTATTAGAAAAACATTCAAAATGTGGTCAACAGCAGGGACTCAGCGTGAGGCTTGAAGCAAACAGTGGAATCTTTAGAAGCCTGCTTTGTGTGCCCACGGTCAGGGGAGCAGACACAGAGCAGATTGCAGCCCTGAGCCACTGCGGGAGCTAGAGGTACTCCTTCAGCCATCGGGTTTGGCAGGAAAAAAAAAAAAAGATTATAATAAAAAGTAAGGAAAATGATATTGCTCATAATGTAAATATCACAACCATGGGCCATATCAGATAGGGCATCTCCGCTATTTAAAATAACTCATTTGCAAAATATAATTTGTGAAATGTCTCCTATTCTGAGATGAAGTGAAACTACAGCTAACTGTACCCCTTGATGGGTTGCCCCCAGAACTGCTGATCATTCACTTTGATGCCGCAGTAAGTACCTCACTGGCATTGGCAAAATGTAGAGAAGACCCAGCTCCTGGCCCTTCTGCTATCAGATCTAAATATTTCAAACAAGACAAAGGCTGAGAGAACATCAGCGGGAGTTTATTTCTTAGCTCTTGAGAGGCAATTTGGCATATGGTTTCACTTTTAAAATCATCAACATCAGTCAATTCTTTCACTTAGAGATATCTTTCATGGTATGACACTGAACACAAAATAGGGTAAACTAGGGATGTAAATGTTTTATCAGGATCAAGAAATCCTTTTGACCTGAACATAAAACAGGAACAATGCATTTACTTCTAATTGTTTTTTTCATGGAAATAATTACAGTATGTATCAGAGTGTGTATATTGGTAGAGAGACTATCCACCTAGAAATCAGAACCCTGAAGTTCTGTTCCCAGCTTTAGGTAAGCCCCTTTTGGTTTCTTCATCCAAGACCTTTATCACGCGGTTGCAAGATGGACATGTATCATGTTCCATGCACTTCCAAATAGGCTACCTCATTTAATCCCCTTATTATTCCCACTTTGCAGACAAGAAAACCAATTCACACCAGGCCAACTGTTAGAGGCAGAGCAAAAAAGCAGAGGATGTGCAGTGTGAAGACTTGGGGTTGAGTCACCATTCCACCACACTGTCCCACTGTGTGGTCTCTAGCTTAACTTTTTTTTTTTTTTTTTTTTTTTGCGACAGAGTCTCACTCTGTCACCCAGGCTGGAGTGCAGTGATGCTATCTTGGCTCGCTGCAACCTCCACCTCCCAAGTTCAAGTGATTTTCGTGCCTCAGCCTCCCGAGTAGCTGGAATCCCAGGCAAGCACCACCATGACCAGCTAATTTTTGTGTTTTTAGTAGAGACGAGGTTTCACCATGTGGCTCAGACTGGTCTCGAACTCCTGATCTCAAGTGATCCAACAACCTCGGCCTCCCAAAGTGCTGGGATTACAGGCGTGAGCCACTGTGCCTGGCCTCTAGTTTAACTTTTATGTAAAGTGTATCCCAGCACACCCCTTATAAATATGGATTCTGCTTCCTTCTTTCTTCATGCTCAAAGACATAAAACTCTTGAGCAACAAGGCTAGGAATGTATCTGAATTCAAATTCAGATACATTTATTTTAAAGACCGTAAGCAATTTTTATTTCTGCAGAGGGGATGACAAGGTCACTCTGAGAGCTTACCAAGAACAGAAAGTGGAGAGAGCTCAGAGGCAGGAAATCTGCCGTGGGTCGGCCTGCCTACCTCCAATGAGTTGTGTTGTAACAGCCTGCAAGATACTACTTATCAAGGAAATCATTTTTTACACCTCTTTTTTGCTGATTATAAAAATATGTCTAGGTGCTGAATGCAGGGAAGCAGGGCTTTGCAGAGGCTTAGGCTGAGGAGATTTCTCATTCTAAATGACACAAATTCCTAAACAGAAATTAGGCATATTATTTCACAGAGATTGAGATTATAAAACATGCCATTTCTGGAAAAAAAAATAAAGTAATGCCTGCTAATGACGGGGAAAGGGAGAATAAGCAAAATGTTAAAATTTTGGTGCATTCACATCCAGTATCTATCAACACATGTATGTTGTGTATTTGCATGGAACTCTACTCTTCTAAAGTAACTTAAATTGTTTGTTAACAAATTTTTTTAGACTCTTAGCCTGTATTCCTGGATATGTTTGTTATTTCCAATTTTTTACCACTATAATATTGCAATGAGTAACCTCGTACATAAATTTGGCAAAGCCATTTCAGAAATATTTTCTAGGCACACTTAGGGCATGTTGTGAGTGTTTACAACGTGCCAGTGTGCACTATTTTATTAGCATTATCAGCTCAATCCTTGCCCACATCCCATGGTGTATCTTTGATTACTATTGCCTTTTACAGATAGGAAAACTGAGCAGAAGAAAGATTAATCCACTTGCCTTAATTCCTACAAAATTTACAGAGCCAGGGTTTGAATAGTCTATCTCCAGAGCCTAGACTTTTACTAAGAACATTGCCACAATTGCCTTGTCTCCTGATATTCAGATGAAAGGGGATTTCCCTTCACATCAGATGTAGCGTATAGAAGCCTCCCAATTAGAGAGTCCAGCTGGGATAACCTGGAAACACTCTGGAATCTGGAGTTATCCTTGGGTTGCCCTAGGTCCACAATGACCACAAAGCCTATGATGTGCACCAAAGTCCACCCCCGAGTCCAGCTCCTGAGTCCATCATGCACAATAGAAAGGACATTTATTTCAAGATCCCTAACAACACACAACCTGATAAAGCCACACTGCAGACAATTCTGCAAGCCTTTCCTCTGAAGTTGATTTTTCATCTTGTTGCTTCAGAGCATGTGTCATTCTTGACTAAATTTCTCTTCCTCCCATTTTTGCACAGGCTGATTTGTAATCCTCAAAGTTAACACAAAGTTACCCTGTGAAGAGTAAACCTATTGGGAAAACACACTAAAGCTTCATAGTCAGATTATAATTAGTTTCTGTGGAGGAAAAAAGAATGACAAAAGCTACAAAAACAAGTTGTTAGTAACACCCAACTTTATGTTGAAGATGAGACAGTACATTCTGTGCTCACATATGCAGAAAGAGGCAAACAAAATATGGTAGAGGGAGTCTCAAAAAGGAACCTCTGCCATCTTCAGAACTGAAAGCAGGATGTGTAAAGGAAAACGAATGACCTGAAAGGAGTTTTCATATAGTGTAGCCCACGAAGGCCAAGGCGGGAAACAGCATGCAGCCAGAGAGGGGAGAGAGGGTATAATGAGATACAGCTGAAGAAGGGAAAATTCTAGATGCCTATCAGAGACTTCCTGGCAGTGAGAACTGCTGGATTTGAGAATGGCCTCCCAAGGGAAAGGCGGGAAGCTCCCTCACTCAGGACACTGGAAACCGGACAGAGCCAAACAGTAGTGGCTCTGCTGAAGGAGGAAACCTGCAAACAGAGGATGAACCAGATAACCTGCAAGGCCGTTTCTTTCTGGATTCTCTTTGATTATAGTAATATAATCCTGCAGGGATGTAGGAAAAGTTGCAGGGGGTGCTTTGCTTTAAATTTTTGAGTGAACTTAATTCTGATGGTTGGTGCTGGACTGACATCCTAAGAGACAAAAACTCTCTATTCATCCATACAATGGATACAACTTTGACAGGGATACCTTTCTCCACTGGGCTTTACCAAATGTGTCCCCAGTCCAGGTATTAAAGTAGAAGGGAAAGCTGGATCCTTTCACCATCTGACTCATTGCTTCTCTTCATAGCTTCACCACAACAAAAGAGTATTGGTTATAAAGATTGGCTCTCAGACTGAATACCCTGCACTCCGCCCCCACCTAACAACTCAAATGTTACATTGTGAAGAGGCCACACAGAACTTTTAAAAGCACCTATCTGAAGGCCAGGCATGGTGGCTCACACCTGTAATCCCAGCAATTTTGGAGGCCAAGAGGAGAGGATGGCTTGAGCCCAGGAGTTCAAGACCAGCCTGACCAACATGGTGAGACTGTATCTCTACAAAAAAAGAAAAAAAATTAACGGATCCATCTGGGAGGCATCAAATTGAGGCAAACCACTTTCAAAGAATGGTATGTAGTAGCAAGCCTAGGTCTCTTATTCTCTTTTCTGCATGAACATATGTCAAAAAGGATGGATGGATAGATGGATTTGGATATAATTACTACATACCTTTTGCTTCTGGGTCTGGAATAAGAAGTTTTAATATAGCATCCTTTTCCCTTTCTTGTCCTTCTTTATCTTCCATCTCCCTTTCATACTTTCCTTCCAAAGGATAATTTTTATCCTCCCTCAAATTTGCTCAGAACACGCCAGGATAAGAGATCTCAGTTACGAGAAGTTCGAGTAAATATCTTCACCTGCCAGACTCTCTGCCAATTGATGCAGATCCCTTGAACATGCTCCTGCATCTCTCCTGAGTTGCTGGTTTCTTATTTTCTTTACTTGCATTTTTGCAGAAGTAACCTCAAAGTGCCAAGAAAGTTCTGCACATAAACCAAACAGTAACATTCATCTGAGATGCAGCTCTTTGATCTCCTCTTCCAAGTATGTGTAAATCTGAACGTTTTATTTTCTGTATTTCTCCTCTACCCAAGCCCAGCAATATTGACACAGCTACATAGCTGACTATCTCCCTATTATATGAAGGCTTGGTCTCACTACATACCAGTGCAAATTTTTTAATCTGCCTTTCTAGTCCCAAATCTCCAGAGCAGGTGGGAGGAGAATGTATGCAACCTTTTCATTTTCACCAGGTATGTAGACCTGACCAGACATACCTTCCATCTATATGGATGCAAACCTCACAGAGGCAAAACCCTCAATTCAGACAATGGTATAGGCGTGCGGTCAAGTTTGCCCTAGGTCCAAGTACTGATCTCAGGGATATTAGCAATAAAGGGAAGACCCAGTTTGCCCCTCATTTTATGAAACGATTTTAAACAAAATTCCCTGCATATTCTGAGAATGAATATATTTAATCATTAATTTCCTATAGAAGGTTTCTATTACACAGCAATAGACTCGGAGAAAAACAAGGCCTCACGAGCGGCCCCGCAGGGTTTGGATGGCGTTCTAGCCAAAGCTTGCCCACAGAGGTTGGAACTTGTTTTTCCCCTCTATGTTTAAGTAATCAAAAGAACATCTACTCAGTGAAAGAGAGAGAACTGAATTTGTCAGGAAGTAGTTGTTGCCTCTGATTTCCTGCTCCTTTATTAGAGACAAAAGCCTGCTATATAGTTACTTGCAATTGGTATATGGTGTGCATTGGCAGACCACAATGTAGGTGAGTAATGAATCCTGTGGGAATCTGAATGACCTGACCCAAGACCCCACTCACTAGTGAGCAGACAACCTGGAGCCTGAAAACACATTGTTTTCAAGTTAGCGAAAGGCAATTTTTAAAAAATTAAAATGCCAGAAAAATAGAACACAATGACAGCCCAACACAGAGTGATTATTTTCATGGCTAATAAAAAGAAAATGATTCAACACATACAATGCCCAAGGGTAAGGCATGACCAAGTGTAAGAAATGCACCTCAGTGAATAATTACCTTCTTGAATCCACTGACCCAAAGATCTCCTGCTTCAGGACTTGTATATCTCCACACCTGAACCAACTAGCGGGAGAAAGTTTCCTTGAAAAAGTACCTGATGTAAACCTGTAATATAGTAGAGCCATGATAACCTCTTCATGGCTCCTGGAATAAATGTATCACTCTATCTACCGACACGTCTGCTTCAACTCAGCGTCAGTACATTGACTCCCTTGTACTTCCAACACTGAAGGAGAATTATCGCTTTGTTAATTGTTCAATCCTCAAACAGGAACACAGTTTGCCAAGAGTGCCTCTCTCGAACGACAGAACCTCACCCCCTGCCAAAGCGCAGGATGACTAGCATAGACTGTGTACTGCCACTCAATGAGTTCTAACACCCTTAACGGGGTGGTGGTGGCCTTGCATGACCATGTCTAGCTCACTGGCCACAGAATGTCTGATGTAGTATCCTGGGTCTTTCACACAGGGGCCAGGTTTTTGGCCAAAAGGACCTGATCTCTCTCTTTGTACTCAATCATTTCCACCTGGTTTTTGTTTTCATTTTAACTCTCTCATAAGGAGACGTCCCAGCTGGGTCATCAACATAGTAAAGAAGCATTTATTCTGAACAAATAACATAATTCATAGGTATATATTGACTTTGTCTGTTGCCCCAGAGATTCTTTGTGTCCATACCCTGAAGCCATTTCAACATAACCCAGTCCAATATAACTTGGGATGCCAGGGCCAATTCTGGACATGAAGGAGCAGGTTCTCTCAAAGCCTTCTTGATTTGAACTCCGACTGAGGGAATCTATGAAAGCTCATCCACAGGCCTCCGAGATACCATCTGCCCCATGACTTAATTTGAAATTTCTTCCTATGGGAGCCCAAGCATGACCAGAAGGCAGGTCATGGTTAAAATGTTCATAGCCAACTAAACAACGGTCTGCTTGTTCTCTCCCATGAGTGACCAACCTTAACCATCCCCTCATTTCCATCCATAAAATTTTTCTATTATTTCGCAGAAATAACCTTTGAAATTTGTTTTATTTTACAAAATAGCTCTCAGACACGATTTTTAGAACACTTGCAGGACTTGCACACATGTGGTCTTCTCTTCTTTTTAAAGCCACTTAGTGACTTTACATGACTGTAATGTTTTGTTTATTACTCTTTGTGAGGAGAGCTGGGCTTGGTGGCTCATCTCTGATCCCAGTGCCATCCCCGTTGGGCAGCTGGGAATTGAGACTCTTCTTCTGTCATTATTGGCTGTTAAAATGTCTGATGCTTCAGTGCTCCTTGGCCTATCTCTCTCTCCACATGCTGTCTCAGCCTCCAGGGCCTATCCATATGGTTTGGACTTTTCATGAATGATGATCTTGAGTAGTTGGACTTCTTACATGGTACTTAGAATTCAGAGAAAAAATCATCCCAAGAGACTCAAATGGAAGCTTCGAGGCTTCTTATGAGTAAGGCTCAGAAATCCCTGAAAATTACTTCTATTTAGTTCCAGTAGTCAAACAAGTCACTAAAGTCAGTCCAGTTTCAAAGGAATTGGAGAAATAGATTCCACTTCTTGGCTGGGGAATGACATGTAAGAATAGAAAGAATTGATGGTAGCCATCTTGTATATAAACTACCACAGAGGGAATGCAACTCTTCCTCTAGCATTATGTTTTTCCACAAAGGTGTGAAAGCAGTGCTGTTTGCTCCCTGGTTTCTTATAAAGCTTTGTTTTTACGAGGTTTTTTTTTTTTTCATTTATAGCTCCATTTATTCATAGGCTTCAGATGTAAATCCATGAGAGTCTGGACTCATGAATGTTGTAAGTGACAAACACTATGCTTTACTCAGAAACTCTTCCCTGCTAATAAGGTATTATAGAACTAAGCTTGTCTGTTGAATTTGTTCTTCCTTTGAGATAACTTCTCTTCAAGGATGCTTCTTAGTTCCCTCAAACGCTGGAAGGTCCATCTTGCCAGGGCACCAGACATGCATGGACATTCCAGACTCCAAATGGTGACTGTAGCCTGGGCTCAAACAGAGACCACTGCTGCACAAGTTATTTCAGCACAGAGCCTGGCATGTGGGAGACGTTCAACAAGCATTAGTTCCCATCTTCTTCTCTTCTCTCTATACAGGGAGACCTAAGTTACATATCAGTTTATGATTCCCATCTACAGATGATAAAACTGAGGCTCGGAGAAGTTAACAGGTCCGATCAAGTTCATGTAACCAGTATGTGAAGGAATTGAAACTTGAGCCCAGTCTTCTGATGCTTAGTTTAGAGTTATTTCAGTTCCAAGGATTACAAGGGCAAGTTTACTACCTGAATTCAAAGGTATAAAATTGAGAGCAGATTCTTCAGTGGAAAAGAATATAGCAGTAAGAAAATGGGATGCCAGGGTTGGTACAGATAAGTATTGAAATAGAAGTAGCGTATCATAAAATTACACCACCCATTCACCAGTTTTGCCTGGAGCCAGCCTTATTATATTTTCCAGAAATATATCAGAGGGTTTACTCTTACAAATACATACTAATGATACTGTCTTAAGTTCTTCAGGCTAGTAAATAATTTTTAGCTTTGTGCTGCGCACTCCAAGTCCCCTTTAATCCCTCACGTCCTGCTTACAGTTAATGGAATGCAAAATTCCATCTTGCCCTGTTCTTCAGATCTCCCAGCAGGACGTCACTGCTGTGTATCAGTTACTAGGTGTGGGTTTCCTTTTGCACCAGCTTGTCTGCCTTCCGAGTGATGAAACGAAGCTTTCCCCAAGGAGAGAACCCAACATTATTTCCTCCTGCCTGGTCAGCTTCCACTGAAAGCCTGTGGCAGCCTTTGCTTCCAGCAACAACAGGCTGGTATCCATAACAAAGGCAGCCAGAGGCTGTGATCTGGCCGTCTTCAACTCTGTCATTTAGCCAACATGGTTTCCTAGCCTTGTCCCAGATACTATGCCTCTGGTCTTTGGTTGCCCTACTACCTGGCATACATTTAGGTGTCAGCAGACAAGATGAGCCTAAGTTCCCATCTCCTTGACTCAAGAGATCTGTGACTGTGCTGAATAAAGTTTACTTCCTTTACTGAAATTACCAGAAGACATCTGCAAAGAGGTCAAGTCACTGTAGGTCATAATCATAATATATTCACTTTTGGAGGCAAAATGCAAAAATGCTGCTCAGAATTAAGACATTTTTTACACATCCTGGAGCAAGAAGCAAACAAGTGCTTTAAATTCTGTGATGACTTTATTTTAAATTGTGTCACTTTTACACTGCACTTATTAAAATAAATGTGTTGAAAATTCTGGAGAGAAGACCAGTGTGAGAATTCCACCCTTGAATTAATGTAACTGTTTTCTCCTAGAGAAATATGCCCAGTAGGACCTGGCATTAAAATGAGAATAACTTCAGCCCTGCAGACAACCTCTTCAACGTTAGTGTCACCAAAGCAGGGAAGGGACACAATGAAAACAAATATACCATATTCACTTATCTAAAATAGAGTATAACACATCAGCCACAGCCAATTCATTCTATTCACTTTGAAAATAATGTAAATTATGTAGAGTCATCATAAAAAGAAGGAAAATAATCAAATAAAAAAGACAAAATTAAACTCACATATAATCACACTATCTTGACATAACCACTGTAAATGATTTGGGATATATATTCTTCCAAACCTTGCCCTGTGTGTATGTATATATATATCATTTTAACAAAATTAAGCTGCCTACAATTTGTAATTTTCTATCTATACTTAATAGAACATAATTTTCTATGTTGAAAAATGTACATCTACATTGCAAAATATCACCTATTTTTAATTATAAAGGGGAAAATGTGCCTTTATAATAAAAGCATCTGTTATCCTCCAGCCAGCGAAGCTTGACTTTGCCAGTAATTTGGTGGCCTGATACTATATGCTTCCTGATGCAATGTAGTGAGAAGTATGCACATCGCCTATTAAGTGTTCTTGCCTAAAATGTTTAACCAATTCTAATCATGATGAAACAAGCTAATCCAAGATGTTGGGCATTCTGCATAATGGTTATCCTGGACTTCCCAAAGGATTTGAAGTCATCAAAGAATAGAGGAGACAGTTTTCAAAGATTGAGAGCTACTAAGGATATATAATAGTTAACGTCATGAGTAAAATTTCATTGGAATTTGAATCAGAAAAAAAAAGCTATAAGGAATATTTTAGGACAATTTAAGTATGTTTGCAAATGATCTTATTGAATCCATGATTATTTTCTTAGGTGTGGTAATGGTGTTGTGAGAGAGAATACTCTTACTCTTGAAAGGAGTGCCAAATGAAGTATTAAGAGGTGAAATTTCATGACATTGGTACACTACTTTCAGAAGGCTGGGCCAAAAAGAAGAACCTATCCACAGAGACATGTTGTTAACACATATTCACTGCACCATTCCTTCAAGTTTTTGGTGAGTTTGAAATATCTCAAAGTTATTTATAAGGCATATGTATGTAACATGTAAGCAGGCATATTTCTCCTTATTATTCTTTCAACTTTTATTTTAGGTTCAGGAATACATGTGCAGGTTTGTTATGCAGGTAAAATCATGTCTCAGGAATTTGTGGTACAGATTTCTTGTCACCCCAGATACTAAGCCTTTTTTTTTTTTTGAAAGGGTTTTGCTCTGTTGCCCAAGTTGGAGTGCAATGGTGGGATCTCGGCTCACTACTCTCTGCCTCCCAGGTTCAAATGATCCTCCTACCTCACCTCCCGAGTAGCTGGGACCACAGATGCACACCACCACATCCAGCTAATTTTTGCATTTTTTGTAGAGACAGGGTTTTGCCATGCTGCCCAGGCTAGTCTTGAACTCCTAGGCTCAAATAATCCACCCACCTCAGCCTCTCAAAGTGCTGGGATTATAGGCGAGAGCCATCACACCCAGCTAGGCATATTTCTATCTCATCATATTTAATGACTAAATGAGATTCTATTATATCATAACCTATTTAACAAATCTCTGGTTTTCAACATTTCGTTGTTCCAATTTTTAACTAATATAAACAAGTTTCAAAGACAATTCTTGTAGTTGTTTGCATGTATTCTTCATTATTTATTTAGGATTAATTCCCAGAAGCAACTGCTCAATCAAGTTTATGAACATTTTTAAGGTTTTCAGCACTAACACCTGCAACCCAATTATTGGATTCAGCCCTGAATATTTTCTGTAACCCTCAAGCCCCAAAACCTGTTAATTCTCTTTAAAATTACTACAATTGTCATATGATAAGACTTCTAACACTGGTATTTTATTTCCCAAGTTGTTATAATTAGTGCTTTCACTCGTTGACAACACTTAGTAAATTTTTTTGTATACCCATGGACATTTCAACTCTATACAAAACTGCTTTCATTGTAACCATAGAGAACCTAGGAACTGTCCATCATCTTTTCTTGTCCTGTTCATCTGCTCTAAAAATGTCTATCTTTATTATTGGCAGCAACACAACTTTGGTCATTGTCCCCAACAAAAGTGGCACTACCCTGGCCTGACCAGAGGTTAGACCCACCTAGCAGTGTACTGCAGCCTTGTGGCACTTTCCATGACAACCACTCTGGAGGACAAGGAGTCTGGGTGCTGCCATGGTCTCGACCACTATCTCCAGGAAGTCATCTTCCAACACTTACTAGTTGATACACACATCACTACATCACACTTATTAAGCAGTATTACGAAGTGCTATTAAGTGTTATTAGCACTATTAGTGTTACTAAGCGCTGTGAGAGCAAACCCTAGCCAAACACTTTCAGAGCTGTTCCTCACAGGTTTGGTCTATTTAACAAGCCAAGCTCATCGTTATCTAACACATTGAGATGCAGCCAGCTCCCTTTACTTGCTCTGTCTCTCACACATACACTCATTTTCCCCACACTAAAGCATGTGCAGAATATTCTCCAGGACCTCACTCTGGCTAAGTGACCAAAAAGGAAAGGAAAGTTAAGAAAAATATACATAGCCATTTTATGTAGTATATTTTTTGCCAGTAGAAGTAAAATCGTTGACCCAAGAATCCAAACAAATTATGTTTTAGCTGGATCCCTTTCAAATAATAATAATAAAGAAAGTTTCAAATAACTGGAATGCAAGTTGCCATTTATGGAAGTGTTGAGATAAACTCATACCCATTTCAGGCTTCTCACAAGTTGTAGGATCAATATTTTCTGTTACCGGTTCTAATGTGGTATCCAAGCCCAAATCACGTTGACTAATAGCAGAAAGTTCATCCAAAGAAAACAGATAATGAGTTATATTAAAACCTTTCATCCCTTTCCAGAAGCAATTTTTTTCCTCAGCTCTCATGGGAGATCAGATTTCCAACCCCTCTTTGCAGTGGTTTTGGCTGCTCCTCTCACACTGAAAGCACAGGGGCCTTGGTCCTTCCATTGATTCATAAGTACAACACCCTACTTCTTGGATACAGAGCCATCGCGGAATGTTCGCTGGAGTGAGGCAGCGTATGGAGCACATGGGACATGCAGACCCAGGTAAGGTGTACAGGAGGCCGGGATCACCTGCAATGACTGTAACCTCAGGCAAATCTCACAACTTTTCACAGCCATGGATTTCACATTTATGCTCTGGCAACATTACCTCAAACCCACACTGTGTGGATTATGTGGAGAACTCTATAAACTATAAAAGTTACACAACATTTATTATTTTGGTGTACTTTAATTCAAGGGACAGTATTTAGCACATTGAGATGGTCTTCTGATCTATTTTTAAGAAAAGGTCAGCTAACATGAGATCTAAGAAGAGTATTATTCTGAAGTTACCATTAAGCTATAAGTCAAAAGACAAAATCTTGGTGTCAAAAAAATTGTTTGAAAATTTTACCAGTCAAAAATAATTTTTTATTAAATATATAAAATTTTCTATATTATGCAAAACCAAAAGATATGCACATTTAAATTTTACAGAAATTCAGAGGCACATTTATTTTACTTAGGTCACTGTTCGATGGGAGACCATATCCTGTACCCCTCTGCCAGGGGTGATGTATTATCTGGCTCAACCATGTGTCTGGAGTTGGGCCTCAGCAGAAATAACCTGCAGCTATTCCTCTTAAAAGTTATGTGACTTTGGGCAGTTAGTTTTCAACCCTGTGCCTGTTTCTTTATCTGCCCAATAGGGATAAAAATCCTTTACTTGCTCATCTGGTGACTGATTTTTATAAAGAACTGACGTCCTCGGCCCAAGGACTACCCCAGCTCCAGCACTCCCCATAGGAATAGCTAAGACTTTTATTGCAACATCTTTGTAATCCAGCTTCTTCTCTGCCTAATCTTGCATTCTTTACCCCTCAAAGATATTGTTGCCAAGAACCCTTCCCAACACACCCACTGTACACAAATCTCAGTGTATCAGAGTCTGATTCCTGGGAACCCAAACTATAACACCCCTTTTCAGGAAAAATGGACAAAATATCTATTCATAGAGGCTTGTAATGCTAAACATATCTTCTAGAGGTCATGCAAATCAGGTTAAACAACAAGAAAACCTTGGTGATCTAGTTTCTAACTCCTTCAACACCTTCTGTTCTGGAAGCTTAATTAGAGCAACTTAACTCAAGAGGGTAAGACAGTTTACCATGAATTGGTGGTCCTCACTCCCAGAAGCAATTCCAAGCATTTACTCTTTTCTCTAGATTTGCCTTTCCTTCCCATGTCAGTTATTCTTGCTTTCCCTTCCAAATATGCAAACCATCCATGTAATGAGATCTTGGTGTCTCCTCACCTGCAAGCATAGATTGCATGCCTGGCTCTGGCAACCCATGTTCTAACTTTATTTCTCGTTCAAGCTCTGTATACCATAGTCAACCCTATTTCCTCACTGCCTTGATCTTCAATAAAGATCAGAGAGCTATCCATCAGAGAGAATGGGAGAACTTCAAGGCAGACCTAAATTGGCTCAAAGAACAAGTGCCTCAAATGCTAGACGATGAGTTCATTTTTCAAAAAGAGATCCAAAGAACTCCTGAGTGGCATATAAAACCCTATTTCTAGACATGGAGTCTTTCAGACTGTATTTAGCTCAGAACATTATCTCCTCCCATTTTACTACCAGTTTTTTGTTTATTGTCTCTGGAGTCTGGTTCTAGCAGCCATCCAAGAAAACTGTGGGAATGTCTCAAAGCTGTTGCTAGTTATTCACCTTCATCACTGCTTCTACATTCCTAAGACTCCAAGAGCCTCAGTCAATTAGGGAATAGTGGATAGTGACCATCTAGACACCGTTTGCCACAACTGCTGTGTTATGGCCCCAGCCTTGATTTTCCAGATAAAAGTGAAAGCCAAGTATAAGGAATTGTTCCCTTGAGAGTGCTCACCTTGGCTGAATAGGATCTTAGAAGCCCACAGGTCATAGGCTCAGTTCTTAAACTGTAGATTTCAGTAACAGCACAGACAAAACATTACTGGTTCATCTTGTTTTTAAAAGGGCTCAGAATATGTAAACTTTTAAATAAACACCACTATCCTATGATCCTCATTTTTGAAGTGCCTTTGTGAGAACTGTTCATTTTTTCTTCTGTTCTTGCCACACCAAAAGGGAGTTATGGTGTTGAACTCACTTCATGCCTGAGACAGATCCATCCAAGAAGCAATACTTTGAACAATGTAAAGATGGCTATAAATGTTATATTGTATGTTTTCCCTCAGAACTTTAAAGAAATTCCAATATTTCTAGCTTGGTTGTTTGGATTTTTTCCCCCTGATTTGAGAGAGCTAGTTTCTCTCTCCCTCAACAAATTTCTTAGGAGGTCAAGATTTTTAATTATTTCTAGTCAGTAACAAAAAAAACCTAAGTGTACTTAAATGAATAAGATATTTACTTTTATGTTGTATACATATCACGGCTCCTCTTCAATTAAGGTAAATATATTTGCCTCTTTCTGTGGATTATTTTCCTAATTTTTCAGTGTCACATGATACTAAGTCATGGAGCAAAAAACAAATCCTTAAGTGTAGTTGGAATAGGACCGAGGAATCATTACTACTGTGTGCTGAAATCCCCTCATGATCAAGAATCAAAACTGACATATGATGAATTGAGCTAAAGGGTTAATAAGATGAATTTTTATCAGCGATGGGTTTAAACTGGATTTGGTTCTCCTGAATTTAGAATAAACCTAACTGAAAATGCTTTTTTTTTTTTTGAGACAGACCCTCACTACATTGCCCAGGCTGGACTTGAATTCCTGGACTCAAGTGCTCCTCCCACCTCACCCTTCCAAGAATATGAGACCGCAGGCATGTTCTACCTTACTCAGCTCTTACCAATATCTTTTAATGTTACATCAATATTTTTAGATAATAAACATTGTATTGTTGAACAAACTTTATACTCTAAGTTATTTTTTAATTAGGAAGAAACTAAGGAGAAAAGTTTGAAATAATCTTTGTCCCTCCCATTATACCTGTAATTACGTTTACAATTTTAGGAAAATATTTTAGAACTATAGGAAAATATTTTTAGAAGCCAACTTGGATGAATCTTGGGGAGCTCCAGAAACCTTTCACAACTTTTTGAAATGTAAATAACAATTAATTTATAGTTAATGTTTGTTTCTTCATGCCTGTATTTATAGTATTTCTCTGGGAACAGAGCTGTAGAAAAAAAAAAACAGATTAAGAAAGTTTAAAATGGCTCATGTAGGTAATTTTAAAATCTTTAAAAGATATTACCTATAGCTAGATTTCCTCTTGTTTAATTCTGCAGCTAGGATATAAGCAACCATACAAGTCCCTAAGAGAGGCAATGAGATCTATCAGAGCAACAGACTAGGAATCAGGACATGGGAACATGATGGGGGCCCTGCCGTGAACAAGTTAGGATAGCCACTTAAGTCACTTAAGTATTCTGAGCCTTGGCAGGGTGCAGTGGCTCACGCCTGTAATCCCAGCACTTTGGGAGGCTGAGGCAGGTGGATCGCTTGAGGTCAGAAGTTCAAGACCAGCCTGACCAACATGGTGAAACCCGGTCTGTACTGAAAATACAAAAATTAGCCAGGCATGGTGGCGGGCGCTGTAATCCCAGTTCCTGGGGAGGCTGAGGCAGAAGAATCACTTGAACCTGGGAGGCAGAGATTGCAGTGAGCTGACATCGCACCATTGCCCTCCAGCCTGGGCAACAGAGCGAGTCTCCATCTCAAAAAAAAAAAAAAAAAGTATTCTGAGCCTTAGTTTCCCAATCTATAAAATGACTGCCCAGACCCCCTCCTCCTCCAGCATTCTGCAGTTTCTTATTCACTTAACAAACCTTATTAGAGCCTATTAAATGCAAATTTGCTTTAAAGAGATTATTTATGTTGCCTTTGTTTAATATAATGCCAACGCCAAATATTACATGTTTATATAATGCTTCACTTTTCACATCATCCTTTATCCTCAAAATAATCCTATTTAGATAGATCAAACATTGCCAAGATCATTTTTGAATGAGTAGACATAGACACAGAACAACTAAATGACTTGTCCAGAACCAGAGCAGCTAGCAACAGAGTCAGTTCAAGATTTGGGTCTCCAGTGTCCAACAGGCTAATCTCTTTCCTTGGGCACTCTTTGCACAAATAAAAGTACCTAGCTGTATGGCTGCCTTCTTCCTTCTTTATTGTAAGAATGTCTTGCATCGGCTAGCTGTCCATATGTTTTAGGACATCTGCTGACAGTTATTTGTATACAGTTACTTGAGACCAGGGCTATGGTTTGATCCCAGTCTCTCCTCCCACGATGCAAGGACCTTGGGCTAGTGATCCACCCACAGAATAAAGATCGACAACCTTGAGGATATTCTTGGCATCAGCTGTGTTACTGCCTGGGTATGTTGTGAGGGAAACTATCTGTGGAGTCCTTGAACACATGAGGAAAGGACGGATAAGGCCAATAAACTTTATAAATAGGCTCTTACCAAAGTTTCTTTCAGAAGAAAAAGAGAGCTTTCCAATCCTTGCTTTTCTTAAAGCCATTTTTGACTAACATCTCTTGGTTGTCAAGGACACAATAAGGTCATTAAAACCGTCTTCATACTCATTTCCATATTATGTTCCCAAATGGCAGAGCTGGTGTCAGATTCCTTGAGGTGCAGGGGGAAGGGAATAATAGGAGACTTGCAAAGGCTGGTAGAGATACTAAAATATTCCATGCACTTTTTGTATATCAAAAATTATAAAAAGTCACACTTTTTCTGTAGCAAATAATATCAACAGGGAAATTCAAGCTAAGATTTAGCCCCAGAATTCGACTAGTCCTTTCAGCCTATTTTGATAACATTCTTTTTATGCCCTCTCATTCAATCCCAAGTAGGGAAACTGATCAAACGCATTCTGCACATTCCACTGAGCCCACAGATTCAGCCTCCCAGCTGCAGCGCTAACCTCACAAATTCAGACTAGCTCCAGTTTACGAGTGGAGCAACTTTCTTGAATGGAGGAATACCCCAAACATACACACTTTACCTAACTTGCCTGACTTTTGCAGCTCCAGGCTTTTTTTTTTTTTTTTTGCTGGCACCATTTTTCTGTCTAATCAGAGACTCTTAGATGGAAAGGATTTTCTCTCTGTACTCTTCCACCTCCCTCTCCACAACACAATTTCAAATTCATATTCAATACTGCATTACAACAGTTGCCTGATTTCTGTCAAGGTTCTGACCGTAATGAGGCGCCAGGATATAGTCAGATTTTCAGTTGGAAAAACTTGGCTTTATGAAGTCTGCATGTGAAGAGTTTGGCAGATGAAAATTCAGAAATACAGCCAATGAGGCAAACATTTAATCTTGGAGAAAGCCCTTCACATGAATGCAGTTGACATAGAAGAAAGGAAACCACAAAAATAACAGGGCAATAACATTAAAGACTGGGTTTACACACACCAAAAGAAAAGGAAATTCAGAGCTGACTTCCACATCCCTTCTTACAATTCATCACCACAGGACGAAATATGCAGATGTTGTTTTTTTTGTGTGTGTGTGAGACTGGAAAAAGAGCAAAAATTTCAAAATCAGATTAAGACAAATGTAGTAAAATGTCTGGTTATTCTTTGCACTGTGATAGTTATCTTTCATTTTAAGTTCTTAAAATACTTTGCAACAATTAGTCTCCCCATTTCATAGCTGGGGAAATTGAGATCCAGGCCAATAAAGTAACTCCTGCTAACACATAGAAAATCAGAACCACAAATTGAGTTGCAACTTTTTTTCCACAACCTGTTACAAAAGTCATTTTCTTGATAGCATGCTCTTTTCAAAAAGAAAATAGATTCAAGCCCAGTTCTGGGGATAAATCTTACCTTGAATTTAGATTCTAGAACTTTTATTTAAAAGTATTCAATCAGTCAAACAGAGATGTTCTAACATCAATTGTTACAATAGTGCTTTGAAAAATGTATGTTTTAGGCCAGATTTTATTTGTAATAATGTGAAAATCATTTGGTAATATTTCTTTCCCTTTAGCAACTCACATTTTAGTTCCAGTAATTCAATAAAGTGGCAAGGTCTAATCATATCTGATTATCTGAGAATTTTTTTTTTACTTCTTTTCAGTGAGACTTAAAAATCATAAAACATTGTACTAAACCCCCAATACAGGGAAATCACTTAAACTTTTGAGGTAAAATTTATATCTACTTAACCAAAGTTTATTGTGCATACGTTGGAACTTTCACTGGATCCTTCTAAGTAATGTTTACATTTCAACCTTGATAAATTTTGAGAGAGCTCCTCAACTTCCTCTCTGTCCCTTTTTCTATTAAATGTGTTGTCAGTAGAGTTTTAATTTTTGAACCAATCTACCAGAAGTTGTACCCACAGAAATTGTTCTGAAGTCAGAGCTTCAAGGGTTCAAGCCACACTTGGAAAGAAATTTATCCAGGGTGGCTGGATGGCAGCATAGCTGGAAGGGAACTTGGGTAGCAGTCAAGGATGGAGACACGAGCCTAACCAGGAACACTAGGGAGGAGAATGTAAAATGAGGTCCGAAGGCAAGAGAAACAGATGGCCCAGAAAATCTAGAAGATCAGGACATGCACCTCTACATGAAACAGGGCCAGCCAGTGAGGAAAGGGGAGGGAGAGTAGAAATGATGAGAAGATGCTGAAGTTCCCATTTTTAGAGGAGCCAGATGGCTGAATGTGGATGGGCTGAGAGGCACAAAAGAGTCACTCATGCAGGTCAAACAGGTTAATGCAAATAACACTGAAAGAAAGAATGTAAAGTTCAATAAATTTTCATATGAATTTTTAAAAATTTATTCTTATGATTATTCTTATTGCAGAATAAAGGTAAAACAAAGATATTCTTTAAATAATAAGAAGAAACTCAGAAGAGTTTACCTCTAACAGACATGCACCAAAGAAATTCCAAAGGGTGTTTTTTTGTTTTTTTGGTTTTTTTTTTTTTAAGACGGAGTCTGTCTCTGTCGCCCAGGCTGGAGTGCAATGGCATGATCTCAGGTCACTGTAACCTCTGCCACCCGGGTTCAAGTGATTCTCCTTCCTCAGCCTCCAGAGCAGCTGGGACTACTGGCACCCGCCACCACGCCCAGCTAATGTTTGTAATTTTAGTAGAGATGTGGTTTCACCACGTTGACCAGGCTGGTCTCGAACTCCTCACCTCAGGTGATCCATCTGCCTCGGCCTCCCAAAGTACTGGGATTACAGGTGTGAGCCACCATGCCCGGCCCAAAGGGTGTTCTTTACACAAAAGGAGAGTGGTCCTAGATGCAAAGATGAAGATACAGGAAGGAATAAGGAGCATCAAATTTGGTATATATGGAAGTTAATCTAAATGATTATTGACTCTATAAAAGGATAATAATGATAGATTTAAGCCCAAACCTCAAAAACCATGGGATGCAGGGGACAGGATAAAATTCTAGGAACTCCCAAGAAGTATGGTGAAGGGAGATCCCAGGATGACAGCTGTTCCAGAAAGAGAAAGAAATTAGTTAAGATTGGAAAGAGACTGACTCAAGATACACAAGCACATTGAAGACTTTATCATCAAGACACCTCTGCCATGTATCTATCTCCTTTTTATCATGAGTTGAAAATGCCTGGGTGAGCCAGCCCAGGCTTTTATTTGTATTTGGCTTGTCTTAACCACCTGCTGAATTTATGGTCTCAGCTGAATTAGATCAGCTGAGAACACACAGTTCACTCCACAGACGTGTGCCACTTAGATCTGCTCCTGAGAGCAGGAGGTAGGCTTAGAAGCTTAGTAGCAGTGATAAGCTGAGAAGAAGAAACTACAGAACAATTCACTCCTCTATAATTTTACTCCTAGATAGGTACATAGCCCATGAAACAATCCGGCTTGCTGGCCCAAATCTGGTATACCAGCCCAATGTTTCCCAAGATTTGCTCAAGATCTTGCCTGATTACTTCCCCAGATGGACATCTTACAAACTTTCAGAGGAGCTGAAGCCAGATTGTGAGTATACAATTCTGTTCAGTCATCTTCTCCGAGAACCCTCTCTCATCTTTTTTCTCAAAGGTAGGTTTGTGCTTGCTACAGAGTTTTTCAAAACTAAGCCATATATATATATCATGTAGGAATATATTTGTCACTTGTGAATCCATAAAGAAGCACAAAAGATTTACCAAAACAAGGCAGGATGATGGTTACACCTGGCAGACAGGAGAAGAATGTAATTGAGGAGGTGATCACAAAGGCTTTCAAGGTATTGGCAATATTTTTATTTCTTAATCTGGGTAATGAATACTCAAGAGTTCATTTTAGTGTAAATCTTTACACTGTTCCTCTAGATTCTATACATAATTAAAAAGAAAAGTGGCAAGAAAAGTCACTTAGCCCCGCCATTTCCATCTCACAATCCCAAACATACTGCACTTGCTATTTCCTTTCTCTTTACTAGAACCCTGCTGCCACCATTGTCCAAACCAGCACCATAACTTGCCTGGAATATGACATGGTTTTCTAAATTAGAAATTGTCTTTTCACTTCTAACTCTGTCCCCCTACATTGTGTTTTCCACACAAAAGCCAGCTGATCCTTTTAAAGCCTAAGTTGGATCTTGTCACTCCTCTGCTGAAAATTTCCAACAGTTCCCACCCAACTCAGATGAAATGAGAGTTCTTACCATGGGCTGCAAAGCTCTAACTGACCTGGCCCTGTTAACCCTCTGCCCTTGCCTGCTGGCTTGCCCCTTCCATTTCCTGTCAGACTGGGTCCTTGTTGCTCCTTTAACTCACCCAGCACACTCCTAGCTCAAAGGCCTGCTTTTTCATCTCAAGAAGTTCATAGAGAAAAATCACTTTTTATTTATGTTTCAGATAAATGACTTTTTATCAGAAAGGCCTTCCCTGACCATGTATCTATTTAAATGTTATTAAATATTATCCCTGATGTGCTTTATTATTATTCTTAGAACTTATTAAAATAGGACACACATATTTGTTCACTTTTTTCTTTATTCTTTTCTCCTTTACTAGAATGTGAGCTCCATGAGGCCAGAACCTTTGTCTTTTTTTTTTTTTTGTCTTAACTGTTGAACAGTGTCTGGCAATACAGTAGGAGTTCTTTTAATATTTGTTGAGCAAATGAAGAATAATCCTTTATTTACATGGATCCTTAATCTCAGCCAGATCTTCCAACAAGTCCTGGGTTTACTAGACTTTCTTGTTCTTCACTCAGGTTCTTACAAATGGTCACCAGAAGGAGGACAATCACAAGTAAGTCACTCAGGCAAAAACTGAGAGTTCACAAAGGCAAAGGATTATAAAAATATTGATGAACTTTGAAAAACTCAAGTCTGCATCATGTCCTTAAGAATAGAAACAGGTTATAAAGAAAAGGTATAATTAGATAAAAATATAACTATGAAGCATGCATGAAGTATGACTGACTCTAGTTGAAATCCACACCTCTCAAGAAAGAGGATGTTATGGACTGAATGGTTGTATTCCTCCTAAATTTGTATGCTGAAGCTTTAACCCCCAATGTGATGGTATTTGGATATGGAGACTTTGGGAGGAAATTAGGTTTAGATGAAGCTGAGTCTCCCATGATAAGACTAGTGTACTTCCAAGAAGAAGAAGAGACCAGAGCTCTCTCTGCCAAGTGAAGACACCATGAGAAGATAGTTTGTCTTCAAGTCAGGAAGAGAGCTCTGGCCAGGAACCAAATCTGCCAGGACCTTGATCTTAGACTTCCCAGTCTCCAGAACTGTGAGAAATGAATGTCTGTTGTTTAAGCCATTCACTCTACGATATTTTACTATAGCATCCCAAGCTGACTAAGACAAAGGCCACTTGACATAGAATAGGAAAAAAAAATCCCCAGCCATCCCCAGTCAACTATATTTAAGTTACTATGAAAATAAACAGGAGTAAGTGTATTTGGGATTTAAATCACTATGAATTTTAATGCATTTAATTGAAGTCACAGACCATTGAAAATGAATAAGGTAAATTTTAAGAAAGAGGAGAATCTCACAGCTACATTAGTCAAAACCGAAAATTAATGTTACTTCAATACTTATTGCTACATCTGTTTCTTTGTTTTTGTCTTTTTTCCCCCAGTAGAAAAGCTTATCTCTAAATTTGAATTAGTTGGCTTTTGCTGATCCACATTTCAAAGATCTTACTTCTTAAGTTTTGTTGAAAACAAACAAGTAACCAAAAAAGAAACCATTAACTCATATCAATGAGTGACAATAAGTTGAAAAAAAATATTTTAGGTTAAAATCCTTCTTAACATAATATGGCTGGAATATAAGAGCTAGTTATTACAATTTAGTCTTGGTTTCATCTTTCATTTACTGTTTTTAAAATTCAGATTTTCCATTAGGAACAAAAATCCATTGTTATCATTCAGCCACATTTCTTTTCCATGTAATTTTGATTTAAAACTTGCATATTTACATGAAACTTTTCATTTTAGGAAAATTTGACAAATAATTTTTCATCTGTCTCTTTAACCCTAAAAAGATTAATTTATATGCTTAATAATAAGGCAATATATGTATACTGTTCAAAAAAACAGCTCCTGGCTGCTATTGGGCCCTAGTAGAGATGGGTGTCTGATTGTGAGTCAAGAGACCTTAATTTTAATCCTGCCTCTAGTAATAACTACTGGCTTTACCACTTTGGAAAGTCATTTAATTTTTGTGTATCTTAGTTTTTTCTCATCTGGAAGGTGACTAAATAAAGGTTAAGGAGGGCACCAGTTTTAATATTATATGAGCCCATATATGACTGTTTCATCTTGCATGATTTGATGCCGTCTTAATCTGAATCTGTACAATTGTAAATATATATGCCTCTAACAACAAAGTCCTACAATACATGGAGTAAAAACTTTTAGAATTGAAGACAGAAACAGACAATTCAACAATAAGAGTTGCAGACTTCAATACTCCACTTTCAATAGTGGAGAGAAAAACTAGACAGAAGATCAGCAAGGAAACAGAAGTTTGAACAACATTACAGGCCAACTAGACCTAACATATCCATAGAACATTCAACCCCAAAATAGCAGAATGTACATTCCCTTCAAGATTAAAAAGAACACTCTCCAAGATAGATCATATACTAAGCCACAAAACAAGTTTTAATAAATTTTAAAAGACTACAGTTGTACAAGGTGTGCTCTCTGACCCCAACAGAAGTAAATTTAGAATAAGTAACAACAGGAAAATTGGGAAATTACCAAATATGTAGAAGTTAAATGATACACTTCACATAATTATTTAGTCAAAGAAGAAATAACAAGGGAAATTAGAAAATACTCTGAAATGAATGAAAACAAACACACAACATACCAAAATGCATAGGATGCAATAAAAGCAGTGTTCAGAGGGAAAGTTATAACTGTAAATACTTACTTTCAAAAAGAATAAAGATCTCAAATCAATACTTTAAACCCGAAGGTAAAGAAACTAGAAAAGGAAGAGTAAATTAAAACCAGAGCAAACAGAGGAAGCAAATAATACATAATAGGGTGAAAATGAATAAAATAGAGAACTCAAAAAGCAGAGCAAATCAACAAAACAGATGGTTTTTTAAATAATGAAAACTAAGTTTATTTCCCTTTCCTCTACTCCACCACCCATTTTTCCTCCCCAGTTGCATTCTCTCTTACAAGTTTCTCATGTATCCTTTGAGAAACAGTCTACAAATTTTATAGGTATATATTTTCTTTCTCTCCCCCATAAAATTTTTAGCATAATATGAACACAATTTTCCACCATGCTTAGAGAGCATTGGTATTCTCTATACAGGTGCACAATTTTTAGTTTTTCATTGTGTAATTTATATAATACTTTAACAAGACTCCTGCTGATAGACTTTTAAGTTGTTGTTTGCAGTCTTTTGCTATTATAAGCAGTATTTAAGTATACAATGACCTTATATATGTTTCATTTAAATGTGCAATTATAATTCTAAAATTAGTATTTAAAAGCAAATTTTTGTTGAGTCCAAGAATGCATGATGTTTTCCCACACCTTTCTTGTGGGGAGGATGTACTATCAAATGTCTGATAATTTTCTGATATAGTAAGATTGAAAAAATTAAAAATACATATTATCCTATAGTCATATTGTTTATGGCTTCTGTGTCATAAATCAAAGGGCTTTCCTCCCTCTCAGTTTATTTTTATTTTATTTTAACTTTTTTTAATGTCAATCCTTTTCTGGTAGTTTTTGGTTGCATGGATTAATGCGTTAGTGGTAATTTCTCAGATTTTGGTGTACTCATCACCCAAGCAGTGTACAATGTACCCAATGTGTAGTTGTTTATCCCTCACCTCCCTCTTCCCCCTGAATCCCCAAAGTCCATGATATCATTCTTATGCCTTTGCATTCTCATAGCTTACCTCTTACTTATAATGCATGCATATGCTTGTGTCTTTACCATATAATGACTTATTTTCCTCTGGGTAGACTCTCTACCCAGCAGTGGGATTGCTGGATCAAATGGTAGTTCTACTTTAGTTCTTTAAGGAATATCCATCCTGTTTTACACAGTGGTTGTACTAGCTTACATTCCCACCAGCAGTGTAAAAGTGTTCCCTTTTCACCATATCCACTCCAACACCTACTATTTATTATTTTTTTTAATTATGGCCATTCTTGCAGGAGTAAGGTAGTATCTCGTTGTGGTTTTGATTTGCATTTCCCTGATAGTGATGTTGCGCATCTTTGCATGTGTTTGTCGGCCATTTGTATATCTTCTTTTGAGAATTGTCTATTTATGTCCTTTGCCCACTTTTTGATGAGATTATTTGTTTTGTCTTGCTGATTTGAGTTCCTTGTAGATTCTTGATATTAGTCCTTTGTCAAATGCATAATTTGTGAGTATTTTCTCCCATTTTGTGGGTTGCCTGTTTACTCTGCTGATTGTTTCTTTCACTGTGCAGAAGCTTTTTAGTTTAATTAGGTCCCATTTATTTACTTTTGTTTTTGTTGCATTTGCTTTTGGGTTCTTGGTCATGTACTCTTTGCCTAAGCCAATGTCTAGAAGAGTTTTGCCAGTGTTACCTTCTAGAATTTTTATAGTTTCAGGTCTTAGATTTAAGTCTTTGATCCATCTTGAGTTGATTTTTGCATAAGGTGAGAGATGAGGATCCATTTCATTTTTCTAAATGTAGCTTGCCAATTATCGCAGCTCTATTTGTTGATATTGGGTGACTTTTCCCCACTTTATGTTTTTGTTTGCTTTGTCAAAGATCAGTTGGCTGCAAGTATTTGGCTTTATTTCTGGATTCTCTATTCTGTTCCATTGGTCTACATGCCTATTTTTATACCAGTATCATGCTGTTTTGCTGGGTAATGTGATGCTTCCAGATTTGTTCTTTTGCTTAGTCTTGCTTTGGCTATGTGGGGTCTTTTCTTTTTTTGGTTTCATGTGAATTTTCAGATTGTTTTTTCTAGTTCTATGAAGAATGATGGTGGTATTTTGATGGAATTGCATTCAATCTGTAAACTGCTTTTGGCAGTATGGTTATTTTCACACCATTGATTCTACGTATCTGTGAGCATGGGATGTGTTTCCATTTGTTTGAGTCATTAATGATTTCTTTCAGCAGGTTTTGTAGTTTTTCTTGTACAGATCTTTCACCTTCTTGGTTAAGTATATTTCTAAGTGTTTTAATTTCTTGCAGCTGTTGTAAAAGGGATTGAGTTCTCGGTTAGTTTCTCAGCTTGGTCATTGTTGGTGTATAGTAGTCCTACTAATTTGTGTACCTTGATTTTGTATCCTGAAACTTTGCTGAATTCATTTATCAGATCTAGCAGTTTTTTGGATGACTCTTTAGGGTTTTCTAGGTGTACATTCATATCACCACTAAACAGCAACAGTTCAACTTCCTCTTTACTGATTTTGATGCCCTTTATTTCTTTCTCATGTCTGATTGCTCTGGCTAGGACTTCCAGTACTATATTGAATAGAAGTGGTAGATGTGGGCATCTTTGTCTTTTTCAGTTCTCATGGGAAATGCTTTCAATCTTTCGCCATTCTGTATAATCTGGCTGTAGGTTTTTCATAGATGGCTTTTATTACCTTGAGGTATATCCCTTCTATGCCAACTTTGCTGAGGGTTTTAATTATAAAAAGATGCTGAATTTTGTCAAGTGCTTTTTCTGCATCTATTGAGATGATCATATTAGGTTGGTGCACAAGTAATTGCAGTTTCAGATCATGAATTTTCAGTCATTATAACTAGGCTCAAACCACCTCTTTATTAATCAAAACAGGAACCATTACAATCAACACATTTTTGCCAACAAGAAATGTTTGTTTATTCCTGTAGCATAAAAATCTGTGCCTTGAGATTCAGTGAATGCTTGGAAAGCATTTTCTACATCCAGCTGGTTGTGGAAGTGTTTTCCCTGCAAAAAGCTGTTGAGATGCTTAAAGAAGTGGTAGTCAGTTGGTGAGAGGTCAAGTGAATATTGCAGATTAGACAAAACTTCATAGTACAATTTGTTCAATTTTTGAAGTGTTGGTTGTGTGACGTGTGATTAGGCACTGTTTTGAGAAGAATTGGGCCCTTTCTGTTGACCAATGCCAGCTCCAGGCATTGCAGTTTTCAGTGCATTTCATAGACTTCCTGAGCATAATTTTCAGATATAATGGTTTTGCCGGGATTCAGAAAGCTGTAGTGGATAAGATTGGCAGCAGACCACCAAACAATGACGATAACCTTTTTTGGTGCAAGGTTGGCTTTGGGAAGTGTTTTGGAGTTTCTTCTCGGTCCAACTGCTGAGCTGGCCATTGCCAGTTGTATAAAATCCAATTTTCGTCACATGTCACAATCTGATCAAGAAATGGTTCTTGCAAATTGTTGTTGCAAAGAGTAAGAGGAGATGACACTTCAAAATGATGATTTTTTTGATTTTCACTCATGAGGCACCCATTTATTCAGCTTTTTCACCTTTACAATTTGTATCAAATGCCAAGTGACCATAGAATGGTAGGCATTGAGTTCTTCTGCAACTTCTTGTGTAGTTGTAAGAGGATCAGCTTCGATGATTGCTCTCAATTGGTCACTGTCAACTTCTGATGGCCCGCCACCATGCTCCTCATCTTCAAGGCTCTTGTCTCCTTTGCAAAACTTTTTGAACCATCACTGCACTGTACATTCATTAGCAGTTCCAGGGCCAAATGTGTTGCTGATGTTGCGAGTTGTCTCCACTGCTATACAACCCATTTTGAAAACAAATAAGAAATTAGCTTAAATTTGCTTTCTAACATCATTTCCACAGTCTAAAATAAACATAAAATAAACAGCAAGTAATACGTCACTAGCAAAAAAATCATAAAGTAAGATATGCCCATTAAAATGATGTATAACATAACCACATTTATTTAAGAATGTATTCCAATATCAAACAGCAAATTTCAACAATGCAAAGACCACAATTACTTTTGCACTTACCTAATATGATTTTTGTTTTTCATTCTGTTTATATGGTGTATCACACTTATTAACTTGTATATGTTAAACCATCCCTGCATCCCTGGTATGAAACCCACTTGATCATGGTGGATTATCTTTTTGATATGCTGTTGGATTTGGTTAGCTAGTATTTTGTTGAGGATTTTTGCATCTATCTTCATCAGGGATATTGGTCTCTAATTTTCTTTTTTTGTTGTGTCCTTTCCTGGTTTTGTTATCAGGGTAATACTGGCTTCGTAGAATGATTTAAAGAGGATTCCCTCTTTCTCTGTCTTTTGGAGTAATTTCAGTAAGATTGGTACCAATTATTCTTTCAATGTCTGATAGAATTCAGCAGTGAATCCATCTGGTCCTGGACTTTTTTTGTTGGCAATTCTTTTATTACTGTTTCAATCTTGCTACTTGTTATTGATCTGTTCAGAGTTTCTATTTATTTCTAATTTAATCTGGGGGCATTGCATATTTCCAGAGATTTATCCATCTCTAGATTTTTACTTTGTGTGTGTAAAGGTGTTCATAGTAGCCTTGAATGATCTTTTGCATTTCTGTGATATCAGTTATAAAATTTCCTATTTCATTTCTAATTGAGCTTATTTAGATCTTCTCTCTTCTTTTCTTGGTTAATCACACTAATGGTCTACCAATTTTGTTTATCTTTTCAAAGAACCAGCTTTTTGTTTCATTTACCTTTTGTGTTATTTTATTGTTTCAATTTTGTTTAGTTCTGCTATGATCTTTGTTATTTATTTTCTTCTACTGGGTTTGGGTTTCGTTTGTTCTTATTTCTCTAGTTCTGTGAAGTGTGACAGATTGTTTATTAGCACTCTTTCAGACTTTTTGATGTAGGCACTTCATGCTGTAAACCTTCCTCTTAGCATTGCTTTTGCTGTACCCCAGAGGTTTTGATAACTTGTATCACTATTATTGCTCAGCTGAAATAATTTTTTAATTTCCATCTTGATTTCATGGTTGAACCAAAGATCATTCAAGAGCAGATTATATAATTTCCATGGATTTTTACAGTTTTAACAGTTCCTTTTGGAGTTAATTTCCAGTTTTATTCCACTATGGTCTGAGAGGATACTTGATATAACTTTGATTTTCTTAAATTTACTGAGACTTGTTTTGTGACCTATCATCTGATCTATCTTGGAGAATGTTCCATGTGTTGAAGAAAAGAATGTATATTCTGCAGTTGTTGGGTAGACTGTTCTGAAAATACCTGTTAAGTCCATAGGTTCTATGGTATAGTTTAAGTCAATTGTTTCTTTGTTGACTTTCTGTCTTGATGACCTGTGTAGTGCTGTCAGTGCAGAACTGAAGTCCCCCACTATTATTGCATTGCCATCTATCTCATTTCTTAGGTCTAGTTGTAATTGTTTTATAAATTTGGGAGCTCCAGTGTTAGGTGCATATATACTTAGAATTGTGGTATTTTCCTGTGGACTATTCCTTTTTCCATTATATAATGTCCCTCTTTGTCTTCTTTTACTGTTGTTGCTTTAAAGTCTCTTTCATCTGACATAAGAATAGCTACTTCTGCTCATTTTGGGTTTCCATATGTGTGAAATATCTTTTTCCACTCCACTACCTTAAGTTTATGTGAGTCCTTACGTGTTTGGTGAGTCTCTTGAAGACAGCAGGTACTTGGTTGGTGGATTTTTATTCATTTTGCCATTCTGTATCTTTTAAATGGAGCATTTAAGCCATTTACATTCAACGTTGGTATTAAGATGTGAGGTACTGTTCTATTCATCATGTTAGTTGTTGCCTTAATACCTTGGGTTTTTTTCCATTGTGTTATTGTTTTATAGGCCCTGTGAGATTTATGCTTTAAGGAGGTTCTACTTTGGTGTATTTTGAGGTTTTCCTTAAAGATTTAGAACTTCTTTAGGCATGTTGTAGTGCTGGCTTAGTAGTGATTAATTCTTTCAGCATTTGTTTGTCCAAAAAACACTTTATCTTTCCCTCATTTATGAAGCTTAGTTTTGCTGAATACAAAATTCTTGGCTAACAATTATTTTGTTTCAGGAGGCTAAAGATGGGACCCCAATCCTTTCTGGCCTGTAAGGTTTCTGCCAAGAAGTCTGCTGTTAATTGATAGGTTTTCCTTTATAGGTTATCTGATGCTTTTTTCTCAAAGCTCTTAATATTCTTTCATTTGTCTTGACTTTAGATAATCTGATGGCTATGTACCTAAGTGAAGATCTTTTTGTGATGAATTTCCCAGGTGTTCTTTGAACTTCTTGTATTTGGATGTCTAGATCTCTAGCAAGGACAGGGAAATTTTCTTCGATTATTCCCTCAAATAAGTTTTCCAAACTTTTAGATTTCTCTTCTTCTTCAGAAACACCAATTATTGTTAGGTTTGGCTGTTTAACATAATCCCAAATTTCTTAGAGGCTTTGTTCATTTTTTAAAATTATTTTTTATTTTACTTTATCAGATTGGGTTAATTTGGAAGACTTGTCTTCAAACTCTGAAATTCTGTTTTCTACTTGTTCTAGTCTACTGTTGAAACTTTCAACTGCATTTTGTATTTCTCTAAGTGTGTCTTTCTTTTCTGGAAGTTGTGATTGTTTTGTTTTTATCATATCTATTTCTCTGGAGAATTTTTCATCTGTATCTGTATCTTTTTAAAATTTCTTTAGGTTGTTTTTCACCTTTCTTTGGTATCTCCTTGAGTAGCTTAATAATCAACCTTCTGAATTCTTTATCTGGCACTTCAGAGATTTCTTCTTGGTTTGGATTCATTGCTGAGGAGCTGGTGTGATCTTTAGCAGATGTTATAGAACCCTGTTTTGTCATATTACCAGAATTACTTTTCTGGTTCCTTCTCATTTGGGTAGACTATTTCAGTGGAGAGGTCTGAAACTCAAGTCCTGTTGTTTAGATTCTCTTGTCCCATGGGGTAATCCCTTGATATGGTGCTTTCCTCCTTCCTCTAGGGATGTGGCTTTCTGAGAGCTGAACTGCAGTGATTGTTATTGCTCTTCTGGGTCTAGCCACCCGGTGGGACTACCAGGCTCTGGGTTGCTGCTGGGGGATATCTGCAAAGGGTCCTGTGATGTGATCCATATTCGGGTCTCACAGCCATGGATACCAGCATCTGCTCTGGTAGAGATGGCAGGAGAGTGAAGCAGACTCTGTCAGAGTCCTTGGTTGCAGATATGTTTAGTGTACTGGCTTTCTTGAATGCTGGTTATGCTAGCTGTGAAATTATCATGTGGACACACTCAGGACCGCTGGTTAGCCGGGATGTTGTAAGCAGTGGAATTATGTGTTGGATTCTCCTGTCTGAGATCAGGTTTATTCTGTCATGAGTTGCTTTAATGACCTGAGTTGGTTGGCCTCTAGCCAGGAGGTGGCACTTTCAAGAGAGCACCAGCTGTGGTAGTAGTAGGGGGTTCTAAGCATGCCATAAGATGACCATGGTATTTTGGTTTCTCCAGTGATGGGCAGGGTCATAAAGTTCCCAAGAGTTTCTAGGTTTTGTGTTCAGCTACCAGGGTGGGTAGTGAAATACCATCAAGTGAGGGCAGGATTAAGTGGCTCTTAACTCAGACTCTCTTTGGGCAGGGCCTGCCATGGTCACTGTTGGGGGGATGGGTTCTCAGTCCATTGGGGCTATATTCCAGAGGGGATCTTGGCTGCCTCTGCTGTATCATATAGTTCACCATAGAAGTGGGGGATACCCAGTAGTGAGAAGCCTGACTCAGCTCCCATGAAGTTGGTGAGGCTGGTCTCACTCCTGCAGTGCCTTGCTCAGACCTTGCACCATGAGCTACCCTACTGAGAAACCAAGGTGACCTTTAGACCTCATCCCTCCCTGTCTGCCTATTTGAGCAGCAGCAGCTCCTGCGCTCCTGTGCTTGCTCATATCCACAGCAGCATCCACTCATCCCCTGGACTCCACTAAGAAAAAAATTGTTCCCAGTCTAAACCACTACCAATTACAGTTGAGAGTTTCCTTCTCTCTGCAACCCCTCCCCAATTCTGCTGACTGCCTTCCCAAAGGGCCCCTGTGAGATTTAGTCAGGGATAGCTCCCCTGGACTTTAGCTAGAGACTGGGAGTAAGTGCAAGGCACTTCATGCTGCTACTTCTACTTTTATATTTCGGGTGACTTCTTAACTCCATTTCATCTCTAGGTAAGGTTGAATCCTTCTCCTGTGATCTGGATTTTCAGATTCCCCAGGTGGAATGTGTGTTTGGAGGTAGGTTCCCACCTCACACTTTGGGAACTCACAGTTTCTCACCTGTTTCATGGAATTTGCAGTGGCATGCTGCTTCTTTCAAAGTGTGAATTCTTTCAGTTTTCCTGGTATGTTCCTGCAGTGATCCTTGGAGAAAAGTTCACAGTGTGAGTCTGCACACACTGTTGTGACCATTCATGTGGGAGCTGCACGTTAGCCTTGTTTCCTATCTGCCATCTTCCCCCAATATCCGATAGTTTGCTTTTTGAAAAGATCAACACAATTGATAAACCCTCTGGTTAAAAAAAAAAGAAAAAGAAACAGACTCAAATTACTGAATCAGGAATGAAAGGGGATATTACTACCAATCTTTGAGAAATAAAAAGAATTATTAGAGAATACTATGAACAATCATATGCCAACAAATTAGATTAGTTAGATGAAATGGACAAATTCCTAAAAGAATACAGTCTACTTAAACTGATTAAAGGAGAAATAGAAAATTTGAGTCAATCTATAACAAATTAAAATATTAAACTAATAATCAAAAAAATTGCCACCAGAAAAAAGGTCAGAACCAAATCTCTTCACTGGTAAGTTCTACCACATATTTAATAAGAATAACACTAATTCTTCACAAACTTTTTCAAAAAATAGAAAGGGAGGAGACATTTCCCAGATCATTCTATGAGGCCAGTATTTACTTGATACCAAAACTAGATAAAGCGATCAAAAGAAAAAAAAAAAAGCTACGGACCAGTAGCTCTTATAAATGTAATAAATATGGATACAAAAATTCTCAACAAAATACTAGCAAACTGATTTCAATAACATATAAAAATAATTATATGCCATAATCAAGTGAGATTTATCTGAGGTATACAAGTTTGTTTCAACATATCAAAACTAATCAATGTTATACACCATATTAACAGAATATGGGGCCAAAGAAACCACATAATCATCTCAATAGACACACACAAAAAAGCATTTGATGAAATTCAACCTGCTTCCATGAAACACACACACACACACACACACACACACACACACACACACACACACACCAGCTCCTTTGGATACATACCCAGAAAAGGAATTGCGTATCATATGGTAGTTCTATTTTTAACTTTTTGTGGAACCTCCACATCATTTTTCATAATGGCTGTACTAATCTATATTCCTACCAACAGTGTACCAGGGTTCCCTCTTCTCCACATCTTCACCGGTACTTATCTCTTGTCTTTTCGGCTAATAATCAATAATAACCTGCCTTTTTAGCAGGTATAAGGTAGTATCTCATTGTAGTTTTAATTTGCATTTCCCTGATGATTAGCGATGTTGACCACCTTTCATGTATCTCTTGGCCATTTGTATATCTTCTTTTGAGAAATGCCTGTTCAGGTCCTTTACCCATTTTTAAATCAGGTTATTTGTTTTTCTTGCTATTAAGTTGTTTGAGTTCCTCAAATATTTATCATATTAGCCCCACAGATTAATGAATAAAGAAAATGTGGTATATATGCACAATAGAATACTATACATCCTTTAAAATGAAAAAAAATTTACCATTTGTGAAAACATAAATGAAGCTGGAAGACATTATGCTAAGTGAAATAAGACAGTCCCGGAAAGAACAAACACTCCATGAACTCACTTATATTTGGAATTTTAAAAATCATTACTCATAGAGGCAGAGAGTAAAATGGTGGTTACCAAAGGCTGGGGTGGGGAGGGTGGGGAAAGTGTAGTCATGGGTGAAAAGGTACACAGTTTCAGTTAGGCAAGAGGAAGCAGTTTTAGAGATCTATTGCACAGCATGGTGACCATACTAACATACTGCATATTTCAAAATTGCTAAAAGAGTAAAATTTAAATGTTCTCATTATTTAAAAAAGATAAGTACGTGAGGTGATGAATATATTAATAAGCCTGATTTAATCTTTCTAAAATATGTACATATATCAAAACATCATGTTGAACCCCACATATGTATATAGCTATTATTTGTCAACTAAAAATTTTAAAAAGCAAAACATGCAACAGGCTAGGAATATAAGGCACTTATTCAACCTGATAAAGTGTATCTGTGAAAAACCCACAATTCATATTATACTTAATTGCAAAAGTCTAAAAGCTTTTTTCCTAAGGTCCAAAACAAGACAAAGATGTTCACTGTTGCCACATGTGTTAACATTGTATTGGAGATTCTACCCAGGGCAGTCAGGCAATAAAAAGAAATACAAGGAATCTAGATTGAAAAAGAAGAAATAAAACTATCTGTATTTGCAGATGACATAATCTTTTTTTTTTTTTTTTTTTTTTTTTTTTTTTAGATGGAGTCTCACTCTGTCACCCAGGCTAGAGTGCAGTGGCGCGATCTCAGCTCACTGCAAGCTCCACCCCGGGGGTTCACGCCATTCTCCTGCCTCAGCCTCCCGCGTAGTAGTCCCAACTACTCGGCGCCGGCCACTACACCAGGCTAATTTTTTTTGTATTTTTAGTAGAGTCGGGGTTTCACCCTGTTAGCCAGGATGGTCTCGATCTCCTGACCTCGTGATCCACCCGTCTGGCCTCCCAAGGTGCTGGGATTACAGGCATGAGCCACCCGGCCGACATAATCTTATACACAGAAAGTCCTAGGAGATCCACACCTGCCCCTCCCCCCAAAAAATCCTATTAGAGGTAATAAGTGAGTTCAGCAAGGTTATGGGATACATGGACAATACAAAAAAATTAACTGTATTTCTATGCACTTGTAATTAACAATCCAAAGATAAAATTAAGAAAATAATTCTATTTACAAAAGAATCAGCAAGAATAAACCTTATGAATAGATGTAACCAAAGAAATGTAAGACATACACACTGAAAAATGCAGAACATCATTGAAAAGGATTAAAGAATACCTAAATAAATGAAAAGACATTCCATGTTCATGGATTGGAAGACTTAATATTGTTTAGACAGCAATACTCTTCAAATTGATCTACAGATTCAATATAATCCTTGTCAAAATTTTAGCTGCCTCTTTTGCAAACACTGAAAAGCTGATCCCAAAATTCATATGGAAATTCAGGACCTATCATACCCAAAACAATCTTGAAAAAGTATAATAAAGTTGGAGACTCACAATTTCCAATTTCAAAGCTAGAGTATTTACCACAAAGCTACAGTATTGAAGACTGTATGGTATTGCCATAAAGATAGAACTACAGATCAATGAATAGAGAGCCCAGAAATAAACCCATGCATTCATGGTCAATTGATTTTGATAAGGATGCCAGGACAATTCAATGAGGGAAAACAGAGGCTTTTCCACAAATGACACTCGGACAACTAGATATGCACATGCAAAAGAATGAAGCTGAATGTCAATCTTATGCCATATATAAAAATTAACTCCAAATAGTCAAATATCTAAATATAAGAGCTAAAATTATTAAAAATCTTAAAAGAAAACATGAGATTAAATCTTTACCACCTTAGATTAGGCAATGCTTTTCTAGATATGAAACCAGAACACAAGCAACCAATAAAAAAATTGATAACTGGACTTCATCAAAAATTTTAAAAACTTTGCTTCAAAGAAAACTATCAAAAAGTGAGAAGATCAGCAACAAGGTGGGAGAAAATATTTACATCTCATGTATCTGGAAAAGAATCTAGTTTCCAGAATCCTTTATTGTTGTAAGAGCTCTATAAACAGCTCTTACAACTCAACAATGAAAGACAAATAACTCAATTAATAAATGAGCAAAGGATTTGTATAGATATTTCCCCAAAGAATATATGCAGGTGGCCAATAAGCATATGAAAAGATGTTAGCTATCATTAGTCATTAGGGAAATGCAAATCAAAATCATAATGAGATACCACTTCACACCCACTAGATGGCTATAATCAAAAAGACAAACCATAACAAGTATTGCTAAGGATGTAGAAAAATTGGAACACTCATACACTGTTTTTTCAAGTGTAAAATGATGCAGCCACTTTGGGAAACAATTTGCCAGTTCCTCAAAAAGTCAAACATGGGGTTACCATGCAACCTGGTAATAACACTCCCGTGCATATACCCAAGAGAACTGACAACAAAAACTTGTACATTAATACTCATAACAGCACTATTCATAGCAGCCAAAAAGTAGAAACGACACAAAAGTTTATCAACCAATGAAAGATTAAACAAACAAAATGTGGTAAATCCATAGAATGGAATATTATTCAGTCATGAAACAGAATGAAGTACTGATACATGCTACAATATGGATGAAATTTGAAAACCTATGCTAAGTGAAAGAAGTCAGACACAAAAAGCCCACATATTCTATGACTTCAATTGTATGAAATGTCCAGAATAAGTAAATCCATAGAACTAGAAAGTAGATTTGTGATTGCTTAGGTCTAGGGGAGGAGAGGAAACAGAGAGTGACTGCTAATGGGTATGAGTTTCTTTTTGGGATAAGAAAATGTTCTGGAATTAGGCAGTGGTGATAGTTGCACAACCTTACAAATATACTAAAATCTGCTGAATTGTACACATTAAAAGGGTGAATTTCATAATATGTGAGTTAAGCCTGAATTTAAAAAAAAATTTGAATCTGGGATATAACAAGTTGTGTAAAATTACACTAAATCCTAAGGTGTACTCTGCTATGTTACATGCACAAAGTGAAGTAAAGTGAAAGAGAACAGGTGAAGGTATATGGCTAGGAAAATGAACAAAATAAATATTTTTTTCTTCAAGCAGAAAAATTCTTATTCACCCATGACAAGAAGGTTAGTGACTATTTCCAGAATGTATGTAGATTGTGAAAAATGAAGTGCCTAGTTCTTAGATATACCATTTGTGGTTTTAAGACCAAGAAATGCAAGGTGTCTCAATTCCCAGATCACACTTTTTTATTAAGCAAACAAAAGTCATGAGATGGTCATGTTTAAAATCTGCACCCTTCTCCAATCAGGCTCTCCAACCAAAGACATGCTGTGACAGTTTCCCCTATTCTAGTTAGCATGGCTTTTGGGTTAACAGAAAAGAGCATTTTACCAGAAAAAGAGAGAAAATTTTAAAAGACTTCATATTTTTAAAAAATCTCTACTTTGATGAAAGAAAAAAACATCTGGTTGATTTATACTTTTACTGTAGACAGAATACACACAATTTCAGGATGGTAATTACCTCCAGAGAGGAAGGGAGGAGGGAGAAGCAATGGGAAGAAGAGAGTGAGGAGCTGAAGTGGGTGAGGGTAGCCCCATCTTTAATATTATACTTTTTATAAACACAGAAAACAAGCTAAAGCAAAGCATTTATATGTTTAATTTTAATGACAGATGTATGGGCATCTGTTACTTTCTTTGTTAAGCTTTCCCGTATTTTTGAGACATTTGAAAATATAACAATTATTTTTAAATTATTTGATATTTAAAATATATTTTTCACTGTAATAACACAGTATTTTTTAAATTTTTTCCAGTTGTAGTTAATAATAGCTAAGTACTGTTCCAAGCTGGCAAAAAGTCCTTAAAAATACATTCGGTCAGTCATGAAACATTTATTCAGGACCTACCACAGCTCTATGTGCCAAGTGTTATGAAAGGTGCTCGTGATACAAAGATAAATAAGACACAGACTCTGCCTTCAAAAAGCTCTTGTCCTAGCGGGAAATTCAGACAGGTAAATGGATAATCTCAAGACAATTTAGTAAGTGCTATGAGAAATATATGCACAGGCGAGAGGCATGGGCTCAGAGAAGGGGGTGAAAAAATCAGTCACATGTACTTCCCTGATTCTCCCTGGGGAATTAAACACTGAATACATCAAGCCTAGGTAGAAATGGAAGAAGAAGATAACAAAAAAGTGTTTATCTAGCATAGTGACATAATGCACCAAATGTAGACAACACTATAATTTTTCCCTCTGTAATTTTTAAAGCCTTAATTTCATATACTTATTTTAATCAAATTCATTTAGCCAACTGTGAAATTTCTGCATACTTTGTACTAAGGAGACTTTTGTTGGCTAGCATTTACTTTTTTACTAAATCTTCATGATATCTGTGGAAGATAAGTGATATTAATATCCCCATTTTACAAATAAGAGGACTGAGTTTTCTGTGTAGCTCAAAAGTTTGTCCAAATTAGCAAATCTGGTTAAACAGTTCCCTAAACCACCTGCCCACACTAACTCAATGTCAGTTATGTAATGGAAAAATAAAAGAGCCATAGAACCTTCTATTACTACAAAGATTATTTTCATCATAATGTCTGAAATTCCATCTAATTTTTAAGATTAAGAAAGCCTTTGAAATTATTTGGTTGATTACATTTTATTAACAGAGTGCTTGTATGTTTAACCATTAACTCTGCAAAGTGTGTAAAGGAAAACCAATCTAATGGCATTCATTTTCCATGACCGAACAACTGGATTTGGTTCTGGTCAATTAAAATGGCCTGTCCAGGACTCTCAACAGGACAGTGATTGATGTCAAGAAAGAGCCCTTATTGAGACCTACTGGCTGTTTTGTAAAGAAAAGTCACAAGGATCCCATTCCTTAGTGGTGTTTGGATGAGGGGGACACAGTGCCATTGGCAACCAGCAGGATGTTAGGGAAAAAAAACAAAAAGAAAAGGCATGTATTGTTTAATAGAGATCAGCTGCTGATGAGACACTTATCAGAACCCCCTTTGTTCCCAAGGCTGGGAGGATTTGCCACAGACTCCCTAGACAACAAGAACACAAGCAGGGTCTCACAGACAAAAAACACATGAGAAATTACCCAGGAGCCCAGGAACCCCAGATGATAGCCACCTCGGAGAGGGAGTGCAGGAGAATGATTGTCCAAGCAGCTCTCTAACACTGTGAGATGCCAGACTTAGGGGACAACAGGGGCCAAAGCTTCAGGGATGCCAAGAGACACAGAACTGTTGCCATTTAAATGAAGCCTGAAACAGAGGGCCTTACTGCTAAGTTTTTGTTGTTTGAAAGGATTTTCATTCAGATCTGTGCTAAGTGGGCTCTTGTGTTTCTCAGTAACCCAGCTTCCTGATGGACTGCATGCCCCTGGGGACCCTTCCTGTCCCATCAAGTGTGAGAACAAATTTGCCTGATTCTCCTCCAGAGAGAGCTTGGCAGTCACACAGCAGGTTGTGTCTCCCACACAAAGGCATTTCCTTGTATTCCAGTGACCCTTGCTTCGACCCCTTGTTTCCACCTCTAAGTGCCTTCCTCAGATACTACGTTACATGTACCATTGCTTTGTGGGCAAAGGAGACTTCTTTCATTCTTTATTATTTGACCAAACTATAGGTCACAATAGTGACAGTGACAGTCCTCAAAGAGCCTAGGCCAAGGCTAAAGGGGCATGTAACTCCATGACAGTTGCCTTCATTAGAAACAGTGCTTAAAGCAGGAATTCCAGCTGGGTGTCCTGTTTCGAAGTTCACTTACTTTCTCTCCTTTCCCTTCCTTAAGAACTCAAAGTAAGGAGAAGGCTAATTTTGCTAAGGTTTCAGAAAACAACACCCAACTGGTAATTTATTGAAACAAAGTGACTTATTTACTCCTAGAGACAAGTATAGAACTATAAAAAGAATGAAAGAACTCCGAATATGTCAAAATGCTCATAGTACTGTAAGTTAAAAACTGAATTAACTATTCAGCCTACATTGTCTATTTAAAATTGTAAAACTGGCCAGGCATAACAAAGACCTGAATTTTAGGTTCTTAGTTTGTATGGTTAATTTCATGCGCGTCTGTGTGAAGAGACCACCAAACAGGCTTTGTGTGAGCAACATGGCTGTTTATTTCACCTGGGTGCAGGCAGGCTGAGTCCGAAAAGAGAGTCAGCGAAGGGAGATAGGGGTGGGGCCGTTTTATAGGATTTGGGTAGGTAAAGGAAAATTACAGTCAAAGGGGGGTTGTTCTCTGGCGGGCAGGAGTGGGGGTCGCAAGGTGCTCAGTGGGGGTGCTTTTTGAGCCAGGATGAGCCAGGAAAAGGACTTTCACAAGGTAATGTCATCACTTAAGGCAAGGACCGGCCATTTACACTTCTTTTGTGGTGGAATGTCATCAGTTAAGGTGAGGCAGGGCATATTCACTTCTTTTGTGATTCTTCAGTCACTTCAGGCCATCTGGGTGTATACGTGCAAGTCACAGGGGATGTGATGGCTTGGCTTGGGCTCAGAGGCCTGACATTCCTGCCTTCTTATATTAATAAGAAAAATAAAACAAAATAGTGTTGAAGTGTTGGGGCGGCGAAAATTTTTGGGGGGTGGTATGGAGAGAGAATGGGCGATGTTTCTCCGGGCTGCTTCAAGTGGGATTAGGGGCGGCATGGGAACCTAGAGTGGGAGAGATTAAGCTGAAGGGAGGTCTTGTGGTAAGGGATGATATTGTGGGAATGTTAGAAGAAACATTTGTCGTATAGAATGATTGGTAATGGCCTGGATACGGTTTTGGATGAACTGAGAAACTAAATGGAATAACAGAAGAAGAAAAACAGGTATAAAAGGTCTAAGAATTGGGACGACTCAGGATATCTGATTAGAGAGTGCCTAAGGAGATTCAGCATAGTCCTGCCAGCAAAGATTATTTATTTACTTCAAGAGTTAGGAGTGGCAGTTTGGGGATAGCACCAGGAGATATCAGCTGTGATGGCTTGGAAAAACAGTGTAAACCGGCAGTGTAAACAAGAGCAGGGCATGTATGAGTAGTTGAGAACGGTGAATAGGAGTATGACTAGACAGAAGATAGTAGGGATGACAAGTTTTTTGGGGGGCACAGTCTAAGTTGGTCTGGTGTCTGGAATGAGACTGGGGCCTAATAAAAAGGAGCGTCTATACAGGAGCTTAAATGGGCTGTACCCTGTAGCATTCTGAAAACAGGCCTGAATTCTGAGAAGGGAAAGTGGTAAAAGTATTGTCCAGTCCTTTTTAAGTTGGTGGCTGAGCTTGGTGAGGTGTGTTTTTAAAAGACCTTTAGTCCATTCTACTTTTCTTGAAGATGGAGGAACGTAAGGGATATAAAGGTTTCACTGAATACTAAGAGCCTGAAAAACTGCTTGGCTGATTTGACTAATAAAGGCTGGTCTGTTATCAGACTGCATCGAGGTGGGAAGGCTAAACTGAGGAATTATGTCTGACAGAAGGGAAGAAATGACTGCGGTGGCCTTCTCAGACCCTGTAGGAAAGGCCTCTACCTATCCAGTGAAAGTATCTACCTAGACTAAGAGGTATTTTAGTTATCTGACTCAGGGCATGTTGAGTAAAGCTAATTTGCCAGTCCTGGGTGGGGCAAATCCTCGAGCTTGATGTGTAGGGAAGGGAGGGGGCCTGAATAATCCCTGAGGAGTAGTAGAATAGCAGATGGAACACTGAGAAGTTATTTCCTTGAGGATAGATTTCCACGATGGAAAGGAAATGAGAGGTTCTAAGAGGCGGGCTAGTGGCTTGTACTATAGCATAGCCTGCCTTTGCTGGTGTGTGGCGATTAGGCCTGGTGGAACCGCCATCAATAAATCAAGCGTGATCAGGGTGAGGAACAGGAAAGAAGGAAATATGGGGAAATGGGGTGAATATCAGGTGGATCAGAGAGATACAGTCATGGGGGTCAGGTGCGGTATCAGGAATAATGTGGGAGGCCAGATTGAAGTCCGGGCCAGGAACAATGGTAATTGTGGGACTTAAAGAGTGACTACAGCTGAAGGAGCCGGGGAGCAGAAAGTATATGCGTCAGGTATGAGGAAGAAAATAGATTTTGGAAGTTATGAGAACTGTAGAGAGTGAGTTGACCATAGTTTGTGATTTTGAGGGCCTCTAAAAGTATTAAAGCAGTGGTAGCCGCTGCACGGAGACATGAGGGCTAGGCTAAAACAGTAAGGTCAAGTTGTTTGGACAGAAAGGCTACAGGGTGTGGTCCTGGCTCTTGTGTAAGAATTCTGACCGCACTAACCATGCCTAGGAAGGAAAGAAGTTGTTGTTTTGTAGGAGGTGCTGGAGTTTGAGAGATCAGTCAGACATGATTGGCAGGGAGAGCACGTGTGTTTTTATGAGAATTATGCCGAGATAGGTAACAGATGAGGAAGAAATTTGGGCTTGATTGAAGTAATGGGGGCTGTCTGTGAAGCTTTGCAGCAGTACAGCCTAGGTAATTTGCTGAGCTTGATGGGTGTCAGGGTCAGTCCAAGTGAAAGCAAAGAGAGGCTGGGATTAAGGGTGCAAAGGAATAGTAAAGAAAGCATGTTTGAGATCTAGAACAGAATAATAGGTTGTAGAGGCAGGTATTGAGGATAGGAGAGTATATGGGTTTGGCACCACGGGGTGGATAGGCAAAACAATTTGGTTGATAAGGCGCAGATCCTGAACTAACTTGTAAGGCTTGTCTGGTTTTAGGACAGGTAAAATGGGGGAATTGTAAGGAGAGTTTATAGGCTTTAAAAGGCCATGCTGTAGCAGGCGAGTGATAACAGGCTTTAATCTTTTTAAAGCGTGCTGTGGGGTGGAATATTGGTGTTGAGTGGGGTAAGGGTGATTAGGTTTTAATGAAATGGTAAGGGATGCATGATTGGTCACCAAGGAGGGAGTAGAGGTATCTTATACTTGTGGGTTAAGGTTGGGGGATACAAGAGGAGGATGCAAAGGAGGCTTTGGATTGGGAAGAAGGGCGGCAATGAGATATAGCTGTAGTCCAGGAATAGTCAGGGAAGCAGATAATTTAAAGTGTCTCAGCCTAATAAGGGAACTGGGCAGGTGGGGATAACTAAAAAGGAGTGCTTAAAAGAGTATTGTCTAAGTTGGCACCAGAGTTGGGGAGTTTTAAGAGGTTTAGAAGCCTGGCCGTCAATACCCACAACAGTTATGGAGGCAAGGGAAGCAGGCCCTTGAAAAGAAGGTAATGTGGAGTGGGTAGCCTCCGTATTGATTAAGAAGGGGACGGGCTTACCTTCCACTGTGAGAGTTACCCGAAGCTCGGCGTCCGTGATGGTCTAGGGAGCTTCCGAGGCGATCGGGCAGTGTCAGTCTTCAGCCACTAAGCCAAGAAGATCTGGGAAGGAGTCAGTCAGAGAGCCTTGGGCCAGAGTTCCAGGGGCTCTGGAAGTGGCTGCCAGGTGAGTTGAACCGTCCGATTTTCAGTGGGGTCCCACACAGATGGGATGCGGCTTAGGAGGAATCCCGGGCTACGGGCATTCCTTGGCCCAGTGGCCAGATTTCTGGCACATGTAGCAAGCTCCTGGGGGAGGAGGTTCTGGAGGAATGCCTGGCCGCTGTGATTCAGGCGTTTGGAAGTTCTTGTGTGCTAGAGATGTGGCTGGGGTTTGTCTCACAGTGGAGGCAAGGAATTGCAACTTTTTTCTATTATTGTACACCTTGAAGGCGAGGTTAATTAAATCCTGTTGTGGGGTTTGAGGGCCGGAATTTAATTTTTGGAGTTTTATTTAATGTCAGGAGCAGATTGGGTAATAAAATGTATTTTGAGAATAAGACGGCCTTTTGACCTTTTAGGGTCTAGGGCTGTAAAGTGTCTCAGGGTTGCTGCCAAACAAGTCATGAACTGGGCTGGATTTTTATATTTGATGAAAAAGAGCCTAAACGCTATCTGATTTGGGATAAAGAAAAAGGAGCATTAACCTTGACTATGCCTTTAGCTCCAGCCACCTTTTTAAGAGTAAATTGCTGGGCGGGAGGGGGAGGGCTAGTCACGGAACGAAACTGTAAGCCGGACCAGGTGTGAGGAGGGGAGGTGATAAAAAGATTATAGGGTGGAGGAGCAGAGGCTGAGGAAGAATTGGGACCTAGCTCGGCCTGGCGAGGAGCAGCCTGGGGAGGAAGGGAGAGGTCAGATGGGTCTGTAGAAAAGGAAGATTAGAAAGACTCAGTGACGCTTGGGGTTGGTACTGAGGGGACAGGTGGGAGGGAAAGAAGGAAGATTTGGGATGAGTTGCACTGGGCCCAGAGACTAGGAAGGGACTGATATGTAAAAGAATGCCTGGACGTCAGGCACCTCAGACTGTTTGCCTATTTTACGACAAGAATTATTTAGATTTTGCAGGATGGAAAAATTCAAAGTTCAATTTTCTGGCTATTTGGAACTACTGTCGAGTTTGTATCAGGGTCAAGTGGTATTGCAGAAGAAAATAAGGCATTTAGGTTTTAGGTCAGGTGTGAGTTAAAGAGGTTTTAAGTTTTTGAGAACACAGGCCAAGGGAGTAGAAGGAGGAATGGAGGGTAGAAGGTTGCCCATAGTGAAGGAAGCAAGCCTAGAGAAAAGGGAGAGTAGAGAAACGAAGGGAAGGGGTTTGGGGGTTCTTACCTTCCAGAAAAGTGGGAAAAGGGGTTGGGGTGCAGAGATAAGAGGTTGGGGCATGGAAATAAGGGATGGGGCGCAGAAATAAGGGGTCGGGGCACGGAAATAAGGGATTGGGGCACAGAGATAAGAGGTCGGGGCACGGAAATAAGGGATTGGGGCACAGAGATATGAGGTTGGGGTACTTGCCCCTCCTCTAGAAAAGCGGGACTTGCCACTAAGAGTGAAGGAGAAGGGGTTGAGGGGTACTTGCCCCTCTCCCAGAAAAGCGGGACTTGCCGCTAACAGTGAAGGAGAAGGGGTTGAGGGGTACTTGCCCCTCTCCCAGAAAAGCAGAGAAGGGTAGAGACAAGGAGAGAAGGGGTTGGGGTACTTGCCCTGTCCCCGGAAAAGCAGAGAAGGGGTAGGGACAAGGAGAGAAGGGGTTGAGGTACTTGCCCCTTCCCCAGAAAAGTGGGACTTGCCGATAAGGGTGAAGGACCAAGGCAGGCGTCCCTGCGTGGTCTGACACTCTTGAAACGTGGGTGTATAATCAGAGAGGTGTCCCTGCAATGATTAAACACCAAGGGAAAGCTGCCTTCCCAGTCCGTGACTGGCACCGGAGTTTTGGGTCCATGGATAAAATGTGTCTCCTTTGTCTCTCCCAGAAAATGAAAGGAATTGAAATTAAGAGAAGGGAGAGATTGAAGAGTGGAAAGGAGAAAGTGGTTGAGGGACAGTGAGAGAGGTTGGAGAGGAGAGTAAGAAGAGGCCGCTTACCTGATTTAAAATTGGTGAGATGTTCCTTGGGCTGGTGGGTCTGAGGACCTGAGGTCGTAGGTGGATCTTTCTCACGGAGCAAAGAACAGGAGGACAGGGGATTGATCTCCCAAGGGAGGTCCCCCGATCCAAGTCACGGCACCAAATTTCATGCGCGTCCGTGTGAAGATACCACCAAACAGGCTTTGTGTGAGCAACATGGCTGTTTATTTCACCTGGGTGCAGGCAGGCTGAGTCCGAAAAGAGAGTCAGCGAAGGGAGATAGGGGTGGGGCCGTTTTATAGGATTTGGGTAGGTAAAGGAAAATTACAGTCAAAGGGGGGTTCTCTGGCGGGCAGGAGTGGGGGTCGCAAGGTGCTCAGTGGGGGTGCTTTTTGAGCCAGGATGAGCCAGGAAAAGGACTTTCACAAGGTAATGTCATCACTTAAGGCAAGGACCGGCCATTTACACTTCTTTTGTGGTGGAATGTCATCAGTTAAGGTGAGGCAGGACATATTCACTTCTTTTGTGATTCTTCAGTTACTTCAGGCCATCTGGGCGTATATACGTGCAAGTCACAGGGGATGTGATGGCTTGGCTTGGGCTCAGAGGCCTGACAGTTAAGGCCACAATTCACAAACACATGCTTTGTATGTTCAACAATCTCAGAGAAAATGGGGCCTCCAGGTTTGGGGTTTCTTACAAAAACAGCTCTTCTGCAATGACTTAGGGTTCCATGTGGTTGTGATATTCCCAGGATGAGGGACTAAGTCAATCCTGATGAAACTTTAAAAGATGCCACCAAGTCTAAGTGTTTCAAAGCCAACACTTCAACTGCTAAATCATTCCCTCTGTTTTAAGCAGTGATTATTTGATTGGCAAGGTGGGGGTGGAGAGAACTCCTTCACTAGTAATGCATATGGACATGTCATCTCAATGATTGCGTATGAAAGAGGATGGGATCTGGAGAAAACCTCCTGATTCATTCAGACACACAAATCATCCAAAGGAGGGGGTTACACCATTTTCTCTTGAACTAAAGTAGGAAGTTTCCTGTGCCATAATTGTATTTGTTATAGTGCGATGATCAAAGTCAATAAATTCCTCCATCTATTCCCATTCAGGGAAACCATATGGCATTACTAGGAGAATCACATGTAGTGCTGGTTTGTCGTATACATGATTAAATACCCATGGGGGAAGGAAACACTGGGGAGGGCAAAACTATTTAAAGGAAGAGACTAAAAGCATAAACTCCAAGATACATGTGAATACATATTCTACTTCTGTAAGCTCTAAAGTGGTAGATCTATACAGAAAACATACTGCAATATGACCATGAAAGGAAAAGAAGATAGATTCCTAAAAAAGAAAAAAAAGAAGATGATTTATCTCAGCAGCTGTAGAAATCATTTAGGTCTTCATCAGAAGTTAGGGGTTCTAGGAGGCAGATATATCCATTCTGAAGTCTACTGGTTATCAAAGACAGTCCTAACAGTTCTATCCTATTTTATTGCAAGGAAAATGTCACAATTTAGTGAAAAACAAGGAGGTAGCATTTTCTTACCTTTCAGATTGGTGAAGATTAAAATGTCTGATAATTCCCCAAATCAGCATGAATATGTATAAACCGGTATTGTTGGAGAGAATAAGTTTTCAGAAACGCAGCTTGACTACATTCATCAAAATTTCTAATTTATATAAACAATGGCCCCACAAGTCCTTGGCTAGGAATCTATCTTAAAGAGCAAGCACAAGATATGAAAAATATCTGCCAATGAGTATCTATTGTAACATTTTTTATTTTAGCAGAACGTAGAAGAAATCTGAATATCTCACAGTATAGGAGTGCCTAAATCAATTAGAATAATCAATGCAATAGAAGAATATGCAGCCAATAAGAAGAAAAAAGAAAGTAAACCTGACTTTCCAGTGTCCATGGTTTTTTTTTAGTCATAGAATATGAGTCTACTTGGATAAAAAGAAAAAAAGAGAAAAGAAAACTTTTAAAGCATAGGCATACCTGATCAATGTTTGTTTATACTGTACATTAAAGACTTTTGGAAATTTACATAAGAAATTATGTCTGTTGAGTGATACTAAGTAATATGAATAAGAAGTGGAAACTTGAAGGGAAAACAACTTTTGCTTTTCATTTTATACCCTTTGTTCTGTTTGACTTTAAATGAGTGTATATACTCATACAATTTTTGAAAGCTAACTTATAAGACATCAATTGTAGCTCAAAATTTTCTTATTTACTCTGCCTTTATTGAAGTACAATTTAAATATAATAAAATTCACCAATTTTAAGTGAATAATTCAATTAAGTATGACAAATGTATAGTCATGTAACCACTATCATTATCATAATATAGAATGTTTCCATCATCCCTTTACTTTTATCCTATCTGTGTCTTCATATAAAGTGGCTTTCAGCACAAAATTAAGTTTTGCTTCTCTTAATTCAATGACAATCTTTGACTTTTAATTGGAGTATTTAGACCTAAATTGTACAATATGATAGTCACTAGCCACATGTGGCTATGGAGCAATGAAATACAACTAGTATAAATTGCAATGTGATCAATTTTTTTAGATTCCACATATGAGATCTCATCAAAACAGAACTGAAAGGTGGTTACCAGAGGCTCAGGGGAAGGGAGGATGGGGAAAGAAAAGATGTTGATCAAAGGGTACAAAGTTTCAGTTAGAGTGGAGAAGTAAGTTTTAGTGATCTATTGCACTGCATGGTGACTACAGTTAATAATAATGTAATGCATATTTCAAAATTGCTAAAATAGATGTTTACCATTCTCACCACAAAAAAAATAAGTTGATGGACATGTTAATTAGCTTGATTCAATCTTTCAATAGTTTATACATAGATCAAAACATCACATTGAGAGGAGGTGGAGCAAATTGGCTGAATAGAAGCCTCCACTGATCCTCCTCCCCACAGGAACACAAAATTTAATAACAATCTACACACACAAAAAAAGACACTTTCATGAGAACCAAAACTCAAATGAGTGCTCACAGTACTTGGTTTTAACTTCATATTGCTGAAAAAGGCACTGAAGAGGGTAGGAAAGGCAGTCTTGAATCACTGACACTGCCCCTCTCCCAACCCTCAGCAGCAGTTGCATGTTGCAGAGAGAGAATCTGACTGCTTGGGGAGGGAGAACGCAGGAATTGTGGGACTTTTCATTGGTACACAGTGCTGCCAATACCATGCAGAACTCAACTGGTGCCCACAGAGGGAACATTTAAACCAGCCCTAGACAGAGGGGAATCACGCATCCCAGCAGTCAAAACTTGAGTTTCAGCAAGCCTCACCACTGCAGGCTAAAGTGCTCTAAGGTCCTTAATAAACATGGAAGAAGTTGAGGCCAAAAGGACTGCAACTCCTAGGCAAGTCCTAGTGCTTGTGCTGGGCTTTGAGCCAGTGGACTTTGGGGGCACATGACCTAGTGAGACACCAGCAGGGGCAGCTAAGGGAGTGTTTGTGCCACCCCTCTCCCAACTCCAGGCAGTGCAGCTTGCAGCTCCAAAAGAGATCCCTTCCTTCTGTTTAAAAGAGGAGAGGGAAGAGTAAAGAAGACTTTGTCTCGAACTTGGAAACCAGCTCAGCTGCACTATGATAGCACACTGGGTAGACTCTTGAGGCCTCCATTTCAGGCCCTAGCTCCCAGATGACATTTCCTGACACACCCTGGGCCAGAAAGTAACCTGCTACCTTAAGGGGAAAGACCCAGTCCTGGCAGGATTCATCACCTGCTGACTGAAGAGTCCTTGGGTCCTGAATAATCAACAGTGGTAGCCAGGTAGTACACAGTATGGGCCTTGAGTGAGACTCTAAGATGTGCTGGCGTCAAGTGTAGTGTAGATCTGCTGTTAGTAACTTCTTTTAACTTTGTATGTCTGAAAAAGTCTTTATCATTGTGTTCTTGAGTAATCTTTTCACTGGCAAAGAATTTGGGGTTGACCATTTTTTCTTTCAATTTAAAGACATTGCTCCACTGTCTCCTGGCTTGCATTGTTTCCAATGATAAATTAGTGGTCACGCTTATCTTTGTTTTTCTGTATTTAATAGGTCTTTTTTCTACAAACGACTTTTAATAATTTTGATTTATTGCTGGTTTTGAGTAACTTAATGTGATTATAATGTGCCCTAGTGTGGTTGTCTTCATATTTCTTCTACTTGAGATTCATTGAGCTTCTTAGACCTATGATTTACAGTTTTCAGCAAACGTAGAGAGATTTTAGCAATTATTACTTTAAATAATTGTTCTGTCATCCAGTTATTTGGGAGTCCAATTACACCTATGTTGGATAGCTCAATTTTTTTTTATACTGTGTTCCATGGGAGACTAATGCTTTGTTTACTTTGTAAAGTCATTTTTCTTCCTGTGCTTCATTTTGGATAGACTTTATTATGTCTTTGAGTTCACTAATTTTTTTCTTCTATGGTGTCTAACATGCAGTAATTACTTCCACTGTACTTTCTATTTCAAATTTTTTATCTTTCAACTGTAGAAAATCCACTTTTGGGTTTTTATATTTTCCATTTCTTTCCATATTGCATTTGTATTATCCTTAATCTTTTTAAATAGATAGAGCATATTTATAATAGCAGTTTTAGTGTCTTTATCTGCTAAGTCTATCTTCTGCATGATTTCTGAGTGTGTTTTTAATGATTGATTTATTTTCTCCTTATGAGTCACATTTTCCAGTTTCTTTGAATGTCTGATAATCTTTTGTTTGCATGACAGACCTAGAAAACATTATGTTGTTGGTTGCTGGATTTTTAAATATTCTTTTAGTATTGTAAAGCTTTTTCTGTGACAGCTACTGTGAATCAGTTTAGTTACAGTGAATTAGTTTGATTCTATCAATATTTGCTTTTATTACATGTTAGAATAGGTCTAGAGCCATTTTACTCAGGAGTTAATCTGGCTCTTTCTAAGGAATTTATCTAATGCCCATGTATCAGGAGATCTTTCCACTGTGGCTGGTAGGAACATGAACTATTCCCAGACTGTCTAAGCTCCAAGATTGTTCTACCTGTTCTTTGCAGCGATTCCTTCCTCAGCCTGGAATCATTTTCTTCTGTGCATACTCAGAAAAGTATTCCATCAAATGCTTGAGGAAACCCTTCTGCAAATCTCTGAAATTCCTTCTCACTCTCTTACTCAATTCTCTAATTTTGTTCTGCAATTTCTAGCCAGTTTGACCTTCATGAACTACAAAATCTGTCTTCTGGATAATTCAGCAAATTATCTAGGCCTTATTTGAGTTTTCTTTCCTGGATTGCAGCCTAGATACCCTCCCAAACAGTTAATTGTAGAAATCATAGAGTTCTCCTTGTTTCCTTTGTCTTGGGCACTGTCCCGAGCTATCTGCTGACCATGTTTGAAAACCATAGTTTCATATATATTCTTGGTTTTCTAGTTGTTTATGATGGAATGTATATCCAGTCCCTGTTACTCTATAACAGCCCATACAAAAATTTATAATTTGTAAATAAAAGAAATACAGAATACTGATAACACCAAAACTAGTTTACTTTTTTATGAGACTCTAGACTTAGGTTACCTTCTGGTCATTTTTCTAAAAATCACTTATTATAGTTCTTTAGAATAACAATTAATATATACAAACTTATAGAAGAGAATATTATATCTTTTCTTCACCCCATATCTCACCATCATCCTTGTATTAGTCCATTCTCATGCTGCTAGGAAGAAATACCCAAGACTGGGTAATTTATAAAGAAAAGAGGTTTAATTGACTTACAGTTCTGCATGGCTGGGGAGACCTGAGGAAACTTACAATCATGGTGGAAGGCACCTGTTCACAGGGCGGCAGGAGAGAGAATGACTGCCAACAGAGAAAATGCCAGATGCTTATAAAACCATCAGATCTCGTGAGAACTCACTCGCTATCATGAGAACAGCATGGGGAAACCACCCCCATGATTCAGTTACCTCCCGTTGTGTTTCTCCCATGACATGTGGAGATTATGGGAACTGAAAGATGAGATTTGTGTGGGGACGCAGCCAAACCATTTCAATTCTGGATAGAAACAGTATCTACAGACAATTGCTACAACCCTATTTTCACAGTTCTTCAAAGTGCTGATTATTTTTTGTTCACCCCAGGTCTGTTCTTTATGCTTCTCTTCTTCTTTCTGCCTTCCAGTTAGTTTTAACCAATAGAAGGCCCTACCAGGAGGTCCAAGGGTAGTAGCCAATGATCCCATCCCCACACGTTCTTTTCTAGCCAAAGTCTTAGTAATAGCTGCATTCATCTATTTATGGCCAGAGCTCCTAGGAGCACTCCCTTTCCCATAGCTACCACACTTGCCAGGTTCTAAAACACTACTCTCTCTACTTGATTCTTCAGGCCTAGGGGATAAAAATGACTTGGCCTGAAAATCACATCCATTACTGTGATTTTCTGGGTTTATCATTAGTTTTTGTTTTGCCCTACCCTCACCTCTATAAACAACTCAAAAAAAAAAATGCTCTCTTCAGCTATTTTTTTAGTGGATCATTTGTTTCCTGCTGGGGACTATGTGACCCCAGGCCACATTGTTCATGATCCACCTCTGAAATCATAAACCTAACATCCCAGTCTCTGACCACAATTTCCTATCCTTTCAGTTCTCTACTTCCCAGACTTTTAATCTGCCTGTTCTTTCTTGAATCCCTTGTCCAGTCTCTCCATCTCCTGCTCCTGTTTCTCCCAATCTTTCATCACTTTCTGGCTTTATTTTCTTCCCAATCCAGCCTACATTCTACAGCTGTTCATGTCACCCTCTCTTATGCCACTCCTTGATAGTTCTCTCTGTTTCAGTGAGTTCTGACTCAGCTTGGTTATCAAGATTTTAGAATAATCTGGGCCTTTATTTATAAAGAGCTGGATATTAGTAGGATAACCATTGACCAACCAGGTTGCTTTTGAGAGTGAAAAGAGCTCTTAATTATTGTACCAGGACAACAGGACAGTCCCAGATAAACTGGGCATATGACCACCTATCTCTCAAGTCATTCAAGAGCTATTCTAACTCTAGAATGCTGTGTTATATTATACATGTTAAAACGGATCTCAGATTTTTCTAGAGTCTCAAGCTTGCTGATTACAGTATGTTCTGCTTAGTAAACATAACAAAACATTTGGGAAAAATAAAAGGAAGCATAATAAAACAAAGACATTGAGGTGGAAGCTGTGAACAGTAAAGACCGTACCAAAAAAAGAAGATTCACAAAACATGCTTCCTTCCAAACATTAGGCTCATCAGACAGTTGCATGAAAGGAAAGGCCCTGATTTTTATGACAAGCAAGTAGAAGCAAACCCACAGAACAATCTATCCATTTGGGTATAAATGGAAAATCTAGTGCCCTCCTGCCTTCTTGTCCTTTCACTTCCATTTTCAGTTTTCATTTTCACACCCCACAGAAGCTGATGCTGTGCCCTATGCACTGACTCCTATCCCACAACAAAAAGACTTCCCCAACTGAATAGGCATGGTTGCCATGGCAGCTAGGGGGTCATAAACTCCTGAGCTGTGGGTCCTGGCACAATTCCACGCATTATCTGCATCCTGGTGCAAATCAGTCCCTTTATCTAATTAGTAGCCTTACAAATAGCCACCTGCCCCAAAGCTTAACCATTAAAGATGCAATATTGGCTGAATAGCTTGAGACCAGAGGTGAGGATATCAGAAAACTGAAAGCTGATCTGAGTGAGGCCCTATCTCTCCTGGCTACTGACACCTGTGAGCCCTAGCCCACCCACATACCAGGAGTTCAGAAGGAGACCAAGAACAAATCACTTCTGTCTTCTTTTCGTGACTCACCTTGGGTGTCTTCTGATGCACTGGCCTCCCAGAAGCTGGGCCTGCTGACCTCTGTCTAAAGGACCTGGTTCATCATTCCTGCTTAGATGCCCAACCCTTCCCTGCCTGAGAACTTCCTCCCTAAGAAGTCCAGCCCTGTCTCTCTCTCTCTAGAACTTCATCAACTGCCCTGGCCTGTTGTAGTTCACTACCTGATCTGGATCCTTCAGAACTATCTCTTGATTTACTCCAAAGACTGACTCCTCTGTGACTTGATTAAATGCTAAAACTTTCTCTTGCTAGTGAGACTATATCCCAGATTCAAATTATTTAGATGTTTTTCAGGTTCATCTCTTTTCCTTCCAGTAAAGAATTCTAAAAACAAACACCACAATTATTTTTTCAACATTCCCTATATAGAGGCAAATATTCTCCTACATTTATTTTACAGATAATGATTAACTGAAACTTTAAAAAAAAGTGACATCAATGCACTCTGAAAGTGTACAATGTGGTGAATCTGCCTTTTGCATCCTGAGCTGAATTCCAAAAATGCTATTAAGTGTAGGCAAAAGGTGAAAGCAGAGAATGGGGGAAGAGTCCAGCTTCAATTTTACAGTTGATGCTGTGGCGCCACCTTTGAGTGTTTCTATCCATTATGAGATAAAAAAAGAGGACTCTAATGTGATATATCTACCTTCTGAAATTAAAATATACTAAAAATCTCACCCAATTTTCTCCTTTATGCTGAGTATTTGTTCCATATATACATGAGTACATGTCTCACTATAATTTTATTGTCATGTAATAACTTTGAAATGTTTCCTTTTTATTGTTATACTATGGTTTATGACAATGAATAGCCAATAGAAACTAATTAAACTAGGAAATAATGATCCTTACTATGCTGGCAACAATTCAGTAAAAAAAACTATAGAAAAAAACTTACAGGTAGAAAATCTTTACAAAGTATTTTCATCTATTCTTTTGTTAGTGCAAGCTATGGTTTTCTTTTGCTTCACTATCAGATTAGTCCCTCTGGTTTGAAATGATATCAAGCAGCAGGGCTTCTTATATTTCCTTAGAGATGCTATTCCAGAGGTTAGCAGATCTAGCCAATATGGGCTCCTTGATATTCAGCTATAGCCTCTTTTCTTGACATTTTCATTGTTCTTATTTATTAATTCATATTTTTAAATAAAATATCTTCAATGCCTATGAAAAGAAGTGTTTTGAATATGTGTAAGCAAAAATGAAGCCAGGTCAACATTCCCTCCCTGCCCACTGTGACTTCTCAGGCCATTCCAGGAGCAACCAGATTAAATACTTGTGCTCTGAACCAAAGCCCAAAGGCCATTGTTTAGGTTTCTTTTGAGAACAGGAGGAACTACAATCTCAAAAACAAGAGCTATCTTTGTGAAAATTTCTACTTTTCTTCTCTAAGCCTCTTAAGTGAGAGTTATTAATCAATCATCACCATATTCAACATAGGTTGAAATATTTGTGCATTTATCTTCTTGGCCACTCTCTAAGAATTTTTACCTGGGGTTCAATGTAATCTTATTAAACAAAAGTTTTCAGTGCATAAGGAGGTGATGCCTTTCTGATGTGAAACATCTGATTGCTTTCCAGACTGTAAATTCTAGGAGAGTAGGGACAGTCCATTTCTATTTTTTCTTTTCCTTTTTGTTCCCCCCACAAGCTGGAGTGCAGTTGGGTGACAGAACGAGTCACTGCAGCTTTGACCTCCTAGGCTCAAGCAATCTTCCCACCTTGGCATCCCAGTAGATGGGACCACAGGCACACGTCACCATGCTGGGATAATTTTTTTGATTTTCAGTAGAGACATGGTCTTGTTAGGTTGTGCAGGCTGGTCTCGAATTCCAGAGCTCAAGCAACCCTCCCACCTGGGCCTCCCAATGTGTTGGGATTACAGGTGTGAGCCACCATTCTTGGCCCAGGACAGTTCATTTATTAATCTCCATTCCATTCTTGTAAGCAGATGTTTATAACAGGGACAAAGTGTTCAATGACCTCTTCATTGTTTAGGTACTATGAAGAATAGCAAGTTAAAATTCTGTGGCTTTTGAGAATTAAAAAATTACCACTTATATTCCCAGTAACCTCTTAATAATATAAACCATATTATCATCAATTAATGGGGAAAACAGTGTTTGGGCTTCATACAATAATGAAAAAGATATGCTCACTGAACCTGTTACTTTAAAAATTAATGAAAATAAAAATTTCCCCAACAACCATTATACTGAAAGGACACTCAATTTGAAACTTGTTGAGTTATTCAGAGGCAGTTGTGTAAGCCTAAAATTCATCACTCAGAAACACCTGAGATAATGTAATTTCTCATGTAAGTGGTCTTTGGGATGTAGCTTTTGACTTAAAGATGAACTTCACAACTTGACAAATTTATTTATTATTATTATTATTAAACAGAATTTTTTTTTCCAGACTGTCTCATCCTCCTCTGCAAATCCAACAGAAAGGACACAGTAGAGTGGGCAAGAATGCAAAGAAGGTCTGTGGTTTGGAACTGGCCCAAGCCGAACTAAACTTTTCTAAATATACATTAAACTGTCAACAAAGAGCACCGTGACCCACAGCCTGAATAAAGGGAGAGCCCCAAGGCCCTCTGAAGCCACTAGTTCTGTGAGTTGTTTTAGGGAGAAGACAGACAACCAAGAATTATTTACCTTATTAGACTGTGCCCATCCAAGCCCAGGTAAAACTTTTTGATCAGCAGAAAACTGGAATTATTTCCCTTTCTCTATCCTGGATTGAGTGTGAATTCCCCAGAGAAACTTGGCTTTGAGAGCACTAGCTGGACATATAGGGGTCCATTTCCAATCTGCTCTGAGAAGGGCCCTGTCTTCATCCTAAAGGAAGGCTTTAGAAAACTGTTATCTAAGATCTAGGATTGAAGATGGTGAGAACCTGAGGCTGAGCAATTGGCCCCAATTCTTCCTGAAGCATTATCTGAGAGAGAGAGCCTAGCCTGTGGTTTTTGACCCCTGGCAGAAGGGTGGAGAGAGGGAAGAAGAAAGAAGGAAGATGAAGACAACTTCCTGCTCAAGACCAACCCATCTCCCCTCATTCTGGGGTGACCAATTGAGAAAACAATGATATCTCCCTTACTCTCATCTGTTTCCAAAGGCTTTGCTTCATCTACCAAAAAACCGTGTGAGTGAGAACCATCTACCCTCATGTGCTTATTAAGCTCTTAGAGTCATTCTCTGGTGACTATATTGATTCATTTATTTGTACTCTAGGAACATAAAACAATATGGCATTATTGACACAGAAAACAAAGAATAGACAGATAGCATACAGCTGAACAACTTTAATTACCAGGGTTCCAGTGTCTGTTTAACTAGCTGTGTAAATATGAGTATTTGAATTAATTTTTCTAGGATCAATTTCCTTACTTCTAAATGAGAAAGACGAGGCCAAAAGTTCTTAACCTTACTTCTGGCTTTACAACTGAATGGTTCTCTGTTCCTAATAATGAGTTCCTTTTTTTTTTTTTTTTCTGAGACGAAGTCTCGCTCTGTCACCAGGCTGGAGTGCAGTGGCACAATCTTGCTCACTGCAACCTCTGCCTCCCGGGTTCAAGCAATTCTCCTGCCTCAGCCTCACGAGTAGCTGGGACTACACGCGCCTGCCACCATACCCAGCTAATTTTTGTATTTTTAGTAGAGACAGGGTTTCACCATGTTGGCCAGGATGGTCTTGATCTCTTGACCTCGTGATCCGCCGGCCTCGGCCTCCCAAAGTGCTGAGATTACAGGCGTGAGCCACCGCGCCTGGCCCTAATAATGAGTTCTTATGAATGGTATATGTACGCCAAATAGAAAGCATGCTAATAGCTAAGAAGGAATCGTGAAGGATAATGAGAATTTGCTGCCTTTTCTAGTCATTCTAGAGGAATTTATAAATAAATAAAATGGTTTGATATGTAAGAATATCTGCTGAGCCAAACAGTGCACACTTCTTAGACATAAGTTGTAGCCAAGGCAATAAAGCTTAAGGATGGAATAGAAGCATTAAGGAAAATTTTCCTAGAAAGGAAAAAAATGGAGGCAGAAAGGGTGGGAAAGGCAGACAGAAGTCAACTCATAGGAAGCAGAGAGATAAAGAGCTTTGAAATATAATGTGAGGACCTAGACATATTTGAGAAGAGAGGTACTGGTCAAAACAAAGGACAGAGATGGCAGAAGCCCACAGGAAACTTATGGCCAATGGTAGCAGTCAGTGAGGATGAGTAGGGTAGTAATAATATATTATAACTAATTACTGCCATTTATTGATCACTTACTAAGTATTAAAATTATTTGTTAGGAAATTTATAAATACCTTGTCTCCTTTCTAGAACTCTCTCCAAAGGATATGGTCATATTCATCATATAGATAAGTAAACTAAGGCTCAGGAAAAATGACTTCCTCAAGGGCAAACCCAGGTCTGTCTGTGCTATTTTTACTATACCGTTGCTATTTGTCCATGAACAGGAAAAACCCTCAACTAGGGCCTTGAGCAATCAAGAATTATTGGAAGGAAAAATCGTTACAGGTAACCACTGATAAATCAGATGGAACAATCACTTTTTGAGCAAAGGGATTGTGTCCTCTTTATCTGCGTGTTCCCTGCATTTAGCCCAGGGTCTAGCAACTTGTGATAGACAAAGATGTGTTAGATCCCCCTTCAAAAAAGGACTTGCTGCTCAGCTGCTGGGGTGCAGTCAGCCTCCAGCCTCCAATCAGCTCTGTAAGAGCTGGCCTCAGCTGTAAATAAAAACTGCTTCATTTCAGGTCATGCTGGTATCCAATAACTGAGAAAGGAGTTGGGGGTAGGGGCAAAGAGGGGAGAGTGAAGGGGACAAAGGCCTGAAGCTAATCAGGGACCCCTCTGATGGCCAATTCTGACTCCAGAGCTCCCTATCAAGTGGGCCAAGTTCTTCTCAGCCCTACTCTGGATAGTGACTTCTCCCTTGGCCCAATTCTGTCTCTACCCACTCCTTTTCACAGGTGTTGATCCCTAATGAATATCCGGCACCCCGCATTCCATCTCGGTGACTGCTTCCAGAAAACACAAGCTGTGACATGCCCATTATGTACTCAATAAATCTTTAATAATTGAGTGGATAGAGTGATGTGAGTTGAGAAGCATTATTAAAGATTATTTTCCCAAAAATAAACAAAAAAAATGTGCCCATTGGCTGGTGACTAGAATTCTACAATTAGAGGTTTATTCCTTTGTCTTAATGCTTCTGCTTTTGTAAATACCCCCGTAATAAACGCATGTTAAGTTTATTAGACACCTATTCCCCAGTGTAAACAAAGTCCTGGAAGCACATTCTAACAGGAAGAGAGAGGGAAAAAAGTATGAGAGCACCAATGGACAAACATCAGGAGCAAGTTACCTGGATTCAGTCCTGGTTCCACCACTTGCTAGATCTGTGTCATTAGACCAATCAATTGACCTCTCTGTGCCTCCGTTTTTGTTCCTGTAAAATGGGAACAATAACTGTAACTACTTCCAAGTATTGTTATGAAAATTGAATGAGTTAAAATATAAAAATGTTAGAGACTAGGGAATATGAGACTAGTCAATGAATGTCTAGTGGAGACAAGAAAAAGTGAACAAAATTATACAAGTGCTATTAATAATACAGTCAGATTTATATATTTTTTCCATCACACTGACCTCCAATCCAGGCTGGGAAATGGGTTTTTTAAATCTCTTGCGTGTTTTCCATCACTTGAACTACCATATTGTTTTACAATTATTTGTCTTGTGTCTACTGCCACCCTTACCTCACCACTGTGAGATCCTTAGAGGTAAAATATTCTATCTTATTCATCCTTATATCCCCTTCCATTCATCCATTTATTCTTTTTTTCTAACTTTTAAGTTCATAGGTACATGTACAGGTTTGTTACATAGATAAACTTGTGTCACGTGGATTTGTTGTACGGATTATTTCATCACCTAGGTATTAACTCTAGTACCCATTAGTTATTTTTCCTGATCCTCTCCCTCCTCCCACTCACTACCCTCCAGTAGGCCCCAGTGTGCGTCATTCCCCTCTATGTGTCCATGTGTTCTCATCACTTAGCTCCCACTTGTAAGTGAAAATATGTGGTGTTTGGTTTTCTGTTCCTGTGTTAGTTCGGTAAGGATAATGACCTCCAGCTCCATCCATGTCCCTGCAAAGGACATGATATCATTCTTTTTTATGGCTGCATGGTATTCCATGGTGTATATGCACCACATTTTCTTTATTCAGTCTATCATTAATTCATATGTTCATTCATTAAATAAATATTAAGTGCACATCGTGGACTAGACCCTCCTCTGGCATTGGAATAACACAGTAAACAAAGTTCCTGCTCTCTTGGAGCTTATATGTGGAGCATTTTTATGGACAGTAATAAAATACATAAATATTCATGAGATTATCCAGTGAAAAGTACTGTAGAAAATTATTCCTGTGCAAGGCTCAGAGTAGATTTTCAATAAATTTTGGTTAAATTAATGCATTTGTCCAAAAGAAAAGAGAAATAAGAGCCAAAATGCTAATAAAAGACATTTGTGTTGTTCCCTCTGCTCGATGCAGAATGAAAGAGCTCTGCGGGAAACAGCAGGCTGGGATGGGGGGATTTTTTTTTACCTTTTACAGCTCAGCCATTCAGAAGTTGAGTAAAGTGAAGCCAAGTTAGCCAAACACAGAGGGGCAAAACATGGGATCATTTCAAGGTAAACATTATTTCCTTATATGTACTACTATAGTGCTGCTTGCACAAAAATTTTTACTCTCTTTTTTTTCACGCCTGTGATAATAGAAAGATTCCATCACAGCAGCATAAAAGCTCAAACTTTCCAGTGAATCTTTTGACTAATTATTATTGTTGCAATAACAGGCAAACATGGCATACCCATTCCAGTCACCATAGTGCCGCTCTCATTCTCACTCTTCAGGTCTTTTATAGTATTGAGGATTTCTTTAAGAAAATTAAATTGGCACATCCACTCTCACATGCAACAATTCACAAATTCAGCCTATCCTTAGTCACCTGAATTAGTGAAGGAAAATATCTCCTACCATTGATTGAACAGTTAAATAACAATAAACTGCTTCAGAATTTTTTTTTAATTGAGATAGAGTTTCACTCTTTGTTGCCCAGGCTGGAGTGCAATGGCGTGATCTCGGCTCACCGCAACCTCTGCCTCCCGGGTTCAAGTGATTCTCCTGCCTCAGCCTCCCAAGTAGCTGGGATTACAGGTGTGCACCACCATGCCCAGCTAATTTTGTATTTTTAGTGGAGACGGGGTTTCTCCATGTTGGTCAGGCTGGTCTCGATCTCCTGACCTCAGGTGATCCACCCGCCTTGGCCTCCCAAAGTGCTGGGATTACAGGCGTGAGCCACTGTGCCTGGCCAGAATATTTTTAGTCTATTCATATAAATACCTTGATATAGAGAAGCTCTTTAAAAAATTTTTTCCTTTAATGTCTCTCCCCTGAGAATGGCCTTAAAATTTAAACATAGTTTCCAAAATACAGTGTATTTGTTTCTATTCAGAAAATTGTATAGGTTTTAAATTAGAGTGTCTTATCCAAAGCACATGAGATTGGAAGAAGGCAAAAACACTCTAAAGACCTTGTGCATACCCATAGCTGCTCTGTTCTCACTGTTGGAGCAATAGAAGGTGATGCTTTTGTTATCTTATTTATCCTCAAAATCCTGTCCGACTCTCTATATCCATCCTTATCATGACCACACCATCACCCCTATGTCATTCCCTATCCATCCAATATCTCCTTCCATAAATGCACATCTTTGCTCCCTCTTCCATGATACCAGGTGTTGAAAGGGGAAAAAAAGTTATTTATTTCCTAATTCTATACTCTGTTATTTAAAATCCCTCCCCTTTTACCCTTCTTCTCACCCACTCACCACATCTCCAACTCACCTTTGACCACCACACTTCCCTTGCCATTTCATTACTAACTTGGCCCAAGTCAGAGGAATGATTCATGGAATCATAAAACTCAGAGTAGAAGAGACCTTAAAGGTCAGCTAATTCAATCACCCAACTAAGTGGAAAATCCAGCTCTTATATTTATTCTTTCTTCCTTGACTTCCCAAATTCAATTGCAAACATTAGACCAGTGTCTATAGTTGTTAGGAAACTTTCTGAGTTGGATATTTTTTTAACCAAGGTAAATTCCCCTCTCTCTGAGATGGCTTAGCTAGAGAGAGTCCTGTGAATGGTAAACAATGAATTACAGATAAGGAAATTTCCAAGTAGAGAATCAATGATTTTGAAACCTACAATTCCCTGAACATAGAGTTGGTCACTCTAAAATAATGTTCAAAGGTGAGCATATTTATTTCATAAATATTCAATTTATTCCATGGGATAACTAAGTATTATTCTATTAAACAGCATTGTCATAATAGAAAGCACACAGGTAGACCCAAAAGATAGTTTATAATAAAAGTGCCCCTCAAGGGTCCAGAAAAAATACAGACTTTTAAATAATGGTGCTGAGACAACTGGCTAGCCATTTAGAAAATGATTAGATCTTTACCTGATATCATAAGAATAAATTTCAAATAAATTAAATATCTAAATGTTAAAAAAATGAAATTCTGAAAGTACCAGAAGAAAACATGAAGGGATTTCTTTTTAACATGAGTGTAGGCAAAAGCTTTCTAATGTCTCAAAATCCAGATGCAATTTAAAAAACATTGATAAGTATGACTATCTAATTTTTAAATAGCATGACAAAAAAACATAAAAAAGCAAAATCAAAAGACAATCAAAGAACTAGAAGAAAATATCTGCAACATATATCATTCATACATATATAAAACCAAAGGCAAAAAGGTTTAATAAGATAAATAGGATAAATGTTAGTTAAAATCACAATGAGATAATATTTCTCATCTATCATATAGTAATTATAGGTGAGGTGCTCTCATACATTGTTGGTGGGTATGCACAAAACTCTTTATGGACAGGGATTTGCAATGTCTAACAAAATGGCATATGTCTACCTTTTGACCCAGCAATCCTACTTCTAGGAATTTACCTTGAAAATATACCTCCAACAACACAAAAATATGTCTGCACAATATTATTCAAATTATTTATTGCAGTATTGGTTATAATGGTAAAATATTGGGAACAACCTACATGCCCATTTATAGGAGAGTAGTGACATAAACTATGGTATATCCACACAACGGAGTACTACACAATTATAAAAAAAGAATGAGTAAGATCGGCCGGGCACGGTGGATCATGCCTGTAATCCCAGCACTTCGGGAGGCCGAGGCGGGCAGATTGCCTGAGGTCAGGAGTTCAAGACCAGCCTGGCCAACATGGCAAAACCTCGTCTCTAGTAAAAATACAAAAATTAGCCAGGCATGTTGGCAGGAGCCTGTAATCCCAGCTACTCGGGAGGCTGAGGTGGGAGAATCACTTGAACCCAGGAGGCAGAGGTTGCAGTGAGCCAAGATAGCACCATTGCACTCCAGAGCCTGGGCAAAAAGAGCAAGACTTTGTCTCAAAAAAAAAAAAAAGAATGAGTAAGATCTTTATGAACTAATATGGAATGACTTCCAGAATATATTGTTAGTTGAAAGAAGTAAAGCATATCTATAGTAAGCTATTTTTATGTAAGAAAAAGAGGAATTTAGAAAATACACATATGCCTAAAGGCAGATACAGCAAAAACTAAGTAAAAAGAATAATAGGAAAGGTGGAAAATGACACCCCTTTTTATATAATCCTGACTTGTAAACCGTTTAATGTTTCACACGCTGAAGAAGGTAAAGATGGGGGAGAGACCTCAAAAAGGGAACATAAACAGGCCAGGCGCGATTGCTCACACCTGTAATCCTAGCACTTTGGCAGGCCAAGGCAGGTGGATCGCTTGAGGTCAGGAGTTCGAGACAAGCCTGGGCAACATGGCAAAACCGCGTCTCTACAAAAAATACAAAAATAGCTGAGTGTGACGGGGTGCCCCTATAGTCCAGCTACTTGAGGGGCTAAGGTGGGAGGATTGCTTGAACCTGGGAGATCAAGGCTGCAGTGAGCTGAGATCGTGCCACTGCACCCCAGCCTGGGTGACACAGTGAGACTCTGTCTCAAAAAAAAAAAAAAAAACGAAAGGAACATAAACAAATGAATGAACCAAATGGGACCAGGGAGGGCTAACTCAAGGAACTTTTGAGCGGAATATTTGGACTGTATACCTTCAGGCTAAAGACAAAAAGAATTGATAACAATTACAGAAAAAAAAAGAAAAAAAAAAAAACAATTACAGAAGTCCAATCAGTGGGTTTTTTCTCACAGGCATATGAGTTATCAATTTTGAAACTACATTCTGTATATGCCAGGATTAGGCAAATAAGTAAATATATTACAATCAATGGGAGTCAGCTTTCTCACTGTCAAAAGTGTTACAAATATGAACAGGAGGAAGGCTTTGATCTCTGTGGCTTTGACTAGAAATTGGAGGTATTAGTACGAACTTAAGATTATACATTTTGTTTCTGTGTGTGTGTGTGTGTTGTGTAATTCCATTTCCCAGCTCTGTCTGCTGAGAAGGCCTAGAAGAAAAGACACTCATACTCCCCTTAAAATATATCCAGGGCAGGGAAAGTACAACTTGAGTCTGGAATATCTTTTTGTGCCGGAAAGTAAGAAAGTGCTCAAAGACACCAACATGGCACATGTATACATATGTAACAAACCTGCACATTGTGCACATGTACCCTAGAACTTAAAGTATAATAGTAAAAAAAAGAAAAAGAAATAATAAGCCAAAAAAAAGAAAGTGTTCAAAGAATTGTGGGTACATAAGAAAAAGCCAAAAAGCCATGTTAAAGGGCTTCCCATTAGTCAAATCTTGGAAATTTGAGTATCAAAATAATAATGACAGTAACTGATTATAACTCATTGAATAAAATAAGAATCCGTAAGTTCATAATGAGCTACCTACACACACATACATACATACATGCCTATAAAAGAAGAGAAAGCTCCTTCTTACAGTACAAAGCAAATTAATAAATATGAAAAGAATGATGAACTTGTAAAGTCATCATTTAGCAACGATGGTTGTAATAATTGATTCAGACAAGAATCATTCATGGATGCTAAACTAGAATGTGTAAATTTGATGAGCAACAGGATATCTACATAGTCTCAAAGTTTCTCTCTCAAATATGTATTAATTGCAATGGAAAAAAAATAGTAGTAACTATTTAGTGGAGAAATCTGGCAGAAACCACCTTAACCAAATGATTAAACGTCATCAGTAATGGTACCTTTCAATATCGTGTACCTTCTAAGACAAGGCACTGAGAAGGGCACAGCATTACTTCTGTGGAATTCCTGCCAAAATGTGTAACCTGAATCTAATTACGAGGAAACATCAGACAAATTCAAATTGAGGAACACTCTACAATATAGCTGGCTGTACACTTCCAAAACGTCAGTACCATAAAACACAAGGAAAGATTGAGGAATTATTCCAGGTTAAAGGAGACCAAACTTAATGCAATGTGTAATCCGTTGTTGTTGTCATTTGTGTTTGTTGTTTATAAAAGGGAATTATTGGAACAAGTTGAAAAATCTGTGTAACAGTCATGTATTAATGTTAATTTTCTGATTTAATATTACACTTGGTTATATAAAAGAAGGTTCTTGATTTTAGGATATAGACCTGAAATATTTACAGGTAAGTGGCATCATGTCAGCAACTTTTAATTTTCATCTTTTTGAGAACGTACAGGTCTGAAATTATGTGAGCATAAAAATTTTAAAGAAAGAAACTATATTATCTTCATGTGGTTGATTTCCTTCACTATGTATTTGGCAGTTATCACGTGCTCTCCACTCTATTTCCTTTTGTGTTTCATTCTTCATTTCTTTCATTCTTGTGTCTCCCACCCGCTCATTCTGGTAACAAAATTGAGAGTTTGGGTAGCATGGGCAGCTTTTGATTCTCCTCACTCAGATGTAAAAAGCAGACATATTTCCATTTTTGTTCAACATTTCCCAAGCCCATCTTCATATACAGTAGCAGTTTTTATAGGTACATACGCTGCTTTCATTATATCATCCACCAAAGGTGGCTGCAAGAATATAATGGGGGACCTTTGGGTCAATTCCAGCCCTTTCAATGAATCTATATAAAGCAAACTGGCCATTCCAAAGCAGAAACACTTACAGACCTGTATAATTGGTTCAAAGAAGACAAGAGGAGACCAAAATAGGTACATTTGTACCTTTTTAAAGTATCTACATTCTTGAAGATGAGCTTGTGTCTACTATATTTAAGTTGTTAAGCAAATGTGTGATTCATGTATTCATTCAGAAGGCCTTATGGAAAAACTAGTCCTTGCCAAATTTTATGAATAAGTGCTGTAGATCTCAAAGCTAAGTAAGGAAATGTTCTTCTTCTGGAACAGCATTTTTAAGAAAGAACAAAGTGGTAAGTGCTATAAATGAGTTGTATACTATATATTATGGAAAGACAAAAGAAAACACAACTAACTTTACAAGACTTGGTATTAAATCACAGAAGCAGGAGTCAAAAAAGCCATAAAGCAAACCTGGGCTAACTGGCTTTGCCAGACCCAAATCCTAAATGTTGTCTGTGATTTTCCTGACCAGTGAACATGAGGCGGGGTGCAGCATCCAGCCCTGTCTCCTCAAATTGACTCACAGGCAGAGGCAGGGGAAAGGTAAGTCCCCAAGGTGGGGAGAAATTTCAGCAGAGCAGCAGAGCTTCTGGACTTCTACCTTCTCCCGTTCAGACTTCCTCAACTTTATTTCTTTGAAATGTAGACTTGCCACATATTTCATTACATGCTATTTTATTTGATAAAAATGTGAGTGCTAAAATAATTGAAAACTGAACATGAGTTTTAGCATATGATCTCTCATATGGGTAGGGGAGGAGGTGTTTCCAATTGGAAGGTAATTCAACACTTGGTATCTAGGTACACAAAAAGATTGTTTAAAGAGGCTGTGCTCATAAGAGTTGGTTTATGTAAAAGAGTATTTACTGCTGCAACATTCCAAAGAGTGAAACATTGATATAACTTAAACATCCAGCCATATGATTAGATAAATCCTATATCGTGCCATCTTAAGAAGACATTTTTAAAGGAGGCAGATTTATATGTGCTGATATAGAAGACTGTCCCAGGTATGTTGTCAAATATACATGCAATTTTATTAGCATTGCAATGCTAATGTAGTACAAATCTCAGTTTACAAACTCAAATGCACAAGAAATGTAACTTGGCTAAGATAATGAGCTTATTTTCTATTTTAACTCAATTTTTCTGTGATGATAGAAATTTAATTCCTAATGTGTTTGAGTTCCAGGAAAGTTTCTATAGCACCAATATGGGAGCAAGGGGACATCTTGTCCTTGGTCTTGTCATCTATCACTCATGTCCTCAGATAGATTCTCCAGTCTGGTCACCCATCTTAGGATCATGCAAGTCATTGTTGTGTCCTCCTCTTCCCAGGTGTGGCTTTCTCAGCTTTTTTCATGCGCTTCCAAGAGTCATTTCATTCATGCTAGGCTGCAGGAAATTCTGAGTATTTGTCTAAGTCCCAGTAGGTCTCAACACACTCTACTGCCTTGTCTCCTGCTCCTAAGGCCTTGCCACCACCCCTGCCTGAAGGTCTACCGGGAAAGCAGACACAACCTCTCTACCCTCAGATTCTCTAAGCATGCTTCAGTCCGTCTCTCCACTACCAAGTTCCTCTAAGTTGGGAAAACAGGGCAGAGGACCTTCTTTCTCAGGAATGCACAAGGAAGCATACTTCATACAGTTGTGTGGTTTGAACACTGCACACAGTACTTGTTTGGGAATGACTGGGGCTGAAATCTAGAAGGTCAGGACCCTTGGCAAAAAGCCAGGGCTGCTGGAAAAAGGAGGGGCCTTTGTCTTTACATGAAGGTGTTGTCAGCTCTCTAAGCTACTGCCTCTGGCAAGGATCCACTCAGCAAGGCATCTCATTGCAATTTAGTCACCAAAATAGGGCTTTGCTAATTTTTGGAAAGAAGCAGTATAAATTGCCAGAGGTACTTTTTCCTCTCTCTCCTCCTAAGAATTGAAATCTTTTTTATCTAATCTTGAAATCTCTAAGACTTTTTATGACTTATCATATATTCTTCCAAATCTCCTTTTATGATCTGTCTTTTTCTATTCCCACAAGGACTAGAAACTCAAAAATTTGACACTGAAAAGTTATTGGCTCCCTTTTTATAATACGTTCAGTTGGGTCATCTTTTCTCTGAGGCAATGAATGCAGAATGTGCTGATGGAATGGGTAAAAGGCCAGGACCATTAGGAAACACAGAGGGAAAAAATACTTCAGTTAATATTTTAAAATGTCATCCTGCCATTGTATGTGTATAAAACAGCTCTGGAAGGCTACATACTTGTCTCAATGATTAGCAGTAATTCACCTCTGTAGTGAAATTTGGAGATGAGACCTCTATTTTTTTGCTGTGTAAATGTCTGCGTTCAAATTGTTTTTATAAGAAGCTGTGTGACTTCTGCAACTTTTTTCTTGAAACATTTTTTTTTAACTGGAAAAAATGCTCCAATGTACTTTTAGTGATAGCACTCGGAATGATAACTTGTTTGTTCTCCCATTTCACTGCCTTTTTGGTGATACATCTCTCTATGGCAGAGTTAGACTATTTTTAAGTTCTTGCTCAGTGCTTATATAACATTAACGAGAGTTATAGAAATGGCAGGACTGATGGAAACAATATGGATTAAAATGTACATAATTTGCATAATTTAATATGACTTATCTCACAGGTGGAACCTCTAAGGGTTTCATATTTCCCACTTCCTTTTGTAAATGAGGAAAGGCTAAGACTTAACAAATAATAGTAAATTCCAGAGGGTGGCCCAAATCAACAGAGCCTGGAAAAACTAAGACAAAAGCTCCAATCCTCTCGATTCCAGTCCAGTGTTCTTTCTATTACAGGATACTCTTTCTCAGTTTGGGCTACTCCTCTGCCTTCATGAATATAGAGTGGTGAGCAGAGGTGACTGTAAGTGAATGAAGCTTAAGCTTCAAGTGCCTAATTTGCACACACCCTTTGCAAAGCAACAGGTTCACATGGACACATGACTTTTGTACAGTTTGCGAAAGTTATTTTTTTTTTAACTGCAACAGGTTAAGGCCACTCTACTCTCTCTTTCCACTCCAACTTCCCTACATACTAAGTGGCACTGGGTAGCTATGTACTTTTTGATGATATGACTAAGGAGTGGTTTATTTTGTTGGGGATACATATGATCTCAATATAGTGTCATATATTTTTAAGTGTACAGATACTTCCATTAAAGTTATTGCCAACTAACCCTGGGTAGGAACAGATTCCAAGAATACCCTTACTGCCCACTATGCCATCTCCCAGTCTCCTGACAAGAAGGTGTGGGCCAGTGGTGAATTCCTATGGTGTGCAGCTGTAACAGCAAAGTCATGGAGGAGAGGCAAGGTTAAACTGCGTGAAGCCAGTAGAAGCTAATCTGTAGAAAATTCTTCCAATCATCGTGTGTATAATTTTAACAGAGAATTTGGTTGTTGTGAAAATCTAATCAAAACAGATTTTTTTCCTTATCAGAAATAGTTTTGATAGTGCAGTATATATAATTATAAAATCTCAGATTTCTCATATATTTATGGTAATTGTGTGAAATAGAATTTATCTGAGTTACTAGGTTTGAAGGGAACAAATCCGTAACTATACCGAAAACAGAGTAGGCCTATAACAATTCAACAATATAATAAGAGGTTTTCCCAATTTGACAAGTCATAAAATTTCACAGATTACTAATAATGAGGCTAAAAATTTGTCAGCTATCAACAATTTTTTAAATATTAAATCATACTAGAGTAAGTTATATTTCCATTTTCTTTACAGAATATATAATTGATATTTAGCAAAGAGGCAATAAAAGAGTATACAGCCAAAAACAGTATAAAAATAGTATAGAGGTGTGGCAGATGGTTAATTAATGAAAAAATAAATTTTCTAGATTTTTTTTGGATTTGTAGCTTTGTGAGGTTTTATAAATTTGTTTTTGTGATTTTTTTTGTACCTACCTTTGCATTATTTTTTTTTGAAAGAGGGCCTCTCAAATTGCATAGGCTTTAGGATGCTATGAAGCCCAGATTCACCCTGATAGTGAGCATAATTTTAGTGTTCTTTTGACACTTGCCTATAGCAGCTTCATTAATCCCTGCAGTTTACAGACTTCCCTTCCCATTTCTCCTCCTCCCCCTCATCCTTGAATGCAATATACACAGAAACCTTTGCAAGGTACCTAGTCAGAATTAGTGGTTCTCTTTTCAATTTCCACAACAGCCAATATTTACCTCTGTCTATCATATTTATCAGAATCTGCCCTAGATTAACTTATCTATCAAATATATATTGAGGATCCATTGTTTGCTGGGGTCTGTGCTGAGTCTCAGGACCACTCTTAGACCAGGCCTTGCCTAGGACCTGTATTTCTAAATATTTTAAAAGGCCCCTCCATCCACATTCCTCCAAATGAGCTGAGGGTCTGCAAGGCCAAGGGCCCATGCTTATCCATGTCCCTGGTATCTTTTCCTAAGTCACATTCTGGGTACCTGTAACTCCAGAATTCCTTGCTAAAATCTATATTGAGTCTGCTTCCACATGGACCTCTTCCCCTGACCCTTCCTCCAGAGGGTTGATTTGCCTCTGGTACGCTCATTCCCAGGATGAAGAAGAGGCTATTCTTTAGGGTGGGAGAGAGAGAGAGTACAGAGCTCGGAGATGAAAGCTGGGCTATCCATGCACACGTGCAGGTGATCTCACAAAAGTAAAGGGGAAGAGAAAGGGGCAGGCTAGTGGCTCCCTTTGTACTCATGCCCTGAACCCTACAAATGTTAGTTATGGGCCTGCTAGAACTGTAGTCGCATTCCTATGTCTTGATTTTGTCTCATAGTTTCCTAAACTTTCTTTGTCGCTATAATTTTTTAGTGTTTCTGTAATTTTTTCATGGCATAGATGGGACAGAAGAAATGCCTAACCATTCTGTTTATTGAGTAATTAGGGCCAAACAACTTAGTAGAAGTAATTTACATGGTGTGACACATGTCGCTTTGTTTCCCTCAAAAATATAAAATATCCTTCAGTTACCCTGTGAGTTTGTCACAGAAATCTGGGGTGTCTCAATATGCAGGTTGAGAATCATGTGTTTATCCTAGATTGTGAGCTTCTTTGGAAAAGATGTGCATTATGGAAAATTATATTTTCCAAAGATGACCATATTTCTAGTCCTACATGCTTTTCTAGAACCTCACCACTATCTCAATGAGATACAAAGTCTAATTCCCCTCCTCTTGAATTAGGAGGGACTGGTGACTCATTTGTAATCAATAGGATGCAGCAGCACTGACACTGCATGACTGTCAAGGCTCCTAAAGGTCATAAAGGTGACATAACTTCTATACTGTTAGTTCAAACACTTGCTCAGAGCTGCCATGCTGTGAGGAGGCCCAAGCTAGTCAGCTCAGAGAGAGCATCTGGAGAGGCTCTGAAGCTACACAACTATAGAGTCCTCAGCTGCACAAGCCCCCTGCTGTTCCAGCTCCAACCACTGCTAGACTACAACCATGTGAGACACCCCAAGCTATAATCACTCATTGGAGCCCTTTCTGAATTCCTGTCTCCCAGAATCTGTAATCATACATAATAAAATGACTCTTGTTATTTCAAGTTTTGGGGTAATTTGTTAGGTAGCAATAGTAACTGGAAAACTCATTTTTTATTGCTTTGACAGAATAGTATTTAGAATATTTTGGAAGGTCAATAAATGTTCATCAAATTAAATTGAAAAATGAAAAAATTTCAGAGTATTAGTGATGAATCCAGATGATTATAAAGATGTTGAAAATATGAAAACTTAGGTTAAATGTATACTGACCCTAGAGCAAACCCTGCATATTAGTCTTTGAGTTTTTTAAGAGTTTTAATAAGTCCTTAGACAAGTCTGTTTCTTTGCCCTTTGCTTTTGTCTCTTTACAACAAAGGGCAGAAAAAAAATTCTAAATACCCATTTGCAAACTCACTATATCATTAAGTCACCATAGAGGTCACATATGTTGAATTATCAATACCAGTTAATTGAGGGTTTTAATTAGTCAGTTCAGATTAAGCAAGGTATTACTATAATTGGTTAATTCCAAAGACAGCCATCTGTTCCCTTTGTGAGTATTAATATTATGCCATATAAAGTCTAGCAGAGAGAAAAATTTGTCAAGTAGAAATTATCTCACCATTAGCAAAAGGTAGATCCCTAGGAAGTAAAAGGAAGGGGTGGGGAAGCAAACTGACCAAGATTGGAAAAAAGGAAAAAAGAAAGCCTATGAAGAAAGGAGACTGTCAAATTATTTGCTACGTTAAGAGAATCAAACTGAATTTAACCTTGGACATCTGTTTGTGCCTGGCATTGTTTTTCAGTGGAGTGGAGGGAGGTAATTAAAATGCCATGTAGCTACTTGCCTTGTATGCATTGCTAAGTATAATTCAAACTCTTATGAATCTGCCCTCTCAAAGAAATAGCTGATTATAGAAACAGAACAAAACCCCTTTGATCCCTCTTGCGATACAACTAGGTCATGAGAAGCAGAATTCCAAATATATTCTCAGTTTTGGATGACTCTTCACGGAAGGTTTAACTTTGGGAGGTTTCAAAATGAACAATGAGGGAAACCAAGGCAGAATATAAAGCAATAAAGACTTGTTGGCATGAAAAAACAACTCACCAAAGGTAATCTGAATGGACTTTTGTTTACATGGTTATCTTTTTTCTAACCTCCATTGTAATGGGTTTTTTTCCTAACAAACAGTGCTTACAGGGTACAATGATAAATATCAGGTGTGTGAAACATGGATGAATTGAATGTGGCATGCAAAAGCCCATAATATCTTGGATACTTGTGATAATCAAAAAATGGACAACATTTATGAGTTTCTTATAAACTTTACCAGTTTTTCCAGTGGCTTTGTCATCTAAACTACACAAATGCGTCTTTGTCTTCTAGTCAGAGAAGAACTTTTGTGCTTTTGGAATGAATTGTATCTCCTTCTAAAAGCAAAAACTTAATCAAAATATTTTGTGAAGAATCTAGTATTTTAATATTTTCAGATAAAATAATAAGATCAAGATAAGGCTACATATTGGTTAAGATTTTTTCCCCTTTACAACCAAAAATAAACTAGTTATAAAACAAAAGGGACTTTCTCACATACCACTGAAGTTCAGAGGTAGGACTGGCTTCGGGGGCAGCTCAGTCAGGGACCTGGCTCTGTTTCTCTGTGGTTTTCTAGGTTTTGCCCTTCTCCATATGTCACCCTCAGGTTTCCCTCCTGTTTCCAAAATGTGTCTCCCACGAAAGTGGGTCTCATGTATTCTCATTCACATCTCTTAATTCTCTCACTGATTGAACTCCTCCTAAACCACCCTAATGGCCTAGGAACTGACACACATACATACATAAGCCTATAGTAAGTGACGGAGGAATGTTCTGATTGGTTGGGTAATATAAATTCAGCATCCACCTTGGACTAGAGTCCACGCAATCTCACCCAAACTGAGGGCTGCTACATGGAGGGGTGGCTCTTCAAAGGAAAATCTGAATACTGCAAGGAAGGAAGGAAAGTGGGTAATGGATGCTGGGAAGATAATTAACGTCTACTACAGGTAGTTCCTATCAATTATTACAGCAGCTCCTATATTTTCTGGGCAAGTGTAACTATGAAATAAGACTTTTCTTGGGAAGAAAAAAAAAGAATTCTTCCATTCTGAATTATGCAAAGATTTTTAAAATGCAGAAATCATCTTTATCAGAAACAAGTCAAGGAATCAAATGAGCAAGGATTTCAACCAAGGAAAATGGCTCATGATAGTAATTCCAATTCATTTAACAAATATCAATGGAATGCTGACATGTACCAGGTACTATGCTAAGTTCTTGCCCAGGTTGGAGTGCAGTGTCTACTCACAGGCACGATCATGGTACACTATAACCCTGAACTCTTGGGCCTAAGCATTCCTCCTACTTCAGCCTTTTTATTATTTTTCATATTAATTTTACATTTAAAAATGCCTATCAAAACGCAAAACAATTAATTTGTTTTCCCACATTAAAGATTAATCAAAGACATATAAATTATAAGAAATCCTAAAAGGTAAAAAATAACCAGTGCTGAAACATTAAAAAGAGTTGGCATTTTTAGTGGTGTATTCAGCATCATTGTGATATAAATAGATATATTATTTATGGTAGTCTAAAAAGCATTATTAAAGATTTAAATAAATGTGTGTAATTTCTTTTAGACATTTTGAAGTAACGGCTTTTTTCCCCAAAAATATCCATAACTACCATTTTGAATCACTAATGATGCAAAACTATGATCAAAATAAAACAAAAAAAATTCAGACACATATATACTACATATTATATGTAACAACGATAGTATCATATAAATCTTAGACACTATTCCTACAAACACTGAGGCTCTATTCTCCACTAAATCATTTCCTGGTGGTAAGATATATTCTGATGATAAACCGTCAAGTTTCTTATTCACCATGTAGCACAGGAATCAGACTGAGCTCAATTTGGGGTTGTCTCTTCATCAGATGATACTGAGTAACTTAGCCCCAGACGTCAGGGTGCCACTGAGTATGCAGTATGCTGACTTAATCATAAAAATTAACACCTTTAGTATTCAAGCAGCTCATATCACTCACAAATTTCTCTTTAACAAAGAAAGGCATGCATTTCATACACGGGTAGGAAATCTAGCAGAAGTATACATAGGACCAGCCAGCGCCACACTGCTGACTTTTAATCAGCAATGAATACATGCCGAGCAGCCACTTCCCATTTTTCCTATTTCCATAACGCCCCCATATGCCAACCTGTGTTCCGATGATCACTTTTACTCAACACTTCACCTCCCACAAAGCAATAGTGTGCAAGGTTTATATAATTAATGTTTGTGCAGGGCTATTAAAGCCTTGTCTGAAAGATGCCTTTGAAGAGGAAAGGACTGTTGATACTATGATGTCCTGGATTTGTTATCCTTATCAAGACTGTTTCTATGAGGAAAAGCTACAGCAATGATAGATGGAACCACTTTTATTCAGCACAGTTACAGGTGGCAAAACACTGCTGCAGGACTCAGGCAAGAATGTGGCCCAGGGCAACATCAACATATGTCCTATCAATCACTAGGTACCATACTTTATAGACCAGAGATAATGTTAATTCTATCCTGCTTACAGTATGCTCTGTACTAGAAAAGTTTGAGGTGCCTTGCAACCACCATAATTTAGTGAAGCATGAAATGAAAGCTACACATAGGAAAGTTAAGACATTATCTTTATTCAGCCATTAATCCAAGCAGGGTTGACATTTGGTGCTAGAAAATCTTTCCTCTATACTACTGTTGTTATCATTTAGGAAAGAAAGAAAAAGGAAATTGATCTTCATTGCATATATACAATGAACTATATACTGCCAGGAGTTTCACATTTAACTTATTTGATCTTTAAAACAACTCAGTGAGGTATATTTTTTAGTTGAGGAAACCAAGACTCAGAGAGAAAAATTAATATGGCTTAGATAACATAGGCTACTTAGTGACAGGGCCATGAATTTAACCCAGGTCTCTGATTCCAAAACCAATGCTTTTCCCACTATATATACAAAGCAGATGAACTAATTTAACCCATCTAAGTTTCTTTCTTCTAGGATTTTATCTTTACCTTTAAAAAGAACAGAAGTTCTATAACTCATATTTCCAAATAAATTATTCTAGAACTATCCATGAAGCTGTCTCATGCCATGCCAACCCTCATTGCTCTTTCCCATCCCTGATCTGTGGACTGCAATATAGAACTGAGCATTTGGTTACCTACAGGAAGATTTCATCTTAAAATAGTACCTTATTTATACCTACCCACTGCCAATCACACATGCAAACCACCTCCCATTTCCACCATCACTGAGGTCACTAATGTCAGTATTATGGTAGGAATTCCAAAATAAAATAAAATCAATGGATTCGTTAGTGAAAATAAAAACAATTTCTGGAAAAAAAAAAACAGGAATGCCTCAAGATAGCATGTATGGGCAGCCGATGCAAGAAGCTGGCCCTCAATTCAAAAATATGTTACCCATGTGTAGACTAAAATTTTAAAAGATACTTTATTATACTATTGGAATTCTACAAAATAGAAAATAATTTAAATTCGCAAACATCTTTTTCCTAAAATACACATTTCACCAAGAGGGCTAAGAGGATGTAACATTCACAACCTAGGGACAATTCGGTCAGATTGTTTCTTCCCAATACCTCTATGAGATCAATTGCACTGAAGGAATGCCTATTTTTACTAGAAGAACGAAGGTGGAAGTCAATAATTTTGAAGCATGGGGTAGCTTCAGAGGAGGAGAGGTTCGGGGATCGGGTACAAGACTTGGCTTGGGCCAGGATAAAAATACTCAGTATGAAAAACCTGAGTAGCATTACTAGATTGTAATAGAGATAGAAACGGACATGAAAGGATGTTAAGAAGAAATTAGGGGATTTGGGAGAGTTTCAACAAAATTATTCTAAAGTTGTTCCAAAAGTATAAATACAAGGAATGTCCTTAACAGCGGAATAGACTAACAAAATGTGGTATATATATATACAATGGAATATTTTTCAGCCACAAAAATAAATGAAGTTCTGATACATGCTACAGCATGGATGAATCTTGGAAACATTATGCTAAATGAAAAAAGCCAGACCAAAAAAGGACAAATATCGTATGGTTCTACTTCTGTGAAATATCTAGAATTGGCAAATTGGGAGAGACAGAAAGTAGACTACAGGTTACCAGGGGCTTGACAGAATGAATAACGGGAAGTTACTGCTTAATGGGTACAGAGTTTCTGTTTGGGGGCGACAAAAAAATCTTAGAAATAGATAGTAGTGGTGGTTGTAGAATATTGTGAGTATAATTAATGCCATTGAATTGTACATTCAAAAAATGGTCAAAATAGCAAATGTATATATATTATACCACAATAAAAATATTTTCTAATGCAAGAGACAAGTCAAGGCAAAATTTTAAAAGTAAGAGGAATGAAGATAGCCCTTGCCTTACTATTAAAATACATTGTTTTAAAATTACAATAATTCAAACAGATGCTGACACAGATACAGAGAAACAAATGAATGGAATTAAATAGTAGGTCTTTAAGCAGACCCAGTTCTCCACATGAATTTGGTATGTAATGAAGCAGACATTTAAGTCAGTGAAAAAGTCATGCATGGGCATCAACAGTTGATAATGACACAACCAGCCATTTGAAGGAGCAGCTGCTTCATGAGGATAGGAATTCTGCCTGTGTCATGCACCAATTATTCCCCAGGCAAAAGCATGATACCTGGTACATTGTACACATGCAGTTAATGTTTTCTTGAATTAATGGACTAAAAATAACTCTTATATCACAAAATATACCAAAGTAAATTCTAAAGTTTTTTTAAGTGGGGAAAAATATTAAAACCTGATAAACTTGGGGGTGGGGGGAGGGGGAGTGGATAACATTAGGAGATATACCTAATGTAAATGACGAGTTAACGGGTGCAGCACACCAACATGCCACATGTATACATATGTAACAAACCTGCACGTTGTGCATATGTACCCTAGAACTTGAAGTATAATTTAAAAAAACAGATAAACTTCATAAATTAGAATATAAAAATTTCAACACCTGCATATCAAAAAGTTCATAAATAAGATTTTTTAAAGAGCAAACTGAAATAAATACATATGTAAATTTGTGATATATGAGGCAAACATTAAGTGCCTTGATTTAAAATGACCACCTTTAACTCACTAATAACAAGACAATTATTTCAGAAACATTAAGTATACTAATAGTCAAAAAAGTATAAATAGCCAATAAAAACTATGAAAACAATCTCTAACATCATTAATAGTAAGAAAAAACTAAAATTAAAATGATAGATCCTGTTTCACCTATCAGGCTGGCAACTATCGAACTATCGAGTATTGATGACAATTCAGAGAACTGAGTACTCTCACTTTGCTGGCAGAGATATAAGTTAGTCAACTGTTATGAAAGGTAGTTTGGCAGAAAATATCAAAAAGTGTTTAAAATATGAACACCATTTGGTCACCTGACTATTTCTAATAATTTAGACTTAAAATAATCTAAAACATGTATACTTTTTTAACCTGTAAGATTTCTTCAGCACAATACATTTCTTCGGTCCACAATAGAAAAAATGTAACCATTTAAATGCCCAATAATAACAACTAGTTAAGTAAATGTATGATACATTCATACCAAGATTTACTATATTATCAGGGGAGAAAATTATGTTATAAAAGAATATTTAATGAGATGGAATGTCCATCTCATTAAATGTCCAAGCAGATTACAAAACAGTATGAGGCAAAATGATCTCATATTTTGTGAAAAGGAAAAAAAATCATAAAAGCTGGAAGGAAAATCAATGAAATATTAACAGTAACTGTCTCTGGTTATCAATTAAGTGGCAATTTAAATGTTCTTATTACTGCTAACATGATTTACTAATTTTTCTGCATTTAACATGTATTGATATTATGATAGAAAAGCAATAAAAGATGCTTTTAATGAGGAAACCAAAAATAATAGGCAACTTTGTCCTTTGTTCTTGGGAGTCAGGATTAATCAGCTATATCGCCAGGCATGGTGGCTCACACCTGTAATCCCAGCACTTTGGGAGGCCAAGGCAGGCGGATCACCTGAGGTCAGGAATTCGAGACCAGCCTGGCTAACATGTTGAAACCCCGTTTCTACTAAAAATACAAAATTAGCCCTGCGTGGTGGCATGTGCCTGTAATCCCAGCTACTTGGGAGGCTGAGGCAGGAGAATCACTTGAACCTGGGAGGCGGAGGGTGCAGTGACCCAAGATCATGACATTGCACTCCAGCTTGGGCAACAAGGGCAAAACTCCATCTCAAAAAAAAAAAAAAAAAAAGGTCAGCTATATCTGTCTCTTTCCATATGTCAAACTAGTTTTAAAGCATTATTCTATTTGAGCTTTACTCTATTGTTAGGTATCATTAACCTCTTGGATGAGGTCTAGATTTCAGAAAAAGTAGCACACTCAAGGTCATGCAGCTAGTGACAGCTGAATATGACCGGCCCCCGTGGTATCTGATTCCAAAGCGCGTTTCTTTCTTTATTATTTCCATAGGTTTCTGGGGAACAGATGGTGTTTGGTCACATGAATAAGTTCTTCAGTGGTGATTTCTGAGATTTTGGTGTCACGTCACCTGAGCAATATATACTTTACCCAATGTGTAGCATTTTCCTGGGGTTTATTGTGGAGTAGTTAAGCGTTATGAGAATAGACCCAAAAAACTAACTGCCACATATCACATAGTTTCTGTGAATAAATGTTTGGCATGCTAAACACCACACTTATAAATGGCCATTGGGAAGCAATTTTTTCTTAACCTATGTGTTGCTTCTGACTGTTTACACTGTTTATGTCTGTGTCACATGCATTATTATTCTTGGAGGCAATATCCAGTAATGGGTAGGAGCACTGGCTCATAGTTAGATTCCCTTGGTGGAACCTGACTCTACCCTTTAATACCAATGAACTACTTACCTTCACAGGGTCTGATTCGTCACCAGTAAAATAAAGGTAATGACTGTACCTACCTTAGGTTGTTCTAGTGAAGATTAAATAAATTAATCTACGTGGTGCTTTGTGGATTTAAAAAGTGTCAGACACATAGCAAGCACTAGATAAAGGGGATCTATGATGATCATTATTAATGTATTCGCTAGATATTAAATCCCCCCAAGGGCAATAATCGCATGTTGTATTGCGTTTGAATTCCCTAAAGAGCTCAATAAATGGTTGATCAATGGATAAAGCTGGAAGTAAGGTAATTTCTGACAAGAATTTCTCAGTGCTGCAAAATACCCTCTCTAATTCAACGAGAATGCTCCCTGATTAACTTGTATTGACTAATAGAGGCCTTATTTTTATCTTATTTTTTCTCATCTATGAAAGGGGTACTTAAAATTACCATTTAAGGCTGTCTTGCATTTCCTTATTAAACATCACTTTAATTATTGATTGAATATTCAATATTTAAATGCAAGTTACCTCCATTTCAACAAGGCCTTTCAGGGAAGGGCGTAACTTTATGTGACTAAAAATAGTTAAATGACCCCTGAGTTTTAAAATCCTTAAACATTTATTTATGGCACCCTGTAGAAAGATAACAGTAACCTAGTTCTTTCAATAAGAAAGTAGCAGGAAAGAATCATGGCTCAATCTTTCACTGAAAGTATTTAATCTGAGTAAGTCCCAGATACCCAGCAGTGTTAATGTACTATGTGTTACTTTGAAGTCAGTGAAACTGAAAATCTCACTTTAGAAAGTTCTCTTAATCACTGAGAATATAACCATGTTCTGATTTTAATTATGACATGGCGGATTTTAAAATAAATCTGTAAAAGCTGATGTGCAAGTCCTGGCATAATTATTTGACTACTCCACCAAGTAGGCAGTGTACATGTTTTTTTTTTTTTCATATAAATTTGGTCATATTAAATAAACCCAAGCAACCCAATTAAAAGCAATGAGCTTCCCAAGTGCTGAGCCAACAGTCCTACCTAACAATGCTATTGTAATGGCCAAATGGCTTGCACTGAGAAACAAAAAATATCAAAAATTCCATTTACCAATGCAAATTGTCCTGGAATTTTTCTGTTACTGTAATGTTTTCAATTTGATTTAGTGACAACTAGAAAAAGAAAGAAACTTGGCTAGATTGAACAAGCATATCTAATGAATTAATAGCTGTGAACCTGTCACTTCTCTTAAAAACCTCCGGTGGCTCTCAAATAACTTCAAGAAGATACCCTGCTCAGAACGCAAGCTCCTCCATGATTTGCCTATAGCCTAATTCATTTTCCCAAGACAACTCTCTCCTGCTCTTTCCTTCCATTCCCCTCATTCCAACTAAGAATAATCCATCTTTCCCTAAGAATCACATGCACTCTTCAGCTTCTGTGTCTCTTTGTAAATGCTGGTCCCTCTCCAAGAAAGTCTACTTACAATTGTAGCTATTTGGTATATCCTTCAAGGCCCTGCTCAAGGCCACTTTTCCCCTTAACCCCATAATTGCACCAAAGAACAGATTAGATGTTAGATACCTATAAAGTTTAAGAACAATAGAAAGATATTCCAATAAATGTAATATCTAAGTAAAAATAGTGTGTTTGTTATATAAATGGAGTTTGGCAACAAAAATCCTTGGGCCACTCCCGGCCCTCCAACAGGATTGCTGCCTCTAATTCTATACAAAAAGTTTGGAGCTATCACTGCTGAACTCTCCTTTAAAAAGGAACCTTCTCTCTCTTTGTGCCGATGGCATGTAGTCTGCTGTTTACTTTGGCCTTGAACACATCTTATCTTGTCTAACAGTTGTTTGTTTAGACTCCCGTATTATTTTCCCTGCTATTTCCTGAGCAGGAATTAAATCTTGCTCACCAGGTACCACCACACTACTTAGCAGACAGTATTGCTCAACGTAGGTAGGTGTTCAATATTTTAGTGGCATGGAAATGAGAATGAATGAATGAAGAGAGGTACAGTCTGAAAAATCAAGCCATGATTAATGAAAATTAGTCTTATCACTTTCAAGTGCACACACTAACAGTTTGTCAGTTATCTCTGTCCATAGCTCTTTGGTTTCATTTTCTGATCATTTCTCCCACAGTTCTGTTTAAGTAGTCCCCACTATGATGTTCCTATTAGTTCTCAAACTACATTTTTGAATAACAACAAAGTGTTCATTATCAAATTAAAGAATGGACATTCTTTTTCCAATTCACATTGCACAGAAATAAATTTATGATTAAAACGTTAAAATTTGAATTGAGCCTTTTTCATCTCAACTAGAATCTATGTTCACAAGTATACTATCTAATTTAGCAATATTTCATGGGTCCATGCAAAGAGGACATGATTTTTCAGGTGTACTACCTGAACATCAGAGAAAATCATTCTCCCAACCCTTTAGTATAAAAATTTTATTTCCATCACACCAAGAGGTTTAAAATACTAGTCTGTTTTTCTAAAGGTCTACATTTTAAAAACTGCATAAAGAAAGTTATTTAAAACACAGACAATAGAATCGACAAAACATAAAATAAACTGAAATAAAGTGAATGCAATTTTCAAAAATAGAGAAAATATGCAAATACATATAATATATAAACTCTGTTTTGCAAATGGTGGTTTAATTACAAAATGCAGCATTTTCCTCTCTGACTTGAACTACTGTCTTCTGACAGATATTACCCTAGTCCTTCATATACTAACAAGTCATGTTAATTATAAAACCGTTCATTATTTTCTGCCTTTTACATCTATAGACAGACAGACAAGTATATACCCACATACATCATTTATATTTGTCTTCTATTTTCTATTCATATTTTGTCTTCTATTTTCAGGCTTTATTAATGTTCCCATTACAACTGTTATTCTAGCAAAATCCTGCTAGCCAGCCTTGACAAGTAAATCCTGCAGCGCTGTGAGTTTTGATACATGATTCAATAATGACCTAGGATTCTCAGATTAAAAGTGCTGTGGAAATGTACAGTGTCCCTTTCTTCCATATTCAAGGCACAGTACACTGCCCTTCTCCACTGTGCAGTTGAGCATGGTTGTTCTCTGCTAAGCAGCATGACATTTGGTTTCCAAAGAGATTGTGTTGCCCTAATGAATACTGCAATTCCTCAAGAAACTATTCGTTTCTTTGAAGTATTCATGTCCCAGAAATGTAAGGAGCTACTATTCAAAACCAAAATCGGTCTCTAAAAATTTTCAGTCCAATATTCTCAATATACTAATATATTATTAAATTATTTTGAAGGCTAAATCCAGAAAAATGTAGTCAAATTCTTCTCTAGTAGAATCAATCCAGTCCCGTCTAGGGAAAAAAACTGCTATGTTTCTGTTTCTTGTAAAGTATATATTTCAATAAGTTTGTAAAATATGGAGGTCTAAAAATAGCCTGTATTTTTTTCCACAGTAAATCTAAAATTAGCAATTCCTTATTTCCAGTCTATGAAGGTTTTTTCCCCAGAAAGTCACCTGCCAATTTTAAAATAATCAGATAAGGGCAAAAATGTGCACACATCTAATAAAAATATTTCAATAAAAGTGTTGAGAAAATATAGCTGTTATTTGTAGTCTAGTGGAAAAGACATTTAGCCTTAAATATTTCCACAGCATTTGATATTTCAGAAACCTGTAGAGCCTCTTCTTTTCTTTCACTTTTATCAAATAATGCCAAACAAGCAGATCCAGGAATCTTTAATTTTTTCTTCTGACACTGAAAGAAGAAACTTTCTTACAGAGAATCCATATTTTTGGAACTCTGTGAGACAGTGGTTTTATTAATGTCAATTAATCTTGACAGCTTAGTAGATGGTTTATACAGCTATTAGAAGATATACTATTGTCTTCATTTATGCATAATGTAAATGCTATTATTCATGTTATAATTAACAGAGACACATGAGAATTTTAGACAAAATAATTATTTTAAATAATTAAATTATTTGAAGTCCATGAACAAGGCAAGCATGAAGTTCTTTTAGAATTCAGTGACTGGGTAATAACTTTCTTTTTTGAAAAACAGTGTGCTTTCTCTTTTCTCATTATGAAAGTTAGAAAACTCACTGTGCTTCTCTTCTGACTTGGCCACCAGGAAGTTCCATGTTGAACTAGGTCTTATTCACAGTTAAGTATTCCTTCCCATTTGAAGGCATATTCTCTTCATCTTTTCATAGCTTTTTAATGCACGGTTGCTTACTTCTATTTTATTATTCCAATGAGTGTAAATTCTACATATACAAGTAAAGAAGCAGAGAGTTCATTAATTTTAACAAGAAATTAATCTGAAACCATTTATTGTACCCCTACTGTGTGCTGGGCATTTTTCTAGGGGATGGGAATGTAGTTTATTAAAAGAATATTTTCATAAGAGAAGTGAATATGTTTCATTGTATCCTTAAGAGAGGGGGGAAATCTGCCAATCAAACCAACTTCAAGAAAATGGAAATTTAAAAGAACTTCCTTAAAGGCAAAGCCTGCCAACATCAATTTAACTCCCACAAAAAGTTAAGCTAATACACTGAGTGTTCTCACTGTTGCTTACTGGCACACGGAAAACTGGTTACTTGCTATACACCCCTCTTCTCAAGGGTCCTGCAATAAAACTAGTCTTTATCCTGAGGCATGCTAAGCACTAACAACACCATAAAATAAAAGCTTTTAAATAAATTGCCCCTCAACAACAGTTTTAAAGATCAGTTTAAACATTCTAACTTTCGAGAGAGAGCTTTGGGTCATAGATTTCCTACCTTGAAGCTTCTGCTGTAACAAGTAAGTCGCAATTACTGGGGCAAGCCAAGAAATACAATGCATTTTGTGTGGCTGACTGGGCAAGAAAAATTAACTAGTAAAGCAGCTCCCTTTCAGGGATGACTTCAAGGTTGGTGGGCCTAAATTTGCACTTGCTTTCAGCTTTGTTTTGCTTTACTGGCTTGCAAATATGTGTCACACAGTGACCCTAGGTTGGCCTGCCTGCTGCCAGCCTGATGTTGGAAAAGGTATTGAAATGTACAAGGATCTTGCCCTTGGCCTCCACTCCTAGGGCGCAGCATTCTCACACATTTTAAGGCGTTACCAGCTCACAAAAGCCTTGTAGTCAGGGAAGGCAGCCCAACAAGGCTGCCCACAGATACACACGTGTTTGTCACCTGCCCCAGCAATTGCAAATAGAATAGCTCTTCTCAAGGCAACCTGTTTGTCCTCCCTTTGAAAGAGAAGGCTGTGTAAATAATTATATTTCAGATGTGGCAAAATATTGGAATTTTCAATTTGGACTATGCTCTTAGGCATCTCAGACTAACACAAAGTTTTCTAATTAACAGAGATGCCCTTATTTCACTGAGAAACCAAGCTAAAACTTTTAAATGGTGTCACATCTTGGTGACTTTCTAAGCCCATCAAATACCTGAGTGGCCAACGTTTTTTACGTAGCTGCGAGCAGCATCTCAAAGGATTTAGAGAAGCAACAAATAACAAAGTGTGACAGTCGATCTTGGAAAACCAGAGGGCTCTAATGAAGCAAAAAGTAGATGAAGAGGCATAAAAAAAATCCAGGTTCGTTCCAAAAAAGTTTTACAATTATAGCAAAGCAATCATTTCATCGGTTTGTGCAACAAAATTCAAAATCTGCGGGGCGAGATAATACTTGGCCAACATCGCCAAATTTATCAATACGGGTGTAAAAACTGTAACTTTTTATTAAATGGGTGTGAAAAGAGTCGGGGAGGAGGAACAGGACCACTAAATCTGGTATTTCCAGATCTCTGCATTCAACATCTCACTCCCACGCCATTAAGTTAAATAACATTTAGCACAAAACACAGGCTAGACCACCAATTTCGGGAGGGCGTCTGAGTCTTCCCTTCTCCATTCCCTTTAGATCGGCCGTCCTGGCCTTTCTTTCCTAACGGCATCTCCTTTCTAATAAAGTCCCTCGTATCTTTTGGTGTAATTAACTCATGGTACAAATCCTTCAAAAAGAAAGGAAAGAACTGCGGTTTGCTCTACGCGCGGACATCTTTTCTTCCTAAGCCTTCCCTTTCGCTGAAAAGGTTGTCGCAGAAGGGCGGGGAGGCTTGAAATCCCGCCGTTCCCTCATTCTTTCTCTTTTCTTTCTCTCCACATAACGCCTCCCCTACACCTCCCCACCTCCAATCCACTACCGTATTTAAGTCGGCGGGGGCGCTTTAAAGGGTTTCCTGTGTCTGTTTCTGTCTCTCTGACCCGAAACGCACTTTCGGTTATAGACAGACAAGGCGCTCAACCAAGGGACAGGCAAATGGAATAAACAGCTGAGGAGAATAAACGACCTAATGGGGAAATCTCGTGCTGCCTAATTGCTATTGTGTTTTGCAGATAAATAAGCATATTATTTTGATAGCGTTCAAAACCCTGAGCTCTCTTGCCCTATGCATTCTTAACAGACTTCTATGGCGCTTACTATATACCAGGCGCTGTTTTAAATGCTTTTAAAATACCACCTTCTTTGCTTAAAAAATATTTTTAACAGATTTAAAATTCCGTGTGTGCTTTCGAACTTCCCTGCTATACTCTTCTTTATACATAGTACAGCAGTTGTCTTCAAAGACAAATTGAAAAAAAACTTTAACCAGTTGCTACTTAATTGCCAGCAAATCGTTTCCCTCTGCAATTTTTCGCAATCATAATTAAATACACTAGTATAGTGGCAAAGAACTGTTAGATTTTTTTTTTTCAGTGATGATCTCAGGTTTTGCCTCAGGCGTTTGGACGCGCCCGCTAATTGCCCGTGTGGCAAACATGAGTTGCACCTGCAGGCATTTGAATTCAGAAAAACGTGCAGCCCTCACGGAAAGTTGTGACGGTCGAGCTTGAGCCTGGCGGGCCGCGGAGCGTTCACCTGCGGCCGGGAGGTACTGGCCCAGGGCGCTCGGGGCGGGAGGTGGCAGGCGACCGGCGCGCGTCAGGCTCGTCACCCGCTGGATTGCGGGGCCGGAGCGGGGACGGGGTCTGGGTCCTGGCCCGCCCTCGTGCAGCCGATCGGAGGCCCCGAACCCCGCGCCGACCCAGCCATCCGCCCTGAGGCCGACAGGGGAGCTGGGGTTCACCGACCCCCGCGGCCCCGCCGTCGGGCGCGGACCCCATCCAGCCCCACCTGGCCCCGCCGAGTGTGTGCTTTGCCTGGGGTTAAGTTTCAGAAGCCAAGATGGAACGATTCGGGTTTCTATTCACAAGGTTATTGAAGGCATGGCGGTGGGGACCGCGCAAAAGAGATGAGAGTGTGGGGGGAAAGGGGTTTCTGTTCTAATAAGGGCTTAGCACGCTGGCCGCAGGTCCTCCGCGCCGACCGGGCTCCTTCCCGCTCTCCCCCGGGCCAAACCCCGCCAGGGTCCCGTCTTTCCCAGTCGCGTCCTTTCCTCTTCTCCCCGCCCCGCGCCGGGCTTGTGTGGACAGAGAACGGAGTGTCAAAGGGACGCCCTGGGCCGATCCCCAGGAAGCTATGAATCCCTCCGTGACGGAGGGGTCTGGGGATCGATAGACGGCCCTTTCTCAGAGGCTCTCTCCACTACTGACCAAGCGGCCCTGCCAACGTGTGGTTTCCGGCTGGACCCCAACCCAGCCGCCGCCAGTCTCCCGGCGCCCCTGGCTGGGTCTCGCTCAGTCCCTGCCCTCGCAGACGCACAGCGGGGTGGCCAGTTCAAAAGTCCTACATAACTTGGAGAGAACCAGCAGCTAGAAAACCTGTTTTAAACACACAGCTTGAGTTTTATACAACCCACGTTGTCCAAGGCACGAACTGTTGGACACGAATTCATACTTTAGAAACCAAATCTAATTTCCAAGCGCCAATCTTCACCTCCCGGACTCTAACTCTGCGGCTGCGAGTGCATACACCAGGGGGACTGGAGGAGACTGGAGGCAATTATCTGGATAATCCAAGCCCGAAAAACTCGAACTTGAAAATATACGATTATGTCCTGAAATGCCCGCGTCATTGATCTAGTCTTTCCTACCATCAGAGCTGACACAGCTCCAGTCCACGGGCTTCTCCGCGGGGTCTAGGATCCACAGTCCCTGGGGGCTGAAGACCCAATGGAAGTAACTGATGGATCGCAAATTGGAAATCGTAACGTGGCCGACAGACCTGATCAGGAAAACTCGCGTCCTTATATGAAACAGCCCCGAGGCCGCGAAAGTAGCCTCAGGAGTTGTCAGATTCAAAAGCAATTTTGATTTAAGGTTTTCAAAAGCCCCAGAGGGCAAATGTGACCACTCGGGTCAGCCAGTCAGCAGTTTGGATCCAGACAGGGGACCACCGAGTGGGGCGGCCGAGGAGCCGCGGCGCCTCCCGACGTCACACGCGCCTGCTCGCACTTAGCCACGCGCTTGGGGTTATTCTTTACACTCAGGACTGAAACTTCGCCCGCGAGACCGCGGGGCGCGGAGGAGGGCCGAAACCCAAGGTCCAGGTCCAGGGCCCGCCCCCGCGCGCCCGCGTTGGCGCCCGCGCGCTCCCTCCGCAGGGGTTAGCAAGATTGCGCTCATTCTCGCCCCGGCTGCTCCCCACCCGCTCGCTGCTCTGGGGTACCAGGTCCGCGGCCGCGTTCCCACGCCTCGGCTGGAGCCTTGCGGCGGGCATTGGCGAGCGCGGCCCCGCCCCCTGGCCCAGCCAATCGCGAGCCACGCCGACCAGCGAGGGGGAGGTGCCGGGCGGAAGGCCTGGGCCGGTGCGCGGGGGCGGGTGAGGTGGCCCCACCCGCTCGAGGGGGGGGCGTGGCCGGCGCCGGCTCTTGCGGCCGAGCAGAGTTGCGGCGTGGGAAAGAGCCGCTAGGAGCAGACCGCGCCGCCGCCGGAGCCGCGCCTGCCCAGGCCCGGGGAGGGAGGAGGCGGGCGTCAGGGTGCTGCGCCCCGCTCGGCGTCCGAGCTTCCGGCCGGGCTGTGCCCCGCGCGGTCTTCGCCGGGATGAAGCGCCCCTGCGAGGAGACGACCTCCGAGAGCGACATGGACGAGACCATCGACGTGGGGAGCGAGAACAATTACTCGGGGTGAGCGCGGGCTCCGCGGGAGCGGCCCGCAGCTCGGGAGCTTGGGGTAGCTTTGTGAATGCGTGGCTCCCTGGAAATCCCGAGGCTGGTCTCCGCAGCATCTAGGTAGAGAGGGAAAGTTTGGCCTGAGAAAGTTTGAGTGGTGGGCGCTCGCAGAGCGTGAGTTGGGATGGGGCAAGGGATGTGGATTTTCACCGTAGGGGTGGAGTAGCCAGGATGGGAGACGCCACTGAAAGGCAGAGCGCAGGAGTTGGCGAGGGAGGGTCCTGGCTGTCACAGTTGGACGCGCGAACGGCAGCGTCTGGGCGACAGGCGATGTCCCAGCCACTGAAACCGTATTTGGGGGCACTTTCAAAATAGATCAGGAGAAAATAAAAACAATTTGATTTTTGATTTTTAGAGATACCAAAATCACAACTTGATTTTTGGAGGAATTAAAGCAACCTGCGATGTCAAGGCTACGTAGGTTGAACTTTGCAGGTTGACCGTGTGTGACTTGGCTAACGCAAGAGTGAGTGACAGATGTAAGCATCGGAAAGGGCATCATTTCTTTGACTGCTTGTTCTCAAGTCTGGAAGAGATCGGCGTCGTAATCACAGAAGCCAGACCTCCACTTTCCTGTGACAGAGGGAGATTACCGAGGCATTTTAGAGCCAAGGCGGGTCAAATGATAATTGCTTCTAATTGGCATCCCCAGAAGCACCTTAATTATTTATCTGCAGCTGTCACTCAAAGAGGGAAATTCTTCCTACCTTTGGAAAACTGGTTTTCTTTCATATTGTTATTCTAATACATACAAAGCAAAGCACAAAATCTGCAAGAGCAAAGATATTTACACGAAAGCAAAGGTTTAAGTATCTGATCATTAAAGTGTTGTTGTGCCGTCTTTAAAAATGAGGTCTGAAAAACAGAAGCTATCACGTGAAAGGTGAAACCCGTAAAGAAGGGGTGAAAATGAGGGGGACAGGTAATTCAGAAATAAGATCCAGAAGTGAGAAGGTGAGGTAATAGCAACCTGGTGTGTGCAGCATTTCTAAAATGAAAGAGAACAAATAACAGGAACCTGGGGAATTTGAGAACACAAAGAAGCATAGTATCCATGAATTATGAAGAGAAACAGATACAAACTAGAAAGGATTGTAAAAATTATGTGACCAAATAATACTTTGATTGAACCTTCAATATAAAAATATATTTTCATTAGTAAATCCAAGGTGCATTGCAGCTTCTGGAGATTTAAGCTTAGCCTAAAGTCTGAGACACACCTACAGTTTCATTTTCAAAGTAAAACATTCACCTAGTAATAAAATGAGTTTTAATTTTCCTATCAGTGGCATATTTAGGGCATATTTTTGGAAGATTAGTATGCAAAACATCAAGTTTGTCAATTTTTTCCTGTTGCAATATATGACTAACTGAAGTTTTGAAACAGTAAGATAACTTCTATTTATTTTAAAGTTTGCACCTAGAGACAAGAGTTTGACGTATGACGACTGCACATCTGTTTGATAGTGGTGCTTAACATAACCCTGATTTGAAAAAGTGGCATTATTTTGTTCAGTGTGCCTGACAGGAGGGAGAAGGAAAGCTATTTGAGATTAGTTGACTTTAAAATATATGAGTGGAACTAGGAAATGCTAATATCTAACTTCTCAGCCCAACTGCCGGTAATTATTTCACTGGGAGACTTTCAAGTAAAAATTGTGGGACATTTTGGCCAATGGGTTAGCATCTGGATTACAAATTAAGGCGTAATTTTTACCTGAAAAGAGACAGCCGGGCTGAAAGCAAAGTCCGTTAAGAGTGAAACAAGAACTAAGAATAAAATAACACAGACTTGAACTGTGCAATCACTCTGAATATTTAATGGGTGCCACAAGTACCCAGAAGAAACTATTGTTATGTTAATGCAGCACCTGACATACTCTTCTTATTTCATAGGCAAAGTACTAGCTCTGTGATTAGATTGAATTCTCCAACAACAACATCTCAGATTATGGCAAGAAAGAAAAGGAGAGGGGTATGTGATTTTTCCCCCTTTTTATTTCATGTAACTTATACTATTGTGTAACAGTTACATTTTTTCATTTGAGTAATTTTATCATTTGTGAATTCATAAACTTTTGTTGTTTGCTTCTTTTGGATAGATTATAGAGAAAAGGCGTCGGGATCGGATAAATAACAGTTTATCTGAGTTGAGAAGACTTGTGCCAACTGCTTTTGAAAAACAAGTAAGCTATCCCCTCCCCAGAATCCCCCCACCCACCCCGCCACCCCCCAAAAAAAAGCTCAAACACAATCTGATTCGCTCATCTGGGAATGTGGGTTCTTGTTAAAGCTCATTAAAATAATAGTGTATGTGCCCTGATCTGGCACAGAGCAGCTATTTCAATAAAATGCTTTGTTGTGGCAAAACTATTAAAAACATAATCCATCATGAAGTTGAAAAACATTTCCATTCTTTAGCTTATTTTCCCCTTAAGGGTAACAGTGTTCATGCTTTCTCTGTTCTTTCTATGAATACCAGTAGTGGTTTTATTTAAAACTGTGCTGTATACCGTATCCTTCAAAAAAAAAAAAAAAACCATTTTTTTCTCAAAATTTTTTTAAAATGTAATATTTTTAATTAAAAAACAATCAGAGCCCAAGAAGTAACATCTCTAGCTCTATTTCCTAAATGATAATACCACTAAAATTTATTTACCAAGCCATTTGCTTTCATTTTTAATCCCTGGGTTGGTAGAATGCCATTTGATTTGGGTCATCTTTTTAGAAGTTTGGTAAAAATGAAGTTAATCATAAATGCCCCTTTTCATAGTTACCTATTCCTTTACAAAAAAAGAAAGAAAGAAAAAGATTTTGCACACTTAGAAAAGTAGAAAGCCAAATGTTTAAATCTTTTGTGGTTTTAGAAGTCATGGCTCTCCCCCTGCCGCAGTGGTTAATGACACAGATTTCTAAGAGTATCTTTCAAAGGATATGGCAGCATGTCCTTGTTGAAAATACTTTCAGTTTAATTCCAATAAGACAACAGTTGTTTGTTTATTCCATTTTGTTTGTTTACTTCATGAATCTGCAAACATTATAAAACAAGCCCTACAAAGTCCTTGGAAATTATCCAGAAAGTGCAGTTTCAATTATTAGTGACTTTACTGAATCTGCTTGTACCATTTTCATGGAAAAATTAAACGCTGACCAAATACAAAACATAATATGCTACTGATTATACATTTTTAAGACAAAAAGCACACCCAATCTATATGCAGAGACTGTGTTTGATAAACTAAAAATAATGTGGAAATTGTAGTTTTGATTAGTAGCATTTTCAGTGCCAAATAGGCTTCAAGTGAAAATGTCAGTAATCAATGATGTTTTTAAAATTTGGAAGTACTGAAATGTCTGCAGTTATGAGGCGAAGTCTGTTTGATTTTTTTTCTTGGTTTGTTAGATTTTTTTTTTCTTAAATGTTGACTTAAACCTTAAAAGCAAACATCAGTTGTTTGGCAGTTAGTTACCATAAACACAAGCTTTCCCATTTGCAGAGCTTGGCTACCAACCCAAGTGAGTTGGCCCTGTCACAATATGATTAGAAAAGTGTTCTTTAGAGCAGTTAAGTAACTCTGGCACTCTCACCGTACGTGGTGCTGATAATTTTTACAAAACAAGTAAAGCATAGGGACCTGAAATAAACCTTAGTGTCCTTAAAAAAGAAAAAAAAAGAGAACATATTGGTAATTATTTAGCTCTTCCAGGAAATGAGAAGCCACCCACAGTCCCCGAGACAGCTTGAAATGGCACATTTGTATTTCAATTGGTTACCAGAGGTTTCCTTATTCTGAAAGCAGGGACATAAAAATATATTTGCAAGACAATTTTATTAAGAACTATTTTAAAAGGTTCAAAAATCCTTAAGCATTTATGATGCTTCCTAGGTAAGCAGTAAATTATTGCTTCTTGTTTGTGAGCTTAGAAATTCACAGTGACACCTGCTGGTAATTATTGGGGAAAAAAACCTTAAAAGTCGTCCTTTTTAAAATTTTTGGATCTGCTTGAAATGCAGATCCAATTATATGGTTCTAGTGTGAATACCTTATTTCAGGACTTAGTAGGCCTGTGAAAGGACTTATTGGAGTTTTCTATTTTAAAAATATTTAACAATCAATTGCTAAAATCCTATCTCCTTATCTTCTGGAGTTGTTATGCAACTCCTCTAGACTTTGGCTTTATAGAAGACTATTGATGCCCCATAGTAAAACATATTATTAACCAAGACACAGATTGAATGCAAAGTTTGAGATTTTTACAACTGAAATCATTTTGCTGTGGTGATCTTAGGAGAATAATTATTCTTATGATTTAAAAAAGTCATTCTAGTTTCTTTTAGTCTTTAAAAGTTAAAATGGCAAATACTTGTCATTAGGTATGACATTAATTAGTGCTTTCATGTAAAGTTTGGAAAGAATTCGAAGTTTTCTGTGAAAAAATAAAAGTTGGGATTGTCTAGTGAGAGGGAAATTGAAGCCATAATGCTAAATTCAGTGTATAATGTTTCAGATTAGTTTCTGTAGGACATAGGATTATTTATTTATTTATTTATTTATGAAGGGATCTGCAAAGTTAGAAAAAGCTGAAATATTGCAAATGACAGTGGATCATTTGAAGATGCTTCAGGCAACAGGGGGTAAAGGTAAGTAGATGACTTCATTTTTTTTTTTTTTTGCCTTTTTTACCTTTCTCTTTTCATGTTATTCCCCCTAATATTGTAAGGAAGTCATAGCTGAACAGTTCTTTAACAAGCTGAGATAGGAGGCCCCAGATTAAAGCCATGGAAATCAATGCTAATGGCAGGATTGAACTCGTGGGAAAGAACTTTTGGAACAAAAGAAGCACTTGACCCTGGGCTTGTGTTTGCTTTCATAATACTGTGGGAGTAAAGCTTCATTCACAGCAGCCTGGTCAGAGATTTGTTTAGGACTTAAGAAGCGCATGCTGGAATCTGTACAGAAAGAACAAAAAACAAACACACAAACATCCAAACATAAACAGGAGGTTAGAGGTAATCCTTTTCTCCTCCTTCTGCTTCTTTCTTCCTACTCCTTCTCCTCCTCTGTCTTCATTAAATGAAGGCTAAGACTGAAAATAATTCAGCTATTCCAAAGGAATTGACTCTAGAGTTATTTTCATTATTGTTTTCAGATTTTTGCTTGGTCTTGAATTTAGACCAAACAGAACAGTTGAAGTGCAGGTAGGAAGTCTCTACACCAGAAGCCATTAATGGAGCAGAGTCATTCTTGGGGAAAGCAAACAGGAGCAGGCACTCCAGGTCCAGGGCCCTAGAGAGGTGTCCTCTGTACTGGATAGTGACTTAGGGAGTAATTGTCGAGGTGGTGAGAGAGGATCTCATCTCATGCTAAAAACAGCCTTGAGATCCTAGTTCACTCAGATTTCATTATCCCACTTACACATCACAACTCAGACTTGATTTTGTTCCTCTGAATCTTTTTCATCCTTCAAAGAATCCTTTGATATTCACCTTAGCCAAGGGTGTTATTCAGTATATTTAACAACTGAATAAGGAGAAGGTATCAGAAGGATTTAAGGGCTCCAACTAAATCCTGAAGGCCTCCCGGTGCTCAGCATTAACCTTTTACTACACTGTATACGGGTCCTAGATCAGGGCAGAGGCAGGACATTGGAGGGAAGCAACTGTTACCAATATTTAACTCCTGTATGGCCATACCATTGAGGATCTCTAGAACATCAGCCCTGATCTTAACCATCTTTTTCCTGCGTCTAGTAGGGAGGGAGGGTAACCATTGTACAGAGAAGCCCCAATGGGTTGACTTTTCCCAGATTGTACCTTCTCAAGGAACCATCCTGAATGATGGCATGAAATGCAAACATTCTTACATAATAGAAAAGATAACTGGATTAAATCACAGAAGCCAATGATCCAGCCTAGCTTGACCACTGCTGTGCCTCTGACCTAAGAAAAAAGTCTGGGCTGCACTTTGAGGGCTACACTAGCAGCATGAGCGCCAAGGGCCCCTGCAGCTCCATGATTCTGTCTCTACAACTGCTACCTCAGGATGTTAGGATACTGATTGAATTAGTCATGCTACAAGAAAATTTGTTTGATTGCTTTACTTCCCTTAGCATTGTTAGCCACAAGGCTAAGTTTTCTCATTAGGGTTTCAAATATTTGGCATGAGCTGTACTTCTAAAGAGTAATATTGTTCTTAGGCTTTATTATAAAAACTAAGTTCCATCTTGGTTGCTATTCTTGGCCACCTAGACAGTCCTAAAATTTGTCCCAGAATAGTTTGTGAACAGATATTTCCAAGTAGGCTCCATACACGTCACCTGACTGTCAGGCCATTGAAGAGGTCATTGCACTGGAGAATGGCCTTCAAGAAGGGAGCTGGCGGCTGGGTGTGGTGGCTCATGCCTGTAATCCCAGCACTTTGGGAGGCCGAGGTGGGCGGATCACCTGAGGTCCAGAGTTTCAGACCAGCCTGACCAACATGGAGAAATCCCGTTTCTACTAAAAATACAAAATTAGCTGGGCATGGTGGTGCATGCCTGTAATCCCAGCTACTCAGGAGGCTGAGGCAGGAGAATTGCTTGAACCCGGGAGGCAGAGGTTGTGGTGAGCCGAGATCGCGCCATTGCACTCCAGCCTGGGCAATAAGAGTGAAACTCCATCTCAAAAAAAATAGAAAAAATAAAAAGAAGGGAGCTGGCTGTTTGGGTTAACATTGTAAAAGAATACCAACTGCCTCATAGTGCAGTGGTGAAGGGCATCGTATCTGTAGCTGGATTGCCTGATTTCAAATCCTGGTTCTGCCACTGATTAGCTCTGTGACTTTGGGCAAATTACCCCCTGCGAGCTGGTCCAGTTTTATCATCTGTAAAAAGAGGACAGTTGTAGTGTCCATACTATATAACTCATAAGGCTGTTACAAGTTAATTCACTTAAGGCCGATAGAATAGTGCTGGTGTAGAGGGAGTGGTATGGACATGTATGTTACTGTTGGCCCAAGATCCATTCACAAAAGGGAGCTACTTATCATCATTTCCCTCTGAAGTCCACAATAGGATAGGAATTGCATAATTTATATTCCTTTAAGATATAACAGAGAGCTCAGCCATATATGACAACATAGCAGGCAAACCACAAATTTCAATTACTTCATGACCAGTAATGAAAATTCTTAGAAGCTCTTGGGGCTCCAATTCTGTTAGTTCATTCTTTATAGTCTGTCTTGGTATGACAATAGTATCTAGAGAGGATTTAGTAGAATAACCTAAGTTTCGAAATCCCTCTGGATTTCTGGACTCTGTCTATTCTATTCATTACCCCCGTCTTTCTCTCATGGGAGTCAGAAGTCTGCAAAGCCCTACAGAACCCTGAGGACCAAAATGTGAAATCTTTCCATGAATACCTCTTCTTCAGGAATAGCTTTTCATCCTAATCCAAGAGGCTCTGTTTGTTAACTATGTCAGAGTCCTGGGATGATAACTGTTTTTGCTGCTGATCTTCCGTATTTCATGATATTCTCTTGGTATCAGCTTTGTACTGCTGTTGTTTCTGTTTTAGTAGTGTATATATTTGCCACAAATATCTTTTGGGAACTTCCAAATCGTTGGAATTTTAGCTTTAGGACTCTTAATATATGTGACTACTATCTCCAAAGTTCTTTGATTACAGATTAAGATAGCCAAATTTTTAATAGGTGATGAATAAACAGGTAATGCTTTGATCAGCAAAAACATAGATAATGTAAATGTTTTAGATAAAAATAACTGCTGGGTGTGGTGGCTCACGCCTGTAATCCCAGCACTTTGGGAAGCCGAGGCAGGAGAATGGCTTGAGTTCAGGAGGTCTAGACCAGTCTGAGCAACATAGCGAGATCTTGTCTGTACTAAAAATCACACAGATTAGCCAAGTGTGGTGGCACATGCCTATAGTCCCAGCTACTCAGGAGGCTGAGGCAGGAAGATCACTTAACCCCAGGAGATGGAGCCTGCAGTGAGCTGTGATTGGGCCACTGCACTCCAGCCTGGGTGACAGAGTGAAATCCTGTCTCAAAGATAAATAAATTAATAAATAACCTTATTTGAATGTGATATTTCTTATTCATGTATATACACATCCCCAAAATGAATAGACCAAACTTTTGATTTGGAAATTACTTTTTAAAAAGTTGTAAATGAAAAATAATCTGTTTTTATATACCAGACGTCACTCATTCAAAGTGGGCAACATTTCTCCATATGTCTGATTATTATTGTGCCCTACATGCCCTACATGGGCACTCCAATAATTAGACATTATTATTTTCTATTCTAATGTATTATCTTCAGACAGAGACTCAGATAAATGTGACCAAGCTCTAGCCATTTTTATGGTAGTAACCATAGGTATAGGAGTGCATGCATATACACTGACAAAATTAATATACATTTTTTTTCTTGGGTGTATGCTAGAAAAATGTAAGGACATATATTTGAACTTCAGATAAACTAGGCGTTGACATATAGTATTTTCATATCAGGAACTTAGCCTTATATTACTGACAGAAATATAAGATCTTCAAGTAAGAAACCAAATTTTTTTTAAAAACTCATTTTGTTTTCATTAAATTTTTTATACAAAGTTATGACAAGATGGTTTCACTTTGTTGATAAAAAACATTGTTAGTCAAGAAGCAGTTATGAATTTATTGCGATTCTAGCACATTTCTAAAGTCCTCAAGCTGCTAAGATGCACTTGGCATCTCTGTTAAAATGCCAAGAGAGTAAAGATGTTTCAGATAAGCCCTTTAATCTCCAACTCATGTGACAGAGACAGAGAGACTGGAACTCTGTATTTCCATGAAAAAGTTTCCTGGAGAATTTCACTATCCCACAATACAAAGGGAGAGACCCCATTTCTTTCTCTGGAAGTGTTTGAAACGCGGATGTTCTTAATTTTTTTCCCCACTGTGATATTTAGCTGCAAGAACAACTGTAGCATATTGCATTGCCAGAGTTGTCACACATGTGAGTGGCAAAGTATACTTTCTTAACTTCTGCAAAAAATTAAAACCATAAATAGCTGGCAATATTTCCAGAAAGGATTATCGTTCCACTTCAGTCTTCTGAAGGACAGAGTGGAACATCAGTGGGTGGTTATTGTTGACTATACCATTTTCTCACCCCTACCTCCCGCCCATCTCTCTCCTGTTCCCTACTTTGCTCAAACCCACTTTTAGGCTACTTTGACGCACACGCTCTTGCCATGGACTTCATGAGCATAGGATTCCGAGAGTGCCTAACAGAAGTTGCGCGGTACCTGAGCTCCGTGGAAGGCCTGGACTCCTCGGATCCGCTGCGGGTGCGGCTTGTGTCTCATCTCAGCACTTGCGCCACCCAGCGGGAGGCGGCGGCCATGACATCCTCCATGGCCCACCACCATCATCCGCTCCACCCGCATCACTGGGCCGCCGCCTTCCACCACCTGCCCGCAGCCCTGCTCCAGCCCAACGGCCTCCATGCCTCAGAGTCAACCCCTTGTCGCCTCTCCACAACTTCAGAAGTGCCTCCTGCCCACGGCTCTGCTCTCCTCACGGCCACGTTTGCCCATGCGGATTCAGCCCTCCGAATGCCATCCACGGGCAGCGTCGCCCCCTGCGTGCCACCTCTCTCCACCTCTCTCTTGTCCCTCTCTGCCACCGTCCACGCCGCAGCCGCAGCAGCCACCGCGGCTGCACACAGCTTCCCTCTGTCCTTCGCGGGGGCATTCCCCATGCTTCCCCCAAACGCAGCAGCAGCAGTGGCCGCGGCCACAGCCATCAGCCCGCCCTTGTCAGTATCAGCCACGTCCAGTCCTCAGCAGACCAGCAGTGGAACAAACAATAAACCTTACCGACCCTGGGGGACAGAAGTTGGAGCTTTTTAAATTTTTCTTGAACTTCTTGCAATAGTAACTGAATGTCCTCCATTTCAGAGTCAGCTTAAAACCTCTGCACCCTGAAGGTAGCCATACAGATGCCGACAGATCCACAAAGGAACAATAAAGCTATTTGAGACACAAACCTCACGAGTGGAAATGTGGTATTCTCTTTTTTTTCTCTCCCTTTTTTGTTTGGTTCAAGGCAGCTCGGTAACTGACATCAGCAACTTTTGAAAACTTCACACTTGTTACCATTTAGAAGTTTCCTGGAAAATATATGGACCGTACCATCCAGCAGTGCATCAGTATGTCTGAATTGGGGAAGTAAAATGCCCTGACTGAATTCTCTTGAGACTAGATGGGACATACATATATAGAGAGAGAGTGAGAGAGTCGTGTTTCGTAAGTGCCTGAGCTTAGGAAGTTTTCTTCTGGATATATAACATTGCACAAGGGAAGACGAGTGTGGAGGATAGGTTAAGAAAGGAAAGGGACAGAAGTCTTGCAATAGGCTGCAGACATTTTAATACCATGCCAGAGAAGAGTATTCTGCTGAAACCAACAGGTTTTACTGGTCAAAATGACTGCTGAAAATAATTTTCAAGTTGAAAGATCTAGTTTTATCTTAGTTTGCCTTCTTTGTACAGACATGCCAAGAGGTGACATTTAGCAGTGCATTGGTATAAGCAATTATTTCATCAGTTCTCAGATTAACAAGCATTTCTGCTCTGCCTGCAGGCCCCCAGGCACTTTTTTTTTTGGATGGCTCAAAATATGGTGCTGCTTTATATAAACCTTACATTTATATAGTGCACCTATGAGCAGTTGCCTACCATGTGTCCACCAGAGGCTATTTAATTCATGCCAACTTGAAAACTCTCCAGTTTGTAGGAGTTTGGTTTAATTTATTCAGTTTCATTAGGACTATTTTTATATATTTATCCTCTTCATTTTCTCCTAATGATGCAACATCTATTCTTGTCACCCTTTGGGAGAAGTTACATTTCTGGAGGTGATGAAGCAAGGAGGGAGCACTAGGAAGAGAAAAGCTACAATTTTTAAAGCTCTTTGTCAAGTTAGTGATTGCATTTGATCCCAAAACAAGATGAATGTATGCAATGGGATGTACATAAGTTATTTTTGCCCATGCCTAAACTAGTGCTATGTAATGGGGTTGTGGTTTTGTTTTTTTCGATTTCGTTTAATGACAAAATAATCTCTTAATATGCTGAAATCAAGCACGTGAGAGTTTTTGTTTAAAAGATAAGAGACACAGCATGTATTATGCACTTCATTTCTCTACTGTGTGGAGAAAGCAATAAACATTATGAGAATGTTAAACGTTATGCAAAATTATACTTTTAAATATTTGTTTTGAAATTACTGTACCTAGTCTTTTTTGCATTACTTTGTAACCTTTTTCTATGCAAGAGTCTTTACATACCACTAATTAAATGAAGTCCTTTTTGACTATTTTTTATGTGGATGAGTTGCTTTGCAGAAAAGTTTCCTTCCACTTTCTATGTGGAAAGTCAACATGAATTTCAAGAGGTCTTTATTTACTAACGATCCAAGCTATGGCTTTTCTTTATGTCTTTCAAAATCATTTGATATAATTCACAGCTTGCCTGAAAATAACATTTATCTGAGCTTGTAAACTAAGCATAGGCAGTAAGATACTTGGAGGCAAGAAATAATCAGTTTCCTCTGCCTTTTATTCTTAACTACAGTTCTTGGCAAAGTGCAAATTCAAGACTTCCAAATGGTATACCAAATATAGGATAATAAGCTAGAACATGTCATACATGTTGTAATTCAAAAACATTTGTAGAGTGTTTTAAAAACATCACATACATACATGATAGGCGTGTACATACGTCCTAATGATAAATCCCTTGTGCTTCAATGACAATTTCTTTTGTTGCTGTGGAGATTGTATGGGTATTGCCTCTGCTTCAGTGAGGCCTAAATAAACCATCATAGAGCTCCTGAAGCTATTGGGCCAAACAACATAAAAAGAATGAAAGTGATTTTTATTATGCTTATCAATTTGTTCAAAGGAAAAAGGAGGGCTTTTATATTCTGGTTTTGAAAAATCCAGCAAGTAGTTTAATTTCTGTCTGTAAGTGGGTAATGAAAAGGTCGAGGGGAGGCAAAAGCAAATCACCTTGTTTCTTGTGTCTATAAGCCTTGTGGTTCTTATATTTTCCAGCTGGCTCTAATAGAATGAGGTAGCAAATAAGAAAATTGATTTCGTTGTCTTAGGTGTTTGCTTTATAATCATGATTTGTGGACAACAGCCATATAATTTTTACTTTAAGATCTAAAACCTGAATGTATTCCTATTGTAATGTCAGCATTCAGAGAACTTCTTTTCCTTTTTTGAAATGTAAACTTTTAGAGATCAGGAATTTAAAATTTATTTGAATTAAATATTTTAAGATAAATTCCTTTCCTTCCTCCTTCCCTCCCTTTCTTTTACTTTTTGTTTTTTCTTACATTTTTTATTGCAGGTTATATATGTATTATTATTTTTCTTTTTTCTTTTTTTTTTTTCTTTTTCAAGACAGGGTCTCACTCTGCTCACTCTGTCACCCAGGCTGAAATGCAGTGGTGTGATCATGGCTCACTGCAGCCTTGACCTCCGAGGTGCAGGTGATCCTCCAACCTCAGCCTCACGAGTAGCTGGGACCACAGGCATGCACCAGCACACTCGGCTAATTTTTGTATTTTTTGTAGAGACAGGGCCCTAGTATATTGCCCAGGCTGCTCTTGACCTCCTGCGCTCAATTCATCCATCTGCTTCAGCCTCCCAAAGTGCTGGGATTATAGGCATGAGCCTTCATGCCCAGCCAGATTATTATTTTTCAATTCCACTGACTAAAATATTTGCAAATGAACTTGCAACATAGTTAATAAGAAAGTGTTCCTAAAGATAATCGTTGTCAGTAATTCAATCATTTCAAGTTAATTATGATCAATGTTTCATATGATCAACTTGTAGCATCACATCTCACTGTTTATATTAACCTGACCACCGGAGGTTGCCATCTCCCATCCAAGTGTTCTGTGAAGGTGGTATTCCACCATCAGATGTGGTAATTCTCATGTTTGCTACCAAAATAGAAAAAGAGTTATACCCTTTAAAGTTATTTTAGGGAAAAAGAATTTTCAGGGTTTGATTTATTGATGGTTGCTTTTATTTGTGTAAAAGTCCCAAAATTAACTCAAAGGATTTTTAGTAAGATAAAAGGAAAAAGGTAACACTTTTAGAAATTTGTGTTTTTCCAACTGTTTAAAGCTATGTGCATGACTAATTAGAAATTTTGTTTAAAGTTCACGTCAGTGAGCCAGAAGGTATTTTTTTAAAATAACTGTTATGTGGCCCAGCATTGCACTGTATATGTTGAGTTTTGCATGGTGTATAGTAGCACATCAAAGTACAATCCTATAGACTGATAGTGATAGGTATGGCTGCCACCCTAGCTATTCACAGGGGTTCTCAAAAGAAGGAGGTGCACTAAAAGTGACAAAAGGAGATTCTGGGAGCTAGGGGGAGGAGGCTTTTTGCTCTTCTTTGGATATTTTACTATCACAAATATGATACTGCATTTTTGAAGAAATATGAGAGACCTTTAAAGTGATGTTGAAACATTAAAAAGTCAAAATATATATATTTTTTGAGACAGGGGCTCCCTCTGTCACCCAGGCTGCAGTACAGTGGTGTGATCATGGCTCACTGCAGCCTCAACCTCCTGGGCTCAGGTGATCCTCCCACCTCAGCCTCCCAAGCAGCTAGGGAAAAGTTCAAATATTAACCAGAGAGATGGCTCTCCTATGCACCTGTGCATAGGTATTATCAAACATAATGAAGCCTTTTGGATTATCTTTCTTATATATTCAAATTGTTCTTTTTGCCAATCATTAAGTTACCACAAAGTCAGACTAATCACCTTAGGTAACATCATGAGAAAGCAATATGATTTTAGAATTCTATATTTCCGTGAGTCTAAGACTCCATTAGTTACAAGATACACTATTGGTTGAAGATCAGTTTTTAAAGAAAAAGAACCACTACAACATAAATTTACACATTGACCATAAAACTTCCTAATTGCTAGAATGTAAAAAAAAAAATTTCAATGGCATCTCGGATTTTAGGCAATACAATAACACAGTATTGTACTCCAATGCAATTTTAGAAATTCATGGCTAGAGTTGTACATAGATTAAAATGTGGCTGTTCTAGCTTACTTTTAAAATGTCTCAATAAGATAGAGTCCTACCTAGTAAAATCAAAGAATCTAGATTGACTTTGTAAGCCTAATGGTCTAAAGATAGATGCATTTTTTAAACTTTTTATTGCCCAATGGGACTGCTTCTAGTTGTTCTGCTGCATTTTACTGAAGAATGGAGTTTGACTTCCCCTTATAATTCTTTTAAGATCTAAGCACTGACTGAGGCTGTGAATATTTCAGCAACTACAACAAAGCATTGCAGCAAACATGACATCATAAACTGTGACTATAGCTCATATTATTTGGAAGGCTAAATCTTTGAACTTGGTTGGGAGATCTTAAGAAGAAGAAAAGCCCCTGAGCTTACATAGACAGTCTTGCGTGAGGGGCCAGAGGCAGACGGGAAATGGTTCTCTAGGCATGAGGTGGTGCTTTTTCCCATGGCTCCCTTACTTCTAACTTCAAAGGAAAGGAAAGGAAGTGGTCAGGGAATCTGCTCTGACTGTGGGAACCAGTACCCACTGTAAGGTGCAGGTCTGAAAAAGAAAATCAATTATGATACTAACTGCTAATACTGGTCAGTTGTTCTCTATACTAAGCCCCATGCTAAGTGCTTGAAATCTGTTTCTTCATTTAAGCCTCATAACTGTCCTGTAGAGTAGATAATAGTTTACTTACTTACATATTAGGAATTGGAGAATAAAGCTTAATTGTCCAAGGCCATTCCTAGCAGGTTGAGCTTTGAGTTAAACTATCTGAAAACTATCTGATACTTAAATTCATACTTTTGACCTCTAGGCTGTGGCTTTTGACACTGCTTTTTTGGTCTCAGAGTTATCCAGACTCCCCCAGGATTTCAGCCTGCCTAGGATCAGTTTGGACTAAAGATGACAGTAAATCCAGCTACAGTATTATCGTAAAACCACTTCCATCTCACTCTTTTAATATATGAAAGGATGAAAAAAGGAATAACTCCACTTTATAATGCAACATAAAAGGGAAATTATTTTTGGCAGTTCTCTAGTTTTAACTCAACTTTCAATCAAGTCACACGTATCTTTTCTTCATCTATGAGCTTAATCTTTAAAGGCTACCAAAGAAAATTCTATCATCTCACTCAAAGTGGTTGACAAAGGTGTGGCAAAATGGTGAAGTATTAAGGTACTAAGCAAATTGAGTTTGAAAAAAAAAATCATTTCCAATCTTCCATATCTAAAAGATAAGAAATTGTTGTTGTTGTTGTTTAGGGAGAATGCTGGATTATTCTGAATGTTTATACACCATAGGTCCATATGCCATAAAACAAAATTCTTCATTTGACCTATGAAGACCTGTCCAGTAACCCATTCACTTTAATAATTCTTGTTATCAGAAAGGGCCTTTTAACTGACCTAACTCTTCAGCCTAGAGTTAAAGAATGTTTTTGATAGCAGTTAACAGTTAATACGTGTATAATTTTTCAAAAATCTTATGCCCAGAGACGTTTTTAGATGCCTCTAAGTTCTTAGCCTTCTATAAATATCTGGTTTTCTTGACCTTTGTTGTCATTCTGTTAGTGTGTGGAAATGAAGAGATTCATGCATATGAAGTGTGACATGGATGTAACAGAATGTATTATAAGTTTTTTTAAGGGGTAGAAAGAGGTTGAATAACCTTGGCACTTAACTCTAAAGTTTCTTGTATCAAGTTTGCATTGTAAGTCTTGTGTTTTCATTACAATGAAAACAAAGTCACATTTTCTCATGCAGAAGAAAAAGTATTTTGCAAAGAATGGCTATTATTCGTAATGTTTTACTTGTATAAGTGTAGTAATAAATTATGACTCTGAACACAAATGAATATCTTAGTTGCATTAACCCCTCCTTTCCTGATTATAAGCTATCAAGATGAACAGGATTTACCTTCCTAGGTCTTTCAGCACTTCTTTTTTAACCTTTTTCCTTAATTGCAGAGAACCTAAAGACTTTTTTTTTTCTTTTTCCACCAAAACAATGTGCCTGGAGCTTTGCATAGCTCTGTTTGGGTAGACTTTCCCTTATGCCAGCAATGACTGGCTTCTTTCCCTGTCCTAACCAGTCTGTCCCAGCACAGCTGCATCAAATTGGCTTGTCTGGGATCTGGCAAGATGATGGAGACGTGTTTGCAGTCATGAGGGCAAAACACAGAGGCACATAGACCATGACTCTCATGATAACACATTTCTGTCCCAGGCACAAGCCACTCTTAAATGAGAACTAAGCCAGTCACATTTTGATCTTACAAGCAGCCACTGTTAGATTTATTTTATTGTTTTGACATCTTTCTGACAATGAAAACATAAGCATAAAATAGTACAAATGGTTGGGTGTGGTAACTCATGAAAACTCACGTGCAAGCCGAGCACACATGTGCCTGTAGTTCCAAGTACATGGGAGGCTGAGGCAGGAGGATCATTTGAGTCAGGTGTTCAAGGCTGCAATGAGCTATGATTATGCCACTGTGCTCCAGCCTGGGTGACAGAGGGAGGTCCCATCTCAAAAACAAAAACCAAAAAGACCTGTGCAAGCTGGTGACCATCAGATAAGCGAGATGAGGGTATGGCCAAGCTCAGGGGAAAAACCTTGCCTGTGGTAACACGTCTTTTACTGATACTTGGAAGGAAGCTTGAGAGGCTGTTGGGCCCATCTGAAATATATTCATGAGTCCATCACTGCTAAATCATTAAACAGATTTAAGGCATATGTGTTGCATCAAGAGAATAGGCTTAAAACACCAAGTGCCTCCTGACCAAGATGATCATGGGAAACGAGTCTCAGTGCTCAACCCATGAATTATCTGGCCACACTGACCATTTCTCATACCAGAGATACTTTTTTGATGCGATCCTCAAACCCCAAGGATTCCCAAGAGTGGGAGCCACAGACAAAACAACACAGGAACAATAATTCGATATAAATGCATTTAGCCACTTCTCCAAACACCAAGATGCAGCAGACAAGACAATCCCTTTGCTCTGGATATCAGGAGCTTGGACAAAAGAAGAAACAAAGTTCACAAATTGTTTGTCTTTAGGATATGACACAGTGAGAGAAGTGGTGAAAGTTATTTGTTTGTTATGCTTAAATGTATAGTTTAAGAGTTAAAATTCCGGCCTGGCGCAGTGGCTCATGCCTGTAATCCCAGCACTTAGGGAGGCCGAGGTGGACGGATCACAAGGTCAGGAGTTTGAGACCATCCTGGCTCACACAATGAAACCCCATCTCTACTAAAAGTACAAAAATTAGCCAGGCGTGGTGGCAGGCACCTGTAGTCCCAGCTACTTGGGAGGTTGAGGCAGGAGAATCACTTGAACCCAGGAGGTGGAGGATGCAGTGAGTCGAGATCACGCCACTGCACTCCAGCCTGGGCAACAAAGCGAGACTCCATCTCAAAAAAAAAAAAAAAATTGTGTAAGTGTATATTTTCTACTGATACAGTAAAGACATTAACAAGGAAGTTGTTTGCTTAATAATACAGCAACTTCACAGCCATATCTAGGAAAATGCATGTTTAATGACTTAAATCAAGTTTATTAAGCAATTTTGTTTAAGATGTGGGAGCTTCTTAAAATTCTTGGTGCTTATTCATCAGACCACTTATAAACAACTTGAACTCCATATTTATAATTCTAGTGAATTTATCTCTATTCAATATTTATAAGTCATTATAAAATATCTCAATTCTTCAAAAAGTATAATAAGTATAAAGACTAAAGGAACAGGTTTTGAAATCAGACAGACCTGATGCATCTTGAGATTTAATGGCTATGCAACTTTGGACAAATTACTGAACTTTGGACAAATTACTAAGCTTTGTTTTTATCATTAGTAAGATAGTTTTGTTTTGTTTTGAGACAGGGTCTTGCTCTGTCACCCAGGCTGGAATGCAGTGACACGATCACAGCTCACTGCAGTCCTGACCTCCCAGGCTCAAGCAATCATCCCTCCTTAGCCTCCCTAGCAGCTGGGACTATAGGTGTGGGCCACCATACCTGGCTAATTTTTTTTCTGAGGATTTTCTGAGGATTACATGAGATAATGTTCATAAGACCTGACACATAGTATATTATCAATAAATGATAGTGCAGCTTATTCAAATTTAGTTTATTAAAGATGTTTTAATATCCACATTAAGTCTCATTTGGTCTTTTTTTTTTTCTTATTCAGAGTCTTGCTCTGTAGCCCAGGCTGCAGTCCAATGGTGAGATCTCAGCTCACTGCAACCTCCACCTCCCAGGTTCAAGCAATTCTCCTGCCCCAGCCTCCTGAGTAGTGGGGATTACAGGCACCCACCATCATGCCTGGCTAATTGTTTGTATTTTTAGTAGAGACAGAGTTTTGCCATGTTGGCCAGGCTGGTCTTGAACTCCTGATCTCAGGTGATCAACCTGCCTCAGCCTCCCAAAGTGCTGGGATTACAGGAATGAGCCACCGCGCCTAGCCTCATTTGGTCTTATACACAATTTCTGCTTTCCCACTCAGACACTTTCATTCAAATATATACCAAGGTAGTCCCCCAATATCCATTCTCTTTACATTAAGTGAATAACATGTACATATTGATTTTTATGAATATATTCACAGATTTGCAGAATTTCAGAGTTAGAAGAACATAAACTAGACTATGCTTCATTTCTCAGATGAGAAAAATGGAGGCATAGCCACGTTAGATCATCTTTCCCACAGTGACATGATCCAGGTCTCCTAATTTCTAGTACTTGATTCTTTCTGAGGTGAAGTGACCACAAAGCAAACAACATTTTCTTTTATATCTTGTATATTCGAGGTGCCAGGGGTTTTTATTTTGTTGTGGATGAGCTAAATAGGTCTATCTGTTTGTTAGGATAGCACACTTTATGTTTCCTGTCTTCAAAAGCAATGGTTTTTAGTCTGATTCAAAATAAATACAATGGGGTCATGTTTCTTCAAAAGAAAAAAATATAGTGAGCATAGATGAGATTAAAATTGCATTACTGTTTTCAAGTGATGTCCCTCACTATCAAAAAGCAAATCACACAAAGGTGAACGGAGTTGGGCCACTAATACTCAGTGCAGGATCTTTCATATATACAGTACTCATAAAACTACTGAACCACCCGTGACTGGGCACGGGTTTTGAGCTGCTACTTCATCTTCCTTGCTGTGGCTCCTTAATGTTCTTAGTGTGAAGACAAAATCCTTCACCTCACTACGAGGCCATGCAAGATCCATCTACTGCCTACTTCCCAGGCCTCTCTTCACCTCTCTCTGATACCTCTGCCTTGCCATCCAGCCCTCCTGGCTTTCTTTCAGCCTCTGGTATTCTCCTCGCTCCCTCCTGCTACAAGGCCTTGCACATGTTCCTTCTGTGTGAATGTTCCTTTCTCTCCTTCTTACCTAGGCAACTCATCTTTATCTTTCAGATCTCAACAAATGGATCACTCCTCTGACATCTCCAACTGGTTCAAAACCTCACTGTAGAACTATATGAACCACCTATTTCTCCTTTCTTCCTCATAGGCTTTGTCAGTCACAATTTAAATTTGTGATTGTATGATTACTGTCTATCTTCACCACCACACTCAAAGCAAATGACAGTGACTATGTTTCTGCTTATCATTGAGTCTCCAGGACCTCTTGCCCTGCGTCTATCTGACACAGAAAAGAGGCTCAACAAATATTTTTGGACATTGGTTAAATGAATGAATACATGAATGCATGACTGATGGAATGAGGAAGGAATGAATGAACGTCATATGCTGAACCAGCATACTTGTTGCATTAAATTTATTTGAATGGCTTTCCCCAGTCTTTAATCTGATAGCACAATACATATACATATACAAGTAAAATAAAGCACAATTGATGACAAGAAGAAAGAAACTAAAGGGAAAAAATCCTCAACATTTCAAAAGTGGGATTACTTGATTAAAGAATCAGAATGAGACACATGAGACTAGGACGCCACCTTGTGGTTTATTTTCACATTTACCATTTTCGACCTGCTTTCAGAACAACTTCAGAAAGTTCAACCTGGAACTTTTGTACTTCAGAAAAAGCGAGTGTGTGTTGTTCAACCCCATGTGTCCATGTGTTCTCATCATTCAGCTCCCACTTATGAGAACATGTGGCAGCCCTCTCCCTCTCCCTCTCCCCATGGTCTCCCTCTCCCCACGGTCTCCCTCTCCCTCTCTTTCCACGGTCTCCCTCAAATGCCGAGCCGAAGCTGGACTGTACTGCTGCCATCTCGGCTCACTGCAATCTCCCTGCCTGATTCTCCCGCCTCAGCCTGCCAAGTGCCTGCGATTGCAGGCGCGCGCCGCCACGCCTGACTGGTTTTCGTATTTTTTTGGTGGAGACGGGGTTTTGCTGTGTTGGCCAGGCTGGTCTCCAGCTCCTAACCGCGAGTGATCTGCCAGCCTCGGCCTCCCGAGGTACCGGGATTGCAGACAGAGTCTCGTTCACTCAGTGCTCAATGTTGCCCAGGCTGGAGTGCAGTGGCGTGATCTCGGCTAGCTACAACCTCCACCTCCCAGCCGCCTGCCTTGGCCTCCCAAAGTGCCGAGATTGCAGTCTCTGCCCGGCCGCCACCCCGTCTGGGAAGTAAGGAGCGTCTGCCTGGCCGCCCATAGTCTGGGATGTGAGGAGCCCCTCTGCCCGGCTGCCCAGTCTGGGAAATGAGGAGCACCTCTTCCCGGCCGCCATCCCGTCTAGGAAGTGAGGAGCGTCTCTGCCCAGCCGCCCATCGTCTGAGATGTGGGGAGAGCCTCTGCCCCGCCGCCCCGTCTGGGATGTGAGGAGCGCCTCTGCCCGGCCACGACCCTGTCTGGGAGGTGAGGAGCGTCTCTGCCCGGCCGCCCCATCTGAGAAGTGAGGAGCCCCTCCGCCCGGCAGCCGCCCCGTCTGAGAAGTGAGGAGCCCCTCCGCCCGGCAGCCACCCCGTCTGGGAAGTGAGGAGCGTCTCCGCCCGGCAGCCGCCCCCTCCGGGAGGGAGGTGGGGGGCAGCCCCCGCCCGGCCAGCCGCCCCGTCCGGGAGGTGGGGGCGCCTCTGCCCGGCCGCCCCTGCTGGGAAGTGAGGAGCCCCTCTGCCCGGCCGCCACCCCGTCTGGGAGGTGTACCCAACGGCTCATTGAGAACGGGCCATGATGACGATGGCGGTTTTGTGGAATAGAAAGGGGGGAAATGTGGGGAAAAGATAGAGAAATCAGATTGTTGCTGTGTCTGTGTAGAAAGAAGTAGACATAGGAGACTCCATTTTGTTCTGTACTAAGAAAGATTCTTCTGCCTTGGGATGCTGTTGATCTATGACCTTGCCCCCAACCCTGTGCTCTCTGAAACATGTGCTGTGTCCACTCAGGGTTAAATGGATTAAGGGCGGTGCAAGATGTGCTTTGTTAAACAGATGCTTGAAGGCAGCATGCTCGTTAAGAGTCATCACCACTCCCTAATCTCAAGTACCCAGGGACACAAACACCGCGGAAGGCCGCAGGGTCCTCTGCCTAGGAAAACCAGAGACCTTTGTTCACATGTTTATCTGCTGACCTTCCCTCCACTATTGTCCTATGACCCTGCCAAATCCCCTTCTGCGAGAAACACCCAAGAATGATCAATAAAAAACAACAACAAAAAAAAAAAAAAAAAAGGAAAAGCACCATTATAAACTATGGCAATAGAGGGGAGTGGAATTTTGCTTAACTATCGCTTCCATGCCGTAATCCCAAAGAGTTGGCCCAAACATTACCTATCATTTATTTTTATTTTTCATTTTAATTCAATATTGAATTAATATAGAACAGCATTATATATATGCTATTCTCTCTATATAATATATAATATATAGAATAGCGTATTATAACATTATATATAATATATAACATAGCATTATATATGTTATGCTATTATATATATAATATATAAATATATAATATGTATTTATCAATTAAACCAAGAAGTAGACTTCTAGGACTTCACTTGAAAAGAATTATATGCAGGCTGAGCCCATCATACTGCTATTCTTTTTTTTTTTTTTTTTTTTGAGACGGAGTTCTTGCTGTCGCCCAGCCTGGAGTGCAGTGGCGCGATCTCTGCTCACTGCAGGCTTCACCCACCGGGTTCACCCCATTCTCCAGCCTCAGCCTCCCGAGCAGCTGGGACTACAGGTACCCGCCACCTCGCCCGGCTAGTTTTTTTGTATTTTTAGTAGAGACGGGGTTTCACCGTGTTAGCCAGGATGGTCTCAATCTCCTGACCTCGTGATCTGCCCGCCTCGGCCTCCCAAAGTGCTGGGATTACAGGCGTGAGCCACTGCGCCAGGCGATGCTATTCTTATATGAATGACAGCTCTACATTTCTGTCTACATATATAATGCTATATATATGCTATGCTATTCTATATATTATTCTATATATAATATATGTTATGCTATTCTATATTATTCTATATATGATATAGAACATATCCTATATATTATTCTATTATATATGTTATGCTATTCTATATATTATTCTATATATAATATAGAATATATTCTATTATATGTAATATAGAATATATTCTATTATATGTAATATAGAATATATTCTATATATATAATATAGAATATATTCTATTATATGTAATATAGAATATATTCTATTATATGTAATATAGAATATATTCTATATATATAATATAGAATATATTCTATTATATGTAATATAGAATATATTCTATATATATAGAATATATTCTATTATATGTAATATAGAATATATTCTATATATATAGAATATATTCTATTATATGTAATATAGAATATATTCTATTAGAATATATTCTATATTATATATATATTCTATATTATATATATATAATAGAATATATTCTATATCATATTATATAATATATAATTATATATTATATAGAATATATAGAATAGCATAATATATAGCATATATAATATATAGCATATGTATAACATATAGCATATATAATATATAGCATATGTATAACATATAGCATATATAAATATAGCATATATAACTCATATTATATATGCATATATAATATATTATATATGGAATAGCATAACATTTATATAATGCTGTGTTATATAATAGGTAAAGGTATAAATAATCAAATGAGAATCAATACCTTTGTACCCACCACCCAGCTTAGCACTTAGCACCACTAGTACTTTGAAAGCCCTTTGTGTACTTTTTCTTTTCTCCATCTTCTCCATTCCCCATTCCCCACTATTTTATTTTTATTTATGGTTTACCATCTATATGTCTATCAATGAACAATATTTTTAATTTAGCATTTTAAAACTTCATATAATATGGGATTATACTCTATTTGACTTGCTTATTAAGTTAAACATTATTTTCCTGGAATTCATCATGTTGATAAGTGGAGATGCAATCCATTTTTTTTTTTTTTACTACTCTGTAGTATTTCATTGTATGACTATACCACAACATATTTACCCACTCTACTCTTGATAGACAGTCAGCTTGCTTCCAATTTGGGTGTATTATGAATGGTGCTGCTGTGAACATTCTTGTACACATCTGGCGCACACATGCGGGGATTTCCCAGAGGTTGAATTGCTGGGTGTGGGAATCTCCAAATTTAGATAATATCAAATGTTTTCCAGTTTATTTTATTATGCCAATTTATACTCCCACCATTAGTGTATGAGACTTTTCATTGTTCTATATTCTTGGCAACAGTTGATATTGCCAGATTTTTCCATTTTGCCTCTTTGATGAGTGTAAACAGTATCTCTTTTGTTTTAGTTTGCATTTCCCTGATCATGAAAAGAGGTTGATTCTGTTTTCAAAGATTTATTGGTCACCCTTGTTTCTTCTGAAAAGTTCCAGTTTCAGTCTTTTGCCTCATTCTTTCATTTCTTCACACAAGAGTCATTTGAATTGCTACTATATGCCAAGTACTATCATAGCCTGGAGGATACAAAAATGAATACAACATAGACCCTGCCCTCTGCTGTGGAGCTCTTGGCTTATCTATCATTTCGTTGCCTTCAGCGATCAAATGAAGACTAAAAAACAGGAAAAATTTTTGAGCACCAATTATACAATTACCACTTTAACACAAAGTAATAGAAAGTTATGAACTCTGGTCTCAGGGAATTTACAAAAGCACAACTTACACAAAACAATAACAAATTATATAAAGTCCTATATATACCACAGAAATTCAGAGGCTATAATAAGCAGAAGAAGAGGTAATTGATCAAGTAGATCCATAGTTTAAATTTAAATGTGTTTCTTTTTAACTAATGGAAAAATGTTTTTCTATAGTCTACTCGTTAAAGTAAGAAGATAAAAAAGTAAAGAACCATTTTTAAGTCAATAAAATAATAATCAACATGAAGATGTGGCAAAGATTATTTTTAAATGGGTAAAAATTGTGCTAAAGAATAAACCACTGTCACATACAAACATGCCTATTCATAAGGGCAAGTACCTTGTATTTGTCATTAAACTTACTAATGAAAATTTCCCAGTTCTTTCTATGGAATCTAATATCTCCTAATAAGCAGCTACTAGATTAACTTTCACCAAACTTGGTAATGCATAGAATTCAATTATACATTTTAAAAATAACTTCCAGTGATTCTTCTTTGCTTCTATGCAAAAACTCCCCACAAACCACCCTATTTGTAATAATCTCTCTAAAGGAGACTCTCCATAGTGCTATCAGACAATTTGTTATAATTGGGGGAGTATTAAAGAATACAAGATTCAGGCTGGGCATATCCTGTTTGGAATTCTGATTCTTCCACATACTTGTGTGACTTTAGATAGGTTTACATAAACTTTCTGAATCTATGTTTTCTAAGCCACACAATGCAAGAATAATTATTATAAAGATTTACTTGATTGGTGTAGACAAAGGACCCAATTCAGTGTTCAGTATCTAAAATAACTCCATAAAAGGCAGACATTATTCACAATAACTCAGTTTAACTCTATTTCCACTTGCTCTTCTCTCAGCAGAAATGTAGCGCTGTCATTCATATAAGAATAGCATTATGATGGGCTCAGCCTGCATATAATTGTTTTCAAGTGAAGTCCTAGAAGTCTACTTCTTGGTTTAATTGATAATTTCTTTTGTTCATTCAATACTAATCATATGTAAAACACTGTACTAGATGCGGGTAAAAGTCCTTCCTTTCCTCCTTCCTCACTCCTGGTTACTCTCAGGCATCCTTACAATTCTCAGTATGCCTCAGCCCAAATCACCGTTCACTGTAGTAGTCCAACTCTAGATGAATGACAATTTTGTATTTAAAACAAAATAATTGGACAAGTCCAGGAAAAATATTTTTGATATACAGCAAATAACCTTTGCTTTCTTTTGTGCAGGTTAAATAATTCATGTTCCTTTACCTTTGAAGCACCTGTTCACATGTGGAATATTTCTGCAAATAATCCTTCAGCATTTTCCCCTTCTTCACAAGCACAGAATAAGAAGAGCACAATTTTCTGGCTCTACAAAGCAGCAACTTTGAGCTGTGTGTAGGTGATGTAATCTATTGCTGTGTCTAAATAACAATATCAATTGTTGACTAAAAATAACAATAGAATAAGTAAAACACAACAAGGAAGATATTAACTAAAACCTTAAAAAAAAACTCCATTAAAAATTAACCAAATAAATGACATATGCTGGATTCTATTAATGACTACACAGCAATCTCCAGACTGTATTTGCTTTTGTCTTTATTGACCTGAGTTTTCCTGACTCTCATCCTTCAGACTTTCCTCCTATGTCCTCCTCCAGCCAAAGTCAAGCCTGCAAACCTTGGTGAAGGGGTGGGTTGCCCCTCCACACCTGTGGGTGTTTCTCGTTAGGTGGAATGAGAGACTTGGAAAAGAAAAAGACACAGAGACAAAGTATAGAGAAAGAAATAAGGGGGCCCAGGGGACCAGCGTTCAGCATACGGAGGATCCCGCCAGCCTCTGAGTTCCCTTAGTATTTATTGATCATTCTTGGGTGTTTCTCAGAGAGGGGGATGTGGCAGGGTCATGGGATAATAGTGGAGAGAAGGTCAGCAGATAAACACGTGAACAAAGCTCTCTGCATCATAGACAAGGTAAAGAATTAAGTGCTGTGCTTTAGATATGCATACACATAAACATCTCAATGCCTTACAGAGCAGTATTGTTGCCCGCATGTCCCACCTCCAGCCCTAAGGCGGTTTTCCCCTATCTCAGTAGATGGAACATACAATCGGGTTTTATACGATGAGACATTCCATTGCCCAGGGACAGGCACGAGAGAGATGCCTTCCTCTTGTCTCAACTGCAAAGAGGCATGCCTTCCTCTTATACTAATCCTCCTCAGCACAGACCCTTTACCGGTGTCGGGCTGGGGGACGGTCAGGTCTTTCCCTTCCCACGAGGCCATATTTCAGACTATCACATGGGGAGAAACCTTGGACAATACCTGGCTTTCCTAGGCAGAGGTCCCTGCGGCCTTCCACAGTGTTTGTGTCCCTGGGTACTTGAGATTAGGGAGTGGGGATGACTCTTAACGAGCATGCTGCCTTCAAGCATGTGTTTAACAAAGCACATCTTGCACAGCCCTTAATCCATTTAACCGTGAGTTGACACAGCACATGTTTCAGAGAGCACGGGGTTGGGGGTAAGGTTATAGATTAACAGCATCCCAAGGCAGAAGAATTTTTCTTAGTACGAACAAAATGGAGTCTCCTATGTCTACTTCTTTCTACACAGACACAGCAACAATCTGATCTCTCTTTCATTTCCCCACACCTTGGCCCCCTTGTTTTTTTTTTTTGTTTTTTTTTTTCTGCACCAATCTCTTGGCAATCATTTCCACTATTGAGGCTTCAGTTCTCACTGCAGAGCTGGATCTACTTGAAATCTATCATCATTAGTCAAACATATCAACCCATGTACAAGACAGCTTCACTTGGGTGACCTCTCTTCAGTCCAAATCTAAATGCAACATGGCTTCCTCTATTGCCCACCCCCACCCCCGTCTCAAACAGCACCCTTTCTAAATTAATAGGCCATGATCAAAACCTTAATGATTTTCTCCTTTGATTCCTATTCAACTGTCATAGAAACAGTCTTGTTCACTTTTCTATACCTGTGCATGCAAAGATGACTGGCATGGAGTAAGAATTACATAAGTGTTTGCTAAATTGATGAATGAATGACAATAACTCTGTGAAGTATGCACGGATGCATGCAAGTTAGTGTCTCTCTTGTACTCCTTAGGATCCAGAGGCTCAGAGAGCTGGGTCACTTAACCCAGATAATGCAGCTGATATTGGCACAGTCAGGGTTAATTCACAGTCTCTGGCTCTGGAATAACAGATCTTATTTTCATAAGATCTCTTTTTCTTCGCTATATTCGCCCTTCTGCAGCGTGTAGGTCATAAATAAGGTTGTTGTCTCTCACATTAGTCCCTCAACACCTTGAATCATGTTTCTGGCAATGATCTCCTGGATAGACTTCCTTACTGTGGTATGGGCTCCACCAGTCTGTTCTGTACCCAACAGTCACTGTCTTACCATCTGACTGTGCTTAATCTCCTCCGTTTTCTCCTTGATCTCTTTACAGTATGCTCTTTTCTTCACCGCTACTTCCTTCTTGAAGCTCTCTTATCCTTTTATTACTACCTCTCTGACTACTCTTCCTTTTTTTTTTTTTTTTTTTTTTTTTTGAGACAGAGTCTCTCTGTCGCCCAGGCTGGAGGTCAGTGGTGCGATCTTCTTGGCTCACTGCAAGCTCCGCCTCCCACGTTCACGCCATTATCCTGCCTCAGCCTCCCAAGTAGCTGGGACTACAGGCGCCCACCACCACAAGGGCTATGTATTTTTTTTAGTAGAGACGGGGTTTCACCGTGTTAGCCAGGATGGTCTCGATCTCCTGACCTCATGATCCTCCCGTTTCGGCCTCCCAAAGTGCTGGGATTACAGGCGTGAGCCACCGCGCCCGGCCCCTCTCTGACTACTCTTTCACCATTTTCTACCTCTTCCCCTTCTTCTTTAATGTATACTCTCCTGGGTTTTTTCCTTGGTCCTCTCTCCTTTTTATAGGTTTTTTCTTTGGGAAGAGCTCAAATCTTCTCAAACTTTTAAGTTAATGGCTCCAAAATCTCTCCCTTCTACCCTAATTATCACCAAAATTCCCATTCTGTATTTCCAACCACATTTAGTTGTGCTGCCTCTGTGGGGCTCAAACTGAACTTACCTTCTCTTCTTCATCAGTTTCTCCATCTCAACCTTCCTATTACTTTTAATGCCACCCCAGTTTTACTAGCCACACAGAACAAATCAAGGATTCATAACTGATTCCTCCCTATTCTTAACCCTTTATATCCTATCAGACATCGAGTCCTCTTGGGTTCCCTTCGTAATTTCTTGACTTGTCTTAAGGTCTTCCATAATCTAGCTGCAGTCACCTATCTGCCCTCATCTCCACTGTTCCCCAGCGCAGGTTCCCTACTACAGCCAGTCTGACACAGTTAGTCCTTTTCGTTGCAAATACTAGACCATGGTCATCCTGGATCCCTTAGAAGCAATGTCCATTCTCCTTTTCTCAGGCATTCCGGATACTTCTAGCCTTTAGGTCCAGCTTGAAAAACAGTTTTCAAGCTCTATTTTGATTCTAGTGCTCACTTCCTTCTCCCTTCTTTTACCATATATCGTGATTATTTGAAGTACTTGATATGCAGCAAATAATCAATGAATGGTGCCAATTATTTTTGTTAATGGTGGCAACATATTTTTGTCTTAATTATCCAATGAAGTGAAAGCTTCTTAAGCACCAAAAATCACATCTTTTCTTAACCCCATGGCACCTATCACAATGGACTTCCTGGAACATTAAGTACTCAGCATTCTCCTCTTCCCAATCAGTCTCAGCACAGCTAAAAGGAGAGCAAAACAAACTCATTTTAGTTGCAATCAAGCTTTCAGTCTGTTTCTATGCTATGATGAAATTTCTCCTTAAAAAAAAAAGGCGGGGCCGGGCGCGGTGGCTCACGCCTGTAATCCCAGCACTTTGGGAGGCCAAGACAGGAGGATCACGAGGTCAGGAGATCGAGATCATCCTGGCTAACACGGTGAAGCCCCGTCTCTACAAAAAATACAAAAAAAAAATAGCCGGGCCTGGTGGCGGGCGCCTGTAGTCCCAGCTACTCGGGAGGCTGAGGCATGAGAATGGCATGAACCCGGGAGGCGGAGCTTGCAGTGAGCCAAGATCGCGCCACTGCACTCCAGCCTGGGCGACAGAGAGAGACTCCGTCTCAAATTAAAAAAAAAAAAAAAAAAATCCAACAGCTCAGTAAGTGGCAAAGGTTAGGATGGTTTAGAACTTTCAGGATCAAAAAAACCCTTAATGTCTATATAACACTATTTTTCTTTTTTTGACTCCAACATTGCCATATTTTCCTTTGAGGAACTCCCAGAATTCTACTTTACCCTGAATGTGGGAATTACTAATGATAAGTAGGTGCATTTTTGAGGGGCCTATATGGTTTATATAGTGGGAATTGATACTCTGGATGTAACACATTTACCATATTTGTGTAAATCTCTTAGAGAAAATTTAAAGTTAGCCAAAAAAACATTAACTAAATGGGTTATTAAAACACAATAAACTAGCTATGTCCAACCATACATCTCAGAAAAGATCTCATATTTATAGAGATGAGAGTAGGAATAGCTCCAATATAGGCAAATAATCTCCAAAGTACATAATCTTAATGTACAGAAAAACTAAAAATTAACTCTAAGCATGATACTGAATAAGTATTATTCCTCATAAAACTATCTTCCTCTTTTATTAGTCAAACAAAATCAAGGTTAAACAAAGGCTTAACTGACTGCTTGTAAACACATCCAAATTATTTTTAAAAACTGAAAAATACAATTTTAGAATCACAGAACTTTATGTTATTTGATTGATTATAAATTACATTACCTGTAAATAGAGATGGCGTATTTTAAGCCTTAGATTAAATAAACTTTTAAAACGGTCAATTTTTAATGATTAAAAAACCCCAACAAGCGAATGAAAAGTACATAAAACTTATGATTTAAAAAGAAAAAAAAAACTATAAAGAAAAAAAAAAACTATGAAAAAAAAACCCAACCAGCAAGTGAAAACTACACAAAACTCTTGACTTCTAAATTGCATGAAGGATACGAATGTCAAGAAAAACAAGACTTCCCTGACCGGGAATCGAACCCGGGCCGCGGCGGTGAGAGCGCCGAATCCTAACCACTAGACCACCAGGGAACTTGCACAACGCTTCTTCCTAAATATATTTGTTGTGTTAAAAATCTGCACTTAATTCCTCTAACCAGTAGGGGATAGAGTATTGCGTCTAAGCCACACCCACTTTGTTCTTGTTCTGAGTCCTGGTCCCTGAATCTATTTCCTGAAATTGAAGCAAATTCTCGGAAGCGCCGGGATGGCCCCTTAAGGAAAAAACCTATACCCTCCAAATCTAATCCTCTTCCTATTGCCATGCTGGAAAATATATCCTGGAAATTCTCATTCTTTACGTAACATGTAAATCTCTTTACCAAGACAAGTGTTGTCTGGACGCGTACTGTCCAGAGCCTTGTAATTTGCTTTATTATTTTATTAACCATTTTAGCTGCTCTTTCCAAATCTAAGTTCTGTCCCTCTCCGTCTTTCTTCGTTCTCTGTCACGCGGATGTTAAGTCCCTCTAAACATTTTACTAAATCTAACGATAGATTGCCACCAGCTGAGAGCGTTTCTCGGCGAAGAGCCGGAGCGACGCGCTGTCCTGGGTGCAGAGCGCGTGCTCAACAAATATGGGTGATGAAGGGTCACGTAGCCTCATAGCACGCGGTTCTATTTTATTTATTTGGCACACGCAGGCTAACGAGGCTGAGAGAGCTGTGGGTGGTATGCCTAGTGAAGGATCAGGACATCTGCCCAAGGCTCCAAGCAAGTCCTTCAAACCCACTGTGTTTGTTATCCTCCTACTTTCCAAACTGTGTTATTATCTGGGCAATTGCTTCACTTCTCCGCGTTATATACTAGACACGGCCAGGAAATGATGCAATTACCAAAGGAGTCAAGACACCTTACAGCCCAGCCTTAATTCAGAAACCCTCATAAAGTAGATGCAGAGGGCAGTAAGATATAACTCAACTTTGAAAATGTCAGCCGTTATAGTTGAAGAAATCTGACCCAAGAGACTTCGCTCCGCTGCAAGATGGAAGGAAGCTTAAGTAAGACATAAATTTGTAATGAACTTGCTCACAACATCCGCCGCCACTGTGACTTGCAGTCATCATCCATTACCACAAAATTAGGTGAGCCTGTGCTTGAATCTCGTTTCTTTTTTTTCAGCAGCTCAGAGATGGAGTTTAAATCATTGATATACTTTATCTGAAAATATGTAATAATATGAGAACAGGAAGATTTAAAGGGGTTATTAAGATAATAAGATAGAAAAATCATCAGAAGAAATTTCTACACTTTATTGTATTTTAAGTGGGACCCTTTTTTCCTATCCCAAGGAATCTTAGATCAAGTTCAGTAGGTGGAGCTCTTAACTCTTACTTAAGGGGTTGCTAGACCTCAGCATTAGACCATCTGGTTTTGAATAAAAAGATTAAGCAGATATTAGTTTAAATTTGTATAGGTTTAGTCACAATATTTTACACAAAGTACAAAAGGGTATGGTGAAAACCATCCTCCTACTCACTCCTTTCTTCTTCCCAGAAGTAACCAGTGTTACCAGCTTCTTCTGTATCTCCCAGAAATAATCTATGCACATACAACACATATCTGGTTCATTTTCCTCCAACTTTTTGGTTTCGAAACATGTCAAAGCAACAGAAAGTTGCAACTATAGAACATTGAACACACATATACCCTTCATCCATACCTTTGCCTTCCAATTTAGAGCTCCAGCAATTTGTGGCTATTAGGCACTAAAATGTAGCCAGTATGAATAGATGTTCTGTAAATGCAGGATCCACACTGTATGTTTAAGCCTTAGTATTTAAAAAAAAGAAATGTAAAATATCGTGTTAATACTTTTTACTTTAATTACATTTTTAAATGAGAATAATTGGATATATTGGGTTAAATAAAATATTAAACTTAATTTTGCTTTCTTTTTACTTTTTTAATGTAGCTACTAGGATATTTAAAATTATACATGTCCTTACATTATATTTCTATCTTACAGTACTGTTCTAGATTCATCAATTATTAATATTTTCCATATATGCTTTCTCTATTTTTTTTGGAACCATTTGGGGTTAGCTGCAGACAGCATGATGCTTTATCATACATACTAAACACCGTATTATGCATCTACTAAGAGCAATCAATATAATTATCAACTCAAGAAATTTAATTCCACATTGTCATTTATTATATGGTCAATAATCAAATTTTCTAGTTGTCCTAATAATCTCATTTATAGTTTTTCTTTTAATCTAGGCTACACTCTTGGATTATACCTTGCATTTAGTTGTCACGTATCTGTAGTCTCCTTCCTTTACTCTGGAACAGTTTCCCCAGCCTTTTTTCTTTTACATCATTGACCTTTTTGAATAGTGGAGGACAATAGTTTCAGAAAGTTCGTCAATTTAAATATTTCTTCTGGCAGGACAACTATCCTAAGTGATATGTGCATTATATCAGAATGCACATAATTCCAGTGTATCACATTACCTGTAATGGGTAAGTGTGGTAGGCAGAAATGTCCACTTCACCCTACAACACCAGAGATGTCACTGTCCTAATCCCCAGAACATGTTGACATGTCACCTTACATGGCAAAAGGAACTTTGCAAATGTGATTAAGATTTTGAGATGGAGATTATCCTAGATTACCTGGATGGGCCCCAGTCATCACAAGCGTTCTTATGAGTGAAAGAGGCGGGGGGCAGAGGAGTCAGGTCAGAGTGATGTGATGTGCAAAAGACTCATCTGGCCATTGCTGCCTTTGAAAAGGGAGGAAGGGGAACCACAAGCCAAGGAATGCAGGCGGTTCCTCTTCTCCCATAGGCTTCCAGACAAAAAGCAGCTCTGCCAACATCTTGACTTTAGCCCACTGAGACTTACGTTGTACTTCTGAACTACAGAACTGTAAGATAATAAATTTGTATGGCTTTAAGTCCCTAATTTAGTGGCTACGTACCGTCATTTGATTAAGGTGTATGCTATATTTCTCCATCATAAAGCTACCTTTTATAACTGTAATTAATTGGCAAATGTTGGAAAAAGCAAATATCAATGGTGGAAGTGATTCTTTGAGACTGTAGACCATTCTGTTCCTCAGCAAACTTTTAGCCAATGGGTTTAGCATTCACTGATGATCCTTGTCTGAATCAATTATTGCTATAGTGATGGCAAAATGGTGATATTTTATCATTCTTCTGAAAAGAACTTTCCCTCCTCTCCTCCCTCTTTGTATTCTTTATTTAATTTTTAAATATCAGCCTGGACTCATATTCTTTTTTCTGTTTTAGTGAGTTTTTATTCAATGTGTTATATTCTGTTGCTGTCATTATTCATTTAAAACCTAAATCGTCCCAAATTCAGCCAGAGGGAGTCTATTCAAACTGGCTCCTGTGTTCTTTTGGAATGTCCCTATACATTTTTGAGCACTTCTTTACTTTCAAGCACAACATGGCCCAGGTACAGCCTGTACTTTATAACAGGAAGAATTAACATCTTCATGCATATATCTATTTTTCTTTAATTTCCTTTTTAAATTTTTTACACAAAGAGTAGCATACTCTACATGATTTTCTGTATTTTTTAATTAATATCTTTTAGAGGGTGTTCATTATTTAAATGGAGTTTCCTCATTGTTTTTGACAACTGCAGGGTAGGTATTCCACTGTATAGATATCTTACTAAAGCAGTTCCATATCATTGGGCATTTAGATTGTTTACAATCTTCTGCTGTTACCAAAGTACAGCCAAAAATAACCTTGGAACAACATAATTTAACATTTAATTTTTATTAACTTGCCCACAAGTGATTCATCTTATAGAGTGCCAATTTCTGATTTGAAAATGTTAGAAGAAAAATCATGGCATCCAATTCATATTCAACTATCATTATAATTTATTTACAGTTTTTCAATTTGATCTCAACCTGAGTCAGCTGTCCTTCTTTTGTTTATTAAGCTATTCATTCATTTGATAAACATTTATTGAATCTAATATATGTCAGGTACTATGTTGGACACCAAGGACACCACACTGAACAAAACAGGATCCCTGACCTTAAAACTTAGTCTGGTAGAGTTCAAGTAACCAAGCAATTATGGTATAATAAGAGAAATGTATCATCATAATAAGTTTATTTAATAGATTAAAAATCCATCTTTTATCACATATACATGCTGATGGAATATAAAATGGTATAGCCACTCTAGAAAATAGTTTGGCAGTTTCTTAAAAAACTAAATATGCACTTACCATATGACTCAGCAAATGTACTCTTGGGCATTTATCCCAGAAAAATGAAAACTTATGTTCACATAAAACCTGCAAATGAATGTTCATAGCAGTAGCTTTATTCATAATAGCCAAAAACTGGAGACAATTGAAATGCCCTTCAATGGGTGAATGGTTAAACAAACTGTGGTACATCGATATGCCTTGGAATATTATCTGAAAAGGGAAGGAACTATTGATACACGTGATAACTTGGATAGATCTCAAGGGAATTATACTGAATGAGGAAAAAAGCCAATCTAAAAGGTTACGTACTATATGATTCAATTTATATAGCATTCTTGAAATTATAGAGATGGGAGATTAGTGGTTGCCAGAAATAGGGATGTGGTGAAGAGGAAGATCAGTATGATTCTAAAGGAGTAGCTTATGGGAGCCTCATGGTGATAGCTCTGTATTTTATTGTGGTGGTGATACAAGATATGATAATGTTGCATATAAACACACACACACACACACACACACACACACACAAACATGCATGAATGTACATAAAACTGGTGAAACCTGGCTGGATGCGGTGGCTCACGCCTGTAATCCCAGCACTTTGGGAGGCCGAGGCAGGTGGATCGCCTGAGGTCAGGAGTTCGAGACCAGCCTGGCCAACATGGTGAAATCCCGTCTCTACTAAAAATATAAAAACTAGCCGGGTGTGGTGGTGGGCGCCTGTAATCGCAGCTACTCGGGAAGCTAAGGCAGGAGAATTGCTCAAACCCAGGAGATGGCGGTTGCAGTGAGCTAACACGGTGCCACTGCGCTCCAGCCTCGGCAACAGAGTGAGACTCTGTCTCAAGAAAAAAAACTGGTGAGATCTGAATAAGCTCTCAAGATTGTACCAATGTCAATTTCCTAGTTTTGATATTGTAATGTAATTTTGTAAGACATTAATCATGGGGAGAAAACTAGGAGGAAACACAGGACTTCCCTGTACATTTTTTACAACTATTTATTAATCTGTAATTATTTCCCTTGAAAAAAACCCCTATTAGCATAATCACTGTAAATTTCTTTTACCCAGTAATACAAACCACCACCACATAATGTCACTTTTTTAGGGATTCATTTCAAAATTTTAAATTATATTTTAGCACCAATGTTGTAGCAGCTTATTTGAATATGTTTTTCAGAAAGTGTAAAAACTATGTAATGAATTCTCAAGCTACTGAACAGACTATTCGTAGAAGAAATAAGACAACAGGAAATTATTCAAAAGCAGATATTTTTAAATTAGCTGTGAATAAAAGAAAAGGAAAAATTTATTGGGCTAACTCTAAATAATCAGCCATAAGTATGACATGATGACAGCTATGCGGACAACAATCCATGTCTATATACAGCAATATTTCTTTCTCAGTACACTCTGGTAGACGCCACAAAGACGCCACAAAAAGGTGATTTCTAACTCCTCTTCAGATTTATAACAAGCCAAATGAAACACTGAACATAGGTCTATCCACAAAAGGACACTTACATTTTTCTCAAAACTCAAGATATTATCATAATTAACCAGTAGACAAATGACCCCAGTTTGTGAAAATGAGCCACTGCCTTAAATACTATTAAATAATAAACTCTCTTCTGCCTCTTTAGTTGCAGGATGGCTACTCGTATCCCTCCACACATGATCATCAGTATTTGCCTCCTGTGTCCCAACCGGCCTGAGTCAAGTAAGTGTATGAAAAGAGGTGTTTCTCTCTGCGCTAGAGAAAGAAGGATAGGTTCACTAAAGAGTGAATTTTCTTGGTGCTAGTAGCCTAAGCTCATCACTTAATGCATAAAACTCCTCTCCCACAGCTTTTGAGAGACCTTCCAAAGACATTTCAATATTTTCAATAGCTCCAAGGTCATTACTTAACCAGTTTTGAAACTACACTCAAAACTTACAAATTTTGTTAAAGAGTAAGCAACTCCCAAATTCTCCTAAGTGACTTCATCCTGTTATTTATACATCACATATGTACATATACATTCCTATAATCAAGTAATTCTAAATTTGGGACAAAATATCATACACAATAATCATTGTCTTTTTTTTTTTTTTTTTTTTTGAGATGAAGTCCGGCTCCGTCGCCCAGGCTGGAGTGCATAAGCGCGATCTGAGCGCAGCGCAACCTCTCCCTCTCGGGTTCAAGTGATTCTCCTGCCTCAGCCTCCCAAGTAGGTGGGATACAGGCATGTGCCACCATACCCAGCTAAGTTTTGTATTTTTAGTAGAGACAGAGTTTCATCGTGTTGGCCAGGCTTGTCTCAAACTCCTGACCTCAAGTGATCCACCCTCCTCGGCCTCCCAAAGTGCTGGGATTACAGGTGTGAAAATAGGCCAGGCGCAGGGGCTCATGTCTGTAGTCCCAGCACTTTGGCAGACTGAGGCAGATGGATTGCTTGAGCCTAGGAGTTTGGGACCAGCCTGGGCAACATGGCGAAACTCCATCTCTACAAAAAATACAAAAATTAGCCGGGTGTGGTGGTACATGACTGTAGTCCCAGCTACTTGGGAGGCTGAGGTGGGAAGATCAATGGAGCTGGGAGTTGGAGGTTGCACTCTAGCCTGGGTGACCTAATGAGACCCTGTCTGGAAGAAAAAAAAAAAAAAACAGAAAAGAAAATACAGTAGAGCTCTAGATCAACCAGAGACTCAGGAGCCTTTCATTTGGGCAATGTTACAGCAATATTTGCCAATATTTTTAGAATTCTAGTTTCATGAGACATTACTAGTGTTGTATTCAAAAACAGAAATACTAATCATGCTTCTTCATTACAAGAATTGTCTTTAGATAGATAGGTAAGAAAAATACCGAACACATTTGCAGGATTGCCACTGTTTGGCAATGTTTCTCTAAGCCCGCCTACCTTAGCCCTCTAGAAAATCACTTGGGAGAAATCCTGTTGCCTGAACCCAGAGATCCAGCTGCCTCCCACAGGCTCAGCGAAACAAACAAATGGCGGAGTGAAGTGATCCCTCTCTTCTTCCTTTAAGAGAGGAAGGGATCTCTGCTTCTCTTATCTACTCCAAAGTCTCATCATACAAAGGTTGTTTATTCCTGCAAAAGTTAAATGACAAATCCACCTAAATTATCCTCCAATGGCCCATACCCTTCAACAGAGAAAGGCCAGTTTTCATATTTAAAGGTGGCCCTCACAGCCATAAAATCAGTGTGGTATTATATTTTTTCATTAATTCAGCATTTACCAAGTAACTTCCGCAGCCAAGAACAGTGAAAAGTGTTAGGGATACCATTTTTAAAAACTTTATCATAATAAAGTATATTATTCTAGTAATACCTTTGATTGATGGCCACATTCTAGACTTTAAGAACCACTTGGGATTATCTCCTTTAATTCCTATATCCACCCTATAAAGTTGGTACTGTTACCATTCTTTATGGATAAAGCATATCCTTTACGGATAAAGCAACTGAGGTTAAGTAGTTTACCCAAGGTCAGCACGTGGTGGAGCTGTAGTCTGAAGCCAGAGCCTGAATTCTTAAAGATTACCATGTTCTTAAGAAGTACACTTTCTACTGAGGTTTGATCTGTAGTATACTAAGATTTCCCAAATTATTTCATGTATTATATCTTATCTCCCAATTAAAATTTGACCTTCTATTTAGGGCAGCACTGTTCAAAAGGATTTTCTGCAATAATGAAAATGTTCTAGTTTGTGCTATCCAAAAGCACAGTCTAGCCATAATTTAAATTTAAACGGCTACAAGTAGCTAAGGCATACAGTACTGGACAACACATGCAAGGAAGAGTTTCATTTCTTCCGATTTATCTATAAAGCCAAGGCTTAGGTAAATCAGTTAATGGAAAGGAACAAGTGAAGAATCTTTAGGAGGAGTTTGTACTCCCTTAGCTGGGGAGCAGAAATCTTTATTATATCAGGACTTTCAGTATAATAAAAATGTTATAAGAAGCATATGATACAGCATGCAGTCCTAGAGGAGTTCATAAAGATGGATTCTTACATTCCTTGCAATATCTTTGGAAGACCTTTTTTTTTTTTTTGAGATGGAGTTTCGCTCTGTCACCAGGCTGGAGTGCAGTGGTGCAATCTCCGCTCGCTGCAACCTCTGCATCCCGGTTTCTAGTGAATCTCCTGCCTCAGCCTCCCAAGTAGCTGGGACTACAGGACCCACCACACCCAGCTAATTTTTTTTTTTTTTTTTGTATTTTTAGTAGAGATGCGGTTTCACCATGTTGGCCAGGATGGTCTCGATCTCTTGACCTCGTGATCCGCCCGCCTCGGCCTCCCAAAGTGCTGGGATTACAAGCGTGAGCCACTGCGCCTGGCCAGAAGACTGACGTTTTATAATTGATGGTCACAACTTTAAAAATTCATACTCAGTTATAGGTTTTTGTCTAATAAAAACATCACTGCTTAATTTATTTACAAAACATGGAGTCCATAGAGAGAAAAACAACAGGGGCCTCTTGATAGTAAAAGGATGAGAAACAGGGAAAACTTGTAAGTCAATGGACACTTCCTTCAGAAACTACATTCAAAACTTAAAAATTTTGTTAAAGAGTAAGCAACTGCCAAATTCTCCTAAGTGACTTCAACGTGTTACTTATACATCAGATATGTACATACATATTCCTATAATCAAGTAATTCTAAGTTTGGGAAAATATCATAAATAATAATAGTTATCTTTTGAAAATAAAGTGGGGCTCTAGATCAACCAGTGTCAGGAAGCAGCCAAGTCACACCCCACTGGGTGCTTCCTGGACAAGCGCAGTGCAGCTCCCACAGGGCCTCACACCCAACCTTCAATTTGCTTAAAAGAACTATCTCAAAAAATCTTAGCTATTTAGTCACAATTTGTCCTTGCCAGGGAACATGTTTTTCTTTTGCCTGATTTTCAATAACCTTAGATTGCAAAATCATAAAAGCACTCATCAAAGAACTGTGAGAGCAGCTCAGCTTCCCTGGAGATCTCAAACCATGTTCCTTTGATACAATGCAATCAGCTCTTTATACTTTAGGAACCTAATTTTCCCTTACTAAATGCTAAACAATTTACAAATAACACAATGGCTACAGAAAAAAAAAATCCAACATCTTTACATTCAAATCCCAAAGATATAAACCTGACGTCTAAATTAATACGTGCTTAGTGCAAAACTGGGCAATTATTCCACATTTGCAAGACAGTATAACATGACCACCTGCTGCTGAAATGCCAAAGCCACCACTGTTAACGCTTTGCTCCGCCTTCCAGAGAGGTTATTACAGCTTAAGCTGCGTCAACAACCCAGAGGAGGCTGCTATCTAGTTTATCTGTGTGGAAGGCCTGTAACACACTGTTAACAGAGTAGTTGCAGGCCCTTCCTTGGGATATTTTTCTGCGTATAAGAGTGAATGAACTCCACGGCCAGATCCTCCTAGTCATGTTGCAGTGCTGGTCATGGGACCGCAGAGGGAACAGCACCCAACTGGGGATGGGGAGCTCACAGGCACAGGCCCCGCAGCTGATGCAAACCTTCCCCCTCCAAGGTTCTCTCGAGTCTCTGCCAAGAGTCGGCTGGAGGGCCCAACTGCTATGTTCTTATTGCTGTAATGACTGCAATTTGGCAGCATCCAGGATGGTGTACCGGGAACGGGAGGGGGAAGGAGATGGTGGGCCCCTCTGTTAAACGCAACGCCAGAAGGGACACAGGATGAATTTATTGTGGCCATCGGTCCTGAGCTGGAAGGAAAGTCAAAGGGCTTTAAAGCTGGGGAAAAGCTCTAACTCCTGCTCTGCTGTCAAAGCCTTACTTCCCACGAAGAGTAGGGGCCAGGCGGGCCAACTGTAAGGGGGAAGCGGCCCGGGGTGAGGTAAGAGGACCCTCCTAGGTGCCGCTGCCAGGCGGCGGTTCGCTGGGGCAGCAAGGCGCCCGCACTCGGGAGGCGCCACAAAGGGCCGAGGCCTGCGGAGGCCGCACGCGCAGCTCTCCGGGGCGGAGCCGCCGGGATCGCGGCAGCGGAGGCTGCAGCAGCCGCGGGTAGCCGGGGTGCCCAGCCTCCCAGCTCGGAGGTCGCGGGGGGCGGGGAGGATGCCGCAACTGCAGTCCGAGCGGCAGAGCCCGGCGCGAGCTCCCAGGCCCCCGCAACCGCTGTGAGGCGCAGCGCGCGCCACTGGCCGGGAGGAGCTAGAGGCGGGCGTCTGCACAGCGTCGCGCCACCCGTGACTGCCCGCCTTCAGCCGGGCCCGGGACCCCGTAGCGGCCCATGCCCTGACGGGGGGCGCAGCTGCGGGGCTGGCGAGGCGTCGCGCGTGGGAAGAGGCCTAAGACACCCCGACTGCGGCGGCTGCGCACACCCGATCCGGACGCGGGGCCCCGCGGGCGCGCGCCTCGGAGCTCCCGCCTCCTCCTCTTGCTCCTCCTCGGCGTACGGTCCTCCCCTGACCCCTCCTTCCACCCGCCGAGAGGATGCGCTCCCCGGCGCCCAGCAGCAGAGGCCACCGCTCCCAGAAATGCATGCGACCGATCCCCTTCTCCCGGACCCCAGGAGCCGGCGCCCCCGCCCTGTAGGTAGGTGGTGAGGCGGGGCCCAGCCCTCGCCGCCGCCCGCCGCTGATGCTGCCGCCGAGAGGCCGCGAGCAGGGTCCAGGACCGGCCAAACTTGCCTCCCGCCGGGGGCTCGGTGGAGCGCTCGGAGGTGTGCTAATGGCGCTGGGCGTAGCCCCCTGTGAACCTGAAAACCTCTGCTTGAGCTCGGGAGGCCGAGCGGGGGCGAAGGAGAGATTGACCCTTCCCCGCCCACCCCTTGGGGGGCTCGTGGGGGTGCGCGCCAGTACGAGAGTGGGGAGGACAGGTTGGCATGGGGCTTATTTGGGGAGAAGACCGTTGGATTTTCAGCAGCTCAGGTGGAAATATGTCACTGTGTTTTTCCGGCTGGATTAGCAGATGCGTTCTTCCCATCTTTCTAGCCAAAACATGTAGACAGGCAAAGGGTTATTAGTGGCATGTAGAAGTCGCTGTGGATTTTTGTGTATTTCAGAGCTAGCTAGTTGGTATATAAAATCGATGGGGCAAACCCTTACCGTCAACACGTTAGGGCCAATTTAGAGAAGGTCCTTCTAGAAGTCAGATTATTCTGGAGATCGATGAGGCTGGGATATTGTTGTGCTGAGTATTTAGGAGCCTCTGCTTACGTGAAGGGATGTGTTTTAAGAGTGGCAACTTTGATACAGGTGTCGGGAGTTGAGATTCTGCTGGAAAGATGTACCGGGTCAGCCAGCAGAGGCAGCCTTGTGCCCAGCCTAACTTCCAACTCGATGTTATGCTCTGTATTTCTCAGAAACTGGTTATGTATTAATGCTTTTTTTCTCCTCTAGGTGTAAAGTTTATACATCAGAGCTTTTGGCAAGATTCCCTCTTCCCAGACTATCATTTTTTATTTTATATTCAGCAATAAGGCTTAAAGTTTTGAAAAATGCATCACTGTAAGCTCCAATTTTATAGTCACTTAGGTATAGAGATTTGGAGAAGTGACTCAGTATAAGCTCAAATAGGACAGAATCTTGAATCTGTTTTTTTTTAAATCCTGTAATCTTCTGCATCTTATGCAGAATAAGTACCCATTAGTTATTTGTTGAATGAATGAACTGTGTTTCAAGCTTTCATCTAAAAACCACAATTTAGAATCACAGAATTGTTCTGTAGCCGGTGAAATTTAATTGAATTTCAAAAATTGCCTCTTTGTATAAATAGGCAAACTCAGTTATTTTAACATTTATATTTCAATTCTGACATCTTTAGGACCATATGCTATCTTTCTGTAATATGTCATCAAGGTTATGAGGTAATTCTCCCCAACTCTTAAGTTCATTTCATGTCTAAGCTTGCAAAATTTCCAGTCTCACTGGTAATCATGCCAACTTCAACTGTGCTCTCAAACACAATTTAAAAAGTAAAAGTCGTGTTTTAAAGAAAATTGTAAGTTACGCCAGAGGAAACAATGATTTGGTTAATAAGTGATGTATTCACTTATTTTAGAGTTGAGTTTTTCAGGTTTGATCTAATTATCATGTCTTTTATCACAGGCAAAAGTAGAAATAAAACATGTAGAAGTGTCTGTGATTCTTAAATGATTCAAAATGTGTGATATAGATACACAATTTAAACTGTTTTCTCCTCGGTATAGAAACACATCAGTTTCCAAATTTGACAGCCAGGGGATTGTGAAATGAGGGTTTGCAAGATACAGTGTCTTCCTGCTTTAAAATGTTATATCATTTTGAAAAAAAAAAAGAAAAACAAGGTTAACTGCATCAAACTTTATTTGCTTTATTTTTACACTATGACATTTTCTGTTTTGATTTCATCTTTTTTCCATCACATGAATTTCATGAGTCAGTGTGAACTTCTTTCAGTCTCTGCTTAACAATATTATCTGGGCATGCTCCCAGGTTTTCTTTCTGACATTTTAATGCATCTTTACCATCTTCACTTCATATTACTCAAATGACTTATTTTTACACAATATGGTAGGCCATACTTTATTACTATTGCTTCTCCAACCTACTTATTTTCTTCCTAGATGGATAAGGAAATAAAACTTTCCTATAAAAGTTAATAAGACTGCAGGAACCAACAGTGGGAGGGAACTTATGAAAAAAATTAATTTGTTATGATTTATTAAAACAAAGCCAAAATTCCCTCCTGTAATAAAGATAATTACATTTTACACTTCTTAAATTTGTAACCCAGGGTATTGAGCAATTAATTTACCTGGCTCTTCCTTGCACACTTTAAGCTTTTCAAAAAAGCCCTCCCCTTTGGTTACAGTAAGCTCTCTTTACCTTGTTACTTATAAGCACTTATTTGTTCATTTTACAAGTAGGAGTTGAGCCTTTAACTGCTCAGTTTAACTGCTATTACTTTGGCTTTGGAATCACAGTCAAATAAAAGCTCTAATCTCAGATTTGAAGAGGTATTTTTCTCTTCTGTGTGTCCTACAACCAAATGCGCAGTGCCTCTGGGATTGGTTGACTCACTTTTGGGTCCTACCTCCTGATCCCCCAGCACTCCGCCCCCACAAGCACCACCAGAATGCAATCCAAGACCTGGATTTCCTCTCTTTATCTTCCTAAAGGCTGTATTTTAGAAACCTCTATTCCTTTCTTGCTAAATGCCATTTACTATTGTTTTTAAAATCCCAGCCCATAATTTTTTGTTTGTTTAAATTCAACAGGATCCACTCAATTCACTTGTGCTAAAATCAGAATTGTTGATTGCAGAAAAAAATATACAGAAGTAAATTTGTATGACCTTGAATTTCAGATATAGTGAATACATAAAGAGTGATTGTTGTCTACTGGTCTCCCCTCAACAGTGATACAAAATGCATTTGTTTCTGTACATGCCAGAGAATATGAATTTTCTGTTGCTAAATTTGATCAGAAGCTTAATTGAGAGAAATGATGTTTACGGGGGGTTGGCTGAACAAAGGCCATGACGTCAACCTATTCCCTTCCAATACTAGCTGTTAGACCAGAAGTCTAGCCAGATCTTCAGAAGCTGTACTTTGGTACCTTGTTTTGCATCCTTAACACCCCCCCATATGCCCACACTGAGGGATTTTATTAATACAGTCAGAGGAAACTTACTATTATGTTACTTTCGAAATGTGGTTATGATCATGGTACTTTCTATAGTTTCTGTTTGAAGACTCATGCAAGAAATTCCATTTAACTTTAAATGCCAAAGAAAAGCTTTACTTACCCTGAACAACTTGTGTGTGTGTGTTTGTGTGTGTTCTTTTCATCATGCAAAATGAGAATCAAATCATTGATTATATTTCCCTTTCTAACTTGGCAACTAGGAAATGAACAAATTTGCAACTCAATTTTAATAATCATATAAAAATTCATAACCTAATATCAATATTTTATCTTTTCCTATGGTCTTGAGCTTCTGTTCTACCTTGTTTTTCTTGATTCTGATGTTTATCTAATTATACTTTTCCATTTGATTGAATTATATTCTTTTAAGATGACTCATATCCTTTGTGGAACAAGGCAGATTATAAAACATAAAACCAAATAAATGAAGCCATTGCACAATTGATCTCTGGACACAGTATGTTTTTGATGAACAAGTTTAATGGGTTACATTAAATGTTTTGAACAAGAATTGCAAATTTAGTACATTTGAACTTAGCCAAATGGAAAACAATGTTACATAGTTTTACAAAACTTTTTTTTAAACTCTTACATTTATATTCACTCATTACTAATTTGAAATTAATAAAGCCATTCAATTTAAGTCAATTATATTTGGAGTACCTGCCTTAAACGCTATATAGGTTGAACAGGAGTTTCAATAGAATAAAGTCATTTTTAGCTGAAGGGCTAGCCTAACTTAGCATAACACTCACCAGAGTGAATCGACAATCTGACCTTCGCGTCAGTGATTCATGTGATTTATCCTTGTTTTAATAAATCAGAGTCTTCTCTGAGCCTCTTTTATTTACCATGAAATTTAAAAGATTGAGCTCCTGGAGTTAATTCTTCATACTGATGTTTTGACACCTAATTGTTAAGTTGGTTGAATTTACCCAGGTAACTCATTATTTACATCGACATGATAAGTTAGGCTTGATATATTTATCACCACAGTAAGCAGAAAGATTGGCCTTTCTCAAGGGTCAGTCATTGGTACAGTCTGGTAGCCTTTGGCATAAAAATGATCTGAATTCAAAAGTGCAACTTAAAACATAAGAGGGGGTTTGGAGGGGGACCTAGGCAGGTTTTTACATAGAGGCATCTCATTCTGATAACCTTCATGTCTTTTTTTAAATTTATTTTTAGAATAGGTAGTATCCTCATGGTTCAAAAGGTACGCATGGCTCTAGAGTGAAAGTACTCCCTCTCATCCTCATTCCCCTGTCACCCATTTCACTAATCCACAGGTAACCAGTGTTAGTTAACTGAGAATCTTCTAGTGACATTTTATGCATATGCAAGCAAATATGAACATGGAAGCTGCTCATTTTCTCTCCTAACCTGTCTCTGATTCACTCTGTTCTATTCCCACTGCCTCTGTTTGGCTCCTTAGATGCCTTGGAGTGTTGTCTGCATTCTGCCTTGCTCTGCATTTCAAGCTGTCCCCATTTCAGCAGGCTGTCCTTCTAAACTTCCCCCTTCAGACCCTGTAAAACATTTCCATCATACACAGGAAGGAATCTGCACATCTTACCCTGGTCTCTTGGACCCTGAGAGATTCATCTCCTGTCTGTATCCCTCCTTGTCATGCATTTTACCCACAGTCATTCTTAGCTAAGTCCCCTTGACCCATTTCATAGACCCATAAAAAACCTGATGAAAGTTCAAGTTGTCATCATGCACAGCAAATACCATTTGCCAACATATCCTTGTTTGTGGACCCCCAAGTTAAACATTTGTGTTTTAGTAATACAAAACTAATTGCCAGTTTCTGCACGTGGATAGAGTATGATTTTTCTTCTCCATGCTGTTCCCTCTGCTTGGAACATGCTGTCCAATTTTCATGAGCAAGCCACTCTCATTTCTGGTGTCATCTCTAGGGGCCTTTCTTCCTTGAGATTCTGTAAACTCATGGAGCCTTCTGCATGAAACTTAGTGTCCCAAGTAGGCTTCCATACTAGGAGTAATTTTCTATATTAGCTATGTTATAGCTAATAGCTATATTTTGCTACTAGCAAAATTGACGTTCTGGTAAAAAATTAACCATGATTTTGGATAGCATGTAAGATTGATAAAAAAAAATTAGGGTTGAAGATTTTATTTAATCATTCATCCTTCTTCTCTCCCCACCCCCCACCCACCTCAATATAAATCAGTAGTCCCTCAGTATCGTGCAGGGGATTGGTTCCAGGTAGTGGGTTCCAGGACCCCTGCAGATACCAAAATCTAAGGATGCTCAGGTTTCTGATATCCAATGGTATAGTATTTGGATATAATCTATGCACATCCTCCTGTATATTTGAACTCATCTCTATATGACTTAAAATACCCCAATTCAATGTAAATACTAAGTAGATAGTTGTTATAGTACACTGTTTGGGGAATAATGACAAGGAAAAAAGTCTGTACATGTTCAGTACACAACCATCCAACCATTCATTTTTTTCCTCAATTTTTTTTTTTTTTTTGAGACAGATTCCCACTCTGTCGCCCAGGCTGGAGTGCAGTGATGTAATCTCGGCTCACTGCAACCTCCACTTCCCAGGTTCAAGTGATTCTCCTGCCTCAGCCTCCAGAGTAGCTGGGATTACAGGTATGTGCCACCAAGCCTGGCTAATTTTTGTATTTTTAGTAGAGACAGGATTTCACCATGTTGTCCTGACTGGTCTCGAACTCCTGACCTCAAGTGATGCACTTGGTTGGTTGATTCCATGGATGCAGAACCCATGGATATGGAGGGCCACCTGTGCATGTCCAGATCAACTTTTTAAAGCAGCCCTTGCTTACTTTACTAATTCTCAAACATTGTGTTAACACCCATTAAAAATAGCTTTGGTATTTATTATGACACTCATCTGGGAGAGTGTCTTTTATTCCTCCCACTCTAGTTTTCTTCTGTAGTTGGTACATAAAGGGACGAAAGCCTCCAAATAGGGTGTCACTGGAGTTTGGGGATTAGCCAGGCAAAAAGGGTACTCTTAAGACATTGAAAGGATTGAACATTGACCCTGATAGATGACATGAGCCATTTGGAGAGAGTGGTCCAATCTAAGAAGTGACTCCTAAGTAGGTGAATGAAATACTTTTAATTCCAACCCAAGTAATCAGAGGCCTTAAGTGCTTGGTTTTTATTGCAAAGTACCTGGCATGAGGTAATTTGCTTTTGATAGCTGATTAACAGAGGATTTAGAAAATAAGAGTTTAATAGTGTTTGTTCAACACTGTTCATGTGGAATTTCTGACTAGTGGGTTATTCTTATCACTAACCAGGTATGCCTTATAGAATAGAAATAATTTGTGAGATGAATCCAAAGGTCTGAGATCCCTTAAGAGCTTTCATGTTTCTTCTGTGATTCTGGCCTCGCTACACAAACATTGAATTTATTGACTTGTTTCCCCAGGCATGCTGATATCATGAAGTGAGAGTGCTCTGAGTAGCAGTGATAAATATTCTAGCCATTGGATAAGTGTCACCCCTGCAGTATGGGATAAATCTCAATTTCAGGCTATTCATGGGTCTGCTGGGAAGGTCTGCTCAGTTCTGTGGTTGCAGGTGTTTACAGCTGAGCCCTCATCCCTAGTTTCCGGTGATTTCCCCCAGGGTTCTGCCTGTCTGTAGGGTCCCACTGAAACAACTAGTCAGCAATACTCTTTGATATTTTGAATCACAGAACCTTCCAAAATAATTTCTATTTAACATGTCTTAACTCTGAAAACCTTTATAACAAGGAATAGGAATAGAATATTCACAAAACAGGAACTTAAGATGGCCAAGACATGAAAATAATACTGACTTCATGGCATCAAAGAAGTGCAGATTACTAGATTTAAAAAGTCAGTTACAATGCTGGCAAGAGTGAGGTTGTGTTTAGCTCACGAAGGGTAGGCTGGTATACCTTCAATGGAGAGCAGTTTGCCTCATGGTCTCTCTTGGCACTCGTGATTCTTCTCTGAGTATATCCTAAGGAAACAATCAGACATGAAGCTGAAGTTCCGTGATGAGCCCATGATCTCTGAGAGGCTACTGATATAGTAGAAAGGTTAAAAGCAGGAATGCCAGAGCCACTTATGTGGCTTGGAATCCTGTTCCACCAGTTACCACCTCTGTGCAGTTAGGAAGTTATTTTCTCCACACTTTGAGTTTTCTCATCTGTCAAATGAAGATAATAATAGTATCTACCTCCTACATTGTACAGAGAATTAGGTAAATTAATTTATGTAAAGTACTTGGAACCTTGCCTGGCACAGAGTAAGCAACTATCTAAGTATTAGTTATTATCAAGGGTGTTACTGTAAAAATTTGAGAAAAATTCAACAGTAGAGTCATTTTTTAAGTGATAGTAAATGTATATAAGATATTTAGCCATTAAAATAATGATTTTGAACAATATTTAATTATATGGGAGATGTTTATAATAACTGAGTTAAACATAAACAGTATATACAAAAAATTCTAATTTGATTTTAAGATGCATTTGCATAGAAAACAGGAAAGTGACAAACTTACTTTTTTCTCACTAATGGGATTATAAGAGATTTATGTTTTTCTTTTTCACATTTTTATTTGGTATCCATATGTATTATAATGATAATTATTGAACATTATTACAATTATGTATCATCCGATTTTTATATTTTTGACTTTTTTAAAGCAAATGCATATTCATTTTGACATATTGTACTTTCTCTTCCTCCTTTTAAAGCTACTAATATTTCACTTCCTCAAAATCTTCACCCACGCATCATCTGCTTGGTATTTTCTTGCATTTAGCTCTCTTGCTTTAGGTATAGATCAGCCCCAAGCCTGTTTCTTCAAGAATAAGCAGACCAAGTAAAATGACTGAAGAGATTTTAGTGGTGGTGGCTTTCTCCTGGAAGTTTAATCCCAAGAATGTGGCTTAGATGATGATGGCACTGTGTCCTCTCTACATTTCATGCACTCAGCCTGCTCTTCCACTCTTCCCCTGCATGAACTTGGCACTTCAGTGGGGTCAGAATCCTCAGTAATCCCACACATACAGGAGAGTAATTCCTGCCTCCCAAGCCTTTGCTGTCCTTGCTAGCTGGAATTTCCCTCCACATTTCTTCCTTTAAAATCAGTCTTCCACACCAGGTTTATACTTAATTCCATGAATACTTTCCAACCCATCTATTGTATGCTGACTTCAGTTCTTTTGGCACTTAAGCATTTGTGCCACAAATGAACTAAATATTGGCTTACTTTATTGCTTAGTTGTTCTTTTTTTTTTTTTTTTGATAGAATCTCGCTCTGTCGCCCAGGCTGGAATGCAGTGGCGCTATCTCGGCTCACTGCAACCTCCGCCTCCTGGGTTCAAGCAATTCTCCTGAGTCAACCTTTGGAATAGCTGGGACTATAGGCATGCACCACCACGCCCAGCTAATTTTTTTGTATTTTTAGTAGAGACGGGGTTTCACCTGGTTGGTCAGGCTGGTCTCGAACTCCTGGCCTCAAATGATCCGCCCTCCTCAGCCTCCCAAAGTGCTGGGTTTACAGACATGAACCGCTTTGCCGGGCCAGTTCTTATAGTAAGCTTATAGAAGTTGTGTTTTATATTACTCAATGTCCTTCTATTTTCTAGCATAGCATTATCCACATGCACATAGAACACAGGAAAATCGGATGTTGTTGTGTTGATGACATTCTTAGAGATAACGTATGAGTGTTCTGTTTCATGATCCCCTTTGCTCATCCTTCTATTTTCCTTGTTTTCAAAATCAGAATGTTATATCATTTAGGTTCTCAGTCTTACAGATATTTGCCTGAAGACCTGATAATAGATTTTCATTTCTAACATCTGAAACTTAAAGGGTTTAATTGCAGAGAGCACCACAGTTAGCAAATGCATTTATAATAGGGGGCTAGTAATATAATATACAAATTAATCCTGGTTGCAAAGACAACACTATCAATTTTAAAATATTGCTTGTTTGATCTAGACAATTTTGTGAATCTGTCAGAGAATTATTAAGTTTATAAAAGTGTTAGAATTTTATAGATCTTGCATTTTCTGGAAAGGACCAAATCCCAGGGAATGTTGTCACATATCTGCTGTCATAGTCTAGACTGGTGGTTTCTAAAGTGAAGTTCATGTACCACATGAAGGTACAGAAAGAAATTGTTGGAATGTCTTTATTTTCATGACTTCTGTTTTAGTTATGTGCCTTATAATTATTAGTACAGAGGACATGTTTTTATAAGTAAAAGTAATTAGAGTTTTATGCTCAGATACTTTTATTGATGTGGAATAAAAAGTGGAGACCACTAATCTAAATAAAAGGCAAGACCTTACCGTTTCATAACCTGAAGTCAGTTTCTGTTACTTAGCCATAACAAGTCAAAAATCAACTTATTAAACATAAATTCTGTGTCCAGCCTAAACAAAGAGTTGTGATGTGTGTTAGTGTACATAACTCTGCATGGATGAACAGCATAAGACACATTCCTTGCCTTTAGAGAGTTTACAGTCTGATTGGAAGGAATGTGGGCATAAGGAACAATAATTATAAAATGACACAAGGGGCCAGGTGTGGTGGCTCACGCCTGTAATTCCAACATTTTGGGAGGCCAAGGCAGGTGGATCACTTGAGGTCAAGAGTTCAAGACCAGCCTGGCCAACATGGTGAAACCCTGTCTCTACTAAAAATACAAAAATTAGGCAGGTGTCGGGGCACGCGCCTGTAATCCCAGCTACTGGGGAGTGTGAGGCAGTGAGGCAGGAGAATCGCTTGAACGAGTGAGGCAGAGGCTGCAGTGAGCTGAGATCGTGCCACTGCATTCCAGCCTGAGTGACAGAGTGAGACGCCATCTCAAAAAAGAAATAACATAAAGAAAATGACACAAGGTAGCATAAGTGTGCGCTGAGAAACTTAGCAGTATGAGTTTGTTAGTGTAAAATTGCTATAGAAAGCGTGATAGAAGTGGCATAGTACATGGTGATGCTGCATTCTCAGAATGTTCCAAAGACTCTTGCAGGATAAAATAATTCTTTGATAATCAGGTCAGTTCTTAGTCCATCTACCCAAATAAGCTGTGCTTGAATTGTCTCCTGGGCTCAGATGTTAACTGGATGAACAGAAAGCTCATCGAGTTAACATCCAGGCCCAGGAGGCAATTGGTAAATAATGTTTACCAATTTTCTTAATGACATGCCTGCATTTCCTTTAAATTATAAGAGAACGTGGCAGAATGGACATGTTGGGAAAGTAATAAAGTTTTTGGAGCAGTATCCTATTGCAACAGTGATAGTGTATAAAAGTAATTTAAAATTAGTGTATTAGTTTCTTAGGGGAGCCATGACAAAGTACCAGAAGCTGGTGGCTTTAAACATGTATTTTCTCACTTTCTGGAAGCTAGATGTTCAAAATCAAGGTGTCAGCAGGGCCGTGTTCCCGCTGAAACTGGTAGAAGAATCCTTCCTTTTCTCTTCCTAACTTCTGTTGGTTTGCTGGACCTTGGAGTTCCTTAGCTTGCAGCGGTATAGCTCCAAGTGTGGCCTGTGTCTACATGGCATTCTCCTTTTGTGTCTCTATCACTACATGGCCATCTTCTTATGGGGATTCCAGTCATACTGGATTAGGGCACCACACCACTCCAGTGTGATTTCATCTTAACTAACTGTATTTCCAAATAAGATCACATTCTGGAGTACTGAGGATTATAACTTCAACATATCTTTTTTGGAATGCTATAATTTAACCTATAACAGTAAGTAATATCAACCATTACGTATAGATATACCAAGACAATGCACAATGTCTTGTCAAATGATGCCTTCTCAGCTAAGACCCCATAGCCATGCAAAGTGGTTATGGGGTAAATGACAACTGGAAGAAAATGAAGCCTCCTCTGCTATTTTTGTCAGTTGTCTTGTCTCCGGGCTTTGATATCTCAGGCCTTGGTAGAATTATTCATATAAACAATAATATGTACTATGTGGTTTTGATCTTTCTGGTAAGACTCCATGAAGTAATTTGTGGATCAGGATGGTTCTAAGGGTGTATTGGGTTTTTTGTTGTGATAATGTTGCATAATTGTCTCCAAACCGCAGTGGGTTATATACACAAATATGTATTTCACCTTCATGGATTTGCAGGTTGACTGTGGTTTAGCTACTCCTGGCTGGGTTCTGCAGGCTGGCCTTGGCAAAGGTTAAGCCGGATGCCAAAGCTGAGGTTCAAGTTCGGGTTCTGTTCCACATGTCTTCATCCTGGAACCCAAGCTGAAGAGGGAAAAGCAGCTACCTGGAGCATACTCTGCTGGTGGAGAGCAGAAACTTGCCAGGTCTCTCAGTGCTTCAAGTCAATATGAATATGACTGTTAATCCTCACAGTCTATTGGTCAAAACAAGTCACATGAAAAATCAGATGGGGTCATATACTCTGTGTACTAGTGCAAAGCATCACAGAGCTGCACAGCAAAGGGTACGGATGTATAATTATCTTACAGCAAGGGAAGAAGTGCCTAATAAGGAACAACAATCCAGTCTACCAAAAAGCCATTTTCTTTTGAATTCTACAAGTTTTATGACAAGCAACTCAATAAACCTTAAAAAGAAAAAGAACGTATACCATAGACTTGATTTCTTAACCCAGTCTGCTAGAAATTTATAGTTGAATATTACACACATAATTTTTTTTTCCAAGAAGAGATCCTTGCACTTCTCCATGCTGATTTAGTTTCACACTTGGCATATTCCCTGCTGCTTAGACACTTTTTCTTATGTCTTGTTCCCGAACCCACGTTTGTGTATTTACCACAGTCCATATTTTGCTAACCACAATACTACATGCCTCTCTCTGTTGTTACCAAGACATCTGAGGCAGAATCTGGTAGAATTGCTTTTGTCTTGAGTGTGCTCTGATAGAGAACATTTTCACTGGGGATAAGACTGTTTCTGGTTTACAGATTTCATTGTTGATTGTGTGGCACTATTGAAATATAACCCTGAATTGTGGTTTTCAGGGATGTCCCACTTTTAAGACTTTCCCTACCAGCACTGGTCCGTGTGACCCAGCCATTTTCTTACTTCCCATTAGCACTTCCTCTGTGTGTCATACGTTTTATTTGGCATAACTTTTTCATGCCCCTGTTTCCTGATTATTTTATGTAAATCTTATCTCCCTTGTCAAAAATTGAAGTTTCTTTAGAGCACATTGGGTCCTTTTTATAGTCACAGGCTTCAGATAAATAGTACAGTTGTAGGCACAAAACAGGTTCTAAGTGCTTACTGAATTGAAGAAAATTACTCATAAATATATTACAAGGCACTATTTAGGAGTAAGCATAAGTTGTTTATTGCCACATACTCTCCATGTAAATATGCTGAAAGCACATTAAAAAAATGATAATTCAGTTATTTTATTTTGCATTTTTACAGGTATGAATGTATGCCAGTATATTTTGAAAATGCATTCAATTGCAGATCTCATCCACAGAAGGCAAAGAAGTACATGGCCTTTTCTTTAGTGAAATGGCAGTTTAATGGTAAATTGTCTCTCACTGATAACATCTCAGAAGACACTCAAATTTAATTCTTGAAAAGTAGTGTTTGCTATTTATATACTGTATGTTTTTGGAAAGGCATTCCATTTATCTTTTAACGCCTTTCATCTATCCAATTTTGTTGGTTTTATCAGTTAACTCTTAATTCAGATCCACAAAGTAGCCCCCAACAAATAGTAATAAGTAGTAATAGTAGTAGTGGTAACTACTGCTCACATTTTTTTTTTTTCCTCTCCTGAAATTGATGCATTGGGACCCAGTCTAAGACCAGGACACATGCATCCATGATGGCATTTACTGTGAGCACAGGGCCCTGGCACAGTGATTCACATTGGCACATATTCTCTGCAAGGATTTGGATAATGAGATTGAGTTCTGTACCAGTCTAGAGACTCCAGAAGTTTGCAGCTTATTTTCTTTGGACCGGAGCTAGAATATGTCTGCAAAAAAATCAAACGGGCCAGAGAGTCTATGGTTTTAGGAATGAATCTGTCTGTTAGTATTAAAATGAATTCCAGAAGTAATTGAAAACAAACTTTCTTTCCATGTCTCCTGTTTATTGATGCTACTTGGAGCCTAATGTCTTTAGATTTGTCTTAGAGATGATCTGAAGTGATCTTCTGGTGCCACAGCATAGTAGGGGGTATCTCCAGAAACTCCACTGTGGGTGAGGCAGGCATCATATTTTTCACACCTCTTGTGACAGGTAATCAAAAGCATGTCACAGGTACCCAGTAGTGATTGATGGTGAGAAAGAGGATGTCTCTTATGACTAGGAGATGAGATCAGCAGATAGATTGTTCTGTTTTCATTACCTCCAGTAACTTTCTGTATGACAATGCAGATTTGGCCCTTCTAATCTTTGTGTGCAGGTAGAAAACTTCAAAACTGACTTATACCTTATGAGTATTAATGAGAGAATGCATTCAATATATTAAAAATATTTGGTAGAAATGTTATAGAACTATAAATTTTTAATTCTAAAAATGAGCTATAATTTTAGTGCTTAGAAAAAAGATGGCTTTCATAATTTAAGAGAAACAAAGAAATAAATTTTTTTTTAAAAAAAGAAAAATTCCAAATTCTGACTGTCTGTATTTACCAATTCCATTTTCTGTGAGGAAATAGATTGGTTTCTTCTGTTCTCAAAACGTAAGGGGTAATTAATTTAGTGAATTAAGAGAATGTGCTTTCCGGTTAGCTCTTTAAAAACCTACTCAGTGCAATAAATAGTTGTTGAATGTACTGACATGTTTACTAAAGTGCATTTAGTATGAATAGTAATGGCTAACCTGAATACAGGTCAGTATTTACATCCTTAAAGACAGTTGGCCATAAAGCTGGGTTCACCCTCTTGTTCTTTTTTTTTTTTTTTTTTTTTTTTTTTTGACAGAGTCTCGCTCCGTCGCCCAGGCTGGAATGCAATGGCACGATCTCGGCTCATTGCAACCTGTGCTTCCCAGGTTCAAGCAATTCTCCTGCCTCAGCCTCCTGAGTAGCTGGAATTACAGGAATGCGCCATCATGCTGGCTAATTTTTGTATTTTTAGTAGAGATGAGGTTTCACCATGTTGATCAGGGTGGCCTCGAACTCCTGACCTCAGGTGATCCACCCGCCTCAGCCTGCCAAAGTGCTGGGATTACAGACATGAGCCACTGTGCCCAGCCCCTGTCTTGTTCTTTTTAACTGTGGTTAAATCCAGGAAGAACCAGGCATTGATGTGAAAATTATGTGTAGTAATAGCCCACCCTTACAGGCCATTATTAGTGGTTCCTTCTTTGGGGTCAGACAGAGCTGATCATTCTGGCTGTAACTCTTATGGCTATTTGACCTTGAATAAATTCTTTAATTGTTCTAAAGTTCAGACTCTTTATCTGGAAAGAATTGAGATTAACTCCCTCATGCAGTCATAAAGATTAAACCAAGCAGTGTGTGTAACAGTACTGAACAAAAAATTTGGTGCATATGGTTAATGTTCAATAAATATTTAACTGTTTCCTGTCATCTTTGTATTCACTAGGTCTGCCTGGCTTGTTAGTTTACTATTTGGGGCGGATTTGAATGTGGCTCTTCAGGTGGTATTGAAAATGGTATTTCATGAACACTTGCATATTTGGATGCATGGAAATCTCAATGGATAGAATTTTCTGTTCCATGGGGCACCAGATTCTAGTCATTGATTTTTTTACACATTGAGTCTCTGTAACAGCCCTTTTGCAGATAAAGAAACTGAAAGTTAGAGAAATTAGGTAACTTACCCAAGGCTACATACCTTGTAGGTGGTGGAGTCTGGATTTTAACCAGGCCTGTCTTACTTTAAAGGTACCTTTCAGCCGGGCACAATGGCTCACACCTGTAATCCCAGCACTTTGGGAGGCTGAGGTGGGCAGATCACCTGAAGTCAGTAGTTCAAGACCAACCTGGCCAACATGGCAAAACCCCATCTCTACTAAAAATACAAAAATTAGCTGGGCATGGTGGCAGGTGCCTATAATCCCAGCTACTTGGGAGGCTGAGGCAGGAGAATCACTTGAACCCAGGAGGGGGGGATTACCGTGAGCCGAGATCGTGGCACTGCACTCCCGCCTGGATGACAGAGTGAGACTCCTTCTCAAAATAAATAAATAAATAAAAGGTACCCTTCTGCCTTAATAGCATGGGTTAAGTGTTATTCAGATGAATCACAGAGCATATGGAAAACAGAACTTCTCAGGTATATGAAGTTTATAAAATCTCGGCTTTAAGGGAATTTTTGAAATTAAAAACATTTAATTTAAAAGCTAATTTAAAATACTAGTTTACCCGTGGGGCTTGATTTTCCTCTTAATAGTGATTCTCATTGGTTGTGGTACCCTTTCCTGGGGCATTTTGGTTGGCGTGGTTGTGGGAAGGGCGCTACTGGCATTTAGTTGGGGGCAAGCAGAGGTGCCAAATGCCCTGCAATGAGTGAGGCAGTCCAAGAAAATGAAGAATTGACCCTTGTACTTGGGAATTTCGTATCTTCTTCTGTAGGAGCAATATGAATCTATATTATGTCTTCTAATGAACTTATGTCTGAGAATTTACATATTGAAATACCTGTGATCAAGTACTTTCCTTTGGGGCATCATGATGATTTTATAAAATTAAGTGTGTAAGTAGGTTACATGATCTATGAATTTCATCTCAATATTATGAAGGGCGTATAATAAAATGCTTTACATATTTATTTAGGTGAGGTGTTGAATTTGATAAGGCTGAGAACTGCGTTTCTACAGTAGTCATATAAAACGGTTGCTCAGTATGTGCCCTGTCACTCTTGAAGATGAGGAAGCCATTCCATCTGCAGGCAGCTGTTTGCACCTACCTCTCAGACAGTTCTTCCTTATACTGAGCCACCGACCTCTCTCCCTCCATATCTAATGTCTAATTCTAGGTATACCCCTTGAAGATCTGTCTATCAAGCCTAAATCATCTATTAGATAAAGATCCTTCAGATGTTTAAAAACAGCTGTCATTTAATCCAAGTCTTCTCTCCTGACCAACTCCTTTGACTAATATTCTTAAAATCTAGTTTCATGCCATTTAACCATCCTGTTTGTTCTAATTTCCCTATAGTGTGAGATCCCTAGCTAAATGCAATAATCTTGATGTAGTCTAATCCTCAAAAAGGGTATGACAGACTATTATAATCTGTTTATTCTGGGTTGATAGCACTAGTGGGTTTTTTCGAGGTGAGGGGGAGGAAGGTGCACAGTGGAATTACCCAACTGTAATTCCATATATGAATCTTCCAGATATGAATCATATTCACTTGCACTAACACTAAACTGTACCGCTCTCATTTCTTAGTACCTCACCAGTAAAACATCAGATTCATGTGGGGTAAATTTCCACCTTATAATAATTGACTCCTTTCTACAGACAGCCGAGGGCTTTTGAACCCTAATGCTGCTATCCAGGATGTTATTAAGTACCTACGTCTCCAAATGGCTGATAAGGGAGGCCTCTATATTTTTGTTCAAGTCAGTGGGAAATATACTCATGAGGACAGGGCATAAGAAAAAATACTGCATTAAGCTATTAATCTTCTCCCTCCAGGTTCAGAATGGATTTCAGCTCTCAGAGCAACTGAGGTTGGTCAGTCAGTCAACACATACCTCTTGGTACAGTGATTCAGTGATTTCCTTTATTCATTTAATCATATAAACATCTACCTACACACCCAACCCACATTTCTCCATCTTATCCATAAGCAGACAAGAGAAATCTATCAAATGCCTCTTAAGTGCAGTTACATGTGTTTTCCTCATTTTCCTGATCCACTAGAATAGCAGCTATGTCAGGGAGGGAAATTAGGACAGTGTGATTTGACTAAGCCAGCATTCCCTGAATGTCCTCTCGTCTACCAGCCCTTGCACTCCAGCCTTACCAGATCACTCAGGATTCCCCGAACACCACACATTCCTGCCAGTGGCTTGCACATCCTCATTCTGCCTGATGAGCCTGACCTCTTCTGCATTCACGGTCTGGGAAACTCCTGCATCTCCTTCCCAGCCCAGCACTGGCATCACCTGTGACATTGCTGGGACACTCCTTCCCTTTGAGGCAGCGTAAGTTGCTCAGTGCTCTGTGCTGTGTGGTTCCTTGTGACCACTAGTATCAGAGCACTCACCACATCTCATTTAATCAGCTGATAAGTTATAGTTGCCTCTTCTTCCTGAGCTTCCTGGCTGATGAATGCTGTCTTCATCTTTGTGTCTGCAGCAGAATACTTGGTCCGTGATAGATGTTTCCAAAAGTGATCCACTTGTCCTGCTGAATTGTTGGCTTTGTGGGATCATTCTAGATCTCAGGGTCCACAGCTCCCTCCCTCTGTTTTCTTACCAAACTGCCTTAAATGATCATTTCTAAAATTTTCCTGGGAATCTATGTGATGATATGCTTCAGTGTATAGTTTGCACAATTACCCTTTCTAAACTAAAATGCATTTGTCTGTTTTCAGGCTTCTGGCATTTTCTACACCTTCTGCAGTTCTTCACCCTGCCAGTGACTTTTTAGAAATCTCATTTGCATGTTCTTTTCTAAGAGAGAACTTATAAAATGATCTGTCTAGCCCAGAGATGGGTCTTCATTTAGAGTATGTAGGAGATTTGATGGCATCTCTTGACTCATCTTAGGTAAAAGGGCAAGGAAACTCACATTTGTTTAATTTTTCTCAGGTCAAATTTGAGCACCCTAGGCAGAGAATAATGGAATAGGAGTTGATGAGTTCTCCATTCATTTTGCCATGCAAAGATGTCAAACCCTTTCCCGAATAGCAGATCCGGAGCCCATCCTTGATCATCACCTTGCTTCAGGAATAACTTTTTAGTTGTTTGTTGCTGAATCATTCATTTTTGTTTTTTTGTTGTTGTTGCATTGTTTTTGTAACATGTATTTATTTATTTGGGGGGTATTATCTGATTGCTCTCCTTTAAGTTGTTTTTTGTTTTTTTTTGAGAGAGAGTCTCTCTCTGACGCCCAGGCTGGAGTGCAGTGGTGCAATCTAGGCTCACTGCAACCTCCGCCTCTCAGGTTGATCTCGTGCCTCAGCTACCTGCGTAGCTGGGACACCAGGCATGTGCCACCACGTCTGGCTACTTTTTGTGTTTTTAGTAGAGATGGAGTTTTGCCATGTTGGATAGGCTGGTCTTGAACTCCTGACCTCAAGCCTTCCACCTGCTTCAGCCTCCCAAAGTGCTGGGAATATAGGCATGAGCCACTGCGTCTGGGTACCCTTGTAAGTTTGTGGCACACGTTTGTATCTGGTTCTGCGTCCTTCCCAGGTTTCTCTACTGTTACAGGGAGTGTTCAAATTTCTGACCTTGTGTAACATTGAAATTTGAATATTTTTGCTTTGTTTAGATGACAGTGTGGCTTTGAGAGACTGAACACCTGTCATATTTTGGTATAAATATAACTATTTTCTAGGAGGAAATGCCTGCATAGAAAGGTCCATTTTGATCTGTTCCTTACGTGACCAAACACAGTGTGACCAAGCCTCAATGTGTACTCCTGACATCATTTCATTTGTATATTAAGAAACATGTTGTTGGGAAAACAGCTGATGGGCCTCATGGATATACTGCTGTTTTTCTAGTCCTGACTTGTTATACTTGAATATTCAAGGAACTGCAGTGTGTTGGAGGTGAATCCAAAAAGCCATGCTTTGCTATGTGGGTCCACAGCTGTGTGACCCACAGCTGACAGGCTGAGAGGTATTAATTAATTTCCTGAATTCAACAGCACTAGCTGTGGTACGGCAGTTATTTAAATCCAGTCTGGTGTACACTCCAGTGTCTTTCAATAACCTTTGGAGCCAGAAAGCATTTGGGGATGAGCTAGAAAAAGTAGTCCGGAGTCAACAACATCCAGTGCTGCAGCACAGAATTTGCAAGTTAAGACACATGTACCTAGCCACTGGGACAGGGAGGTCATTGAGGACCTCCAGCTGTGTGACCCACAGCTGTGTGGGTCAGTTTGGTGTAGTTAAGGGGTCTCTGCTGGTTCTGTTCTTTTAAATGGTGCCATGTGTACAAACAAGGAACACTTTTCTGATGATTCAAAAAATACTTTGTCTTCATCACAGCTCTTTTGAGGTAAGGATTTTTATGTGCTATTTTTATTTGAATAATGAACTGGATTTAAGTTTAATTGACTATCCTGATTTAAGATTGCAAAAAAAAATATTTAGATGGAAGATTCATCTTGTGCTTTCTCGTGAAATTCTTTTTGGTCTGCAATACACCATAAATGCAGGAGACTCTTAGAAGTCAGCATTTAGATGAGTCTAGAGTGTATTGAATGAAGGAAAGTCAACATTAAATGAATGAAGGGCTTTTAAGAAGCCCATTATGACCACTTATAATGGAAAATGTAGTTCCCATTAGAGACTGATTTAAGGAGCTCTGGTTCTTCACTGAAGCATGAAGGCTGCAGTGTGGTGTTCTGTGCAAATCATTTTTATAGCATTCTCTACTGAGCTCCTTCTGGTTAATCTGTTGGTGTGTCTAAACCTGTAAGAACTGCATCTATCATGTTTAGGGAATACAAAAATTTCCAGAAACTTAAACCAAAGATTAGCATATTTTTCATTTACCTAATAGGATATTGAAAAATAAAAAAAGCCTTACTGGTTGTAATCAGACACAGCAGCACCAGATGTCAACTATTGGATCATTTAATCTTTTTCTCTTGTGCATATTTTCATTAATATTTTTCTACTTGAACCAAATATTAGTTTCTGGCTCATCTTGCAGTATAAAAATTTTCCAATTAGATTGCTGTAACTTAATTTTTATTCATGACTGGAAATTTAATAGAAATCATTGCTTTTGTAACATGTAGGAGATGAACTTTAAAATAAACCACCTGACCCAGGGCAGGGCAGAGAGCCTAGGATTCTGATCTTTCCTGGAGTCTGAGGGAGGCTGGCATGAGACTCCATCCTCCATCCCTAAGTAATTCTTAATTTGGGAGGAATTTTTGGATTTGTATTGGTCTGCCATATAATTGACGTTATCCCCAGTCCTGGATTAATTTACCTCCTTGCTTAGCTTTTATATGGATTTTCTGCCTACTTATGTGCCAGTTATTTAGGGAAGTATAGTAAAAGTGAAACTTGGTGTTATTTGACTTGAAGGAATTTATGGTTGGGGCGAGGAGACTAATTGAAATGCTGTTGTCACACAGTATATGATTAAGTGCCTTGCAGTAAGTTATAGGTGATATATGAAATAAGCTCTTTAGGGGAGAGGAGCGCACACAAGTGGTCAGGGAAGGCTTTGAAGTAGAATTGGGCCTTGTCAGAAGGAGGAGCCTAGCAAGGTTGCCTCGTGCCTGAGGAAAGAGTGAGGATAAAGGTGCAGAGTTGGGGAGACGCCCAGGGGGTTCAAACCACAGTGTGAAACTGAGCTCATGAGAGTTAGACACTCAGCCGCCATCTTTCCTTTTTCTTCTTTCTCCTTGCACTCGAATTCTTGAATGAGTACTAACTACCCCAACTCATGGTAGCATGGCTTCCACTCCCAATACGTCACTAATGCAGTCCCGTTGGAGGTCCTCAATGACCTCCCTGTCCCAGTGGCTAGGTACATGTGCCTTAACTTGCGAATTCTGTGCTGCAGCATTGGATGTTGTTGACTCCGGACTACTTTTTCTAGCTCATCTCCAAATGCTTTCTGGCTCCAAAGGTTATTGAAAGACACTGGAGTGTATACCAGACTGGATTTAAATTGCTGCCGCACCACAGCTAGTGCTGTTGAATTAAGGAAATTAATTAGTACCTCTCAGCATCAGTTTAATGGAAATAAGGACATCTAAATCATAGTGTGGTTGAAAGATAAAAAGATAACATAGGGATAATATGTTGAAGTAAATGGCTGTTGGTAGGCAGGCATCAAGATTAGTTCCCTTTCCGTACCTGGTAGCCATGCTTTCCTTGCCTGAGTGTGCCTAGCCCCTTTCACTTCTATCCCTTTGCTCTGGCATTCCTACTTTCTGGAATTGAAATCCTAACCACTTTACCCATTGAAATCCTAACCACTCTGAAAGGTTTATCACCTCAAGCAGAATTGAACTTCACATCTTTTGGATTCTTACTTAGTATTATTCATTGGACAGCCCCAAGTTACTACCCTACAGTTTAGTTATCTGCACAGTCATATTTTCCTGACTGGATGGAAAACTCTTTGAGGGTGAAGCCCAAGTCAGGGATGTGAAGATAAACTAGTAAGAGCTGAGACTGTGTACTCCCATGTTTCTGTACAGGGCTGAATGAATAGTTGTCAGGCTTCCAAGGTGATCTCATCATCATATTGTTTTTTCTCCTTTTCTTCCTAACCACAAGCATATGCTGATAATTTCTAATTCCTTTCCTCTAGCCTTCACTGCCCTTCTGTGCTTTCAGTGTAATCAAACGTCTGGTGAATGTCTCCAACTCCACTATCCCATAGCCGTCTCAAAGGCACAATGTCCACAACCGATTTCTTACCTCCTTCTGCTCCCCTGTCCTACATGCAGCCTGCCCTTTTCATGTATATTGTACTAGATCTTCGGTGCCGTAACCCACGCAGTTCCTGAAGCAGAAACTTGGAGGACATCCTTCATTCCTTACTTTCCTTGTTATCTACACTGCATGACTCATCAAATGTCAACTCATCAGTCTCCTAAGTATTTCTTGAGTCCATCCCTCCTCTTTCTATGTCAACTACTGCTGCCTAGTTTTGGGTGCTCCTCCCTCAATTAGTTTGACTGTAATTTCTTTTTAATGAATCTACTTCACCCTGTCCTTAAATCCTCTCACGTCAATCCTCTACCTCTGCCGTCTGATTATGCTACACTCCCTCATGGAGAACCCTCTGGTGGCGCCCTTCCATGTACCTTGGGGATGAGAAAATTAGTTTTATCTCATGGACCAGCTCTGATGGATTTGGTAATGGCTCTGCAAATGCTGCCGCTGGGTTCAGCATGAGCAATTGATGGCCTCTGACAAGGTGCAGTGAAGGGGGTGGGCTGCACATAGCCAGCTAGGATTAAGTCCAAGCTCCTTAGAGCAGCATACAAGGCTTTCCGTGACCCAGATCCTGCCCATGTCTTCATCCTCAGCTCACTTTACCCTGGAACAGAAGGGAACAATTTTGTCTTCTTGCTTTTGTTCAATTGAAACCTGCTTGCTCGTACCCTTTACCTGGGAAATGCAATTTTTTTTTTTTTTTTTTTTAGACGGAGTTTTGCTCTTGTTGCCCAGGCTGGAGTGCAATGGAGTGGTCTCGGCTCACTGCAACCTCCGCCTCCCAGGTTCAAATGATTCTCCTGCCTCAGCCTCCCAAGTGCTGGGATTACAGGCACCTGCCACCACGCCCGGCTAATTTTTGTATTTTTAGAGAGATGGGGTTTCACTATGTTGGCCAGGCTGGTCCCGAACTCCTGACCTCAGGTGATCCACCCACCTCGGCCTCCCAAAGTGCTGGGATTACAGGTGTGAGCCCCTGCGCCTGGCCGGAAATCCATTCTTAACCTACAACCTTAGTGTGTGCTCAGGATACCTGGGGTGGGCCTTGCATAGTGTTAAGTGTTATTTGTTTTTAATTGGCAAATAGAAATTATATATATGTTTTTTTAATGATATTTTGAAAATATACATTAGAAAATGGCTAAATTTAGCTAATTAAGTATTCCTGAGGTCTATTTTTCAGCAGTACATATCACATTGTCTTGAAATCCTAAGTGTCTCTCCTGAAAGACAATATATACTGTTAGAGCAAATATCATGTCTTTATCTTTGACCTCTGGGACTTATCACACTCCCTTTCATGTAGTATGTATTGTGGATTAATTTGTTTATTGAATTGAAATGAATTAGTAAATAATTTTGATTGTGAATACACTTTGCTTTATTTATTTATATTTACTAATTTTTTTTTGAGACAGAGTCTCCCTTTGTTACCCAGGCTGGAGTGCGGTGGTGCCATCTTGGCTCACTGCAACCTCTGCCTCCTGAGTTCAAGCGATTCTCGCGCCTCAACCTCCGGAGTAGCTGGGACTGCAGGCGTGCACCACCATGCCTGTCTAATTTTTGGTATTTTTGGTAGAGATGTGGTTTCACCCTGTTGGCCAGGCCGGTCTCAAACTACCAATCTCAAGTGTTCTGCCTGCCTCGGCCTCCCAAAGTGCTGGGATTACAGGTGTGAGCCACCGCACAGCCTGCTTTTTTTGATTTAAATTTGATAGGTGAACAAACTATTGCTTCAGGGTGAAAGGACAAATTTTAGGAATGTTAGTGCTCTGCAGAAATTTAGACTGGTGAATCACTGAATAAGTAGACAATTGGAAATTTTTGAGCAGGGGAGTGGCATGATAAAAGTGGTATTTGAGGAAGCTTGATCTGGAGACAACCTTTTTTTATATTATAGGCTTAAGCCACTGCTGGCAAGCGTGGGTGAGGGTCGCAGGGGTGGAGAAGAGGGAGACGCAAGGGTTTAAAGCCATGCTGAGGAACAGCTTCCTGTGTCTTTGTACTTTCATTTCCACATTTGCTCAAGTGGGATGTACTTGCTGGCATGTTTCCGAAAATAAAATAGAGTGCTGAAGTTATTTTTATTTTTTTAAAAAAACATTCTTGTAAAACACCTAAGTGAGCCATTTTACATAATTATCTGAGACATATGCCTTATTAATTGCTTGGGAAGAGTGATTATGAGTTCAATTTTTTTTTAAATAATTAGCATCTACATAGTTAGGCTACAATCTTCCAAAGTCAGTGAAGGTTTTTATTTTGGCATGTTTTAAAATAGTTGTTAGTTGTGAGGAAAATACTGCAGTTTGGTTTTCCATCAGGTTTTGCTTTATAGTTTAACATCTCCATTCTGATTGTAGTTTCTCCCATGGACATTTGCATTTCATATTTGACTCATGTGACTGTTTCCTGGTTAAAGTTTATTTTTCATTTGTTTTAGTCCATGTAGTTCTACTCCATTTTATTTTTCACATTGGCCAGTGTAAACTTTTAAGTTTACAGTTGCTTTGTTATCTTTTCTTACAGGGTTACGACTCACTGATTAAAAAGAGGGACTTTTTCAAATACTTTGCACTTTTGATTGTGTATTATGGATACCAAGGAAGAGAAGAAGGAACGGAAACAAAGTTATTTTGCTCGGTAAGCATTCATTTTACAAAATTGTTATCAGTACTTTAAAGAAATATTTGAGGGGACTTTGTCCTCAAGTATTACTTCGCATTTTGTGTTTTGTGCTTGTTCATAAATAGAGCAGGTAACCAGGAGAAGTAAACTATACTTTGCTTCATCCATTTTATTCATATTAGAGGAGTGTAACATTTGGTTCTTCTCTTTCTAGCTTTGACACTTCTCTCAGGCCAGTGTTGCTCAGCGAATCCAGCTGTCATGCTCTGACCTGCAAATTGCTCCAAATCCCATGTTTAGCAACCTACCTTGAATTTTAAATCCTAAGTGCTTTGTTCCTACTGTTCTGTAGCTTAATAGGTTGGACTATAACTGAAAATCTCTGACACATTTAAAGCTTATCACCTTGTGGGGAGTCTATTACTAAGAAATATTTTTGTAGGTAGGTGAAATGGGTGAAATTATATTTTTGAATCAGAGTCATTTTTAAGGCTGGAACTTGTCCAACATAAATAAATTTGTTGATATCTGAATAGAAGTAATGTAGTATATGATTGGTTACCATTTACAGATTTAAATGTCTATGTGGCACTCACTAAACATAATAAAATGAATTATATGCTAAACATTTGTAAAACATTTTGATAAGCCAGAATGTTTTCAGACTCAGAGAACATAGGCTTAAAAACATTATGTTTCTCCTAAATTGAAATACATGTTAAGAACTGAATTTAGCCTCATTCCATCCCCAGTCCCCAGGCTGTGCTCATTAGAGATGCATTTATTATTTTCTAAACATGAGCCTTGGAGCCAAAACCAAAGTTTGTTGTTGATGTTTTTATCTAGTAATTAAGCTAGATTTTAGGTTGATAATGGGAAAAGGACAGAAACAATTTAAGGACCTACTATGTACTGAGTGTTTTACTTATTATTTTAATTGCCTTCAAAATAAATCTATGACATCGGTTAATTTATCTCCATTTTACCAGTGATGCAACTAAGACTCAGAAAATATTTTGTCCATTTCATGCAGCATAAGAGTCAGTATTAAACATAAGGCCATCTCCAAAAGGCATGCTCCAGTTAGGAATAGTAAATCATGAATAAGGTTTTGGGGAAGCACAAGTTAAACTACCAATTGTAGTAAAATATTTTCTGCTATTATGACTACAGAGAGTAACCAGATTAGGGAAGGAAGACATCAGGCATCTAATGGATGAGGCACCAGAAAGATAGGATATTTAGAATAAATAAGATCTCCAAAGTTTTTATTTTGAGATAATTTTAGATTCACATGTAGTTAGTTGTAAGGAGTAATAGATACCCTGTATTCTTTATCCATAGTACAGTATCACAACTAGGAAATTCATATTGATACAATCCACCAGCCTTATTCAGAGCATTCATTGTATGTGTGTTTGTGTGTATTTAGTTCCATGCAGTTATATCACATGTAGATTTCTGTGGTCACCATCAGTCAAGATACAGAACAGTTGCATTAAAAGGATCCCACATGCTACCTTTTTGTATCCCTACTCACTCCTTCCATCTGCCTGCCTCCTCTGACAACCACTATAATTTGTCATTTCAAGAATACTAGGTGAATGGAATCATATAGTATGTAACCTTTGGCATTTAGCTTTTTCTTCCCTTCAGCATTACTCCCTTGACATCCCTCAAAGCTGTTGCATGTATCGATAGTTTGTTCCTTTTTATTGCACAGTAGCATTCCATAGTATGGATGAATCACAGCTTTTTAGTCATTTACCCATTGAAGGGCATTTAGGTTGTTTCCAGTTTGGGCTATTTATGAACAAAGATGCTAGATGCTACAATCATTTATGTACAAGTTTTTGTATGAGCATGAGTTTTCATTTCCCTGAGATAATTGTCTGAGAGTGCAATTGCTGGGTCAAAAGATAAGTGTATTTTTAGTTTTATAAAAAAGTGCAATACTCTTTTCTGGAATGGTTGTAACATTTGACATTCCCATCAGCAAAGTCTGAGTAATCCAGTTTGTCTGCATTGTCATTTGGTGGTGTCAATATTTTTTATTTTTATCTTAGCTATTCTGATAAGTATGTAGTGATATCTCATTATGGTTTTAATTTGTATTTCCTTAATGGTTAGTGAAGTTTAACATTTTCATGTGCTTATTATTAGCCATAGTGTATCTTCTTTAGTGGCATCTCCTTTCCTATCTTTTGCCCATTTTCTAATTGAATTGTTTAGGTTTTTACTGTTGAATTGTACACATTCTAGTCTTTTGTTGGATATGTGATTTGCAAATATTTTCTCCCGGACTGTAGTTTGTCTTTTCATCCAGTTAACAGAGTTGCAGAGCAAAAGGTTTTAATTTTGATGTGGTTCAATTTATCAGTTTCTCCTTTTATGAATTGTGCTTTTGGTCTGAATTCTAAGATCTCTTTGCCTAGCTGTATGTTCTGAAGATTCTCTCCTGTTTTTCTTTTCTGAAAATTTTATAGCATTATGTTTTATATTTAAGTCTGTGATCCATTTTGAATTTATTTGTGGATAAGATATGAGTTTAGGTCAAAATGGTGGTCATGCTTCTCCTCCCCTTCCTCCCCGTCTCCCTTCCTCACCTCCTCCCTTTCTTCCTGCTCCTCTTCCTGCTCCTCTTCCTCCTCTTCTTCCTCCTCCCCCTTCCCGCTTCTCCCCCTTCCTTCTTTCTCCCACCTCCTCCTTCCTCCTCCTCCTTACTTTCTTCTTCTTTCTTTTCTTTCTTCTTCACTTGCCCTACATAGTGATTTTAAGAGCTATAGTGCCTTCTCAGCCTGAATCCAAAGTGATTCCTGTAGTAAAGGTAACTGCCGGTTCATGAACAACCTGCTCAATGTTAACCTCTTCTTGTTCCTAAAATGTAGAGTCAGGGGAGCCCCTGAAACTGAGAATACAAACCAAAACTGTTCTGGAAGAGCAGCACAGTTTTTTCAACTCAGAAATGTAAAATTGTCTTGCTTATCATGACCTCTTCTGAAAAGTATTCTAAAAATGAAACAAAAAACGTATCCTAAAATGCTGAAATGTGATCTTGGGAGCATAGGGACAGTGGCACAAGGATGAAATCAGTGATGCTCTTAAGACAGTAAGACAACATGATTTGTAACTAGGAAATGAGAGAGATGGAGAGAGGAGAATGGAGAGAAGAGGGGGTAGGAGCAGGGAGAGAGAGAAAGAGACAGAGAGAGAAACACTGACTGACAAACCTGTAGTTTAGCTCTTACAATGCAGTGGAAGCCAGAAATGGTCAAGCTATTAAAAGCAAAAGGCAAACCAAAGAGAAAAGAACCCCCTTCAGCCTATAATCAGAAAAGAGCCATCCAAAGTTATACATCTTTTCAAATGCCTTCTGACTTAACTGTGGAATTACCATGTGGAACTAGCAACAGAACTTACTTGAAAGCTGGTTTCTGACAATGTAGAGCAGAGTTCTCTGGAGCAGCGTACTTAAGGGCAGTCCAAGCAAGATCTCTGGAGAGAAGGATAAAATGTCAGGCCAAGGGTGAGGCCAAACTGATGCAATCTCAGTTTTCTCTAAACTAAATTATACCACCTTACATAAATCTCAACTGGTGTTCTGAGGAAGTCAAAAGGAAGATTTACCCTGATGCTGTGCCTGCTGCCACAATTACATATCTGAAACCCTAAAAACTGCTTTTTAGCCTGCTTCCCCCTTCCACCTAGGAAAAACTAGGAACACCTAGTTTTTCCTCCTGAGTAGTTAAATAGCCAATGTTTTCTTTGTGTGCTATCTTATCATGTGGTTTCATAATCGTTGTGTGACTGTGTTTGATAAATAGTCCTTTGCCAAACCTGTTTTGTTGACGTTTCGCTCTTTAACATCAAAATAGAGTTTAAAATACCCTATTTTAATAATTTTGGATTGAAATTAGTGATTTGAGGGTCACCCAGTCTTTCCTTTCTTATAATTTATCTTGAAATATGCCTGTGTAACTCTAAATAGAGGGGTGGATTAATACTGCTACTAGATAGAGTAATTCTGGATAAGACCTGATGAATTTTTTGGATTTTCTGACCCTGGTCCAACTGGTTTTCAGGTGCTTCAGGATAGTTTTATAACAGTTGTTAAATCTAGATTGAATGATTTGTGAAACTTTTTCACAAATGGTTTTGCAAATAATTTATATATGCAAAATTAGTATATGTCTATATTAATTTCTTGATCCCTGACAGGTCTTGAAAACCAAATGAAAAACTGAATTACTAAAGCAAATTATACTTTCTGTACTATTTGTACTGTGTACAATTTATGCTATCCTCTGGGGTGACTATCATGTGTCATTTGTTACACCCCTGCTGACTCTTCCTTCCCCTTGTAGTTAGAATGCAAAATTTTCTTTAGTATTGCCATACAGGGCTGTCTTCTTACACACTTGCTTGACATTATTTGGCTTTTGTGATTTCCGAGTAGGTCCTTGTATGCCATTGGTTGAAGATTCTTTGAAAGCATTTTTTCAGGATCAAGCGTTGATTGAAGATATCCAAAATACATCTGTAGTTGAACCAAATGGTGTTTTGTGGGAGGTTTACTTTTCCCCTCTGATAAGGTGTGAGAGCCTGGGAGTAAACAGTGAGTAATATAGACGAAGACACAGACTGGGTGTTCATGTAGGTCCCTTGTTGGCTCCCACCTCCCCTATTCCCTGGTTGTCATGAAAAGCAGAACTGCTGCTCCCACCTCCGCTTTCCTCTTAACCCAGCCTTTCAGAGCAGCAGTAGGAGCCAGCACCACCTCTGTCATCATTCTCAGTGACAAAGGATGCAAAGTGTAGAACATTTCTTAGCTCCCATCTCCAGCCTCTGCCCTGGCAATTCTTCACCCTTGAACCTCTGACCCACAAGCAGAACACCTAGTGTTTGCAGTTCACTCCAGTGTATAACCTCTGGCAAGTCTTCTAAGCTTCCTTTACCTTACATTTCTTCAGTTGTTAAATGTTGCTAAAAATAACCAACTAACAAGATGCTTTTGAAGAAGGAGACATCCCAACCAGCCAGAACTGGAGAGAAGCTCAAATGGGACCCAGCAAGGAGGGCCAGAGCTGAACAGCTGGTCCCCTTATTCTCTTTTCCATGGCAGAGGAGATTTGAACCCACTGTATAGCTTTCTCTGTTGTGTGAATAGTACACTTTGTAGCTTTCGTGTTCAAGTAAAATGAAACCAAGATGGCTATGAAGATTGAGGGTAATATACGAACAGTACCTGATACAGTGAGTACTCACACATTCCTTTAATAACAAATCATTCCTGATCTTACTTCTGTGTCTACCTACATCTTCACCTAATTTTCATCTTGACCTCCCACTTTCAGCCCATGAGCTGCTCCTGTTGTTCAGATCAGGGAAGAAGGAACACTTAACGACAATCCAAATTGGAACCATATCATTTCCCAAAGATACTTTGCTATAAGCACAGTTAGTTAGGTTCTGGGATATAATGAAGTGGAGTTATATAGTCAAAGGGCCTTGAGAAACCTAACAGTCTTTTATTTAACAGTTGGACCCTAAGCCCATGAGGTGAAAGGGTCCATGATAGGCTGGCTCTATCCCAGGGTACTTTTAGATATATTAATTGGTAATCAGAGCCTCACCACTTGAGTGGCTTGATGAACCGTCATGTCAAGCGGCGTGCCAGTGATACTGGCCCCCTTGGTCCTCAGAGTGGCCAGGCAGGGATTGGGTTTGTCAGAGACCTGGGCTGGTCATCTTTAGCTATGATCAGCATCTTACCCCAGGGATGAGTAGAAGTATTATCATCTTTCTGCATGCCTTGATATGAAAAAGGCTTTTGTAAAAAGTGATCCAGATTATCTTCATACCAAACATCTGATTTAAAAAAAGTTCATCCCTAAATATAATTTGACTGCTATGATAATTTATACTCAAAGGGGTTGAATAACTTCACTGAGATAAGATAGGCGTGTCAGGATTTGAACTCAGGTCTTCCCTTCTCCATCCAGAGCTTATGCTCTGCAGTGCTGCCATGTGCCCCTTTAGTTGCAAAACGGGGCTTATAGAACACAGGTCACCTGACCTGCTGCTACTCACAGTGTGGGTTGCATAGATTTCTGTGGGCAGTCTTGACAGCTGAACATTAATTTACACCAGTGTAAATTAATTTGGAGAAATGCATCATAGGTTCTAAAGGTCTAACTTATAAGCGACCTTTTCAAAAATAATTTGTTTATAACTTGACAACATCCCATAATCCATGTCTTATCAACTTATTCATCTATAATATGGTTAATGTCAGAGTATTAACCTACCAAGACAATAGGAAGCAGGCAGTCTGTAATACTTCACCTGTGTAAGTCAGGGTGTTGCATTACAGTGATCCACTTTACTCCCTAAGGTTGCATGTTGTCTGAAAAGAGCAGTTGCCCATGATAGAAATGAATGCAGAAATAATTCTGTACAAAAAGCCTTCCTTTGTCCTCTTGGTCAAATACAGAGTCTGAGGTCCAGTGGAAGGCATCACGTGGATGGATCTGGGTGGTTGATCTGCAGCACTGGTGGAGCACAAAGTGTTATGCTCCTTGTCTCCAGCCCCACAGAGGCAACCTTTGAATCCTAGGAAGCAGCCATCTCTTTGTGGTGTGCCAGTGCCAAGAATGATTATACCACGTGGGTGGAGTGGTGTGATGTGAACTCTTGCCCTTTCTTTAATTAACTGTAGATTGTTTTTTCCTGCTGGCCAAGGGCTGTTAGAGATTTATCATCTTAAATCATCTTTAGTATGTCTGGCATTTGAGGAGAAATTTATTGCCCATTGTTGGATTCAGATACTCAGTCATAGCACAGTTTTAATTGTGTTGATACATAAAACGCAAATAGAACAGTTTTAAGTACTTGCTAAATGTTAGCTTTATACTTTTTTAATATTTGGTCATTTTATTTTATCAGTTTCACTATGCCTACTGATTCTAATACACGTTAATAATAATAGCAGTTGTTGGAACTTTATGAAGTAATTTCACAAGCATTCTGTTTATCCTTAAAATGATCCTACAAATAAATATAAATGCAGGTAATGAATCTGTTGTTCAGGAGGTGAAATAACTTACCCCAAATCACTTAGCCTTTAAATGGAGGGCCTGAGCCCCAAATCCCTGTCTGCTGTGTCTGTATCTCTGAGTGTTATTCTTCATGTTACCTCAGTTTACATTGCACTAAGTATTAGTGTCTACTTTGTCTGAAAGGGGGATTAGAACATGTTGTTAGGGCCAAGCATGGTGGCCCATGCCTGTAGTCCCAGCACTTTGGGAGGCTGAGGCAAGCAGATCACTTGAGGTCAGGAGTTTGAGACCAGCCTCACCAACATAGTGAAACCCCGTCTCTACTAAAAATACAAAAATTAGCTGGGCATGGTGGCACAGACCTGTAATCCCAGCTACATGGGAGACTGAAGCAAGAGAATCACTTGAACCCAGGAGGCAGAGGTTGCAGTGACCCGAGATTGCTCTACTGCCCTCCAGCCTGGGCGACAGAGTGAGACTCCATCTCCAAAAAAAAAAAAAAACAACAAAAAAAAACATGCTGTTAGCATCATAATGTGATAAATAGAAAAAAAAAATTATATATGGGCATGGAAGGAGAATGTTACAGTTGACTTTACCAGAAACATTGGATTTCAATTTCAAAGCGCCATCCACCTGAGATGAAGCGATCCACAGCACTGCTCAAGGACACTCTCTTGCATGATTTCCATAGCTCTTATTTGTTTATTGGTTTTACAGTCAATCCCCCCGCAAATGGACATCTGGAAGGTGGAGACTCTCCAATCGTTCATTATTCTTTCAAGGGGCCTATTCAATAGTGGTTGGCATACAGCAAGTGTTAAATACTTGTTGATCAACTGACACAATATTCAAAACAGTTTCTTTAATGTAGGATATAAATGGTTTGTGAATTTTAATTTTTATCACTACAAATTTTTCAGTATTCAGCAATTTTATTAATCTTAAAAATATTGAGAATATTTCAAAACCATTTTCTATGAAAAAGCTGCTAGTACCTTATTTGACAGTATTACAAATTACTAACTAAACTGTTGTATGAGCCGTGATGTTAAGGCTTATATTTTGTATTTTCTCATTTGAGTTCAGACCAGGCAACTCTTAAGTGAGTATTTACAAATTGCTTGACATTCATTACTGGGAAAAATATCCATGGTCAAGTTTTATCTGCTAATGTTTTCAGGAAATCATTAACTTTTTCCTAAAGATTAAAAAAAGGCTTATAAACATTTAGCCATTAATAGTTAGACTCATGCTTTTTGCTTCGTTTTTGAGGAACAGGCTAAGTTACTTAATTCTGTGTAAAATACTACAAGCTGTGGGTTATAACCCGTTAGGGTCTCATGAAATCAGTTTAGTGGATAAGAAACAGCATTTTTTTTTTAATGGAACAGAACAGAATAGATTAGACTGGACTAAGCTGGACTGAAATAGAAAATATCAGAATGTGTTGTATGTAGTAAGAATAAATATTTGTTTATGAAAATTGTGTTTTAAATGTTAAGTATGTACATATTGAATCACAGTTTAAATTTTTTTTATTATGGGCCAGCATTAAAAAAAGACCCATTGATTTAGAGGATTCCTTAATTGTTAGCATATTGGGAGTGAGGGTTTTTTTTTTATCATTCAAAAATGAATTTATTTGAAAATTATTCATCTAACACACATTGGCTGATTGGCAGCTGTCCATAAAGTGCCTGTTCAGTAAATATACTTACCCACACTACAGTTTAATGGGTTCCTATAAACTAATTTCAACGAATAATCACAAGCATGTTTCTGTTTAACCTGAAATCCCAGACTGATTGGTCATTCCAAATCCTGGTTCAAGAACAGTAAAGTCATCTCACAAAACCCCCAGATGGAACTATTGTGGTGAAACTTGGGAGACTTTTGCTTTTGGACCTCCTGCAGGTTTCTTCTCTATAGAACTACTTACTACTGTGGAGCTTTGGGTCTAGTTTTCCCCAAAATGGGAATAATAGTACCTACCTTATAAGGTTATTGAGAGGATTGAATGAATTAAAATATATGAAGTCTTTAGAATAATACTTTAAAAAATAAGCACTAAATAATTTTAATATAAAAGCTTGCTCCCTAAATGGTGAATACAGGAATAAATGAGAAAAAATACAAATATATAGATACAACTGTTGGGTAAATTTCAGGGAGTTTATAAATCCCCTAAAACTTGTCTGTAAACCTGCTTTAGTCATATGCTTCAGTGAAAGGTCCAATACTCCAGACTCCAAGACAGATTCCAGGGAAAGAAAAGTGATTTAAACTGTCTCCTCTCCTCCATCTCTTTTTTAATTTTTTTCTCCCTGAGACGGAGTCTTGCTCTGTTGCCCAGGCTGGAGTGCAGTGGCGTGATCTCGGCTCACTGCAAGCTCCGCCTCCCGGGTTCACGCCATTCTCCTGCCTCAGCCTCTGGAGTAGCTGGGACTATAGGCACCTGCCACCACACCCAGCTAATTTTATAGGCAGAAGCAGGAGATTCGCTTGAACCCAGGAGGCGGACATTGCAGGGAGTCGAGATCAAGCCATTGTACTCCAGTCTGAGTGACAAGAGGGAACTCCATCTCAAAAAGAATTATAATTGATCAGCCAGACACAGTGGCTCACACCTGTAATCCCAGCGTTTTGAGAGGCCTAGGTGGGAGGAGTGCTAGATACCAGGAGTTTGAGATCAGCCTAGGCAACATGGTGAGACCCTGTCTCTACAAAAAAAAAAAAAAAAAAAGCCAGACATGACAGCACATGCCTGTAACCCTAGCTACTCTGGAGTGGAGGTGAAAAGATAGCTCGGGTATTGAAAGTTACAGTGAGCTATGATCATGTCGTTCCAGCCTGAGCAACAAAGCAAGACTCTGTCTCAAGAAAAACCCAACAATTTTTTTAAAAAACCAAACCACACATAAAATTGATTGATCTTACTTTTGAATATGTGGAGTGACTTAAATCAAATCACTGTCATGGATAATTTGAGTGAAGTTATTAATCATTCCATTAATTTTTCCTGTGTATGTGAGAATATATTACTGTTGATTATGACATCTGTGGTGCATGTACTTCACGATTTAGAGCTAGAAGAGCTTTGGTTTTAGAAGTTACATAATACATAATATAAAGCAGATGAATTTTGATATTTCAGATTAATTTTGTTAGCACAGCAGAAAGCTGAACAGTAATTTGGTTATTTTATTTTCAGAAGGTAATTGCAGCAGATGCTGGTAAGGTCACTGGGGACTGAGCAATTTCCATTTCCATGGCTCCAACATCTTTTTTTTTGTCTTTTAAGGGGGATGGGCGGGGAGATAGTTCTTCTACTATGCCAAGTCAACTGCTGTCACTAGACAATAAGAGAAATTTAATTTTTTTAAACCACAACTCTAAGTTTATATAAACGATATTCTTATTTTATAAGGGTAGATATATTTTAAATGTAAAAACAGGTATATACACACACATACATACATATGCAAACATATTTTTCTTTGAAAAGAGTATATGGATTTTTAAAATATAAAAATTAGTTGTAAGCTCACATGTATTCATATTTAAGCACACTTTATACGAAATGGCATTATTTTGGCTGAGCGCAGTGGGTCACGCCTGTAATCCTAGCACTTTGGGAGGCCAAGGCGGGTGTATTGCCTGACCTCAGGAGTTCGAGACCAGCTGGGCAACACAGTGAAACCCCATCTCCACTAAAATACAAAAAAAATTAGCCAGGCGTGGCAGTGTGTGTCTGTAGTCCCAGCTACTCGGGAGGCTGAGGCAGGAGAATTGCTTGAACCTGGGAGGCAGAGGTTGCAGTGAGTGAGCCAAGATTCCACCACTGCACGCCAGCCTGGGTGACAGAGCAAGACTCCGTCTCTAAAAGAAAAAAAAAAAAAGCGCATTATTTTAATGAATCATTTAAAATGAAAAATTACAAAATTAATTGGGTTACAAATCCAATATATGTAATCTTTACCTCCTTCTTCCTATTTGTTTTTAATGCATAGGAAAACCTTTCTGTGATTTTGAATAATGACCATTTTGGTTTTTATATTAGCCGATGCAACTAGATATTTAAGACTTCTCTCAGTTCTTTCATGTAATTAAATGTAAGAATTTAGGTAATATTCTTTATGTTATGAAGAGAAACATATGCATTGCTTGCATCTCAGAGAGACCTTATGTGCCTGTGCCTATTAAGCCCAGACGGTAGATTGGTAAACAAAACAAATATGGTCCTTGCCCTTATGGAGAATACTTTTCACAAATACGTTGTCTTAGTTCATTTTGTGTTGCTTTAACACAATGTCACAGACTGGGTAATTTACAATGAACAGAAATTTATTTGGCTCACAGTTCTGGAGTCTGGGAAGTCCAAGAGCATGGTGCCAGCATCTGACAAGGGCCTGCATGCTGTATCACCCCATGGTGGAAGGTGGGAGGGCAAGAAAGGGTGAGAGTGGGCTGGGCGCGGTGACCCATGCCTGTAATCCCAGCACTTTGGGAGTCTCAGGCGGGCGGATCACCTGAGGTCAGGAGTTTGAGATCAGCCTGACCAACATGGAGAAGCCCTGTCTCTACTAAAAATACAAAATTAGCTGGGCGTAGTGGCGCACACCTGTAATCTGGAAGCTGAGGCAGGAGAATTGTGTGAACCCCGGAGGCAGAGGTTGTGGTGAGCTGAGACCTGCGCCATTGCAATCCAGCCTGGGCAACAAGAGTGAAACTCCATCTCAAAAAAAAAAAAAAAAAAAAAAAAAAAAGTGAGAGTGAGCAAGCAAGAGAGGGCCAAACTCACTTTTATAAAAATGCACTCTTCTAATAACCAGCATGCTCCCACAATAATAACATTTATCCATTAATGAGGATGGAACCCACTTGGCCTAATCACCTCTTAACAGTGCCACCTCTTAATTCTGTCACAATGGCAATTACATTTCAACATGAGTTTTGGAGGGAACATTCAAACCATAGCAGACATTAAAGAAGAACATCAAATCCATATGTCATTATAAATGGCTGTATTTGCTGTGAGGGAAAGCAACAAGACATCATAAAAGAGAAGTGCAAAAGTAGTATCCACTTTAGACACAAGTTATGTTCAAGGACCTTTGGAGAAAATGACATTTAAAGGTCATTTAATACTCATGTGTTAATGACTTTTAATGATCTTGGGTACAAGCAGGAGTTCACCAGGTAATCTGTGTGTTTAGGAGAAGGGCTAGGGAGAGAGGGAAGGACGGGAATATTCTAGGTAGGGAGAATCCTTGGATGAAAAGTCCTTAAAGTGACAAAAAGCTTGGCAGCTTCCTGGATCTGCAAGATGGCCAATGTTCCTTGAACACAGTGCTTTTTTGGGAGAAATGCACAGGCAATGTTAAGAGGTAGGCTGAGGCAGATCATGCAGGGCCTTCTTGGCCATGTTTAGGAATTTGGATTGAACAGCTAGATGGATGGAGGTGCCATTATCTGGAATGGGAAAACTAGAAAAACAACAGTTTTGAGAGAGTATCTCAAGAATTTAATACGTTAAGTTTGAGATGCTTACAAGACAACCACTAAATACACAATTGGGTATGTGTAAATCTGGATTGAAAACAGGTTCTGGACTGAGATGGAAATTTCAGAGTTGTTGGCCTCAGCCATGGGAAAGGATGACATCATATAGGCAGGGCATATAAAGTGAAAAAAGAACAGAACTAAAGAATGGGAACAGAATTAGGAAATTTCAACATTTGGTGGTCTAGTACAGAAAGAGAAGTAGGATGAAACTCAGAAGAGATAGAATCACTGCAGCTGAGAGAAGAGAGAATTTCAAGGAGCGAATGATCAGCAGGTTTGCAAGTAGCTGAGAGGTAAATTAAGATGAGGACTGCAAAGTATCCATTAAGATTGACACTTGGAGGTCACTGATAATTGATTGGATAAAAGCAGTTTCAGCACAGTGGTGGGAGAAGCCAGTTTGATGTGAATAGGAGGTAAGGGAGTGGAGACCAAGCTTCTAGCTAATTCTTTTGGGAAATCGGCTGGGAAGGGAAGCCAAATATTCAGGCCTTGGCAGGAGGAAGATGTGAGAGTCAAGGAATGGTGAGTTTTTGAAGATGGAAGAGGAAGAGGAGGCATTAGAGCATGCTTGTTGGCTAATGAGGATGGTGCATCAGAAAGGGATCCCTCAGGGATGTCCACTTGAAGACTGGTGGTTACTTAATGCCATGAGGATATTAGCAAAGAAGCAAGGCAGGAGAGGAGCCATACTGGGATACATGCACCTAGGCTGGCTGTCTAGGACCTGTAATGTGTTTTAGTTTTACTTGTGCGGATTGGTGGCACTGTGGGCTCTGTTTTGCTGATTGCACACTCATGCTGTGCCAGGAGATTTACAAATATGACCTCACTATGGTATTAGTTTTCTCATTTTTATAGGCAAGGAAACAGGCTTGGAGTGGTTTAATAACTCCCCAAGTTCCATAGCTAGCAAATAATGGAGCCAGGGTCTCTTCCTACTTGTATCTAATTCCAAAGCCTTTATTCTTAACTGCTACCTCCATAGTGCCCTTTAAATAGAATGTAAAAATAATTAGAACATTCTCTTCCATAAGAGAATTTTTTAATTGTAATATCTTAGATGAAAACATTAATTTAGAAATTTTAGAATTTATATTTAAAATTTTAATCTCTAAAAATAAAATTTTAAAGTTTAGACATTTTTCCATAAAAAATTTTTATAACCATTGGTAACAAATTATTATAATATGTCCTCTTTATAATCTATGTCCAAAAGTATTTGAGCTCCTGTTTCAATTTTTTTAGTAGAACTTTTACATATTATTTTAAGAGACAGATGTACAATGCTAGGAGTTAGAGCACCTTGGTGGTATTAAGTTTTTCCTTATTAATAGGAATTTTTAAAATAAACTATGTGACTGGATTTTAATATATTAGTGTATTAGTATAGTTATCCTGTTTTAAGTGAGGACCAATCATTCATATCTGTTTTAAATGAAGGATGCTAATCTTAATGCTGTAAGCAGTGACATCGGTGTAGGAACTTGATATACGTTGTGTTTGTTGAGAATAGTTGGGTGTGCTGCAGCATCCTCTCCAGCAAAGGAAGCCACTAGCAAAGATGTTCCTGTGTTTTCTCAAGTAAACAACCTGCGGTGAAGTGGTTATGTCTGTGTAGATCTGATAACAACTAGTAAATTTCTTTTCCTGCATTCAAAATTCTAATTTAGTGCACTGTTTCACAGTGGCTTTAGCTGTATAGTCATATCATATGAGGAACTAACGTCCCCCTCTAAGAGTATAGAAGCACCAGGTAATATAGTAATCAGACAATGCCCTGGAATCCTAGAAGAAGTAATTGAGAGATTAGAAAGAAAACACAGCATTTTCTTTTCTAAGTGTCAGGTTCATGTTAACTTGATATTTTTCTTCTTCCACTTAACCTCCTTAATACAGGCATCATGCCTAATTTCAGAATTATAAAATCTTTTAGTCGAAATATGGAGGTCGTGTGGGCTACCATGCTAGGTTTGGAATATCTACTGCCTTTGACAAATAGAATGTTTTCAGCCTGGACTTGAACTTTTCGAGCTATAACAATGTCTCAAGGACCCTCAAGGCTGCTTATTTCTTGCTTGAAAAACTCTTGTTAGAGGGAAGTTGTTTTTAAATTTTTGGTTAAATTTTATTTCCTTTCAGCTTATTCTATTTATTCCTTGTTACTTCGAATCCATACAGAATAAATCAAATCCATCTTTCATATATTATCATTGCATGTGTTTAAAGACAACATCATGAACCTTTTCCAGGATGAGTATCGTACCTTTCCATCCCTGAACCTTTTCCAGGATGAGTATCATAAGTTTCTAAATCTCTCCACCTAAGATGGAGTTTTCAGATTCTTTGCCATCTTGATATGACCTGATTAATGCAAATATAAGAATATTAGGCCAGGCAAGGTGGCTTACACCTGTAATCCCAGCACTTTGGAAGGCTGAGGTGGAAGGATTGTTTGAGGCCAGAAGCTCAAGACCAGCCTGGGCAACATAGTGAGACCTTGTGTCTACAAAAAATTTTTTTAAATTACCAGGCATGGTGGTGAGTGCCTGTAGTCCCAGTTACTGGCAGGGGCCTAGGGGTTGGGGTACTGAGGTGGGAGGATTGCTTGAGCCTGAGAAGTCAAGGCTGCAGTGAGCTTTAATCATGGCACTGCACTCCAGATTGGGTGACAAAGTGAGGCCCTGTGTCTCTCTCTATATATTTTATATATATATATATATGTGTGTGTGTGTGTGTGTGTGTATGTGTGTGTGTGTGTGTGTGTATAGATATATATACTTATCCTTTACTTTTATTAATAAACACCACATTTCATTATTTTGTTGACAGAAATTATGCTCATAGTGAGGGGGGAAAAGTGTTTTTCCATCTGAATTGGAATTTTGTCTTGTTTGTTTTCTGTCTATTATTCTATTTTCCAGGAATTTTGAAGCCTGATTTTTAACATTGAACATATTTTCTGCCCTCCCTAGATTGCGTCAGATATGCAACTTGAATAGCATGTGTTATGTTCTTATCCAAGTAGTTGATTAAAAGGCTGAATTGGAAAGCTTTATGCATTATGGCATATTAGTACTGTCAGTACATGAAATAGTTATCGTTAAGTATTTCAGTTTGCTATAAATCAGTTTCCTCTAAGTTAACCGAATTCTCTAGTCCAGCTGTTTCCATCTTACCTTAAGAAAAGTAGTGACATTTTCAGGGGCCTTAGTGAAATCTTTCTATACTACCTCCTGTGACTGGCCCATCAATATGCCAAATCTAGCCCAACCAAAAAAGATAATTATGTTCATTTAGAGTCACTCATTTTAGTGTACCTATAGTGGTTCCTAGAAGTCAATAATTTATCTTCAGGTAATCACAAATGATTAATGAGCTATCAGTTTATTTTTCTGACAGTTGATATCAAGCTACTCGGTGTGTCATTTCCAAATTTTTTATTTCTTTTGAAAACCAGGTTTGTTTGTTTTTTTTTTTTCCTACTTCCAATTTTCTTTCTCAGTGATTCTTTTGAGATTACTGGTAATGGTACTGCAACTCAGAGGGTTGCTTTGACAGGACTAGAGACTTCATCCTGGATTTCACTTTCTTCTTAGCCATGGATATGTCATCCTTTTTAATTTTTTGCCTATTCTCTTTGCTAAAGCTAAAAATAGGATTGGACTAGACCTGTTTTCTCTCTCTTACAGCTTAACTTCACCCAGTGGGCCTATTGCTTCTTGCCTCTTCAGCCTCTCAACATCCCTATAATTTTCTCGTTAGTTTTCCTTTGCATTGTTTACAAACTTCTGCATATGCTGAGCTTTCACTTTCTATGCCTGTTCCTATAGACTTCTGTCATTTGCTTTTTGCTTTCGTTTGAGCTCTATTATGTGCCTTCTCGCCATCCCCTATATGCCTGCCCATTAGAAACTTGAGTTTATTGGGCCATATTTGTTTACTGAGATGCTTTCAGCATTGGTTCTTCCACAGACTCATTTGTGATGGAGTTGACAGAATTTGTTTCGGAAGAACATATTACAGACATGAGCCGCCACACTGGGCTTGTTTGCGTCAATTCTTTCACAGTGTTATCTGCTCTATACTTCTTCCGTATCTCCCTTTTGATTGACAGTTAAAATCTTCACCTAAAAATAAAAAAAAATAATTAATCCAAATCTACAAAATTTCTACCAATAATTTCAAAGGCACTAGGGAATCATTTCAGGTTTCTTCCATGACAGTCAATCTCTTGATCATGTGTCTGGACAATTTCCTCTTGAGTGATGGCTATAATAATTTTTAGGAGGCTCTCTGCCACTTTGACATTTTGTGCGCTAAACCTGCCTAACCCTACCCAGGTCAAATTTTGGTTGCTTTTATCCCCCTGCTAGGGAGCCCCCAAATACTTTACTCTCTTTTAACTACTTAAGGGATGAACAAAACAAGCAGTAAATTATTTTATTATTTGCCAGGCAAGAGGACACACACATGTTCATTGGTAATGCTACTTAGAGATTGAAGTTTGTACCCTGGATAGGGGAAATGAAGTTTGCAGCCTGGATAGAGGAAATGAGTCCATAAGGCCACAAATGATTGGTTTTAACTAGTCCCATTTGTCATGGGGCAGTGAAGAGCCTTCACTTAGGGCCCTTAAGGGCCTAGCATACCAAGGATGCTCAAAGATCACAGTTTTATATCAGCTTTGGCTGGTGGGCTGTTCAGAATTCACAGCCAGTTACAGTGAAACTCAGCACCAAGCTTAGCTCCTGGGGAAGTGCTGCTACAAAGTGGATGTTCTTTGGCAGGACACAGGAGGAACCGCTGGATCTCTCAGCCACCTTGTTATTTTCTGCAGCCTCGGCTGCTCCAGATTTCAGGTCTGTGGGACATCGCCACACTGTTGTGTCACAGCATGGCATGGTCTCCAGACCTCCTTTCTCCCCTGCCATGTGTTCTGCCCACCAAATCGTTTCAGTTTCTCTCTGGAACTTCAGAATAGTTTTCTTTCTTGCATATTATGTAAGTTATTTTTCAACTTCCAGAAATCATGCTTAATGAAACATATCTTCAAAATAAAACTTCTGCTCCAGTTTGTGTTGCCGCAGAGTGAAACTATTGGCACTAGAAATTTGTGAATTTGAAGTCATAAATTGTAAGTGATTTGCATAGTTTAACCTCATTAAAGAGAAAATGAGAAATTAAGAAAAAAGTGGAAACCAGGACAGATAAATTTGCTTATTATGAAGATCAAACATAAAACAGTTGAGTAGGCAGACAGCTAAAACTCTTGGAAATAATGGGGCTGGCCGGGCTTGGTGGCTCACACCTGTAATCCCAGGACTATGGGAGGCTGAGGTAGGTGCATTACTTGAAGTCAGGAGTTTGAGACCAGCCTGGCCTCATGGTGAAACCCTGTCTGTACTAAAAATACAAAAATTAGCGAGGTGTGACAGGCTCCTGTAATCCCAGCTACTCGGGAAGCTGAGGCAGGAGAATTGGGAGGCAGAAGTTGCAGTGAGCTGAGATCACACCACTGCACTCCAGTCTAGGCAACAGAGCAAGATTCTGTCAAAAGAAAAGGAAAGGAAAGGGAGGGGGGGAGGGGGAGGGACAGGGGGAGGGAATAAATGAGGCTGATGTCTTGTTTCAATCAGGGTGGTGGCAAGGGGTGCTTTGGGGGCTGTGGCTTCTCTCTCCATTCACCTGTGCCATTGCCATCAGCACGTTCCACAGGCCACCCCAAATAAACATGCAGTTCTAATAAAAGGAGTCAGGTTGCTTAGCTGGTGCAGCTTTAAGACATATCCCTGACCTCCTCTCACTCCCCCAAAACTCAGTTTTGCCCCTAACTTCTAACTGCAGAGAAATTATAAAGTTAACACTAGCTTAAGTAAGGCCCTTCTTCCCTTTGTCTCTTCCTTCCTTTTTGTTGATTCTACAGTGTTGTTTCCTCTGAGAAATAATAATAGAATTTAAAAAAATTGTCATGTTAAACTGCAAAGCTTTTATTATTTTTTTAAAATCGTAATGCTTGCAAAAACATTTGGTCGGTAGGATTATTAAGACGTGACAAAATGATCTTTAAAAATAAGATGTACTTTCATACACAGTGGAAGAGTATTAACAGAAATATGTGGGCAGCTTATTTTTGTTTTTGTTTTAATAAAAACAAATATTTGGTTTTAACCATAAAAAGTTCTCATGATACAATTATTTGTGTGTCTGAAATCATCACTAGAGAAAACTAAAGTGACTTTAAAATGTAAATAATACTTATTAAATACATGTGAACATAGTATAATTAATCCCTTGTAGGTAAAAGAAAATTCTTTAAAGTTTGATTAAAAAAACGGAAGATTTTTGTTCATCAGATAATCCCCATATGATCTAGATTCATTTATTTACTTAGTTGTTTATTGTTATAGACATTTAGGGATGGAAAATATCTTAAAAACAACCTAAGCTAACTTCTTGGTAGAGGTGAGCTACTGAGGTCTTAAGAGGTTGTTATTTAACCAGGGTCACCAGACTCTCAGCTGCTGCAAGCCACAGACAGAGGTTTTCTCTTAGCAGAGTTGTGCTTTCATCTCACTCTACTTTAGCAGACCAATGATATCTCAAGCTTGCGTGTTTCTTTTAAGACCTCACTGAAGTCTTGCTGACCTAAAAGGAAGAAGCTGAGGCAAAATTAATGCAGGTAGAGTTGATTTGAGCCAAACTTGAGGATTGTAGCCCAGGAGCATAGATTGAAGATGCCCTGAATATACACTCTGATTAGCAGCAGTTACAAGTTGATTTTTAAAGGCAAAAAAGAGATAGGAAGTGGGCTGATACAAAGTGATGTGCCAGGAATTCTTGTTGGCTTACAGAAATAGCATTGATTAGTGATTGGCTATGCATTAAGTTATAGTGTCTGGTGTGGCATTATTAGATTAATTTATAGCTGCTTGTGGCAATAGCAGGCTGGTTCTGGAGATGAATACATAGCTCCAGCGGGAAGTAAGATGTGATTGCAGTCTCATTTTAGTGTCTCTGCAGCCTGATAATTTAAAAGGATGTATATTTCCCAGATAAAAGTTCTTTTCTTTTCTCAGGCTAAAAGAGGTAGAACACTTATTCCAGAATCTTTAAAATTTCCTGAGTTCCCCAATAATGCAGCCTTGATAGGCACACAATCTAATCTTAAGATACAACAGCTATCCATGTTATTTTCATGTGATAAAGACTGCTAAGTTTCCAAGTATCATCCAAACCCAGCTCAGCCAATCCACATTTTTGTGTTGTTGGCATGGAGCAACCTTACTTACGCAAATTCCTGTAATAGTCAGGAAGCTCTTTCCCCTTTCTAGGTCAAGTAACAGAAAACAGATCAGACTACCTTAGGAGAAAAAAAAAAAGGAATATGGAGTTTCTGGTTCACATAAGTAAAAAGTCCCAGATAAGATTTGACATCAGGAATGCCTGGATTTGGGACTCAAATAATGTCATTATGACTCAGTTTGTCTGTATCTAAATCCTTCCTTTCTTTTAGCTTCCTTTTTCAGGCTTTACTTGATAAATGCTGCTAAGTCAGAATCTCTATTATGCAACAGCAGGCAAAGCAAATGCTTGCTATTAGGTCTCACAAGTCCTGAGACTCACAGGGATTGGACCAACTTAGAGCCGGTGCTAGGTTTTGGAGTAGTGGCTGCCACTGGCAGAGGCAGAGACTCAGTGCTTTGATTGGACAGGCCCACATAAAGATGTCCTTCCTGGAGCTAGGATGAGTCCTACCCAGATCTGGTATTACAGAATAAGGAATAGATTGTAGGGAGGCCATTGAAATCTACTGCAGTTTTCTGTAGTATGTCAGGCACTGTACTAGGCACTGGATTTAAAGCTTTTAAAAAGGAGAATGACATGCTTTGAGTCTCAGTGAGTTTTTAGACACTGTACATGTCACTGTAAATATCATAGTTAATTCCATCATTGAATGGATGATTTGACAAGATAACCTTTAAAGAACTTTCCTACTTGAGATTCTATGATTTACGCTTCTTGGAAACAAAATGGAAAAGGTACAAATTCTTTCATTAGTTTAGGTAATTATATTTTCATCTTAAACTGTTTTAGAATTTTTAATATTGTGACAGCTTTATGTAGAATTCAGAAAACTCAATTTAGTGTTTAATACCACAACTCCACTAAAACAGTATCTGAATATAGAAAAATTAATTTATGAATAAAGAGCACTTTAAAAAATGTATAGTTGTCATGCCAGGGACATAATGGTTGGTAAATATGAATTTTCATTTTTGCTGATGCCATTGTGAAGTTGTAATGTATACATGCGTTAAAATATTGAGCCCCTCTTTTTAAGGGACCCTTTGATGTAGATGATTAAAGATTGAAGATTCTTTGGTCTAATCCATACAAACAGCAATGAAATTTTCCCTGATTTGGCTTTTGTTTGAACTGTAGCTGATATACTCCCTGCAGAGTCTCAGTAATAGTTAAAAACATATTTATTTTCCCCCATCTGATAAAATATTGTTATCATTCCATTTTGGTTTTCTTCAAAACCGCCTTTAACTCAGCCAAAATAAAGTCCAGCTGAGTTTTCTTATGGCTTAATGCAGGAGTATGGAAATCCACAGGAAATTTGGATGACTATTATTCCAACATTACAAATGTTCAAGAGAGTTTTAGAAACTGTATTGAAATTAAAAGGAATGCCTGGGAGCAGAACATTTAAAACCACATAAACAAGTACACATCTATGAGAAATTACCTTGCCTTTTATCAACAACTACTAAAAAATAAAAAAGAACACGTAGTAAAATCAAAGCAAAACTTTCTTGGTAAAGTCTGCTACTGGAGAGGGTGCTTGATAACTTAGTTAATTTCATATTAGGAAGTTGGTTGCACCTGTGTGTGCCAGGTGACATATTAAGTATGAAGAAACATTTATGATAGGAAATTCCAGCTCTCCATTTGGGGCAAAGTGTTCAAGCAGTGGGGAATTGTTAGGTCTTGGGGTAGTTATCTCCTCACAAAATACCTTACATTATTCTTTAAATTAGATAAATGTTGAGTGAAGTTTGATTTCTCTCATTGTATGTGTGTAAAGCGACTTTGCTTGAGAAATTAGCCTAAAAGTCTATGTAACATGGTCTGATTCAAGGTTTATATCAATTTATGAAATTTGACATAGATAACTTATAATTAGCCTGCTTCATCTTTCCCGGATTGAAGTTTGTTTCTCATTCATTCATTCATTCATTCATACATGCTCCACCTTTAAGGCATCTTCAGAAAAGTACACGTGTGTCACCTGTGTATAACCAGCCATGCCTTGGTCCAGTCCCAGGATTAAGTCACATTCAAAGAAATAAGTATATCAGAGAAAATAATTGAAAATAAATATTTACTTCACCTTTCAGAAAACATCCAAGGGGGTAATAAATGCCATATATTTGATAAAACTTTAAAATCCTCTTTCTCCATCTCTCTGACCTTTTACATGTCTCTCAGCTACTTCCCCAAACTCTTTCTCCTTTTTGAAACCCTTCCCATATCCAGTCAGTGTATCTCCTCATGTCCTTACCTTTTCCCCTTCTTTCCTTTTAGGTTTATTTTCTTCTATTTCTTCTCTCACTATATTTCTTTTTCCACTTCTCCCCCTAATTCATTTCCCACACCTGTGTTCATAAGCTCAGAACCAGGAAAAGGAAACAAACCCAGAGTTCCCTTAGGAGGCAGCATGAGGAAGGAGGCTGAGATCATCCATATGCTATTATATTTTCTCATCATTGCACTTATTAAAGAAATTACGATATACTATTTAAAAATGGAAAGTCCAGACCAGGGAACATATAAATTGGCATGAAAAATGGGACAGTAAATTGCATGCTGCTCTTAGTTGTATGACTGATGCAGAACTACTTCATGGTCGGTGTTAAAAAGGGACTCCTTCCCATATTTCTTCCTCTTAATGAGTAGAGCACACGCCAGTCCCTTTGATAACAAAGCCCTTCCTAGTCCTTAACTCTCTAGGGGCTAAGGAAAAACTTCCCCTTCACCCTCTGAAGCTTCACTGAAAAATGAACTCATAAAAGGCAGATTAATAAGAGAGAAGCATACAATTTTTTTTTAACATTCATGAGGAGAACCCAAGTGTTTGGGAGACCATGAAGTGTTTACCCAAGCCTACAATGGGGTGCAGAAGCTTCTATACCATCTTGAGGTCACGGAAAGAATGGGGCTCAGGGCATGGCCAAAAATCAAGATTACAGTGGCAAGATAGATTATGGGGAAGGAAAGAAGAGGAGGAGGCCTGGCTTGTGAAGGTAGTCTTGTTATACAGATGAAACCTGATAGGTGGCAGCCATCAGAGAGGATAGGTGGTAAATGCTTCTTTCAGATCTTTAAAGGTGTCCGACTCTCAGTTAAATCTTTCCTAGATCAGGACAAGGGAAGACCTGGCTGGATTGATGCAAAACTCCCCCATGAAAGACAGCTTTGCAGGGGTACTTCTGTTTGCAAGCCCTCTGAACAGCCATCTCAAAACATGTCAAAGAAGCATATTCTGGAGTGAAATGCTTTTATTTCCTTCACTAGAGGTGTTCTCTGGTTCTCCAACACCAGTTGAGTGTCCAACAATTCCATTCAATTTTGACACTAACTTCTCAGAGTTAGCCTCAGACTCCACAGATTTAAGAGCTCTGTTGTAAGTCCCAGGTCCCCAGACCACCTGTACTTTTGTCCACCTTGACTGCAAATTTGGGGTTTCCCATGACCGCCTCCTCAGGTTTGAGAGTTCACTAGAACTGCGCAGGGGACTCAGGAAAACACTTTTCTTACACTTAACCAGTTTATTATAAAGGATATAACTCAGGAACAGCCCAATGGAAGAGAGGCAGAGGGCAAGGTATGGGGGACTCAGGGGTGGTAGGTTGGGGGATTCAGGGGTGGTGCCAACAAGCTTCCATGCCCTCTCTGGGTGCACCACCTTCGCAGACGCATAGTGTGTTCATCACCCTGGAAACTTTCAGAACTTCGACATTTAAGGGTTTTTCTTGGAGGTTCATTACCTATGCATGATTGATTAAATCATTAGCCCTTGGTGATTTTTGTTTGTTTGTTTGTTTGTTTTTGAGACAGAGTATCACTCTGTCACCCAGGCTAGAGTGCAGTGGAGCAATCTCAGCTCACTGCAACCTCTGCCTCCCGGGTTCAAGCAATTCTCCTGCCTCAGCCTCCCAAGTAGCTGGGACTGCAGGTGCATGCCACCACGCCTGGATAATTTTTGTATTTTTAGTAGAGATGGGGTTTCACCATTTTGGCTAGGCTGGTCTTGAACTCCTGATTCAAGTAATCAGTCCAACCTCAGCCTCACAAAGTGCTGGGATTACAAGAGTCAGCCACTGCGCGAGGCCTAGGCCTTAGTGATTTAACTCTATCTGCTGTCCCCTCCCCTCTTGAGAAGTGGACTGTCGGGTGGGGCTGAAAGTTCCAACCTTTTAATCCTGGCTGGATCTTTCTGGTGGCTAGACCCCATCTAGAAGCTCTCGAGGCACCTCCCTCCCTCCGCAGCTTTGAGTCATCTCATGAGAATACAAAAGACGCTCTTTATCACTCACGAGATTCCAGTGTTTTAGGAAGTCTGTGCCAGGAACCTGGGGACAAAGACCAAATACAGTAATGTTCCACATAAGCCACTGGCCTCATTTATGATGGTGGTTCCATAAGATTATGATGGGGCTAACAAATTCTATCATCCAGTAACATTGTCACCGTCATAGTGCAACACATTACTCAGTGATGCTGGTGTAAACAAACCCACTGTACTGCCAGCTGTGGAAAAGCATAGTACATACAATTATTTACGGTACATAATACTTGATAATGATGATAAATGACTGTGTTACTGGTTTATGTATTTACTACACTAGTTATTATTATTTTAGAGTGTTTTCTGATTATTAAAAAAAAAAAGCTAAACAGAACAGCCTCAGGCAGGTCTTTCAGGAGGTGTTCCAGAAAAAGGCATTGTTATCATAGGAGAGGATACTTCCCTGTGTGTTATTGCCCCTGAGAACTTCCAGTGGGACAGGATGTGGAGGTGGAAGACAATGACGTTGATGTTCCTGACCCTGTGTAGACCCTCTGTGTTTATGTCTTAGCTTTTGACAAGTTTAAAAAGTAAAACAAAAAAGTTAAAAATTTTAGAAATAGAAAAAAGCTTATAGAATAAGCATATAAAGAAAATATTTTTGTATGCTATACAATGTGTTTATATTTTTAGCTAAATATCAAAAAGTTATTTAAAAACTGATAAAGTAAAAAAGTTATAGTAAGCTAAGGTAGTTTATTATTGAATGAGGGAAAAAATTATATAAATTTAGTGCAGCCTAAGTATACAGTGTTTAGAAAGTCTGCAGTAGAGCACAGTAAGCACATTTACTCACCACTCACTCTCTGACTCCCCAAGAGCAGCAACCATACATGGTAAGGACCCTATACAGGTATATCATTTTTTCTTTTCTTTTTGAGACAGGGTCTTGCTCTGTTGCCCCAGATGGAGTGCAGTGGCATGATCATAGCTCACTGTAGCCTCAAACCTCCCAGGCTCAGGTGGTCCTCCCACCACAGCCTTCTGAGTAGCTGGAACTACTCAGGATGCCACCATGCCTGGCTAAATAAAAAAAAAAGAAAATTGTAGAGACAGGGTCTTTCTAGGCTGGTCTTGAAACTCCTGGGCTCAAGCAGTTCTTCTGCTTTGGCCTCCCAAAGTGCTGGGATTACAGGCTTGAGTCATCGTGCCTGGACACCATTTTTTAATACCATATTTTTATTTTACCTTTTATGGTTTTTTTTGTTTGGTTGGTTTTTTTTTTTTTTTTTTTTTTTTTTTTTTTTTTTTTTTTTTGAGACAGAGTCTCAATCTGTCACCCAGGCTGGAGTGCAGTGGCATGAACTTGGCTCACTGCAACCTCTGCCACCCAGGTTCAAATGATTCTCCTGCCTGAGCCTCCCGAGTAGCTGGGATTACAGGCACCTGCCACTGTGCCCAGCTAATTTTTGTAGTTTTAGTAGAGACAGGATTTCACTTTGTTGGCCAGGCTGGTCTTGAACTCCTGACCTAGAGATCCACTGCCTCGGCTTCCCAAAGTGCTGGGATTACAGGTGTGAGCCACCGCGCCTGGCCTACCTTTTATGTTTTTACACCTGTTTAGATACACAAATACTTACTGGTTACAACTGCCTACAGGATTCAGTACAGTAACATGCTGTACAGTTTTGTAGCCTAGTAGCAATGGGTTCTACCATATAGCCTAGGTGTGTCATAGGCTATTCTATGTGGGTTTGTAGTAAGTATATTCTATAATGTTTGTATAATGACAAAATCACCTAATGACACGTTTCTCAGAATGTATCCCTGTCGTTTAGCAAGGCATGATTATATTTATTTATTTTTTGTTATACCACAACCTGTGGTTGGTTAAAATCAAACTGGTAACTTGAGAGGTGGCCATTGTTGGATTTTTTTTTAAGAGCGTGATCAAGACCGTCTTGTGATTGGATGGTCATTGTCATGGAAATGCACCCTCAGAAAGATGAAAGCAAGGCCAAGATTTTTCTTCAAAATCTATTTTGGGTTTGCCTTTACATGTGAATGAATTATCCAGACTCAGAGTTCTGCACTAACTTTAGAAGGAAAAAAATTTAGAGTAGGTACTACCAGTCTACCACCCCAGAAATTCTGTTTTTGAGCAACATCACTTCCCAAGCAGTAGCCAGCATGTAGCAATTGGAAAAAATACCTCTAAGATGTTGAATGGACATGTTGGATGTAAACCAACTAAATTGAGAGCATCTGCCAAAATAAGTTTTAAAATTTCATACCTGATATTAGATTATTCTTTCTGAAAGTACCTGTAATGACAGAATGATTTATGAGGTCACTTCTAGTTTATGACAATGAAAGTATATTATCATAAAAGGGTACGTATGTCTAAAATTATTCAAAAGCAATGTCAGATTAATATAAGAGTTTATTTTTTAAAGTTGAGAGGAGAGAGAAGTTAAGCTAGAACATATTCTAATTTTATGCTACTTATAAGTGTTTTCTGTCATCAGGCCATTTCTGCTGATCATAAACTATGTTTCCCTTACGAGGCTTTCAGTAGAGTATTAGTTTATATACTAAACTGATTCGTTTCAGGATTCTGTATTTTAGCCCTTATTTCCCTCAATATTTCTACAGTTTAAGTAGTTAACGGGAAAGTCAGTTAAAATTGGATGACAGAGTCGCTGGCATCATTGAGTTTGTGCTTGCTTGAGATTTTTCAAGATAGTATGCTTTGTGTTTGACTAAAATGTCTTCAAGAAAACAACATTTTGCTGTTCTTCCAGAATTATGTCACTGCAATATATTGCTGTTGTAGCAAAATATATGTGTCACGAAAATATATGCCAATGCTGCTTTCTATAAGATTCATTGAGTAGTCAGAGAATACAGTTCATTTTGAGTAAAAAGCATTTCTAAAAAAATAATTTAAAAAGGTTTCCTTTACTAAGGAATTCTAGCAAAATAAAAAAATATTTTGGGAGACTTTCTTGGCTTTGTAAGGGATTATAAACAGCTTTGTGTAAGGGATTATAAACAATGATGAACTGATTCAATGCAGATCTAAGTAATTAGATATGAAAATGAGACTTAACTCTTTAGAAATCCTACCTGTTAAAATTTTCCTTCTAATACTCCCACTTCCAAGAGGCTGTTTTGAAGTCATCCACCATAAATAAAAAATTCACATCTGTAATATTCTAATTGCAGATTTCAGGGTAGTCTTGAATAAACCTTTTGCTTTTGCTTTAGAAATATGTTTATTGCTACTCACTGCCAGTAGTGAATTTTTTCAAGTATCATAGACAATACATTGAATAGCCATAGTAATGATTTAGACATAGACACTAAGACACTAATGTGATATGATGCTCAGTTTGCAATTATTTGTAACATAAAAGCTAAGTTAGCCAGTGTGGTAGGCTGAATAGTGACCCCCAAAGATAGCCAGTTCCTAATCCCTGGTACCTGAGAATGTTACCTTTTATGGCCAAAGAGATCTTGCAGATGTGATTAAGGGCCTTGATATAGGGACATTAACTTGGATTGTCTGAATGGGTCCTATATGCAATCCTAAGTGTCCATATAAGAGGGAGGTTTGACTGCAGAGAAAGCAGTGTGCCATGCAGCTGGCTTTGAAAAATGGAGGAAGGGGCTACCAGTAATATAGCTCTAGAAGCTGGAAAAAGCAAGAAAAGAACCTCTAATGGGGAGGATGGCCCTGTGGACGCCTTGATTTCAGCCTGGTGAGTCTGATTTTAGACTTCTGACCTCCAGAACTGTAAGAGAATAAATGTGTGTTAAGTTACCAAGTGTGTGGTAATTTGGTACAGCAGCCATAGGGAATTAATACATCCAGTCAATTTAACTATGTTAAATAAGCTACGTGCATAATATCAATGTAAAGCAAAAGAGAATAAACAACTTCCAAATACTTTCTTTAAATTTCTCTTTGCCAAATTTGATTAACTTCTGAGTTGCGGTGTTTGTCAGCTTATTCTTGGTTGATAAGCAGTAAAATTCCTAATATTTAAATATATTTGTAGGCCTTTTTGTTGACTTATAGCACAACACAATTCTCTTATTACCTGGAGTGAGTTCCCTTTTCTGGTTCCCTTCCTTAATTTATAGATGAGATATATATTACCATTGTCTGCACCATCAATTTCTCCAAACCATTTTTAGGCCGTGACTCAGCATTCTGACTTCTAGAAAAGGGAACCAAATTCTCACATGGGGCAATGTGTACATTCAACAAAGGGCTGTTTTGTTTTATAAATAATACAATGTAGACATTCTACACAGTGTGCATCCATTTTGCAGCAGTGTCATTTTGATCCTGGTACTGGGGGATGCTTATAAGGTTTTCTGAAATGTCCCACCCCAAGGCTTCTCTGAGAGAGAATTTGGTTTTGGCCATTTCTGGCCCCCACACTTTGGTTACCGGGGTCTTCTAAGACCTGCTGACCCACCACTGTTTTAACAGTACAAGGAAATCCTAGAAAAGGAAAATTGAATTGTTGTGGTTTCCCCTGATTGGCATTCTGTTTATCTGTCTTTATTAGAATGTGGTTGTTCTTTGAGGCTAGGGGAAATGCTGTTGTGTGTATGTGTACCCATCTGAAGGATATATTGCTAGTTATTGAACACAAAGCCAAAGAATCTCTTTTCCTAACTGTATTGGTTCTTTGAAGCCGGAGTATTTTCGTTTTAACTGATGAATTTCAGTTTTAGCAGTGGGAAGAATCTCATTATCACGATTAGAAAAAAGGAAAAAAAGAATGCATGTCTCCATGGGTTACACTAGAATCAGGAACATCCACAGGTTTTTCCAGTGATTACTCTTAAATCTTTTGTTTTTATTTGGCCAGAATTCCAAGAGAAAATTTTCTTCAAGTGAGTTGTTGTTTTAACTGTTTTTCTCCCTTTGCCTTTAAGTTTGACTTAATTTGGCATATAATGGCTCATAAGTGGGGATTTTCAGTGGAAATGGAAAACTATGAAATGACAAAATGAAATGGAGTTCAAAGAGTGATGTTCTTCTAGAAATAATAAGTGGCTTTGTATTGATGACTAAATTCATAGAGTTAAATACAATTAATATTTATGTAGAGTGAGAAAAAGGACATGAACATATATTAATACCTGGCATTTGTCACATACCTTCTTTTTTGTGTTAAATATGTTGTGCTTTATATGTTCTCTCATTTACTTGGATTCTTTGAAATCCCCAAGTAAGAATAACAGCAGCAGCACAACAAATTAGTAACTTTTGTTTATTAAGCTCTTCCTGGAAACCAGGCACAGGTTGTGTTTAATAGTAAAGTAAGCTTTCTCTGTACCATTTGCTTTAATCACCATTAAAAACCCATTGGAGGCTATTATTTTTATGTCAAGGACAACAAACCTGAGGCTTAGATTTGGTAACTCGCCAAAGGATGTGCATCCAAAGTACAAGACGATTCAAACACAAACGTTTCTGCCCAAAGACTGAGCTCGTTCCATTGTCAGAGGTGGCAGAAGTCAGAATTAGACGACCAGGAAAAAACAGCCTAGGCCCTGAAGGTCAGAACAATGCAATGACAAGGCTGCAGCCAGAACAGCCAAGAAAAGAACCAAGAGAAGGTCCCTGGAGGGAGGCAGACCAGCTCTATCTGATTTAAAAAAAAAGTGATGTGGGATTGCAGTCCAGCAATTTACTAAGCTAGCTGGACTCAGGAGAAAGAATGAACCACTAAACAAGAGGTAGCAAAATGTTGCCATAGCTGCAGATATTTAATTTTGTTGTTGTTTGTTAACCTTATAATTACAAAAGTAATATATGCTTACCGTACAAAAGATTCAACACCACCACATTACATACCTATAAAGTAAAAGTTCTTGGCTGGGCACGGTGGCTCATGCCTGTAATCCCAGCATTTTGGGAGGCTGATGTGGGCAGATCACGAGCTCAGGAAGTAGAGACCATCCTGGTCAACATGGTGAAACCCCATCTCTACTAAAAATACAAAAATTAGCTGGGCATGGTGGTGCTGCATGCCTGCAATCCCAGCTACTCAGCAGGAGAATCGTGTGAACCAGGGAGTCGGAGGTTGCAGTGAGCCAAGATCGCGCCACTGCCCTCCAGCCTGGTGACAGAGCAAGACTCTGTCTCAAAAAAACAAAAAAGTGCAAGTTCTTCTCTCCCCACTCATTGACCAACCGTTTTCTCATACATCCACCGAACCTGTATATATCCATATCTATGTGTATATTTGGTCTTGAGGGATTTTGCTTTTTTTGTTGTTGTTTTTTCCACAAAAATGGAGTCATGCTGCAATACTGTTTTACATCTTTTTTTCATGAAATAATGCTATAGCTACATATTTTATATTAGTACTCTATTTCCCTACAGAGGCGATTTTAAGGAGAAAGTTTGTATGAAAGAAGACTTTCATGGGTCTGTTCTCATGGCTGGTCAATTTTGATATTTTCTAGTTTTCTTCCTGGAGCTATTAGCCCCAAATTATAGAGCAGTGTTTTGTTGTTGTTCTTGGTTTGGTTTTGGTTGTTTTTTTGTTTGTTTTTATTTTTGCTTTTAATAGCCTTTGTAGAGGAATGGGCTTCTGACTGTCTTGGCTTCTGGACTTTTCCAGGGCTAGAAATTCTGCAGTGGAAGGAAAATGTAATCAAATGTGAGACTTAGAAAAAACATAGGGAAGTGCAAGACCCTTGGGATGGTTTAGTTTGGATATAAAAAAGAAAAAAAAATTTTTTTTTTTTTTTTTTAATCAAAACAACTTTAACACATTTCCTACTCTTCTCCGCCAAGGGCAAACTATTAGAGCCAGACAGGACCTTGAAAATCATGTTAGCCTCTTGCTTTTGTTTACTTAGAAGTCCCAGGGGGTTTATCATATTTCCAATGCAGGTTGCAGGGCTGATTACAGAGAAAGCCAAGCCCAGAACCCAAATCTGTGTTCCAGTCTTTCTGTGAGTGCACAATCCATTGAAGCCCACTAAATTTTCAGGCCCCCACATAGTTTGTAGAATTTTCAGAGTCCACTGGATTTTATTTTAAAGTTGACGTTTACATATATGCCATAGCCACATTTAGAGGGGCTTCGGGGAGGCCCTGTGGCAGTTGGCTGTAACCTAGGCTTGTGAATTCCCGCTCCACAACTAAACTGTGCCCTGTGACCTTGGGAAATGGCCCTAGTTTTTCTCAGCCTTCCTTTTCTTATCTGTAAAATAGAGATAAAACTCCCTACCTCATTGGGCTTTTGTGAGGATAGGCTAATATTTGTGAAGTACATAGCATGGTGCCTGGTTCCTTAGTCAACTTAGTAGTTCCTGTTAGAAGAAAGCTGTTTAAAGCTTGTCATAAGTTTTTGAAAAGTAAAATTCAGTTTAAAAAATTTGACAATATTTGTGTGTTAGATTATTATAGTAGGAGAGAGATTTCAAAGACTACTTAAAATATTTTTAATATGTAATTGTACATGGTATAAAATTCAAAATGTACAAATGAGAACATAATAAAAAGTATTTGTGTGTGTGTGTATGTACCCTTGTACACATATTTTCTGCATATACTTGTTACATTTTAAATACTGTATCTTTAGCCTTCTCTCTAATCTCTTGCAAATAGGACTAACTATAGCTCTAGATCAATATTGTCTAGTACTTTCTGTGATGCTGGAAGTATTCTGTATTGTGTGTTGTCCAATAGAGTAACCACTAGGACATGAGTCTAGAAATGTATTTCTTACAAGTGAATAATTTTAAGTTCAATTTTAACTAAATGTAGTAACTATCGGTGACTGGCTGGTGGCTACCACATTGAGCAATGCCATACAAGGTATTTACGTCTTTTTCAAAAGTGTGCATTTTTCAAAAACACATGGATCCCAAATTTTAAAATTAAGAACAGAGTCATATATAACTGTGAATTTAATACTAATTAAAGCAGTCTGTAGTTCAGTACATTTTAAATTATGTGTGGCTAATATGTAGAAAGCTGAAACTGGATCCCTTCCTTACACCTTATACAAAAATTAATTCAAGGTGGATTAAAGACTTAAATGTCAGACCTAAAACCATAAAAACCCTAGAAGAAAACCTAGGCAATGCCATTCAGGACAGAGGCATGGGCAAGGACTTCATGTCTAAAACACCAAAAGCAATGGCAACAAAAGCCAAAATTGACAAATGGGATCTAATTAAACTAAAGAGCTTCTGCACAGCAAAAGAAACTATCATCAGAGTGAACAGGAAACCTACAGAATGGGAGAAAAATTTTGCAATCTACCCATCTGACAAAGGGCTAATATCCAGAATCTACAAAGAACTCAAACAAATTTACAAGAAAAAAACAACCCCATCAAAAAGTGGGCAAAGGAATGAACAGACACTTCTCAAAAGAAGACATTTATGCAGCCAACAGACACATGAAAAAATGCTCATCATCACTGGTCATCAGAGAAATGCAAATCAAAATCACAATGAGATACCATCTTACGCCAGTTATAATGGCGATCATTAAAAAGTCAGGAAACAACCAATGCTGGAGAGGATGTGGAGAAATAGGAATGCTTTTACACTGTTGGTGGGAGTGTAAATTAGTTCAACCATTGTGGAAGTCAGTGTGGCAATTCCTCAAGGATCTAGAACTAGAAATACCATTTGACCCAGCCATCCCATTACTGGGTATATACCCCAAGGACTATAAATCATGCTGCTATGAAGACACATGCACATGTATGTTTATTGCGGCACTATTCACAATAACAAAGACTTGGAACCAACCCAAATGTCCATCAATGATAGACTGGATTAAGAAAATATGGCACGTATACACCATGGAATACCATGCAGCCATAAAAAAGGATGAGTTCATATCCTTTACAGGGACATGAATGAAGCTGGAAACCATCATTCTCAGCAAACTATCACAAGGACAGAAAACCAAACACCGAATGTTCTCACTCATAGGTGGGAATTGAACGATGAGAACACTTGGATACAGGGTAGGGAACATCACACACTGGAGCCTGTCGGGGGGTGGTGGTTGGGGGATGGATAGCATTAGGAGAAATACCTAATGTAAATGACGAGTTGATGGGTGCAGCAAACCAACATGGCACATGTATACTTATGTAACAAACCTGCATGTTGTGCACAAGTACCCTAGGACTTAAAGTATAATAAAAAATAAATAAATAATGTGTGGCTAATAAACTTTATTTTAAAATCAAATACCTTAAATAAGAAGATGGGAGTTCATTTTGGAGACCATGCTGCTAATCAGAGAAAGCTGTGAAATGGCTGTTTGTAGAAGAGCACATCTCAACCAAATCAGAACATTTAAATCAACTTAAAGTGGAAAAATTCAGAAGATTAAGAAGCAGCATATCTCAGAACATGGGCTCATTTATCCATTAATTTATTCAAGAAATATTTACTGAGTACCTAATGTGTGCCATGTAAGAAAGGAACTTGCCCAAGACCCTGGCTTTGCTTACTGCCAGTGCCCCAAACTCATTTCCTTTTGTAAAAGAAAAAGCTTCAGAAGAAAACCCGTTTTCATTCAGCTACTACAAATGATTTCTTTAGCAGGAGCCCCTTGCTCACTTCTGCAGTCAGTCGGCTAACTCTGGGCTGGAACACTAGTAGGGAAAAAGTGAAGTATGTGTGCATTCTACAAGTGCCTACACCATTATAATATAAAAAAGCCAAGAGATTCCAGAATTTAAAAAAGCTCTTTAATATTCCTTTATGGAAAGGTATAAATAAGAAGCTCGCAATCATGGTATCAAGCCACATTGCCTCATTCTTCTGCCCTTGGGGAAGCCCATAGCGTAATTTGTCTTTTCTTTTGGCTTTCACCTTGCCTTCCCCAAACAGTGATTGCTTCTTATGTTAGCATTGCATTTGTTCTAAGTCTTATTCTTTTTTTGCACTTTGAAAATTTTCTGTTATGACATGTTTTGTTTTCATAATAAAAGAAGAAAAATATAATATCATAAAACGTAGTCCAGGCCACAGAGATGATGAAAGCCTGACAAAGCAGAGATTATGAAGAGAAGGTAAACTGGAGTGGGAAAGATAGGATTAGAAGATAGAATTGACAAGTCTTGACTACAATTTAAAACACCTGTTTTATGTAATTGTGATGTATTTTAAAGAAATACAAATGCAAAATAAAGGTTTTGGGTTTTTTTCCCACTTGTACTCACAGCAATCAAATCTTAAATGTACTTCATTATTTTTCAGTCACTCATCATTTAAGATGATTTGCCAAGTGTATTTTTAGTCCACAGTATAAAATCAGTCTATATTTGAGGTCATGAAAAATGCTTAGATGAAATAATGGGAGTTCATTTTTCTGCAAGACCAATTTTTTTCAGTTTATCTTAAGTTAATGATAGCAAATCCGTATTGTGAGACTATCTTAACAAGATAGATATTGACGTAAAAACAAAAGGTAAGGACTGAAAGATTAAAGCCCTGAAAAGGAATGCTTGAAGAGCATTAACTATACCAAATTTCTCAGGTTGGCAGCTATTCTCCTTTGTAAAAAGTGTTAGAAATTGATCTCTATACTTGGAAGGAAGGATTTTACAGAGGGCTTCCAGAAACACATCTGATTTCCAGTTGCAAGATCAGAATATTCTAGTTATATTGATAATCTCCAGAGAAACAAAGTCTCATGAGTACTTTAGTCAAAACAAAAGATTATCTGATTGTAGAATTTCTAAGGTATTAAATGGTACTCTGCTGTTAAACAACTTTGGGATTGCTATTTTCTAGCTTTTTTTCTGAAGTAACAACTGTGTTTGGCTATATGTGTTGATAATAATAGTCTGTGTAGAAAAGGGAGAAAAAGAATAAAACAATGTATCCCATTTTGTTATTTCCATGAGTGAAAATGAGTCTCTAATGAGATGTCCCCAAACAGTGCTGCCGTTCATCAAAGCACATGCCCCAGATCTGAGTGAGTTTAATTATCGTGGGGACAGTGAAAGGAGGACATTTAAATCAACTTAAAGTGGAAAAATTCAAAAGATTAAGAAGCAGCATATCTCAGGCTGCATAGAACTAATATTAGTATTTGACATCTCTTTTCATCTAGAAGGAATCACCTTCGGAAGGGGGCAACAAAGTTAATCCCAAACATGTTTTTGATCAGCCAATACATCAGAATCAGCCCATCATTTTGGAGAAAGAGATGAGCTCTCTGCATAGATAAGCCTCCCAATGTAAAGAGACAAGCTCTGTGTGGTATCTAGATTGCTGCAGAATAATTTGAGCCTCACGCAGGACTTTTGATCAGAAGAGAAATTTTGATCAGGAGAGAAATTGTTTTATTAGGGGCATTATCTGAATTTTGCTAGAGCAACCTACTCCTTTACCAGAAAAATAAGTTAAAATCAGGATAGAAAATAATATGTTTAATGAAAATAATTCCTTTTTATGAGTCTCCAATTGTTTGGTGATTTTTGGTTATTTTTTTATTATTAATTATATGATTATTTCAATAGCTTTGGTGGTACAAGTGGTTTTTGGTTATGTGGATGAATCATATAGTGGTGGAGTCTGAAATGTTAGTGCACCTGTCAACTGAGTAATGTACATTGTACCCAATATGTAGTTTTTTATCCCTCAGCCACATCCCACCCTCCTCTGGTCCATTATCATACTATATGTTTTTGCATCCTCATAGCTTAGCTCCCACTTATAAGCGAGAACATGTGATATTTGATTTTTCATTCCTAAGTTACTTCACCTAGAATACTTACCTCCATTTCCATCCAAGTTGCTGCAGAAGACATTATTTTGTTCTTTTCTGTGGCTGAGTAGTAGTCCATGGTGTATATAGACCACATTTTCTTTATCCACTCATCAGTTGATGGGCACTTTGGTTTATTCCATTTCTTTGCAATTGTGAATTGTGCTGCAATAAACTTACACATGCAGGTATTGTTTTCGTATAATGACTGTTTTTCCTTTGGGTAGATACCCAGTAATGCAATTGCTGGATCGAATGGTAGATATACTTTTAATTTCTTCGAGAAATTGCCATACTGCAAATGTTGTACTAATTTATATTCCCACCAGCAATGTATAAGTGTTCCCTTTTCACCACATCCACACCAACATCTATTGTTTTTTGACTTTTTAATAACAGCCATTCTGGCTAGAATAAGGTGGTATTTCATTGTGGTTTTTATTTGTATCTCCCCGATGATTCGTGATATAGAGCATTTTAAAAAATAAGTTTGTTGGCCATTGTATATCTTTTTTTTTTTCGAGAAATATCTATTCATGTCATTTGCCCACATTTTAATGGGATTATTTGCTATTGTCTTGCTGACTGAATACCTTATAGATTCTAGATATTAGTCCTTTGTCAGATGCATAGTTTGTAAATATTTTCTCCCATTCTGTCTGTTTACTCTCATGATTTCTTTTTCTTTTTGTTGTTGTTGTGCAGAAGCTTTTTAGTTTAATTAGGTCCCATTTATTTTTGTTTTTATTGCATTTGCTTTTGGGGTCTTAGTCATAAATTCTTTGCTTAGGCCAATGTCCGGAAGAGTTTTTTTGTTTGTTTGTTTCTTTCTGAGAAAGAGTCTTTCTCTGTCGCCCAGGCTGGAGTTCAGTGGCACAATCTCAGCTCACTACAACCTCCGCCACCTGGGTTCAAGCGATTCTCCTGCCTCAGCCTCCTGAGTAGCTGGGACTACAGGCACGTGCCACCATGTCTGGCTAATTTTTGTATCTTTAGTAGAGATGGGGTTTCACCATGTTGATCAGGCTGGTCTCGAACTCTAGACCTTGTGATCTGCCTGCTTAGGCCTCCCAAAGTGCTGGGATTATAGGGTGAGCCACCGCGCCCAGCCCAGAAGAATTTTTACTAGGTTTTCTTCTAGAGTTTTTGTGGTATCAGGTCTTAGAGTTAAGTCTTTAATCCATCTTGAGTTGATTTTTATGTATGGTGAGAGATAAGGGATGCAGTTTCATTGTTTTGCATATAGCTATTCAGTTTTTCCAGCACCCTTTATTGAATAGAGTTTCCTTTCCCCAGTTTATGTTTTTGTATGCTCTGTCGAAGATCAGTTGGTTGTGAGTATTTGGCTTTATTTCTGGGTTCTTTATTCTGTTCCATTGCAATGTCTATACATTTACATTTATACAGGTACCATGCTGTTTTGGTAACTATAGCTTTGTAGTATAATTTGAAGTTGGGTAATGTGATGTCGGGTAATGTGATGCCTTCAGATTTATTCTTTTTGCTTAGGATTTCTTTGGCTATTTGGGCTCTTTTTTGGTTCCATATGAGTTTTAAGATTGTTTTTTCTAATTCTGTGAAAAATGATGTTGGTATTTTGATAGGAATTGCATTGAATCTGTCGATTGCTTTGGGCAGTATGGTCATTTTCACAATATTGATTCTTCCAGTCCATGAGCATGGGGTGTATTTTTATTTGTTCATGTCATCTACAATTCCTTTCAGCAGTGTTTTGTAAGTTTCCTTATAGAGATATTTTGAGTTCTTTTTTTTGTTCTCTTTCTTTTTTCTCTGCCTGTCCTTGAGTTCTTGATTTGATTGTCAGCTTGGTCATTGTTGCTGTATAGCAGTGCTACTGATCTGTGTACATCGATTTTGTATCCTGAGACTTTACTGAATTTATCAAATCTAGGAATCTTATGAAGGAGTCTTCAGGGTTTCTAGGTATTTGATTGTATAATTGGCAAACAGAGATAGTTTGACTTCCTCTTTTTTTATTTTGGATGCTCTTAATTTCTTTCCCTTTCCTGATTGCTCTGGCTAGGACTTCCAGTTTTGGTCTTTTAAACAAACATTAAAAGATAGCTAAACTAAGAGATGGGGAGTATATTCATCTATGACTTTTCCTCTGCTGCTCTGTCTCTTATGCCATATACTAATTTGTTAGCCAATGAATATCTAAGAACCTGGCTGCTCAGTGTTCAGTAAATAATAGCCTAATTAAAATACCTTGTTGGAATATGGGACCTTTATCTCCAAAGCTGAATGTCTCATTTTTCTTACCATGCTTAGTTGTCATGTCTTTATGATTGTATTAGGGGATATTTTACTATTTCTGTTTCTGTTTGTGTTATATGTTGACATGTATTATGTCAATTAAGCCTAATAAAAGATCCTGTTAGAGACCTAAGGAAGTACAGTTATCACCATTTAAGATATAAGAAAACTAAGGTTCAAGGCGTGAAATTCCTAGCCTGAGGTCAGAGTTCTCTTAAGTGTTGTAGCCTCAGGGAGGGACCTCTCTAGCCTGCCAAATTGATTTGTTTGACATCACAGAACAATGCAGTGAAATATCAAATTTCAGTCCCTGTGTATCCTACAGTTATCTCATTTTTCTACCCAAACAGGTCCTTATCCATTGCCCAACATCAAATTGGACATATGCTCAAAAGGGTGAAGGAAATAGAAATGTATGAGAGAAATCTAACTGTGCCTAGATACTTTCTATCTAGGCACAGGGAAAAGGGACATAATTTTAAAATACATATTTATATATGAGTAGAGTACAACATATACTAGAGGCCAAGGCCCTTGTTCTCAAAGCACTTAGATTCTGATAAGGCAAAAACATTCTCGACTATCAAGTACAGAGTGACATATCAATTAATTACAGAGTGATGTGTCCACTGAAAATATTTTGAGGTATTGGCTTTCAGTGAATTATGCTAACTTTATCTCTTACACATATTTGGCTCAGGAGTAAAGAATTTGTAACATCAAATATGTTAACTAATAATCAAATAATCAGTCAGCTATCAGTAATCATAATGAAAATCATGTATTGTCATTATGGCATTTTCTATTTTAGGAAATGCAGCTCTTTCTTCACTACTATTGCCATATGTTTAAAGGAAAAGAATTACTCCTATGTGACCCAGTTCACACCTTGCCAAATCCTTTTACTCAGTATGTGAGCCAATTACAAAGGACTTGTTTTTACAAATGTGCTTGCCCATCAGTCAAAAGTACCACTGAAACCAGAAACATTTTCTTAAAATGTAATCTTCCAAACATGGCATTCTAGTAGCATAACCATATATTGTGATTTTTAAAAATACTCAACATTTCTTAGCCTATGGAAGAATCTCATTTTTCCTCAGGCCTATGGCAGTTCTCAATAATTTTATGAGATATAGTATTGACTATATCAAGTTGAAGAAAGGCCACAGATCTCCATGTAAGAATTTGTAAGTTATTGGAAAAGAAAAAAGAACAATACATGTAATGAACCATATTATAAGGAAAGTGTTTTCTGTATCAGTTCATTAGTTTTCAAAGTCCAGCAGCGTGAAATTAATATGATTTCTACCAGCAAATCATCTCTCCAATGTTTTTTCTTTTTTTTCCCTCTTTCCTAGACTGAAAAAGAAAAAACAAGCCAAACAAAATGCAGAGACAGCCTCAGCTGTAGCTACAAGGACTCATACTGGGAAGGAAGATAATAATACAGTAGTTTTAGAGCCAGACAAGTGCAACATTGCTGTGGAAGAGGAATATATGACTGATGAGAAAAAAAAGAGAAAAAGTAATCAGTTAAAGGAGATCAGGCGTACAGAACTAAAGAGATATTATAGTATTGGTGAGTATTCATGGCGTTACTGCAGTATTTTCATTTAAAAAATCTATAAGAATTTTTAAAAGACTATCATTTGTGATTGATCATAATAATGGTAACAGTTTATGGAGCAGCTGCTATGTGCCCCTGGCCCTTGCTTTACATACATAATCTTGTGTAAGGGGATCACACTAAAATAATGTCTCATTTAAATTTGTGTTCCCAGCATTTAGCACAGTGCCCAGAATGTATTGTGTACTACTAAACGTTTATCTAATGAAGAGTCACTTTCTCTTTATGAGAAATATTTTTCTTAATGTATGTAGACATATTCATAAATATGCTGATAGAAATGCCTGTACTTTTTGGCATTTGCTAGACAGTAGAAAATGGAGGAGACTTGGCCTAGCAAGTTTTTGTTTTTGTTTTGTTAAAAAAACAAAAACAAAAACAAACAAAAAAAAACACCTAGGAGTCTTTTTTTTGAGACAGAGTCTTGCTCTGTCCCCTAGGCTGGTGTGCAATGGCATGATCTCGGCTCACTGCAACCTCTGCCTCCCAGGTTCAAGCAATTCTCCTGCCCCAGCCTCCCAAGTAGCTGGGATTACAGGTGCCCACCACCATGCCCGGCTAATTTGTTGTACTTTTAGTAGAGACGGGGTTTCACCATGTTGAGCAGGCTGGTCTTGAATTCCTGACCTCAGACACTTGAGAATCTTAAAGGGAATCTTGAAATGAGTCCATAGTGTTATATAGTTTCTCAGAATAACCCGTGCATCTGAAACTACATTCGCAGAAGTGGCGTATCTAGCTTGACCTGAATCACCCATCTCACACCTACTGTTCTATCACATGCATACATGGATTTTGTTTCAAAGAGAATGCAAATAAATGAAATAAATAAGGGTACCAGGAATCAGAACTTGGCGTGGCATACAGGTTATGGCATACTTGAGATTGCTAGGAAAGGGAGAGAAAACTGAGAGCAGTGTCTGAGAACATACTGCAAATACGGTAAATGAAATGTGGTCTCATAGCAGAGAAATGACACTCGTTCTGGGCCACCCTCAACTTGGTCCTCATTAATACCAAAGTTACAGGAAGACATATGTTTATGTCTCCATGTTTTTTTGTTTGTTTTTTGTGTTTTTTTTGAGACAGAGTCTCGCTCTGTCACTCAGGCTGGAGTGCAGTGGCGCGATCTCGGCTCACTGTAAGCTCTGCCTCCCGGGTTCACACCATCCTCCTGCCTCAGCCTCCCGAGTAGCTGGGACTAGAGGCACCCGCCACCACGCCCGGCTAATTTTTTGTATATTTAGTAGAGACGGGGTTTCACCGTGTTAGCCAGGATGGTCTCGATCTCTTGACCTCGTGATCTAAGAGATGGGGCCTCCCAAAGTGCTGGGATTACAGGCGTGAGCCACCATGCCTGGCCATGTCTCCATGTTTAATGTAACCTTCCAACAGTGTTGGAAGACATATGGCATGGCATACAGGTCATGGCATACTTGAGATTGCTAGGAAAGGGAGAGAAAGCAAAGGGCAGTCACTAAGAACACACTGCAAATACGGTAAATGAAATGTGGCCTTGTAACAGAGTAATGACACTTGTTCTGGGGTGTCCTAAACTTGGTCCAAGGTAAGGGAAACATACCTTGTATCCATGTTTAATGAAACCTTCCAACAGTGTTTGAACAGTATTCCAAGATAAAATGGACTGCCCTTGAGGTAGTAATAAAAGCTGCATTGCTGATGTTGCTACCGTACAGGCAGATGATCTATCGGCAGCCGAAAGCATGTGGTTTGTAGCTTTACAGTGGGCTAAGATGATAGTATAATGTATTACATGTCTTAATGGATGTTTTTAATCTCAAGCTATTCAGTATTTTATAAAAAGCTATAACTGTCAACCTGTTGAAAGATACTTCTGTACTATTAATAAACTTCCTTTTAAAATGTAAATATTAAATATTATCCCTTATTTCCAAAAAGAGGAAGAGGATTAAGGAAAATTGCATTTCATATCTTTCGTTTGTTTTGAGATTGGGTCTTGCACTGTCACCCAGACTGGAGTACAATGGTAGGATTATAGCTCACTGCAACCTCCGACTTCAGGGCTCAAGCAGTCCTTCTGCCTCAACCTCGTGAGTAGCTGGGATTACAGGCATATGACACCACACTCAGCTATATATATACACATACACACACACACATATATATATATATTTTTTTTTTTAAGAGAGAAAGATGGGGTTCTCACTATAAAATTGGTCTCAAGCTTCTAGTCTCGAGCAGTCTTCCGGCCTCGAAGTCCGACCAGCAATGCTCCTGCCTTGGCCTCCCAAAGCATTTTTTTTTTTTATATACAGAGTCTCGCTCTGTCACCCAGGCTGGAGTGCCATGGCACAATCTCAGCTCACTGCAACCTCTGCCTCTGGGGTTGAAGCAATTCTCCTGCCTCAGCCTCTCGAGTAGCTGGGATAACAGGTGCACACCATCACGCCCGGCTAATTTTCAGCAATGCAGCACTTATTACCACCTATTTTTTTAGTAGAGATGGGATTTCACCATGTTGGCCAGGCTGGTCTTGAACTCCTGACTCCAAGTGATCCACCCACTTTGGCTTCCTAAAGTGCTGGGATTACAGGCATGATCCACTGCACCCGAGCCCAAAGCGTATGCTTTTTTTTTTTTTAAATGATTTCTCGCTGTAATAGGATAACCTTTTTATGTGGTATACTCTGTCGCGTGTGTAATGCTGAGTCTGAAACAATGTGCTTCACTCTTTACCTGACTGGCTCTTACCTGACTTAACAAAATCAGCTCAGTCATCATTTCTTCCAGAAGCCCTCCCTGTCCCTGTCCAGGTTAGACTTCCTTTCTGCATTGTTATCATGGATGTATTTGATTACCTATGTACAGGCTGGGGTGACTTAGACCCTAGAGTATTAGCTTTGTGTAGTGTCTTCAGCTTGACGTGTGCTCTTTAAGTGTGCATTGAAAGGAATAGTTAATACATAGATAAATGAATATTTTTAATTGTTGGAGTTTCAAGAAAACTCTGGAAGAACATAGATAATAGTGTAGTCATTGGGTCAGAAGTATCCTGTGATTTATCTGGTAGCAGTAAGTAAAGAAATGTGGCCAGGCTCAGTGGTTCACACCTGTAATCCCAGCACTTTGGGAGGCTAAGGTTAGGAGGATCACTGGAGGCCAGGAGTTCAAAGCCAGCTCAGGCAATGTACAAGATCCTGCCTCTACAAAAAATACATTAGCCAGGCATAGTAGCACACACCTGTAGTCCCAGCTACTTGGGATGCTGAGGTGAGAGAATTGCTTGAGCCCAGGAGTTGGAAGGTGCACAAATCTACTGCACTCCAGACTGAGTGACAGAGCGAGACACTGTCTCTGAAAAAAAAAAAAAGAAAGAAATGCCATTAAAGCTTACCATCTCTCAAGAATAACAATGATAGCAACCGGTTTGGAGGTTTGAGGCATTTCCTCAGGAGAAGCCAGTGCTTAGATAAAACCTCTAGGTGGAATTCACCTTTCCACCTAGACCCTTTCCAAATCTGACTAGAGGTGACAAACTCTCATCTTGGCAGGTTTGTTGGCTCTCCCAGCGTCTGACCTGGCGTGTTTCTCAGTCCCATCCCAAGGCGATGTTCTCTACCGCTAGATGGAGCATCAGACCTCAAGTCAAGAGCATCCCAGTTCACTGCTGCTTTTGGTGGCTCTAGTCTGGGAGGGAAGGGGAGACTTGAAAATGGGAGGATCTCATTGGCTTGCTAAGGATTTGGGATTTACCTTGTAGTCAGTGGAGAGCCATTGGAGGAGAATGTCAAGGGAAAAGGAAATTCTTTACTTTTTGTTTGCTCTACATTTAGTTTACCATCAACTCTGTGATGAATCTGATATGAAGAAGGCAGGCTGTGCTGGTCTGAGACTAGGGCTTAGGGGAAGGGGCACACCGAAGGGGCACACAGCAGCATTTGATGGTCAGTGTAGTGTGTGAGGGAGGAAAAAAAAAAACAGAGGCAAAAATTGACAGACTAGGAAGCTCAAGAAGGAGGAAAGAAGATAATGAATTTGTTTGGAGATGTTTTTGAGCTGCCAGGTAGATTTGTCTAGAGGGGCCTAGATTTCATGTGAAAGGCCTACAAATTGCTACTTACAGGTATCAGAAGAATCTGCATGTGTAAAACAAAAGTAATCCAGTGAATGCACAGAGAGCCAAAATGAAAAGTTAATGGACAACAAGTAATAATGAATGTATCGAAAAAAAGACTAGGAGGATATGTAACAATATGTTGATAGTTGTTTTCTCTGGTTACAGAAATTTTGAGGCAGTTTTTTTGTATATTACACATAGTTATTTTTAATATTAATAATCAGAAAATAGAGTTGAAAATAAAGTAAAAGTAAGGGCTTTGCAAAAATCAAAAGCATTAGACAAATACGAAGTTCTATAAGCAATATATAACAAAATAATTACTTTCTGTAGGTATCTATTCCACATCTATAACATCATCTGCCTGATCCAAAGAAGTGTATTTCGATAAAATAATGTTTTTACTTGTGAAATTACTTTTATCTGTGCCTCACTTAATCCTTGGGTAATAAGTCATTGCTATCTCCTGACACTTAGGAAAACACAACAGTTCAGATACTAATAAAGGATGCTTCAGAAAGATTGAGTCACTAGAATTGCCTCATAACAACATGGTGCTAATTCTAAAAATGCCTTGTTTTTTGAGAGGGAAGTAGGAGAAAGGAAGCAGAGTGATTACATTGAGGCAGATGGCATCAGATAAATCTAGATCCAACACCTAGCGCAGCACCTGGCACAAATTAAGCATCAAAAAAACCTTCCAGAATGAGTGAACTGAGCCCTTTCGTGCTTTCATTTGTGTTTACTAATATATAAAGTACTCCTTTTTCATTTATTCTGTTTGGGTAAACTCTTAAGGAATTTTTTGGTGAAAATGTGTCAATATATTTTTCAAAATTAGTTATTAAGTTAAATTTGATACAAGCACCTTGGAATGTTTATAAATGTATTAAAAGATGTTTGGTCTATATTACAATATCAAAATAATTAAATTGACATGAACTATATCATAGGATACTTTTTCTTTTTCTTTTTGTTGAGACAGAGTCTTGCTCTGTTGCCCAGGCTAGAGCACAGTGGTGCAATCTCGACTCATTGCAACCTCTGCCTCCCAGGTTCAAGTGATTCTCATGCCTCAGCTTCCCGAGTAGATGAGATTACAGGCACACGCCACCATACCCACCTAATTTTTGTATTTTTAGTAGAGACGGGGTTTCACCACGTTGGCCAGGCTGGTCTCCAACTCCTGGCCTCAAGTGATCCACCCACCTCGGCCTCCCCAAGTGCTGGGATTACAGGCGTGAGCCACAGCACCCCGCCCGGATCCTTTTATATTAAAGGAATTCATTATTTCTTAAACTTAGAATAGTGAACATCTTTGCTTCTAAGAATATGGAGATAGAAATGGAAATTTTACAAATATGGGTAACATTTCAGTGTCGGGAAGTTCTTCATTTGAAACATAGCTGTGCAGCCATAAGATTGGAAAGAGATGGGCACATATTATAAATAAGGGGGGACAAGACTAAATTGGGATAAAATATATTATTATGATTATGTAATGTTTTAATATAAAATGTGAATACCAAGATCTTGGATAGTGAAGTTGAATTTTAAGAAAATTATACTTGGGAGGTCTTATAACAAACATAAAAGACTTAAATAAGAGAGCATAGCTCATTTTGTGATTATCGTAGTCAAAGATTTATTTAAAGAGAACCTCTGCAGTACAAAGAATGAATTTAGCTTCCAATATAAAATGTGTAATGTCTATATTAATCATTTCAAATCATAGTTTTCCCTCCTGAACTCAAAAGAAACTTAAAAAAATAAATGAAATCCTCTGCTTTTCCTTTGCTGTCTGTTTTGGTTTTTTGACAATGTGGAAGTAACAGACTACTAAGTTATTTCTCACAAAGGCAGCCCAACACTTTTCCATACACAGATTACTTTTTCTTAATGTTTTTTTTCCTAACTACACATGTGAAGATTTCATGTCCATCATTTGTCTTCGTTTTACTTGGCAAGTTCAAAGAGCCAAAGTTATGTTATATTTGATAAATAAACTTCTAAACATAAACAGGTCAAGCCACAAATGTCTAATAACATTGCTCTTCTGTTCAAAAGTAATGATCGTCCTGGTACTTTAGATCTTAAAACATCAAAGAATATAGGATTAAAATGGATTTTCATGTAGAAAAAGGATGCCAAGAATCCAATTAATATTTTTTTAATCAAGCAGAATGAGATTTGGGTATAAAATAAATGGAAATTATTTGGATGAAAATAGTTAGGCCTGTGCTTCTTGGGACCATCAAAGAAGTCAAATTAGTGTTTTCGTGACATACCTGGGTGGTGAGAGGACAAACCTGAGGTGTGCCCCCAGAAAGCATGCAGTGTGGCTGAAGGAATGAAAGTGATAAGAGAAGCTGGGCGTGGTGGCTCACGCCTATAATCCCAGCACTTTGGGAGGCGGAGGTGAGTGGATCACCTGAGTTCAGGAGTTCGAGACCAGCCTGACCAACATGGAGAAACCCTGTCTCTACTAAAAATACAAAAATTAGCTGGGCGTGGTGGCACATGCCTGTAATTCCAGCTACTCAGGAGGCTGAGGCAGGAGAATCACTTGAACCCAGGAGGTGGAGGTTGCAGTGAGCCGAGATTCCACCATTGCACTCCAGCCTGGGCAACAAGAGTGAAACTCTTTCTCAAAAAAAAAAAAAAAAAAAAAAAAAAAGAAAGTGATAAGATGACAGGTAGGGGAGACGTGAATGAAGAGTCTGAGGATCAAAGGTGTTCTTGGTGAAGAGGATAGAACCACGGGAGTAAAAACAGTCATCAAAGCTGGAATCAGATAAGAAGATGCTTTCATGAGCTAAAACTCATGCCTAAGTGGAGAAATAAGAGCTTACCTTAGTTAGGCAGAATTATGGGGAATACTCAGTCCTCCGAATAACTGTAGCAAATGTTTACAGGTCATGAATAAATGATAAAGAGATGATCTTTTTAAAACATTATCTACAAAGGAGCAAAGAAAAAAGAAACAGACTTCTTCATAGTGGTGAATGCCAGAGGAATTAAAATCTCTTCAGACTTATGAGGCAAAAGCTGTTTTTCAAGGTCAAAGACAAGACATTCTCAGACATAGAAGAACTCAAGAAAGAGACCTTTTGTGTTGTAGATTACCTTAAACAAATTTATGAACAAATTAGGTCATTTTGGCAGTGCCCACGTGAATGGCATTTTTGCCACTGTGGGCTTCAGTGGACTGTTGCTGCTTTTTTTCTCTCTCTTTTTTCTGTTTTCTACATCATCACTTTTGAAAATGTTTGATAACATTTTCAACATTATTGACTTTTCCATTCACACTGTTGGCAAAAACTACTTTACCTGTGGCTAGGTGTGGTGGTTCATGCCTATAATCACAGCACTTTGGGGGGCCAAGGCAGGCAGATCACCTGATCAAGACCAGCCTGGCCAACATGGTGAAACCCTGTCTCTACTAAACATACAAAAAAATTAGCTGGACATGTGGTGCATGCCTGTAGTCCCAGCTACTGGGGAGGCTGAAGCAAGAGAACCGCTTGAACCCAGGATGCAGAGGTTGCAGTGAGTCAAGATTGTGCCACTGCATACCAACCTGGGTGACAGAGTGAGACTTCGTCTCAAAAAAACAAAAAAACAAACAAAAAACCCTACTTTACTTAAAAACTAAAAATATTAAAAATATGGTAAACTGTGTTCTGTAGAAAATTGTTCCAAAAGGGAAAAGGAATTTAGAATCTAGAAATCAGTTATATTTCCTTAGAAACTCCAGTAGTTAGGGAGCATGAATGTTCACAGTTAAGTAGCTGTAAAACAAACACCCCTGAGTACACCTGTGATTGCACCAGCTTTGTTTCAAGGGACACTCCTTTCCTGACCTCTCACAGCCCCAGCACTCTAATTAACACAATATTTTGTAACCCATTCTTGTCATTGTTGAAACAAAAAGGTACAGTCACTATACAAAAGCAACTGTATCTTAACAAGCCTGTTGTACTGTGTGTGAGCTTGAACTCAGAGTTTAGTTCCATTATAATCATAGTAGTCTGCATAATGCAAATCTCATACCCTACTTAATCTGTCTTGTTATATTCACTTGCATTATAAAAAATCTCATTGTAAGAGAAATGCCCAAATGTGGTTTGGGCTGAGGGAAAGATAACAAATAAACTAAGTACAGTCAGGGGTTTTAAGCTTTGAAAAATTAAATTAGAAGTAAACTAGGAAGGATAAAAGAGGAAAAATACTCTAATTCTGTCTTCGGCCTGCTCGATCCACAAAATACCATATAACTGAGTGGCTTATAAATAACAGAAATGTATTTCTCACAGTTCTGGAGGCTGGAAAGTCCAAGATTAAGGCACTGGCAAATGTGGAGTGTGTTGAGAGCCCATATCCTCATAGACCACCATCCTCTCACTCTGAGCTCACATGGTAGAAGGGTGAGGGGTCTTTGGCCTCTTTTATAAGGGCAATAATCCCATCCATGAGAGTACTGCCAAGATGACCTAACCACCCCTCAATGGCTCCTTTTCCTAATACCACACACTTGTGGGTGAGGATTTCAACATATGAATTTTGGGGGAACATAACATTAAAATCTTAGCAAATACATTGATGGTTGAAGAGTGATGTGGTCAGGTTTTTTTGGGGGGGGCAGTTTGGCTGTTTTTATCAAGACCCTTTTTGCATACTCTTTGACCCAACAATTCTGTTTTTAGAAATTCATCCTAAGCAAACAGTCATGAGCATATTAGAAGATTTAACTGCAGTAACTATCATTGCATTGTTTAAAGTAGCAGGAATATGAAAAATAACATAAATGATATAAAATGGAATACTATGTGCCATTTTAAAATGAAGTAGAAAAATAGTTAATGATATGGGAAATTTTCACCAAATACTACAGTAAAAAAGTCGGTTGACAATAGTTACTGATTATGATTCCATTTTTGTTTAAAAAAATAATTCACCTACATGCATATAAAAAGAGGTATAGAGAATTTCTAGAAGTGTATTCACCAGAATGCAAACATCAGTCTCTCTGATTGGAGGGAAAATGGATGACCTTTATTTTTTTTTTAAATTTATTTGTGTTTTAAAATCACTACTATGATCTGAATATTTGTGTCCCCCCACCCACCCCCAAATTTACATGTTGAAATCCTACTTCCCAACGTGATAGTATCAGGAGGTGGGACCTTTAGGAAGTAATGAGGCCATATGGGTGGCGACCTCATGATTGGGATTAGTGTTCTTAGCAAAGAGACTTCAGAGAGCTGCCTGGTTGAGAATGCGCTATCTACGAGCCAGGATGAGGGAAAAATACGCCGAGTTTGCCAGTGTCTTGATCTCGGACTTCCTAGTGTCCAGAACTCTGGGAGATAAATTACTGTTGTTTCTAAGCCACCAGTTTATGGTATTTTGTTATAGCAGCCTGAATATACTAAGACAATGGCTGTATATAGTTTTGATTCACGTGAAATTGGCTTTCATATTTCTTCTGTTTTCTTCTGAAGTGTTCATATGCACAATTATTGTCCTTGATCCATTTATGAAAAGAAAAAGCTGTTTTCAATAAAGTATTTTGGAGGGTGGGAAAGAGGGTAAGAAGAGGAGGAGAAGCAACATCAGACACGAGGAAGAGCAGAAAGAACTATTTTCCATGAATGTCTCCTTTGTGTTAGATCCTTTATTTCACTATTTAATTTAGGACTTATGATCTGCTACAAAAAATGTAGCCTATTTTACAAACGTAAAAACTGAGAAGCTGAGTAACTGGCCAGGGATCCACTGTTGGCTAGCATGCAGCCAGGATTCATACCCTGCCCTCTTTGGCACCAAAGCCTGACTTATTTCCACAAACGAGGAGGACCTTCTCCATGCTGAGTGCAGTAGTAGATTCTAGAGCAAAACGTTTTATAAGATTGGTAACTTCCCTGTGCTTTAAGCCTTGCATTTTAGATTTTAGCACAGTATGACTCATTTTAGTCGAGAACTATGTTACCTGTGACTTGCTTGAAGGAAGGAAGGTAGGTAACATGTACTGCATGACATTTTCCTTTGTGCCACAGGTTAAAACAGAGTTCATATTGAGTATAGGGTTCATTCTTCCCTGACACATCTTTTTTTTTTTAATTTAATTATAACAGCTTATACTTTAGGTTTCTCTTAAAGTGCTACCTAACAATACTGAATGTTTTAATTGTGCTTTTTATAGAGTCAGGTCAATAATTTGAGATGTGTGCATCGCCAATAGAGAAGGTGTTATTTCTTTTTAAAGTTTATTTATTTTATGTTTTTTAAAGACAGGGTCTCTCTCTCTCTGTTGTCCAGGCTGGAGTGTAGTAGTGCAATCATAGCTCACTGTAGCCTTAAACTCCTGGGCTCAAGTGATGCTCCCACCTCAGCCTCCCAAGTAGCGGGGACTATAGGCATGTAGCACCACGCCTGGCTAATTTTTATATTTTCTTTCTTTCTTTCTTTCTTTTCTTTTGTAGACACAGGGTCTGCCCATCTTACTCAGGCATGTCTTGAACTCCTGTCCTCAAGCAGTCCTCCCACCTCAGCCTTCCAGTGTTCTGGGATTACAGGTGTGAGCCACTGCATCTGGCCAAGAAGACATTCTTTAGGCAGATATAAGTGCTATATTTTCTTCAAAGACATATAACTTTAGGCCGGGCACAGTGTCTCACACCTGTAATCCCAGCACTTTGGGAGGCTGAGGCGGGCGGATCACCTGAGGTCAGGAGTTTGAGACCAGCGTGACCAACATGGAGAAACCCCGTCTCTACTAAGAATACAAAATTAGCTGGGCATGGTGGCACATGCCTGTAATCCCAGCTGTTCAGGAGGCTGAGGCAGGAGAATCGCTTGAACCCGTGAGGTGGAGTTTTTGATGAGCCGAGATCACGCCATTGCACTCCAGCCTGGACAACAAGAGCGAAATTCCGTCTCAGAAAAAAGAAAAAAAAAAGATATATAACTTTATTTTTTGCTATTCAGTCTTGAATCTCTCTGCATTGATTTGAGAGTGGTCCAAATTTTTCTCCAAATCTTAGCCATTATTCACCTAGCTTCATTTAATTATAATCCTTAAAGTCCCTTGAACCCTTACTGTGCACATTGCAAAGTGCTTTTTCTGAATCACCTTATCAAATTCTTAGGGTAACTCTTTGGGAATCCAGCAGTATCTCCATTTTGTGCACTGGGAGACTGTCTTTAAGTTACTTCCCCAAGGTTACCTAGTGAGCAGATGGTAGACCAGGACTCTCATTCACAGTCCATCTGATGCCAAAACCTTCCCTCCAACATTAAGTTACATGATATTTATGGGGAAATCCAGCCTCCTCTCATTTATAATGGTGCTTTTATTTTCACCAAATTTCTGTTTTTTGGTGATGTCACTGCAATGTTTTAATTGCTGTGGCTTTATAATCATGTGTTTCAACATCATTAGAGTGTGCTTACCCTCACTTCTCTTTGAAAAATAATTTTGGATAGTCTTATGTATTTGTGCTTCTAGATAAGCATGGTTTTCAATTTGGAAACTGTTCCTTTGCCATAAAAAATTATTTTTTATTTAAATTGCATTTAAACATTAATTTGAAAAAAGTGAAATATTTATTTAAAGATGAGATTTCCTACTTAGGAGTATTATATCCATTTAGACACTTCAGTTAAGCATTTTAATTTTATTTATGTATATCTTGTCATTGTCTTGTTATATTTATTCCTAGATGTCATATAGTTTGATACCACTCTACCTGGGACTTTTCCAATTACGCTTCTGTTACAAAAATTAAAAATTATGATATCTGGCCACCTTAGTGAACAACTTTATGAATTTTTGACATTTTCATGATAATATTGGTTCTTTACACAGACAATTATGTTATCTGCTAATGACCACATTTTCATTTCTTCTCAGTATTTAAAACTTTTCATCTGTTGCTTTGACTAGATTTCAGAACCAAGTTGGGTATAAACCATAAATTGATATTGGTAATGTTTTACTTTAAAAAAAGTACTTCTTTTCCTTTTGGTTTCTGATATAAGAGCTCATCTCAGTTTATACAGGTGTACTTTAGGAGAGGTTAGAATAGTGCTTAATTTCTCAAGAGACGTTGAGCATGTGGGTACCTGTAGTGCATTCAAGCACAGAGATTGCCTTGTGGTGCTGTGCAAGGTAGCCTCTGATGAATGGCAGGGATTCCCTCTTTATCCTGGAGTTTCCATTATGTTTGTAGTGTTGCTGCTTTTATCTCCACTACAAGGCTTTTTTCTTTATGACCTGAAATACTTGTGGTTTAGCCTCACATTAGGTTCGCCTCTATGTTGTAATTTAGTGCATACCACTAAATTGGTGGATACCGTGCCCAGAAACCTTAAACACTGTGCTAGAATTGCTGTTAGGCAATTTAGGCCTTTCCTGGCACAACTGGAACCAAAGAAAGGGGGTGGAGCTCATGCAGTGCCTGGGGCTATTTTTCCCTCTGCTCACCTGGAATCTTCCTTCCAGAAAGCTGGGGGTGGGGCCTCACCAGTGCGGTGTTTCGGTAATAAGCCCGCTTCTATAGACCTGGAAGTGACATCGTGAAGTCATTCAGTTTTCATTCCTATGAAGAAATTCCTTTTCGTATATACTCTTTAGCGTTGCATTGCTTTTTCAGAAGCATATTTCTAGTGAATATCAAGAATAAATATTCATCATTAAAGAAGTTCACTCTATTCTTAGTTTTCTAACAGTTGGAATTTTTTTGTTCTTTTTAAAAATACAATAATGGCTGTTTAATTCGTCAAATGCTTTTTTAGCATGTATCAAAATGATCAGATTCTTTTTCTCTGTTAAACAATTTATAAAGCTTTATCATATTAATACTATATCACTGCTGTATTTCTGGATGAAACCTTTTTGCTCATGGTTTATAATTGTTTTAACATACTACTCTATTCACATTGCTATTTACTTGTGTTGACTACATTATTATAAATAACAATAGCATTTGTTAAGCATGTGCTCTGTGCCAGGCTCTGAGATGAACACTGTATGAATCAGCTTAATTTTCTCAGCATTTCATTTTACAGCTAAACCGTTGCACAAAGATTTAGCTAACTTGATTAATATCACGTGGCTATGAAAATGTGTCATGGTTGCTAGTTAAACCCAGCTCATTTTGACCCCTAAACCAACCTGTGATCAGAAAGGTGTTTGATGACATAAGTGAGATGGTACATGACTTGATTTTATAATTAATACTATCAAACTGCTTCAGCAATCATAGTTGAATGGATCTGTTTCCATTATAGGGACATGCCTGTCATTGGAAACAGATTCTCCTGTTCATAAATCAGGGTACCCCTTTCTTTGAAAAATCTATAGAGACACAGACAATTTTTGCCTCTTTGAATTCCCCTCATTTGGATGTCATAGAAACCATCCTCCCTCTTTAGTAGAGTTACTGATGGTCCTGTGCTGTCAGCCTCCTGAACCCCCTTCAGATGCTCTTATGATAGAAATAGATGGAGGAGAGAGCTGGTCGTTCATGGGTGAGTAAAGAAAGAAGGGGCACATAGTAAGTTTAAGCCCCATGCAGAACTGGTCCTGATATAATTTAAAAACCTGATAATTTTCCAAACTTCTGTTTGTGCTTGTTCAGATACTTGTTAATAACAGAAAAAAAGGCTACGTACTATCTTTTCTTCCCTTCCTATATCTAAGTAGAAATTATGGAATCAAGATCCAGAGAATTCACAGATGTCTGTACGGATTCTGTTTTCAAGCACAATAATGAATCATGTCCACTGTCCTGAGTTCACCCAGTCCCCAGGGGCCTGTGACAGGAGCCAGATGCTCCGGTTTGAAGGACATTATGTATTGACTTGTTCTTGCTGGTTTTTCTCAGAACCAGCATATCTAGCCAGTTCGTTTCTTGACACCCTCCCCAGTCTTCCCCCCCACCAGCATACTCAATGTCCACATCTCACATCACTACTTTGGTACTCAAAAATCTCTTATTTGAATCTCAATTTCTTTTTTTGTCTTTTCCCACAGATCTGTTCTCCAATTCTGACAGGCAGACTAATGACCCCCTAAAGATGTCCATGTCCTATTTCCCCAAACCTGTTAGGTTACATAGCAAAGGTGAACCAAGGCTATAGATGAAATTGAGGTTGCTAATCAGCTGACCTTAAGGAGATTTTCCAGGGCTATCAACGTGGCCCAGTGCAATCACAAGGGACCTTAAAAGTGAAAGAGGGAGGCAGGAGAGAGCACGTGAGACTACTCAGGCAGCGTTGCTGGCTCTGCGGGTGAAAGCAGGGCCTTGGCTGAAGCTTCCTGCAGACGCAGAACTGGCTAGATATGCTGGTTCGGAGAAAAACCAGGGCTCAAGGCCCTGCTTCCAGGGCCCAAAGTAGCCCACTTCCAAGAGAGAGAAAAGGCAAGGGAACCAGTCCTCCCCTACTCTCCCTCCAGAAGGAAAGTAGTGAGACCCATGCCAGACTTCTAATCTATGGAACTGTAAAATAATAAATCTGTGTTTATGCTTTATTTCGAACCACAAATGTGTAGTAATTTGTTATAGAAACAGTAGGAAACTAGTTCATCATGCCATTCCCCTAACTATTCCAACATCTCACTACCTGTATCTCAGCCACTGCTCATCCAGCTCCAGCTGCCTTGCTCTGTGCATCATAACCATACAGGTAGCCGCTTATTTGCTTACTTCTTATGTGGCCTGTTACCCCGGTGTTGAGACCCCCACCCCAGAGTATAGTGTTACTTCTTAATGTTCACATTTTTGAAACCTCATTTTTGCCATGGTAACTCTTCCAAATCTCATTACTCTTACTCCCTCAGTCCTGTCTTTAGTCCACTACATTTTAGTAGATGACCTTACCCCTACTCTACTGGTGATGTTGACAGCATCTGTCTTGAGCTCCCTTTACTTTCAAAACCTCTCTGTGAATTCCAGTCATCCATTTCTGGGTTTCCATCTCTGGACCTCTGTTCAGCATTTCACAGTGTCAACACCACCTTCCTTTTTTCCATGGCCTCTGTGACATTGCATTCATTTTCCCATCCCTCTAATTGCTTTTCCCCCTTTATATCAGCCATATTTTTTTCAGTCCTTAAATCTAAGCCTTCCTTAGTTTCTGTTCTCAAACTTCAGGCCTCCTTTTAAAATTTATTCATTCTCTTGATGTCATAGCTTCATCCAAGACTTCAGTATCACCACTACAAGGGATATCTTCACATCTGGCTGTCATGCCCCTCCAGGCCCCAGGCATACTGCTAGGTAACATCTTCTTTTAGCCCCAGTTCATGAGAGAGAGAGGGGAGTCTTCTTTCTGTAAACTTGTATTGGGGATTATCTCAGATGCAGGATCTTAGAGTCTTGTGTTCTGGACACTCCAGGCCCTTTTATGGTGTGGCAAGGGAGGTGGCAGGACTTATGGACAGGGCACCAAGATCCACTTGGGTTGAGGTCAACACAGGTACCCCATTCTTCCTCCCCATTCCAGCTCTTACCTCCAGGATTTATGCAGAAAGAAATGGGCTAGGCTGAAGGACCTGTGTTTTATTCCTCTAGGGGTTTGGTCAGTTTTGTTACAGGTACTCCTTATGGGACCAGGGAAAACCTGCTCTGAAGACTTTATTTCAGAGGTGGGCAAGTATGAGGTTCAGTTTGCTCTAAATGGCTTCTGAGGGACACTTGGCCAACTTTTCCCTTGGCAGTAGATACTTTTGCGTCATTTGCCTTAGGTTCTTGTACACGGGGAGGGTGAGAATTTGGGTAGGTAGAAAGGTCTGTGAGGAGACCTGAAGTTGGAAAGGTCAGTGTCATTGGAAGACAGTTGCCCTCTTTGGGATGGGTATGGATCCTTACCTAAAACACTAGGGTTGGAGCACCATTCTAAAGCACAATGGAGCAGTCCTTTCCCATGGCAGCTCATGCCTCGTCCTAGATCTCGCCAGGGCCAGAAGCACCTCCAGTGCTTTGTGGACTATGTGCTGCAGCACCCAGTCCCAGACACACAGGACTTCACTCATTGAGACACATAGTTAACCATCTTTTCAACTCACTGCAAAACAATTATTTCTGAAGTAATATGAAACCTTGCCTTGAGCTATAATGATATAAAGACAATTAAATTATATCCTCTTTGCTTCTCTATTGAGCCAACTGTAAAACATAGTATTTGCCTTGTGGCTTTGGCAGGTGCACATGATTTGCCTGGTGTGATGTTACATCAGTGAAAAGTGTTGCCTCACAATCAAACTCATCAGGCTTATTCATCTGTACTGGAAGGTTTATTCAACTATAAATACAAGACAAGGCCAGGTGCAGTGGCTCCCACCTGTAATCCCACCACTTTGGGAGGCCAAGGCGGGCAGATCACTTGAGCCCAGGAATTTGAGAACAGCCTGAGCAACATGGTGAAACCCTGTCTCTACAAAAAAATGCAAAAATTAATCTGGTGTGGTGGCATGAGCCCGTAGTCCCAGCTATTCGGGAAGCTGAGGTGGGAGGATTGCTTGAGTCTGGGAAGTGGAGGTTGCAGTGAGTCATGTTAGTGCCACTGCACCCCAGCCTGGGTGACAGAGGGAGACCCTGTCTCAGAAAAAAAAAAAAAAAAAAAAGACACAAGACATTTAAGGATGGGTGCATCATCACGGTCTTTACCTCCATGATCTCAACATCTTAGACTCTGAAGGGAAGGCGTTTTTTTTGTTTTGTTTTGTTTTGTTTTTCCTTTAGTAATATTACATGCTTGACATTTTTCTAGCCTACCCACCTGTGGCAAAGGAAGGTAATTTAATTTTTGTACTAATTCAGGTGAACATAGTTAAGTTTATCCTGAAAGGCTCAGCAAACACATATTTTTCTTTTGTAGCTGTGCAATATGTAAACTGTCACCAGTTGGTGGCTTTTAGTAGCGCTCCCCATTGGGACCAGAGATATCTAGCTACAGCTTATGGAAGGGCGTTGGCCAGAAGCTGCCAGATATGGGAAGAAGGAAGCATATTGTGGGCTCTAGAAATAGGAAGCTACCTACAAAATTATATAAAGAGACTATTCTGAAAGCACGAAGACCTAAAGTGACAGCTGTTTATGATGACAGCAAGAAGGGCAGAAGTATGCAACAAAGAAAATGGAGCTGAGATATTAAAAGGAATGAACAACACTTAACCTAATCCCAAAAGGAACTATGGGAAGAATTAGCCTGGGGTATTCATCTACCACATAAACAAAGCAAAAACAAACAATTGAAATTTTTCAGATTCTTTAGAAGGAAAGAAAGACGAGTATTGTTAATGTTTTATTGCTTATCTGCCAAGAACTACACAAACTAGTTTTTACATTTGTTCTGTCATAAGATTCGTAAAATATGGTGATTGCACTTTTGAATCTCCTTATCTGGAGATCTAAAAACATAGTCAATAGTCCTGTCTTCCTGAAGTAATTTAGGTGTGGTTGCCTGTAGGCAGGGAGATCATTTTTTATAGTCTAGAGGAATGTTCAGGGTCTCTTTGGCTCTGTGAATGGTTCTGATTTGAAGATACGGATGACTAGAACAGGACTGTAATGGAAGCATCTATTTAAATTTATTTTTTCCTCGTAGCTTTAATTTTTAAATAATTTAAAGGAAATATTTAAAAGTCAGATAAATCCTATGTGAATCAACTATGTTCATGTTTCTATGTCACCCCTCAGTCTTCATCTAGGACCCCCATGTTTGTGATATAGATGAAATGATATCGTTGAGACATTTCCGTGTGTGTGTATGTGTGCTGGTAGGACCTCAGACATAGGGGGCTGAGTTAATCAACCTTCTCAGATCGTGGTCTGTCATTACTGGTCCAAGCCGGGCTTCTTGTCATTTATCATTCATTCCCTTTTATTCTCATTCTCCACTCCCATTTCTTCCCCCACTTCACACTATTCTATTGTGTTCAATGTATATAGGTTTTTATTTTTATGTACCTATGAAAATTATTTATGTGTTTTTTTTAGTGTCCATCTGTGATGTATGTTTAAAACAGATGGACACTAACATCCCATTCAGTTTTTCTTGATGTAAACCTGTTTACCCTTTTGGTGTATATTTCTGGCTTGTTATTCCTAATTGCTGGAATCTAATTGCTCTGGAATCTCAGAGCTTACCTATCATGCTTTATTTACCCTCTAGCTCCCCATTGCCATAGATAATACTGTGATGAACATCCTTCAGCAGGTCCCTTATGATGTACATAAAGTATATACCTGTTGGGAGAGGATGCTTATCTGTGAGTTAAATTGCTAGGTCATATGAGCTATATATACTTAATTCTCTGGAATGACTGAACAGTTTACATTCCTTGTAGTGGTTCACATTTCTGTCAACATTGGAATTATACAGCTTTCTGATTTTACCAGGCTAATAGGTATAAAATGATACATTGTTTTCATTTGCATTTTTCTGATCACATACAGGTTGGAGCATCTTTTCATGGTTAATTCAATTTTATATTCTTTTTGTCACATTTTTATCTATTGCAGTACGGTTCTGGGGTTTCTGATATCTGAATTAATATATTGAGATGTATTTAACCCTGACAGTTAGGTTGAATCATATGCAGGTGCCAATGTTGGCCATTTTTGACCTTTAAAAACAGTGAAATCTGGCCGGATGTGGTGGCTGACACCTGTAATCCCAACACTTCAGGAGGCTGAGGCGGGCGGATCACCTGAGGTCAGGAGTTTGAGACAAGCCTGGCCAACATGGCGAAACCCTGTCTCTACTAAAAATACAAAAATTAGCCGGACATGGTGGCGCACACCTGTAATCCCAGCTACTCGGGAGGCTGAGGCAGAAGAATTGCTTGAACCCGGGAGACAGAGGTTGCAGTGAGCCGAGATCGTGCCGCTGCACTCCAGCCTGGGTGACAGAGTGAGACTCTTGTCTCAAAAAAAGCCCGAAAAATAGTAAAATCCGTGGTCCAACTTAGTATGTTGTTGGACGTATTCTTTTTGTTTTCATTGTTATAAATAGTATTGCAGTGACCATATGTTGATATATAGCCTTTTTCTTCTTTTGAATTTGTCATTAGGATAAATTCCTAAGAGAAGGATTACTGATTCAGAATGAACTTTTCTATGGCTATTGTTACATATTGCCAAATCACTTTCTAAAAGGACTGTACTCATTTACATTAGGCATCATTTATATGGTAACTCTACTGGTTTTACTCTAACTTCATAATCATTATACATTATCATTTAAACCATTAGTAACTAAACATTACCTCATTGTTTTTATTTATATTGTTTAATTATAGTTAATATTAATCATTTATTCAGGACGAATAGTGTGCTTTTATGAGTATGATCTATTTGTGCCCTGAGTCCATTTTCCTATTAGTGTCTTTTTGTCAGTTGATTTGAAAGTGGGTTTCTATATATGGTAGTTTTACCCTGGCTTCAGTCCCTGAAAATGAAATTATTCATTTACATACAATTTATTCTTCAGATGACAATCAAAACAAAACACATGATAAAAAAGAGAAGAAGATGGTGGTTCAGAAGCCCCATGGGACTATGGAATACACTGTGAGTATAACCAAGGTGGTATAAATGTTTGTTAATAGCACTACATTTATATAATGGTTTTCCCTGACACATCCTGCCCCTTGGCTGCATTCCTCTTGTGTACCCATTAAACAATCAAGCTTCTTAAGACCAGTTTTAGGTCATTTCTTTTTCCTCCATATTTTCTCCCTGGTCAATCTCAAATAAACCAGTGAATTGAGAATGTGAGGGTGATCTGGCTGCAACATCCATCACCCTGTTGACCACCAGCATTGTTTAGGCTGATCTGGCTGACTAGGCAGGTATCCCTTTCTTCCCCCACCACTCCATGTGCATCCCTCTGGAGCTTGGATGAAGAGGATGACCTTCCCCAATAGAGGAGGACATTTCTTGGGTCACGGGTATTCTAGTAACTGTGTTGCCCTGTTAGAACCTCCAAACTGATGACTTGAATTATTTTTGATATAAACAGGGACTACCACTTTTAGGTCACCAACCCAGACATTCTTTTTAAGTTCCAAAGCTATGTACTCATTTGGCTACTCAACATATCCACCTGGTCCTCCATGCTTGGTCGTCTTTCAAGAAACAATGGCTCCATCATTCCTACATTTGTGCAGGCTAGAACTTAATTCTTGACATCTTCATCCCCTTACTCTCCATGTTCGTTACTACCTTCTGTGATTTTTCCAGCCAGTCTAGGCCATATCCCTTTTTTAACATTCTCGTAGAATCATGTTGCTTAACTTAATTTATCTCAGTTTAACATTATTAATTCATTAGCGTGTTGTTATTTTAATCTCTATCTCATGCTTTAATTCATATATCCATGAAGAGAGATTAGACATCTCTTTGTTCACCATTATATTCCTGGTAACTTGCAGGGTATAGATCTCCATATTGTTGAGCAGTAGATGAACAATGCTAGGTGTGTGTTCATTACTACAACTCCACACTGTGTGCCATGTGCTCATCTCTGTCACTGCATCATAAGCTCCTGGAGGCCGGGAGTTGTATCTTATGTATCCTAGGCTTGGCACAAAGTGGGGACTCAGTTGTAGATATATTTTAATTCACTATTAAGTAGCACTCTTGAGGAGTGTTCTCTTTGACTTCTAAGAAGAAATTAAGTACTATTGCCATTGCCTGGTTGTATTTTCCTAATGTGTACTTATTTTATAGTCATTATTTGTAAGCAATGCCAGACCCTATATAAGACAGGCAGCAAGATCTAATTCTTTGCTGGTGTTTCTTTTGCAATAGTAAATCTGCAAGCCTCTGTAGAGTCACATTGAAGATCTCTGTCACAGGCTTTCATGATCAATGCCCTGTGAACGTCTCTAGACATCTTTCTAAAGTGTATAAGCATAGTCATTTTTAGAAAGGATTTGGGATGATTATATCTTATATTACCATTGTCTAAAATATACTGTTGATTCTCATAACACCTAGAATAGTGCCTTACCTCAAAATAGGCACTCAAGAAGTATTGGACTCAATTATTTATTATTAATAACAATATTACTTCTAAAGCCATAATCATTAAGATCTGTATGTGTCTAGCACCTTTATTCACATGCTCCTCCAAAGAATGGAGAGGTGCTTTTGCCAGGAGTTACTTCATATAGTATATACTGAATAATGTAGTGACAGTAAAAAAAAAAAAAAAAATCAAACTCCGAATTAATTAAATATTAACAAGTGATCAAGTCAATAATGCAGGTATGCCTACCTCTCTGTTTCATGTTATGGAGATTAATTTTATTTGACAAGTTGGTTTTGTGCTTGTCATTGGAAATAAAAGGTAACTCATATAATTTTGTGTTTAAAGAGCCTGCTAGCACTTACCCGATTGCTTTTACTACTCCTGAGCTGTGGATGATCAAGCATTCTGGCTTAGTTTCAGTCATTTGATGATACCAACATCCCTCTCGGGGTCTGTGCCCTAATTCTACATGTATGTCTTGTCTTTAATAACTGCAGATTGTTAAAGTTTTTCTTACTCTGATCCCCCTATACAGTGTATGTTTTACAAGTTTACTCATAACAATATGAATATAGTATACAAATACATAATACAGTATTAAAAATATTTTTTAACTTTGTTTTTAGTGGAGATGGTTTTACCTAGGGTAGAAGTAGTGGCATATGTTGTTTACTTTAGTGATTTAAAAAATTATACATACTACATATAATATATCCTAACTTGTTCCAGAAGGGCTTTGAGGCTGTTTCAATGTAATCTGTAACCGTAACCTTTGATTAGTCTGAGACAGTTCATCTAGTAGTTGGACCTCTGATACTGAAGGCAGCGATGGGTTTAATTCTCCTCCTACATCTCTACCCTTTCACCAGTCCACATCTTCCTTCAGCCTCCTCACATCTCCACATAATTCAAGGCTCACCTGGTGGAGCCAGTTCTGCTTACAAAGAACTTATACCAGTCTTGACCCAGGGCTATCAATTGGAACTTCTCAGTGACATTCATCAGAGTGACCTCCCACTAGCAAGTCTATCTGGCAGCTCTGATCAGGGAGTTTGTCCTGGGATGTTGACATGACATCAGGGAGCCAACTTTTTTTCTGGGTAGAGCTGTTTTCCTGTGAAGTTTCTCATCTCCTCACTGCCCTCTATTCCTGTTCCTCCTCAGAAGGAAAGAAAAGTGTACACCTGGGACATATGTCACAAGTTTTACAGATTTAGAGAATAACACTAATTTGACCATAGAAAAGTGTGGTTTTAATGATAGTGAACAATTATTGGTAGCTAATCTGAATTTCTTTCTGATTTCCTTGCTTTCACAGTATTCATTCATCAACTTTTTGAGTACCCTCCATGTATCAAGCAGTGTGCTGAGCCCAGGAGAAAACATTTTGCCAGCTTTGCCATACAAGCCAGCAGTTTATAGTATATGGAAAAGTCATGCAAATAGACAGAAAATTATAAGAGAGAAAGTAGCCCCACTTCCCCTGAGGGTGGGGACTCTGTGTACATCGTATTTCTTTTCTTGTTGTAGTCTTCATTACAGCTCACGGACCTTTACTTCATGCGCCTCAGTTGCACCAAAGTAAAATTAGAAATCTATTAGGGGACAGTGAAATTTGAAAATGAGGAAGCCCAGAAATGAATTGCATTTAAGACTTTGCTGTAAAATGATTTTATTAAGAATTGACAATGTATTCATTCTTTCTTATAGTCTATCTTGATGGAACTATTAGTTTGTTATTTATTCATATTGCAGATAAATTAATAGTATCTATCAAAAGTAATTTTTTTTGCTTTATTTATTGACTCTTACCTGTTTGATTATTCTAGGCTGGAAACCAGGACACCCTAAACTCCATAGCACTGAAATTTAACATCACTCCCAATAAATTGGTGGAACTGAATAAACTTTTCACACATACTATTGTTCCAGGCCAGGTAATTATACTCTTACTGGATATAACTCTAGAAATTCTGCATTTATCTTTTATTGCCGTTTTCAGTGCCTCACTATTGTTTGTCACAGGATTATGATAAATGATAATGTGCTTTGGTTCAATATTTTCTCTCCTTTATTTTTATTTATTTATTTTTTGAGACAGGGTCTTGCTCTGTTGCCCAGGCTGGAGTGCAGTGACACCATCATGGCTCACTGCAGCCTCAATCCCCTGGGCTCAAGCAATCCTCCCACCTCAGCCTCCCAAGTAGCTGGGATTACAGACATGAGCCACTGCACCCAGCTCAACTTTACGATATTTTCATATTCACAGGATACCTTGGCTACACATGCTTAAAATTTTTTTCCAGGCTGAAATGACAGCATTGCTGTATGGTTAAGAACTTTAAGACCTCAAATCCTGATTGGCATATGTGTTGGGAGCAAACCCAAAATTATTTTCTGAAGGCAATAGGAAACTTTCACCCCTGCCCATGATCCAGGCTCACTTCCATGTTGAGGTAGCACATGTTCTGGCGGCTGCTCACCTCTCTTTACAGTGCAGTCAACTGTTTAAGCACAGGAATTACTCCTTAGATTTGACATTTGGAATGTTCAGACAATTGAATCGCAATCTATGTTACCTAATACTTTTTTTAAGAGTTCAGATGCAAAAAAAATTTACTATTAGTGGAGAATTGCTTGGGAAAAACATCATCCATCCATTACTCTAGTTTAGCTATATAAGATAAATAAGAGCTATATACCAAGATCACAAAATTTTAGTCCTTTGTAAATTGCTTTTTACAGAACTCTAAACTTTGGCATTTCCATTGACCCATATTGAAGATGCTATAAAAGGCAATACTCCAAAACTGGTTATTGTATTTACTGTTAGTGCATCATAGAGGACAAATAATTCAGTCTAGGATGCTCCTTTGTATGAGATTCTGTAGGAGAGTACTTGTACTTCTGAGAAACTTCATTTTTATCTCATGGAAGTTGAATTCTGCTAACTAATGATGTTGTCTCTTTGCATTAATTATATGGAAACTCAGAGTCACTTTTATGGCCCACTTCTTAATGAGTGGTTACCAGTTTTGGTGCATATATTTTTAGTAGTTATCAGTCCTCATCTTATATCCCCCCTTGACTTTGATTTTCCCACTTTTATTTTAATGTGTTTTTTTATTGTTGTCTCAAATATTTTCTGGATTGAAGTGAGGTTTAAATGACTGGAAAGATAGGAGACAGTGAATAACAATATTGATCAGTAATCAGTTGTTATATGATTAGCTCTGAATTCTGTTTTATAACATTAAAGGTCATCATTTTAAGATTATATTTGGCCGGGCACAGTGGCTCATCCTTGTAATTCCAGCACTTTGGAGGCCAAGGTAGGCAGATCACTTGAGGTCAGGACTTCAAGGACAGCCTGACCAACATGGTGAAACCCCATCTCTACTAAAAATACAAAAATTAGCCAGTAGCCAGGCTTGGTGGTGGGTTCCTATAATCCCAGCTACTTGGGAGGCTGAGGCAGGAGAATCTCTTGAATGTGGGAGGTGGAGGTTGCAGTGAGCTGAGATTATGCCACTGCACTCCAGCCTGGGTGACAAGAGTGAAACTCCATCTCAGAAAAAGACAAAAGATTATATTTGATACATGCCACAATGTAGCATGTCTCATTAAAAGAATATTGAATGACAGGATTGTAGTAATGTTTTGAGAACCAGAATGTTTTGCAGAGGTTGCTATTCTGTATAATTTTTTGGGGTGGGGGTAGTTTTTAGTTACACATAACCCAGACACTGTTGGAAGAGAAAATATTGGGATTATTTTATTGATATTACCTTATACAATTTATCATATAAGGACCTACTGCTTTAGAACTCAGAGCCTGCTTGGAGTTAGCAAGCTGGGTTTGTTCCATTTCTACCTGGCACAGATATTAAGTTTAGAAGCCATGCTTCTCTCTCCTCATTTCCCTTATACTATTAGTCTCCCACCTTGGAGGGCTCTTCCCTCTCTCCTATCCAATTTCTACTTGTTCTTCAAGGCTTCAGTTGGACCCACTTGCTTCACTTGGCCTGCCCAGAATACTTACCCACCTTGCTCTCTCTTTTCTTTTTATTTATTTATTTATTTATATTTTATTTTATTTTATTTTATTTTTTGAGGTGGAGTCTCCCTCTGTCACCCAGGCTGGAGTGCAGTGGCACGATCTTGGCTCACTGCAACCTCTGCCTCCTGGGTTCAAGAGATTCTCCTGCCTCAGCCTCCCCGAGTATCTGGGACTACAGGTGCGAGCCACCATGCCCAGCTAAATTTTTTTGTATTTTTAGTAAAGACAAGGTTTCACCATGTTGGCCAGGCTGGTCTCAAACTCTTGACCTCAGGTGATCTGCCCACCTTGGTCTCCCAAAGTGCTGGGATTACAGGCATGAGCCACTGTGCCTGGCCTTGCTCTCCCTTTCTTTTTGAGTTCTTGCAGTGTCTACAGGCATGTTCTGTACCCTTTGTACTACACACATTCATATGCTGAGTATCATTTCATGGATTAGTCTAGAAAACCGTAAGTTGCTTATGAGTTTCTTGAAAGCAACCTAGGTCGTAATCATGCACTGAACATGATACTGTGTAGAGAATAACTTCTCCAAACACTCACTAGTGGTTTGCCTGGTTGCTGGTACTCACCCATCTGTTCTCTCCCATTCTCAGGTCCTTTTTGTGCCAGATGCCAACTCTCCTTCCAGTACCTTAAGGCTATCATCATCCAGTCCTGGTGCTACTGTCTCTCCTTCATCATCAGATGCAGAATATGATAAATTGCCTGTATGTATATTATGCACTGAAGTTCATTTTTATTAAAGAGACTTCTTTTAAGTTGTAGAATTCAACATGTTATTTTTCACAAGATTACATCTGAAATTCTCCCTAGATGGTTGAGATTAGGTAATTGGAGAATGCATCCTCTCCAAGGGAAACTTATTCACATTTAAGGTTTCAAAGGCAAAAATGGCCAGACACAGTGGCTCAGCCTGTAGTCCCAGCACTCTGGGAGGCCGAGGCAGAAGGATTGCCTGAGCCCAGGAGTTTGAGACCAGCCTGGGCAATATAGTGAGATTCTGTCTCTACGAAATATTTTAAAAATTAGCCAGACATGGTGGCTCAAACCTGTAGTCCCACCTACTCAGGAGGCTGTGGTGGGAGGATCACTTGAGCCTGGGAGGTTGAGGCTGTGGTGAGCCATGATCGTACCACTGCACTCTAGCCTGGGTGACAGAGTGAAACCCTATCTCAAAAAAAAAAAAAAAAAAAAGGCAAAAATGCATGCCTTGTGTAAAAGTATGAAGTTAAATTTCCAGTGACATGGATAGTTTATTTGTATTCCTCCTTTTTTTAAAAAAAAAAAACAAATTGAGTCATGAGTCTAATATGAATTTTTTCATTTAGGTTACTAGGTTAGTGTTTATTTTGTTGTTGTTGTTTGTGTGTGTGAGACAGAGTCTTTCTCCGTCACCCAGACTGCTGTAGTGCAATGGCACGATCTTCGCTTACTGCAACCTCCGCCTCCTAGTTTCAAGCGATTCTCCTGCCTCAGCCTCCTAAGTAGCTGGGATTACAGGCACCGGCCACTATGCCCAGCTAATTTTTGTATTTTTACTGGAGACAGGGTTTCACCATATTAGTCAGGCAGGTCCCGAACTCCTGACCTCAGGTGATCTGCCCACCCCGGCCTCCCAAAGTGCTGGGATTACAGGCGTGAGCCACCACACCCAGCCCATTTAGGTTAGTTTCTAAAGACATTTCATGAGTAAGTTTTATGGGTTCATACATATGCCTTTGCTTTTTTTAAAAGAAAAAAAAAACAGTTTGATTTGGGTATCTGTTATTACATTTGTGATATTTTTGAAGGACAGAGGATATTTGCCTTTTTAATGTTCCACTTAAATAGAAATAGTATACTCACAGGGAATTTATGGGGCTTGATTTATACACATAATTTGTTTGAAAAGTGCTTTTATTTGATTTTGAAATTTTTTGCTTTCACAAGGATGCTGACTTAGCACGAAAGGCCTTGAAACCCATTGAAAGAGTCTTATCGTCTACTTCTGAAGAAGATGAGCCAGGTGTGGTGAAATTTTTAAAAATGAATTGTCGATACTTCACCGATGGAAAGGTATATAGCAATGTAATTTGTTTCCTTTCCTTGAAATCTATGAAAAACTAAACAAAGTTACAAATTACTGGAACAGAGGCTACATTAAAAGATCTTACCCAAAGTGTCAATTTTAGGTTTGACAAGCATCCATTAGTTTTCTTCTGTTGGATGCCTGGAATTTTACTTACTGAGGTAAATGTTGTCACTGAGTGGAAATGTGATTCTTTGTGATCTTGGATTTATTGTTTTTTTCTTTTAGTTTGGGCCTATGAATTGTTAGGGAGACAATATACTGTACATATAACAGCAAACACTGGAGTCAGACTCACTGAATTTAAATTCCAACTCCACTACCCACTAACTCTGAGACCAGGGGCAAGGTATTTACATGTCTTAAGCTCCCATTTTTCTCATGCATAAAATAGAAACAATAAAAAAATTTAACTAATAGGATATGATAATGAAAAGTGATAATTTATGTAAAGAATTTAGCACCTAATCTGGCTAAATAGTAAGCTCTCAAGCTGTGTTTGCTGTTGATGATATTGGTATTAATATCTGCTGTATCTTCTTTTTAGTTTTTTGGTTGTTGCTTGATTGTTTTCTGTGTGTTTTTGTTTTTTTGTTTTCACTAAGAACAAATTCAGCTTTTACTGAGCCTCTGGAGAAGGGACTATCTTGATAACCAGTGAGTTCCTGTGGTCATAGGAGAATTCATACCAGTTTTAGATAATAGGAAAAATATGTTATTGATGTGCATTTATAAAATTTGCAAACAAGAATAAATAATGCTTGACATAAAGAAATTTTTTAAAAGACAGCTTTATTGAGATGTGATTCACATAACATACAGTTCACCCAATTACAGTGTAAAATCCAGTGATTTTTAGTTTCTTCACATAGTTGTGCAACCATCACCACAATCCATTTTAAAACATTTTTATTACCTAAAAAGAAACTCCATAACCATTAGTAGTTACTCCCCATTTCACACTCTCCCACCCTATTCTTTCCCCTTCCCTGCCACCCTCATCTCCAGGAGGCAATCACTTACCTACTTTCTGTCTTTCTGTATTTGCCTATTCTAGACAATTTATTATTCCTTCTATCTAACTGTAAGTATATGTCCTTTGACCAACATCTCCCCCATCCTTCTCTTTCCCCTAACCACCTACACCTCTTTTTTTTTTTTTTTTTTTTTTTGAGACAGAGTTTTGCTCTTGTCACCCAGGCTGGAGTGCAATGGTGCGATCTCTGCTCACTGCATCCTCTGCCTCCTGGGTTCAAGCGATTCCCCTGTCTCAGCCTCCTGAGTAGCTGGGACTACAGGTGTGTACCACCTCATCCGGCTAATTTTATATTTTTAGTAGAGACGGGGTTTCACCATTTTGGCCAGGCTGGTCTCAAACTCCTGACCTCAGGTGATCCACCTGCCTTGGCCTCCCAAAGTGTTGGGATTACAGGCCAGAACCACCACACCCGGCCCACCCATACCTCTTAGTCATCACCATTCTACTCTCTACTTCTAGGGGATCAGCTTCTTTAGATTGCACATATGAGTGAGATCATGCAGTATTTATCTTTGTGTGTTTGGCTTATTTCACTTAACATAATGTTCTCCAGGTTCATCCATGTTATTGCAAATGACAGGATTGCATTCTTTTTTTATGGCTGAATAATTTGTGTATATATAGCACATTTTCTTTATTCATCTATTGATAGATGCTTAAGTTGTTTTCATAGCTTGGCTATTGTGAATAATGCTGCAAATAAACATGCAAGTGCAGATACCTGTTTGAGATATGATTTCATTTTCTTTGGATATATACCCAGTAATGAGATTGCTGAATCTACAAAACTTTTTACTGAGATAATCACTAGACTCATTAAAAGTACCAAAATAAATTATTTGCCTAAAGGAAGTTATCTGTATCCTGCTGTTCATGGTAGATAATATCCGTATGGCCATTAAGGTCTCTTTTATAATTTGAGCAAGCTTCAGACTTCAAAGACTTCACCAAGCTACGACTTTTTGCTTTAATCTCCATAGTTCAGCTATATTCACTCTGGCTACAAAAGTTTCATGTTCCTATTTACTTTGACTTTTGTTGGATATGGGCTTTCTAAATATTTTAAAGAAAAATATTGGGACTATTCTTTGGCACTGTAACTCTGAAACAGCTGCTCCCTTAGCACAGAACCATGCACTTGTCAGACACATGGTGAAGACTTGCAGAGTGAATTGTAAAGCCCTGTATTCTCGATCGGGTAAGCACTTGGGCAGCCCCTCCCATTTTGCAGACAGAGAACTAGAAAATCTAGGAAATCTGAGACGTGCATGTGAGAACCAGGATCACTCCACAACTGTGCTGTTGCAGCAGCTGTGATAGAACCAGGCTCAGCTGGTTGCCTCAGTGAGCCACATCTGTTTTCTCTGCCTCACCACCTAGCATTGCATTTCTTCAGCCTGTTTTTCTGGTCCTCACAAAGGGGATGTAATTGTCACATAGGATACTGTGGTTCACAAAGTCCATGGAGTGGCCATCTGAGTTAATTAAAGCTCTGTGGTAGTTGCTGAAAGCATTTCTGCCTGAAGTGATTCTGTCCTGTTGCTTTCTCCTGCAGGGTGTGGTTGGCGGTGTTATGATAGTGACTCCTAACAACATCATGTTTGACCCTCATAAATCTGATCCTCTGGTTATTGAAAATGGGTGTGAGGAGTATGGTCTCATCTGCCCCATGGAAGAGGTTGTTTCCATTGCGCTCTACAATGACATTTCTCACATGAAGATCAAAGATGCCTTGCCATCGTAAGACATTTATTTGTTTACCAGGAAAAAAGGGGTGTTGAGAGAGCTAAATGTAGCTTAAAAATGAGGGCATTTGCATGATTGAGGGATTGTGTAGAGGTGATTTTGAAGATGGAAGACTTGTGCACTGAAGAAAATGAGAAAAATGAGAAGAAATGAAAAGAATAAAATCAATGATGGGAAAAGTTGAACATATAAAGATTAAAGGAGAAAAACAAAGAAGCCGTCATGTAAAAATAGTATTTGTTGGGCTTATTTTTCTAAAAAGCAGTGCACGTTCTTAATGAAATTATGAAGGAAGAAAGGCAGTTCTCTGAAAGAAGTTTATCCAATTATCAATAAGAGAATAATGTTTTCTTCTGGGTTTAATTAAGGAGAGTTATGTTTGTCTTCATTTAACTTCTAGGAAAAGCAGTCTCCCTGATTCATGTCCTCCCTCAGTCCTGCATGGAGAGGGGTTTGGGTCTACAGTGTAGTGGTAGCCACCTTCTCATGCTGTGAAGAGGGAGTAATACCAGTTTGCTTTTTCCCTGAAATACAGATGAATATAACTTCAGTCCTGATTACTTTTGCCTTATAATGCTGGATTTATTGTAAAAAAGAGAGGGAAGCTCCCCAGGAAAAAAGAGAAAGCATTAAGAAAGCTCAGGAAATTGATTAACTGATACAGATAATCTGATTTTTACTGTCCTTTCGCTCTACTGTGTCTGTTTCTCTATAAAAGCCAGCAGTAAAAAACTTTAAAAACCTTCAGTGATGGGAAGAGGCAAAGCAGTAGGTCCTAACAGTAAAGAGGGAAACTAGCCCTTGGGGCTTATATGAAAAAAAAAAAAAAAAAAGGAAGTTACTAGGGAAATCCCTGGAGGTTTATGCAAGTAGATTCCCCTGGACTCCTACAGCCATTAGAATCTGGTCCACTCAGCCCTTCCCCAACCTCAAGCCACTAAGATATCACCAGAACATGGGCCCTGAAGTAGTTTCCAAATTTTGCTGCCAGAAGTGTCTAAATGGGTGGCCAAACAAATAGGGGCATTCCCTACTGAAATAGGGCTCCTAATGGAGTAATACCATTGCACATCTTCAGCCTAGGATATTAAGTATTCTATTTAATAATAGACAGTACATCTTTATATAAAAACTTCTCTCAATGTGAGATTATGTTTAATGATCTCGATTACAAGGGATAATGCCATGATTACAGGAAAAGAGCAGAGTTAAGAATCAGCTTCTAATTTGAAATTATTTCAGGGTTGAAATTATTTCAGGGTTGCACATTGATTCCTGCCTTGGATACAGGTATATAAAGGATTTTTAGTCTAATGAACAAGAATGTGTGAGAGTCAGTGTGAAATAAACTTTGTATTGTCTTCAGAACTTCATAAGTTGTTTAAAAGTTAAAAATTACTTAAAACATCATTATTACCAAAAGTTTAATGATAAAACAATAAGTACAAATTACCCAGTGGCAACGTGCAATAGTTTTTAAAAGTGGGTATGTGTAAAACTCCTCCATCCTCACCTTCAAGTTTGGTATTTGTGTGAGAGTGTGTGTATGTGCGCGTGCACACACGTGCAGGACGTTTTGTAGCTCCGGCTGCCACAGTGAGTAAGAAGGTAACAACTGAAAGGATTGTTGATCATCATTAGGTGCCAGGCTAAGTCTAGAAAACATTAATTAACAAACTAGCCAGTTGACAGCATTATGTATGCTTGGCAACTGCACTGCAGAAAAAGCAGATGGTGAAATTAATCTCAAGTGGGGAATGGACAGTTTGGATTAGGTAAAAGAAGAAAGGGGTAGACAAGGTAATCTAGAAAGCTAATTAGAGTGCAGTTGAAGGTATTTTTGTGGGGGTCAAGCTAGGTAGAGAAGGTGAAGAAAGTTTTGCTTATTAATCAAGTATGTGGAAAGTTGGGTTTCTTTGTTGCAGGACTTCTTACAGGCTTTAATATGCCAAATTCAGTTTTGAGTTCCAATAGGGAGATTATGCTACATTTCACTAACTTGTTTGACTCTAGGATGGAAGCATTTTTGACATCTCCTGGGATGCTGATGTTAGGCAGAACATTTTGTGTTTGCAAGTTCCTGCAGAACAGAGATTCTTTCACAGTTGTATTTCAGAATATAGCACTTAGGGGCTCAATGAATGCTTATTAAATTGAAATGAATTATAAATTATGAAGGCTTTTTAAAGCATTTGTTGGAGCCAACCAATTACATAGGCTTTTATTTTCTATTGGAAAAAGCATGAACCTTTCATGCAGATGATTTATAAAATCACTTTGGGAAGACAGTCTTTTGGAACTTCAGAACTTCCTGGTACTTTGTTGCTTTATTGTCATAACCATTTATGTCAAAGCCAAAATAGCAGATAAAGTTTTATCTGAAGATGATCTGACCTTTTTAGAAAATACAATTATTTCTGAAATTGAAATGTTATTCTTTAAAAGGTTTTTATATCTCTGCATTTCAACCCAGTAATAGTACTACTAGTAGTAGTGGTAAGTGGATGGGTTTACTCAAGATATTTCCAGTCATATTTTTTTCTTACACATATTTGAAAGTATTACTATTTTTATTTATTTTCAACTTTTATTTTAAGTTCAAGGGTACATGTGCAGGATGTGCAGGTTTGTTACATAGGTGCATGCCATGGTGGTTTGCTGCTCTCTAGTCATTTTTTTTAAATGTATTTCTTGATCATTTATTTTACACTTGGGAGAACATGTTTAATCAATATTTTCATGTAATTCCGATCTGGGAAGTAAAGCATCTGTTATTAAGGAAAAATAATTGACTGCATCCCAGGACAATATGTTTCAGCTGATAAACGAGCTGCACCATTGCTATAAAGTAAAGCGATATTGTTATGAAATATTTACTTAAGAAATGTAAGTACTATACATAAGAGCTTTTTAGATAAGATTTACTTTTCTATACATTTTTAAATTATAAGATGGAGCAACTGCCGTATACCCACAATAATAGTGGAAGCTTCCTCTTGCATCTCCTTTGGGAGTAGAGGGCTGTCTATGATTAGAAGCATCAGATCCTAAGCCATGAAACCCAGAATCAGGGTTCAAGGTCAGTGACTTTATATGGAGCAGTTAAGTGAGTAGCTACTAAGTCAACGAGCTTTTCAAAATTAATGTAGTTGTTTTCTACACTATTTGATAAAAAGGAAAATGTTTGCACATTTAAGGAATTTTAGACATTGGTACTAAAATATTTCCTCTCCTTTATCCTTTCCTTCATGAAAGTCAGAAACATTATTATTTCATATTTAGAAATCTTATGGGTAACATCTTCATGTTCATGTATAACTTCCAATTCCATCATGTGCTTCCAGTAGGATATGCAACTCTCATGGTTCATTCTTTCTCCATTTCCTTTAGTTGACCTATGTTTTATTTTGAAATCAATTTCTTGATTTTATTTTTTTATTCTGAAATCATTTGAACATAAATTTAAGTTGTGATATATTTATGTATTGGTTTTTGGTTGAGTTTCTGTTTTGTTTTTTGCCTTTCCTCCATTTTGTTTTTGGTTTTATTTTTAACATTCCATGTGCACCCACCATTTCTCCCCCAACAGTGACCTACCTCAGGATCTTTGTCCTCTGTACAGGCCTGGAGAATGGGAAGACCTGGCTTCAGAAAAGGATATCAACCCATTCAGTAAGTTCAAATCTATCAACAAGGAAAAACGACAGCAGAATGGAGAGAAAATTATGACTTCGGATTCCAGACCAATAGTACCTTTGGAGAAGTCCACAGGACATACACCTACAAAGCCCTCAGGCAGCTCTGTGTCAGAGAAATTAAAGAAACTGGACTCCTCTAGGGAGACATCCCATGGTTCTCCCACAGTGACTAAGCTCAGCAAGGAACCTTCCGACACTTCTTCTGCATTTGAATCTACAGCCAAAGAAAACTTTCTAGGGGAAGATGATGATTTTGTTGACTTGGAAGAACTTTCTTCTCAAACTGGTGGTGGAATGCACAAAAAAGACACCTTGAAGGAGTGCCTTTCTCTTGACCCAGAGGAACGAAAGAAAGCTGAGTCACAAATAAACAATTCTGCCGTGGAAATGCAGGTGCAGTCAGCCCTAGCCTTTTTGGGAACAGAGAATGATGTTGAACTGAAGGGGGCGCTAGATTTAGAAACCTGTGAGAAGCAAGATATAATGCCAGAAGTGGACAAGCAGTCTGGTTCGCCAGAAAGCCGAGTAGAAAACACACTGAACATACATGAAGATTTAGATAAAGTTAAACTCATTGAATATTACCTGACTAAGAACAAAGAAGGGCCACAGGTATCTGAAAATTTGCAGAAAACAGAATTAAGTGATGGAAAAAGTATTGAACCAGGGGGAATAGACATTACCCTTAGTAGTTCTCTTTCCCAGGCGGGTGATCCCATAACTGAGGGCAATAAAGAGCCAGATAAGACCTGGGTGAAAAAGGGAGAGCCCCTCCCGGTAAAACTGAACTCTTCTACAGAAGCAAATGTGATTAAAGAGGCTCTAGACTCCTCTTTGGAATCTACTCTGGACAACAGCTGTCAAGGTGCACAAATGGATAATAAATCTGAAGTTCAGTTGTGGCTGTTAAAGAGAATTCAGGTACCCATTGAAGGTAAGCTGTTTTTCTTTAATGCCTTTATATTCTGTTGCATAATTGCCTTTCTACAATTTGCACATGTAATACCCACATTAGTACATTTATTTGAAAACAGTATTTTCTCAATAGAGTGTATCTTTGCTGATAGCATTAACAATTGGGGAGAAAATTTACAAGATATGGTATCTATTTTGGAACTTGGACTGTGACATAGATCTCTAGATACCTACTTCAAAAGTCGTTTACTTTTAATCTTTCAAGTTACTTTCCTTTTTTACCTTTATTTTCTAAATCTAGAGGAGTTTAAACTGTTTTTGAAGAAATCTCAATTCTAAACTGAATTGCATTATGTTATATTGTGTTCTCAGTAGCATTCATTAATATGTATTCCTGTGAATTGTCCCAATTCTCTATTATTTGCTATTCTATTGGTTTTTAAACTTATTTTCAGTATGTAGCAGCTCATGGGATGTAGTTCAACCTGAAACAACCAAAGCTTTTTCCTTGTGTGCTAAAGAAGGCTTGAAAAATTTATTAGTCCTGATACGATGTTGTAGGATGTTTCTGCAATGTTTTGACTAAGAGAGGATTGTGCACTATTTTTTTTAAGTTGAAAAATTCTGCTATTACCAATATTGTCAATATTGAGGAACAGTTTTTTCGTGTGTGATTCAGATATACTTCCTTCAAAAGAAGAAAAAAGCAAGACCCCACCCATGTTCCTGTGCATCAAAGTGGGAAAACCAATGAGAAAATCCTTTGCCACTCACACTGCAGCCATGGTCCAGCAGTACGGCAAACGGAGAAAGCAGCCAGAGTACTGGTTTGCTGTTCCTCGGGAGAGGTGAGTATGGGCTACAATGGAAAGTCTGTGGGTCTGTTAGGTTTGGATGGCGTTTTGATATTCTTTATCTTAAAATACTTAATTTTATTCTTGAATAAGAGCTTTATCTGAATTGTAGATTTTAGAATTCTAGAAGGATATTATTTAAAGGGACTTTCTGCTAAATGGTGGTTTTAATATAACAAATATGGAGTCATCATAGGTACTATGTCCTGAACTGCTTTCATAACTTTCTACCTAGTTGATTTTTAAATGAAAGAAGAATTTGATGTTCTCAAGTACCAGTAATTAGAAGTGCTCTTTCATTGAGGATAAAGGAATACTATGGAGCAGATCCAAACACCTCTTAAGTGCAAGAAAGAGGCAGGATTATAATTTTCAAAGTGCTTATAATTCTAGGGAATGAAAGATTTATTGTCCTTATGGAGGGAGCATCTGTAGCTCAGCAGCATAAGAAATGTGATCCCCTGGATAGTCTCAAGGGTTGTATACTCCTATAAAAAATTATATTTTCAATTCACCAAAGAAGATACCTTCTTGGTTATGTGGCAGTCTAGGATAGGAGGGATAGTGGCATAGAAATTCTTCAACAGTATATCACTGAGGATGTCTTTATAATAAAAATAATTAGGGAATATTCTTTTTAGAAAACAATTAATTGCTTTTATTTCATATATGTGGTAGAATAAAAATGTCTTATAAAGTCCTTGCACTTAGTTTTCAACACTGTTAAAACCATGCATCTTGCCCCTTAAAAACATCATCATCTAGCCAGATATTCTGGCTAACACACCTGCCAAGAGCAAATACACTCAGCAAGCTTCCATAGCATGATTTCTCAGTAAACAAAATTAAATTCTAAGCAAGAGTGCACCTTCTGGCTGACTACTACCTAGAATGATCATTCTTATTGGGAGAGTTGTCTCATTTTAATAAATTATAGTTTAATGTGAAAAATAATAGGCTTTTTATTAATGAATTTGCTAATAGCTTTTACCTGCCTTAGACACAAACCCACATTAACCCAGGCATTAAACATAACTTGTTTTGCATTTATGTAATATACTCCATCACCTGTGCCTGCAGCCCCCACAGCATCTCCTGGAAATTTAGGGATATTGAGGAGAATGAGGAGAAAATGTGTCTCTTTTGTTATCATTTTAAAATATTTCAACAGAAGCAGTGCAGATTTCTGAAGCTCTGTTAAAATTGGAGTCCTAGAATTAGAATTTTACAGCTGAATAATATCTAAGAGATTTAGGCCCATTCTTGATTTTCTAGGTGAGGAAAACAAAGCGCTGAAACTTTCAGTTACATTGTGGGTTGTGTAAACTTGATCATCTATCAGAAAAACTACCTATCATATATATCACTTTTTCTCTGGGAAAATGTATTCTTTATAATATAAGACAATTGTGTTTTTTTCAATTGTGTTATCTTTGCTGCAACTGTCTGCACCAAGGACTCTCGTAGAATAATTGAAGCAATCCCACACATGTAATTATTTTACTGTCATTTTTAACCCAGAAGAAATCTTTAATGGTAAAATAGTACTTCTCTTTCACTTCTTATACCACTTCAAGTGGTTTTTGTGAGCTTTTAAAAGCAGGTCAACTTTGGGAGGCCGAGGCGGGTGAATCACCTGAGGTCAGGAGTTTGAGACCAGCCTGGCCAACATGGTGAAACCCCATCTCTACTAAAAACACAAAAATAATTAGCCAGGCGTGGTGGTGGGTGCCTGTAATCCTAGCTACTCGGGAGGCTGAGGCACGAGAATCGCTTGAACCTGGGAGGCAGAGATTGCAGTGAGCTGAGATCACGCCACTGCACTCCAGCCTGGGCGACAGAGTAAGACTTTGTCACAAAAAACAAACAAATAAACAAACAAAAAAAGCAGGTCACTTGTGGGATTCTGTTATATTGTATTTTATAGTGTCCATTACTTGTTTACCTTCGGGTAGCAAATAACCTGGAATACTTAGTTTTCTTTCTTGAACTAATTATGAATCAACCAAAGATTTTCTTGGAAGTGTTATATTACACTGCGTTAATGACAATAGTTTTTTTGTGTAGATGTTAGGAATTTTTTTGTGGTAATTACTGCTTCATGTGTTTCCATGTCTACCTCCCCTGAAGGGACCTACATTTTAGTTTAAGTAGGGGGAAGATGAAGCAGTCCCATGGTTAATTCTCATCCAGACCTCCACAGTAAGAAATATTTATTTTTGTTTCTAATCCATGAAATTCTTCAGGACTTAAGGCTCAACAGAAGTCCTTAAGGGGGAGCTAAGAAGTGGCATGTACAGCTTTTCTCACTTCAGTTATAATTTCTGGATTCCCTTGCTGCAGCAAACTGGATGTTTCTACTTGCCTTTCTGTTTAATGGATCCATGCATCCACTGGAGTTTCAGTTGCAGAGTGAAGCCACCCTAGGAGTGGCTCCCTTCCCCTTCGTGGGTTACAGTGTCCTTTTCATAGACCTTATAGATGTGACAACTTGTTCTATTTAGGCAAGTCTCTTTGACTTATCCACTATGTTAAAAATTAAAACTCCTTGTCACAGGATAATTAAATTTCGATGGTGAACTTCACAAACATATGTTTCACTGTTCTCTCTATTGTTCCTAATACTTTTTAAAAATGTTTACTTTTTCCTTTATTATTATTACTACTAAAAAGTTAACTGTACCAAATCTCTCCTTCTTTATTTACAATGTACCCTATGGGTTTCCCAACTCCATCACTGAATGAATAATCTACCAAGTAAGACCATGGAGAGGGCGGGGCTGTGGGGGGGCCAGAGGGTGGTAGTAAGGACAGCAACGATGGAAACCTTGCATAGTCTCCGTTAATCTCCTTTGTTTTGGGTAGGTGTTTTTTTCTGTGGCAATTCTTACTAAGTTTTAGATACTAGAAATTAGAGATGTGAAGTAGTTAAAAACTGCCTAAATACGTAATAGTTTTATTTACCTTGGTAGAAGTTGTCAGATCTAAGACCTCCATGAATCCAGGAAAGCCAGCAGTTTCTTCTTGCACACCTGTACACTACGACTTGAAACATACTCAGGTTCACTGAGAATTAAATACTCGTCAACCTTATGTCCTCCCTGTCTCCAGTGCAGCTTGCAAAATCAGGTCATTCTCTTGAGACAGCTGAAGATAATAGTGGTGTGCTGGGGAGATCTGCAGTTTCCACAACTCTACTTATAAACCTGGGAGGTGCTGGCTCCTCCTGCTTTCACTCTTGGTGCTAGTTTAAACATAAGGACAATGTTCCACCATATTTTAATCATCTAGTACAAAATTTCTCAACCTTAACACTATTGACATTTTGGACTACGTAGTTTGTTGTTGGAGGGGGTGGGTGGGGGTGAATTGTATGTTTAGCAACCTCCATGGCCTCTTCCCACTATCTGCTAATAGCATCTCCCCAGTTGTGGTAAACCAAAGTATCTCCAGACATTGCCAAAATGTCCTCTGGAGGACAAAATCACTTCACATTGAGAACCACTGGTCGCGTACTAGACTCGGGCCTCTGTACCATTCTGAAAGTGGGGTTGAAAGCCACAATAGCTAAATAATTTAGAGATTTCACTACTGTCCCCTTCCCTAGAAGAGGTGTGGAGTCTTGGGCTGAAATAATGAGCCCCAGAACCAGGCAGATGTGAATGGGAATCCCCAGAAGTATGGGCCTTTGAATGAGATACTTTATCTCCTTGTACCATAATTTCTTAATTTAAAAAATAGATCAATAAGGACAACGTGAAGTTTAAAGTTCAATGCAGAGGATACCTTACACATTCATCATCACAGACAAGGAGAAGGCAGAAAAGCTAAAGCAGTCCTTGACCCCTGGTTTGGCAGTGAAGGAGCTGAAATGAACCAGACACACTGATTTGGACTGTATTAACCGATTTCCCATTTGCACCAAGAATACTGTGCTGGCAGCAAGCTGTACTTTTTTTTTTTTTTCCTAAATGGGAAATGGGTTAAAATATTTAAAAATTTAAAAATGTAGATGATTGTAAGCATTAAGTAATTAGATCATATTTGAACAAATAATTATTTGGTGCATACTTCCTGGCAGGCACTTATTTACCTAGTTTTAAGTAAATAAGACTGGGACCCTATCCTGAGAACCTTATGAAAAGTGATTGAAGATACTTCTTAACACTTTGTAGAGATATAATATTCCGTGAATTTGGATACTGTTTTATATTTTAAAAACCTCAATTGTCTTTTTCCCCCCTTCCCTTTCTTAATGCTGACAGATTGTCCTTGATTAGAAAGAACCAATAATTCTTCTCTAAAGTAAAACTTTTCTCTTTTTTCCAATTATTTATAGCCTTTTAATCTCTGAAATGTTTTATAATAATTCTATATTATCCAGCTTTTAAAATAAATAAGATGGAAATAGTGTTAAGTAGCAGGAATTATGTAGAGTTTCTCAAGCCATGCATAAATGTTTAATCCAAACTTTTTAAGTTGGTTAGTGTGATTTGTATAATAAGTAAACTAATAAGAAAGCGAAGGGAGAGAAGGAGAAGGAAAGCTCATGGGGTTTAAATTTTTATTTTTGTTTAACTTGAAAAAAAATTATGCTGAGATAACTTTAGTAACACTTGAACATACAGATAAGCCAAAAGGAGATGGGGAAAAAATCTATTTTGCAATTGGCTTTTTTCCCACTTAATATCCTGTGTACATTTTCCACATCATGTGCTGCGTTAGGCCATTCTTGGGTTGCTATAAAGAAATACCTGTGACTGGTTAATTGACGAGAAACAAAGGTTTAACTGGCACACAGTTCTGCAGGCTGTGCAGGAAGCATAGTGCTGGCCATCTCTGCTTCTGTTGAGGCCTCAGGAAGCTTACAACACCAAGGCAGAAGACAAAGACAGTGCAGGCTTCTCACATGGCAGGAGTGGAAAAGAGAGAGAGTGGGCGGAGTTGCTACACACTTTTAAGCACCCAGATCTCGGGAGAACCCACTACAGCAAGGACAGCACCAAGCAATGAGGGATCTGCCCCCACGACCCAAACACCTCCCACCAACCCTCACCTCCAACACTGGGGATTACATTTCGACATGAGATATGGCAGGGTCACAGATCTCAACCATATCATATGCTATGTTAGTTCATATATGTATATATGTGTGTGTGTGTGTGTGTGTGTGTCTGTGTGTGTATATATATATAAAATATATATATATTATATAATACATATATATACATAATACATATACATAATACATATATATATATAATGCAGTTAGCACACCATTATGTTTTCTGATTGATTTAATCATGTACTTACTTTGGATATTAGGTTCTTTTGAATTTTTGGCCATTATAAGCAATGTTACATTAAAAGTATCTGTAAAATCCTTCAGGGAGTCTTATGAAATCCAAGAATATGTTTAAGGCTTTAAATACATGTTGCACATGAAAGTGTGTGACCATATATACACCCACCAGCATAAGAGTATCCTTTTCTCCAGATGCTTGGAACACTGAGTGTTATGATTCTTTATATCTAAGTCAGTAGATGAATAAAGAAACAAATGTAGCTATAAAATGTTTTATTTTAAAGGTGAGTGAGCACTTTTTATATAACATCTGTTTGATATAAGGTAAGGCCAATTGAGGCCGGAGAGTTTTGGTTCTGTGTGATTCCTTTAATAAATAGATTTTATGGCTGGGCGTGGTACGTCATGCCTGTAATCCCAGCACTTTTGGGAGGCCAAGGTGGACAGATTGCTTGAGCTCAGCAGTTCAAGACAAGCCTGGGCAACATGGTGAAATCACATCTCTACAAAAAAATACAAAAATTAGCTGGATGGTGGCACACACCTGTAGTTCCCAGCTACTCAAGAGGCTGAAGTGGGAAGATCACTTGAGCCCGAGATGCTGAGGCTGCAGTGAGCTAAAATCACGCCTCCGCACTCCAACCTTGACAAAAGAGCAAGACCCTGTCTCCAAAAATAAAAATAAAAAGATTATTTATACCTTAATATAAAAATGTATAATACATTTATTTGTTAAAAAGTATTCTAAAGTGCTGTTTCTCTAATTGGCTTCTATTTAGGATCAGCAAACTCATTTATACTCAATAGACAGTTATGTTTTGTGTTTGCACACGTATTTAGGATAAACTCATTATGTATAAGTTAAATTGATTCTGTTTTAGAAAGCATGATAAGTTATTACATAATGTCAAGCATAATTCAAAGTCTCACTATCTCATTATAATATTTGGGATTTTTGTGCTTTCACAATAAAAATGAGTAACGTATACATGCGCACACAGGTATCTGTCAGTTTAAAAGGTATAATCTATGTTGCGTGTATATACCTGATAGTCCAATTTGAGACTAACAGTAGTATTTCCTGTAGTATAGTTCATCACCCAGAGTTCTCCATGGTTGCCTGGACCAAAGAGTAGAACCAAGAGCTCAAGGCCCCTTTTTAAGAAATGGTACCTTTTCTTTAAGTCAACATTTCCCCCAGGATATTCAATGGAAAGCTAGTCCCATGAACAAGCAATGGGTTAGAAAATAGATGTTTCATAGTTAAATATGTTTCATACTTAGTTCTTAGCTCTGTGTAGAGCAGAGCCTTAAGCTCATAGTTTTTATTCCTTAAATAGGCTTCTTTAAGGATTTCTTAGTTTTATTTTCTATTCTCTATTATTTTTCCTGGAATTGGCATAATAGCACACAGTTAATTTTTACTTTATCTCTAATCACATTTTGATTTTATGAGATTACTTTCATATCAATATATATTTAAAGACATGTTAGTTCAATCTCTCTGTTGGCTTTAAATTCTTTACTATAGTAAATGCAAATTGGGATGTATTTCCCTTTTCACATTTTTTTTTTGAGATGGCATTTTGCTCTTGTCACCCAGGCTGGAGTGCAATGGCATGATCTCGGCTCACTGCAGCCTCCGTCTCCTGGCTTCAAGCAATTCTCCTGCCCCAGCCTCCCAAGTAGCTGGCATTACAGGCACCTGCCACCATGCCTGGTTAATTTTTGCATTTTAGTAGAGACAGGGTTTCACCATTTTAGCCAGGCTGGTCTCATACTTCTGATTTCAAGTGATCCGCCTGCCTCGGCCTCCCGAAGTGCTGGGATTACAGACATGAGCCACCATGCCCAGCCCCTTTTTGACATGTTGAGTAGTAGCATCCATACATACTAAGACCATGTAGTAACATTTTGGCCACAAAAGCTATATTTTATTGTTAGGAGTGACTAGTTGATGACCGATCATAGTCAGGATTTTTCAACTCTCTTTCTATCTTCTTTTTCTTTTTCTAAACTATTCACTCTTGGTTCTGGAACATTTAGAGCAAAGCCTGAAAGTCATGAGTACTGAGCTTTTCATGATGTGCCATCCATCTGAAATCTTACTCATTTTTAAAACTATGGGTGCTAAGCTTCATTGGACCCTGATGTCATTCAGGTGCCTGAATTGCAACATTATAAAAGCATCAGATTATTCTGGTTGAGCACATATTTTTACAAAGATCATCCCATGTTATCTTCATCATCCCAAGGAGAATTTCTACTCTTAAAAACTCAAAGAGGAATATCAAAGAAATTAACCCACTACCTCAGCTATCAGTTTGCCCAGAGCTAAATCAGAGAGCATTAAGAGAGCAGATTGGGCAACAAATTGATGCCCTTCTTGACTTTGTGCTACTCTGATTGTGAATGTAGTACTTGAAAATAACAATTTCCTATTCTTTAGTTCCTCTTCTTAAAACCTATTTTGTACCATATGTCTATGATAATCTTCTAAAAAAAAACTATTCTGATCTTGTTTCATTCCCACAAAAATATCTTAAGCCTTCAGGACTCATGTCTAAACCCCTTCTGTATTTTTAAAAACCCTTCATAAAAGTGCTAGGATTACAGGTATGAGCCATTGTGCCCAGCCTATAATACATATTCCTAAACATTAGTTGGATGGGTTCATGAATAAATGAGCTTATAATCTAATAAATAAAAAATGTATTTGTTATTTCTTATAATTAAAATTATACAGACTAATATTTAGAAAATACAGAAAAGCAAAAAGAAGAAAATTGAAATCTCATAGTTTTGTTACAGAGAACTAACTACAATTCATTTTATCTGTATAGCCTTTTAGCCTTTCTTTCAATGCATGGATTAATGTAATAATACTATATAGATCATACATATATAGTATATGTAAATTGCTTTTCCTTAAAAATGTGTATTTTTCTGCCATTAAATATTCTATTCACATGCATTTAGTGAGCATGAATTATTTTATAATGAGAATCATAAAAAATAAAATTGATTCCCTATTAAACTTGTTTTACAATGGAAAGATGTTCAAATCCTAAGGACCTTCATGAAGACAGCAAAATGCTCTTAACAGCACCTTTTCTTAGAAATAAGGGATGAATTAAAGGAATTACAAACTGACCTAGTTTTCTAGCATGAAATCTTTAACCATAGTTAATGTGGAATTTTCTGATCAAAAGTCACCTTGCTTCTACTGGGATCACAGCTAACCTGGAATCTTTAATGCCTCCTGGTGCCAAGAAGACCATAATCTTGAACATTTTTTAGTACTGTACTTGCTGGAACAACTGAGGTCCTACTCAGCCATACCAGGTATATATCAGAATACAAACCCTGTGATTCGTAAGTACCACTTACCAATGTGTTATACTGTAATTTTATGATGATTCTTTAAGTTGAAAGTCACTAGTAAAGAAAAAACCCAAACAAGATCTCCAAAACATCCCTGAAAGAATTGTCTTCTTGTCTTCCTATTTAGTATGAATTTTGGAAAACCCCTAAACAAATATGTAATTATTGATTATTTTATGTTTTAAAGTGACACTGCTTGCTCTCCCTTCCTGATTATTTTACCTTTTTTTCATCAACTGAAAATTCCAGAAATTCATTACCCTCCAAAAACACCCTCTTAGGCAACCACCCCCCAGTAACTTCAGTAACCAGCTTTGGCAAATACCTTGAGTTAATCATTCACTCTACAGTCAGACGTAAGCTCATGAAAAAATAATCTTCTTTGTAAGTGAGCTCTTCACAGTGCTTTCTGGTGGCGGAGCAAGCTTGGAGACAAGTAGCTTTGGAGAATAGCTGAGGGTCCATTTCCACTGCAGACTAATCCCTGCCAATGGGTGCTGCACACAGTGTTTGGGAGTAAGTATGCAGAAACAGTAATGATTGCAAACCTAAATGCCTGCAGGGGCTGTGGAATGGGGGTAAAGGAAGCATGAGGCCAGGGTTAATTATAGAGCTCCTTCTCTACCAGTAGGGGCTGTGGACCTCTGTAGCTAGGTGGGAATGGGAACACAGGCCTGGGGTGTTGCTACATCTTCTCATCTTTTTCAAAAAGGAAGCCGAAATATCGATTAAATATATTAAATCTCCCCAGTTGTTAAGTATTGTCCACTGTTTAATTTTAAAGATAGTGAGCAGAGCAAAGAAAACATATTTACTTCTGAATCCACGCTATGGGCTGCCAGCCTGAGGCCTCTGGCATTGATATTAATATAAACTTTTACGTTTTTATTCATTTTCAAGTAATCCTTTTTATAACCACAACTGCTGTTTTGAGCTTTCTCAACAGAGCGTTCCTATTATTTTTGGTGAACCAAAGAGTATTTTTCTTTCCAGCTTTATTGAGATAGAGTTGACAACTTAAAATTATGTATTTTTGAGATGTTCAACCTGATGATTTCATGTATGTGTACATTGTGAAATATACATCACAATGGAGCTAATTAAACATCCTCATTACCACACAGTTAGTTGCCATTTTCTTCTTTTTTGGTATGTGTGGTAAGAACACTCGTTAGCAAAAAAGGACCTGTCTACAATGCATTGTTAATTATAGTCACATTGTTGTACATTAGATTCAAAGAAGAGTAGTTGGTTTGTAAATAAATAAAGTTGTTTTTTTTTTATAGACACACTAAGACCCTTTAAAAATGGACATTATACCTGGGTATTACTAACCATTGATTTAATTTGGAGTTTTAGAATACTGAAACTGGAAGAGGCCCTACAGTGCAAGGAAAATTACCTTTTTCACATGAGAATTTCCAGCCAGGCCATTAGGACTGGATTTTTAAAGGCAGTCGTTTTCTAGCAGCAACCTCTGTGGTGAAAACTGCTTTGCCCTACTGGGCTTCTGTAGCTGTTTTCAGAATGGAACCCCCAGAAGTTTTAGACAGACATGCATTTGAATAATTTATGATGGACAATACAAGTGACCAACGAAACTGCATGCATATGCGTTTCAGTACTTTCTAGGGCACATTCTTCTTTCCTTTCTTTACATGTCCTCTTTCAGTATTTCCCATTCTCTGTGCCATAATATACTCTGAAGTATGTTTTTAATGTAATAGCTATTAAATTGTTTAATGGTTCCTGCTTATCAGTTTTAAGTCAAGTGAGTTTCGGGATTATATTTTGCTGTGTGTGCCCCCAGTTCCTTTTCCTACCAGTCATGCAGCTTTTGATAGGGCAATAATTCCTTAACTGTTCTGGGTTATTTTGAGTACGTTTGTTGGTTTACAACAATGTAAATGGCAATGAGATGAGAGAGTTCCCTTGACCCCTTTGTGGGACTTGCAACAGGGATATCACCTTTACTCAGCTGCTGCACTGAAACCCCTTGCAGGAGGGGGAGCACGCAGGTGAGTGGGTACAGGAGCTGGGGCGGGTGCCTTTGGGCACCAGTGGGAATGAACCCTGTACCAGCCCATAGTAGCGTCTAGGGGTTGCCCACGACCACTGGAGCCCCAGAGGTCATAGGTTACAAACAGTGCTCTTTTAGCATTTGCCATCCATGGATGACTAAGTGTTAAACCAGCTTAGTGGAGAGTCAGGGTGATAGCCCTTTTCACCCTGCCCTCTTGGTACCCGGGTTCTTGTCCAGCATCCAGGAAGAAATCAGGTCCCATGGCCTTGAAGGATGGTGAATGTGGAGATTTGATTGAGCAGTAGAAGTGGCTTTCAGTGGGATGGGGAGCTGGAAAGGAGATGGAGTGGGAAGATAGTCTTCCCCTGGAGTTTGGCCAGACCTGGCTGAACTCCTCCGACCGTCCCCGACCAAACTTCTCTCTGACTGTATTCTCCAATGTCCAGCTGCCTCTTTTCCTCTCAGCATTCAGGCGCTTCTTCTCATCTTTCCTCTGCTGAGCCACTCTGCTTCTCTGCCAGTGGAGCTTGTGGTTTTTATGGGTGCAGGGTAGGGGGTGTGGCAGGCCAAAAAGTAACATTTGGGGGGAAAAACGGGGATGTGAAGTTCTCATTTAGGGCCACAGGTCCAGGCTTGAGGGTGGAACCCTTGCAGAGACCCCACCCTTTTTTACCTAGTATTTCTCTGCCTCCTGTCTATATCAGCAAGATTTTAGATCCTCATGTAGAAGAGACTTTCTAAAAGATCTGTCCAAAAGTAGAATGAACTTCCTTGCGTATTTAATAATCCAAACACTGATAGGGTGGGCTAAGTTTTCTTATCTTCATTTTGGAAGCTCAGAGAGGTTAAGGAACTTTCCCAAAACCTCCAGCTAGTAACAGGCGGAACCAACTTGGGAATTCAAGTGTTTGACTTAGAAATGTATGGTTTTTAAACTTTAACTCATAGCCATGTTTTTTTTTTTTTTAAAGTGGGGATGGAAGGGAAGCAACAGTAAATTAAATCCTACCGTAACTAGTAGTGAATCTTGTTCAATAAACTAGATTGTAATTTTACCTAAAGTCCATACACCTAAGGCATGAATGGTAGGTAGATATATGGTTTGTTTCAAGCATCAACTCTCCAATTTTTCATCAGATTTTCAATCCTTAAGCCCTGGAGCTTTGTCAGTGACAGGCTTTTATGAACTAGCAAAACCAGGACAGTGGAAGTGACCCTAAAAGAAACAGTAAAGCATATTGTTTAAGACCATGAACTGACCTTGTGTTCGTCCCAGGTCCACCCCTAAAATGCTATGTGACCTTGGGTGACTTAATCTATGTAAGCATCTGTTTCTCATGCATTAAATAGGAATGATCATAATAGTGCCTACCTCACGGGATTATAATGAGAATAAATTAGCATGCCCATGTATTAAATGAAAATTAGTTGCTGCTGCTGCTGCTATTACCTCTCCTTCAATCTGTTGTGCTTTGTTGCCTGAGTTAGGTGCTGCCTTCCAAGAAACTATCATTTACCTTCTTTGAATTTCTTCTTTAGAGATGACAACTCTATCTGCTAAACAGGGATTTGTAATTTGAATATGGTGTCTCCTTTGGGATAAATCCCTAAAGGAGCCTTGTATTGAAGATAAAGACCTTTGAGGTGTATGAAGAAATCTGATTAAGGCCAAATTTGTAATTAAACAGAAAACCTAAACAAAGGTGAGGGCCAGATTTTAGATGGGTTGATTTTGTGCCTGGCAGAGCATGTATGGCAGGTTTCTTCCCATGCCCTCTGCCACACCTGGGGTCTGGCCTTGACCATCTCCTGCCTGGATCACCATTGCAGCCATAGCAACAAGGCCTTTATTTCTAGTTGATCCTGTCTCTTCCTGGCCTTCCCTACTTGGCTCCACAGCAGTCCTTCTCAAGCACAGATTTGTCCATGTCTCTTCCTGCTAAAGCTATGAACGCATGGCCTCCCTGTGCCTGTGGTTTCCTATGGCAGCTTCAGCTATTCACATACATTCCCTCCCTCACAAATATCCCTAGATCTGCCTACCATCTATACTACTGTTTACTTAATGGTTGTCTTTAAAGGATTTAAATAGTAATTTTTTTTACTTAGTCTTTTCCTAAATAGCAATATCTGTGAAATCAGAAAAATAATATGCTAGTAGTACTTATTTTTACTACCTTCTTTTTTTTTTTTTTGAGATAGAATCTTGCTCTGTCACCCAGGCTGGAGTGTAGTGGCATGATCTCAGCTCACTGCAACCTCCACCTCCTGGGTTCAAGCAATTCTTCTGCCTCAGCCTCCCAAGTAGCTGGGATTACAGGTGTGTGCCATCATGCCCAACTAATTTTTTTCTAATTTTAGTAGATACAGGGTTTCACCATATTGGACAGGCTGGTCTCGAACTCTTGACCTCATGAACTGCCCACCTCAGCCTCCCAAAGTGCTGGGATTACAGGCATGAGCCACTACCCTTTAAGTACATATGTAAGTATTAAAATATGTTCTTCTGCATACCCTCTGAAGTCACTGGGACTGCCCCACCACACTTCAGGAAACAGTGGCCACAGGCTGAGTTCCAAGTATTTTATCTTATGCTTGGGACTTTCTGTGACCTAGTGACCCACCTGCTCTGTCTTCTTTCTTCTTATCTCCTACCTTTCCATTAAGCAAATGGTAAGTCTTGTTCTTTTATTCCTCCTCTCAGGAATTCCTTCCCTGCCTCTTGAGTTCCTATTCAACACCAACATCCCAGCTCCGATGCCCCTCAGCTGTTGTGTTGGCACTGTGCTAACATTTTTTTGTTTACTCTCCACCACCTGAGCACCTTGAGGCAGGGCCTGGGTATCCTGCATCTCTGTCCTTTTTACAGAATTCTTTGTCAGAAATCACCAGTGATCTGATGGCATTGTCCTCCTTTTGCTCTGCCATGTCCACTTTGACCTCACTGCAGCATCCCCCTGGTCTTCCAATGCCATGTCTTTGCATGGGTTCCCTCCAGTAGAATGCTGTTTCTCCTTCCTACTGTAATGGACTCTTCTGCCTCCCTCAACACCCAGTTTAACCATGGCCCCTGGGAAGCCTTCCCCTACCCCAGCCTTAGACACTTCACTGGGCTTACCTTTGCCATGATTCTTAATTTAAAAAGAAAGCAATAGTGTGAGCACAGAGCCAGAATGGACACTGGCTGCATTTTGGAGACTGGTGCAAAACAAAGCTCCCAGGCAGCCCCAAAGAGGTCACATTTATCCCAAAACCTATGAGGAGACATTGGGAAAACATTACAGGCAGTTAGGTGAAATGCTCAGGTTTGCATTTTATGAGCTCGATTTTGCCTGTCTGCTGTTTCTTCTTGGCCTTGTGCTAGGACGGCTCTGCTTTCTCCTTAAATATTAGTGGTTTCTTGGGACCCAGTACTTGACCCAGTTCTCTGTTCATGGGTGTTACCACACACCCACTGCTTCAGCAGCAGGTAGCAGCCAGGGTGAGTAATTACTAGTAATTCTGTTCACTCATCCATCAGCCCTGCTTAGTGTCCTGAGGTAGTGGAAGCCCAGAGAAGCTCAGTGGTTCATCCAGACCACAGCGTGAGTCACAGAGAGTTTCCAAAAAGCCATTGACAGACCTGCCAAGGTTAAAACGGGTGATGACTGAGATACTGCTGATGTTTACAGTGGATGATCTTTGAGAAGATCAGCTTCACTAGAGTGGTGAGGGAAGGAATAAGATTTTTTTTTTTTTTTTTTTTGAGACAGAGTTTCACTCTTGTCGCCCAGGCTGGAGTGCAGCGGTGCGATCTCGGCTCATTGCAACCTATGCCTCCGGGGTTCAAGTGATTCTTCTGCCTCAGCCTCCCAAGTAGCTGGGATTACAGACCCCTGTAATGCCACCATGCCCAGCTAATTTTTGTATTTTTAGAAGAGATGGGGTTTCACCATGTTGGCCAGGCTGGTCTAGAACTCCTGACCTCAAATGATCTGCCTGCTTCGGCCTCCCGAAGTGCTGGGATTACAGGCGTGAGCCACCGCACCCAGTCAGGAATAAGATTTTAAAACCTGCCACCTTCCAGAAAATACCGGAGCCAGGTTCGATTTAACAAAGGGCATATACAGAAAGGTGAACAAAATCAGAATAGAAGAGTTCAGGAATGAAAAGAAATTGGGAAATCTGCCAGCCCAGTTGTCAACAATACACTCTAAAGGGAAAGTGAGGTGTGGGAGGGACTTTGGGAATAAATAAAATCCGAACCCTTTTTTAAAATTATTTATTTATTTTTACTATTTTTATTTTTTGGAGACAGAGTCTTGCTTTGTCGCCCAGGCTGGAGTGCAGTGGCATGATCTCGACTGACTACAACCTCCGCCTCCTGGGTTCAAGAAATTCTTGTGCCTCAGCCACCCGAGTAGCTGGGATTTTACAGGTGTGCACCACTACACCTGGCTAATTTTCGTATTTTTAGTAGAGATGGGGTTTCACCGTATTGGCCAGGGTGGTCTCAAACTCCTGGCCTCAAGCAGTCCTCCCACCTCGGCTTCCCAAAGTCCTGGGATTACAAGCATGGAATTTATGGATCCAGATGAAGGAGATAGGGGAATGGAAAGGTCGCAAGGTGGGGTGGTGGAAATAATAGAGGAAATTCACCAGGGAGTGGGACCCTTAAAAGTACAGAGAGGAGGGTTAAAACAGGTCAAAGAGCAGTTACTCCTTTTGAAGAAAAAGAGTGCTAAGAGGGATGGCAGAGGGAACACATTTTAAGAACAGTACAATAGAGAATCTTCCATTCCGAGAGGAGGCAGGTAGGAGAGTGGGGTGAGCTTGAAAAAATAGAGGCTAAATATGTACTGTGTAGAGTAGGAAAGAAAAAAAGCTACAGGTGAGTACGGAGCTGCACCAGGAGAGGGTTTTTCCTAGCCAAGATTAGCTGCCTTTGTAGTGGACCCATTAAGCCCAAATAAGCAAACCTAGCTACATTCATCATCCCAAGAGAAGAGCTGGAAAGATTATTGTGTTTGTTTCTGTGGGAAGTTTGGAAGGGCAGGTGCAGAAGGATCGCTGCTGTAGGCCTACCTCTAGGGGGCACTGGTGAGGGTGAGCCTGAAAGAGAGATCCTAAAGTATATGAACCCAGAAGAGGCTGAAGACTGGGGAGAGAGGAGGAAGAGGGGTCAGGGCGGGAGCATAGCTGGTATAGCCAGGAGAAAGATGTGGTTTAGATGGAAGGCAGAGGGATCAGAAGGGGAATTTCAGAGCTTGAGGTCTGTTTCCAGAGGGCAGAGTTGAGTTCTGGGAAATGACCCACTAGGAAAACCCAGTGAATGAAAAGAACATTCCAATAATTAGGTTAAATAAACAAGGCAACCCTAACCTAGAAGGAAAAACTATGAAGTCATATCCTCTCCCCCAGGTAAATTGTAAAAATAACCTAAACAAAAGATAGAGAATTGAGCGGAAGGATTGCTGGGAAGAGGGACATTGACTCCTTCCACCTCGTCTCCAGAGGACTTAGAACTTAAGTAAGCAAATTGATTCTACATGAATCTTAATATCCTCTTGTGGGACAGGCCATGTCCCTTCTTCATTCCTCCTCCTCTTCCCTCAGAGGCATAGCATGAGGGCCCTGTCTACGTGAGAGAATGAGGGGATATTATGCGGGAGGCTACTGTTGAGGGAAATAGGAGTCTGCCAGTGCCCTGAACATCTCAGAGGAAAGAAGAACAAGCATTTGCTGGCAGAGTGCCCCATTGCAGATGTACCTTTGAGGTTTCCCATCTCACCTCCGCTGAGGCTGCCCAAGGTTTGGGCGACTCTAGTGACTGCAGAGACAGAGGGTACCACCTGAGCGATGGGGGAAGCATTCAGGGCGGCTTCCCCTTCACACTCCCCAAACACAGAGCACAGCACTGACGGGCTGGCTCCGGTGGTGCTGTGAGTCCCTCATCAGCGGAAGGTGCAGGAGCGGGAATAACAGGGACTGAGCTGCATGTGCCCTAAGGGCCACTCGGGACATCTCACTAATACTCCTTTAGATTTATTAATGAAACCTAAAGCCAAGGAAGTAGTTGGCCCATACTATGACATGAGATCTGACTATGGACAGATACTAAAATGTTCCCCACCTCCTTGGACTTAGCATTTATTTTAAAAAAGCGGGGGTTGGGGAACAGCTTAGAATTACTGGAACGTTCCTGGGGATGGGGTGTTTGGGCACATTATTGAGTCTTACCAACTCTCAATTTCCTTAACTTTAAATTTGGCACAGTAATACATGCCTCATAGAGTTACTGTACAATGTAAGGTCCTTGAGGCAGGAAATCACAGCTTTTCTTTTTAGGTAGATGGTATATTTTACCAGCATTGGTTAAAACATAAGGTTGCTTTTCTGCTTAATGTTAAGTGTTTACGACTCTAAGCCTCTATTGTGTGATATATTGAAAGTGCTTTTTCCTTTTCTCTAGAAACCTTCCTCCAGTGGTAAGTCCCAAGAAAGCCTGTGCTTACTCAGTTTAAAGGGCTGGCCATGGCTGCTGCAAAATAGTCCACTCTGGGAACAAGCAAACCCAGAGCCTAGATTTACTACTCACAGAAAACCCAGCAGTTCCAAAAGAGTAGGCTTGGGATATGCCCCCTTACCTGGTCACCCCAGATTCCTGTCCTAGGCTGAGATATTTCTTCTAGAGAAAATGGCACCAGCAGGTAAGAATGCTTTATGCCAAAATTGACACCCCAGTACACTCCATCTCACATCTTCTTGTTAAACCTAAGAAACACACACATATGCACATGCAGCCATTTCCTTCCATAACATGCCCACAGTGGCAGGGGGCTTGATCTAAGTTTCAGAATCAGTAGCACACCATGCCTCAATTTGTCTGCTCCTAAAATGGTTATGGCAAGACCCGACCACTTCTCTAACCCCTTTGGAGAGTTTCCCTTCAGGAACAATGGAATAGAGAAAGGGATGTTGTCTTTTTCTGTTGACTTTCTAGGACCACCCTAATTCATCAGAGAAGCTCTAATAATATTGAGATCTTCAAAAGAGATGGTATTAGGCGTTTGATTCCTCCTCAGGAAATCCTACAGACTTTATATAAATCTTCCTTCTCCCTGACCTACTACCCCATCCACCTTCCCGATGGGTTGTAGGAATGATGAGTGGTCTTCATCAAACAGGGTGTACTCAGTCATACCTCTCTCCAGAATACTAAGTCCTACTTATATCTGCATAATTAAACAGGACAATATAATCATGTCCCTGAGCAACTTGATGTTTTTGTCACCAGAAAGGGAAATGACTAGCAATTGCTAAGATAGTTTCTCTCCCTAAAATCTTAATTGACCTGCACTTTTCACACTTTACGTTTTCTTGCAATGTCTAAGAAGAAATGAAAGCTTAACTCCAAATCTGTGATTGATTCTTCATTCCCTTGCAGTCTTGCACAAGAATATTTGATTGCATGAACTCAGCATTCTCAGAACATTTCCTTTTTCACTCGGTGTCTATGATTGTCCAAAGACTTTCCCAAAGTAGAGTAAAATGTTAGAGGAAAAATGAGTAGTGCCTAATGGAAAGTGGGTCCAAAAAGTGATTTAAAAATGTGTCTTGTGTTGTAACTAGAAAATTAACTGGGAAATGGTTCAGAAACCACTGTGGAATGAGAGGAGGACTTTTTAGTGTGATAGAAAGAACGCTGATTGCCACCTCAGGAGATCTAGTCCTGGCTGTGATCCTGATGTTTTCATTCAGAGCCCTCATTCTCTGATACCTAAGGAAAGTCAGTTGAATGAAATGCCATCCAGTGTCCAGCTCTAACATTCCAGAAGGGAGGCTTCATGAAGGCAGGGTCATTGGCACACAGTGGGTGCCCAGGAAGTGTTGTCAAAGGAAGCAATGCCCTCTAGACAAAGACCAGCAGGAACACACCTGTAATTGAGTAAGTCAGGTTAACTTGTTGCAGTGAGGGAGAACACACACAATATAGGGAACCATGGGTTACCTCAGAGGATGTTAGAAAGGAGTGGCTCATGCCTGTAATCCCAGCACTTTGGGAGGCTGAGGTGGGTGGATCACGAGGTCAGGAGATCGAGACCATCCTGGCTAACATGGTGAAACCCCGTCTCTACTAAAAAATACAAAAATTAGCCGGGAGTGGTGGCGCATGCCTGTAATCTCACCTAGTCAGGAGGCTGAGTCAGGAGAATCACTTGAACTCGGGAGGCAGAGGTTGCAGTGAGCCGAGATCGCACCACTCCAGTCTAGCCTGGGTGACAGAGTGAGACCGTGTCTCAGAAAAAAAAAGAAAGGACTTATGGGATTTTGGTTTGTGTTAGGTGATTTGAGGGAGGATTCAAGGAAGCAGGGCCTTGCTCTAAATGGGATGCTGTCAGGAAGTAGGGGTAATTTTAAGATTGGGTATTTTATTAAATCCTATCTAGAAGGAAGGAAGACTGGAGAGACTAATGCTATAATTGGGAAGGAAGCACAGTCATTCTCATTACCCAAATTAGGGAGACGTTTGGTCATTTTTGTGGCTGGATAATGTTTGTGTTGTTTGTGTTCAGCTCTGATTACAAAGTTGTCTTGTTTTTGTTGTGATTCATCATGGTCATAGAATGGCCTTATTTAGTGTGGATGTTCTGGAAAATTATATTAAATAGGAAAACATCGGGCATAGCTGTGAATGCTAAGCCGGCTCTTAGTAACACTGAGGCCTGGCTGATAGTACCAGGCTAGTTCTCAGATATTAGGGACTGCATGCCTTTTTCTCTCAAGTCAGCTAGCCAGCAACCTATTAGGAACCACTTATGCCCATACATTTTATCCAGTGTGGCTATGCACATAATATATATTTCCTTTTCCAAAAGTTATAGTGAAGCATAGTTCATTCTCAACTCTATTTCAAAACATATTTAAGATGGACTAAATTTTTAAGTATTGAAAAAACTAAGATTTATAATTGTATCTTTGTCAAACCTCTCTGGAGTGATGATTTATTTCATGTTTTCTAAGTTAACTTTTAATAGGGAAGTTAATTCTACACGGCAAAAATAGTTCAGTGGTTGAAGAGAGAGAGATAGCTGGTGGGAGGGTAAAAATAATATAATCCCTATACAGCAGAATGTGAGGTTGTATGTGAAAATGACAAGTTGAATTGTTGCTTTCACAATGCAATCCTACTTCTGAGAATGTCCTGTGGCTTCGCCTGTACACATGTGAAATGAGTCACATGCAAATTTAATTCATCATAGCATTGTTCGTTATGGTACACTCTTGAAAACAACCCAGAGAATGGCTATGTAACTATAATAAATCCAGTTAGTAAAGTACTATGTAGCTGTAAAATAAAGAATGAGGGAGCTGTCTATATACTGGTTTGGAAAGCTATCTAGGATATGTTATTAAATGAAAAAGCAAGATAAAGAATAATGTTGGGGTGATCAGACCCAACACCAGGTCGTGGGGGTGACAAAGTCAGCGGAGTCAAAGGATTGAGAAAAAGACAGTGAGAGAAAAAGGTGGGACACCAGAGGACCATCATTATTGTATGGAGGCTGCAAAGGCCCCGAGTTCTGGGAGCCCACGGTATTTATTGGTAATCCAACAAAGAAACAGGTGGTGAGAATGTGGAGGTCAAAAGAGCACATTGCGTTAAGCACATGATTTACAGCTGTGATGTTTAGCATTTATATGGAACATGTTCTGCTACTTGAGATAATGGGAATAGGAGCCTAGGAGGGCTAGAAGCAAGGAGCCAGCAAGTCTAGACACATTCCAAAGGACATTATGCAAGCCCTGCCTCAGTTTCCCTCCCACCACTCAGCTTTTTCGCAACATGCCTCCCTTCTCTTTTTTGTAAAAGAGGAACTATCATTATTACTGTCATTATTACTAGCATAAGAGGTGGCCTCTTTTAATTGAGCAAGGCACTTGCAGGCTGTGCAGCCCTTTATTGCCAGTCGGTGATCCAGCTTCATTTTTCTTAGCCCTTATTCAAACTGGAGTCGCTCTGGTTTGAATGCTTACCACATACCTCCCCTTTCCCTTTTACAGGAGGACCCTTAATCCTAGGGGTTGCAGAAGGATGAAGGTCCATCTTCTGTAACTTCTTCATGCTGAATAGGGGCAATGATACTCCTGCCTAATTATTAGGGTCTCTTTTATTCAGGGTAGAGAGGAGCTGAGTCAGAAAGCATTGGTCCATTAAGCATCGTGACTCTGGTCGGTCTTCGTTCCATCTTCGCAATCAGATTCAAGTGGCTCATGGCTCGTACTGGGGGAACCCGGTCCATGGTTGGGATCCATGCTCCCGTTCCATGGTCGTACACATCTTGAGGGCATCCACACGGTTTGTTCATCTCCTGCAAAAACACAAGCATACCCTCTCCCCCACGTTAGTAAATCTACTGAAACAGAAGCAAAAACTTGTTGTGGTTGTAGCTAGGAGGCATGCCGTTGCTGAAACATTCGTTAACTCGGTTTCTGCCTCTTTGGTTAATTACCGTGAGGTAAAACTTTCTACTGATAATGAGAAACAGGCCTTCTCTGATTAACAGAAGGCATAGAGAAAGCAAATCGAGGCTTTTCAGACCTTCAATTCGTGCTGTACAGGCGGGTCCACTAGATGCTGTGGCTCATGATAGATCTTCAGATGTTTGGTGGGCACCCACACAGGCACCTGATTGTCACCTGGAGAGACACAAGCAGATCCTCTTCCCCATAAAATTATCTTTAGGCAGGGATTGGAGGAAGTAGATTCAGAGGTAAGGAAAATTTTGGGGGCCTAATGGCTTCCTAATGATTGATAGGTGTTCCCTCGGAAGTTAGGAATTCCCTTTCTCTCCATATTGCTGCGTGGGCATGGAGGACTAGGTAAGCATACTAAGAGTCTATATGTATATTTACTCGTTTTCCTTCTCCTAATTGGAGTCAAAGGATTGAGAAAAAGACAGTGAGAGATAAAAAGGTGGGACACTAGGGTGTCATCACTATTGTATGGAGGCTGTGAAGGCCCTGAGCTCTGGGGGCCCACGGTATTTATTGGTAATCCAACAAAGAAACAGGTGGTGAGAATGTGGAGGTCAAAAGAGCACGTTGCATTAAGCACATGATTTACAGCTGTGATGGCTTAGCATTTATATGGAGCATGTTCTGCTACTTGAGATAATAGGAATAGGAGCCTAGGAGGGCTAGAAGCAAGGAGCCAGCAAGTCTAGACACATTCCAAAGGACTATGCAAGCCCTGCCTCAGTTTCCCTCCCAACACTCAGCTTTTTCCCAACAAATAATAATAAGACAAAAAATACATATTCATATTTATATCTACATAAACACTACAAATATAAGAAGTGAATAAAGTGGTCACCTATGGGGCTTGGGGTAGACAGGGATGTAAGAAGGAAACTTCTTATTATATGCCTTTTAAAATATAATTTTGATGTTTGAATCATATAAATGTATTACCTATTCCAAATATTAAAATAATTTAAAGATAGATATATATACAATATAAAATGTATTTCTCCCACCCCATTCCATTCCCTGGAAGTAACCATTTGGATCTGTTTCTTTTATAGCCTTTCAGAGTAGTTTATTGTATAACATTAGTCAAGGTTCTTCAGAGAAACAGAACCAAAATGTGTGTATTATACATAGAGATCTGTTTTAAAGAATTGGCTCATGTGATTGTTAAGGGCTGGCAGGTCTGAAATTTTCAGGACAGGCTGTCAGGCTGGAGACTGGGGAAAGAGTGGGTATTGCAGTATCAAGCCTGAAGAAAGTCTGAAGGTAGAATCCTTCTTCCTTAAGAGACCTCTGTGATTTTCTCTTAAGGCCTTCACCTGATTGGATGAGGCCCACCCACATTATGGAGCATAATCTGCTCTACTCAGAGTCTACTGATATAAATGTTAATCACATCTTAAAATACCTTAATAGCAACATCAAGGCTGCTGTTTGACCAAAAGCTGCGTACCATGGATGGCCACACCAAGTTGAAACATAACCATCATACCCATGTACAATCATAGTATCTATCAATATCTATATTTACTTTTGTAATAGAAATGGTAACATGTCATATACACTGATACACACCTTGTTTTAGGTAACAACAGTCCATGTTTTGAAGGAGAACTCTCTAAAGAAATACACCTTTAAAGTATAAGAAAATTGGTAAGTCTGTACTGTGGGGGAAAAGACATGATTAATATAAAAAGGGAAACAACAGCTCGGAAACACATTTGATAGTTATTAATGTCCACCTTACATAAAGACTCCCACAAATTGAAAAAAAGAAAAACACTGATACCACATATCACAGAAATCCAGTTCACAAAAGAAAAGCTACAGACAGGAAGAAAATATTGAAAAATGTTCAAGCCCTTAACGCTGAAAGGAACGCAAATGGAGTCAGGTAAAACTTTATATAAACTAAAAGGATAAGCAAGTTTGTTATGAAACTTAAGACACAAACTGCAATGCTGACGTCACAGCAAACTAGTCAGTCTTTCAAGAGCCATTAGGCAGGATGAATCACAAGCTATAAAATCATGCCCCTTGGCCCAGTAATCCCTTTTCTGGGAACTAATCTTGAGGAAATAATTCGAACCATAGTGAAAGGCCTACACTGTATGGATAGTTACTGTAACGTCATTCATACAATTAAAGAAATACAAACAAACTAAATATCCTGACAGCATAGGAATACAGGCTAATTATGGTTTATTAACTTCATGAAATGTAGCTGTTAAACATGACTACAAGGACTAGCAATGTGGTAAAAGTATATAATGTTAAATACAACAGTTATGGCTTGGCTCTGATGGCAATGAAAAGAAAGCTGTATAAACGATGTACACTTGTGGACAAGAACAGATAGGAATGTAGAAACCTTAAAAATGGTTTGATCTGTTAGGATATCAGAATTGTCGGTGGTATTTCTGTTTTTGTTTTAGTCCTATTAATATTATTGCAATTTTATGTAATTATAAATTTTAAAAATCATAAGTTAACGTTATCCCAACAGTAGCCTCAAATTCAAATTATCATTTAGTGATTAGAAGATACTTTAAGAATCATTTGATTATATTCATTGCCCTTTCTCCTGTTGTGATGGTTATAGTATGAACCTTGGAGGATATTTCAGGAGCTGCAGTTTTCACAGCTCTCATTCTCTTCCCAGGAACTAGGCATATTTCTATTGATTAAGCCTGGAAAGATACTTTGGAAACTTCATTCAGTAAATGTGTATAAGACAGCAGAGAAGTTGGAAGCAAAGAACATTCCTGCGTCAATAAAATTAGATTTCTTTCTAATATTAAAATAGTAGCCAGTATTATTCCTGACACTTTCTAGTTGTCAAAGATGTTTTATTACAATTACAATGCAATAGTACTTTGATCTACATAAAGACCCGTTGTAGTATTGTTTATCTTTGTTCCTAGCTAAAGCTTCAGATCTACATTTTTTTCCTCAATGAATACAAGTATCCAATAAATGAAGACTCAATGAGGAAAAAATATTTGGTATAAATATTTCATTGTGTTTTTCAGTTTTACATTCCATCTCTTGATCTTTCCCTCAAATTGAAAGACAGTTTTAACAGTTTCGCAGTGCCTGTGGACTTTTACTTTATTTGTTGGCTCTTAATTTTGAGTATGGAAGTAGAGATAACCTTGATAATGGGAAATTTTCAAATTAGTAAAATGGATTTGCCAAGCAGGGAAAAGATGGTTTATGTACTGAAGTCCACACTAGCACCTGCCAAGAAAGTGGACATGGTGTTAACATCTGTCACAAACGTGTTTTTCAGGGTGGATCATTTGTACACATTCTTTGTTCAGTGGTCTCCCGATGTCTATGGAAAAGATGCCAAAGAGCAAGGCTTTGTGGTGGTGGAGAAGGAAGAACTGAACATGATTGACAACTTCTTCAGTGAGCCAACAACCAAGAGCTGGGAGGTGAGCACTTGGGCAGGGTTAGACCGTCGTAGTTCCTAAGGTACAGTAAGCAGTCTCGCATTCAGATTCCATGTAACAGGCTGGTAAGAAACTAGAGTCCCTGTGCACCTATGAAATTACAGAGGAAAATAACTTTATTCCTCCGTTTGAAAAAAAACACCACCACCAGCACCACCGCTATGTACACAGGCACACAGTTCATTCTGACCACACTAGATGAATCTACTTATATTCTTACTCATAGCTCCATGCCTTAGTTCAGAGCTCAGCAAATTTTTTTTTGTAAAGGGCAAGATAATAAATATATTTGGCTTTGTAGGCCATACAGTTCCTGTTGCAGGTACTCATAGCTGCCATTATAGAACAGAAGCAACCATAGTATGTAAATGAATGAGCATGACTGTGTTTCATTTCACATAGTTATTATGTGTCACAAAATATTGTTATTAATTTTTATTGAATCCCTTAAAAAATATGAAATCTTTCTTAGCTTAAGTGCCATACAAAAACAGGTGGTAGACTGGCTTTGGCTGACAAGCTGATATAGTTTGGCTCCACGTCCCCATGCAAATCATATCATAATTATAATCCCCAAATGTCAAGGGAGGCACCTGGTGGGAGGTGATTGGATCATGGGGACAGTTTCCCCGTGCTGTTCTCATGATAGTGAGGGAGTTCTCACAAGATCTGATGGTTTTAAAAGTGGCAGTTTCCGCTACGCTCGCTCGCTCTCCTGCCGCCTTGTGAAGAAGGTGCTTACCTCTCCTTTGCCTTCTGCCATGATTGTAAGTTTCCCAAGGCCTCCCCAGCTATGTGGAACTGTGAGCCAATTAAACCTCTTTTGTTTGTAAATTACTCAGTTTCAGGTAGCATCTTTATAGCAGTGTGAAAACGGACTAATACACAAGCTGTAGTTTGCCAGACCTCAGTTCCCTTCATCCAGTCAGGCAAGCATGTATCAAGTACTTCTTTAGGCGAGGGCCCTGGAAATACAATGATGGATAACATAGGCTCTCAATACTTAACAAGCTTGCAGCACTGGGAAATTGGGAGATGAGACTAGGAAAAATAGGTCTACCCCTCCTTCCTGTTCTGCTGCTCTCTTGAACCCCACTTAGCATTTCTTCTTTCCCAGCTTAGACAGATGGTAAATGAATTCAAACACATCCTTACCAGGACTCCTGAGTTCCTCCACCCCTCTCCCATCTACTGCACCCATCTAGCCTGCGTGCAATCCTGGATGAACCCACCCTCACACTTTTCTGCTCCTAGGCAGCCAAGCATTGCTGGAGAGAACCTGTCCACCAGGGAGAATGGTGCCATTACAAATACATGGTTCTGAATTCATCTGTGTCCATGTATAAGTGGCCCTGCAATACTAATTTAAACTCTTCACTCAATCTGTAGTTGCTTTTTTGATGTATGGTAGATGATATTTTTAATAGTCAATTTTTTTCCAGCACTATTTAATGATTTCCAATGTTTCCTTCATCATGTTGAAAGATCTTACATATGGACTGTGGGGCTGTATAACTTGTCATTTAAATATACAAGCAAGCTTGGATACTCTGTGCTTAAAAGCTTCAGTGGCCTCCTTATTGACTCTGCTGATTCTTACCCACCTGTTAGAATAACTACCTGGGAATTTTAAAAAACTGAATCCTAGATCCTTATTACTAGAGACATTAATTCAGTAGGTCTGGAGGGAGGAATGTTAGAATCTGTATTTTTCAAAGCTCCCAGATGATTTCCAAACAGTTATGTTTTGGAAACACTGACCTGTAGGGTAAGTTTTAAGCTCCTTCGTGGCATCAGGGCTCTTCTTTTTCTCTGCTCCTCCTACCTTTTCTGTCTCATCTACCTTCCTCATCACTGCTTTCCTTGCTGTCTCTTCTCCAGCCAATGTGAACCCAGAATCCATCTCTGCATTCCTGCTGTGCCCTGTCCCTGGAACATCTTCTCACACCCTATCCTTGCTCTCAAACTGAAGCACCATCTCCTCTGTGAATAAGCTATCTCAGAACCCCCCAGGTCACCCCAACCTCCTTTGAGTGTCTGCTGTAGATTTTGGCATCTGTATCCTATAAACCAAAAACAATGCCTGAGACAGATCTCAATCAATTTAGAGGTTTATTTTGCTAAGGTTGAGGATGCATCTGGTTAGGGAGGGAAAAAGAGACACAAGCCACAGTAGGATCTGTGTCCTGCACTTTTTCCAAAGAGGGTTTTGAGGGCTTCAGTATTTAAAGGGGGAAAAGTGGGCTGGAGAGGAAGGAGAAAAGAGGAGGGTAGAAAAAATGAGACAAACGGTTACTTTCTTGTGAGTCTTTGATTAGTGTGCACTGAATCCAAATGTTGCATGTGCAAAGGAGAGGGTAGAGGAACCCTCAATCATGTATGCCTTGTGCGCAGTAAATCTGCACTTTACATAAGATGAAGTAAACAGAGTCGTGGAAGAAGTCCAGTATGCATTGGTCTGGAGGTGAGCAGTAAGGTCAATTTCTAGTCTGCTCTTGTTTCCGACTTGTGAAAATAAGCTGTTAATTTACATTGTCCAGGTGAGGGAGACCACCTGGGGAGACAGCTGTTTAGAAACAAAAGGAAAGATGGTTTTTGTTTGTGTGGCTCAGTTTCAAAGCTTAATTTTCCCTTTTTTTGTAGTGAGTTTGTGATCCCAAGATTTTATTTTCCTTTTACAATCACATGGAATGGCACCCATTTATTTAGAATTGTTTCTCTACTGTCTCCTCACCTGCTGGAGACTGTGAGCAGCTTTATGTCTCTGTGCCTGGCAAAGCACCTGGCACCCACCATCATATAGGAAATAATAAATGTCCGCTGTCCTGGAGTCCCAGGGGCCCAGAGGAGAGTGTTGTCTTGCTGGCATTCTGTCCCAGGTTGTGCTCAGGCTGTTGCATTGAGAGTCAGTTCTGCTGGCCGTGGACTGGTCTCTAAGTATCTGCTAGAGTCTTCTTTATAACCCCCAGTGTGAGCAATACAATACACTCTGATCCCCGCAGCTGTGCCCAAGACTGAAAGGCCACTTCGGATCTGGAAGAATCACAGAAATATCACTGAAAATTGATCCAGTGCTGATCTGTATTTCTTTCTAACCTCCTGACATGTGATCTGAAGTGTAGAGGAGGACTCATCCTGCTTATTAGTCATTAAAACTAATTCCAAAATGTAAAAAGATAAGTATTACTCTGCCAACTGTTTTATAAAACTACATGTAAGATGACATCTTTCACAACCTCATGTAAACCAGATGTTTTCCCATTCTTTTAAGTCCCTCCCACCAACAAACATGACATAGTATTGAAGTGAAATGCCGTTTGTTCTAACTGTAATGAAGCCTACCTCCACCGAAGGCTCCTTTTCATCCTTCCTTTGAGATTCAAGCTTATACCAGGGATCACACGTACCATTTTAAATGGAGCTTTAGCCTTAAAGAAGGTGCTGGGGGCGGGGGAGAAAAAAAAAAGAAAAAAAACTCTGAAAAGGCAGGGCTAGAAAAGCTAGGTTCACTGGAGGGACGATTAGGAAAAAAAGTATAAGAAGGAAAAGAAAAAAAATGAACAATGGGGTTTTATCATAGTGTTGGGAAACCACCGTTTCAAAGGTGAAAGTGTCCTTTTACAGTCTCACAGCGATGCCTGGCAGGAAGTGTGTTTGCTCTAAATCCTAATTTGGGTGTGTTCCTGTAGAAATGTTGAAACTTCTCCTGAGGGAAACAGAAACTCAATCATGCAGGAAACTAGATACTGAGAAAACAGTTGTAGCTCAGCGTGGCTACAAGTAACTGTGGTGTGGAAGCAGAGTAGAGAGAAAACTTGTTCCTCATTAGAGAGAGAGCCACACTTCTCACTGCTCACAATGAGAGGCCAAAGATTACCCTTGGACATCCAGATTTTCTATTGTGCCAGACCTGACGAAGAGCCTTTTGTGAAGGTATGTTGGAGTGCGTCCCGAGGGCTAATAAGGTGCTGGTGAATTCTCAGTGATGTACCTCCGAGTTTCTTTTGAAAGTCGTTCTAATTAGAAAGGATTGTGCTGACATTTCTACCAGCAGGTGTTTTATTCATTGCGGAGAGGGTTATGGTGTGGTTGCCTCTTCTCATTGGAGCCAGAAATCCATATTTGATTTTTTTTCATTCCACAGCCTCATTTTATACTTGTGATAAACACAGAGTTTGCTGAAAACAGAGTGTTTTATTTCATTCATTTAAAATGCTTGGTTTGTGATTCTTGATAGTGTTTTCACTACGGAAACACTCCCCCAGAAAATGGTAAAATTAGTAAGCTTAATTTTCTTACTTGTAAATCTGGCTCAGACGCCAGCGGGTACTTTGTATCTGTCATTGTGCATTTTGGAAATTGAGTAGTGCACTACTGCCTGACAACTTGCACTGGATTTAACTTAAATGTTTTTCTCTATAATATAAAATCATTAATACTAGTACATTTTGGTGAATTAGTTGTCTAATATAATCCTTCACTTGATCTTACACAAAAGGCCAAGAAGCCTAATATACACTCTTCAATCTGAAAGTAATCCAGTGATTTATCCATAATTTAAGAAGGGCCAAAAATGGATTTTAGAGTAAAATGAACTTTGGTAATTCATAAGCATAGCTAGAGTTAAATAATAAATGTTTTGTACAATATGATGTTTCTAGGTTTAGAAGGGGAGACTATTTTTATCATCTCTGAACAGTACATAAATAATTGTAACCTAGTTGTAATTTAGACTAAAGCTTCACACTTCTTTGTACTCATGCTCCTGGTAGCTGTTATCATTCGTTATTTCTAACAGAAGTGGTTTCTATGTGCACAACCTTAAGAGAAAACATCAGGAACCTGATTAAAAACTATCCTCATCACCGCAAACTCCCTATTTATAGAAGACTTACCTACTGAATGATCTCCGATTAGTCCTTTAACAATTCAGATCCTAAATCTAAAGGCTAAAAGAGAATCATTTAGGGCATTTCAAAGGTAGAAATCTTCTGGTGTTATATACTATTCTCAGTGACCGAGCAATCAGCAGCTATACTAAAACTGGAAAACTCGTGACTTTATTTATTTATTTATTTTATTTCTATATGGAGATAGGGGTCCCATCATGTTGCTCAGGCTAGTCTCAAACTCCTGGGCTCAAGCCATCTTCCTCCTGCCTTGGCCTCCCAAAGTGCTGGGCATACAGGCATGAGCCACCACGTCTAGCCTTGTGACTTGTGACTTTAATTTATACATATTAACTGCCTCGATTGTACTGTCTTTAATTGTGCATTTGTTCTGAAACTGAAAAATTAGCCATTTCCCCAAAGTCCTGTTCAGTTGATTTCCTGCTGCCGAAGCGTCACCTTTTCAAGCACGGGTGTCCCTAGAGTGATTTTTTAAATTAGCAGTTAGAAGAAAAGCCAATAAGTTATTTTTCTTGGCTTGTTTTCTCATTTCAGATCATCACTGTTGAAGAGGCAAAGCGCAGGAAGAGCACATGCAGCTACTATGAAGACGAGGACGAAGAGGTGCTGCCTGTCCTACGGCCCCACAGCGCGCTCCTGGAGAATATGCACATCGAGCAGGTGGGCTCGCCCTGGCCACCAAGGGTGGGGGTTCCTAGGCTTTAAGAAATATTTCCCTTGGCCAGGTACAGTGGCTCATGCCTGTAATCCTCACACTTTGGGAGGCCAAGGCAGGCGGATCACTTGAGGTCAGGAGTTTGAGACCAGACTGGACAACATGGCAAAACCCCATCTCTACTAAAAATACAAAAATTGGCCGGGCGTGATGGCACATGCCTCTAATCCCAGCTACTCAGGAGGCTGAGACAGGAGAATTGCTTGAGCCTGGGAGGTGGAGGTTGCAGTGAGCCAAGATCGCACCACTGCATTCCAGCCTGCGCAACAGAGTGAGACTCTGTCTCAAAAAAAAAAAAAATTCCCATCCCTGAATGCATTTGCCCTTCTCACTTGGGCTGAAGGATGAGGCTTGTGAGGAAGGAGGAACACCAGCAGCCCACTAAGGCCAGTGCCCCCTGCTCTGCCTCTGAAAAGTCGCATTCCCTGCTGACTTCTTAGTAGTATGAGGAGTTGGTCAGACACTAACATCCTTCTCTCAAACCTGAAGAAAAAGCCATTTCTAATCTTAAAAAAATAAAAATTTTAAGCGTCCTACCATAGTCCTAATATGCTTTAAAAAGGATCCAAATTTATCCTTGTAATTATTGCAGAGTTCCCATAGCTTTGATGTATAGGGCTCAATAAAAGTAATACAGCAAAGGCACTCTACTTGCTTTATGAAAAATACCTACCTACAGGACAATTTTTCCTTTTTCTATGATTTTCTTTGTGTATTTTAGTTTCTGAATGTTTACTTGAAATTCATGAAATATTATAATGCACTTATGTTTGAACTGTAGTAAGGAATCCCTGGCATTTCCCTCATCAGTCAGCTTAGAGACATGAATTTTAGAGACCTTAAATAATCATTAAGTTTGGCTCCCTAGTTTACTGAGGAACCAGTAAAGACCCAAGACAGCCAAGAAGCTTGACCAAGTAATTATAGAGTGTGGGATTCACACTGACACTGAAACTGATTTTAAGCACTCTGAAGACTCAGCACTTCATGGCCTCCTTTGGTAATATTCTTGAAGAGATATACATTATTGGTTATTTATGGCCAAGTTTAAATATTGATGCAGGTAAAAGATATAGGTGCAATAAGAACAGATGACACCTGACTTCTAACACTAAACGTCCCTGTTTTTTTGCCCTCACTTCTGTGCAAAGCTGCAGCTCTCAGTAGCAGTTTTGAGCCTCTGAGTGTTTAGAAAGAAAAATTGGGAAAATATGAACTGTTTGGTAAAAGCCAGGTTGAAGTGGAAAGGAAGGGCATGTGTCTAGTTTATGCCTCTTTATCCAGCTTGATCTGTGTCTTCAAATATATAGCAGGATAGGGACTCCATAGTCATGTCCCTGAATGGGAAGACACCTCCTGGCCAGTATCCTTGCCAAGGTAAACACTGTCAAATGATCATTTTCTTGGTTTAGAATAGCAAATATTTGCCAGAATAAGGAGGGGCACTATGTGAGTGTATGATACTGAGTTTGAATAACAGGCATTTGTTTTGTGCCACATGTTCGTGAGCAATTTGTGGGTGAACCTTCTGTTTACATCTCTTCCTTTGGCTTTGTAGCTGGCCCGACGCCTTCCTGCAAGGGTGCAAGGGTATCCATGGAGACTGGCCTATAGCACGTTAGAGCACGGGACCAGCTTAAAGACGCTCTACCGGAAATCGGCATCACTAGACAGTCCTGTCCTATTGGTCATCAAAGATATGGATAATCAGGTGAGGCCTGTCCCTCTCATAAAGAATATTTTTTAATAATTTTTCAAAATTCCCAACAGTAGAGAGACTAGTACCATATACTTCCATCACCCAGATTCCACAGTTAACAGGATTTTGCCTTCTGTGTCTTTTATCTTTGTTTTTTCTCTGCTGAAATATTTTGAAGTAAATCCCAATCATTATGGCATTTCACCCCTACATATTTCAGGATCATCTCCAAAATGCAAATGGATCATACTTCCAAATACAGTCACATTCTAAGGAGCTTTTTTCTATCACCATGAAGTGGAAAAGTATAATGATATCCCACAGCCTAAAAACTGGAAAGTTGGGGTGGAGTGAGATCTGGATTTGGAAACAGTTGCAGAAATAAGTTCCAGTGCCATACCAGTGCCTTTCCCAGGTAGCCAAAGTAGTGCCCACAAACCTTGCCTGCATTTTGGATGTGATGGAGAGTCAGTCAAGGCCATAGTGTGTTGTGCCTGAGGGGCCCAATTGTTAAGAAACCACAGAGAATACACTGTACCGTTCTTGATTGTACTTTTGCCTGTGTTACAGTTGGTCTTTCTTGGAGGAACTAGTGAAAACTAGTTATTACCCCTTGTCCCTGCACTGTTATCTCTTCCCGTAAGTCAGCTCAGAATGGGAGTGGAATCTGTCCAGGTTTTTTTCGGTCACTTTCCTGTCAGTCTCTTGCATCATGAAAGGAAGACATCATTCACATCTGCTCATTGCTCATTTCAGTTTGACCTGTGTTCTGTTAGAAATTCCTCTAAGATTTTAAGATGCAGCATTGAGCAGATTTTCTGTCACTGAAGCAGATTTTACTCAACATTTATTCATTCATTCATTCATTTATTCATCCACTCAGCAAATATCTAATTAGAGCCTGTTAGGCGCTAGGCACTGTTAAGCATTGGGGAGCTTACTGTGAAGCACAACATTTTTATACTGAGACATGTCCACGTTGTAATGAGCCATATACATGGGATCATTTTACAGGAAATAGAACTTTGCTGTCATGATTTGCCTTGGGAAAAATTAGGGAACAAATGGGGGTACCAAAGACACTGTCTTTCTTAGCAGTGATCTTTGTGACTTTATCGTAATATTATTGTAGCTTAAGAGTTGTGGGAATTAATTTAGCTGTCATTGTTACTATTGTTATTTCCTGATTGCTGACATTTTGCTTAATAAAGATCCAAGCTGAAAGGTGGGTAGAGTCAAGATAAAAAAATTAAAATAATGATAACAGTTGGTTTAAAAGAGACTTAGGAATTTAGTGAAATGTTCCAGAATTGGATGTTATATTTTGGATGAGGTATGGCTATATTATCTTAGAGCACACATACAGACTCTCACCTAAGTATAGATTATTTGTCCTATTTACTTACCAAAATATCACACTTGTTGAGGAATGTGATGGTTCACACAGAACAGGTATTGATGAAGCACAGTTTTACCAAACTTCCTGTGCGATTTGTAAAGGAGGCCTACAACTGAAGGTTGCAGTCTTGTCACTGGGTGGAGTCTTGCTGAATCATGTACCCTGGAGGCACTTGTGTCATTTGAGGACAACCAGACACTAACTTTGCTTTCTGCACCCCATCTACCCCGAAGGGGAAACTGTGGCTTTGCTGTGTTTGAGAACATGATAGAACAACACCTGCAAATGTGTCTGAAAATGAATTATATGACATTCTAATATAAAAATATTATATATGTAGACTGGCAGCAATGAGGAGCTCTGCAGAATCAGTCCCCAGTGAAAGAACCATAGCTGGTAGAAATAACAAAAACAACAATCACTTAAAGTCTCTGGAAATTATTCTAAGCCAGTGAGGGAATATTTATTCAAGAAAATCTAATTAATCTCAGTTATAACAGTGGGACTCTGTGGCACTTGAGGCACAACTCTCTCCCTTCCCTAACCCCCCGCTGAGACTGACAGTGGTTCCACTCTGGGCATGTATGGCCAAGAAGATGGGGCACTCTCTTCCCACAGCTGCCAGTCAAGGGTTATGGTGTACCCTCTCTCACTGTGGGTCCCCTGTATTTCTTATCTCCCACCCAAGATCAGTGTTTCTGAGGCTAAAATCCAAGCAAGTGTGGCCTAGAGGTAGGGGGCTTTCTTCTTCTACCCACCCTCCACTCACAGAGCCATGCTCTACGGTAGGCATGGCAGGCTGAGAATACAGGGGTCTCTCCTGCTCTCATTTCAGCTCACAGGGCAGAAGTTTTGCACCAGATGAGGCAAGCCAAGACCAGAGGCTGCTGTCACTGTCTAGTCCCTAGCTTCAGAGCAGTGGGTTAGAGATTTTTTTCCCAGGGGAAGAGGCAGGCCACAGGACATAGAGTTCTAAAGCTCTACCCAAAGGAACTGACTTTGTTTAGACACACTTGGGGAAGTTCAAGCCAAAGGGCACTCTAGAAAACAATGAGAATTTTGGTGTTAAGAAGAAGGCTGTAGCCATGAAGGCAACAAATTAAACTGTAGACCATCTACTTTACCAGAGAGATCCAAGAAAAGAGACAGCTATGGAGAGCCTTTCTGGAGACAGGGTAAACTTCATAGTCTGGCCAAAGAAACTATCCATGCAAAGGAACCTACATTTAATTGAATCAGACTGTGGAATAATTTACACCACCAGGCATTGTTGACAACAATAGAACAATCATCAGGCAATTAATAGAGACTAATTACTAACTTCCAGTGAAGTATAGAAATGTTACTCCTATTTTGCTCTATTACATCTTTTAACTTTTTGTGGTACTAATGTTATAAATGTTATATCTGTATATATTACAAATATAGCAATAGATTGTTATGATTACTATGTTACATAATTTTATGTCTGCTAAGGAAGTTGAGAGAAGAAGAGCAAATGTACATTTATATGTTTTGTTATATGACTTTCCTTTTATCATTTCTGGGTTGCTCTTCATCTATTCCCTTGGATTCCTTTGTTCTGCTATTGCTAAATGTATTACATTTTTATATGGTATAGGCTGAACAACACTATTATATAAAAGTTGTTTTATACAATTTTTTTAAATACATTAATAGAAAAAAAGACATTTTCTCATAATCACAATGCAATAGATCTAACAAAATTAACAGTAATTCCCCAATATCATCCAGCCCTTAGTCTTTAAATGCATTTCCAGAATTGCTAAGAAAATTTTAGCTAAAAGGCCAGGTGTGGTGGCTCACACCTGTAATCCCAGCACTTTGGTAGGCCGAGGCAGGTGGATCACCTGAGGCCAGGAGTTCCAGACCAGCCTGACCAACGTGGTGAAACCCCGTCTCTACTAAAAGTACAAAAATTAGCCAGACATAGTGGTGTGCACCTGTAATCCCAGCTACTCGGGAGGCTGAGGCAGGAGAATCACTTGAACCTAGGAGGTGGAGGTTGCAGAGGGGCTGAGATCATGCCATTGCACTCCAGCCTGGGCAACAGAGCAAGACTCCATCTCAAAAAAAAAAAAAGGGAGGGGGGTGGTGGAATTTTAGCTAAAAAAGAAAATATTTAAAATTCTATGGAGGGTGTGAAAGTAAAGATAACTTATTGACTGATCAGAGAGGGAACTCATTTTCTTCCACGTATTTGTCATATTTTGTCATATTTTAACCCCATGCTTTTAAAAATAGATGCCTATTTTGATTGTATTCTGGTTCTTTTTTTTGGAAGATTACCAGAAGAAGGGCAAAGGATTTTTTATGTTTTGTTACTGTGCTATATTTCTTTGTTCTTAGCAGCTCTAGGGAAAGGTTTGGTAGCAAGAAGTATGAAAAATACTGGTTAGAAAGAGTTTCTAGCCTTCTACCTAATACTTAGTGTTACAAGTATAGCCAGGAACTGAGTGTAAGTGGTGAAGAAGACAGCACACAGAGATTGTGATCTAATTGAAATAATTTTTGAAAAATGCTATGACATTTTCCAGATAACCTACATTTAAAGCAATGTTCCTCAAATGGGATTTGAAATAGAAAGAATGTCTGAATCACCTAGGGACATTTTCAGAATACATATGCTCACCCCTGCAAGTGCTGATCAGGATGTGAACAGAAGGATGAGATGCTGAGGCAGTGGGCGTACACATTCTGAAAACACTACTCCTCATGTAGCTTGGCTCCCCTTCCATCCCCCGATAAGAAAAAGTACAAGAACCATTGATTTAAACACATCTAAGTTACCTTTCATGATATTCATGATCTAAATAACTCCATGATATTACGGGGTTATTTGTTTCTTAAAAGTCACTTTGAACTAAACTATAGTAAGTCAGTCATTTTTAAGGATATAATTTTAATTTAATAAGCATATTAATAACTCATTGTTACAAATCAAAAGAAAGGAAAGTTTATTTTCTCTGGGGAAATGCCCAGCCATGACTCCACTTATAAAATACATAAGAGATGTGACTGTGTTGTCCCAAGCACTCATTTCTGTGAGCAAGATGTATCTTCTTGTGGCTTAATGTTTCTATTATGTTATGTATATTCAATAACAGAAATTTGTCTCCATAGTGAACTTTGGAAATCTTTTAAAATTGGAACAAATTGTTGGCCTTTGACAAACAAGTTGTCTAAGCTTTGTCAGATGAATTTTGCGTGCACCAGGAAGTCTGGCTACTTGGGTTCCAGTTAGAGCTGGGGATATTTGTTTATTCTTTTATTGGTGGTCTTTTTAAGTTTGAGTGCCAATTTAGTAATAATCTTTGCTGAAATAGATCTCAGAACATGATGTATCAAAAATATTCCAGAAAGCCTTGCTTTGGGGATTTAGGTTTGAATGTAGGTAACATTTCTGTTTTCTTTTGACAGATTTTTGGAGCATATGCAACTCATCCTTTCAAGTTCAGTGACCACTATTATGGCACAGGCGAAACTTTTCTCTACACATTCAGCCCTCATTTTAAGGTACCTAGATAGGAGAAATATCCAACTCCCATATGTCACAGTGTCCTCAGTTGGGGAAGGGGATAGGCATTGGGGCAGCTAGCTGTCCTGTAACTTCTCCTGAACTGACTCCGGGCTGGGTCAGCCCTTTATGACTGTAGCTCGCAAACTGCTTAGCGTCCCTGGCCTTCTGGGCTGCTCAGGCTGGGATCCAGAGAGTCGCAGGTCAGAGCCACCACGTGTCTGAAAGGTCTTCCTTCCTTCGTAACCCCTTGGGAGATCTCATCCTGGTGTGGGCCAGGTCTGGCAGTCAGGAACTTCCTCCGTCAATGGGGTGAGGTGGTTCCCTTTTACATATAGATACTATTTCATATTTCCTCATTGCTAATTCTCCAGATTAAAATGTCTGTTTTCTTTTTTGTGTTTCTTCCCCAAGGTCTTTAAGTGGAGTGGAGAAAATTCATACTTTATCAATGGAGACATAAGTTCTTTAGAACTTGGTGGTGGAGGGTAAGGTTTTTTTTGTTTTTGTTTTCTTATTGTTATTTTACCACCTGACCTGAGTGGGTCTGTTTTGACCTACGTAGTTAAAACTTCGGTGTCAGGTTATTTTAGCTAGTCCATGTGCTTAGATGAATTAGGACAGAGGCTAACACAGAATGGCCTAACTAAGAATCAAAGATAGAATATTTATGTGTCTAATGAGAGACTGTTACCACTTGTCTTTTAGGAAGACTGGTCATTTAAATGAAATAAAGGAAATGTATCCTGGTTTTATAAGCAGTTTAGAATTTTGCCTGTCAGTAGTATAAAGGAAAGAAGATGGGGGCAAGAGAGAATAGTGTGTCATGTAACATAGAAGTGTTTTTACCTTTTTTTTTTTTTTTAACCTTTTCAGGGGACGATTTGGTTTATGGCTAGATGCTGATTTATACCACGGACGAAGCAACTCTTGCAGCACTTTCAATAATGATATTCTTTCCAAAAAGGAAGACTTCATAGTTCAGGATCTGGAGGTGTGGGCATTTGATTGAAATTCAGACTGCCTTAAAATATAACATTAAAAAGACTGGGTTCGATCAGCCCTCCTAAAGCTGGCTGGAAAAAGAAGCCCCAGCCCAGCCTGCCTCATCCCACCCCAATGCTTCCTTTCTGCCATCATCTCAGAGCATGATCACATTGCAGAAAGATTCTGGAAGGTCCATGTAGAGGGCAGACATTGAAGAAAGAAACTTAAAATCCAGGTTGTTGAAAAGACTTTGTACTCCCACTTCCTCCAAATCCATACAGTGAGGAATCAGAGTGTTTATAGATATATGAGTTGAATGCAATTTTTATTTTTGGTAACTGTGAAAAATAAGATACTGTGGATATATACATGCCTTGTGTATTTATCAGCATAATTTTCATTACCAAAATGTACAGCTATTATTTGCCATGGAAAAGGTTAGTCTCATTTAGAAAAATCGAAAGTGCACAGCACTTAAAGGGAATATATGAGGTTTTTTTTTTTTTAAAAAAAAACTTTTATTTATTATTTGTAGTATATTGTCTGAAATGTGTCGGCAGTTTTTTTTCTTTTAATGTGTCAAATCTTGAAATATTAAATGTATACATTTTGTGCTATGTTTTGGGAACAAATCTGTTTGATTTATATAGTTTTATATTGAATTTTTTTTGCCCTGATTGTTTAGGGTGATAGGTCTTAAGCAGCATATATCTATATATCTGTATGTGGGTATATAGAGATATATGTGTGTGTGTATGTATATGTACATATACATATATATGAGTGTATAATTCTAAATTTCTAAAAACTCATTATGAATGTTCATCAATTTGACTATTATAGGCCAGCTTTCCATTTAGTCAATAAAAGCGTACATTTTTAGTTACTTACCTTGAACATATTCGTGTGAAAAAGAATACATCATTTCTCACAGTCTTAAGTTGATATTTATAGAAATGAATACCTTTGTGAACCTAGACTTAGAACAAATCCTGCTTTTGAAAAAAAATGTTTTGCTTCTTACAAAATCATTTGTGTTAATAACAAAAACTTTATTTTCGGAGTGTTCTTTGTATAACTTTTCCAAGCTTTTACATTAACGAGCAGGCCTCTGTCTTAAAAGGGACTCAGTATATTAATTTCTGCATTTTTTAAATCAAATGAAAAACGTCAAATTGGACCAATTGTCTTGGTTTCTTGATTCATTTATTTGAGAAAAAAACAATACAAAGAAATGCATTCATATCAAAATTGGAATAGAAAGGAAAACCTATTTTTAAGATATCAACCTATTTTCACATCATAAAACATCTATTACATAAAATAAAGGTCCAGGCATAGTGGCTCTTGCCTGTAATCCCAGCACTTTGGGAGGCCGAGGCAGGTGGATCACTCAAGGTCACAAGTTTGAGACCAGTCTGGCCAACATGGTGAAACCCCATCTCTACTAAAAGTACAAATATTAGCCGACTATGTGGCGGGCACCTGTAATCCCACCTACTCGGGAGGCTGAGGCAGGAGAATTGCTTGAATCCGGGAAGCAGAGGTTGTAGTGAGCCAAGATCGTGCCACTGCACTCTATCCTGGGTAACAGCGAGACTCTGTCTTAAAAATAATAACAATAATAATAATAATAAAGACTTACTTAACCAATATTATTGATTACCAGACTTTTATGAAAGCCAAAGACTGCTTGCTAGTAGGAAAAAATTTCAAATAATAACCAAAGCTGAAAAATGGTCTGTCATAAATTATTTCCCCGGTAATTTTTGAAAGGAAAAATGTATAACAAGTACTATTTACATATCTGCATTTAAAAAAGCAATTCTTAGAATACTTCCTTTACATTATTCTCCTATTTTAGACATTTTGTGAAAGAGAACAAATTGTCCAGTGGCCTCCTGTCAGATCAACAATTATTATACTCCTTAATTCCATGCAAATTTAAATGAATGCTATAAAATTTTAAATCTGTAGCCTGGGTGTACGTTTCACTCAAGTTCTCCTACTGAGGACTCTTGACTAACAGCATACTGGCAGTTTCACCTTAACCTGCTCGTTAAATAATGTGTTGGTGTGAGATATCAGGAATGTCTCATGATATCACGTTTACCATTTACACCATCTGCAACCATATGCTATTAATAAAATGGAAAAAAACAAAATGGTCATTTTGCATATACTTCACTCTGACCTAGTTTAGTCCATGATACTATAATTGTGAGAGCATATCCAGATGCTGTGTTCTCTATGTAAAACAGTATTGTCCATTCAGAAATGTGTGACCCTTCATTTATGGATATTGACTATATGTAATGCAGTGCTATCCCAATATTTTCAATAAAGGACTTTATGCATTCAGTGATTTTCTTTCCCAAAGATTCATTCATCAGGTATTTACTGGGTACCAGAGTGTTTATTTTTGTGAGAGGATGGTGAAATATCCAAGACTAAACAAGGTCCAGAGCTCATGTTTTCACTGCTGCCCTGGAAACTCCCTCTTCATTCCCTGTAGCCACCCTCCTAATTGTCTCATCAGTTCACGGAAACTGCTCTCATTATGGTTACCAGAGACAACTCTTGGCTGTATCTACCAGTCTCTTCTAATCTTTCTAGCTGTGCAATGAATGACAACCTCCTCCTCTTAACATCTGTCTTAACCTACTTCATAATTTCCGTAAGGGACACTTTACTCTCTGATAAATTTTCTTTGGCATCCTGACACCTAGCCCCTAGATGTTGGGCTAGATGAAGACCCCAAGCAGTCTTCATTGCTTCATAATTCCTCAGTTCATAAGTCCATATCAAAGGACTTGGGTGGGAGGAGGCAACCAAATGTTTCTTCAGACTCTACTGAAAATGATTAGATGCATCCCCGTGCTACAAGCCACCAGAGACATCCTGCACTATTATAAGTATGTCTTCCCTTAATTTGATCTCCCTCTCCTTGATGCCTTTTAAAGTTTTAGAGACACATTGATATGGTTTGGCTGTGTGTCCCCACCAACATCTCATTGGAATTATAATCCCCACATGTTGAGGGAGGGACCTAGTGGGATGTGATTAGAACATGGGGGCGGTTTCCCCCATGCTGTTCTCATGATAGTGAGGGAGTTTTCATGAGATCTGTTTTAAAATGTTTGGCAGTTCCACCCTCACCCTCTCTTCTGCTGCCATGTAAGATGTGCCTTGCTTCCCCTTTGCCTTCTGCCATGATTGTAAATTTCCTGACGCCTACCCAGCCATGTGAAACTGTGAGTCCATTAAACCTCTTTTCTTTATAAATAACCCAGTCTCAGGTAGTTCTTTATAGTAGTGTGAAAATGGACTAATACACACATGAAACAGCATTAATGAAAGAATTACTCTCCTTTTGAGGAAGCCATTGAGAATCTCTTAAGCCAGAAAGGAGTGTTACGTTTCATGTTTTTCTTAGGATGCCTAACCTATTTTTACCAATTTAATTCGATACAGAAAGGTAAGGAGGTCAGAAACCAAGGGAAATTCCAGAAAACTCAAGGGAAGCCACACTCATTTCTTGTGCATGTATCAAAAGTGCCTTTGACCACTTCCTTCTGCCCAATGAGGTCACTTACTCTTAATCAGAGAAAGCCCTGACTTCAAAGCATCACATTCTCTGTCACCTCCTGGCCTATGACCATTATCCATAGTGAGCCCCTAACAGAAGGTGTTTTTACTGAAAAAAAAATAAGCTTCATTCTTCACACCAAACTCTTAAGATCTTATTCCCTTTCTATTTCAAATCTCTAGTGGTTCAGAATAAAAATGAGATATGAGCTATCTGGTATGGTCAATCAAGCCATCAAGATGTTGTCTCTTGATAGAATATCTTTGAGGACTTTTGGTTTCTCTCTTAGATCAGCACTGTTCAATAGAACATTCTACAATGATAGAAATGTTTCATGAATTTTCACTGTCCTTAATGATAGCCCCTAGCTACCATACTAATGTTGAACAATTGAAATGTGCCTTGGGTGACTGAGGAGCTGAACTTTTTATTTAATTTTAGTTTATTTAAATAGCCACACGTGACTGGTGGCTACCACATTAAACAGCACAGCTCTAGATCTAGATGTTATTGCCAAATTATATTTTCATTGGCAATTAAGTCAGACTATGACTCCTTCACCAGAAGAGAACCTTTACTTCCAAGCACTTTGTCTATGCCATTACAGATCTTCATACAGGTTGGTACCACCTAAGGTTATCTACTATGTCTCTCACTGTTTAGGTAGTCAGCTTATAAAGTGACGAGAGAGCTGAGTTCCCTAACAGTCTCCCTAAACTGAAAAATTGGATCTACATAGGATTACAGGTCCCCATCTCTAATCAAAGGTAATGAAAACTGGCCAGGTGTGGTGGCTCACACTAATCCCAGCACTTTGGGAGGCCGAGGAGGATTGATCATCTTAACTCAGGAGTTCAAGTCCAGGCTGGGCAACATGACGAAAACCCATCTCTACAAAAAAAGAAAGAAAAGAAAAATTAGCCAGGTGTGGCAGCATGCACCTGTAGTCCCAGCTACTCAGGGCAGAGGCAGGAGGATTGCTTGAGCCTGGGAAATTGAGGCTGCAGTGAACCAAAATCACATCATTGCACTCCAGCCTGGGTGACAGAGTGAAGCCCCTTCTCTTAAAAACGAGGCCGGGTGCGGTGGCTTATGCCTGTAATCCCAGCACTTTGGGAGGCCAAGGCAGGCGGATCACCTGAGGTCAGGAGTCTGAGACCAGCCTAACCAACATGGAGAAACCCTGTCTCTACTAAAAATACAAAATTACAAAACACTAAAAATACAAAATTAGCTGGGCGTGGTAGTGCCTGCCTGTAATCCCAGCTACTCGGGAGGCTGAGGCAGGAGAATCACTTGAACCCGGGAGGCGGAGGTTGCAGTGAGCGGAGATTGCACCATTGCACTGCAGCCTGGGCAACAAGAGCGAAACTCCGTCTCAAAAACAACAACAACAACAAACAACAACAGCAACAACAACAACAAAAAGAAAGGTAATGAAAGCCTCTCCTAGTGCCCAGGCCTTGTCTGACATAAAGTTTTCCTGACACGGCCTTCATCACGTGTTTTTGTTCCTGTGCTGGGCATTCCTCCACTTATGGCAGCACTGTAGCATACCATATCCCTTACCAGGCACCCTCTACAGTGCACGATGGTCCACTGAAAATAAAAACAACCCATTCCTTACATAGAATTGTGCATTCAGTCCCAAACCAACAGAAATAATGGAATGTCTCAGAATGCCTCACACGGTGCTATTCAGTGACCAATGAAAATTCAGTGATCAACCTTCCTTACCAAGTTTGGCACCTGGGATGCCCACTAGCCCTTCAAAGAACCTGCCTGTACATGGAGAAAGTTTTCAATAGCAACTTGTTAGAATAAAAGGCAATCAAAAGCCATAGGGCAGAACCCATTAGATAACTTTAGTGTCCTATTTACCATCAACAAGGGCCCATCATTTCATCAATCTCTTCATTTCTAGGGTTAGAAAAAGTAACCCTGATCTAGCTTGACATAACCCTTGAGGAAAATGCTAAACAAGAAACACAAGAAACATGTTCACTGTCAACAAGCTTAGGTGATAAAGCATGTCTTCTTGTGCCTCTGCAGCTAAAAAAATATCTTCACCTTGACATCACTTTGAAAATACAGGAATTCAGTCAAACAATTCAGCTTTCCATCTCCATGGCAGTCCTTCTTGGCTTAACATTATTTTCTACTGGCTGATGGATCAGTCACATTTTACCCCACAGTTGCCTGAGATCAGCCCTTCTAGGTTTAAAGACAGCAATTAAGAAGAATGTTTCAACAAAGATATGCTGTTATGCTGTGTTGAGGTTTTGTGTCGAACTTGAGAGCTGTTAAAAGGCCCTATTACTCCATGTGCAACGAGGCCCAGACTTGTTCTCTTGTAGCATCTTGTTTTTCTATTAGATCCTCCAAAAGGTCAGAAAAGTGGATAGGTTTGACCTGGAAGTATCCTAGAAAGAGCTTGGGGTATATGATATGAGCACCTTTGCAGGTTATATAATTAGGTCACCCAGGTAGACTATGCTAAAAATTTCTAAAGACTTCAAGAAACATGGCTGGGTGCAGTGGTTCACGCCTGTAATCCCAGCACTTTGGGAGGCCAAGGTGGACAGATCACTTGAGTTCAGGAGTTCAAGACCAGCCTGGCCAACATGGCAAAACCCCGTCTTTACTAAAAGTACAAAAATTAGCCAGGCATGGTGGCGGACACCTCTAATCCCAGCTACTCAGGAGGCTGAGGCAGGAGAATCGCTTGAACCTGGGAGGCAGAGGTTGCAATGAGCCGAGATCGCGTCACTGCTCTCCAGCCTGGGAGACAGAGCGAGACTTCGTCTCAAAAAAACCCCAAACAAACAAAAAAAAGACTTCAAGAAGCAACAAAGCATGGTTAAGGTATGGATTCTCTAGAGTCAGACGTCCAAATTTTGAATCTCAGCTCTAGAGCTTACTAGCTATGTGACTAGCTATTTTACCTCTATATGCTTCAATTTTCTTTTTTTTTTATGATTCAACTCATAACTTTTATTGCTTTTTCTTTTTTTTAAATTATACTTTAAGTTCTAGGGTACATGTGCACAATATGCAGGTTTGTTATATATGTATAAATATGCCATGTTGGTGTGCTGCACCCATTAACTTGTCATTTACATTAGGTACATCTCCTAATGCTACCCTTTCCCCTTCCCCCCACCCCATGACAGGCCCCGGTGTGTGATGTTCCCCACCCTGTGTCCAAGTGCTCTCGTTGTTCAATTCCCACCTATAAGTGAGAACATGCAGTGTTTGGTTTTCTGTCCTTGCAATAGTTTGCTCAGTATGATGGTTTCCAGCTTCATCCACGTCCCTACAAAGGACATGAACTCATCCTTTTTTAAGGCTGCATAGTATTCCATGGCGTATATGTGCCACATTTTCTTAATCCAGTCTATCATTGATGGACATTTAGGTTGGTTCCAAGTCTTTGCTATTGTGAATAGTGCCGCAATAAACATACGTGTACATGTGTCTTTATAGCACATGTCTATAAATGGGTCAAATGGTATTTCTAGTTCTAGATCCTTGAGGAATCACCACACTGCCTTCCACAATGGTTGAACCAGTTTACAGTCCCACCAAACAGTGTAAAATTGTTCCTATTTCTCCACATCCTCTCCAGCACCTGTTGTTTCCTAACTTTTTAATGATCGTCATTCTAACTGGTGTGAGATGGTATCTCATTGTGGTTTTGATTTGCATTTCTCTGATGGCCAGTGATGATGAGCATTTTTTCATGTGTTTGTTGGCTGCATAAATGTCTTCTTTTGAGAAGTGTCTGTTCTTATCCTTTGCCCACTTTTTGATGGGGTTGTTTGATTTTTTCTTGTAAATTTGTTTAAGTTCTTTGTAGATTCTGGATATTAGCCCTTTGTCAGATGGGTAGATTGCAAAAATTTTCTCCCATTCTGTAGGTTGCCTGTTCACTCTGATGATAGTTTCTTTTGCTGTGCAGAAGCTCTTTAGTTTAATTAGATCTCATTTGTCAATTTTGCCTTTTGTTGCCATTGCTTTTGGTGTTTTAGACATGAAGTCTTTGCCCATGCCTATGTCCTGAATGGTATTGCCTAGGTTTTCTTCTAGGGTTTTTATGGTTTTAGGTCTGACATTTAAGTCTTTAATCCATCTTGAATTAATTTTTGTATAAGGTGTAAGGAAGGGATCCAGTTTCAGCTTTCTCCATATGGCTAGCCAGTTTTCCCAGCACCATTTATTAAATAGGGAATCCTTTCCCCATTTCTTGTTTTTGTCTCATTTGTCAAAGATCAGATGGTTGTAGATGTGTGGTATTATTTCTGAGGGCTGTGTTCTGTTCCATTGGTCTATATGTCTGTTTTGGTACCAGTACCATGCTGTTTTGGTTACTGTAGCCTTGTAGCATAGTTTGAAGTCAGGTAGCATGATGCCTCCAGCTTTGTTCTTTTGGCTTAGGATTGTCTTGGCAATGCAGGTTCTTTTTTGGTTCCATATGAACTTTAAAGTAGTTTTTTCCACTTCTGTGAAGAAAGTCATTGGTAGCTTAATAGGGATGGCATTGAATCTATAAATTACCTTGGGCCGTATGGCCATTTTCACGATATTGATTCTTCCTATCCATGAGCATGGAATGTTCTTCCATTTGTTTGTGTACTCTTTTATTTCATTGAGCAGTGGTTTTTAATTCTCCTTGAAGAGGTCCTTCACATCCCTTGTAAGTTGGATTCCTAGGCATTTTATTCTCTTTGAAGCAATTGTGAATGGGAGTTCACTCATGATTTGGCTCTCTGTTTGTCTGTTATTGGTGTATAGGAATGCTTGTGATTTTTGCACATTGATTTTGTGCTTCAATTTTCTTATCTGTAATGTGGGGATAATAGTAATAACCACTCATAATTATACAATGATTAATGCACTTAAAGTAGCCTGGCATAAAGTAAGCATTACTAAGCACTAGATAAATAAAATAATGGAGAAATTCCTTCATCTTATGGAGGAATCACCTAGTGATGTAACTAACAGTTGCAAAGGAAAGTTCAACTTTTAAGATAATAACTTATTTAGTTTTTAAAACTAATTTCAGAAATATTGTAATGCCTCTTATTTGCTGTTTAAAGTCTTTAACTAAGGTTTTGTTTCCTTCTTTTTTAATTTACAAGTAATATATGTTCACCATAAAATTTTTAAACAGTGCAGGAGAGAATTCAGTAAAAGGCAATGTTTCCCTTCCTACAATTTCAGTGGTAACAATCACAAAAATTCTGTTTCTTTATAGAGCATTATTATGCATATATAAGCTAATTTATATCTTCTTCATGTAAAAGGAAATGTACTCTATATACTATTCTTCGGTTTGCCTCTTTAACAATATGACGTGACCATTTTATATCAATATATGTAGGCATCTCATCCTTCATTGCATGGGTCTATCATTGTTTAAACAGTTTTCATTAATGGACCCTTTTTTGGCTATTACAAACAATTCTTAGGAACAACCTTGTATCTAGAGCTTTGTGCATTTATGAATTGTATATTTTTAGGATAATTTTTATTAGTGAGTCAGAGTAAAAGCACCTTTTATTTTATAACACACTATCAATTATTCCTCCTCAAAAATTATATTAGTTGGCCGGGTATGGGTACGGTGGCTCACACCTGTAACCCCAGAATTTTGGGAGGCTGAGGCAGGCAGATCACAAGGTCAGGAGTTCAAGACCAGCCTGGCCAACATAGTGAAACCTCATCTCTACTGAAAATACAAAAAATTAGCCGGGCATGGTGGTGGGTGCCTGTAATCCCAGCTACTCGGAAGGCTGAGGCAGGAGAATCACTTGAACCCGGGAAGCAGATGTTGCAGTGAGCTGAGATCGTACCATTGCACTCCAGCCCGGGTGACAGTGCAAGACTCTGTCTCAAAAAATAATAATAAAAATAAAAATAAATAAATTACATTAGTTTACATCAACTGTGTATGAGCATGCCAGTTACTACACACCCTCACCAATACAGGTTATGTCAATCTCTTTTTATTCTTTGCTCAAATGATATCTATTTTAATTTTCACTCTTTAATCATAAATGAGGTTGAACATCTTTCCACATGTATTGCCTATTTGTATGTCTTTTTTCTTGAATAGTCTGTCCATGTCCTTTGTCAATTTTTTATTCAGTTGTTCTTGCTGATTTGTAAGTGTTCTTTGTATATTCACAAACTTAGTCCTTTGTCATATATATTGGAAATATTTTGCTAGCTTATATTTTTAAAACACTTTTTTTTTTTTTTGAGATGGAGTCTCGCTCTGTCCCCCAGGCTGGAGTGCGGTGGCCCGATCTCAGCTCACTGCAAGCTCTGCCCCCTGGCTTCATGCCATTCTCCTGCCTCAACCTCCCGAGTAGCTGGGAATACAGGTGCCCGCCACTACGCCCGGCTAATTTTTTCTATATTTAATAGAGACGGGGTTTCACCATGTTAGCCAGGATGGTCTCAATCTCCTGACCTTGTGATCCACCCTCCTTGGCCTCCCAAAATGCTGGGATTACAGGCGTGAGCCACCGCGCCTGGCCTAAAACAATTTTTTTATACATGAGTTTATAATAATTTCTTTGTAGTCAGATTTATAATTTCCTTTATAATTTCTAGACCATACTTTTTCAACTCAAGTCTGAGGACTAAGCTCTGATTTTTTCATCTTACCCAAATTCCTACCTAAGGGGTCTGGGGAGTCAAGCCCTACAAACCATAAATTATCATCAGATGGTTTTATTTGATGCTATATATTGTGACTTACTTTTCCATCTGACTCTGGCATAACATTGTGAGACAAGGAAAAAATATTTAACCTCAAAATATATTTCCTTGCCATACCCTGAAATTGCCCTGCAAAGTTTCTTGTGGGAAAAACCCACATTCTATAGAGCCTCCCCTTCCCCCTTTGTTTTCCTTCCTTTCTTTCCAGATCCAGGAGATAATCAACTAAGAGTCAGGCACGCTTCTAAGTCCAATAAGAAACAATTTACAACCTGCTCTCTCTGAAGGCTGCTGAGAGCTTCCTCTGCACAATAAAACTTGGTCTCCACAATCCTTTATCTTTAACCTGAACATTCCTTTCTATCGATCCCAGGTCTTTAGACAAACTCAACCAATTGTCAACCAGAAAATGTTTAAATTTGCCTATAGCCTGGAAGCCCCTGCTTTGAGTTGTCCCACCTTTCAGAACCAAACCAATGTATTACTTAAATGTATTTGATTGATGTTTCATGCCTTCCTAAAATATATAAAACCAAGCTGTACCCCAGCCACCTTGGGCACATGTTCTCAGGACCTGAGGGCTGTGTCATGGGCCATGGTCATTCATATTTGGCTCAGAATAAATCTCTTAATATTTTTTACAGAGTTTGACTCTTTTCATTAACAAGTCAAATTTGTTCAGCATGATTTTCACTTCTCAAACATCTCCCAAAATTATGAACTAACACCATCTTTATCAAAATGCATCCTCTTGCTTCTTCTATGATAAATTGCATCTTACTCATACTTCAGAACATTGAGAAATAACCTTCCCGGAATCAATTTTACTTTGCACTGGCCTCTTAACGTTCCTTTAATGCATGTGAACATCTTCAGGAAAGATCTGAGGGCAAGAAATGAATGTTCACCTCAGTGACATCCTCTAGTGAGTAAGCTAGAGCTAAGCAAGGTTGATGAACAGATGTCTACCTAGATCTCCAGACTCTGTCACAATGCCTTGCTAAGGAGCAACTTATATACTAATAATAGTGATGAAGAGGAGGAGGAGGAGGACAGGTAACATTTACTTAGGATGACTATCAACCATCCTTTTTACATACATTATCTTATTTGATCTGCAAAAAGAAGACAGTACAATTATTATCTCTGTTTTAGAGGTGAGGAAACTGATTCCTCAGGTTAGGTAACTTGTCTAATATCACAAAACTAATGAGGGTCACAGTGAGGATATCTCTGTTACATCGAGCCCCAGAGCTATTACATTGGGCCCCAGAGCTGACCTCTTTTATAATAGTATGCTAGCATTGTTCACTTTTCACAATGTTTCCACCACCTGGATACCCACATTCTGCTTAGCCACCTTAGTTACCATGATGCACAGTTCTCTACTCTAGAAAGAAAGCTCCTGAATGGCTGGAAAACTCCTCTATGGCCAACTGTGTCTTACTCATCTTTATATCCCCAAAACCTGGTAGGGTGCATGGCACTTAGGAAGCTTTCAAGAAATGCTTGTCGGGTTTAACAGAATGGAAGTGCAGAAGTAAAGGAAATGAGCCCCAGGGAAGTTAATGGATTTGTCAAGTATTCTACAGCTAAAGGGCAGAGCTGGGACTAAAACACAGGGTTTGGATTCCCAGCTCTCCTCCCCTGCCCCACACACATTGCTGAATTACAGATTTACAAGGATTATTCTTGAGAGGAAGTACTGCGATGCAGGAAGGAATGATCCCCTTTCTAGCTGCTGGAGTTCTTCCCTTAAGGTTTTAAGGGTGAAAGTAAAAGAATGCTGGGGAGGAGATTTCTGGGTGATGGTTGTCCTCGGGGAGAATTCCTTTATTTTCATGTCTCTTATTAAGTTATTAGCATTCTGAAAAATGTAGACTAAAGGAAAATTCCAGGGCCTCAGGGCGTTAGGGTGTTGGCAGTGAGTCACATTCTGGGTTTCCAAAAATCATGCTTGGAAAATGGTTCAGAAGATTACTTAAATGAAGTTCAAACTCTCAATTCATTTTACACTTAGATGATAGAGTTGGGAGAAGAGTGCAAAGGCATGTGATTAACTGGATTCTCCAGTCCTAACTCGTTATGTTAATTTAGGAAGATGTATCTGGCAAAAAAAAAATGACATTTTATAAAAAGCATATTTCATGAAACAGATAATCTAGGCAAAGCAGTACAGTACCTAGTACTGTGTAAGCATGAAAGAAATGTTAGGTAGGTCTTGGCACCTTCACTTATTAGCACAAGTTACCTGAGCTCTCTCTGCCTCAGTTTCCTTATCTATAAAATGAGAGCAATACTACCTACCTCGAATAGAGAATTAAATGGGTTAATATATATAAAGTGTCATTACATTATATAGCTTTCCTTGTTAGAAACATACTCATTTCCTTTCCCTTCAAGACTGTTTCTAAGATTCATGTCATTAATGTAGATACGTTTCACTTGTGTACGTGTGTGTGTTTGCTATTTCTCATGTGAACATACTTCTCTACCACTATTTATCTACTCTCCTGTCAGTGATAAGGTTGCTTGCAGTTTTGTGCTTTGGGGGTATGTGAATGTTTGGCTTTGTAAGGTAAATAACCTCACAAAGTTTTGCAAAGTGATTGCACCGTTTATATGCCTATCAGAGTATCTTGTCCAACACCCAATATTGTTAGTCTTAGTTTTTGCCAGTCTCAAGCGTGTGTAATGTTATCTCACTGTGGCTTTAATTTGCATTTCTCTGATTACTAATGAGGATGAGCATCTTTAAATGTGTTTCTTAGCCATTCTTGTTTTCTCTTTTGTGAGATCTCTTTTCATGTCTTCTGCCTGGTGAGTTTTTTGTTGTTGTTGTTGTTTGTTTTTGGCGAGACAGGGTCTCACTCTGTCACCCTGGTTGGAGTGCAGTGGCGCGATCTTGGCTCACTGCAACCTCTGCATCCCAGGCTCAAGTGATCCTCCCACTTCTCAGCCTCCTGAGACCTAGCTGGGACCACAGGCACGCACCACCACGCCTGGCTAATTGTTTGTGTTTTTTGGTAGAGACAGGGTTTCACCATGTTGCCCAGGCTGGTCTTGAACTCCTGAGCTCAGGCAATCCACCAGCCTCAGCCTTTCAAAGTGCTAGGATTACAGGCATGAGCCACTGTGCCCAAACTGCCTGGTTTTTAAAGTCTGTCTTCTTGGAAGAGGTCACCTAATGTCCTTGCCATTCCTGCCTTAAAAATAATAGACATTCATCAGTCTGTTAATCTTATATACTTCTGGTGAGGAAGACAAACGGTTAACATAATGGTGTCAGAGAGTCTCAGGCCCTACCAGGGTATTTTCTCAAAAGTCTCCCTTAAACAGGCAATATATAGAGAGAGGAATGAAAAAAGAAGATTTTTGTCAGTTTGTGTTTTACTTTGCATATCTGGACATATATTTGCGCTTATTAATTTGGTTATACGACTTTTTTAAGGAAGTAGCATCCAGAAGTTCAGTTGTCATAAGAGTAAGCATTTACTGAACACTTATGTGCTAGGTACTATTCTAAGCACTCTACGTATATTACTCCAGTCTTCATAATAACTTGTGATAGTCATGAATAGGTACTACTATTATTTTCCAGCTAAGGAAAATGGAAGCCATAAAAAATTAAATGATTTATTTGAAGTGGAATCACTACTAAGTGGTAGAAATGGGCTTCAAATGAAGGGAGTCTGGATCCCCCAGTCTATGCCTTAAACCACCAGGATAACTACAGGAAATAGCAAGTTAGTGGGGAGTACAGCAGAAAGCAGGAGGCTGTGGTGAGACGGAATTCAGGGAATTGGTGGGCCGCTAGAGTAGGCTGGTTAGAGAAGGAAGTAAAGATGGGAGGGTGGCTGGAAGAGTTAAAGAGAGAAAGATCAAGAACAGAAATTGCTACCATGTCAGGAGAGTATAAAAGTTGCTAGGACATGTGCTGACAGAGCTGTGAACAGTCATTGTTCAGGTTTCCAGATAATCTCAGTGATTATAAAGTTTGGATTTGCCACAGGGGTGAGTTGTGTTAAAGAGGAATAGAGGCAAAGGGCATTGAAATCCAGGAGTTTGAGAAGCGGTGAGTCATGGACAGTGAAGTTGTCTAAGATAACGGCAGGAGCTTGGCAGTGTTTGTTAGCCAGGTGCTGAAGTTCTCTGTGAATCTAGGAGTGATCTAGAAGCAGGTAGATGAAGGTGATTATGTTCCATGCTATAGCACGAGACTCCAAAGAGGGCAGAGGGCTGGGCACTGTGGCTCATGCCTGTAATCCCAGTACTTTGGGAAGCCGAGGTGGGTGGATCACCTGAGGTCAGGAGTTCAAGACAACCCTGGCCCACCTGATGAAACTCTGTCTCTACCAAAAATACAAAATTAGCCAGGCTTGATGGCGCACGCTTGTAATACCGGCTACTTGGGAGGATGAGGCAGAAGAATTGCTTGAACCGAAGAGGTGGAGGTTGCAGTGAGCTGAGATCGCACCATTGCACTTGGGTAGGAATGGAATCACCTGGAGCTGGCATTTAGAAGCTAGGAGAATGCCAGCCCTGCTTCCAAATCTCTCAGTGTGTTGGGAAGAGAGAATAAGCAGTTTTTGCTTGTCAAAGCTCAAGGGAAATAATATTCTTGCAGGAAATCCAAGTTTCAGTTAAGGAAAGAAGGTGAAGATTTCGCTCTGCTAAGAGGTTGAGGATATAGGTTTGAGTAAGTACAAAGAAATTGTGTTTCTTACAGTGGAAAGAGCTTCAAAGGAGGTTAGCAGTGAAAAAAGTTTGGGGAAAAGAAGCATGGGAAAGTTTGGGTATGAGTAAAGAGAAATTTTTACCTCGAGGGTAACTAATAAGAACAAGAGTTAGTGGTGTGGATAAGATACATTGGCCTTGAGATGATGAGGAAATATAGGTGTGAGCTTGACAAGAAAATTGACATTAACTTCAGGATGTCAGAGTTATGCTGATTTACATGGTAGCTGTTTCGTACTGCTTTGGAGGAGATAAGAAATGCCTCACTGTGCTACTAAAAGGCCTGCAAGACAGACCCATCTATCATCCACCAAGTAAATTCATCTTCCTGTGTCCTATTTTCTCCATTTCTAAAATAGGGATAATAATATCCTTTTCTCTCAGTTGACATGAAAATCAATTTGTGCATATGAAAGTGTCTTAGAAAATTGTAAAATGCCAGATGAAAGTAAGTTAGAAATATGATGGTGTTAGTCACACCCAACTTTGTTTATGCTGAATTCTTTATCAAAAATACAAAGTCCAGGTGTAGCCTTGTTCCTGATTTAAAAAAAAAAGAAGAGATTATTTTCAATGCTTTGTTTAAGGACATGGTTTTTAAGAAAGATTATAAAAAACAGAAATGTCTGCATTACATCCTGTAGACGAGTAAACAAAGCAATTTATCAAGGAAATAGCAGGGATGGGGAAGTTTTGCTTTTGTCATTCTTTCCATTAGAAATAATTTACACTGTTTCCACTTAACAACAGATCAGGACTTCCCTTAATGTCCTTTAGCAAAGCTCAAAGAGCTACAGTTGGGACTTTGGGCCACCGGCCAGTATTTGTTCAAAGAGAGCTGTACGGTAGTTCAGTAATCAGAAACTGGAAATTTCTCTTTTCCCACACACAAGCACTACTTCCTCCCCTTATTTTGCCCAGACATTTCACAATCCTTGCAACGGATGGAGGCCAATATACACGCAGCATTTAGTACCAGGCAACAGCCACCTTAGCCTTAAGTATTTCTTTTATTATTTTTCTTAAGGAGGGAGAAATGTTTTCATGCTTGTTATTCTTTTACCTTTGGAAAAATCTAATATTCTTCAGACAGTGGTGAAAGAGCAAAAATTTATTGGTATTTACTAAATATAAGACAGGAATAGTCTTTGTATTCATGCTCAGGAAATTTCTATTTTGGATGCAGAAAACGATATACCTATTGTCAAGATGATATTTTATCAGATTAGGACAAACCCACAAACACACTTTCCATATCCTCAGTATAAAATGGAAAGAAACATGACACTGTATCATGCATATGGTCATAGCAGCTCAATAGTCCACCTCTGCCAGAAATACCATGAAATCTGCATGAAAATGCCCTATATCTTCTGACATGTCATGAACAATTCAAAAATATATGGAAGAGGGTTATTTATAAAGCAGAGAATTATTAGAGGAAATGAAGTTCATCTGGAATCCTGAATCTTAAAAAAAGTTGATCAGGATGTTTTACTTATGACAAAAGTATTGTTGAATAAATAAAATGTAGAGATAAAAGGGAAGGAAAAACATCCAGCCATAATATGTCCATCCACAGACCAAGAGTGAATCTATTTTTTCAGGCATTTTCTTATAAATCCTTAATTATATTTAATAAACATGGAATCATACTAGCCATACTCTTTTGTAACCTATTTAACATATTCAAGCTCCCATTAGACTGCCTGGCTCTGGGTTCCAGCTCTGTCACTGACTAATAGGATGACATTGCACAAGTTACTTAATCAACCTGCTGATAAGAATGGAATTTTGAGCAGAGGAGTCAAAGGCTCTAGAGCTGCAAAGATTAAGTTGTCATCAGCCAACATTGGAAGTCTGTGCATAAAAGAGATTTCTAGGAAAAAAAAAAATCAGCAGTTCAATCTATCGGACACCTGAATGGAAATATCAAGCATGTAGTTGGATTGTGACTTGAAGAAAAGCATGAAGAGTTACAAGTGTAGGCCATGGGCCTATAGATATTTAGAGCAGTGAGACTGGATAAAATCAAGGGAGCAATTGTAGATAGAGAAGAAGACCAAGAACTGAGCCTTGGACCATTCCAACACTAAGAGTTTAGAGGGGAGATACAAAGGGAAGGGAAAGAACTTAAGAGGAAAAAAGGAAAACAAGAGAATGCAGTGACCTGGAAACATATGAAGAAGGTGTATTAAGGAGACAGGGATTATTAAAATGTGCCAAATGCTGCTAATCAGATAAGAAAAGGACTGAGAATTGCCATTGAATTTGGCAATGTGGAGGTCACCCAAGAGCAGTGTGTGTGGAGAGAAAAGCTTGAAAGAAGAGAAGGTTTACAAGAGAACGGGAGGAAAGAAATTGGAGAGAGCTAGTATGGACACTTATTTCAAGATTTCCTGCTAAGAGCAACAAATACATGGGACAGGTCCTGGTGGGAAAAGTAGGCTCAAAAGAAAGTTTCATTTCATTTTTCTAGAGTGGAAGAAATTATAGCATGTTTGTAAGTGGATAGAATGATCCAGTAAAGATAATAAAATACATGATGTAAGACATAAGGGGAATTTCTGAAGTGGTGTTCTTGCGTGAGCAAGAAGGAATGGGATCTAGCATGTAAGTGGAGGAATTAGTTTTGATATGAGCACAGACTGTTTATCTTTGGTATCAGTCAGGAAGGCCAAGTATATGAGTCATCATTTTGGAGGGAGTCAGTTGAAGTTCTCTTCTGAGAGCTTCAATTTTCCCATTACGCCCTTTATCCTTGCTCATGTGAATTACACGGGAAGCATCAGAGTCCCAGGGCACCCCTTATTTCCAGCTCTCTAACCCTCATAGAGCTCTGTAATTCCCATAAATGGTCTCCTATCCTCCCTCCTGAAACTCTTTCTTTACGTTATCAGAAATGTAGAGTGCATCATGTCAGTTGTGTAGGAGAGTGTTTATTTTCCTGTGCCCTCGCAATACAAATGCTATTGCATAAAGGAATCTTTGCCAATTTAATTGGGGAAAGGCTTATTTCACTGTTATTTAACGTAGACTTCTTCAATTTCTAGTAAGGATGAATATTTTCTTCACATTTTTAAATGGTACTTTTTCTTTTAATTAATTACTTTCATAAAAGCTGCTTATTTTTCTGCTAGGGTTTTCAACTGTTTTTTTTTTTTTTTTTTTTTTTTTTTTTTTTTGAGATAGGATCTTGCCCTGTAGCCCAGGCTGGAGTGCAGTGGCATGATCTCAGCTCAGTGCAGCCTCTGCCTTGTGGGTTCACGCGATTCTCCTGCCTCAGCTACCTGAGTAATTGGGACTATAGGCGTGCACCACCATGTCCAGCTAATTTTTGTATTTTTAGTACAGATAGGATTTCACCATGTTGCCCAGGCTGGTCTCAAACTACTGGCTTCAAGTGATCCACCTGCCTCGACCTCCCAAAGTGCTGGGATTGCAGGTGTGAGCCACTGTGCTGGCCTCAATTCTTTCTCATTGTTTTGTAAGAACTCTTCCTAGATAAGTTTATTAATACTATTTTTCACGCATGATGCAAATATTTTCACTCAAATTTCCACTTTTCTTTCAATGCAGTTTTTGGCACTTTTACATACTTTAAAAAATCTTATTTTACATCAATCAGTAATTTATTTAATGGAATCCATTTTGAGCACTTAGGCCCTTTCCTTGCCACCCCCAAGGCAAAGTAAATATTCACCCACATCTTAAAGAAACCCGTAACAGTTCTTTGGTTTCAGTTGTTGCATTTAAATAGTTAATTTCAACAGAAGTATATCTGAGTGCATGGTATAAAGAAGAGATATAATTTTTTTTGCCCCCTGAAATGGTGGCCAGTTGTCACAACTGTCTTTATGAGCTAATTTCTTGTACTAGAAGGGTCCACTATCCCTTTCTAAGGGTACGGCCCAGCCAGCAGTTTCCTGCTGAGAGAAGATGCCCTGGAATGCTCTTGAGAAAGGATTGGTCATCAGTTAGGTTGGGCCTCTGTGCCAAGGCAGCCTCTTAGGTTCATGACAGCCTGCCAGGAACAGCTCCACCCAGAATACTGATATTAACTGGTATTTGAAGCAGCAATAAAAAGAGTATTATGCATTTAGCATCACGGAGAGAAATAAAAACCCACAAAAAGAAAAGTTGAATTTGAAAGGACAATACCAGTAGCTATGCCATTAGTGATGCCATTGAGAAAATCAGATTTCACTGTACATTTTTAAATATGTACAATCCATCTATCCATTCCCACAATTAATGTTTTTCCACAGCCTACTGTGTGCCAGATACCAGGCTGGATGTTTTGATAAACAAGACCACGTCCCACCCACAGGGAATTTACATTCAAATAAGTATTGGGAGCTGACAGGAACATCTAGAAAGCATCATCCTATGTATAGGATTTAAACAGCATATAATAATGGAATAATTTAACAATCCATTTAACATACCAGGATACACAGCTTGCAAACTGAAGCAAGTGTATAAAATTTTTAAAATGTGATAGAGGTAGAGTTAGAAAGCTGGTGGGGAAAGAATGGTAAGTTAGTTGAGTTTCCTGAGGTTTCAAGGAATGGAGACACCTGAGCAACTTAACATGAAAGAAATTTATTTACTTTGAGTTGGTAACAGTCACTTTGCTCAGCCACTCCGGTATCTCTACCTCTTCTGGCCTTTATCAGTGTAGCTCATAGTCTCTGATATTTTTTACATAACTTCTCTTTTTTCCTATGAATAATCTCTTTGGTTATTAACTTACTGACTTAAATTCCTTTTTTATCATTCTCTCTTAAACCAACAGGAATCAGCCTTTCTTCCCACCTCTAACACTAAAACTGCTTTTATCAGCTTTTCCAATGACCTTAGGTCAATTCTGAGTCTTCCTCTTTCTCATGCTATTACTGGCCTTTGGCATAGTTGATCACGCCTTCCTATTTGAAACACTCTTTGCTTTGCCTTCAGGACACCATTCTCTCCTTGTTCTCCTGTGTCATAGGACACTTTTTCTCATTCACGTCTCATTATTTGTCATTTATCCGATTTCACAATGCTAGACTGCTCCAAGCTTGGTCCTTGGAATTTTTCTCTTTTCTACTTCTACTTACCCCCTGGATGATCTCTTCTAATTTTGTGAATGTAAATACTTTACTATATGTTGAAAATTCCAAAATGTGTATCTCCAGGTTGGACTTCTGTCTTGAACCTCAGGCTCATATGTCCAATTACTAATGACATTGTCACTTAGATGTACCAAATAGGCATCTGTAGTGGAGTGTATTATTGTTCATAATATTTGTTGCCTTGTCCAGTGCCAGCATTATACTTACCCTGTTCTGCTGATGTCAGGGCTGGCCTTGGGATTTGCTTTGGTCAATGACATGCGGTGCAACTGACTTAAGTTGTTTTTGAGAAGAAGCCTTAAAAGCCATCATGTGGCTCCATTGTGTTATTTCTTCCCTCTGCCCTGACACCAGAAACATTCCAGATGGAGGCTGCTCCTTCAGCCTGGGTCATGAGATAAAGTCCACGAAGACACAGTTGACCTGCAGTAGACACAAATGTGAGTGAGCAAGAAATAAACTTTTTTGCTTTAAAGCATTAAGGTTTTTGGAGTTGTTTTGTTTCCTTCAAGAAAATGTTTATTGCATATTATTAGTGATTATGTTTTACAGCAAAATAAAATATACACACTTTTCACAAACACAAAATGGGAATCAAGGCAGCTATCAAATTTACATGTTGAACCAAGTCCTGGTTTTCAGAATTCAGCAGCCAGTCACGATTCTGCACCAGGGCCACTAGTCCATGATTTCCAATAGGTGAGGATCTTTTCAGTAATTGGGACAAAATCTTCTTTATATGTGACCATCGTTTGCATATAAAACCCTTTTGGGCATTCAGATAGTTCACGGGGTACCTCACTTGTTGAGGCATCCTTTTGTTCTACTTCATCACCTGTTGGCTTCTCCTTTTTCTGGCCAAAGTAAAACATTGAGCGCACCAAGGTCCTGGTGCTGACCACGGACATCTGCCAGTACCAGGCCGTGAACTGGTTTTGATACATGGGGATGCCAGCGAGGGCCTCTATCCTCCTGGAGTTGTTTACTGCAAGAGACATAGCCTAAACTGAATGACACAGCATCTCAAATTAACATACCCAAAACTGAATGCCTGATCTTCCCTGCCCAACCTCCAAACTGCTCTGCCCACAGAGTTCCCCATCTTGGTGAACAGCAGTTTCAACTTTCCAGTTTTCAGATTAAGAAAGTCGGAATTGTCCTTGATTACTCTCTGAATCTCACGCTCCACATATAGGCACTGAAAATACATCAATGAACACAATAGACACAACAGATAAAAATTCCTGTTGAGATTACATTCAATAGAGATGAAGCAGACAATAATGAAATGAGCAAGCATAATAAGTTGAGTATGAGGATTTCAATATATGTAATACATATTACTATATAATACTAAATATTTAAATGTGTAGAAGTTAACGCATGAGATGGAAAAAACAGAGCCAGTTAAAGGGGAAGGGAGTACCTAGGGTGACAGCAAGGGTGTAGGTTGCAAGGGTAGTCCGAGTTCAACTGATTGAGACAGAAACATTTTAACAAAGACTTGAGAGCTGCAGAACTTTTGGCATGTAATGACTCTGCCCAAACCTCTACACTAAGAGATGACTAAACTGCAGCATTGCTTCTAGCAGCGTAAGGCCACGCCCCTAACATGACCCCGCCACCCCCATTCTCCTCGCAAATGCCTGCATTACCAAGCCCAGTGCTGCCAGAAGAATTTACTGTGTGTTCTAGTCAACCCTGGATGACAGGCCCTTGTCCTTTCTTTTTAGACCATTTACTAAAAAGGGCTCACAATTGTGAATCTGTATCTCCTGTAACTCAGAAGTGTCTTTTTCAAGGACTCGAAAGCCATTTCTTTGCAATGTAATTATCAGGAGGGATAGGGACTGATATGGTTTTGCTGTGCCCCCACCCAAATCTCAACCGGAATTGTATCTCCCAGAATTCCCACGTGTTGTGGGAAGGACCCAGGGGGAGGTAATAGAATCATGAGGGCTGGTCTTTTCTGTGCTATTCTAGTGATAGTGAATACGTCTCACGATATCTGATGCGTTTATCAAGGGTTTCTGCTTTTGCTTCCTCCTTATTTTCTCTTGCCTCCACCATGTAAGAAGTGCCTTTCACCTCCTGCCATGATTCTGAGGCCTCCTCAGCCATGTAGAACTGTAAGTCCAATTAAACCTCTTTTTCTTCCCAGTCTCAGGTGTGTCTTTAACAGCAGCATGAAAACAGACTAATATAGGGCCCCTGTCTCCCAAGTCTCTGTGGGAGGATAGAACCTAATTTTGATAATTGCCAGCTAGCAGACACAGCTGGCCTAATCCCATTTACACTGACCAACCCTTTGTAATTTTTCACTTCTCTGACTCTCCTTTAACCCTCCCATTCCCCCAATTCTCCCTTCTAAACACTCAGTCTCCTCTGCACAAATCAGAAAGGAGCTCAACTCTATCCCTTTCTGTCAGTAGTTGCTGAATAAAATCTGTTTTCACCAAATGTCCAGCTGTGTTTTATCTTTCACAGACTTGAAAGAGATGAAAGGAGTAAGCCATATGACTAGTGGTAGAAAGAGTGTTCCAAGCAGAGCAACAGCCAGTGCAGAAGCTCAAATGCAGGAGCATGCCTGGCCTATACAAGCAACAACAAAGAGACTAGTGTTGCTGCAACAGGGTTAGCAATGGAAATGTTGGTGGCAGCTGATGTCAGAATGTAAAGGGTGGGCAGGTGGCATACACTGCAGGGACTTACAGGCCCTCATAGGTAAGTACTTTTAGCTTTTACTCTCATGGGCTAGGGAACTATTGGAGGATGTCGAGCAGGGGAGTGACATGATCTGGCTTACATTTTAAAAGGATCACCCTAGCTGCTGTGCTGAGACTAGACAGTAATGGGGATTGGAGGGTAAGGTTGGAAGTAATAAGACTAATTAGGAGGTTGTCAAAATAATTCATGTGAGAGGTGATGGTAGCTCAGTCAAAAGTGATAGTAGTGATAACAGCAATGTCTAAATGTATTTTACAGAATTTCTTTATGGATTGGCTAAGAGTAGTTAAAGAGAAGTGTCAGGTATGATTTCAAAGTTTCTGTCCTGAGCAGTTGGAGGAATGAAGTTTCCCTCAGCTGAGATGGTAGCAGGTTTTGGTGGGGTGAAAGAGGAGCTCTCCCCATAGTAGCTCATTCAGGCTAATTTATAACATTTATTAAACATGGGTATGGGGTGGTTTAGTAGGCAGTTGGATATTTGAGTCTGAAGTTCAGGGGAGAGGTCTATATTACAGATTTAAATTTTGGAGTTATTGGCAAATATATGGTATTTAAAGCCACGGATTGCATGAGACGACCAAGAAAGTGAGTGCAGCTAAAGAGAAGAGAACCTAGGACCAAAGCCCTTAAATGATGAGAGAGGTTTGGAAGAAGAGGAAGTAGCACAGGAATCTGAGAAGAAACAGCCAGTGAAGTAGGAGGAAAGCAAACAAAAAAAAAGTATGGTGTCCAGGAAATCAAGAGGGGAAAAGTTTGTCAAGGGAGAGGGAATGACCAACTGTTGCTGAAAAGATGAGGACTGAGAAGTGACCATTAGATTTAGTAATATAGTTACTGATGATAACAGTAGTTTGGACCAATTGGTGGCACTAAAAGTCTGACAGGAGGCAGTGTGAGAGAGAAAAGAAGACAGATTGGGAAGCAAACAGATACCTTTTTTGAGGAGTTTTGTTGCAAAGAGGAGCAGAAAAATAGATCCATGAGTGATGGGAAAAGCAATGTTCAAAGCTGGTTCTTAGAGTGTGTTACTGATAACAATAAGATTTATATCCATATCCTAAATTACTTTCAAACAAGTAATTTGATGTGTCATTCTGATGGTGGCAGGAGGCAGACAGGTTCCTAGGTGGGAAGGGGCAGGTCCCGGGTGAAACCTCAACTTCAAGCCAGTGACAAGCCAGCTGGGCCTGGGCTTCCAGCTCCGGGTGAAATCCATGGCCTGGAGTGAAGGCTACCCACTACAGATCTCCCTGCTGAGAGCTGTTCAGTTGCCCAGTAAAGCTCTTCTCCACCTTGCTCACCCTCCAGTTGTCCACCTAACCTCATTCTTCCTGGATGTGGGACAAGAACCTGGGACCTGACAAATGGCAGGAGCAAAAGGAGCTGTAACACTTTCCTGGCCAGTTCATTGAGCTGCGGGTGGGAGCTAAAAGGGGCTATAACACTTTCCTGGCCAGCTTGCTGAGCTGCAGGCGGTGGCATGGTACTGGCTGCAGGAGTGAAACGTAACAACCCTTCTGGGGGCCCAGACCTTGGGAATCCCTGTGCCAGAGCTGTAACACTGTAGCCTTCCTGCCCTCTGCTGGTGCCAGGTGGCCACCCCATGCAACAAGAAGCAGTGGAGGGGCAGGGCCAGCCCAGGAGTCATGGGCCAGAGCAGGGCAATGGGACTGAAAGAGTCTTTACACAAATCAGCTGAAACACACTCCCCAACCCCGAACATGAACCCCTACTTGCTGCGCTGCAGTAGATGTGAAGGAGAGAAGAGCTGTGGCCCTTCTTGGAGCCCAGATCTTGGAGCTCCCTGAGCCAGGGCTGTGACATACTGTAACACCCTCTTTGGGGCTTTGTGGTTCCTGGCATCTCTGAGCTTTCCAGCATCACCACATTTCCCTCATCCAGATGCTGGTGCCCGCAGTGGAAGCCGCTTGCGGTACGTCTGGTCCAGCCGCAACCTCATACAGAGTCAGCACCTGTGCGGGTGCCTGGAGCTGCCTGCCCCTCCGCAGCAGCCAGCATGCCTGGCTGTGTGCAGTGGCCAAACAGCGTGCTTGCACACACACCCCTCGCTGCTCTGCACCTGGCTTGCCTTTGGCAGGTGTGGGATCCAAGGCTGGTTGTGTGAGCTGAGCGCAGCCTGCTGGTCCGAGTGGGTGGAACAAGCCCAGTGGGCATGAGCAAAACTCAAGCAGAGGGGCTGCTGGCCACAGGGGTTTCCAGCTGGTGAAGCACCACCTGAAGCATCGGTGACAACTCTACATGCAACATGATCACGCATTAGGCATCATTATTATCCCCATTTTATAGATGAATGAACAGAAAACCTCCGCACAGGAAGATAAATAATTTGTGTCTCAGCAGAGAAAGGAAAATAACATAGCCCAAGTTTTTGCAGATGGTAAGTTGTAGAGTAGTCTGACTCCAGAGCCTGCTCTGAAGCAGGGCTCCTGCTAGCCCATATGGTAGCCCTGTGAAGTTAGCCAATAGCACCTGATTTCACAAGCAGATTTTAAGTTAGTATATTGTTATGGAACTGGAATGGCTGTTCCCCAGGAGGGTTATCCAGAACACCCACTGGCAGTAGTCCTGCCTATGTACATACAAGTGCCTGTATTTTTGCCTGCTTCCACACAGGACACATCGTCTACACAATTTTCAAGTACTTCATGTTGCTCCCCTCACTTCCAAAGTGGGAAAATTATCAAGTTCAAAGCTGAGGAATGAGAAGCAAGCCTTGGAAAGTCCCAGGTAAGTGAGAGAAGAAATCTCAGGTGTCACTAGGAGTGCAGTCAGAACAGATGCAACTTATGCTGGTGTGTGTGCTAGTGTGTAAGTGAATGGTCTCCTAACTGTATGTGTGTGGCCATATGCACCCAATGGGGGTTTATATACAAATCAGCTTTCCACCGCTCCAGAACTTAGCCTGGAATCTCCAGTTCTGTATGTGCTTTTCCATAAGTTAATACATGTGTATGATATGAATCAGCACACTCTTATCTGTAGTATCCTTGCACACTGTGAAACCTGAACACTCTCATGCTGTGACCTTGCTCCTAACCATTCTTCATTAGAAAATTGTTAAATGTCTACCTCCATGCAAAGCACTGTGTTGCAGGATTATTTAGGAATCAGAAAGACCGAGGGGTTGAGGAGGATTTATTATTTAGGTGCACCGGCACAGTCAGATTAACATCCGCTGAGCCCCGAACAAAGGGTCAGGTTACCTTTTAAGCATTTCGTGGGCAGGGGGCAGTTGGGGGGAGATCTGTGCAGGGGGAAGCATATTACAGAAGTAAGAAAAATGACAGTTATTTAATTGAGATATGCATTACATAATTTCTTACTTTTCAAGGAAAAACATATTTTATGACTTGAGTTTATCTGTCTAGTGACTTTGCAGCTGCACAGCTAGAGAAACAGGGTCTTCACAATGCCTGGGAAAGGGAGAGATAAGGCTCACTAGCCACAGATAGAAAAACAGGCAGTTAATTTTTAAAGGACTCTACCTCTTTCTCCTCCTCAGGGGGAACTGGGTTTTCTTACATACAACTGAGTTTTTGCTTACATATTCTTTAATTCCTGTTCCAACTGTACTAGGCATTATGGAAGATTCACACACCCAATCTTGTTGCCAAGAAACATAATTCCTAGCAGGATAAATAAGTACATAAATAGCTATAAGATACAAAGAGACAAATCCTACAAGAGAAATATTGAAAACCTGTTATATGAATTTGCAAGAGGATGTGCTTATGTCAGTTTGGCTAAAGAAAATTTCATGAAGGAGGTAGCATTGGAGGGGTGGCTTGGAAGGTAGAATTTGGAGTGAAGAGATGGAAACAAGAATATTTGAGAGAGAACTGTGTGAATAAAAGCAGTGATGTGAAGGTGTAGTACAGGCATGGAAATTGTGAATACTAAAATTTGGCAAAACTCTAATGTATTGATTCTGAACTCTGCTTTGGGGTGCTGAAAGGCAGTGAAGCTATTGTAGTGGTTCCCCAAACTACGGGCCAACTACAAAAAGGAATGAAAAATGTCTTGAATGTATATGTACAACAATTCAAAACACATACAACCACTTTTTATTACAACATAAATCCATTAAAAATCATTACTGAATTCCCAATTTGTTATGTATTTTCTAAATCAGCAAATACCAAGGGTGTAACTACTATAGTGAGCTAGTCCAACAAATTTTTTGGTGTTAAAAAAGGAGTGCTGTATGTCAAAAAGGTTGGTGGGTTTTGGAGTTAGACAAACCTTGATCTTAAACTCTGTCACTATTAATTAGTTGTGTGGGACTGGGCAACTCTGAGTTTGGTCCTTCATCTCTAGAGCGGTGGTTATAAAACCAACCTTGCGTTTTTTGACAATTAGAGAAATATATGGCATGTTTTAGATGCTCAGCAAGTGGGAAGTATCACAAAACGAAAAGCTGAGGTCAAATCAGAGTCCACCTTGAACACCAAGCTAAGGAACTGGTACTTTTTCTTTGAGCACATAGTTACAGAAGGTTTTGTCTGAGTGACAGGAAAATCAATAAGTAAGTTAGAAGGTGATTGCGTTGGTCTAGGTGAGGCATTATGAGGCACTGGCATTGAATTTCTGGGATATTTCAGAGTATTGACTATAGGACTCCACATCTACTTGTATATGAGGAATGTGAGATTAAAAAAAAGGTCGCTAGTTTGATCTAACTGTGCTGTTAACAACAATAAAAAGTCAACAGAGATGTAAAGGTCAGTTTTGGACATTTTGAGTTTAAACTCCTACAATTATCGTGGCTGAAAAAGCAGCAAACATGATGTCTGTTGAAAACAAGGCTTTAGGAATTTTGCTCATTCTTTAAAAACCTACGAATTTTAAAAATCAAACTTTAAAAAACTTTTTGTTTTTTTTTTTAAAAAAACGGCAGCGTAATACAATATTTGGACACGCTATACTATGGGCTTTGAAGAACGCCTGTCCAGAACACCCAACAAGCTCCATTATGTCAAACGCTCCCGCGCCTCTGTGATGTCACCACGACGCGCTGGGCGCTCTGCGACTTGGCAGACGTCGTGCGTCATTACCAACGAGGCGCAGGGGTCAGGACGACTCTCGGCAGCGCCATTGCGCGCCCTCTAGTGGCAGCCGGTTTTGAGGCCGGCCTCCGGCTTTGAAGTTCCTCACCGCGTCTCCTTCCCTCTCCCCAAAGCCTGGATCACCGCCCAGCGTCAGGCGAGGGGCGACGTCTCGAGGTAAAACGGAGGAGGTGCGGGACGCGGAGACTGCGCGGGCCCGGTAGCCCTGGAGAGGCCGAGGCTCTAGGCCGCGAGGGGCGGGTGCAATGGCGGAGGAACAGGTGAACCGCAGCGCCGGCCTGGCCCCCGACTGTGAGGCCTCGGCGACTGCAGAAACTACGGTTTCCTCAGTGGGGACCTGTGAAGCCGCTGGCAAGTCACCAGAGCCCAAGGACTACGACAGCACCTGCGTGTTCTGCCGGATCGCGGGGCGGCAGGACCCGGGCACCGAACTCCTGCACTGCGAGGTGGGCGGCGACGCGCGGCCGGGGGTGGGTGAGGACCTGGCCGCCCCTCGGAGCTCCGGCAGGGAGGCCTCGCCGTTGTGGAGCGGGTGCAGAGGATCCCGATCGCTACTCAGCTCGCAGAGGCAGGGCCGCTCTGTGTGGATGGGGCTCGGGGAAGCTGGGGATACGCCCACTACGGGCCTTTCTGCAGGGTCCGGGTGCTGATGACAGACTCACTCCTAGGGGACTGACAGGCAGTGGCTCCAGCGGTATCTTTGCTGTTCCCAGGGGCAAAGAGTGAATGACAGGGCCGAATGCTTTGGCCTATGTTTGCAGGTACCCAGGTAGTTGGTACAAATAACATTTTGTGGCCTCTGCTTTTATTACAAGGATTCTTCTCCACCTTCAAGATACTGATTTTAAATCCTGCACACTCTAATACCGATACTGATGAGAAAACTAGTAGAAAATAGGTAATGATAATTGTGGAAAGCTGTTTGTTAGATTGGCAGAAAATAGGCTGGAGGGAGTGGGTCTGAGGTCAAACTATTATTGAATTGCCTCTGAATTCCACTGTCAGTTGGGATGCGTGGACATTTTCAGAGCATGAAGACTTTGCCCAGATATTTTTAAACGGATAATCTGGCACACACTTTATTCTGTTGGTTTTACTTGTCCATATAGAAACAACTTTTTGAGAGAATTAGCTCCAAAGATTGTGTCTTTTGTAGTAAACATTCCTTTATTTTTTAAAAAATAAATATAATTCCTTCTAAGCACCTTGTTTTGGAGGTTTTTGAGCAAGATAAGGGACAGTCTGTGTCCCGATTTTACAATCTAAAGGGCGGAATGTATACAGAGGAGGTAGCCAGTTACAATGCCTCGTGCTGTGGTCAGGTGATTTTACAGTATTTTGTAAGCTTGTGGGAGGAGCATCTAACCCAGCTCTGAAGAATTAGGGAAGGCTTTCCAGAGGAAATGAGACATGAAGAAATAAGTAGGAGTTGATCAGATGAGGAAATGGAGAGAATAATGTCCCAGGTTGAGAGACCCCCCGAGAGGTTCAGTTTGTGTGATAGAAAAACTAACAGAAATTGTCTAACTAGTGCATAGAGTTTGAGAGGATGAAAGGCGAGGCTGGAGAGGTAAACAAGGGACCAGATTATTAAGTGTGTTGGAAGTCATGTGAAGGAATTTGTCTTTATCTGAAGAGCAAAGTGAAACTTCACAATGTTTAATGGTGGGTTGGGAGGAAGATGTTGCGGAGTTATAGGAAGGGGGTTGATCTTTGAAAGGTCATTCTGGCATCATTGTGGAGAATGATTTGGAGGAGACCAGTCTGGAGGTATGGAGACCCGTTAGAAGGCTAGTAGATTAATCTACCCTGATGATGGCCTGAAATGAGAATGTGGTAGAGGAGATTATGAAAAGTATATCAATTTAAGGGATACAGTATTCAGGAGGTAAAACAGGGAGGACTTGATGGATACAGGTCAGTGATTCTCAACTGGGGGCAATTTTGCCCTCCCAGGGTACATTTTGCAATGTATTGAGATACTTTTGATTGTAACAACTTCTGGCACTTCTAGGGGTTGCTTCTGGGACCTAAATAATGGATAAAAGCCAGGGTTGCTATTAACATGGTACAGTGCACAGGACAGCACCCCCACCACCCCATCAACACACACACATAAAACAGGCTTATCCAGCCCTCAAAATGTCAGAAGTGCCAAGGTTTAGAAACCCTGATTTAGATATAAGAGGATAAGGAAATGAAAGAGGGTGAAGTCAAAGATGATTTCCAGGTTTCTGGCTAGGGTAAACTAGTAGTGGTGGTACCATTTCATTAAGCTCGGGAACACAGGAGGAGAAAAGATGGCCAGGGGAGTGGTGGGAGGTAGCAAAGCGATGAGTTGAGCTATGGAGTTGTGGAGTTTGAGGTGAGTTTGAGGCATCTAAGTAGAGATGTCTTTTAAATGGTTGGATAGTCTAGCACTCTGTAGAGGGATCTGTATCTCTAACCCAGATTACAGGAACTGTCGGTTTATAGATGGAAACTGAAAAAGAAGGGAAGCGATGAGATCACCCATGAGGTAAAAAGTGAAGGGGAGGCCTACACAGAACTCTGAAGAACACTAACATCATAAGGGACAGACAGAGGAAGAGGACCTGGAAAGGGAATAGAGAAGGAACAGAGAAATAGAAGGAACGCTGGAAAGGCTAAGAGAAGGGAGTATGTCAAAAAGAAAGGAATTGCCAGCAATGTCAGCAGCAATATTAGCCTGCCTTCATCCTCAAATCTGGGTTAGATGACCCTTGTATGTCCTTGCAGAGTCAGAGCAGGACTGGTTGTGTCCCCAAAGTGATGTTCATTGACCTTGAGGAGAGCAATTTCATGAAGTGGTGAAGCAAAAGGCAGATAGCAGTTGATTGAGAAGAACTTGGGAAAGGAAGGAGTGAAGACAGCAAATACAGACAACTCTCACAGGAATTTGGCAATCCAGGGGAGGAGGGAAAGGTAGTGGTAGCTACAGGAGAAGTTGGGGATTAAGAGAAAGCTTTTAAAACAGTGAAACCTTTTGTGTGTTCAAATCCCAGTGGGAAGATGCCTATAGAGAGAGGTTTAAAATGGCCCGGCGGGTAGAATGTTGACCCTGGGAAAGAGGAAACTCATTCCTCACTCTCTGTGTGCCAGGCACTGTTGGAGGCATGGGGATACAGCCGTAAACAAAACATGCAAAACTCCTTGCCCTTGTGGAGCTCACATTGTCGTTGCAGAAAAGGATAATAAGCAAAACAATAAGTAAAATTTATAGTTTATTAGATGGCAGAAAATAAAGAGGAAGGGGATGCAGTTTTAAAATTTTAGTCAGGAAAATCTGCACTAAGCAGGTGACATTTGGGTTAAGCCTTGAAAAAGGAGAAGGAGCAATTATATGGTTATATGGTTATTTACAAGTAAAAGGTTTGAAGTAGCTCCTGTGAAGGCTAGGAGAGAGAATTAGGGAAACAAGGATTGTTGTACAGCGGGTCACGTGAGGTTGAGGACATTCAATTTCAGGTCATACCAGTCTGCTTAGTTGTGTGATTTTCTTCCCACTTTCCAGCAGCAGCCAAAGGCTGAGATTACACAAGGTAGGCAGTTGTATTGACCCAGGGTTGGGATTTTGCCATGTGGTTGTTATAGAAGTGTAGTGAGACACAGTTAAGAAGTTATGGAGCCGGGCGCAGTGGCAAACGCCTGTAATCCCAGCACTTTGGGAGGCTGAGGCAGGCGGATCACGAGGTCAGGAGTTCGAGACCAGCCTGGCCAATATGGTGAAACCCCATCTCTCCTAAAAATACAAAAATTAGCTGGGTGTGGTGGCAGGCACCTGTAATCCCAGCTACTTGGGAGGCAGAGGGAGGAGAACTGCTTGAATCCAGGAGGTGGAGGTTGCAGTGAGCCAAGATCGCGCCGCTGCACTCCAGCCTGGGTGACAGAGCAAGACTCTCTCTGGGGGGGGGGAAAAAAAAAGAAGTTAGGGCAAGCAAGTGGCTGAAGTGGTAGACCATGGAATATATGCTGAATAGGAGAAGGAAGTAAAGACAGCACCTGACAGGGAGAAAGAATACGCACATCAGTTTTCTGTTTGCAGACCTTTGTTGGACTGACCCATAGAGTCAGAAGGGACCTAGTTCTGCCTCTTCAGTCTCCCTTTATTTTACTAAATATAAAAGTAGGCTAAAGAGAGGTAAAGTGCATTTTTAAACTCAGAGTTCAATATTTAGTAGATCCTTAGAAACTGCTTTTAAATTTTGTATTCTGCAGTTCCAATAATGAAACTAATAGAAAATAGATACTAGTAGCAGTAGAAAGCTTTGTCTGAAAATAGTCATCAAAAGGGGTGGGATCCAGACTTCTATCACATCCAAGGTGAGAATTTTTCTTGGTTAGGAACAAAGTAAACAATATGAAGAGACTGGGGATATTTTCATGGTAGAAATAAGACATGATCAGTACTTTCAACTAATTTACACCCTAAATTAGGGAAACGGGGAATATATACAATAGCCCATTGTCAGTGGAAAAACACAAACTGTGCTTTTTTTGTTTTCCCATTCAACAACAGCAATCAACACAGAACACTTCTGTGACCAAATGTATGGAGGTTTTCCCCCACACACCAAGCAAACAATCAGTTTTGCAGCAGACACCAGCTGGTTGTCCTCCATTTCAATTCTTATACTATCTACCTGATGATAGCATCAGATCCCGCAGGTTGAAGACTCAGTCCCCAAGACTGGCCTGCCCTTCCCACTAGTTGCAAGTCCAGGCCTCTGGAACTTCTGACCGACCAGCTTGAAGTTGGGGATCCCACAAGCTTCTCTTTGGGTTCTAAAGCTTGCTAGAGTGGCTTACAGAACTCAGGGAAACACTTAGGTTTACTGGTTTATTATAGAGGATATACCAAAGGATGCTGCTGAAGAGATGAATAGCCCAAAGTATGGGGAAAAGGGGGCAGAGCTTCCATGTCCTCCTCAGGCGTGTCCTCTCCCAGGAGCCTCCATGAGTTCAGCTATTCAGAAGCTCTCTAAACTCTGTTCTCTGGGGCCTTTTATGGAGTCTTCATTGGATAGGCCTGACTGACAATTCTGTATTAATGTGACTGGACAAAAAGGGTATGATCTAATACTAGTAGACTGAGTGGGGAAACCCAGCAAGGCCTGTCCAGATTCTTCTTGGCCTCTCTGTGAAGCTTTCCTTCCTCCAGGGTATGAGGCAGAATCCCTTCAGAAATGAGGGTTTTATGACCCACAATCAGAAAGGTCAGGGAAGATTATAGTCCTGACTTGGGCAGGTGAGGGGAGGGCAAAAGAAGGGCAGAGAGATTGTGAGAGAGATTCTTTTTCTGAGGCCTGTCTCTGAGGCCTAAAATGCCTCGACATGGTAACAAAAGACTGTAACAAGGGCATTGGGAGTTATAAGCCAGGAATCGTGGATGGAAACCCATATATATATACACATATATATATATATATATATATACACATATATATATATATATATATACACATATATATATATATATATATACACATATATATATATACACACATATATATATATATACATACATATATATATACACATATATATATATATATATCACACATATATATATATATATATCACACACACATAACCGTATAATACAAAACGTAAGATACAGATGCGTGTATAATAGTGCTCCCAAAGGTTGTGTATCTTTTTCAAATTGAATCTAAGATGACTTGATGTACAAGAGCTCACTCATTAAAGGGTAAAGATTAATCTTTTTAAAAAGAATAACTACATAACATAATTCGATGGTTTACATCATACATTCATATACTCATTCAAATATATTCATTGCAAACATTTAGAAACTGTTGGGTTTATATAAAGTGTAATTCAGGTACAAAAGAGAAAAATTTCCATTTGGAAAAATTGGAGTTACCAGCATCATGAGGGGTTAGTCTGGCAAACCTTTCCAGCAAAAGCTGTAGAAGATTCTTCACTCCATAAACCTCCATATGGTGTTGTCTAATTGTATACTGCAGATTTAAAACTAAGCAAAGGCTGAACCATGCATTCTTAATGGGGCAGATGACACTCCCAAAGGGGTGAAAATTGGTTCTTGGTGGTGGTGGGGCAATATCTTACTTTTTCATGTATGAGGCACAGATATACATAAACAGAGAGTGTAGCTGTGGTATTAAAATCTCATGGAGATGGGATTAGAAGAAAAAAAAGTCTTAAAAGGCTCATTAGATAAAAAATAATGAAAAAGTAATTGAGTAACACTGGACTAGAATTTACCTTGCTTGGAACTATACTGAGGAAATAACTCAGTGCCAATTTAACTTGAACGTTGTCCCCTGTTGGAAGATGGTTAGCATCCCCGATCTCGGCGCACCAAATTTTAGCAGTATGCGTGATCAAAAGGGCGTCTATGTATTTCCACCTCTGGTTGAGAAACACTGCTTCAGAGCCACACTCCATCTGCTGGGTCCACGCTGGCAGCTTTTTCCCAACAAAAAATAGATGTCTTGCCATTCTTGACATCCGTGAAGCTAGTGATAAGGTATTCAAAAGGGGGAGGGGGAGAAAGATAAAGAAAACCTGTCTTTGTAGTCTTAAAGCTGGCCAAGTTTGCTAGATGGATGATAACAGAAGCAGCAAAAACATGGCTTTTTGATTGGCAAGATCTAAATTCCCTCTGGGATTTTTAGCTTTTTTAGTTCTGCATTACAGAAAGCACAGAAATATTTAGAATGGAGGTTGAGTGCCAGTCTGCCCTATTTGGGTTTTCAGATTTAAAGAAATCTGAAACAGTTATTCGTTGTATTTAAATTGTTTATTAGAGTCAGTGGTGATAATGAAGTCAGGATAGGCTAGCTCTTCCTCTAATCCATGCATTTCCAAAAGGATAAAAGTTGGTTCTTCCCTGGGGCAGAGCAGAGGTGGCAGGAGAAAAACAATTTTTATTCTTTTTATATGTAAAGCATAGGTATACCATACAGAACATAAACATATATACATTGTATCTGTGCCATTAAAACATCATGGGAGGGGGCAATCAGAAAACATCTATAAAGTCTCCTTAGGGAGGTGTTAATGAGAAAAGGTTGAGACACACTGATCTAATTCAAAAATGGCCACAATTCCAATTTAAGAAGGGGTTTTGCAAGGAGAAACTGAAAGATCGTAGAAAATCCATCTCTGTTCCTGGAAAAATACCTGAAAACCCAAATGACACACCATTTTTTAAGGGGTAGAGAAGGGTGTATCAGTAACTTTATCTTCTATGAAGCATCTGTCATTTATTTATTCAGCAGTTTGGCAGGCGTACTTTGTTATTCACTTGGAGTTCAAAGATGAATATGGCATGCCCCACACTTGAGGAGCTTCCCTGTGATCCAAATTCAGTGCAGGAATGAAAATGCTCTTTAGTGGATGTCATTAGGGATGGATAGGCAAAATACTGTATCTTTAAGTCACTTGAAATCATTCTCTTCTTTGAATGGAATGATTATGCTACCAACATGACATCCAGTTAGGTTTATTGTTTGTTTTTTATTTTTAGGGATTGCTTTTTTTTCTTGTGAAGTGTGATGTATACATGTTAAATATTTACATGTTTTCAGAGTCAAAATTGTAAAGCAAGGTACATTTGGAGAAATCTAGCATCCATTCTCTTGTCATCTCTACCATGTCTCTTTCTCCATAAGAAACTTTTAAAAACTTTTTTGTTTATCCTTCCATTGTGAGTAAATAGGTATTCACATGTCTGTATTTGTATTCTTCTTTCTTACACACAAAAGATAGCTTAACCACTCTCCTGCTCCTTGCTGTTTTTTAAAAAAACTTGAATATATCTTAGAAATAATTTCGTATGTATATGAAGATCTTCCTCATTCCTTTTTAGAGCCACACAATACTCCATTGTGTGGATTTGCCATAATTTATTAAACCAGTCGCCCAGCTGCATTATGAATGTTTGGTTTATTTTTCAGTCTTTTGCTATCATGAATAATGCTGCAAAGAATAGTTTTATACACACACACACACACACACACACACACACACACACACAATCATTTCATATTTTTGCCAGCGTATCTATGGAATAGGAGGATCATTTTTCTTAAGATGAACCATGTAAATGATGCCTGGATCAGCAGTAGGAATGGGACAAAGGGTGACATCAGAGCTAGTTTCAATATTTCAGAAAGCTTCATGGAAATCTAATTTAGTCAGGGTGTAGGCTAACTAAAACATCAAGTTTCTATATTTTTGAGAGGAATTTTATCTATTCCTGGTGATAAGAGTCATGTTGATTGGTAGTTTTTATTAGGATTGGGATTGTGTAATTAATTAAGATTGGGAAAATAAATTATTGATATATGAGAGTTAGTAACCAAAACCTTTCAATATAGAGGTTGGAAGACAAAACTAAGCATTTTGGTTCATTCTTATCGCTAAGTTATGCAGTATGAGACAGCAGATTTTTAGGAACCGCTTTAGCTTTTCTCCTGCTAGCCATTAGACTGGCACTTGCTAGTTCTGTTAATCTAAAGAAGTGTCATTCCTGCTGTGAGGTAGAGTACAGCTACATCATCTCAAACTAACCAGGTTGTATTCTGTACCAGAATTACCTCTGGATTTTAAAAAATTAATGCCGTAATTGAGGGGAAATAAAGATATATAACATTATTGTGTTATGAATCAATCTGGGAAGTAGGATTGTGGCAATTTTCTTGTACTAGATTTAACCCCCAATTTTAATTGTTTCTGAGCTGGAAGTATTAAAGAAATAATGGTAATCCCAGCACTTTGGGAGACTGAGGCAGGAGGATCGCTTGAGTCCAGGAGTTTGAGACCTGCCTGGATAACATAGGGAGACTCCATCTCTACAAATATATATATATAGCCTGGCATGGTGATGTGCATCCCAGCTACTTGGGAGGCTGAGGTGGGAGGATCAACTGAGCTCAGGAGATCGAGGCTGCAGTGAGCCATTATTGTGCCACTGCATTCCAGCCTGGGCTACAGAGAGAGACCCTGTCTGAAAGAAAGGAAAAAAGGAAAATTTTAAACAATAAAAAACAGTGTAGTCCTTGACCTTATCCTTTTCTAAAACATTCCATGGATATCAATTTTTAATTTTAATACTAGACAGAAAAACCATAATAAAAATGATAGAAATGGATTAAAATTGATATATAATTATCATGTTTGTTATCTTAGGATAACCAGGATTACTGGAATGGATATGACGCACTTGTTTGAATTGAATTTTGGCTCTTGGAACAGAGAACTATTGAGCAGCATTGCATTCATGGATTTTTTCTAAGGGAAACTCTGCTTACACTGATTTTAATTAATTTTTATTTAATGTAAAGTAAAAATTAAAATCAGTATAAGATACTGAATAAGATATTCACTATCAGATATTTAATATGGTTATTTAGTGAATATAAATTTTCTTTTAGGAAAGTTCGAAATTCAAATGTTAATAGGTTGAAACACGCTCTTCCTTTCCTTTTCTTTTTTCTGTAGATTACTGTGTGGGGTAATGTAAACCAGAAAACTGATGCCATACATGTAGTGTAGTGGTCCCATAAATTAGTACAATATACTGGAATTTGTTTCAGCATTTCAGTCTTTTTAATACTGTAAAGTGGCAAGTAAAAAAGTCTTTGGATATAATTGCTTTAAAAAGTGTTTAAAAAATGCAATCCCTGGACATGTAAATGCTAGCTGGTGTTCTTTTTATAATTGAGGAAAATGCTACGTTGGGAAAAAAATTAAATGTAGAAAGGAATTTATCTATCTTGTTGTGATTCTGTAGCCAAACCTTTAAAAATATGTGTCAAGGTAAAAAACTTTAGGGTAGGGATAGAGAAATGTGTAATGAAATAATAAACTCTGAGATTATTGGTAATGAAATTTTAGTGAACTTTACTCATAATTGTTTCCCCAAAATTGATTTTATGTGTCTTTTTTATTCTCTGGAATCAATAAGCATCTCATGAAGGAAGTGTTATGAACTTAATGCGTAATTATAAAATTGCCCAGTGGGGGTTAGGTGTAACATAAGTATCATTTCCCTGTCAGACTGAGATTAATGATATTTAAGTCATGCCAGAACAGCATTAAGAAATTCTTTTTAAAAATTCACTAACAAATGTTTTTTCCTTTAGAATGAGGACCTAATTTGCTTCAAAGATATCAAACCAGCAGCAACTCATCATTATCTTGTGGTGCCAAAGAAGCATATTGGAAACTGCAGAACTCTAAGGAAAGATCAAGTAGAACTGGGTAAGATGATGGCAGTATTCTTCATGTTTATATCATTTTCAGTTGGTATCAGTGATGGCAGTGAAGATTAAAAAGAAAAAGTCTAGTTAAGTACTGTGAAAAAGGAGCATTATGACTTTTTGAAATTTTCACTATAAAGAATTTTAAATTCATTAAAAAATAGTATAATACTCGTGTATTCATTATGCAGCCTCCACATTTAGGAACTCATGGACAATTTTAAAAAATACATTAACCTTTTCCCACAGTGATTGTGAAGCATAAACCAGACATCATGCTATTTAACATTTAAACTGTCCAAAAGATAATATATTTTTATGACTTTTTTTTTTTTTTTTTTTTTTTGAGACAGAATCTTGTTCAGTCACCCAGGCTGGAGTGCGGTGGTGCAATCTCGGCTCACTGCGGCCTCTGCCTCCTAGGTTCAAGTAATTCTCCTGCCTCAGCCTTCCAAGTAGCTGGGTTTACAGGCATGCGCCACAATGTCTGGCTAATTTTTGTATTTTTAGTAGAGACGGAGTTTCACCATGTTGGCCAGGCTGGTCTTGAACTCCTGACCTCAGGTGATCCACCCACCTAGGCCTCCCAAAGTGCTGGGATTACAGGTGTGAGCCACCGTGCCTGGCCTATTTCTATGACTTTTTAAATGATGGACTTTCTTGACTCTGAAATGAAAGGTGCTATGAAAAATTATAAACAAACAAGTTACGATATGACAAATGAGCTCATATTGCCTTATGGTGAGATCATGTTGGTACCTGCCTTATAGTATCCTGTGAAGATGAATTAGCACCAAAATTTAATTATGAGTTTTTAGTGATGAACTTCTAGCTTCTGAAAAGGAGATTCTGAATCTTGTCTATTAAGGATGATTGCTCATTTTCCTACTCATGCCTTCTGTGGCTTGTCACCTATCATTTTCTAAGACATTTCTAAGCTTACTTCAAATCTGCCTTTAAAAAAGATAATTTTTTATTTTAGATTTGACGGTTTAGATTTGAAGATTTAGATAAAACTTTTATTTTAGATTTGATGGTACATGAGCAGGTTTATTACGTGGGTATATTGTGTGGTGCTGAGGTTTGGGATACAAATGATCTGTGACCCAGGTAGTGAGCATAGTACCCAACAGTTAGGTTTTCACCTCTTGCCCCCATTTCTCTCTCCCACTTTTAGTTGTCCCCAGTGTCTATTGTTGCCATCTTTTTGTCCATGAGTACCCAGTGTTTACCCTCTCCTTATAAGTGGGAACACAGAGTGTTTGGTTTTCTGTTCCTGTGTAATTCATTTAGAATAATCGCCACCAGCTGCATCCATGCTGCTGCAAAGGAGATGACTTCATTCTTTTTTATAGCTGCATAGTATTACATGGTATATATGTACCACATCTTCTTTATCTAGTCTACTGCTGATGGGCACCTAGGTTGATTCCATGCCTTTGCTGTTGTGAATAGTGCTGTGACTCACATACAAGTGCATGTGTCTTTTTGGTAGGATAATTTGTTTTCTTTTGGATATATACTCAGTAATGGGATTGCTGGGTCGAATGGTAGTTCTATTTTAATTTTTTTGAGAAATCTCCAAACTGCTTTCCACAGTGGCTGAACTAATTTACATTCTCATCAACAGCATGTAAGTGTTATGTTTTCTCTTCTGCCTTACCAGCATCTGTTATTTTTTTACTTTTTAAAAATAGCCATTCTGATTGGTGTTGAAATAGTATCTTATTGTGGGTTTGATTTGCATTTCCTGATGATTAGTGATGTGGAGCATTTTTTTCATATTTTTTTGTCCTCTTGTATGTCTTCTTTTGAGAAGTGTCCGTTTATGTCTTTTGCCCATTGTTTCATGGTGATTTTTGGTTGTTTAATTGTTTAATAATTTATTTACAGATCCGGGATATTGCACCTTTGTCAGATGCATAGTTTGCAAATACTTTTTCCCATTCTGTAGGTTATCCATTTACTCTGTTGATAGTTTCTTTTGCTGTGCAGAGGCTCTTTAATTTGGTCCTACTTGTCAATTTGTGTTTTTATTGCGTTGCTCTTGAGGACTTAGTCATAAATTGTTTCCCAAGGCTGATGTCCAGAATGGTGTTTCCTAGGGTTTCCTCTAGGATTCTTATAGTTTGAGGTCCTACATTTAAATCTTTAATCCATCTTGTGTTAATATTTGTATATGGTGAAAGGTAGGGGTCCAGTTTTATTCTTCTCCATATAGATAACCAGCTATCTCAACACCATTTAACTGAATATGGCGTATTTTCCCATTTCTTATATTTGTCAACTTTGTTGAAGATCAGATGGCTGCAGGTATGTGGCTTTATTTCTGGGTTTTCTGTTATGTTCTGTTGGTCTGTGTGTCTGTTTTTGTACCACTATCATGCTGTTTTGGTTATATAGACTTATAGTATAGTTTGAAGTTGGGTAACGTGATGCCTCTAGCATTGTTCTTTTTGCTTAGGATTGTCTTGGCTACTTGGGTTTTTTGGTTTCATATGAATTTTAGGATAGTTTTCTCTAGTTGTGTGAAAAATGATGTTGGTAGTGTTGAATCCATAGATTACTTTGGGCAGTATGGCCTTTTTAACAATATTGATTCTTCCAGTCCACGAGCATAGAATGTTTTTTCATTTGTTTGTATCATCTATGATTTCTTTCAGCAGCATTTTATAGTTCTCCTCGTAGAGATCTTTCACCTCCTTGACTAGCTGTATTCCTACGTATTTTTGTGTGTGTGTGGCTATTGTAAATGGGATTGTGTTCTTGATTTAGACTGTCAGTTTGAGTGTTGTGTTTGGAAATGCTACTGATTTTTGTACATTGAATTTGTATCCCGAAACTTTACTAAAGTAGTTTATCAGTTCCAGGATCCTGTTGGTGGAGTCTTCAGGGTTTTCTAGGTATGGACTCAGATTGTTGGTGAAGAGAGATAGTTTGACTCCTTTTCCTATTTGGATGCCTTTTATTTCTTTCTCTTGCCTGATTGCTCTGGCTAGGACTTCTGAAATCTGGAAAGGCTTTGTCATGAGGTTCTGGGATTAGTTTGATCAATATTTTAAGGTAGCCTACATGATAGATCAATTGGGCTAGATTTTTAAGAGGTAAGAAACCACTTTAATGGAAAACCTTGATGTGTAGTTCATTAATATTTAGGCTAGTGAATTAACTAACAATTTTTAAACTGTCGATTCTGAATACAGCTAAGTTCCTTAGTCATTTGAAGTTCTATCAGTACATTTGAGAACATATATGATTTATAACTACAGTACCCTGTACTGTACATTTGAGCTTATAACAATTAGATCCAATTTAGATTTACCTGATTGAAACATTTCATCTTTCTTATTAAAAGTTTTTATTTTCATTCTTGTAGTTATTTCTTGGGTTTCACACTTTAGCTTTTTAGGAATTTTTCAATTTATATTCAGCAGAAGTGGAGAATAGAGGCTGTTATAACTAGTTTTTATAATGTTGCAAATCAAATATTGCTAATTTTGAAGCAGCTGGTAGGTATTTGGGATTCCATTACATTTTCCTCTTTGCTTTTGTGTTATATTTGAATATTTCCATACTAAAAGTTGTTGCAAATTAATAATTTTTATATAATTGATAAAGTTGAGGAAATAATAAGCATATGGAAGAGTTCAAGAACACTATCAAGGAATATGACTATAATTGACATTTACAGAACTCCACTTAAATACAGCATACATGTTTTTTAAAAAGCATATGTTCACCAAAGTTGACCATATTCCGAGCAATAAAATACAGCTCAATACATATCAAATGATTGAAATCTTATAAATATGTTCTCTAAAGACAGTATAATTAAATTAGAAAAAGAAAAAATTCCAAAAAAAGATATAGTCTGGCTTGAAGTAATTTGGAGCTTTTTTTTGGACTCTATGGTACTGACCTAGTCTTGGAAGGCTGGCAGTCTCCCAGCTCAAACCTGACTTAAAGAAGTAAACATTAACAATGATTTTGTAAGTCTCAATATATCAGCTATCCTCTGTAGATGTTTTTACTTCTTCGTCTTTCAAATACATGATTACACCATTTAGAAACTATGGAGGCCTAACATTTGGCATGGTGCTTTGAAGATCCCAGGTGACCAAAATTTTTTTGGTGGACAGGTTTATTCCCACCTGAAGGCCATAAAACACCAAGAGAAGAAAGATGATAAAGGAGATGGAATTTGGAAGCCAGAGTCATTATACAAATTTTTGGCTAGTCAAGGATAGGCTGACTGGAAGGGATACCATATCCTTAATTTGGGCTCAAAGACAAATTCAAAGTTTTCTTGTCTTATTAAATCAAACAATTTCTGTTTAATTACTTGGTCTTCTTGATGAGAGTTAGTCCTCATATGATCAGATGTCCTAAATAGCCAGCTGTCCTAAAGTCTACTTATCTGTGAGATTTTGTGATAGTGATGTTGCACTGAGGCTCAATTTGAAACTTTATTTCAGTTGTTGATAAGCAAACTTCTCAGTGACTTAAAGCTACTGAATGTCTTTATTTTTTATTTTATTTATTTATTTTTGAGAGAGGGTCTCACTCTGTTACCTAGACCTGAGTGCAGTGGCACAATCATAGCTCACTGCAGCCTCGACCTCCTGGGCTCAAGAAATCCTTCTGCCTCCACGTATCGAGTAGCTAGGACTATAGGTGTGCACCACCATGCCTGGCTACCTTTTTTTTTTTTTTTTTTTTTTTTTTGAGACAGACTCTTGCTCTGTCACCAGGCTGGAGTGCAGTGGCTCAATCTCGGCTCACTGCAATCTCTGCCTCCCAGGTTCAAGTGATTCTCTTGCCTCAGCCTCCCGAGTAGCTGGGACTACAGGTGTGCACCACCACGCCCGGCTAATTTTTTTTGTATTTTAGTTGAGATGGGGGTTTCACCATGTTGGCCAGGATGGTCTCGATCTCCTGACCTCGTGATCCGCCTGCCTCGGCCTCCCAAAGTGCTGGGATTACAGGCATGAGCCACTGCGCCTGGCCACCCAGCTACTTTTTAAAAAATGTTTTTTAGAGACGAGGTCTTACCTTTTTGCCCAGGCTGGTCTCAAACTCCTAGGCTCAAGTGATCCTCCTCCCAAAGTGTTGGGATTACAGGGGTGAGCCACTGTGCCTGGCCTGAATGTGTCTTTAAATGTTTACCCATTTGATAGGACAAGAGTGAAGATCAATGGCAATTTGTGACCTTAATGTCTCCTCTAGTGTAATGTTGTGTCTTTTCTGTTTTACAGTTGAGAACATGGTAACTGTTGGAAAAACCATTCTTGAAAGAAATAATTTCACTGACTTCACGAATGTGAGGTGTGTATACTTCCAGATGGAAACCAATATTATACATTATTGACGTTTTTCAAAATGTCATTTCTCCATGGAAAATGGAAACAGAGGTGGCAGTTTGTGGTTTAAATGTAGTTTTCCTGAAAGTGAGAATATAGTTCATTGGTAGTATAAATGTAATAAAACTTCCTCTTGTGTCTCAATATCTTCCAATAATTTCCACTTGAAGTTTGGACAGACAAGTCTATATGGGCAGTGGGTAGGTAAAATAGTTACAAGTCTACTTTTTAAAAAAAAATTTTTGAGATAGGATCTCACTGTGTTGCCCAGGCTAGAGTGCAGTGGTGTGATCATGGCTCATTGCAGCCTCAACCTCCCAGACTGAGTATCCTTCTACCTCAGCCTCCAGAGTAGCTGGGACCACAGGCAAGTACTGCCACACCCGGCTAATTTTAAAATTTTTTAGGTAGAGACAGGGTCTCCCTATGTTGCCCAGGCTTGTCTCAAACTCCTGGGCTCAAGTGATTCTCCTGCCTCAGCCTCACACAAGTTCTGGGATTACAGGTGTGAGTCACCACACCCAGCAAATCTACTTTTCTTTGTTCAATATGGGCATTCCTATAAAACTGTATGCAAGTTGAATTTTCTTAGAAAAATTTTATATGATTTAAAAACACATGATTATAATTCTAACGTGAAATTAACTTGAATTTGTTGTCTGCTGAACTCTGGCGTAAGCACATGATGTTCAATTTTTCAACTTTTTTTTTTTTTTTTTTTTTTTTTTTTGAGACGGAGTCTTGCACTGTCCCCCAGGCTGGAGTGCAGTGGTGCGATCTTGGCTCACTGCAACCTCTGCCTCCGGAGTTCAAGTGATTCTCCTGCCTCAGCCTTCCACGTAGCTGGGATTGTGTGTGCATGCCACCATGCCTGGCTAGCTTTTGTATTTCTTATAGTAGAGACAGGGTTTTGCTATGTTGGCCAGGCTGGTCTCGAACTCCTGACATCAAGTGATCCGCCCGCCTTGGCCTCTCAAAATGCTGGGATTACAGGCGTGAGCCACTGCGCCGGGCCTTTTCAAATGTTTTAATTTGTCTAAGTAATGTTTTTCTTTTTAAAAGGTTTCCAATTTTGCTTCTGTGACCCAAGCAGGTATAATGGAGATTACTTCTAACACTTTTGACCTAGAATTCAGAATAGACTTGAATTCTAATGCCATCCATGCTACTTGTGGTGTACTCTACGTACACTGTCTGTATTAGTTTAGACATGCCATTTAGCCTCTCCAAGATAATACCTGCTCTGCCTGCTGGTAGGTGCAAATGAGATTCTCTGTGTGAAAAATCCTCCAAAAACTGTTAAGTATTACCAAGTGTGATAATGACAAGGAACAAATGGTGTTTGAGACCCTTTGGCCAGAAGCCACACATTTCCTTCACAGTCATAGGATACTTATTAGAAGAATGAACACTGGACAAAGAATTGAGAGCCCTGAGTCTCAACTCCAGCTCCACGACTGTCTAACTTTGGGACCTTGGGAATATTTTAAACTTTCTGGATCATGGCTTCTCCATCTTTAAGATGAAAAGATTGAGTGAACCTTTGAGTTGCTTCAAGCTTCTAGATTATTTGATTCTACATTATATGACTGTTTGGCAGAAGGAAAACCTAGTCTCCTCTTCTAGGTGGTGGTGGAAATTTTAAAGTATGTACTGCATATCTGACTCCACATTGCTAGTCCCAGAGGATCACTGCTGCAGTATAGCACTTCTATGCCTCCTTTCCACACTTCCACTCACTGATACCTTGAACAGGCAAATATTTCTAGGCTTTGATTATTGTTACAGGTGTGTGTTGCTCTGCTGAGCATAGGTGGACTTGCAAAAATTTTTGTAAGCTTATTTTTAAGAGTTTAAATCATATTTTAAAAACTTTGTAACCATTTAAAGGAATTCTTGTGTATCTTTTAGGAAGCACATAATTATCATTATCATCTAACTTATTTTAAGTATTAAACAAGAAACCTGGGTGATGACGAAAGTTTTTTATGATGACATAATTAATCTCACTACTGAAATATTGTTGGTTTGGTGGGAAATGTCTGAGTACTTTATTAAAGGAAAAAGTGTGCCATCTACTGGCTATGTATTGAATAAAGGAACACGACTACTTGAGTGTCCAGTGATGTTTTTAAAAATTCATTGCAAGAGCATATTTTAAGAGAATGAAAGCTTACGATGATAAAGACTGAAGTGATAAGACATTATGCCAACTCAGAATTCATAAAGATTATATTGAGGCGTAATATGCTGTTAAGGCCTTCCTTGATGATGAGCTTATGTTACTACGAACTTCAACATGAAAAGAAGAGGAAGTGTGTGAATCCTCTGAAGTGCATAAAGAGAAACATTAATGAGATTTGTGACAGTCTATTTACCTTAGGTACTTATTTTGGATCTCATTAAAATTTATGTGTTTTCACCTGAAAAATGACTTTATTTTAGAACTGGTTTGTCAATCATCTCTTTACTTTCTATTTTAGGATGGGTTTTCATATGCCACCATTCTGTTCCATTTCCCACTTGCACCTTCATGTTCTGGCACCAGTGGATCAGCTTGGCTTCTTATCCAAGTTGGTTTATAGAGTCAATTCCTATTGGTTTATCACAGTGAGTATTCTTGTTATGTCAGCAGCATACAAAAATATTTAAAATATCCTTTTCATTGTAGTTTTTTCTTCTCAACAGTAGGCACTTACAGCTCTCATAGACTTGATTACCTGTTTTAACATACTGCTTGCACATATCCAAAATAATATTTTTAATTTGGGGGATTTTGAAGATCATCAGTCTGTAGGAAGAGAAGCTATGGCTAAATCTTCCCCATTGCAAGTAGCAGATACGATATAGAAGAACCATGGTATTCAGAGTTCTGACTCTGGAGTCAGATCTGGATTCAAATTCTGGCTGCAGTGCTTGCTTGAGGGTCCATGTGAAAGTTACTTACATTTTTTAAGGCTCAAGGTCTTTATCTATTACCTGCATATAGGTAACAGTGCCTATACCTAGGGTTGATAAGAGAGTTGATGAGGTAACTTATGTGAAAAGCACTTAAAACAGTACCTTGCAAATAGTAAGTGTCAGGAAATGTTACCTGCTACCTCTATTGTATCATCAACATCATTGTAGAAATTGAGTTTTTGTAGTTTTTGATAGTTCAAATTCCTTAGAAAAGAGTTGTAGTAGTAGCATCACCTATCAGATCTGTGGCTGAAGAGTTGTTTTTTTTTTTTTTGAGACAGTCTCACTCTGTCACCAAGCTGGAGTGCAGTAGTGCAATCTTGGCTCACTGCAACCTCCGCCTCCCGGGTTCAAGCTATTCTCTTGCCTCAGCCTCCCAAGTAGCTGGGACTACAGGTGCATGCCACCATGCCCAGCTAATTTTTGTATTTTTATTAGAGATGGGGTTTCACCATGTTGGCCAGGCTGGTCTCTATCTCCTGACCTCATGATCCACCCGCCTTGGTGTCCCAAAGTGCTGGGATTACAGGTGTGAGCCACTGTGCCTGGCCTGAAGTTTTGAGTCTAAAAAATTACAGCATTCTGCTTTTCCAAAGCAAAAGTGGAGTAGAGTTCAGCTGTTTATACACCTGTGGTCTGAAAGTCAGCCCTTAGATATTAAGTGACTCTGGGGTCCCTCTAAGGCCAATTGACCACTAATTTACCAGGGTGTTATTTTATGTGTCCATGATGACAAAGTGATCTGTAGTTGCCATATCTGAATAATCATCCAATAGTATTTATTTATCATTAGTTAATGAATGGTATTATTCTAGTCATAGTACAGAAAAATTTAAAAAGTGTCTGATTTCTAGAAACTTCATATTTCAAACATATTATCCCTGTCTTCAACTTGTTGCCCAGATGATTTCATTTAAATAATATAAAAATACAAAAATTAGCTGGGTATGGTGGTGCATGCCTGTAGTCTTAGCTACTTGGGAGGCTGAGATAGGAGGATCGCTTGAGCCCAGGATGTTGAGTCTGTAGTGAGTGATCATGCCACTCCACTCCAGCCTGGGTGACAGAGTGAGATCTTGTCTCAAAAAATAATAAAAAATTAAATAATATATAAGATACATATATATGTATGTGTGTGTGTATGTATTTGAAATTTTAAAAAGTGGGATATTCTGCCGGACAGCTGGTTTGGGTTTTTTTTTTTTTTTTGCAAAGTTTGTGTAATAGAAAATGCTTTTTTTTTATATTTGTATTTCTAATTTTCTATAAGAGCTATACCTTTATAATAAAAGATGAATGAAAATACATTTTTGTAATGTTTTGACTGTATTTTCTTATAGGAAATACTTTTTTACTTGGAAAACATCTTATAAAATATGTTGTTGGTTTATCCTGAGAATCTGAACTCTTCTTAAATCTGACTTTGTTAGCGTATCTTATGAGACTTTGAAAAAAATCAAGATAAAGATATTGAAGTTAATTTCAAAATCTTATATAATGATCCAGATTATATAGTGTGATTGAGAAAAACACTGAAATGATGTAACTCACAGACTTTAGTTTACCTTTTTAAAAAATAGACTTTATTTTTTAGAGCTGATTTAAGTTCACAGCAAAATTGAGTGGAAACTACAGAGTTCCCACGCACCCCCTACCCCTCCACATGTACAGTTTCCTCACTATGACATCCTACACCACGGTGGTATATTTGTTACAATCAATGAACCCCATTGATAAATTGTTATCACCACAGTCCATAGTTTACTTTTGAGTTGACTCTTGGTTTTATATTCTGTGGGTTTTGATAAATGTATAAGGACATGTATCCACCATTATAGCATCATACCTAACAGTTTCACTGCTCTAAAAATCCTCTGTATGCTGCCTATTCATCCCTCTTTCCCCTCTAACTCCTGGCAACTGCTGATCTTTTTATTGTCTCCATAGTTTGGCTTTTTGCAGAATGTCATATGGTTGGAATCCTACAGTATGTAGCCTTTTCAGATTGGCTTCTTTCACTTAGTAATATGCATTTCAGGTCTTATTTTACTTTTTAAAACTTTAGTGTTATATTTATTTTCCTTTTCTTCTTGAAACTTGTTAATGAATTTGCAATGTAGGCAACAATCTGCCTATTTACATACAATGTAGAATAATTATATATAGATATTATACTGAGTTTTTTTGTAAGATATTTTTAGGAACAGAATATATAGTACTCAACTCTTCTAATGTGGCATATTATAATAGGGATACCAGTAGAATTATTTGATAGAGACTATGATATCTAGAATTAAAAAGTATGTTTTTTAATTACAGGCTGATCACTTGATTGAAAAACTAAGAACATGAAAATGTCAAGAGTGGAAGATTTTTCTAATCTTGGTTCAGCATGAAGTGGTATTTAGGTCCCTTTTAAGTCTAATTGCAATTTTAAGATTTGTTGGGTTTTATGAGAGGCTGTTACTTAGTGGCCTTAAATCTTTTCTGAATGTCTGTTTCCTAAGATCTGTGATACAGTTATGTGAATATTTTGTTACTGACTTGTTTCAATGGTTACTTGTATAAGGATTTTATATATATGATACTATAGATAAAATCCTATTTAAGACAAATTCTGTTAATCAACAAGGGCTCTGTATTTTTTTAAGTTAAAATATTTTCATTTCTCAGTAAGTAGTCAGTTATAATAGTGATTTATTTATGAAGAATAAACTACTATAGAAAGTACTTTGTGGGAACCTTTATTACTGTGAAGGAGAAAAATAGCTATTTCTTGACAGTTCTATAGTTATACACATAAATTTTCAAAATAAAGAATACCATACTACACAATGATCTCTGATTTTGCTGAGGGAAGGAATTATATATGTGCCACTTTTTCCTCAAATTTCAGATGCCAGTTTTCACTTTTTGAAGCATTGCATCTTTTTAATAAATCTATCCTGAAAGCTATATAATATATATAATTTATATCAATGAATTTACAATAACTATCAAATTGGCTATCAGAATTCACTGTAATGGAATTTTGCCTCTAATAACATAAAGGGGGAAGAAACATAAAGTGGTTCTCTTAATAAAACTAGCAGAAAATGTTGCTTTATGGCATGTTTTTGTATCAAAGAGAAATCAGAGGTTAAACTTTGCTTTTATCATGAAAAGGGCCTGATTTGAAGGTAGAGATAGGCTTAGATGAGAAAAATTGATAACGCAATGTTAATACTATTGATATTTCATAGGTATATTTTGTTAGAAATTGGTTTTTTGGTGCTAATCTATAGGCACAATAGTGAATATGAATGAAGAGTAGGTGCTGCAAGTTAATCCTACATTGTGCCAGTGTATATTAGTACCATGTAAATGAATATGAATAAATGAACATGAGGATTAACGAACTGTTGAAAATAGGCTGAGATACTAGTTTTCTTTCTTTTTTAGAGGGGGCATGATATTAAAGATAGTTTTAAGTAACAAATTACTTATTACAAAGTTACAACATGTGGAATCAATAGTTTTATTTGTTCATTAATTTATTCATTCAGCAAACATTTGTTGAACATTTAATGTGTACCAGATATTGCCAGGATCAGGAAATAAAGAACTAAAAATGGACATTCAGACTGCAATTGCTAGTACAGGGGTCAAACAAAATCAGTGATTAGAATTTAGTGCGTTAAGTTCCCTGATGCCTTCACAGCCAGAAGAGGCTGTGAAGGGATAAACACTTCTGAGAGTGGGTGGTAGTAGAACTGAGTATTCAAGACTGAATGTTAGGCAGGTAGACAGTGACTGGTTAGGCTGAGAAACTTACAAGTATTTTCGTTGAGTTCTGCTTCCACTATTATTTACTTTACAATGGATATGAAGTTCAGATTTCATCTTATTTACTGAAGGTGGAGAAAGGATGTGGAAGTAGGGGTTATGGGCTCTCAAAAGTAGATTTAGAGAGATTTTTTTATCACTGTTTTATGATATAGTTCACTGAGCACTTACATAGATTAACAGTTACAAGTTTCCATAAATCAGTTAGAATATGACTAGCTTCAGGGAAGGAATTTTCAACAACTGCAATCTTTGATTGTTTTACTGTGGGAACTTGCAGTGATATAATTGACAACATTATTTAACAATAATAGGTAAAGTAGGCCGGGTGTGGTGGCTCACGCCTGTAATCCTAGCACTTTGGGAGGCCGAGGTGGGTGGATCACAAGGTCAGGAGTTCGAGACCAGCCTGGCCAATATGGTGAAACCCCGTCTCTTCTAAAAAAATACAAAAATTAGCCGGGTATGGTGGCGCATGCCTGTAGTCCCAGCTACTGGGGAGGCTGAGGCAAGAGAATTGCTTGAACTCGGGAGGCGGAGGTCGCAGTGAGCCGAGATCGTGCCACTGCACTCCAGCCTGGGTGACAGAGTGAGACTTTGTCTCAAAGAAAAAAAAACAATAATAGGTAAAGTATTTAAGGAATTCTCAGATGCCTTATGGACCTCTTCAAAAATGTGGTTAGCCAATTGATTCAACTTTTATAGGTTTATATGCTCTCATGTAAACCTATTTGTTTCCGAGATCAGACGAGATCGGGCGCGTTCAGGGTGGTATGGCCGTAGACAACCTATTTGTTAAAAACCCTTGGAAACACATCTTTTAGTAGAGGTTCTTATTTACTTATAAAGATTAATAATCAAATTACTACAATTAATATCCATTTAGCCTTTTCAGTAGTCTAAATATTTGGTAACTCCCTAGCCATCTATAACACTAGTTCAAAACAAGGCTAATTCATAACCTGTCTTAAAAATGTTTGAAGTGGTATCAAGAGCATTGTTTATGCATGTTGTGATACTATTTGTGGAACTGTTTAATGAGCTATTTCAAACTGCTAGAAGAAAATGAAATAAAAATGGAAAAATACTGTCAAATTTTGCCTGTCTGGACTTTTTAAGTAGTATTAAAAACAGAAATTCAAATGAAAGATGTTTTATAAATTGGCTGATCAGTGTATGAAAGGTATACTGTAGTGATGTAAACACACCTCTTTCATATAAAGAATCCAAGGTTAAGAGCACAGCCTTTATTATTGTAACACTTATAACTTACATACTTCTAGATTTTGATATGAAAAAGTCATTTACAAAAGCTGGTGCCCACAACTTTGATTAATTTTTTAGTATGTACTAGGTACAAGTACTCCAAGTCACTAAAATGAAACTAATACTTGTTGATTCACCTATTTATGAATCAGCTCTTATCCTTGCAATATAAATACAAACAACAGATCTGACTCAGCTGAAATCAACTTAATGAAAATGTCTAAGTCCAATTCTGATTGAGGAGAATGAGATCCTCATTACATGATTAGTTATTTAAAATCACAGAAGTAGAGACAGATTCACAATGAACAATCATGCATTAATTAAACCAATCCTTAAGCCAAATATCTTTTAAGTATAATATTTTCTATTCCTATGAAATAGACATCTCAAGCTTAAAATGTTCCTCCTTCCCAGCCTGTTCCTTTTAGTTTTCCCCATCTTCATTAATGGCAACTCCAATCTTTCCATTGCTCAGGGTGAAAATCTTGGAGTCATGCTTGAGTCCTGTCTCTCACACTTCATATCTAACCTATTAACCTTGTTGGCAGTACCTTCCAAATATATTCAGAATTTGACCACTTCCCATCAGTGCTATCACCTTGGCCAAGTTATCATCATCTTTTATCTAGATTGCAGGAGTAGCTTCCTCACTATCCCCCTGCTTTTGTCCTTTCCCACCCTACTGTCTCCTCTCAACACATTTACACATTGAACAAACAGAACATGTATGCTTGAGTGTTCTGTCAGACCCACAGATCCTAAACACTGCCCTCAGATACACACAAAAAGTTTTGGCACCGGGTTGTCCCCTTGAAGGGACCTGAAACAGAAATCAGTTCATTCTTTTCAGTGCCCAGTGTCTCTGCCTTTGCAGATACTCATTCTCTCTTTCCTTGAATGTTGCTAGAAACTCTTGACTGGATTTCATGCCCCCAGATGCTCCCTTTCTAACATAGCCTCATCAGAGTTCTTCCTAAATTACTGACTAAATTACTAAATTGATCATGCAATTTTCTTATGAAAATCTCGCCATTTACCCTGAAGATAATTTATCAGCCTTTTCAGCTTTGTTTCCTGCTCTTATACCAAAGTACTAGCCATTTTTACTACTACAACTAAACTGGGCACACCTTTGAAAATCTGTTTCCATTAAAGTCCAGGTTCAAATGTTTCCTAATCCATGAAGTCTTCACTGAAACTTCTCATCCCCAACCTCGGCAGTATTGTTTCTTCAGCTTCATTTCATGGTATTTTGTTTATCTTCCTAGAATAAACCTTATACAATCTAGCCAAGATGTAGTAAGATATTTCTTGCCACTGGATTTTGAGCTGTTTTGTGGCTGGGGGATTTATTTTTAAATTTGTCTTTGCATCTCCATTGCCTTAGCCTAGTGACTGACTCATATTCCTGGTAAGTAAATCTGTTGTAATCTCTTGAGTTCCTTAAAATGTTACCATAATAGACCAAAATCTGATTGAAGACCCTGATTGCAGGCAACTTTCAATCCAAAAATCAAGGGTATAACCTAGATGTCAGCTGCACCTTCCTGGCATTATGTCCTTCAGGTCAGTATCCATGATCAATATATAACTTAGTTGTGAAATGTCTGAGTTTCCAAACAATTCACCCACACTAGATAGTTCAAGAATTTAATAGCCAAACTTTTACAGGGCTGTATAGCTCCTGCCGTCTTCCTTGCTGTCTTCCTCTACTTCACTCCTTGCTTTTGGAACACATTTCTCTTACTTTCTCATTAGACATGTTTTAACTTTCTCTGAAGCCCTAGTTCTAGCCAACATACCTAACCCATAGGAAATCACCTAACTTAAGTAGGATTATTCTAGATATTTTCTCAGCTAAAGAGATTCTCTCAAGATTAGTTATTGGCTGGGTGCGGTGGCTCACGCTTGTAATCCCAGCACTTTGGGATGCTGAGGTGGGTGGATCAGGAGGTCAAGAGATCGAGACCATCCTGGCCAACATGGTGAAACCCCGTCTCTACTAAAAATACAAAAAATTAGCCGGGCATGGTGGTGGCCGCCTGTAGTCCCAGCTACTCAGGAGACTGAGGCGGGAAAATCGCTTGAACCCAGAAGGCGGAGGTTGTCGTGAGCCGAGATTGCGCCACTGCACTCCAGCCTGGCGATGGAACGAGACTCCATCTCAAACAACAACAACAACAACAACAAAAAGATTATCAATCTAGCTAGTAAAAGAAGAAGATTTTCTTCTTGTTACATCTTCCTCTGAGAAAAATATTTGAAACACTTTGCAAATTTATCCCATAAATTCACTCCTCAAAGGCAGTTAGAAGACAATAAAACATGCTATTTATCTGTGGTACCTGAGCCTCCTGGGATTCACAGCCCGTCCATCCATCCTCCTTTTCCTCAGGCAGTTACTCTTTAACTTTCATGTGCTTCAGAACCACTTGGTGGGCTTCTTTAAAACACACTCCTAGACCTACTCCCAGAATTTCTGATTCAGCAGGTCTGGGAGTCGGGGAGGATTCTGTATTTCTAAATGGCTTCCAGGTGATATTGATACTGCCTGACCTAGGACCACACTTTGACAACTCCTGCCATAAGTAGTGCTTAAATTTGGCTGCACATAAAATCAACAACTGGGGAACTTTTAAAAATCTTTACGTCAAGGCCATACACCAGCCAAATAAAATTTGAATCACAGGGGATAGATTCCAGGCCTCGGTATTTTTAAAAAACTCCTCAGGTAATTACAATGTGCAGCCAAGTTTGAGAACCTGTGCCCTATAGGATTAAGTACAATTCCCCTTTGGGCCTTGTTATGGTAGACTCTCAAGAAAATCTCTTTTATGGGACCTGAGACTGACTATACGATATATAATAATTTTCCTACTCATGGGAAGCAAATAGGAGCAAGAGATGAGGATTACTGGGAGTTGTGGTTAAACAAGAATCTGTGTGATTTAACAAGCGTGTAGAAGATGACAGGCATACCTACTTTAAATGACTTGCCAGAAGCTTTTCTTTGTTTAGAAATCATGATTGCTTCTGATTTAAGGAAGGAAAGGAGGACAAAAGACGTGGCTCAAATGAGGCAAATGTACTGTAATCTTTGTTACCTCTGGTTCACAAGTTCTGCCAAGGGAAGTAATAAATGGCATCCCATTCAAAGACTTACTGGGTCTCCAGCCTGTTTCCCTGCACATATTTTTCTATGCATAGAACCTGCTTTCCAGGTAGCAAATTAGAGGGCATCGTTTGTAACTAGGGCTTCAAGTTTGTTTTGGGGAGTCTTTAGAAAAGAGGATGGGATCTACATTTCTCTGCTTCTGGGGATCTTGTTGGAAATTTGACCTCAAGTAGCTGAGTCATACTTAAATCAACTCCAGCTGCTTAAGTCTGAATTGGTGCCTCAGAATTCCAACTCATACAGGCTTGTTTCCTTAGAGTAGGCAGTATTATTTCTCTCTTTTCCTAAATTATTTTCATTAAGATTGACAAGAGGGGAGACCCCTCTGGGACATCAAGAAATTCAAACCTCAGTAATGCTCTGCTGCAGTAAAGTTTGTGCAATTCTTATATAACTTATTCCAATAAAATTTTATTCTCAAAACTATTCAGAAGCCTCTTTTTACTAATTGCAAAAATCATAGTCTTAATACATATGAAGATAACTTTTCTCCCTCTTATTGGTGTACAAATCCCTATGGTTCTCTGTGATACCTAGACCCTTTTCAAGTGTTAGATGTTCAGCCTGAGATAGATGCATGGGCAGTTTTGATATTACATGTGACCTCTGCTGCTGGGACCTGTTAACTTTCTATTCATTTCTCTGAGTGTGTCCTACTAGCCTCAATACTTAAGTGGCATATTAAAACCAAAACTCAAAATTCCCCTTTCCAATTTCTGATCCTTACTTCCCAGGAATGTCCTCTGATTTTTTAGTAACAGGCGGCCTATACCAGAGGCTTTAACGTTTGCACAACAGCTGTCTCACAGAAGGAGACAGGTTCTAAGAGGTCTGCCCTAGAAGATGGAACATGGATGGAACTTTGGATCAGTTCCCAGAAGCCAGACTATGAACCTCCTTGCTCCTTACAGTACAAAAAAAAAAAAAAAAAAAAAAAAAGCAAGTCTCTGGATGCAGTTTGATCACCAAATTCCAAAGTCCTTATTCTCCTGCTGCTTCTTAACCACTCTTGTAAGCTCAAGAACTTTGAACAGGTCTGGCTGTGAGTCCCTCAAAGGCAGTTTCACTGATGTCACAGTAGTTCCACACTAACTCTAGTGGCCTGTGCAAGGTTAATCTCTACTTCTCCAGACCAGGTATCCAACAATTTAGATTCATGATGTAAATACTCTCCTGCTGGTTTCTGAGGTGGAGATTTAGTATAGATTTAGTCCTGAACTGTAGCACAAAGGAGCTGGGTGAAAAATCAGTGACACCTGATTCCATTTGGGTTCTCCAGGCCTTGTAGTCTCATTTGTCTCTATATAGCATCATATTAATCCAGGCATGAAAATCAGCAATTCTTTGATATTCTCTATAAAGTTGCCCCATCAAAATTCCATATTAATTTTGCTGAAGATTTGACAAGTTCTGGGGATGGGGCATATCAAGTACTGCACATCATTTCCCCAACATCTCATTGGTTTTCTGTCCCAACCTTGGCCTCTCTTCTCAAATAGTAAACAACTTTTCTTGTCTCAAAGTACTTTTACCCCCTTTTCTGAAGTTTTGGGGTCAAGAGACAGCTATGCTTCTCAGAGTCACTTAGCACAAGTGAACTTGAGACATATTCCTAACAAAAACAGATCTCTTGCTAACAAAAATTCTCATGTGATTTTCTTAAGAAAAATGTCAAGTGCCACTTATTGGCCCCATTCAATATGCCAGATGTTATATTCAACACTTTATGAACATTATTCCACTTAATCCTTGTAACAATCCTTTGCAGGAGGCAGTGTGTTTTTCCATTTTTAAAAGAAAACTCAAGCTCGGAGAGGTTAAGAGCATATACATGGTAAATGGTGGAAGTGAGGTTTGAATCTAATATTGACACCACAGCCTATGTTCTTAATCACTACCACTGCGCATCAACTACGTTTCTGGCACATGCCGCTGGGGATATGCCAGATACATACTCTTTTGCACCTTGTACAATACCACAGAGAAATGCAAAATAAATAATTTTTAATAGGGCAAAGGGCTCGGTACTCTCAAAAGCAGAAATAGCCCAGAGGGAGGGCTTGAGCCCGTAATTCTAGCACTTTGGGAGACTAGGGTAGGAGTATCCCCTGAGACCAGGAGTTCAAGGTTACAGTGAGCTATGATTGCGCCACTGCACTCACCTGGGTGACAGAGCAAGATTGTCTTAAAAAAAAAAAGTCACATATATACATAGAATATGCAATTAAAATATATTTCATAAACTATCTGCTATGAAATCTGTGCCAGTGTGAGCTTTCTCCAAGTTTTAATTTATGGCTGGCTGTGGATTTAGTCCTGAGTCTAACAAATAACACAACCTAATAATTATTGCCTACTTTGAGGAAGATATTCTTTTGGTTTTTGTTAAGAATAGAGTGAACCATAAAAGATTATATCAGACCTCAAGAGTTTATTATAATTGGGTTATAAGGCATGTGCTCTCGAAAAGTTGTTACATAAATACGAAAAATATACTGTTAAATGACTGGCCCAACTAAATCAGTTCCCAAAGCTGTGCTGGTTAGACAAACCTACAAGGAAATGGTGAAATTTCCAAGGAAATGGTGAAATTTCAGTCCAATTTTGAAGAACAGGTTTTGAAGGGCTGTAGAGAAAGCTGGAAGCACACTCCAAGTGGAACGATAACTTGGAAATATACTGTCTTATTATCACAGGCTGCTCCTGAAAGCCACGCGTCCCCGCTCACCAGCTACCAGCGCTGGGAGACCCCTAACCACCAGGCATTCACAGGTGAGGAAGCCCCTCCCACAGCGGCCGGAGTTTCGGACTCGGAGCGCGAGAAACGTCGGGATAGCGCCTGCCTCGCAGAGCTTCCGCTTCCGGCCCTTCAGGCTCTGTCTCTGTGGAGACTGGGCTTTGGGAGGGAGAAAGAGGGACCTAGCGCGGGCCGCGCAGGCGCACGGTGGGCAGCTGCAATGGCGCTGTCGTGTACCCTTAACAGGTATCTGCTCCTCATGGCGCAGGAGCATCTGGAGTTCCGCCTGCCGGTGAGTCCGTAGCGCCCTCCGGAACTTCCGACGGAAGAGGACGCTGGAGTGGAGTGGAGTGGGTGGAGGTGATCTGCATAGCCCGAGGAAGCTGGGATTCGGGGGTCTTCGCTGGTCTGCGCGGGTCACGCGTCCCCAGTCCTCGGGCGGGGTGAGCTTGGCGGAGGGTGTGTGTGAGAGAAGTCCGAGACCAAACCCCTCGGCCTGCTTAAACTTTTCATTCTTTTGCCCGTGTATCAAGTACCGGAGTTAGGCAGGTGAATATGACCGGTCATCTCACTCCCGGAGCTCTTCGTCTAGCGGAGAATAGAGACAGCTAACAAATGCTCAGGCTGGTGTTTGAAGTATTGGAATCTGCGGATCAAGCTCAGTGGAGGGGATGGTGGTGGGGATTAGATGATGGAGAAGTTGAGAAGAGTGTTTTATTTATTCAAGAAACGTTTTCAGAATGCATGTAGTCGAAGATCGGTACGCTGGGCATGTAACGATGATGTAAGCAATCTCTGCCCTCTAGGAGCTTACTGTTTAGAGTAAGGGCTGAGCAGACACATAGGCGTAGAATGACAAAAGAGCGTCGGTAAGTGCAGTGATAGATGCACATGGAAATATGAGAGCACGTGGAAGGGAAATCTAATCTACCTGAGGGGTTGGGGATGTTGGCCTTTAAGAGGGCTTCCAGAGGAGATGACACTTGAAATAAAGGATGAATAGGAGTTAGAGGGCCAAGGAGATAAATCAGTAAATTAGAATTACAAGGTGTTCATTATTACTGGATCACTAGTTATGTGGCAGAGTGGTAAGAAGAGAGCAAGGGAAGTAGATCGAGGCCAGAAAATGAAAACCTTGAGTACCCTGGAGCTTGGAAGGGGGATTTATTGAAAAGCCTTAAGTAAAAAAGTGACCACAAAATTAAATCAGTTTGACAACACTATGGAGGATGGATTTGAAAAGAATAAGACTTGAGCCAGAGACTAGGAGTCTGTGGGAATAGTCTTGTTAATAGATTAAGAAGGTCTGACCTAGGGCAAGGAGTAAGAGGATGGGATAGACTGGGAAAATATTTAGGCCATACAGTCATTAAGGCTGGATTGATTGAATATGTGGGAAAGGGGCACCAGTCAGGTATGACTCCTGGGGTGTATATAGGTAGGAGTGTCTCCATTTAAAATAGAGAACATAGGCAGATGTAAGATTTAAATTTTGTTTACACTGAATTTGATGTGGTTGTGTAACATCAACCTGAGATGACCAAGAGGCGGTGGATATATGAATATGCATAGAGTATGGCAGAGTGATCTGGACTAGTGATAAATATTTGGGAGTCTTCTTCATATGAAAACTAGGAGCGGGGAAGAAATTACTCAAAGGATAAGGTCAAAAGAGTAGCGGGCCAAGTATAGATGCTTGGAAGCATTGATATTAAGGGAAAGTCGGAGGAGGCCATGAAGAAGATGGGCAAGTGCCAGAAGGATGTGAGACCGCAGAAATCAGAAGGGTAAAGTTTTAGGAAGCAGGGACAAATGGATAAATGTCGAATGCAGTTGCTTTTTAGTGAGAAAAGAATGAAAAAGTGTCATTGATAGTCTCAATTAGAAGATAATTAATTGGTGATTTTTGCTAAAGCGAATATGTTGAGTTTTAGTAGGAGAAGCCAGGTGGCTTGGTTTAGTAATCACTGGAAAGTGAGGAAGGGGAGATAGGATAGACTGAGTGTCCTTAGCTAGAGCATAAGGGAAAGTAAGAAATTGGTTAACAGTTTGAAGAGGACCTAGGGTGAAAGGAGGATTCTCCCCATGGAGAGAATGAGATTGAGCTTGAGTGTATTTGTAGGCTGATGGGAAGAGAAGGGATACAAGGGCATGGTGGGAGGGGTTCTCTTTTCAGTAGGAGGGGAGATTGGACAAGGAAAGTTAGGGTGGGTGTGGAGTAGTTGCCTGAGGGCCTGTTTTGTAGGTAATGAATGAGTGGAAGTTATTTCTTGAGAGATGATGGGCCAGCAGTTGAATGGGGAAACTGAGACAAATAGTAAAACTTGAAATAGTCATTGAGACCAAAGGGGAGAGTTGACAAGGAAAAGTAAAACGATTGAGTGGAGAAGAGCATAGGTATTAGAGCAATGCTGAAAACCAGCTGAAGGTGAAAGTCGTATATCTGTAATCATGCTAAGATTCTGTGATTTTCTTCAGTTGTGTTTAACTCATTGGCCTTAGGAGTCATGAAGGAAGATTGTGGCATTGATGCAGTATTAATGTTTTGAGTTTCTGGAGGAAATAAATTTTTAATTAAGTCTTAATTGACAAAGGACATGTTCTGTTGGTGAAGAGGATTGGAAAGCCCCCTTCTGTGAGAAACAGAAACAGGCTTAAAGGCACAGAGGTGTGATTGGTTATGGTAATTTGGAAGGCTTGGGGAGGGAGGTTGAAGTGGTGGGCATTGAGGCCAGAGAGGTGGTAAGATCTAGATTTGCAAATGTTTTGACACCATTCTAAGGAGTTTGGATTCTTTTTTTTTTTTTTTTTTTTTTTGAGACGGAGTCTCGCTCTGTTGCCAGGCTGGAGTGCAGTGGCGCGGTCTCGGCTCACTGCAAGCTCCGCCTCCCTATTCAAGTGATTCACCTGCCTCAGCCTCCCGAGTAGCTGGGAGTACAGGCTTGCACCACCATGCCCAGCTAATTTTTGTATTTTCAGTAGAGACGGGCTTTCACCATGTTGGCCAGGATAGTCTCGGTCTCTTGACCTTGTGATCCGACTGCCTCATGCTGGGATTACAGGCATGAGCCACTGCGCCTGGCCAGGAGTTTGGATTTTTAGATATAATGGGTAGCCACTGACTGTTTTTCATTTTAAGCCAGGAAGTGACAAGATCATTTGTGTTTTAGAAAGATCATTCTGAAGTACGAGAGAAAAGATACCACTTAGAGAATACTGGACCAGAACTAGAGAGGCTCAGGAGTGTGACTGTGTAAAGTAAGGCAATGCAGTGACAATGGAGTGGTTAGACTGTGGTCTCCAGAATAACAACCTTAGTACTTGGTGATTTTTACTTGTTTTTTCCGTCGTAAATTCTTCTTAGTGTATTACACTTGTGCCAGTTTATTCTTCCAAAAACTCTGTTCTGTTTTACACCCTCATTTTTCTTAAGATGAAAATCTTTAGTCGGGCATTCAAAGTCCATCACTGCATGGTTCTTTCCTTTGTGCTTTCACTTCCCACCTAGTCCTTAGTGCTGCCAAAACTGACTCATTATTCCCTGAATTCCTGCTTTCACCTTTGCTCTCTGTGCTCCCTTTAGTCTGGTTTGGGTCTTTCCCATTCTTTATTGATTTTTACATAGGAAGTATTCATTTAGAGTTAATCACATGTTTATTTCTTTTAGCTTTATATGTTTTACATGATTATTTTTCAGATCCACAGTTCCCTTTCTGTAGTTTTTCCTCCTCTGCCAAAATTCTTATTTTTTTCTTGAATCCCCTTCAATGTAGAAAGCGTAGTTATGTTAAAGTATATGATAAAAGGGATCCTGTGGGTCTGTTTCTATTGTTTCTTTTTGTTCTGTTTCATATAGTGGGCTATTTTTAAAATATATGCCAGATGTTGTATTTGAAAATTTATTTGAAAAAATAATTTGAGGGCTGGGATGATGTACATCCTCTTCAAGAAGATAGGAACGCATAGGAGCATGAGGAATCTAGGTTGGGTTTAACTCATTTTCAGGTGTTAAGCCCTGTTTGTGTTCTGATTCCCAGGTACTCACAGAGTGTAGCTTTTTGACATCCTAGTGTAAATTAGGTGGTTCATCAAGTATCCTTTTCTCCTCTGGGGGGCCCTTTCTCTTTTTTTCCCTTTCTATCGGGCACTCAGAAGGGCTGTTCACTCTTGCAGCTGTTTTTGGATTTGTAAATGTCTCAGGGAAAAAGTGGCTCCACCTTGGAATTTTTGTCCTCTCCTGGATGTTGGTTTGGTAATTTTTGTTATCTTTCTATGCCTTCAATTAGATGGCCAGCTTTTCTAGTTCTTTTCAGCAAGAAGCTTAATCTGAATTACCTCTTTTGCCATACCTGGAAGTTGAATTCCTGTCATTGGGTTAGATTTTTTTCAGGGATTGAGGCAGTTTCCATGAAACTTTACTTCTCAAACTGAAGTAATCTTTTACTCTCTTGTACTCTAATACTTTTTTGCTTTTACCTGTTTAAGAACATGTACTGTTTTTTACACTTTACATTTCAGTTGTGAGGTGGTTTTGTTGGTTCTACTAGACCATAATTTCCCTAAGATAAATGTGTGTGTATTTTTACATAGATCAGGGACTTGCACATATTAGTTGCTTAAAAATTTTTTTGGGGGTCCGGGCGCAGTGGCTCACTCCTGTAATTCCAGTACTTTGGGAGGCTGAGGCGGGCGGATCACAAGGTCAGGAGTTCGAGACCAGTCTGGCCAACATAGTGAAACCCCATCTCTACTAAAAATACAAAAAATTAGCCAGATGTGGTGGTGTGCGCCTGTAATCTCAGCTACCCAAGAGGCTGAGGCAGGAGAATCGCATGAACCTGGGAGGTGGAGGTTGCAGTGAGCCGAGATCACACCATCGCACTCCAGCCCGGGTGACAGTGTGAGACTCCATCTCAAAAAAAAAAAAAAAATTTTTTTTGGAGACTGTTCTCTCTCTGTTTTCCAGGCTACAGTGCAGTGGCGTGACCGTGGCTCACTGCAGCCTCAAAGACCCAAGTTAAGCCATCCTCCCACCTTAGCTTCCTGAGTAGCTGGGACTACAGGTGCACCACTATGTCTGGCTAATTTTTTTATTTTTATTTTTGTGGAGCCGGGTGTTAATCAGAGGCTGAGTGTTGGTGTGAGGGGGCGGGAGGGGGTCTTGGGAGCTCTCACTGTGTTGCCAGGGTTGGTCTCAGACTCCCGGTCTCAAGTTATCTCTTTGCCTCGGCCTCCCAAAGTGCTGGGATTGCAGGTGGAGCCGCCATACCTGGCTGCTTAAAATATTAAAATCAGTGATATAGAATCTCTTCTGGGAAAGGCAATGCAAAGGACAGTCTATCCTTTTGGGCCCAGCTACTGCATTAGAACTGATAAGCAAGGAAGCTATAATGAATGGCTGCCTTTATGAATTAAAATGAGAGATCAGGAATATAAGTGTGGTCCAGTTTTACCTCTGATAGAGTTAATCAGGGCTAAGTATAGTTGGCAGCTACTTAATGTAGTACTTATTGTACTAAATAGTGTTTACTAAAGTTCAAACTCCTGGGTTTTATTGCTTGTCCTGAAGCAACCTTTTAAATGGATGAAAAAGCAAGTAGCTGAAATAATAGAAAAGCTCATGGAATTAACGCATCACACATGCCCCAGATCATGCTACATTTTTATATCCAATGTTCAATATAAATTATTTTTTATTCCTAATATAGAAAGAGTCTCAACTGGAAAGTTGAATTTGCCATAAGATTAATGAACATTTTGTGTTTTGCTTTTTCCAAGTAGATTGATGAAGTGGTTTAAACATGTTTTGCTTTTCAATTTGAAACTTGGGTTATCATATTTATTCTCAGTTTTAGGTGGCTGCTTAAGCTTTGGGTAGTAGAGATAATGCTATGCCATAAAACTTTAATCTTTCACTTTTTTTCCCCACCTAACTCTTAGGATCTTTGTGTTTTAGCTTGTTGCAGCTTTTTAACAGTATATTCCAGGAGCAGCAAACTTTGGTGTTTTAACTTGGTTATAGTTGGATGTTTTAAATGTAAAACTGACTTTACAATATGCTTTAATATAGAACAAACAACAATCATGCAAGATGAAGTAATTTAATCTATAACTTTATTTTTTTTCTTTTAAGTGCTATAACTCTATCAGTCTTGGTTGACTTCTTGAGCCACTGGACTTCTAGGACAGTTATCAGGGTCCTCATCATTTTGATTCCCTTAATAACCACCTAGGTTCTATGCTTCTCTCTTTATAGTTCACCTAACCTGATGAGGTAGCTATGATTCCTGTTTCACATTTGAGGGAACTAAAAGTTGGAGGATTTAAGATTCTTGTATAAAGCCACATCGCTAGTATTTGGAAGAGCTGAAAATCAGATTATGGTCTATTTAATTTCTAAGTCTCATGATGTCTCCTATTCAGATTTGTGTTTTCCTTGCTGCAAAATAACCTTTGGGCTGCCTTCACTGATTTATCAGTAGTCTGTGATAGTTCTTGGTCGATCCATCTGATTGGACTGAATTCAGCCCCTTCTAACACTGAATTTTAAAAAATGATTTGTTGCATAGACAAAATAGAAATGGCACTAGTAGCTTGAACTTCTCATTCTTCTTGGTCTTGGAGTGGGGGACTTCCTGGTCTGGGTATAGTTTCCCTTTTGATGGCGGTGGGCTTGGTGTTAAAGGCTCTTCCTTCTGGTTGGGAGGAAAGGGGATAGTAGGTAGCCAGCAGTGGAACACTTACCTCTCATTAGGTTCCATCCTCCATGAGACCTATATGGAAGAGTGTGATTCTACCTGTTTTATGTGATTTAAGGAGATAACTTGTTAGTCATACAAATTATAAAATTTGTATAATTATTTGGGTTTATCAGTACAAAGTGATTGCTTCAAAGAATATAAACACTCTCTGGACAGATTTCAACTTTGCATGAATGATGCTTTTAAAGTATCTATTATGTTAGTTCTGTTTCTAGTTCTGTAACTTTACACAGAAAGAAGATGAGATAGTTATTTGTGCTTAATGAATACATAGTGGTATGCCCTGGCTGATTATTTTTTTCTTTTCCAAACATCTTCAAATCATGTGTCTGATTTTCATTTTAACTTTATTCATCAATCGTCAGTCTTACTAATCTGCACTTTGTGTAACCTGTTTTTTTCCTTTCCAAAATCAGGGAATTTTTTGATCAAGTGTTTGCTAACTCTTCTGTTGTCGAAAATTTCTCAGAAATTACTTACCTGTGGTTTTTATTATTAGATTATTTCTGAACCCTAAATTGTAATTGTCTGATGTTGAAGCTTAAATGCCTCAGTTAGATCTTCAGCCTACTCTTATTTTTTAGTCATGTAATACCTGTCTCCCTTAGTACATTTTTAGTTCCTTTTTGTTAAAATGTATTTTCTCTGTAATATTTTCAATACAGGAAATAAAGTCTTTGCTTTTGCTTTTTGGAGGTCAGTTTGCCAGCAGTCAAGAAACTTATGGAAAGGTAAGTTAAATTTTCATTAGACCATATGGAGTATACTTAGAAATAGAGCCTTGGGTTTGAAGAGAAGAAGTGCATATCTTAAATTTATATTTGTATGGTTACTTGTATCTGTTTCAAGAGGCAGTGGAATAAAGTGGATATTTTTGGAAAATTTGTGGTTTTGTTAAGTAATTTAGATTTATTTCTAGTATTTTATTTGTTTTACATTTTTAGTCAACAGTTGTGTCATAATTTGTCCTTTCACCTAAAAAAGGGCTGTGCTCCATTGGTGAGCTGTGTTTAGAATTTGAATTTAGAATTTGGCAGAATGTTGGGCTCGTGTTGAGAATCATTTTAAAATTTGAAATTGTGCATTGTATAAGACTGAATTTATGAGCTTTGTATTTTGCATAAAACTATATCAGTGTTTGACAGAAGTTTGGAAAATAGAAAAAATAATTTGCAGTTCCTTCTTGACGTGACTTATAATTTGGGGATGCTGCCTTCCAGTCTTTTTTTTTTTCGTGTACTTTTTTTTCCCTATTGTAATTCTACTTCTGTAGTCTGTGTTTCTCACCTGATAGTGTCAATATAGGCCTAAGTTGTTACTTGGCCTTTATCTCTAACATAGCTACATAATATTTTTCATTGACTAGCTCTACCATAATTAACCATTTCATTTTATTCAGGTTGCTTTAAAAATTTTCTCAATAAAAGTAATACTAAGATGAAAATATTTTTTCTTGTTTGGATTATTTTGAATTTTTCTGTTGGGTAGGGTAAATATTGGAAGAAAAAAAACGGGGTATATACCCAAAGTAATATAAGTCATTCTATTATAAAGATACATGCATGCATATGTTCATTGCAGCACTATTCACAATAGCAAAGCATAGAATCAACCTAAATGCCATCAGTGATAGACTGGATAATGAAAATGTACATATACACCATGGAAGCCATAAAAAGGAACGAGATCATGCATACTGTGCAGCCATAAAAAGGAATGAGATCATGTCCTTTGCAGGGGCATGGATAGAGTTGGAAGCCATTATCCTCAGCAAACTAATGCAGGAACAGAAAACCAAACACCACGTGTTCTCACTTATAAGTGGGAGCTGAATAATAAGAACATATGGACATGTCCAGGGAAACAACACACACTGGAGCCTGTTGGGGGTGGTGGAGTCTGGTGAAGGAGAGCATCAGGAAGAATAGCTAATGGATGCTGGGCTTAATACCTAGGCGATGGGTTGATCTGAGCAGCAAACCACCATGGCACACGTTTACCTATGCAACAAACCTGCACATCCTGCACAGGTATCCCTGAACTTAAAAGTTGAAGAAAAAAGAAAAAAGCTAGGTGTGACAGGAAGGATTTCTTGCAAAAGATGAAAGAGCTAAAGTTGAAAGTCCTGTAGTGTTGGACTTTTATTCCTGAATGACTTTCACTTATTGAGGGGAGGAGGAAAGGAAGGAGAGTGCGGATATAATTGGCTAAGGGTGATGAAATGAGGTCAGGATCCTTTTGGATTTTGCTGTGTTCTGGCAAGAGGTTATCTGGCTGCAGCTTACCAGTGCCTGTAATCTTGGGTGTTGGGATAGAGGATTGGGAAAACACCCCTGATGCACTTGGAGCTTTTTTCCCCTAGATAAAATATAAAATAGTAAAAGCTAATGAGAATTTAATAATGTACCTCATGATTTTCTATCATAGTTGTTTCAAAGGGCCCCTCCTTCACCCTCAGATGGCCACACCTACCTAGAAAAAGGTCTCATGTAGCAACTAAGAAATACATTACTTAGAAATTAAAAATGAAATAGCTGTATTATAAGGGATGATTAGCCATGATGAATTTCAAGATTATACTTTGGGATATAATATGCATTAATTCCTTTCGTAAAGCTACATAAAAGGGCAGATACAAAATTAATGTTTCATTTGAGGATATATTCGTTTATAGGGTCATTATAAAAATGTTTTTACTATATTATTCTAATTTACTTTTTTACTATTGGAACGATTTTTATTTTGGTTACAGTCAGATCAGATATTCTTACATGAAAGTAGCAAATAGGCACTTCTCCTTATTGACTTCTTGAATAAAAGCATATGAGGCCATGTAGCCACTTAGAATTAAGTTGCATATTGTTATTTCTTTTAGTCACCATTTTGGATTCTTAGCATTCCCTCTGAAGATATTGCAAGAAATTTGATGAAACGGACAGTGTGTGCCAAGTAAGAGAAACTTATGTTCTCCTGCATGAATATACTGGTACTTCTCATAACCACTCAATCCTGTTTTTTGCTATATTGGGCAGTGTGAAGGCTCAGTTTAGCTTGCAGTTACATACAACTGCCACTGGGTGGCGGTGGGGGACCAGAGGAGGGTTACCTGCCGAAACCAAGGATGAAAGAATCTCTGGGGAAATGTCGACACATTTGTTTTAGAATAATTTTTTAAAACTTCCGTATTATGCGGGAGTATAGTATGAGATATAAACACTATGTTCTTACGCAGGATAGATGCCACATATAATTATAACCAAAGTGCTGAAAATCCAAAAATACTTTTTTCATAGATGGTTTTTAATTGGATGAGCAGATTAGTGAAGTGTAAGGTAACAAAAAGTGAGGACTGCCGTGAGACATGTTTTACTGTTTCAGTTGGTAGAGAAAATAATTATGAGTACCAAATCTTGGTGTGAATTAATGTAATGATGCTGTTCATTGTTTATCCTCAGTGTTTCTAGACTTTATCATTGGCATCCACTTTTTTTTTCTTTTCTTTCATTTCTTTTTTCTTTATACTGTTGGAAAATTTTCTGTCATCAGATTTGAAAATTAAACTGTATTTTTAACTAGCATCTTAAATATCAAACAGCTTGTGTTATCTTTAAGCTGCTTTTTCTTCCTGAACATTTTGGCAGATTGCTGAAAACTTTCTGTAGAAATTATATTTGCTAATGCAATGCAAATAAGAATTTACATATATCTAGTTTTATTAACATGGTTAGCGATGTTTTATATCATCATATGTAATTGTTGTATTACGGAATTGGACACAACCCAATATTTAGTTAACTTCATCCTATTGAGAACTACCTGCAGCCTTTAATCTTTTACAGTGAAGGTCGTTAACAGGCCTTATTATGAAATAAAAATGACTAGAAAACAGAAACATAACTTTTAAAAAACTCTTTTTGAATAATTGCTTGTTAGGTTTAAAATAGCCACTGGAGTACTAAGAACTTGTATGCTTCTTTCATAACTCTTCTAATTCATATATTTGATTAATGGCACAATTAACAGTTGTATAATATAATTTTTAATTGCTTTTTATTATCTATATATTTTGTGTAGCTGAGGTATACCTTAAGTGATAGCTAAGTGAGATTAATATTATTGTAGAAGCCTTTTCTCTGTAAATTCAATAGAAAAGGAAGAAATCATTTGCAAAGGAAAAAAATTACAATTTAACTGTATCAGAATGAAGATAGACTTTTATAAAAGCATAGATTCAAAACCAACTTAAATTCAAATTTTTCTGTGTTAGAAGGGATTGAAAGTTAATTTATTATTAACATGAAATATTTTGAGCATGCGACAAAAAGGTGAAAAATATAACAAGTACCTAGGAATATGCCTTATTAGACCTCAACATTTTGGGTAAGTTAGTTACTAAAATTGTGTGTGTGTGTCCATACGTGCGCACGCACATGCATGACAGAGTATCACTCTGTTGTCCATGCTGGAGTGCGGTGACATGATCTTGGCTCATTTTAGTCTCAAGTTCCAGGGCTCAGGTGATCCTCCCACCTCAGCCTCCCAAGTAGCTGGGGCTATGGGTGTGTGCCACCATGCCTGGCTGATTTTTTGCCTTTTTTGTAGAGACAAGGTTTTACTATGTTGCCCAGGCTGGTCTTGAACTCCTGGGCTCCAGTGATCCACCCACCTCGGCCTCCCAAGATGCTGGGATTACAGGCGTTAACCACTGTGCCTGGCCAGCTAATTGTTAATAACATTTTTATTTGGTCATTAGTCTTTTTGTATTATGGAGAAGACATTGGGAATAATTGGCTTTTCTGCAGCTTTTTACCCATTTATCTAAAATAACCGATTCATTTATACTTTGCAAAACATAGGCAATAATCAGTGGAGTGTGCATAAAGAACTAGTAAAATGACTGTATGTATTCCTGTGTGAACTAAGTTCTTTACTGAGGTTAGTACCAATCATTTATTTCCTAGGTCTATATTTGAACTATGGGGTCATGGACAATCTCCTGAGGAGCTGTACAGTTCTCTTAAAAACTACCCTGTGGAGAAGATGGTGCGTAGTAAAATGTGGTTTTATATAGGCATGCGTGCAGATTCTGTAGAATTAAAATACTCAAAAAACTGATTTCCTTTTATTTTAGGTTCCATTTCTACATTCGGACTCTACATATAAAATAAAGATTCACACTTTTAATAAGACATTGACACAAGAAGAGAAAATCAAGCGAATAGATGTAAGTAAATTTAGCAAAACAAAAAACCTACATGATGAATGCAGTCTGGCCATTGTTGATATATAGGAATACCTAATGTCTGTGAAGTGTTTATTTTGTACCACATTTTGTGCTAAGTGCTTTTCATGTTTTATTTAATGTTGACTCCAGGCTTACAAGGTAATGTTATTAGATAAGCGCCATTTTTCATTGTAAATTATTATAAGACATCAGCATTTCTTTTGTTTCTTTTAGGCACTTGAATTTCTGCCATTTGAAGGAAAAGTGAATTTAAAGAAACCGCAACATGTATTTTCTGTTTTGGAGGATTATGGTTTAGACCCAAACTGCATCCCTGAGAATCCACATAATATTTATTTTGGTAGATGGGTGAGCAAGTTTTCTTTCTACCTATGTCAGTTTGTTTTTTTGAAAGCTACTTATTAGGCCTTTTGTTGACTCCTATGTAGAACTTTAAAGCAGCTGAAGAGTCAGAACTACTGAATGGATTAAAATTGGTGAAGAGTATGTGATTATGTTTTGTTTTGTGTTTTCCCAGAGATTCTTAAATGAAGTGCAAGAGGCTTGTTAGATATAGGGAGGAGTTGGTATACCTGGAAATGTTGAAACAAGACTTACCAGAACATCTGGACTGTTTTTTTTTTTTTTGTTTGTTTCTTTTTTTTTATAAAGCAGAGAAAACACAGAGTGCTGTGGTAGTTGAGGAATCTCATTTGTGGAGATTCCCAATCTGGGCCTTCCATTCCAAAAGAAATGGAATTACTGTAAAGCAGTTCTGCCGACTTCTCTGAGGCTTTAAATGGGTGATTGGAAGCTGTGAGTGGAAGTTGTGACTTATGTTAGAGATTATTGTTATGTAGGAGAACAAAGAAATGGGCATACCTTAACACCTACCTCTGGAGTAATTGCATTCAAATGCAGTTCATACTTGTTTTGAAAAGAAAAAGTAAATGGAATGACATTAAGCAATAAAAGGCTTTGTTCATAACTACCTCAATTACATTATTTTAAATAAATAAGTTTAGAGCAGTAATAAGTGGAAAGAAGTTCTTATCAGCAAAATACAATGGTCTTATTGTGAGTGATTATCTTAAGTCTATTCTGTATGGCTATACTAACATAAGAAATATCTCTGATTTAGATTGCAGATGGACAGAGAGAGCTTATTGAGTCATACAGTGTCAAAAAGAGACACTTTATTGGAAATACAAGTATGGATGCTGGTTTGTCATTCATTATGGCTAACCATGGAAAAGTGAAAGAAAATGATATTGTCTTTGATCCATTTGTTGGAACAGGTATTTTTATTTAACTTTTAAGCTAGTGTAGAGATGTTGCTTATTTATATTAATGAAGGTCATGGTAATATTTTTGCTAAAAGAGTAAATGGATAATCTTTTAATTGTGTTTGGATAGTGGCCAACAGACAACCACATACTTGTGTAATAGCTAGTATTTAACACTTATGCCACTTCAAAGATGATGCTGATAGAATTGTATGGGTTTTATTCCAGATAAACCACTAGGAGGGAGCATCCATCTAATTTTTTTGTAGCAGAAAAACTTGCAATACCATACATTGTAGAAATGTTGTAAAGCTGTATAGTTTATTTAAATAGGAAAACTCTTGGTGAAAGAAAGACTTGGATGACAAGATCAAAAAAATGTATTCATCCAGTTTAAATGTACTCATACAGTTTAAATTCATAACTGTATATGTGGATGGAGAAAATAGTTAATATATCCTATCTTTGAGTTGGTTTATGGAGGTTTATAAGTAAGTGTGAAATAAGAAAAGTGTCAAAGTATCAATGGGCTAGATAGCCTGGTCACTGTGGCAGTGACCTTGGTTTTTTGTGCATATGATTGGGATAATTTTTTATGGAAGTCCTAAAACTCCATCTGACTCTGTGCAGACTTTTTCCTACTTCCACTCAATTTTGCTGGATCTTGCCCATACCCAGCAAATACTTGTATTTAAATTTGTTTGACCAAGCTCATTGTGGCTCATTTTGTGGTTGGAGCCTGTCCCTGTAGCCATCTTTCCCCTTGGGCAGTGATGATGCAGAGCTAACGTTTATTGAATAGTAAATGTATCAGGTACTATGCTATGCATTCTGATGCTACTATCTAGTTTAATTCTTACAACAACTAACATGGAGATACTTTAAAAATTTGCTTGAGGAAATTATGGCAGAGAGAAAGGTGCAGTGACTTGGCCAAGGTTATACAGTATATTGGTTTCATAGGATTCAAACTCAAGCAGTCCAACTCCAGAGCTCATGCCCTTAACTTTGAGCTGCCTCTCTCTGCATTGGGATCTGCCAACCAGCTATTACACCATGTACTAACTTAAGGAATATGACCACATATGCTTAGGAAGAAGTAGTATCAAGGTCAATAAATTTCTAATTGATGGAATAACTTTCTCTGTTTATTGTTGAGTTAATTCACTGGTGAGTCTTTCTTCTCTGCCAGTTTCTCCATATCACCTACCCTCAGCATACTCTATATTCTTTTCTTCCCCACTCTCATTATCCTAAGTAACTCACCCCAAATTTTAAACTTTTTATTGGAAATAATATCAAACTTTCAGAAAAGCTACAAGAATAAAAGTAGGACAAAGAACATGCATGTATCCTTAACTTAGCTGTTGTTAACATTTGGCCTCATTTGTTTTATCATTTGTTCTATTTGTTTCTATTTACATAATCTTTTCTTTCCTGCATCATTTGAAAGTTGTATCCATCACATCCCTTTACCCTTCAAGTAATTATTTCTCAAGAATGAGGATATATTCTTCTACATAACCACAGTACTGTTTTCAGTGTTAATAGATGTATTAATACAGTACTTTGATATTCATATTTCAGTCTTGCCAGTTTACCCAGTAATATTAATATTTTTGACAGCATCCTTTTCCCTTTCCTGGCTAGGATCAGGTATTATATTTTGTTGTTAATATTTCTTTGATGTCTTTGATTTGGAACACAGCCAAAGTCTTTTTTTCTTTTATGAAATTTGCACTTTTCAAGATGCTATTTCTCTTCCCTTTATTTTTTATCTAATTTTTTCCTCATTTTGGGTTGTTTGATGTCTCCTCAAGATTAGGATTAGGTTATACATTCCCAGCTGGACCACTACATCAGTGACTTTTGTGGCCTTCTCAGGGGTGTGTACATGATGGCCTTCTGCCCTGCATTGGTATTGGTAATTTTTGATCATCTGGTCTAGGTTGTGTTTGATTTTTTTCTGTTCATAATCATAAACAGTACAATTACTGGTGGTTTTATTTTATTTTATTTTTTTTCTTGCTATTAAGCAATCTGTGGAGAGACACATTAAGGCCATGTAGTATTCTATTCCTTATCCAGTCTCCTCTCACCACTCAGGTCGTCAGGTTTAGTAGCCATTGATAATTCTTTCCTGAACCAGTTTTTACTTTGATGGTTTCAAAGGGATGATTTTCCAACTCCAGTGCTCCCTCCACAGTTACAAGTCGACATTCATTATTCTACTGTAAGCAAAAGCCCTTTCCTCTCTTCCATGTATTTGTTTTTCTATTTGTTATTAATATGAACTAATGGGTTCTCCTTTTTAACCCCGATGGTCTATAATTCATTATATTTCTTAATTTTCTTAATTACTTTTGTTCCTCAAATTGTGATTTGCCCAGTGAGAGCTCTTTCACATTGAATCTGTCTTTGTGACATGTTCCTATCCTTTTTTCTTTGGAGTACTTCCTTACTTTCTCTTCTATTTGTTCAAGCTCTGGTATCAGTCATTTTTCCAAGGAATTTTTGTTTCTTTTAGCAGGGAAATGAAATCTGGATTATAGATCCTTTCAGTGGACAAACTAGAAAATATATATGCATATATACACAATATGCATGTAAGTGCATGTGCAAATATACATGTATTTATTCTTATATACTGTGCGTATGCACATACACATGCATATACGTATTTTAGACACTGTGAATTTGCACATATACTATAAATTGCAGTCAATCCTTACAGATTTCCTTTTGACTACCCTATTCTATGTTTATGTGTACCTTCTTCCACAGTGAGAACCCTGATTCCTAGCTACATCAACACATTTACTCTTTTCCTCATTCCTATATCTGAAATGGTTTCACAGTTGTTTTGCTTATGCCACTTAAAAATATCCTGTGAATAAGAGTTCAGGATGTGTTTTCAGTTCTTCACCCTAAGGGGCAGTAAAGTCAAATACTGTGCCTGCTTTTTCCCTTTTCATTTAAAATTCATTTGGGTTCATTTGTTCCAGTTTGCCCTCTGTTTTAGGTTTTTATCTCCTATCCCCCACTCCTTATTGATTTACTTTTATTTTCAAATATGTATAAGATGAACTTGCTTCCAAAAGTCAGAACTACACAAGAAGTGGTACTCAAAGAGATGTCACTTTACCTTTATAACGCTTCCAGCCTGTTCTCCCACCTATCCTAGGTGACTAACTTCATTGTTTTCTAGTTGATTCTTCCTGTTTCTTTTTGTAATGATAATACATTTTCTGATTCATAATGGAATATATACATTTTCTTATTTTCGCTACTTTCTTACACAAAAGGTATCATACTGTGTGTGTTGGTTTTAACTTTGCTTTTTTCACTTAATGGTATTTCCTGGAAATCACTTCCTGTCAGTTCATGGAGCTTATCTTTATTCTGTTTTAGTTTTGCTTCATGAGTGTATGTACCGTAATTTATTCAAACAATCTCCTATAGTTGGACATCGGTAGTTTTCAGTATTTTACAGTTACAAATAATGCTTGAAATGACTAACCTTATGAATATATACCTTTGTAATGTTGGAGATGTAGCTCTAGGGCAAGCTTATCCAACCCGCAGCCCATGGACCACATGTGGCCCAGATGGCTTTGAATGTGGCCTGATACAAACTTGTAAAGTTTCTTAAAACGTTATGAGAATTTTTGCAATTTTTTTTAGCTCACCAGCTATCATTAGTGTTAGTGTATTTTATGTACAGCCCAAGACAATTCTTCTTCGAATGTGGCCCAGGAAAGCCAAAAGATTGGACCCCTCTGTCCTAGGGTAAATTCTTACAAGTAGGATTTCTGGGTTGAAGAGTGTATGCATATGCAGTTTCATTAGATACTGCCAAATTTGTCTCCATTATACTATTTTGGATTCCTACCAACAGTTGTAGGAGAGTCCCTGTTTTTCCACAGTCTCACCAGCAGAGTATATTTCAGGCTTTTGAAGTTTTGCTTGTTCTGTTGGGTGAAAAATGATATCTCAATGTAGTGTTAATTTGTATGTCTATGGTTACGAATGAAGTATCACAATTTTTTATATTTTAAGGGCCATTATGACTTTCTTTGATTTGTCTTTTTTTGTCTTTTGCCCATTTTTTGATAGCATTTTTGGTCTCTTTCCCTGATTTTTCAAGGTCCTTTGTAAGCTTGAGATACAACCTCCTCACACTCCCCTTATTTTTCTGTGATGTATGCTGCAGTATTTTCCCTTAGCTTGTCATTTATCTTTTGACTTTGCTACTAATTGATTTTTGCCATGCAAAAGTTTTCCCCACACTCAAGTTATAGAGGAATTCATTTGTGTTTTCTTCTAGTGCTTTTGTAGTTTTACATTTTTTCTTTTTAGATCTCTGGTTCATTTGGAGATTATTCTCCAGTATGATGTGAAGAATGGATTTAATTTACCTTTTTCCAAATGCTAAAGCTTTTATTCTTAATCTTGTTCTTGGACTTTAAAAACTTTTTTTGTCAATTGAGAATAATTCTTTTAGATATATACATGTAGAAAATGATTAATATATATACATACACATAGACTAGACCACAGAGTTAAAAAATATGGTTGCCAGTATGGGTAATATTTTTTTGTTGAGTAGATGAGGCTAGATTTTGAAATTATCTTCACAGCTGTCAATATATGGACCATTTATAGTGTGTTGAGGGGCAAGGAGACCTGCTTCTGTTTGCTTTAGGGCAGCTCCTCACAGTGGGTAGTATATTTGGAACGTCTGACTGTTCATATAGTACAATTAATAGAAAATGAGAGGAGGATCTTTGCAAAGGTGCTGCTGAAATATATTTTCGTAATTTGTGTTTGTAGTTTAAGTATAGCTTTAGGACATCAGTCAATTTTTGGTGCTTTTGTTTTGAAACATAATAACCAATAATTGTGAATAGACACAGGTCTTAAGCACAGTTTGTCCTCTCTTGGGCCTTTTGCCTCATCGATGGGTGGTACCTTCTGAAGGACTGGAGAAATACGTAGCTCTGTGTCCTTCTCCATGGCCATAGTTTTCACAAAACATTTGTTGATATTTTTCTTTTGGTTGCCTTTTAAATAGTTTTTTAAAAAAAATTCATGTGTCTAATCCCCTTTTTATTTTAAAGGTACAAAATTGAAATGTATGTAGTTTCCCAAATGTATTGCTCACTTACTACTCATGGTTCGTGATTTTTCTCAGGGATATAGAGTAGGGTAGAAAGCTTCTGGGAGACTGAAAGGAGAAAAATAATCTTTTCATGCCTAAATACTTTTCCTTTTTTCCTTTAGACTGTTTGCTACTGTTGTTTAGAATGACATTATGAGCGGCAGAAACACACTTTTCTTTCAATTTTAACAAATACATTGGTTTTCATTTTAGTAAAAATTCTTTTTTTAAAGTGTGTGTCTCCACTTTCCCAAAGGGGAAGAGACATAGCATTGTGTCATCTCTTAGTTGTTAGGAAGTGCTACTATTCTCATGTGAGTTTGGCTAAAGGAATGATCATCATGAATTTATTGAATACCTATTAATGGCACAGCCCTGTCTGTGATACAGTACAAGACTTGTGAATGGCATATATAACACTCTTATTAACAGAGTGTGTAGCTTTACTTAATTTAATGTAATTTGTTTAGTAGCATATTTTGCTTTTGTTTATCTAATTGGTGAGTGAATATGTATTTACTTCAATTGGTGCTAATCCCAAAGGAGGTAGTATGATATAAAGAAAAGAATAAATAGAGCAAAGTTTAAATCTTTTTACCAATTAGTATGTGACTTTGGGCAAGATTCTTAACTTGTCTGGGTTTCACGTCTATCATTTGTAAAATGGTAATACTAATATATTGTGAGGATTAAGTGAGGCAATATGTGTATATCATATTTCTAGGAAGTTGCCTGACACGTGGTAGACATTTAGTGAACTGTAATGGTTATCATTATTACTTTTTGATTATTATTTTGATGATATTTTAGATGCCTTTTTGGTGAAAGATGTTAGATGTAGCTAATATTAAATGGTGATGATAAAGAATTTGACCATAAACTCATTTTCTAGTACTCTTTTTGGCTAATTTCCAAGATATTAGTAATTTGCAACTGTTGGCAGGTTATAGCAGCAGGCAAGGGAATTGAAATATAAAATTATAAATGTCAAATTCTTTGTTTATAATTAATATGTGCAAGTGGATGCCAGTTGCTTTAGGTAGCACAGAACTCTGCAGCCGTAGATCTGATCCCCTCTCATCCCCTCTGTCAAGTGAGTCAGCTCCTCCAGTAATGAGAATTCACCCAGAAGACTAATGTATACTCCTTGGCCATGTCTACCTTCAGATGACCCATAGGTGGAAGGAAAGGAGTGTAGCTCCTTTTGAAGTTTTATCATTGTAAAATAGTGGACGCAGAAACCAGGTGTTAAGGAACTGACTGTCCTGGTTCTGGGAAGAGAAAATGGGGAGAAAAAGAGAAGGTTAGGAGAGTGAGATAATGGATCTCTGTAGTTTATATAATATTCTCTTTCGCATTTTTTTCCCACTACCCTTTGTAGTCCCCTTTTCCTGGAATCCCATGGTTCGTCTAGTAGGAGTCCCATTGTCTAGCAGTATTCTTTTGCTCGGCCTGCTAATTTAATTTATTTAAGTAGAATTCTTTTTTTAAAAAAGATAAAATAGATGCAATAATATTGCCATTTTTCTTTCTTTTTTTTCTCTCAGCAAAACCAAAGCCCAGTCTCTCATTTCTCCACGTTTGCAAAGCTTTCCAGTTAGTTCTTTAAAGATGAAAATCATGAATTAGTTTTTACATCATGGAATAAATTCAATTCTTATTGTATTATTTTGCCTGTAAGATACTACCCTAACCTTAAAGTGCTTACTATTTAAGTAATGAGAAATTGAAACACCGAGTTGCTAGCATAGATCACATATGCAGTATTTTTACTTTTGGTAACGCAAAAAGAAATGGGTGAGTCATGTTACTTGCCTCCTTGACACTTCACTCTCCTTTTTTTTTTAGCACCCCTTCTTCCACCAAAAAGATCCCCTAAAAAACTCCAACTGAGGTATAGCTAAATGTAAAAAGTGCTTCAATTTAATCAAAAGAACAACTAGATGACTACCAATGATTACCCAGTGACCAGTTCAGATAAGCTAATTTATTATGATTTTATTTAAAAAAAAATAAAAGCTTAAAGGGCACGAAGTTAAGTATCAGGTGCAGTCTAACAGATTATTCATCTCCTTTCAGCAGTGTACTTGTAAATTGGGTCTTCTCAAAACTCACTCTAACCAAATGGATAAGGTTCTGTTAAGGAAGCACAGGAAAGCTTTTCTGTTCCCCTTGACAACTAGTTCTTCTAGGTGAGTATCTGCCTTAATTGGCAGAATTGTAGTAATTCCTTGTAATTTGGGTGAAGTGACTTTGTGAGTATTCCAAGTCATCACTTATGCTGCTTTTTCTAAATATGGAATGTTCCATTTCCAGAGTCAGAATTATGAGGACTTTTTAACCTTCCCTCTCACATAAATGCTTTTTGTAGTTAGTATGAGAGGACATAGGTTTTGGTTTCTGCTGTACTTTTAGTCTTTCATTTCTCTTCTTCATGGGTTCTAAAAAGAACTAGTCAGTTATAATATTTTCATGAACAAAGTATTTTTAATTCCATGCTACCAGACTATGTTTTAAATGGCTATGGAAGGAACATCATTAATTTATGGATCTTGACCCTCCAGAGGCACTACCCATCTTAGTTACAGAGATTACATCTCAAAAGGTTATAAGGGAAAGAGCCCCAGTATTTTTTCCCCTTGTCCAAGTCTGTGCATATTTTGTAGTTGAAGAATATATTTATGATTTCAGCTTGACTAGCAGGCCTTCCTAGAGTATAGCTAATTAAGACTTGCCCAAGCACTAAAAGCATTTTAATTTGAATGATTAAAAAAAGTGAATTTAATTAAAAGTACAATTATTAAAAGTTCAGTTAATTGTGTACAATTTTTTCTTAATTTAAAAATAGTATTACCTTTCATTTTAAAGAGTTTCATTATTATTTTAACCTTTATTAAGATTTCTCTTCATGCATGAGCTGGTCACATCTGTCACATTACTTTGTCTGGTCAGATTGTATTGGGACAGTTGTTCTTACTTTGGTCACAGCACTAATAAAAACAGTTTATTAATTATTTTGTGCATGTTTGATAATAGTTACTCAGAAATTTGTATTTACAGTTTAAAACAGGAGATAATTACTTGATTGGTTACAGGAGTAACTATATTAAAATAGTTAATTCTTACAAAAATTAAAATATGTCCTAACCTTTTAATTTCTGTAAGAACTAATGTCTCACATAGTAATTATGCCCTATTTGTTTGAAACTCTGACTTCAGTGGGAATTGAGCCTAGTCATCAGAATTTATTCTGTTTATTGCCAGCTCTTTGTATAAACAGCCTTATATGCTCATTTTTAAGAAAGGAGCAAAATGTTTTTGTGTAGAGCTCTAAAAATAAGATGAAAATGTCTAAATATACATTATTTTGACCAAAAAAAAGATAAAATAGTGCTGTTTAAAATAATGATGCCAGGGTATACATTAATTTCTCTACTTTGTTACCAGTTTAGTGACTATAGCTTAGGGGTTTGTTTTTTCAGTCCTGAGGCTTACTAAATATGTTACGACCAATGTCATTCCAGGATACTCTGCCTGCAGCTAGTTTCTAAGACTGGATGAAGTTAAATAGGAACAAACAGGAGTTTGGGACTTACTGGTTAACAGGTCAAAATTGTGTGATTTTTCAGGTGGCCTGCTGATAGCATGTGCTCATTTTGGTGCATATGTGTATGGGACAGACATAGACTACAACACAGTTCATGGCTTGGGTGAGTAGAGATTATAGACAGTATTATAGTCATTGCTGTGGTGCCAAATGTACCTTTAAACATACAGTTGACCCTGGAAGAACACAAGTTTGAATTGCACAGGTCCACTTATACTCAGATTTATTTCCATCTCTGCCCTCTTGAAACATCAAGGCCAATCCCTCCACTTCCTCTTCCTCCTCAGCCTGCTCAACATGAAGGTGATGAGGATGAAGACCTTTATGATGATCCACTTCCACTTCATGAATAGTAAATCTATTTTTACTGAATAAAGTAAGTATAACAGTAGGCTGTTAGTAGTTAAGTTCTGGGGGAGTCAAAAGTTATATGCATATTTTTGACTGTGTGAGGAGTGGGCACCCCAACCCCATGTTGCTCAAGGGTCAACTGTAGTTTTATATGGCATTATTTTAATCTTCAAATACAAAATTGTGATATAATTTTACTTGTTTTTATAAGACTTCATTGGGTATCTACTTTTATGATCCATTGTGTACAGAGTGATTTCCTGGGGGAACATGAAGGTGAATGAGAAAAAGTCCTGCTCTCAGAGGGCTTTAAGGAAGTGCAGGAAAGTGATAACCCAGTGACCAGTTCAGACCTATAATTTATTAATTATAACTAATTAATAAATATACATGATAATGAAACATATTTGGTTAAGATTATCACCACTCATTTAAAGATTATCACCAAAATTATTCACTAATCATACATTGACTATATACTGGATTAATAACTAGTCTTTGAGGTACTATTTATGTTTCTAATTTTATAACTGACCAAAACCTCTTTAAAGTAACTTTAAAGATTCTGCCTTGAACTGAGAGTACTTGAAACAGTCATCTGCTTTACTTTTCAGGTAATTATGGAAAATATTTTAAACTCTAGAAGCTTCAATAATGATGTGTGATTGGATGGAATTGAATCAAACTGAAAAAGTATTTCCTTATAGCTTAATGGTATTGAAAATGTCATTTTATTGATGATTTTGAGATTATTTGTGTTTATGTTGGTATTCATTATAATAACTGGGATCAGCCCTTATAATACTCTTTTCCTTTTCCTCACCCAGTATAAGTTATTGTATTGGTGAGCATTTATTATACTTTATTTTCTTTTGTGGAAGTAATTTGATATCTTGTACTGGTGACCTGTCTTTTTCCCTACCTTGACTGTAAAGAATTTAGTAACATTTATTAGGAAAATGAGTTATAATTTATTAGGTGTATATAAATGGGCTAGCAAGAAAAAGATATTCTTTATCTGAAATCTGTTTTAAAAAGTACTAAGAATTATTCCAATTTGCTTTTAGTAGAAGCAGTATATTTCTTTTAAGGAAATTGTCTTATATAATTTACTTGAATTTTTATTTATTAAAGTTATGTTTGGAAACTTATGTTGTAACCTTCAGTCTACTGGGGTAGAATTCTGATTGAGGTAGTTCCCTTAGAGCTTATCCAAGATACTGTTAGGTATACCCTCTGTTTCCTGTGGTTCTGAACTCTTACTTTATCCTAAAATATTCTCAAGTTTCTCCTGTTTTAAAAGTACAAAACTTTTTTTTTTGGCAAATCTGTAGAGGTTCTCTAGCTACCACTTTGTTTTCCTTTTCCATTTGCCAAAATGCTTCTTGAAAAACTAGTATAACTTCTTGTCTCCTCTTCTTCATCTTTCACTCTCTTCTGGCCATTATTTTCCAGCTTCTGTGCCTATCATTCTGTTGAAAACGCTAACAAAGGCCACAGATTTATAGCATTTGACAGTGTTGACCTTCATACAGCTGCTCTTGGTTTCCTTGACAGTGGTCTTGGCAGGTGGTACTTTTACTTTTTTGTTTCTTCTCAGTCTACTTGATGCCCTGCAATTTTCTTTGATTTATGTTTATATATTGTTTTTTTCCAGGCGTCTACCTATCTTTGAGCACTTCTCCGTCACACTGCATGTTTTTCAGAGTCATGTCGTTCTTCTTTTGATTTTATAAGAATAATTATAGAGCAAACATGTAACTGCCTCCTAAGTGAACAAAAAGAATGTTATTCAGCCTTATGGAGTCAGTATAAGATTATATGCTGATAACTCCAAAGTCTGTATATTCTGGCCTTCAACTACCTGCTGAATGTCCCCACTGCGTATCTTTTTCTGAAAGTTCTGCAGGTACCTCAAGGTACATCAAGATTGATATATCTTAAATGAATCTAATCTTTTTTCTTAAGCTTGTTTTTCTTCCTGGTTTCTCTGATATTAATCACTGGTGTCATCATCCTAAACTATCATGTCTCCTAAACAAGGAACTTACGAGCTTCTTTAGCCTTCCTTCCACTCCCACTTTAACTTTCATTAGCAATGTCTCCATTTTGCCTCCCTTCCTCATGGTCACAACTGCGGCATTTCCCAAGTTCGCTCTCTTCATTTCTGTTTCATTTATCTGATTCATACTATCTCTACACAGGACTGTTTACTGCTGGAAGAAAGGAACCATATTCTCTTCAACTCTATCTTACTACAAAAATCTTCGTACTTGAAAATATCGAATGAGTGTTTTAAGGCAGTTTTACTTGGAAGTTGACAGAACAAGATAAGTTAGACATCAGTACATTTTACTGTTATGTTGAAATTAAAATAACTATTTACTTGTATACATAAAATTAAGATTTTAAATGAAAGCAAATTTTGAATAAATGTAGGTTTCAGTGAGTTAAAACATTACTTTTCCTAAATGACAGAAAATAAGAATACTCTGTTTAATACTTTCTCTCTTCCTTTTTCTTTCCCTTCAGGAAAGGCTACTAGGAAAAACCAGAAGTGGAGAGGACCAGATGAAAACATTAGGGCCAATCTTCGTCAATATGGTTTAGAGAAGTATTACCTTGATGTCCTGGTTTCAGATGCATCTAAACCTTCCTGGAGGAAGGGCACATATTTTGATGCAATCATTACTGATCGTAAGTTTATTTTTATACAAAAGTAGGAGTAGGATTCGTTTTGTAAAATCATTTACATTTAAAGTACAAAATTTACCAACACATGCACAAAATGCCAACTTGTCAGTATTTCTCCCATCTACCCCCAGCTTCTTCATCTTGTAAGGAGAAAGTTATGAAGGTACTTAACTACCTTGTTAAGGGCTTACTGTTTTGTTTTTTTAAACAAATATATTGGCTTGCCATCCCCTGTTATATCCTTTTATATTAACTTGTCACCCGTTTTTCCCTTCAGCTTATTTTTTTGAGGCATATATTTAGTATTTGTTTTTGTATTGACTATAATTGGTTATTATACCAACTGGAGCTCACATGTCATTTGCAATTATGGTGTCAAATTTTGAACAGAGTTTCAGATATCACACATTTCTCTATGTGTAAGCATTTGTGTTTTTGTAGTGCCTGTTTTCACTGGCATCTCCTTTCTAGCATTACAAGAAATTTGGGGTTCTGTGGAACCACTGGGCCTGTGAACCTACTGAGCTTCAGGAATGTGCATGAAAATTTATTTTCCCATGCCTCATGAGGTCGTGAGTTTTTTAGGCAGCCTATCTAAGAATAGATCTGCCTTTTCTATAGTATTTGACAGTAAATCTGTAAAAAGTGGCAAAGTTCAGCCCTTCTATCTCAGCTCTCTTTAGTTCTTTACTAACTTAGATTTTGTCAAATGTAATGTAACAAAAGAAAAATTATCAAGGCCTTATGGTTTCAGTGTGAATATACTTTATGAAAATTTAGTTTTTTTTAAATTAACAGTTTGCTTTATTATTTGCTCTCCCACTCTGTGTTTACTTATATAAAATACATTTTTTTTTTCCGATCAACTTGAGAGTAAGTGGTATACATTGTGGCCTTTTACTCCTATACTTCAGTGTGTATTTACTAAGAATAAAGATAGTCTCTTAGCAAAAATACAGTTATCAAGTTCAGTAAATTGATAAAATACTTTCATCTACAGTTTGCCATTCAGTTTTGTCAACTGACTCAGTAATAGCTTTTATGGCATATATTCTCCCTCTAGGACAGGATCTACTCTAGAGTCAGGTATTGCATTTCGTAATGATATCTTTTAGGCCTCCTTTAATTTGTAACACTTCCACAGCTTTTCTCAATGACTTTTATGACATTGACATATTTTAAGAAGACAGTTGCTCCTCTCCCAAGTCTTTATGTTGTACATTTTCAGTTGGATTTGTGCATTGGTGATGTTGTGTTCTTCTCAGGGTGTCACATTTGAAGGCAGCATGGCTGTTTGCCCTTGATCCATGATTTGGTGACTTTTGACTATCTGTGTTACCTTTGTTTTCTGTCTAGCTCCATATGGTATCAGAGAATCTACAAGAAGAACAGGTTCACAGAAGGAGATACCAAAGGGGATAGAAAAATGGGAAAAATGGTAAGTGAAATTTAAATATGATGTGTTACTACCTTGAGAAGAGGCATGTGGCTTCCCCGTTAACTTAGCACTCTTAAAATTTTTCACTGATTTTGAAATTTTCTTTTCTTTGTGTAGTCCAGAAAGCCATGTTCCTGTTTCCTTGAGTTATCATCTGAGTGATATGTTTCTTGACCTGTTAAACTTCGCAGCTGAGACCCTCGTTTTAGGTGGAAGACTAGTCTATTGGTTACCGGTGTATACGCCAGAGTATGTAATCTTAATTTTATTTTTAATTTCATTTTTCTTACAATGTTTGCGTATCTAGTATAATTTTCTCTTTATCTCTTCTTGCATTTGGTGCATCTTTATATTTAATTTGTAATAGCCTTTGTTTGCCTTCAAATGTGTATAAAATAGTCTTTTTATTTATTTAGTTTTTTGAGACAAGGTCTTGCTCTGTCACCCAGGCTGGAGTGCAGTAGTGCAATCGTGACTCACTGCAGCGTTGACCTCCCAGGCTCAAGTGATCCTCCCACCTCAACCTCCTGAGTAGCTGGGACTACAGGCATGCGTCACCATGCTCAGCTATTTTTTATTTTTATTTTTTGTAGAGGTGGAGTCTCACTATGTTGCCCAGGTTGGTTTTAAACTTCTAGGCTCAAGCAGTCTACCTGCCTCAGCCTCCTGAAGTGTTGTGATTATAAGAGTGAGCCACTGTACTCAGCCTCCTTCTTTTCATCAACTGAATTGTTTTGACCTTGTTATTTTATATCAGGGGTTGGCAAACCACGGCCTATGGGCCAGATATGGTCCTCAGCCTGTGTTTATAAGGTTCTTGAGCTAGGACTAGTTTTTAGATTTTTGAAGTGTTGTTAAAAAATATCCACACAAAATAATGTGTGACAGAAACATACAGTATGTGACCCACAAAATCTAAAATATTTACTCTCTGGCCCTTTATAGAAAAAGTTTTGCCAGCCCTTATTGTACCCTACACTTAGCTTAGTACCTATGGATCACAGCTGTTTTATAGCTCTTTTGCCAGTCTATAGATGTAATTTTCAACAGCTTAGCTAAAGGATTCACGCTTCTGCTACCTTCTAATGCTAGCTTTAATATATATTGGCTATTATGATTATCTTAAGTACAATAAATCAAAAGCTAAGACCAAAATAAGAGCTGTGCATATATTTAAAGCCCTGATTATGTTCAGCATTATTGCTTTGAGTTTTGTTATTCAGTAACTATTAAATATAAAGCTATATATATTAACAGTAAAAGACAAGACGTTTGAACAAGATGGAATGTTTAAATTTGAAAGGTATTGCCAAGCTCAGTAGGTTATTTCTTCAATCTGACATAGATATATTTTTAATACAATTATTTTAATTCCTATATTTGTATTTGTATTTTATTTTATTTTATTTATTTTTTGAGACAGGGTTTCACTTTGTCACCCAGACTGGAGTACAGTGGCACCATCTCAGCTCACTGAAACCTCCACCTCCTGGGTTCAAGCGATACTCCCACCTCAGCCTTCCGAGTAGCTGGGATTACAGGTGCACGCCACCACGGCCCGCTAAGTTTTGTATTTTTAATAGAGACGAGGTTTCACTGTGTTGGCCAGGCTGGTCTTGAACTCCTGACCTCATGATCCACCCACCTCAGCCTCCCAAAGTGTTGGGATTATAGGCGTGAGCCACCGTGTCCGGCCAATTCCTATATTTATTATACATAATTATACAGTGGTAACTGTCTTTTTCTACAAAGATTGGTAGTCCCTCAGGCTTTGGGACCCTCAGCTATTTCTTGTTGTTTGTTTTACAAATGCTGTATTTAAAATTACCATGGCCTAACTCTAGTTATGCATTTCGTTATCAGCTGATAAGAGAGAATACATTTGTACCCAGATCCCTTAACACTGAGTTTTTTTTTGTTGCTAATGATCATCTCATTTAACCTCTTTTAGAAATGAGGAAACTTAATTCCAAGGAGTGAAATGACCTATCTAAAGTTAAAAGCCAGCTAGCTAATTTGTTTCCTTATTCCCAGTGCTGTATTCACTTAATTCGACATCCTGCCAGATCTCGTATACTTAGTACATGAAATGATAGGTGAGGTTTTATTAGTATTTTCAGATAAGAGTATATTTGTTCATGTCTTTGTAAAAAGGGTTGCTGCCTTAGCCAAACTGAATTCCAGCAACAAGCTACTTGCTTTTTGTTTAATTCAAGTTGTAGGGCTAAAATAAAAAAAAAAAAATACTGTGAAGTAATTTCAAACTTACAGAAGTTTCAAATACAATACAGAAAACTCCCATCTCTACCCTTATCCAGATTTTTCCAATATTAACATATATCTACCTCCCCCCGACTCCTGCACATATCTATTATCACTAATCTTTTTTTTGAGATGGAGTCTCACTCTGTCACCCAGGCTGGAGTGCAGTGGCATGATCTTGGCTCACTGCAAGCTCCGCCTTCCGGGTTCACGCCATTTCTCCTGCCTCAGCCTCCCAAGTAGCTGGGACTACAGGTGTCTGCCACTGCGCCCAGCTAATTTTTTGTATTTTTTTAGTAGAGACAGGGTTTTACCATGTTAGCCAGGATGATCTTGATCTCCTCACCTCTTGATCCACTTGCCTCGGTGCTGGGATTACAGGTGTGAGCCACTGCGCCCAGCCTATCACTAATCTTTTTGAAACCATTTGAGAAGTTGTTGGTATGGTGCCCTCTTACCTCTATATATGTCATTGTATTTTTCAGAAACAAGAACATTCCTATCTAACCATGATCCACCCTGCAAGTCTGGAAGTTAGCATTTATAACACTATTCCATGCAGATCAGAGACACCATTCAAATATTACCAATTGCAATCCATGTAGGAAACTGTGCTGTAATCATCTATCCTATCCTTTTTTGGTCTTCTGTGGTCTGGAATATTTTCTGTCTTTCCATATCTCTTGTGTCCTTGGAAGTTTTGTAGAGGACATGGCTTATATTCTGAGTGTTGACTCTCAACCGGGGCCATCTGATGTTTCTTCTATGACCAGAATGAGGTCATGCTTTCTTGGTAGGAATACCACAAACATGATCTTTGCAGCACATCATATGGCACACAAAGCCACTCCTCCTGGTAATGTTAACTTTGATTGTCTGGTCGGGCTCTTCTCTGTCAGATTTCTCCTCTCTGAATCATCATTTTCTTCTTTGATTTGTATTTTATGGGGAAATAAGATTACACTAATATCTTGTTTTTCATCAAACCACTACTCAGATTAATGACTCCATTGTTGACAGCCACTTCTGAGGTGGTTGCCAAGTGATTCTTTTTTCCATCATTTCTTTTGCATTTGTAAGTTGGTATTCTGTAAGAAAGAGCTTTTCTTTCTGCCCCATTTACTTCATTAATTTATTTATAGTGGTATGGAGTCATGGATTCCTATATTATTCATTGGGTTGTAATTTATTAGTAGCAGTATTTTGTTGCTCAAATTGTCCCAGATTTGACCAGTGGGAGTTTGTTTGAGCTGGCTCTTCTGTCCTTTTGAAATATCCTCAGTAGTTTTTTATGTAAGTCCTTCCTTTTTAGCATATCTGACTGTTCACTGTTTTGCAGTTTATTATTTAATTATAATCAAAATCATATGTGGTTGAGAATTTATTTTGGAGTTCTTTTATTCCTTTATAAAAAGTAATATTGGAGGTTCTTTAAACTGAATGTATTTCTAAAGACTTTAAAAAGTGGCCACTGGATATTTCTTCAATGACTTCTCTATTTTAGTAATTTTAGATGAGGGAAGATTTCCAAATACATATAACCAAAGTGATGTTTTAGAAAGGGAAAAGGGAGACATGTTTTAGGGATTTTTTTTTTTTTGTCTTAGATGTTTTATCAATGGATAGATTTCTTCTAGTTACGTGTCTAACACATGTGGGAAGACAATGGTGGCATTTATTTCCCTGAGTTTTTGGCCCCTGGAGAGGGTTATTTTCAGATCCCCTGATGTTCATTATTAGACCTCAATTGTGTCTTCTCTCTTTAAGCCTAAAGCGATCTTATTAATTATTAATAGTGAACTAAATTTGTCTTGAGTTTATGCTAGAAACATGAACTGTTTTCATATTCAAGGTCTTTACTCTTTTGAAAATTCTTTACTGTTTTGAAAATAACACAGTATCAAGATGAATTTGAGTCTAAAGTCATCTGTAAAAGTTTGAAATAATATTCATTTGAATTAAACAGTTTAGAATAGTTTAACTATGTTATATTGAAAATGTAGCTTTATATTGGACCGGGAATAAAAAGGAATTCAATTTACAATTGTACCTTAGTGTAGCTTAATTTTAAGTCTTTTGTATTTTTGGTGTGGTGAATGTAGGCTATTAGTTCTATTAATGAATTAATTTACTCTCAGCCAAACCCTGTTATATGATTCAAGTTACACATTATAACCAAGTTCAGGTATTATTTTAACCCAGGATTGATTGAAAAGTATAAGACATAAAAGCAAAATACTGCGTAAAAGCTTAGTTGTATATGGAAAATTGTGAGAGCTAATGATTGAAAAGGATTTTCTCACTGTTTGACAATTTAAATTGCAGTAAAGAAACTGCTACTCAGAAACTTCTGCTGTTCTTTTTCCTTCTAGTCTACACTCTCCCCACTCCAGTATATCAGACTTTTTGCCAGCATCAAGATACTCTGTGCATTTTATGTCTTTTCACTTTTGTTTATTCTGTCCCCATTGTTTGAGATGCCCTTTCTTCTTTCCTCAACTGGTAAAAATCTAGTCATTTTTCTAGGCCTGGCTTAATTGTCACCACTTCTGTGACACTTTCTCAGATACTTCTCAGCAGAATTAATCAGTCCATCCTCTGTGCTCTCATAATAGCTTGTTTTTACTGCTTATAGAGACTTAACACATAAAATTACTGTAGACTGTTGGTATTTGTGAGTTTATTATTTACAATTTTGACTACTTACAAATGACCCAGATTATGTGTTGCAATCATGTGTACAGGGCATCAATCCAGTGTGTACACATACAATCCAGGTGTTTGATGTCATAGGAGCCAGTGTGCTACTGAGTGAGTGTAGCTGTTTGCCCAGGCTCCATATATCCATTTAGCTTTATCTAATTTCATTGTACACAGATAACTCTTGAAGTGATTAGAAACAGTGTTTCTTTATAAATGATGACCTTTATAGAAATCCAGCTGCTAGTGTTAGTGATAACATGATGACATACTTATATTAAAATAGCACATTGTACCCCCCAAATATGTACAATTATAATTCATTAATTAAAAATTTTTAAAAAGGTGAGAAAGAAGCTAATAATGTGCCCCAAAGTAGGACTTGGAAATAAATTTTGATTGTAGTAAGGTGAACTTTGCAGTGCCTATAATGAGTGAAGAGAACATGTTTTTCATCTCTTACTTAGGAAAGAGGAAAAAGTGATTTTTAAGCTGTTTTTAGTAAATGTTCAATCAATGCAAAATCTGTTTCTCAAATGGGAGCTGAAATTCTAGTGACATTTGGGAAGTAGTTGAAGCAGGAAGATTCACAGGAAAATGAGTGACAGTCAAAATTGATTCGTGGAAAATCTAGGGGCCTATGTACACAATTATTTTTTTTTAATTGACATAGAATTTGTATACCATGAAATTCACCCCCTTAACGTATACAACTTCATGGTTTTTAGTTTATCCACAAAGTTGTGTGACCATCACCACTAGGTAATTCCAGAACATTTTCCTCACCCCCGAGAAGTACCCCACAGACATTAGTAGTTACCACCCCCCTATCTCTGTCAACCACTTGTCAATCTCTGTGGATTTGCCTATTAAGGATGATTTAGTTTTTAAATAGATAACTTGGATTGTAGGGGGATATTAATAAAAACAGGGAATTAAGATGGGATTTAGTACTGTCATAATGGTCCAGGCAAAATATAGATTTATGCCTTCTACTTAACCACTTGCGAACATTCCATTGGAATGAAATATATTGGTAAATATACAGTGAATAATTTTATTTTACTTTATTTTATTTTTTTTTTGAGACAATTTCGCTCTTGTTGCCCAGGCTGGAGTGCAGTGGCGTGATCTCGGCTCACTACAACCTCCACCTCCCAGGTTTGAGCGATTCTCCTGCCTCAGCCTCCCAAGTAGCTGGGATTACAGGCATGTGCCACCATGCCTGGCTAATTTTGTATTTTTAGCAGAGACGGGGTTTCACCATTTTGGCCAGGCTGGTCTTGAACTCCTGACCTCAGGTGATCCACCTGCCTTGGCCTCCCAAAGCACTAGGATTACAGGCGTGAGCCACCACGCCCAGCTGAAGAATTTTTTAACTGCTATTTTTTAATCTTTTTAGTATGGTGCTTTGGGAGTGTATTGTTAAATTAATTGGCTCATTAATATAATAGATTAATTGTTAAAAATGAATTAAGATCGAGTCAAAAAAGATAATATGAAACATGCAAATATGTTTTTCTGCTGTTAAAACCAAATGCAGCAACTTAGTTTAGCAGTTTAGCGTCATTCATGTCATAGATGTTAATTAAAATTGTGTTGGTACCTTGGATTTGATTGATAAATTTGCTTTTTGGGTTTTATAGTTATATTAGGGATCTAAACATGAAGAGTTTATATCTAATTTATGCTTGTGCATATTTAAGTGACACCTTAATAAAAAAATACTTTAAGTCAGTCCACCAGGAAGTAAAAAATTTTTTTCCTTTAAAAATTAGTATATTACTTAGTTTGACACAAACTGTTTCCAGCATCTATAGATCCTACGGTTTGCAAGCTTAAGGTTAAGGCTATATCTTCTCTCTGTTAGCACTTTTTATTTTAGTCTCAACCATGGTGTAGAATATATTCTTTCTACTGTACTCCAGCCTCGGCAACAGAGCAAGATCCGTTCTCTGAAAAAGTAAAAAAAGAATTTATTCTTTCATGTCATAAATGCATTGCATGAAGATTCAAAATTTGATGTCATTGTTATAAGAAGTACAACATTTCTGGCTATGTAGTGAACATTAAAGAATTACTAGATGAGGTGAAATCTGAAGTGCTCATTACTTGTTAGAAAGCTCTAGGAAGAAGTCAGAGAATGACTTCAAGATAATTCTTTCCACTGATAATAAAGTGAAGTGCATTATGAATGATGCTTGGGAAGTGGGTGATGATGGGTTTGAGCATATGGTTGAGGTAATAGGGAGAGCTCGTTGAAGGTCAGTGGGACCTAGAAAAGTTCATGAAAGAGTGGTGGTGAAAACAGTGTTGATGCATTAAAACAGGTAGCTGAGATTGTGGTCCTTTACATGAAAAACTAATCAGCACCTTTGCTATTTTGGAGCAGACCTTTAAGATTACCTGTATAATAAATGTGTGCAGACACCATCCAAAAAGGTGTAAAAAATTGCAAAGGAAAAATAAATACTGGCCAACACAGTGTTCTTAAAAGTACCCATGCCTAGTGAGTCCCCTCCCTTGCTGTTCTTTCACATTCTGTTCCATAGCTGTTTCTCCCACCTCTGTTACCTATTTCTTTGGCCAAGATTGATGCTAACAACCTGTCAGATGCCAGATTCTGAACTCCTGCTATTGACTCCTGCTTTCTAGACATTGTCATCATCTTCATCCATGTAGGACATGTGCTGTACAGTAGCAGTCTCCACCACTCATTGGCATATTTTCATTTTGTTTCCTGGTTCATATGACCAGAAGACTGATGTAATCTGTAGTGTTTATTTTAGTTGTAGTTTATTTGAATAATTTTACAAATAACTTTAGTTCTGTATTTACAAACGTAATAGAGATGTTTTTAAATTAGACGTTTAAATTTTAACAAGACGTTATTAAAATTTTACGGGCACTTCATTTTAGAGGGGAAAGTATATGCTGTAGTGGATTATACACTTCGGGAATTTATAAAAATCTACAGATGAATCAGTCCTTCATGAATGTCAAGGGATGTTGTTGAGTGTATTTTTGTCTACTCTTGTGGAATTCTGTAGGGTGGAATCATCTTGTACTTTTGTGGTTTAAATGTTTGGCATTCTTCAACAAAATGTACTTACAATATTTCTCTCTCTCTTATTCTACAGGTAAAAAATTTAACTGCATTTTTGGGATATGATAAAATTAAGCTACTTTGCTTATAGATAGTTTATGGATCATGTGGACAGTTAGCATATGTGGGGAAAAAGAGCATGTAGTGGAAGAACATCCCACACTACACTGGACGATCCCCATGATTCTTTGTGGCCCACACATGTGAGTGTTCCTAACAGTCAGCTGTTCTTTCTTCAGATACACTGAAGAGATGGTGCCTTGGCACCCTTGCCTGGAACTCGTTAGCAACTGCGAGCAGAAGCTTTCCAGTCACACATCAAGGCGCTTGATCACAATGGAAAAGGTGAAGAAATTTGAGGTAAATTGCTTCAGTATTTTTGGGATAAATTCTGAAAGAATCAAAAGTAGTTGTTTCTAAATAGTTTTCCTGTGATAGAGTTTGGAAATGTTATTCCTTGATATTTTAAAAATTACAGATCAATTTAGGAAGAGGCAGAAGTTGAAGAGATTTGTGGCATCCAGTTGGGATTGAAGGGTAGGAGTTGGATATAGACATAGACATTGAGTAGAGTTCAAATAGACGTTGACCCTCACTTCTCAGGCTTTATTTGATATCCTTGTTGCTAACTCAGTTATAAAACAGCATTATTAAACAACTGCTATCTAATTAGCAATGTCCTAGTTACCATTTTTCTCCAAAAGCAGAACCTACTTGATTGCAGACTGTAATGAAGAGAATATGTTGCTTTATAAATAAAGAGAGAAAGTAAATGTCCCCAGTTTGTTAGGGCCCAACACATTCTCTCTTTGTCTCTCTCTTACATACAAAATTCTTACTCTCTTACATTCATTACATTCTTATAAAATTCATACTCTCTTACATACAAAATTCATTTAAGCTTAAGAAAGAATGAAACGTTTGTTATTTCATGCCCAGACGAGAGTTGACATGAATAGTGCCTCATAATGGAGCTTAATTAAATCTACAAAAGCTCTTTGGGCTGTACTTCTGTCGATTGACAACCAAAGCTCTCTTAAATTCACTGGAAACTTGGATGACCCCCATTCTTGCTTTGGACCTTTAAGGTAAGCAGAAGAAAGGTGGTAGTGTCTGAAGATTTTTCCTTAGTTTTTTTTTTTTTTTTTTTTTTTTTTGAGACGGAGTTTCCCTCTTTCACCCAGGCAATCTCGGCTCACTGCAACCTCCACCTTCTGGTTTCAAGTGATTCTCCTGCCTCAGCCTCCTGAGTAGCTGGGATTACAGGTGCCTGCCACTATGCCTGGCTGATTTTTTTTTTGTATTTTTAATAGAGACGGGGTTTTACCATGTTGGCCAGGCTGGTCTTGAACTCCTGACTTCTTGATCTGCCTGTCTTGGCCTCCCAAAGTGTTGGGATTACAGGCGTGAGCCACCGTGTCCAGACTGAAGATTTTTCATACCCATCTCTAGCCTGCATTTGATTTGTTTTTATATAGTTCCCATCTTACGGATTATTTCATAGTAATGAAAACTAATATTTGTACAGTGCCTTTTGCATATATTATTTTACATCATTGTTTTCGTCCTTTTTATTTTCATTTGCTGTCTCTAATTTAGACCCTTATTACCATACACCTGGTTTATGTTCACAGTCTCCTAAATGATCTCCTTCATACCGCTAGTTTATATGTTGAATGAATCTTCCTAAAAACACTGCATTCATTATGTCACTACCTTATGCAAAATCTTTTTTTATTACTGAAAAATGTTCAGAATTTTCAGTGTGACATAAACTATCTTCTGTAATCAGGCTCCAATATCAGGGCATTTCAAAAAGCTAACCTATACATCTATATAAGTAGTTGATTGGTATCTACTATATGTATATATAGGTATACGTGTACATACATATAAACATATGGATGTATAGGTATATGTGGTGTAATTAAAATGAAAATGTATGGCAGTCATTTTTAAAACAAAAATACTAGAAGTTTATATTCAAATGACATCCTTGGAGTGGAATCTTTGTACTCATTCTATTTCTGTCATAATTTTTCAGCATGTTCTTGAAACTTTACCTTTAAGATTTGCCTTTAAAGAAGTATTCTTTTATTAATCAGTTATTTTGTTTTATAGTAACACCTTGCTTTTCTTAAAATGATTTTACTGGACTTTGCTGCTCTTATTTTATACCAGACTAATTATTTAAAGTCGTTTTTGGAAATCAAATTCTATTTCAAGGATGATGATTTGCCATTAAACCATTAAACATTAAAAACATTGCAGATTCAGAAATTCTATAGTTTCCAAATTGTTTGGCATCATTACAGCCTTCTAGAATGAAAATTTTAAATGACTAACATTTATTTGGGTGTACAGTAGAAGCCCTCTTATTTAACGTCCATTTCAAACCCCGTTGATTAACCAATACTGGCCATTCCTTCTCTAAAACACACTGCCTGGGCCAGGCGCGGTGGCTCACGCCTGTAATCCCAGCACTTTGGGAGGCCGAGGTGGGCAGATCATGAGGCCAGGAGTTCGAGACGTGCCTGGCCAATGTAGTGAAACCCCATCTCTACTAAAAATACAAAAATTACCTGGGCATGGTGGCACACACCTGTAGTCCCAGTGACTTGGGGGGCTGAGGCAGGAGAATCACTTGAACCGGGGAGGTGGAGGTTGCAGTGAGCCGAGATTGCATCACTGCACTCCAGCCTGGTGACAGAGTGAGACTCTGTCTCAAAACAAACAACAACAAAAAAAATAAAAACCACACTGCCTGATGCAATAATATGTTGTATGTTGAATACTTTCAGCTGGTGAGTCGCTTGATCTCTACTATATTTATATACAGTACTTGTGCTTCTATCAGCTGAATTATCTGTTTAACAAGAGTCTCTTGTGGTGTTCTCAGAGCTGTTTATGCCAGTTATATTTGTTACAGTAATTGTGTAATCTACTTAAATACTAGTTAGACCAGTGAAATATTTGTGTACGAATACAGTTGTAATTTCAATAAAAACTAAGTTAATGCTTTAGAAAGAACAAAGTGAGTTGCTTAAAAAAAAGACTTGAATTGGAAATGGCTTTGAAAAAAGTAATTGCAATCTAGGTTTTTGCACCCTGATTGCTTTGTAAGCTCTTGCATCATTTTATAGAAGCCAAAACTAGAATTCTTTATAGGTCTTGATTCTGTATGAATATATACAACTGAATATTGTTTTTTAAGTTAAAATAAGTTTAATATGTTTACAAAGCATTTTAATTTCTTCTTGCTTTTATTTACCTTATCCAGTTAACTAATTGTATTGGTGTGCTTGGGCTGGCATAACCAAATACCACAGACTGGGCAACTTAACAGAAATTTATTTTCTTACAGTTCTGGAGGCTGGAAATTCAAGAGTAAGGTGTCAGCAGACTTGGCTTCTTTCAGGTGTCCACTGTCTTGCTGTCTTCACAAGGCCTTTCCTTTGTGCATCTGCACTTCTGGTGTCTCTTTCTCTTCTTTTTGTTTTGGATTTAGACAGTGTCTCACTCTATCACCCAGGCTAGAATACAGTGGCACTATTACACCTCACTGTAACCTCAAACTCCTGGGCTCAAGCCATCCTCCAGCCTTACCCGACTGTCTTCCTTTTCTTAAAAGAATGACAGTCCTATTGGATTAAGGCCCTGCCTTTAAGATTTCATTTATGCATAATTACCTCCTTAAAGGCCCTGTCTTCAAATACAGTCATATTGAGGGTTAGGGCCTTAACATATGAATTTTAGGGTAGAACAGAATTCATTCCATTACACTAACCATCACCAGTGTCCATCACATTGAATAAGAGGAGTCTGTTGTACGTTAGAGGATGCTTTTTTGTCTCCTCTCCTAGTCACTTACTTCTCATGTATATGTTTGTCTTTTGGTATTTTAAAGGAAGTAAGGCATTTTGATAATTCAGATGGTAACATTACAGCTCTTAGAAATCATAGCATTTAATAGAATCATTTGAGTTAGTAATATAATAGTAACTAACATTTATGTGCCAGGCACATGAGTAATACATGTAAAAAACAAACATTACCTGTAGATTTTGCAGTTTTAAGTCGTGATATTAGAAAGTAAAGTAAATGGCATTAGCATTCTTTATTGTGTGGCCTACATAAATAGTATTCCAAAGAATTAGGAGGACAAAGCTGTGGAGACTCTTTAATAATTCATGGAGCCATATAATAAATCAGCCATTCTATTTTAATGGAAAAATTTAAAAATTAAGACCCATTGTGGACTAATTTTTATACTTGCTTTCCACTGAGTTTTATTTGTTTAAGAAAGTCTGGTATTTTTTCCCAGATTTATAATATTTCCCTAAGCAAATTTATTTGAGACTGAAGGAAAACTGGGCTTTTGAGAATTTTTGTCCTATATTAAAATGATAAATGAGGGTACTCACCTTTGGTATTTTTAAACCTGTAAAGGCAGTGCTCATTTTTGTCAGGTTTACTTTTTATCATTTTATTTTGTTCTTTTCCAATTGATTTAAAAAAACAACAACAAGGAAAAGCCTCAAGTAATTTTTTGAAATGGTCTTCCCTATATAAGATCAAATTTAACTAGTGAATTTTTACTAGTATGATGTTTACTGTAACCAAAAATACTTTGTCATGTTAAATTAATCATGTTTGGTTTTTAATTAATTACTTCATTTCTACCTTTTGTTTGTGTGGAGAGGAATGTATATAATTGCAGCAAGATCTCAATCCTTTATAATGCAAGTGGTGACATAAAATTGTCAAACAGTCCTCACACACCTCTAACAAATTATTCTTGGGCTTGTTCAGCATTGTTGATTTTGGCAATGGAAGACTGTTAGTTTTAGATTTTTACACTTTTGTATACTGTGTCTCTTCATTTTTGATTTGTCACTTGTTAGGTTTAACTTCAGTATAACTTTTGGCCCACTTGGTATGCTGTTATAAAGTATTCTCCCTATCCCTCTTTTAAAAGTGTAAATGTAAGTTACAACAAAAATTGTCTAAGCAATATTGATATTTTATAAAATGTTGAAGTTTTGGATTATTGGTCATAGTTTTCAGACTTGCTTATGGCACATATGTAGTAAAGAAGAAAATTCTTGACAACTGTATTAAAATTTTGAAATTGCCTGATAAGAAGGGCCAGGTTTTTTCATTATTCCTTGTTGATATATTCTGAAAGCCAAGTGAATGATGAGTAACACTTTTATAATGCATTATTGTTTATAAAACTTCCCTATCCATTTGACTTTATTAATTTCCCCATTTTAGAAATGAGGAAGAGTAGCCTGGGACTATCCTATTTTGCTTAAATAGTAAGTGGAAGAGTTGAGACCAAAACTCCTCTTTGTACTTGAAATTCTGTGTCGTTTTTTTCTACATCTTGCTGCCTCTCTACCGAAGCATATTTCTACCTTTAGAATGTGCCAAGATTAAAAGGTAAATATTCTTTTTATGTTTTTTTTTAATTTTTTTTTTGAGATAGAGTCTTACTCTGTTGCCAGGCTGGAGTGCAGTGGCGTGATCTTGACTCACTGCAACCTCCGCCTTCTGGGTTCAAGTGATTCTCCTTGCCTCAGCCTCCCGAGTAGCTGGGACTACAGGCGTGTGCCACCATGCCCAGCTAATTTTTGTATTTTTAGTAGAGACGGGGTTTCACCATGTTGGCCAGGATGGTCTCGATCTCCTAACCTCGTGATCCGCCCACCTCAGCCTCCCAAAGTGCTGGGATTATAGGCGCGAGCCATCGCGCCCGGCTCTAAAAGGTAAATATTCTTGAGTGACATATTACTAGTTTTTTTTAAAGATAGTCTTTCCTTGTCCTGCTGTATAGCTAGTGTTACTTTTGGGGCCATGGTAGAATGTGGTTTTTTGGGTTTTTTTTTTTTTTTTTTGAGACGGAGTCTTGCTCTGTTGCCCAGGATGGAGTGCAGTGGCGGGATCTCAGCGCACTGCAAGCTCCGCCTCCCGGGTTCACGCCATTCTCCTGCCTCAGCCTCCCAAGTAGCTGGGACTACAGGCGCCTGCCACCCCGTCCGGCTAATTTCGTTTTTGTATTTTTAGTAGAGACGGGGTTTCACCATGTTAGCCAGGATGGTCTCGATTTCCTGACCTCGTGATCCGCCAGCCTCGGCCTCCCAAAGTGCTGGGATTACAGGCATGAGCCACCGCGCCCGGCCGTTTGTTTTACTAGATCTTGCTGTCCCACTTAACACAACGTGTAGTTGATGCTGCTATATGTGGTTGTAGTCACAGTGGTTACTTCTATAAAACATTTTTCTTATATGAAATGTATAGGATAAAAGGCTGATCTCCAGAGTTGTCCACAACAGACTGAGGTATAATAGTTACGTTTTCAATGACGGTCACCTGAAGCAATTCTCTCTCAACCTTCTCCATAGAATCTACTTGAACAGATGAAAAGAGCACCCAGGGTAGCCTTTTCAAGATTTCCTTGAAATCTTTTCAAAAAATTCATGCAACTTTTATAGTCTACTCTATAATAGATACATGATTAAAAATAAAAAATTATTTTAAATTACTATTACATTAAGTGGGCCATCATGTGCCCTATTTATTTTGTGGTTTATTTACTTCACATGCTACCTTATATTCCTAGTGGTTTGAGAAGTTTTGAAGTATGGGTACGTTTAATTCAAGGTATTATATGGCTATTAATTCAGACTAAAGTTTAATGTATAAATCAGTTGTCTTTTTTTTTATAGCTACATCATATAGTTTAGATTATTTAAAAGAGGAATACTGGAAGGTCACAGTGGCAGTTGATGACAGTTTATGTAATTTTTTATTTTGGATTGAATGAAAGAGTCCAGTAACATGAAGCTGATGAATGCATTAATCATAATGGAGTGTGGCCAAAACTGAGGGTTTTAACTAAAGGACTGAAAGATTTTGAAGCTATGAAGTACAAAAGAACCATTAACTTTATAACAGTATTTTTTTAAACAAAGGAGATAATAGACACTGAGGTCACTTCAGAAAATGACTTATAGATGGCTTGAAGTGGAAGAAATTAGTCTTTATGATAGTTTACATATTAGAATGATAGTAGTGTTGCTGATCATAAACTCTGGTGTTTTGCTGGCATAATGCTGATGCCTATTTCCATTAGACATTATCCTTTCTCAGGATTAATGTTGTTAGTTGTGTTTTTCTTTCACAGCTATTTGAATTAAAGTGAGTCTCTTCTGATTGACTTTTCTTTCTGAAATATATTGTGATTTTTGCCTGTCTCTTCCCAAAACTGTGGGTTCCCTTTTGATTAGAGGTATAAAAGATTAGAGATTAGATATGAAGCATTTAAAACAAAGGGTAAGATAGATATAGGTAATAACCTCATTTATTGGTGAGAAAAACAAGGCATGGTGACACTAAAGACGTATTGGACATAAACTCATTCTAGGTCTTCATACAATCCAGTATTTATCACCATCAAAGTTCATGTGTGTATCTGAGAGAGAGAGAGTCTTTTTAAAAATTATTTTGCATAGCAAGTCAGAAACCAATTTGCATTATTTATAAATTATGACTTGACTTGAGGTACTTAAAAAAGACTCGGAGAAGCAGACAGTAGCCTGGTGATGCTGCATATCATGCTGCCTGAATTCAGTTTTCAGGTTCATTTGGTCTACTTAGTTCCAAATGAATTTTCTTTTGCTGTTTGTGGTACTTTTTCTTGAGTTTACATCGTGGAGGATCATTTTTCTTTTATACTTAGGCAAATAAAATGATTTTGTCAAACGGGATTTTTAAAGTTAATGCTATCATAATAGTTTTAAACTATTGTTTTTGATAAACCATGAAAAAGCAAAACTCTTCCCCACTAGCTCCAGGAAAGCAGGCATTTAAGATATCTGGATCCTGCATCTTATGGTTCTGTTTAGAAATAACTATTTTATTTGCAGAAATAAGCAGTTCTCTGAAGCCTGAGAGAACACATGTCTTTATGGTTCCAGCATGTTTTTAAGCTATGCCAGTAAAACAGTTTTTAAAGTACTAGTGTTATAAGAATCTTAGGCATAGGTCAGTTGAAAATATAAATATAACTCAGGGATTCCAAGGTATGAATAATTTAGAGAAATGGGAAGTTTCTATGTGGAATCAACATAATCCTTTAGAGCTTCTTTTATAATTCTTGCATGAGTGACAGATTTTCCTCATTGTATACTTTTGTATTTTTCTTATTTGTCATATGTTTATTTAACTTAGAGTTATCTTTCTGGTGTTATTCAAATTCACATGTAAACTTATGTCCTCTTTCCACTTTATGATCTTCTAAGAATCTAACTCTGAGATTTTTAATGCGTATTTTTTACATAAGACATAAATGTACACTTTAGTAATTATAAAGTGAACATCCATGTACCTGCCACCAAGGTCAAGGTTATAGAGTAATGCAGCACTCCAGAAGATCCCCCCTTTTGTGGCCATTGTTGATCATAAATACCTCCCCCTGCAATGTAACCACTATTCTGACTGTTACGGTAATCATAATCATTGTCTTGCTTTTCTTTTGTAATATTACCACTATTGAATTCATCCCTAAGCAATATAGGTTTGCCTGGTTTTGATCTTTGTATAAATGCATACTCATTTTTATTAATTATCCTTTTAATGGATTATGGAAATTTAAAAAACTCACCTAGGAGAGGAATAGTCTCTACATTAAAGTGAGAGCATATATATGTGCATGCCTGCACATGTTTTGGTCTGCTACTCATTTATTGCTACTCAAGAAGGTGTTAAACAAGATTTTTAGTTTTAATGAAATATTAGATACAGTAACTAACAAGTCATTAAATGTTTAGTGTGTTGACTTTGTATTCTTTTATCATTTAAGATAAAGTTTTGACTTTTATAAAGTACAGATTCTAGTAGATAGCATATAGAAAGTGTTAATACTTCTATGTTGTCATGATAAGGACTAATATCCCCAATGTTTTTTTTATAAGTATTAAGAAATTACATGTTGAGTGCCAGATGTCAAAGTTTAATCATTGTCACTCATTTTGAGCACTCTAGATATGAAGATTTTAATACGTATTAAAATACTTTCATAGATTTTAGGTAACTTACTATCATGTAGTGAAATTTTTAAAAAGTATAGATTATATGTAAATACCTAATTCAAGGATGAAGATTTCCAATGGTACCTTGTTCTCATTAAGAATAATGCTAGAGGTTTCTCTTAATAGTATTGGATGCCAGACTTTTGACCTGCTTGTCCTTGGTTTGGAAATGGCCTGGTGCTGTTTATAGTTGTATAACTTTAGCACAAGTGGTTTCTATAGCTACTGTCCAGTACCAGATGTAGAACAGTGGGAAGCTTTGATAAGGAGAGCAGGATTTTTAAACAAAAGCTGGACATGGGTAATTACCCTGAAGCTGAACTGAGCCCCGTTATATTCAGCACTGTCATTTACATTTCATTTCACTCTCTGCTGATTAAAAGAAAATAAACCGACCCATTGTTTTTCTCTTCCATCTCTTTGCCTTCTTCCTCACACCTTACTTAAGAATGTATATCATAGCTTTAATCGGTTCCATGAATCTAAAAAGTTTTTCCCCACAAAATTGGATGAACACTTCTAGTTTGGTGGCTTTCACTATGGTGACAGCATCACTGGTTTTCACTTATCATAGAATAAATTTCATAAGCCATTTGTATTCAAGCGTTTGCAATGAAGCTGCTGTTTTGTATAAACTACTGTCACTTTGAGACTATAAATGACTTAAGGTTAATACTAGGGAGGTAGAAGAAATCATTATATCATTATCAGGAACTGTCAGTGAGTAAAAGGACAGCTTAAACCTGACCTACAATTAAAATAGAAGCCATTTGGTTTTCTGCTGAATGACTATAGAGCTCTGCAACTTCATCCTCTAGAAAGTGGAAATATCTTATTTTTAAAGAATAGTGATTTTATAAATTGATGACCATTGTTAGATATTTTCACTGAAGTTTCAGGAATTCTATTAAATTAACTCTTGGCAATGAAGGGACACCAGGAGAGAATTTTGACTTGATCATTATATTGATAGGGAGCGGTGCAGGAGATGAGACTTTACAGTGAAGCGAGTAGGAGCCAGTTTGTAGTAGAGGATGGGCATGGTGGTTGGGGCAAGGAGGTTGAGGAAATTCATATCTGATAACTGCTGTTTGCTCTGTAAAGAAGGATGCAAGTTTTTTTGTTTTTGTTTTTGCTGAGTAAATAAGCAGATACTAAATGTAAGAATTGAGGACAGGTGAACTTTTAGAAAAGGTACTATGAGAAATAGGAAAAAAAGCCATTTGCTTAACAATTTTTACATTCATATACTTTTCCTATTTTTGTATACTTTATTTCTCTTACTTAATTACCTGTTCCTTGAGAGGAAGGCCATAGTTTTCATCACGCAACATGTGTTTATGGGACCATTCGTGTCAGGTGTTGGGGCTGAACAGACTAAGGCTTCTTATCCTTAGAAAACTTGCACATCAGGAGAAATGGCCACTCAAACCATATTCCAACATAGCATCTTGTGTTCTGTAGTGATCTGTGAGAGGTGTTGTGTGAACATAGGAAAGCACCTACCTAAGGAGATGGTGCTTGAGGCAAAAGAGATGGGGAATTTGGTTGGAAAGCCAAAAATTTAAGCAAGATACAGAAGCATGAGAGGCATTGTGGTATATGTGGGGAACCCTGGACTTCAGTGTAGCTGGAAATACTGAGCAGTGGGGGAGGATCAGCTGGAGATGACCTGGAAGACTAAAGAGAGGGAAGCCCAGTGTTGAGGGACCTTACCTACTGAACAGTTTCAAGTTTATCCTGTTGGTAAAAGGGCAAGCCCATAGGGATGTTTGGAGAGTGGCAGAAGCTCTGTGTTCTGTGAAGGTCCTCCTAGCTTCACTGTGTTAGTGAATTTGAGCTGTGGAAAGTTAGCTGTGATACTACTGAGGGGGCTCCTGGAATAGTCAGGCAAAGATGGTGAGGCTATAAACCAAGGAAGCTAGAATAGAGATTGTAGGGGACTTGTTGGAATTGAGAATTTTGCGGGGAGGTAGATATGGCAGGACTCGGTGACTAATTGGATAATTGGGGTGAGGGAGATGAGCTAAGGGTGATGTTTCAGAAATCTGGCTTGGGACAACTGAGCGGATGATTGTTTTCTTGTATATGTTTTTATTCCCCATCCCTACTCCCAGGACCATGGGGCAGTACTGCTTTCTTAGGCTGCTGTAATAATCTTCTACTGATTTCTCTGCTTCTGCAGTTTCTCCCTCCATTCCATGCCCTACATGGTGGCCAGAGTATCTTTCAGAATATAAATAGATAAGGAAACTCCTCTGCTTAAATCTCATCAATGGCTTTCTGCGGAATTTAGAATAAAATTCAGAATCCTTTACATAACCTTTATGTCAGCCTGATCTACTTCTGGCCTGTCCAGTCTCATCTTGTGCCACCTTCCCTTTTGCTTACCAGTTGTTATCCACCCTGGCCGTAGTCTTTCAGGTCCCAGAATGGATTTACCTCCTTTTAGTCTCAGAGTCTTCTCACACGCACTGTGTTTCCTCTTCCTAGAATGTTTTCTTCCCCTCTTTTCATATGAGTAAATTTAATTCATCCTTTAGGTCTCAGATAAATGTCACTTCCTGAGAGAAGCCTTTCTTGTCCTTTCCCTTCACCGCTTCTGGATAGGTGTTTCCTTCTATTCTTCCCATATTCTTTTCTTGCCAGTGTTTAATCACAGTTTGTAAGTATATGTCTGGATGTACATTGTTTAATGTCTGTCTCTCCCACCACTGTACGTACAAGCTCTGTGAATTCACGGAACTTGACTCTTTTGCTCACAATGCAATAAATATTTATGGAAAGAATACTGACTTTTAAGTGATTACTCTAGGCTGTTCTAGAATAAAAACAATCACATCAGTGGTATTTAAATCATCCATTTAAAGGAAGAGTAGGAACAGATAGTTATGGTAGCCAAAAGTTTTCTGTTTGAAAATACATTGAATTTTATCATTACCCTGATACTACTCTTCAAAAATCAGTGGGACAAAAACATTTTAATCCTATGATCCCTAGGCCTCATTTCTCATGAGAAGCAAACCAATAAAGCAGCTGAATTGACGTATTGTGGAAAATTATAACACCTTCCCTTTATTTAAGAAGGAGGTGATAAAAGAGAATAGCAAATACTGGGAGAAGGCAGTAATTAGGAGGATCGTTTTATCTAAGTGGAATTCTCAATGAAGAATCTTTCGTATGTTGGAAGTCTGAGCAGTTTATGATGGTCAGTTTGAGAAACTTTTTTTATATATGTATTCTCACAGTATAATCCAGAGGGTCATGAGTTGTGTTTAAAGCAGCAGTTTCAAATGTGACTACAGAACATACAGCTTGATTTATTTTCTTGAGAATGAATTCCCCATTAGATTAAAATTTATTATAAGTGGCTGAAATCGCTTTAGCATCTTTTTGGGTTCTTTTTAATGCTGTATTTTTGATATATAGTTGTAAACATAGATTGACTTGAATAAGGTCACGTTTATATACCTTTCTTTCTTGTTCTAGAGAGTAGTTTGGAATTTTAGGTCGGACACTGAGACAGTGTTACACGTTAGAATCGCTGAGGTGAATATGTAGTTGTCTATTTCTCCATCATTATTTAAAAATGAAATGGTGTGAATAAATGCTAACATTCCCTGAGGAAAAGGCCAGCCTGGTCATGTTGGGACTGTGGGACTCTCGATGTTTACAGCAATCCGGGACTCACAAACAGCTATCAAAACGGTGCTCCTGGCAGATGCATGGTCTGCTGTGCTGTAAGCTATTTCAGTTCACATCAGGAAGTACTCTAAAGAAGGATTGCTATGCTCCAGCCAGCAGAGGGTAGTGTACACATGAAAGTTAACTACCAATTTGTAAGCCTTCCTTTGGTTTCTTTGGCAAGTGTGTTAAAATTCCTCGAGTGGTTTATGTTTAGAATTAGCAGTACTGATAGGACAGGAAATTGGCTGGGTGGGACAGTGGTTAAAGGAGTCCTGCCTAAAACTTTAGATCTGAAATATGTGCTACCATAATGTTGCTGTTCAGTGAGGAATGTCCTCTAAATGTCAAACTCTATTTTGAATGACCCACTAATCCACCATGTGGGAAATTAACTCTTTAGCCATTGTTTTGATGTAATTTCTACTAAAAAAAAAAGAGAATCACAATGGGAAAAACATGAGTTTTGAAGTCTGATTTAGGCTACAATTCTGGCAATGCTACTTACCAGCTGTGTGATTTGTGGTAGATTATTTAAACTCTTTAGCCCCCTTGTGTCCCTATCTGTAAAATTTAGATGATACTTTTCTGCAAAAAGATACGGAAAATTAAATAATTATGTAATAACACATAGTTTGGTAGGAAATATATCTTCCTTTCTTGAATCATAACTTGTGTATTTCTTATAATGTTTACAATTGCTGATTGTCTTAAAAGGATAAATGATAGGGCTGAATGCTGTATGTCTTCCTTATGTAGCCATTTATGGCTAGCACAAATTTACCTACAGAAACTCTTCTGATTATAAAAAATGATAATAGTATAGTCAATAGTCTTAATATTTTATTCATATCGTCTTAATTACTATCAATGGTTAAGAAATTTGGAAATTGTAGTCTTTTTATCACCATAGTCTTCTCTCTTGCCATTTCCTAATTCTTGTGTGTTTTTATTTTTCCATCAAATAGGTTTTGCTTACTAAACTTTGGCAGAACTCGGGTTTTATGATACGTAGGTGATATCACAATGAATAGTGGTAGACAGATTTAGAAATGTTAGCGAAACCAAAAGTCAAACACTGGGATGAGCTTGAGTTAATGGGGAGATCAAAGATTGTGTTTGCTGAGGATACTCTTCTCCTTTTAAGTAAGCACTTTGGCCTTTGAGATACTGTGCTGAAAAAAAAACAACTTGCAGATATTCCTGGTTGAGACGCGCAGGGAATGTGAATAGAGAAGAGTCATGAAAAGGTGATGAAAAATATGTAGAGTTGAATATCATCGTCTCAGATGTAAGCCCTGGCAAACTAAACCAAAGATAGGATGAAAGAGAGGTAGAGAGAAAAGAGAAAACAAAAAATGAGTTTGCCATTTTTTTTTAGCATTAAGGTAATAAAAGTTCTGAATGCTGCATAGAGTATAGTATATTTCGTATGGTCTGGGTATATTTTAAATGTGTATTGTTCATAGATATGTGGTATTTATATGTATGATTATATGTGATATGTGTTGGACCATAGACATACTGAGTGTTTCGTGAGAAATATTTTATGAACTATGGTCTTTCCACTTAAGTGAAAATAGTAGCCAAAGTCCTTGGAATGTCTTACTCGAAGCAGGACTTGTGCTGCTAGATAATAGACTGGCGCCTGCCAGATCTCTGGCTGTGTAAGGGATTTGGAGCTTTTGGGTTTTCCAGAGTTTCTGTTATAAATGATAGATGTTGTGTTTTGCAATCAGGAGTCATTTGGTCTTCTAGAAAGGGGACATTTTAGCACAGAACCCAAACATACACTTCACACTGATTCTGCTCTACTACCTGGGAAATAAGAAAATAGCATTTTCTCCCCAGGAGTTGCATTTCTAAGGTTAATGATCTTTCCCACCTTCTCCAGTAGCATGTATGTCTTTGCCACCGTGTCCCCATAGCACTGAATAGAACACATGGTCGGTTAAGGGCTTATTTTGCCTTTATTCTGAGAGGTCTAAACTATTACAGAAAAGAATGTCTTAAGTAGTGAGTGTTTTCTCAATAATCGTTAGCATACATTTTAATCATTACTTTTGGATTTTTCAGGCTTTTGCTGTTCATTCCCAGTCTCTGACTCTAATCTTTATATTCTCTGATTTTATTACCAATAGTTGCCCTATTTCTATCCCTCTGGTCAAAGATAAACTATTTTATTAATCCCTTCCTTTGGTCCGTAGAGGAAGCCCATCTTCCATTGTGCTTTGGGCTTTGTCTTCTGCCTCCCTCTTGTGAGCTGCATAACCACAGCTTAGGTCAGCTAGGCACGCTAGTAATTGAGCCTGGGTCAGCTTGCTGGAATCACATTTCTGTCCTACCTTAGCCTCCTTACTACTGCAGTTCTAGAATATTCCATGAAGTAATCCACAGGCAGTTTGAGGGGGAGGTGATCTTGCATGGCCTAGAGGGGCCATGAGGAGAATAGTGGACATGAGGGCAGAGCTAGAATACCTGACTGCATTCTGATTCCCCTTGTACAGAGGAAAGTGAGATGTCATTCTGCAAAGTGATAGGTAATTGAATGTAAGCCCCAGATATCAAGGGAAAGCCTGAGAATTATGGACAATTTGAACTTATTTAGATTTTAGCCAAGCGGTTGGCATATTAAATTTGCATTTTAATAAATTAGGTTTGGTCTCAGTATGGAGAATACACTAGGGAAGGAAACACTGGAGGCAGGGCAGCTGGCCATTTACGGAAAAGAGGCGGGGATGAGGGAGGCCTAGATTAAATGTTGGAGTTATGAGTGGAGAGAAGTGGATTTGAGATGTTTAGGATATACGAGTTAAGATTTTAGGACTGACCAAATCTGAGAAGAGGGATTTGACGCAGGTTTCTGATTTTGATGACTGGATGGGGAACAATGCCAAGAATTGTGAGGATCAACATGGTAGCTGAAAAGATGACAGCATCTGGACATAGCTTTAAAATAAAAACCGAAGAAAAACATTCTGCCAGGATTAAGCTAACACAGCTTAGGAAGTGATCAAGTTTTCTAGTGATCTTACTGACATAAGGACAGAATTTCGAATACCTGGAGGAGTAGTTGATGGACTTCAGTCAGACTTTTGATGAAAGTTGAAGTAGTTGACGTTAAATGGTGGAACATTGTTCTGTGTTGCCGTTATCCTGGCACAGTCCTGATATGTGGACCAGACTTGAGTCTACCTGTGGAGTCATCTGTTCTTTCAGGGTTTTGTTATCCTTCAGCTTCCCTGTGGCTCTTACACCTCCTCTTGATATGAAAAGTCTGTGCCATTGAAATATATCCTTAGTTAATAGGCCTTCATTAGTAAGACCTCTCATCCAGTTCTACTTCTTTCTTGGTGGGCTCCTCAGCTGTCATGGCCTTAGTCCATCACCTATATTCTCAGAGCTCCTCCTGCTTCTTGAGTTGGGGAAGAAGATAGCTCTTTTGGAGAAAACCTCATTACATTGTAATTAAGGGTGCAGTCTTTAGAGTCAAACAGATCTGTGTTCAAAGCCTAGCTCTGCCACTTACCAGGTGTATTATCTTGGACCTGTACTCTTAAGTAATTCCTCATCTGTAAAGTGGTACTAATCGTTTACTTATTTCTTAGAGCTGACAAGTTTTGTTAGGTCGTACATATAAAGCATTTAGTATTGTTTTTGGTCCATACAAAATAACCAGCAAATGTTACCTTTCATTTGGTATCTTTAGTTGTATACCTACACATTGACTCTCTAAAATTTATCTTTTTGGGGATTGTATGTAGACTGAAGTTATTAATAGTAACCTTTAACATGTTTTCATGTGTTTGCAGGAATTTGGAACTGTAATATACTTGGGTGCCATAAAATTTCAGTAGCTACCTATTTCTCTTTGATGAATCAGGAAATCTGGGCATGTTTAATTTTTGATAATCTGGGTTTTTGGTGTGATTTTAAAAATATATGTGGCAAAAACAGTTTCTGAATAAACAAATGTGCCAACATTATTTTGGCTAAACCTGGATTTTTTTTATTAATGCTAGGTATGATGGAAAAATGAAGGTACTCATTTTATACAGGCAAAAATATTTTTGCAAAAATGAAAAAATATTTTGAGGATTGTTATATTCCAGATATATTTTTATATTTTTAGCTACCATTTTGATACTGAAATCTGGATAAAAAATTAGGCTTCATGTTTTCCATTTAAGTCTCCATACCTGTCCTCAAAAATCACATTAATCCAGGTGTAATTGAATATGAATTTATAGAAGCACATGGGAAATGAAATTTTATGTCTAATTAGATATTTTTCACAGTTGGATGAGAAGCCAGTGTTTCAGTGTTTCCTGCCAGGAACCTCAATTTTCTAAGCCAAAATATGTTTGACATTAACCCAGGTTGCTATTACCATTAGACGTCAGTCTGAGCAGTAGTCCTTACTTGTCTGTGAAGTCTACAAGTATGGAAATCTCTTGTTTAGCCTGTATCTTCATCTACTATGTTCACTTAAAGTTTCCACGAATTGTTTATTTCATTAACTGAATATAGAAATACCCCCAGACAATTTTGTGTGTCTGTATGACCTCACACAAATGCATTATTTTGTTGGTTCACATGTTTTTCTTGAGTAGAAGCTTCCTTGTTTAGTACTTTTTATCCATAGGCACAGATGACTTCAGTGTGTGCTGAACTGGGAATCAGAAGAAAGTTATAGCCTTGACTCTGTTACTTGGAACCACTCTCTTTGCCCTGAGGCAAAAAAAAAAAAAAAAGAAAAAAAGAAATTTGTCCTCTGTACAGAGGTCTTTTGTGAGGCTTTAATGAGGTAAATGAAAACACTTTGGATATCCAAGCATGATAAGGATGTAAAGTGATGGTATATTTCTAATTCAAGTAGTGAAGGAAGATAAATATGCACTAGAGAGTGAGATTTTGCTTAAGATTTTGCTTAAGGTAAACAACTGCTTTGGTATAAGCTAACTAAAGAAATAATTTTTACATTTTGTATTTTCCAACCAAACAGAATCGGGACCAGTATTCACATCTGCTAAGTGATCATTTTCTGCCATACCAAGGTCATAATTCCTTCCGTGAGAAATATTTTAGTGGGGTAACAAAAAGAATTGCCAAGGAAGAAAAATCCACCCAGGAATGAAAATTAAGATTTTGACAATGAAGAAAGAATAAGAATTTGATTTAAAAAGACATCTGGATGTGAACTTTCATGTATGATCCAGAAAATAGGTACGGTTTTAAAATATTTTATATAGAAAAGCTACAAAGTAAATTGAGCAATGCTTTTAAAGTTATCTTTGTTTTATAGACTTTTTTGTTGTATGTATTACAGTCTTTATAATCTTATTTAATGTATATTTGTACTTTCAAGTACTGATGGAGATAGACTCAAAACAGTTATTTTTTTACAATTAATCTACAAAGGGAATTAATATTGTTGACTTTTAAAACATCTGCTGGATATATTATATGCAATTAATAGTAGTTAAGAATTTATTCATTTGGTAGATATGTTTATTTGGTTTTTGGTTGTCATCGATTTACATTGCCACTAATAAACCATATTGAGAATTTCTAAAATTGTGTCATATCTAGTTGTCTTCATGGGGGATGTGATGAGGGAAATAAATTTTTATTTAGAAATTCCAGACAAGGAAGGAATAACAATGCTAATAGTGATGATAAGAAAGGCTAAGACCTGACAACCTAGAAAGATTCCAAACTCCTTAAGGCCTGTCTACATTTGAAGCTCTTTTGTACCTTGGATTTGCTCCTGCATTCCTAACCGTTGACTGTTGCTCAAGTTAACTACCCACAATTTTTGGTTTAGAAAGTAACGGATAGTTAAAAGCAGTAACAGCAACACAAATGCTTGATGGTTCCTTAATGGTATTAAGCCTAATCAGTGCCCTTTGAAATAGAAGCTATATTTTTCTTGAAGGAGAAACTTTGCTGAGTCCACATTGTGTCCATCATGAAAATATCTTGCTTGAAAACCACTATACCCATTAATTCAGGATGCTAATAGCTTTCTTGCCTTTGGTGGTCAAATGTACCTCAGCAGGGTGGCAGTAAATGGATCCTCTCTCTCTAACCAGAGCCTGTATTTATTATTATTATTATTTTAGTGTTACTGCTGACTTTTATGGACTCAGAGTATTAATGTGCACAGCTTAGGACCTCTAAAAGTATAGTGCTGCCCAAGCAAAGAGACATCAGGCTATCTGCTTTGCTCTCTTTTTCTTGTCTTGCAGTTCAGGATTTCAGCAGCAGATCTCAAACATTTCACTGATTATTTTGTTTGGGTTTCTGGATGTGATTTGTGGTACACTGGGGGGAAATCTAAAAGTATTCAAGGATGATTTATTTTCAGTTTTTCTGTTTAAACCATCTTATTTAAAATGTTTCGAGGTTATATGGGAGGTGAGTTTGAAACTTTGTCACTGACTCAATTTGGAATATGAGATTTTAGCTTAGCCCCTTTTTTGGGTGGTCACAAAGATTAGTCCAAATAGTTCTGGAAAGTTGGAATATTAATTTTAGTCACATTATCCTTAAAAATTATCCAACACTTAAAAAATATTTGAAATTATTTGTTATTACTACTAATTGAGGTCTTCTAAACTATGATTCCTATTATGAGGCTTATTTTTGTATTAATCAGGAAGTTCAGTTTCCCATTCCTGAAATGTCACTAGGCTCAGAGTATAATTTGTTTAGTTGGTACTTATAAATAAAAAAGAAACCTGATTACTTCCAAACTATTTTGGTTTTAGAGCATAGGTCTCAAGCCCTCTTATTTTAACGAGAGAGTTTTATTTTTTGGCGTTAGGATCTTATTACTTTCGGCGTAAGTTACAGCAGATCCTTTCCAGGATTGCTCTGGTTTTCTATGTTACCACTGTATTCCTCATGTGCTTACAGCAACAATATCACCTAGCAAATTGCCTGCATTTCAGAAAGTCCTGTAGTTTGGATTTACAGTATAATCTGTGAAGGAATTCTAGGTGGTCTGTGGACTGGCCTATTTTAATGTTTATAATATGACAAAATGTATAATTTTGTTTCTGGCATATATTAAATATCCATAAACTCCAGACGGTTACCTTGGTGGTGTTCATCAGAGGTGCCTCCTTCCCGTCTATTCTGGTGAGTACTTTTTGCTCTAATAGCTGGGAGGAAATAGTGGAGTAGGTGGTCTTTGTGTTTAGCCAAAGTGGCCAGCAGATTTTGAAAAGTTTAAAATCTGCTACAATTTTCTCAGCCACTTCCTGCCCAGGGTGACCCAGCTTTGGGCCAGCTTGCCACTGATTTCCTTATGACTAACTCTTTAAATACAAGGATTGAGCAATAAAACATTTTCAAACTGTTTAAGCTCTGGGAGGTAAGTCAGTATTGCCACTATTTCCTTGTTGAGAAAACTCACTCAAATATTGAGATTCCCTACATATTTAAGAAGGATGGCAATTATAAGTAAAAACAAAACAAAAAACAACAACAACAACCTTATTTCAAGTTTTGTAGGGGAAAGTAGAGTATGTGTTAACATCACGGGAGGCATTGTAGTGGGTGTGTTTATTTTATTGGGTTAAAATTGTGCTTTAAAAGTTTGAGACATGGAAATAGCTTTTAAGGTAATATGTTTTATACTCGTAAATTAAAGAAGCAGGGATTTGACTTTTTTTCAACACCAGGAAATTAGACGTTGAGGTTGTGTTATATAGATGCCAATATAAGCAACTCTGGCTCTTGAATAAAAGTTCTTAGTCGTTTGGTGTTAGAAGAACTGCTGACATCTTATGCTGGAAATATTATCAAATATTGCTTATCCAAAGAGATATGGAATAAAACATAATGTTTCTCTGTTGAAAACTGAAGGTGACTTTTTTGGGAAATGATCTTATTTTCCATCCCATTGTAATAAATCTCCCTTGAAAAAGCACAGTGGAACTAGGCTCATGTTAATAGTTCTAACAGGAAAAAAATTCTTTGTAGATAAAGCAAGGCATAAATAAACTCATTAATGCATTGCAGTGGTGGAAATGGAGGTGAGTGTTGCCAAGGCAATTGATGACCTTATTGTTGACCTGCTTGACCAAAAGAGAATAAATTATTCCAAAATAAGAACCTTGGCTCTTTTTGCTGGGCTATGGTTCTGTTCCATTTTAAAGTTATTTAGAAAACTAAACACTTGCAAGAATCTTTGTTCTTAGAAGGACTGTATTCATAGAATAAGTGAAATCTACTTTGATTTCCGACTTACCCACTCCCATTTTTCTCAGATATTTATCAAGTAATGTGGTTTGTAATCCAAACAAAAAAAAGTGCCTTAATCCAGAACATACACATGGAGACAATAACAGCAGACTGATGGTGTTTGTACTTTACTAAAACATTGAGATCTTCTCTAAAACAGAGTGGTTTGAGAACATAGTGTCTAGAGTGTAAAGAATTATAATGGAATGGTAAACATACTGTGATTCTATCTGGTCATAGAATCATAGAGACCAGCACATTCCTGTCTATCCTTTGGGGTGAAAAACTAGGGAACCTGACCCCTTTCCCTTAAAAGAGATCTGCCTTACGATGTTCATATGTTTCACTGTGTGGGATAAGCAAGTTGACATTTAGACATAACTGAGGCCAACCTGGAATTTGGCTCTTATCCCTTCCTTTATAAGCCCTTGTAGACAGGGCTCTTTGGGGGATGGAGGTTTAATTGTAATGGCAGTCTTTTAAGCCTGGGTCATGGAACAAAATAGGGCTTAATAGATGAATGTTAAGATAAGTCAGCTTCCCTTATGTAACTGCTAGCCCTATTTCTTGTGATATTAAGATGTGCTTAGTATATTTTTGTTTTAAAATTTGGAAGTTCTTACTAAGATAATCATGTTGCAGTCATGCCAAACTGAATTGCCTAAAAAGGAACCTGTTTTGACCTCTATGACTTTAAAAATCTCTCCTTTAATCAAGCTTCCCTGGCTCTCTCCTGAGGATTTATCGGAAGAACTCTATTTTGGCTAACATGCAGCAGTGAAGATTAGCTGGGCTTATGTGTGAAGTTAGTCAAATTAAAAGAAAAGGAAAAAGGCTGAGGAGAAAATTAAAATTGAAAATGTAAATGGTACTTATGATATTGGAGTTGTGCTTTGATGGACTGCCAAAGTAATGTGTTGTAAGTTGGTGAAGTGGGTCAATATGGGCTGAGTTGTTATTGATGAGTTTTAAAAATCTTTAAGAGTCCCTTAAAATTTGTGTATAAATCTTGGAGTATCTCACCACAAGTTGGAGTGACTTCTGCACAAAGAGCCAAATTGCCTTTGCATTTTTCCATTTTTCTTTTTTCTTTTTTTATTTTATTTTATTATTATTATACTTTAAGTTTTAGGGTACATGTGCATAATGTGCAGGTTAGTTACATATGTATACATGTGCCATGCTGGTGTGCTGCACCCATTAACTCATCATTTAGCATTAGGTATATCTCCTAATGCTATCCCTCCCCCCTCCCCCCACCCCACAACAGTCCCCAGAGTGTGATGTTCCCCTTCCTGTGTCCATGTGTTCTCATTGTTCAATTCCCACCTATGAGTGAGAACATGCGGTGTTTTGTTTTTTGTTCTTGCGATAGTTTACTGAGAATGATGATTTCCAATTTCATCCATGTCCCTACAAAGGACATGAACTCATCATTTTTTATGGCTGCATAGTATTCCATGGTGTATATGTGCCACATTTTCTTAGTCCAGTCTATCATTGTTGGACATTTGGGTTGGTTCCAAGTCTTTGCTATTGTGAATAGTGCCGCAATAAACATACGTGTGCATGTGTCTTTATAGCAGCATGATTTATAGTCCTTTGGGTATATACCCAGTAATGGGATGGCTGGGTCAAATGGTATTTCTAGTTCTAGATCCCTGAGGAATTGCCACACTGACTTCTACAATGGTTGAACTAGTTTACAGTCCCACCAACAGTGTAAAACTGTTCCTATTTCTCCACATCCTCTCCAGCACCTGTTGTTTCCTGACTTTTTAATGATTGCCATTCTAACTGGTGTGAGATGGTATCTCATTGTGGTTTTGATTTGCATTTCTCTGATGGCCAGTGATGGTGAGCATTTTTTCATGTGTCTTTTGGCTGCATAAATGTCTTCTTTTGAGAAGTGTCTGTTCATATCCTTTGCCCACTTTTTGATGGGGTCGTTTGTTTTTTTCTTGTAAATTTGTTGGAGTTCATTGTAGATTCTGGATATTAGCCCTTTGTCAGATGAGTAGGTTGTGAAAATTTTCTCCCATTCTGTAGGTTGCCTGTTCACTCTGATGGTAGTTTCTTTTGCTGTGCAGAAGCTCTTTAGTTTAATTAGATCCCATTTGTCAATTTTGTCTTTTGTTGCCATTGCTTTTGGTGTTTTAGACATGAAGTCCTTGCCCATGCCTATGTCCTGAATGGTAATGCCTAGGTTTTCTTCTAGGGTTTTTATGGTTTTAGGTCTAACGTTTAAGTCTTTAATCCATCTTGAATTAATTTTTGTATAAAGTGTAAGGAAGGGATCCAGTTTCAGCTTTCTCCGTATGGCTAGCCAGTTTTCCCAGCACCATTTGTTAAATAGGGAATCCTTTCCCCATTGCTTGTTTTTCTCAGGTTTGTCAAAGATCAGATAGCTGTAGATATGCGGCATTATTTCTGAGGGCTCTGTTCTGTTCCGTCGATCTATATCTCTGTTTTGGTACCAGTACCATGCTGTTTTGGTTACTGTAGCCTTGTAGTATAGTTTGAAGTCAGGTAGCATGATGCCTCCATTTTTCTACATACCAATTGAGAAGCAATTCTCCATAGATCTCTTGCATTTCTATATGTCTTTCTAAGAAAGGCACAGACTTCTTGTGTCCTATACTGTGTTTTTGAGGATATTTGTATAGTGAACAATCTTGGAAGATATAGAGTCTTTCTCTCCCCTGTCTCCCCCTCGCTTTTAACTTCTGGAGCAGAGGTTTAAGTCTGTGTACAACCTTGGAAGATAGTGTCTTCCTTTCAGAGTAAAGGCATGCTTACTGCCCATTATAAAAGATTGGGTTCCCTAAGCTTAATATTTCTTCTTTCTAATACAACCTACTGTAAGTGCAGGCACCCATCTGGGCCTAATCTGGTCACTCTTCTGGGACTTGGGTATAAGGAAGAACTGATTGTTAAAATGCTGATTATCAGGCCAGGCACAGTGGCTCATGCCTGTAATCCCAGCATTTTGGGAGGCTGAGGCAGGTGGATCACCTGAGGTCAGGAGTTTGAGATCAGCCTGGCCAACATGGTGAAACCCCATCTCTACTAAAAATACAAAAATTACCCAGGCATGGTATGGTGCACGCCTATAATCCCAGCTACTCTGGAGGCTGAGACATGAGAATTGCTTGAACCTGGGAGGTGGAGATTGCAGTGAGCTGAGATTACACCACTGCACTCCAGCCTGGGTGACAGAGCGAGACTCCATCTCAAAAAAAAAAAAAAATTGCAGATTGTCATGCCCTGCTTACTGTACAATAAGTAATAAAGTTCTTTGTATGTGACCTAGGAGTATGTCTTTTACCAGTTTCAATGAATATGTCAGGCGCTTGCAATAGAGCAAAATCTCAGACCCTTCATGGTTCTTGATGGTTTTTGATCATGAGGATGGGATGCTGACAGACACATAGCTTTCTGGAAGAGGAGGAGGGCTTTGGGGCTCATTAACAGGATTCATAGGAAGTCCTTAGTAATTGTTAGCAAGCATGTTGACCAAATTTCATGATCAACCTGATGATACATGGTCCTCAACTTCATTGCCTGTTAATGAGGAGCAAATGGGGCAGTGGTTGCAGGCCAAGTATCAGAAAGTAGGTCCAGTGATAGTTACCCAAATGGTTCCTTGTTTTTTGCTAACCCTTTTCTGGGCGTTTGGAGAGGTGTTTCCTCACCAGTTTGCCAGTTAGCTTCAAGTCCACCCCACTATAACAATTAGTACTAAGATATATCCTGAGTGGGCTGAAGGGTGTACCTTCTTAGACAATAGGTGAATCATTAGAACTTTGGCTGTTTTGCTTGGGACATATGGTGGCAGGGCACATCATGGTTGTTAAGGAACATGGGCAACAAGTGGGCTATTTTATGGCTCAGCTCCTCCTGGCAGTCTGTCATGCCAGACTTAATATCCATTCAGAGAAAATAATAAAGGATTGTTTTTTTTCCAGTGGGTCTTGGTTGCTTTCAGAGAGCATTGGCATCTCAGGGATATATCCCTGAGACAAACTCCTGTGGGAAGGGATAGAAGAGGCATTAACTAGTATTTGGTCTTTTACTGCCCTGAATTGAGTTTACCGTTCTGATGAAGGCGACCTACTGAAGAATGAGAAACTGACCCAGAGAATTCTAGATAAATTCTTGGAGTTGGCCCCCCAACCTTGGAAAAGTGCTCTACCTTTTATGTTAAAACCGGGCCAGAACTTAAGAGATATTTCTTGGTACTGGTGAAGATGCTGTCAATTAAGATGAACTCCTAAAAAAAGAAAAATGTCAATGTAAGTCAAGCTAGAGTCAGACAAAGGACACAAACCCAGTGGCTTCAGTCTGAAGACCATGTGTCCATGGTTACTGAGTCAAAGGGTCCCCAATGCCAAAACATTGTCGGATTTTGCTTTGTTTTGGGGACCAAAATCATTGGAATTTCATTTATTTGAGCTCCAAGCAGCTGCTATACTAAATACTAAAAGTAGATGTAAAGCCTTGCATACTGGCATGGAGCCTCCCACTCCAACCCCATGTTCCCTTGTTTCTCCCTCCACCTTTAACCTGACCTCAGTGGCTTTAAGGAGAAAGATGATTAGGGATGGGGCCCAGGACTCAGCCACCACATGTACCCATCTGAATATGCTGGGGGACTTTATAGGAGAAAGGGGCACAAACTTGTATGGCTGTGTTGAATACAGGTGCCCAGTTCACCATCTTACACAGTCCTGTGGGGGAAGGGTCCACTCGGTTTCAACTGATAGGGTTTGGGCAAGGTTCATAATAGGAAAGGAAAGTTAACATGACCACAGGTCAACTTGTGGGTATGACCTGTTGAACCAATTTAATGCACCGTTGTTCTTTTTGCATCTGAATATATAGCAGAAAAATGACATGTTATATGCTTGAACTTTTCTGCCCTATAAGTGCTAGAGCCCAACCAGAAAGAGCCCCATTTAGATAGGTACTAGTGTCTTTAAGGCTACAGAAACCTAATGATACCTTTGAGCTATAGAATATCCTGTAACTGATTACTTTGCTGATTGGAGACTCTGGTAAAAGGAGATACCCTTCATCCAGAGGTGCCCTTGGAGTTTTGGATGCCTGGACTCCTTGACATGGCTGGCCAGATACACGGCTTCTGAAAAACAACTAAGTATTAGCTACTACTGATATGGACAGGAGGCAGGGAAATACTGGGTAGAAGAGGGCAGCGCCCTGACAAAGGCCCCACCCTCAAGCCTGAAAACCCACGGCCCTAATTGGGAACAGGCATTCCTGTTTTTGTGCCCAAATGTTGCCTTTTGGCCTGCCATGCCCCCTTATCCTGTACCCATATAAACCCTAAACCCCAGGCTCCACAAGCAGAAGAGTGGCAGAGAAGGAGAGAAGAGAAGGAGCATCTGAACATCAAGAGGAGTTTGGCTGGAGATGGTTGGAGAGGAGATTGGTTGCAGGATGGCTGAACTGCAGGGGAAGATCATCTTCCCACTCCATCCCCTTTACAGCTCCCCATCCATCCCGCTGAGAGCCACCTCTACCACTCAGTTAAAGCCCCGTATTCACCATCCTTCAAGTTTGTGTGTGACCTGATTCTTCCTGCATGCTGGACAAGGACCCGGGTATCAAGAGGGCAAGGTGTAAAAGGCTGTCACCCTGACTCTCCACTGAGCTGGTTTAACACTTAGCTGTCCACAGACGGCAACTGCTAAAAGACCATTAATCGTAACACAGTCCTAGATGCTACCGTGGGGCTGGAGCCCAAAAGCGCTCGCCCAGCTCCTGCATCTGCCTGTCTGCATGCTCCCCTTCCCGTAAGGGGTTTGAGCACACCCCTGTCACAAGTTCCACGAAGGAGTCAGGCAACTCTCCTGTTTCACTACTGGGCTTCTGTCAAAACTGAACACTTAAGCCAGCTAGCCTGCTGTTCCCTTTTTGGAGTAGATCAAACAGACCTCATGACTACTAAAGTGGAAAGGGCCCAACTAGCCTTGCTTGTCATATAAAATCATTATATGTAATAATCATTAATGCAACAGACCTACCCTCAATGACATCTTGGATTTACATGAAAAAGTGGCAGCTAATCCTTTGGGGGAAAACTTTATCATCCATTCTGCTGCCTGAAACAAAGCCCCTGGCTCAGCACCCTTGTTTCATAAAGGTTACATATAGGGGCTTTAAAAATACATTTAGGTGGCATTTAGGAGATTCCTCAAAATGCCTGTTGCTTCTTTCACTGATAGATTGGCTAAGCTGAAAACCAGTGCCATTTCAATGGACTGCAATGGCTGTTCAACCTCAGTGCCAGGTAAGCAGAACTGAAAATGGAAGTAGTTGGTCTGGTCATTAAGTAGAATTCAAGGCCATTCTCAAAGCTCTGACCAATACCCTCCTTGAGGAGCCTTGTTATGTTTTTACTGACTGTTAGGTTGTTGCTAAAGACCTGTGGTTTGATCCACCACTTGGAAAAGTAGAGATTTGCAGATTGAAGACATCCTTCCTTAGGGGCTTCAAACAGTGGAAACAAATTGTGGCGGCTGATAGAACTGTCGGGGTCACTCATATTGACATCCATTTTAAAATCTCATTCTCTGATGAGACCAGCTAGAATCACTCGGTTAGCTAGCACCATCCAGATTGCCATCATTGCTGCCTGGATCCATTATTGTACTGGACATGGCAACACATCCGCTGTTATAGACAGGACACAAGTAAAGTACTTGATGTTTCTGATGCAAAGGCTACCATTTGGTGCTAGACTTGTGACTCCTGCCAAAAGTCGACCTTGTTGCCTCTTGGTAAGGACGAACACACTGCATGGGGTGTTGTCTCCACTACTCCTGGCAGATTGATTACCTCAGACCTTCCTCCACCCCTCTTTAGAGCTATTGGTTGTTCATGAATACTATTGACACTTTCTCAGGTTACAGGCTTGCTGTTCCAGTGCAATCATTTGACTCCAGCCACACCACTTTGGCCCTTGAAACTAATCTGTGTCATGTGTTTGGCTTTCTGGACCATTTGGTATGACAATGATACGCCTTTTATTGCTAAAGCCACTCAATCATGGGCTACAGTCAAGACATTTGACAGACTTTCCATACTTCCTGCCATCCACAGGCATCTGGAATCTATGAGCTTTGAAATTTGCTCTACATTTGTTCTATATTTTCTCTGGCAGCCCTTTACCAAACCTTCACAGAAAGACTCAGCACATTGCTCCAAAGTTACCTCTCAACAGGGCAGTCTTCTGTTCTTTGTGGGATGCATAAGTCTTTTAATTGATGGTTTTAACTCAGACAATTGGTGATTAATAGTTTGAGTCTCAGGCCAAGAAGATTTTCCAAAACCAGCACCTGAGAGAGTTGTAACAATCGGTTGAAAAGGACCACTTTACCTAGTATGCTTTATTATTGATGTTGAAGCAGGCAAATAAATATTCTAGTTGACGTATTATCTTCAATTTTCTTTCTCTTTACATTTTTCTATAGATTCCAAGAGTGTTAATTTTTTTTTCTATTTTAATGTCAATTGTTGTTCCTCTGTATTAGTTGTATGTGTTACTCTATTTTTCCTGTAATACATGTTCTAAGGCTTGTCTATTGGTGATTGGTTGATGTCTATGGGAGTTCCATGCATGGATTTAAATAATGACAAAGGAATTTATAGTCTGGTTGGGGTGATGAGACCTACACATAAAAAGATAGTTAACACAAAGTAGAATGAATTAAGTACACAGGAGAAGCCTCAATGGAGTTTGGAAGGATGAGAATTTTCTTCAGAGTAGAATATTTAATAAAGATTTCACAGAAGATGTGGTGCTTAAGCCAGAACATTACAAATTTTTTAAAAATTCAGTTAAGTGGAGAGAGGAAAGAAGCACATTTCAGATTGGGGGTGTTATGTGAATAGTGTGAGGAAAGTTCAGATGTGAGAATGTGTGAGTCAAGTTCAGAAGATGATAGGTACTAACTAGACTTAACTAGAGGGAAGGGTTCATGTGTATGATGGTGGGAAAGGACTTTGAAAAAGGTAGGCTGGGGTCATGTTGCAAAAGACCTTGAATGTCAGTCTAAAGAATTTGTATTGGACTGGGCATGGTGGCTCATGCCTGTAATCCCAGCACTTTGGGAGGTGGAGGTGAGCACATCACTTGAGGCCAGGAGTTCGGGACTAGCCTGGCTAACATGATGAAACACCATCTCTACTAAAAAATACAAAAATTAGCTGGGCGTGGTGGCACACACCTGTAATCCCAGCTGCTTGGGAGGCTGAGGCAGGAGAATCGCTTGAATCTGGGAGGCAGAGGTTGCAGTGAGCCAAGATTGTGCCACTGCACTCCAGCCTGGACAACAGAGCAAGACTTCATCTCAAAAAAAAAAAAAAAAAAAATAGACAATAGAAAGTTGTCATGGGACTAAAGATTTGAGAATAGGGACTGATTTCAGAAAGGTGATTTGGGGTGTCAGTTGCAGTGGCTCACGCCTGTATTCTCAGAGCTTTGAGAGGCTGAGGCCGGAGGATCACTTGGGGCCAGGATTACGAGACCAGCGTGGGCAACATAGTGAGGCCCTGTAATTACAAAAATAAAATGGGCCAGGTGTAGTGGCACATGCCTGTAGTGCTAGCTACTCAGGAGGCTGAGGTGGGAAGATCACTTGAGCCCAGGAGTTCAAGGTTACAGGAAACTGTGATTATGCCACTGCACTCCAGTGTGGGTGACACAGTGAGATGTGGTCTCAAAAAAAAAAAAAGTGATTTTGGCAATGGAGTGTAGGATGTGTTTGAGACAGGCCAGGAGGTAAATAAACAGTCCATGTGAGAATCTGAACCAACAGTGGGAATAGACAATAGAGACAGATGGAAGACATTTTACTCATCTATTCATTCATTCAACAAATATTTTGTCCTCATTGGTATGCTAGGCACTACAGGGTCAAAGATTAGAAATGATAATCCCTACCTGGAAGAAGCTTGGAACCTTCAGTAGTTGTAGAGATAAATAATCCTAGCAAGGCATCAAGTGCAGTGAGATACAGGGGGCCCTATGGGAACATGCAGGCAAGGAATCCAGCCTGCCCTGGGGCTGGGGCGTGGGAGATGGTTCCAAGAGGAGGTGTTTCCTGAATTGCCTTTTGAAGTTTTTATATTGGGTTTAATAACTGTATTGTGAGATATATTATTTATACCAAAGAGTGCATAAAGCATAAGTACAGTTTAATGAATAATTACACAGGGACATCCCTACAGCACCATCCCTGAAGTGAGTTTGGAAGGGTAGGTAGTAGTTAGCCAGGTTAAGCTGGGGAAAGATCCGGGAGGAGGTAATGATGTGTGAGGCAGAGGACATAGCAAAGGAATAGAGAGCATGGTATGTAGGGAAACTGCATGCAGTTCATGGTCACTGAAGTGTGAACTGGGGATCAACAATATAAAGTCAGAGAGTAAGGCAGGAAGGGGTTTGCATTTCTGCTTGATTACCTTGGGCATACTAACCCACTCCCCCTACCCTGGATTTTCACTAGGGAAGCCATATTATCAGACTTGGTCAGGCCATCACTCTGATGATAGTGGTTTGTCATGGAGGTAGATATGAATAGAAGCTGGAATGCTGATCAGAAGATTGATGCAGTCATCCAGGTTAGAGAACAGTGGTAGTAGGGATTCAATGGAGAAATATTTAGAAGGTGAGTGAGCAGGCAGGTCCTGGTAGTTGGGAACCAGATGAGGAGTCAGGGATGATATCTGAGATTCCAGCTAGGGCACTGAGTGGGTACAAACTGGAATAGATGATAATGGGAAAAGGATGAGTTTAGGTTTGGACATCCTGAACAAGAGGAGCCTATGGTACAAGCATGAAGAACTGCATAGCAGGCTTTTGAGTATCCAAGAGCAAAGCCAGGCAATGATTACTTATGCAAGAAGCAGAAGATCCCTGTATGGGACAAAAAACAAAACAAAACAAACAGAAAACCACTGAGTCAAGACACATTGTACAGCTCCAAGATTCCTTCTGTGCCGTTTTCCCCCAGCATGATATATATATTTGGCAAAGAGAATTGACATGACCCAATACTCTTGAGACTGGATCAGGCCATTCCAAGTTTATTACAAGAAATTTATACTAGAATTACTTAATGAGATAAAATTTCTCCACTGTGCCACTTGAAGCTGCGAGAATAACACTGGCTTTGGGTGATGTGCTTCTGCCCAAACTGGATGGGTGGACGTGCTCTATTTGCCGTATAAGTTAGTGAGCTACATTGTAGAGTTAGGATGTAAAGAAATTGATAAGCTGTTGTTAGTTGTCTCTAAGAAAAACCTGCTAAAGAAATACGCAGGCTGCCGCTGTTTGGGCTCCAGACGCAGAAAAAGAAAAACCCAAAGGGTTTTCCTTTCCTCTCATCCTTTAAAATTAAAAATACTTCCCCTTCCTCTCTCTTATTAAGTAACTACATAATACCTTTCAGGCAGCAACATAAAAATTACAGAGTAGGCCAGAATATGGGGAAATTTTTAATTAAATCTGGGGTTTCATTTGTTTTTTAATTTATTAAAAAATGCTTGGCCAAAAAAAAATCCCAATTTCCCTCTGCCCCCCTTTTTATATATCCTTATGCATTTGGCAGAGCTCATGACAATGTCTTTCCACCTGTGGACCGGCCAAAAGCCTTTTCTGAAGCTCCTACTAATTTGGATTAAACTGACTGGTTAAAAGCTTCACACAGAAATGCTGCCAGGAAAGTCATGAGGTCTGATGACATTTAAGTCTACAGTCTTATCTTTTGGACCAAAATAAATGAACAAAGATCTAGTTTTTGATCTTGCATTTGTTAGCTTGTTTTCTCTCTTAGTTTTGGAGAAACAGATCAAGAACCTGAAAACAGGAGAACCATGTTTTTGCCTCCAGTCTGTCTTTCTGAACCCAAAGAGAAGCTCTTTCATGATCCTAAGTGGGTTCCTAAGGAAACAAGAAGGGCAGGACTGGTGCTGTGTGATGAATCAGCTTTCTGGGGAAGACCTGACCCATTTCTGCTAGGGGTAAATGGCCCAGAAGACTTGCTCCTATGGCGGGGGATGTCACCTGATGCATTGGAACCTAAGGCTAGACCTTGAAGTGTACCAAGTTCATCTCTGTGTCCTTTTTTTTTTGCCTCTCAACAAGGAATTAGACATAGTCCTATCCTCAATGAGCTCATGGTCTGGAGGATGGCGGTGGTATGAAACAAAGAGGTAAGTAGTCAGTTAAAATAGTGTGATCCGTCTTTCCACAGGGCAAGCCCAGTGTGAGTCTAAGAGGAGCACCTAGCCACTTCTAACAGTGGTAGTGTATTAACCATGTGTTTCTGATGTTTTGACATCTGGGGCTTTGCTGACCCTGGAGAGACCAGAACCAGCCAATTCCTAGAGATAAAGGTTTCACCTTCCTTCAAGTGTGTCTTTTATAGAAACTAAACAGTCCAGAGTCCACTCACTCTATTTCCTCTTTTATACAGCTTTTATGCTTTGGGTCACTATTTCTCAGACCTAATCACTTTTGGGCCAGGTACCAGGTAACTTAGGGACAACCCCTATACCCCAGAGCCTGCTGAGATTATTCAAACTAGCTAATCCTATGCCTGCTTATCCTGCCTTACCTGTTCCTTCCTCTGGAAACCACAATAAAGGCTCTTGTCCACATTTTCCCCTCCCCTCTGCCTCCTGAACGACCCTGGTCCTTCCCCACATGGCCCTGCATGGCGTGGTGTGTCCTCTCGAGAGCTTCGAGGAACAAACTGTCTTTTCAATTAAAATTGTCTTGTGATCTGTTGGTCTCACCATACCTGAATAATAATAAAACCTACATTTAAAAACACGTGAGAGAGGACTGGATCAAGGAAGAAGCCTGAGAGATGACATCTAAGTTAACCCCTAAAGAAGTGGAAGTTGCGTGATCATGTCAGGGGGTGAGGGCGGGAAGGGGGATTCCAGGCAGAGAGAATAGCACTGGAAAAGCATATTTGGGTAACAGTTCAACTAGTTGGTGTGCCAGGAGCTAAATGCATTAGCCAAAGAGGAGAAATGAAGCTGGACAGGTCATGAGAGCCAGATCCTAAAGGACTCATACGCCCTGCTGCAGAATCTGCACTTAATTCTGGGAGAAGCCCACTCCCTGTGACCTCCTCTCCCCTTTGGTAATGCCAAGGCTCTTTGGGAAGTTTTAATTTCTTTCAAAATGGTGTCCTTGGCTGAAGTGCTTGAGTTCCTTGACAAAGGGTGCCTGTAAAGAGGGAGTCTGTGGCTTTGCCTTTGCTCCAGGGTCTGTTTCTGCCTTGGTTCTAGGTCTCAGTTAATGCTGTCTTCTAAGTTGGGTGAATTGCATAGCTGAGGCTGCTTGAATTAAGGCATTGACACCACAAAGCTTCCATTTCCCCATCTATAGAGCCCCCCTAGGTGCCCAGTTACACTGTGGTAAGAGATTGCCCAGATAAGTACAGTAGAAACCTTCCTGACCCTGACTGACAGATACTTGCTCCAGAGCCAAGAAACAGTCACATGTTGGCCTCCTGCACCGAGGGAGATGATTTTTATTGATTTCGCTCTTCACACAGTGCTGACGGTGTAGGCCTGCTGAAGAGCAAGCTGATGAAAATAAAGATTGTGGGTTGCCAGCTCATGTTTGTCCTTATCTCCAAGGCAAAATACAAACACTGTTTCAGGGAGCTGCTTCTCCGCTCCAAGACAAATGAGCTGTTGAAGTGTCATGATTTTAAAATCTGGTGATATACATAAAGGATATTTTACTGATCAACCTCAAGGAATCTGTCATAAATAAAAAATAGTTTGTGATTCAAGCACTGTTGCCTATTTCAGAACTTCACCTTGGAGCCCACTCTGCTGTCTTCTGAGACACAGGGTGCTCCCTGAAAGAAAACAGCTCAGAACTCCCAACACGTCTCTTTCGCATCTTTCCTTGAAGATTCTTACCAAGAGCAACCAGGCTTTTTGAGTCACCATATGCTGACGAACATTTTTGTTGTTTTTTGAGACAGGGTCTGGCTCTATAGCCCAGGTTGTAGTGTAGTGGTGCAGTCTTAGCTCACTGCAGCCACAACTTCCTGGGTTTAAGCAATCCTCCCGCCTCAACCTCCTGAGAAGCTGGGACTACAGGCACATGGCACTTCACTCATCTAAGTTTTATATGTTTTGTAGAGACAGGGTTTCTCCATGTTGTCCAGGCTGGTCTTGAACTCTTGGGCTGAACTGATCCCCTTGCCTCGGCCTCCCAAAGTGCTATGATTACAGGCATGAGCCACTGTGCCTGGCCTTTACGACCTTTTAAAAACCCATTACTAATGAGGATGAGAGGAAGGACAGCATGGAATCCTCTAGCCCTTGCTTGTGGCCCGCCTGGTTTTCTCTAACACTCCCTGCCTGCTTCTCCTTCACTATTTACTGCATGCCTGGCATATGCCAGCCAGCAACCACTATGAACATCAGATGAATAAAAGATACATGTCTTATGTTGAACAGTTGTACACAGTTCTTGGTTAAACTCATTTTTGTTAAATTGTTAAGAACTCATTTATTCTGAGTCCCAAACTCTGGCACTTAAAAATAAAAAATAAAAAACAAGACTATACCACTTTCAATACACTGTTCTCTGGATGACGTACTGGGTGAGATTGGGAAGGGCAGAGAGGTTTTATGGGGTGCAACATCTGATCATAAAGGAATTGACGTTTTTTCCCTTTAGTATATACGATTTCTTTGTATGACTAAACCCGTTTCTTTGTTTATGTTTCCTCCCATAAAGTTCTACAGCCATCTTTTTCATGCTTCCTCAGTGTTCTATAAAGTTCTATAGTCCATTTTTAAAGCTTTTTATTTAAATTTTTTGAATAAGCAATAAATTTACATGGTTTGAAATTCAAAACAGTTCAAAAGCGTATACCCAATGAAAAGTTTCCCTCTTTCTTCTTCTCCTTCTCGTGGGTCTCTGAGACACCCAGCTCCCTGCCTTGAGACAACCACTGTCACAGATGGCTTAGCTCAATGTCAAACAATACAAGAGAGTCCCAATGTGAAGCCATCATTGAAGCACCCATGTGAAACAATGGCAAAAGCAAAGAACCAGGAGTAAGATGTCCCTTCCCAGTCCTCCCAGGACAGCTCTGAATTCATCTTTGTCTTATTTCGCACTGTTAACATAAGATAATAACCTTTCCTTAGCTATCTCTCTTGGAATGAGAACTATTGGGATGATTTGTATGAATGCATTTGGAAAAGTTTATAAGGGTTATAAAGACTAAGGAAGAGAAAACACAGAGCCTAAAACTAAATCCATTAGGCGAGGAGTTGAATCATGGTAAGGAGTCAAATTGTTCAAGATGTTGCCCAAGAAGTCCTTTTATTTGATTTCAAAGCTTCCACTGCTGAGATGTGGGGAGGTTATTGGGCCAATAGGGAAGGATAAAAGGTAGATTTATTTTCTGCCAGTTTTCAGATCCTCTCTTGAATTCTGCCATCACCTAGCCAGAAGCGGTAGCCTCTCTTAGGTGCATACCTAAGCAAAGAATGTGACCTCCTTTGCAGCCTCCTGATTGGCCACCTTTGGGGTCAGCTGAAGCTTATTTCCTGGGCTACTCAACTCCTTTCTTGTTTGTAGAGTGGTTTCCCATCAAGTAAAGACTTAGGCCAGGCGTGAAAGTTGGGAGAAAATACAGACTGCTGTAAGGCTATTACTTCAGGACTGATGTCACCATCCTCCTTGAGGCAGAGCTTGCCATTTACTTCAGAGGAAGTTTTGCTTGGGAAGGAATGCAGACTCTGATGTGCGGTTAAATGTGCATGTGTGAAGGGGAACTGGCCTGATAGCTGGGGGCTGGAGCCCTTCTTTATCCACAGAAGATAGGAAGCAAAGAACGGTGATAACGTGGCTTTCACTTCTGTGTGCCTCCACCTGGCCCCAAAGCTGTGTCTATTGAGATAGGAGCTCTGGGTTGGGCCCACTGAGGCTTTCTTGGTGCAGTAATTATGGAAGGGATCAATGTCCTTCTGTTCAGTGAACTCTGGTGCAATTTTATCAAAGGAACCCTAAGCCTATGCCTTTTGTATGTTTCTTCCTTTTTTAAGTGACAATTATTTATTTGCAGAGGCCCAGTAAATAATAAACTTGTCTTGAGCATTATCTTTCTTTTGCAAAGCAGCCTGAGCAAAGCTGCAGGATTTCTGGGAGAGAGTTCAAGGTTGACAAGCCTTTGCGGCTCTCCTCTCTTCCTCTTTCCTCTCACCTAGTCCTCCATGGCAAGAAGTAATCTGATGGTGTCTATGGTTGTCTTGATTTTCTGATGCCAGGAATTGAATTGAATTCTTATGTCTTAGGTTATCTTTGAAGCTACTTATCTCTGTATTAGGGAAAAGTCAGTACTTTTTGAAAAATCAATGTCGATGAATTATGGTGGGATATTTGGCTGGAGGCACTGATTGTATTAGCTGCCCTATTAGGGGATGTCTAGAGAAACTTCAAGTACCCTATTGATTGGAATGGATTAGTGGCTTTATGGTCAGTGTTGAATGTAAATCAGAGCTCTGAACACTATAATTCTGTAATTTGAGGAGAAATCATTCTGTCCAATGAACCAAACAGGCTTGGTTAAATAAGTTGCTTGAAATTCACTGAGACCAGAAGCTTTGTAATATGTTTGGCAACCATTAAAATAGTTAAAATGCTTCTGCCTAGGCGGTAATTAGTCTTCAGGAAAACACAGAAAATGTGTCATCTACACCACTGCCTTCAGTCCGTCAAACACGGCGTCTGCGTGTGAGTTGGTTTTAGCATTTTGACAGCACTGGGGCTCAAGGAACCTAGGTCAAGACCTAATGGCCTAAGAGATTACCTCTTCATTGCCTTTGTCTTCAGAGTCTTTCTATTAGAGCAGCTTTGCTAAAGGGCTGGCAAGGATTGGAAGGCTTAGCTAGACAGCTCCATCTCCCCAGTGGTATTTCTTTTTTTCTTTTTCTTTTTTTTTTTCAATTATATAAGTTCTGGGATACATGTGCAGAATGTGCAGCATTGTTACATAGGTATACACATGCCATGGTGGTTTGCTGCACCCATCAGCCCGACACTACATTAGGTATTTCTCCTAATGCTATCCCACTCCTAGCCCCCCACCTCCCGACAGGCCCCAGTGTGTGATGTTCCCCTCCCTGTGTCCATGTGTTCTCATTGTTCAACTCCCACTTATGAGTGAGAACATGCGGTGTTTGGTTTTCTGTTCCTGTGTTAGTTTGCTGAGAATGATGATTTCCAGCTTCATCCATGTCCCTGCAAAGGACATGAACTCCTCCTTTTTTATGGCTGCATAGTATTCCATGGTGTATATGCGCCATATTTTCTTTATCCAGTCTATCATTGATAGGCATTTGGGTTGGTTCCAAGCCTTTGCTATTGTGAACAGTGCTGCAATAAACATACATGTGCATGTGTCTTTATAGTAGAATGATTTATAATCCTTTAGTTATATACCCAGTAATGGGATGGCTGGGTCAAATGGTATTTCTAGTTCTAGATCCTTGAGGAATCGCCACACTGTCTTCCACGATGGTTGAACTAATTTACACTCCTACCAACAGTGTAAGAACTGAAGGAGATAGGGACACCAAAAACCCATCAAAAAATCAATGAATCCAGGAGCTGGTTTTTTGAAAACATTAACAAAATAAATAGACCGCTAGCCAGACTAATAAGAAGAAAAGAGAGAAGAATCAAATAGACACAATAAAAAATGATAAAGAGGATATCTCAACTGATCCCACAGAAATACAAACTACCATCTGAGAATACTGTAAGCATCTCTATGCAAATAAGCTGGAAAATCTTGAAGAAATGGATAAATTCCTGGACATATACATCCCCAGTGGTATTTCAAAAGGATAGGGCCCACGGAGATGACTGAGCTGGCTGGATTTTGTTACTGTACCTCTATACCTCAGAGAGGCCTAGGAGCCTGCCTTGGGTTTTGAGATTATTCTCTTGTATTCCCCTGGAGACTGAATCGAAGAATGAATTGGCTCCTTGCACCTCTTCTCTCTCTCTACTTATCTTTTTTTTTTTTTTTTTTTGTAGAGACAGGTTCTTGCTATGTTACCCAGGCTGGTCTCAGAATCCTGGCCTCAAGTGATCTTTCCGCCTTGGCCTCCCAAAGTGCTAGGTTAACAGGCATGAGCCACTGCACCCAGCCTACCTCTACTCTTTATTAGGACACTTAGTCTCCCTGTCAATGCCCAGGAGTTGGAACAAATAACAGCTTTACTATAAACTGAGTTAGTTACTAGATTTTTGAGTTTCTATCCTCTCTAAGATTCTGGACCCTGAAAGATCCCAGAGTTGATGCATGCCAAGACCAAATCACACTGTTCAGGGTGATCCTCCTTACTCTCCTGATATACTTTGGACTGGGCATTATTTGGCTAAAAGGAGTATCTGTGGCAGCTTTTATAAACAACAAAAGCATGACCAGCAAGAAAAGCAGTTCATGGAAGGCAGAGGCTGGGAGTGAGAGATTCACTTAGCTGCAGTACTTATATTAATCATTACTAGTATATGCTAAGTATCTGACATTGTGATAAGTGCATTTTATGTGACCTTTAATCTTCATAACCATTTTATGTCCTAGGAATTATTATATCAATTTTGTAGATGAAGAAATGGAAATTCACAAAGCTTAAGCAACTTGAGGTGTTTAATAGTGAGTAATATGGAGGTGGGATTTGAACCTATATCTGACTGATGAGATCTGTGCTTCTGACCGTTTTACTCTACTATCAATAGCAATTGGCTTTCATCTCCTCTAGACAGTAAGTACGTTTCTCTAGGATAAAGACCCTGGCCCATTCATCTCAATGTCTAATCATAGTGTCTGGTTGAATGAAATTAAATCCTCCTTCACAAAACCCTGAGGCATTCATTGGCATGGAACTGCATGTCACCACATCCAAAAACAGCTCTGAGGAAATACTCAGAAAATTTATCTGGAGGAAAAGAAGGATAAAAATCATGGTCAATGGAAACGTGGGCAAGAACTGTTTCTGCAGACCATGATGTTGTCACTAGTCTGCTATGCTCCAGCATTCTAGTGAACATGAACTGTCAAGAACCATCAAGAACCAGAGAAAGAGTATATAAACCCCATGAATTTACCTGAAAAGCACGGGGACTTTTCCTCTTCATGAGCAGGTTCTGTTTTATTCTTCCTTTCTTCATGCGGTGGACCTGGTTGCAGGATTTTTATTAGACTTTTTCAATTCAGAATTTTAGGTCAAGAACTCAAATGTCAACATTGAGGATTGTTTTCTCGTAAGTGATAGCTGCTCTATTACAGTCTCTAAAAATAATGTTTCGCCTCAGAATCTGACATCCGCTGTTTCTTTTTAAATTTTATCTTATCACGGGCTCTCTGGCTCAAGCTGTCCACCAGAGAAGTGAAAGGCCAGAGGGGCCTTGCAGTACCCCCACCTCTCCTTCAGGCAACTCAGACCGAGTGTAGTCTAAGAGCCCTGTTGACTCTGCCCTCTCTCCAGAGAGAATAGTCCATTCACGAATGGCTCCATCACTCAGTGCGTATGTGACACAACGCAGATCAAAGGGCGTCACAGCACCCAGAGAGTCTGGGTTGGCCCTGCTCACAGGATGTGGCTAGTCACTGCTGGAGGTGAGGACAAGGCCTGGGCTCTGTCCAGAAGGCACACAATAGCTGAGTTTCAAAGTTTCTTCTTTTTTCTTTTGATTGAGAAATGAATCCCCCAACCCTGATGACAGAACAGTGCCCCATTTGAAGGGCTAGGGGTAAGTCACTATATTAGATTTCTGAGTCTTGCAGCATTTTGAGAACACAACATAGACTACTTGTTGTTTGCTTTTAGATCAGAGAACAAATGCATTGTTTATGTAGTTTCTGTGCTCAGGGATATGGGATCACTGGCATGAGTGAAATACACAAAACTTATTGGAGTGGGCAGTTTCAACTTCCTTCCCCATCAAATCTTTCTAAGAGTTGCCAAAAGGCAAGTGGTTTCTAGGAACTGGAAGTGCTGGTGAGAAGTACAGTGGCTAAAAGAGGGCCCGCATAACAGAAGGGGAGAATCACAGATCCCCACGGGAGCAGAGTCTCAGTCCTCCTGTACTTGGCTATTCAAAGTGTTGGCTATGGACCAGCACATCTGAAGCCCCAGAGCTTTTTAGGAATGCAGGATCTCAGGCCCCACATCAGACCTACCAAAGCAGAATCTTTATTTTAACAAGATGCCCGGGTGATTTCTGTGGATGTTACAATCTGGGAAATATGGTTCCCAACTCAAAACAAGATACCACACATGCTACAGCTATTGTCTGCTGGCAGAGAAGAAAGATAGCTAAAGTCATTAATATAGTTCTTAAACTTTTGTTATTTAGGTGAATTATTTGTTTATTTAAAGTAAAATGGCCTGCTTTCTCTGAAATCATTTGTCTTGCCTCTCAGTAAATTGCTGTTTTAAATTCACAGGCTTCCTTACTTTCTACTTGCATGACAGTTCTCAGAATGAATTAAGGATCAGTCAATTTTTTTTTTTTTTTTTTTTAGCTATTAATACCTGTAAACAGTTCAATCTGACATTAGAAAATACTGACTGTTGCTGTTATCTGCCCAGGTGCCTATTTCTCCTTCATTTGGTAATGGCACCTTCCTCGTCAGAAGCCAGCAGGCTGGTGGAGCTGTCTCATATAGTCCTCTCTCCTCCGATGGCCCCTCCAAAGTGAGGTTAACTGGACACCCTCTGATGAAGCTCATTTGCTCTAGCATGCTAGCTGAAAGGACCATTTCCTGCCTCAATCCCAGAGCTTCTGGATCACCATCCTGCCCAAGACCTGGCTCTTCAGCTTTTCCTTTATGCTAGCCTATATCCAGTCTTTTTCAGTTTTGAGACAGGATCTCCTTCTCTCACCCAGGCTGGAGGGCAGTGGCACCATCACAGCTCACTGCAACCTCCACTTCCTTGGCTCAATGGATCCCACCTCAGCCTCTTGAATAGCTGGGACTACAGGTACACGCTGCCACGCTTGGCTAATTTTTGTATTTTCTATTTTTTTTGATAGAGATGAGGTTTTACTATGTTAGGCTTGTCTCTAACTCCTGGCCTCAAGAGATCCGTCCACCTTGGCAGCCCAAAGTGCTGCGATCACAGGTGTGAGCCACCATGCCTGGCCAATATTTTTCATTTTTATTTGCCTAAGGCAACCAGGATCTCTTTCTGTTGATTCAAACCAAAGAATCGTAGCTGAGCAAAGGAATCGAAATATAGTTCATGTTGTGGAAAAATACCAATTTTGTTCTTAAGGCGTAGAGGGAGGGCACTTTTGAATCACTACAACTTTACACTTTGTTATTGTTCCAATTTTATTTACAGGTTTTCTCCCTTGCCTTGAGGTACTTTATTGTAATATGTATATATCTGTGAAAAGACTAATATTGATTAATAATCATCAGAATATAGGTAGCCTACTTTCGTGGCAACTTCAAACTTAACTTTGGTGTGGTTTTATTTTAGCTTTTAAACCTAGGACTTAGGTCTTCAGGTGCTCTTAGAACATTCAAGTGGGTTGAAAATTGGCCCCAAATCAAATAGAACACATGAATGAATAACTTATCAATCTATCATATGGAAAATAGCAATGTTAATACAGGCTAATCCACTTAATGACTGTCAAAAGATATTACTTGACAGGTTTTTAGTTTTATTATTCATAGAGTGGCATAAAAATTCACACATCTTTCCCGTAAATGTGTTTCTTTATTTTTTATTAGTGAATGTAAAGGACTGAAGCTGATGTAAATTTGCTAAATGAATAAATAATACTGCCTTATAAAAAATAAATTGAATCAAGCCTCAAGAACAACTAACATATAGCTCCTATCCTATTTTCAAAATGCTTTTGGAAAAGGATGGCAATGGATTCTGGTGAAACACTGGCTGATTTAATATCCTGTATCATCAGTACTCTTCAGCCATTAAACAATATCATAAATTAATATTTATTGGACATGTTTCATAATAGATAAATAATAAAGGGTATATATCATGTGATCACATTTTATAATCCGTTATTTATAATAATGTTACATATAAGTGAAAGTATTCCAATGTCATATAGTTATCTCTGAGTAGTTTTGCTTTATTTTATTTTATTGACTTGTTTATTTCATTCTAGTGATATGTATTTTATGATTATCAAATACATTTTGCTTTTATAACATGAAAAAAGGAAAAGGCTATTTTTGGTTCAAAATAAGGACTCAGTGGGCTTTGTGCATCAATTAATATGAGAAGATATGTTAAAGTTTAGATATCCAGACTATACCATGTTGTACCATGCAGAGTAGTATAGAAAAACTAAATTTCCCTAAGAATGTGGGAAAAGTCTTACTAGCTTTTATTTTTAATTAACCAAATTCAATGGAACTTAAATTAAGAAAACGTTTCTGTAACAGTTCTGTTTGATTTTGTGAAGAGATCTTACAGTTGGAGATTTTTTTCTAAAAGGATAAATTAAACTTTGTGTTACAACAGACATTTCTGCTTTCTAGACCAGAGCTTCTCAAATGTTAATGTGCAGACGAATCCCCTGGGGATCTTGTGAAATTACAGATGGGTCTGAGGTGAAGCCTGAGATTCTCTGTTTCCATCATGCTTGGAGGTGAAGCCAGCTGCTGCTGATTCATGGGCCATGCTTTGAGAGGCAAGGGTCTCTAGACAGAAGTTGTCATTCCTAATGACTTTGTAAATCACTCTGAGCCATGGAAAAATAAACAATCGGTGAGCAAAAGCTTTTACAGCCCAGGGTAGAAATCTGGGAGGATCCGAGCCTTCTGGGTCTGAAGCTTGAATGTGTCATCAGAGTGGGACTGGGGTCGGAGATCTAGGAGCAAGAGTGAGGCATGGGATGTTGGATCAAAACAGGGAAGTGGGCCGAGGAAGGACCACAGGAGGAGCAAGGCCATGTCACTGATGTTGCTGTGTCCTGCAATATGATTTGGCATCTTACATTTCTGAAGCTGCCATTGCAGGGTTCCTTCAGTCAGTGGATTAGAAGGAGCTAGAGGTTGGCAACCTTTGGTGAGGAGAAGTTAGGAGAATGGTGGGTCGTGAGCACTGGGGGAGGGAGGGAGAAGATGGGGGTGAGCTCTGAGTGTTGGTTCTGACTCATGAGCAAAGGTGGGCATGGGGTGGAGGGAGAAAGCGCACATGCAACAATTTGGGACCCTTGACCTCTGATGTGTCTGAGGGCAGCCCACGTGTCTCTGAAAATCTGCCTGTGAGATGACCGATACCCTGGATTAAACCACAGCTCTGTGGACCCCTTTAAGCACTTGTAAACAGCTCCAGAAGGATTAGTACCTTCTATTCTCAAAACAGGATTCAAATAAATGTAATACACAGCTGCTGGGGTAGCCAAGAGCCTTGGGCTCCTGGATTGAGGCTGTGTAAGGGTAAGTGAGGCAGGAGCTATTAGATCACATTTCCTGACTGACTTGCATTCTGAACTGGAAAGACAGTCTCACAGGAAAAAATTAATTTGCCTCCAAGATAAAAAAAAAAGTCACCACGAAAGATTAGAGACAATTTTGAAACTGTATTTAATAACCATGACAATTTATGGCAAGATAAAAACGCCCAAACCATAAAGTGCAAATACCAGGTCAGACACAGGGTTTCTGTAGGCCAAAAAAAATCATGTAAGTTAGGCCCAGATTCATTGAAAAGGAAGGAGACAGCTCTTAGGCTGCAGATTTATCCTAAGGTCAATGTTTACTTTAAAAATCTGTGATAATTTGTTCCACCCAGAGGTGGTTTTTGTTTTATGTTCCACATCTTAATCATTTGTTTAGCAGCCTTGTTTTATGTTTGTTTAGTTAGAACCTTCTGGTGTGGAGCAAGGATCATTAAAAAGTATAATTAGCTGTAATTACTTAATACTAGAACAGAAACTGCTTTTACTTTAGATGTGTGAGCTGATCCCCCAGGCAGCGTTGGTGATCCTGCTTTGAGTCTAGGAGCATTTCCATTCACAGCTGAGTCCTTATCAGCAGAAGTGTATAGAGCCACCGGATAATATCTCACTCACAAAACGTGAACCATTTGCCTATGAAAATGAGAGCTAAAAAACCAGAGAACTGAATATGAAACTTTTTCTTTTATTGTTAGGTATATAGTTCAACAAGTCTACCTACTAAAAAGGGAATATGTTAGCTAGAGTAGTGTAAAGGAGAGAAGATAATTGGTCAAATAATCTTGTTCTTCTATCACGTGTCCACTGCTGGAGAACTCCTGCCACGATGACGAGGCAGGGCTGGAGTGGGAGCTGAGTCCTGCAGGCTGAGAGGCAACCACAGAGAGCCACGCCTTCAGGCAGCATGTAGGATACCCTCTTCGTGTTTCACTCACTGGTAGTGACCTGCTTTTGGTACATCTGGAGATTTCAAACTTCAAAACCTTATAACCTACACTTTAATTCTGGGGAACTGCTGGCTAAAGTTTGTGGTTAAGCAACCTTGGTTCATTTCTTGACTCCTTCATTCATTAATTATTATGATCTTGAGAAAATGACAGTTTCTCTGTGCCTCAGTTTTCTTAATTGTGAAATGGGAATAATAGAAGTACTTGTCTCCTAGGATTGTGGGAAGAATTATAAAATGAATACTTGCAAAGTATTTAAAACAGTGCCTGATACATAGCAAGTACTCAATAGATAATAACAGAAATTATATTATTACTATTCTTTAGCTGTATACTCTTGGGCAAGTTGCTTTGTTTCTCTGATGTTGTCCTTCAGACGAGATTGGGAGCGTTGAGGGTGGTATGACTGTAGACTGAAGTTGTCCTTCACGTGTACAATGAAAATAATAGTACCTATCGTGAATTTATCATGATCATAAAAGGACCGTTGCTGAGACAGATGCTCAGACTATAGAAAACCGGAGCTCAAATGCTGCTAGACAAAGATGGGAATATCCTCGGTGCCTGCATAGCTATTTACATTTGCATGGGAGCAGAGGCTTCTTAGGGAAAGGCACTAGGGTTCAGACCCTTTCCTTTGTTTGACGGTTGGAGGGAGCAATGATCAAGGCTGGATTGTGAAAGTAGGGGAGCAAGGAAACCCTCTAGAAGAAACTCACTTTGAGCGCCAGGACCAAAGCTGACCTCTGCCTCCAGGCCAGGGTGTGGCTGGATCCTGTGGGGTCAGAACTCATCCTGTCTGGGCCTGGCTGTGAGTGAATCACAAGTCCAGGCCCTTTGGGTGTGGCCTTACATGGACTGTCACTCAGTTTGGGCTGCCATAACAGAATACTATGGACCAAGTGACATCAACAACAAATACCCATTCCTTACCGTTCTAGAAGCTGGACGTCCAAGATCAGGATGCCAGCATGGCTGAGTTCTTGGGAAGGGCGCTCTTTGTTATGTCCTCATATGGCCTTTCTTGGTGCATGTATGTATGTCGAGAGGGAAGATGGGAGAGGGAGCTCTAACCTGTTTCTCTTCTCACAGGGACGCTAATCCTATCATGGGGGCCCCACCCTCATGACCTCATTTAACTCTCAAAAGCCCCACCTCTGAAACCATCCCACTGGGGGTTGGGGTTTTAACATAAATTTTGGGGAGACACAATTATATAGTCTGTAACACGGACTGAGTTATAACCCTGTAGTCAGGATACTCCATTCCTTTGCCTAGAGATGCTTGTAAGCCCTAGGTGAATTGTTACACTTGTCCTGAGGGCAGGGCAGTGGACAAGTCACATGGCTTATCAGTGATGAGGCTTGGGGGGTGCCATCCACCCAGCCAGCCAGGACATTGGTGTCTGGATTTTAGCCACAGTGAAAAACAAGGGTGAATTGCTTAATGGCTGCAATGCTGGGCAACTGACCAACTTCATTCATGACTTAAAAAAAAAAAAAAAATAAGGGCCGGGCACAGTGGCTCACGCCTGTAATCCCAGCACTTCTGTAGGCCAAGCCGAGGCAGGCGGATCATGAGGTCAGGAGTTTGAGACCAGCCTGACCAACATGGTGAAACCCTGTCTCTAATAAAAATACAAAAGTTAGCCAGTTATGGTGGTGTGCGCCTGTAATCACAGCTATTCAGGAGGCTGAGGCAGGAGAATTGCTGCCGAGACTGTGCCATTGCACTCCAGCCTGGGCGACAGAGTGAGACTCCTTCTCAAAAAAAAAAAAAAAAAGTTGTTTTGCCAGTAAAATGCATAAAATATGCCTATTGCTCAATAAATTGTCACAAAGTTAACCTCATGTAATCACCACTTAGATCAAGAAATAGAATACAGTATTGCCAAAGTGCTACTTCAGAATCACCTCTGTGCCTTCTAAGTGTAAGCAATATCTTGACTTTTAGATAATCCTTCATTGCTTACCCATATAGTTTTACCACTTAAGATGGCATCTTCAAACAGAGTTTAGCTGCTTATTTTGCTCAACAGTTTTGAAGATTCATTTATATTGTTGCTTCTAGCTGAAGTTTATTCATGTTCTTTGTTGTGTGGGATTTTACTGTGTGACTATACTGTAGTTTAAGATTTGTATCCATTCTAGTGATGATGGACATTTACATTTTTCTAGTTTTTGGCATTCATGAATAATATTGCTGTAAACATTCTTTTACATGTTTCCTGGTGAACATATATGTGCATTTGGTTGGGTTGATACCTCAGAATTTACTTGTTAGATCATACATAAAGTATCTCTATTTTCTACTTTAATGAATTATGCCAAATTATTTTCCAAAGTGGTTGTGCCAATTTACACTCCCATCAGGAGTGGTTAAGAGTTTTAATTGCTCCACATTCTAACTGACGCAATCTTTAAATTTTATTCATTTGAGTAGGTAGGTGTACACTACTTTTGCTTGTGTTTTTTAAAAATAATAGCTTTAATAAGATACTGTTTCCATGCCATACAATTCACGCATTTAAAATGTACAACTCTTTAGCATGTTAGTTTTTATCATATCCACAGAATTGTGTAATCATCACTTACTGCTTATAATTTTTATTTTTCTGACTCCTAATGATGAGAACCTCTTCCCATGTGTATAGATCATTTGGATTTCTTCTTATGTGATGTGTCTTTTAAAGTCTTTGGCTCATTTTTCTATTGGATTGTCCATCATTTTTTATTGTTTCATAAGAGTTTTTAAAAAATATTCTGCATATGAGCCTTTCTTCTACTTGTATTATAGCTTTTTACTCATTTAATAATACTGTCTGATAAGCAGAAGTTTTCATTTTTGTGGCAGTTAAACATTATTTTTCCTTTATGGTGAGAACCTTTTTGTGTTTTGTTTAAGAAATACTGTATTCTCTTGACTCAGGTCGTGAAGTTACATATAATCTCCTATGTTATCTTCTAGGAAGTTTGTTGTTTTGCCTTTCAGGTTTGTTTAGATCTGTGGTTCATTTGGAGGTAATTTTAATGTGTGGTGTGAGTTAGGGATGTCAACATCATCTATGTCCCACTGCTTGGCAGTGCCATCTTTGGCATAATTCAGTATCAGTTTATGCATGGGTCTGTTTTAAGGCTTTGTTTCTTATTCCATCAATACAATAGTACATCTTTGTGCCAGTACCACATTGTTTTAATCATTGTAACTTTAGATGTGATTTGATATTTTATATCTGTCTAGGCAAGTCATCCTACCTTTTCTTATTTTTCCTTTTCATTCAAGAGCGTATCGGCTATTCTTAACTCTTTGCATTTTCCTGTAAATTTTAAAACCAAGTCCCACAAAATATGTTTGAATTTTGACTTTCTGTATCCATCTTTTTTTCTTTCTGTTTTTTACTAAGTGAATCCCAAAAAGATTATTTCTTCTTACTTAGTGAGTGACAATATGCCCGGTCTACCAAGTTCAGGTGCACTCTAGAAATGATGGCTGTAACAGAAGTCTGGCATTGGTTTTTGTAGGAACTAGCCTTTGGGCCAGCAGTTGTCCAGGCTTGAAAGCCATCTGCTCTTTATAATTTAGGGTACCAGGGTATACACCTTGAAGCTGAGGAAATCCAATCATTTTGGTTCCATGATGACTGAAGGAATGAAGCCCCAAACAATACCAAGTCACAGAAGATGCTCAGTAAATAACTGACCTCCTTCCATTCCTTGGCTTTGCCTTAACCACCTGTAAGGCTGTGCTTGACTAAGCACACAGCTGAACCAGGCCATAAATGTTGGGCCACATGCTACAACAGCAGTAGACCAATGGCTTTGGAGTTTGTGATCAGGGAAAGGAAATTCTTTTGGCTCTGCCATGTTGTCCATGATGCCAAGGAGACAAAGCTGTGAACACCACCAGAACAAATGTCTATTGACTGTGCCCTGCATTATCTTTACTGTTTCTGGGCAAATTCTGAAAATATCCCCAAAGCAATAATCATTTTGGTGTCTCTGGTTTCTATCTCGTTTTCTTTTCTTTTTTTTCTTTCTTTTTCTTTATATTATTATTTTTTAATGAAGTCAACTTCTCAAACAAAACAACAAAACTCCAACACTGAATTATGCCTGGTTTTGCTGTCAGACCCTTGTCCGAGCCATGCACTTGGAAACAGTCATCAAGCTGCGAAGCTGCGTGTTATCCTAACTCCCCTTTGTTAACAGCTTCGTGTTGGCCCCTCTCCAGTTGCTGCCGCCAGCAGAGTGTCTCTGTTTTCAGACCATGTCATCCGGGACTTGCCAGCCTTCAGAGACATCATCTTCTCTGGTTATTGGAGACTTTGAAGGAACACTTTTCCTTTTGTTTTTCAAGACAGTAACTGTGGATATGATGTGAGAGGTTGACAGTAGTGATACCTTTGGTTTCTGTAGATGAAGGTTTTTTTTTTTTTTTTTAGGTTTATTGAAACAAATGAGAATCTGTCAGCAGAAATGTCCTTTAAAATCACCCTTACTTTTGAAGAGTCACATAGAAGAGTTAAGATATGGCTACTTTCCAACTGGTCTCCCGGGGAGGGTTTGGAGCAGTTAGAGGGTCCTGTGAAAGCAGAATGACATGAATCAAAATAAAACCAAACATACAAATGACACATTAAATAGTAGCCATGGGCTACCTTTCCTTTTCTGATTTCTCTGGTTAGAAACTAAATGCAGGAAAGAGATAAGTATCTGGAGACAGTGCTTGAGGTGTGCTTCCCATCAGAGAACCAAGGAATTTTCACTTTTTGGCTTTCTTTCTGGGACTCCCATATCAGGATCAAGAGACGAGTTGGTTCCTATAGTGGTTTCCAGTTTGCTGTGAGTGGTGAGAGTTCAGAGAACTTCGGCAGTGTGCTAGACTTGACTTTGCAGCACAGACACCCTCTTCTCTTCTTGTCTTTCATTTTGCCCCCTCCCATATACCTGGTACTCTCACACATTTCTCTTTCTCCAAACTTGAATAAAAATGACTCTCAGATTTTACATTCATCCTAAGGGAGAAATATTTGCAAAATCAGATGGACTCATGAGATCAGAAACCTGAAATGAAGAAATAAAACTCCATAGGCAGAATTCCAGGAATCATCCCGTTAGTGGGAGGGTTTTGAGTGGTTTTCTCTCCTTCCCTCTCTTTTCTTCTGCCTTTCTTTCATATCAAAAAGTCACAGACCTACTGCTTATTCTCCAGAAATGTACATCTAGTTAATGACACCATCCTACATAAACCAAATGTGAGCAATAATGACAATATAATAGCACCATGTATTCAGCATTTACTGAAACAATGTGCCAAGCAACTTAAATATGTCATCTCATTTAATTCTGAAAATAACAATTCTGTGATGTCAGTAGTAGTATTCACCATATTTTTACAGATGGGGAAACTGAGGTTTAGAGAGATTAAGAGCTTGCCTAACAGCACACACTTACCAAGTGAAGAGTCAGACTGGTCTGACTCCCAGCCACTACGCCATTCGCTGTGCCTGGCAGGCCACAGTGATTTTGATTGTAGGAGAATGAAAGAAAAGGTCAGTGAGGAAGGCTTTTCGGAGTTGGTGGGACCTGAGCTGGTCATGAAGAACATGTGGAAGAAGGGAGCAAGTGAGTGTCATGTATGGCCTTCTTACGCCCTCAACTCTGATCAGTTCTTTCCTTCAGAAGTAACAGTTCTTCTCCTCCCACACGTGAGCCTTTGGATGCAGTAGTTTTCCACTCTCAGTGAAAACTGGTTATCATTAATCACTGTATGCAGCCCTGTTTCCTTGGGGGGGTGGGGGTGCTTCTTTTGGATGCTGATAAATCTTTCTAATTAGCTGTAAAAATCATGAAAAAGTCGACATCGTGTTTTAATCATAAACCACTTGGGCCATTGGCATTCATGTCCTGGCTTGAATTCTTTTTATTTTTTTTTTTTGTTTACCAAATTGCTTTGAGTTTATGACATTTTTAGTAGATCTCCTGTAAGTCCACAGAGCTTGGGATTATAAAAGCTATAAATTGTTTTCAGTAACTCAATCAGAGAAAAGCAAAGCAAAAACAAAAACAAAAGGCATTGACACATTGTCAGTGATTTATTTTCCCATGTGTTGGTGGAATATTAAAGATCTTTGAGATCTTTTTAGATAATTCAGTGCAGGCCTGGTTCTAAGAATATAAGCTGGCACGATGATCAGCGAGAGAGTAAATGGGTTTGCTTTGCTTTTTTTTTTTTTTTTCTCTCAGGAGCTAAAGTGAACTCTTCCAAGAATCGGGAAGAAGAATGTGGGATTAGAAGTCACACTACAATTGTCCTTTAGTGTTGAATTGTAGTGTCAGAACAGTTTCAGAAAATAAATCTCAGCTAAAATCTCCTCCATGTCATGGTATATCAATGATACTCAAACTTTAACATGGATCAGAATCATCTCGAGAGTTCTTTACAACACAGATAGCTATGCCCCAGCTCAGAGTATCAGAGTTAGTAGGTCTTGGATGGAGCCAGAGATTTGCATTTCTGACAACTTCTCAGATGATGCTGATGCTGCTGCCACCAAATTTTGAGGGTCTGACTTCAATCTGAGCTCAGTGCTAACTAGCTGTGTGACTGAGCACTTCATGGCTCTGTCTCCTTGAATCACTTGCACCTAGTTCAGAGCAGGTTTAGAAACCACTGAGAGCCACTGTGATATAGTTAACAGCATCTACTAGGATCCCAGCTGACAAAAATATTTACTCACTGTTCCTTCCAGTTTGAGTAGGATTTGCTTTTCCTGAAAAATTGGTGGGCATTTTCTATTTCTAGGGAGCTCTGAAGTTGAACTAATGCTGCCCTTTAGCATAAGGTCATAGAACACATGCTTCTGAGTCTGATCCTCATATGAATGTAAAAGCCCCAACATTGAGCACAGCATATTGTGGTTTGATATTTTCTTTCAACACTTGTATTATGAAAGGAAATCGGTGTTATTTCTGCAAATCCCATGCTTGTGTTCTTATCTTTGTGGATTCCACGGCACCTAACAGAATGTCTTGAGTATGGTAGGTGTTCAAAAAATGCTTACTGAGTTGAAAATTACAACTTAAACTTGATACCAAGAGCTCGTCTGTAAAATAGCATATATTGAGTATATAAAAATAATCAGAACAATTACATTTTATATGTGTATCTTAGTTCAGTTCAGGCTGCTATAACAATATCACATACTGGGTAGCTTAAATAACACAAATTTATTTCTCACAGTTCTGGAGGCTGGAAAGTCCAAGATCTAGGTGCCAGCAGATCTGGTTTATGGTGACAACCTTCTTCCTGGCTTGCAGATGTGTCTTATTGTATCCTCACATGGCAGAGAGCAGAGATCCTCTCTCTTATGTTTCTTCTTATAAGGACACTAATTCCATTCATGAATGTTCCACCCTCATGATCTAATTACCTCCCAAAGACCCTCACCTTCAAAACCATCACAGTTGGAATTCAGACTTCAACATATGGATTTTGGTTGGGGGACACAAACATTCGGTCCATAGCAGTGTGTCTTAGGATTTCAACAGAGTTGGAAAACAAATATTTGTCTTCTTTAATCTTCACAAAAGTTACATGAAATGATGCAATCTTTGGGATTCAGATTATGGAAGATCCTACTTGAATTTTAGTGATCCCCTGACCAAGATTTCTAGGAGCAACTTTCTAGCACTATGCCTCTGTGAAAGGCATTTTCCCTGTAGTTATCAATGGCCGGGTGTCAAATGCAATTGGAAATGCAGCTTTATATTATAGCAGATACACTGTGGGCCCAAGTTGAGTACCACTACAGATGGAGCATTGTCCACTCTGAGCCCAGGAGAATGAGTGCACTCCTACAGTCTCTGCTCTCCTTATGACTACTACAATGAGAGACTACCAAAAAGAGAGAGACTATTGAACTCTTTTCTCTTGGAAAATACAGTCTAAATCATTGAATGCAGCACGCCAAATACATATTGATAATTCCATTTTTAATTTTTAAGTGTCAGGGAAAATTACTTTTTTTTTTAACTTAATGGAGTCCGTTAATGGGAAATTATGTGTGACCCACTCTTGTTATCCATTCTCAAACGGATATTTAAATCACAGTCACAACATGAGACCACTTTGGAATAGTTACTTACCTAGTAATCAAACAATTCATGTGACATGAATATAAAATTGTTCCTAGTTTTTTTTTTAGTCCTCTATTACAGTCAGTGGATATCAAAAAGTTGACTAGTTATATACTAAGCCAAGATACTTTTGTGATTCTTAAAAGTATGTTATATTATTTTTCAGTGTCTTAGGGAGGACTCTGTTTATTAGTCTGTTCTCACGCTGCGAATAAAGACATACCCAAGACTGGGTAATTTATAAAGGAAATATGTTTAGTTGACTCACAGTTCAGCATGGCTGGGGAGGCCTCAAAAACTTACAGTCATGGCAGAAGGGGAAGCAACACCTCCTTCTTCACATGGCAGCAGCAAGGAGAAGCGCCCAGCAAAGGGGGTAAAGCCCCTTATAAAACCATCAAATCTCGTGAGAACTCACTGTCATGAGAACAGCATGAGGGTAACTGCCTCCAAGATTAAATGACCTCCCACCAGGTCCCTCCCATGACACGTGGGGATTATGGAAACTACAGTTCCAGATGAGATCTGAGTGGGGGCGTAGCCAAACCATATCACTCCAGGAGATTCTTTTGGATATTAATATTAGGAATATCAGTATTTCTCCTTAACAAATAATTTAATAGTGAACAATATGAAACACGGAGGACAATGCCGAGGTATTGTTTCCCTCAGGGATGCCTTCTCCAACTCCTGTATGTGTCTCTGTGTTTAATGCTCTCAAAGCACTTCTTATTACCCATAACCGCTGGATAGCATTGGACTGAAGCTTTCTTAAGCACAGGGCACAGGTTTTGTTTCTTCTGACAGGAGCATGATATTTGTTGAATAAATAAGTTATATCTAGACTTTTCTCATCAAGGTAGACTTCTTGGGGTAGGTGTGGAAATATCTAAGCTCAAATATTTTAAATACCACCTAGAGCTAAGAAAAATTACCAAGAAGGCCATTCAAATGGAGAGAAAAGACACTAGGGCCTAGGAGTTAGCTTTTTATTATTTTTGCTAGTTAGGCCATGGGCAATGTCTGTTTTTCTACATTCTTAGTGTAAAATATCTTTGTCACGCTTTTTTTCTTAAGAATTTTTTTATGTGTTATTTTCCTCAATCAGACAGAATGTGCATCCAAAATGACAAAGTCTCAATTTTTTATTTCAATGAAACCTATGTAAATAGTAACTTACTTAATTCACCAGAATCCTCAGTGAACTGGATCCTGCCTGCATCAGACTTTAGGGAAAAAAAGGAAATAAAAAGAACAAATAATTAAACAATTATTTTCAAGACTAGCTGTCAGAAAAAAATCTAAAAGTCAGTATTCATTCAGTTCATTTTTTAATTTATTGAAGTATATAAAAATAATTGATTTTCATGATTGTCTTCCGTCTGCACAATTTTTATTAATTTTTTAAAAATAATAGTTGATAATACATTTTAGAAAAGTTCTCATAAGACCTCAAAAAATCATTTTAACATAAGCTGAACATCCTTTTCAGGGTGTCGAGTTTCTGCTATTGTGTTCTAAATGCCAATTAAGTGCTCTGTGTAAGAAAAACACATATTGTCTGCAAATTAATCAGGAAGACACATGCAGGATACCTTGAAACAACTGCTTTTCACTCTCTTATTAAAGGAAAGTGTCAATGTAAAGAAGTCTTTACATTGAAATAACTATGTGAGATCCATAAATAAGGTTTTATTTAACTGCTAGTTCTTATTGCTCTGCAGGGGCTGTGAAATGGCTTGGATTTGTGTCCCCACCCCAATCTCATGTTGAATTGTAATCCCAAGTGTTGGAGGAGGGGCCTGGTGGGAGGTGATTGGATCATGGGGACGGATTTCCCCCTTGCTATTCTCGTGATAGTGAGTTCTCATGAGATCCGATTGTTTAAAAGTGTGTAGCAGCCTCCCTCCCCCACTTATCTCTCTTCCCCCTGCTCCAGCCACGTGGTGCTTGCCTGCTTCCCCTTTGCCTTCCTCCATGATTGTAAGTTTCCTGAGGCCTCCCCAGTCATGCTTCCTGTACAGCCTGTGGAACCATGAGCCAATTAAACCTCTTTTCTTTATAAATTATGCAGTCTCAGGTAGATCTTTATAGTAATGTGAGAATGGACTGATACAGGCTGCTGAGAAATGGTAATATTGTAGTGAAGGTAATTACCTCTAGCTGCTGCAACAGACAAATCCCCAAGTTTCCCACTCAAATAAAGTTTATTTTTTGCTCATGTGGGTCCAGTTTGTCCATCCATCTGGACCATAGATTCTCCAAGGTCATGGTTGCAAAGGAGAGGGAAGGTGGAAAAGGCACATGGCCTTTTAACTGCCTTAGCCCAGAAGTGACATGTGTCACTGTGGTTCAGCATATTTGGCCAGATCTAATCACAGGGCCCCAAGGAACTGCAGGGGAGGCTGGGAAATGTATTTTATGAGTATGCATATGGTTAGTGAACATTAACTGCTTCTGCCACTATATTTTTGTCAACTAGAATTGTATGCATCCCCTTTTTCTACTTAGTGTGCTATTAAGGTTAGTAGGTTGTGGGGGGTTGGGGGTGGGAGGTAGGGAGAAACAGGATACAAGGATATGCATAGTGATGTCTTCTATCTTTTCTAGTAGCAGAACCCACATTTCCTTATGAGAACTGTCTGTCTTCCAATTACAGCTCTTATAGTCTGGCTTGACTGTTCCCTGGGCTGGGCATGTGCCCTATACCTGACCAACCAGAGATCATTGTAGGACAGAAGGGCGGGGCCATATCTGCCTATGTGACAATAATTGTGCCCATATAATGCCATCAGTGAATGTGTCCTTTGGAAAATGAAGCCAAATCAAGAGACCATTGAGCCAAGAGAAAAGAGATAATTTGGATGGCATTGATAGATAGAACCTTTGGATCAAGCACTGCCAGTTCCTATCTTGACTTCCTCAATTATGCCAGCCAGGTATTCCTTTACTTTGAACTAGGTTGAGTTGGATTTCTGCAACTTGCAAATAAAAAAGATGAGCTAGTGGTTTTCACTCCACAAAACTTCAAAACACCATCCTTTCACTCCTTTGTCTCTAAACTCGAATAACTACCCATTGCCTAAAAAAGTACTGATTATAGCCTCTACCTTTACATGGTAGAATTGTTGCTTTTATGGTACAGTTACCATATAAATAAAAAATGTCTAATGTCCTGTGTGTGTCTCTCCTAACCCTAGTTCAACCATTGAAGAGTTTTTTTAATTAGCAGTCAGCTAATTACTACCTGAATTAAAATGGATTTAATTTTGGCAGCTAATCATTTCCACCTGTGAGGAATCAAATAGAAAAAAAGCTTGTAGAATATTAAGGGAGAGACTCCCCTCTATTCTGATCATCTCCACAAAAACCAGACTATTAGTCAATAGAAGGTTTTGCAAATATCAAAAGTCAATCTGAGTAATGTTTTCTCTGGCCATGGCAGCATAAAGACATAGATCCCACAGCCAGATCCAAACTCTGTGGAGTGTTTCAGGGGATTTGGCTCAGTTACCCTATTTAACCCAACACTTCACAAGAAAAGTCTGAAAGAAGATATGCAATAACTTTCTGGTGACCCAAACTATTGCAACCTCAGTCCCTAAATCACATGACATTTGTTTACTTTCTTTCCAATGGGCTGATTAATTATTTGTCTTTATTTAGTGTTCTAAATCAGGAGCCAAAAGAAGTTGGAGCAGCTGGGGCCAATTTTTACATGTAAAACTAACAGAGCAATTTGGCTGTCTGATGCTGAACTGAAGAGTGACTTTCCTTTAACTTTGTCATCACTACAGCATCCAACCTGCCCTGTTCCAGATGTGCAACAACTGGGCTTTGAAAGAGTGTGACTAGAAAATCAAACAAGGCACGTGGACACACAAAGGAGATAAGAGGCTCCAAGAGATCACGTTCCTTTCTTGTGTAATTTCTTTCATCTAATTCTGTCAACATTTACTGGAAACCTCTATCTGGAACACAGATTACCTCAAGTAATCTGCCTGCCTCAGCCTCCCAAAGAACTGGGACTGCAGGCATGAGCCACCACGCCCAGACAATTTATAATCCTAGTGATCATGTTAGAACAACATCTGTTGTCAACCAATCATTGAGTATTTGTTGAGGATATTCTTCGTGCTACATTAAGTGAATGCAGGCAGCATATCAAGTCTCTACCTTTTTCACAACCTAGTTTGGTGAGATAATGTTAGTATAGATTAAGCAATTGTTACTAGTAAAAATCAGTATATTATTAATACTAAGTTGTGTGGCACAGACTAGAACTCTCAGAAAAGAGGCTGCAATCATAAATATGGTGAGAGTCAGAGATCCTTCTGGGCTTTAAAGAAATGCTTAATCATAGACTGTGTACCTATCCCCCTGCTGAACAAGACACATCCTTAGTTTCAAGACAGACTGGGGTTTGGGAATATGGGTAGCTCTGTGCTAATGCATCACCCCACTGAGGAAACAGGGTTTGTATTCTACTTACTGTGGCTTCATTGCATAAATTTTATGCTCATTGGAGAGAATATTTACTCACAATCTAGCCCATCCATTCTTATAAAAGAGACCTCTGAAAGCTAAGAGTCACTTTCCTGAGGGAAATGCAAGACTCTGGGAGAGAGAGGGCACTTTGAGAATGGGAAAATTGCCTGTGAAATCAAATTTAGGCGAAAAGATAGCCCAGCAGCCATATGTAAATCATTCCCTCATGTAGGAACAATGCTGTGCACTTGGTAATTCAATAGAAAACATTAGTCATTTATCATCCTTAATTATCAGTCATCTCTAACTGCATCTGGTTTGCATTTTTTATTAGAAAGGTTTTTTTTTTTTTGAGTTGGACTCAGGCATTTTTTTTCTTCCGTTCCTGATTTCATTTTGTTATTCTTTTTAAAATTCCATCACTAATTCCCATGATGTGAAGAGGTTTCTATTTCATAAGACACAATAAATCAAGCAACGCCTCTGTTGTAACGTCGTCCTTACTGCGCATTTGTCATGGGCCCTGGATTGCTGAGTTTACTCAAGGTTAGAGAGTCAAGCTGCTTTGAGGACACACTTGGCCAGTGCCGTGAGCATGCACGTAGCCCCATCAGAGGAGCCGAAGGTATAAAACTTCCGTCAACTTGAGCGACCACAGCTGCTTCAGAAAAGTCATGGGGCAAAAAGTGACCCTGGGAGATTTTGAAGTTTGAGTGCTCTTGTCCTGGCACTCTGGACAGTGTATGATGGCCACGTCACACTTTTGTAGGAAGAACTCATGGTAACGAGTCATGTTTTTCTCTCATAGGATAATAGTAACAGCGAATATTTATTAAGAATTTTCTGCGTGTTCTGCATTGTGCAACTTTTAAAATACATTGTCACATTCAATTCTCATGATAACCCTTTCGGGGGGAAATAGTATTTATGTCTTTTAGATGAGTAAACTATGGACTTAGAAAGATGTAGTTGCTTGTTAAATTCTCAGCTGGTGAGTCCCTGGACCATAAAGGTAAAATAAATCATAACCCTAAGCCTTCAGGAGGTAGGCCTATGTTACAGTGTCTCCAGAGAGAATCATTTTAAACATGAAAATCCCAGGACAAGATAGCTAAGCTCCTAATTTATTTATTTATTTTTCTACGGTAGGGGATTTATTTTTTTACTGAAGTTATAAGTTTATATGTTTAATTTAAAAATAATGGCTGTATTCAACAATTGGCTCATGAAACTTCTGCAAATTTAACACCATGCTCTTGTGAGCTGGAGTGAGCTGGCATGAGCACACTACTGCCCGTATTTAATGAGGTTGAGATGCCACAGCTTCCAAGGCATGAGGAGGAGGAGGGAATCTGAAGACAGACAAATAGGAATGTTGAAGTGGCTGTATCATGCTAACTGCACACTCATTCCCGACTACATTCCTCTAGAAAGCCCACAAGATATCTTCTTCACTAAGACTTCGATTTTTAAAAATTTTATTTCTTGTTATTTTGTTTTAGTTTAGTAGTACCTTAGGAGGAAGGCAAGGGCTGAAAAACTACCTATTGAGTACTGTGCTCACGACCTGGGTGAAGGAATCATTTGTACTCCAGACCCCAATGACATGCAATCTACCCAAGTAACAAACCTGCACATGTACCTCCAAACCTAAAATAAAAGTTGAAAATGGAAAGAAAAAAAAAAGATTTTGAACTATGCGTTGGTGAAGGGATCACCAGCATCCTTGCAAAGCTCCGTGGTAAGCTAACTATGACCATGGAGGATGTGCCATTGATATGAGGATTCTGATTTCAATAGGGATGGTGGATTCCTGGAGTAGTAAAAGGCCAAGTAGCAGCACTGATCCACCAAACACAAGGTATGCACATTCACTATAAAGAGCAGCAGACATACTAGTGATCAGAAAGCGTTAGATCTTTGGTGGTGGCTAACTACCAGGGTGATTCTAAAAATGAAATAGGTGAGCAGTCTGCTAGTGTATTTTTTTATCTACATAACAGGAAAAAGAAAACCAACTCTAGTTCTGTTTTGTTGTTGTTGTTGTTGTTGTTTTTTTAGAGACAGGGTCTCACTTTGTTACCCAGGCTGGAGTGCAGTGGCGTGATCATAGCTCACTGCAACCTCAAACTCCAGGGCTCAAGTGGTCCTCCCCACTCAGCCTCCTGAATAGCTAGAACTACAGGCATTCAGTTATTTTGCTTTATTTTTTTTTTGTCTTAATGTTTTTTGGTAGAGAAAGGGTCTCACTGTGTTGCCCAGGCTGGTTTCAAACTTCTGGCCTCTCAAAGTGCTGGGAATCAACAGGCATAAACCACCACTCACAGCCTGAAAAACTCTAGTTCTTACAGCCAAAAATCTGACTTAAGTTTCCATAATGGAGAGTCAGGGTCACTCACCAAGTATACTGACCTAAGCTAATTCACAGATTTAGAGCCCCTTGATTGAAGGGGAGTCCAGGTCTCCTTGAGGAAGGATTCTGCATCATTGCTGCGAGTAAATACTATAAATCTTCATCCACGTGTTTTCTCAAAGAGGCCTGTAGCTATTTGTTAGAGTGACTGTGCACTGTGGAAAAGGAAATGCCCAGATATTTCAGTAATTACTAAATACTCTCTCTTAATTATGTTAACTCCTGTGACCTAAACTACTCACGGTAGCCCACTAGTTAAAACGGGAGCATTCAGTGTTCAAGATACAGATGATGTCTGAGCCCAAGTTTAACTCACAGTGGGCCCAGTTGGTCAGTTGACCCCCCTGTAGTTATTGCCCCAGTTCCTGAATGTATAATGGGAATAGACATACTTGGCAACTATCAGAATCTCCACATTGGCTCTATGACCCCTAGGTTTAGAGCCATTATGGTAAGAAGGATAAAGTGGAAGCCTCTGGAACTTCCCATTACTACAAAGATAGTAAACCAGAAGTGATATTGCATCCCTGGGATGAATTGCAGAGACTTGTGCCACTGCCAAAGACTTGAAATGTACTGGGTGATACCTACCACATACCCATTTTACTTACCTGTTTGGTCTCTACAGACATTGAATGGATCTTGGAGAATGACTGTGAACCATAAATTTAATCGGGAGGTAATTCTAATTTCAACTGCTATCCAAAAAATGGTATCTTTACTGGAGTAAATAAACACAGCCCTTGGCACTTGGTGTGTAGCTAGTGACCTGAAAAATGCCTTTTCTTCCATACCAATATGCAAAGGCCACTGGAAACAGTCTGCTTTTATCTGGCACAGCCAAGAGTAGACTTCACGCTCTTGAGTCAGAGCTATGTCAATTCTTTCTTCTATTATACAGTCCACAGAGAAATTGATTAGCTTGACATTGCACAAAAATGTAGGGGACACTGGTCTTCTACATTACGATATTGACTGGCTCTAATAAGCAGAAAGTAGTGCATCAGATGCCTTAGTAAGACATATGTAAACTAGAGAGTGGGACATAAACCCTACAAAAATTCAGGGGCCTTCAGTGAGGTTCTGGGGACTCAGTGGTCTGGAGTAAGGGGATAAGTTTCTGGATCTAACACCATCTACCATGAATAAAGAGGTAAAATGCTTTGTAAGCAGTTAAAACAATTTTTTTGGAGGTCACATATACTACATTTGAGTATACTACTCCCACCTATTTACTGAGTTACCCAATAGGCTGCCAGTTTTGATTGTGGACCAGAGAGAGAGGGGGCCCTGCAGCAATTCCAGCTTCAGTGACTGCTGCCCTAACACCTGGGCCTTATGTTCCAGCAGATCCAGTGATAATATGTGCATAGCAAATAGGGATGCTGTTTGGAGCTTCTGGCAAGTACCGAAAGGAGAATCATAATGCAGATCTGTAGGGTTTTGGAACTAATCTGTGCTCTCTTCTTCAAGTAATAATTTTCCTTTTCAAAACAGTTTCTGGCTTGCTACTGGACCACCCAAAGACTAAATGCCTAACCATGGGACACCAAGATACTATGTGATGTGAGCTTCCCATTATGAATTCAGCGTTGTCTGATGCACCTAGCCATAAGGTTGAGTGTGGACAGTGCAATCTATCTTCAAGTGGCATTCTTTACAATCAATTAAATGACAGATCTTGAGCCTAGTTTAGAGACGGTCTTGCATATTATGCCGATACCACCGAAAGTGGACAGCTCCATTGTTACAGCCTTAGGGGTGACTCTGATAATATGTATGTCCTATTGTTTCTGTTTCTTTGAACCCTGGTTAATAGAATATATAATATTGCTGTAATGTAATATACTGTATTATATTATCAATATATTGTGTATTTTATTAAAATACTAATATTATATATTACAATGTAATATCAATTGTGCACTATAATATACATGTGTAATAATGTAATAGCAATGGACCATTCACTTTGTGTTCTCTTGTTGGAAGACTTGGTTGCCACCTTGCAGAATCTTGTCCCAAATCATTATCATGTTTACTTTTTATAGTTTCTTTTTCACATTGAAAATTAGTCTTAGGGCATATCCTCTATGCTCTAAAATGATTTATAATCAAATTGTGATCTACTTTATGTCAGGTTTCTCAGTGTTCTAGTTTTGAGCCAGGAAACTTTATCAAATGTATAATGGGGACTCATAGAGCCTTGAAACTTAATCAAATTTATAAAAGGGACTTTATTTTATTCTATTTTTTTGCCATTTTGGAATTTTATGTCCTATTTAAATTGTTCTCTAGCTTTTAATTCAAAGGTCATTGTTTTCAACAGATAAAGAAGCAGGTACAAAGATTCACCCTAATACAATAAGCGTCACTGAAAAATTATAGTTAAAAATAAGAAGTGGTTAAAGTAGTGGTTAACAAGGAAACAATAAGCAACATGAAACAGCAGCCTACAGATGAGAAAAAAATATTTGCAAACCACATATCTCATAAGGGGTTAATATCCAAAATTTATAAAGAACTCATACAACTCAAGAGTGAAGAAACAAATCACCTGATTATAAAATGGGCAAAAGACTTGAATAGATATTTTTCCAAAGAAGACATAAAAATGGCTAATGGGTATATTAAAACCTCTTCTTGTTTTTAACCATGATTGTTTGCTGGAAGCTTCAGCTTATTTGGAGAGTTTCACTTTTCTGACATTCTTTCGGTCCCTGACAAACTGGTGTCCCATCATGGTTTCTCTCTATGAGGCAACCTGAAGTGCCATCATTGAGTTTACCAACAGTAGTCTCTAACCCTTCTTTCTGCCTGGAGTACTGTTCATTTCCCTGACCCCAATGTACCTAAGCCTAAGCATTAATATCTTTTGCTCTGGAAGATCTATGACTCTTTGCACTAGGTTTGATCCCTTCAGTTAGGTAATCTGCTATTTACTTCCATAGTATTCCATACCTTCCTTTTCTGAATTTTCAGCAAACTTTCATTATTGGTTAAGTGTATTTATTATAAATACATTATATTGTGCATATGTAAGGTATACAACATGATGTTATGGGATACATATAGATAGTAAACAGATTATTATAGTGAAGCAAATTAGCATATACATCAGCTCACACACTTTGCCATTTTTGTTTTTGTTTTTGTGGCAAGAACAGCTAAAGCTACTCAGCATGAGTTTCACATACAGAACAATTTTATTACATAAAGTCCTCATGTCGTACATTAGATCACTAGACTTATTCGTCATACATATCTGCTACTCTGTATCCTCTGAATTACATCTCCCTATTTCCTTCCCTCCCAATCACTGGTAAACACTATTTTGCTCTCTCTTTCTGTATATTTGATTTTAAAAATATTGCACATATAAGAGAAATTATTTTCTGTGTCTCATAATGTTCTCCAGTCTGATGCATATTGTGGCAAATGGCAAGATCTCATTCTTTTTTAGGACTGACTAATATTCCATTGTATATATGCACCACAGTTTCTTTTTCCATTTGTCCATTGACAGATACTTAGGTTGTTTCCATATCTTAGCTCTTGTGAATAATGCTGCAATGAATACAGGAGTGCAGGTATCTTTACAAGGTGGTGATTTTATTTCCTTTGGCTACATGCCTAGAAAATAGATTGCTGGGTCATATAGTAGTTTTAATTTTAATTTCTTTAGAAGTCTCCATACTGTTTTCCATAATGACTGTACCAATCTACATTCCCATCAACAGTGTATAAGAGTTCCCTTTTTTCCAAACCCTCACCAACATTTGTTATCTTCTGACCGTTTGATACCAGCCATCATAACAGTGGAAGGTGGTATCTCATGGTGGTTTTGATTTGCATATCCTTGGTGAGTAATGATGTTGAGCACCTTTTCATACACCCATTGGCTATTTTTATGTCTTCTTTGGAAAAATGTCTTTTGCCCATTTTATAATCAGGTGATTTGTTTTTTCACTCTTGAGTTGTATGAGTTCTTTATAAATTTTGGAATATTAACCCCTTATCAGATATATTCCAATCCATAGGCTACTGTTTCATTTTGTTGGTTGTTTCCTTTACTGTGCAGAGCTGTTTGGTTTGATGTAGTCTCATTTATGTATTTTGCTTTGTGGCCTGAGCTTTTGGTATGATACCAAAAAAATCATTGCCAAGGCCAATGTCCAAGAGCTTTTCCTCTCTTCTAAGAAAACATAATCTTATATTTAGGTCTTTTACACATTTTGAGTTGACTTTTGTATATGGTGTAAAATAAGAGTAATTTTGTTTCAGCCTTAAGAAGAAAATCCTACCAGTTGTGGCAACATGGATGAACCTGGAGGATATTGTGCTAAATGCAACAAGCCAGACACAGAAAGACAAACATTGCATGATCTCTATGAGTCTAAAAGGGTCAAACTCATAGAAACAGAGAGTAGAAGGGTGGTTACCAGAAATTGAGTGGTGGGAGAAATGCAGAGATGCTAGCCAAAAGGCACACACTTTTGCTTAAAAGGTAAATAAGTTCTGGAGACCTGAGGTACAGCATGATGACTATAGTTAATAATAATGATGTTCTGCTATGTGAAATTTACTGAGAGTAGATCTTAAGTGTTCTTGCTCCTCCCTAACAAAATGGTAACTATGTGAGGTGATGGGTATGCTAATTAGCTTGATTGTGGTAATCATTTCCCAGTGTACACAAATATCAAAACATCATGTTGTACACCTTGAACATATATAACTTTAATTTGTCAATTATACCTCAGTAAAGCTGAAAAAAATTATTCCCCTAAAAATGTTCATCTTTTTTACTAGCCTGTACATTCTGCTAGGGCAGGGATCTGACTTGGTTTCTGACATATAGAATTAGTTAACATGTGCCAGGCAGTACTCTAGATCATTAGTTATTTAGGGAATGAACCTATTCTAATTTCATAGGAGGCCTTTTTCCCATTTTCTTTTGGTCTCTTGCTGTTTCAAATTCCTTTAACTTCTGAACATAACAAACATTAGAAAAATGTTTGCTATGTGAGGTGGCATAACATATTTAACATGAGAAAAATTGTTTCCTCCGGCCCTGATCGTGCCTTAATGTCTTCCATGTACTCATGAAGACCTGCAGTGTCAGTAAGCTGCAATAGGCAAATCCTTGGCACAGTGGAATTCAACAGTCAGTTGACATCCTGTCTGAGTTCAAGGTGATGCCTGCCTGTTGTCTCTTTTCTAGACTCAGAGGTTAAAACAAATGGATGATTGAGGGAAGTAAACATACTCTGTATGATACTATCATGATAGATATATGTCAGTATACGTTTGTCCAAACACTCTGTACATCAGAATTGAATCCTAAAGAAATATGTACTTTGGGCGATGATGTGTCAATGTAGTTTCATTAATTGTAACAGATGTATCACTTGTAGAATATTGATGACAGTGGAGATGATGCATGTGTGGTCTGTAACTTCCTCTCAACCTACTGCTACTCTAAAAAGTAAAATCTTCCTAAAAACAACAAAAATGACACAAACAAAACAAAACAAAACACAAAACAAATGAATGAGAAGTGGTATCAGAGGTCTATGGTTTTAACAGTTGGAGGAAAATGTCCTTAGATGCTTCATATTAAAAGGATGCATTTTCTAGTCTCTAATTCTTAGGCTGATTTACTTTAAACTAACAGATTAAAAGGAAGCACGACTCAATTCAGATATTATCTAGATAAAAGTGTGAATGAAAATTTGCCCGGTTTAATACATCAGATCATGAATGAATTACTTAAACATCCATTATTACCTAAACATATTTGTTTCACTTAGTTCCTAGCAAAATCTATTGAAGCCACAATGAGTGTAAGAGTGGATAGATTAGTTACAGGCATCACATCCATCCAGTGTCCCGAGCTAGAAACCGAGATAACATTCTTGATTGCCCTTTCTCCATTCCCATACCTATCCTTATCAAGTCATTCACCAAATTTTGTCAGTTCTACCTCCTACTGCCTCTCAAATTCATCCCTTTTTCTACATTTGAATTTCTACTACTATGGTTCATAGTTTCATTATTTCTCAAGCAGATTGCTGTGTCTACCTCATCCCGTCTCCCTGCCTTCAGTCCATTTTCCAAATCACAACCTAGGTAAGTCAGATCGTGCATTTCCCTGCCTACAGTACTTCAGCAATTCCATGTTGTTACAGAGTTAAGTTCATGATCTTTGGCATTGCATACTAGGTCTTTCATACTTGATTCCTGTTCACTTCTTTGTCTTATCTTGATCACTTCCTCTATTCTCTAAGTTTCATTACATCACGTGACTTTAAGTATTTGTATATATTTCTTCCTCTGAAGGCCTGTGGTGATCTTTTCTCTTTTACTTGTTCAGCTATAACCTTTTGCTTTGACTATAGTGGGGGCACCACTCTGAGAAGGGTTTCCTCTCTGGCCTCCCCATAGCTCCCTGTGCATACCTTTATCATGGTATTATTCATATTGTGTTCTGGTTCTCTTTTATATTTTTCTACTGCTTTCCAATCCTCCAAAGAATTATAAGTTATTTAGAGGCAGGAGCTGTTGAATGAATAAATTAATGAATACAAGAAAAAGAGTAAATATCTAAGAGTTTCCTACTCCCTTTATTAGTTCACAAACGTGGTCAAATTAATAGTTTACCAATTATAAACCATCATAAGCTCTATGCAGAAGCTCGCTTTTGTTCTAACCGAATACACTGTTCTTCAAAGACACAAATGACATTAAATGTTTTGCAAATGAACCCACTGGAGTGCAGGAAGAACATTATATTGGAAAATATTAAACAACCTGAAACAAAAAGCAGATCATTTCCCAACCACAAATTGCAAATTAAAGAAAAAAAATTCTAAACCAAGATTAAAACCTACTTTAAAGTAAGTACTGCCAACACTTTAAAGGGAGGGCACAGTCAAATCAAAGGATGAAGACAAATGGTAAACTAAAGAACATTAGCCAAGAAAATAAAATGTCAAGAAGCCCACTTGAACAATGAGTGAAAATGAAACAAATTCAAGTTTTAAAAATATTTGATTTCTATAGGATTGCTTCTTTGTTTTTGTTTTTCTCCATAAGCTGATCTCAGAAACTTTTCCTTTGCAGGAAGAGGCTGTCATTTTATCATGGTGTGTGTTTGTTCACGTGCCACACAGGCAATGAATTATGAAGAAAGGAGAGCCTTGTAGGAGGCAGGGCCAGGCTGTTCTTGCTTTTAAACTAGGTAGCCACAAATAAGGCTCAGTTAGAAAAACAACTTGAAAACTGAATTCTTCCCAACGTATTACACATCCCAAAAGAAATGCTGAAGTTTCTTCCTCTTTTCTCTCTGTTTCTGCAAATCCTACCACTTCAAGACCTTAGTTTTCCCAAGCTTCCAGCTTCCCCAGAGATTCTGACCACTTTGGCCATTTCTCCTGACCTCCTTAAGAGCTTTGGAATCAGACTATTTAATTGTTCATATTATTGTTATAGTTATCTCTAATGATGTTTTTGTGTGTATGCATTGCCTCTCTAATTAGATTATTCCCTCTGCCAATAACTCTGTTATTCACTTTAAAAAATTATTTAATGACCATTATTAGCACAATGTGCAATATTAGTATATAGTGTATATAGTACATAGTCTATATAGTATATATACTCTCTCTATATATAGTATATATACTCTCTATAGTATATAGTAAGCACTCAGTAAGCATTAAAGTTAAATTGAATTAAATTTTATGACAGATTATTTTCCTCTTTCAAAACTATTAATGGAAACAAAAATCAGACTGTGACCGTCTTCATCATCCCTGTATATAACAAGTATTTTCTTTTTTCCTTTTTCAAATTATAAGCTTATGCCACACCAGTGGTTTTCAACTCTGGATGTACATTTGAGTCACCTGGAGAACTAAAAAAAATACAGATGGTAAGGCCGCTACTTAGACCAATCTACCAGCAGGTGTAAGGAGTTTTAAAAGATCCCAGATGATTCTAACATGCAGACGGAGTTGAAAAGCACTGGACTATACCAACTGATAAGTGAGTCAATCAGTAGCATTTATTGAACACCAGGGCAAATCTATTCAAGATTACCTTGGTAACTATTCCTGTGGGTTTCTATCAACTGCCCAGTAATTTAAGTGTGCAAAGCTATATATGAACTTTTAGGCTTCTCAAATATCCAAATGTCCACTTTGTGTGTAGGTACTTTCCTTCTAGACATCTCTTTATAGTGAACAGTAAACAGTATGAGCATCTTTTAATTAGAGAGTAAAATGGGAGAACCAAAGTCCAAGAAATGTAGGGGGTTTGGTGAGAACAGACATTTAGATTGATTTTATATACTTAAAGGGAAAAAGAGAATTGACTTATATTGCTAGAGAAATCAAATCCCAAACTGTTTTCATCTGAAACCTACATCACTTTTTATATCTAAAATAGCTAGTTATTTCAAATTAGCTAGCTAATTCAAGAATGAGAATTAGTTCTCAATTATTTGGATAATTGCATAAATTGCTAGTTTTGGTTGTATTTATTTACAGACCAATATCACCTTGTCTTATTTTGTAATTTTAAAATTACTTATTGAGCTCTCACTACATATTATACTCTCTGCAAAGCTCTTTACATGTAATCTTTTTTTTTTTTTCCCAAGATGGAGTCTTGCTCTGTCACCCAGGCTGGAGTGCAGTGGCGCGATCTTGGCTCACTGCAACTTCCATCTCCCGGGTTTGAGTAATTCTCCTGCCTCAGCCTCCTGAGTAGCTGGGATTACAGGCGCCTGCCACCGTGCCCAGCAAATTTTTGCATTTTCAGTAGAGACAGGTTTTCACCATGTTGGCCAGGCTGGTCTTGAACTCCTGACCTCGGGATCCGCCTGTCTCGGCCTCCCAAAGTGCTGGGATTACAGGAGTGAGCCGCCGCACCCACCCTACATGTAATGTTATTTAATTATCAGACTATTTATTTGAATCATGTGCTAGTATAACACCTGTTATACACACAAGGAAACTGAGGCTGGAGTAGTTAAGAAACTTACCCCGGGTCACATGGTTACTGAGAAACAAAGGCAGGATTCAAACTCCGGTCTGTTCAGTTGCAAAGTTCTTGTCCTCTGCACTGTGCTCCCAGTAATAACTTCTGCCACCTCGTCCTGCTGAATGAAGAACTGAATGAAATGCTTAACCTGAAATCCAAGGGTGATGGAAAAAAAATAAATGGTAGAGGTTTTCTTCTTAATTTAAGTTCAACTGTAAGTCATTAGGAATTTATGTCTACTGTAATTGTGTTTGTAACTTTCCACTAGAAAGTGTTTTGGATGATCTTGTAAAATTTCACAGAAAATTCATGGGATTTTTTTCCAATGTTAAAAGATGAGAAAGAGCAGCAATGTGGTGCTAATGCACAGTTTATTTATAAGGAAATTATAGACTACATTAATACAACTACCTTCAGCTTAAATCCAATGACAGTTCAACTCCTGGTTCTTGAACATGCCATTTCATGCCTCTGTGATGTGCACATGTTGTCTGCTCCACCTGGCCATGTATCCTTCCTCCCCTTGGCCATGTCTGTGTGTCAAATGCCAGCCAGTCCTCCAAGACGCTCAGACATCTTTCCCTTATTGAATTCTTTTCACCCCTGCCCTGGGAGCCTAAACTTTTCTTTGCACCCCTATCTCAGTTTGTACCTTATCACTTGCTCTTTTACAGTTTTCACAGATCTCATGGCAACTCTTTCTCATATGTCTGTCTGATGAAGAGTGAAGCCTCTTTGGTGCAGGACTGTTTTTTGATCCTTGTATCCCCAGTGCTGAGCATAGAGTATACGTTCAATAGACAGTTGGATGAACTTTTGAGTGAAGTATGACTTAGACAAATTGCAATTTCCCTAACAGACCATGCTGTGAAAGTTGTGAAAAGCCTTCACCCTGATCTGATTAGATTTCTACTACATTTGAAAACCTGTCACCCTCCTAAATTTTTTTAAGGGAAGTATATGTACACACATACAAGTAAACAATTTAATATTGAACATAGACAAAGCCTTCTCTGGAAGCAATTAGTTGATTTACAGTGCCATTGGTAGCAGTTTTATGTATGTGGGAGTGTATGAATGTAAATCTTGGCCTCATGGAGTCATTTCTCTCTCTTGAAAATTTGAGATTCTATGTAATACTAAAATTTAATACACCAAGACATCCTTAGAACATGTTTGCTCTAATACATAAGACTGGTTCATTCTGACATTCATTTGCGGCATTTCCATGACTGAAATAACCACTTTGAGAGAGAATCTCAATCCATACACGTGCGGTATGGGTGTTAGTTAATATGGGAAACAGTATCTGAATCCAGCCTCTTTCTTCAAAGCTTTTCTTTGAAACAGATGTCCTCTCTCTTACCAAGAAGAGAGACTTGGGGCATCTTGTTAAATTAAATTTAGCCTAGGCCGGGTGCGATAGCTCACACCTGTAATCCCAGCACTTTGGGAGGCAAAGGCTTGCGGATAACTTGAGGTCAGGCGTTCGAGACCACCTGGTCAACATGGCGAAACCCAGTCTCTACTAAAAATACAAAAATTAGCAGGGTGCGGTGGCAGGCGCCTGTAATCCCAGCTACGTGGGTGGTTGGCAGGGGGTGTGGCTGAGGGAGGTGGAGGTTGCAGTGAGCCGAGATCGCGCCACTGCACTCCAGCCTGGGTGACAGAGCGAGACTCCATCTCAAAAAAAAAAAAAAAAATTTAGCTTAGAGCTGCCTTCTTACATATTTTAAGTTCAGCTTAAACGTTACTTCATAAGTAGTGAAGTGTAACCTAACTGGAAGTATAAGCAGGCCGTAACCTACGCGTACCAATCACCGACTTTTCGCCACTCACAGGTGGACAACTGTTTAAATGGTGTTCAAATAAGGCAAATGTCGAGCTGTAGCCAATCCAGCTGTTTCTGTACTTCACTTCTGTTTTCTGTACATCACTCCTTTTTCGGTCCATAAATCTTCCACCAAGTTGCAGTGCCAGAGTCTCTCTAAACCTGTTCTGGTTGTGTTGGGGGAGGTGGCTGCCCCATTTGCGAATCACTCTTTGCTCTCTTAAACTCAGTTACGTTAAATTTGTCCAAAGTTTCTCTTTTAACAGTCTTGGGTGCACTCGGTCACACCCTATTTGTCTGGCTTTGTGCTAGGTCCTTTGTGCTGATGCTCAACAGGAAAGGCCTGATGTCTCTCATGGCAACTCTATTGTTTGCATAGAAGCCTAAGGAGCACTAGTTACATTCTTTGACATTGAAATAGTAAAACTCCAGCAGCTATCTCTCAGTCTAAAGAATGCCGTGCAGCTTGATGACACATTGATTGCTTTCCTTTAGTCTTTTCTGGCCGTAAAATCGCCACATGGAAATTCATTCAATTTCTTGAGATCTTTTCAGTTTTCTCAAATTCTGACTTCCTAAAATGTTAATATATATCCCATGTGTTTAAATGATTTAGGATTGAGGTGCTAAAAATAACTCATCACCTACGTCTACGAGTCCTAAGAAACATTTAAGTTGCATGTAATCATATGATTTTAAAATTTAAGGAGCTGTTCGAGAAATATAAAACGGCCAGTTAAGGTAGTTATTCAGATGATTCAGATTTAAAGTAGTCTTGTAATAACTTCATTTGGTGTGTTTAATTACGATGACTTATAGTGGTTGAATTCTCTGTGTAGATTTAGTTTTAATTTTAATTCAACTACCACACCTGGTGTATTAGTTCATTTTCATGCTGCTGATAAAGACCTACCCAAGAATGGGTAATTTATAAAGAAAAAGATGTTTAATGGACTCACAGTTCCACATGGCTGGGGAGGTCTTACAGTCATGGTGGAAGGAGAAAGGCCTATCTTACATGGTGGCAGGCAAGAGAGAGAATGAGAGCCAAGTGAAAAGGAAAACCCCTTAGAAAACCATCAGATCTCATGAGACATATGCACTACCATGAGAACAGTATGGGGGAAACCGCCCCCATGATTCAATTATCTCCCAACAGGGCCCTCCCACAACACGTGGGAATTATGGGAGCTACAATTCAAGATGAGATTTGGGTTTGAGTTTGGGACACAGCCAAACCGTATCATCTGGTTTTCTAACTTTGTTAGATAGACGAACTAGAGAACACAATGAATACAACCTGAGCTTTTTGTTCTTCTTGGTGATTGGTCTGTTTCTTTATTTCTTTACTTTTGTTATGATATTTGGAATCCATGGCAATTGCAACTTCTGCATTTGGCTTGGTGATTTCTAGAAATGTCAGGAATTTTTACCAATCCAGTGTTTCTGTTTCCAAAGATTATTTGCTGGCTGATCAATTGGATATGGAATTATCACCAATAAGTAAATGTGATATACTTTTAATCTGTGACTCAGAAAGTGAGTTCTGCTTATCTTGATGGAGACAAATGACACAGTTCTAGAAACTGGGCAAGAATTCTTAGCTTATTTCAATCTACTCTGGATCCCTTGTTCAAAGTTCTTAAGTGCTGGAATTTGTGGGAAAAGGAATGTAATATTTTAATCTGCCTCATGAACTGTTTATTATTTATGAAATATTTCTCACATTACTTACATAATGGAGATGGAAAGAGGGAGTCTTTTTGGAGAAAGTATTAAATTATTTCCTTCCAAGTCCAAACATAATTTAGGCAGTTTATAAGTTATCCTCACATTTGGTTAGACATAAATCTGAGTTATCTGGGTAAAATAAAAACAAATAACAAATTGGTAGCTTAACTTAGCATATTAACTCTATCACATTGCTTAATATGAACTTCAGACACCTGAGAGACAGAAGTAAACACTATTGGCTCTTCCTGTGGCACTACAAGATTTCTTTCCTCATTTCATACTCTCCGGTTTCTACGTATTTGAAATTTTAAGGTAAATTGACTATAACAATAATTAATTCCAATGTAAGTATGTGAGATGAGAAGTTTGGAGACAAGCAGAAGGGACATGTAACTGCTTTCTTATTATGATTATAATAGTGTTTGAGAAAAACTGGGGTGATGCTGCTTCAATCTTCAAATTGTCTTATTTGGTACTCTAGTGTAGGTAACAGGATATGTATGTATATATATATATATATATATATATATATATATATATATATATATATTTTCCCCCAGTCCTGGAGGATCAATTAGGTGCTGGAACTTGCTCAAGAGCTTAGAAATAGAAAATAAGATTAACTCCTTAGAGTGTTATAAAATTAACACAGTAAGTGGGAGAGTGCAGTTAATCAGGCACTTAAGTAGCTTGAGGCTTATAGTACATGTATACACTCTAAAACTAGTAAGTTAATTTAGCAACTTCATAGGGAATAAGATTAGCCTATAAAAATAAATTCCATTTCTAAATACTAGCAATGAATAATTGCAAATTTCCTGAATGAGTAAAGACTTAACAAAATGCTTTACTCAGCTTCAGAGCTTTTCCACAGTATAATGTGAGTGGCAAGGGAACTGAATGCTTCATGGAACCATGTCTTTCAGCTGACTTTCAGAGTAATGCGTTCTTGAGCAGTTGGTCCTTAATTCATGATTATCTAAGCCAAGCAGTGTAATAGAAAATGTGATACACACACACACACACACACACACCCCAAACTTAGACCCATCTTATTGCTGTTGGCTCTGACTCCTCTTTTTTGATGAAATGACTGGGGTGTATTCTCCTAACTATAGCTATTGAATTTTGTGTGCTTTCCACAGTGACAAAATCTCATGTGTCACTTAGAGCATGGTAGTATCCTTAAATCCTGCATGGAGCTAAGAACTCTATCAAAGAACATATATTCAGCAATAGGATGGAAAAGTGTGTTCTTTTAGAAAAAGAATTTTCTCATTTAAAATTGCTACAATGTCACATGGCACCATCATACATATATAATTGGCAAATTTTTGTGTCAGTGTTGACACAGGCTTAAGGAGCTTTAAATATTTGCGGCCCTGGTCACCTGAATTTGCCATTCTTGATCTTGCCATAGAGAAAGAAAAAACCTTTGGCTTGTTTCGTCAGACTTTCTGCCCAAACCTTAGGCCACAATAGGCACACATTTCCACATTTCCTTTAGTCTCAGAGGCAAGACTATTTCCTGGTTGGCGGGCATAGAGAATGCCAAGGATTTCGTCTAGGCCTGGCCTGAGTTTGAATGTAGAAAGAAGCAAGACAATGGTTCCTTTTTGTAGCTCTTAATTACTGATGTGTGAGCTGAATGTTCAGGAACATTCTTGGGACAAACACTGCAGGTCATATTAACTATGGTCTATTTTCTACCTAATTAATCAAGTATATTATGTGGAGATTTTTCAAAGAACTCTCATATGTGTTAACTCTACCAACACATACTACCTTATTTTACCTTCACAATCATTTTGTAAGGCAGATGGAGATCTGCTTTTTGAAATAATGAAAGAAGCCGGCTTGAGAATCAGATCTAGATTCTAGTGACTACCTTATAGCCTCACTTTCAACTTTCAAGTATGATGCTTCTAAAATGTTCATTGTTTTCATTCTACATTAAGACGAACTATGAAACTCAGAGATTATTTCTTCAAGGTCACATTTTTCATTAGGTCTGGCGCTGACCTTGTAATAGCATGCATCTCTAGAATTTAAGGACAACATACTTGAGATGGCTGGATACCAGGAATGTTTGGAAATGGATACTAGTAATAATCAACACACAATGGATAAGAATGGTCTTTCTAAGTGATAATTTAAGCAACCAATCTTCCCCAAGGAGACAGGTAACCTGAGGAGTACAGATCTGAAAAATAATCTCCTCAGCTATATTGCCTACTGATGATTGATGAACAGTTGAATTATTTGTAGGAATCTGTCAGGGTTTTAAATGTAGTCTAAGGGAGAGGGAGCCACCATAGTCCTTGTGGGAGATCCTGCCCTAGGATGGAGTTGATTGCATAGGCTAGAATTGCTGGATAACCTGCTCACAGGGAATATTTAACACCCTTGCTTTGTTTCTTTCTTTGCAGTATAACCTTCTGATACCAATTTGGCTTTCAATGTAGATCACGTTATTCAGTCAGCAAACATTTCTTGAGTCTGCCAAATGCTAGGCTTCATACATTCAAATATGAGAAATGTGGTCCTCGTCCTTGTGGGGTTTGTGGTCTACTTGGGTTGGAGGAGGGGAGAGAAACCAAACATATAAAAATGAGATACCTATTATAATAAAGGTATGAACAGAATGTAATGGAAGCAACTAACTATGCTGGGCCCAGGTCTAAGTGGGAGACAAAGTAATCAGAACATTTTTTACCTGGGGGCTGACAATCTGACTCTCACAGTATAAGAGAGAAGGAGAGAGCTTTTTAAGTGGGATCAAACATTTCTAAGGCATAGAGGCATGAGAAAGCATAGCTTATTGAGAAAGAATGCCAGGTTTTGTGTGATTGGAGCTTGGATTCTGGGGGCCTAGGAGCAGGGATAGGAGAAAGAAAAGAGGTAACACTGGAGTCACATGGTCCGACACTGGCAGACTTTGATTGCCAGGCCAAGGTTTTTGGGTTTTGTTCTGCAGAAAATGAAGAGCTAATTTCATTTCTTCTCATAAGAGGGAGAAGAGTTTGGTGTGTCCAACCAGTAGGAGAATTCTGTTTTTCTTGGAAGGTAACTTGATGGAAGAGTAGAGGTTTGGGTTTTATGTATAGCCTTTCATTAGGGCCAGTGGATCCATAGAATTCCTGGTGCATTGGCAATTAACCTGATTGGTAAAGTGGTGCTCTAGTTTATCATTCATTCTGTTGTAAATTTTGTAGCTTCAGGCTTCTCTGGGATCTGATCAGCTATGGGTATCTCCAGGAAACTTGATTTTCTGGATCTGCACAATGGAAGACCATTCTGTAGATCATAGGTCACCCTCTGTGGTGTTTTCTACTTCTGTAACCAGCTTGTCTCTAACTCTCAGCAGCAGATTGAAGTTGGACTCCAGGTTCTTTTAATCCTAGCCCATTGCTTACATCATTAGGTCATGCTACCTCTAATTTCAAAAGCTCAAATAAATTAGATTTTAGCTTTTTTTTTTTTATGAGAATCAAATGCTTTAGATAGCATGCTCACCATGGGCATTAGGGCACTGGTACTGATTGCAGTCTTGTCTTTAAGCCTCTGTAAGTCAGGATGAGTCTTCTTAATCTTTGTATCCCCCGTAGTCCCTAGAATGATCCTGTACCTGTAGTAGAAACTCAGTAACTGTTCACTGAGGGATGATTTCACAGTCATATTTCTCCTATAAATAGTTTTTGGCTTGTACCAGGAATCTGTCTCTTGCTAATATTTTGTATTATCTATTAATATGAAATTGATTTAAGTTCATTCAACTTTCTTGGACAATTTCCTTAGGAAAGAAGCTCATTATAACAGAAATGAGAAGGACCAAAATTTGGAGAACAGAATTTAAGGCAGTGAGTCACTACTGCAGATATAAGCTTGGGGTTTATAACCACAGTCAATGGCTGGAATCATTTGTAATTACAGGGAACATTATTTGTCTCATCAGACTATTCTAGATTGCAGACTTTTCTTCTTTCAAACAGCATAACTTTGATGTTAACATATCAAACATTTCTATTTTCCCCCGAAATGTATGATTTGAGGGTGGTAATATGAAATAGAGGAGTTTTCTGATAGTATTGTTAGGAGAGAAGTTTGTGAACTTAGGAGTTCTAATAGAATACTTCAATTAGAAAATGACTTCCCTTCCTGGGAAGGTAATCTTTCTGCCTCAGCCACTCTGTTTATCAGCATTGTTGGAGACCTACTAACTGCTAAAACATAGCAATAAATAATGCCTACATCACAAGACCTATATTTTACATCAAGAAGACCATACAGTAATAAATGGTAATTATTTTAAATAATACTCAAGGGAAGGCAAACTTCCAAAGAATACATTTTCAATGTCCCAGGCTGATGAATAAAGGGAGCATTTTACATCATTTTGGCTATTCTTTCCTTAGGGCAATAGTATATAGTGGTGCTTGCCTGAGAAACATGACACAATTTTTATTTTATTGCATGCATATCAAGCATGAAATTTTCCTTTATTTTTAAAAGTGTCTGAAGCATGGTTCAGGAATTTTTTTTTTAATTCTCGTGTTCTCAAACTGTTTAATCAATTGAAATTAAAAAAAATCTGAACTTCAACCAAGATTTTATCTCATTTTTACTTATTTTGCCTATAAAGATTTAGTTGGCTAATGAAGACTAAAATTTGTTTAAGCCCTGTATTCCTGAACTCTTTCTATCTTTATATTTCAATATGTGTGTGTTCTTGGGGCAGGGGCTGGGGTTGTGGGGAGTAGGAAGAGGAAGTGGGGAAAAGTACTTAAAAATACCTCTTATTCTTTTAAAGAAACATCTCCATACTCTTTTTGTTTATTCTTATGGTAAGTGGTTTTACAAAGTGCTGGGTAGGATAATTTCCCTGAAAATTTCCCTGGATTTTAATGACCTGAAGAATTATTCCAAATTTCTTCCAGAACACTAACTGGAAGAGCATGTGGTCTAGCCTGGAGTTTCCCCACTGTTTTTCTGGATGGGTCACACCTCTAGCCTCAGAAGGCCACCCTGGAGAAAAAATGCTTTCCTCCTCCCTGCCTTCCCTACCTGCTAAGCTAAGTTTGAGGTACTTACTGTGCTTGGCGTCCACTCACTTCCCACCTCTGATCTCCTGATGTGTTTGCTGCTGCGTTCATTTCCTTGGGGGCAGGCGCTGCACAGCTCTCCCACAGGTCTTGACACCTCCTCCCAGTCCTGCCCACTCCTAACTCTTCCACTCTCCTTAGAATTTGTCTTCTCTTTGTTTCAGATGCTGTTTAAATTTTGAAGAATAATTCTATGTGAATCCTGTATGTTCCTTTTAGACATATTTGCCTTTTATAAAAGCATACTTCAGATGCATTTTTATAATGGAAAAGAAGGAATGGTGGTTATTTCTGGTTCCATAAAGGTCTGAGCTTTTAAAAAGTACCTCAAATCACTCCCTATAGACCACAGTGACTGTACAACCTGTTTGCATCCTCTCCCCAGCAGCAATTCTCTGTCTTTCACCTCCAACATTGTTGCAATTACCTCCTTTCTTTATTCTCTTGTTAGAAATCTGTGAAATGAGATTGGCGGGGGATGAGGGGCTATGAAAAGTTGGAGAAGAGTGTAGTTAGTAGAAGCTGACTAAGGAATATTAACATCTCTGTGACATTCCCTTACTCTAGTGATCACTCAAGGATCAGTTTTCCTATTTGTCACATGGGCCTAGATAAACAGATGGGTACACCATTTTGTTCTTTCATGTTTCAGTAGTTTAGGAAATTTCCACAAAGGGGATTTTTTTTAAAGTAGGTAAGAAATTATGGGTTTAAGCTACTAATTAATTCAGAAAATGTAGGCATTCAACAAGATCCATTAACTCCACAAATATGTATTGAGAACTGGCTACGTGTCATTCACAGTTGGTAGGTACATAATTAGGTAGCTGTCACATAGGATTAAATCTACCTAGGAGTTGCTTCTCAGCCTCCCACTTTTGGAAGTTACTTCTCATTGCTAGAAGCTTGGTGGCATTCTTAAATTATTCATTGTTAGCTTCTTATCATTTGGTTGTCCTTCAGGAATATATTGCATTTATATAGAATTGTATACTTCTTCAAACGTGCTGTATTTTGAATTCAGGGGAGAAAATTTTCCCCAGATTTCAGTAAATCTGTGCACTTTGGTGTGGTGTTAATACCGCACATCTTTGCTTTCACTTACACATTCTCTACTTGCTCAGCAAGACTCTGGGTAATGGTTTTGCTCTACATATCCTGTATTAAAATGAAAATAAATTTAGTGCATCAATCAAAATTTGGCCACCTACCTGTGACCTGCTGTGATAACTAATGGGCTTTAGGTAATTGACTTTCCGTGTACTGACAGTTGTGACTTAGTGCTGAGATTTTCCAGATGACTCTGATCTACTTCATGGATGGCAAGTTGGATCCCTCTACCTTCCGAGGTCAGGAGTGCAAGCCCAGCCTGGCCAATGCGGTGAAATCCCATCTCTACTAAAAATTCAAAAATTAGCCAGGCATGCTGGCAGCCACCTGTAATCCCAGCTACTCGGGAGGCTGAGGCAAGAGAATCACTTGTACAGGGGAGGCGGAAGTTGCGGTGAGCTGAGATCGTGCCACTGCACTCCATCCTGAGTGACAGAGCAAGACTCTGTCTCAAAAAACAAAACAAACAAACAAAAAAGAAGTAGAATAAACAATTGTTATTTTTATTTTTTAAATCCCAGAGATTGAAAAGGAAAGCAGTCAGACTCCTGAGTTGATTTTTGAAACTGGAATGAGAGAAGAAGTGGTTGTGGGTCTGGAAGAGCTGGGCACCTGCACCAGACTGGGTGTGGAGCCTGGTAGGTAGTTGGGACTTCAGAGGGGCCTGGCTGAGCATGAGCCTGGCAGGTCTCAGCAGCCTGGGTGGAGTATGCTGCCAAGGGAGTAGTGCTGCTGGCAGTTTTTCCCTCTTTCCAGAGACCATGCCCACCGGTGACACTCTTTGCATGCTTTGAGTTGAAAGTTAGGTGACTCTTCTCTTTAATTTATTTAAGTCTCCTAGGGTTCTCAGGAGATGATGCAGAGGAAGGAGACGTGGAGGACCAAGCCAGTATGAGATTCTTGAGTTGGTTTCAGTTATATTTGATGATATAAGAGGATCATTTTTGCATCCTGAGGGTGGTGAGAATTTCCATTTTATAGATTAGGATTAAGGCACTATGAGATTATGATTTGCTGTGTCGTGTCTAGTCACAATGCTGAGATTTCAATAGCTGGAACCAAATAGCTTAGGCAGTCTCATTTCTTATTTCTCATTTCTTATTCCATTATTTTCCATTAAAAAATTATTTTCCCCATTTTTTATTCTTAGCTCGTTATTGTGTTAGGAGTCTTTCTTGTTGCATGTGACAGAAACCCGACCTGAACAAGCTTGAGCAAGAAAATTTGCTACAAGGAATGTGCTGTATGGATTTGCTACAAGGAATGTGCTGTCACATACCCTGAGGACAGGAATATGGCTAAGCCTTAAGAATATCATCCCAATAAGCTGTGGCCAGGCTGAACTTGTGCTATACAACAGCAGGCCCCAACCTTTTCGGCACCAGGGGCCAGTTTTGTGGAAGGTAATTTTTCCACAGACAAGAGTCGGGGGAATGGTTTTGGGATGATTCAAGTGCTTTACATTTATTGCACACTTTATTTTTATTATTATTACATTGTAATATATAATGAAATAATTATACAACCCACCATAATGTAGAATCAGTGGGAGATCTCAGCTTGTTTTTCTGCAACTAGACAGGTCTCCTGTGGGGGTGATGTGAGACAGTGACAGATCATCAGGCATTTGATTCTCATAAGGAGCATGCAACCTAGATGCCTTCTATGCACGGTTCACAGTGGGGTTCACGCTTCCATGAGAACCTAATGCCACTGCTGATCTGACAGGAGGTAGAGGTTACTCACATTACTCAGGGGTAATGTGAGCAGTGGGGAGCAGTTATAAATACAGATGAAGCACACTGCTCACTTCCTGCTGTGCGGACTGGTTCCTAACAGGCCAAGGACAGGTACTGGTCTGTGGCCCAGGGGTAGAGAACCCTTGTTATTCAACATGGAGACTCCTACAAAGCTGATGAAGTCTGGACTGGGAGGGAGATAGTCGAGGGGGCAGTTCCCAGAAAAGACGTGCTCTTAGGCAGACAAGAAATTGTTTACTACAATTAATAATAACTTTGAAATTAATTATATATATTCCACTTGCAAAATGATTCAATGAAGCTAATAGTAATACTATTCTATATTTTATAAGACTATATATGTTACTTCATATTAATCAGAATCACAACTACCCAATGCAGTAAAGCATCAGGTGTATCTGTTCCCATTTTTATAGATGATGAAACCAATGTGCAGAGAGGTTATGCAGTTTGCCCAAGGACACACAGCTGGTAAGTTGTAGAGATGGAATTCAAGCCTTTCCTCCACATGCTCTTATAGGCTTCAGTTCTTAAAATAAATCAACTCAGTTGTTCAGGTCTTTTTCACTTATTTGAAGGAAACAACATTCTGGATTAATTTTAAGTGAAAATACCCTGGAGGCACACTGAATTTTCAGACGTGGACAGCTGATCATCTGAGGAAGCTGCCGCATTTCCAGTTCTCTTTTGGTTGAGAGAAAGGCCATTCTTCATGCTCTTCTGTTCTTTTGATTTCCTATTGGCATCTCCGTTTCCCTCCATACCTTTCAACATTCAAGCCAGATGCCAATTGTCTGTGTGAAAACACACTGCATCTCAAATATACCAAGATGCCTTAATATTTGACCATATGTGAATATTCCAGTAAACTCCTGGGACTTATGTTCCAGTGTCAGTGCTGAACAACAGGAAGACTGTAAATACCATCAGCTAACCAGAAGACTCACATATGCCTCATGTTTATAAATGCCGATAGATGTAGTGCGTTCTAAATTTGAATTTTTGGTGCAAGAGAGGGGATGGGTGCTCTCTCCATGGAGGCAGTGCAGCTTGCAAACATACAAATGAATGGGACCTCCTCAGGTTGCTGCTGATCATGGCAATCAGTTATTGTGGAGAGACTTGCAAACAAGGAACATCTCTTGAGATGAACTCTGAAAGAAAAGAAGAAAAGAATGTGTCCATGGTAGCCAACCCTATATTAAATAAAGTTTGAACTAACTATATTAACTGGGCCAGAAAAATTCGCCTGAAGCTGGACAGGGTGGGATTAAATTCCAAGACCTTAAGCAAAACACTTCAAAGGACATAGGATGAATTTTGAGCAATATCTTTATCTTTGCCACCCACCGCAGTCCCCAGCCTCCTGCGATGCTGGCCTCGTCGTTGAAAAAACACAAAAGCAAACCACTTCAGGAGGATTTACTAGATGCCAAGCTTTGTTTTGGACCTGGTGAGAGTTAAGAAGATGAAATAAACAAGCCCTTTGTTCTCAAGTTGCCCAGTGATTTAGTATGAGAATCTTTATTGTCGTAAAAGTGCCTAACAATGCTAGGCAGGAAGGCAGGAAGCAGGAACTGAGGGCAATGTGTCCTTGGAATGGCCCAGAGAAGAGGCTGAGACTCTTACCTTGACTCTGAGCTGACTTAAAGGGTCTGGTATAATGGCAGTTCTTTTACTGAACTGCACTCTCTTCTAGTAAGTATAAAAAAGTTCTACTGGCAATAATAATAGCAAACATGTATCAGGTTCTTACTGTGCTAAGCACTTTAATTCTGTTATTGGACTTTCAAAACAACTTACTGAGGATGATACCATTACTTTTCCTGTATTACAGCAGAGGGAACTGAGGTTTAGAGAGAGAAAATAATTTGCCAAAGTCATATAATTGTTGTCTTATATAATTGTTCATCCCATAGAGAATGGCATTTTCATTTCTACAGAGATCAGAGTGTGTTGTTTTCTATTTCCTGTCTCAAATGTGTTACTCCTCATCTCTGCCAAAGCAGGCTCTATTTATCCTGCAAGAACTGTGGAACCTCCTCGACTTCCATCGTAAACTCTTCCTGGGACCCAGTGACTTCTCTTCCCACAGCATACTTGGAGAATTTATGCCTGCCTCATGTATTTGGCAATTGATCATAAATGGTCCTACGCTAATTCTCATTTGTCATATGATATTGTTTAATTTTGTTTAATCTTTCCATCCAGATTGTAAACTCCTTCTTGTTTCTGGCTGTGTCTAAAGGATTAAAAGTGAGTCTTTTATACTATTCACCACAATGCACAATTGAGTTGTCTTTGTATTTATTTGAGTTAAAGTTGTATAGGTTATATATTGCTGCTTAACAAATTTCCACAGACATAGTGGCTTAAAACAACACACATATATTTCTGTAATTACAATTCTGTAGGTCAGGTGTTGGGCATGTCTTAACTGGTCCTCTTCAAAGTTGCAATCAACGTGTTAGTTGAGGCTCAGTTCTCATCTGGAGGCTCAAGTGGAGATGGTTCTGCTTCCAAACTCACTTAGGTTGTTGGCAAAAGTCATTTCCTTGTGGTTGTAAGACTGAGGGCTCCAGCTTCTTGCTAGCTATCAGATTAAGCCTTTCTCAGCAATTATTGGCTGCCCCTTCCACCCCAGGTCCATGCTACAAGGTTGTCTCTCATATGCCTTTTTACAAAATGGCAATTTTCTTCTTCAAGACAGCTACTGAGAGAGAGTCTTTGGAGCAAATTTGCTGGTAAGATGGAGTCTTACATAACATAATGTCATAATGAGAGTGACTTCCTATCTCCTTTGCTATATTCTGTTGATTGGAAGCAAGTCACAAGTCTTACCTAATCTGAAGGAGATGGGGTTATACAAGGGCATGAACAACAAGAATCTGGGGTCATGGGGGGACCACCTTGGAGCCTATCCACCACAGAAATGAAAGAAGCAAGAAATGTACAAAGATTTGAGACAATTATATTTCACTTAGGAAATTAAAAATAGCACTTACAAATTTAGAAAACTGATTCTGATCTCCTTGTTTCAACTACTAAATAATCACCATCAAAATTTGAATAATCTTGGCTAAACAGCAGGTTTGGCTTGTGGAGATGGAGCCCAGGAGATAAAGCATCAACTAGGAGGTGTGTATTGAGGGAGATAACTTGCTATGAATAGTCGCCGTTCAAAGTGATGTAGTCAACTCAAGCTTTACTCTTGCCGGAGCTGAGATACAAGGCCAACTAGTCAGGAGTGGGTGGCAAGAAACTGGGTGTACTAGGACTGGGGTTCAGTAAGCCTTTCAGAGAGAGAAACTGGAAAGTCCAGGTAGTTGGTCAAGAACCCAACCTGGAGGAACAGGAATATAGCCTCTTGAAGGATTCAGTCACTATCAGGAAGCTGAGGTTGAGCCACAGCTGTGAAGAATGGATGGACCAACATACAGGTGGGCCCAGTTAATGTAGGATTGTGGCTCAGTGGGCCTGTCCCCATTTATAGGACTATCATTTGGCTGCACCTGTGGACAGAGGGGAAGCTCTTAATGTTCTCCTTGTAGAAGACCTCACTGAAGGAAGGGTCTAAGAATTATTGCATGACATTTAGGTTCTAATTCCATATAGGTCAAATTTGCAGGAAGCAGTACATATTTACATTTTGTTTTTTCCTAAATATGAGACACATTTACTTATTTATAAGATTTCATTTTTATGCCTTCCTTTCTCTTCTTCTCCCATTGTTTAAAGACCTTAATCTTCATGAAAACCCTTAGATTTCTATCGAGTTCTTCTTTTTTCATTGAAACCTAATGATAAAGATATTATCCTATTGATGGGACAAATTGGATCAGATATGCTTTTCTGCATATTGCTTATTTGTCATACACCTTCCTATGCCTTTTTAAATAATACATGTTTTATGGGGCCTTTCTCCTGTGACTCATTTTTGGAGCTGATCCGATAAGGAGTTATTCTCCAGACGTGGCACCACTGACCCTCATTTCAAACTACATTTTTAATTTATTTTAAAAAAGATATTTCATTCACAGAATCCCCACTGAGCTTTTTATTGTGAAAAATTAGGACCCGTAAATCATCCCCCTCAGAACATTATAAATTTTATACAATTGAAACATTCCATGGACTGAGCTTGGCACTTTGATGAAATCACTCCTTTGCTTCTCTTAATTTATGAGCTTTCTTCATTCTCCTCCCTCCTGCTCCATCATCACCTTGCCCTCCCAGCAAGAGACGGGGTGGTATCATGCCTTTAAATTGCTCACTGGGGTTTATTGAGTGTAATTTGTGAGTGAATTTATATGAACCTACAATATTGCAATTTATCCAAAATTATGAACAATAAAACTTTTCATTTTTCTGGCAGTCAGAAGGGACGTGGGTTGATCACGCAGGAGGTAGCTCAACATGGTGCACTGGGGAAGAACCAAGTACCTGGAAGCCAGATGATGCGGGGTAGAGGCACAGCTCCCCCAGTTGTTCGGAGACGGAGGCCTCGGTTTCCTCAGAGCATGCATGATCTTTAAGATTGTTTTTTTTTTTTAGCTCTCATGCATTTTGATTCTATGGATTGAGATGGTTTTTGCCTTGTTGCTTCTTTTTAAAGGGTAATTATGAAAACCAACATGATGTATCTTAAAAGTTTGATTTTCAATATGGAGAGTTAGCTTTCATTTTTTAGGGGAAAGAAGGTATGAGAGTAAGGGGAAAGCACAACCATGTAAAAGAGCAAAGTACTCCTGATTCTTGTCTGTGAGGTTTGCACTGGATTATAAGGTCCTTGAAACCAGGGGCTGTGTATTTAACTTTGAGGCCCTGGCTCCCAGTACAGAGAAACTGATACCTGGGTTTCTGATAAAAGTGTTGAATTAATATGGAAAAATCCAAAGTCGGGTTACTCCCACAAATCCAAATGCCTGGAATAGTGCCAGACCCACGGAAGGTGCTCAATACATAATTGTTTGATATCCAACAGATGGGCTACTGGCCATAATTGGGATCTTGGTGTTTCCGTTTCCACTCCTGGTCCATGTGACATCCTTATTTTTTATATCTTAATGTTTTTTTGACTAGGATTCCAGTTGGATTTTTTTTTTTTTTGATTGAGTCTCATTCTGTCACCCAGGCTGGAGTGCAGTGGTATGATCTCAGCTCACTGCAACCTCTGCCTCCTGGGTTCAAGTGATTCTCCTGCCTCAGCCTCCCAAGTAGCTGGGATTACAGGCGCCTGCCACCATGCCTGGCTAATATTTTGTATTTTTAGTAGAGACAGGGTTTCACCATATTGGCCAGGCTGGTTTCGAACTCCTGGCCTCAAGTGATCTGCCTGCCTCGGCCTCCCAAAGTGCTAGGATTACAGGAGTGAGTCACCACACCCAGCCTCCAGATGGATCTTTTAAGAAATTGCTAGCTTTTTGGCCTCACTACTTCTCGCGCTGTTGGAAAGGGTTTTGCTGCTGCAGAAATAGGCTAGAATTCGAAGATAGATGTTGTATGGCAAAGTGGCTGAGCTTCAGCTCTGGAGAGAGACTTGGGTTTGAATGCGGCCTCTATAACATAAGCTCTGTGACCTTTGGTGGAATATTTTCCTCCTGCTAAGCTCTACTTTACTTCTCTGTAGAATGGGGGATAATAATTATACTTATTTCTTAGGGTAGAAGTGAGGACTCAAAGCAGCTATCCATATAAAGAGCTTAGCCCAGGGCTGGCATATATTAAGTATTCAATACATGTTACCTATGACTTGAATTTAATTATTATTAGGAGTATTGGTGTATACATCAGTAATTGCCACAGTTTTTACTTTTGCATTAAAATTCAGATTCTGGCCACTGCACTCCAGCATGCGTAACAGAGAGTGACCTCTCTCTCTCAAAAAAAAAAAAAAAAAAAATCAGACTCTGTGGGGACACTATGATTATTGTCCTATATACAATTTATTTAGTTAACAACTTTTTCTTTAGCTTTTCAGGATATATTTTGAGATCCTTGTGTTAAAAGAAAAGAGTATCACTAATATTATTAACAGAACCTCACCATTTTGGATAGAGAGCGTTGCTTGGATTTCTAATTACTTCTAAGTGTAGTTTTATTTAATTTCAGTCCTTTAGAAAAAAAATGAGAATATAGTGCTGAAGCATCTGGTATTTATGTTTTTTCACAAGATGGAAAATTTCCTTCCTGACAGTTGTTGGTTATGACTTTGCCTATGTGCAATTATAATACAGCACACTACTGTTTTAAGAAGAGTATCATTAGCGTCAGAATGCAAAACAGTCTGAAATACTCGAAAATCAAGCTGAAGCCAATTCCCTTTTCTTTGACCTGCTTGCAGGATACCCTGACAAGGTATGAACTGGAGTATGTGTCTTGGAACTATTTACCCCTTAAATATGAAAAATGTAAATAAGCGATGGAGTTTGGGGTGACAGAGGATCTAAAGTGATGGCCACCCAGCCCTTGCGAGTAAAATATGGCTCACTTAAAGACATTTCAGTCCTAAATCATGCACAGCAGGCGAGTTTGTGGGCTGAGCGGCTTGCACAAAAACATTCCTTTGGGACCATTTAAAAAGGCTGAATAAGCAAGGAATCCTGTGTGACAATGCTCAGAATACCAAAGGAGCGGTTCAGGTATACATATTATTGCCCGTGGCTCGAAGCCCAATAACCTTTTCCTTATTGAGATAGATTCCCTGGACAGAAAACAAATCCTTTCCAAGTTAGAGAACTTTATCAGATTTATTTCTCATTGTCAGGTCAGCATGCAGGAAACAAATGAAGTCTGTCGCGTGATTCATATTAGAAGGAGAGCAATTTATAGTGCTCACTGGCTTCTCACAAACCTTATTAATGTTTGGCATAGGGTGCCAAGGAATCATAAAGAATCATCCTGTTGAGCATTTATATCTGCTTAGTCTCTGATTATATGTCCTCGACACAGCTTAAATAATGGCAGACAGAGCATCTCGTGAGCAGGAAATGAGAAAGTAACACATGTTTTTGTCTCATATTCAAATATTCTTCCCTATCTTTTTAAAGTCTTCCCCTGGGAGGCAAAGAACTGTTTTTAGGTTTCATTTTTCCTTAAGCTGTTGCTGCTCTTGCCTGTAATTTCCACTTTGTTTAGATTTGTCACAGCCCTAAAATGGAATTAAGTTGCTTATTTATGCTCATGTCTTTTGTTATTTTGAATTTGGGGCATTTCTTACTTCAGTCATGGCTATATAGTTGCTCCACTTCACATTCCCTTTTGAATTCTAGCCCCTTGTGCCTTTGTGATGTGAACTCATTAAGGATAGTGCCAACTTATTTATGAAGTTCTTAACATATTTGACCTAATAATACTAATAGATGGCATTTGTTCAATGCCACCTATGTGGCACATAAAATATAAATGTATGTGCCAGGCACCTTACATTTATACTTTATGTAATCATCATAACAACCTCATGAGGTAAGTAGTATTATCACACTCATTTTAGAGATCAGTTACCCTGGGATACAGTGCTACTAAACAGAAGAGCTGGAAATTGCACCCCAACAATCCACTCTTCACTGAGCTGCACTCCTTCTCTAGAACATTAATTTATAGTTCATTGAATGTGGTGCTCTAGAAAACATGAGCATAACAAAGAGAGAAGAGAGGAGGAAAATGGGAAGAAATAAGGTTAAATGTAGAAAGATGGACAGCATGACATTCTACCAGCAATTGATCTGAGGGACTATTAGTTGTACAACTGGCTCTTGAATTTAATTGGCTTCTCAGGTGCCTTGCTAATGGCTAGTGATGTGGATGGGTCATTTGACCCTTCTGATACCTGAAAAGGACACTCTTCTACTATATGGAATTAATCGTTTGGTAATTTTTTATTTTGAAATAATTTTAGACTCTCCAAAAAGTTACGAGTACAGGGAACTTCCATATCCCTCCAACTATAATATCCTAATTGTTAATGTTTTACCACATTTATTTTTATAATTTTCTCTCTATATAGACACTTATTATTTTATGAATCATTTGAGAATAAGTTGCATGCTCAAATACTTTGGTGTGTGTTTTCTAAGAAAAAGTAAATTCTCATATACCCACATTATAATTATTGCAATCAGAAAACTAATACTGATTCAATGCTAACATCTAAAGTACAAACTTGTATTTCACCAGTTGTCCCAATGAAAAGGTTTTGGGAGGGGATGTTCAGGGACCAATCAAATTACATGTTGCAGTTAGTTGTCTCTTTAGTCTCTTTTAGTCTGGAACAGTTTCTCTTTGTGATTTTTCATTTTGACATTTTTAGAAAGGGTATATAGGTCAACTGTCTTTCAGACTGTCTCTCAATTTGAGTTTGCCTGATGCTTCCTCATGATTGCACCGAAGTTACACCCTTTGGGCAGGAATGACACTGAAGTGATGCTATGTTCTCAGTGCATCATACCAGGATGCACCTCATGCTAATTTGTCCAGCTATTGGTGATGTTAACAGATTGCTCTAATGTAAGGCTACAATTTTTCAATGTACTAAAGTTAAAATTTGATTTAGATTCTAATTTCCTCAGAATTGGGTTCAAATCAAGTCCATTGCTTAAGAAGCTTTGGGTATTCTGAAAAAGCTAACTTCCTGATCTGTAAGTATCAGGATCAGTCATGGAAAGTGGTGCCTGGCACATACATTTATATTTTATGTGCCACATAGGTGGCATTGAACAAATGTCATCTATTAGTATTATTAGGTCAAATATGTTGAGAACCTCATGTAAGTATTGCTTAATGTCTTGGGACATTAAGCAGACACAGGAACTTGGTACTCTAACTCCAGGGAACAAACCAGAAAATGGCAGAATTATTGTACAAGACCAGGTCTGGGTTGGCACCAAGCATGACTTGAAGAAGGCACCAAGGATGGGGCTAGAAAGCTAGTTAAACTTTTAGCCTCAAATCTGGCTGGGTCTGAGAGACTGAGGAAGAGAATCAGAAGATTTCAGCTGGCGGAGAAGCAGGGCACAGTGTGTGGACTGAGCTTGATGGCATGATCAGCTGATGCTGCTAAAGACCTGAGACTCTTAATCAGCAACTGTGCAATCAGCAATAGCAGTTGTACCCACCTTATCTGCTATGGAGGCATTATTATTGGCTTTTTTGGGGGGCATTTAATGAAAATTTCTTGCTTTCAAGGTTATTCTTCAACTATACATCACTTGGGCAGTGCTGAGAAACACATAGGATGATTTGGCCTGGGCTCCATATCCTTCCCAGGAATATCTTAAGACTGAGAAATATGGTCTCTTTTCCATACCTCCAAGTTGCTTTTACATGGATGAAGAGAATCAGAATGCTCAGTGAAATATGTATTCAAAAAGAAATGTACCAGAATAAAATTACATTAGAAAATAATTGCTTCTAAAAATCATCACCCATTCTTACCCTCTGTTATTCTGTTCTCTTTCAACTGTCTGTATTTTAATCCCTTTCTTCTTCCCTGATGTTTTCTATTCATTTAATTTAAGCAATGTTTCTGGATACCATAGCAATAGCAATGAGGTGTTGTATAAACGTACAATGGAGCAGAATGGAAATGCTTCCTATGGTAACAGAAACCATAGAAACATGTGCGTGTGTGTGTGTGCATGTGCGTGCACACACACGTGCATACAAAGCTGTTTTGGGGTCAAAGCTTTGTAGAGTTCATGCAACTAGGAAAATGAAGTGTTTCACTGTGATCACATTGCTATTTGTATCTATTGTCATCATGATTTAACATTTATTGCATGCCTATAGTCCCCTGGACAGACCCTGGAACTAGATGTCAACTCTACTTAGTGGATTTATGTTTGAAATTAGATAGCAAAGCCACAAAATGGAAAAAGATGAGAATACTTCCAAAACAGAAATATTGAATAATGCATTTTCAGAAAAATTAGGTAAGGAGAAAATGAGTTTGACCCAGGCAGTTAGGAATGAAGGATATGGGAGGAGACTTAAATGTCTAGATTAGAGATGGTTTGCAGCCATTTCCAAGAACCCTGGGAGGGACTGCTTGTGCTGCATGATCTAACACTTTAATCCTCTTCTGCCATGGCTCAGACCCCATGGGGTGGAATCTTGATGAGGAGACTCCCTGTCTTGGATAATAATAACAAGCTGTCTTCTCTGTAGGCAAATTTTCAGGTGGAAGTCTCACTCTACCACTCTCATAACCAATGCAACAAATAATCAAGTTCTCAAGCTGCAAGGAAAACTGAGGGGATTATTTTTAAGGATGTAAAGAACATTAAACAATGAAGAGATAGTTTCTCAGAGTAAGTTTTTTCCCTCCTTTGCCAGGTGCCTGATATCATCTTTCTTGTCTACCTTAGACACCCCCCACACTTTTTAATATTAAAAGTCTCTTAATAACAAAAGTAAACAGCATGTTATTTATGGAAACTGCACAACATTAGCTTTGCTAATTACATGGTTACTCACTTTCCCAGCACCAGATCACCTCTTATTTGTTTCCAACTACTGTGGCCACCATGTGTTTTAAGTGTAAGACAGAAATAATAAACTGCAGGTTTCCAGGGTACTCACGTATTATTTCTGCAGTTCACACAGGACATGTACCATCTGGGTTTGAAGGGCACATCATTCCAAGGCGGAATGGAGTGAGTAGGGCTTTCCCAGTAGAGCCACTGACTCTATGGGGAAATTTCAAATGGAGTTTTGGGGTCAGAGAGACCTAAGTTCAGATGCCTGGCACAATAACTTCCCACTTACATGAAATCTTCTTTGCCTTCTCTGTAAGTAACTTCTCTGCCTCTTGGCTTACTGTATATAAATTGGGTATATGATGCCTAATTTCTAGTGTGGCTCTGAATCTTAAATGAGGTGATACAATATGGCACTTGCCGTAAGGTAAGTTATTACTGAATGATGGTCTTAGTTTCTTTCTACTCCATTTCTGTCTCTTCTAAACTCCTAAGAACTAAGCTGAGAAGGCATAAAAGATGACACACAGACCATTCAGCTCAAAATCCAGAATAAGAAGCCCAAACTGGAGTATATTCTGCAGAAGATTTGCTGTCTTAAGGGAGCTACTATTAGCTCAGCTTTAACCCTCCTTCCCATCTCTTTCTGGTTAGTGAACTGGTGCCACCACCTGCCCATTAGAGAACCTGAGCTATTTGTTCAGTGATTCACGTCTCTGGATTCAGCACTGAGCCTGCATAAACTCCCAACTCAGTCAGCAACACTGTGCTAACATCTACTAGGAATGGTTCAGTCCCTGTAGATCTGAGAAATAATTCCTGTGGTTACATCAACTGTTTGGATCTTTGGATCCATAAATTATTTCTGTCTTTTCTTTTTTGAAGGGTTTTCTATTTGAATGCTGTTTTATCTCAAAAGGCAGTTGGTTCCATTCTGACATGGTAGAGATATGAAGCTTCCTTCAACTGACACAGTTTGGCTAGATGCCAGTCAGGAGTACCTCCAAGATATTTTGGCTGTAGGATAAGTTACAGATAGCCTGGCCTTGCCATCTGCAATGATCGGTTGTAGTAATAACAATCTCTGGGTGCACAATTAACCAATTCTGAAAATGTGAAACTTATTAATTATCCTGCATTTTTGCTTGGCTGCTAGCTAACTCTGTCTAGATCCTGTTTCTTGGCATTCTCTCATCTGTCATTTCTACCACAAATCCCCTACAGATCGTTAGTTGCCTATGTTCCTCTACTTCATTGTCTTTCTTTCAGTCATTGACTGTTACTGAGATTTTTTTTTTCATGAAATCAGAGTTTTAGTATTCTTTTTTTATTATAGGGAAAAGAAACCAAGTCTCCTTGAATCAGTTTATCCCAATGTCTTCTGGTTTTCTATGTTGGCTACAGTCAAGATAACCTATTACTAAGGTAGGTTGTGTGTTTCTAGACCACCAAATCTGTTCAATAGACCTTTTTGCATCTGAGTGGACAGGTCCTAGATGACACTGGAGACATAGAGGTGAACTCCCTCCCTGGCCTTCAGGTACTCACATTGCATTTGGGAACCTAGGCATTAAGCAAACAACCATGATACAATGTGCTAAGTGCTATCACTAAAGTATAAACAAAGTGGTTTGAGGGGCGTTATGTTCCCCCATATTGACCTGAAGCTGTAGTATTTTGACTGCTTCTAGAGTACCTGTATGTCTCTGCATGTCCAGGCAGTCTGATTTATTAACAGGGCCCTCTTTTAATCTTGGAGTCTCTATGTGGATGATAAACTGTATGGTCTTTCTATTTATAAATCAAAAACCAATATAGGAGGCTAGTTTAATTTGTGAGCAAATATGTTTCTATTTATTAAGAATTCTTGAGTTGCCTGCCTCTACATTAGTGGTTGAGGCAGTGGAGTGAGTTCCTGATCTGACTCACCTTTCTCACCAACAGTGATACTTGTACTTTAGCATATACATGAGAGACTGAGTTGATTCTATAGCCTAACTGGAATTTATTCATTCCTTCATCCATCTACTCAATGAATCAATTCTACATTTACTGAGCACTGATTGTGTGTCAGCCAATCTACTAGGCACGTGGGATACAGTGATGATCTATATAGATATATCTCTGCCCCCACAGAACTTACAGAGTGGAGCCTCAAAAAGTGATTTCAATTTTATCCATCTGCTTTGTGTCTTCTCTTTAAATCCTTGCTACCCAAAGTAGGCTCTCAATATTAGCAGCATCAGTGTCACCCAGAAGCTTGTTAGAAATGGAGAACTTAGGCCCACCTCACACCTATTGAATCTGAATCTGCAGTTTCAAAAGATCCTCAATAATCTGAGCAGATTCTGATTCAGTTGGTCTAGGGTCTTCACTTCTGACAAACTCGCAGGCAATGTCAATGCTGTTGGTCCATGGATCGCACTTTAAGGGACTTCCCCAGTTCTTTACAAAATGTGGGTTGCAACCCAATAGTGGGTCATGAAATCAATATAGTGAGTTGTAACTAGCACATTCAAAAATATTTTAAAATAGGATAGAGTACACAAACAATTCAGAGTGCATTTCATGTCATGATGAAGGCATTGTTGCATGAAACTTGAATCAGCTTTTTGTACATCTGCACACAGACACAAACACAGATGTATGTAGACTGAGTTCTGATGAAAACGTATTTCTTAATACGGGTCGCAGCTGATAACAGTTTGAAAGTTATTGTTCTAGACAAGCTTATCTAGGCCAGAAAGAAGTCCTCAGAAGTGATTCCAGTCTAGAACAGAGAGCTCAGATCAAAGGGGTTCTGTTAATATTAGAACTATCCAGAATCCCAGTGAGGACATCCAGGAAAAAGTAGAACAGTGGGGCTAGAAAGATCCTCTACTAGGGGTGACAGCTGTGTGCTGATTGGATGATGAGATGCCCATGATTAGTGGCTTGTACCAGTTGGCATTAGGTTTTTGCATGACCCAAGATTTTGGACTGTGAGCTCCTTGAAGGTGGGACCTGTATGTTACTCCTAGAGGCTAAAACAGTGCCTTTCCCGCAGGGGGAGTTTCCGCAGTGTACTGTGACTTTTTATATCTTTCATACTACTCAATATACCACATGTAACAAATGAGGTCTTTTCTGTCTTTCCACTGGGAATCATGTATTATTCATCTTTGCTTTTTTCTAGGGCCTACTCCAATATCTAGAGATGGCAGATATTCAGTAAGTTTATTCACTTAACAAATATTTTATTTGTTATTCAGCAAAGAAGATTTTCTCTCAGCTATATTACATCAGTTTTAGAAGGCACACAGATGAACAGGCTTGATAAAGAGCAAATCTGTGAAAAACAAACACTTGTGGACTAAATGGTATCACATTTACAGAGCTGTAAGAGAGGTATAAGTCACCCTGGGCACCGAGTTTTATGCTGTATTGATTAACTTTCCATTTCCCTTGGTTCAATTTTAGTTTCTCTCTTAGAATTATGTTTCTACCCTTTGCATTCTCACCGCCAATCATTTATTGCTGCACGTGTCTTTCCCCCTCCATATACTGTGCTCCTTAATTCACTAAGGGACTGTACTAACATAGCCTAAATACCCACCTTCCAGCCACCCTTCAGGAGGGTATTAGCTGTATTTGTGCACAGCGAGAGTGCCTTCAAGGCAGAGGGCTTCCTCCCCTATACTTCACCTCCAAATCTCTTTCCTTTCCACAAATGCTAGTGCTAGGCAGCTGTGCTCACTATTATTCGTCTTCTCTGTAGTTCTTGACTTTGCCTGTACGTTATAAACACTTGGTATTTTAATATTTCCCATGTCCAGGTTGCAGTTCAAACCAATGAAGTCAGAATCTCTGGAGGTGGGACAAAGGTATTTGTAGTTTTTAGGCTTCTCAGATGATTCCAATGTGCAGTGAAGATTGAATGCTATTGCTTAGAGGAAAATTCAGTCACCTGATATTTGAAGTTTAGGTAATTTCCTTAGCCCTCAAAATATGTTCATTTCTTTTCTAGTCCTTAGTATCCCTGCCCAAGTCTGAAAATATTTATATTGCTATTTAATCAGAAGTAAAGCAATTAAAATGTACATGTTACTCAAGAAGAAGAAACATTAGAACATTGCTCAACTTATCACCTGTGTGGTTATTAAGCTATTGTCTCTATTTCAAAAGCACCTTTCTGTATTCTACTTTGTGACTCTGGGTTTTTTTCACCATCTAGCTCTTAGGTGGCACTAGAAGAGGACCACAAGCCTGCCAGAGGGAGGAGAGTATTGCTTCTTCCTGTTCCCATTAGTGTCACCTCAGCAGTGACTTTTCACCCTGGAGTGGCAGGCAAGTTTCTAGATTATTTGAGTACTCCCCAAATCAGTCTTGCTGCACCCCCTGAGAGATACCAGCAGCAATGAAGTGTGAGTCCCAGCTCTGGGCTCCCCCCTCCAAGATTCTGGGTTTTCGTAATCCCTTGTGCTTATTAATGCTGTTACCTTAGGGTCCTTTTTTTTTTTTTTTTTAATTTTCAATGCTTGTCCAGCAAGTTTCCTATACTAAATTGCTATATGGAAACATCTATTCTTCTCTCCTTTGACTGTACCTAACTCAAAATGCCTTCTCATTTAACAACCAGTGCTCTGCAACAAGGTGAGCTTTCTAGGAAGGCAAATAACAAGAAGGCTCAGGTTGGCTTGTCTCCATTTTGGGGCAATGGGAGTGTGCTGGAAGTCTTCCAAGGAACAAGAGTGAGAAGAAGATGCTAGAATGAAGAGGTGGACAGACATAGGGGAGGAAAGCGCACTGGATACAAACTTTATTACCTTCATTATTTTGCTAGGTCTGTCTTAGCTGAGAGACTCTGAGAGTATTAATCAGAGATAAATGGGAAGTAAGTAATAGTCTATAGTAATCCATAGTGGCATTTATTAATAATACAAATCTTCTGGCCTCCATCTCTTCTTCTTCCCATAAGCCCACAGTTTGTCCACACATAAGCATATGTGGTTTTGTCCTTAATAATAGGGTAGTGCAAATAGTTAATTCACTACTCCTAGTGCCACGAGTGGCACGTTGGAGACCATCCTGTCTGTTCTTATGTAACCTGTCATAAATCCACGTGGATATGTATCTCATTAAGACAGCCATTTAGGATTTGCTTTTTCAGAATTGTCTACTTTGGTCAGTAGTATTTTAACTGTAAAATAAGGATGGTTTCACTTGGTCCAAGTGTCCCTACTGTACCTAATACATTTAACTTTACAAACAGTTTTATACAAGCAATACATTAACCAATGAGCTGTAATGAGTAGAATTTGGATGTTCATGAGGGAGATTTAAATTCACACACCATTTTCCTAGACTCCTTCACTGTCTTGACACTTTCCTATTATTAGCTCTCTTTTTGGAGATATTTTGTGTTAAAATTCCAAAAAGTTCTCAGTCACCATCTGAGAATTTTTGCGTATACAACAATGTAAAGAAAAACTAGGCCTTGCTAAGATGAAGTACCCAGGATCAACTGGTAGCCTAGGAGTTTGACTATGGTCCACGATTCAAATTGGTGGGCCAAACAATAACAAAGGTGGACTTTTGGGGGTTACTTTTGTACATTTGCTTTTTGTATCCTCGCTAAAGAGGTGAAGTAACTAGTAGCCAGTGTGTTGAGGGGAAATTCACTACTGCCTGGAGGCTCTACTGTGTATTCTACACCTCCTGGTCTCCAATGAGATCTTTATTTCTTGTTTTGAATACTTATATTAACTCCAGAAAAAATTTAGTTCTAGAATCTGGATACTGAGCAACACTGCAGCTCTCTTTCTTAGTTCAAATAGTCTCATCTGCTTTTCTTTGATGAATCTTTTTCTTTGTAGGATCTGTTTCTCTGTGGGATCAACATTTTCTCTCTGTGTGTCAGAAAGAATGTCTTTTACCGTCCTTGACAGGGAGAGTCACTTTCTGTTGCATGTGAGCAATCAGAGCAATCATCCTTCTCTCACGTTGAATGAGTAGGTCAAACAGTATTAGTAATATTGCCTAGTTTACTCTAATGTTGATTATATTAGTTTTTTTGCATTTTTTGTGATCTAGAGCTTCAGTTGAACCTTTCATTCTGACCATGATTATTTAGTAAGACCACAGATCCATCCACTAACTTAAAGGAGAATGAATGACCAACTGTAACCCCGCCATCTGATTAGGAAAACAAGGAAACAAACAAAGGCAATAAAGCCCTTCAAAAATGTTTTTAACCAGAAAACACTGAATAGTAGAAATATCACTGTAAATGGAGTCAGGCGATGTGGATTCTAGTCAAAGCTCTACCACTTATTAACTGCGTGACCATAGAATGTCGCTTAACCTCTCTGAACCTTAGTTTCCTATTCCATAATGCAAAACGTAAGTTATAATATGCGTTTTGTCCACCTTACAGACAAGGATCTTTTACAGAGGCTGGAAATTCCTCCAACTCGTCTGTTCAGGTTGACTTTCTGGAAAAGTGTTTTATTCTCAGAGGATTTGATTATTGAGTTATCTTTCTATTCTGCTGCTGTCAGTAGATTTGCCATAAATGTTTCCTGAGAGTCTCTCTCTTGAAGAGATTCAGGCCCCAGTTAAGTTCATCCCAATTAAAAATAGAACCCTGAGATGCAGCAGCTGTAGCACCTCTTAAACCTCTTCAAATAACATTGAACGATTAAGTGGCTGCTACTGTGGAGATAGTGCCCACAAAACCAGCAGCAGGCCCTCTCGGAAAATGATAACACTCTAAGTGGCTGTCAGTCCTTAGTCATTTCTAGTCATTCAGGGGATGTTGCCTTATCTTCTACAAGTTCTAAAAGTTCCTGGGAAGAGAAGAATCACATAAATTCTTTATTTAAAAAAATCCCCCTTCCCACAGCAAAATTCTCTAAAACAATACTAAACAAGCAGGCATGCGCAATTCTAATGAAGTCTATCATTTGAGTGGAAGAGAATTGCTATGGTTACCAATGTTTCTGTCTGGCAGTTTTGGGATAAAAGTCTGATGAAGTGATATTGTCTGGAAAATGAGCATTGATTCCTAGGGAGATGGAAGAATTTACTTTTTTTCTTCCTATTTCTTGAATACATGGCTAGCTTTCAAATATATGACTCAACAATTACATTCGGCTTGAATGGATTTTTTTCTGACATTGTTTCTTATTTTCTTCTGATTTATCAAGGAGAGTTTAAAAATAAACTTTCCTTATCCCATCCATAATAGAAATTTCAGCTATTAAGAACTTACCAAGTGAAAAATTATAGAAATCACTAAAGTTCAGAGGGAGATCTCTTTATTATATTTCAACAGCTATTTGCTTTGGAGACATTTCTTTTCCCCCTTTGTAAAGCTAAATTGCATATATCACTATTTATTAATAAGCAGAATGACAATTATTTAGGCTGCCAAATCTCTTTTATAAACATTTCGTTAGCTAGGTAGGATTTTTATATACTTTCCCAAAGGGCCAAGTTGACAGACATGGGCTTTCACTTTATTTCCATAGAGATCTGGATCCAAATCCCTGGGTCCAAATATATGCCATTCACTTCCCATATTTAGTCCTGTTATCTCTCTGAAGACTGGCCCAAGAGAGGCCTTTCTGATGAGACATTTAGCACAGCGATTAATCACTAGATAAACATGTGAATGGGTCCATTTGCAAAGTGAAAGCTCCCTAAACAGAGGCTTGTCCTTTACAAAAAGAGCAGGTCCAATTTTCCTTAAAAGTTCATGGTTGCCTATGTGGTGTGATTTGAGAAATCCTGAACCTTCTGTTCCCATTACTTTCCCTGTTGAGCTCTACATTTCATAGTGTATCACTCCTGTGGATGAAACCTGGCCTCTCCAGGGCAGTTTCTCTAATAAATGGCCATAGTCCTGGGAAAGGTCCTGATGCCTTAGTGTGCAGTGTGCTTGACACCATAAGATCCTTTCTTCTTTGATAAAAAAAAAAAAAAAAAAGACTAAGACAAGAAAACTGGTGGCTGTTGGGGAAAGGTGTGGAAAGAATGAAAGAAGAAAACCGATGCATGGAAAGATGGTAAAGTACCAATGGACCGGTGTGAGTCAGGTTCTGAATTTAGGAGTGAGGACTCAAATATGCCTGTTTACTGGGTTAGCTTTTGGAACGATCCTATGGAACATATATCCTATGAACATTATAGAAGTCACTAAAGCTGACTGCAAATTGAGTGTAAGTTGAGAGTATCTTTCTGGAAAAACAAATTGGAAATATTTATCAAAGGGATAAAGAACTTACATATATTTAGAACCAAAAATTTCAATTGCAGGACTCTATCCTAAGAAAAACAATTAGCAATGAACACGTTTCAACCCAAAGATGTTCACTGGGACATTATTTAAAATAGCAAAAATATTAGAACAAGTTACATGTTTATTAATAGAGAAATGAATACTATGGAAATAAATTTATGCTGTAAAAGTGACCAAATAAAGCTTGGCTCAGGGGCTCATGCCTGTAATCCCAGCACTTTGGGAGGCTGAGGTGGGCCGATCATCTGAGGTCAGGAGTTCGAAACCAGCCTGACCAACATGGTGAAATTTCATCACTACTAAAAATAAAAAAAATTAGCCAGGTGTGGTGGCGCATGCCTGTAATCCCAGCTACTCTGGTGAGTGAGGCAGGAGAATCACGTGAACCTGGGAAGAGGAGGTTGTAGTGAGCTGAGATCACGCCACTGCACTCACCCTGGGTGACAGAGCAAGATTCCATCTCAAAATATAGTATATAAAATATGCTAATAATATGATCTCAAACATATAAAATAGGTAAAAGAAAGGAATTTTAATAGTGGTTGTCCATGGATGATTGCTATTTTTATTTATTCCTTTTCATATCTTCTAAATTTTTCAGAATGGTCATTTATTACTTTTAGGTACAAAAAAGTTATTTAAAAATTCATCCAAAAGCAAATGTTTGTGTCAACGTTACAAACCTAAAATATGGATGTCCTCTAAGGAGGTTGACTTCAGCTGTATAGCTATTTCCCAGTGGATAATTAAAGACCTGTCAGACTTTCTCTCATATATGAGTCCTTTATGTTTAAGGGCTGTAATTCTATATAAAATGTCTGCATAGAATAACATTTGGCACCTGATGTTTGATTCTGGATAGTATTGTAGTTCTCTATTGCCAAATGTGAGACTAAAAAGTTAGATGGAGGTTAGCATCAAGAAATGTTTTCTAAGCTTTTCCCCTGGAACTGGACAATGGTAGAAATGTGCCAGAAGCAAAGGAAGCCTGTGGAATAAGTCTCTTTCAGCCCAAAGTTATATTAAATAGTTTCATCTATTCACTGGACATAGATTTGAGTCATCAAACTTCTTCCCTAAGTTTGGTTTGCTTCCCATGTTTCAGATATATCTGAAGAGCAGGTCTGGCCTCACTGCCTTGGTACCATTTTGGTGATCTTCCCTTCACCTGGAATGCATCTTAAACCTCTCCTATCTCAGGTTTCTTAGGCCCACGTTAGGTAATAGCTCTTTGAAACTTCTACTATTGCCCCCAATTGGTGTGATCTCCCCATCCTTTGAACTTCCATGGCACACTTATATGGTGTTTTCATATTAACTCTATTAGATTATCAATTTCTTAAGCACAAGGTCTGCTGTGCCTTACTCAACTTTGTATTCCCCATGTCTTGCCCATCTTAGCAGAACTGAATTTGTTTATTTAATGAATCAGGTACTAGTTTGGCTGGCCCAAAGTCTGACTGTCTCACTTCATGCCATTTAGATATGATGCCCATTTATTAGCTCTAAAAAATCACAAGTAAGAATAACAATGAATTTTTCAAAACTTCTTGATGAAATATCTTTCTAGAATAAACTATTAAGAAAACAAAAACATAGAGCACAGAGCTACAAACTTAAGTTACCAGGGTGCTCTACCATGGTTTATTGATCTTTAGTAGTGTGGAAGAACAACCTGTGCTTTCGTGTTAGAAAGAACTGGGTTTGAAGCTAATCTTGACAATTATTGGCAGTGAAATTTTGGGTTAATGTTCTATCTTCTTCAAGTTTAGTTTCCTTACTTTCAAAATGTGGAATTAGTTAATTAATGGCTGTCTCCTAGTGCTGTTGTGAGGGTTATATAAAATGATGTATGAAAGCACTTAGCAAAGTATCTGGCACACAGATTTAAGTCTCTATGCTCATGAGGACAGAGAATCCATCATGTCCAGGACAATTTATGTTCTCTTGGAAAGTCAGGGTTATATCCCCTAGACTTTGCAGGGTAGTTAATTTCTGGGTCTATTATTCTGAAATCACCAATCTACTCTCATAACCACCCCCCACTCCGCCACACAGACACACAAACAGCTCATCTGAAAATTTTGTAGGAATACTGATGTTGGGCTCTGATATGGTTTGGCAGTGTCCCCACCCAAATCTCATTTTGAATTGTAGCTCCCATAATTCCCATGTGTCATAGGAGGGACCTGATGGGAGATAATTGAATCATGGAGGGAGGTTTTCCCATGCTGTTCTTGTGATAGTGAATAAGTCTCATGAGATCTGATCGTTTTATAAAGGGGCGTTCCCCTGCACATGCTGTCTTGCCTGCCATGTAAGACTTTGCTCCCCATTCATCTTCTGCCATGATTGTGAGGCCTCCCTAGCCATGTGGAACTGGGAGCCCATTAAACCTCTTTCCTTTATAAATTACCCAGTCTCGGGTATGTCTTTATTAGCAGCATGAGAACAGACTAATACAGGCTCAGAAAATAATACCTCCAAATGAGAGCCTCCACAGCAGCCTTAGAAGAAAAAGTTTTTCTCTGACCTTCTCTTGCCCTCCTATCTCTCAGTCCCATTTTTCCTCAAGGCTAGGCATAGAAACCAGAATCCTTCCCCAAGGAAGGTCATAGAAAGCAGAACCTCTTTTCCCAAAAGCCAGCCATAAATCCTGAAAATATTATATGTAAGAACTGACCATAAAGAAATTATCTGACCCACATTGTTTGATTCTAGGACATAAGACTGCCATTTCAGAGAGGGCTGTGCCCCACACCAGAAGGAAGGAATGCATGTTCAGAGAAGCCAAGAAGAATCTAGACTGGCTGGCCCTGCTGGGCTTCCCCACTCATTCTCTTAGCTTTAGATCTTACCCTTTTTGTCCAGGCATATTTCTACATGACTGCTCATACTTTGTTGAATCTAAGCATAAAAATGGACAATTTCCCCTATATCTTTGGGTTTTAATTATGAAGGCTCTCATGTATACACATTAGATAAATTTATATGCCATTTCTTTTGTTAATCAGTCTGCTTCATATCAGTGATTTTCAGCAAACCTCTAGGGGCCAGAGCCCTGGTTCTCACATTGAGCTGGAATATTGAAGGAATTTCTGCAGTGAAATCGTATTTGGCTGTACATATATAATCTGTGAACCTCTTAAATAATTAAAGCATAACTTACTAATAAAGCAGGAAAGTTTAGTGGGCTCCAGAACCGAAACCAGTTGGATTTAAAATCCTGCTGCTATACTTAACCTCTCTGTTTCTGAGTTTTCTTATCTGTAATGTGCGATGATAATATCTGCCTTGTAGCCTTGCTTTAAGGATAAAATGAGCTAATGTCTAACAAGCACTTAAAACAGTGCCTAGTATATAGTAAGCCCTCAACAAAAGCTAGCAATTCCCAATTAATTGATTTAAAAGCTGGAGCTCTTAAAGGACTATGTTGAGCCAAAGTATTCCAATAACTAAATGAAGCTCCTGTAGTAGAGTTGGAGCCATCTTTTGGGGGCAGGAAGGGAGTGTATGGCGATTTGTGCCTTATAGTGGTTTGGATTTGTTAACAGCACTAGTCAAGGAACACAGTGCGCTGAAAAAGTTGCCAGACGCCAGATGAGATAAGGAGCGTCCTGTGAGTAAGGACAGACTTGAACACTCCCAGCACATAGACAAAGGAAGTGATGGCTCTGCCTAAGAAATCTTGTCCTTCAACCTTGACTTCACTGGATTTTTTTTTCAGACACTGCTAATCATGTAAATAAACATAAGAACTTCCTGATAGTGGACTATCTCTGTTTTCAGATGTAATTCCTACCTCTATTTGCAACATGGGTATTTAATAAAAGAGGAATAAAGAGGCATGCTTGAATGGATAATCAAGTAAACAGATTTTCTGATATTAAAAAAATAAAGGAAGTATATAATTTGCTCTGGTTATCTGGTCTATATTTTATGGCTAAGTCATTTTAACATTTCAGGGACTTTCTTCTTGTATAATACCTAGACCTTTACTTTCATATATTGAAACTTCTCTACTGATTGATTAGGTTTGTTGTTGTTGTTCTGTCTCACTTATTTCCATTTATTGTCTGTTGTACTTTTTGAGTTTTTTTAAAAACTTAAGCTTTTGATTGAATATCTGGGTTTTTAAAATAATATTTTTAATTTATAATTTAAGAGATGATTTACTTAGTTTAAAAATTTTTTTTCTGCTTCCTGCACTGTTTTCTCTGAGTCTCTTTCTAGGTTTTTTGGTTTTGTCTTTTGATTGTGGCTCATGCATTTTTTGTTAGGGGATTTCCTCAAATGTCTGGAGAACCTAGACTGTCCATTCATAATTATAAATGATGTACTAAAAAGGTATTGGTAATAGGCTTAATAGCATATTAACAAAGAGTATGCAAACTTTCTTATGGGAGGAGATCCCCAAAATGTCTGTCTTAGTTCTTTTCTCTTGGGTCCGTTAGTTTCTCTGGAGAGGAATTTTATTCTATCTGGCTGGTCTTAGGTTGGATGGCAGTATTCTCAGAGCTGAATGTGGGCATGGAATGAGTGGTCTCACTCTTCAGCATTCAGACTTTCACTTAATTGCCCTCTTTTTTAGTGCAGGTGTCATAGATTGCAATAACAGCACCAATTCTGCATGCGTCCTTGTATTCACATCCTTTGCTGTGAGACTGCTGTTTCTCTCCCTGAATAGGTGGGGTCTTTTTATGGGGTCCCGAGTCTATTCTACTTTGGGCAATAAAATATGACAGGATTGACACTGTATCACTTCCAAGGTTAGGCTTCAAAAAGTGTGCATTTTTGTCTGTTCTCTCAGGCCTGTCACTGGCATAAGAACATTTTGAACATGGCTGCCAGATGATGAGAGGCTTGTAGATCAGAGTGGAGTCCACATAGTCACCCTAGCCAAAGCCAGCCTAGATCAACCAACCAATGTTCCAGCATGTGAGCATGCGCAGACAGGATCCACCTCCTAGCCAATCTTCAGCTAACACCATATTCCTAAGCAATACTGTTTTATGGTTGTATACCGCTGGAGTTATGTGATTGTTTGCTATAAAGCATTATTGGCATAACAGATAATTACAGGGTTTCACCACCATCCTCAGATGCAAATCTCTTTAGAAATTAACCTCCTGTCTTTTGCCCAGACTGGGGAGAAGTCACCAAGCTATAGGGGTAGGGAGGGATCAGGACATCAAACTGCACCTTATATTAATCTTTAATTAATCTGGGCTCCATACTCGATCTCTGATGTGACAATTCCTGAGCTTTTCCAGGGCCCTGTGGCTCAAGTGGGGTCATTTCTTTTTGAATCTCTCTCTGCAGGCGCCAGGTTTTGACCTGGTCTATGCTCAGACACTTTCCATTTTTAGAGGTTTTATTTTTCACTCTTCTTTGCGTTGATACCCTCCTTGGTTCACTTTGCCCGTGGGGTTTGGGCTCTTTAGTTTTTTTCCTCTTATATGAAGAAATTTTAGGAGGAAGTGGGGGTAAACATGTGCTTTTACATTCCATGTTTAGCCAGAAATGTCTCCAGGTTTTAATTTTTCACCTTGACTTTAAAACTTTTTTTTTCACTTGTAAATGTTCATCTGGTAGGTGTGATTTACTTCAGGGTGTTAAATGGCATGATTATAAACATCTCTCTGAATAATTTAATATAATAATAATTGGCTCCTATCCAATGCTTTTTCTCTTCTTCATTGAATCTCATATATAAATTTATTTCATGGATATTTATCAAGGTTCTATTATGGGCCACGTATAGTGCCAACATTAGTGAAACAGTGGGAAACACAACAGACATGGTCCCTGTCCTTAAGGAACTTATGATATAGTGGTTTATCACTAGTCTTCTTGAAGTACTTCTTTCTGCCTTGTCTTAGTAAATATCCTAAGATCACCCATCACCTACCTCCGTTGTTCACTGGAGTTTATAGTGTGGTGAGCCAGCGTAAGAGTGGAATCACAGAGTTGTCAATTTAAATATTGGGCAGTAACTTACCCCTTTTTAAGCCTTGGGATCTTCAGTGTAGGATGAAATGTTAAAAAAAATTAGACTATATTGTCAACATTTAAAAATTAAGAGCTCTCTCTTCTTTCTCCGAAACACACATGCATGCACATTCTGATTTCTCGCTTCTTTCAAAAAATCAAGATACTGCAATATTGGGCCACTTTCCTACATGATATTAAGCAGAACTCAGTATGGGCTGGCCTCCTTAGATGGGCATGGTCTGTGTAATTTGCCTAGGACACCACCACTTCCCATTATAGTAAGAAAGTTTTATACATTTGTGTTATTTGTCTGGCCTTTATGGGCATTGAAGTTTTCCACCTGCTTTAGATATTAGGAAATGGCAGTGCTATTTAAAAAAATTCCTAAAGGAATACTAATCTGTTAACCTGTAGCTTTCAAAGACATGAGACATTATATTTTTCCCAGATATTATAGATCAGAAGTTCTTAAATATTAATGTATTTACTCATATACACATTTAGTCATAGATTTTAAATATATTTCAACGTTTAGTTGTTGAAAACTAAATGAAGTAACAACAGTACTTGATAATGACTGGGTTGCAGATTCTCAACTAGCTTTGACCTTCTTAGATGTTTCATTTTGTGAAATCCATAATTTATTTGATTTCTGGCCCTTTGTGTTAACTCACTGGACTCATTTGCTCTCTTGGTCTACAGCCTCCTCTGAATTGCTTCTGCCCTGTTTTCACTTTGATCCAGTTTCCACACAGTTCTGAACCCATGGCTCCATTTATCAAACCTCACGCTGTGCCTTCAGAAGCAGTCTTCATGTTTTCTCTCCCTGGCATTTGGGCTATGGGCATCCCTTAAAGATCCCAGCCTGGTTCATTCTTCTAGTCCCATAAGCCTCTGATTAACTTTAGTGGTTCAACAGAACTGCATCTCTGCAGGCTCTTGCCTGGTCCAGCCTTGCTTAAACCACCCCTCCTAAGATCAAAAAAGAGGGTTCAAATATCTTGTTAACCCTAGGGTCCTGTGATGGTTATCCAAGTTGAGCAGAATACTGTTGAGATATTAAGATTGATTTGAACACTGAAGTGAACTTCCCACCCATGAAAATACATGAATAAGGATTTTCCTCTCTTCCTTAGGAAAAAAATAAATCTTTGTTCCTCTGATAATCCTATTGCCCTTGTATTTTGCCTAATTTCTTCAAGAGATATACACTCAACAAAAAATCAAATATAATTCAAGGGTGTTGTAGTCGAGAACAATATTAGAAGAAGGAGGTTGATGACCGGTCTCCTTCTCTGCAGTGTTCAGTGCACTTCTGAGAATTGTGCTTTGCCATGCATACCACCAAAGGAGGGAGGGAGATGCAGATAAACTAGAGGTTGTCCTCAGGAGAGCCTTTAGGATGGATTGTGGGAACCCAAAGGGCACCCATGTGAGGAGTAGTTGAGAAGATAGGGAAGAGTATGCTTGGAGAAGAGGAGACTTTGGGGTCGGGAGTGGTAGTTTGAGAGAGGGCAGGAACATAGCTGTCATCAGAACTATCAAATTGTCACATGGAAGAAAGGGTAAATGACTCCAAAGGATTGAAGTTGACTCAATGGGTAGAAACCTCAGAAAGATATATTTGGGTTCTGGTTTTCTTTTTCTTTCTCTTTTTTATTTAAAGAAGAGCCATCCAAATCTTTTTTTTTTAATTATACTTTAAGTTTTTTATTATACTTTAAGTTTTAGGGTACATGTGCACAACGTGCAGGTTTGTTACATATGTACACATGTACCATGTTGGTGTGCTGCACCCATTAACTCTTCATTTAACATTAGGTATATCTCCTAATGCTATCCCTCCCCCCTCCCCCCACCCCACGACAGGCCCCGGTGTGTGATGTTCCCCTTCCTGTGTCCATGTGTTCTCATTGTTCAATTCCCACCTATGAGTGAGAACACGTGGTGTTTGCTGAACGCGCCCGATCTCGTCCAAATCTTAAGTTTTCTGTGAGGGAGAATAGTCTGGACCTCTATGCAACTAAGCATAAAGTGGATGACCACTTGGTGGGGATATTGTAGAAGGGATTGACTCATTGACAGGGTGATTGGACCAGATGATCTTTAAGATTTCCCTCTATCCTGGGATTCTACAGTGTTTAAAAATTGTCATGACAGGAGATTCCTGCACATTTTAAAAATTAAAATCACAATATTGTACGTGCTTTAGAAAGCCTAGCGGAATGGATTTAATTCTGCCTATTGTAGTGATAATAATGCAATATTAATATGTGGATATGATCTGTTTATGGATTACTCATATAGACAAATTAGACATATTTATTGGTCAACAAGTGCCACTACACATTGTTGGAATACATGTGGCTGCTTTTTTCATAAATTAATCATTGGAGTGAATTAAGATGAGAACATAACAAATGTCAGCTCATAACAAATGTCATCTAATTCTAGACCCCAATTTATAGATGAAAATAATATATATTCATTTTCTTCCTTCTCTCTTTCCAAATTGGTAGAGAAAAGATATAAATATTCCTCTTATATCATCACTTAGAGATAAGAATATGCTAAATCTGGAAAATTCTGTTAGGAGGACCTATAATGGAATAATTCTGCCTCATTTCTTTCACATGAGATAAACTTCACTTTTATTAGTATTTCTCCCCAGAGTCTTCTCTAATCTTCTCAATTTGGGTTCTTCCCATTTTCTCCCATGTCCTTGGACCACTTACTGTGTTTTAACTAGAGCATGGTTATATGTAAATATGTGTGTTTTCCCCAGTGGATGGCAAAAAGGAATCTTCCTTGCACATTTTTGTAATCCCCACAATACCTACTGCCTTTCCTGCGTGGGGTGATTCTCAATAGACGTTTGTGGTTTGAAATCATTTCAAATCACAAATAAGCACCTTCACTTATGCACTACATATTTGGTCCAGCAGTTAATATGACAGTACTCATTAAATATCCCATGTGATATTGTGATGAACTTGCTTTGGAAGTTATTGATCATGACCATTATATGAGAAGAAGAAAAACCTGATTACTCTGAACACGTAGGAGCACAGCAGAAAAGAAAATGCACCTAAAAGGATTTTTGTTTTCTGATTTTTTTTTTTTTTTTTGCACAGCTTTCAAGTGCAGACAACTTTTTCTTGTTGTCTAGAGCCATTGCTTCCAGAGCTTATGAGGAGCTATAAAAGAGGTCAGGACACCTGGGTCTAGTCTCAGCTCTACCACGAACTAGCAATGTGGCCAAGCACCAAGCCTTTCTGGTCTTAGCTTTCTCATTTATAAAATGAAGAAGCCAAAGTTAACTGGATTTCTAGCCCCTGCCAACTCTCATATCTCTAACAGTAAGTTGAGAGATTTTTCTCTCTCTGACATTGTCCCCTTTCTTTCCACCTCTCACAATGTGCGCAACTTGAGATAAGTTACTTCACCTCTGTGTGGCTCAGCTTTCCCATGTATACAATGGGAGATACCTACTTTTTAGTGTTGTGATTAGGATTAAATGAGTTAATGCATGTGAAGTGTTGGAACAGTGTCTGATGTGGAATACTCACTAATGTTAACTTTTTATTTTACTACTTTGCTGAAAATGTTAGTGTATTTCCAGTTGTTAAAATTACAAACCAACCCCTCACATGGTGCCTGACTCAGGAACTTTACCGACTATGGGTTTTCAATCTATTTTATATCATTCCTCTTTATTTTTTAATTTTTAGTTTTTGATGCAGTGTCTCCCACTCTTGCCCAGGCTAGAGTGCAGTGATGCAATCATAGCTCACTGCAGCCTTGATATCCCAGCCTCAGGTGATCCTCCTGCTTCAGCCTCCTAAGTAGCTGGGATGACAGGCATGTGCTACCGTGACTGGATTTAAAAAAAATTTTTTTTATGTAGAACGAGGTATTACTATGTTGCCCAGGCTACATTCCTCTTTAAAGTAGCATTATATAAAATTGTATTTCCGTCTGTTCTCAGAATATCTCTGATCATTCACACACTGTAGTCTATAATTTTCTATCTGTATCCCCTACCCTGTGTTGCTCAGTGTGTTTGTTTTTACACAACTAATCTTTGGCTTCTGGCTCACTGTCCTGTGTTGAGGGACCATGTAGAGACTTCGGTGTTTGCCATTTCCATGCTCATAGAACTCATTAGTACAATAGATGGAGACACCTGGTGCATAGAGATGGAGGACTCAGCATGAGAATGTCCCATTTTCCATAGCCCTCATTTTTGCTTGGAGCATGATGAATGTTACACTGGCATAGTTAAGAGGTCCATCAGTTCAGTTCAGTATATTATAAGTAAAATTAAATATATTGAGCATTTCATCTGTGATAAGCTCTGTTCTAGTTTTGTATATATGAGAAAATATATCCAACTGGAGGTAGAAGAGAGAAAGATATGAAGAGAACAACAGCGGGGTCTTTGTTCTCAAGGAGTCTGCACTGTTGCTCGATGTGGTGCTCTAGATATCAGGGAGAAGTATGCCTTGGAAGATAATAATTGACACCTACATAGAAATTCAATGGATACAAAATCCTTTTATATATGTAATATCGTTTAATCCTTCATCACTATTATTTGATTTAATCCAAAGTTTAACTAAGTTTTGCAGAGGTTAAATAACGTGCCAGCAGGCTGCCCAGCCAGAACGGGAAGTCAGAATGTTCTTCTGCCTGTAGGGTGTGTGCTCCAATGTGCCTGGAGAAGAAGAATGTGATAATGGATAAAACGCAGAGGTTCCTTGTATGTTTTACTGTTTTTTTTTGTTAGTCTGTAGTACACTTCTGATTCTCCAAAGTGGTACACAATTTTCCAACTTTGAATTTTTGACAGAGTCATGATTTAAAGCTTCAAGCATATGATTATGAGATGGTGGTTCTCAACATTTACCACAACCTCCCAGCAAACCACACAGCAGTCAACTCTCAAGATTTCTTCCAGGAGGGTAAAGGGATTTTTCTCTTCACATGCCATCCAACTCCATGGGAAAACATTAGCAGTGACAAATGACTCTGGATGAATGCTTGAATCCGAGGTAAATATGAGCCTTTGCTCCTCCACATAAGAAAGGTGCCATCAGAGTATTCTCTATGAATACATTTGAAAGACAACATCTGAACAATTTTGGTTATTATCTATTAGCCTTCAGGAGAATTTCTATAATTACGAAGCACGCAGTGGGAAGTGTTATTGCTTGGAGCCAAGTCTATTTATGTTGATATTTGTAGATATTTACATTTATTTTCTTTGGCAGACATAGACAAACACATTTCTGAAAACTACTTTGTCTGTGGAAAAACGAAGCAGAATATACTTTAAAAAAATCTACCACAGAAAGGATAATAATAGCTTTCATGTCTGAAGACAACAGACAGGCATGAAATATAAGAATTATTTTATCCTGGACAAGAGAATTGGTGTTAGAGCAAATTTTGACCATGTCACAGTCTGGATAACTCTTAGGTTTAAAACTTGCACCCCCATAGACCTCAGTCCACAGAGGAGATAACTGATCTGGGGCTTAGCAGTATTGGCAGGGTGGTGCATTATGGGATTTAGCTATAGAGTGTTTGCTCCCCAAAGAGAGAACTGCAGGAATTTTAAGAACTTGCATCAATTCCCCTGTGTAGAACAGTATGTCTAAGTATATTTCAAGTAAATCCTCAACTCAACACATAAAGCTGCAGTTACACCACGCCTTTAAAAGGAAATTAGAGCACAGAAACGAGGCCAGACTGCCCCTCCTGGAGACAAATCCCCTGTTCATCTCTTCAACTGCTGTCAGTCCTTAAGTATGTTTACCTCCTGTCCCACCCACCCCACTACCACATCAGTTTCAGGCTCTTGATTTTTTCTTCCAGGCCTCAAAAAGCATGTAGCAATTTATATAATTTTTTTAGACATTGTTTTTCTAGCAAATTAATTCAGATCACAATGCTTTTTGTGATGAATTTTAAAACATTGATTATCTTTTTTTTTTAAGAAAGTCCTCAAAAATGGTCTTTGAAGGGGAGATTTGCTCTGATGAGTATGATATAAAACCTCAGCCTTTGAATAAATACAATATGCCTTGCTGGCATAGTAACTAGGTTGCTTGGATGAGGATGCATACTAATTAGGGCAACTTAATGGCATAATGACTAGGGTCATTTATTCATGGTTGGTTGTTCTTCAAATGTAATTTGGGAGAGAGTGCCAATGCATACCCATTCTACCTTCAATAGAGAGAGTGGAATTCCACAGGTTTATGGGGACAAATAGGACAACACAGGTAATTTCACAGATTTGCAGTTAGCAGTTTTCTATTTGATACCCACAGTTTTTAACAGTTTTAGCTCCAAACATGTTAGAATTAAACCTCATTGCCTGTAGAGTTTAAAAGACAGCATTATCATCTGTATGTGTATGAGGTGGCAACAACTTTGAAGACAAACATAAGGCATAGGTGGCACAGGTTCAAGGACCTGTCACTCTGTGGACTCACTTCTGAATTGTTCAGTTGCTTTTGCTCTTAGTCACCTGCATCTAGTAGATGCATTTTGGAATATCCCAAGAAAGTGAAAATGACCTAACATTATTCAAGCTGTGCTTTGGTGTTTCTCCTGTTGACCTTTGCCTGTTACTTGACTTTGGTTGAGTAAAGAGCTATGACATGGATATCCTATCATTTCATATTCTGGCCTAGTCCTATATCTATCTCAATGTATAATTTTCCTGCAGTCATACTGTCTAATGAGTGCTGGTGAGAATTATGTATCATAGGTTTGAAATAAGATCTATTTTAATTTTTGAAGAGTGATGACCAATATGCCATTCCGTCTATTTGACTGAAACTGATTGCAGTAGTAGATTATATTCTCTCCAAGACAGTAATGACACCACGACTGTTTTTAATGACTTCCAACATAGGAAGAAAAACTTAGAACTCAGAACTCAGGGTGGGTGTGGTAGAAGAATTATCGTATAAAATCCATATGTTTTAGAGTTGGTTGTACTGTAGTAGAAGAGCTCAGGTATGTTTTGGGTTAGTATAGTCCCTCAAACAATTTCTTTCAAATGTTTTCTTTCAACCAAATCTGAAACACATTTTGCCAAAACTTTTTTTCCCTTAATTTTTAAAGGCATGTGTATTTAAAGGGACATTTAATCCATATGTTTTGGCTCATTTACACTTAACTCATCAGGATATTGTTTTTAAGAGTTATTTGAGCTCCACAAAACCCATTTTATAAGTCTTTTCTTCCGCAGTACAAGGAAGTTGTGTTTTGCTGGAAACAGAAATGGAACCCACAAAATAATTAAGTTCGGATGAAAATTGAGAATGTACAAGGTTTCCGAAAGCCACTAAACTTAACTTAGAAAAACATGTTATTCTCTTGCAGTTTTTTAGTTACTTCTAGATATCAATATGCTTTAGCCAAGGTGCTAAATTAGAACATCTTTTAAATCTTTATTTCGCAGTTAAGTGTCTAAATGCTTATTTCCCAAAATACCATCTTTAGTGTAATGGATAAAAGCAAGGTTAAAAAAATAAGGAGCATATACAAAAAAGTGAGCTCTAAATTTCTTTTGAGGTTGATGCAGAGCTATGATCTTGAACCTTCATTGTGCCTTTTCTCTCCTTGCCAGTCTTTTCATGGAATTATGCCTGCTATGCCCATAAAAGTTCCTTCTGCTGTGTTTCATGAATGTAGGTAGCTACTGCTACACAGGATCTCACTGTGTCTGCATCCTCAGCACCTTCAGAGCCCTCAGATATTTCCTGCTGGGTAGAAGGATGGATCTAGGGAATTTATTAGACAATATAGTGGGATTTCCCTTCTGTCTTGTATTTCTCAGGAAGATTGGTATCTGAGGATATTCCTGGAGAGAACTCAAGAAAATCAACATATGCTTTAGATAGGGTATATACAGACAATGTCCCTGAAGAGTTGGGTGAGAGATAAAGCCCTTCAGATCAGCATTGACCTGAAATTATATTCTCATCATTTTAGAGAGAAGTTGAGCACCTCTGAAATAAATTTTGTCTATTGAACCTCAATATCTAATGAAAAGAACTACCCTTTCTCAATAAAAAAAAAATTACTACAACATTTTCCATAGGCCCCAGAATTCCTTGAGCAAACCTTCTGTAATGAGTTGAGTTGTTGATACTCCCCTTTTCTTCTCATATTTGGGTAGATATCTGAGTAAAAATCAATTTCAATTAGAGAAGGTAAGAGCAAAAAATTAATAAGATTTTTATATTTCATAGTAAAATATAAAAATGTGTATTAGACAACAATTAGTAAACAAGTAACAAAATGGCAGTAGTAAGGCCTAATGTATAAATAATAACATTAAATGTAAATGAACTAAATTAGTCACTTAAAAGACAGTATGGCTGAATGGATTAAACAATAAGACCCAATTATATGTTGCCTACAAGAAAGTCACTTCACCTGAAAAGACATACATAGACTGAAAGTGAAGGGATGGGAAAAGATATTTCATGCAAATATAAACCAAAAAGAACAGGAGTGTCTATACTTAAATCAGATAAAATAGAGTTTAAGTCAAAAACTGAAAAGAGAGACAAAGAAGAGGATTCTATAATGATAAAACGTCAATTTAGCAAGAGGACATACCATAGTAAATACATATGCAACCAACACTGAAGCACTCATATATATAAGAAAATATTAATAGATCTAAAGAGAAAGACAGATTACAATACAATAGAAGTAGGATACTTCAACACCCCGCTTTTGGCAAGGACAGATCAGCCAGAAAATCAACAAACAAACATTGCTGTTTGACTGTATTGTAGATTAAATGGACTTAACATACCTTTAGAGAACATTTCATCCAGTTGGATGTGAACACACATTTTTTTGATTACCACATGAAACATTCTTCAGGACAGACCATATGTTAGACCACAAAACAAGTCTCAACAAATTATAAAAAGGTCTAAATCATATCAAGTATATTTTCTGAACACAATGAAATAAAACAAGAAATCAATAGCTAGAGGAACTTCAGAAACCATACAAATACATGGAAATTAGGCAACGTGCTCTTGAACAACCAGTGGATCAATGAAGAAATTAAGAAGGACAATAAAAAATTTCGAGAATCAAATAAAGACAGAACACAACACACCTGAACCTATGAGATACAGAAAAAGCAGCACTGAGGGAATTTTATACCAGTAAATGCCTACATCCAAATAATAAAAAAAATTTAAATAATTAACCTAACAATTCACTTCCAGGTTACTAGAAAAGCAAGAACAAATCAAACCCCAAAATAGTAGAAGGAAAGAAATAACAAAGATCTGGGCAGAAATAAATGAAATTGAGACTAAAAGAAAAATACAAAATATTAACAAAATTAAACTGGTTTTGAAAAAATAAACAAATGGACAAACCTTTAGCTAGATCAACTAAGAAAAAAAGAGATAAGACCCAAATAAATAAAATCAGAAATGAGAAAGGAACATTATGATGGTTAGCACAGAAATACAAAGGATCATTAGAGACCATTATGAACAACTATATGCCAAAAAATTAGAAAACTTAGAAGAAATGGATATATTCTGAACACATACAACTCACCAAGATTGAACCATGAAAAAATAGAAAACCTAAACAAACCAATCATGAATAATGAGATTAAAGCAGTAGTCTAAATTTGGTCATCAAAGAAAAACCAAGGACCTGAAGGATTCACTGCTGAATTCTACCAAAACATTTGAAGAAGTACTAATACCAATTATACTAAAATCATTTAAAAATTAAAGAGGAAGGAATACTTCCAAATTCATTGTATACAGCCAGCATTAAGCTAATACCAAAACCAGACAAAGACACACACACAAAGTAAAACTACAAGCCAGTATCCCTGATGAACACAGAAGCAAAAATGCCCCCAAAAATACTAGCAAACAGAATTCAACAACCCGTTAAAAAAATCATTCTCAATGATCAAGTGGGATTCACCTCATAGATGCAAAGACAGTTCAACATACACAAATCAATAAACACAATACATTATGTCAACAGAATCAAGGACAAAATCCATGTGATAATTTTTATAAATGCTGAAAAAGCACTTGATAAAATTCAACATCCCTTTATGATAAAAACCTTCAACAAATTGGGTATAGAAGGAACATATCTCAACACAATCAAGGCCATATATTACAAGCTCACAGTTAAAATCATACAGAAAGAGTAAACATTGAAAGCCTTTCTACAAAGATCTGTAATAAGATAAGGAAGCCCACTTTCACCATATGTATTCAACAGAGTACTGGGAATCCTAGCCAAAGCAATTAGGCAAGAGAAAGAAATAAAGGACATCCAAATTGGAAAGCAGGAAGTCAAATTATTATTATTTTTTTTTGCAGAAGACTTGATCTTATATTTAGAAAAACCTGAAGACTCTGCCAAAAAACTTTTAGAACTGAAAATTTGTAAAATTTTAAGATACAAATAACATCTTAGTAAAATTACAAGATACAAATAACATATAAACATCACTAGTGTTTCTATATGCCAACAGAGATCTATCTGAAAAAGTAATCAAGAAAACAATTTCATTTACAATAGCTACAAAAATATCAAAATACAAATTTAACCAAAGATGTGAAAAATCTCTGTGAGGCAACTAAAACACTGATGAAAGAAGTTGAAGAGGATATGAAAAATGGAAAATATCCCATGCCATGGATGATAAAAATTAATATTGTTAAAATGTCTATACTACCCTAAGTGAACTACAATCAAAACACCAGTGACATTCTTCACAGAAATAGAAAAACAATCCTAGAATTCACATGGAATTACAAAAGATCTGGCACAGCTAAGGCAATCCTGAGCAAAAAGAACAAAGCTGGAAACATCATACCACCTGATTTCAAATTACATGACAAAACTATAATAAACATAACAGCATAGTACTGGCATAAAAACAGAGACATAGACCAATGGAAGAGGATAGAGACCCCAGAAGTAAGTGCATGTATTTACAGTCAACTCATATTTGACAAAGGCACCAAGAATATACGCTGGGGGAAAAGGACAGTCTCTTTAATAAATGATGCTGGGAAAACAGGATATCCATATGTAGAAAAATGAAAAAAAAAAGACCCCTACCTTTCACCATGTACAAAAATTAACTCAAATTGGATTAAAGACTTAAATGTAAAATCTGAAACTATAAAACTAGTAGAAAACATTGGGGACATACAGGACATTGGACTTAGCAAAGATTTTTTTGGATAAGACTTCAAAAGCACAGGCAACAAAAATAAAAACAGACACATGGTATTACATAAAGCTAAAAAGCTTCTGAACAGCAAAGGAAATAATTAACAAAGTGAAGAGACAACCTACAGAACAGGAGAAAATATTTTCAAACTATCCATCTGAAAAGGAATTAATAACCAGAGTATGTAAAGAACTCAAACAACTTATTAACAAAAAAGCAAGCTAGCAAGCAAGAAAAAAAATCTGATTTAAAAATGAGCAAAAGAGCTTAATAGACATTTCTCAAAAGTAGACATACAAATGGCCACAAATGCTCAATATCACTAATCATCAGGGAAATGCAAATCAAAACCACAATCAGATATTATCTGATTGGCTTTATCAAAAAAGAAAAAATAACGAATGCTGGCAAGGACGCAGAGAAAGGAGAACACTGGTAAACTGTTGGTGAGAATGTCAAATCATTATGGAAAACAGTAGGAGGTTCCTCAGAAAAACAAAGATAGTACTACTATATGATTAATCATTCCATTGCTGGGTATATGTCCAAAAGAGAGGAAATAAGTATGTCAAAGGGATATCTGCAGTTTCACGTTTATTGCAGTAGTATTTGCAATAGCCAAGATATGGAATCAACCTAAGTGTCCATCTACAGATGAATAGATAAAGCAAATATAGTGTATATACACAACGGAATATCATTCAGCCATAAAAAAGTTAATGAAATCCTGTCATTTGCAGCAACATGGATAGGACTGGAGGTCATTATAAGTGAAATAAGCCAGTCACAGAAGGACAAATAATGGATGTTTTGAATCATAGGTAGGGGCAAATAAAAGTAGATCTCATGGATATAGAATAGAATAGTAGTTACCAGAGGCTGTCAAGAGAAGGTGGAAGAGGATAAAGTTGGTTAATGAGTACAAAAATATAGTTAATAGAAGGAATGTGTTCTATTATTTGAAAGTACAGTAGGAAAATTATAGTTAACAATAATTTATTGTATATTTCAAAATAGCTAGAAAAGAAGAATTATAATGTTCCCATCACAAAGAAAAGATAAATATTTGAGTTGATGAATAGTTCAATTACTCTGACTTGATCACTATATGTTGTATATGTATATTAAAATACCATGTTCACAAAAATGTGTACAACTGTGATATAGCAATAAAAATACAATAAAAGTGTGTTATGAATAGCTGAATATCTGGTAATATAAATAAAAATCTTTAAAATCTTAACAGTCTGAATACTAGAGAGTAAATTTTATTTCTTAAAAGACTTTTACTACAGTCAATTTTGTCATGCAATATTAATGGAGTGTAATGAGTTTGATAGGGCAGTTCTATGTATGTGCTGTCTTCCCTTTGAGAATGAATATGAATTCTTTTCTGTCAACATTGCATATAGATAATATTAATCATTTGAAGCACACACTGTGGCTATACCTGAGGTAAGGTGTTCTGGTGTTGATAAATGAATGAATCATCCTCAGAGATTTAGATGAAATTCTTGAAAAGTTTGCTATTATTTTTAAGGCAAATATTTAATTTGGGAACAGAGGTCCATCTTTCTGAATATTTGAGGCTTCTAAAATGTACAAAAAGGAATCTGTTTGACATTTCTGAGAAATAGAGGAATCCAATGATATAAGGGTCTTTTCTGAAAGCATTAAAAAATTTAGTTATAATCTTGAATGATAACTTTCAGTGTTTTATCACAATGAAAGTATTTCATTGACCCAAATTAATGGACTGTTTATTTTTTTATACTGTAATGCTAGTGAAGTTGTAGGGAAAATTATATACCTAGATATGTATTTGTATAAATATATAAACCTTCTCAATATCTGGCTTCAGTAGTCTTACATTTTATTTATTGAAATTTAAAAACTTTAGTAAGTCAGTTCTCATAAATATTAACCTAGGAAAACAATAATGCATACTTAGCAGCAAGGTTAATTTATGGACCTGCATTTGATGTGCCCTTTTATTTTCCTGGTTCAATTCCTGGATTAAGTAATAATTCTAATTTTAAGAAATAATATGAAGTTATCCAAATAAATATAGAAGTAGCTGAAACTATTTTTTGCATATTTTAAATTTTATTAAATTTAAATAGTAAAACTAATACATATATCCAGACTATAAAATAAAAATATTATAGGTATGGCTACAATCTCCTTTGATCATTACCATGAATCTTGATCCTTTTTTGAGAAGTAGCAACAGCATTTAATTTGATGTATATCTTTTCAGAAGATTTTATTTTTATTTATGTAACAAATATATATAAATATTTTTTCAAGACTGAGTCTTGCTCTATTGCCCAGGTGGGAGTGCAGTGGTGTGATCTTGGCTCACTGCAATCTCTGCCTCCTGGGTTCAAGCAATTCTCCTGCCTCAGCCTCCCAAGTAGCTGGGATTACAGGCGCCTGCTACCACACCTGGCTAATTTTTGTATTTTTAGTAGAGATGGGGTTTCACCATGTTGGCCAATCTGGTCTTGAACTCTTGACCTCAAATGATCCACCCACCTCACTCTCCCAAAGTGCTGGGATTACAGGTGTGAGCCATCATGCCCAGCCTATGTAACAAATATTTATGGCCACATACTATCTATATAGTTTTTTTTGATGTGTGTGTTTTAAAATGTAAATAGTATTTTAATGTATGTGGTTATTTTGTAACTTCTATTTGGCTACCTTGCTAAACTTTCTAATGTGAACTCTAACAATTCACAAGTTAATTTCTTAGAGGTTTTTTTGGTAATTATTATATCATTTGCAAATAATGATAATTTTGTCTGTTTTTATTCTGATTCTTATATCTGATTTGTTATTGTCTTGGATAGACAAGGATGGTGCAGAAGTGCTGGATAGATAATGATAGTATTTTGCATTATTCCTTACTTTAAGAAATTACTTCTAATATTTTATCCATTAAGTATGGTACTTATTACATATTTCCACTAGTGACATTTATTAAAAGGGTTTTCTTCTATTTCTAATTTCAGAAGATTAAAAATGAGGTATTAAATTTTAGTCAATACCTTTACATTACTTATTTTTTGTCTTTTGTCTTTTAATATGGAGAATTGGTAGGTTCTCTAGTATTGAACCATCCTTGTATTCCTGGGATAAGCCCTATTTGGTCCTGATGTGTAATTAAAAAAAAATCCCTGTATCTGATTTGCTAATATGTAATTCAAGGTGTATATATCTTCATTTATAAAAGTTATTTGTCCATGATTTCCTTTCTTGTGCTTTCTCTTGTTTTGGTATTAGTGCTATATTTGCTTGGTAAAATGGATCAGATAATTTCTTATCTTTGTCTTTACTTTGAAAAGTTTATATAACACAAGAATTATGTGTTTTTTAAGGATGTGATAAAATTCACAAGCAAAATCTTGAGTTGGGTGCCATTTCAAGTATAGTCTTTTCTGTTAGCTTAATGTATTCAGTGGTTACTGATGTGCGTGTTTTAAAAATTCTTTGAGCTGATTTTGATGATTTTTCTAGAAATTTGACCATTTTAGCTAAGTGTTCATATAGGTATGCTAAAATTTCCACCTTAAAATGGAAGATTCATTATTGCTTTCTCACTTGCCAGGGGCAGAGAAATTGTTCTACTTGACAAGTTAATTTTAGCTTTCCACCAACAAAACAACCTACAGAGTATTTGTACTATATGCTGCTTTAGTTTTTGTGGTCTCTCAGTGAAGTTAGTTATTTTGCAATCAAATAATTATGGGAAATTTTGCTTTTAAAAAAATCAAGTGACAATGTATTTTCATAATGACACCTTCGATTCCAGAATTCAGGAATCATAGAATTAAAAAATGCTTCGAATTTTCTTAAACTCCATGTTTCCTCACCAGTGAAATAGAAAATAACAAATAGCTATCTCATGAGGGTAGTTATATTAAAGTACATAATGACTCTACTGGTCTTCATACAACATTTGTGTGTGTTAAGTTATAGGGATAAGTTTGTATTAATATATGCCCTTTGCTTTAGAGAAAACGTACTTAGCAAACTGTGAATTTGAATAAGAGAGTTTTCCTCTATGTGTAAGTAATTATAATTGAATCTGGGGCTTGGACTATTTCTAATCATCTTAATTAATTAGCAGGATAAAGCATAAATGGACTATTTTGTCTAATTTTGGTTATCAAACAAGTAGACCTGTCAGCTTAACTAAAAATAAAATGAACAAATAATTAAGTGATTGCATGTAGCTAGTTACAGCTTTAATCAATGTAATCAGTCAAATAAGTTAAATAGTCAAAAGTATTTGTGTTTTCACACACATGTTAAATCAGTGAGAATGATTTTGTTGTCTTACTGTAATTGTAGGAAAGTAGCAAATTTGAATATATCATTCAAGCATGAATATATAGGTTGTACTGCTGTTGCAAAAATTAAAATTGACAGAAAGATAAATTTATCTACTCCAAGTCCACCAAGCCTGGCAGGCCAGTGAAGGTGATGTGAGAAGAATGGTCAGGAGATGAGGTCAAGAACCTGAACTATATATTCTGTTAAGTTTGGGACACAGTTAACCAACTTAAATCCGTTATTTTGGAAAAGGAGATTATATATGGTGTATATTCAGTATCAGCTGAACAACTTCTCTTTAGCAACATTTGCTCAGTTCTGGCCTTTATCTTTGACCTTCTTTGCAAGATATTAATAAATGCTTTTTATTCTAAGCGTAAGTGAAGTCAAGTCTAGTTAATTAAATAATATTTTCTTTCTCATAGTTTTGCATTAAGACTTCACTATTTCAAGACTTTGTCTCAACTGTCCTTGCCATTTTCTTGTCAATTTTAAAGTATTTCCTTCTCTACCAGGGAAAGTGCTTCCAATTTCTCCTCATAAGAACATTTGTCTTACTGTCTTAAAATTTCAAATCGAAGACACAGATTAAGTGGCTAGAGGTTTGTGTCCTTTTTATACTTCCTTGCATTATTCTCCTCAATAAAGTTAAACTGTGTCACACAGCAATAAATGTACATTTTTACTGATGGAGTTTCCAGACTTTTTGTGATTAGGAGATTTTCTGTCTTTTACCTAACTCTTCATCCCTGGAGAAGAAGATGTGTGATACATAGTGAGAATAAATAATATACTGGAGAGAGGAGGGGAGGAGTGATTAAGAAAGTCATATTTGCATTGCTTTATAGAGCAAGGAGCAGACCTTTCAGCCCAACAATTCCACATCCTTGAGAGATGCTTCTACCAGAGGGGGGCACAAATATCAGATATATTGTGATCACTTTCATGGCATTTGAGTTTGATTTGTATTTGTATTATAATTTCTGAACATCACTATCACATATTTTATTTTTAAATAAATGAGTGGAGTTGTCTAAATGACTTAATTGTAACTTTTGATTTGTAGGTAGAAATTGCGTTAAGAAATAACAGAAAGAACATGAATTTATAGTCAGAAAACCCAGGTTAGAATTTGAGCTGTGCTATATTTTAGCTGTATTAATTTGATGAAGGCACTCACAATTTCTGAATTTTAGTAGACACATCAACATGAATGATAATATTAATCTCATCAGGCTGTTGTGAAGATAAAATAAAATGTTTTTGTAAAGCACTAGTAAGCTGTCTGACACCTAAAAGAACTTTAATGTCTATTAATTCCTCTTTTGCTCAATAGCTATATTAACAGTGCTGAGAGCAGGGAGACTCCTGTTATGTCCCCAGCTCCATTTCTCAGAAAATATCTGACCTTGGTAGTTCCCATAAATGTTCTGAGTCTCAATTTTCTAAACTGTAGAATGAGAAGAAGTATCTGTTCAAATAAAAGGTCCGTCTTAGAGAAATTTTGTGACTATTAAATGAGAAAATAATATGCAATAAACTTTGAAAATTATAGAGTGCTAAAGATATATAAGCCATTTCCTTTAAAAGAAAATATTAGTTCAGGCACTAATGTTGTATACACTGTATTTTATCTCAAAATCAGAATAAATAGACATTCAGGAAAAAAAAGTTCTTAATATTTTAACACATATTTCCTTGTCATGTTTCACCACATGTATCCTTGGTCATTTTTCTAAGTCCCTGTGCAAATAGGACTCCAAAAAATAATTTTTTTCTGAGTATTAACATTTGTTCTTTTACAAATATAATTGTGGGTCACTGAAAGGCCCTTAGCTTCCTATGAAACAACTAAGAGTAGCTTGAATCTTCTCCTAGAAGCCATATATACATAAGGGTATGGAGAATATTGGGAGTTTTATTTTGAATGAAGATAAATGGAAAATTTTAGGTTGAAAGAAAAATGAGATTACTTATTAAGATCAAATAAAATTAATATTGTTAGAAGTTGTTTTTTGAAAGCTAATACTTATCTAAAAGAAAGGTCCCTTGACAGAGTAAATTTGCTTGAGCTGCAGATTTTCTTTTTCTTTTATTTTTGGATAATTTCATCAGATTTGGAAAAGAATTAAGAATTGTCTCTGTTATTGTCATTTAGACTTTTTCTGAACAATAGAACTAATTTACCAACACGGAAGAAACATGCCAAATCACTGACCATAGCCCTTGAAAGGAAGGGTTTGGTTTTTAAAAAAATTAAATTAGATCTATAAGTTTGAGAAATTTCAGCATGTTTTTTATAATTCTTTATTATTGTGAAATTGGAAAAACTCATGACATTGCTTTATGTAACCAAGTGTTGCTTGGCTGCATACATAAGCTTTGTGCTGATAAGTGGGGCATCTGTTATAATGCTTAGAAATACTTGGAGTTAGTGTCTGGGCTCTAGGATGGGGCCGCTTGACTCACTGTGATCTGAATTGGAACACACTGCTTTATTCCACAGCCATCTAGACAGAAAGTGAGGACAACAATTTACCAGTTAAAGCAACAAAGCAATTGAGGTAGACAGAAAGTAATTAGTTTTTAATGATCTTTTGGAAGTCACATGAATAGATTGATTTCTGTTTTGATCTTGTTTGAATTAATAGCTGCTTTTGAGTCTTCAATCCCACTTGAGTATGCATTGTTTCTCCATTTCACGGTCTGGTGCTCCTGAAGTTTAGGTTTTGCTTGGCCAATTGTTCCGTTTTGTAAAGCTCAGACCAGTGTTTTTGTGTTCCTTAGCTTTAAACATTGTTGTGGTGTTTTCCTTTTATTTCTATAGCTGTTTCCTCTTGGGAATTTGATGGGGCTATTATCACTTCCACAGGGCTAACATCCAAATTGGAGGTTCTTATTTGGAAGCTAAAATTGGAAAAAATTGGCGTGAATTCATTTCTCACTAAAACCGTAACCCAGGCTCCGTGTTCCTTGGGAAGAGCATTTTCTGCTCTTGTCCTGGTTGCTGCCCAGACTTTTTCTTCTCTCCTTTTTGGATTATGTGAGTTACTTAGAACCAGCTAATGAGGGTGCAGGAAGCAGTTTGTATGGCCGGTGCCACTGTTATGACTAAAAAGCTTTTCCCCAAAATAAATAGTAGTTTGCCTCTCCCCAAAGCTTTGCAGACAATGAATCACAATATCCCTCACTTTTGCCCAAACATTGTCCCTTTTTTTCTTATCAGACAGATGTCTACATCCCTTCACTCTGCTTCCCTGTTGCCCATTTGATTCTCAGACACTCTTCCTTGTCAGGAAGGTACTAAAGGCTTAATATCTTTTTAATTCTCTCTTGTTTATTTGTTTTTGATGAATCAAGCTATGCATGTATGTTTTTATAAAATTATTTTTTGAGAAGATGTGGAAGATGAAAAAAGCCAAATTCCTACAGAGAGATTTTCAAGATTTTTAAACAGACCTCCTGATTTTTCTATACAATTAAGTTCTTTAATATATGACTTTTTAATACTGTTGTGCTTTAAAATAATTTTTCACTTAAAATGATCACCTTTCCATGCCAATAAATATAGATCTCCATCCTACTTTTTAAAGACTGCCAGTGAAAGTTTTATATCTCTATGGTCCTAGACATTAGGGTAACTATAGGAAGAAAATAGGTGTGATTTGAAAATAGAGAAGATCAAAGAAATATCATTTACTAAGTCTTTCTAGAAAGCAGAAATGAGAAGAAATGGTTTGATAAGGTCAAAAGAAATTGCAACCTGGTGTGAATCAACAGATTTTAGAACACTAACCAAACACTACACTTACATTAAGTGTGAATGAGCATTTTGGAACTTTAATAGATTGGTGCTGGGATGCTGAATCTCTTCACCATCCCTCACTCCCTAGGACAGAGGAGGGAAGTAGAAAAAGAAAGAGAGCACAGAGAAATGGTAGAAAATAAGATGCAGGAGCCAAATTGGAAAAGAACGACAGAGAACGCTGGACTAGCAGGTTGGGAGTAGTCTTAAGAGAGAGAAAAGGAGAGGGGGCTATGGGATATTTACAGCCAACTTTCCATTTAGCGCCAGGCACCCAGTGGAGAAAAGACAATTTATCCTTGTCATAGCCCTGGCTGCACTGCTGCTCCTCCTGCCAGGCATTTTGTTCCCAGAAGGCACTCCCCAGTAATGTAAGGAGAAGGTGGGAGAGGGGGAGAGAAGGTCAGTAACGACTTCCATGGTCAGCACCCTAGTCGTTTTCAGCAGCCGTTTCAGGGTTCTTCAACAGCCTTGTCACTTTATCTACTGTGTCTGTTTACTTCTCTCTGGATTTCCATTTTATGTTTTGTATAATTGGGTATCTCTAGCTCTCTATTTCTCCCATTCAGCTGAGCTAAAATTAAATTTTAAATTTTTGTTTAAGCTCCTTTTTTATGTTTTATATTATCATTTTGCCCTCAACCTTTTACTTTCTACAGGTTAAAAATCTGATATTTTAAAAATAAATCTCCAGGTGGACCAAAGGTTCATATTAATCCATCATCTTTGTGCTTTTAGTATTTCATTGGCAAATATCCCACAGGATTATTTTATCTCAAACATTTTATTTCATGAAGAGATATGAATTTGGTCCTTTTGCAGAATCCTGGGAGAACTTAACCTTCAGGAAAAAGACAAAATGATTGCCTTCTTCCAAGCCAGTGACTCAGTTTGAATATACATGATGGGAAGTGTGCATCTGCCAGTGACCTTTGGGATAATTTGGACTTTTGGCCTTTTTCCAAAATAAGGAAGCAGTAGAACAGTTGCGTCTTGTTTTATGAATTCAGTCTCATTCATAATCCAGTATTTGGAAATTTCCCACCTTTTCCAGCAGAAGTTGCCTAGCTCTAATATGGACACTGAGTATCCTCATCATGAGACATGTTTTGTGTGACACTCTGGCCTATTTGCTCCAGAGGAAAAAGTAGCAGCAGGATTAGGCGATGGATTCAAATTCCAACTCTCTTCCTCTATCGAACTGATATTCTAACTGTAGTTTGGTTCCTTGATATGTTTAATGAGGTTTTAATAGCATCTACCTCATAGGATTGTTGTGATGACTAAATGAAATTTTTTTTTTTTTTTTGAGACAGAGTTTCACTCTTCTTGCCCAGGTTGCAGTGCAATAGCGTGATCTCGGCTCACTGCAACCTCCACCTCCCAGGTTCAAGCAATTGTCCTGCCTCAGCTCCCGAGTAGCTGGGATTACAGGTGTCTGCCACAGTGCCCCGCTAATTTCTTGTATTTTTAGTAGAGGCGGGGTTTCACCATGCTGGCCAGGCTGGTCTTGAACTCTTAACCTCAGGTGATCCACCTGCCTCAGCCTCCCAAAGTGTTGGGATTACAGGCATGAGCCACTGCGCCCAGCCTAAATGACATTTTATTTGTGCTTAAGTTCTCCATAAGTAGTAACTACTGATATTACTAAATTATTTATATTGTTTCTACTAAAAGTGATTATTAGACATAATGTCAAGATGCTCATATTCTGCTTAGGGGTTAAAATACTTAGGCATTAATTACCTAGAGGATACTGAAGTGCTAAACTCTATGGTGATGGTCATATTTTCAATTGTAGGCTCTCAGGTTAAGGAAAGATTTAAGCAGTTCAGCAAGTGGGGATAAGATGACCTTCCTGAAGAGGTGAGGATTGAATTGGGCCTGGAAGAGTAGGTAGAATTTAAAAGACACAAAAGGGAATTTAAGGTTCAAAAGAGGAGGTCAGGGGAGAAAAAGTATGAGTAAGCATATAACAAAAGACTATAGAGTTTTAGAGCTATTTTTGTGGATTTTTTCGTTCTCTTTCCCCCCTTTTATTGGTATCCTTTTATGGAATCTCATTTCATTTTTTAGCTGTTACCTGTGCCAAAATAATAAACATGCTCATGATGTCATGTCACTTTAAATCTCTAAGAATCTTGGTTTACTATTCAGCTGTTGCTTTGAAAGTGCACAATTCTGGAATTAATTCTGGGGAGCTGTGTTTGCAGAAGTGCTTATATTTAGGAGAATTGAGAGTTTATATTCCTAGAGACAACATCAAATTGCTAAGGAAAAGCTGCATTCCACGAACCAGGAAACACAATCTAGTGTTCATGATGGCTGTTCGTCCATGTATTAAGGAATTTGTACTGAGTGGTCAACTGCAGTAAGTGCTACTGGAATGCTTCGTCCCTGCGGTACCTTACCTCATGTCCTCACTCTCCCTCATAGTCACAGACTGTGAAGGAAGCTGTGGAGGTGGGGATTTAAAAAGAAGAGGAAATCACTGGAGAGCCAGAGGGCTGTTTAAAATTCTACAAGTGAAGCAGGTTAAAAACATAACCCAGCATTTCTCTCTTTGCAACTAGATGCAAGATTAGGAAGGCATTTAAAAAAAAAAGTGGGAGTTGAACAATGAGAACACATGGACACAGGGAGGGAAACATCACACACTGGGGCCTGTCGTGGGGGTAGGGGGCTAGGGAAGGGATAGCATCAGGAGAAATACCTAATGTAGATGACGGGTTGACGGGTGCAGCAAACCACCATGGCACATGTATACTTATGTAACAAACCTGCATGTTCTGCACATGTACCCCAGAACTTAAAGTATAATAATTAAAAAAAAATTCCTGAGATTGTATGATGCTCTATATAAAATTTAGAAAGAGGTTAAATTAAATAATATTTAGCTATTTGTTCATTTAAATCTTTCTACCACTCCTGGTATTGCCCTGTTTACCTCTCAGTTAGTCTGGTCCATGGCTGGAGCCTGGCTAGCCAGGCCACAGGTCTCTGACCAGAAGACCGTCTTACCTGGCAAAGGACACATGGCTTCCTTCAAGGCCGAGCATATCAACCCAATGCAGAAATGACAGTGAATATCACAAATGCATTTTAGGCTTTAAAAGTTTAATTAAATGTAGGGGCAGTTTATGTGATTTATTTAATTACATGCGTTCTTTCTCAAAGCACCTTATTTTCCATGAAAGCCCCTATAATGAAGGTTCCCCTGGTCACTGTATCTGGGCATCACTTAGAAGGATTTTAAGCAAGGCAATACAGTGCAGCATGTTTGAAATTAAACAGATGTGGGTTGAAGTTCTGTCTCCACCACATATTAGCTGAATGATCTGGGGTAAGTTATTTAACCTCTCTAAGCTTATTTTCCCCCCTTTAAAGTAAAACTAATAATAGTATTACTGCAAAGTTTTTATTACTAATAAGACTAATAATAGTATTATTCCAAAGTTTTTTAAGAAGTAAAAACTAAAAGAGAGTCATTTAGTCGAGTGATTAATATAACCACTAGATTAGATTGATAATAGTGAATATTTTTTAAAAATGTAGTGGTTATCAATATCTTAACATTATTAATGTATGACATAGTAAATGTAACAATTAACATTAAAACAGTCAATGTTAGCTATTATTATAATTGTCATAAGACTTGATTCAGTTAACTTTTGTAAGAATGTTTCCTCACCTGCAACATGAGGATAATATTAATATTACCTACAGACAGATGCTATAAACTACATCCAGGTGTGCTGTGAGAATTAAATGAGCTGCTGGGTGTGGCTGTGATTTACAAACCATAGTGTAATTATTGTGTCAAAGTTGAAAGCAAGTAGATAGTATCTGGTAGGACTTTTGACCTCAATGTAATGACCAGAATCTGCAAGACAGCATTTTGGTGAGTGCTAATCTTTTGATTTAGGGCCAGTGTTTCTGGAAAGCCAGAAGGATGGTTTGTAATGAAGCAGAATGTTTTGCCCAGAACGGCTGGCTAAGCAGTTGCAAATTCTGTTTTCTTTGCCTGTTAAAGCCATTTTAGCTTAAGTGTTGTTGTAGCTACTATGGAGTCCTAGCTAGTGTCTTACTGTACAGAATTATTCATCATTTTCTAAGAGAATCATTTTGATAAGGAACATTCTCTTTATTTTGTATCTCTATTGGGGTCATCTTATGGGGCATCCACCTTGGGATACACAATTTGTGAGACATTTTCAGTGATATTATTTAATATTGTCCTTACAATCACCCTCTGAAGTATGCATTATCATCTATATTTACAGACAAGAAAAGTGAAACTCAGTAACTTGCCTAACATTAAATGAGAGAGCTGAGATTAACCCTCTTACCAAACTCAAGTTAGGTATATGCTCTTACCACTGCATTGGTTCACTGGTTTTCATATTACTTTAGTGTAAGCACAGAAAAAGGGAAGGCAATAGGAGTTCTCAACCCAGAGCAGTGCTACCCCACTAAGGAGTGTTTGAAGAGGGTATTGATTGCCTAACTGAGTTAAGGGGCTGCTGGATTTGTTGGGCAGGGATCAGCAGTGCCAAATATTCTGCAGTGCTCAGGACTATACAACTGAAGAATTTTCCCACCTGAGCAGCCAGCAGTGATTCATGAATGTCTCTCTTGACCTTTTCTGAAAAGATAAAAGTGGACTGTGTCTGTATTAGTATGACTATATTTTGTAGTTTTCACTTGGATGCTTTTTGTGATATAGGAAAACCCAACCCTTACTTCCCAAGTGATATGACTTGAATTCTTTTTCCCTCTAAAACTTGTGTTGAAATTTAATCCCTAATGTTGCGGTATTGAGAGGTGAGGCCTTTAAGAAGTGAGTGGGTCAGAGCTCTCATAAATAGATTAGTCCATTCATGGATTAATGGACTAATGGACTAATAGATTAATGAATTATCATGGGTGAAGAACTGGTGGCTTTATAGGAAGAGGAAGAGAGACCTGAGCTAGCACATCAGTACACTTAGCCCCCTCACTATGTGATACCCTGTGCAGCTTTGGGATCCTTTAGAGAGTCCTCACTAGCAAGAAAGATTTTACCAGATGTGTCTCCTCAACCTTGGATGGTCCAGCCTCCAGAACTAGAAGAAACAAATGTCAGTTTCTTGGAATTACCCAGTTTCAGGGATTCTGTTATAAACAATAGAAAATGAACCAAGACACAAAGCAAGATGAAATTGTTTCATCTTTAGGTGTTTGTATAAACCTTATCACAGTACCTCAATCGCTGTATCCATAAGCATGAGCACCATTTTATTCATTACTGGCTTTGTGGTGCCTAGCATTGAGTCTAGCTAGTAGCAGGTGCTCAAGTAATACTTGTGAATACGAGGGCATAGTGGTTTCTCTATCATCTATGAAGCTCAGGAGACAGGCCTGAAGGCATGGATTGTCTGTGCTTACTGCTCTTCCTCCCTGCCCTCCAAATAAACAGAACCAGTTATCCAACTTGGTTTAAAAACATTAGTGTTTCAGCGGCCATTAAAAATACATTGCATATTGCTCTTCCTGAATTCTTGCTCCTTTTCTGACTAACATGTGATCTGATAGCTTAGGGTCTCATTTGGTCACCAGCACCCTTCTAGGAAGGAATGTTCTATTCCTTGAATCTGGCTGAGTGATGGTTGCCTTACAAAGATTATTTTTCACGTCAGCTTCCTTAAGTTGTAGATCCATTTTTTTTCCCCTTGTGTACTTTGAGTGATAGAGCTATTACTAGAGCTGGGGTGTGTTTTCTAAATGGTTGGCTAGAGCAAAAGCATCATATTACATTTCTTAAGAAAGGACTTTAATTTATTAGAATTATTAGTTCTCATTTTCTACCTGTTAACCTTTGAAATATTATTTACTTTTCCTTCTGGCATTTGCATATACCTTGGGGTTATTTTTCTCTTTTTATATCGATCAAATATACTTTCATATATTGTAAATGTATGTAAAGCACTTCAGGTTGGCACTAGTCCTTTTCAATTACTAGTTAAAACGCTATGATGCCCTTTGAGAAAGAACTATATAAATTTCATATTTTAATTTATGAGCTCTCAGTTATGTTACTTGCTTAAGTTCCCTTAGCAATTAAGTAGAGGAATTAAAATAAGAACTAAACATGCCTGATTCCTAGTTATTTGGCTTCAATATTTTTTAAGAGTTTCCCTTCCTCTTCCCTCCATTTGTGATTTCTTCCTTCCTCTCTTTCTCCCAAGGAACTCCATTACTGACTTTCTTCTACATCTTACATAAAATTGTTAATTTCCTTACTATACTTATAACCTTACACTTAGAGCTCAGGGTAGACCCAAGGAACGATTGTTAACTTAGGTCAGACCTGAGCACCGTGGGACCTGCCCAACCTCTCTCTCACCTTGCCAAATGCCTCCCACTTTCATAGTATCCCCATCACCAATTTCTTGACAAAAGTAGACTATCCCCACTGTCTCCCACCCTTTTATTCACCCCTTCTCTTTCCCTCCTTCCCTCCCTCCCTTCCATCCTTCCTTCCCTTTCCTTCCTTCCTTCCCTTCCTTTCACCCTTTTCCTTCCTTCCTTCCTCTCTGTCTTTTCTTTCTTTCTTTCTTTCTTTCTTTCTTTCTTTCTTTCTTTCTTTCTTTCTTTCTTTCCTTCTTTCTCCTTCCTTCCTTGTCTTTTTCTTTCTTTTCTCTTTCTTTCTTTCTTTCTTTCTTTCTTTCTTTCTTTCTTTTCTTTCTTTCTTTTCTTTCTTTCCTCTCTCTCTCCCCTCCCTCCCTCCCTTCCTCCCTTCCTTCCTTCCTTTTTCTCTCTTTCTCTGTTTCTCTCTCTCTCTTTTCTTTCTTTTTTTTCTGTTACAGGCAGCATGTATTCTGATGTTGTTTTATTTAGTTCTCTCTCCTTTTTTGGGGATTGGGTAAGTATGGTAGTGGGTATGTGTCCTCACACAGAAAAGTTTAAACTGCAATTTGAATGAAATTTTGTAACTTCCTGAAATGCAGATTAGGTTGTGGCATGCTAGTTCACTTTGGATTCATGTGATGTCACCAAATGGCTAAAAAAAAAAAAAAAAATCAAACATGATCAGCACAGTTATTACTTTTTAAAGCCTTTTGAGAAAAACATGTGTGTTGAAGAACAGGATAGTGGACACAAAAATAACTTCAGTCTCTAAGTGGGTAGAGAATTGTTTTAACTTGATAATGTGTTTGAAAAGAAGATAAGACAGTGGTTTGGGAAGTCACTGCCCTCTGCCCTGTGTGGAATCCAAGGATTATTAGCATTACAAGAAGAAATTGCAGATGATCATTACTAAATGAAGAGATTACTGGGAGACACATGCCTCAGGTCAAAGAAGACAATGGGGATTAAGAGATTACAACTAATACAGAGATGATATTAACTGTTTTCCCAAGGTTGAATACAAAGGAAATAAGAACAACTATTTCTCAGGCTGGAGTAGGGAGTGGTGCTGGAGCTGAGGTTGCTTTTAAATATTCTTTCTAAATTTGGCCCCAAATTCTTTAGGTTAGTTGTATTACTCAGGAAGAAAGATTGAAGCCATGTTGATTTGGATACTGTGTCAAAACTCAGTCTTGATTCACTGTGCTTGCTGTCCTTCCTCAGTCACTGCTGTTGCAATTCAAGTCCTGAAGACAGGGTAGGAATCCAACCTGAGGCAGTTATGGGAGAGACTGTAAATTCCCACACTGGTTTTCAGAGACCCGGAGTCTAAACCCATTTTTGACCAGAAGAATGTGATGGAATTTCTTACACGCTCAGATACTTCATCTGCAAAATTGAGGGAATAATGCTAGATTATTTTCACAATTCCAGATAATTGCTAAACATGTAGGTACCTCTCAAAGATCCACAGCATTAGAAGCACTGAAAATCTATGCGGTTGTTCAATAATATTATATCTTGGAAATATCATTCCAGGATGAAAGTTCATGAATGTTTTCCCTTCAAGAAGGCTATAACATTTATGACATAATTTATACAGACATTATTTATACAGTTTTGGAATAATTTATTTCATTTTAAAAGGGCTAATAACTTTTTATTTAAGGATAATAAAATGAATTTACATACAAAACACTTAAACATTTCCCTAAAGTGTGTTTTGGTCTAAACAATGGTGAAAACCATTAGGCAAAATTTGACATTGAAGTAAACTGAAAACAAGTTGTCTGACTTAGTTTTAACCTGAGACATTTAATTTAGTTTCAAGATTTTTATAAAAATAAAGCCAAGTTTCAATGTGTACGTTCACTTGACATAAGACTATCACATATTGTAAAGTAAATTATAGTGTAAAATATGAGTATATGACTAAGAAGATACTGTCACTTTAAGCCATTCTTTAAAAAATTCTGCCAAACAGAAATTTAGAGGTTGCGCTTTCCTTATTTAGCTGGGTTAATCTCTTAGTTGCCAAGGGCAGATTGATTTGTTTATAAACTTGTTAAACCAAATCTGCACATAACCACATCACAGATAATAAAGTAGGAAAAGACCACTCAGATTGTCATTCTGTATCCACTCACCACATCAGTCTTGTTAATGTCTAATTTAACTGTTTAAGCAATGTATGCTGCATTGCATGTTTTGCACATTGTATTTTTAAGTGATGTGTTGATGATTGTTAACCATGTGTGTGGGTGTGCCTGAAAAGATCCAATGTGCAGCCAGAATTCCTTTTTCATTGACATACCCAGGCTGGGCTACTGTCAGTGAGTCATTCTCACTGCATTGACACTGAGGCCCCCATGTGCGGTCTTACGTGTTTGAGACCAGATGCCAGGCATATTTATTCCACGTTGGTACCACTAGCATAGGGAAGACTGTATGCCACTCATTGGTTACTGGCAGTTAAAACTTTTTTCTTGACATCTGCCACTTTTTAAAAGCCCCCTAATTTTGTAATAAATAAGTTCTTTCCACTACCACTTAGCAAATAAGCTTTCAGTCTTTATAGTGTATTGCTACCTAATACATGGAATTATAAACCTTGTGAGATTTAAATTTTCTTTGAACGTGACATTTAGTTTTCTTAGCAATTTTTATGATGGTGTTGTCCTGTTAGTGTTAGGTATCAGTAATAAAGATATGTGTGTGTGTGTATGTGTGTGTGTGTGTGTGTGTGTGTCTGTAGCAGAAGTTTAAAGAAGATGAAGTGACTTTCTGACGGGTGATAGCATGAACCCTTGTATGGAAAAGTTTTACTGTAGCACGTAGAAATTTACACATCACAACTTAAGAAGAGAGAAATGTGGTTTTCTTTTCTAGAATCTAACTTATACTCTTGAGGTTCTGTTATGCTTAGAGGAGATAATGTCATTTCTTCTAGCCCAGTAGCAATTTGATCCAGTTGATTTTTCTTAGCCAAAATTGAATATTTTAGTTATTGTTCATTTCAAAGCCCGGCCACTTCTCAGTAAAGGGCATCTGGAAGAATTTCTTTCCATTTTCCTCAGTGGCATCTGGGAACACTGGGAAAAGTCATTTCCAATCAGGCAGTGAGGCAGGGACATGACTTTGATTTTTTTGTTGTCCTCCTGGTTCCTGCAGGTCTTGGCCCAGTGGTGCCTGGGCTTGCCTGGTCCAAGCATGGACTGATCTTTTGAGCATCCTACTAATTTCTATAACTGATGCTCGTGCACCCTTGATTTTGAGATTCCTGATCAATGTTGATGGACTGTTTTAGACCTAGGTTCTGAGCACCTTTGCATCACCCATGACAGTCCATGGGGCCTTCCATTTTCCATACCTCACTGGTGTGTGTGAACCTTGTGGGGTTGGTCTCTAAACTCATTGTATTAGGCTGTTTGAGTTGTTATAAAGAAATACCTGAGACTAGGTAATTTAAAAAGAAAAGATATTTAATTGGCTTACTATTCTGCAGCCTATACAAGCATGGCTCCAGCATCTTCTTATGGGGCCCGAGGAATCTTACAATCATAGGAGAAGTTGAAGGGGGAGCAGGCATTTTATATGGCAAGAGCGGGAGTAAGACTGGCAGGGAGGTGCCACACACTTTCAAAGAACTCGATCTCGTGAGAACTCACTCACTATCACAAGGACAGCACCAAGCCATTCATGAAGGATCAGCCCCCATGGCCAAAACACTTTCCACCAGGCCCCACCTCCAACATTCAGTATTACATTTTAACATGAGATCTGGAGGGGACAAACATCCAAACTATATCATTCTGCCTCTGGCCCCTCAAATCTCATATCCTTCTTACACTGCAAAATAAAATCATCCCCTGCCAATAGTCCCCGCAAATCTTAACTCATTACAGCATCAAGTCCAAAGTCCTAAGTCTCATCTGAGACTCATCTTCCACCTATGAGCCTGTAAAATCAAAACAAGTTATTTGCTCCCAAGATACAATGGTAATACAGTCATGGAGTACACATTCTTATCTCAAAAGGGACAAACTGGCCAAAAGAAAGGGACAGTAGGCTCCATGCAAGCCTGAAACCCAGCAGGCAAGTTATTAAATCTCTTTTTCTTTTTGAGACGGAGTCTCGCTCTGTCACCCAGGCTGGAGTGCAGTGGCGCAGTCTCAGCTCACTGCAAGCTCTGCCTCCCAGGTTCACGCCATTCTCCTGCCTCAGCCTTCCAAGTAGCTGGGACTACACGTGCCCGCCACCATGCCCGGGTAATTTTTTTTTTTAATATTTTTAGTAGAGATGGGGTTTCAACGTGTTAGCCAGGATGGTCTCAATCTCCTTACCTCATGATCCGCCGGCCTCAGCCTCCCAAAGTGCTGGGATTACAGGTGTGAGCCACCGTGCCCAGCCTTTTGGAAGTTATTAAATCTTAAAGCTCCAAAATAATCCCCTTTGATTCCATGTCCCTCATCTAGGTCACACTGGTGCAAGGGTGGGCTCCCAAGTCCTTGGGCAGCTCTGCCCTTGTGGCTTTGTAGGGTGTAGTTTCTGTTGCTGCTCTCACAGGTTGGAGTTGAGTGTGTGTGGATTTTGCACACTGAGGTTGCAAGCTGCTGGTGACTCTACTATTCTCCGGTCTGAGGGGGTGGAGGACCCCCTCCCACAGCTCCACTAGGCAGTGTCATTGTGGGGACTCTGTGTGGGGGCTCCACCCCACATTTCCCCTGGCACTGCCCTCGTAGAGTTTCTCTGTGGGGGCAACACCCATATAGCAGGCTTCTGCCTCAGCTCCCAGGCTTTCCTATCCATCCTCTGGAATATAGGTGGGAGCTGTCAAGCCTCCTTCACTCCTGCAGTCTGTGCACCTGCAGGCTTATCACAAGAACAGACTAACATTCGTCAGTACTAGTTTTATGTATTAGTACATTCTTGTGTTGCTATAAAGAAATACCAGAGACTGGGTCATTTATAAAGAAAAGAAGTTTAAATGGCTCATGATTCTGCAGGCTGTACAAGCATGGCTCCAGCATCTGCTTCTGGTGAGGGCCGTCATGGTGGAAGGTGAAGGGGAAGCAAGCATCTCACATGACCATAGTGGGAGCAAGAGAGAGAGGGAGGAGGTGCCACAAACTTTTAAACAACCGAATCTAGCAAGAATTTGCTTACTATCACGAGGCTAGCACCAAGCCATTCATGAGAGATCTGCCCCCAGGATCCAATCTCCTCCCAACAGGCCCCATCTCCAACATTGGAGATTAAATTTTAACATGAGATTTGGATGGACAAACATCCAAACTATATCACTCATACACAGGCATCTTCCTCAGCGGTGGAATCTGCCTCTTCAGCTGGGTCCACTCCTGCTGCCATTGTGAGGTTGTACCATTCCAAATGCAGAGTTTCTCTGAAAGGTTTTTGATAGGGCCAGTCTCTGCCCAGGAAAGCAGAGGATCAACAATGGTCCCTCAGATGCCCCCAAACCTACATCACTGCTTCTCCTGTCCATAGACTGCTCTCTGTCCCTGAGGTTTGACCTCTGGGTAGGGAGGCAGGAAGTGGGCTGCCCACCTCTGATACCTCGTCCACACTTCCTCTTCTTCTTTCTGCCAGCATAGAAATGGCTTTTCATTTCAGTTCTTATCTTCTAGAATTGACAATAGATTATTGTCTTTCTTTTCTACTCTGGGAAGCATGTAATTATTGATCTGAGTCCTTCAAGTTTGGCTTTTATATACAAATACTTAGCTTTGGAGAATTTCAATAGAACCCTTTTCCTCCTCAAGAAAGCCTGGCTCCTGCTAAACCAAAAGCCTTTGCATTCAGGGAATAGCCTTGCTATGGATGTAAAATTTCATATTATAAAGCTGTAAACTGATTGATGACTGCTGCTCTTGGCTGTGTGTTGCTCTTTTCCTGAGTCAATGAACCCCGCTGGATTAAGAGGGTGCAGGGAAGATAAGGAGAACTATAGGAAAGTTACAATTTGAAGTTTACCTGTGATGAAATGACATTGGCTTAATATCACAAAAAGATTAATCATCCAGTACATCAGCATCATCTGTAAGCCACCAATTGACTGTTGGGATTTTTTAGATGGGTCTGATGAAAAGGAATTAAATTTACATTTGGATTTCTATTAATGACTGTATAGTTTGTTCAAAAGAGAGTTACTCTAGTTTTCTTTACCTTGCTGTTATTCAGCTATTTTTTCTCTCTTTTATAATTTAGTCTTTACATTTTTAAATTGTAAAATAAAATGCAGATACAGAATGCTCTCCCATGAATTTGTGTACATGTTAATGAATTGCTTAGTAAATTTTAAGGCAAAAGCCTTTGTAACCAACACTAGATCAAATAGAACTTTGTCAGCCACTCATAAGCCCCTCTATATCCTCTATTCCAATCATAATCCCCTCCCTTCTGCCATATGTAATAATTATGCTATATAACAGAATAATAGTAATAAGCTTATTACTATTATTTTTGATAATCACTTCCTTGTATGTGTGTGTATGTTTAGTTTGAACATTTATATAAGTCCACTCCTACACATTGTAATTTAGTCTTTTCCATTATTTAAAATTTGATCAGTCTTTTGAAACCTTCAGTCTATGGTTCTTCTCTCTACCTCAATCTTTTCCCTGTGCTTTTTCTGTCGAACACCTGGACTGTTTGACCTGTAAAGTTTCCCATGGTCTGGACTTTGCTGAATGCATGCTCATGGTATAGTTTGGTATGTTCCTTTGTCCTTTTGTATTTTCTGCAAATTAGCAGCTGGATCCAGACACTGGATCAGATTCAAGTTCAATATCTTTGGCAATACTAGAAGGAGTGTTTGGGAAGACTATAGGAGGAAGCTCATGTCTATTTCTTTTTATGAGGCCAACAATTGTTGATGTTTAGTGTCTAAATCTATTATATAATAGGTTCTTTAGTGCTACTTTCATGCTCTGGATCCTTATGGTATATGAAAGATTCAAAAAATGTCAGGCAAATAGGAGACAAGCTTCCCCAAATTGTACTGTATTTATTTTTTACATTCTAAATGCCTTTTACTTATTGCATTTGGTATAAACCAGGTTGCAAAGGCCACTTCAAGCTTGGGGCAATGTCGAGCCAAATTTTAGGGAAAAAAGCAATTTCTGTGGCTCTATCTCCCACCTGCTTTTGTGGAACTTCTCCCTCCTACAAAGGCCTCTCTCTCTCACCAGTTACTGTGGGAAGTTCTAGATGGTGTCTTTTGGATGCTCTTGAAATGGTATTCTCAGCTACCACGTGGCATCTTTCTGTCACTTCCCTCGTTGCCCATCCAGCTCTGACTTCCTTTGGTGATGTCTTCTTTAAAGCCTCTGGGCTCTGTGAAACATTACTTAGGTGGCCCCTTGCAGTTGCTACTGCTACTGTGCAGATGTGGGTGACATTTCCCACTGATGCCAAAGGGCAGAGTGTGCTAATTTTTCTTCTAAATGTCTGTTTTCTCCTCCTCTTGGGACACCTGTAATACACTTCTCAACCTCTCTTGCAATGTGATGTGACCGTGTAACTAATTTCTAGACAATGCTAGATATTTGCAAGTGATATGTGCCACTTTGTGGATAGCTGGTTTGTCCCCTCCAAACTTTCTTTCCCCTTTGTGCTGGCTAGATCCAAATGGTGATGGCACTCTGGGCGGAGGTCTGCAAATACCTTAGGCTTTAGTGTCATATGGTCTCTGTCATGACTATGGTACTCAGTTCAGCTGTTATTGTGCAAAACTAGCCATAGACAATGCGTAAACAAATATGTATGGTTTTGTTCCCATAAAACTTTATTTACAAAAAGAATCTCTGAGCTATATTTTGCTGGTACCTTCCCTAGAGGATAGCAGAGCCACAAGACAGAAAGAACTTGGCCACTGATCACTACATAGAGGAAAGCTGCTTGTCAACCAGGAACAGCCATCTTCCACTATTATAATACGGACAAATAAGTTTCTATTGTATTTCATTCATGTTTTAGTTTCCTATGTCTGCCATAACACAGTATTATTACAAAGTAAGAGGCTTAAAACAGTGGAATTTTATTGTCTTGCAGTTCTAGAGGCCAGAAATCCAAAATCAAGGACTGTGGTCCCTCTGAAACCTCTAGAGGAGAATCCTTCCCTGCCTCTTCCTAGCTTTGGGTGGCATCGGTCAGTCCTGGTCACTACAATCTGCCTCTGTCCTCACATAGCATTCTCCCTGTGTGTTTGTCTCTGTGTCTCTTCTCCTCTCTCTCTTGTTTTTCAAATAATAACATTGTACATAGTTTTATTTTCATGAAGTCAACAGGAATTGGAAGGAAACTACAAAATATAAGTGATAAAAAAAGTGTGAAATAATACAATTTTACAGCAGGACTATCCTGTCTGATCTCTTACCTCGGGTGTTTTAACATACTCTTCCCTCACTTCTGGACATATTCATGGCTCTTCTCTTATAAAGACACCAGTCATGTTGGATCAAGAAACCAGCTTGCTCCAGTATGACCTCATAGTCATGTATATCTTAATTACATCTGCAAAGACCCTATTTCCTTATAAGGTTACACTCAGATATATTAAAGATTAGAACTTTAAACATGTCTTTTTGGAGGTCACAATTCACCTCACAAAGTGATTATATGCTCTTAGGGAGACTTATTACTGAAGCCCACTGGACTATGACCATGCTGTACTTCACTGATACTGGAAAAATTTATTTTTCACACTTTTTTCCTCACCCAAAGTGTCTCAGAGTTGTTGCTATTGCTTCTTTTTTTTTTCTTTTTCAAAAAATATATTTACGTGAAAGAAGAGTCACCATCTTTCTAGACCTCATGCTCAAGTCCATGGAGACTAGAAGGAAGGCAGAGATGATTCTGGAGAGGTAAGAAGGACAGCGATCTCAACAATAGGAAGACTTCATGCTGAAGCATTGTTCTACTCGCTCCTCCTGGTGACTGTGTAGCTGTGTTTCTAACTCTCCTTCCCTCAGCATAAGCTCTTGCCAGGGGTCTCTTTAGTCAGATATACTCTTGACCAGCATTACTTCCTTTTCTCTTGACCCTCCTGCTTACCACCCTCACAGACATGACGAGACCTGTTTAATCCCAAACTGAAAACAGCAGACACTCTGACCTCATATGCTTTTACTGAGAGCTATAAAACGTGTTAAAGACTAATGATAATTAGAACTTCATCTCCATCTCCAAACAATAATCTTCTTTTAGGTGAAGCTAACAAATGATTGGTTGACAGGAGCCTGTCAGAAAACTCCTATTTAGACAATTTTCTTCAAGCAAGAAGAAAGAAATAAAAGTACAGAAAGTTTAGAAATAAAAGTACAGAAAGTTTAGAAATCGAAGTACAAATCGGGGTGAGTCAAAAGGTCAAAACTTAATCTGTGGCACACATTGGCAGCCACCACCTGGTACATCTGGTATTATGGTTCTTTTTATTATTATTATTTTTAAATATTTTATTATACTTTAAGTTCTGGGATACATGTGCAGAATGTGCAGGTTTGTTACATAGGTATACATGTGCCATGGTGGTTTGCTGCACCCATCAACCTGTCATCTACATCAGGTATTTCTCCTAATGCTAACCCTCCCCTTGTCCCCCAACCCCCCTACAGGCCCTGGCATATGATGTTCCCCTCCCTGTGCCCATATGTTCTCATTGTTCAACTCCCACTTATAAGTGAGAACATGTGGTGTTTGGTTTTCTGTTCCTATGATAGTTTTCTGAGAAAGACAGTTTCCAGCTTCATCCACGTCCCTGCAAAGGACATGAACTCATTCTTTATTATAGCTGCATAATATTCCATGGTATATATGTGCCACATTTTCTTTATCCAGTCTATTATTGATGGGCATTTGGGTTGGTTTCAAGTCTTTGCTATTGTGAATAGTGCTGCAATAAACATATGTGTGCATGTGTCTTTATATTAGAATGATTTATAATCCTTTGGGTATATACCCAGTAATGGGATGGCTGGGTCAAATGGTATTTCTAGTTCTAGATCCTTGAGGAATTGCCACTCTGTCTTCCACAATGGTTGAACTATTATTTACACTCCCACCAACAGTGTAAAAGCATTCCTATTTCTCCACATTCTCTCCAGCATCTGTTGTTTCTTGACTTTTTAATGATCGCCATTCTAACTGGGGTGAGATAGTATCTCATTTGTGGTTTTGATTTGCATTTCTCTAATGAACAGTGATGATGAGCTTTTTTTTCATATGTTTGTTGGCTGCATAAATGTCTTCTTTTGAGAAGTGCCTGTTAATATCCTTCACCCACTTTTTGATGGATATCAAAAGTGGATATCCATCTGGATATTAGCCCTTTCTCAGATGGATAGATTGCAAAAATTTTCTCCCATTCTGTGGGTTGCCTATTCACTTTGATGATAGTTTCTTTTGCTGTGCAGAAGCTCTTTAGTTTAATTAGATCCTATTTATCAATTTTGGCTTTTGTTGCCGTTGCTTTTGGTGTTTTAGTCATGAAGTCTTTGCCCATGCCTATGTCCTGAATGGTATTGCCTAGGTTTTCTTCTAGGTTTTTTATGGTTTTAGGTCTTAAGTTTAAGCCTTTAATCCATCTTGAGTTAATTTTTGTATAAGGTGTAAGTAAAGGGTCCAGTTTCAGTTTTCTGCATATGGCAAAGCCAGATTTCCCAACACCATTTATTAAACAGGGAATTCTTTCCCCATTTCTTGTTTTTGTCAAGTTTGTCAAAGATCAGATGGTTGTAGATGTGTGGTGTTATTTTCGAGGCCTCTGTTCTGTTCCATTGGTCTATATATCTGTTTTGTTACCAGTACCATTCTGTTTTGGTTACTGTAGCCTTGTAGTATAGTTTGAAGTCAGCTAGTGTGATGCCTCAAGCTTTGTTCTTTTTGCTTAGGATTGTCTTGGCTATGCAGCCTCTTTTTTGGTTCCATATAAAATTTAAAGAAGTTTTTTGTAATTCGGTGAAGAAAGTCAATGGTAGCTTGATGGGACTAGCATTGAATCTATAAATTACTTCAGGCAGCATGGCCATTTTTATGATATTGATTCTTCCTATCCATGAGCATGGAATGTTTTTCCATTTATTTGTGTCCTCTCTTATTTCCTTGAGCAGTGGTTTGTAGTATTCCTTGAAGAGGTCCTTCACATCCCTTGTAAGTTGGATTCCTAGGTATTTCATTCTCTTTGTAGCAATTGTGAATAGGAGTTCACTCATGATTTGGCTCTCTGTATATTATTTGTGTATAGGAATGCTTGTGGTTTTTGCACATTGATTTTGTATCCTGAGACTTTGCTGAAATTGCTTATCAGCTTAAGGAGATTTTGGGCTGAGATGATGGGGTTTTCTGAATATACAATCATGTTATCTGCAAACAGAGACAATTTTACTTCCTCTCTTCCTATTTGAATACCCTTTATTTTGTTCTCTTGCCTGTTTGCCCTGACCAGAACTTCCAATACTAGGTTGAGTAGGAGTGGTGAGAGAGGGCATCCTTGCCTTGTGCTGGTTTTCAAAAGGAATGCTTCCAGTTTTTGCCCATTCAGTATGACATTGGCTGTGGGTTTTTCATAAATAGCTCTTATTATTTTGAGATACTTTCCATCAATACCTTGTTTATTGAGAGTTTTTAGCGTGAAGGGGTGTTGAATTTTATCGAAGGCCTTTTCTGCATCTATTGAGATAATCATGTGGTTTTTGTCATTAGTTCTGTTTATGTGATGGATTACTGATTTGCATATGTTGAACCAGCCTTGCATCCCAGGGATGAAGCCGACTTGATCATGGTGGATAAGCTTTTTAATGTGCTGCTGGATTTGGTTTGACAGTATTTTACTGAGGATTTTTGTATCAATGTTCCTCAGGGATATCGGCCTGAAATTTTCTCTTTTTGTTGTGTCTCTGCCAGGTTTTGGTATCAGGATGATGCTGGCCTCATAAAATGATTTAGGGAGGAGTCCCTCTTTTCTATTGTTTGGAATAGTTTCGTAAGGAATGGTACCAGCTCCTCTTTGTACCTCTGGTAGAATTCGGCTGTGAATCGGTCTGGTCCTGGGCTTTTTTTGGTTGGTAGGTTATTAATTACTCCCTCAATTTCAGAAATTGTTATTGGTCTATTCACTTCTATGCATAGAGGTGTTTATAGTATTCTCTGATGGTAGTTTGTATTTCTGTGGGATCAGTGGTGATATTCCCTTTATCATTTTTTATTCTGTCTATTTGATTCTTCTCTCTTTTCTGTTTTATTAGTCTGGCTAGCAGTCTACCTATTTTGTTAATCTTTTCAAAAAGCCTGCTCCTGGATTCATTGATTTTTCGAAGGGTTTTTCATGTTGCTGTCTCCTTCAGTTCTGCTCTGATATTAGTTATTTCTTGTCTTCTGCTAGCTTTTGAATTTGTTTGCTCTTGCTTCTCTAGTTATTTTAATTGTGATGTTAGGGTGTTGCTTTTAGATCTTTCTCACTTTCTCCTGTGGGCATTTAGTGCTATAAATTTCCCTCTAAACACTGCTTTAGCTGCATCCCAGAGATTCTGGCATGTTGTGTCTTTGTTCTCATTGGTTTCAAATAACTTATTTATTTCTGCCTTCGTTTTGTTATTTATGCAGTAGTCATTCAGGAGCAGGTTGTTCAGTTTCCATGTAGTTGCACCTGTGTTGAGTGAGTTTCTTAATCCTGAGTTCTAATTTGATTGCACTGTGGTCTGAGTAACTGTTTGTTATGATTTCTGTTCTTTTGCAGTTGCTAAGGAGTGTTTTACTTCCAATTATGTGGTCAGTTTTAGAATAAGTGCTATGTGGTGCTGAGAAGAATGTATATTCTGCTGATTTGAGGTGGAGAGTTTTGTAGATGTGTATTAGGTCCACTTGATCCAGAGCTGAGCTCAAGTCCTGAATATCCTTTTTAATTTTCTGTCTCATTGATCTGTCTAATATTGACAGTGGAGTGTTAAATTCTCCCACTATTATTGTATGCGAGTTGAAGTCTTTTGTAGGTCTCTAAGAACTTGCTTTATGAATCTGGGTGCTTCTGTATTGGGTGCATATATATTTAGGATAGTTAGTTCTTCTTGTTGCATTGATCCCTTTATCATTCTGTAATGTTCTTCTTTGTATTTTTCTTTTAATCTTTGTTGGTTTAAAGTCTGTTTTATCAGAGACTAGGATTGCAACCCCTGCTTTTTTTTGCGTTCCATTTCCTTGGTAAGTCTTCCTCCATCCCTTTATTTTGAGCCTATGTGTGTCTTTGCACATGAGATGTGTCTCCTGAATACAGCACACTGATGGGTCTTGACTCTTTATCCAATGTGCTAGTCTGTGTCTTTTAACTGGGGCACTTAGTCCATTTACATGTAAATTTAATATCGTTGGCTGGGTGCAGTGGCTCACGCCTGTAATCCCAGCACTTTGGGAGGCTTAGGTGGGCGAATCACAAGGTCAGGAGTTCAAGACCAGTCTGGCCAACATGGTGAAACCCCGTCTCTACTAAAAATAAAGAAAATTAGCTGGGCGTAGTGGTGGGTGCCTATAATCCCAGCTACTCAGGAGGCTGAGGCAGGAGAATCACTTGAACCTGGGAGACGGAGGTTGCACTGAGCCGAGATGGGTGCCACTGTACTCCAGCCCAGTGATAGAGTGAGACCGTGCCTCAAAAAAAAAAAAAAAATTGCTATGTGTGAATTTGATCCTGTCATTATGATGCTAGCTGGTTATTTTGCCCATTAGTTGATGCAGTATTTTCATAGTGTTGATGGTCTTTACATTTCAGTATGTTTTTGCAGTGGCTGATAATGGTTTTTCCTTTCCATATTTAGTGCTTCCTTCAGGAGTTCTTGTAAGGCAGGCCGGCTTGTGACAAAAATCCCTCAGCATTTGCTTGTCTTTAAAGGATTTTATTTCTCCTTTGCTTATGAAGCTTAGTTTGGGTGGATATGAAATTCTGGGTTGAAAATTCTTTTCTTTAAGAATGTTGAATATTGGTCCCCACTCTCTTCTGGCTTCTAGGGTTTCTGCAGAGAGATCTGCTGTTAGTCTGATGGGCTTCCCTTTGTGGGTAACCCAACCTTTCTCTCTGGCTGCCCTTAACATTTGCTCCTTCATTTCAACCTTGGTGAATCTGATGATTATGTGTCTTGGGGTTGCTCTTCTCAGGGAGTATCTTTGTGGTATTCTCTGTATTTCCTGAATTTGTATATTGGCCTGTCTTGCTAGGTTGGAGAAGTTCTCCTGGATAATATCCTGAAGTGTGTTTTCCAAGTTGGTTCCTTTCTCCCTGTCATTTTGAGGTACATCAATCAAATGTAGGTTTGGTCTTTTCACATAGTCCCATATTTCTTGGAGGCTTTGTTCATTCCTTTTAATTCTTTTTTCTCTAATCTTGTCTTCATGCTTTATTTCATTAAGTTCACCTTCAGTCTTTGATATCCTTTCTTCCGCTTGATCGATTTGGCTATTCATACTTGTGTAAGCTTCATGAAGTTCTTGTGCTGTGTTTTTCAGCTCCATCAGGTCATTTATTTTCTTCTCTAAACTGGTTATTCTAATTAGCAGTTCCTGTAACCTTTTATCAAGGTTCTTAGCTTCCTTCCATTGGGTTTTTGGAATTTTCAGCCTTTTTGCTCTATTTTTAATTCATCTTCATGGCTTTATCTACCTTTGGTCTTTGGTGTTGGAGGTCTTTGGATGGGGTTTTTGCATGGGCATCCTTTTTGCTGATGTTGATGCTATTCCTTTCTGTTTTTTTTCCTTCTAATAGTCAGGGCCCTCTTCTACAGGTCTGCTGGAGTTTGCTGGAGTTCCACTCCAGACCCTGTTTGTCTGGGTATCACCAGCGGAGGCTGCAGAACAACAAAGATTGCTGCCTGTTCCTTCCTCTGGAAGCTTCGTCCCAGAGGGGCACCCACCAGATGCCAGCCGGAGCTCTCCTGTATAAGGTGTCTCCCAGACAGGATGCACGGGGGTCAAGGACCCACTTGAGGAGGCAGTCTGTCCCTTAGCAGAGCTCGAGCGCTATGCTGGGAGATCCACTGCTCTCTTCAGAGCCAGCAGGCAGGAGCATTTAATTCTGCTGAAGCTGCACCCAGAGCTGCCCCTTCCCCCAGGTGCTCTGTCCCAGGGAGATGGGAGTTTTATCTATAAGCCCCTGACTGGGGCTGCTGCCTTTCTTTCAGAGATGGCCTGCCCAGAGAGGAGGAATCTAGAGAGGCAGTGTAGCTACAGTGGCTTCATGGTGCTGCGGTGGGTTCTGCACCCAGTTCGAACTTCCTGGAGGCTTTGTTTACAGTGTGAGGAGAAAACTGCCTACTCAAGCCTCAATAATGACCAGTGTCCCACCCCCCACCAAGCTCAAGTGTCCCAGGTTGACTTCAGAGTGCTGTGCTGGCAGCAAGAATTTCAAGCCAGTGCATCTTAGCCTGTCAGGCTTCATTGGGGGTGGGATCCACTGAGCAAGACCTCTTGGCTCCCTGACTTCAGCCCCCTTTCCAGGGGAGTGAATGGTTCTGTCTCGCTGGCATTCCATACACCACTGGGGTATGAAAAAAACTCCTGCAGCTAGCTCGGTGTCTGCCCAAATGGCTGCCCAGTTTTGTGCTTGAAACCCAGGGCCCTGGTGGTGTAGGCACCCGAGGGAATCTCCTGGTCTGTGGGTTGCGAAAACCATGGGAAAAGCATAGTGTCTGGGCCAGATAGCACTGTTCCTCATGGCACAGTCCCTAACAGCTTCCCTTGGCTAGGGGAGGAAGTTCTCTGACCCCTTGCACTTCCCAGGTGAGGTGATGCCTCACCCTGCTTCTGCTCACCCTCCATGGGCTGCACCCACTGTCTAACCAGTCCCAATGAGACGAAGTGGGTACCTCAATTGGAAATGCAGAAATCACCTGCCTTCTTCTTTGATCTCACTGGGAGCTGCAGACCAGAGCTCTTCCTAGCCATCTTGCCAGCCATCTGTTATGGTTCTTAAAACATTAATTTGCTATTGTGTGTTCAGCTTATCTAAAAAATAAAGTATGGGAATCAGTGAATTTTGAGGAGAAGGCAATGCTCTTATGTGTGTGTATATGGTGTGTGTCTGTATTTGTGCCTATGGATAATCATTAGTTTCTCAAATGTATGCAAGTGATACAGCACATATGTGTATTTCCCAGTCTTCATACGCTCAACAGACCAGCCTTCTTTTTCCACCTCGGACATATGTTTCTGGGTAGGTTTCCTGATTTGTAATCAGTCAGCCTCTGATATTCACTGTGACTTTGGTTTCCAGCCCTGTCTGGAAGAACTCCAGCCTGGGAGAATGTAAACATTTTATTCAGAAGCCTGTGATGTTGGAAAGAGGAGGTTTTGGATGATTTTTGTTTTTGTTTGGACTTGGGTCAGTGTCTCCCATTTATAGCTGGAATGTGAACTGCATGGCTTCAGATGTGTTTTGGAAGATTGATGTGGGCCTCATGAAACTCAGCTACAGTGGAGCCTCAGGAGACTAGGAGCTGGTTATCATATTAAGAAACACATTTCTTTTTATCAGTGAATATTAATGCTGAACAGTGAAGCTGTGGAACTCCTTCTCTTACACCGGCAACCTCAGCCCTCCTAGAAAAGCTGTGTAGTCAGAACCAGTGTTAGGGGGAGTTCTTTATGGTTTCTCCAACAGTCGTTGATACTGAGTAAAAAGGGACTACCCAGGGGATTTCAAGTCAAAATCTAAGAACTAAACTTATTTCTGTTAATGATATGAATGACATGTCATTGGTGAATGGAAAGAAAATGCTCTCAATATATGGAGCTATAGGAATAAATGCTAGAAGTGAGGCTAAGTTTTTGCCAGCTGTATCCTACTGATCATATTGGCCATTATGTTAGAATTGCCACTTTCCCTCTCCTTGGATGAAAAGAGGTCTTATTTTATTTTTCCAAGAAGGAGTCTTGCTCTGTCACCCAGGCTGGAGTGCAGTGGCGCGATCTTGGCTCACCGCAACCTCTGCCTCCTGGGTTCAAGCGATTCTCCTGCCTCAGCCTCCCAAGTAGCTGGGATTACAGGAGTGTGCCACCTCGCCCAGCTAATTTTTATATTTTTAGTAGAGAAGGAGTTTCACCCTGTTGGCCAGGCTGGTCTCAAATTCCTGACCTTGTGATCTGCCAGCCTCGGCCTCCCAAAGTGCTGGGATTACAGGTGCGAGCCACCATGCCCTGCCATGAAAAGAAATGTTATAAAAGTACAAACCACTTGTGCTTTATTTTATGGGTGAGTCTACTTGTGGTGGATCCACTTGTCTCATACCATTATGTCTACTTCTTTCCTTTTTGATTGCTAAGAAAATTTTCCATCTTTTCCAACGAAAATGCAGGATCTAAAACAGAATTGCAAAGTTATTCCAAAATCAAACCAAACAAACGAACAAACTAATCATTAACATTTAAAAATCAGGAGATCGCACCTAAGAATCTGCATTTCTTCAGTCTCCTGGAATGCAGGTGCATGTGGTAGCACTGAGTCTGCATTTCTGCATACTGGAACTGGGTAGATGGAGCTACCTTTTAATGTGACACGTGCTCCCAGTCTTATTAAGGCAGGCCAGCTTTACCCATTTGTGTGAGCTGCCCTGTCCTTGTAGGCATTTGAATTTTTAACGTTTGGTCTATAGGAAAGAAAACTTCTGCAATATTTTTTTTTCTTCCTTGAGACTCTAAGTGATGTTTTGGAATTGGAAATGAGCTATGGTTAGTGAATGGAAATGGTCAGTGGAAATATGTAATTAAAGGGACTTCCCTAGAGCCACGATCTAAATGTATTTGGGCAACAATGGTGCTTAGTGTTACCCATGTCGAAAAGACTCATCAGTCTGAACTTAGTTTTCACAGATACATGCTCAGGGGAAACGTTTCCTCCTGAAGATGATTCCTCTTGGTTTTGACTGCCTGGATCAGTTCATAAAGCTGGAGTTATGGCTTCTTCAAAAAAGCCTGTCTCTCATGCTGTGGTAAAATATGTGGTCACCTGGCTGGTGAAGAGTTTCTGGGTCCCATAATATTTTACATAGGACACAAAAAATGGAATGCTTTTGGACTTAAACCTGTTTTCTTTTCAACTCCTTCTGCCTAGAGGAGATGGTAGCCTCAGAAGAGTTCTTACTTCCCCTTCCTAGAACTGTGCAAATCTTTCAGGTCCCAGCTGGTAATGGAGAAATTACTTTTTGTTATTTAAAAAATATAAACAGGAAAAATAAAAACCATGATATTTCATGAAATACAACTTCTTTTCTGTTTTCTACTAAATAAGACAAATTTTTTTTTATATGTGTTCAGGTTCCTGACTGTCTTTAGTACTTTACCTTCTCATGGTCTCTACTCTCTTGCAATTTATTTTATATAGTCTTTTTCCAGGAATCCTCCCGTCTCATTAGATTTTTCTTTTTGTTCCTTTCCATGCTGCTGTATTTTCCTTTTATTTTAGAACCTGTGTCTAATTTTCCAGCTCTCTACTTTTATTCTTATTTTCCTTTTGTCAGCCTGGTGTCTTTTATTTTCTATTGTTTCATTTTTTCCCTCTCTGTGCCCTTTTTCATGTGCTATTATACAGGGTTTGCTTATTTTTCACTTCTGTTCAGTTTGTTTTATTCTCTTACCATGCATTCATACCTCCTGCTTCAAAACCAAAAAACCCGAAACTGATTCTTACTTTTTTAATTGTAACCCTCTCCCTAGTTTATTTACACTAACTTTACACTATGAGTTTTTTATACTTGAAATTGCCAAAATTTCCTTATCACTTAGTTTTCTCCCAGTTTCCCATAGAAAATTCAGTGGATGTTCTTTCCATATGTCAGCTGCTGTGGTAACCCAAGACAGAGGTCATTATGTTCAGTTCTGATCACATTTTGTTCTTTCGCTGGCTGTATTACCTGAAGGAAGCCACAGTCTCTGTCTGGGTCTCATTTTTTTTTATCTAGTAAAGTTAACAGGGAGAACAAGGTGTGGTTCTCAGATGAGGCACACCTGTGAGCTCGCCAGAACTGTGCTACCTCAGGTCTCACTCCACACTTCCTGACGTGGTATCTGCATTTTTACAAGATCTCCCGCTGATCTGTGCCCTCATGGAAGTTTGAGAAGCACAATCTCGATGCTCTTTGGGGGTTTTTCCAGGTTTAACTTTGCTGAAAATAAGGGAAAACCTATTTTACTAAGTGAAAATAAGTGAAATATTTTAATAAGTGAAAATAAGGGAAAAACATAAAGTGAAAACTGCTTTGGTTACAAGGCACAGTAGAATAACCTGGGAAGCATCAATAAAATGTCAATGCCTTAGAGGTCCCTCCTCAGGGCAGCTGATTCAGAAACTCTGGGGATGGTATTTTTTACTGTACCAGGTGATTTTAATGAGCAGGTTGATCCCCACTTAAATATGCTATTTAACTTTGACCTCCTTTACTGATGCCCTCAGTGCTGCCCTCTTTTGGTTGTGAGGTAAGTAATTACTATGGAAAGAGGAACTTCGAAGTATTTGGTTTCATCTACTTAAACCCACCAGAATTTATTCTGGGGAGGCCATAACTGGGGAGATAGATAACTATCGAAGGAGGCTATATGTATTTTTATAGCGTTATGAAAGCAAAAGCAGGATTCGCTTACTTTTTTTTTTTTCTCAAGACTGATTAAGGCTTTTGCTGGCAATGGGAGTGTTTGTGGTAACAGAAGGAAGTAACCCTGGCAAGTGATAGATAGACATTGTATCCTAAGAGTCTTGGGGGTGGTGGGTGCCGGGGATATGTCAGTGGGATGGTTTTATTTCATCAGAACTTGGTGCTGGTGTTGACTGGATACTCACAATTAGCCACATGCTATGATTGGGTTACTGAACATTAGGTTCTAATTTATTTTTAATTATTTCAGGTTGTTGAACTGTAGCTGATTTAAGAAAACTTGAAACCAAGATTTTTTTTTTTAACTGCTCTTATAGTATTCTTAGTGTGAGAACTGGGGAGGGAATAGTCATAAAACAATTTGTCACAAGAGTGGAGGGTGTGACAATACTATTAGGTGGTGATACTTTAATGTTGTAGTTTTAAAATCGGATCTTGAGAAACTGTGTCTTTAAAGATTTTTTCTTTTTTTAAGAGAGAGAGTTTCGCTCTTGTCGCCCAGGCTGGAGTGCAATGGTGTGATCTCGGCTCACTGCAACTTCTGCCTCCCGGCTTCAAACGATTCTCCTGCCTCAGCCTCCCGAGTACCTAGGATTACGGGCAGCCTGCTACCATGCCCAGCTAATTTTTGTATTTTTAGTAGAGAAAGGTTTCATCATATTGGCTAGGCTGGTCTCAAACTCCTGATCTCAGGTGATCCACCCGCCTCAGCCTCCCAAACGGCTGGGATTACAGGCAAGAGCCACCACACCTGGCCTTTAAAGGGCTTTTTAAAAAAAGGTTAAATGTTTTTCACCAGTGCTCAATGAGAAACACAAACATGATTACATTGTTTGGAGTGGCTGAATTACTTGATCAAAATTTAAAAAAAAAGGTATTTTCCCTAAGTGGTTTTTGCTTAGTACAGCACCTTTTTTTCCCCTCAGTTTTCATGTCCTGAATTATTTCTGCATCATTAAGTTTAGCTGAGGAGCCAAAATTCTGTCATTGTGGGGGGATTGCTGAGGTGTCACATCGACAAAGGGAGGTACTTAGAATAAGATGTCATTTTGGTCTGTTCTTGAGTGTTACTCCAAGAAGTTATGTGAGCAGAGAAACACTAATCCTGTGGGCCATCTGTCTTTCCCATCATGTGGCAGAACCCCCATGCAGAATCTCTAGTCAAGGTTGGACCATGGCTGCATTTCATTACATCTGAAAAGAGTCCCCGGTAGTTATGTGATTTTTACCTCACAGATTGCTCAGAATCACATAAAGCCTCAACAAATATTTCCTCACAGATTTATTCTAGCCCTGGTCAAAAGTGTGAAGTAGGACATTTTCTTCAAGTGTATTTTTTTTTCTGTCTTATTGAAACACTTTCAATACTGTTAGCGTGACTTTGTGTCCCATCCGTCCAATATTTGCTGTACTCACAGCTGTTACCTCTGCAGGAAATCTTTGCAAACTAGAGTCTTCATTCTTTCATGGTTCTAGGCAGTAAGCTTAGAAGGGACAGTGGAGCTGTAACACTCACTGTTTCATAAGTTTTTAAACTTATGCTGTAAAAGTCTCTGATACATGCAAGATCAGAGAAAATGTAGAACAAAGGAGGCATATAGATGAGGTGAGGATACTGGGAAGATAATAAATTTGCACAGAAGGGAAGGGAGTTTATAAAATGTGGGAAGAGTCAGGAAAGGCTGGCAGGAGGTGAACCGGGGTGTAAGAAGGATGTGTACAATATGTAGGTAGAGAAGATATGTCATGAGGCCTCGCAATGCCCTCATTACCATTATGGTTAGGTAGTTGCCAACACATGTTTTCGGAGCACCTACTGTGTGCCAAACATTATTCTGGTGCTCAGGGTATGGCAGTAAATGAGCCTAGCAGAATTTCTGTCTTCAAGGAGCTAACATTCTATTCTAGTAAAAAAGTTCTCTTGCCCTTGCTAAGTTTGAAATGCCTGTTTATGGCAAAGGAGTAGAAATGGTAGATGCTTTATATAAAAATATATGATTTGTCTTGGCAAAGCATCCTTGAGGAGAGATTAGTACAGTGCAAAAAAGTATTGAGTAACATTCTCCCCGTTTCCACCTTTCTGTCAGGTCATAGATATAAATTACAATTCTGGCCCTCATTCACCCTCACATAGCTTTCTGGCATCCTTTCCCATTCTCTGAACATGAGAGGAATGAGAAGGTTATTTGGAAGGTCGCTGATCTTAGGAGTTGTCCTGCTACAGTTACCGGAGAATCTTGAATTTCATCTGAAAAGACTGCAAGGCAGTCGGGGCAAGCATGCTATGAGAAGTCAACTGGTAAGCAGACCCCAGAGATGAGAAGCATATGGGAAGCCAACCCCATGATTTGCTTCCTTAAAAAGTATGGGCTGTGGATGGATTTTAAATCCTACTCTAAATACAAGACTGGTGTTAGCGGTTGTTTGCAGGAAAACCAAAGGAACTTAGCATCCTTCAGTGTGTTACAGAGACTGTGTGGCCTCAAGCAGTGAAGTGAAGAATTCTTTTTGTCTTTTTCCTCATATGCCCAACCTGGAAACCAGCAGAATTTTTGATGGTGCATCTGGTTCCTGGTGTGCTGCAGAAGTGATTAGTGTGTCATGTCACTGTGGCCTCTTTCTCTGCCCCAGGAGAATGTCTGGGGAACAGAAGAGCAGAGTCCTGCCTGGGATCATGTGGGTGGGGGAGCTATTCCTTCTCAACAGATAGTGTGAGAAGCACTGATCCAAGGTCCTGGCTGCTCAAAGTGTGTTCCTAGGAGCTTGCTGGACATGCAGAATCTCAAGTTCCATCCCAGAACCTGATGTTTTTATTTGGAGCACTGGCCTTGGCAACACATGTTCCTTCCTCACCTTTCTGCAGCCTCTCACTCCCCACTGTCGCCCACTCCTCATAGGCTATCCTCAGGAATGGCATTGGTGGAGTGTTGGTGAAGGTGTAGCTGCAAGCATTCTGATCTTTATTTTACAAACTCTAAACCCAGAAGACTCCAAACCCAGAAAAGTCTAAGTCACAGAAAGCAAAGGAACAGTCTTATTTCAGACACATCTACAGTCTTTGCTGGTTAAATGTCAGGAAGCCCACAAAAAGCTGCCAGACATTTCAGGGTATGAATTTCGTATCTGTACTTCTTGACATCTGCTGGGCTACCATGCCCTTCAATTTACCAAAATATGGAAATTTCCTTATGGCATTCTACCCAAATAATGAGGAAAATGTTGATGCTTCTCTCAGCCTCAGGACCTTAAAGCCACACTGTTCCTAACCACGCTTGCCTATATGGCACTTAGCACTTTACACAAAAAACAAACAGAGGTGTTTATTCCCTGGCAGTTAATATAAATGCTTTCTGTTTTGTAAAATAGGAACAGTATTTGATTCCATTATCACAGATCTCTTGTGGACAAGTCAAAATTCTTCAATTAAGGTTATATCTAGTTAAAGGAATTTTTCTCTTTGGTCTACATCCCCACCCTGAATGTCCTTGCCTGTTAGTTCCTTGCAGGTGAAAGGTAAAAAACCTTTGCAACTTCATGCTATAATTGTGCCTTTGAATTTTCAGAGGAAAAGACAGTGAGAGAGCAAGAGCAGATTGAGAAGCAGAAGAGTGAGTCGCAAAAAGAGAAAATGACAGAAATGGAGCACCCTGGTGAGTCCCAACCACATCCATTCTTGATGATAACAACCAAAGCTCAGAAAATGATTTCTTACAGAATGTTGTATCAAAAGGAGCATATTGTATGTGCAAAGTTGCTGCAGCTTTCCTAAGTTGGCTTCAAACTATCCAACTATGATGTTAACATATTACCTTCAGCCAGTATGATACACATATTGGAATGTTTTGTATCATTGACTACTTTTCCTGTGTCTGTCCACTCTACTGTTTCAAACCCCTGGTACTGGGACAGTGATTGAACCCAGGTATTCTTGTCAATAATAGTTGGAGGGGCTTAGCAATAGATCAAGGTATAGAAGAATTAAACCTGCTATAGCTTGATCTACTTTGAGATTAGAGTGTACAGGGTCCTCTCCAACCTGACACACTTGGCCCTTTTCTGACATAGGTTTAGTAAGTTTTGTGTGCATTTGTAGATATTTTTTCATTCCTAGGGGTTTGGCTTCATTGAGATGTGAGTTGTGGAGCCAAAATACCAGAGAGGCTGACTGTTTTTGTAGCAAGAGTTAGTTTATTTTGTGGTTGGGTTTGAAAAAGAAAAAGCTAAAAACTGCCCTCAAATATCTGATTTAGCTGATTGCTAGGTTATCTAAATCAACTTGAAAACTTTGGATAAGCATTATTCAAACACTAAAGGCAACAAAAGTCTATTTCATTATGTTTGCTCTGATACCTAGCTTCCCGGCTGACTTCTTTTCCAGTTCCTTTCATCCTTTCACAAACCTGAGGAATGAACATACAGAAAAGGCATTTTACTTAGTTACTATTAGAAAGCATGAATATCATCAACTCATATATCTTTATTCAGTTTAGTACTCTGCAGACATCCTTGTTGGATATTTTATTCTGGGATTGTTAGAACTAAAGTTAGCCTTAATGACTTAAAGCAATGATTTTCATAAATTTCTCCTGAAATGATGTTTTGGTACAAAATGCCCTGAAAATGATTTAACTATAGATAACACTGAGAATTTTACTTACTGCTGCTCATCAGAAAGACACCCTGGGTCTCCTTTCCCTCTCTCCACCCCTTATCCCCTTTCTCAGAGATTAATTGAGGAAACATTTAAAAAAGTTTTCAGTTTTGGTTAGGAAATAACATCATTAAGCAAGTTTTGCTGGGTGATGTGTAATCACTGAAACGCCAATTTGTTCAGGAAGCAGGAATTAACACCTTTGCTCTAGTGAAAAAGAAATTGGTACAAGACTTTAAGGAAGTCAAAATGATGAAGTTTGGATTAAGCTCTTAGCAGGAAAGGCAAAGGCCACAGTGAAAGCAATCCTGAGCTGGCCAGCCCTGTAAACAACTGCTAGCCCCTGGTTAAGTGTCTTTTTCTTTTGACATAGAGAAGTTAAAATATAGTGCAATTTAATATAGTCAGCACACTTCACCCTAAAATCCAATCAATTTATTAAAGAAAAAAAGGTCCATTCAACCCAGCCATTATACATGACTCTATAGTTCTTGGAAATAACTATAGTCAGCTCTGGAAACAGAAAACTAATCCAACTGACCACTTGAGGGAGGTGGTGGGTTATCTTGTCTAGAAAAAGGACCTCAGTTCCTTCTTTGTAGTGTGCAATTTTAAGAACTTTGAATACCTCCTGTGACCTATGGGTAAAATGAGATCACAGGAACCCAGACAATGGCCTTTTCTCCACTTGGATCTATAATCTAATTTTCCTATAAAGTAAGGGGAATAAAATAGATTTACAGAACACTTGTGATGGTCTAGCTGATGGATCACTTTAAAAAGAGAGAAAGAGGCAAAGTATGGGTAGTTTATTTTCACAAATCAGTTTTAGTTTTTTTCTATGAAATTAATGAACAAGAAGCCCATTAAAATGATTGTTACAATTCTTCTTTTTAATTGTTTACTCTATTAAGGTGACAATACTTGACAGCTTGATATATGAACAGTGTTCACTTGCCCAACATAAACATCAATTATAACATGAAAATGCGATGGTCCTTCAACCCTTCATTCACTCATCCAGGTTAAATGCAGAATTTGGAAAGAAACCAAAATTAAAGTTAATTTTACCTAGACTTCAACAGATGTTTTTTAACAAGAAAAAAAAAAACAAAGAAATTGTGGCTGAAGAAAAGTTAGCTGAGATGAAGAGTAAAATGGGTCATGTAGGAACAAAGTCATTGTATTTCATCAGAGTCAAGAAAATTATTAATTATTGAAATGGGAAATCAAATCATTAAAGTATGAATACCATTGGCTCTCTGATTTCTTCTTTCCCAGGTATCATAAAATATGCTTGAACTTGGGTTAATTCCTCTTGGACTGAATTGTAGTGCCATAAACCAAGCTTTTCAAAAAGATTGGATGCAAAACTATTATGGCAACAGGAATTTTTATCAACATAAAGCAGGATTTAATGCAGGTATATAGTATATAGAGTCAAAAAGGATTATAAGATTTATAATGAAAAACAGCAGTACTCTACTTCTCCATTTGCTATCCCCAACTCTCGATGTGCAGATACCAATTTCAACTTGTTTAGCTATTTCTTCTGGCATCTAATTCCAAATGGCTAAATAACATGTTTATACTAATTTCTTATATATGTGCAATAAAGCTTTAGGTATTTTCTATTGCTTCCTCTTATTGGAGAAAAGAATCCAGCCCTATCAACTCTCCCCACACCACTTAATATATACTTCCCATTTCCTCAGCCTCTAAATGCTGGTAAATTACCATTTTTGGTTTAACCTCTATTCTGTGTTTGCTTTATTATGACTACATAAATACTATACACAGCTGAGCTCAGAAGGGTGCTCTGACCTTTTTTTTCAACTCTTTGCTTTCCTAAATGAAAAATTGCACGATTTTTTCATTAGCTGATTTTTATATTTCTACTACTGATTCATCCCCCAAATCCAAGGTATACAGCCTCTCTCAATGCAAATATAATAAGTGATCCATCAGTTTCATTTTTTTCAAAGTATCCATCCCCTTTCCCTTAAGCCCTCTGGCTGCCTCCTCCCACAACTGGTTGTTCCCTGTGCCTACTGCAAGCTCTGGTCCAGGGTCTTCCCCTTACTATCAAACTGGGGATTCTCTTTAACCCTTTCCATTGTTATATTTTAAAATTTCAAGAGCGATCTTATGTTTTCAGAATACTCTATGTTAAAAAATACATAACATTATTTTCTTATTTCATCAGATGGAATAGTGCTTTTATTTAGCTTTCTAAATTTATTTATTATAGTTTCTTTAAAGTTTTTATGGTAGGCACTGGATGCAACACTCAGATCACCCTTCAAGGAAAGAGTTGTTGCCCAAGATCACCTTCCCTTTTTGAGGTAGCCACACCCAAAGACTGTTCCATGTGAGCTATGAGTGCTTGGCCATCTTGGCCCAATGTGGGAGAGTTCTGAAGGGCTGTTCTAGCCCCAGACACTGAGGCTGAGGCTGTCATGGGACTGGCCTTGCAGCTTGCCTTCTTTGTTAGCCCACCCCTGCTTTTGTCCCCTCCAAAGTGACTCCCTAATAAATATCTTGCATGCTCAAGCCCATTTCAGAGTCTACCTCCCAGGGAAACATAGCTGTGACTATATTCTTCTTCATACAATATATCTGTCTCTTCTAAGTTACTTTTATTCTGTTTATGCATTGTAGACTCTGACTTCTATGCTAGATACTTTCTGTTCTGCCTTATGTGAAAGACAAGTTGATTGAAATCCTAAGTATGTATAGCGCATGTTTCCTTAGGGTCACCATGTAGAAAAACTGAGAAAACCAGCTGTTTATTTGGTGTCTAGGTCTTTTTTCTTGACCCCAGACAGTTTCATCTTTTCTCCTGCTTGGGGAGCATAAACCTGGCTAGCAGCTTTCTGGGATCTAGTCAGGGAAGCGGTTGGGAGTTACATTATCAGTGTAAACATTTTAATTTAATAGTCTAGGTTTTTAGTCTGGAATTTCAGCCCCAATTTCAATTCTGCCCGAAAAACATACTAAACTTCTCTGTTTAGAATTCTTTAGATAATTCTCTTTATTCTTATTGTCTATCAGGGTATATAGGAGGGGTAATTTTAGGATATCTGAAATTGGGAAGTGATTGGAGGAATCTAATTTTTCCTTAAACAAAATTTCAACCAATTACTTCAAAATTAAAGTTATCAGCTCCCCCACCCACCTGCCTCCACTGTGCCTTCAGAGGTATACTATACCTCCCAAACTTGGTCCTTTCTAGGGCTCTGCAGAAGAAATTGTGTCACTTCTTGTGGACCTTCTTCCTTCCTGTGAACGCTTGAGGCTCTCTGCTTTCAATTAAGTGAATTACTGCTTATCTATTCACTCTTCATCTTTCAAGATTTTGTCAATATTGCTCCTCTGCTGTGGTCCCTGCTTCCATTCTCTTTATCTATGTGGGTTCAGATCTTTAAAAATTTCTGTATTGTTATTTAAGTAGAGTTGGAAAGAGCATAGTTATATATACATGCTCTGATTGAACTTGTTTGAACCCATCAGAGTACTCTTACTGTACCAAATCAGCAGCATGTGACAGTGTTGATCCTGTCCTCTTTTTAGAAACATTCCTCACTTGGCTTCCAGGATATCACACTGAACAAAGTTTTTTTTCTACTTTTCTGACTGTTCATTCCCATTGTTTAATCTTTCATTTCCCCAAAGATTAACTTGTCATGAAAAAATCAAAATATGGCATTTCTACCAAATAATATTAACTAAAGTGCAAGAGCAGATAGGATGACAAAACTGAAAGACTACATGTCAGGTTTCACATATAGCGAAGAATAACTATAAGACAGCTCACAAATGAGAGTGAAGTATATACTTTTCAAAGATATTCACTTAGCACTCAAGCAAGTAAAATGATTTTAAACTTTTTCTGTTTTCTGAAATATTGTTATAAGGTTCAAACACCTAAAAAATATGAACACATTTTAACTTACCTCTAATAATTAGGGAAGAAAATTTAAAAACACACAAACTAAATTCATGCTTATTGAATTTTTTTCAATTATAGATTATATCCAACTCTGTCAAACCAGTTTCTATATAAGAAAGGAGAAAAACCTATTTGTAAACTATAATAAATCAATATGCCTGAATCAAATTTCCTTTGTTAGAATAGAATATGCTACGTGATAAAGGACTGAAAAAATAGTTTGGAATGAAAGAAATTGGAAAAAAGATATAACTTTATAGACAAAACTTCAATCATTGTATTTTTTGATCATTGACTCGTGAGGTTATATTTTCAGAAATATTTTATTTGGTCATCTTAGATGATCTACAAAGATTACCTATTGTGAATATGTATTATAATTTTTTAAAAATATACCTGAGTATATTTTATGCCATTCAAATCAGAATTTGTACCAGAGAGCTAAATATTCTGTATAAGTGATAAATACCTTGTCCAAGCCATAGTAATTATTGCCATTAGCCAAGTGAACCTAGTATCACCTTCATTCATTACACAGTCTATCATGTTCTCAGAAAGGACGCAAGGACAATTTAGCAAGGATGTGTAGTTTATCATGTTTATAGCCAGGAGGCCAGGAAAATTTATGCAGGGAAAATTTGGCAAAGAAAATTTAGTGTTAGAGTTATAAACACAGTAATTCCTAACATGTTAGTCCTTAAATGGATTACTGTAAAGAAGGTAGTAAGTTTAGGTCAGAGCTATAACATATAGAAACAAGAATGATTCATATACTTTTAAGACAGTATTCAAATCAATGAGTTACTATCTATTTTTCTTCAACAACTGCTTACGCATGTGGCAATATGAGCCTAAGACAGGTGCTGATGCCTTAGTCACTTGGCCACACAGTTTTGTGGTTTACGAGTCATGGGAATTGCTTGTCTTACTCTGACTGCTAAAGTTCTGTCCTATTGTCTTTTCATGTAATAGCAACATGACTCTGATGACAAAGCCCAACTAATTACACAACTTAATTTAATAGTTTAAAGCGCAAAGGGCATTCCCTGAGCAGTAAAATCTTTTGTTTGGAAATTTTAAAACAAATTATATTTTACTTTATGTTTTATATTTACGTAATAAGTATTTACAAGAACACAATTTTCTCAAGATTTAAACTGCTCATTGTTCCATAAATAGGACACACATTTAGAAAGAGGATTTTTTTTTAAAGGAATATTTTAGTGATTACTTCTGGCTAAAAACATGAAACTCTTTTAGTGCTTGATGTTACTGGAAACTTGCTCTAGATTATTTTTTGAATCTTTGCTGTGAGGTTAAGAATAGAAATGTTTTCACTCCCAATTATTGCTTTGAATTAAGATTTTGTGTCTGGGTGAAATTTTCCTCTGGCTTAATGCATGACCAGGCTGGTAGAAATGTTTCACCTAAATCCTCTTATTTTTGTTAAAACATTCATAATCCCAAACCCTAATAGTTGGAAGTGCATGTGATAATTGTTAGTCCCACTCCTGTCCTCATTTTATAAATTCCCCTGACAACAGCCTTGCTTAAGATTATCACCTAACTTCTGTTTGATTTCTTCCAGTGATAGAGAAGTTTCTGTTCAATTTAGGCCTCTTGGGTCATGTTACCAACTGTTTTTACCCTAATACAGATTCCTACATATCAAAGGGTTTTGTGGGTTGGACCAAGGAGCAAGAAGGCTTTACCTTAAAAGGTCAGGAATGTAAATTGCCCAAGGTGAACTCTGATTTAAAAGAAAAGGGCACCATTGTTCCAGTGGGATTGTGATTATGATAGTTAATAGAAAACATTGTCAGCCATGTTGGCTCTGGGGATGAAGAAGAAGAGGGTGTTTTCCAAGACTGGGATTGATGTTAGTATCCTGTGAGTGTAAAGTGTTCTAATATCTGGCCTGTTTTCAGGAGAGCTGAGGCAACTGAGGCAGCTTACTGAGCCAAAGTTCTTACTAGCCTTATTTCCTTTCCTTTATTAATTCTATTATTTTAATGGCTTTTTGTTAACACTTAGAGGTAAGGAATACAGTTTGCCAAATACATAGCAAGTCATCCTGTCAAAAACAGATATTTCAAGATAAAACTCCTTGGTCTGAAAAGACAGATTCAAAAGAAATTGTAGACAGTTTCTACTATCAATGATTTTACAGACTGATGGAGATAAGACAGGAGATAACAACCTCGTAGATAAAGCATATAAAACATGAAAGCTTTTATAACTTTATAGAATGTAAATATTACGTATTAACATAAACTCTAGAGTGCACAGGTGCATCAAAGCAGAATGGGATTGAGAACCTTTCTACAAAAAGGATGTAAAGAATATGACTTTTCAGGGTTGAGGGAAAGATTTTGGGGAAGGAAGAGGTGCTCTTTAGGAGGTACCGATGGGGGATCCTGTGATAATCAGCATATCCTCGCAAAGCAGAAGGGTTGAAGGGAGTTTGTCTGTGAATAGAGCCTTGCTGACTTGGGTAGCATTTCTTCTTTTTTTCCCACTTCTTGGTGGTCGTTTCTTCAAGAGGATTTGGACTTACCACTCAGGAAGACCTGGTATAGACTGCTTTACTGTGCATCTGGGCTAATGGGGTTTGATTGTTGAAGGCCTTAGTGGTCTCTTTTTGAGGACCCCTTTTTGTCATCTTCCCTTATGGGGTCTGTGCTTGAGATCAGTATGGTAGCCTGACCCCTGACTCCCCCAACCCCACCATGCAGTGTGACCCTTTTCCAGGTGTTTAAGCCTCTTCTCTGGGACACCTTGTACAATACTATACTACATTTCCTCCTGACTTGAGCTTGCAGCCTTCATTCCTGTGCAGGTAGGCAGACAGCTTTAAAGATTTGCTCTTAGAGGGATTATTTTTGGAACTTAGGACTCTGGGGATTTCCTGAGCTGAGAATGACTTTGCCCAGGAAATAATGAATTGAATCATTGTCTGTCTTTTGACCCTCAGATCACCTTTTTTATTTTGCAATCTCTGCCCAGTCACTAGGTATCAGCCTGGCTGCACCCACTGATAATACCTTTGTATGTTTTGTAATTGAAAGGCCAATTTCAGGCCCATTTCAACTGGGGCTGTTGGAACTTCACCTGCCCCCTACAGGGAGGTGAGGTTTGTGAAACTGGGAAACTGGAATAACAAGTGAATTAACACACCCATCCCTCCAACACCACCCACCCACTGCAGGCTTCGTAGACTGATTGATGACATTTCCTAATATAGCAGGGGTAAGATGACTTATTTTGAAAATAGAATTAAAACTTTCCCTTTTTAGGAGCAAGCATCACTTTGGCAACACCATCAACCCCAAGCACATTAGTTCTTGTGGTCAAAACATTAACAGGGTGCTTTGTTAACAAAATGTTCAGGTCATGATAAGGCCAACAAAGGAACTGTAAGACTTTTTATGAGCCGAGTCTTTCCAAATAGCACTCCAAGTTAAAAGTACTGAGAGCAAAAGTTTCTTCTGTAATAAGGCCCAGATGATCTGGGGTGAGAGTTTTCAGGAGTGGGCAGAGGTGTTGGGGTGTTGCATTGACCAAAATAAGCCACCTCATGGAAAGCGGGAAACAATTGGTAGGTCCCCAAAGTGTGCAGCTATCTGAACAGTTGGAGTAAAGGATTTCAGATAGCCTCACTAATTAGCCTACTTGGGCAGTTTAGAAGAGTGGAGGGCCTTTTAAAGAGGTCCCAGGGAGTGCTAAATGCTGGGGGAGTTTATTGCTGTGCGTGTAAGCAATGGTACTGGACAGGGAATTGAAATGAGATCCTGTGATCTGCAGAGCACCTGCTCTGGGAACTCATCTTTATGGAACCTTCCCTGACTCTAAACTCTGATTATTTTCCTACTCTATCAGCTCACCGTTTTTAATAAGAATTATAGATTAACTGTTAGCACTTATAGAGTGCTTCATCTTTTTAAGGCACTGGGGACGATACGTGGGGAAGGAGGGTGGGAGGGAGGGGAAGCTGATGCGAGCAACCTGAGAGAGAGTTACCTCAGCCCTTAGTGCGAGTCGCAGCTCTAGCTGTATGTTGTTAGACTAATCATGAAGCCTTTATGGGATTCTGTCTTGCCATCTGGAAAATGAGATAATTGGATGAGATGTCATTTTGGTCTTGAAAATGACTAATAATAATAGATTATATTTATTAATGCCCTAATATATCTTATTTGGCTTTATAATAATCCTTGAGGTAGGCATAGCACAAAACATGATCTCTGCTTTAAAGAGGAGTAATATGAGACTCAGAACTGTGAAGTGATTACCTTATGAAGCACAGGTAATGCACAGTGCAAACTATGTTAAGAATCCAGGATTTTTGATTTCTAGTTTTTTCTATACCTCTCAAAAATTGTACTTTGATACACTAGAGGTCTTCTTTGAAATAAGTACTTGAAGGCAAGGAGGGTATATTATATGTGTTCTCTAATTCTCCACTGCTTAATAAATATTGGTCACTGACTGGCTAAATAGAAGCTTTGGGACATTAGGTGACAATGTTCTTACTTTGAAGTCCAGAGCATAATCATGGTAACAGTTACAGGTTTTGAACTGCTATACTATGCCAGAAACATTACATATAATACTTCAATTATTGTTATTATTTATTTGAAAGGTGAAGAACCTGAAGCTCAGAATGGCAAATCACACAACCAATATGGTGAAGCTGGGATGCAGACTGAGGCTGCCTGTTTCCCTTGATGGCAATAACTTGCTTGTCTGACCCTTTCTCTCCCCCTGTATCTTTCTCTTGGTGCTTTCTCTTGGTTCCTTCAGACCTTCTTGGGCTCCCTCAACTGAAGGAAAGTAGCTGAGAAAGATTGTAGACCCAGCCAGTGTTGTAGGAGGATTCTGTGGGTTCCAAGAGTAGGGTGAACCTGAACCTGGCTCTCTGTTGTTGTCACTATGGAGGAAAAGTATTTCTTTAAGATGAGAGGCTGCATAGTAACTAGGGTTAAATGCAATCAGAGGCAGCCTGACAAAGAATTTCCTTGTCCAAAAACACGAAACAGGGACAGCAGCTTGTGTGGGATCAAGCAGAAAGGAGTGACAGACCTGGTTTTGTGTTTGCACATTATTAAACAACTTTAAGTATATGTAATATTAACACTGTGGGTCTTTGAGATCATGTCTTTCTTCCTGGTCCACTCAAGTTTGAGGAACATTGTTCTAATTCAAAGAGTAATTCTAATTGTAGATCTTGAAGGTCAAGAGAAAGGAGAAAACATGGTAGGTGAGTAGGGGAGGTATTTGCAGGCAATCCCCTGGAAATAAGTCACATTTTTTCCTTGATTCATATATTTATTTGGTAATGAAGATTTATTTCTAAGTGAAGGATAGAGTCAGTAGGACTAGTATAGATAAGCTGTTTTGGTCAGCAAAGTTTATCTTTACTCCTACAGTCTTCTCCAGGAAGCCATCACAAATCTTTTTGGCACTCTTCATGCTCTTTTTTCAGGGGACTCTTCAGCTTCTAGAATGGTGAGCAATGACCTGGTTAGGAGCCAGGCTTCTTTTGCATGTCCTGGCCCCAGACTATTCTTAACATCCACCTAAAATACATATTGCATATCTTTTGAGCCTGTGTATTCTAAGGAGAGGTCACTTGTTTTATCTTACTGATATGCTTTTCTAATTTTTAAATATTCTCTCATTCATCAATACTTAATTTTTCTATCTAATGTTCTTCTATTCTCTTTCTTACTGCTTTCCAGGGTAAAAGCTTGCTGATAAAATAAATGAGACCATAATTTAAGATAATGGCTTTAGGGTTTAGTTAGCCCTTTTTATTAGTCTGTTCCTTTGCTGCTATGAAGAAATACCTGAGACTGGGTAATTTATAAAGAAGAGAGGTTTAATTGACTCACAGTTCTGCATGGCTGGGGAGGCTTCAGGAAACTTACAATCATGGTGGAAGGCACCTCTTCACAAGGCTGCAGGAGAGAGAATGAGTGTAAGCAGGGTAAATGCCAGATGCTTATAAAACCATCAGATCTCATGAGAACTCACTTACTAACATGAGAACAGCATGGGGAAACTGCCCCTATGATCCAATCATTTCCTGCCAGGTCCCTTCCATGACATGTGGGGATTATGGCAACTCTAATTCAAGATGAGATTCGGGTGGGGACACAACCAAACCATATCACCCTCCATAATGATATGTGCATTTTAAAATATCCTTCTGAAGAAAATGCTTTATTTCCAAAGCTTTACTTTAATTGTGAGATTTGGAGCTCTATAATTTTCTTGTCAGAGCACAAAGGTCTTTCATAGCTTACCAAATAACATAATATAGGCAGCTTACTGGTTTACAGCACAGAGGGCAGAGCATCACTACTTATTTTGGTGAGACTGATAAAGTCAGATGTATCTTGGGCACAAAGTAACTATAATTTTGTTTGATTTTATCTAAATTCAAGATAAAGCAGTATTCTTTTTTTTTATTTAATTATGGAAACACCTTGCTTTGGGATCTATAAAAATATCTAAATTCAACTTCGAAACAACCAAATAGTTTAATTAAATTCCTAGAATTGTAGAGTGATACAAGAAGTGGGATGTTGAACTAAAAAGCTACATCAAATTCTGATTTTGGAAAAGAAAGCAATGTAATATTTTGGTTGCATCTTTCAGGTGACTATAAAATGTTGACTTAAACATTGACAAATTACAATTAAATATTACCTAGGAAAATTGCTGTTTTAATTATATTGACTTAGACATCTCACTCAAGTTGATTGTGAAACTACCTTTTTATTATCTAGGAATCTTTCATATATGTTGTAGGAGTTTTGTTAAATATCCGCATAGATCTTTGTAATGTTTAGTCACTTTTTTCCCTTGATGTTTTATTTTCTGACACAGCTTCAAATTCTGCATTTGAATCTTGAATACTTCTCTCGTGACCTTTAGTTTTCTGATCACGAGAGCTCATGAAGTGCTGGGTAAAATTAATGAAAAATGACCTTAAATCTTGAATTTCAAGTATTAATAAAGAAATATTCTTCCAACTTTTATAAAAAGTCAATGCCTATTAATGATAAAAATTTCTCTGTAAACTAGTATTTAAATAGAACTTGCTTAACCCAATAAAGTCATCTATAAAAAAGCTTACAGTTAATATTTTATTTAATGGCAAAATGAAATACTTTGCCTAAGATCAAAATAGGGAAGGATGCCCATTGTCATCACTTCTCTTCCACATTATATCAAAGTCCTAGCCAGTACAATAAGGAGAAAGAAATAAACTCATGTAAATTTGAAAAGAAGAAATAAAACATTTTATTTGTAGATGATATGATCATGTATGAAGAAAACTCTATGGAACCCACAAAAAAACTCTTGGAAATAATAAGTGAATTTAGTCAAATTGCAAGATCCAAGATTGATATAAAATAGTCAATTGAATTGTTATATACTGGCAGCTAACAATTGGAAAACAATACTTGAAAAATAATACCATTTGCGATACAGTAAAAAAAATCAAATATCTGAAAACAAGTTTAATAAAAAATGTGCAAGACCCTACACTAAAATTTATACAATGTTACTTGGAGAAACTTTAAAAGATCTAAATTGATAGATAAATATCACGTCTGTAAATTGTTAGACTCAGTATTGTTAAGAAGACCAAACTGATCTATATGTTCAACTCAATCTCAATCATAGTCTCAACATACTTTTTTGGAGAAATGATAAATTCTAAAACTTCTGAAGAAATTGATAAATTCTAAAATTGAAATTGAAATTCAAAGAATCTAGCATAGCCAAAGCAATCTTGGAAAAGAATAAAGTGTAAAGACTTATGCTACCTTATTTTAGGATTTATTTTACAGCTATAATAATTAAGACACTGAGGTGATGGGGTAAAGATAGATTAAATAGGTCAAGAAAACTGAACAGAGCTCAGAAATAGACTCATGTATATACAGTAAATTGCTTTTCCATCAAGCACCCAGTCAGTGGGAAATTCATTAGAGGAAAGGAATCTTTTTAAGAAATGGCAATGGAACAATTCACTATTCTTTTGGAAAAGGTGACCCTTAGCTCCCTACTTCACACCATAAATAAAATCTAATTTGAGACAAATAACAATAAAAGCTAGAACCATAAAATGTCTACAGAAACCTCAAGAAAATATCTTTGTGATCTTGAGGTAGCCAATGATTTTTTAGAGGGGATACAAAAGCACGAATTTTAAAAGAACACAATTCATAAAATAAACTTTATCAAAATTAATAATCTACTTATTAGAAGATATCATCAACCCCCCATATCCCAAGAAAACAAAAAAGAACTGAGAAGTGAACCATGAATTGGGAGAAAATATTCACGATGCTTATATTTGACAAGATTCACATCTAGAATAGATAAAGATTTCCTACAAATTGACAATAAAAATCAAATCCATAAAAAATGGGCAAAAGATTTGAACAAGAACTTCAAAAAGAAAATAACTGAATGATAAAAATTAAACACATAAAAATGGATTCAACATCATAGTACTCAAGAAAATGCAATTGAAAACCACAAGATAACATTCCATACCCACTAGAATGGCTAAAATAAACAATGTCTGGCAATTTTCAAAGTTAGTAAGGTTATGGAGCAACTGGAATCAGATCAGTGCTATTGTGAAATGAGTTTCAATTTCTGTTCATGTTAAATTCTATTCAAAGTGATTTGATTTATGTGATAAAATTGTTTCTGGAAAATGTTATTCATCCATGCAATTACCCAACAATTATGTATTTATAGTTCATAATGGGTGAAACAAAGTTGTTCGTACCTTCAAAGAGCATGTAGACAAGTTTGCAAATTAAAGCCTTGTTAAGTCAGCCACTATATAGTTACTGTTGTTTATCACATTTTCTTGAATCCCAAACACATGTATTGTCTTACAACCAATTTCAAAATAAATCTGACAACTGATTGATCTTCTTACCAAGGACTTTTTATTAAATCAATGGTACATTTTACAGTTGAGGAAATGCATTAAATACATATAGCTATTATATTCAAATCAGCCAGCTGTTCTGTCTGGAGGAAGTACATTTTAAACATGAAAAGAAAAGGGTAAAAGCAATGACTATCTCCTAATTGAAAAAAAAATCATAGGAGGTTATAGACTCTCATTTTATTTATTTTGTGGATTGGGAGAAGGGTTGGTTCTAATTTCTGTCACAGACTGAAAGCAGAGCCTTTAAGGGATTTGGCGAAGGGGTTAAGAGTTGGACTGTGGGGTCAGACAGACCCCTGTACTGATCTTTTATTTACCAAGTACTTCAATGACTTAAATGCAGGATAATTGCTTACCCTCTGTGGGCCTCAGTTTCCTTCTGTATAATGATGCCAGACTTAATGGGCAGTGGTGAGGTTAAATGAGTTTCATTTAAAAGGTGTTCAAGACAGTGCTTCACATATTGTAGGTATTCACTAAATTGCAGCTCATATTATTAACTAAAATCCTTCTTCTGATAAGAATCAGAGTTGTAGCCCCCAATTCTAAAGAAGGTTGGGGTACTATCTCTTTCTAATCTTTGCCAATTTTATAGGCAAAAATATCTTGCATTTAAAAAAATTAAATCCATGAACATTCAAATCCTCTTTTATGTTTCCCAATAAAATTTTATAGAAAATGGGAAAATTGTTACTTAATTCCTTCCCTTAGGGTTAAGGAAAATGGAGCACCTCAGGTTCTGAGGTTTCAATTCCTGTTATGGCCAATAAACATAAAAATAGGTTTCACTTTGCCTATAGTACATGTCATTAGTTCTTTGGGTTTTATTTTATTGTTGGTTGGGGCTGCGGTACTCAGGTTACTTTTGGCTTAGTAATAAGGTAGCATACTGGACATTTTTACAAGATAAGTGTAAATATAGTACTTTAACATGTAGTAATCCCAAGTTTCTGTTTATATCTCAAAACAGTCATTGTTTTTAAAAAGTTATTTATTTCAGAAGAAAAATATTTTCATTACAAGCCCTTTTATTCTTTGATTCTTTTGTATTTTTAAATATATCATAGTGGTACATATTTTTGGGTTACATATAATATTTTCATACATATAATATTTTCATACATATATACAATGAGTAATGATCAAATCTGGGTAATTGAGATATACATCACCTCAAACATTTATCTTTTCTTTGTGTTGGAAACATTATAATTTCTTCTTTTTTAGCTATTTTGAAATATACAATAGATTATTAACTATAATTTTCCTACTGTACTATCAAATACTAGAATTTGTTTTTTCTAACTGCGTTTTTGTACCCATTAACTAGCTTCACTTCATCTACCCGCTTTCCCCTTTTCCTTCTGATGTGGTTTGGCTCTGTGTTCCAACCCAAATCACATCTTGAATTGTAATCCCCACATGTCAGGGGAGGGACCAGGTGGGAGGTGATTGGATAATGGGGGCTGTTTCTCCCATGCTGTTCTCGAGATAGGGAGTGAGTTCTCATGAGAGCTGATGGTTTTAAAGAGGGGCACTTCATTGTTCTTGCACACACTCCCTCTTGATGCATTGTGAAGAAGGTACCTGCTTCCCCTTCACCTTCCACCATGACTGTAAGTTTCCTGAGGCCTCCCATCCATGCTTTCTGTTAAGCCTGCAGAACTACGAGTCAATTAAACCTCCTTCCTTTATAATTACCCAGTCTCAGGTAGTATTCTTTATAGCAGTGTGATAATGGACGAATACACCTTCCCAGCCTCTGTTTACCATGATTTCAGTCTCCACCTCCATGAGATCTACTTTTTAAACTCCCACCTATGAGTGAGAACATGTAATATTTGACTTTCTGTGCCTGGTTTATTTCACCTGACATTATGACCCACAGTTCCCTCCATGTTGCTAAAAATGACAGGATTTCATTCTTTTTTATGACTAAATAATATCCTATTGTGTCTACATACCACATTTTCTTAATGCATTCATCCACTGATGGACACTTAGGAAGAGTCCATATTTTTGCTAATGTAAATAGTGCTGCAATAGACACAGGAGTGCAGATATCTCTTCAACATACTTATTTCCTTTCTTTTGAATATATACCTAGCAGTGCTGGATCATAGGATAGTTCTATTTTTAATTATTTGAGGAACCTCCATACTGTTTTCCATGATGGCTGTACTACTTTACATTCACACCATCCACTGTATGACCATTAACTTTTCTCTACATCCTCACCAGCATTTGTTATTTTTTTTGCCTTTTTGATAGTAGCCATTTTAACTGAGGTGTGATGATATCTCCTTATGGTTTTGATTTGCATTTTCTTTATGACTAGTCATGTTGAGCACTTTTTCATATACTTGTTGGCCATTTATATGTCTTCTTTTGAGAAATGTCTATTCAGATCTTTTGTGTATTTTAAAATCAGATTACTAGTTTTTTTTCTTTTTAGCTATTGAATTGAGTTCCTCATATATTCTGGTTATTAACCCCTTGATAGATAGCTAGCTTACAAACATTTTCTCCGATTCTATAAGCTATCTCTTCATTATGTTAGTTATTTCCCTTGTTGTTCAGGAGATTTTAGCTTGATGTAATCCTACTTGTCTTTTTTTTTTTTTTTTTTTGCTTTTGTAGCTGTGCTTTTGAGATCTTGCCCTGCCCTCAAAATCTTTGCCTAGCATTTCCCCAATGTTTTCTTTTAATCATATTATAGTTTCAGGTCTTACATTTAAATCTTTAATCTAATTTGTGTTGATTTTTGTATATTGTATAAGATGGGTATTTAGTTCCTTCTTCTGCATGTAGATATCTAATTTTCCCAGAACCATTTATTAAAGAAACTGTATTTTCTACAATGTATGTTCTTGGTACTTTTGTCAAAAATGAGTTGTCTATAAGTGTACGATGTATCTCTGGGTTCTCTAATCTGTTCCATTGTTTTATGTGTCTGTTTTTATGCCAGCACCATGCTGTTTTGGTTATTACAGCTTTGTAATATAATTTGAAAACAGGTAGTGTGATTATTCCAGCTTTGTTCTTTTTCCTCAGAATTGCTTTTTTATTTGGATTCTTCTGTGGTTCTGTACTGTATGAATTTTAGAAGTTTTTTTCTATTTCTGTGATGACTTTCATTGGTAATTTGACAAAAATTGTACTGAATCTGTAGACTATTTTGAGAAGTATAGACATTTTAACAGTATTAATTATCCCAATCCATGAACACAGGATATCTTTCCATATTTTGGTGTCCTCTAATTTCTTTCATCAGTGTTTTATAGCTTTTCTTGAAGAGACCTTTCACTTATCTGGTTAAATGTATTCCTAGGCATTGTATTTTTTATAGCTATCACAAATGAGATTGCTTTCTTAATTTTTTTTCAGATTAATCATAGTTAACAAATAGAAACTATTGATTTTTGTATGTTGATTTCGTATCTTGCAATTTTACTAAAATGGGTTAGCAATTCTAAGAGTTTTTTGGTGAAGGCTTTAGGTTTTTATAAATATAAGATCATGTCTTATGCAAACAAGAATGATTTGACTTCTTTCTTTCCCATTTGAATGCCTTCTTTTCCTTTCTCTTGCCTAACTGCTCTTGGCTAAGACTTCTAGTACTACATTGAATAAAAGTGTTGAAAGTGGGCATCCTTGTCTTTTTTGAGATCTTACTTAAAAGGCTCTCAGTTTTTCCCTTTTCAGTATGAGATTAGCTGTGGGATTGTCATATATGGCTTTCATTGGGTTGAGGTATGCTCCTTTTATATCCAATTTGTCAAAAGTTTTTATTGTAAAGGGATGTTGAGTTTTATCAAATAATTTTTCAATATCAACATAATGATCATATGTTTTTTTGCCCTTGTTTCTGTTGATATGATGTATCATGTTTATTGATTTGATTATGTTGAACCATGCTTGCATCCCTGGGAGAAATCCCACTTGATCATGGTAAATTATCTCATTAATGTGTTTGCTAATATTTTGTTGAGAATTTTTGGATCTACATTTATCAGGTATATTGGCGTATAGTTTTATTTTTGTTTGTATGTCCTTGTCTTGTTTTTGTGTAGCATAATGCATGCCTTGTAGAATGTGTTTGTGAGTATTCCCTCCTCTTCAACTTTTTTTTGAAATAGGTTAGTAGAATTGGTATTAGTTCTTTCTTAAATGCCTGGTAAAATTCAGCAGTGAATTCGTCATGTTCTGGGCTTTCTTTGATGGGAGACTTTTTATTACTACTTCAGTCTCATTACTCAATATTGGTCTGGTTAGGTTTTTCCATTTTCTTCCTGGTTTAATCCTGGTAGGTTGTATTTTTTACATTTATTTTAGGTTTTCCAATTTATTGACATCTAGCTGTTTATTATAGTCTCTAATGATCCTTTGTATTTCTATGGTAACTGTTGTAATGTTTCCTTTTTCATCTCTGATTTTATGTATTTGGGTCTTCTCTCTTTTTTCTTAGTCTAACTAAAGGTTTATTATTTTGTTTATATTTTTTAAGTGTCATTTTTATTTATTTCTGCTCTGATCTCTAATATTTCTTTCCTTCTACTAACCATTATTTGCTTTATTCTTGCTTTTCTAGTTCTTTTAAGTGCATTGTTAGGTTATTTAAGAGGAGCGTTTCTGTATTTTTTTTTTTTTTTTTTTTTTTTGAGACACAGTCTCACTCTGTCACCCAGGCTGGAGTGCAGGCAATCCTGGCTCACTGCAAGCTTCGCCTCCCAGGTTCACGCCATTCTCCTGCCTCAGCCTCCCGAGTAGCTGGGACCACAGGAGCCCGCCACCACGCCTGGCTAATTTTTTCTATTTTTTAGTAGAGACGGGGTTTCACCATTCTAGCCAGGATGTTCTTGATCTCCTGACCTCGTGATCCGCCCGCCTCAGCCTCCCAAAGTGCTGGCGTGAGTCACCATGCCCGGCCGCGTTTCTGTGTTTTTGATGTAGACCTCCATCACTATAATATTTCCTCTTAGTGCCCCTTTTGCTGTATTTCATGGTACAGTATGTTGTGTTTCATTTGAATTTTATTCAAAAAATTTAAATTTTCCTTATAATTTCTTCATTGACCCATTAGATGTTCAGGAACATGTTGTTTAATTTCCATGTGTTTGTATTATTTCCAAAGTTCCTCTAGCTTTTTAGTTTTATTCTTTTGTGGTCAGAAAAGATACTTCATATGGTTTAGACTTTAAAAAATTTGTTGAGACTTGCTTTTTGACCTAATATATGGTCCATCCTGGAGAATGTTCCATGTGCTGAAGAGAAGTTGGATGAAGTGGTCTGTAAATGTATGTTAGGTCTATTTGATCTAGAGTATAGTTTAACTCTGATGTTTGTGGATTTTCTGCATAAGTGTTCTGTCCATTCCATTGCTTAAGATGGGGTATTGAAGTCCCCTACTATTATTATATTGCAGCCTATCTCTCCCTTTAGATCTCTTAATATGTGCTTTATATGTTTGAGTTCTTCGGTATTGGATGAATACATGTTTATTCTCCTCTTTGTGCTCCTTTCCATTTCACTGATGGTACACACTACTGACCATTTATATGACAATTATTTCTTTATGAAGTTGTTTCTCCTTGTGCACTCAACAAGACCTTATTAATTTCGCGCCCTAATGTTCACTGATTCACAGATACATTAATACAATCTTATTGTAATGGTTTTAGAACTTAGAATGGACTACCAAACTTTGGAACTGCTCTAAATGACTTTAAAAACTCAGATAGTTCTTAACTCTCTGGGCATATTTAGTTCCAAATATCGGTGGGGGCATTAACTAGGCAACTTTTCACTGTCCCTTTCAACTTTGTGAATCAACATTAACAAACTTATTTGCTTTGTTTTCAAAAGAGTAGAAATATACTTCATACCAAGTCTTCAAAACTTTAGTTATTAGAAAGAATTTAAGCATAGTCATAGAGCATTGGTCCTAATTTACCTATCACCTGCAGTACTTAAAAACTAGGTTGGGCATAGTAGCTCATGCCTTTAATCTCAGCCCTTTGGGAGGCTGAGGAGGGAGGATTACTTGAGCCCAAGAGTTTGAGATCAGCCCGAGCAACATAGTGAGACCCTATCTCTATAAAAAATAAAAAAAATTAGCTGGGTGTGGTGGCATGCCCCTGTTGTCCCAGCTACTCAGGAGGCTGACGCAGGAGGATTGCTTGAAACCAGGAGTTTGAGGGTGCAATGAACTGTGATTGTACCATTGTATTCTAGCCTGGGAGGCAGAGTGAGACCCTGTTATAAAAGTTATTGGTAAAAATTAATTACTTTATGATTCAGATAATTCAGATTACACAAAGCTTCAACAGCAGGCTTTTGGAACAATGTGTTTCCTCTTTTAAAAGGCATGTTTTTATTTTCAATGGAAGCAAAAGATTCTTAGTGAACATTTAGTAAAAGTATATTTAAATCATGATGAAAATAAGATAAATGAGTCGTAAGCAATATGAATATAATCTCTGCTTGTCTTATGTTCACACATAAATTGCTGTCTTGCCTTTATCCAAATATTTTCAGTGATAATCTCATATATTAAGTATTTTGGCAGTTTTTTAATCATCTTGTGTTTATTATTACAGACTTTGGAACAAAATTTAAATAGAAATAAATAAAAGGAAAAGTGTAAAAACCATTCACAGATGTAAACATTCTGGCATTTTTCTGTCTGGGCTTTAAAAATATGTATTTCTGGAAACATTGTTGTTTATTCAGTGTACATCCCTGACTTCCTTTATCCTTCCTTACAGAATCTCAAGTATGTTCAGGCATCTTACCCCTTCCCATAGTCATGTACTTTGGAGGGAGAGGCTGACCCCTTCATCAGCCCTGGGGGTGACTCTTGATTGGTCTAAACCAATCATGGTTGTTTCCCTTATTTGGGATTGGCTTAGGCAGGTGATGCAATTCTGACCAATGAGACATGAAGGGAAGTCAGCTTCGTGGCTCAGGGAAAGGATTCACTGTTTTAAGAGATACACACAGGAAGAGATGGCCTCTTTCTTTCTTTCTTTGGATATTTTCATGTCTCTGTGTGGTTTGCAAGTAAAGTTATCATCTTGTGGCTATGAGGGCTGCTGGGCTAGCTTGAGAGAAAATTATTTGCACTAAGAATGGCAAATCAGGAAGCTACAAGTAACTTGAATCCTTGATGACATCATTAGGTTGCTGAATTAACCAACCTTAGAACTGTTTATCTCTGCTCATATGGCTCAGTGAGATAAAATACTTTGTTATTTAAGCCAATGGTTTTCAAACTTCATGCTAGTACCCTGGAAAGTCAAAAACTATCCAGGTGGTAAATAGGTATAAATAGCTTTAAAGAAATCAATTTCCAGATCCTCAACTTCTACAAGTACTCTGTACTAAAATTGATTGACCTTTGGAAAACACACGAAACAAGGAGGTTGTGGCAGTTCTCATTTCCCACCTCTTTCATAATCGCTTCTTTTACGCTTTACACAGGAAAGATCTACCACTCACTTATTCTGTTTCACTAAGGTTTATCACCTAAGTTGTAAAATAACATCAAGAAAGCTCCCTTAATTGGGGCATCAAAATCAATCCCTCATCTATCTGATTAACAATATTATTTTCAATAAAAATTTTCTTTTTATTAATAATTTTTAATAATTTACAACTTTTTGGCAGTTTGACTAATTCTTTAATAGTATTTGACATAACTAGAAGATATTTTGATTACTTGGAGTTTTATGATACTAGAAAATTAATTTTTAAATTTAAAATTAAAAAATATTTTTATTGCACAGAAGTGTGACAGAATATCTGTAAAGGATTTTCAAGCGTAAAAGTACATACTTCATTAGAATAGCTGTGAGGAAGGTATAATGGAAGTACAAGTTCAAGGAAGAAAAGGAATACCTATTAAATAAGACCTTTTAAGTTTCATTTAAAAATTCATGACAATGGGCATAAAACTGTAATGCCATTAAATTTCCATTGTTAAATTCAAAACTGGGAATTAAAATTTTTTTTAAAAAACAAGGTTTATGATTTTCTGATATTATCTACCTCACAAATATTTAAACTTATGAGAAAAAATTTTAGATATCAACTTAAAATGAGAAGATACATAGTTTCTCAAAAAAAATGAGAAGATACACTAGCCCCAAAATTTTGAAGTTCACTGTGTAAACTATTTTGAATTGAGTTTTTGATGCCTAAAGCATTCATCTATCATCTGTCTGTCTGTTGTCTATTTATTCTTACCTATTTATCAACTTTACATGTATTTAATTTAACACACATTAAAGTTGAATGATTCTGGTCACTCCCTCTGCAGTTGCTTGTGTTTCTACTTCTTCTGCTTTATCTGGCCAGTTATTGCTCCTTACCACTTACCACTTACCAGTTTCCAATATCTGTTGACTTCTCTAGCTGGTCGTCATTTCCTTTCCCTTTTGCTTCGTCTTTTAGGATTTATGCCTTAGAAAAAAATTTTTTCTGTAATTTCAATGGGATTTCAGGTTGAAACAAATATAAGTGAATTGTTCAGTCTTCCATGTTTTATCCAGAGGCTGATAATCTCTTTCCTAACATATTTTTAACTTAATCATATAATAGGAACATTTTCCCATGTTGTTAAATATCCTTGATCATTACACATTTTAAAAGCTACATACTATTTCACTTTATGGGAGGTTATTAGTGCAATTTCTGATGGCCAGTTCAATCCATAAAAGATTTCTGTATATTCCTCAGATTCCTTATCTTTTATTTTCACTACGTATTATACATTATATATCTGCATTGTACAAAGCAGACTTGTTCTTCTTCCTTTCCTTCCACATAAATCAGCTTTGTTATATCATTGACAAGATCATCTAAGAGATAGGAATGCAATAAGGACACAAATATGGAGGTTTTCTTATTTTGGCTTTGTTCCTTTGAGTGTCATATCCCACCACTTTTGTGCAGCTAAAGCTATCACAATCCTGATCCCCAGCTGCCCTCAGCTCTCCCAAGGTGAAAGCTGATAAAATCCAAGAGGCAGTGAGGGACCAAAGGAAAACATGAACACAAAGGACATATACCATCTAACAAAAAGACCTCTCATAACTAGTAGACCCTTTCTTATCCAGGTGAGAAGAAATAATAAAAGCTCCTTATCAGTCAACTTGATCTGGAGTGGAAAGAATGAATGTAGTCTTTGAAACAGCTTAATAAAGTAGAATGGACTCGGTGGGAACATTTTAGACATAGCTTACATTCTACTCTTAACCTTTCAGGACACAGTCACTGCCCTCTGTCAATTACTGCCATCTCTTTACTGACAAGCCTGATGGGTTATAAGTCCAAGAATCTTCCAGATGCATGACAAAAAAATAAATCTCTAACACTGGTGTGGTACTTCTGGTGGCAGAAACTTAGGGTCAGAAATGGAGGAAACCATTGTAGGGAAAAAACAAGCATAAGAACTACTGTCTATCAAACAAATTTGTCATTGTGTTTATTCTTGTATAGAATATATATAAGAGTGTTTTCCTTTTTTAAAGGTAATTTTAAATGGGTCTTCATGAAAGCTAAGAGAGTTTGATTTCTTCTGTCTCTCTATTTCCATATCTTATTTTCAGATAAATCTTCTGATGGATTCCCACCTGAACCTGATCCTAATTCCAGAAACACAAAGCCTGGATTCTTTGTGTTCACTACATTTATTCTGTCTTTCCATGAGCTAAGGCTGTAAATCCCACAGTGAAGCATGCATAAACACCAACTAGACGGGATTAGACCACACTATTTAGTTAATCTCAGTTTACAAAAGCTCTTCTTTCTTTGTCTGAAAGGCTGCCACAGAAATCCAGCAAACGTGAGAATGTCTTGCACTATGGGTAGTGAGAGGGTAAAAATAACTGCTTGCCTTCATGAGCCCTCTCTCTCTTTGAGAAACTCTATGTATATTTTCAGGGTGAAGGATTTCTACTGTAAATGCTTCAAATCATCATCATGGGGGAGAAGAGCACAGCAGTATTTCCTTCCAAAATGTAAGCAGCACAACCTTCCAAGAACCTTGATGTGTAGTTAAAACGACCATGAAGGGAGCCTCCCCTGATCTCTGTCCTCCAATTTATTGCTCTCTCTCATGTTTGAAAGGTTTGTTTTGGATCCAGTGACAATAATACTGGTAGGACTATAACTAAAGTACTTTGAGTCCTAGGAGGAGGAACAAAGAATGTTTTTCTATAATATGTTAACATAACTGGACATCCATTAAATAATTGGTGTGTAGCTGGAAGTAAAAATGGCTTAAACAGAGAAAAGTTTCTATAACAGCTGTGAACACAAAGCCAACAAAGGACTTGAGGGACAAACACTTCTAATATGCTCGCAGAATCACCTGATGTCATGAGCACCTGCTTTATACAAAAACCACTGTGGCAGAAGCATCTATGTGTATACTTAGGGTAACAAACATTCCATTTCAATTTTGAATTTAAATAAAAGATGCTCTAGTCTGTTTTTTTCTTCCAATCTCAGGCTCAGGCTCTGCAGACATCTCTTTGAATCTCCCAAAAGATCATGTTTGCTTTGGTCGAAGATTAGATATTCACCCCAGTGTTCACATACTTTGTCCTCCCAAGCTGGAACAACTTGAGCTTTCAGAGTCCAAATGTGTTAGACTCATCCAGGGCTCTTGAAGTCAGTATTCAAATGCTAGCACTATAAATTATAGAATTTAGTTTGTCACAAATTAAAACTTTATTTCAGTGAAAACAGTGACTGTCACTTGTATATATTTGGTCACTGTAAATCTGCTGTAAACCAAAAGAGAAACTAAAACTAGCAAAGGGTGGTGATGGTGGCAGCGGTAGTGGCAGAGGGACATGCTAATGTATGTCTTGAAGTCTGTTTTCCTAGAATCCCAAGCTACATTGGTTGGTAATAAATAATGTGGTTAAAGAAGGCAGATTCTAAGATAGAATTTTGGACCTGGATCACCTGTAGCCTGCCTAGCAATGAAGACCTCATCAGTGGTGATAGATGGAGAACAGATACACCTTGGAACCAGGTAGTGATCTAACTTAACATTTTTCACTAATGTTACGCTAAGATGGAATACTAATGAAATGCAATGCACTGATGGGTAACATGTATAAGGTGGTTGAGAAACAATATAGGGTGTCCAGAGATAAGAGCAATCAGCTAAGGGAGGAATGGGACTAGATAATGAAGAAGCTGCAGGGCCTAACCAACTTGTAAGGGCAGGGGTCATGAGAGTATAAATGGGACAGAATTCTGAAGGTGCTAGATTCAGAAAACAGAGAAGAACAGAAAGTTAGACAAGAAAGAGTTTATCAAGTTGGAAATACTCTCCCAGTGGAGGATTTTACATCCTGACAAAGATCCTCGAAGATATCCAAAACAGGTTTTGAGGATGGCTCCTGGAAGCTTGAAGAAAGCAATGGCCACATCAAATGAAGTAGGAAAGATACATTGGGTGCAAGGCTATCATTACCATAACATTCTCTGGCCTTAGCATTTACCTACTTCTCATCTAGAAAATGCCACCGTTATTTTAAAATACAAAGTCAGAAGTTAAAAATAACTCAATATCTTAATCTCTGGAGTTTATACCTAGTTATGAATTCACTGCTAAGCAACGTGTGATAAAATACTAGTCTTTAGTGTTTAAATCTCCATCCTAGTCCAACATGCATTCATTATTATTATTATGTTTTTGAGACGGAGTCTTGCTCTGTCGCCCAGGCTGGAAGTGCAGTGGCACAATCTCGGCTCACTGCAAGCTCCGCCTCTTGGGTTCACGACATTCTCCTGCCTCAGCCTCCCAAGTAGCTGGGACTACAGGCGCCTACCACCACGCCTGGCTAATTTTTTTATTTTTAGTAGAGACAGGTTTTCACCGTGTTAGCCAGGATGGTTTCAATCTCCTGACCTTGTGATCCGCCTGCCTTAGCCTCCCAAAGTGCTGGGATTACAGGCGTGACCCACCGCGCCCGGCCCGACATGCATTTATAAATAAAGGCTGACTCATCATTGGCCTGTCCTGATTTCTCTGACTAGGAGAAGTAGTTCTTTCTATGGAGGCAATGATTTTTAGATAAGGGTGCAAATATTTTTGAAGCATTTAGAATAGGGGGTGTTTAGACAAAGGCTGTGCAGATCTGTCTGCTAACATGGCTTTAAATGCAAATTTGAGTGACAATCCAAAGCGTACTCCCTGCCAATATCATATTCCATATGAAATCTTGGCATCTTTAACAAATGATATGTTTATTGATTCAGTCTCCTTGGTTACTGCATGGTCCATGGAGAAGTGCTTTGATGTATCTGGAATAGCCATGATAGTGCTTCGGAAACAGTTTTGAATATTGGCCATTGATTTTAAACAATAAATGTTACATTTGAAATTTGTTTCTGCTCATAGAAAGAAAATCCAAATAGAAAAAAAATTGACACAGATTTAATTCTACATCACTCTTTGGACAAATTGCTTTCCTTAGATAGAACAAAGGTGTGAAAGTTGGCAGTTATATGGAACACAATCTTTCATTTGTATATCCTGCATGCTGCCTGTTTTATCCTACATACTCCATATGGGACCATTGCCTTCCAAGAACTGGACAGCATTTCCACAGATGTCCCTCCTGTGGATTGATCCGGATCCTATCAATTACACAATGGACACATTAAATTATAGAATAAGCCTGCTGTCCTGTTTTTGTGCAAATGATATTTCACAGAGCCCTCTATCCTTCTCCACTCATCCACTTCTTCAGGCATTTGACATTGATGGTTTATATCTTGGTTCTGCTCTTCTTATTCCTTTTTTTCTTTTCTGCTCTTCTCCTATATTTTTTCCTTACATTCTCTCTTTATTTTTATTTTCCTCTAAATTATTTGTCTACTCCTTCATTCTCCTCATTTTCTCTAATATTTATTTTTCACCTGACTCAATTACTTCTTTTTGGCCTCTGATCATTAAAATCCAATTCAGAGTACTTTTATATTCTTCATTGAATTGTGTGGAATGTATCTGTGGAAACTGCTAGCCTGTTCAATGGTGCGTTATTCTACTGTATTAAATTATAATTATGACTGCTTCACGTTCCCCTGCACCATTAATTTAATACCATATATGTCTAGTCTTACTTATTTTTATGTTTGTATTCTCCAGAGTCCACCACGGAGAAGATGCCCTATACGTGTATGTAAAATGCTGAATTAAATAACATTGTTTAACCATTTTGCCAGCCACAGAAATAAACTAACTTAAACTCATATGTAGCCCTGGTACATAATGCAGTGTCTGGTATATAGTAGGTGCTCAATAAAGGTCTGTTTAATAATAATAATAAATGTCTGATGGATAAAGTAAAGATAAGCATTATATACAAAGCCTGGCTTAACATATTGTTGCCAACATAAACATATTTTCTGTGTTTCTTAGGTTGATGTACCCATATTTTGGAGCAAACTGGTTTACTTGTAAAGATTATTAAGAACTCAATGGGTTAGTCAGAATTTCATCCAGTTTCTAAGGCTTGCATGTGCCTCACAAATATTTTAAGTCAACATGTCTTCTGACTACCTATCTGCCTTTCTTTCTACTTCTTTTCCCCCTGTAGCTAAGACCACAAAAAGCTTTGGCTTGCAGAAAATATACATTTCCATAGAAACCAAACCAAAAGCAATAGAAAAGGGAGAGATTGAATATAAAATGTCTTTTGGTTGCCAAATTTCAGCCCATCGCCTGATTTCTTTTAGTTTTGTGTTGATTTCTTTAATTCAATGTTAACAGCTAGACCAAGGCTTTTCAAATTAAAAAAAAACTTTAAAAATTAAAGTTTATATGTTGGCTGAGTTAAAACAGATAGTTATAAACATGCACAAACTTGAAGAATTTGGAAAAATAACCTTCATGAATGAGGTTTTTGTTTCAATGTGATTTCTATGGGGGCGTCATCTTTGCTGGGTTAAGCAAAGACGGTGTTTGCTGTAAATTTAAACTGTTCTCTGACAGCTGATGACCTCATTCATTTATAGAATTAGGATGATTTTTTTTCCCTTTTATATGAAGTGTAAGGAAAGTGTGGTTGGATATAGATAGTGGGAAGTAACAAATGGTTACATCAGCAGTTGCATAAAGGGTGTTTCTTGCTCTTCAGCAAAGTATGAATTTCTGAGAAATAAAGCAGTAGGTCTGACAACTGGCTGTGGCTTACCAAGTAATCATGGCAGGTAGCTTGTGAGTGAGCATGAGACTAGCACCACTTTCTGTACCTGGGAGCTGTGTGGTCGCACAGGGCCCTGAGCTCAGAAGGCCCCATGTTTTGTTTAATGCTCTGCTGTTGCTGTCTTGACAGTCTCAGTAATTTTTGAACAATTTAATCTTTTCACATTTTCATTTTGCAGTGAGCCCTGCAAATTACTCAGCTGGTCTACTGCATGGGACTTATCTTTCATAACATTTTCAAAGTTGGAAGAGACCACTTAGATTTTTTTCCAACCACTTAAAAAGTAGAAGACAGATTCAAAACACTGAGCAGAAATATCAGTAAATTTGTACCCTTCCATTTGAGATCCTCCAAATGTACCAGGAGTCTGTTTTATGACTTCAGCCTACCCTGGTCACCAGCAGATTGAGTGCAATAAATTTGGGGGCAGTGAAAAGCATTTTATATTGTGATAAGTAAAGATGACTTCAAAGCCAGCTTGTACTAGTGTATCTCAAAAGCCTTGAAATATGTATTTGTGTTAATTTAGCAATTCAGCCCCAGGACAAAGTATGCAAAGCTGTTACGTACAAGCATGTTTATTATAATGTTATTTGTGATAGTCAAAAATTGGAGATAATCTAAATGTGATTAGTTAAATAAATTATAATCTACTTGATGGCATATCAGGCAGCCATTAAAATGACATTTTAGGTGTGTACTACTACATATTAAAAATAATATTAGAATATTCTGTGTATAGAATGATTCATTAAAAAATCTATGCATAAATAAAAATTTACAAAGCTGTCCAACACAATGTAGTTATCTCTGGGAGGTGGGATCATCATTTTGTGTGTGTGTGTGTGTGTGTGTGTGTGTGTGTGTGTATTAATGTGTTCTGTTTTCAATAATGACTTTGTAGGGCAATTATACCAGTTAAGAACAACCAACTAACCAGGCAAAAAACAACCAACCATTTGCAAGATTTGTTTCCATGTGCAAGAAAACTGTATTACAGCTTTTCATCATTTTTTAAATAAAACGATAGGCATTAAAGAAATAATTATAAGTTAAAAAGATTCAATGGGATGTTATTTTCTTCCCATTACAGATATTATAAGCATCTTCATTTTCTTCTGGACAGTCAACTATAATTTACTGTTCTTGGGCTTTCCTCTGAAACTTCTCCAGAAACTGTGGCAGGTGCAGAATGCATCACCTCAGCTGTTATTGTATATAGGTGTGAGAGAAGTGGCAAGGCCCCCATCTGTGAGCTACATTGCTTGCCAGTTTGATAAAAAGATTCAGGACCGGATTCTCTGCCGTTAGGCTATGACTCTCTCACACCATGGAGGGAGAGAAGGTATTGTATATACTAGAATCCCTGTGTACTGCGTTCTTTCAATTCTTCCAACCACTATAGACTATCCTGACAAGTCCGCTTAGCTCTGATTCTTGCTTCAGAGGGCAGCAGCAAGGTTGAAACTTATAAAATCAGCCTGTCTGTACTTATATGTATGTGTTCCCCTCTATTAGGTCTTGATTCCATAGGTCAATTACAGTTTAATATGACAGACTGGCAAGAACCCAAACTTGTCTTGGGGTGGTGAGATTTCATTTCCTTGAGTGTTGATGGAGGTGAATTACAGTTCTTTGTGTCTATCTGAGACTTCTGCCAACATTGTGCAGTACTATGTATTAACTAATGCACAAAATCATATATTAGAGCTTTGCCTACAGCAATAGCAACACTTGTTGAGCCAGGGATTAGTCAGCACATTGGGCAGAGCCAGTTGCCTAAACCTGTTGGCCTTTTGATAGAATCTTTATGATTTGGGATTTGTTAATATTCATTACAAGATATTTACACCTAGGACCTTTTCCCTTTTTATGCAGCCTGTACAATACAGCCCTTTAAAAATATTTAGAGGCATCAGAGAAAGTTTGGCAAATATTTGTTTGTAATGTAAAAATGTAGAAATTATTATAATCAGCAATACATTTTCAGGCTATTATATTCAGATCCCAGTTGAAATTTGAGCAGATGCACAAGTTTGAAAGAAGTGCATTTATAGGGAGAGGAGATGGAATAGGAAAATTCAATCACTTTTTATTTTCTTGCTCTCTAAAGAAGCAAAAAGAAAAAGAATTAAGGCCAGGTGCAGTGGCTCACGCCTGTAATCCCAGCACTTTGGGAGGCCAAGGTGGGCAGGTCACGAGGTCAGGAGTTCAAGACCAGCCTGACCAACATGGTGAAACCCCCGTCTCTAATAAAAATACAAAAATTTGCTGGGCGTGGTGGCGAGTGCCTGTAATCCCAGCTACTCAGGAGGCTGAGGCAGGAGAATTACTTGAACCTGGGAGGTGGAGGTTGCAGTGAGCTGAGCTCGTGCCACTGCATTCTAGCCTGGGTGACAGAGTGAGACTCCATCTCAAAAATAAAAAAGAGAAAAAGAATTAAAAAGCATTTTAAAAGAAAAGAGAGCATGTTATTTTAAAGATGACTGTACATTAAGGAAATTAAGAAAAATTTACCTTAACATAACTTTGATTTTAATTGTAGTCAATTAAATTGTGTTTTTATTTGGAAAACATCTATGTTCTTTCCTTGGGTGTAACAAAGTATTAATTGAAGACTCTCAGCATTTTTTTCTTGTGTATTCTTATCTCTCTTTCTGGCAAGAGGAGTTGAAGGAAAAATTGTGCCAGAAGATGGCAGTTATAGAGAACATCTAGCAGCTAGGGGTGGGAGAGGCAAAAAAAGATGGCGGAAACCTCAGACAAACACACAGACAACAAGCTCAAATATGCCTGCACATGTGAGAGGGTACACACACACACACACACACACACACACACACACACACACATGCGCGCACACACACACAGGAATATAGCTTTTCTATATTCCCCTATGACGATATAAAGATATGGCTGCCAAAGCTACTGCTGCCAATTTGTAGGAATGTCCTCATACTGTCTTAGTAATAATGGCCACTGTTTTTCTTTTTAGGATTTGTTTCTGTTTAGAACTCTGCTTTTCAAAATCTGCAGTCTAACTTCGAAAATGCTATTCTTGTTCTTTGTCAGCTTGGCCAAAGCCATTTCTTTATATTTACATTTAGTCCAGATTGCTTGACATAATAACCTAGGCTGCTTTTGAGTTGTTGCTTTCATAGACTTAATCTAGGACAGTGCATCTCAAACTTTAATGTCTATGGGGATCTTGTCTTTGGTGTATCTCATTTTAACAAGATCTTAGGGATCTTGTTAAAAGATTCTGTTTTAGTAAGTTTGAGGTGGGGCCACAGATTCTGTATTTCTAACAAGTTCCCCGGTTATGTCAATCTTTGTCGGTCTATGGACCACACTTTGAGTAGCAAGGGTTAGGTTGCTCCACTTTAGTTCACAGCACAAGCACTGTTTAGTTATCTAGTTAATGTTATTCTCTATATCTTTCAGCCTTGCAATACAATATAAAAACATTTAATACAAAAACACTTCATATGTTTGTTCACATCATTGGTGGAGATGCTAATTTTAGTCTGTCATGGGTTATTTATTGAGTGCTGCTAGTTCAGAACTCATAATAACTCATACAACTCTTTAAGCCTCCCTTGGATTTGGTCTCTGTGATAAAGGATTGACTTCCTTCAAAACATACTTATCTTCTGGTTACTTTGTCAGTCAGAGAATATGTGATCATTAATCATTTCTTTAAGGGAAATTCACCTTAATTTAACATAACTGAATTAAACTGTTTTGCTTTGGAAAACACCTACACTCTTTTCTTGAATGCAACAAGGTGGGAATTTTTCCTTTGAATAAACAAAGTATAAATTAAAGCAGTATCTTTTAGCCAAGTATCCTTGTTTCTATTTCTTTTTGGCAGAAGAAGTTTGAAGTCCTCATGCCACATAATTGAAAGTTAACTCTTACATTCATGATGTTTAATATCTCTAGTGGACATGATGTCATTATTTGTCCAGTATAGTTCCTTTTTCCTTTGGGAATTTATTCTCTCCACTTCGAATTGAATGATTCTGGTAGGGCTTTGTTTTGTGGTTCTTTGCCCAACATTCATAGGGCTCAAGACAAGACCAATCATATTGGCACATTCCCCAGTCTAAGATGATTTAGTCCAGAGAAGGTTAAGTGACCCACCCTGAGACAGAGGTCTCCCAGGAATTGTTTTGTTTGGAGGTGAATATGAAGGGGTATTGTCCCTGGATCATGGAGCTGGTAGAAGACAAATCAGGCAACAAGATGATATTGATTTTAGTGGGAGAGAATAAGACTACTGGAAGACCAACAGAGATGGGAGATGGGTAGGTGCAGAGAGAAGAGCAGGCAGAGAAGCATTGAGATACTAGTTTCACACCACAAAGATCTGGGTTGTCTTAATTCTCTTTGGCCTTTATTTCAAATATTTGAGTTTCCCAGCTCTTAGTAGCCAAAATGTCCCTTTTTGTAAAGCCAGTTTGAGTTGGTTGTCTACTGATTATAACTGAAAGAGGCCTATTAAATATCCAATGCACATTTCTTTAGAACAGTAAAATAGAGGGATGCCTCACTGAGGCTGCTATATCTCATGGCCACGCTGTAGTTAGGGTGTATAAAGTCAATTGCAAACAAGAACCAGAATTAATGAAGAACAACTGAAACATGTCTCTTTTTGCCAGCAAGTGCATTATGCATGTGACACCAAAAGGCTAAAAACATAAAATATAATAATCATAGTTATTGTCACAACTTTGACTGAACATGAACATTCTCAAGACAAAATGCACAAAGTGAACTCAAGCTTAAAACTAAAGACATTGATTAAAGAAATAGAAAAATAAATCTGCCTGGCTCAAAAAGTAAATGAGGTCAGCCCATTTAAAACTGAACATTAGGAAAAGAAAAGCAGCTTAGACTAATTTTAATAGAAACAAAGGATTGTTTGTGAGTAATGATTTACCCGCAAAGAAGAAAAAATATTAAACGTGCATTGAATAGCAATGAAAAATGCATCAGAACATTTATCTAGGGATCTCAATCCTAACAGGAAGGTATCAGGAGGAAGCAGCCCATACTTGGGGGTAGATTTCTAAATCACCTGGAGTGGGAGACTGTTCAAACTACATGTGCTCCTCTTACTCTCTTTTTGGAGCTTCTCATATACGTTTCTAAAGGGGTATTTTTTCCTACCTCAAATCCTATTCTTAGGAGACAATCTCAGCAAGAGAATAGCAGTTATTGATATTAACTGCTGATGATGTTTAATATCTGTAGTGGACATGATGTCATTGTTTGCCCAGTATAGTTCCTCTTTCCTTTGAGTATTTATTCTTTCCACTTCCAATTGAGTTAAATAGGCTAGTAAAAATTGATTTAGACTCAGTAAAAGAGATGGCTCTTATTTAATAAAAAATTGAGTGATTTACGTGAAAACCAAAACATATATAATGTAAATAAAGATAGGATGGCTCTATTATTTTTAGTTCACAAGAACCTCTATGACAAAAGGATAGATGAAAGGACTGAGAGGCAATGGAAAGAAAATGAACAATACCTTGAAGATTATGTAGTTTATGGGGTATGTTACATCCGTTATCTCATTAAATTCTCAAAATATTATGAATTCAATAGTCATATATATTTAACAGATAAAACGATTCATAGAAACAACTTTCTCAATCACATAGTTGTTGTGTAATGGAGGCTGGACTCCAATATATTATTGTTTGGTTCCAAAGGCAATGAACATTCCAGTCCTCCGTGGATGAACAACAAATAGCTATTGAGTGCCCACATACGCCTAAAGGCCTGGTAGGGGAAGACTAATATATATAATTTACAACACAGTTCAAGTGTTTGAACAGAAATGGACACAATATGCTTGTAATAAAATAGAATTTACAACATAGTTTAAGCATTTTCAGCAGAGATGGAGACAATATGCTTGCCATAGTGTGGAACAGTGTTTTATACACTAATGTTTATGGCCTCTTGAATGAGTTATATATAGGAAATTATTGAGGGGAAGTCCTGGAGCACTAGAGAAAAAAGATCTTAAAGATGGTAATTTTCTGCAAAAAGCATCATAGCAAATTTTAATCTCATGGAACACACTTAAAGAAAAAAGCCAATACTGATTTCAGAGTCAGGAGATCACTGACTGGAACGACTTTGGCAAAGTCATTATGATTAGTGTCATCATTAATAAAACAAGGAGGCTTTACTAGGTCTTTTCTAACTTTTATTATATTTAGAAACTACAGAGTTATGAGTCTAAACTACTGATAAACTTCTCAGGCCATATTACATTTCTCTGTAAGGTTGCAAAGCCTGAAATAGATCAGTTATTCAAAATACTTTGGTGTAGGCCGGGCGCGGTGGCTCACTCCTGTAATCCCAGCATTTTGGGAGGCCGAGGTGGGTGGATCACAAGGTCAGGAGATCGAGACCATCCTGCCTAACACGGTGAAACCCCGTCTCTACTAAAAATACAAAAAAAAAAAAATAGCTGGGCATGGTGGCGGGCGCCTGTAGTCCCAGCTACTCGGGAGGCTGAGGCAGGAGAATGGCGTGAACTTGGGAGGCGGAGCTTGCAGTGAGCTGAGATCGCATGCCACCGCACTCCAGCCTGGGAGACAGCGGCGAGACTCCATCTCAAAAAAAGAAACAAAAACAAAACAACAACAACAACAAAAAAACAAAAACAAAATACTTTGGTGTATTATAATTAAGCACATTAGGCTTTCAATTATGAAAACATTAAAAATAAGAGAGCTTCCACTTCTCTATATCAATCTCAGTCATCTCTGTCCCATTATTAAATACTGGAATGCTTCACAGTTGTTTTCTTAGGCTCTACGCTCTTCTCACTCTATACTTTCTCTCTAAGATACCTCACTTTGTGATGTGTGTGGTAAACAGAAGTCTAAGATGGCCCCCATGATTACCATCCTGTGATGTACACATGCTGTGTATTTCTCTCTTTAGTGCAGATGGAACTTTTGAGTAGCAAAGATGGAAGGATTTTGCAGATGTGACTTAGGTCCCTAGTAAGATGATTTTTTGTTAATCAAAAGGGAGATCATGCTGGTTGAGCCTGACCAGATCAAGTGGAGCCTTTAAAAGAGGGTCTTGAAATTCAAAATTAGAGAGATTCAAAGTGAGAGAGACAGGAAGCACTGTTGTTGACCTTGTAGAAGTAAATCGCTATGTTCTAAAGAGGGTCACAGGGCAGGAAATGGCAGGCAGCCTCCAGGAGCTGAGGGTCTCAGTCCTATGACCACAAAGAACTAAATTATTTCAACGACCAGTGAGTTTCAAAGAGAACCCTAAGTTGTAGATTAGATTGAAGTTCTGGCCAACACTTTGATTGCAGCTATGTAAAACCCTGAACAAAGAACTCAGTTTATCCCTGACTGGACTCCTGACCCATGGAAATTGATACTTGATACAATAGATGGGTGTTGTTTTAAGTGGTTGAATTTGTGGTAATTTGTGATGCAGCAATAGGAAAATGAATACAACATGACTTCAGTTATTACAGATGAGTCATAAATTTATATCTCCAGCAAGACCTTCTCTTGTATACCGAATTATCTATTTGACATTTTCTCTTGGCTGTCTTAAAGCTATCTCAATTGCAATGTGTTCAAATCAAACTTATGTTTGTTACTTTCAAGCAAAATTCACTGAATATCATCTATCAACCATCAAACTGGGAAGCAAAAATCCTAGAATTGTGTTGATACCTTGCTCAACTTCATCCCTTTTATCAAATCCATCACAAATTCCAATTCATTTTATGTATTTGTGGCCGGTGCTTCAGTCTGGTTTACTCATCTACTCTATCCCCCACAAGTATGCCCTTCCCTGTAGCTTTGAGGCTAAAAAGTTAAAGATAACATTCCCTTTTTTTTTTTTTTTTTGGTAGCTAAGATTTCTCATTAGCCTTGGATTCTGTGAGGCAGATGTATTCACGTGAATTTTCCAAGGTGAATACAAACAATGAGAGGTGGCAGCCACATAGGAGGGGCTCAGATCATGCAGCAAACACTATTGTGGAGATGATGACTCTTCTGGGGCAGCTAAGGCAGTAGTTACACTGTCTGGTCCTTAGCATCATGAGGGCCTTGGAGGTTTCCAGTAGAACAGTCAGTCTTGTATTGTGTTAGACTTTTCTCTTTGTTGTGTTGCTTCTAGCTGTGGGGCATTCCATCTTGGTGCTTTGACCCTGCTAGAAATTCTATAAGGTACTTAATATCCTGATATAGTCTCATTTTTTGCTTACATTAGATTAGGTCAATGGATATATTTTTTAAAGCCAGCTAATCCATCATTTTCTTTCCATCTCCACTACCACTATCCTATTATAAGCTTTCATTATCTATTACATGGACTCTGTCAATAGCCTCTTGGCTGGTTAAACTCTGCATCTACTGTGCCCCTTATAACTCTTATAATCCACTCTCTACTCTTCAGCCTGAATGAGCTTTTCAATATGCAGACCTCTGTCACTTAAAATAATCAATAGCTCTCCATTTTTCTTTATATTTTTTATATTATATATATTTTTTAATTTTTGTGGGTACATAGTAGGTGTATATATGTATAGAGTACATGAGATATTTGATGCAGGCATATAATATGTAATAATCACATCAGGTTAAGTGGGGTACCCACCACTTCAAGCGTTTATCCTTTGTGTTTCAAGTAATCCAATTATACATTTAGTTATTAAAAATGTACAAAAATTATTATTGATTACAGTTTCCCTGTTGTGCTGTCAAATACTAGATCTCATTCATTTTTTCTAACTATTTTTTGTATTAGTAACCATCCTCTCTTTACTCCTACCCCCTACCCTTCCCAGCCTCTGGTAACTATCCTTTTACTCTCTAAGAGTTCAATTGCTTTAATTTTTAGCTCTAACAAATAAGTGATAGCATGTGATATTTATCTTTCTGTGCCTGGCTTATTTCACTTAACATAATGACCTCCAGTTCCATCCATGTTATTGCAAATGACAGGATCTCATTTTTTATGGCTGAATAGTACTCTATTATATGATATGTACCACATTTTCTTTATCCATTTGTCTGCTGATGGACACTTAGCTTGTTTCCAAATCTCGGCTATTGTGAATATCGCTGCAATATGCATGGGAGTGCAGATATCTCTTTGATATACTGATTTCCTTTCTTTTGGGTATATACCTAGCAGTGGGATTGCTGGATCATATGGTAGCTGTATTTTTAGCTTATGGAGGAAACTACAAACTGTTCTCCATAGTGGTTGTACTAATTTACATTTCCTCCAACAGTGCAGTAGGGTTGCCTTTTCCCTACATCCTTGTCAGCACTTGTTATTGCCTGTCTCTTGGTTAAAAGTCATTTTAACTGTTGTGAGATGATATCTTATTATAGTTTTGGGTTGGAATCAAAACTGGAATATTCTCTGCTGATCAATGATGTTGAGCACTTTTCTTATATCTGTTTGCCATTTGTATGTCTTGAAAAATGTCTGTTCAGATATTTAGCCCATTTTTGATCAGACTATTAGTTTTTTCCTATAGAGTTGTTTGGGCTCCTTATATATTTGGGTTATTAATCCCTTGTCAGAAGAATAGTTTTCAAATATTTTCTCCCATTCTGTGGGTTGTCTCTTTACTTTGCTGATTGCTTCTTTTGCTGTGCACAGGCTTTTTAACCTGAGGTCATCTCATTTGTCCTTTTTTGTTTTGATTGCCTGTGCTTGTGGGGTATTAAGAAATCTTTGCCTAGTCCAATGTCCTGGAGCCTTTTCCCATTTTAAAAATTAGTTTCATAGTTTGAGGTCTTAGATTTAAGTCGTTAATCCATTTTGATTTTATTTCTGTATATGGTGAAAGATAGGGGTCTAGTTTCATTCTTCTGCATATGGATATCCAGTTTTCCCAGCACTACTTATTAAAAACACTGTCCTATTCCCAGTGTATGCTATTGGCATCTTTGTTGAAAATGAGTTCACTGTAGATGTGTGGACTTGTACCAGGTTCTCTATTCTGTTCCATTGGTCTATGTTTCTGTTTTTACGCCAGCACCATGCTATTTTGATTAATATGGCTCTGTAGTATAATTTGAAGTCAGGTATTGTGATTACTCCAGTTTTGTTCTTTTTGCTCAGGAATGCTTTGTCTATTCTGGATCTCTTGTGAGTCCATATAAATTTTAGGGCTTTTCTTTTTCTATTTTGTGAACAATGTCATTGGTATTTTTATAGGAATTGCATTGAATCTGTAGCTTGCTTTGAGTTGTATGGATATTTTAACAATATTGTTTCTTCTAATCCAAGAACATAGAATATCTTTCCTTTTTTTGGTGTTTGCTTCAATTTCTTTTATGAATACTCACTTCTTTGGTTAAGTTAATTCCTAGGTATTTAATTTTATTTGTTGCTATTGTAAATGGGATTACATTCTTGATTTATTTTTCAGATTGTTTGCTGTTGACATATAGAAAGGCTATTGATGTTTGTATGTTGGTTTTGAATCCTTCAACTTAATTGAATTTTAAAAATCAATTCTAATAGTTTTGTTACAGAGTCTTTAGTTTTTTCCAAATGTGCAGACCTTATCATCTGCAAACAATGATACTTTGACTTCTTCCTTTCCAATTTGGATGCCCTTTATATCTCTCTCCTCTCTGACTGCTCTAGCTAGGACTTCCAGTACTATATTGAGAAACAGTAGTGACAGTGGGCATCCTTGTCCTATTCCAGATTTTAGAGAAAAGGCTTTTATTCTTTCCCATTTGGGATGATACCAGTTTTGAGTCTGTCATATATGGCTTTTATTGTGTTGACTTATGTTCCTTCTCAGTTTTTTGAGGCTTTTTATTAATGAAGGAATGTTAAATTTTATCAAATGCTTCTCAGCATCAATTGAAATGTTCATGGTTTTTGTCCTTCATTCTGTTGATATGATGAGTCACATTAATTGATTTGTGCATGTTCAACGATCTTTGCATCTCTGCGATAAATCCCACTTGATCATGATGGAGTGATCTTTCTAATGTGTTGATTTCTGTTTCCTAGTATTTTGTTGAGGATTTTTGCATTAACATTCATCAGTGATATTGACCTGTAGCTTTCTTTTTTGATGTGTTTTTCTAGTTTTGGTATCAAGGTAATACTGGCCTCATAGAATATGTTTGGAAGTATTCCCTCTTTCTCTACTTTTCAGAATAGTTTATGTAGAATTGGTATTAGTTTTTCTTTAAATATCTGGTAAAATTTAGCAATGAAGCCATCAGGTCTTGGGCTTTTCTGTTCTGGAAGACTTTTTATTACAGTCTCAATCTTGTTGCTTGTTATTAATCTCTTCAGGTTTTGGATTTCTTTATGGTTAATACTGGTAGGCTGTATGTGTCTAGCACTTTATTCATTTCTTCTAGTTTTTCCAATTTATTGGCACGTAGTTGCTCATAGTAGCCTTAATAATCCTTTGAATTTCTGTGGTATCAGTTGTATTGTCTCCCTTTTCATCTCTGATTTAATTTATTTGAGTCTTCTCTCTTTTTTTCTTAGTCTGGCTAAGGGATTGTTGATTTTGTTTATCTTTTCAAAAAACCAGCTTGTTGTTTCTTTGATCTTTCATATTGTTTTCTTTGTTTCCATTTCATTTATTTTCACTCTGATCTTTATTATTTCTTTTCTTCTACTGATTTTGTGTTTGGTTTGCTCTTGCTTTTCTGGTTCTTTAAGGAGCACATTTAGGTTGTTTATTTGAAGGCTTTCTACTTTTCTGATATATGTGCTTATAGGTATGAGCTTTCTCTTAGTACTGCTTTTGCCGTATCCTAGGTTTTGGTATGTTTGGTTTCCATTGTCATTTGTTTCAAGAAATTTCTCAATTTTCTTCTTAATTTCTTAATTAACCAATAGTTTCCAGAATTCCTCTTGTTATTATTTTCTGGTTTTATTCCATTGTGGCCAGAGAGATGCTTGATATAATTTCATTTTTTTTTTGAATTTTTAAAGACTTGTTTTGTTGCTCCACACATAGTCTATTCTTGAGAATGATCCATGTGCTGAAGAGAAGGATGTGTATTCTGCAGCCACTGGACAAAATGTTCTGGAAATATCTATTAGGTCAATTTGGCCTAGGATGCAGATTAAGTCCAATGTTCTTTGTTGATTTTCTGTCTGGATGATCTAGTCCAATGCTGAAAGTGGGGTGTTGAAGTCTTCAACTATGATTGTATTGGGGTATATCTCTCTTTATCTCTAATAATATTTGTTTTATATATCTAGGTGCTCCAGTGTTGGGTCCAATGTATTTACAGTTGTTTTTAAGCTCTTGCTGAATTGACCCCATTATCATTATACAATGACATTTCTTTGTCTCTTTTTACAGCTTTTGTCTTGAAATCTATTTTGTCTGATATAAGTATAGTGACTCATAATCTTTTTTGTTTTCTATTTGCATAGAAGATCTTTTTCCATACCTTTATTGTCAGTCTATGTGTCTCTTTATAAGTGATGTGTTTTCTTGTAGGCAAGAGATAGCTGATTCCTGGTTTTTTATCCATTCAGGCACTCTTTGTCTTTTGATTAGAGAGCTTAGTTCATTAGTGAAGGTGATTTTCTCTGATGATATGTTCTAATTTCTTGGTTTTTATTTTTTTGGTATGTGTTGCATTTTTTTTTGATTTGAGGTTATCATGAGGCTTGGAAATAATATTTTAAAACCAACTATTTTAAATTAATGACAACTTAATGCTGAATGCACAAACAAACCGACAAGCAAAAAGAATACAAACTGTGCAATTTAATTTCATCTCCCTACTTTTCAACTTTTTGCTGCTTCTGTTGATTTCTTGTACTGTCTATGACTTAAAAAGTTGTAGTTTTTATTTTTGATTGGTACATCTTTTAGTCTTTCTACTCAAGACATGAGTAGTTTATACATCACAATTACAGTGTTATAATATTCTGTATTTTTCTGTGTACTTACCATAATATTAACAGTGAGGTTTGTACCTTTAGGTAATTTATATTTCCTCATTAATGTCTTTTTATTTCAGATTGAAAAACTTCCTTTAGCAACTCTTGCAGGACAGGTATGGTGTTGATAAAATCTCCTACCTTTTGTTTGTCTGGAAGAGTCTTTATTTCTTCTTCATGTTTGAAGGCTATTTTCACTGGGCATATTACTCTAGGACAAACACCTCTAGGTTGTTTATTTGAAGTTTTTCTATGTTTTTGATGTAGGCACTTATCTGTAAACTTTCTGTAAACCTAGCTGTAAAGTTTCCTCTTAGTACTGCTTTTGCTGCGTCATAGGTTCTGGTATGTTTTGTTTCCATTGTCATTTGTTTCAGGAAATTTTTCAATTTTCTTCTTAATTTCTTCATTGACCCATAGTTTCCAGAATTCTTCCTGTTATTGATTTCTAGTTTTATTCCATTGTGTTCAGAGAAGATTTTTCCTTCAGCACTTGAAATATGTCATGCCTCTCTCTCCTGGACTGTAAGGTTTCCACTGAAAGTCTGCTGCCAGACATATTGGTGCTCCATTATATGCTATTTATTTCTTTTCTCTTGCCACCTTGAAGATCCTTTTTTCATCCTTGACCTTTGTGAGTTTAATTATTGGATGTTTTGAGGTAGTCTTTTTTGGGTTACTTATGCTTGTTGTTTTATAACCTTCTTGTACCTGAATATTGATATCTATCTCTAGGTTTGTGAAGTTCTCTGTTCTTATCCCTCTCAATAAACTTTATACACCTGTCTCTCTCTCTTCCCCTTTTCATAGTCAATAACTCTTAGATTTCTCCTTTTGAGACTATTTTCTAGATTCTGTAGGCATACTTTTTTTGGTCTTCTTTTCTTTTGTCTCCTCTGACAGTGTATTTTCAAATAGCCTATCAAGCTTACTAATTCTCACTTCTGCTTAATCAATCCTGCTGTTAAGAGACTCTGATGCATTCTACAATATGTCAGTTGTGTTTTTCAACTCCCGAATTGCTGCTTGATTCTTTTTAATTATTTAAATCTCTTTGTTAAATTTCTCTGATAGAATTCTGAGTTATTTCTTGAATTTTGTTGAGTTTGCTCAAAACAGCTATTTTACATTCTCTGTTGGAAAGATCACCTATGACTGTCTCTCCAAGATTGGTCCTTTATGTCTTATTTAGTTTGGTTGGTGAGGTCATGTTTTTCTGGATGATCTTGATGCTTATGTAAATTTGTTGGTGTCTGGGCATTGAAGAGTCAGGTATTTATTGTAGTCTTCACAGTCTGGGCTTGTTTGTACCCATTTTTCTTGGGAAGGCTTTCCAGGTATTTGAAGCGACTTGGGTGTTATGATCCAAGTTTTTGATCACTGTGGCAGTATCTGCATTGGGGGCACCCAAACCTAGGAACACTATGGCTCTTGCAGACTCGTAGATACCACCGGGATGGTCTTGGATAAGATCCAAAAGAATTCTCTGGATTACCAGGCAGAAACTCTTGTTCTTTTCTTTCACTTTCTCCCAAACAAATGGAATCTCTTCCTCTGTGCTGAGCTGCCTGGAGCTGGGGGAGGGGTGACACAAGCACCCCTGTAGCTACCACCACTGAGACTGTGCTGGGTGTGACCTGAAACCAGCACAGCACTAGGTGGGTCTTTTCTATGGCTTGCGGTAATCACTAGCCTGGCTACCTCCTGTATTCACTCAAGGCCCTAGGGCTCAACACTCAGCAGATGGTGAAATCAGTCAGGTTTGTGTCCTTCCTTTCAGGGCGGCAATTTTCCCTCAACTGCAGGTGAGTCCAGAGATGCCACTTGGGAGCCAGGGCCTGGAGTCAGAAGCCTTAGGAATCTACCTAATTCTCTATTCTACTGCAGCTGAGCTGGCACTGAAGCCACAAGACAATGTCCTTCCCACTCTTCCCTCCCCTTTTCACAAGCAGAGGAGTCTTTTCCCCTGGCAACCAGTGCCCAAGGCCTGCAGTGAGTACTATCTGGCTATTTTTGATGTTCAGTCAAGGCCCAGTCAACACGAGATGAGTACTGCCAGGGCAGTGGACTCCTGTGTGGCTCAGGGCATTCCAGAAATGCCACCCAAAAACCAAGGTCTAGAACTGGGTACCCCAAGAACCCAGTTGGTGCTCTGCCCCACTGTGGCTGAGTCGGTACCTAAGCAGCAAGACAAAGTCCCCTTACTCTTCCCTTTCCTGTTCTCAAGCACAAGGAGTCTCTCCTCATAGACAACACAGCTGGGTATGTGCTGGGGCACACCTGAAGCCAGCATGTCTCAGAGTCTCACACAAGGTTCATGGTGTGTACTACCTGGCCACTGCTGCTGATTTTTCAGGGTCTAAGAACTCTTTAGTCAGCAGGTGTTGAATCCTGTCAGGACTGGGTCCTTCCCTTCAATGCAGTGGTTTCACTTCTGGCCCAGGGTATAGCTAGAAATATCATCCATGAGCTAGGGCCTGGAATGGGGCCTCAGGATTCTGCCTGGTGTCCCATCCCTACTGTGACTGAGCTCATATCCAAGTTGCAAGACAAAGTCCTTTTTACTTTTTCCTCTCCTCTCCTCAAGTGGAAGGAAGAATTCTCTCCTGGAACTGCCAGCTGCGCTCCCTGGGGTTGGAGGAGAGGTGGCAGAAGTCCTTTGGCTATCCCAGCCATTTTCTCACTAGGTCATGTGCTCTGAGCCCAGCACAGCACCATAACTTGCCCAGGAATTGCAGTCCTTGTGGCCTATGCTGCTTTTCAAGTTTATTTAGAACCTAAGATCACTTTAGCCTGTGGTGATGAGGCTTGGTAGAACTCAAGTTCTGACTGCTGGGATGGGTGATTTCCCTCTGGCTAGGGCTGGTCTAAATGCTCTCTCCAGGCACCAGCTGAGTTCTGCCCAGTGCTGCTTTCCAGAGTGACAGGACAGCACTAAGTTCCAATACAAAGTCCCACAATTGTTATGCTTTCCCTCCCCAAAGTGTATAGATTCTCCGTGCCATGTGGCCGCTGCCAGGGGATGGAGGAGGGGTGTTGTTGGCAATTCACGACTGTCATTCCTACCCTGTTCAGTGCCCTTTTCAGTAATATGAAGTTAAAACTAGGTCCTGTGATGGCTCCCCTGATTTTTGGTTCCTATGAAAGTGTTTTTTTTGTGTGTGTAGATAGTTGTTAAGTTTGGTGTTCCTGCCAGAAGGAAGATCAGTGGAGGCTTTCTGGCCATCTTGCTTCACCTCCCTCCTCCATTGTCCTTTAGATAAGACCAAAATCTTCCCTAGCCTACAAAGACTGATTGCTATTTAGCTCTTTAGTTAATCTTGTACTTCTTTTCCCTTGTACCTGCAAGTTTAGTCTCTTGCAGGTACCATGCACCTTGCCACTTTACCAAATCTGTAGAGCCTACCAGCATCAGACTGCACAGATTTAAGGTCTTACATACCAGCTCTCTTCTTCAAGGAAGACTCTTTCTTCTAACTTTCCCCAATTTACACCTTCCCGTGATTTCTAAAATCAGCACTTCCTTAAGGAAGCCCTTATTAGCCTCTGCATCTTGGTCAATTACCTCATGTTTTTGTTGCATTATCTATCCCTTAGGGATTCCAGTTTGCAGAGTTGCAGTTTTCTGTGTAATCATTTGACTAACAACTGCCTCTCTCACTATATGGTCAACACCCTGTGAACAAGTACTTTTTGTTTTTACTCACACTATATTCCTTCCACCAAGTATTTGCTAAATAATGAATGAAGCATTTATAATGTTCTACGTATTCTTCTAAGTGATTTATAAACATTAACTTGATTTTTCTTTACATAAATACTATGAGGGAGGTAGAATTATTTTATTCTGTAAGTCAAGATAATCTAAGTTACCTTGTGGTAACAGCCCCCCAAATCCAGTGATTTAAGATGACCTCAGCCAAAGTTTTTTTCTGGCTTATTCTTTGTGTAACATACAGGTTAGCAGGTGGAAGGCATTGTTGTAGTTATTCAGAGACTCAGGTTAGATGTTTCATCTTGACACATGCTTCTGAATTGTTGCAGAAGGGAAGACGGATGATGGAGAATCATGTCCCAGATCCTAAATGCTTCTACCTAGAAGTGACACACTTGGGAAAAGCAAGTTGCCTAGCCATGTCTAACTACAAGGGGGTAGAGGTGTACAGTCATAGCAGAGACCTATCAAAAAGAGAATCATAAATATTTGGTGATCAAACAAAAAATTGGTCTACTGCATTTATTATTTTCACTTTAAAACTGAATAAATAGACATACGGAGAAGCAGCTTGCTTAAAAACAGAGGAGCCAGAGCTTGAATTTGGAAGGTTTGCCCACAAACCCCTGACTTCAGATCTCTATGTTATTTTTCTTTATCCACACTGGTACCTAGACATTTCCATTCTAGGAAAAAATGGTTAACCATGTCTCTGTTATTGCTTTTGCTCCCAAATGAAAGGAGTCAAGTCAATTGCTGCTATATCCAGAGTTTCACGCTCTGAAGATCATAAAAATGAAGACATTTCTTTAGGAAGTTCACAGTCAGAAGCTGATATGCCAGCAGTCTCTATTGCTCTTTGCTCTTTTGAAAGAGTCCATTTATACCCATCATTACATAATTGAACACTTTACATAAAAGATAATTTGGTCAAGTCTACATAGTCAAATTTATGTTCTAAATTTTTCCTTTCAAATCTGGATGTCTATTTTTTTTTTTCCAACTTTTAGGTTCAGGGGATACATGTGCAGGTTTGTTATATGGGTAAATTGCATGTCATGGGGTTTGGGGTACAGATTATTTCATTGCTCAGGTAATAAGCATAGTAACTGATAGGTAGTTTTTCGATCCTTATTCTCTTCCCATCCTATACCCTAAAGTAGGCTCCAGTGTTTACAATTCCCTTCTTTGTGTCCATGTGTACTCAATGTTTAGCTCCCACTTATTGGTGAGAACATGTGGTATTTGGTTTTCTGTTCATGCATTAATTTGCTTAGGATAATGGCCTCCAGCTCTATCCATGTTGCTGCAAAGGATGTAATTTCATTCCTTTTCATGACTGCATAGTATTCCATGATGTATATGTACCACATTTTCTTTATTCAGTCCACTGATGATGTTACCTAGGTTGATTCCATGTCTTTGTTATTGTGAATAGGGCTGCAATGAACATATGCATGTATGTGCCTTTATGGTAGAATGATATATATTCCTTTGGGTATATACCCAGTAATGGGATTGCTGGGTTGAATGGTAGTTCTGTTTTAAGTTCTTTGTGAAATCTCCAGACTGTTTTCCACAGTGGCTGAACTTTACATTCCCATCAGCACCAAATCAGCATTCCCTTTTCTCTGCAACCTCACCAGCATCTGTTATTATTTAACTTTTTAATTCTAGTCATTCTGACTGGTGTAAGATGGTATCTTACTGAGATTTTGATTTGTATGGACCTAATGATTAGTAACATTGAGCATCTTTTTGTATGTTTGTTGGATGTGTATATGTCTTCTTTTGACAAGTATCTGTTTATGTCTTTTACCCATATTTTAATGAGATTATTTGCTAATTTGTTTAAGTTCCTGATAGATTCTGGATATTAACCTTTGTTGGATGCATAGTTTGCAAGTATTTTCTCCCATTCTGTAAATTGTCTGTTTACTCTGTTTCTGTTAGTTTCTGTTGCTGTATATAGTTCCTTTTGCTGCATACTCTGCTGATAGTTTCTGTTAGTTTCTTTTGCTGCATAAACTAAACTGTTTAATTTAGTTAGACCCTACTCATCAGTTTTTGTTTTTGTCACAATTGCTTTTGTAGCCTTCTTCATGAAATCTTTGCCAGGTCCTATGTCCACAATGGTATTTCCTCAGTATTCTTCTAGGATTTTTATATTTCTAGGTTTTACATTTAAGTCTTTAATTAATCTTGAGATGATTTTTGTAAAAGGCGAAAGGAAAGGGTCCAGTATCAGTCTTCTGCATATGGCTAGCCAGTTATTCTAGCACCATTTATTGAATAGGGAGTCCTTTCCCTGTTGCTTGTTTTTGTCAACTTTTCAAAGACCAGATGGTTGTAGATTTATAGCTTTATTTCTGGGTTCTCTAACCTGTTCCATTAGTCTATGTGTCTGTTTTTGTAACATTATCATGCTGTTTTGGTCACTGTAGCCCTGTAGCATAGTTTGAAGTTAGGTAACGTGATGCCTCCTGCTTTGTTCTTTTTGCTTAGGATTGCCTTAGCTATTCAGGCTCTTTTTTGGTTCCATATTAATTTTAGAATAGTTTTTTTTTCTAAATTCTGTGAAGAATGTCATTGATAGTTTGATAAAAATAGCATTGAATCTGTAGATTGCTTTGGGAAGTATGGTCATGTTAACAATATTGATTTTTCCTATCCATAAGTATAGAATGTTTTTCCATTTCCATTTCCATTTGTTTCTGTCATCTCTGATTTCTTGAGCAGTTTTATAATTTTCATTGTAGAGATGTTTCACCTTCTCGGTTAGCTGCATTCCTAGGTATTTTATTCTTTTTTTTTGGCTATCGTGAATGGGATTCCATTCTTGATTTGTCTCTCAACTTGGACTTTATTAGTATATAGAAATGCTATGAATTTTTGTTTTTCATTTGTTTGATGGGTTTTTCTCTATCCCTTTACTTTGAGCCTGTGGATAACATTGCATGTGAGATGGATGTCTTAAAGACAGCATATAGTGTTACTTCTTTATCCATCTTGCCACTCTATGCCTTTTAAGTGGACACATTTAGCCTGTTTACATTCAAGGTTAATAGTAATATGTGTGGATTTGATCCTGACATCTTGTTGTTACCTGGTTCCTATATAGATTTGATTGTGTAACTGCTTTATAGTGTCAATGGTCTATGTACTTAAATGTGTTTTTGTGGTCACTAGTAATGGTCTTTTGTTTCCATGCGTAGCACTCACTTAAAAACCTTGTAAGGTAGGTCTGGTGGTAACTAATTCTCTTAACATTTGCTTATCTGAAAAGAAATTTTATTTGTCCTTCACTTACGAAGCCTAGTTTGGCTGGTATGAAATTCTTGGTTGGAATTTCTTTTCTTTAAGAATGGTGAGGCTGGGCGCAGTGGCTCATGCCTGTAATCCCAGCACTTTGGGAGACCGAAGCAGGTGGATCACAAGGTCAGGAGATTGATACCATCTTGGCTAACACGGTGAAACCTCATCTCTACTAAAAATACAAAAAATTAGCTGGGCATGGTGGTGGGCGCCTGTAGTCCCAGCTACTCAGGAGGCTGAGGCAGGAGAGTGACATGAACCCGGGAGGTGGAGCTTGCAGTGAGCCAAGATCGCGTCACTGCACTCCAGCCTGGGCAACAGAGCAAGACTCCGTCTCGAAAAAACAAAACAAAACAAAACAAAACAAAACAAAACAAAACAAAAAGAAGGCTGAATATAGGCCCCTGATGTCTTCAGACTTGTAAGGTTTGGGCTGAAAGGTCCACTGTTAGCCTGATGGTGTTCCCTTTGTAGGTGACCTGTCTTTCTTTCTAGCTGCCTTTAATATTTTTTCTCTCACGTTGACCTTGCAAAATCTAATGACTATGTGTCTTGGAGAAGCTTGTCTTGTATAGTATCTTGCAAGGGTTCTCTGAATTTCCTGAATTTGAATGTTGTCCTCTCTAGCAAGGTTGTGTAAATTTTTACGGACAGTATCCTCAAGTATGTTTTCCAAGTTGCTTGCTCTGTCTTTCTATCAGGGACTCCAAAGAGTTGTAGGTTTCATGTTTTTACATAATCCCATATTTCTTGGAGGTTTTGTTCATTCTTTTTCTTTATTTTTCTCTGAGTTGATTCAAAGAATCTATCTTTGAGATCTGAAATTCTTTCCTCAGCTTTGTCTATTTTGCTGTTAATACTTCTGATTGTATTATGAAATTCTTGTAGTGAGTTTGTCAGCTCTGTCACACCATTTTGGTTCTTTCTTAAAATGGCTATTTCATCTTTCAGTTCTTATATTATTTTACTGGATTCCTTAGATTTTTTGAATTGGGTTTCAACTTTCTCCTCAATCCTGATGATCTTTGTTGCCACCCAGGTTCTGAATTCTATGTCTGTCATTTCAGTCATTTCAGCCTGGTTAAGAACCATTGCTGGAGAGTTAGTGCAGTCGTTGGAAGGTAAAAAGACACTCTAGCTTCTTGACTTGCCAGGGTTCTGGCATTCATTTTTCATCGTTGTGGGTTGATGAGAATTCTTTCAATCTTTGAAGTTGCCTTCCTTTGAATGAGGCTTTTTGCCTTTACATTCCTTGATGGCCTTGGGGTTTGACTGTGGTATAAGTTGGGTTCAATCTGGTAGCTTTGTTTCTGGATGATTTCAGGGGGCTAAGGCTCACCTCAGTACTACTGGGCTGCATTCTCTAATGCCGGGGGGCTGGGACCAGGCCCATGGCTTTTTTCTTTGTCCCCTCAAGTTTAAGCACCTGTTGATCTTGGGGGCAAAGGTTTTCCTGGTCCTCTGGCAACAACACTCTGATGAGGGGTGCCAGCAAAAGTGCTTCATCAGGGTGGTGGCAGCACGGCCCATGCTCACATTCCAGCAGTGGCAGAGTCGCACCGCAGCAGGGTCCACACACATGTGCGTGCCCTGGTGGCAACAGAGTGGCAGTGTGGCAAGCACCACATGTGTACGCTTGTGCTGGCAGTGAAAGAATGACAGGTTACATGCACTGTTGGTGATAGGGTGGCAAGGTTGGTGCACATGCCAGTGGCAGTGGGGCAACAAGTTCTACATACTTGCACGCACTGGAAAAGCAGTGGATGGAGGCTGCAGGCAAGTGCGTGCTGGTCGGGGCCCATCTGCAGAAGCTCTTTGATGATTAGGTGGGGTCCCTCAGAAAAGGATCTATGGAGGTAGCTGCTGGGAAGGACCTGGTTGGGCATCCGAGTCTGCACTGCAAGTGGGTGTGGCCACGAGGGAGCCTGAGAGAGGCTGACAGACAGAGGGGTGCTCAGATCAGACTGGCCTCATCTCACAGGCAAGGTAGTTTTGTTCTGTTCAGGTCTGACAGTCAACAAAGCCAAAGCTACCCCAAAGGAGCATGGTGAGCTTTGAGAGATGGGCATTTTTGGCCATGTTCCACTGTAGCTTCTCCTGTGCCAAACACTCTGGGCTGGACACAAGCTGTAGTCTTGTCCTTAACAATTCTCCAAGCAGCTCTCCCTATCAGCTCAAATGACCAGGGGGTTTATGGCTTCTCCTGCAGCTAGGATCCTGGAGGTCCATGGAGAGAGGGGGCCACTCCATGCCTATTTAATTCATCCCTTCTCCAGTAGCTGCTCAGGGCCAGGAGTGAGTTCCAGTGCTCAGCAACCCCATGCAGGGTTCCCAGCTTCCTCTCCCTTCAGTCCAGGGTCTGCACTCTTCCTCTGTTCATTCTCAATGCCTTCTTTCTGAAGATCTGCTAGGACTGTGCCGATCTTCTTGGTGGTCTGGTCTCCGTGGGAGATGCTCTTCCCGGCTGCATCTAGTCCACCATCTTGGCTCTTCTCTGTAGTCAAATGTTATCCTCAAACATAAACTTTGAACAAAACTGATCTTATTAAAGGTTTTTCTGCTAGTTTTTGCCAGAGATTTGATGAGTCAATTATGTTTACTATTTTTTTTTTTTTTTTTTTTTTTTTGAGATGGAGTCTTGGTCTGTCCCAGGCCGAAGTGCAATGGCGCGATCTCGGCTCATTGCACCCTCTACCTCCTGGTTGAAGCGATTTTCCCACCTCAGCCTCCTGAGTAGCTGGGACTACAGGCATGCACCATCACCCCCAGCTAATTTTTGTATTTTTAGTACAGATGGGGTTTCACCACGTTAGCCAGAGTACTCACGAACTACTGACCTCAAGTGATCCATCTGCCCGTCTGTCTCCCAAAGTGCTGGGATTACAGGCGTGAGTACCGCGCCTGGCCTATGTTTACTAAGTTTTAATCAGAAATACATTTCCCTGTGTAGTGTCACTCTGGACCATTAAATGAATTTGAGAACATAATGAGTAGTTAACCTTGAAGCTCTAAATTTACTTGGGCTTTTATGAAAATAAAACCCAAAACTAGCATTTATGTTAGAGAGTAAGCAATAAGCTATTTACTTATTTGCTTTTAACCATAGGACAAGAGGAAAAAGAATGGAAAATTTGAATGTGTTTTTATTAATCATGTACTGGCTAATATTTTAAATAAACTCGTAATTTTGACTGATAATTTTAGAATTTATTTTGCCAAATATCAGGAAATACTTTTTTCAAAATAAAAAAATTCAGGCAAGAAGCTGTATAGACCTTGCCAATCCCAATATCAATTACTTAAGAATACCGTTTGTTACTTATTCAATGAATATTTTGTAAATATTAATATTTAACCAAAATAATCATATTCATATTATCTGCTCACAATCTTTTCTGTGCTCGCATTAAAGAAAATTTCTTGCTTTTCAAGTACAGATGAATTATAATAATTTCTATATGGAAATGATTATCATATGGTGTTTGTTGCCTATTATAGAAATGTAAATATTATAGTAATAGAATAATGCTTTTTGGGACAAAACTCTGAAACTACAGATAGAAAAAGAATAAAGTACAATAAAACATTAATATTGAAGGAATTGTTTGTGGGCATGTGTGTATTTGCTGCCAGCATACTTTTAAAAATTCTGTATTCCTCATTTTAAAATATACATTTTTAATGGACTAGGTTGTAAGGCAGTTGATATGGTTTGGCTGTGTCCCCACCCAAATCTCATCTTGAATTCCTAGGTGTTGTGGGAGGGACCCAGTAGGAGGTAATAGAATCATGGGGGCAGGTCTCCTGTGCTGTTCTCATGACAGTGAATAAGTCTCATGAAATCTAATGGTTCTATAAAGGGGAGTTTCCCTGCACAAACTCTTTCTTTGCCTGCCACCATCTATGTAAGTTCCTCCTTGTTCTTCCTTGCCTTCTGCCATGATTGTGAGGCCTCCCAGCCATGTGGAAATGCAAGTCTGTTAAACGTCTTTCTTTTGTAAATTGCCCAGTTTGGGTATTCTTTATTAGCAGCATGAAAATGGACTAATACAATAGATATTGATTTTTAATTATTTATCCTTATGTAAATGCTATAATAACTAGCAAAACCCCACAAAGGACTGAAGTAGGTCTGCAACAGAGGCTTATACAGACTTCAGTGTTTGTTTCATGGAAAAAGCAGGCAAATGTGCCATTTACCCTGGAGAGTCTTGGGGAGAAGACTCCATAGAGAGTAGTTTTCCCTTTTCTGAGTGGTGCTGTCAATACCTTGGTATTCCAGGATTCGAGGTGTCAGAGTCCGGTTTAAGTCTCAGCTAACCATAAGAGACTCCCACTGAAATCAGCCAGAGAGATACATGAGCATCTTATCCAAGCAGGATGATCTTTCCTCTCTGCCACAGAACCTGAATTTGGATATATTTACATATCTCTACAGAATATTTGCCGATTTAACCATCTCAGAAAATTGCCTAAAAAACTGATAATGTTTTATAGGTCCTTAATCCCACTTTCCCTAAATTAATGAAATTCCCTTCAAGCCTCTGAAATTAACACTCTAGATGTTTACAATGTGCTTCTGTTTAGTTACCTTATACTGCTATCCCTTCCTCGATTTTAGTTTCGCAGAGGTCTTCCCACTTTAACACCATTTACTGACCAGGATCTCTCTCTCATTTACTTCCGTCTCTCTGTCTCTTTCTATCATACCTCCTTTTATATGACACTAGACTCTGCAAAGCCCCCTTGGAAATGAGGCCACTTCCTGTTAAGTGATCCTGGGGAATGTGGAATGTAAAGACAACTGAGAATAAGGTAGTGTGTCCTGTTGTAAAGGTACATAAAAGCCGTAAAACATGAGAGCAGGGCAGGGGGCACAGGTGGGAGAGGAGGGTGGTGAGTTTTGCCATGTGCTGTTTCTCTCCAGATCTGTTTTTTAAAAGTCACTTCTGGCCCCTTGGCCAATCTGCACTTAATTACCTGTTCCTGCTCTATTTCCCAGACAGCCAGCAGTGTGGTCAGTCTATTCCCCATCCCTCTGTGAGGCCCAGCTCTGGGGTGAAGCTGCTGTATTACAAATGCTTTGTGGACCAAAACAATGTATGTGTCTGCTGGGATTTTCACTAAGTGGTCAGGATGCCAACCACAGTCCTGATCGTTTTAAATGGCTTGTGATCTGAGGCTAGGGAGATGCTCATTAGTGGCCATAGAAGTCCAGTGTCAGGGACAGATTGAAGCAAGTCGCTCTGCTTTCTGCCAGCACGAGCATGAATAGAAGAGACCGTGTTAATAAAAGTTCCTGAGATGAAGCCATAGAATAACGTACTTGTGTATGATTATAAACATTTTGCCCTGCGGTGACTCTCCTCTATCAAACCTACTCCAAGCCTGATAAGCGCTGCCTCTTTAGGGGTCATTAATTTCCCTGAAAATTTAAACAGCTGTCACTTGTGATCCTCCTCAGGTGCTCATGTGGGAGAGATTAGCTTGTGTTTATAAGCCGATCTGTTCATTAAGCGCCTGCTGGTGTGGAACCCCCTCCACAGGCTGTGAGTCAGGCCTGCAGATCTCCCACAGATAATTGGGGGCTGCTGCGAATTACACAGTGGTACTGCTGGCCCCAAGGATGGTGTAGTCTTATTAACATCAGCTGGGTACAGCACACCATTTTAATGATTTCCAATAAACCAAGCAAACTCTCAGAGCTCCACGAGCATTTGGGCACTGACAGTTAAAGGGATTGCATAGGTTTGGGTTTGCCGTAGTTACTGTCAACTTCTTTCTCATTAACACTTGAAAATCTTGGTTTCGCTCTAAGATGCAGTGATGCTTCCATGGTCTGTTTCGATATTCAAATTAGTTCTGGTGCTTTTAATGGCTATTATAGTAAAAAAAAGACACTTCATGAAGATATGTGGCTCCAAAAGGAGGAAGAATATTTTGGCAGTGATTTCTAAATTAGATACTCATGTTTTAGATAGCATTTTCCATTTATATAATCTTTTAATGAAATTTGTTGTATTTCTGTGTTCTCTGATGTTACTAAGTTCTAGAAAACTAATAAAAAATGTTATATTTTGACATTTTAAACAGAGGTTTTAAACTTATTGAAAATTTTTTGTCTAGATCTTTAAATAGGTTGGACAATTTGTTTTCTAGTCCAATAAACATGTAGGTGACACATTTATATTATTTTCAGTAACAAAATGCTAGATGCCAGGGGGAAACATTTCCAAATTTCTTCAAAATGCTGTCTCCATTGCAGGATTTCATTTTGAAAAGCAGTGACTCATACTCATTGTTGGAACATCTAACTTTAACTCCTACAGACAGCTTAAATGTATTTATATTGAAAAAATTTTTCTTGGGAGGACGGTATGGGCAGTCATTGTAATCACATTGAAAAGGCTGGTAGATTTTACACATTTAAAAGAAATGTATCCTGCCTTTAAGTTCAACAACTCTTTTAGGAAAGTGGCCACAAGATAAAACAGCCAATCCTTGAAGTACAAAAGATTTTCCTGATCATTTTCTACCTCATTCCAAATATTCTAAGTTTCTATTTTTTAAAGGCTTATTTCTATAAAATTTATTATAGTGATGACATCCTGTGGGTTGAAGGGCACCTCTGGCTTTAACTTCTTTCCTACCTTAGTCGGCCTATGAATGAGGCAGGAAGCAGTCTTTTGTACCGTGCTATTTCTGTAAGTTTAACCTTCAATCCTTTCATGATATTGTAGTCAAGGCAGTGGCTCCAGTAGAAGTTATATTATGTAGTCTTAAAAGCGTTGTTTTTTTAAGTAATTTTTATACCATTGAAAATCTAACTTCTTTTTTTCATCTTTCCTTTCATGGTTGATAGGAATAAAAAAGCTGTCTTCTTGACAGATATAAGCTGGTAGCTGAGACATGAGGGAACATCACTATGTTCATCTAACTTATACCAAACCTCTGTCATGCTGGACCGCCATTAGCTTCAATATGGATGGCACCAGATTAGAGGCCAAAGGAGAGACGTGGAACCAGTAAATGAGACATAGGGTTTTATTGGCATGAAACTTACTTACAGGGATGGTCCAGTGGCCACAGGCTGCACAGGAGCACCTAACCACTTGCAAAAATCAAGCAGTTTATATAGCATTTTCCCTTAACACCCTCTTCCTAACAACTTCTACCTGGCAACCCTCATTTACCCCAAAATAAAGGGCCTCGATCCCCTGTATGCCTGTGTTCCACAGGACAGGCTGAGGGTTCAGGTGTTTCTCATTGAAAAGGAATGAATCTCTGGCTTGGCCACTCCTGGCTTCCTTAGCTTCGAACTCTGGACACACATTCAGGCGCATCTGCCATACGGGATCATTCTCAGAGCATGCTTAAGTTCTTGGTATCAAGTACACCTACCATACAACCTCCCAAACTTTGTAAGGTGATGCTTATTTTGGCAACACTTCAGCAATGTTCTCTATGCATCTTATTTTGGCAACTCTTCAGCAATATTTTCTATGCATCATCCAAATCTATTTGTTGATATAGAAATGTTTTGCAGTTTGTCAGTATATTAATTTCTATTAACTGCATCGGATATTTTTACTAGGAGGAGAAGATATTTCCCTGGTGGTATGCGACTTTCACCATTAACTAAGAAACCATAGGAATGACTTTTAAATATATAAAATATATTAAATATAGTAAAATGTTATAAATGTTTCTGATTTGAGAAAGCATGACTTTAAACATTGATAAAAATGACTGTGCTATATTGTATATGTCTACGTTAAAACTGTCTTAACTTCTAATCATGAGTTAATACCTTAAGGAATAATACGTCCTCATTGTGAGATTCATTGATAAGAATTGTGGCTGTCTATTGTTAAAAATAATGAAGGTAAATCCATATTTCAAATAGTGTTCTTTTAACTAAGATCTTTTTCTACATGACTATGTGATCTTTCTTTCACATATAATGTGGCTGATAAAAAATGTATAATAGGAGCTAGCACATTAGCTGTCTTTTATCTGGTGTTTTGCTTGTGCTTGAGTTAGCATTTTTTAATCTGTTGGGTTATTTGCAAGATTTTTAAAAATCTACTTGACATTTTTTGAGAGCAAATTCATTTGAAACCAGAGAATCTCTTGGTTCTTTTAATAGGACCCCCCAAAACAAAATGTCAGAATACAGTTGACCCTTGAACAATATGCATTTAAACTGCATGGATCCACTTATACCTGAATTTTTTTAAATAGATATATTGGAAAAGTTTTTGGAGATTTGTGATAATTTGAAAAAAACTTGCAGACAAACCATGTAGCATTTTTAGTATTGAAAAAATTAAGAAAAAGTTATGTCGTAAATGCATAAAATATATGTAGATACTAGTCTATACGTTAATTGACTATTATTGTTATTTGGCTAAAGCTTCCGGTCAACAGTAAGCCATTGGTAGTTAGGTTTTGGGGGAGTCAAAAGTTATTTGCAGATTTTCAACCGTGCAGAGGGTTGGTGCCTCTAACCTTACATCCTTCAAGAGTCAACAGTACATTGGAAACAAGCACATGAGAAAGTGTATTGTTGTAGCCCCTGTTATGTTTTGAAAGTAGCTCCTCTCTTACCTTGGGATACTTTGCCCATTACATGTGGCAGAGGGTTCTGATACAGACTGAACGAGGGGGAATGTCTACCTATGCAACAAAGCTTAGTTACATTTGTGTTGCTTGGATTAACAAATAAGGCTTTAGTGTTTTTCCCCCACATCCTAACAAATTGTCTTTCATTAATGCCCTTTGTGGGGCTACTCCCTGGGAGAAGATAAAAAGTATCTTTGCCTCCCAGTTCTTTATCTAGTTCTGGCTCTGGCTACCAGAGAGTGTTTGTAATAGAATTGGCAATGATATGACTTTAGTTAGTGATTTTCTGTTTTTGTGGATCAGCTTTGATCTTAGTAGAAAAAAGTATATAATCATATGGTAAATCTTCTGGTGGGACCCATACTGCTATATCCAAACTGAAAAATGTTGGAGGCTTTAAAATAAAAACAAAATATGTATTACTGAGAGACATTTGTGTTTGTGTGTGTGTGTGTGTGTAGATGTGTGTGTAGTTGAATACTGAATATTTCATGTATATATTTGTGATGGAGAAGATTGAGTTTTTAAAGACTTCTAAGATGACCTGGACTGTCCTACAAAAGTAAGAGATTCCCAGGGAGCAAGTAATGTCTGTGCTCTTACATTTTCTTTACTGAAATGAGCACTGAATAGAAGAAAACCCCCAAACTCTATGAAAGATTTCCTTTTAAATAAAATATGGCTTTTATAGAACAGTAGAAAACTTTTTTTTTTTCTGGTATCTTTAAAAGAAAATACCTGCGACTCAGGTATATATGCTAAATTGTCTTAATCTTTAAAAAGTGAAATTCAGTTAGTAACTAGACATTTTAATGTATTTGAAGAACAAAAATGACTGCTTGGGCAGGGGTCCTTGTTCACCCTGATGAAAATGAGTAGGGCAGGAAAGTGCTCAGGAGGGACGAACCTATATCCTGAGGATTAGAAAGAAGCAACTGCGTCTGTTTCTGAAAATATTTCTCACTTAGATGCTTTTCCCAGACATGTTTTGTGGGCTCTCACCTTGGTGAGATGCTTTGTGTTAGTGGACATTCGAAATTATCAGAGAAAAAAGACAATGTATAAACTTTGAGTCAAAGTTAACAAATAAGCAAAATGTGCTGAATCCATCATTTATGTGAAGCATCCCTTTCTTGGAAAGTTTCTAATGCTTCCTGTAAGTAGTCATAATTCAAAATGTCAAGTCATGTGGCGCTGGCTAAAATCCACATTAAATGTTTCATTTTTTTCTTTCCATTTGTTTTTTGTTTGAATTCTCTTTTGATGACACTTATTGCTTCATAAAGTTTATGCTCTCTTCTTTCCTTTGTAATTGCTTTGTTCTGCATGCTTTTTGTTTCTCTGAATAGAGAAGACAATGTGGGAAGACAGTTAATAGAACGTACGTTTTGAACATGGATGGGTCAGTATTGAACCTGACCATGTTTTAATTTGTACCAAATCACATTGAAGAGATCACATCTGTGCCTCAGTTTCCTCACTATAAAAGGCAATTCTATTACTGTGGGTATAGGTTTGGCTGAATGTGGCCTATACCCCAAATAGTAGCAATATTAACTACTACAAGTTTATTTCTCATTCATATAAAATCTGGGCTGGTATTGTGACTCTGCTCTGGGAAATTACCAGGGCTCTACAATGTGTCAGAGACCAGGCTCTTTCTATCTTGTTGTTTCAGCAACCTTAGGGTGTTGCCGCATTTACATTATCCAAATGGCTCACTCCCACTTCTGAATTCCAACTGTAGGAAAAGAGAATACAACCTGAAGACTGTGCCTATTACTTCTACTTTCATCCATTGGCTGAACTTAGTATCTGGCCACACATAGCTGCAAGGGGAGGCTAAGAACTGCAGTCTTTATTTTAGATGGCTCTGTGCCTAGCTGAAAATTGAGGATTTCATTGTTCTAGAAGAGGTGAATAGTTATTACAGTTTAACCAGCATTATCTACACAGTGCCCACAATTCTTTTAGAGGTCTACAAAAAGGCTTTAATTTTAATTTTTCTTGAAATCAGAAGAAAAGGAGTATGATAATAATGGATATATAATGATGAATCCAGCCTGGATTTCATTTGCTTTTATTCTAATGCAGTCATAAAATAAAATTTCTAATACTTTCTTGTAGAGGAGGAAGACCACAAAGGGAAAATCCTAGGGCCACAAAGTCATGATGTGGCCCAAACCATAGAGATGTTAATAAAACTTTCCATACAATATTGTAAAGGTAGAATTAATGTGATTAAAAATAGATATTATAATTACTATTCTTTGTCATTTTGCCTTTATTATTACTATTGTATTAGTTTACCCTTAAAGATACTATTTTTTTCTGAATTTAACATCATCATCTTACTTTTCAGGGAACCTCTTCTTCCATATATAGTCAAACCTACGTCTCTGTTGGGGAGACAGTTTGTATAATTTGAGGACAACAAAAAAGCACCTTTGTCTTTAATTCTGTCATCTACCGATTTGCCTTGTTAGAGACACTCCTTTGGGTTAAGGCATTAGCTGTGGGAGGCCCTAGTTGAAAGTTCACACAGCTTGAAACAATTTCAAAGCAGAATGTGAAATATCTGATCTGTATCTACTTGGAAAGATAAATACTGAAATGTATAAAAAATTTCTCACTGCAAGGTGGAGTTTTATTTACTATTTTCATATTTATTTAATTTAAAGTTTAAAATAAATAAATTTTATAATTGGAAGCTCCCAATAAATATAATTTTAGATTTTAAATATATTGTTCAATTGGCAGTTGAAGTTAGTTAGAATTTATTTTCTTGAATAAGATGATGTGTCTTGACAGAGAACAGGCCCCAGAGATAAGGTGTCATGGGATAAATGCAGGTGCTTGAGGAAAAGAATCAGGAAGATACCTGATTTGTGAGGATAATCTGTACACTGTTGTTTTTTATTTTTGCATACTGGGATATGTTTATATTAATAATACATTTCTCTAAATATCAATATTTAAAACTTTAAAAATTAATATATGTGTATTTCAGTTGTATTAGTAGCACTTACGGTGGCAAACTGTCTTTATTCATGCTTTCTTCTAAGGTTGTGATTAAAGCTCTAATAATTTTAAAGGACCCAAAGCTTTGCGTTCAAGCCAGTGTGCAGTCTGCATACACTGATGGATAAACACAATGCATCTTTCTGAGGCAAACATTTTACTCTATGTAATATGGGCATTAAGACAATCCCTTCCAAATAGGCAAGGATGGCTGTCTTCTTTGGCCTATTTGTAATGCATGAATTTGTTTATTTGAAAATATGTTTGAAATTTACAAGGAATAATGAACAACCCTATTAGAAAGTGGGCAAAGGACATGAACAGATATTTCTCAAAAGAAGACATACATACAGCCAACAAACATATGAAAAAATACTCAACATCACTGATCATTAGAGCAATGCAAATGAAAATCCCAATGAGATACCATCTCACACTAGTCAGAATGGCTATTACTAAAAAGTCAAAAAACAACAGATGCTGGCAAGGTTATGGAGAAAAATGAATGCTTTTACGCTGTTTGTGGGAGTGTAAATTAGTTCAACCATTGTGGAAGACAGTTTGTCGAATCCTCAAAGACCTAGAGGCAGAAATACCATTCAACTCAGCAATACCATTACTGGGTATATACTCAAAGGAATATAAACCATTCTATTACAAAGGTACATGTACGCATATGTTCACTGCAGCACTATTCACAATAACAAAGCTATGGAATCAACCTACATGCCCATCAGTGATAGACAGGATAAAGAAAATGTGGTACATATACACCATGGAATACTATGCAGTCATGCAAAAGAGATCATGTCCTTTGCAGGGACATGGATGCAGCTGGAAACTATTTTTCTCAGCAAACTAAAGCAGGAACAGAAAACCAAATACCATGGTGTACTCCTTTATAAGTGGGTGCTGAATGATGAGAACACATGGACACATGAAGGGGAACAACACACAGTGGGGCCTGTTGGAGGATGGGGATTGGGAGGGGAGAGAGCATTATGAAGAATAGCTAATGGATGCTGGCTTAATACCTAGGAGATGGGATGATCTGTGCAGCAAACTGCCATGGCACATATTTCCCTATGTAACAAAGCTACCCATCCTGCACATGTACCCCTGAACTTAAAAAAAAGTTGGAAATAAAAAAACAGAAAATATGTTTGACAGTTGAGTCATTCTCTCTGCCTTGGCTCTTTAGACAGAGCTTGTGAATTTTGCCATGTGAATATGTTGGTACCTAGAGAATGTGTATTTTGCACATGTCACCAAGCCTTATCCAGTAGTTCATTGCTTTTGATTCCTTAAGTAGTCACTTGTGACCTGGGTTAGGATTCTCCTAAATGGACTTAACCATTATACTCAGGAAGTAAGCTTTCTCTTATGTGGAAAGTCAGTTTTAGAAAGTGTTTGCATTAGCCCATAAGTATTTGACATTGTATAGGAGATAGCACATAGAATGGAAAGACAAGATTAAATAAACTACAGGTCCTTCTACCTTTCACTATCTTGCTTGGTTTTAATGTTAATGGCCTTGAGTGATGGCCTTCCACTTCTTCAACATGAATATGATTTCACACTCTGTAATTTAATAAGCTATTTTCTTAGATTACTTTATTAATATTCAAATTTAATTTTATCTCTTTGTGTCTACCTTGTATTGATCCTTTATGAAGTAAGAAATCATCTTGTCATAGATTACCATTGACACTAAATATTCAAATTTAATTTTACCTCTTCATGTCTATCTTGTATTGATCTTTTATGAAGTAAGAAATCATCTTGTTATAGATTACTATTGACACGAATTCTTTCTAATCATTTCTTAGATTATTAAAAACAGATGCACCAGGAATGAATTTCCATCCAGATAGTTGGATATAAAGAGTATAATGTTTAAATTTTTATATAATTTAGCTTACTACGTATTTGTGTTCTCTTTATGTTACAATAGGAAGGAATATTTATTTCCATTAATTTGGGATTTCCTCTCCATATTTCCTTAGGGAATGTATCTAAGATTTCTGAGTGGCTGTGTAGTACCACAGCATTGATTGGGGAGGGGATACGTGTGGTCTCTGTGTCATATTTCCATGGAGATATCATTTGGGATACCCACTTTCCTAATTGGTCTTAGGTAATCCCTCTACATGGTCTGCTGCAGGGATGTCCTCAGCTCCCTGGGCATAATTCCTTTGGCCATGAGGGCTCTTCCTGGCTTCTGCATCACTCACAGGAAATCTTTCTGCTTCCATCTAACATGCTGACACATTGACATCTGTCTGAGGCTATCCATGGTCTCCTAAACCTTTCTAGGTACTTGACCTCCTAGAGATAGAGAGAGAGAGAGAGAGAGAGAGAGAGAGACTGATTATTGACTTGTATGTCAATAAACACCTCTCAGAATAAGCATCAATAGTTTGTGTTTCCTAGAGCCTTTCCGGGAAACCAGACACTGTTTGTTTCAGTGCCCTATAAAACTATGTTAGATCCTTGTATCTCCCTTAAGCTCTCCTCTGGGAAACAGGGAAAAAGACTCTCTCTCTAGGATCCAGGGAGGATTTGCTCTCCTTAAAAATTCTTTCCGTCTATCTCCATCTCCTCTGCTGGAAAATCTTTATCCACCCCCTAGCAGAAGTCAGATTATCTTAAATTTAAAAAGTGTCTTGGCCAGGCACGGTGGCTCACATCTATAATCCTAGCACTTTGGGAGGCTGAGGTGGGAGGATTGCTTAAGCTCAGGAGTTTGAAAGCAGCATGGGCAACATGGCGAAACCTTGTCTCTACAAAAAATACAAAAAATTAGCTGGGCGTGGTGGCACATGCCTGACATCCTAGCTACTTGGGAGGCTGAGGGGGGAGGATCACCTGAGCCTGGCAGGTTGAGGCTGTAGTGAGCTGAGATCATGGCACAGCACTCCAGCCTGGGTGACAGGGTGAGACCGGGTCTCATAAATAAATAAATAAATAAAAAGTCTCTTAAAGAAAAACCAGGAAAGCTTGCCCTAAACTAATTCTAAATCAAAGAACACAGGGAAGATTATCTGCTCAAATAAAGGAAATAATTTTCTAAAAGGGTCAGAAGAATTCGGCTGTGAATCCATCTGGTCCTGGACTTTTTTTGGTTGGTAAGCTATTAATTATTGCCTCAATTTCAGAGCCTGTTATTGGTCCATTCAGAGATTCAACTTCTTCCTGGTTTAGTCTTGGGAGGGTGTATGTGTCGAGGAATTTATCCATTTCTTCTAGATTTTCTAGTTTATTTGCGTAGAGGTGTGTGTAGTATTCTCTGATGGTAGTTTGTATTTCTGTGGGATCGGTGGTGATATCCCCTTTATCATTTTTATTGTGTCTATTTGATTCTTCTCTCTTTTCTTCTTTATTAGTCTTGCTAGCGGTCTATCAATTTTGTTGATCTTTTCAAGAAACCATCTCCTGGATTCATTGATTTTTTGAAGGGTTTTTTGTGTCTCTATCTCCTTCAGTTCTGCGCTAATCTTAGTTATTTCTTGCTTTCTGCTAGCTTTTGAATGTGTTTGCTCTTGCTTCTCTAGTACTTTTAATTGTGATGTTAGGGTGTCAATTTTAGATCTTTCCTGCTTTCTCTTGTGGGCATTTAGTGCTATAAATTTCCCTCTACACACTGCTTTAAATGTGTCCCAGAGATTCTGGTATGTTGTATCTTTGTTCTCGTTGGTTTCAAAGAACATCTTTATTTCTGCCTTCATTTCGTTATGTACCCAGTAGTCATTCAGGAGCAGGTTGTTCAGTTTCCATGTAGTTGAGCGGTTTTGAGTGAGTTTCTTAATCCTGAGTTCTAGTTTGATTGCACTGTGGTCTGAGAGACAGTTTGTTATAATTTCTGTTCTTTTACATTTGCTGAGGAGTGCTTTACTTCCAACTATGTGGTCAATTTTGGAATAAGTGTGGTGTGGTGCTGAGAAGAATGTATATTCTGCTGATTTGGGGTGGAGAGTTCTGTAGATGTCTATTAGGTCCGCTTGGTGCAGAGGTGTGTTCAATTTCTGGATATCCTTGTTAACTTTCTGTCTCATTGATCTATCCAATGTTGACAGTGGGGTGTTAAAGTCTCCCATTATTATTGTGTGGGAGTCTAAGTCTTTTGTAGGTCTCTAAGGACTTGCTTTATGAATCTGGGTGCTCCTGTATTGGGTGCATATATATTTAGGATAGTTAGTTCTTCTTGTTGAATTGATCCCTTTACCATTATGTAATGGCCTTCTTTGTCTCTTTTGATCTTTGTTGGTTTAAAGTCTGTTTTATTAGAGACTAGGATTGCACCCCCTTCCTTTTTTTTGTTTTCCATTTGCTTGGTAGATCTTCCTCCATCCATTTATTTTGAGCCTATGTGTGTCTCTGCATGTGAGATGGGTTTCCTGAATACAGCACACTGATGGGTCTTGACTATCCAATTTGCCAGTCTGTGTCTTTTAATTGGAGCATTTAGCCTATTTACATTTAAGGTTAATATTGTTATGTGTGAATTTGATCCTGTCATTACGATGTTAGCTGGTTATTTTGCTCGTTAGTTGATGCAGTTTCTTCCTAGCCTCGATGGTCTTTACAATTTGTCATGTTTTTGCAGTGGCTGGTACCGGTTGTTCCTTTCCATGTTTAGTGCTTCCTTCAGGAGCTCTTTTAGGGCAGGCCTGGTGGTGACAAAATCTCTCAGCATTTGCTTGTCTATAAAGTATTTTATTTCTCCTTCACTTATGAAGCTTAGTTTGGCTGGATATGAAATTCTGGGTTGAAAATTCTTTTCTTTAAGAATGTTGAATATTGGCCCCCACTCTCTTCTGGCTTGTAGAGTTTCTGCGGCGAGATCAGCTGTTAGTCTGATGGGCTTCCCTTTGTGGGCAACCTGACCTTTCTCTCTGGCTGCCCTTAACATTTTTTCCTTCATTTCAACTTTGGTGAATCTGAGAATTATGTGTCTTGGAGTTGCTCTTCTCGAGGAGTATCTTTGTGGCATTCTCTGTATCTCCTGAATCTGAATGTTGGCCTGCCTTGCTAGACTGGGGAAGTTCTCCTGGATAGTATCCTTCAGAGTGTTTTCCAACTTGGTTCCATTCTCCCTGTCACTTTCAGGTACACCAATGAGACGTAGATTTGGTCTTTTCACATAGTCCTATATTTCTTGGAGGATTTGTTCATTTCTTTTTATGCTTTTTTTTCTAAACTTCTCTTCTTGCTTCATTTCATTCATTTGATCTTCCATCACTGATACCCTTTCTTCCAGCTGATCAAATCAGCTACTGAGGCTTGTGCATTTGTCACGTAGTTCTCATGCCATGGTTTTCAGCTCCATCAGGTCCTTTAAGGACTTCTCTGGCATTGGTTATTCTAGTTAGCCATTCGTCTAATCTTTTTTCAAGGTTTTTAACTTCTTTGCCGTGGGTTCAAACTTCCTCCTTTAGCTTGGAGAAGTTTGATCGTTTGAAGCCTTCTTCTCTCAACTCGTCAAAGTCATTCTCCATCCAGCTTTGTTCCGTTGCTGGTGAGGAGCTGCGTTCCTTTGGAGGAGGAGAGGTGCTTTGATTTTTAGAGTTTCCAGTTTTTCTGCTCTGTTTTTTCCCCATTTTTGTGGTTTTATCTACCTTTGGTCTTTGATGATAGTGACGTACAGATGGGTTTTTGGTGTGGATGTCATTTCTGTTTGTTAGTTTTCCTTCTAACAGTCAGGACCCTCAGCTGGAGGTCTCTTGGAGTTTGCTGGAGGTCCACTCCAGACCCTGTTTGCCTGGGTATCAGCAGTGGAGGCTGCAGAACAGCAAATATTGGTGAACATCTAATGTTGCTGCCTGATTGTTCCTCTGGAAGTTTTGTCTCAGAGGAGTACCCGGCCGTGTGAGGTGTCAGTCTGCCCCTACTGGGGGGTGCCTCCCAGTTAGGCTGCTCAGGGGTCAGGGACCCACTTGAGGAGGCAGTCTGTCCATTCTCAGGTCTCTAGCTGTGTGCTGGGAGAACCACTAGTGTCTTCCAATCTGTCAGACAGAGACATTTAAGTCTGCAGAGGTTTCTGCTGCCTTTTGTTTGGCTATGCCCTGCCCCCAGAGGCGGAGTCTACAGAGGCAGGCAGGCCTCCTTGAGCCGCGGTGGGCTCCACCCAGTTTGAGCTTCCAGGCCGCTTTGTTTACCTACTCAAGCCTCGGCAATGGTGGGCACCCCTCCCCCAGCCTCGCTGCTGCCTTGCAGTTTGATCTCAGACTGCTGTGCCAGCAATGAGCGAGGCTCCGTGGGCATAGGACCCTCCGAGCCAGGCACAGGATATAATCTCCTGGTGTGCCATTTGCTAAGACAATTGGAAAAGCGCAGTATTAGGGTGGAAATGACCTGATTTTCCAGGTGCCATCTGTCACCCCTTTCCTTGGCTAGGAAAGGGAATTCCCTGACCCCTTGCCCTTCCTGGGTGAGGTGATGCCTCGCCCTGCTTTGGCTCATGCTCGGTGTGCTGCACCCACTGTCTGACAGTCCCCAGTGAGATGAACCCGGTACCTCAGTTGGAAATGCAGAAATCATCCGTCTTCTGTGTCGCTCACGCTGGGAGCTGTAGACAGGAGCTGTTCCTATTCGGCCTTCTTGGAACCGCCTCACAGCCGAATTCTACCAGAGGTACAAGGAGGAGCTGGTACCATTCCTTCTGAAACTATTCCAATCAATAGAAAAAGAGGGAATTCTCCCTAACTCATTTTATGAGGCCAGCATCATCCTGATACCAAAGCCTGGCAGAGACACAACAAAAAAAGAGAATTTTAGACCAATATCCATGAAGAACATTGATGCAAAAATCCTCAATAAAATACTGGCAAACTGAATCCAGCAACACATCAAAAAGCTTATCCACCATGATCAAGTGGGCTTCATCCCTGGGATGCGAAGCTGGTTCAACATATGCAAATCAATAAACATAATCCAGCATATAAACAGAACTAATGACAAAAACCACATGATTATCTCAATAGATGCAGAAAAGACCTTTGACGAAATACAACAATGCTTCATACTAAAAACTCTCAATAAATTAGGTATTGTTGGGACATATCTCAAAATAATAAGAGCTATTCATGGACAATATCATACTGAATGGGCAAAAACTGGAAGCATTCCCTTTGAAAACTGGCACAAGACAGGGATGCCCTCTCTCACCACTCCTATTCAATATAGTGTTGGAAACTCTGGCCAGGGCAATCAGGCAGGAGAAGGAAATAAAGGGTATTCCATTAGGAAAAGAGGAAGTCAAATTGTCCCTGTTTGCAGATGACATGATTTTATATCTAGAAAACCCCATCGTCTCAGCCCAAAATCTCCTTAAGTTGATAAGCAACTTCAGCAAAGTCTCAGGATACAAAATCAATGTGCAAAAATCACAAGCATTCTTATATACCAATAACAGACAAACAGAGAGCCAAATCATGAGTGAACTCCCATTCACAATTGCTTCAAAGAAAATAAAATACCTAGGAATCCAACTTACAAGGGAAGTGAAGGACCTCTTCAAGGAGAACTACAAACCACTGCTCAACTAAATAAAAGAGGACACAAACAAATGGAAGAGCATTCCATGCTCATGGATAGGAAGAATCAATATCGTGAAAATGGCCATACTGCCCAAGGTAATTTATAGATTCAATGCCATCCCCATCAAGCTACCAATGACTTTCTTCACAGAATTGGAAAAAACTACTTTAAAGTTCATATGGTACCAAAAAAAGCCCACATTGCCAAGTCAATCCTAAGCCAAAAGAACAAAGCTGGAGGCATCACGCTACCTGACTTCAAACTATACTACAAGGCTACAGTAACCAAAACAGCATGGTACTGGTACCAAAACAGAGTTATAGACAAATGGAACAGAACAGAGCCCTCAGAAATAATGCCACACATCTACAACTATCTGATCTTTGAGAAACCTGACAAAAACAAGAAATGGGGAAAGGATTCCCTATTTAATAAATGGTTCTGGGAAAACTGGTTAGCCATATGTAGAAAGCTGAAACTGGACCCCTTCCTTACACCTCATACAAAAATTAATTCAAGATGGACTAAAGACTTAAATGTTAGACCTAAAAACATAAAAACCCTAGAAGAAAACCTAGGCAATACCATTCAGGACATAGGCATGGGCAAGGACTTCATGTCTAAAACACCAAAAGCAATGGCCACAAAAGCCAAAATTGACAAATGGGATCTAACTAAACTAAAGAGCTTCTGCACAGGAAAAGAAACTACCATCAGAGTGAACAGGCAACCTACAGAGTGGGATAAAATTTTTGCTATCTACTCATCTGACAAAGGGCTAATATCCAGAATCTACAAAGAACTCAAACAAATTTACAAGAAAAAATCAAACGACCCCATCAAAAACTAGGCGAAGGATATGAACAGACACTTCTCAAAAGAAGACATTTATGCAGCCAAAAGACACATGAAAAAATGCTCATCATCACTGGCCATCAGAGAAATGCGAATCAAAACCACAATGGGATACCATCTCACACCAGTCAGAATGGCGATCATTAAAAAGTCAGGAAACAACAGGTGCTGGAGAGGACGTGGAGAAATAGGAACACTTTTACACTGTTGGTGGGACTGTAAACTAGTTCAACCATTGTGGAAGTCAGTGTGGCGATTCCTCAGGGATCTAGAACTAGAAATACCATTTGACCCAGCCATCCCATTACTGGGTATATACCCAAAGGAGTATAAATCATGCTGCTATAAAGACACATGCACACGTATGTTTATTGCGGCACTATTCACAATAGCAAAGACTTGGAACTAACCCAAATGTCCAACAATGATAGACTGGATTAAGAAAATGTGCACATATACACCATGGAATACTATGCAGCCATAAAAAAAGATGAATTCATGTCCTTTGTAGGGACATGGATGAAGCTGGAAACCATCATTCTCAGCAAACTATCCCAAGGACAAAAAACTAAACACCGCATATTCACTCATAGGTGGGAATTGAATAATGAGAACACATGGACACAGGAAGGGGAACATCACTCCCCGGGGCCTGTTGTGGGGTGGGCGGAGGTGGGGAGGGATAGCATTAGGAGATATACCTAATGTAAATGACGAGTTCATGGGTGGAGCAAGCCAACATGGCACATGTATACATATGTAACAAACCTGCACGTTGTGCATATGTACCCTAAAACTTAAAGTATAATAAAAAAAGGGCCAGAAGAAAAAAAGCATAGGTAAATATCACAAAAATATGATTCTACCACATTTTAGTTTCCACTTTCTACGTGAGTTTCTGCTATCTGAGCCTTTAGAAAAGAAAGTTAAGGTCTTTTCTATATTTTCTAAAATGTTCTTAGCATTGAACAAAATAGACTCATTCATCTGAGTGATGGGTTTCTAAGCATCTCGTCTCTCTCCTCTTTCTTTTTCATACTACTTCCTTCATTAAAAAAAAAAATCCCCATCAGTGTATGGGAGAAATAAAGTAACATACAGCTAAACTAAAACTCAAATCATTAGTATTTTTTTATAATATAAGCTTAATATAGATGAAGATAGATTGCTGGCATGGTTTGCTATATTCTGTGTTATTTTTAAAACTAAATTATCTGTGATTTTTCTGAGAGTTGTTTGTAAACACACAGGTCAATAAGTCTCTTCTCTCTCTTCCCCGCCTTTCACTTTTACCTTTCCTAGAAGGGCAAAGATTTCCTACTGTAAGATTGCATAGAATCTATGGCCAGTATCAAAAGTTATGATTGAAATGCTCAGACCTAAAGGGCAACTATTACAAGCTTTGCTTCCAAGGGAAATCAGCTTTTGACAGGGTAATTTAAGCCAAAACAAAGGTCAGACTGTCAGAGATACACGTATCCACTTAGGGACGGATGGATTCTAGACAGATATATTCTAGAATAGAATCCACAACTCTAATGTGTTCATGGCTGAAATTTTTCAGTTTCGACACTCTGTCTGACTGAGTTTTGTTACTAAATTTTTTCAACATCCTACTCCATACAGGAACTATCAGTCAATAACAGGTGACACGCAAGGTGCAATTTATTTGATATCCTTGACTAGTGGTTAAAAACGTGGGTTTTGGTATCAGATTGCCTGGGTTTAAGTCCCAACTCTACAGTTTAGAGACTGGGCAAAACAATTTGGTCAAGACGTTTAACTTTTTATGACTTCTCAAAAAGTTATTTTAAAAATTATGTAAAATATTCAATGTAATGAGGTTAGAATAATGTCTATATCCAACACATTATTGTTACTATTATTCATATTAAGGGTTTTCTGTTTAAAATATTTAGATAAAGGTTGACATATGATTTCCAATCTGAGAAAATCCCCATTTGTCTTCAGTTTCTTTTTTTAAATTTAAGAAAGGCTTTATGTTTTCATTGGGAGGATATGTGAGCAATTATTCTAGGAACCCTTGAATATGAAGACAAATTGGGTGGACCCATGAATGATTAGAGCTGGAGGAACTATTTTTGTGTTTAGTATACCACTTTATTGGATGTGCATATAATTGTGCTGTGTGGACAAAGAAGAGTGTTTATTTATTTGCCTTTTATGCATATACATATGCATATGGTACATATGGTGATGGGAGAAACTTGTCTAATTTGAAACTGTTCACCTCCTACTGTAAGATGGCATAGAATCTACGTCCAGTATCAAAAGTTATTATAATTGAATTGCTCAAACTTAAAGGGCAACTGTTAAAAGGTTTGCTTCCAAGGGAAATCAGCCTTTAAAAGGTAATTTAAAGTCAAAACAAAGGTCAGACTGGCAGAGGTACACATATCCACTTAGGGACAGATGGATTGAATCTGCACTTGCATTGGTAGCCAATTAGGTAAGTGAAAACTTCTGCTTTGAGTATTTTAGCTTTAAAAACTTGATATAACAGAAGTTTGATTATAGTAACTGAAATTGGAAGTGGAATTACAGTGCTGTATTATAACTGGAAACTGGAAATTGGTATGGCTCTTTGTTCCTCTCTAGAGTTTTAGTCTCCAGTTTGGTGGTGGGTAGCTAGTGAAGTTTGAATATACTGTATTACCAAAAAACCGTTATAGGCTGGGTGTGGTGGCTCATGCCTATAATTCTAGCTCTTTGGGAGGCCAAGGTGGGAGAATCACTTGAGCCTAGGAGTTCAAGACCAGCTTAGGCAACATATTGAGATCCCATCTCTATTATAAAAAAAGAAAAGAAAAGAAATTAAATTAAAAAATCAGTTATGTAAAAATTATGGGTTGGACACTGTGGCTTATGCCTGTAATTCTAACACTTTGGGAGACTAAGCCCAGATTCGTGCAAATTGCTTGAGCCCAGGAGTTTGAGACCAGCCTGGGCAACATGGTGAAACCTCGTCTCTTAAAAAAAAAATTAGCCAGGTGTAGTGATGTACACCTGTAGTCCCAGCTTGACCCCAGGAGATCGAGGCTGCAGTGGGTGATGGAGTGAGATCTTGCTCCTAAAAGTAATTATGGTAAACAGGAGGCTTATGGTTGAGCTCACACGAAGGTGAACAAATACTTCACTAATTACTGATGCATTTGTGAAAAATAATTGGGAAATAATATGGTGTAGTAGATCACCTTAAAACTCATTCTAGATCCCTTCAGCTCTCACTAGTTAATTAGTTAATTAAGTCAAATATTACTGAGGATCTACCATTTCCTGACATCTGGATGGAAAAGTAAAACATAGTGTGAATGATAATAGTGAGTAGCTCAGAAACTGGAGCCCAGAGGGAGATGAGAGCTGATCATGTGGAATGGGTCCACCTGCATAAAGTGATAGCTGCATCCACGGAAGTGACTGAAAACCCTCCACAGAGAATAAAGTGGAAGAAAAGAGGAGATATTAAAGGATGAAATATCAACACTTAGGGAAAGATAAGAGAAAAGCCAGCACTAATAGGACAAATAAATATCAGAGAAGTGGCAGAGAGCAGGGCTGTGGGAGAAAACTTTGAGGTTGAGGGAGTAAGGTTTCTGGTTCAAGGTGACAGATTGAAAATACATATATCTATTCTCCCTCCATAAATCCCATTAAAATAAAACTTAAAAGTACCAAAGGTAATAAATTTATAGTAGTTCTCAAATCAGGCAGAGACACATGCAAACTATTAATCTTGATTAGTTTCTGGAAGATAGAAAATATGTTACATATTAAGAAATGGAGAAGCAGGAGCGCAGCCTACAATTTGCACTCACAGAGGGCTGCGGTGAAGGTAGAAGTCATGCTGCCTGAGGCTGGTGCTTCCGAAGTTCTGCCAACCTGGAGATAAGACTTCCAGCTTTTGAAGAAGGCAGTGGCCAGAGGTCTAGGTGTATGGTTGTTCTCCAAACAGCTGTTCCTCGCTGTATGGGCTTAGCTTGCTCCCTGATTTCTGCTCACATGGTTTAAAAAGACTTGTGGGCTCAAAGCTTACAATCCATCTCTCCTATTGAAGAGCCTTGTGGGGAATAGGACTGCATGCTGGCAGAGAGAGCCCAGACTAGCAAAGTGTATCAACTAAACTAGCCCTCAGTTCATAACTTTAAATTGGCAAATATCATAACAGAGGAGAAATAATCTTATACACACACACATGCACGCACACACGCACACACATATACACACACACAGTACCAAGAAGAACGAATGAGTTATCACCGCACCCAGCCAATAAACAGATAATTTAGGACACAGAACATATCTATCTATCTATCTATCTATCTATCTATCTATCTATCTATCTATCTAAAATACCTATCTCTCTCTATATATAAATATATAAATAAATATATAAATATATAAAAATATAAATAAATATATAAATATATATATATAATAGTCATTATAAAAAAGAAGCAACCATAGAACTATAAAGACTTACTGGAAATTTAGGAATATGATGCCTGAAAATAAGGAAAATGGAAAATAAGTGCTGGGATAAAACCTGATGAAATCTCTTAGAAATTGGGATAAAAGAAAACTAGGAACATATAGAAGTAAAGTTTAAAGTCTTAGAAGATCCGTCGGGGAAAGCTAAGATCCTTCAAAAGGAGTTTAAGAAAGAGAGAAGAAAACAAAATATCCTAAAGAAATTATTAGAGAAATAATGAAAGAAAATTTATTTTTTAGCCACATGCATCTTCAGCTTGGAAAAAAACCACAGGATGAAGAGCATACAATTGAAGTAGAAAGACCACAGCTATACAGAGGCTCATGAAGGGTAAAGAGGAGATTTTTGAATGCTTCCACTTATTGCTTCCAATAAATGAGAATTCAACTTCTTATAAGAGATACCGTATGCTTGAAAACTGAGATCTGAGAAAAATATGACTACAACCTATAAGTAAACGCCCAGCCAAACTCTAAAGCAAGAGTTCAGGTAAAATAAGGACATTTTTGGGTATGTAAGCTATAGAAAATGTTACTACTCATTGATCATCCTCTGAAAGACTTGCTTATGTAATTTATCCAACAAAAAGAACAAAGGAACTCAAGAAAGAGGTAAAAAATGAGATCAATGAAACAGAGTACTTAATATATTGTGTATTGTGATTATGTAGCAGAGTATCTCTGTTTTATAGGAAATATAAACTAAAGTATTCAGAAATGATGGAACAAGAAGTCAGCAACTTTCTCTCAAATTGTTCAGGAAAAGATGCTTTGTATTGTATCTTCACCTTTTCTGTAACTGCATGATTATTTTGAAATAAAGATAATTTAAAAAATAAAATGGAGGGAAGAAATTGTAAAAGATAACAAGAAAAAAAAACAAAGTCACCTTTCAGTGAGTTCCACACCCTTCTATCTGAAATTCCACCCCCGTTCTCCATTCCTCAGCTCACCTTCCTAATATCAATCAACAATCGACTTATTATTATATATTTAATAGTTTATGTTTCTTGTCTTTTGCCTCTGACTCAACAACTGGTATAAACCTTTCATGAGGAACTCTGTTCACTGCTATATTTCCTGAACATGGAACACTGCCAACACATACTGACTTCTTGATAAATATTTGTTGAATGAACTGAAAACCTTATTATTACAAACAGTAGCAATAAGTAAAATGTCACTCTTCACAAAATATTATTACTAAAACTGCCACTACTCAATACTGCTTATTATTAGAGATTACCACATTTCACTGCAATTTTTACATCGAAAGAAATCCAGTTAAACACCAGTTGTAAGATTATTGTCCCCTGGGATGTTCTTGAAATTAAGATGTCTTTTGTAATCTATCCAAGGGAAAAGTATTTTAAATGCCAGTTTTCAATTTTAAGAGTATTGAGAAGGTGATCTGACACATCATTCTTTTTAATGAACAAGGTATAAATCAATTTTAAGATAAGTACCAAAAAATTTTTAAAAAGAAAAAATAATGCCAGAATATCAGTTATGCAGTTGGTCTAGAATGCAAATTAGAACAGGGAGTATGAGGGCTCCAGGAAGAATTTTGTCAAGGAGAAAAATAATTTCCTATCATAAAACATATGATTAAGAAGCTACGTGACCTTAATGACAAGGTGAACCCATAGCATTATGACAATAAATGAAGAAATAAAAGGATTATGCTGCCCCCACCCCTCTATTCATTATTTATGTGCTCTTTCCAACAGCAAGTTAATGACAAGGAAACCACCTCCACTCAGTGTCCAATCACACTACTTGATTCTGCAGGGAACTACATTTAAATAACTATAATATTGTAAAAGCTGGTTTTGGATATTTTCTTGTTTTTTGTTTGTGTTAAACTATAGACAAAGCAGAGTTACTTTTAGCTATAAGAAGACAAGTGTTATAAAATTGTGCATAATAAAATGTGAGATAATGCCTAAAATGGATAAGTCAAGAAATAAAGGTTATATTTTATTTGAAGACACAGATGAGCAAACAAAAACACTTAATAAATAAAAATATGCCTCTTAGAGCCTGGGGGTGTGAAAGTGTGGGGATAGGGAGGCGAAAAAGCAATTTAAGTCAGCAAAATTCTTCACTCTTCACAATAGAGGTAGTAGTGAGATCTAGTTTTAACTGATAAATAAATGAATGAAGATAAACATGATGGATATAACCACCAAAAGAAACAGAAATGTTTGTAACTGATTATCAGAAATTAGGAGTATGATTGAGAGCAAAGGACAGTTTATTTTTAATCTCGAATCCTCTCAGTTTGGATAGGAAATGTTAAATTACATACGATGCACACAGAAAAATGTCAGGCACAATGAGCACTGGCTATGAACATTGGTTTCCCCTACAAGTGGAAGGGAGGGATAGTGAGCAAAGGACTTTGTTACACTCTTCGTTAAACAATTTTCAATTACTTTTATTTTGCAATGAGTTATTTTGTTTTTGAATAAAATTATATACAATGATATGTATATGCTATTATAGAATAAGAAGGGGAACAGGCAACAGACTTCAATGCTGCAGTGAGGCTAAATCAGATAAAGAACCAAGATTTCATTGGATTTGGTAATTTGGAGGAGACCTAATGAGTGTAATTTTCGTAGAGTGTAGAGACAGAAGTAGAATTGCAGGGGAACTCTCTCCTCAATGAGAAGTGAAAAGGAGTAGGGGCAGCAGGTATGAATATAAGCTAATTTAAAGAAGTTTTGATGAACAAGGAAACAGAGAGCATGTGGAAGCTAAATAGCTGATATTTAAAGATTATGGTTACCTAAAGATCACTTAGATTGTAAAACAGGGTGTGTCATATCTTATAAATGAAAGGATCATGATATACAAAGAGCATTGAATGGTCATCTAAAGGTTTTCCAAGAAAAGATAATATCTGTATCTTTGTTCTCCTTTTCATTTTGGATGAGGCAAGCATCAAAAACATTTTCTTGGAGGCTTATTTTACAATTTTAAGGCTCTTCCTATCTCCCTCCCCTCAGCCCACCCTTTCAGAAATGCCTTTTGTAGACACTCACTACAGAGGCTTCTGAATCTATTAAGACATAATTATGTTTCTATATGGTAAATGTTTGAGGCATACTTGACTATATCCTTCTACCCATACATATTTCTAAAAATGCAGGGAAGTATCAGTGGGCTTTTTTTCATTTGATAAAGTTATGTCATATTAAGCTTTGGTCGTTAGCCGTTATGACAAATATGCCAAATTGATAAACCATCTATCTTTGCCATCCAGAAATTATTGAATGAAAGTTGATTGTCCTTAATAACTAGGTCATTTCCTTTGGTGAATTCAAGGCACCTCAGTCATTTCAATTCATTTTTTTGGGCCAGATCCCAATTTGTTTTTTTTTTTTAATTTTCAATTTTTTTTTTTTTCCAAGACGGAGTCTTGCTCTTTCACCCAGGCTGGAGTGCAGTGGCACAATCTAGGCTCACTGCAACCTCCGCCTCCCGGGTTCAAGCAATTCTCCTGCCTCAGCCTCCTGAGTAGCTGGGATTACAGGTGCCCGCCACTGTGCCTGGGTCATTTTTGTATTTTTAGTAGAGATGGGGTTTCACCATGTTGGCCAGGCTGGTCTCGAACTCCTGACCTCGTGATCCACCTGCCTCGGCCTCCCAAAGTGCTGGGATTACAGGTGTGAGCCACCGCACCCGGCCCCAATTTTTCAATTTTTAAAAATTGACATAAAATTATATGTAATTAGGGTGCGAAACATAAAATTTTGATATATGCATACATTGTAGTATGACTAAAAGCTAATTAATATACTCCTTATGTCATATACTTATCATTTTTGTGTGAAAAGTGTTTAAAATTCACACTTTTAATAATTTTGAAGTATACAATACATTGTTTTATTAACTGTAATCACCATGTTGTACAACATATCTCCTCAACTCATTCCTCCTGTCAAACTGAGATTTTATATCCTTTGACCAACATCTGTCTAATCCACCTCTCTGTCCCCAGCCCGTGGTAACCTCCATTCTCCTCTGCTTCTATGAGTTCATCTTTCAGATTTACATATAAATGAGATCATGCAGTCAGATACCCACTTGTGCAGCCAGATAGGGTCCAGGGAAATAATCCGAACTCATTTTATGTTGCCCTCTATCCTCTGTTCTAACTTTTTCTTTATCCTCTGTGCCATTCCTCAACTTATTTACATCAGGTATCCTAATGTACTTAGTATCTTGCCCAGTGCCTCTGCAACCCAGCTTCCAGCAAACATAATCTTGAGAAAGATTCAGAGAAATTCATCCAATCTAAATGAAGCCAGTACAATGTCTGGCCACATTAGGCTTTCGATAAACATTGAATGCATGCATGAGATGTAAATGCTAATAATGCTTCTTCTGTCTATTGATTGTTGGGTAGCAAACTACCACAACACTGAGTAGAAAAAGAACCATTTTAATATGCTCACAGATTCTGAGGCTCAAGAATTCAGTAAGGTACGAAAGGACAGCTCTTCTCTTCTCCATATGTTTGGGGCTTCAGCTGAGATGACTCAAAATAGCTGGGTGACTCCAGTGGCAGAGCTGGGACAGCTGGGACTTGGCGGTGCCCCCTGAAGATGATGCTTGCCTCCCCTCACATGTCTGGTATGTGACTTGGGATGACTGAGGGTCAGGTTCACCTGGGATGGCCAACAAGAGTGCCTACATACGGCTTCTCCAGTATGGTGGCCTCAGGGTGGCAGCATTTCTTACACAGCAACTCCAAGGTGCTCTAAGAGTGACTGTTCTCTGAGTCCAAAGTGGATGTTGCAGGGTCTCTTATTATCTAGTCTTGGGACTCACATAGCATCATATCCAACATACTTTATTGGTTAAAGCAGTCAAAGTGTTTATCATAACTTAAGAAGGGCCAGAGACCCCTTCTCAATGAGAAGAGTATCCGCAAATTTCTGCCTGTGGTTAAAACAATCATGATGCTTAATCAGTTGCCTAAGATGGTTTGCCTCTTTACAGAAGACAGGAAGTGAAAAAAGCAAATAGAGAATAGTAGAATTTCAGGCATCTGCAAGCAGGTAGAAAAAGTAATTTTAGGGAAGGGACTGTTTTAGTGATGCATAAATGACTCAAGAAAATGTCAAGATGACTCTCTTTAGGATTTTAGTATGGTTTTACCTATTGAACTTTTCCGGAATAACGAAAGTATTGTAATACCAACTTCTCTGTTTCTTTATGCATTTTTAAATGTTTCTTCAGGAAGTAGAGGAGGAGACAGGAAAGAAACTAACTTTGATTGAATTCCTCCTGTGTTCCAAGAACCCAAGGAGTGCTTTTGCAGTTTATGTGTGTGTTAATCAATGCTGCCAATAACTCCAGCACAGAATCTGAACAAGAATGTATGGAGTAAGCTTACACATACCGTCAAATATCTTTAGGAAAATAATGAAGTTAAAATGTCTTTGGATTTAATGAAAAAAAAAAACAAGTTATAATCTAAAATGTGTATACATATGTACATTATTTGGGGCCAGGAGCAGTGGCTCATGCCTGTAATCCCAGCACTTTGGGAGGCTGGGTCTACACAGGGTCAGGATCATAAATATCACTCACTTTTGCTCATCTTGTCCCACAGGAAGGTCTTCAGGGGCAATAACACTCATGGAACTGTCATCTTCTGTGATAACAATGCCTTCTTTTGGAACACCTTCTGAAGGATTTTCCTGAGGCTGTTTTGCAGTTAATCTTTCTTATTTCTTTTAAATAAGCAGGAGTACAATCTAAAATAATGACAAAAAGGATAGTATAGTGAATACATAAACCAGTAACATAGTCATTTATTATGATTATCAAGGATTATGTATTATACTTAATTGTATCTTCTGGACTTTTTAAAGGCTAGTAGTACAATAGTTTGTTTACATGGGCATCACCAGAAACATGTGAGTAATGTGTTGTGTGACTGTGTCACTAGGTGATGTCACTAGTCACTAGGCGACAGGAATTTTTCAGCTCCATTATACCCTTACAGGACCATCGTCATATATGCAGTCTGTTGTTGACTGAAATGTCATTATGTGGCACATGACTATAAACCAGTGGTCACACTGTAGGATTTTTCTTCAAATTGACTAGGCTATCCCCTAGTCAGGAGACTACAAGCCTGTGAACTCTCTCAGGGAAGAAGGAAAACCCTTGAGTCTCCACTTGGATGCTTCAAGTAAGGTCTCTTCCTAGCAGACCTAGAATTTTTCCATTTATGTATCTTCATAGACTGGTCAAGCAGCATCTTCATAGACTGGTCAACTATTTCACTTCTACAGACCCAGAGATTAACTTGCCACCACCACATATTTCTCAGGTCAAACAGTCTTATTACTTTCTAACACTAGAGTTGATTATGGTTATTTTTCACACTTCGTCTCTGACAAAGCACCATCCTTGGCCTCTTTTACATAGGAATCTTGTCATTACCACTGATATCAGGGAAGCCAGCTCCATTGTAGCATCCTTCAGCATCATCTTTAGTACACAGAGAATGGCTACTGCAGAGTTCTTCCAGGTGCTGTTGCCTTCACCTATTGTGTTAAAGGAATGCTTGGTTAAGGAAATAGCCTTCAGGAACTCTCAGATAGGTATGGTTAAGTGCTAGCAGTGGTATAGGAAAATACTGAGTCAACATTGTACATTTCTAAGGAGAGCTAGTGAGCAGTTATACAAGAAAGTTATACTTGTTATCAGTTTTCAACCTCCTTCCACTGCAGAGTTTATAAAGATTAACAAGAATTTAGCAACTATTTATTGAACACTTACTGTGTACCAAGCACTGTGCCATGTGCTGGAGATTACAAATAGAATAAAATGTGGCTCCTACATCGTGAGTCTCATGAGGGGCTTATTTGCTATATTGTGGATTCTGCAGATCATAGAATGTGTAAAATCGGTTGGCCCCAACATAGTTAACAATTTAAGGACATCACTTCTTTCTTTTCTCATAATGTGTGAAACTTACAAGGTGAGAGTTTTTTTTCTCCCTCATCGCTATGTTTTATTTCTCCTTTTCTTTGGTGTCATGCTGGCTTTTATCAAATTATTAAGAACCACTGTTTGAACTTGCAATTATGACACTGTTAAATGCCATTAGCTCATCTTGTTTTTAACTACCTAAACCAATAAATCTGACATAGTCTGTGGATCTAGGAACTTGTAAAATCTCTTTATTTCTATGGATTTGAAATTCAAAAAACATAAAAAAAAACACCTTTCTAAATGTCTTTGCATTTGCCTTCTAGTTCCCTAGCAACTGTGAGGTAGACAGATGGCAGGATGGCCTCAGTTTGGGGCCATGTTCATATGATCATAAATCAATTATTTTTTAAAAATAAAAAATATTTCTTGAGAGCTATACCTAGTGATAGAAACTAAAGGATGCTTTTTTCTTCTTTGTATATAACCTTAATGCTTTTCTGTAGGTGTTCTGATTACTTCCCAAATAGCCACTAATATGTCTATATTTTTGTTCTAAATTCTTTGTCTGATATACTGACTTTAGTTAAGAGAAAATAAAAGTAATAAGGATAGATAATTTTCTTTCATCAATAATATCTATACCTTTTTTCTGAGAATCGCTATAGCTAGAATTGAAAGCAAATATCACAGGCTCTCTTTAGCACTTCGAATGGTAACTGATAACATGACTTAATTTGTATCTTATTCTCTGTCTCTGTCTCTCTTTTTCCTCTTCATCTCAGAGACCATCTGGCAGGAAATATTGTTAAATTGCCACATCCTCATGTTATTTATAGTAAAGCTCTAACCTGTAGTCATCTGGCTTGGTATTTGATAAGTAAATTCCAATTTTGAGACTTCCAGGAAAAAAATAACCAATTTCTCTAATAAAAATTTTACCTCTTACATATCAAATGCTCTTGCTTTCATATCATTGCCTTTTATGGACTTAAGTTAAATCTATCTTGAAACCCAGCCATGAAATGTCAGCAATGATTTTAAATTCTGGACAATGTCTGACTTTCCCTTTCCTGATGCAATGACCCTTGGGCTCCTGGACTAATTTTACTGGTGGAAGAATTTTTGGGGAAGGGATGTTAAAAAAATGAGGAAGGAAAATAATTAGGTAATATTTCAAAATAATATACTACTACATAAACCCATGCCTTATAATGTTGGGATAGAAAGTAGAATATAATATTACTCTATATAAAGGAATCTTGGGGCCTCTGTATTAGTTATCTAATGCTGTGTGACAAGTCAGCCCAAAACTTAGAGGCTAAAAGAACTGAACATTTATTATCTTTTATGGTTCCTGTGAGTCGAATTTGGGAGTAGCTTGGCTGGGCAGTTCTGGCTCTGTGATGTCTCATGAGGTTGTGGTCATCTGTCAGCTGAGACCGAAGTTATCTAAAGTTTTAACTAGACTGGAGGATCCATATCAAAGGTTGCTTTCTCACATGACCTACAGGCTGGTGCTGGCTGTTGGTAGGAGGTCTCAGTTTCTCTCCATGTGAGTGTTTCCATTGGGCTACTTGAGTGTCTTTAAGATATGATGACTGTGTTTTCTTGGAGCAATCCAATAGGTCAGAGTCAAAGCTGCAATACCTTTTATGACTTAACTTTGGAAGTCATACATAGTTACTTTTACAGTATTCTGAAGATTGAGTCAATATGGGAAGGGAATACACAATGAAGTGAATACCAATGGAGTCTGCATTTTCACCTTCAATGGTCACATCTCTTCCAAATAGAAAATACATTTCATCCTCTCCCAAGAATCCTCAGTTTCTTCTTATTACAATATCAGCTTGAGGACTAGGTTCTCGTCATCTAAATCAGGTCCAAGTGCACATGAAGCTCCTTATGTGTGTTTCTTCAAGTACAGCTCTTCAAACACAATTCCTATCCCTCTGAAGACCTGTGAAGTAAAGAAATTATTTGCATCTCAAATCCACTCAAAATACAATAATGGAAGAGGAATAAGAAAAGTACTAGGAACTTTTCCATTCAAAAAAGGGGAAAGTGGGAGGCACATAGGAAACATTGGTCCATAATAATTCTGAAATCCAGCAGGATATATGCTAGCACTTCCTTGATAAGCTCTCATTCCTATGAGCTCTGGGAATGAGTCCCACTGTGCTCTTGGCTTTACTCCCTAGGTTCTTTTATTCTCTGAGTCATCCTTCCTTCCTATTGCCGATAAAAGGTAGCCTGTGTTTTTTTGTTTTTTGTTTGTTTGTTTGTTTGTTGTTGTTGTTTGTTTTTCGAGATGGAGTCTTGCTCTGTCACCCAGGCTGGAGTGTAATGGTGCAATCTCGGTTCACTGCAACCTCCACCTCCCAGTTTCTAGTGATTCGTCTTCCCCAGTCTCCCAAGTAGCTGGGACTACAGGTGTGTGCCACCACACCCGGCTAATTTTTGTTTTTTTAGTAGAGATGGGATTTCACCATGTTGGCCAGGCTGATCTTGAACTCCTGACCTCAAATGATCCACCCACGTCAGCATCCCAATGTGCTGGGATTACAGGTGTGAGCCACTGTGCCCGGCCTAGCCTGTGTTTTAAGCGAGTAGTTTTCTCAGCCTGTTTTCTGCTTGTAGCTATTTTGGGGTCTAAAAGGTCCTTTTCATTTTATCTTTCTTTCTGTTAATGTGGTGTGCCATATTTACTGATTTGCATATATTAAACCATCCTTGCATCCATGGGATGAATCTGACTTTGTCATTGTAAATGATCTTTTAAATGTGCTCCTGGATTCAGTTTACTAGTATCTTGTTGAGAATTTTTACATCTATGTTCATCAGGAATATTGGCCTATAGTTTTCTTTTTGTTGTTGTTGAGTCCTTATCCAGTTTTGAAATCAACATAAATCTGGCCTGATAAAATGAGTTTGGAAGTTTTCCTTCCTCTTCAATTTTCTGGAATAGTTTGAGAAGCACTGGTAGTAGTTCTTCTTTAGAACTAATTAAGCAGTGAAGTTATCAGATCCTTGGTTTTTCTTTGATTCGAGACTTTTTATTATTTTTATTTTTATTTTTTAGCTGCACCAAAGGCATATCCTAGCTTTATTAAAGGTCCTGCGCCACAGAGTCAACATAAAAACACAAAAAGTCTCATCGGTTTAATAACAATGAAGAACCCCAAAAATGGAAAACGAAGGGGGCAGGGGAAGAGACCTGCTCATGGCACTGAGCCTGGCCACAGGGTCCGCTGGTATTGCTCTTGCTATGAGGTCGGGGGGACAGTGATTGTCCTGAGCCACCATTCACCTGGGTCAAGGACCCTCACTTCTTCTGGGGTGTGCTCAGCTTCTGCATGCCCCGGATCTTGTCCAGCAGGTCAGGGATGAAGGCCTCGGTGGGTTTGTAACAGTCAACCAGCAGCTCCTCGACCCTGGCAGCCTGGGCATCCTCACTCTCCATGTCCAGGAGTTCATCCACGTCAATCTCCAGTTCTGGGATCTCCTTTTCCTGGCAGTCGGGGAGTTGTGTCAGCTGCTCCATGATCCACTCCTCCAGGTTGAGGCACTTTGTAGCTCCTTGTGGTAATACTTGATGGTGACCTTCCCTTGGCGCCTCACTGGGCCCTTATCGTCTGTGCCGCCCGGGCCTCCTCCTGCGGCCCTGGGGGGTGGGCTCTGAAAGTAAACACGTGGTCCTGAGCCACCACTGCCCCGCCCTGGGGCCAGGGCCGCCGTCTGCCATGGCGGCTGCCAGGGCCATGTACGTGCATCAGTCCCCTCACTGTGTCTGGACGCCAGCTGCCTGGCTCCTGGTGGCTGGCCCGGGTTAGCCTGCTGGCTCCGCTCTGCGCAGCTCCACGGAGATTACAGTGGGGGTGCTGGGGGACAGCTGCAGCATGCGGAGCCCCCAGGTCTGCCCTTGCTGCGCCCCTGACTTTTTATTACAGAATCAATTTTCTCACTCTTTGGTCTGTTCAGATTTTCTATTTTTTTGATAATTTAATCTGAGTATGTTGTAATCCAGGAACTTATCCATTTCTTCTATGTTATCAAATTTGTTGGAGTATAGTTGTTCACAATAATTCCTTATGTGTCTTTGTATTTCTGTGGTATCAATTGTAATGTCTAATTTTTAATCTTTTATTTTTTTGGGGTATTTTTTTCTCAGTCTAGTTAAAGTTTCTCAATTTTGTTTTTTTAAACAAACATTTCTTTTTGTTGATCTTTTTAAAAATTAAAATTTTAAGTTCAGGAGTACACGTGCAGGTTTGTTACATAGATAAACGTGTCATGGGGATTTGTTGTACAGATTATTTTTCACCTAGGTATTAAGCCTAGTACTCAATAGCTATTTTTCCGGATCCTCTGCCTCCTCCCACCCTCCACCCTTCCATATGACGTGATGTGTGTTGTTCCCCTTGATGTGTCCATGTGTTCTCATCATTTAGCTCCCACTTATAAGTGAGAACATGCAGTATTTGGTTTTCTGTTTCTGTGTTACTTTACTAAGGATAATGGCCTCCAGCTCCATCTAGTTCCTGTAAAGGACATGATCTCATTTTTTTTATGGCTGCATAGTATTCCATGTTGTAAATGTACCAAATTTTTAAAAAATTGAGATGGAGTCTTACTTTATCACCCAGGCTGGAGTGCAGTGATGCAATCTTGACTCACTGCAACCTCTGTCTCCTGGGTTCAAGCAATTCTCCTGCCTCAGCCTCCTCAGTAGCTGGGATTACAGGCATGTGCCACCACGCTTGGATAATTTTTGCATTTTTAGTAGAGACGGGATTTTGCCATGTTGGCCAGGCTGGTCTTGAACTCCTGACCTTAGGTGATCTGCCTGCCTCAGCCTCCCAAAATGCTGGGATTATAGGCGTGAGCCACCGCACCTGGCCTGCACCACATTTTCTTTATCCAGTCTACCATTGATGGGTATTATGTTGATGGCATATCTTTGCTATTGTGAATAGTGCTGCAATGAACGTATGTGTGCATGTGTCTTTATGATAGAATGATTTCTATTCCTTTGGGTATATTCTTAGTAAGGGTATTGTTGAAAGTGGGCTGTTGAAGTCCCCTACTATAATTGCATCTCAGTTTCTCTCTCCTTTTAGGTCTAATAATATTTGCTTTATATATATGGGTGCTCCAGTTTGGGTGCATATATATTTATAATTGTTATATCATCTTGTTGAACTGATCTCCTTATCATTAAAGAATAACCTTTGCCTCTTTTTACTATATGTTACTGAAATTCTATTTTATCATATATAAATATGACTATTCCTTCTTGCTTTTAATTTGTGTTTGTATGGGATCTTCTTCCACCCCTTTATTTTTAGTCTGTTTGTCTTTACTGCTAAGGTGAGTCTCTTGCAGGCAGAATATAGTTGGGTCTAGTTTTTTTTATTCATGCAGCTACTCTATATTTTTTAATTGAAGAATTTAAACCATTTACATTAAAGATTATTGTTAGATAAGAACTTACTCCTGCCATTTTGTTAATTGTTTTATTGTTGTTTAATAGATTCTTTACTCCCACTTTTTATTTTGTTGTATACCTTTGTGGTTTGGTGTGAAGCTTTCTCCTTCCTCTTTCTTGTTTATTTGCTATAATTGCTTTCTTTGTGGTTATCACTGGGCTAACATAAAGAGTCTTGCCAAAATAGACTATTTTAAGCTGATAGCAACTTAACCTTGGTCACATAAAAATTCTCTGGACATTTTCCTCCTTTCAATTTAAATTTTAATTGCCTAATTTTTCTCTCTATTATATGTTCCCTAGCCACTAATTGTAACTGTTGTTGTCGTTGACCACTTTTACTTCAAACCTTTATATCAGAGAATTGAGAGATTTATATAGCACCATTATATCACTGTGATATTCTGAGTTTGATTTATGAACTGGTTGCTACTGGTGAGCTTTATACCTTCACGTGTTTTCATGGTAGTAATTATTGTCCTTCCATTTTCAGTTGTAGCACTCCCTTAAGCATTTCTTGTAGGGTTAGTCTAATGGTGATGAATTCTCTCAGGCTTTGTTTTTCTGTAAAGGTCTTTATTTCTCTTTTATTTCTGAATAGTTGTGTTGGATATAGTATTCTTGACTGAAAGAATTTATTTGTTAAACTCTCTTTTACTACATCATTCACTCTCTTGGCCTGCAAGTTTTCTGCTAAGAAATCTGCTAATAGTCTCACGGAGATCCCCTTCTATATCACTTGATGCTTTTCCCTTGCAGCTTTTAGAATTATCTCTTTGTCTTTGACTTTCGACAGTTTGATTATAATATGCCTCAGAGAGGATTTTTTGGAAGTTGAATCTAATTGAGGAGCTTTGAGTTTCTAGAATCTGGATGTTTGTATATCTTCCAATATGTGGGAAGTTTTCAGCTATTATTTCATTAAATAGGTTTTCTGTGACTTTCTTTATTTCTTCTCCCTCTAAAACTACTATAATGAGAAAGTTTGTGTGATTAAGGGTATCCCATAAGCCCCATAGGCTTTTTAAATTCTCTTCTATTCTTATTTTATGTTGTCCCTTCTGAGTTATTTCAAATGATCTGTTTAAGTTCAGAAATTCATTATTCTGTTTAGTCTGTTGCTAAAGCTCTCAATTGTAGTTTTTATTTCATTAACTGATTTTTTTCAGCTCTGATGTTTCTGTTTGGTTCTTTTTTCATGTAATATCTATCTCTTTGTTAAAATTCTCATTCAGATAATGAATTGCTTTTCTGATTGCATTGAAATATTTGTATTCTCTTGTATCTCACTGAGTTTTATTAAGATCATTAATTTGAAATTTTTCAGGCATTTTGTTAATATCCTTTTTTTTGGAGTCTGCTACTAAGGATTTACTGTGTTTATTTGTTTTGGGGGGCTGTCATGCATGCTTCCTTGGTTCTTCATATTTCTTATGTCCCTACATTGATCCGTGTATCTAGTAGAATAGTTTCTTTTTCCAATTTGTGAATTAATTGTCCTAGGGATAGACTTCTTCCTGTAGACACTTTCTAGAGTTTTAGTGAGGTACGGTGCATTGACTTTGGTTTTGGGTGAGTCAGTAACATGGACTCCATGAAGTTTCTTCAGCTGTAATCACTGTCAGTAATTTCTGTGATTGCCTTACTGGTCTAGGCTGCATGAGTTTATGATGGTGTTGGTGTAGTTTTGCTGTAGGTGGGAGTGCTGAGCTGGTTGTTGGGTTGGGTATGTGTAGGCACAATGGGCCAAGAGGCTCTGTCAGGCTTTCCAGGGAGGTGGAGTTCATTACTGGGATAGCTGTGAGACTGAGCTGAGCCATGTGTAGACACGGCAAGGCTGGGAGGTCCTACGGTAGTCTGTCTAGGGGTGGGCCACTCTCAGACAAGCTATTGTGCCAGGCATGGGTTTGTGTGAGTACAGCGAGGTGGGAAGTCCTGTGGCTATCTGCCTGTAGAGGCAGCATTGCTGCGGGACCAGCTACTGGGTTAAGTGAAGGTTCATGCTGGTGTAGTGGAACCTGAAGTTTTGCAGCAGTATGTGTGCAAGGATGGCTCTTCCACCATACCAGCTGTCAGGCCAAGAATGGATTCAGTGTGAGTGTAGTGGAGCGGAGGGCTTGCAACAGCCTGTCAGGGAAGCAGAGCCGCTGCAGAACTGGCAGTCAGGTTAGGTGTGGGTGCACATGAACTTGCCGTCCAGCCAGGTGTACAACATGAGTTCATGTGGGCAGGGCATTGAGCTAGCTGCATGGTAGTATTCTCACTGCACAGGTATACCTGTTCCCTTAGGGGTGATGTGCTGTATGGACTTGAGCACCAGAGTCTTGGTTGTTCATATGGTCTGGAATCCAGGTAGCCACGGTTGTGGTACTACAGGCACCCATGTGAATGTGACAGAATGATCATGGAGCCTCAGGGATGGAGAGAGTCCATTGCTACAACCTCCCAGGACAGGACACACTCTAGCCACTCTAGCAGTTAGCCATCCTTAACAGCCTAGGGGCTCAGTGTAGGCTCCTACTCTGCAGCAGTGTACTTGTGTGAAATTTTGGATACTCTTCAAATTGGATTTAGGGCCTATGAGGACTGGGGGATTCTCCTGTAGCAAGGATTGCTGGCATTTGTGGCAGCAATAGGGACTGCTGGGGATATCCAACTTACATTTTCCCTGTAAGAAGCTACCCTGACTGCAAACCAGTCCTGGTGAAGGAGACAGTGTGGCAGAGGCAGAATATCTCACTTCCTTCCTGATGGTTCTGTCCTGGGCTTCTGTGCTCCACAGGGATTTTGCTATTTCCCTGGTGCTTTTCAGCATACTTCCTAAGTCTCACTAGTCAAAACATTTTTATTTATTTTGTTGTTTTGGTCTGTTTTTCTTGGTGGGAGGTGTCAGGTAACTCTAACATCACTCCTCCCATTTCATTTTTGATTTACATAGAGTTGTTACAATGTCCTAACTGATATTTACCCTCTTCCTATTCTCTTCAGTGTTAAAGGTTTATCCTTTAGTATCATTTTATTGGGGTCTCTAGGGGGAGAAAAGAATTATGTTCAGCTCAGTTGCCATCTCAAACCAGAACTTTTTTTCACTTTTTCCAATTTTAAATTAAAAGGAATTATCTGCTCTTGGGTTTCCATATAGATTATGAAACATTTACTTATTAAACATGCTAATTATTTTGGGGGGAAAATAGTGAATTATAGTTCCATGTCATATGCCTCTGCCATAGAATTAGGTGATCTCCATCGCTAAGTCTAAAACTTGTATGTCTTTAAATATTGGTAATTGGCAAACATATAAATATATCACTAAACTCTTCTTTATCTATTTCCTCTTGTGACTGTAATTTAATTTATTAAAATGTTACAACACAAAAATCTCCACAAAAACATGCAAAATGACAAATGTGTAATATCTTAATGCTATGTGGATCCAGATGTATCTAAGACACAAAGAGCTAATGAGAGGTAATAAACATTTATCTCCAGTTAAAGGGCTAATATTGGACAAAACTTAGAAGGTTCAATTCAAATAAGCGTTCAAGTGCTTGGCTGCTGATCCCAAACTTTATCTGAACCCTCTGAACCTCTCAAGTCTTGAAAACTGGGCTGGACATCTTATGAGAACAACTTCATCTAGGGTATTTGGGTATGTTTGCTTCCAGCTGGAACCCAAAACTGCAGAGAGAGGCACAAATGAAGAAAAATTGAGGGAAACTCTGAAGTTTCTCAAACCTCAGAAAGAGACTTTGATTAAATTTGGAGGAAAGGTTAGCGATTAAGAGCAGTTTCTATTTTAGCTGGCTGCATTCATCTACCTTTAAAAATTATATTTTAATCTTCCAAATGAGAGGTCATTAATATTAGTTTGTTTTCGGTTGGGCAATATAGTGAAACATTCTTTAAAACAGTGAATTTCTGCTTGTTTTACATGTCTCAAGTAAGAATTTGACAGCAGATAATTGCTCCAGAACGGCAGAGTGCATATTACTGATCATTAACACGTGCCTAGGTGTGGTTTTAGGCACCAAACCAAATGGAGCCTTATGTCAAGTTAAAGGAACACCATTAAGATATAGTCCATTGTAAGCATGGAGAGTAAACAGGAGTAAACTACTTTCTATTGTATTTTCTTTATCAATTCTGTGAGGAGAACATATATTCAAAATATATTTTATTTATTTTCTCTTTCTTTTTTTCAGTTTTATTTCACTTTAAATATGCCAATTATACTTGAGGAATCATGGTCATAAAAATATGTATATATAGAAAACTGATATTTGTTAATTGCCTGCTGTGTACTAACTATGTGTGTATAATCTCACAGCAACTCTAAGAGGTAAATATTATTCTACAAATTTCACAAGGACGGAGGTTCAGAGGTTATTGATTTGCTTAAGCTTGCACAGTTAGTGTGATGGCTAATTTTATGTGTCAATTTAGCTGGGCCATGGAGCACAGATATTTGGTCAAGCATTATTCTGAATATTTCTGTGAAATTCACTTTTAAATCAATAGATATTGAGTAAAAGAGATTGCTCTCTGTATTGTGAGTGGGTCTCCACCAATCAGTTGGAAGTCCTGAAGAGAGCAAAAACTTAACCATCCCTAAGCAAGAGGGAATTCTCCCAGCAGACTGCATTTGGACTTTCTCTGCAACACTGGATCTTCTTGGTTCTACAGCAGAATTGCCTTTGGTCTTAAACTGCAACTCTTTCCTGTATCTCTAGCCTGCCTGCCTCCTTGTTGATTTTGGATTCATCAAGCCAAAATCATATATAGTCATATAATCCCATTCTTTTAAATAAATCTCTTTCTATATATATGTGCATGTATCCTATTGGCTCATGTTCCTCTGGAGAACATAGATGAATACAGCTAGTAAATGGGAAAGTCAAGGTTCAGATCTAGTTCTGTTGATTTCAGAGCACTACACCAAATTTCATTTTATATAAACACTTCTTTCATATTGGCTTACTGAGTTGTAATTCAATTTGTTACTGTATATTCACATTTATGTTCATATACACACATGCACACCTGTATACGTGTTAATGTATAGTATTGAGTGTGGCCTTGTTTACACATGAATAAGACACAATTTCAGGTTTTGCTATGAAACTCTAAAGAGAATGATAAATTTTAACCTCAACATGTAATCTTGTGAAGACAGATTCACTTCACCATATTTACTATTGTATAATTGTAATATTTACCTCCTATAGTATTATTTTTGCTGTATATATCCCTAAAATCTGCTGAAATTCTAATAACTGATGACATTTTTATAAATTATCCCAAAGTTTTGGTTTTACTGAAGATACTTTTCTAATTTTTACTGTTAAAATAATTGTAATTCTATTTAATTATTCAGTTTTCATTTACTCATGACTAGCAACTGAAACATCTAAAACAAAATAACTATATAAAACTATAAAATGAAACAACAGTAGCATTGAAGAATTACATGTAAATTCTTCATGTAAACTTTTACCATATTAATTTATAGTTTTTTTAAGTTTATAGCTTTTACCTTTTTAATGTATAATGTTACCTGGTATATTTAATCTTCTATTTCTTTCTAATGCAGCTACTTGCTCATTTGGACAAAAAATGGACCAGGCTTCCAATGATTAATTAACACATGTACAATGATTCCTACTGAGAGTCAGGAAACTTGATCTTAGCATCAATAATATTCATCTCTGTATGCTAGTTGTGAAAAAAGAATTATGTTCTGAAGACATTATATTTATCATTCTTCTTCAAGCCATATAAGCAACATATAACTTTGTAAATATTAAGGTCAAAAGAAACATATGTCTATAATTTATTGGCGTTGTCTCTAAAGGTGATCTCTCATCCATGTTCCTATAAACCCTTGGGTAAGGCAGGAACAGAGTCTATGAAATTCAGGATTATGAGCCATCTTTTTTAAACAAAATCCTTTATTGATGAAACATAGCTCACAATCAAAATCTTACCCTTGAAAATGATTGTAAATTATTCAGTTACATTCCTTTATTTTGTAGATGGGGAAACTGTGGCCCAGGTAAGTTAAATGACCAACCCTGATGACTCAGCTGGACTAAAACAAGTTTGCCTGATGTCTAGTGCGTGTTATATCTTCCCTTGAACATGTGACTTTCCTTATGAGAATAGTCCTAAGAAATTCCAAAATATATTTCTACATTACTTGGGGCGCTCAGAATGTGAAGAGTGAACTTTTAATATATGACTAAATCACTTATTAGCATGTTCCTATTCAGCATCAGAGCTTTCTACGGTAACCACTCGTGTGTGCTAATTTTAAGGCTTTAGTGTTCAACAGCTAAATGAAGCTACTGGCAGCTTTTTTGGTGTGTTTTTAAGCATTTTAAGGTATTAGGAACTAGGACATCCCAGAAATTCTGTCTTTCTTTCTTTGATGTAAACCTCCCTTATTTAGTTCTTCTTTTAGGTGTTAATCTCTTAATATGGGACTGCCCTTTGCATTGGGGTTCCTTTTTATAAAAGCTATCCATCTTTTTCTTTTTGTCTTCTAAGCGATAACACAAATGAGGTGCAAAACCTCCTCCTCTCATGTTTTGTTATTATTCTAAACTGCAAGTCAATATCGTCTGGAACATAATCAAATTTTATTTTCATTGCCATAATAATCAACTGTTTCCAGGGATTTCAACATTTTTTCCTGGCTTCACCCTATTGCTAAAAGGGAATTGTTCTTTTACAATGACTGCCTGTCATGCTTAATCACAGTTTTTTTATAGTGTGAGATTCATAAAAGAACAGGAAGACAGTTAAACATTATAGAATTTCCTCATTTGTCCTCTTCCTCCTTAACCTGTAAAGATAAAAGAAAATCATGAGTATGTTTGATAAAATGTACTGACAATAAGAGTGACATGAAAAATCTCATTATTATTATTACTTTTTATTATGACAAAATTTTATTGCATATTTTGGTTTAGGCCCTGTTTCCACATGGGTCTGCCCATTGCTAGTGTGGAACTCTAGAAGGAATATGGTCTTTGGAAATGAATTTTAACTTTGCCACAAGCCAGCTGTGTGAGCTTGGGTAAGTCACTTACCTAGTCAAGGTCACAGTTTCTTAATTTATAAAACTGTTGGCAATAATGCTTTTATTTCATGGTCATTGTTAAGTATTAAATGATTTAATGTACATGTGATATAATGATATAATGAAAGGATGTAGGTATGATGAGCCTGGCACATTGCAGGACTCTGTAAGTATTAATTTCATTTTCATTTTAATCTTTACTACTGCCTGTAATTTTAGGATTTATGACTCTGGTCCAATATGGGCCACCCACCTGAAGGCCTTCTAGTCAATCTCTCATAGTCTTTGTACACTGACAGGTGGAAGCTATTAGGGCCAAATTATATGCTTGAAAATGAATAAGTTTATGCTTATTGTCCCTAATTAATTTCTTCTTCCATTAAATTATTATAATGCTTAGGATTAATTAATTTACTCTGCTAAATTTACCATAGTGAAAGAATTCTGTGATTGCTACCACAGGAAAGCTCTCTAGTGAGGTTAGAAGATGGTTAGGCAGTTTTGTTTGCTTAAGAAAAATGAGCAAGAAAATTTTGCATAATGCCTTTTGGAGCAGTCTTATTCTTCATAATTGCCTGAGATATTTCAAGGTGCTTTGCTATAAATCTGAAGACTTAAAAACATTGTTTTACAGTCTGGCCCACTAAGAATAATGACCTCTCCTGTTCCTTGTTTTTCTGGGTGATTAAGGGTTTCCTGACTGGCCCCAGGCCATCTGCCATGACTATTTTTTTTTCTTCAGATTTAGAACCATAATGTCAAAAATAATCTCTTACTCTGAGAGATTTTGCTAGCCCCAGAAGATAGAAAGTGTTTGCTGCGTGTGCTCCAACACCACATGAAAAATTGTGCAAATGATGGTTCTTGTTGATTTTATAAAGCAGTCCCATCATTTATGCTCCTTAAACTAAATTAGGTGTAAATTATTTCAAGGAGGCTAAAGTTCTTCCCTGTGTTCCTATGAGGATAATTTCACAAATACACAGCACGTCCCTTCAACCACAGATTTTGGGCAGAGAGAAGGAAACAAGAAGAAGGAGAAGAAGAGAGCTATCGCCTGGGGCCAGTGCACACTCTCCACAGGGGGTTTCCAGCATGTGGGTGATTTCTAACCAAGCTGACATAAATCAGACTGTGCAGAGCAGTGACATTCTGATCACTGCACTGGGAGACACCTGGATAGTGTTACACTTCCCTCATTAGGAGGCACTGGAGTTGAGCTGGGGAGGTGAACTTTTAGCTGTATCAAAATAACAATGTGGGAGCAAAGAAGATGCTGGGATGAGGGGGCATACCAGTAATAACCCAACCTTTACAGACAGGTTGTGTGAGGCGTTCTGAACTCGCATCTTTGGAAATAATTTATTTACAAACTGAACCCAGTAAAATCAAGAAGAATTTGTTCCATGAATGCCATTGTTTAAATCTTCTGGCTGAGACTTGAGCCTCTTTCTTTCTCAGCTGGGACATTCTGCTGCAGTGGCCTACACTCCCAAACCTTGTTAAAACTGAGTTCATAATGTGTGATAGACATGTTTGTTAGTGTTCTGGAACATTTTATTCAATCCAAGTTACTTATTAATTACAGCTATTAATTTTTAATAAAAATTAGATGTTAAAATTGGATATTAAAACACAAAATTGGATGTATAGGTAAAAAAATACAAACCTTTCTAAACCAAACACAAATTTTAAATATAGCAGAGAACATAGAGAAGAAAAGACTACGGTAAGTACAACATAATAAATTAATTATAAAATAATATGATAGAATTGATACCAAACATATTAGTCATATAAAAATATGACTGGGTTGGCCGGGCGCGGTGGCTCACGCCTGTAATCCCAGCACTTTGGGAGGCCGAGGCGGGCGGATCACGAGGTCAGGAGATCGAGACCATCCCGGCTAAAAAATGGTGAAACCCCGTCTCTACTAAAAATACAAAAAAATTAGCCGGGCGTAGTGGCGGGCGCCTGTAGTCCCAGCTACTTGGGAGGCTGAGGCAGGAGAATGGCGTGAACCCGGGAGGCGGAGCTTGCAGTGAGCCGAGATCCCGCCACTGCACTCCAGCCTGGGCGACAGAGCGAGACTCCGTCTCAAAAAAAAAAAAAAAAAAAAAAAAATATGACTGGGTTTAAATCACCTATTAAAGAAAAAAATATTTTCAAATTGGCTGATAAAGCAAAATACACCTCTATACTGTATAAAAAAGACATACCAAATACACACAGAAATTTTAAAAAGATAGAACTAAATATATGGGCAAAGAGATACCAGTCAAGTGGAAAAAATAAAAATCAGGGGGTTAAATCTTTATATCAGATAAAGTAGAATTAAACAAAACTACATACTGTATGCACTTACCTTTAGCCCAGCAATCCCACTTCTGATCATTTATTCTGAAGGTACACTTCCAACCATACAAAATTACATATGCACAAGATTATTCATTATAGCATTGTTTATAATTGCAAATAGTTATAAATGTCTAAACACAGGAAATTGGTTGAAAAACTTTACATATACACAGCAGAATACAATACAGTTGTCAAATAAGAATGAGGAGGAGCTTTATGAAGTGATAGGAAGTTATTTCTATAATGTGTTTTAAGAGAAAAAACCAAAGTATTAATCTCCAGAGTAAGCTACCTATTATATAAGAAAGATGGAGGAATAAGGAAACAAATATGTATCTGCTGATTTTTTCAGAAAGAAACATAAGGATAAGTCAGAAAACATTGAAACTGGCTACCTGTAAGAGAGGGAGTGGTGGAAGGGATGGGGAGGGAAGAACACTTCTCTGAGTATACCTTTGTGTACACCTTTGACATTTGGAAGCATGTCAGTATTCTACATATTCAAAATGGAAGTAAAATCAACAAAGATAGGGAAAATACCTGGAATGGAATACAAGCAGTATTTCAAATATATAATTGTATCTCAGATACATGGCATAACCACACCAAAAGGGGAAAAAGAACTAATCCAGATAATTTGAGCACAGTACTTGGCCCTGTATCTTACATTCTTTTAGTAGGTTTCTTTTTTTCTAGTTACATGAGTGTAGAAATTCTGAAACCCTATTTGTTTTTATTACAGAATTCGACAAAATTGAGTAAATGTATTGATGGTGTTGAGAGCCAGGGTACTCACAGAAGGGAGATGCAAATATAGAATAAGGATGGTGAAGAACCTTATGAGTTTGGATTAAAATTGGTTGTAACAAAATGACTTCAGGGTTTCTAACGAAACATAATATCTAAATGTAATACATAATCCTAGACTGGACCCTAGAATGAAGAGAAAAAGTATATTATAAATGATGTTGTTCGAACAATTGGCATAATGGCAATATGCACTATAGATTTTTTAAAAATTAGATAAAAGTATTGTATCAATGTTACACTTATTGCATTTGATAATTATATTGTAGTTATATAAGCAAATATTCTTGTTCTCAGGCAATACATGCTGAGGAATTAAGCAAAACTTTCAGAGAAAGAATAATAAAATACATTTTGCAAAATGTTAAAAAATTGGATAAAGAATATTTTTTAAACATTTCTGTAGGTTTAAAATTATTTCAAAATAATAAGTCAAAAAGTTATGTATCACATTCTGAATTGTTCCTTGTTACCTTGCTTGTCTGTATCATTATGTTGTAATTTTCCCATGTTTTTCAACCTTTCTACCCTTTCTATGATTTTGTGAATACTTGGAAAGCACATCATGTGTTCTTACTCTTCAGAGTTTGCTATCTTCTGATTATTTTGGTCACATTTTGCTGATTTAATTTGGTGTAAATATAAAGCAAGTATTTGTGAAGTATAATATCTTAATTGGCCCCAAACATGTTCTCATCACACACATTTTTAAAGAGAGAGAGTGAAATCTTGCTTCATAGAAAGTGAATCACAGCTGGGTGTGGTGGCTTACACCTGTAATTGAAGCACTTTGGGAGGCTGAGGCAGGCAGATCACTTTAGGCCAGGAGTTCGAGACCAGACTGGCCAACATGGTGAAATCCGATCTCTACTAAAAATACAAAAATTAGCTGCATGTGGTGGCATGTACCCGTAATCCCAGCTACTCAGGGGGCTGAGGCAGGAAAATCGCTTGAACCCGGGAGGTGGAGGTTGCAGTGAGCCAAAATGGTGCCACTGCACTGTAGCCTGGACAACAGAGCAAGACTCCATCTCAAAAAAAAAAAAAAAAAAAAAAAAAGAAAGTGAATCTCATTTGGAAATCTGAGGGCAAAACTGACCTATGTGATATTTTAATAATTTTCACATTCTATCTTATTCTTATTTCCCAAATGGTTTATATATATATATATATATGACTTATGTTTGAAAGTTCTTATAGAATGCTAACAGCCATTAAAAATATATGTCAGGAGGAATCAGAGGCAAAATATATTTTTGGTAAAAATATGCCATATTTACATCTGTCTAAAAGAAAATATGTAGGTTGCTTACCAAAATACTGGATTTAACATCTTACATAAAACATTGGGCATTCAGTGACTGACACTGTCATGAAGTGTCAAGGAGTTAAGTAAAGGGAGGACCCGTTGTCAATTATGACTATAGGAAGGTCATAATTTTATTTAAAGAAAAGAGGGAGCAGAGCTGTAGAAGGTCGATATCAGAGTGTTCACTGAGAGGCAAAGAAAAACAGGACCAGATTAACAAGATTTACCTGTGGACACTAATAAGAATTCAGAACCAAGAAGGTGAAGTGTCAATAGATAGCAGACTGCATGGACATGAAATGTGATCTTCATAGGAAAAGGACGATTTTCATACCCACATTGATATGGGTTACCATCAGTTCCTTAATGAGGAGAAACTGAAGACAAATATCAGAATGCTGAATATTACATAGTTTATATAGAAGTAAAAAATGTACATAGTTATTATTATAGAATATGGATTTCATCATTATGAATAAATCCTTTAGTCAGTCTCATAAATTTCCTACTTAAAAGCACATGTAAATATTGTATATGGCGCTTGCATTGGACAGAGCATGCTCTATAGACAAAATTCTGGTCCTTAAATTAACCAAAACTAAGTAAGTGACCTTTTCAGAATATGTATTTTCTGCATATTGTATGTTATTCTCTGAGTATTTATTTTAAAACTTGACTTGTTTTAAAATAAAAATTTTGATGTTTTTTGCATTGTCTTAAAATTGTTGACAATGGTCTAGTGAAGCCTTTTCAGTGTTCTATCCTTTATGAGAAATAAATAAATGAAATAACACAATTGATAGGACAATGCTTAAAAGTGTGTGTGCATGCATGTGTGTGTGTGTTTGTGTTGCTAGAAAGTTAGTGTGACTGGCTTTATGACATGTAATTTAAAACAGAATAAAAGCATTCCAATAATTAGTATATTTTGCATATGGGCATTCCTTTGCTTACTAATCTAGAAGATTCCTATATTTTATAAATAAAAGCAATACCTGGAACCAGTGGTTTCTTGGGTAAACTGTGCTTTCTTTGATTGTGCAGTGAAGTATATTCTACTTACTTTCTTTTGCAATTTATTCGATGTCAAGAAATGTGATGGCGGAAAGTTTAGCGCATAAAAAGGAAAAAAATAATAATTGGAAAACAGCAACAAATTCATTTTGTCCTCCACATTGCCCTCCACTTTTCTCTCCCTGTCTCTTCATTTTTTAGTTCTGATTTTCATGACTACATACCTTCCTTTCTACCTCCTTTTTGTCATTACCTAACTCTTGCTGGAAACTTTGAACTAGTATTGGGTAAAAATATGTTCCCAGGAATGGGGATGTTAGGGAAGGGAATTGGCATTTAATTTACTGTGTGCAGGACACTTTATACAAAGTATTTCATTTACTCCACACAGAAACTCTATGAGGTTAGACTTATCTCTATTTTACAGATGAGGAAACCAAGGCTCAGAAAAGTGAATTGCCTAATGCTGAAAGTACAAAGTGAAGGGAGCCAGGATTCCATCCAGAAAGGATCTGAGTACAGAGAGTATACTCAAACCTGCTACCTTCCCAGCACTCTTACAGTTGAATCAGTCTTATGGCATTTTCACTTTTATCCCTTGACTTCTCTGCAATCTCCAAGGAGTCAGTGTCTAAATCAGAAATCAGAGAACCAAAGCAATCTATGTAGACGATGTGTGTGGTTGAGACAGCTTTGAACACGATTTTGAAGCCAATATTAAAGCTGATTCCCAAAAAGGGCCTATTTATAGAATCACTGCATGTAGTCACACCTTGGATTTTCTTTGGTGGTCTTCCTTCTAAGTAAATGACAAAGTAAGACCTAGTTTATTTTATGAGAACTGAGAAAATCACAGCACAGGGTGGTCTTAAGTTTCAGAAAAGTTTAGCTTTTCTTAACATAGATTTTCCAATCCTTAAAGTCACACTTCTATGCATAAACAAAAGTTTTAAGAGTCATATGTTTTCAATGGGCAATGAACTCAGTAAGCACTCCTTCATGTTCACCATTCAGTCATGATAAGTAAATAGGTTAAACCTGTTATGAAGCTCATCGTGTTTGAAAATCAGTTACTCTCTGCCAACTTTGCCTTAAATTTAACTTTTATGAATTTTTAAAGTTACCAATAATATGTGTATTATGGAATCCCACAAACTTGCTGCTTTCTGATTAATTTTTCACTTCAAACACATGAGAATTGACTTTCTTACATTCCAATATGTATTTCCCTAGGCATAACTGGCTGAAAGGAATTAAACTCAACTAATATTTTTTTCTTTCTTTTTGGCTTGAAACATTCCCAAGGCTTTCTGAAATACGGGCTCAGGCTATATTTATAGCCAAAATAAAAAGGCATTTAAATACATATTGAATTGCAAAGGCAGATAATGATTACAGCATACATCTATTAAATGTGATATATTTAGGTTTTATTTGAATAAATTTAAATAATTATTAACTTACATGCTTTATAAAATGTAATAAGAATCAGCATGCCAGGTGCTTTCCTTATTTACTTCCCATTAAATATAGTAAAAAATAAAAAATAAGATAAAAATATTAAACTAATGACATAAAAATAAAGCAGATTTCAACTTGAATTGGTTTATGGTTATTGTACTTAACATTTCAATTGAATTAATAATTACAAATAAAATAATTTCACATTTGTTTGTAAACAATGTATTTTTTGTGTGTATATTCTAGTACTTAAAAAAAAACTACATCTAGTTATTCGCTTCTTACAAGATTACTTTCCACTAGATTTCTCATTTGGGATATGTATCTCTGTCAGAGACCAGTTAGGAGAGAGAAACCACACAGTAATATGAATAAAGTTTAATGTAACATATTAACTCTATCAGAGGATTGATGTAGTGTGGAATTGGCTAGTATGAAGTAATGAGAATACTAAAAATACATGAATAGTTGATATAAGAAACAGTTACTGCTCCTAAGAATGAGATAGACCTGGATGAAGACCTCCCATTCTCCCAAGATTAAGTGAGATTCAAGTCTTGTTGGAGAGAAATCAGTTCCTTGAGAACAAAGAAGTCACTGTGAAACCACATTGGTGGAATCTGCTAAGCTGTTCACAGGGAGGTGTCTCACCAGAGGTATTCTGTTATAAAAACACCTGAAGGGTATGCTAAGGGAAACTGATGGCCACTGGGTGTTGCTGGGCACTGTGCCTGCCCAGTGAGAACATGGAAACCAGGAAACAAAACTCTTTTCCTCCTGCCATGTCTTTTCAGCACTCTCTAATAAAAGAACTTTAGTGCCAACTGGCAAAGAAAAAATATTTAAAGGGTCCAGATTCATTTTCATAGAGCTGGAAAAAAGGGTGAATTTGAAATAAAGAGGTAATAAATCAATAACCAGCACAATATCAGATTTTTAAAAAAGACTAAACACATTGTGTTTTAATATTGGTGGTAGCCATATCAAATATAGTTTTTTGAAATGAACATTATTACATAATGCCATGGATTCATTTACAGGAGATTTTATTGTAAACAATTATTGGAAATCAATAGTCATGTAAGATAATAATTAAGAGTAATGGTTCTGCAGTCAGTTAAACTACGTTAGTTTCTGGCTCTGCCATTTACTGTGACCTTAGGCAAGGTGTTTAACATATGTGTCCATTTCCCCATCTGTAAAATAGGCTTAAAATGGCATCTGCCTTAGTTGAGTTGTTGAGAGGGTTAAATGAATGTAGTGTAGGTAAAGCACTTATATTTGCAACTGACACAGGGTAAGGTCTCAACAAAGGGCAACTATTTATTAATATTTTGCATTTATCCGACTGGAAGTTTATAATTTTATATCAACATAATTTATTTTCCAGGTATAATCCTTTGGGAGCCTGAAGTATTTAGCAACTCATGAGGTCATGGTCTGTTGATATTCATATGCGCCATTGTGATTGACAACAATTATGGTTGTAATATAGGGGGCAGGTTGTGATTCCAAATAAGTTACATTTTTGGATTTCTTAATTTAAGTGTTGCTTAATCAGAATTCAGAATAAATATGCTATGAGTAAATGTAATTTTTAGTTAAGGGTAGGATGTAGTGCTGTTAAAATATTTTCTAAGTGATCATAACCGTTAAAAAAAAGTTTTTAAAATGTGATTTAAAGAAAAGCACTGCCCTTCCTTTTAAAAAATGGAATAACTTACATCATCCCTAAGTTTTAGTGTTTTTGTACAAATAATGATGATGTTGGACTTGAGTTTTTAGAACACATTAACCCAAATGGCCAATATAAAAAATGCTAAATTGGATGACAGCATTTGGCCAAGTTTTCAGGATCACCCACAAAACTGGATTGAAAATAGATTGCCTTAAGGCTGGTTTTAGCACAGTATCTAAAAGAAATACAACTATAACTTCATAAAACTTCAAAAATATTGTAGGACTTTATTGCAGATCTCCTGAGAAGGTGGCAAAGAGGAAATTACATTTTGTCACACACAGCAGAACTTCCTAAAAATCCTCTAATCACTTTATTCTAATTACTTTCTCATTTTTCATAGGACCTACTCCCTGTCTCTCTTCACATGTTTTAGTTTTGTAACTAAAATACTGCTTAGTAGTTACCTCCATTCTCCAGGCTCAACCTAAACATCTTGGTCTTGCCACTCCTTTGTGTGGAAAGGAAACCCCATAGAGGACAAGGAGTAACACCTTGCATTGATTTTCAGACCAGTGTGCCTGTCACTAAGCCTGTTGGACAAAATTGCGTGAGAGAAGAAGATACATTCAAAAGGGCCACATTTAAGGAAGCCCTACATATTATCCTTTTAAAAAACTCTACCCAATAGGACTATGATGAATGTAAGGCTTGAGGATTTAATCAGTTATACCAGCCCTGCTCCTCCTTGAGGGAGAAGTGGAGATGAAATATACAAGATGGGTAAGTTTATGGGTAAGTTTAGAGATGGAGAGAAATTTTATTTATCTCTAAAATCCGACAATTACAAAAATACAGTATCAACTAAAATAAAACAAAAAGGTTGTAAAAATAAGGTTGTAAGAATAATTTTGTCCTTTACTTAAGGATTTTAACTTAAAACATTTGTGGAGTCATTATGTAATTCAGGACTTTAGATTTTGAGGAGCTTGGACATCCACTTACAAATAAAAAATGTTATTACAAAACTTAAGTGAGGGACAGCCTACATAGATTCTATTTTCATTCGAAAAGGATAGCAGTGAAGGTTAATTGTTATACTTTCTAGTGTACCTTCGAACTCTACCCTTCAAAATTTGTGAATTCCCAGATTTTCAATGGTTTATACTTTACCACACGCTCTCCAATGCAGTCATGTATAACTGAAAAATGTGACTCCTTCAGGTCATTCATGATTCTATTAACATAGCAATAAAACCATTTATAAAGCAATTACTCTAATTTTGCTGCAAAAAACTCTACATGACATTATAGCAGTTATTATAGCTTGTAATATTAATTTTAAGCTTATCAGAATTTGCAAAACTAAAGCATCTGTAATATGGCAATTTTGTTTTTTGAAAAAGTAATTTCAACTTTTAGATTCAGGGGGTACATGTGCAGGTTTGTTACATGGTATATTACGTGACACTGAGGTTTGGGGTACAAATGACCCCATCAGCACACCATGGAATACTGCACAGATATAAAAAAGGACAGTGGTGGCCAGGTGCGGTGGCTCACGCCTGTAATCCCAGCACTTTGGGAGGCCAAGGTGGGCAGATCACTTGAGGTCAGGAATTTGAGACTAGCCTGGCAGACATGGTGAAACCCAGTCTCCACTAAAAATAAAAAAAAAATTAGCCAGGCATGGTGGCGGGCATCTGTAATCACAGCTACTCGGGAGGCTGAGGCAGAGAACTGCTTGAACGCAGGAGGCGGAGGTTGCAGTGAGCTGAGATCGCGCCATTGCAGTCCAGCCTGGGTGACAGAGTGAGACTCCATTTCAAAAAAAAAAAAAAAAAAAAAAAAAACAAGGACAGTGGTGATTCTGAATGAGAATTTCTATTTTGCAATGCATGTACAGAGTGGGTGAGAGCAATCATGAAATATATTTCACAGCAGGTAAAGTTGGTTCAAAACTGTTCAACAAGGGCCTCCTGACTTGCTGAGGGAGCTACATTGACCTTTATTATGGAAGAAGCAGCTGGTGGAGAAAAGTCAGGGTAAAATAATAACATGCACATGGAAGGATACCAGAAGAGGGGTAGCTTGCAAAGAAATATGTTATTAAGGTATATCATGAATGATAGTTATCCTTATGCTCTGAGCAATTAATTTTGCATTTCCTAAAATGTCTCCAACATATTTATTAGTTATTAATAATAAACATATATGTTAGACGCTCTGCATCTCAGATTGAAAATCCTCAGTATATTTTCAAAGACCCAAAGTAGTTTGCTCTTCTTCTTCAACATTGTAGTTGCTGCCATGTTGAAACCAATCCCCTAATTTTCTGCACATTTAACCAACTCTTTCTCATGACCTACAATGGTGTCCACAAAATCTTCACCACTCACTTTCCATGCAGCTCTTATAATGGGCATCATTCTATCCTCTCTGGATGGAAGCCTGCCTCCAACCACATGGCTTTCTAAAAATTTCACTTTTCAGATTTTGCCTCACCCACTAAAGATTTAATGTTCATCAATCATTTAGCAATGTTGTAATATAAACATGTTTTAATTCTTCCAGCCATTGGCATCAGTGTTTAGCTCTTTTCCATAGTGTGTATGTCATCAGAACTTGGTTTGGAAGGCTAAGAGAGTGTCATGATGTTAGGGGAACGGAACACCATGTTAATTGACACTCAGACATGAAAATGGCTTGTGCATATTTGATGTATTAGTGGAACCTTAAATTCAAAGTTATGGGAAGCAATATATTGCTACACTTTTGGCCAAAACATTTGTTAAACCAGTCTCAAAAGAGATATACCATGATCCACACTTTCAGATATGTCTGCCAAGGAAATCTGGCCTCTTGGTGCCCTGAATTTTGCAGAAAGGTAAATAAACCTGGCTTAATTATGCTGTTGGCTGCACTGCCCTAAAGTTGAGGTCAATTTGGCTTTGGCCACCTGAAAATTTGTGTTCTCTTTCCCTTGTGTATTCTCACTAAGATAGTTTTTTCTAACAATTTTCATTCTGGTCTGAATGTTATTCTAACCTTCTTTATGTGTTTCTTTAGCTTGGGAGGATAACATATGTATGAGGTTATGGTCCAAAGATGCTGCCTTTCTAGTTTACTTCAGATTAGGTAAGGCTATATGTTTTTTCAAATGAAAAAAAAAAAAGTATTTCCACATGATAAAATATATTCCTGTATCTGTACTAGGAATGTGCCACCTATAGCTTTAGAGATACATTTCTATGGGCCCCTGACTTTTTCCCCAAGTAAAATTTATTATTTTGCTCCTCATTTTGCACAGGTTAAAGCCCCTATAGAAATAATATTACAAATTACTCTTTCTTATATCCAGTGAAAAATATGGTGAAATTATTCACATTGTAGAGCCATTAGCAAATTTGGTATTTGCTCTCATAATTTATCCCAAATTCGTATTTCATCCCAAACACTAACAGCATACTGCAGCCAAAAAAAATTTGTTTAGATGAAATGTGGGTGTAGGCATGGGTATGATTATGGAAAAAAAACCTCACTGGCATTATTCTAAACCCCTGTCTCACTAGGGCATGTTTTCTCACATCCACCTACTTTATTCAATACCATGCTTATGCATTCACTCATTCCCATAGTAAAAACTAGTGGATGGTTTTATATTCAGGGATATTTTCCCCAAGAAATACATATATTTCTTTTCTTTTTTTTATCATCCAGATCAAAATGTCAATAAATAAATTTCAGGATTTCAGAAATGTCACTATTTACATTCAAAGTGGGGGAATATATTGAAAAAGTAGATGCTTACTAGTAGGTTAGATTCTATTTAGTGAACCAACCGCCTTGTATATTTGGTTGTAATTTCTGTCTAAGCCAAAACCAAATTATTATAAGTCAAGTCCTTTCATAGTTGCTGGCAAATTGTGAAAACAAAAAAAAATTAATTCCAAATATAAAAGACTAATGCATAAGGAAATGTAAGATAAGAGGTACTCCTCCTCTAGCTCTGAAAAAGCGAAATATTTAGGCATGCATTTGCTATTTAACATTCAATAAACTTTAGTTTTTGAGCATGTTTTGCAGGTCCAAATGGTATTTGATGCTTCGGGGTTTCATATTAAAACAGGAAAATCCTTTTCTTTCTCAAAGTGTTTACAATAAACTATTTCAAGGATGTTCCACAAATATTTTGGATTTCTTCACCCAGTTTAAGTATGATCCTAAGAAGGTCCAAATAAAGCAAGAATTTATTATCTACTGTGGAGAAAGTACTATGCTTGCAACTTTTGGTAGTGACATAATTTTAGTTCTTTATGGGGATGATTGTCTATTTTATCATCATCATTTTCAGCAGCATCATAGCTCTGTGGTCATTATTCCTATGCTTCTTATATATTCAATTATATATTCATGTTCCAGGCTCATGAATCAGTGCAATTGATTAAATAGCAAGAAGTTGCTATCTAACTGCAGTATTGGTTTACAAGATCTGTGCAGTGTCACAGCTTGGGGTGTTGGTGTTACATATTGCCTCAATACCAGTAGCTTTAACCACTCCTTTATATTGTCCCTACTTACTACTCTAAATATTATGTTCTCAAATGAGCTCGTTATCAGGGCAGACATTCAACACATGTTCTTGACAAAAGTTTGAAACCATTTATGTTTTTCATAACTGCTTAGAACAGATAAGGGTAACTAGTAAGAATTACACGGTAACCTTCATGTAACTAGTAGGTAAGACTGAATTCACGGAGACCATCCCATAATATCCCTTTTTCTGAGGAAGTAAAAAGCCCCATGACTTTTCAGAAAAATTGTGAAAGTGGAAATGGCAGCTTTTGAAGCTCCAATAGAAGAATCATAAAACTTCAGAGTTAGAAGGGCGGAAACTCATGTTAGAATCTGGAGGCAATTTGTGTAGGCACTTTTAGTCTATCTTGTGGGAACATTGTGTGTAAATAAGACCTCCCCTAGCAATTTCCATTACTGAGAATAATTTCAACAAAATCAGTGACAATGGTCTCTTAATATAGGTTTTGTGTGTGTGTGTGTTATGGAAAATGAATGCAGAATTTGGGAAAATTTTTATATTGTCAACACATAGAGATTTACTAACTAAAGTTGGTTGTCATTCTTTTATGTATTTTGATAAAATATAACTTTAGGTAGAGTTCAAGCAGGGAGAGGAAAATACTTATATTCCTCACAAAACTATATAAATAGAAAGTAATGATGTGATCCCAGGTAATTAATATCTTTTGATATCTCAATTTACCTATTGACAGTTAAATAATAAAGTGTCAGGACTATAGTTTACATTGTTCATTTAAACATTTATTCAATATTTGCTTGTCAAATATTTGTTAAGTTCCCTCTTTGGAAAAGATACTGGATTAGGTGGTAGAGATACAAAAATAACTAAGCCATTTGTCCCTGTTTTCAAGAAATTAGTAGGAGAAAAAAATAGATATGCAGATGATAAATGTTTACAGTGTTGTAGGTGAAAAAAGAGGAAAGAAAGAAAGCCTAGGAGAGTCAGATAAATCTTCAGAGAAGAGGTAAAATCAGCCCTGAGCCTCAAAGGGTGAAGAAAACGAGCAGAATCTCAGACAATACAAACAATGTACAAAGGTGTGGAAAATAAAATGGTGTTTTTTAGGAGCAGTGGAAACCTAGTGTAACCTGAGGAAAGGAAAAATGAGGAGCTAAGTGACATGGTGATGGATGAAGATGGAAAAAATATATATGGTTAAAGACTAGTTTACCATATCAGGAAGTCTGGACTTGATCCTGCAGATAATGGGAAACCAGTGAAGGTATTTAAACACTAATGGTGATTTTTAAAAAACTCAGTGTGTTTAAAAGGGAATGGATAGTGCATAATCTCCTTTTTATCTCTCCTTGGTTTTGTTTAAGTGGGCTGCTATGGGAATCCTTAGAGTATCATTTTTTAAAATTAAAAAAAAATTTATTATACTTTAAGTTTTGTGATACATGTGCAGAATGTGCAGGTTTGTTACATAGGTATAGACGTGCCATGGTGGTTTGCTGCATCCATCAACCTGTCATCTACATTAGGTATTTCTGCTAATGCTATCCCTCCCCTAGCCCCCCCACCCTCCAGTAGGCCCCAGTGTGTGATGTTCTCCTCCCTATGTCCATGTGTTCTCATTGTTCAACACCCACTTAGGAGTGAGAACATATGGTGTTTGGTTTTCTGTTCCTGTGTTAGTTTGCAGAGAATAATGGTTTCCAGCTTCATCCATGTCCCTGCAAAAGACATAAAATTATCCTATTTTACAGCTGCATAGTATTCCATGGTGTGTATGTGCTACATTTTCTTTACCCAGTCTATCATTGATGAGCATTTGGGTTGGCTCCAAGTCTTTGCTATTGTGAATAGTGCTGCAGTAAACATACATGTGCATGTGTCTTTATAGTAGAATGATTTATAATCCTTTGGGTATATACCCAGTAATGGGATTGCTGGGTCAAAAGGTATTTCTGGTTCTAGATCTGTGAGGAATCGCCACACTGTCTTCCACTATGGTTGAACTAATGTACACTCCCACCAACAGTGTAAAAGCGTGCCTATTTCTCCACATCCTCTGCAGCATCTATTGTTTCCGACATTTTAATGATTGCCTTTCTAACTGGCGTGAGATAGTATCTCATTGTGGTTTTGATTTGCATTTCTCTAACGACCAGTGATGATGAGCTTTTTTTTTTTCATATGTTTGTTGGCCGCATAAATGTCTTCTTTTGAGAAGTATCTGTTCATTTCCTTCACTCACTTTTGGATGGGGTTGTTTTTTTTCCTTGTAAATTTGTTTAAGTTCCTTGTAGATTCTGGATATTAGCCCTTTGTCAGATGGATAGATTGCAAAAATTGTCTCACATTCTGTAGGTTGCCTGTTCACTCTGATAGTTTCTTTTGCTGTGCAGAAGCTCTTTAGTTTAATTAGATCCCACTTGTCAATTTTGGCTTTTGTTGCCATTGCTTTTGGTGTTTTAGTCATGAAGTCTTTGCCCATGCCTACGTCCTGAATGGTATTGCTTAGGTTTTCTTCCAGAGGTTTTATGGTTTTAGGTCTTATGTTCAAGTCTTTAATCCATCTTGAGTTAATTTTTGTATAAGGTGTAAGGAAGGGGTCTAGTTTCAGTTTTCTGCATATGGCTAGACGGTTTTCCCAACACCATTTATTAAATAGGGAATCCTTTCCCCATTGCTTGTTTTTGTCAGGTTTGTCAAAGATCAGATGGTTGTAGATGTATGATGTTATTTCTGAGGCCTCTGTTCTGTTCCATTGGTCTACGTATCTGTTTTGGTACCAGTACCATGCTGTTTTGCTTAGTGTAGCCTTGTAGAGAAGCAAGAGCAAACAAATTCAAAAGCTAGCAGAAGACAAGAAATAACTAAGATCAGAGCAGAACTGAAGGAGACAGAGACATGAAACCCTTCAAAAAAAGCAATGAACCCAGGAGCTGGTTTTTTGAAAAGATTAACGAAGTAGATAGACCACAAGACAGGCTAATAAAGAAAAAAAGAGAGAAGAATCAAATAGACACAGTAAAAATGATAAAGGGGATATCACCACTGATCTCACAGAAATACAAACTACCATCCGAGAATACTATAAACACCTCTATGCAAATAAACTAGAAAATCTAGAAGAAATGGATAAATTCCTGGACACATACACTCTCCCAAGAATAAACCAGGAAGAAGTTGAATCACTGAATTGACCAATAACAAGTTCTGAAATTGAGGCAGTTATAGCCTACCAACCAAAAAAAGCCCAGGACCAGACGGATTCACAGCCGAATTCTACCAGAGGTACAAAGACGAGCTGGTACCATTCCTTCTGAACTATTCCAAACAATAGAAAAAGAGGGACTCCTCCCTAACTCATTTTATGAGGCCAGCGTCATCCTGATTCCAAAATCTGGCAGACACAACAACAATAAAAAAGAAAATTTCAGGCCAATATCCCTGATGAACATCGATGTGAAAATCCTCAATAAAATACTGGCCAAATGAATCCAGCAGCACATCAAAAAGCTTATCCACCACGATCAAGTTGGCTTCATCCCTGGGATGTAAGGCTGGTTCAACATAGGCAAATTAATAAACATAATCCATCATATAAACAGAACCAATGACAAAAACCACATGATTATTTCAATAGATGCAGAAAAGGCCTTCGATAAAATTCAACACCCTTTCACGCTAAAAACTCTCAATAAACTAGGTATTGATGGAACATATCTCAAAATAATAAGAGCTATTTATAACAAACCCACAGCCAATATCATACTGAATGGGCAAAAGCTGGAAGCATTCCCTTTGATAACCGGCACAAGACAAGGATGCCTTCTCTCACCACTCCTATTCAACATAGTATTGGAAGTTCTGGCTAGGGCAATCAGGCGAGAGAAAGAAATAAAGTGTATTCAAATAGGAAAAAAGGAAGTCAGATTGTCTCTGTTTGCAGATAACATGATTGTATATTTAGAAAACCCCATCATCTCAGCCCCAAATCTCCTTAAGCTGATAAGCAACTTCAGCAAAGTCTCAGGATACAAAATCAATGTGCAAAAATCACAAGCATTCCTATACACCAACAACAGACAAATAGCGAGCCAATCGTGAGTGAACTCCCATTCACAAATGCTAAAAGAGAATAAAATATTTAGGAACACAACTTACAAAGGATGTGAAGGACCTCTTCAAGGAGAACTACAAACCACTGCTCAAGGAAATAAGAGAGGACACAAACAAATGGAAAAACATTCTATACTCATGTATAGGAAGAATCAATATCATGAAAATGGCCATACTGCCCAAAGTAATTTATAGATTCAATGCTATCACCATCAAGCTACCATTAACTTTCTTCACAGAATTAGAAAAAACTAGTTTAAGTCTCATATGGAACAGAAAAGAACAACTGTATAATTTCCACTCTTGGGCTTCAGCCCTTTGGCTTTTTCTATATAGCTGAAGATGGCTGATATAGCCTGGGAATCATGGGGATATCTAGGAGGAATAAAAACTTTAACTTCACAAATGTGAACAGTTCCAACTGTGTTGGCCAAACCAGTTTCTGTGGGCATGAATTTTTAAAATTATTTCTAAAACTGATTTAAGAAATATTTGTAGAACACTGTGACATATTTAGATAAAAGTATCTGGGTAGAACATTGAGTGTCATTTTACTGAGTGTCCAAGTCTTTGAAATAATGTAAATATTCTTGTGTATTGTAAAATACTTGGATTAATTGATATTTTGAAACATACCTCTTCTGAATCATGAAAATATTTACTTGGTACTCTAGTTTGAGGTAAAATATTTCATGTTTTCTTTCTCCATTGTCCTGCTATAAACTTCTTAAGAATATGTATAATTAAAATTGTAGGTACTTGCTGTTGATTAAAATACCTATATTCAATAGGTTGAAAACATGTATGTTTTTAAAATAAACTGATAGTAAAATATCTCCACAATTTGCCCAAACTTGGGGGTGGAAATGGGACTAAAAAAGATAATTAACATACATGAATATACATATATACTTTACATATTTCATATAAAATGTATAATATGATATATTTAGAATTTTTCAAGCAATGAAACACGAAACCTCTGAGTTGTCAAAAGATGTTTCATAAAATGAGTCCATAATCAAATAAATTTGTTAATGATGAATTATTGTTTCATTTCCCCTTTCTTATTAAAACATAACATGTATTAATACTTTTAAGTCTTCTAGAAGCTCTGCCATAAAGAAAGCCATTTAACTTGCTTAACCTTATGCTTCCAAAACTTATTCATGTTTGGAACCCCTTCCTTCCCCAGAACGTTTGTTAATCTCTTATGGGAGGGACCCTTATATTCTAAGGAACATTTTCTGAGAAAAGTTGACAGAGAATATAGGTAAATATAATTTACTATGCAAACAGAGTTGCACACACATGCATGTAATAAACACACACATTACCCCTGATTAAGTGGAGTAGGCTGTCTTGACATAGGTATATACTTGGAAGTTTTACATCTGAATACAGTGCCTGGAACACAGTAGGTATTCAATAAATATCTACTAAAGTGAACTAATTTTAGTATGTAGACACTTCACTTTCTCCCGCTACCTCCCGCCAATGGCCAGTTTCCTATAGCACTTCCTGAAGTTACTTTTGCCTGTGTTCAGACAAAGTAAGTCATTATGATCTCTTGTAATTAAAACTCTGTGCTGGGCATAGTTTAACTTGCTGTGTTACAGCATGGAGTTTCTTTTGGTGGTTGTAAAACACTCCTTAGCCCTGAAACCGTAGCACACTGAAATAGGTCATGTAGTCATTACCCATCAAAGGTTTGTTTTCTCAATGTTACATTACCTCTGTCCATGTTGAAGAAGGCATTAGTCTTCAGGGCCCGCTGCTCTTCCTGGGTCTCACAATTTTTTTTCAGCATTCTGTGCACTGATGACATTTTTTTTTTCTGTTAGAGTTTTATCACTCCAGGGTTTATAGTTGTGCTTCTCATTTTTCATGGGAACTCAGGTGCTTAAGTCCACTCTCTAGCTTTTGAAATTTAAAAGATATCTACTATCTTTTTCTATGTTACCTTATCTCCCATGGCTTTTCCATAAGCTCTTTGAACAAACATTTATTTAGTGCCTAGTGATTTTTGAAACTGTAGAGGTGAAATAGACTATCCCAAATGGGTTTCATGTTCTCAGAGTATTCACAAAACCAATACTCACAGTTCTGTGTGATAGTTGGTATGCTCCAAGGATGCTCAGGAAGCACTGTTATCTCAGAGGAGTCATTTTCTCAGTATAGTCACAAAATACCCTCAGATTCCTTGGCCTTTCTTTCTCCACCACATACTTGAAAAAAATCATTTATTTTTGTCTCACCAAATCACAATTGGAGAAAAATCACACAACTGGCTTGGTGAATTTCATTTTAAATTTTGTGATTACAAACTGCAAATAAATTCTCAACAACTTTCACAAATTCTTCCATGTCTTTCTTTGGACTTAATTTGGAATCTAAGACAATGTTTACTGGTTTTTTTTTCTCCCCTTAAACCTCTTTCTTCCCTCACCTATTAAGTACTCTCAGTTGATTTTGCCTCATTTTTTTTTTTTTTTTTTTTTTTTTTTACAAAATAGAAGTTCCTATAATAACTCCCTCAGCTGCCCACCACCAAATGTCTAGGCTTCCTATGTCTGTACTGTCTTCACCCTCCTTCTTCCTGTCAACTTGGAGGAGGTGTCTCTCCTTCCATCAAAGGTCAATGCCTCCACTTTTGCCTTATATAGAAAATTATCTCTACTATTGCTTTTTTCTTCTACTTAATTAATCTCTCTGTCTGTGCTGGAACATTCCTATCAGCTTAAACATCTGATATATCCCATGCTGAAAAAAACAAAAGACGGAGGAGGAAGAGGAGGAGGAGGAGAAAGGAAAGGAAACCTGTCCTTTAAGTGCTCCTTCTAACTACCAAACCATTTCTCTGCCCTGTGTCATATCCATTTTTATTGAAAGAGATGTATACACTCCACCTCTACTTCCTCACCTCTTCTTCATTCTTCAATATCCTCCAATCTCTCTCCATTTTCATATCTTCATTGGTGTGAATTATTATGTCATTAAAGTTAATAAACTATTTTTCTGTCTTCATCTTATTAGACCTCTTAGCAATATGCAATGTGACATCTAGGTTCTTCTCAAAACCCTCTTTACCTTGGCTTCTGTACCTGTTCTATCTTCTACCACACTGGCCTACCACAATAATTTCATTCTTCTTTGATGGTCTCTTTAACTATTGTTATTTTTCAGAATTTGGCTCTTCTTACGTGTTCTCATCCATTTCTATGGCTTTACATTTTTCTTTTGTGTCAGGACCCCCTTAAGCATCAGATTCATGTCCACTCACCTACTTAAATATATTATATTACCATCTCAGTTTAGAAAGCATCACAAGGCGACCTCATTTGGCATTTCATTGCACTCATTACATGTGTGGAAACATCCCTTCCAGACCATCATCTTCTGCTAAGTGTCCAGGGCTTGCTTAAGGCTTATGAGTTCCTGGGATATTGCAAAATGATTTGTCTATATGTTCATATGGGGTAAGTCAGAGAAGGGTCAAACAAAATTGAAGGACCAACAGGTGTCACTCCTGCAGATCAGTGGCTTGGAGAAGTGCCAGATACTACTGAAGAGATGCTTTTATTAGTCATTGATGAAAAGGACAGCTTGCATAATATCAGGGCACAAGGGATGGACAGTGATTGCATAAAGGTAGACCAGTGCACTTTTCAGATGATGACTTCTACATGGCTTTTAGGTACCTGAGCAATGCTCCTCACTGTGGTTCTTTGCTGAACTAGTCCCCATTCCTGTCCATGTGGCCCATTCAGATTTAGCCCTCTGACCTACACCACCAACCCTCTTCACTTCTTTGTTCCATTTTATCCCAGGGTATCTCTTCTTTTCTGGCCACAGAATGGCATGACTGTTTGAATACAGGGTATGAAGAGGAGAAAAGTAAAAACCAGATAATATGTCAAATTATTATTCTAGCAAGATATCTGCATTAGACAGCTCATGCTGCCATGATGAAATACCATAGATTGGGTGGTTTAAAAAACAGAAATTTATGTTCTCGTAGTTGTAGAGGCTAGAAAGTTCAGCATTAAGGTCCAGGAGGGTTCAGTCTCTGGTAAGGGCTCTTTCTGCCTTGCAGATAGTTGCCTTTTCCCTTTGCCCTCACATGGTGGAGAAAGAGAAATCTCTGCTTTCTCTTCCTTTTTTATAAGGAATCAGTTATATAGGATCAAGGCTCCACTTTTACAACCTCATTTAACCTGAATCACCCCTTACAGCCTTATCTCCAATATTGTCATGTGGAGGCTTGGGGTTTTAACATGTAAATTTGGAGGGAGGATACAATTCAGTCCATAGCAATATCTAATAGGAATCTCAAGCTATAACGTGTCTAAAACAGACTACCTGATTCTCCCGGGTTCCCACATCCTCATCCACAAAATCTCCCTTTCATAGCCTTTTTATCAAATTGAGTAATCAGCACAATTATCTAGCCACTTGCTTAAGCATAAAACATGGATTGATTTGTCCATGAGTCTTTTTATTTTCTTATTGTGCATTATCAAAGCGAAGAGCAAGACCTGTTGCCTCGATCGTCATAGAATTTCTTGAATTTGGTCACTTATCCATCTCTACACTCAATACCTTAGTGTATGCCACCATCATCTGGAATGCTAACCTCTATAATGGTGTCCCTGCTACCAATCTTGTTATGTCATAATCCATTCCTCACAGCCAGAGTGATTTTATCAAAATGTTCATCAGATTAATACATGCATATGAACAAAATGCACTTAAAATACAATCCTATTGCCTTACCTTGGCCTACAAGACCCTGGTAAAAATCTTTGAACATTACAGAAATTGGTTGATTGATTGACTGATTGATTGTGAAACAGAGTCTCCCTGTGTTGCCCAGGCTGGAGTGCAGTGGCCTGATCTCGGCTCACTACAACCTCTGCCCTGCTGGGTTCAAGGGATTCTTCTGCCTCAGCCTCCTGAATACCTGGGATTACAGGCACACGCCACCAGGCCAGGCTAATTTTTGTATTTTTAGTAGAGATGAGGTTTAGCCATGTTGGCCAGGCTGGTCTCAAACTCTTGACCTCAAGTGATCCGCCCACCTCAGCCTCCCAAAGTGCTGGGACTACAGGCATGAGCCACTGTGCCCGGCCTGTTATAGATTTTAAATGAGGGAGAATATTTAGATCTGCTTTGTGAGAAATGGCAATTGGAAGTGGTACAGAAATTAGGAGAAAAATTAAGCTGGTGACAGGAAGAGATATATAGAGTCTACTGATATAATCCAGAAGAGAATTTATAAGACTCAAAACCAAGGCAGTGGATATGGATCAAAACCAAGGCAGTGGATATGGAGAGGAAGAAATATATTGAGGGGTGTTTATGAGATATATAGGAAAAAAGAAGCCAAGACTCAACTGATGTGATGGTGGGAGGTAGTAGTCTCTTCCCAGGCTTCTCACTCTAGTATGTGAGGGATGAAGTGTCATTCACTTAGACAGAGATTTGAGAGGAGGGGAAAGTTATAGAGGAGTAGATTAGTTCTTTTGGTACAAGCTAAGTTTGAGAATCCTTGGAAAATCAAAATGCATCCTGTTTATTTGGTTGTTGGACATAGATTTATGGGACCTGAGATATAAAGATTTGAGAATCCGAAAGCATTCAAAGACCAGAAGCTAGAAACTCTGATTACATAGTTTCAGTGTATACTGGAGGATCGGGAGTCAATTTGAAAGATGAAGTGGATGGAAATGTGAGTGGAAAAGCAGTCTGTTGGAAGCTATGGAGTGAGTAAAAGATGATGGCAAATATTGCAAAACAAATCAAATATATAGGAACTAAAAAGTGTTCTTTGAATTTGCAGCCAGAAGTCGGTAATGCATTTTGAGAGCAGTTTGGATGACGTTGTAGGGATAGCAGCTGGATTGCAATGGCTTAAGGAGTGGAAGAGGGTTAGTTTTATTTTCAAGTTGCTTAGGTGAAAAGGAAGAGAGCTAGGGTGTTAGCTAGTGGTGGCATACAATCAACGGAAGATTGTTTTGTTTTTACATTTGGAGGAGAAGGAGCCAATAATGGATATGCCTAAAAACAAAGCAACCAAATCAACTAACAAGCAATAAAATAGGAGAAGAGGATAATAGCAGATAGGTTGATTCCCACAGTGCAATATAAGGAGAAACCTTAATCAAGCAACACCTCTCTTCAAACCTGTCCTAATCTCTCTACCAGTCAACATAGTAAAATGGAGGCATATATAATTATTATTTGTTGAATAGAGCTTTATATTTTCTATAAAGTTAAAAAGCAAATGGTGTATATGTGTTTTATTTCCAAAAGACTTAAGTTAATCTTGCCTTTGACTTTTGTATAGCTTATGACTGATGAGTTATAAAAACTAATTTCTTTCCTTGTTGATGGGTGGTCCTGGGTAGATAAAACTTGAGTAACTCCTGCAGTGGCATTATTCCCCGACCTCCTTCCTGTACAAACAGAAGTCTATATGACTGTCGTAAGTTAAACTATAAAGGTTTCAAAATACATTGCCACCTCTGTCTGTGCACTCCTTATGTCCTAAACACTCCAGCTACAGCATGTTTTTCTTTGTTTTGATTTTTTATTAGATCTTTGACACCAGTTTTTTTCTCTACGATTCAGGTTCTTTTTATTTGACAATGTAGGCTCATTATAGGAGCCACTGAAAACCTCACCTAATTAAAATTCACAGGTCATAAAATTTAATTCAGTGGTAAGGCTAATTTTCCTCTAAGCTATTGAATATCAGTGATTACTTCTTCAGTGGGAGTGAGGACAAAGACCATTTTCATCTCTTTTATTGTTAATATAAATTAGCCCCAACCGAAATACTCACTTGAAAGATGTGGAAAATATCGTAAGTATGGATTAAAACTGCTCTACAGTAGATGGTGAAGATTCTGTCCTCTACAAGTATGAGATAACTTTAAAAGAAAGTGTTAAATGTAATCTTTCAAGAACTAAGTGGATGGGCCGTAATCATCTTAGAAAATAGTTCACTGCTTAGAGATTTCACTGGTTGGCATTGTTCCGGTGGTCTGAAGAGTTAAACGCACTTTTGCTTTGGGGAAAGAGTCTGAGTTAGAGGAAGGAATACTTGAGAAGAGACACTTGAGAATTGTGAATCTTTACTCTCTCTGCTTCGTGAATGTCATCTAATCATGCTAGGTATATTTGGCCACGGATATGGGACTATGCATCTATCCCTTTATTTGCTTCTAAAACAAAACTTAAAAACAGGTAATCTTTTAAGAGATGGAGGTAATTTTTTGTTAGAGGTGAGATCAGTTTACAAGGTACCAGCCCCCATTCCACTGACCTCCATAGACATGGCCCATTGTAATGTTGTGGGAACCCATTAAGTCCTTTTTCTCCTTTTTCTTTGTGCATTAGTTGAAATTACACTGTATTAATATAGTGTAATATAATATATATACTATAGTATATATACAGTATATAGTGTAATGTAATATATATACTATAGTATATATACAGTATATAGTGTAATATTATATATATACTATAGTATATATAGTATATAGTATTATATATATACTATAGTATATATAGTATATAGTATTTTATATATACTATATATTATATATAGTGTAATATAATATAAATTATATAACAATATATAATATATAATATAATAAATACAGTTTATTTTGGTTTTAGAAATTCATCATAAGGGAAAAATGTTTGGCTTATGATTAAAATATCACCATCATAAAATTTAAAGAGTGTTTATGTTCTGTTTTCCTTTGTTATTTTAAGTAAAATGAGTCGGGTTTTAATAGGCATCCTAAAAACTTGATGGTGCTTAGCAAGACCATAAGAATCAAAGCTCAGACAACATAGTGAGACCTCAAGTCTATGAAAACTTAAAAACAAAAAGCCAGGCATGGTGATACATACCTGGAGTCCTAGCTACTCAGAAGGCTGAGGCAGTGTGGATCTCTTAAGCCCAGGAGTTGGAGGCTCCAGTGAACTATGATTGCACCACTGGATTCCAGTCTGGTTGACAGAGTGAGACCATGTCTCTTAAAAAACAAACAAAAAAAGAACTGAGTGTATATTTTGGAGATCATTAGATTGGCTTCCTTCAGAAAAATACATCTTGTTTAAGTTTATGTGATAATGAACCAGCAGGTCAGCCTCAAACCCCAGAGCATTTTTGGCTAGGCAGGTTGTCTGATGGGTTATGCAAGTTATTTATTTTGAGAGGGTCTTGCTCCGTCACCCAGGCTAGTGTGACAATGGTTCACTGCAGCCTTGGCCTCTTGGGCTCAAGTGATTCTCCTGCCTCAGCCTCATGGGTAGCTGCGACCACAGACACATGTCACCACACCTGGATAATTTTCTGAAAACAACTTTGTAGAGATGGGGTCTCACTATGTTGCCTAGGTTGATATTGAACTCCTGGGCTCAAGGAATCCTCCCACCTCAGCCTCCCAAAGTGCTGGGATTAGAGGCATGAGCCACCATGCCTGGCTATACAAATTTTGGATAATCTATGGTAGCTTGCCAGGGATATCCTCAGGTAATACCTTAGGCCCAGATAAGAAGGGTCCTTTCCCTGAGCTCCACACATTAGCATTTCCTACCTATCCTCCACAAGCAAAAATAAATTACTTAAAGAATAGATGAGGCCCTTTCTTCCTGGTTGTGTGACTGGTGGCCAGCTGTGGCATCAGCACTCCAGTTCCCCATTTGCAGCATCTTGGGGTGGCTGTATTAGAAAGACAAAGTTTTGACTTTAAAATGGTAAATTAGAAGACTTGGTTTCTCAACCCACAGCTGCTTTCATTTATGTATAAAGATACTATTAAAAAAGAAGAAATGACTTATCATAGAGTTTTATTCATGGATGGGAGGAATCTACTAAAAGAAAATTGGTGTGAAACTTTAATTAAAAAGCATGAATATAATGAAAGCTGTTCTTCTCTGGGCTTAATAGATTAAATGTTTTTCTTTTGTGTGTGTGTGTGTGTTTTTTTTTTAATCAATAGAACATTTTAAATAATAATATGGTGCCAGTTATGTTATGACATTTTGAGACTAATCATTTTGTGTTTAAAAAAAGAAATTTAAATTTTAAGTGTAGACAATGATGAACTCTTTTAAAAGAAAAGATAGGTTTATTATAGAATTTCAGACTAGACACTAAAGGTTTTACAGGATCCTCTTGAAGGGTAAGTTATGTTGCATTGACTAGAGAAGCATATACAAATGTCTTATACAGTTGACATTGCTGAATGCTTGCTAGATGAAAAAAGTTAGTAAAAGAAATAATGGCACTGCCATTTTCCAATGCTGTAGCAACTCATCCAATTAAGAATTTAGCTGCAAATATGAATATTAATTCAATCTTCTCTGTAGAATTGTACCTGTTCCATACAAATGGAAGTACCTATAGACATAGCTGGGCTTGCTGTTTTGCTTATATTCCAGTACCAGCTGTACAGTATCAGTACAAACCAATGATTGAAGATCTTCTTTTATGTGAATGCTTGACAACAAACACAAATGGTGCTAAAATATTCAAAGGATTGAATGTCTTCTTTTGAATCATATGGCTTCTGAAACAGCTGTGCTGACATTTGTACTGAATGTTCAAAAGCAATTGGTGACTAAACTGTTGGCTCAAATCAGAGCCATGGCCTCAAACTATATTTGTAGTCATTAATTTCTTCACCACTGCACTGGCAGAAAAAAAGTTCCAGTTTTATTTCAAAATGTTCTTGATAAAGAAGAGTTATTTTTATTAAACCATAACTCTTGAGTGCATGTCTTCTTAATATTCTGTGTGATAAATGGGAAATGCTATGCATAAAGCACTTCTGTAAACTAAGCATGATGTTTGTCAAGAGGAATATTACTCTTGCAATTGCTTCAGTTGTAAGCTGAAATGGTCACTTCTTTCATGACACACCATTTCACTTGAAAGAATGACTAACAAACAAATTATGTCTATTTAGTCTTAGGTATTTGGTGGATATTTCCATCAAAATACATCAAATGATTGTTAAAACCAAATATAATTTTATAAGAATATAAATACATTTATAAGACCTGCACAGCTCAGTAAACTAATATGTTCCAAATAATCAATACAGGATATTACAAAATGACACATGGGTAAATGAACTAATTAAAGTGCAAGAGAGACCAATGGATTTTAATGTCACAGAGCACAAAAATTCATCCATATTGCAACAGACTTTTGAGAAATTTCTACTTGTTGAGCTTTGGTGTACTATCAAAGAAGAATTTCCAGAATTATCTGAAAAGATGATTAACATACCTTTTCTTTTTCTCATTACATTTCTGCGTGTGGCTGGATTATTTTTATATACTTCATGAACAACATATGGCAACAAATTGAATACAGAAGTACATATGACAATTCATCTATCTTTCATTAAATCAGACCTCAATGAGATTTGTAAAAATATAAAATTTCATCTTCTCACTGTTATCATTTAGAAGAAAATATAATGAATTAGTATAAAAAAGTTATTTGTATTGACATGTGTTTATTTTTATTTTTAAATGAATTAAAAGTAAATATTTCTAAAAGAAAGAAGTGGCCATTTTTCTTACCTGGGGTCCAGCATTCAGCACTTACACAGCAAACCCAGTAAGCTTAGCCATCTACCTTTGTGGTTGAAACTGTTAGACCTTAGGGAAATGCTTCTCCACATCTCTGGACTTACCTTTTGAACCAGAAAAAGTAAAAGTTGCCTTTTTTTGAAAAGGCATTTCTGAATACCTTGAAAATGTGTGGGTTATGCAACTGCTAACATTTTGAGCAGACACTGCTTTGAAGCAGAGGGAGCATTTCAGCAGCAAAAGTGCTTAGGGGTAAGAGAAAAGACCAATTAACTTTTAAAATCCTTCCTGTTTGATAGCACCAATGCAATATAGTCTTATATAATGAAGTATGATATCCTAGTAACACCCAGTGTCCATTTCTTCCTTCTCTTCGTGTTTCATTTTATGGTAGTCACATATTTGTGTAGTTATTAGCAATCATTGTACATGGTGGATGAATAACATTTAACAAGTGAAAACAGCAATATTAAAAAATGTATATGATTTTCAAATTTATACATAATTCTAGACATGACATGAGTGAATGATGATACTGAGTGTACGTTAGTGTATGGATCCAGATATTGAGATGATAAAGATTATAATATATAAGCAGTAATAATTGATTTGATAAAGTTGTAACATTTCTGTAATAACAAATAGTTCTCTGATCCCATTTTAATGCTTGAACACAATATGTAAAATTTTTTGTTCCTATCTGTCTTGGAATTGTATTGATTCGTATTGGTATTACTTCAGAAAAAGATAGTTTCTACAAACTCATTTATAAACTACTACTTAAGAACTACCTTGACTCAAGAAAAGTTGGTTAAGTTGCCATCATTGTCAGTAGTACATAAATCATTGATCATGAGAACATAAGTAGTAATTTTATTAAATCAAAGGCAAGACAAATTTTATAGCATAAACATAAAAGCATAAGTTGTCTTTATTACTTATCCAAACATTGATGGCTTGTTAACAGTATGCTCATTTTAATTTATATAGAAACCAGAGTTATACACATATTTTTCAATTTTGTTTTTAGAAAAACAGATCTGTCAAGATTGGAGGATAGAACATATTTACTTCTGTTTAGCTTTATTTGAACTTCTAATTATAAATATATGTCTGGTAAGCCTCCACTGTACTCTTGAGCAGGCCCCTCAAACATTAGAGGAGGGCCTGAGTTTCCAGTGACTCATCGTTAATCCTAGCCTTCATCAAAGAAGAGCGTTCATTTAGAGAATGAAGGTATAGTGATAAACTTTATTTTTGAGAGTACCGGTAGCGTGCTATGTGCTCTTTCTATCCTACTATGGGGGAGGAGTGATGGGGGCATTCACCCCAATTCAAGCCAACAGAAGGAGGCTTCAAGAAAGTCCATTGAGAGATTGACATACCTCCATTAGGTTGTTAGAAGGAATAAGGACTCATATCCAACTCCTGCCTGGCAAATCTATTAGCTGAATTAAACAGCCTCACAGCAGAGCAAAGAGACAACCACACTGAAAGTGAGGTACATTTCCAGTAGGAAAGAGAAAATCGAGATGTTTCCCAGAAACCGTGTGGATTCCACAAAACAAAGCTGGCCTGGGGTTGTCCTAAAAGGGATTCCACCCTATAGGGCCACTTGGAGGGGGAGAAATGGCCCTAACGGAATAATGAATCGTTGTAACCAAGAGTTGTGGAAGAAACTAATAGTTGTAGCCAAAGGAGACATCACGTGTATTGGGAGAAACGCAGTCAGAATCCCCCATCAGGTAGACCATGAAAGAATGCATAATTGTCTTTCATGAGAGGAAAATGGGAACATCTGCACCTAGCATACACCAACCGCAGATTTCAACTGCACCAGTCAAGTGAGTAAGGTGGGAGCTCAAGCTAAGATGTTGTGAAGAAACTGTAACCTTCTCCCCTCACCTACAACAGTCTTCTAAGTCCAAGCAGTCCCAAGCCAGGGGAAAAGAGAAGCTTTCAGCTAGATTGTAGTTCTAATACCACTAGACTGGACTTGAAGAATATTCATTAATTGTTTATGAGTTATTACTAAAGCTATGGGAATTCCCACAAGATTTCACTCAGGGTCAATGAAAGAACTATTTGTCAAAGTGAGTTTAACAGTAAGTTTTGTTAAAGAACATAGTTGCTTGTTCCTTGCCCTCTACTAAGTTAAGCTAGTTCAATAAAGTGATTTGTCAGGAAACATTGATTTGGAGAATGTATTAAAGGAAATCATGATTTTTTTTTACATTACCTTGAAAAATACTTGGAACTTAATGTGAATTTTCATATTAAGTGAAATTTTTTACAGCCTTTGCCTGTGAAACATTAAAAATGCTCTGTCGATAGTAATATAATGCAATTTAAAAATCCCATCATGGACACTTTAGTATGAAGAAAGCACAGACTATGTAAAACTTGGAGAATATGTGAGGTAAAATCCAGACAGAGCTTTTACTCTTAGTCAAATAATGTAAAGCTACTTATGAACTAATTAATAAGAGAAACTAGAAATGCAAATCAGAACGTTATACATTATTCAAAGTTTGTACATATTTTTGTGATGGATCAATGTAGAATAAAATACATTTCATGGTTGTGTGTTTTTCATTACCAACTACTGGGGAACCAATGATTCCAAAACTTAGTTGTTTAAAACAGCAACCATTTTATTATCTTTCATCGGTCTGTGGGGACCTGGGCTTAACCGGGCTGTTCTCCTGCTCTATGTGATGTTTCCTGATCTGCAGTTATCTTGAAGTTCAATCAAACTGGAACATACAAGATGCTTGCTCACATGGCTGGCTGTGGATATTGACTATTGACTGGAAACTCAGTGGGGACTGTGAGTCTGAGTGCCTTCATTCTCCTCCATGTGGCTTTTCTTTGTGTCTTTGACTTCTCACAGCATATTGGTTGGTTCCATGGGGCAGTATCTCAAGAACAAGAATTCCCATAGGAAGAAAGCCAAAGCCACCTATCTTCTTAAAGCCTCAGCTCAGAAATTCCAGAATATCAGTTCTGCCACATTCCACTGTTCAAAATAGTACATTGCCAGCCCAGATTCAAATGAAGGAAAATCAGCTCCATCTCTCCATAGGGGAGTGGCAGATATGTACAAACAGGGAAGAAAATAATTGATGGTAGCCACCTTTGGAGACGAGCAACTACAGTGTAATCATTCTGAATAATTCTTATTTGTTTTCCTGAAGTTGTGGGTTCAGAACATGTTCAGGGGTTTTGTTATATTGGTGAAATTGTGTGGACCCTGGCTGATTTAACACAGACAATATTTTGACAGCCAGAAGACAAATTTAGAAAAGCACAATGCCTTCAGAAGGCTTTCTGTTTGTCTTTGTAACCTGAGTAGGGGTCTAACATTGTGTACTTTTTCACTAAACTCTTTAGTAATATTAGCAACTTACCTATTGTCTTAGCCCATTTGGCCTGCTATTACAAAATATCACAGGCTAGGTGGCTGATAAACAACAGAAATTCTTTTTTCAGAGTTTTGGAAGCTGGGAAATAGAAGATCGAGGTGCTGTCAGATTCAGTGTCTGGCAAGGGGCTGCTTCTTCAGCTGTCTTCTCATTCTAACTTCACATGGCAGAAAGGACAAGCAGTTTCTCTCATGCCTCTTTTATAAGGGCACTAATCCCATTTATGTAAGCTCCAACCCCACAACCTACTCACCTTCCAAAGACCTCATTTCTTAATACTGTCACCTGGCCAGTGAGGATTTTAATGTATGAATTCGGGGGTGGGTACATAGAGATAAGACCATAACATCTTAAATGTTCATGTTTGAATCTTACAGTTTGAATCTTCCTATTTGAATCTTTATAATGGATAATTGAGAAGCACAATTTTTATCTGTAATTTTTTTTTAGAGACAGAGTCTCACAATGTTGCCCAAGCTGAAGTTTAGTGACTGTTCACAAGTGAGATCATCAGGCAATCTATAGCCTTGAATTCCTCGGCTCAAGCTATCCTCCTGCCTCAGGCTCTTGAGTAGCTCAGACTATAGGTTCATGCCACTGTGTCCATCCAGGAAGCATAACTTTTTTTTTTTTTAAACAAGGAAAGGGTTTTAAGAAAGTAATGGGTATATGCTAAATATATTTATTAATTCTAAAAAAGGAACCAGAAATAATATTATGTTTCAATAAAATTCACTTTTCACAAAAATCATGCCCAAGGATTATTTGTACGAAACCTATTTAATAAATAATGAGAATGAAACTTCACTGAACATTTTGCTGAGTCTCTAGGATTTAATTTTTTAAAAATTTGTTTTCTTTACTAGAAGTTAAATTTTGTATGTCTGATACTTGTCAAAACATTCAGGCAGAAGTGTATGTTGACCAAATTGTTGAGACTGGCCAGAATAAAAATCCAGCTGGAAACAAATGGCCAAAAATTACTTTATCCAAGTCCCTTTACAGACTGTGCTTATCATACAAACATAATCTAAGATGGTGAGAAAGCTTCTTTGCAGGCACTGGCTATTCCTTGATCTCCTCATCTCTGGATTCTATCTATACTCCCACCTGCTGCTGTTTGAGGTTAACTTCTCTGATTTTCTTCTCTTGACTCCTGATACTTGCTTAATACAGGTTTTCAACGTCATTTTTTCATTTGGCCATTGTATTTATATACATGATGACTGATAATTGCCCTTTGTTTTACATAACAAAACTTAGTTAATAGGCATTCAGTCTTTTCTCCATTCTCTACTACCATCGTTTCTTCTTCCATCCTTTTTTACCTCCTTCCATTTCTCTTTTCTCTCTGCTTCCTTTTCTATTCTTTATTTCCCTTTCTCTCCTTTTCCTGCCTTTTTTTCCTTTCCCAAATAATTATTTATGCACTTAAGTAATTAGAGCACTAATTTTAATACTTAAGACCTGATGACCAACAACACAGACAAGATAGCATTTAAGCAACCTATACTCAAACATTAAATAAATTATTTCAAAGTTAATGATTTTGCTCTAATCATAGGTGCTATGAAGAAGCAAAAGATGTGATGAAAGAACACAATAGGTATTTTGAGATAATCTGGGGTGGAGGATCATCTTCGTGGGGTAAATGGTATTAAAGTTGAAATTTGAAGAATGCATGCAAGTTAACCAGGTGAATACTGATGGGAAATGGTTTGTTAGGCAGAGCAGAAAGACCCAAAGAGTGTTCGAGGAACTGAAATAGTCAATGTGGCTGGGGCTTATTAGAGAAAGTAGACAGGGTGGTGAGAGTTGAAGCTCCAAAGGATGGTAGAAACTAAACAATGCAGTGTCTGGCAGGTGATGATAAAACTCTTGAAGGGAAGTAAGTGGAGAGTGATTAAGAAGTACTTTGCACACGTTGGATGAATAACCAGGCCTGACCATTAGTAGAGGGAGGAAGAGAGATGAAAGGACAAAACTTATGACTTAAATAAAACTTTGAAATTGTCTGTGATTTGTGCTTATTCATTTTATACACATTAGTGAATAATAGTTTTAAATCTTTCAAATTGAACACAAGTGTAGTTTTATTATTATTTTTTTTTTTTACCTAGAATATGGTCTGCCTCTACTTGTGATGTATGAATCCCTGTCTGGTTTTTGAATTGAATTCAGAAGGCTCCTTTAACTGATACATTTTTGGACTTCACATAAAAGTGAAGGAGGATCAAGAGAATGCTGAAATACTGTTTGTAGTTCTCTGTTTATAAGAACCTATAGCAATCAATGTTTGCACCCCCATGAAAATATGGTTTCAATTTTGTCCTTGAAATAAGAGAGGAGATGTGTTGCCAGCACATATTTATTCCTGCCAAGCATCTTCTTCTTTCTAGAGTGTACAGACATCTTATGAAGTTTTGCTTTCAATTTGTTTCAAGTTTAGTTTCATTTTAAAGTGGTGAATACCTGATAAATGACAGCACTTGTTACAATGATGAGACTATTAGCTGGGATGATGTGCCAACAGAGATGGTGGACAGACAGCAATTTCCACAAGTCTACTAAGAATATCAACTGCTGTCTTATTTATTGGGACTTACACTTGAACATACTGGCTAACTCTCAAATCCAAACTTTGCATTGATTAGAGTCAAAACTAGAGACCAGGATTTTGAGTTGGGTGTTCAGAATTTGTTTCATTTTGAAGTTTGTAACTTATCATCATATTGATTTACATGCAGAAAAAATGATTAATAATCATGACCTTGCAAACTCATAATAGATATGTCACATGTTCATTTACCAATAATTTGAAGTCTTAGAGTTTACTTAGATAATATGGCTTGTGGATGTGCATGACAAATGTTAGAGCTTTTTTATTTTCTCAAATCAATAGTCCTTTGTTGGACTTAATGTTCATACTTTTCTTATTTTATATTTAGCATTCATAGAGAAATAATAGTATACAACCCAGCATTGCCACAAAGAAAACTGAAATATTAAACACATTATTTTGGTGAATTCACACTGGGATACAAAATTTCCTTCATGATAAAGACACATTTGAAAGTCATCAGAATTGGCCTTGCATTTGAAAGTCATCAGAATTGGCCTTGAATATTTTTACATTTCCTCTTATTGCTATCATATTCACTCCTCCCTTTTCTCTTAGATTAACAACACATTTCATTATTCTTTCGCTTTATTTATTAAAGTACTCATATCTTTGGAAGTGCCAAAAGAATCTTCCTTACTGCATATCCTCAAGTTCTCAATAGCGGTATTAAAGAGATTCAGAGAAGTTTAGAATCTGAGTGCATATGAAGGCTTTGTTAAATTTATGCAACACAGTATTTCTTAATATTCCTCCAAGTGTTATGACATTTATATATCTTTACAACTGGAGACTAATTAGTTAAGATTTTAAAAAAATTCTCATCAAATCTGGATTCTATTACTATTATGCCACTGAAATTTCTTGTATAAAGTTTATCAATAATATTCGATTACCAAATCCATTGAATTTCATAATTTTTAGTAGCATTTGTTATTGTTAGCCACTTTCCTACTCATCACTTATTTTTCTTCTGCCTCTGCTTTCTCACCTATAAAATAGGGTTGTTATCAGACTTAAATAAGTTGATATATGTGGAGATCTTAAAGGGTTTCTAGGACATAATAAGCACATGCTTTTCAGCTATCTTCATGATCATATTACTTGCTTTCCAATTGTGTTCTAGCCCACATTTTAAAAAAGCAGAATGTGTAATAAAAGCATGCATGAGGTAGTTTATTGTAACATGACCTTAGGAAGGAAGTGAGGGACCAGATGAGTAAAACAAGGAAGGAGGAAAAACCAACACAGGGTGCATTGTTAAGTTAGTAATCCCTATGAAACCATACACAATGCATTTTGAAACTGACTGCTTTGTTAATTGTCTCTCATACTCTATTAGTCAAAGATGGCTCCATGCACATTAATTCCTTCATACTTTCAGACTGGAAAATTGTTAGTGCCAAGCTGGTTCAATGCATGAGAGAAGGTTAGAAGTGAGAGGGTATGGCCATGAGCATTTTATGTAGGGCTCAAGAGGTATCCAATGTACATATCCTCCTGGGTTTTCTCATACCTCCTTGGCCACTCTTTCTCCTCATCTTCTTCACATTTAGTCCCCTTGTTTTCTAATACTTTTTTCTGTTTCAAAAATCAAATTTTGAGGTATAAGTCACATAAAATAAAATGTACACATTTAAAGTGTAGAGTTGGATGGTTTTGACAAACGTCTATATATCTGTGTAACTGCTCTTCTAATTAAAGGCATAAAACATATCTAAATTCTCAATTGCCTCTTTGTAATCAAGAATGCCTAGCTCTACCTCTAGGCCAACACTGACAAATAAGGATGATGAGTATTGTTTTGTGTGAATGTTGATTATTTTTCTTATTTTCTGAAATACCTGTTCAAATATTTTGTACATTATTACTTTAGTTATTTGTCATCTTAGTATTAAGTTATAAGAGGTCTTTATGGATTTTGGATATCAGTCTTTCATATTTTTCTAATTCTGTGGCTTGCTTTTTATTTATTTTTAGCCATGTCTTTCAAAGAACAGAAGTCTTAAATTTCAATGAAGTCGAATTTATCATTCTTTAATCTTATAATTCTGGTTTTTGCGTGCAATCTAAGAAATCCTTTCCTTTTGCAATACAGCAAAGATTTTTCTCCCGCTTTGTACTAAAAGTTATGTGTTTTAGCTGTCACATTTAGGTCTATGATAGACTGAAAAGTAATCTTGTATACGATGTGAGATCAGGTCAAGTTTTCTTTTTAAAATATGGCTATTCCATTGTTCTGTTATTATTTGTTGAAAAGATTATCCCTTTCCCCATTGATCTTCCTTAGCATCTTTGTCAAAAATCAATGGACCACATATATACACATACACACACAATTATATATACATCTAAAATCATATATATAATTCATATACATATATACATGTGTATGGGTTTATTTTTGGATTTCAAAGTTCTGTTTATTTGATCTATGTATCTAATCTTAAATCTATACCACAGTCTGTATTACTGTTGCATTATAGTGAGTCTAAAAATGACGTACTGTAAATCTTCTTTGTTCATCTTTTTCAAAACTGTTTTGGCTAGTCTGTTTATGTTTTTATAAAAATTATAGAATCAACTTATCAATTTTTATGAAAAGCCTGCTGATATTTCATTGAGAATATATTGAACTAGTCCATAAACCAATTTGGGCAGCGTTAACATATTAACAATAGCTAGTCTTCCTATCTATATATATGGTCTACTGTATTTGTCCATTCTTACTCTGCTATGAAGAAATACCCAAGACTGAATAATTTAAAAGAAAAGAGGATTAATTGACTCACAGTTCCACATTTTTTGCTGGGGAGGCCTCAGGAAACTTACAATCATGGCGGAAGGAAAAGGAGAAGCAGGCACCTTCTTCACAGGGTGGCAGGATAGAGTGAACGCAAGCAGGGGAAATGCCAGACGCTTATAAAACCATCAGATCTCATGAGACTCATTCACTATCACGAGAACAGCATGGGGAACCGCCCCCCATGATCTGATTACCTCCACCTGGTCCCGTTCTTTTCAAGGGGATTACAATTCAAAATGAGATTCAAGTGGGGACACAGCCAAACCATATCATATGCTGATCTATTTATTTTGCTCTCTAATTTCTCTCAGCAGCGTTTTGAAATTTTCAGGACAGGTTTTTCACATAGTTTGTTAATATTATGCCTAAGCATTTTATAGATTTTGCTATGATTACAAATAGTGTTTTGAATTTTCAATTGTTTGTTGATAGCACACATACATACAATTAATTTTATATGTTCTTATACATTTGTATGGGGCTTGTATTATACAGTCTTACTAAATTCACTTGTTAGTTCTCATAGTTTTCGTTGTGGATTCCTTAAAAATATGTGCTCAGGCTGGGCGTGGTGGCTCACGCCTGTAATCCCAGCACTTTGGGAGGACGAGGCTGGCGGATCACCTGAGGTCAGAAGTTTGAGACCAGCCTGGCCAACATGGTGAAACCTCGTCTCTACTAAAAAATACAAAAAATAGCAGGGCGTGGTGGCGGGCGCCTGTAATCCCAGCTACTCGGGAGGCTGAGGCAGGAGAATTGCTGGAACACGGGAGGCAGAGGTTGCGGTGAGCCGAGATCGCGCCATTGCACTCTAGTCCGGGCCGACAACAGCAAGACACCGTCTAAAAAAGAAAGAAAGAAAGAAAGATGTGCTCAATTATTTTATTTGTGAGTAAAGACAGTTTTACCTCTTGCTTTAATATCTGCATGTCTTATTTCTTTTTCTTGTTTTATTTCCCTGATTAGGACTTTCAGTGCAATGTTAATAAAAGGAGTAAGAATGAATGTCCTTGGTTTGTTCCTAATCTTGGTGGGAAGCATTTAGTTTTTCACCATTAATATATACTAGTTGTAAGGTTGTTTCTAGATAATCTTTATCTAGTTGAAAAATTTTCCTTCTATTTCTAGCTTATTGATGGTTTTATTATGAATGGGTGTTGAATTTTGTCAAAAATTCAATGGCAATTTATAGGCAATGCTCAATTTCATTATTGACTTTATTTTTAATTAAAACATATAACATTCACATTAGTCAGATATTATTATAACATTCATATTAGCCAGATATTAAAAAGTGCTAAGTACTCTTTCATCTTCCCAGTTCCCACTCTTTCTCCACAAATAAGCACTTTTATTAGTTTCCAGTGTGAGCTTTCTGAGTTTCCAAAATACAAATACCAGAAAACATCAATATATATTCTAATTTGCTCCACTTTCTAAACACATAGCATTTTATAAAATAGTTACGCACTTGCTTTTTTTCATTTAATAGATCTTAGAAAGCTTTTCTTATTAGGGTATAGAGAAATTTCTCATTATTTCTTAGAACTACATAGTATTCTATTGCATGGATATACAGTCACCTAGAAACTACTTCCCTTTAATGAAAATCTGGGTTGTTTCCAATCTTTGGTTATTACAAAGATGCTTCAGTGGATATCAATATGTATACATAATTAAGGTATATGCTCTTGTAATTTTGATGGCTTATTACCAGGAAATAATGAGACTCTTGTTCAGATGTGATATAGGAAAGCTCTGTCCTACTCTTATCTAGATTCCATTCTTCCTTTGTTGTCCTGGCTCCAAATCATGCACTCTTTCTCTTTTAGTTTCAGAAATATATCTCAGGCTAGACAATGTCAGAATGGTAGTACTATTTTATCATGATTTTATGGTGACTGCAGATAATTCATAATCCCCTTATTAGCAACTGCTTAGAGTTTAACATCAGTGACATTCACTTGTATTTTTGAGACTAAAGCTATGATTTTTGTCTAGGTTACTATAGAAAAAATCCATACAAAATTACACTAAGCATAGTTTTATTTTTCTCCAACGCTTGGACTGGAAAATATTTGCTATATCATTCAGTGTCCCAGAAGGCTTCTTTATTTCTTTGCACTGCATATTTTCTTTGCACTATTTCTCTCTCTTATAGTTCATATAGGTTCACTGCTAGTATGAGGAGGGGGCATGTGGGTAGGAAGAAAAGAACTTACAGGTTCAGTACTATCTAATTAATTTTCCATAGTTTAGAAAAGGGACTGACTCTATCTTACTTCTATCAAAAACAATCTTATTGACTGTAGCATCAAAGCATGTTTTATTTTACTGGTTTATATACCATGGGTAGAGACCATACCTGCTTTTGCTGTCTAATAAAAAGGAGTTATGAGAATTTTCACAAGTCCAGTAGATTAGGGTTTCAAATATTACTTGCCTATATTCAGGGCTGACTGGTATATTAAAAATGCCAGCTTTGGCCAGGCATGGTGGCTCACGCCTGTAATCCTAGCACTTTGGGAGGCCAAGTCAGGTGGATCACAAGGTCAAGATATCCAGACCATCCTGGCTAACATGGTGAAACCCTGTCTCTACTAAAAATACAAAAATTACCTGGGCATGGTGGTGTGTACCTGTAGTCCCAGCTACTAGGGAGGCTGAGGCAGGAGAATCGCTTGAACCTGGGAGGCAGGGGTTGCAGTGAGCTGAGATCTCACCCCTGCACTCCAGCCTAGCGATAGGGCAAGACTCCGTCTAAAAAAAAAAAAAGAAAAAACGAAAAAAATGCCAGCTTTGTCTTCTTTGTACTCCCTTTGGAAAAGAAGTCGTAATGGCTTTGCTAGAAATAATGTTTCACATCACCAGTAAATCCAAGTCAAATAACAAAATGTGTTAATATATTATCATGCTTTCTCTGAAGCTTATGATAATAGGCCTTTTGCATTTCATTCCTATCTTTTCTATCTTTGGATACACCTCTGAAGAGAGTAGAAAATGCAGAAGGGGAAATATATACCAGAAGAGTAGAACTCACTGTACAGAAATTAAAGATGTGACACAGTCTCTTGAATGAACGGCATGCAAAGCAGTCTTGGGTAAATTTGACCCAAGCAAATGGCAATGCTGTAGGAGTGTAAATCATCAAGAACATTTACAGAAATGCTATATAAATGTAAAGTGTCAAAATATCTCAGATCCTATGATAGATTTATATTTCTTGCAAATATTTTTGGATGTTGGTATGACTCTTGGGCTGGAGACTCAGTAGAGCAATAAATTCCCTCCTACTGCCTTTGGTTAGGATGCATATTTTATTCATTTATTATGATATTTTAAATTAAAACATACTTAATTGGAATCACTTTTATGTTCCTTTTGTGCTAATATATTGAGTTAGTTTATTGGTTAGCTGACTTGAAAGAAATACTTGTTAAGAGCATTGCCTTTAGAGCTAGAGCCTGAATTTAAATTCTGGCCTCCCCACTTACTAACTAATTGGTTGTCTCACACAGGCCTCAATTTCTGAGAGGCACAATTTCCTCATAGGTGAAACAGATACAAGAATACTTACTTTATAAACCCATTGTAAGGATTAAATGAGATAATCTATGTTAAACATTCAGCACAGTTTACTGGCAAATAATAAATGCTCATGAATGACAGTGAAAATGAAAATTGAATACTAGGAAGTATACTTAGAGATGATTACTTTAACCAGAACAATTAAATAGATGACAAAACTTTATATATGTGTATACATATGTATATGTGTATATGTGTACACAAAAATACCCTCACATATGTTTATATACAAAGAATGGAGGAAAAAACTTTTGGTAGCAAAAAATCACTATGCTTAATTCACTTTTGTATGTTTTAAAATTAGTCTAATATTTGTATCCGCCTCTATATTAGTACATTCCAGAAGGATAAGCAATATTTCTAGCACTGTATATTCAGAAAAAACACATCTGCATGTATTTTAAGAATCCATCAGGGTGCTAGCCTCCCTGTAGTATAATTGCTGTAAGTATAACTTAGGTTGGAAATCTTTCAGGGATAGCATCATAACACATCCCATGATTTCATGCATTGCATGGCTGGCATCGTTCCCGGTGGAGCAGGAGAGACACACACACTAACATGGCTGTCAAAACAGGTTAAGATGAATCATCTGAAAATATTTTAAGACTAGTATTAGTGAGGACAGTCTTCCAATTTTCATTTAAGTGTTTTGTTATATCACTTGATGTTGAATGCTGCCTGTTCAGGAACATACTACCTGTAAATTCTATTTTTCATTTTATCAAAAAAGCTTAACTTTGGAGTAGACGATGGTAAGCTGAAAAGGATACTGGGAAAACTAGAAACTTCTAAAGACTATATTTTAAATGAGATGACTGAAATTATCCAGAGAATATTTTTTATCATCAGTAAATATACTTTTCACCCTTTCCTCTTGATTCACATAAATTTAATAAAAAGGGTTTAAAAAATGTGTGCTGGCCTGCATTTTATTATGTAATAACATTTGCATGGTACCGCTTTTCTGTTTCTCACTTCATCAGTACTGTTTTTCATTTGGGTGGACCTCCTCAGCTGTGATGGTGTTGGAAAAAAGCATCTGTAGTTGTGCAATCATCAACTGAAAGCTGCTCTGTTTCCACGTAACTATATGTCTTTTTGAGACCAAATGGGAGATGCTTAATGTTAATAAATAAGCAGTTTCTGCATAAATAAAGACCAGGCCCTGAAATATATAGACTTGATTATTTTTTTTCTGTCCCAAGTCAAATGGATTCATAAAACAAGCGATAAAGCTGTGAATTATACACTTAGTTACAAATGCATTCAGAATAAATGTGGTTTCTATTTGTAAATACAAATACTATAGTGCTATGGGACTCAACCTTAATCCATTACAGTAGAGAAAAATACAAATATATGACCCTTGTGCATAAAACACATTGGTACCAAAGTACTATAGCAATGGATAACACATTTGTTTTTGTTTTTAACGCCAAAAATGTGGTTCAAAGTCCTGGAAGACGTGGTCAACTCACCTCTTTTTTGGCCTTCTGCTTAACCCTGCAACCTTTAATATTCAATGTGACCAAATAGGTACATCACATGGTGATTTTCATACAAGCTGCATATATTTGCATGCTTTTAAGAATGCGGCCTCAAGGCCGGGCATGGTGGCTCACGCCTGTAATCCCAGCACTTTGGGAGACTGAGGGAGGCAGATCACCTGAGGTCAGGAGTTCGAGATCAGCCTGGCCAACATGGCAAAACCCTGTCTCTACTAAAAATACAAAAATTAGCCAGGTGTGGTGGTGAGCACCTGTAGTCCCAGCTACTTGGGAGACTGAGGCAGGAGAATTGCTTGAACTCGGGCGACGGAGGTTGCAGTGGGCCAGGATGGTGCCACTGCACTGCAGCCTGGGCGACGGAGCAAGGCACCCTCTCAAAAAACAACAACAACAGAAAAAAACACAAAAAATGGCCTTTAAAAAAGTAGTGGTGCTATCTTTTTTTAAAAAGAAAATGTTTTATACTTCTATGAATGCAGAAACTGAGGACTTTTACAAAGAAGAGACTATGTTAGCTATTATTTTCTATTGCCATGAGATTAAATTTTTCTACTGTTTGAATAATTTGTACAAATACTCTTTTACTGCAATTTTTTTCTCATTTCTGTAAAAGAGACCATAAAGTCATGATTGACCACAGTAACCAATGGTTATCCTAGATCAGATTTTGATGTTCCAAATTCACTAGTTCAACTTTACTTGACAATCAAAATGATGGAGAATTCAAGCTAAGAGGAAGCAAAACACTGTTTAAATACATATAGCTCTGGCAATTGTCTGGGATAACTATATGGATTATGAAAATCATATGAAAGGTAATAGATACATGTTTGACAATAGAGTAGTTCAAAGTTACTTCTGTTCTGAATGGTCTACTTTACAAAAAGAAAATATAAATATAAATTAAAATATAAATCATTATATTTGATTTATGACCTTTCCCTCTATTTAACAAGAAAAGCCAGTTTACAATGATACAATTTTGGCAAGCTATTTTCTTACTTTTAAAAATAAACTCATTTAAAATGTGTGTCTAATAATCTTTTTAATTTTAGAGGTATATTTGGAAAATTTAGTGTTTCAAGACTATTTATAAATAACATTAAAATATAATTTTTAAAATTAATGCATTATGAAACAGGGGGTCCCTATTAAGAAGACTTATGTGTTTTATGAAGTTCAGATAGATTTCAAGTGGTCCAGCTGGCAACCGTCTTCCACCCAGCCTGTATTTAATACTTATTATATTTAATTATCTCCCTTTCAATCTGAATCCAGCACCTATGTTCTTTAACTATATAAATATAGTAGTTATATAGACCCCTAAAAAGTAGGATGGTGACTAAAGTCACTTATGCACCAATATAAATTTTTAATTCTGAAAATTAGATTATATTATATCCCCACCCAGAAGACTTTAAATGCACTTCTTACAGCTACAGGAGAAAAATCCAAACATGTTGTACTTCATAGTATAGCTATTGATTGCCTATTCTTTTACCATTTAACATTCACCTTAGGATTTAGTCATACTAAATTACCTGGTTACTGACTTCATTTGCTTTCTCACATCTTCATGCTTTTGTATCTTATATTCCCTTTGCATAGAATGCCTTATACTCACTTTGCTACCTGGGAAACTCCAGCTGATTCTTCAATTCTGAAATCAAATATTATTTCTTCTGTGAAGTTTTCTTCTTCAATTTCCCAATTCCATTTCTGTGGAATTTACATACCTATGTAAATTTAGGTCCTCTTTAATTAGATTACATCTTACATAGACAAGTGCATAAGCGCATGCATGCCTACACACACTCACACACACTTCCATTAGAACTATAATGACATTTTAATGTGTGTTCTGAATTTGCCTGGTTATCGCTTCTATTTGATCATAAGACTCTTTTAAGATGAGGAAAATTTCCTCTTATTATATACTTGTTAAATTAAAAAAACACATTAATATGTGATAGCAAGTTAGTAAATGAATTTCTTAACGTAGTTAAAATTTATTTGAAACCGCAGATCAATGATAAGTTACTCATTCAATGGACTTTCTTTATTCTACATGAACCTGTTTATACGCTCATACTCTAAATTGCACTCAGTAACAAAATGAAGAATATAATTCAGGTCAGCTTGCTATTTAAATATGAAACTATGTTACCTATGTGACAAATGTTTCTAAATTCTTTTTTTCTTCACGTTTTCATTTAAGTTCAGGGGTACATGTGCGGGATGTGCAGGTTTGTTATATAGGTAAATGTGTGCCATGGCGGTTTGCTGCACAGATCATAAATAGATTTCACCTTTATGCTTTCTATAAAAAGTATCTGAAACTGAAAGTAAATAATAATGGAGATGATAAGATGATATGAGCACAAGGTGTCTTATGTATTTTGGAGACTCTTTGAATGGGGTATTCAAACTGTTGGAAGGCAGGCGTCCAAATACTCTCTTGCTACTTAAAGTCATTTTTCAATGAGGTGATAAATAGATAAAAGCAAACATGTATATTTTGGAATGTTTGGATCTAGGCAAGGCACGTATGATGTGTTAATTTTCCTGCCACTTTAAGTATTCTTTAAAAATTAGTGCTTTCTATATATTCTCTTTTGCTTTTGTTGAGAAAAGAAATTTACATTTTCATCTTCCTACTATGTGTATTCTGTACTTGAAAGCAATGTCCTCATTCACCATTAATTAGTCTATTTTGAACTCGCTACATTTGTCTTTAGTCCCACCAAAGCATCTAAAAGAACCAGGAGTTAAAACACTTAGTTGTCACAAAATCAGGGAATTGAAAAGATATGCTTATCTTTTTTATTACTACTGTCAATTTATTCCCTTGAATTTTAAATAGTAGAATGTCTTCTTTTATTCTTTGTTCATGTCTTTAGAAGGATTACAGCTACTTTTAATATCAATGCTATAGTTGCTATTAAAGTTAGGCTTACTTTTGTTTATTTGGGTTTAAAACATTTTATGATCTTAGGTACGATATACCTTTTGAGAATTAAAAAATCAAGAGCCCATTCATGTTTGATTGAAAATTATAGAAACAGCTTTTAAATTAACTCAAGTGAAAAATAAGATTCATAGGGGAGATGCTGGAGTTGACCACATAAAGGAAGATATGAGGCACTAGGACAGCCTTAGGGGTTTCAGACTCTCAACCTCTAATAGTGCTTCTTTCTGGGTGTCAGGGACATAGCTGCTGGAAGTTCTAGGGTCTCATGCTTTCAGCTTCATAATCAGGGAGAAAAGATAGTATTTTATCATCTCTAGCAGAAAAATCATAGGGAAGAATATGAATTGACTCACCTGGAAGCATAGACCTATTCCTGAACCAATTCCTGTGCCCAGGACTAAAGCATTCTTTGAGTGGTACAGCCTGGGTCACATGATTCCACCTACTGTCAAGATGTGGAACTGTTTTTCAAAGGAGGGTGACTAGGCCAGACCAACAATGGCAATAGCCACTACAAAGAGAAACTAATTATTTTATTTTATTAGTACTCCATTCTGTAACATTATAGAGAATATAGAGAGCTGATTTATATGAGGTGCTAAATATTTGTAATGCTACTATTGTTTTAAAGATGGAAATATTTTCTCTGTACATAATTTAAATGTGCTCTGGCTAAGGATCATTATGGAAAAAAAAACTACTATTAAGGCCAGATACCAAAGTGAAAATTTAATTGAAATATTAGAATGTAATGGGTTGTGAAATTCTAAAGTGAGATGCAAGACCAAAATGAAAATTTTCAAAGGAAATGTCTGTGAATGGGCTTCTTGACTAAAAATCCCTTTGACTAAAAACCCTTGACTAAAAAACCGTCTCATTGGGAATATAAACAGCAAAGAGAGTAGAGGGTGAGGAAAGATTTGTAAAGAGGATTTTTTGAACAAACCCATGATTGCCTCTTCATCTTAAGTCAAGGCAGAGGATTTCTAACCAATTCCTCTGAGAGGCTGAGCAATGGCCCACAGTTAGGGAGTCCCAGAGAAGTACAGAAAACAGTGGAGTGGCTAGCTGCATGGAGGTAGAATGAAGCTTTGCTACTGGGGTTGTCCCATTGCCCCAGATATTGTGGAGGTCAAGGATGCCTGAGTGTTTCCTGTACATCACATATGGCCAAGAGAGGGATTTGACATAGATGCTTTATAAGATACTGTGAATGCAGGTCCACAGATGGCAAGGGAGTCTCAGGTGAAGTTAGAGGTGAAGCACCAGATCCCTTACAGCAGGAGAAGTGAGCAACCACTGAAATGCCATGCCTTCACCCTAGTCAATGTTACTGCACGTCAGAGAGCACCTGGAATGGGACATTCCAAAAAATATACAAAAATTTCCTAGAAGAGAAAGTGCTAACTTTCAACATTTGCCAGCCCTTAAAACACACAAGGCAACTTAAGATAGTAGTGGTCAAGTATTTAATAAAAACTTCCTGCCCCCAGTCATCCCTCTTCCCTCCTCTGACACTGGAGGAAAGGTTCAAAACCACAGTTAGCAAGATGGTGGTGCAGGAGTGAAGGTTTAAAGGAAAGTGCAAGAGAGAAAAAAATATAAAAACGTACCTCCCCTCCTTTATTGGCCTCTTACTTACAACAGGCCTATGTAAACCAAAAATAAAATTCTAAGCCCCCCAACTGACTGATGGACTCCTCTATCACGCAAGGCCATTCAAAAGTTAACCTGAAAAGCTAGTTTAGGCCATGATGGGAAGCAGGGGTTAGACATGCCTCATTATACCCTCCTCCCTTAGGAATTCAGGTGCAACTCACCAACATTAACAATAAAACAGAGATTTTTAGACTGATAAAACAGACATTTTGTAGCAACAAGACACCAAATCCCAACCTAACTCTAGTATAGCATCACATAACAGACAGCAGGCCCTGAAAGAAATGGAGGTATTTTATCCCAAAGTATATTTCTTTGACATATTTTGAAATGTCCCTAAAAAGTTGTTCTTACAGGGAAACTGTACGTTCTGTAGAGAATCCCCTTCTCTTTCCAGGTCTTTTCCCTTATCCAGGAGATAATTAACTAAGAGTCTGGCATCTTTTTAGGTCTGGTAAGAGCTCTGAAGCATTCCTTTCTGTTGATTCCAGGTCTTTAGATAATAACTCAACCAACTGTCAATCAGAAAATATTTGAATCCACCTATGACCTGGAAGCTCCCCACCACTCCCACTTCAAGTTGTCCCACCTCTCTGGGTAGAAGCAATGCACATTTTACATGTATTTATTGATGTCTTATGTCTCCCTAAAATGTTTAAACCAAGTTATAGCCTGACCACCTTGGACACATGTTCTTAAGGTCTCCTGGGGCTGTGTCACAGGTAGTGGTCCCTCATATTTGGCTCAGAATAAATCTCTTCAAATATTTTACAGAGTTTGACTCTTTTCATTGACACCTACAGGCTCCACCTGGGGAACCAAGAATAGATCTAATTTTGAATGGAGTTGGATGCTTTGATAATTACCTGAGACTTAACATTTGAAGCTTTGAAACCCACAGTGATTCTAGTACTTTTTCTTGTTGAAAACTGAGAGCAGTCATGGGGCTACCTGTGCTTTATTCCAAGGTCAAAGAGAAGAGCTCAGACTGCTGAATAAATTGAAAGGAAAAGTGGGTGAAAAAAAGTACTTTCTGATTACAACCTTTGAGTTCTGTGATTTAGCTGTTTGTTCTTTAGTGGATACAGTTCCTTAACTAGATTATGAGGTTCTTAGGGTATTCCTAACTAACGAATTCTTGCAAAATGGTGGACATTTTCCCCTATTATCAGTTTGACACATGGAAATTTTGTGTACTAGACTATTTGTGTCTATGTATATCAGTGTATGTATATTTTATATTTTTTTATTATTTAAATCCTCTGGTGTTCCATATAACATCAATTATAGGAATGGCTTTATTGAACTTAAAAATTATTTGAGTCAGACTCATATTATAAAAGCAATAGAGAAAAATCAACCCCTAATTGGAACTTGCAAAATGTATTTTTACAGATTAAAATGAAAAACAAAATGTCATTTGAATGCTTTAATTGGTTTCAGTGTTACAACTGCAAGCCAGATGGTTCCTTTTCAAGTAGTTTACAATGTCTTTGCTGAATAACTGAATTACTAAAGCAGCTGTGATTATTAACATTTACCTAAACAGAAAAACATGTCTGCTATTCGTTTGTTAAGAAAGTACCTGCTTTGCAGTAGTTTGGGAAACAAATCATGATTCCAGTTCCTCTAGATAGCATAGTATTTTCATAAAATGAGAGAAAACATCAATAAGAGATGCACATATTAATTTGTATCTTAAAATGAATGCTGATTTTAAATTTTTGCTTATTGACCCAGCGTTAGCATCTCTTGTGGATTCTTTCGATTTTATGTTTCTACAATTGTATGATTTATTTATATTTTTGATTTGAAAAAGAAACACTTTTAGATGTAATACTCTGTTAATAATTATCTTTAGTTCCTGGTTAAAACATTATATTCTGGAAGTAAGTAGTCCTTACAGAAATTTGTTTCTGTTATAAGCTGAGGTATTCTAACTCTATACTCTTAGCAAGGGTAAATTTGATACTGAATGTAATCTGGAGTACTGTATACAAATTCAATTCTTGAGAGAGCCAAATAAGGAAAGAAATATTTAGGGGGGAGTAATGGTGAGGTGTGCTGTTTCAGTTCAATTTTCAAAAAGATAAATTGTTAGGAAAAATTCTGATTAGGTAATGGCATTTTAAACATTCTATCACATCATTTTCTAATCAGAATTATCCTTACTAATATACTGTTTTGGTAAAAGGATTGAAACAACTGATTTTTGTCTTGGAAGTCTATGATTGTCTTGGCATTTTTGTTGATTTAGGTTTAGCTCCACAGATCTCCTCTGGGCTGTCCCATGTGTCTCTCTGTAGTCAGCTGGGTGATGGAGGGGGCTGGTTGGTGTAGGATGGTCAACATAGTGACAACTCAGCTCTCCTCCATGTGCTCTTCACATTTTAGCATGGTAGCCTGGGCGTGTTCTGGTTATGGCAAAGGAGCAAGAGCAGCAAGACAACGAGTTCCTCTGCCCAAGAACTTTTGAAACCTTTGGTTGTGCCATGTTTGATAACATTCTGTTTGACTAATGCAAGTCATATAGTCAAGCCCAGAGTCAAAGCATGGGAAAATGCCCTGCCCTTGAGAGGGGACAAAGAATTGGGGTCATTAATTGACTCTATAGGACACACATTCTTACAGGTTTACACTATTCTATAATAGTAATCCTGGGTATGACGTACTATAACGTAATTATCCACTTTCCTATTTTTGGATATTCAGGTTGATTTTTTTTGCAGTTGTAATCAATGTTGCAATAAAAATGTATATACAGCTTTATGCACATTTATTAATTTTAAACATTTAATCATGAAATATTTTAAATGTACCAAAAATATGGTCTCCCCACTGAGATTATATAGCTCTTTGTATATTTTCGTACTTATTACAGTCTCTTTGAGTATATTGTTTGTTGCTTGTAAGAACCAGTAACATCTAAAGCCCTATCACCTATCTTTCCCTTCCGTTCCAGAGGCAACCACTACGCTCAAGTTGGTATGTGTCATTCCAGTGTTTGCTATTTATGCTTACTATACAGGCAAACCTATACTGCTTTTTTACATTTGAACTTTTTACATTTGAAATCAGTGTTACCATACTGCACGTAGGTTTCTGCAGATTTAATTTTTATCCAATGTTATATTTTTAAAATTTAACCATATTAATGCATGCAGACTTATGTCAATCATTTGCACAGCTACATAACATTATTCCGCTGCATGAGCAAGCCAGCTAATGGGAGTCAATTGTATTTTCTTAAGTTTCTCTGTTGCAAAGAATGCTCAGCGGCAATCCTTGTACATATTTCTTTGTGCATGTGTGTGAAAGTTTGTCAGGGACAGACATTCATAGGAATAATTTCTGTTTACCACAGTATGTATATCACATTTTGCTTTTTTACAATTCCTCCAGAAATGTATGAATGATTCATCTTTCCTGACATCTCACAAAATTTAGTTATTGTCTAACTAATGATTCAGAAATTTATCCCACTGTTACCTAAATTACATTCCCATGATTTTAAGGATATTTTAATATGTTTATTTTTCAATCCAGTTTCTATGCTTGTCCCTTTACTGTTCCATATAAATTTTTGGATCTGCTTGTCAAGTTCCACAAAAATCCTGTGAGTTGAAATTGCATTGAGTTTATAAATTAATTTTGGTTAAAATTGTCATGTTTATATTATTTATAGTTATTATCCATAAACATGCTATTGTATTTAAGACTTTTATATGTCTCTGAGTAATGTTTTACTATCTGCTCCACAAAGGTTGTTGTATTTCCTTTATTAGATTTATTATCAGAAAATATATAGTTTGTGTTACTATTGTAGTACATTTAAAGTTTAAATGTACATTCAAAAATAAAAAAGTACATTTAAAGTACATTTTTCTGTTTGCTGCTAAAATATAAAGTATACTCTTCATTTTGTGTACTGAGCTAATATCAAACAAAATTGCCAACCTCTTTCTTTTACTCACTGAAATTATTTTCGCAATACTATTTTCTAAAAAGAATGACAAGTTTTTCTTTATTTTTTTCTTTTTTCTTGCTTTTGCTCTTTATCTTCTATAACTCTCTTTTGCCTTAGTTTACTTGAAGATCTTCCAATGTGATATTGACTAGAAGCAGTGACTGTCTATATCCCCACCTTCTTCTGAATTATAAAGGAATGCGGCCGGGCGCGGTGGCTCACGCCTGTAATCCCAGCACTTTGGGAGGCCGAGGCGGGCGGATCACGAGGTCAGAAGATCGAGACCATCCCGGCTAAAACGGTGAAACCCCGTCTCTACTAAAAATACAAAAAATTAGCCGGGCGTGGTGGCGGGCGCCTGTAGTCCCAGCTACTTGGGAGGCTGAGGCAGGAGAATGGCGTGAACCCGGGAGGCGGAGCTTGCAGTGAGCCGAGATCGCGCCACTGCACTCCAGCCTGGGCGACAGAGCGAGACTCCGTCTCAAAAAAAAAAAAAAAAAAAAAAAAAAAAAAAAAAAAAAGGAATGCTTGTATTGTTTCAAAATTGAGTTTGGTATCTGCAGTGAGTTTTGACAGACAAAATTTATCAGACAAGGAAGTTCTCTTCTATTCCTAGTTTGCTAGTAGTTTTCTTAAGTTATAAATGTGTAACAAATTTTATCAAAACTGTTCTAATTCTATTGAAATATTGGTTTTTATCTTTTAATGTGTTATTGTGGTGAATCATACTAATAGCTTTTCCAAAGTTAATCATCCTTGCATTCCTGGGTTAAATGTATTTCTTAATATATTACTGATTTATCTTTTTGCTAAGATTTTTATTTATAATTTTTATCTAGTTTATAAGTAAAACCCTATAATATTTCTTCCTTCAATTGTCTTTATGTAGTTTTTATGTGAATGTTATATTTATAAAAAATTTCAAGAACTTCTCTTTCATCTTACTCCTCTTAAGATCTCTCCTCTTTTTCACATTTCTGCAATTCTTCTATGATGCCTATGTTGTAAATTAATTTCTTTTTCCTGCTTGTACTTTAGGAATCTGAGATTTTATATCTTCTGTTGACCCTGGAAAATTCTAAACCACTTAAAAAAGTATTGCCTCTCCTTTGTTCTTTCTGTTCTTTCCATTTGGAACTCAGCTTCAGTTCATGTTGGACATTCTAATTCTATCCCCAACTTCTCTTAATTTCTTTTTAGTAGTTTCCATGCTTTTATTCTCTGTTCCAAGTTCTAGATAATTTCCCTAAGTCTATTTTTAATTTAATAATTCTGCCTTTGGATTTTATGTATTTGATTATTTTAAGATATCAATTTTTCTTGCATAAGGTACAATAACAGTATTGCATCATTCAGTTTCCTGGTTTTGACCATTGTATTATGGTTATGTAAGTTGTGAACATTATGGGAAATGGGGTAAAAGATATGCATAAACTCCCTACATTATTTTTGTAATTTTTCTGGAAGTCAAAAATTATCTTAAAATAAAGAAATGCTGATTTTTTCAATTCTCCTTCAGATATTTTGTTCTGTTATCTCATACTCGTGAGCATAATGTTGCTATGTGTACTTTCTCACTTTGGCTAATTCTGCTCTTTTCTGCATTTCTTTTTTTTTACTGGAAGCTATATCTTCTCTTCCTCTTCTTTTCTAAATTTACTTAATATTTTAGTATATATAATTAATAAAATATAAAGTCATCCAATAGTTCTACTTTCCTTCCCTTGATAGAAGAACATCACACTATTTTATTATGATTCTTTCCTCCTATCTCATATGTGATTATTGTCTAGGATTTAACTCTCTCAAATTTCTCCAAATTGAATAGCATTATTATTTTGGAGAATCAATGTTGGTTTAGGTTTATTTGCTGTGTATTACTTTTTACATATAATTTCTTCTTTATTGTTTTAACATTTTCTTCATGAAGGCCATACTTTAGACATTCTTTCTGTCAAGGCTATTGATGGTAATGATTACTTCTGTTTGTCTGAAAATGTCTTTTATATTGCCTTCACTTCTGAAGGATGGTTTGGTTATAAAATCCCAAGTTGAATGTTGTTAATTTTCAGCAGATTAAGTTTTTATTCCACTGTCTTTTGATGTCTATTGTTACTATAAAGAATTATTTTCTCAGTTTATTTTCTCTAAATGCTATTATGATCTCTCCTTTGTCAATGGTGTTTGATTGCTTTTTTTTCTTGACATGTTGTAATTCTACATATTTGAGAAGTACTATTTGATGTTTTATACACATATGTTGTAAAATGATCAGTTTGGGATGTATAGCATGAGCATCACCTCATGAATTTATCCTTTTTTTGTGATGAGGACATTCAAAAGCTTCTCTTTTAGCTATTTCATAGTATAAAATATTTCACTGTTAGCCATCATCACCCTACTATACAATAGAACACCAGAAGTGATTCTTCCTATTTAATTATAACTTTATACCTTTTGACCAATCTCTTCCCGTCCGCCTTTCTCCTCTCTCTCCCTTCTCCCTGGTCTCTGGTAAACACTGTTCTACTCTCTGTTTCTGTGATATCAACTACTCTTCTTTTTTTTTTAAGATTCCACATATGATATTATGTGGTATTTGTTTTTCCTTCTGTGTCTGGCTTATTTCATTTAATGTTATGTCCTCCAGGACCATCCATGTTGTCACAAATGATAGGATTTCATTCTTTTTATGGCTGAATAATATTCCATTGTGAATATATATCATATATTTTTTATCCTTTTATTCATTATTGGACACTTAGCTGGATTCCACACCTTAGCTATTGTAAAAACTGCTGTAATAAACATGGGAATGCAGATATTTCTTTGACTTATTGATTTCATTTCCTTTGGCTATATACCCAGTAGTGGGATTGCTGGTTCATAAGGTAGTTATATTTTTAGCTTTTAAGGGAGCTTCCATACCATTTACATAGTGCTTTTACTAACGTACAATCCCACAAACAGTATGTAAGTGTTCCCTTTTCACAGATCATCATCACCAACAACCTTGTTCTTTTCTCTTTTTGATAATGGCCATTCTAACTGGATTGAGGTAGTATCTCATGTAGTTTTGATTTGCATTTCTCTCATGATTAGTGATGGTGAGCATTTTTTCATTTACCTGTTGGCTATTTGAATATCTTCTTTTCAGAAAGACCTATTAAGGTGTTTTGCCCATTTAAAAAATTGGGTTATTTGGTGGGTTTTGTTTTGTGTTGCTGTTAGTTGTTTAAGTTCCTGATATATTTTGATATTACCTCTTGTTGGATCTACAGTTTGGAAATATTTTCTCCCATTCCATAGGTTGTATCTTCACTCTGCTAATTGTTTCCTTTGTTGTGCAAAAGCTTTCTAGTTTGATGTAGTCTAATTTGTCTATTTTTGTTTACTGTGAATTGAGGTCTTATTTTAAAATCCTCAGCCAGCCCAACATTGTAAAACATTTTCCTTATATTTTCTTCTAGTAGTTTCATAGTTTTGGGTTTCACATTTAAGTATTTAATCCACTTTGAGCTGATTTTTGTTATATGGTGAGAGATAGGAGGCTATTTTCATTCTTTTGCATGTGGAAATCCAATTTTTCCAGCACCATTTCTTGACAGGATTGTCTTTTTCCATTTTGTGTTCTTGGCACCTATGTTGAAAATCAGTTGAATGTGAGTGCATGAATTTATTTATGGGATCTCTCTTTTGTTCCATTTGATTTGGAGTTAGGAGCTATCAGATCTCTCAAGTCACCTCCAGTTAGGAGAGAAGATTCTTCCTGTGTGTGCTAGGGTTCCAATGGCTGCCTTGTGATTTTTAACCCTTTGAATCAAAGGAACTTAAATTACTGAAAAATGATAAAAGAAAAGGAGAACAGTTTGAAATTTTAGGTTTTGCTAAAGTTTTTCAATATTATACCCTGTGACTCTTTAATAAATGAGGATGAAAGTCCATAAAAATAAAGTTTTTAAAAGAAAGCAATTTAGCAAAATTCAGATGCTTCTCTTCCACTTAAAGATAGTGTAATATATTGAAAAATTAAAACACTTGGGTTAAGGCCTTAACTTTTCCACATAAGCTGTGGAAAAGTTGGGCCTCTCAAACTTTGGGCCTCTCAAACTCTCTGATGATTTCCTTTTGTGTAAAATAGAAAGTATAACGTTCATCCCAGCCCTACCAATATACTTTTATTAAGATCAAATAAGATAAAGTGTAGCTTCATTAGAGGGATAAATAAAATTATTCCTTTCCTATCCAACTAAAAGTATTCTTTTAAGTAAATGAACTTTTAAAATACCTATTAGTGTATTTTCATTGTAAAGGCATAAAAATGCAAATAAATTATAAGTCCTTTTTGAGTCCTGCTTTCTGCCTCCTAGTCACCTCCAAAACTTTCAGAGAGAATTACTTGTTAGAATTACTTGTTAGTTTGCTCTAACTGCACTGTCCAATATGACATTCATGAGCTACGTATGGCTATTAAACGGAAATGTAAATTAATTATATTGAATAAAATTATTGTTTTTAGTTATACTAGCCATAGTTCAAATAATCAATACCCATATGGATGGCATTACTGTATTGGACAGAGAAGATATGGAATATATCTATCACTAGAGAAAGTTCTATTGAACAACGCTGCTCTTCAATCAAGTCCAGTAAGAGAGCTTGTGGTAGGCAGAATGACAACCCCCGATAATGTCTATGTCTTAGTACCCAGAACCTGAAAATACTACATTATATGTCAAAAAGGACTTTTCAGATATAATTAAGTAAAGGATCTTGAGATGAAAAATTGCCTTGGGTTATCTGAGTAGGCCCAGTGTAATAACTACAATTTCTAGAGGCAGAGGGCATAAGGGTCAGAGTCGGAAAAAAAGATATGTGAAAGTTGTTAGAGTAAATACTGTGTTTGAAAAAAAAAATCCCTGACAAATAGAGCTGGGGAAGGTCATGAAGGGAGAATTGTCATGCATAATTGCCTGATAACAATAACTAACTATCACAAAAGACTACAAAAACCATAGCCTTACACAAAGGCCATTGCAACCTTACACAAAAAATACTTCTGCAAGGACATCTGTCCAGCATCTGCCTGTCCAACCTCTGACTGGCACCATAGCCAAGGATAATTATCTCAAAACAATTATGTAAACCTCTTCATTTTTTCTTTAAAAACCTTTGTCTTTCTTTATCTCCCTAAATATGTGCATAGTTTACTATGGCCTGTGTATATTCCCAGTATGATGCCCTATTTCTGAATAAATATTGTTTTCTTTTAGAGAGCTCCCCTATTTATTATTTAGGTTGACATAAATGGTATCCAGAAGCAAGACCTGAAGCATAATCACTTTGGAAAGGAATTGGCAATTCTTGGATTTAGTGTACAATACTCACTTGAGCCCTCTGAGCTCTCTGCTTTCATGGCTTGCCATTTCTCTCCTGGTGAATCTTTCCTCAGGCTGAGCCTCCTTCTTTTTGGTAGAGGTGGTTTTTTGTTTTTGTTTGTTTTGTTTTTAACTATTTTGGGATTTGGTTTGGTTATAAGACAGTCTTTGATACAGGACTTTATATCCTTCCTGGGGTGATAAAAGATAAAAAGTCTCTTCTGGCAAGTCCTTTCTGGCATAAAGACAAGTGTTCCTCTAGTTTGAATACTCTGGTTTCTACAGAATATATGTCCTCTCTGTAACACATTCTTTTCTGGTTAATTTAGTTTTGCTCTTTTCTGCATGCTTAATTTAATATTTTGTTTGATCTACACACCTGGGTTAAAATTTTTGTGAGCACTCTGATTTTGGTTTTATTTTGATTTGTTTACATATATCTGTAAATAATTTGTCTCTTTTTCTTGTTTGTTTCTAAAAATCTTCCAAGAGCAAAGCTAAACATTACAAATGGTGGGTACAGAATGGCTAACTAAAAGCCACTAGGGAAATCACCATCATCTAAAACACTGGTGTAAACTCCTGACATTCTGTTACAGGATTTTGGGGTTTTCTTTGCTTTTGAGAGCTTAATAAGAACTTAAATGGACTTCTCAAACATTAAGGTTTACCAGGGTTTCTGGGACTCCAGCTGACTATAATATAGCCCATTCCTCATTATTATGCTCATTTTTAAACTGATGGGCAAATTACAACAAGAAAAATTTAGAGACCAGATGGTCATAACTTAAATCTCTTTTTAAAAATCCCTGCAGGCTGGGCTTGGTGGCTCACTCCTGTAATCCCAGCACTTTGGGAGCCCAAGGTGGGTGGATCACGAGGTCAGGAGATCAAGACCATCCTGGCTAACATGGTGAAACCCCATCTCTACTAAAAATACAAAAAATTAGCAGGGCATGGTGGCACGCACCTATAATCTCAGCTACTTGGGAGCCTGAGGCAGGATAATCACTTCAACCTGGGAGGCCGAGGTTGTAGTGACCCGAGATCACGCCACTGCACTCCAGCCTCGATGACAGAGCAAGACTCCGTCAGAAACAAAACAAAACAAAACAAAACAACAACAAAAAAACCCCTGCAAATATAGAGTTAACATGTAAAATCTTCTACATTCTCTGTTTCTCTATTTTTTCTTTCTACTTTGAATCTTTTGAATCTGCTGATACATCTTCAGGTGTCCAGATAAAATTCGCTGCTTTATGGCACTGCAGCCAAAATAGAAAAAAAAAAGTCTTAAAGGGCTTTTAATTGTGGCTTTATAATTTACAATAGCTCTATGGCAACTATCAACCTAGACATCTCAGTCATCTCTTTTAAGGTAAATTTAGGTTTTCCTGGCTAACAATTGCTTAGCGTGATGGAACAATTAATTGAAAGGTTAATATTTTAAAAGAAAAATAACTGGATAAATGTTTATAAAAGTTATAATTTCAGATCAAAGAGGTCAAAATTTTAAGTCCAGAGCGATAATATAAGGTATCTCTGTCTGGCATAAAAATTGCCTTGTGTGCCATGTAGGGGCATAAGAAAGGCATTAAAATGTGTTCTCTATTGAAAAAACTAATTTTATTTGTCTGATCTTATTACAAGGTTGTTTCAAAACATGGATTTAGAAAGGAAATAAAAAGAAAGGAACCAATAAGTAGAAGAGAGAGATGTGAAGATGTTATGAATATGAAGATGTATGTTTGGTAAGAAAAGTTAAACAGAAAAGAAATAATTTTGTATGAAAAAGAATCTAGTGTGGTTATTTAAGAGTAAGTATAGGACAAATCAGAATGTATAAGTATGTTGTTGAAGATCTATGCAGGCTGTAAAAGGTTCATTAAGAATGAATTTGTGAAAGGAATTTTATGTGTAATCAAATGGGCTACAATCAGAAGGAAACTATTTGTCTTTTAAAAGATCGATCATTAATCTTAAAAATACATGGATACAAAACTAAAAATTTGTTTCCCTAAAGTTACAACAATAAATTTTCCTTGAAGTATTGATATGTTCTTAGTAAAATTGTAAGAGGTTTTGATTTAATTTTGAAATTTGTTTCTTCAACAGCCGTCTTCTAAATTGTAGACATTTTTTATTTCTGCCACATTTCTCCCTGCGATCTGTTTATTCCCCCAGTTTCAGGTTGGAAATGCTGTCTTCTCCATTTGGAATGGTAACTTCATTTCTTGAAGTAGTTTTACTTTTGAAGTTTCTCAGATTCATATCTCAGAAGTTTGACTTTTGCCGTATCTTGCACATCATTTGCAGGTTGTACATCATTGCCTTCAGCTCTTTCTCCTTTTCAGAAGTTAAATCGTTTTGCTTGGCAGGATAATAACTCTCCCTTTGAACTTTCTCATCAGTTTTGTAACCCTTTCCTCTGGTTCTAACTCTGATGTCTTAACTGTCAATAAAATGTTCTGTCCTTAAGGCCTAGAAAAACAATGTTTTCCTCCAGTATAACTTGATTCTGTAGTCTTGACTTTTCTTGATGTGTCTGAATTGTTCTATGTAATGAGAACACTTCCCATGCTGTTACTAAAGCTATGTATTCTCCTGCTCAAGGTACTAGTTTTCTTGTTTATATTCCTCTTTAATGTGGTATACACTCATAACCTTGGACACACACTCTGTATGTGCCTGATTGAATCCAAGGACTTTTCAATCATGTTTGACTTACAGGTTATCTAAATGGGCTTTTCCTAAGAGAAAGCAATCACACTGCAGAAGGTTTGTTTTTTTTAACCTTTTTAATTGGCCTAAATAAAACTCAAAATATTTTATATTTATCAAGATATTTTCCTGTGTTATCTTTATTAGATTTTACTGATCATGTAGGAAAACTGAGATTTGAAAGGGTTAAGGCTATTACAGTCAAGTAGCTTTCTTTACATTTTCTGACTATCACTCTGGTTAAATAAATAACTATTATTTCACAGTGACCTGTCATTTTGTTTTTATCAGTGTTTTGAACATTGTGACATATTTGGCAGGCTTTCTTGGAATTAAGATTCTAAATTAGGTATTTTTGACCTAAAATTGACTTTGGGATCTTTCCAGTTGGGCCCTTCAAGGGCCTCAAAGGATGTATCTCTTATTTTGTAGAGATATTAAATGAGTAGGCTTATTTGGTAAATTACATGAGAAATACTTCAAATGACAGGTGCTACTGGATTTTCTTTCATTTATGTTTATGAATATGTTATTAATATGAATGTTTCAAAATTCAAATAGTTCCAAAATTATATTTTAGAAATCTAGTATGTCATCAGCCATAATTCCAGTTATTATGTTGCATGCCAAAAAAATGACCACATTTTCTTATCAATTTCTGGTTATGGTAAACTTCCATCAGATTTTTAACCATAATTATTCTAAGCTTTTGTAATCTATAGTTAATGTTTTGAATTTTTTCTAAAGAGACCTGCAACTGGATTCATGGAAAAGACTCTAACAACTACTGTTAAATACAGGTTTCAAAAAACTTTAAGATAAATGGACTAAATAAGAAGTTTCCAGAAGTCTCATAAAGAAACTGGGGGGCAGCCAAGATGGCCAAATAGGAACAGCTCCGGTCTACAGCTCCCAGCATGAGCCATGCAGAAGACGAGTGATTTCTGCATTTCCATCTTAGGTACCGGGTTCATCTCACTAGGGAGTGCCAGAGAGTGGGCGCAGGACAGTGGGTGCAGTGCACCGTGCGTGAGCTGAAGGAGGGCGAGGCATTGCCTCACTCGGGAAGCGCAAGGGGTCAGGGAGTTCCCTTTCCTAGTCAAACAAAGGGGTGACAGACAGCACCTGGAAAATTGGGTCACTCCCACCCTAATACTGCGCTTTTCCAACGGGCTTAAAAAACGGCACACCAGGGGATTATATCCCGCACCTGGCTCGGAGGGTCCTACACCCACGGAGTCTCGCTGATTGCTAGCACAGCAGTCTGGGATCAAACTGCAAGGCAGCAGCGAGGCTAGGGGAGGGGCGCCTGCCATTGCCCAGGCTTGCTTAGGTAATCAAAGCAGCCGGGAAGCTCCAACTGGGTGGAGCCCACCACAGCTCAAGGAGGCCTGCCTGCCTCTGTAGGCTCCACCTCTGGGGGCAGGGCACAGACAAACAAAAGACAGCAGTAACCTCTGCAGACTTAAATGTCCCTGTCTGACAGCTTTGAAGAGAGCAGTGGCTCTCCCAGCACACAGCTGGAGATCTAAGAACGGGCAGACTGCCTCCTCAAGTGGGTCCCTCACCCCTGACCCCCGAGCAGCCTAACTGGGAGGCACTCCCCAGTAGGGGCAGACTGACACCTCACACAGCCAGGTACTCCTCTGAGACAAAACTTCCAGAGGAACAATCAGACAGCAGCATTTGCGGTTCATGAAAATCTGCTGTTCTGCAGCCACAGCTGCTGATACCCAGGCAAACAGGGTCTGGAGTGGACCTCTAGCAAACTCCAACAGACCTGCAGCTGAGGGTCCTGTCTGTTAGAAAGAAAACTAACAAACAGAAAGGACATCCACACCAAAAACCCATCTGTACATCACCATCATCAAAGACCAAAAGTAGATAAAACCACAAAAGTGGGGAAAAAACAGAGCAGAAAAACTGGAAACTCTAAAAAGCAGAGCGCCTCTCCTCCTCCAAAGGAACGCAGTTCCTCACCAGCAATGGAACAAAGCTGGATGGAGAATGACTTTGATGAGTTGAGAGAAGAAGGCTTCAGATGATCAAACTATTCCGAGCTACAGGAGGAAATTCAAACCAAAGGCAAAGAAGTTGAAAACTTTGAAGAAAATTTAGACGAATGTATAACTAGAATAACCAATACAGAGAAGGCCTTAAAGGAGCTGATGGAGCTGAAAGCCAAGGCTCGAGAACTACGTGAAGAATGCAGAAGCCTCAGGAGCTGATGCAATCAACTGGAAGAAAGGGTATCAGCGATGGAAGATGAAATGAATGAAATGAAGCGAGAAGGGAAGTTTAAAGAAAAAAGAATAAAAAGAAATGAACAAAGCCTCCAAGAAATATGGGACCATGTGAAAAGACCAAATCTACGTCTGATTGCTGTATCTGAAAGTGACAGGGAGAATGGAACCAAGTTGGAAAACACTCTGCAGGATATTATCCAGGAGAACTTCCTCAATCTAGCAAGGCAGGCCAAAATTCAGATTCAGGAAATACAGAGAACGCCACAAAGATACTCCTCGAGAAGAGCAACTCCAAGACACATAATTGTCAGATTCACCAAAGTTGAAATGAAGGAAAATATGTTAAGGGCAGCCAGAGAGAAAGGTCAGGTTACCCACAAAGGGAAGCCCACCAGACTAACAGCTGATCTCTCGGCAGAAACTCTGCAAGCCAGAAGAGAGTGGGGGCCAATATTCAACATTCTTAAAGAAAAGAATTTTCAACCCAGAATTTCATATCCAGCCAAACTAAGCTTCATAAGTGAAGGAGAAATAAAATACTTTACAGACAAGCAAATGCTGAGAGATTTTGTCACCACCAGGCCTGCCCTAAAAGAGCTCCTGAAGGAAGCACTAAACATGGAAAGGAACAACCGGTACCAGCCGCTGCAAAATCATGCCAAAATGTAAAGACCATGGAGGCTAGGAAGAAACTGCATCAACTAATGAGCAAAATAACCAGCTAACATCATAATGACAGGATCAAATTCACACATAAAAATATTAACTTTAAATGTAAATGGACTAAATGCTCCAATTAAAAGACACAGACTGGCAAATTGGATAAAGAGTCAAGACCCATCAGTGTGCTGTATTCAGGAAACCCATCTCACATGCAGAGACACACATAGGCTCAAAATAAAAGGATGGAGGAAGATCTACCAAGCCAATGGAAAACAAAAAAAGGCAGGGGTTGCAATCCTAGTCTCTGATAAAAGAGACTTTAAACCAACAAAGGTCAAAAGAGACAAAGAAGGCCATTACATAATGGTAAAGGGATCAATTCAACAAGAAGAGCTAACTATCCTAAATATATATGCACCCAACACAGGAGCACCCGGATTCATAAAGCAAGTCCTGAGTGACCTACAAAGAGACTTAGACTCCCACACATTAATAATGGGAGACTTTAACACCCCACTGTCAACATTAGACAGATCAATGAGACAGAAAGTTAACAAGGATACCCAGGAATTGAACTCAGCTCTGCACCAAGCGGACCTAATAGACATCTACAGAACTCTCCACCCCAAATCAACAGAATATACATTTTTTTCAGCACCACACCACACCTATTCCAAAATTGACCACATACTTGGAAGTAAAGCTCTCCTCAGCAAATGTAAAATTACAGAAATTATAACAAACTGTCTCTCAGACCACAGTGCAATCAAACTAGGACTCAGGATTAAGAATCTCACTCAAAACCACTCAACTACATGGAAACTGAACAACCTGCTCCTGAATGACTACTGGGTACATAACAAAATGAAGGCAGAAATAAAGATGTTCTTTGAAACCAATGAGAACAAAGACACACCATACCAGAATCTCTGGGACACATTCAAAGCAGTGTGTAGAGGGAAATTTATAGCACTAAATGCCCACAAGAGAAAGCAGAAAAGATCCAAAATTGACACCCTAACATCACAATTAAAAGAACTAGAAAAGCAAGAGCAAACACATTCAAAAGCTAGCAGAAGGCAAGAAATAACTAAAATCAGAGCAGAACTGAAGAAAATAGAGACACAAAAAACCCTTCAAAAAATTAATGAATCCAGGAGCTGGTTTTTTGAAAGGATCAACAAAATTGATAGACCGCTAGGAAGCTAATAAAGAAAAAAAGAGAGAAGAATCAAATAGACGCAATAAAAAATGATAAAGGGGATATCACCACCGATCCCACAGAAATACAAACTACCATCAGAGAATACTACAAACACCTCTACGCAAATAAACTAGAAAATCTAGAAGAAATGGATAAATTCCTTGACACATACACCCTCCCAAGATTAAACCAGGAAGAAGTTGAATCTCTGAATAGACCAATAACAGGCTCTGAAATTGTGGCAATAATCAATAGCTTACCAACCAAAAAGAGTCCAGGACCAGATGGATTCATAGCCGAATTCTACCAGAGGTACAAGGAGGAACTGGTACCATTCCTTGTGAAACTATTCCAATCAATAGAAAAAGAGGGAATCCTCCCTAACTCATTTTATGAGGCCAGCATCATCCTGATACCAAAGCTGGGCAGAGACAGAACCAAAAAAGAGAATTTTGGACCAATATCCTTGATGAACATTGATGCAAAATTCCTCAATAAAATACTGGCAAACCAAATCCAGCAGCACATCAAAAAGCTTATCCACCATGATCAAGTGGGCTTCATCCCTGGAATGCAAGGCTGGTACAATATACGCAAATCAATAAATGTAATCCAGCATATAAACAGAACCAAAGACAAAAACCACATCTCAATAGATGCAGAAAAGGCCTTTGACAAAATTCAACAACTCTTCATGCTAAAAACTCTCAATAAATTAGGTATTGATGGGACGTATCTCAAAATAATAAGAGCTATCTATGACAAACCCACAGCCAATATCATACTGAATGGGCAAAAGCTGGAAGCATTCCCTTTGAAAACTGGCACAAGACAGGGATGCCCTCTCTCACCACTCCTATTCGACATAGTGTTGGAAGTTCTGGCCAGGGCAATTAGGCAGGAGAAGGAAATAAAGGGTATTCAATTAGGAAAAGAGGAAGTCAAATTGTCCCCGTTTGCAGATGACATGATTGTATATCTAGAAAACCCCATTGTCTCAGCCCAAAATCTCCTTAAGCTGATAAGCAACTTCAGCAGTCTCAGGATACAAAATCAATGTACAAAAATCACAAGCATTCTTATACACCAATAACAGACAAACAGAGAGCCAAATCATGAGTGAACTCCCATTCACAATTGCTTCAAAGAGAATAAAATACCTAGGAATCCACCTTACAAGGGACGTGAAGGACCTCTTCAAGGAGAACTACAAACCACTGCTCAATGAAATAAAAGAGGACACAAACAAATGGAAGAACATTCCATGTTCATGGGTAGAAAGAATCAATATCGTGAAAATGGCCATACTGCCCAAGGTAATTTGTAGATTCAATGCCATCCCCATCAAGCTACCAATGACTTTCTTCACAGAATTGGAAAAAACTACTTTGAAGTTCATATGGAACCAAAAAAGAGCCCGCATCGCCAAGTCAATCCTAAGCCAAAAGAACAAAGCTGGAGGCATCACGCTACCTGACTTCAAACTATACTACAAGGCTACAGTAACCAAAACAGCATGGTACTGGTACCAAAACAGAGATATAGATCAATGGAACCGAACAGAGCCCTCAGAAATAACGCCGCATATCTACAACTATCTGATCTTTGACAAACCTGAGAAAAACAAGCAATGGGGAAAGGATTCCCTATTTAATAAATGGTGCTGGGAAAACTGGCTAGGCATATATAGAAAGCTGAAGCTGGATCCCTGCCTTACACCTTATACAAAAACTAATTCAAGATGGATTAAAGACTTAAACATTAGACCTAAAACCATAAAAACCCTAGAAGAAAATCTAGGCATTACCATTCAGGACATAGGCACGGGCAAGGGCTTCATGTCTAAAACACCAAAAGCAATGGCAACAAAAGCCAAAATTGACAAATGGGATCTAATTAAACTAAAGAGCTTCTGCACAGCAAAAGAAACTACCATCAGAGTGAACAGGCAACCTACAAAATGGGAGAAAATTTTCGTAACCTACTCATCTGACAAAGGGCTAATATCCAGAATCTACAATGAACTCAAACAAATTTACAAGAAAAAAACAACCCCATGAAAAAGTGGGCAAAGGACATGAACAGACACTTCTCAAAAGAAGACATTTATGCAGCCAAAAAACACATGAAAAAATGCTCATCATCACTGGCCATCAGAGAAATGCAAATCAAAACCACAGTGAGATACCATCTCACACCAGTTAGAATGGCAATCATTAAAAAGTCAGGAAACAACAGGTCCTGGAGAGGATGTGGAGAAATAGGAACACTTTTACACTGTTGGTGGGACTGTAAACTAGTTCAACCATTGTGGAAGTCAGTGTGGTGATTCCTCAGGGATCTAGAACTAGAAATACCATTTGACCCAGCCATCCCATTACTGGGTATATACCCAAAGGACTATAAATCATGCTGCTATAAAGACACATGCACACGTTTGTTTATTGCGGCACTACTCACAATAGCAAAGACTTGGAACCAACCCAAATGTGCAACAGTGATAGACTGGATTAAGAAAATGAGGCACATATACACCATGGAATACTATGCAGCCATAAAAAATGATGAGTTCATGTCCCTTGTAGGGACATGGATGAAATTGGAAATCATCATTCTCAGTAAACTATCACAAGGACAAAAAAACAAACACCGCATGTTCTCACTCATAGGTGGGAATTGAACAATCAGAACACATGGACACAGGAAGGGGAACATCACACTATGGGGACTGTTGTGGGGTGGAGGGAGGGGGGAGGGATAGCATTTGGAGATATACCTAATGCTAAAAGACGAGTTAATGGGTGCAGCACACCAGCATGGCACATGTATACATATGTAACTAACCTGCACATTGTGCACATGTACCCTAAAACTTAAAGTACAATAATAATAAAATAAAAAAAAAAGAAACTGATTGGCTCATGAAACTGCTAAAAAAAGATCAAACATTCATTACATCAACTTGAATAACTGATAAAAATAATAATAATTTTTATTTGAAGCATTGCTTGTTATTTACTTAAATATCTTTTCCAGATTTAAGAAAATTTTGTATCTAGAGTAATTTATACAGCAATTTGGTAAAGAATACTTCTGTGAATAAAGGTGGAGACATTTGCTTTTCCTTTCTACTTGGTTCCCCCCAAATTTTGAAACCACTGGTGAGTATTCTTATGGCACTATAGTTACTTGTATAAGTTCAATAAAAAATCTGCTCTCTCTTTATAACAAGATATGATTGGAAATGTTGGTTATGTTACCAAGGTTTTTACTAAAGCGTCATATTTGAGAATATGCATAGAATACCTCATTTCAAGGGTTCCTAGGCTTACAGTGAATGAATAAAAACTGTCACTTTTTGGCAGGTCCAGAGATTGTAGACCACGAGTTAAATCTAAAGTCTACCTTGGTTTGGCTTCCTATCCCAAAGAGGTTTTAAAATCTGATTCCTATGTTATCAATATGGAAAGAAAAACTTACATTTCTAAAGAAAAGCTATACTACATCTGTTATTAGATTGTAGCTTTGCACATTGCTTTCAAGTTCTTGTTATCTACCTGTAGACTAGACTAGATCCTAAATTCTTCTAGTTTCCTCCAATCCAATTTTCTTCCATAGAATTATTTAAAAGAGAAACTACTCTCTTCTTGAAGCCCTATAAGCTGAAAGTAGATGAATTTTAAGGAACAAGTCTCATGCCTAATGCATGGGTTACACAGAAAGTTTACCCTACTACCTGACACTATAGCCAGAGATATTCAAACTACAAAGAAACACAAGAACTTTATATTTTCATGCTCTAGACAGCTTTTCCAAGATGATGGAAAATGGCTCCATATCATAATGAGACTTTAATTCCTTTTAATGCCTAGTTTTTTCACTTGGAAGACAACGGTCATTGATTTATTTAAACTGGTTGCCTTTAAGCCTAGGTTTGTGGCTCAATACCATTACGCAAACTGAGACTGTCATATTAATACTAATTTACCTGGTATTTCCCCCTTTTAAGCTGTGTATCTGTTACTTGTTAAATTTGTGCAGCAATACAAGTACTAACAGAATAAAGCTGATCCAGCACTTTGAGATGATAGCAAAAGACTATGGAACAGACAAAAATTGAACTTAATAATGGACCACAGGCTTAGCTGGAGAGCCACTCTCTTTAAACCTTTCTATTGTTCAAATCTGGCTAAATGGATTTTGAAACTGACTTTTAGTAGCCATTCACTCCCTCCAATGTGGGACCAGACCTATTGGTATCTTATACCCAAGATAAGTCCATCCTGGCACCATGGGACAATCAAAACCGAACTACAGGATGATTTATCAGCAGTGCTTTTAGACAAAGGTCTTGATTAACATTGGGAAATATAAAAGTTGTTGACATCAAAATGGACTCATTCATATTTTTAAAAAATGACATATTGCGCTGGGATGGTGGCTCATACCTGTAATCCTAGTGACTTGGGAAGCTGAGATAGGAGGATCGCTTGAGGCCAGGAGTTCAAGGCCAGCCTAGGCAACATAGTGATACTCTGTCATTAAAAAAATATTAAAAATTGGCTGGGCATGGTGGTGAATGCCTGGAGTCCCAGCTACTTAGGAGGCTGAGGTTGGAGGATCACTTGAACCCAGGAGTTTGAAGCTACAGTGAGCTATGATTGTGCCACTGCACTTCAGCCTGTGTTGACAGAATGTGACACCATCTCAAAGCAAGCAAACAAACAAACAAACAAGAAAAACACCTGACAAATAGAGCTGGGGAAGGTCATGAAGTGGAGTGGGAGAGTCATAAATGCCTTATAACAAAAACTATCACAAAAGGGTCTGCAAAAACCATAACTTTGCACAAAGGCCATTGCAATCTTACAGAAAAAATACTTCTGCAAGGACATCTGCCCAGCATCTGCCTGTCCAACCTCAGACTGGCACCATAGCCAAGGTTCATTGTCTCAAAACAAGTAATCCTCTTCATGTTTTCTTTTAAAGCCCTTGTCTTTCTTGGCCAGGGACGGTGGCTCACACCTGTAATCCTAGCACTTTGGGAGGCTGAGGGGGGCAGATCACTTGAGGCCAGGAGTTCGAGACCAGCCAGGGCAACATGGCAAAACCCTGTGTCACATAAAAATACAAAAATTAGGCCTGGTGGTATGTGCTTGCAGTCCCAGCTATTTGGGAGGTGGAGGCAGGATAATTGAGAATTGCTTCAACCTGGGAGGCAGAGGTTACAGTAAGCCATGATGGTGCCACTGCACTCCAGCCTGGGCAACAAAGCAAGACTCTCTCTCAAAAACTAAAACCAAAACCAAAACAAACGCCTTTGTCTTTCTTTACTTCTCTCAGTACACACAAATTTTACTATGGCATGCATACTCCCATTACAATGCCCTGTTCCTGAATAAATATTATTTTTAAGAGAACGTCTCTCTCTTTGTTATGTAGATTGACAATGTGATGATGGAAACAAAGTTAGAGTGATGTGTTTTTAAGAGGGAGGAAGGAACCATGGGCCAGTGAATGCAGGTTCCCTCTAGAGGTTGGAAAAGGCAAGGAAACAGTCTTCCCTAGAGTCCGCAGACAGAATGCCACACACTAACACCTTGGTTTTAAGACTTTTGATCTTCAGAACTGTAAGATAAGAAATTTCCATTGTTTTAAGCCATAAGTTTGTGATAATTTGTTACATTAGCAAAAGAAAACGAATACATATGACAACATGTATCTCTATTACTCTCTTAATAAATGTTATTTGTCTCCAATTCTATTATAAATAAAGCTACAATAAAATTTTTCTCTGTGCAGAAGCAAACATTAGATGGCAAAAAGTGTTACAGAGAAAAATGAACCACAGAGAGAGGGTTAGGGATTTAAGCCATTAGAGATATGTGTAATTTATTTTGGTAATTCATTAATAACTTGCTTTTCAGAAATAACAACCACAACAATAATAATATCTGAATTTTGGCGTTTGCCAAATTCCATGCTGTAAGTACACATACCATCACCAGTTTCTAGCTACCAACATAATACTACTGAACACAGAGCTGGGATGAGATCAGATTCTGCGCATGACTGGGTATGTATATGTATGTGTGTACATGAGCTTCTAGGCATATATATAGTTACATGTGTTTCTATGGTAAACAGAAGGTTTGTCTGATACTTGTCAGAGCAAAAACCTGAAAGAGGTGATGAAGCCACCTATGCAGATAAATGGGAAAAAAACATTCTTTTTTTCTTTTTTCATTTGAGACAAAATCTCACTCTGTTGCCCAGGCTGGAGTGTAGTGGTGCCATCTCAGTTCAGTGCAAGCTCTGCCTCCCGGGTTCAAGCAATTCTCTTGCCTCAGCCTCCCAAGTAGCTGGGATTACAGGTGTACGCCACCACACCCAGCTAATTTTTGTATTTTTAGTAGAGACAGGGTTTCACCATGTTGGCCAGGATGGTCTTGAACTCCTCACTGCAAGTGATCCGCCCACCTTGGCCTCCCAAAGTGCTGGATTACCGGCCTAAGCCACCCCGCCTGGCCAAAAAGCATTCTTAACAGAGGGAATAGTTAGTGCAAACACCTGATGGGTGTGTGAGTGTGTTGTGTTGCATGTACTTGAGGTCTGTCTGAAATATATTATCTTAGTCTGTTTGGGGTGATATAACAGAAATAACATAGATTGGGGGCTTATTGTCTAAGTTAATTTTCTCTTGCTATTACAGAATACTTAAAACTGGGTAATCTATAAGAAATGAACTTTATTTTTTTCAATTCTGGAGGCCAGGAAGTTAAAGGTGAAGGGGCTGCATCTGGTGAGGGCCTTCTTGCCAGTGGGGGCTTTCTGTAAATTCCTGAGATGGTGCATGGTATCACATGGTGAGGAGGCTGAGCATGCTAATGTGTTAGCTCAGGACCCTCTTCCTCATCTTATAAAGCCACAGTTCCCGTTCCCCTCCCATGATATCCCATTAATCCATTAACCCGTGGAGGGACTAAATATTCATAAGGACATAACCCTTGAGACCCAATCACCTCCTAAAGGTCTCACCTCTCAATACTGCCACATTGTGGATTAAGTTTCAGCGTGAGTTTTAAAGGGAACATTCAAACTATAGCACTTATAAACAACAGAAATTTGTTTTTCACAATTCTGAAGGATGGAAAGTCGGAGATCATGGTGCCAGCAAAGTCAGGTTCTGGTGAGGGCCCTCTTTCGGGGCCCATAGATGGTGTGCCTTCTAGCTATGTTCCCACCTGGTGGAAAAGGGAATGCAGCTCTCTGGGACCTCTTTTATAAGGACATTAATCCCATTTATGGGGACTCTGCACTCATGACATAATCATCTTCCAAAGCCCTTATCTCTTAATATCAGCACATTATGATTAGATTTCAACATATGAATTTTGGGGGGACAAAAACATCTGGACCATTGAAGATATTAAGGAGACTAACACGGTGGAGAGTGAGTTGCTCCATTGTAGAAGGTAAGTAAGTTAATTATGTATTTGTAAGTGCATGTGCATTTGTAGGGGGGCAGGTAAGGCCTCAGGTCATTATAGGGACTTTGTTTTTTGATTTTAAAGGAGAGAGGAAACAACTAGTGAGTCCTGAAATGACATAATCTGAATTAAATTTAGCTCTTCTGTTGAGAAAGAATAGAAACAGATTGAGACACTCTCAGGAGGATGTTGCAATAAGCCATGTGAATGATCGTGTCCAGGCCAAGTGTAGTAGCAGTGGAAGTGGTGAGATGTGATCAGATACTGCAAGGAGAACTGACAGGATTTGCTGAAAGATTGAATATGGGGTGAGATAAAGAGAGGCGCTAAGGCCGATTCCAAGATTTTGGCTTAAGTAATTGGAAGGTTGGAAGTGCTAGCACATAAGATAGGTAAGAGACTGGGAGAAACATGTTTGGGGAGCAAGGGCAGATCAAGCCCTAATTTTTGACATGGTGTTAGGATGACTTTTAGAATTCTAATCCATCAGAGAAATGGATATACATGCCTGAAGTTTAGGGGAGAATCAGCTGGAGATGTAAATTTGGTATTTAAAACCTTTATACTGGAGAAGATCACATGGGGTATGAATGTAGATAGAGGAGAAATCTCAGGATGTGGTTGTGGGGTACTCTAAAATTTAGAGATCAAAAAGAAAAGGAAGAACCAGAAAAGGAGACTGAGGTGCTATCAAGTACAAAGAAAAACAAAAGAGAATCATATCCAATTAAATATGTTGTTTTATGGAAGGAAAAATCATGAAACTCAACAAATACTTCTGGTTTGATGAATAAACTGAAGCCTGAAAATTGGCCATAGGATTTGCAACTATGATGCTATTGGTCACGTTGGCCAAAACAATTTTGGTGAAGAGATAGCTAGAAAAGTCTGATTGTACTGGATTTAACAGAGAATAAGCGAAGAGTATTTGGAGACACTGAATTTAGCCAACGGTTTCTAGTTTTGTTTTGTTCTGTAGAAGGACAACAGCAAAAGGTAGGATTAAGAGAGGGTTTTCAAAAGCCTGGAGATATTATAAGCTGTGTGGGTGCTGATGGAAAAAAATTGGCAAAGAAGGAAAATTCATGAAGCAGAGGAGCAAGGAGAATTGCTACAGAAATGTCCTTAAGAAAGGGGAAAGGGCTTGATCTCGGGCACAAGTGGAGTAGTTGGCATCTCATCCATGGGAGCAGGTGGAGACTGATGGATAGATGGGGTGGTGAAAGCATACAGAAAGTCTCCATGGATTTTTTTAAATTTTATTTTGTTGTTGAAGCAATGTCATCACTGGAGATTGAGAATGGGGTAGGTAAGAAATAGAAGGCATGACATAGCTATGTAAGAGAATGAGTAAATGAATGAATGGCTTTAGGAAATATCAAAGGATTGTAGCAGTACTTAGAGCCCACATGAGTGGTCATGAATTTGAATTGAGATCAGACATATACCTGTGAGTGTTGTTTTCTTATGCCAATATTAATACACAGATACAAGTGTTGAATAGATTGAGATTTTAACTTAAGCAGAGTTGGAATATTGCCAGGTTAGTGTGAGGATAAAAGAGAATGGCTATAAAGTTGTGGAGAAATACAGGGCAGTATTATGATGATCGATGCATAATGGACTACAGGAGGGAAGATAAGGCATAGAGTGGGGTGGCAGAGCTGGGGGGTGTGGTGAGAGGAACTGAAAAAGATAGGACAGTAGTCCCAGTAGCATCGAAGAATTGTTGGAGGGAGTAAATTCAAAAGATAGAAGATACGGTTGAAGAGAGACAACTAAATTGAAAGTGGCAGATCAAACCGAAGGTAAAGGTATTTAGTAATGACACCGCCTAGGGTATGACCACATGCATGAATAACTCAAGGGTGTAGAAGATGACTGGCAGAGAGGAGGTCTCAGAAATGGGAGGCCAGATAGTAGAAGGATCACTTGTGTGCGTGAGATCACAATAACATAATATTGAAATCTCAATAGAGATAGTATTAGAGATAATTATAATTAAAATCACAGCGGATCTCAAAGATTGGTCTGCAGACTAGCAAATGCCAATGTCCCTGACTTGTTAGAATTGCAAATTTTGAGTATCTCCTAGATCTAGTGAATGAGAAACTGGGAGCTGGGCCCTGCGAACAGTAGTTTAACAAGTCCCCCAGGTGATTTTGATGCACATTAAGGTTTGATAACTATTAATACTTCTATAATAGCACAGATAATAGAGAAATTAACAGCTTGAAGAAATAACAAAAAGTTCAGTGAGTTAGCATGAAACTATACCTGAAAGTTATTGCAAGGTTAAGTGAGAGGAACCTTAAAATTAAAGGGAGCAGCATTTGTAAAGAAAAGCTAGAATCATGAAAAGACCTAAGATAAGATCAAATGAAATTACGTAGAAGTGTAAAATTCTTAACTGTTAGTATCTGAAAATCATGCATTCCTTGCTAGGAAGGCATGGCATTAGTGCTGTCGGAATCCTGATAAAACATCACAAACTTCTGTTCGTTGGTATTAGGGACAGTATAGAGTGAGTGCTTGAAGAACTGCCTTGGCTTACCAATCTCTCTCTCCACAACTTCCAATCATCTCTAGGGAACCTAGCAGAAACACTTCCACAGAGCAAAAGTTATAATACAGAAAGTGATGAAAGGAGGACGCAGGCTCTCAATGACGTCAGGTATTCCCGGGACCCGCCCACCGTGGGCGTTTTCCACCTACAGGCAGGCGTCTCCGGGGGCGGGGCTTGCTCAGGGTTAACGTCACTACTGAGCGCCGGGCGCGTTCCGTTGGCGGCGGATTCGAACGTTCGGACTGAGGTTTTTCTGCCTGAAGAAGCGTCATACGGACCGGATTGTTTTCGCTGGCCCAGTGTCCCCGGAGCTTGTGTGCGATACAGAGAGCACCTCGGAAGCTGAGGCAGCTGGTACTTGACAGAGAGGATGGCGCTGTCGACCATAGTCTCCCAGAGGAAGCAGATAAAGCGGAAGGCTCCCCGTGGCTTTCTAAAGCGAGTCTTCAAGCGAAAGAAGCCTCAACTTCGTCTGGAGAAAAGTGGTGACTTATTGGTGAGATTCCATCCCTTCTCGGGCTGGGAATGGGGCACGGGAGAGGTAAGGGCAATAACCTTAAGCCTTTGTTTTTCCGCCCCGAGCCAATTTATAGCTCTTTCAGGCCCCTGTTTAAGGCAGTTCCAACAATGACAGGGAACGTATGCCCCACCCTGGCATGTCAGTTCATATTCCTGGCGCTCAGTTGTACCGGGCCGCGCCGAAAAGTAAATATCTGGATCTTTTTAAAGGGAGACTGTTAGTCACATGAGCTTAACGTACAGTTACTGCTTACAGTTTTAAATATTGCTGTTTAGGAACACAATCTGGCACCGTGATTAATGTACTTGCAAAGGGTATGAAAGAATCACCCTTTAAAAAATAGATTTTGGAATTCAGTCTGGGTCATTTTTATTTAGCTATTGTAAAAGGCATTGCTCACATGCCTTTTAAGGGCCTCCCTTCTTGCCTCCCTCCCTGTCTCCTCTTTCCTCCCTTGGCTCCCTCCGTCTCTCCTCTATTTACGCATTTAACCAAACATTGCCTTATTTCCTCTAGGTGAGGGTGCTTACTAAAGGACCCTGATGGGAAAGTTTATTTGTAGGAAGAGTCCTCTCAACTGTTAATTCATTTCGCTAGACAAGTAATAGAACACCTAGTCAGTTTTTAAGCTAGACTACTAAAGCCTGCTTATCTGACCCATAATACCTGAAGCATAATGTTCTCCTAATAAGAAGCCCCAATCAAACCACTGTATAATAATGTTTCTGTCTTGAAATAAATTCAGTTTGTGTGTTGAATACCTGGAACACATATTCCTCTGGCACAATGAACACTATTTCTCTAGGTTTAAACCACTGGAGGCATGTTCGGTAGCTTGTCCTTGGCTCTTTGAGTAAAGGAGCCATTATAAATGGACACATAATTTCCAGGAGATCAAGGTACAGAATTGTGGATAATAAGAGCATACTGCATGAATCATCCTAGCTGTTCTTAAACGACATTGGTTTTTCTACCTCCTCTTTACTCTTTTGCTTCCTGGACTTCTCCACTGCCACCCCATCTGTTGCTTCCTTTTCTAAACTACTATAGAATTATCGCCCCTTTCCCCTTATTTGGTCTCTGAAGCCAAAACACAACAAAAACACATTTTCCCCCAGAAAAGTATTACTTCTATCTTCTGCCCTTATTTTTGTTACTTTCTTAAATCTTGTAAGAAGAGGCAATACAGGCTGTCTTGTGCCCCGACCCCAATTAACTATCCCATGCTGGTGATAGAGGTGGCACAAATGAACGGAATTCAAATGAAATTCACTTGCAAAACATTTTTACGTAGTATATTATGGAGCTTTCACTGGGGCTTCTAAATGGAGGGAGAGGAAATGTACCTGATCAAAGATATCCAAGAGACCACTAGCTGGTGCAAATGGCTTAGTGGAAATTCCTCAGGTAGTCAGCATCCTCCCACATCTACCCCTTTCTTCCTCCAAAGAACCCATGGACAGAGGGGCTCCATAGTGCGGTGGGATCCAGGTGGCATGGGAAAGTGGGTGAGTTGAAATTTCAAGCGGTTGCATTGATGGGGTATAGAATGTTCTTTTGGTCAGTAGCTTTTCCCAGGTAGTATGCTCGTCGTGTTTGGCTTTCATTAAACAGTTCGCCTTCACTGTCTTGAATGTGGCATGGATTACCCTGGTTTCTTTATAGCTTTCTGCTCACCTTTGACACTTCATATCTTACCCAGTTCAATGAGTTAGCAAAAAGTTCAATGAATTAGCATTAAACTACACCTGAAAGTTATTGCAAGGTTAAGTGAGAGGAACCTTAAAATTAAAGGGAGCAGCATTTGTAAAGAAAAGCTAGAATCATGAAAAGACCTAAGGTAAGATCAAATGAAATTATGTAGAAGTGTAATTCACTTGCATCCCACATCATCCACAAAGTTTTCTATAGTTAAAGCAGTTTGTTTTGATCTGCTCTTTTTTCTGAACTTGGACAGCAGTAAGAGTATACATCATACAGTTGAGCTATTGGGACTCTTAACACTGTTGTCTAGGAGTTTTCATATGCTGATGTTTCCTAGTGTGGTATGCAGCTTCTTGAGGAGAATGAATATCTCCTTTTCTGTCTCCCATTATCTTTAACACAGAATTAATCTACTTTTATGCTGCCTTTTGTACATGGTATTTCTTCTGCTTGAAGATGTCTTCACTCTACTTGGCAACCTACAATTTTTTCAAAATCCAGTTCAAATGTTACTTCAGTGACGCTTTCCTTAATGTCCTTAGAAAGGATCAATCTTATCTTCTTCTCCATCATCTATTGTCACACATTTGCCTTTTTCTTTATGGGTTTGATTCTGCCACTAGTCTGGGAACTTGAATTTGGAAATTTTTGTATTCCTGGTGTTTTGCATAATAGCTTCAACATTCTGAGTCTACAATTAATTTTGGAAATGCATGACAACTATGTGGATTGATGTCATTTCTAGCATTTTATTTATAATTTCTTTGTGTTATTTTATTATTCTTCACTGGCTTTTTGTTATTTTGTTTGTTTTATGCCTTATTTGATTGTTTAGCCCCAGGGATGGTACTAGGGAGAGAGTTAACATCTGTTAAATGTAAAGGAATGCTGTGCAAATATCTGGGTGCTTATAGTTCATGTAAAATTCAAAAGTGCTATGACAAAGGGAGGAGAAAGTCAGACTGGCCCAGTCTTTCTGTCAACTGAGACTGTCAAGAAGTATTTCTTTATAAATTTTCTTTTGATTTCTTTTTCAAGCAAGCAGATTTTTAAAAGTAACTTATTGATGGAATAGCTTACCTTTTTCAAGTTAGAATGCCTAGCTAAATACCCTAAAACTAACTTTTGTTCTGACCATTTTAATATAAGCCTTAGCGCATTGGAGTAGTACCACTCAATTAACTGTTTTATGACATAAATGTAGGTTGCTTGAAAAAATTTTTGTGAGATTTGAAAAAGTAATACTAATTTGTCTCAGTATCTGTATTGGGGTTTGCTAGAGGGACAGAACTAATAGGATAGATGTATATATGAAGTGGAGTTTATTAAGGAGTATTGACCCACACAGTCACAAGGTGAAGTCCCACAATAGGCCATCTGCAAGCTGAGGAGCAAGGAAGCCAGTCCCAGTCCCAGTCCCCAAACCTCAAAAGTAGGGAAGCCGACAGTGCAGCCTTCAGTCTGTGGTCGAAGGCCCTAGGGCCACTGGCAAATTAGTGGTGTAAGTCTAAGAGTCCAAAAGCTGAAGAACTTGGAGTCTGATGTTCAAAGGCAGGAAGCATCCAGCACGGGAGAGAGATGAAGGCTGGAAGACTCAGCAAGTCAAGTACTTTCACATTCTTCTGCCTGCTTTATTCTAGCCATGCTGGCAGCTGATTAGATGGTGCCCACCCAGATTGAGGGTGGGTCTGCCCAGTCCACTGACTCCAATATTATTTTCCTTTGGCAGCACCACCTACACACACACCCAGGAACAATACTTTTCATCCTTCAGTCAAGTTGACACTCAGTACTAACCATCACAGTATCCGTGGCTCATGGCCACGAAGAGGAAAGGGTATTCCATCTAGGTTAATGAATTAAGTCTTAAGACAGTGTGGTTTAATTGGGTCTGATTTAAAAAAAAATTTTTTTGCCTTATCTGGGGAGATGTAGTGGGGTCTTCATGCAATAATAATTATTAGCTGCCTACTATGTATTAAGCAATGTGTTAAGGGACACTGGGGATACAGTGTTGAAAAGACTAGGCATAATTCATATCCTTAGAGTACATTGAGGAAGACAGCTAAGTGAGAAATTACAGCATGATGTAGTCTATGCAGTGATAGAAAGTTCAGAATGCTATGGATCAATATAACCTTACATATTGGGGGAAGTTGGGCTTTTCAGAGAAGTCTATAAACAAGTAGGATGCCTAGAGGCAAGGTTGCATTTGAATTCTCAGAGAAATTCAAAAGGCCTAGTGTAGAACTGGAAGCTTAGAACAGTGAGAGGTGAAACTAGATTCCCAGTCAAGTGGGATTTAGTGTTAAGGAATTTGGAATTTATCCTGAGGGTATCTGGAAGCTATTTACCTTTAGAAGTAGAAAGAATAGATTAACAAATGAAATTGTGCCATATTATGGGGTGTTTTTGCTACCAAAATAAATGGGCTATCATTGAAAGTTTAAAAAATAATTGGCACAGTATAATGTAAATAATTGGAATTGGGATGCTTTACCTCAGAGTTCTTGTGAGAATCAATGAAGATAGTGCATCAAAAATGTACCAAAAGAATATCCACCTTTCATAGATTGTTCATATTGTTTAAATTCCCAAACCTCCGTTTTCTCCACATATCACTAGAACATTATTAAACACCTATATAACAATCTATTAAAGATTTCTGCATTATATAAAGCATTAAAACACCACATTACTAGTTATTTAACATTTAGTGAACTGTGGGAGAGTGTGCAGTACACAAGATAGTGAATGTTAAGTATTGTGTATAAATTGTTCTTCTTACTGCAAAGATCACTTGCCACCATGTAAATAACAAAATAAATCATGGTAAAGACACTATCTAATTGGATCTAAGTTGGTAGTGCCCTCAGGTACCTGGCAGAAGCAAAGGATGGGGAAGATATGTGCAATAATATAAATAAGAGTACTACATATGATTCTTGAGTGGAGATTGAGATACGACTTTAGCTCACTTCACATTTTCTTCTGCTTGGATTACATGTACTTTAACTTTTTTCCAAGGAATGTTCTTGTAGATTAGGGCTTTTGTTGGTTTGGATGGTGATTTTGAGTAAAATACTTAACAAAGTGTTATTTTATATGACATATCAGAGCTTGTTTATACATATATGTAATCCGATAATGTTGATATATATATTATCTGAAGATGAGTACATATGTTTTGCTTATATGTAGAGCTTGTTTCTGTAAAAATGTACAAGAAGGTGTCAGCTATGGTTGACTGGGGGATGAGATGGGGAATATACTTATTTTTGATAGTTTACTACCCTTTTGTAAACTTTGTTGTTTTATATTCTTATTTTAAAATAATTATAGACTCAAAAGGTGCAAAAATAGTACACGGTTTCCGTGTATCCTTTACCCAGCTTTCCACAATGCTGATATCTTACATAACTATATTTTTTTAATAGACTTTAAAATTTTTCAGTCTGCTTATATTACCTATTTTAAATAATTTTTTAAAAAGAGGCTCGAAGATTATTAATAGTAAGTATGGTTATTTTATGATAGTTGTTGGATGACAAATGACCTTTGTACATACACTTTTCAATTTAGCAAACTTAAACAATTTCAACTATTAACATGTTTTTTAATAAATATTTCAAATTAAATATATCTGTTTAAAAATCTTTGACCTCAGATTGTAGAATAATAGCCTAAAATGTAGTTGTTGATATGTTTTGATTTAAAATTTTCTGGAAATTTTAAATTATGTTATAAATTTAAATCCATTTGGAATCAGAAGCAGGAATATTTGTTACTAAGCGAATCTTACATACGTTTTGATATGTAATGATGCTTTACAAAATGGCCTTTGGTCTAGCCTTGCATAGCTTGTTTTATACATTGCAATGACGAAGTCTCTTTGCAGGGAATCTAAGATGGACTTATATTAGACTGAATTCTATGTAATTTTAAATAGAAGAGTTAATTTACTTAATCACAATGGTAAATAGTACAATACATTTTGAGATAACTAATTTTTAAAAATATTATTTCAATGCATCAGTATTTGAGCTTAAAAATCCACTTGGATTTTCTGTTTTAAAGGTCCATCTGAACTGTTTACTGTTTGTTCATCGATTAGCAGAAGAGTCCAGGACAAACGCTTGTGCGAGTAAATGTAGAGTCATTAACAAGGAGCATGTACTGGCCGCAGCAAAGGTAAAATCCAAATTTCTTTTCTCGAGCAAGAATTAAACTTCAAAAATAACACTCGGTTCATCACCTCTCCCTGATTTGTATACCTTACTCAGCTTTGTTGATTGAGTCGATATTTGGCCTTTTATGAATTAATGATTTTAATTAAGGAGTTATATTTCCTCCATATGTATATTATTAATTTCCAATGGTAATATTAATGGCCACTGCTTTAGAGGAAACATTCATGTTCCTACAATCTGCTAATCTGTAGACTGAGAAGATATATCACCTTGAAATTTATCAAAACTTACTTTCTTCTTGATCTTTTAAAATTATCCTAATTACCTCATTGTATTAGTCCATTTTCACACTGCTATAAAGAAATACCCAAGACTGGGTTATTTATAAAGGAAAGAGAACTCACTCACTATCAGGAGAGCAGCATGGGGAAAACCGCCCCCCATGATCTAATCACTTCCCTTCCTCCACATGGAGGGATTACAATGTGAGGTGAGATTTGGGTGTGGACAGAAAGCCAAACCATATCACCAATTATTTGATTTCTTTTAACTTTGTTTTGGCAGAGGTTGCAGTGTGCCAAGATCGCACCATTGCACTCTAGCCTGGGCAACAAGTGCGAAACTCCGTCTCAAAAAAAGGAAAAAAAAATCTCTTATAAGTAGAGATGATTGCTTTTTACTGTTATTTTTATATAATGTTAAGAATATGTTGCCTACGGTGCAGTTTTCCAGATATGTTCCTGAAAATGTTATTTCCAAATGATGTTAATCAAGGCCCTACCTCAGATGCTTCTGTTGTCAAATAAGTGTAGATAACCTTGCATACTATACTTCCTTGATTAGTCACAGTATTATTGTAGAACTTGTTTCTGTAAGAATATGTAAGAAACTGGCAACCACAGTTGACTGGGGATGATAGAGGAGGGAAACTTATTTTTGACAGTCTACCTCTTTGTAGACGTTTTTGTTTTAGATTTATTTTGAAATAAGGTACAAAAGATAGTTTAGAGTTCCCATGTACCCTGTATCCAGTTTCTCATAATCCTAATGTCTTAAATAACTATAGTCATGTAAAGTTATGAAAGGCTATGAGAGAAATATAGCAATAAGGAAACTTGTTGAACTCCATTTAGTATTTTGTAAGTTTGAGTACATAATATACTCAGCGTTTTGTAAATTCATTTGAGTATTCAAACTTTCTTTTGAAGTACCCATGATAATTATCTTGTAGGACAGAGAAGTACTAGTCTAGATACAGATTTATTTGATGGTCTTGTGGAAGCCTAGAAATGTGCATGTCTTGGCATTTTCTAGGGCCTTTAAATTATCTTGCAATTATAAACATTCCAACAAATTTCTACACTATTAAAGTCAATGTAAATATTTTTCTGTGGGAAAAACAAGGCTTAAGATATTGAAGAATATACACGTGTTTTTTACATTTAGGATTTTTATTAATAAACTGTAGGTTTATTTACTTAAAATAGTAGATAAGTTTTTTTTTAAAAAAAGAGATATTCTGACTAATACCGTCAGTCTTTTTACAACTAAAAATCTCCTTTTTTTATTTGTGCCACAGACTATTATTTTGAAAATAATCTACTTAACAGGTTGTTCAGCATAAGATGACTAGTTTTAGTCTCAAATGATTATAATTCCAGTCCAACTATAAGAAATTTAATGTTGCAGTGGATTTGTCCTAGTTTATAGTTGTGAAATGTCTGATTTATAATAGACTTTTTGAGTCTAATATAGACTCAAGAATATTGTTTAACTCTTTAATTGGTATTGTTTAACTCCTAATTTAGATAACTAAATTGTCTAAAAATTTCAAATTCGAAACCATTAATCTGGACACTTTTGGTTTACAATAGAAGAAATTAACATCTAGAGGTAACTAATAAAGGCAGGTTTTTAGAATCTAGGCATGTTTCATATTCATTGAGATAAGACTGTTTTTAGAGAAATCTAAGACTATAAGACAAAAGATTCCCTAATCACCTGGAAGGTGATTTCCAATTTGGAAAATTGGGTTTTATAAATTCAGTCTTGCATATTATGCACCCAGGACTATTTAACTTTTTGTTAAGGAATGATGTTTTATTTTTCATAGATATAATATGAATCTTATTTTTTTCCCTCTTACAGGTAATTCTAAAGAAGAGCAGAGGTTAGAAGTCAAAGAACATATTCTTGAAAGTTATGATGCATTCTTTTGGGTGGTAACAGATCATAAAGACATTTTTTACACATCAGTTAATATGGGATTATTAAATATTGGCTATAAGTGATGTGTGTGTTTGTATTTTTTTTCTGGCATGAAATATCTCAAGTAAATGCATAGGACTATTTAACCCTTTTATGGGAATTACTATTATTTTTATTTTAAATGTCCTCTAGTTCAGTTTGCTTTTGTTTTGTTGCTGCTGCAAATATTTTATGTATCAAAAATGAAATCTTACTATATTAAATACTTTGAAAATGTACTTCTTAGAATTAAGTTTATATATATTTAGATTTAGCCACAGTTAACTATGGAATTTAATCTCTGAAGAAAGGCAAATGCAGTCAAATCTAGGTGCACTTTCAATATTTTAACTTTTAATGTCTTTGCAAAGCAATGCAATCTACTTTTATATTATGCCAGTAGTAATGTTATAATTTCTCAGCTGGACAATTATAAACATCAGGTAGGTTTTTCAAAACCTATCTCCCTCCCAAAACCAAAATAATAGAAATTTGGAGCAAATGACTTATTTTCTTCAAGTCTCATGGATTTAATAGATAATTTTTCCCCCTAAATAAGATAATTTAGAAGTTTATTATGTATCATCAAATAGTTGTTACTTTTAACTTTTTATTTAGAAATAATTATAGATTTCAACATGTAGTTGCAAAGATAGTACAGAGAAGTCCCATGTACAGTACACCCAGTTCCCCCAATGGTTACATCTTACATAACTATAGTATAATATCAAAACCAGGAATTTCATATAGGTACAGTGTACATGTAGTTCTGTTGCCATTTTATGGTGTAGATTTGTTTAACCATTACTGTAATTAGAAATGTTTCATTACCAAAAAAGTCTCTTTGTGCTATCCTTTTACAATTAGACCTTGTTTAAAATGTGTCCTACCCTAGCACCATTCCTAAACCCTGGCAACCATGAACTATTCTCCGTCTAAAGTCTATACTTTTGTGATTTTGAGAATGTCATATGGATGGAATCATACAAGAGGTAACCTTTGGGCATTGGATTTTTTTCACTCAGTATATTGTCCTTGAGATCCATTTAAGTTGTTACATGTATCAATAGTTTGTTCCGTTTTATTACTGAGTAGTATTCTGTAGTATGGAATTACCACAGTTTGTATAACTATTCACTTAAATTGAGGGGCATTTTGGTTACTTACAGTTTTGGTTATTACAAATAAAATCGCTGTGAAGGGTAATCTGCAGGATTTTATATGGACATAAATTTTAATTTCCCTGGGAGTTTTATTCTGAGTTCATGGTAAGTATAGGCCTAATTTTTATTTATTTTTTTTAAAAGACTGAATCTTGCTGTGTCACTTAATCTGGAGTGCAGTGGTGTGATCATAGCACACTGCAGCCTCAAACTCCTGGGCTAAAGTTATCCTCCTTTAGCCTCCTGAGTAGCCTCCTTCTTGCACCTGGGATCACAGGTGCAAGCTGCTGTGTTCGGTTGGCTCAGGTTTAATTTTTTAAAAAGAAATGGCCAAATGATTTTCCAGGGTGGCTGTACCATTTTACATTTCCATTAGCAGTGTATGGGAAATCCACTTTCTTAATATTCTCACAAATATTTGGTAATGTTACTATTTTTTAGTTTAGCTGTTCTGGCAAGAATATGCAGCATTGTGGTTTTAATTTACATTTTCCTGATGGCTAATGTCTTAGTTTAGGCTGGTATAATGAAATACCATGCACTGGATAGCTTATAGATAACATAAATTTTTTTCTCACAGTTTTGATGGGCGGAAGGTCTGAGATCATGGTGCCAGCACAGTCAGGTTCTGGTGAGGGTCCTCTTCTGAGTTGCAGACTGCTAACTTCTCATTCTGTCCTCATACGGAGGAAAAAAGGCCAGAGAGCTCTCTGCCTCCTTTTAAAGGACATTAATCTCATTTATGACGACTTTATTCTCATGACCTAATTACCTCCCAAAGGTCGTTCCTCCTAATACCATCACACTGGTGATTAGATTTCAATGTAAGAATTTTGGGGGACACAAACATTTAGTCCATAATAGCTGATGATGAACATATTTTCGTGTGCTTATTTGCCATCTGTATATTGACTTATACATTTTTATACTTTAATGAGATATAAGGGAAAGAATACCTGTGTGGTCAGTCTTGAACAGAAAGCCTCATGGATTCATAGTTCAGCATAATATAGTAATACATATATGTTTCCAAATTAGTAATTTTTTAAAGCATTAATGTGAAAAAATTTAAATCTTATTTGTAATGTAAGTATACATGTTTAACATAAAATTATATTCTGAACAAAAATAGTTATAAATAAATAGGACTTCTCAAGAGAATGTAAATTTGAAAAAAAACAACTAGAATATGTAGTTAATGCTGAATAGTTCTTTAAATGTAATTAATATCAAAATGTTATTTTTCCTTCAAGAGCTGGACTAGGGAATTTTGGTTTTAAGACAGAACTAATGTGCTCAGAGGTAATGTCTTTTTTTTTTTAATGATGTTTTCCCCATATTTTCTATCTCTTATATAGTGATAGTTAATCCCACTGCCTTGTTCCTGAAACAGGCAAGGTGGAGGAGAAAGAGAGAGAGTGAGTGTGTGTGTGTGTGTGTGTGTGTAAGTGGAGTAGGATGAGGGAAGTTGCTAGAGTCAGTAGAAGTAGGTGATATTATCCGTGTGATACCACACAGCCAAAAGCCTCCTTTTGGGTGACTTTTGTGATACCTGTGTGATACCCAAAAGCCTCCTTTTGGGAGGCTTTCTTGTAGATAGGAATTTTGCTGTTTTGGTAAAAAATTATAACTCCAGCATTTTCATGTTGGGGAGTTAGAGACTGAACTAAACCAAAGTCAAAATGAGGATAGTAATAGTGATATGATAAATGTATTGGCTTGTTTTCTGTGTCGTCTGGGGTGTTTATATGCCACATACTTCCCTACCTGACTTAGAAAAGAAAGAGAATCTAGAATGTGGAGTTTATTAGAGGTGGGGGAAGATGTGTTTATTAGATTAACTGCATTTTTTTCTGGATGTTGAAGAGAGTCAGTGAGACCTTGAACAAGTAATTTAACTGGAGCCTTAGTTTCCCCATGTGTACATTTAGTAACTACTGTTTTTGGCCACATATTTTCCTTTTTGGGAAAATCAGGGTGACTTCAGTTTTGGCTTCATGGTTATGGGTGGTCTATATCTCAACTGTGGGTTTCATTTTTTTTTTTCTTTAAAATCCTCAACCTCATTTGAGGTCTTGATTGATGAACATGAGATGGGTATGAGACCTTAAGATGGATATTTAGTTCTTCTTCCTCAGTATTTTAATCTTGACAATCAATATAGCACCTTGTGGCTGTAGGTAAGTTTAATAACAGTATACTCCCTAGGTCAGTGGTTTTCAAGCTTTACTAAGCTTCAAAATCACCTGGAAGATTTGTTAAAATAAAGATTGCTCATGGGGATTCTGATTCTATTTAGGTGGGAGCTGAGAATCTGTATTTCTAGCAGGTAGCCAGGTGATGCTAGTGTTGCCATCCAGGGGCCATGCTTCCGAGAACAACTGTTCTAGATCACAGGTTGGCAATATTTTTGTAAATAAAGCTTTATTGGAACACAGGCACACATGTGCTGCTTATCTGTGGCTGTTTTCTTACTACAACTTAGGGTAGTGTTGAGTTGTTGCAGCAAATACTGTGTCCTGCAAGCCAAGTTACTTAGTATCTGACCCTTTACAGAAGAAGTTTGCTGACCCCTGTGTTAGATAATTCTTGCCCTAACCTCTGTATTTTGCTTTTACTTGAGTTGCCAAAATGGCAAAAGAGGGATTGATACTCTAGAGGCTTTTTATTTATATTAGCTACACTGAAGTATGACACTTCTGATTGAATTTAGTGAGGGATAGAGTTTTGAGATACTCCAGTTATCACCAGTAAAACAACTATTTACATTGTTTTCTTGAGATATTATCATCTCTAATCCATGTTGCTTGTATTTCCTTTTTGAAGGAATCTACCTTACTGAGACTTGGCATTTCCTGTTTCCAACTAGCTATAAGAGTTTTGTTTGGTTAGCATTTGTATGATATATATCTTCCATCATGATGCTTACAAACATCCTGCATCCTTTAAAGTGTGTCTCATAATCAGTGTATATTTGGGTTTTGTGTTTTCATCTTATCTGGTAGTCTTAGTAATTGGAATTTGCAGTCCATTTACATTTAATGTAATTACTGCTACATTTGGTTTCTATTATACATTTTACAATTTGCTGGTGTATGTGACCCAGCACCTTTTTCTTTCTGCTTTTATTTTCTTTTGAATTAACTTTTATGATTCATTTTATTCTTTATTACTCTAGTTATACATTCTTATACTAGGAATTATAACATGCATCATTGACTTGTTATATCCTCTATCAATCTGCTATTTATATAAACTTTTACTAAAGATTATAATCTGCACTGTTGACTATTTCTAGAACCTTAGAAGGCTTTAATGCCATTTACTTGCTGCCTTTTGATTATTTTAATTTTACATTTGTTAAACCAACCATATAGACACAAATGTATTACTAGTATGACTTGGTACTGTCACTACTAAGTGAATATTTATATTATCACATTTACCGTTTTCTTTGCTGATCATTTCTTTAACAATTTTATATTTCCCTATGGGATCTTTTTTTTTTTTTAACAACCCGAAGAACTCTCTTTACTATTTTCCTGTAGTAACTGTTTCTTGGTAGTACATTTCCTGTTTTCTTTTTTTTCTGATAGAATATTTCACTTTAAACTTGAAAGATATTTTCATCAGATAGGAAAGTCTAGATTGCCTATTATAGCAAATAATGTTAAAATGTCATTTTATGTCTTCAGGCTTCTCTCATATTTTTAGAAGTTAGGCTTATAGAGGGTAATATGTCTTTTTTAAAAAAATCTGTTGCTAAAGGTTTTTCTTTCTGGTTTTCAGCAATCTTGCTATGATTCATTTTCCTAGGATTTGTCTTTTTTGTTGTTGTTTCCCTTTTTATTCTGCTTGGGGTTCCTGCCTGAACTTTCTGATACCATAGGATGGTGTTTTTCTTCAGTTTGGGAGATTCTTGGCCATTCTCTTTTCATGTGTTGCTTCTGCCCCATTTTCTCTCTCCTGTTCGAGATTCTAATTATGTATTATTCTTAGATGTTTGATTATGTCACACATTATCTCTTACACTCTTCCATTTTTCCCATTGAATTTTTTCTCTGTCTTTTAGTTTGGCTATTTCTGTTGACTTGTCTTTTATTTCACTAATTTTCTCATCTGTTTCATCTGCTCTCAAACATCTAATGAGTTCTACATTTCAGATCATGTGTATGTGTATTTTTTTCCTTGCATGCCTACAGTTGATTAAAGATTTTTATTAATATTCTCTGAGGAAATTCTTAATTGTTTTATCTATCTTTTTCTTGTTTCTTAGACATATTAATTATATTTATTTTCACGTAATTATCAACTAATTCCAATATTTGGAGTATCTGTTTTTTTTTCTTGGCTTTTGATCATGTAGTACTGTCTTTTGGCATTACTAATAAATTTTTTATCAAATAATGGGTATTTTGTTAAATAAAAAAAAGATGTTTGTCTTCACAGAGGGATCATTTTTTCCCCACTATGCAGATAGATGGCTAAGCACCTTAATGTAATTAGTGACTGTACTAATTTCAGGGCTTAGTTGTATTTCTCATGAGACTCACTTGGCCTCTTTTTACCCCTGGCCCTCCAGGTGTTTTAACTGGGAGCTTGCTATGTTTTTTTGCAGCCCTTCTTCTGGCATGTACCGAACACTAATCTTTGACATGTGAGAATGCCAAAATCTCTGCTTTACTCTTCAGAGTCTTTCTATGTAGATATTAGGTTGTTGCAAAAGTAATTGCGATTTTTGCCACTGCAGTTACTTTTGTACCAACATAATATCTACGTACAAAAAACTGCAATTACTTTTGCACCCACCTAATACAAAAAATCTATAAATGTCCTGAAGGAAAAACTGACCTTGTAATTAAAAGTGCTAGGTCTCCATAAAAGCTCTACTATAGTAGCCTGGAGTCTCAACCTCCATTTGCCTAGAATTGGTAAATGTCTCCGTGGTAAAATCATCAGTAAACATCAGCTCACCTCTTTAAGAGTCTCCTTTTTGGAGTCTAGTCCCTCCATTTTTTGTCACTGTAGCAGATCTTTGCTCTTCAATTAAATGGTTTCTGTATATTATCTAGCTTTTTTAGTTTTCACTGGGAACACAGATTGGTGGTACGTATACTCCAACTAGGGTAACCAACTGTCCTGGTTTGCTCAACTGTTGCAATTTAATCCTGAAGGTCCTGCATCTCAGGAAACCCCTCAATCCTAAGCAAACTGGGACAGTTGGTCACTGTATTTCCAAACTACCTAGAAATAAAAGTAAGTTTAATTTAATATGAAACTAATATTCAGAAAGGTACTTTTAATAAAACCCATGTGGAAAGGAATTTTCACATTGAAATTGTGTTAAATTATTTACTTTAAAACTGTTATTGCCATTTTTTTCATGAATAAAAGTGTTCCAGGAGGCAAATACAAATAATTACTGTTTAGAAATTGTACCTACTACAGAGTTTAAAAGAACATTTAATTATTATCTTGTTAATCATTCCTAAGCAAAGAATTAGCAAACTCATTAGTTTTGTTTTTGAAATAGTTTTGAATGTCTTTTTCCTCCTAAAGTTGGAGTTTTTCTAAAATAAAATTTGAATTTTATTTTCCCACTTTTTAAAGGTATTTTTGACTCTAAAATGTTTACCTATCAACATCTCAGAAACTTGTGCTGTGTTCAGGTTGGCCAGTTTGTCTTATTTTAAGGCAATAACTCAATGCTCTGAGGGAGTCATAACTAATAGGTACTTTACAAAAGTGGTATAAAGGCACATTTTATGCTCTTGGGGACAGAAAGCTGTATTCCATAACCTGAAGACAGTAATTTGTTTCACTTGTAGACATGTATCTTGTTCTTCCTGTGTTATACTGATATTTTAAGTTTGTCCATTAAATAATGCTGCAAAGGTAGATGTGTTTCTTTAAAATATTAAGTTATAATTTTTTAAAAGGCTATGTTGAATATCAGGTACAAGACCCATTTTATTGGCAATTAACTAATCTGTCCTGTGAGAGAGTACTTGCGCTGTCTTAAATTATATATTATTTTTAACTTTTAATTTCATATTTCTTTGGTATTTTGCCAATCAGAATGGAAGCTCTTCTAGGACAAGAGCTTCTGATTCTTTAGTACTCAAAGTCCATGTGCAGATGTGTTATTCACAAAATAAGAGCTGGATTTTCAACTAGCAAGGCTTAATAGAGAGGGAGCATCAATTCTTCCAGTTATATGTAGCCAGTAGTAATACATCCATTACTTTACTTAACTGTAAGGATAACAATCCAAGGGAAAGAACATTGCTGCATGTTTTAAGAAATCTGGATGACTGTCTTGATGCTGTCACAAACTACACTTAGGCAAAGTAGGATGTTTCTCTCTATAAAAAATTAAGGATTTGAAAGAAATGGTTTCTAACACCTCTTCTAACTCTAAAAATAAAAAGACACTAGTTTTTGAGAAAGCTGACATGGATAATATCCTACTATTTGGATGCATCCAAGCCCTAACTCATGTTATCTTGAGTTTATAAACCACAATGTGATTATAACACTTCTTTTTGTTTGTTTTTGCATGCTGTGTGATTTTATTTATAAAAAGTTCAAGAGTAGGTGAAACTAATAGGTAGAGCTTTAAATCAGGATAAGGTTTTTCTTTGGGAAAGATGAAGACGGTAATGATTTGAAGGAGATACGGGACAGCGGGATTTGCTATGCTAGTAATATCAAAGATGCCAAAATAAATTTTTGAGACATTTAATCATTCCTAATTAAACCCCTTAGTAACCTGAGAATATAATTATGTTTTGTTAACAGTGGCTGAACTAATTTACATTCCCATCAATTGTGTATAAGCATTCCCTTTTCTTTGCAGCTTTGCCAGCATCTATTATTTGACTTTTTAATAATAGTTATTCTGATTGGTATGAGATAGTATCTCATTATGGTTTTGATTTGCATTTCTTTGATGATTAGTGATGATGAATACCTTTTCATATGTTCATTGGCCACTTGTATTTCTCCTGAGAAGTGTCTGTTCATGTTCTTTGCCCATTTTTTAATGGGGTTATTTGTTTTTTGGCTTGTTGGTTTAAGTTCTTTATAGAGTCTAGATATTAAACCTTTGTTAGATGTGTAGTTTGCACATATTTTCTCCCATTTCTCCCATTTCTGTAGGTTGTCTGTTTACTCTGTTTATAGTTTATTTGCTGTGCAGAAACTTTTTAGTTTTAATTAGGTCCCACTTGTCAATTTTTGTTGTTGTTGCCATTGCTTTTGGAGACTTAGCCCAAAATTCTTTGCCAAGGCCAATGTTGAGAAGGGTATTTCCTAGGCTGCTTCTATGATTCTTACAGTTTTAGATGATACATTTAAGTCTTTAGTCCATTTTGCTTAATTTTTTATATGGCGTAGGAGTGCAGTTTAATCTTTCTGCATATGGCTAGCCAGTTATCCCAGCACCATTTATTGAATGGGGGTGCTTTCTTCATTGCTTTTGTCAGCTTTGTTGAAGAGCAGATGGCTGTAGGTGTGCAGCTTTATTTCTGGGTTTTCTATTCTGTTCCATTGGTCTATGTGTCTGTTATTGTACCATTACCATGCTGTTTTGATTACTGTAGCCTTATAGTATAGTTTGGAATCACGTGGTATGATGCTTCCAGCTTTGTTCTTTTTGCTTAGGGTTGCTTTGGCTGTTTGTGTTCTTTTTGGTTCCATGTGAATTTTTTTTCTAATTCTGTGAAAGATGACATTGTTAGTTGTATAGGAATAGCATAGAATCTGTAAATTACTTTGGGCAGTATGGCCATTTTTATGACATGTATTCTTCTATGAGCATGGAACATTTTTCGATTTATTTGTGTTGTCTCTGATTTCTTTCAGCAATATTTCATAGTTCTTTTTTTTTTTTCTTTTGAGATGGAGTCTTGCTCTGTCGCCCAGCCTGTAGTGCAGTGGTGCAATTTCGGCTCACTGCAACCTCCACCTCCCAGGTTCAAGTGATTGTCCTGCCTCAGCCTCCCAAGTAGCAGAGACTACAGGCATGTGCCACCACACCTGGCTGATTTTAGTATTTTTAGTAGAGACGGGGTTTCACCATATCGGCCAGGCTGGTCTTGAACTCCTGACCTCATGATCCGCCTGCCGCAGCCTCCCAAAGTGCTGGAATTACAGGTGTGAGCCACCACGCCTGGCCAGTTCTTCTTATAGGATCTTTCACCTCTTTGGTTAGCTGTATTCCTAGGTATTACCATTTTTTTGTGGCTACCATAAATGGGATTGTCTTCTTCCATGACTTTCAGTTTGAATGTTATTGATTTATAGAATTGCTATTGAATTTTGTACATTGATTTTGTATTCTGAAACTTTGCTAAATTTGTTTGTCACTTATAGGAGCCTTTTGGTGGAGTCTTTAGGGTTTTCCAGGTATAGAATCATATCGTTAGTAAAGATATATTGCCTTTTCCTATTTGAATTCCTTTTCCTTCTTTCTTTTTCCTAAATTGCTCTGGTCAGGATTTCCAGTACTATGTTAAATAGGAGTGGTTAGATTGGGCATTCTTGTCTGGTTCCAGTTCTCAAGAGGAATAGTTCCACCTTCTGCCTATTCAGTATGATGTTGGCTATGGGTTTGTCATAGATAGCTATTGTTATTTTGGGGCATGCTCCTTAGATGGACTAGTCTGTTGAGGGTTTTTATCATGAAGAAGTGTTGGATTTTATTGAAAGCTTTTTCTGCGTTCCACTGAAATAATCATATGGTTTTTGCTTTTAATTCTGTTTGTGTAGTAAATCACATTATTGATGTACATATATTGAGTCAGTGTTGCATCCCAGGAATGAAGCCTCCTTGATTGTGATGTATTAACTTTTTGATGTGCTGCTGGATTTGGTTTGCTAGTATTTTGTTAAGGATTTTTGCATCTGTGTTCATCAGGAATAGTGGCCTGAAGTTTTCTTTTTTCATTGTGTCTCTGCTAGATTTTGGTATCAGACTGATGCTGGCTTCATTGAATGAGTTAGGGAGAAGCCCCTTCTCCTTGATTTTTTTGGAGTAGTTTCAGTAAAATTGGGACCTCCCAAGATTGAACCAGGAAGAACATGAAACCCTGAACAGACCAATAACAAGTTCCAAAATTTAATCATAAATGAAAAGAAAAATCCACCAGATGGATTCACAGGCAAATTCTTCTAGATGTACAATTTCATTAAGTTCTTCTCTTATTTTAGTTATTTCTTCTGCTTGCTTTGGGGTTGGTTTCACTTTTTTTTTTTCTTTTCTTTCCTAGTTCCTCTAGGTGCAAAGTTAGATAGTTAATCTGAGACCTTTCTAAGTTTTTGATGAAGGTGTTTAGCACTACAGAATTTCCTCTTAACACTGCTTTAGCTGCATCCCAGAGATTTGGGTAAGTTATATCCCTATTTTCATTAATTTCAAAAAATATTTTGATTTCTGCCTTAAATTCAATGTTCATCCAGGAGTTATTCAGGAAAAAGTTGTTAAGGTATTTGTGGAATTTCAAGATATCTTGATATTGATGTCTATTTTTATTGCACTGTGGTCTGAGAGTGTACTTGATATGATTTCTTTTCTTTTTTTTTTTAATTTATTGAGACTTTCTTTATGACAGCGTGTGGCCGATCTTAGAATATGTTCTGTGTGCAGATGAGAAGAATGTATATGCTGTGATTTTTGGGTAGGTTATTCTGTAGATGTCTGTTAGGTCAAATCAGTCAAGTGTTGAGTTTAAGTTCAAAATTTCTTTGTTAGTTTTCTGCTCCAGTGATCTGTCTAATGCTGTCAGTGAGGTGTTGAAGTCTCCCACTATTACTATGTGTCTGTCTAAGTTTTTTCCTAGGTCAAGAACTTGTTTTTTGAATCTGGGTGCCCTAATGTTGGGTGATTACATAATTAGGATAGTTATATCTTATTGTTGAATTGTTCTGTTTATCATTACATAATGCCTGTCTTTGTCCTTCCTAATAGTTAGTGGTTTAAATTGTTTTGTCTGATAACAAGAATAGCAACTCCTGCTTTTTTCTTTTCTTTTTTTTTTTTTTACATTTGCATGATAGAACTTTCTTTATCCCTTTATTTTGAGCCTGTGGGTGTTGTTACTTGTGAGATGGGCCTCTTGAAGACAGCAGATAGTTGGGTCTTGTCATTTTATCTGAATTGCAACTCTACCTTTTAAGTGGAATGTTTAGCCCATTTACATTCAGGCCTGGTATTGGTATGTGAAATTTTGATCCTATCATTGTGTTAGCTGGTTGTTAGGTAGACTTGATTGTGTAGGTGCTTTATATTGTCTGTGGGCTATGTGCTTAAGTTTGATTTTGTGGTAGCAAAACATATTTCAGTTCCATATTTAGCACTCCCTTAAAGACATCTTATAAGGCCGGTCTAATTGTAACAAATTCCCTCAGTGTTTGCTTGACTGGGAAGGATTTTATTTTTCCTTTGCTTATGAAGTATAGTTTGGTATGATACTAAATTATTGGTTGGAATTGCTTTACTTCAAGGATGCTGAAAATAGGTTCTCAGTGTCTTCTGGCTTGTAAGATTTCTGCTGAGAGTTCCACTGCTAGCTTGATGGGGTTCCTTTTGTATGTGGCCTGACCTTTCTCTCTAGGTGTGTTTAAGATTTTTTTCTTTCTCATTGACCTTGGAGAATCTGATGACTCTATGCCTTAGGAATAGTTGTCTCCTATAGTACCTAGCTAGGGTTCTCAGTATTTCTTGAATTTGCATGTCAACCATTCTGGCTAGATTAAGGAAATTTTTGTGATATGTAACCTCAAATATATTTTCCATGTTACTTATTCTCTCTCCTCTCTCAGGAATGTCAATGACTTGTAAGTTTGGTATCTTTACATAATCCCATATTTCTCAGAGATTTTGTTAATTTTTTTAAAAATTATTTTTTTCTCATTTGAGTTGATTTGAAGAACTGGTCTTCAAGCTCTGGGTTTTTTTTTTCCCCCCAACTTGGTCTATTCTGCTGCTACTACTTTCTATTGTATTATGAAATTTCCATAGTGAATTTTTAGTTCCAGAAGGTCAGTTTGTTTCTTTCTTATAATGGTTATTTCATCTTTCAGCTCTTGGATCATTTTACTGGATTCCTTGGATTGGGTCTCAACTTTCTGATAAATCTCAATGAGCTTCTTTGCCATCCAGATTCTGAATTCTGTGTGTGTCATTTTGGTCATTTCAATCTGGTTATGAACCATTCCTGGGGGAGTAGTGGGCTTATTTGGAGGTTAAGGGGACATTCTGACTTTTTGAATTGCCAGAATTCTTGCACTGATTCTTTCTCATCTGGAGGGGCTAGTATTCTCTTAACTGTGGTATAGTTTGAATATAGTAAGTTGGGTTCATTTCGCGATGCATTCAGAGGGTCATGACTCTGTATGGGATTTTTATTTGTGGATGAATTCTTATACTTGTTTTCACAGGGATGTATATTAGATAATTTTGGTGTTATAGTTTCAGCTGTTATCCAGTAGATGGCGCTTAAGACGCTTAAGAGTAATTGCGGGTAGATGGGCTCTTAATCAAGATGTGTGGCTCTTTTCTATTTCTTTCTTTCTTTTTTTCTTTTTTTTGAGACGGAGTCTTGCTCTCGCCCAGGATGGAGTGCAGTGGCGCAGTCCCGGCTCACTGCAAGCTCCGCCTCCTGGGTTGATGCTTTCTTCCTCAACCTCCAGGGGAGCTGGGACTACAGGCGCCGGCTACCACGCCTGGCTCATTTTTTGTATTTTTAGTAGAGACGGGGTTTCACCGTGTTAGCCAGGATGGTCTTGATCTCCTGAGCTCGTGATCCACCTGCCTTGGCCTCCCAAAGTGCTGGGATTTCAGGCGTGAGCCACCGCGCCCAGCCTCTTTTGTATTTCTATGTTCATAACCATGTTCTGTGGTGGGCAGAGAGATGACACCCTCACCAGGCCTGCTCCTGGGCATTTAGGGAATCCCCTTGGTCACTAGCACCACTCTCATTTTTCTTTTGTTGAGTGTTCCAGGCTGTGGGACTTCATCAGGTAGAGGCCAGGACAGGGAGATAGACTACACTCTTTCTGAACTGGTACTGTGGAAAGAGGCATGCCCCACTGCCACACATCTTGTCCCTCTTACTGCTGTGAAAGTGGGGGCTCCTCTGCTTAAGTGCCGGCCACAACTTTCAGCTCAGTACTCCAGAGCTGTGTGCCACAGCCCTGGCAGGCTCGGAGGGCCAGTGGCTTAGGGCTGGGCTCTGGCTCTGCTGGGGGATACAAAGTGCTCTCAGGAAAGTACTCAGGTGTATTAGAGCACTCAGGCTGGGCCCTGGAGGCTGCTCTGTGCACACACTTCTATGGAGTGGGTCGACAGGGGCCCTGGGAGGGGCTGGTGGGCAGGAGGGCCTGTAGAACTGATGCACCCCAGTCCTGCAGGAAAGCCAGTCTTGCCCTTTCCTGGCTTGGTAGTCAGCTGGGGCTGGAGCTTCTCAGAGGGAGATGACATGCTGTGGGAGTGAGCATCTATGGCTGCCCTTTGTTGGAGCCACCCTATGCACAAAAGCTCATGGGCTCTGTGCCAGTTGAGGCCCTGTCTGCTTACTCCCTGGCCATATCCCTCTGCCAATTCACAGGCCCATGGGGGTGTGGGGTTCCCTGTAGCTAGGATCCCAGTGGTCTGTAGTGAGATTGAGCTGTCCCTCAGTCCCTTCACTCCTTCCCTAGGAGCTGTTTGGTGCACCCAATTCAGTCTCAGTGCTCAGCTTCCTCTTCAGCCTCAGTGTTACTTGTCTCTTCATCCACCCTCAGTGTTTTCTCTCCAAAGATCTACCCAAATTATGTTGGTTTACTTGTTAATTCGTTCTCTCTCAGTGGGAACAGCGCTTCGTGGCTTTGTCTAGTGCTATCTTGTCCCCCACCTTGATTATATATAACAGTTCTGAGCGCACTAGTATCTTTAATTTTGCTTATATAAGAGCCCTAAAGGAGAAAAGCTGTTTTGTTGATAACCTTTCTAAGTCTCTGTAGCATTTAATTCTTTTTTCTATGTCCTGTCTTCTGATTTCTTCTCCTATGATTTCCTGTAATTTCTTTTAAAATTGTACTGAAAACAGGCTTTTTGGAGTTAAGATTCATACTGGAAACACTCTTCTTGATTTGTCCAAAGCTACCCATAAGAGAAATACTGCTGGTGAAAGATGGTTGCTTCAAATATATCTTTTGTATGGAGCTGGGACAGTTTTGGCTTGCATGCTGAAATTTTGTTTTAAAAACATATTTTTAGTTAATCTAAAAATATACTTCAAAATAAAAATTTCCTATGTTAGTCTCAATTTGAAGATTATTTGTGGATTAACAGCCACCAAGATCTGTTTCTTTAATGAACAACAACACTACCTAGAGACAGTGTACTGCTAAGTGGAGAGTTTCTGGGATTTCTGTGTTGAGTTCCTAACAGCAAATAGACCAGCTAGGAAAAGTGGTTCGTATTCAGATGGAGAGATTTCATCACTTGGCCATCTAGAATTGGATGGGAGAACTAGAAGCCATAAACTGGCAGCCCAGGTATGTATGTTTGGCCTACAGATAAGTTTTATTTGGCCCACATAGTTTTTTAAAAAATGGAATTACTTGAAAATTAGATTTCACATACAAATTTAATTTCTGCCTTCTTTTGAAAAATTGGACAATATGGCAATAATATGTCCACAATTAGTTGGACCTAAATAGTAGCTTCTTTCTTTAGATGAAGACACATTGCCAGCTTTACTTATGTTAACTATATAGCACCTCTTTAGGCATTTGAGTTCGTAATCCATTTGAAAACTTTAAATCTGACATTTGATACTATTTTAGTGGCATGCACTACCCATGACTCTGTTATGTTCTCTTTCTCATCATGGTATTTTCCAATATTTTCTCATGTTTCTGGTAGCAGTTAGCCTGTACCATTGGTTCAAGAGCTTGCTCAATTGTAAGTCCAATAGCAACAGCCAGGGCCTTAAGGAATCTAGAGTAGTGCTAAGTATTTAAACTCATCTAAGAAAATCTCCTATCAACCTTATCTCTCCTATTCAAAGGGAACTCAAATTTGTTAAGATTTTTTGTTTCTAAACAGGATGGATTAAAACCAATGTCCAATTTGCTGCTTTCGAGGGAGTTTCTTGGACCTCCTGAATTTAGTGTGCAGATAACAGTGCTACATGGGATTTGGTTCTTTGAATATTCAGCACCAAAGGGGACCTTCTCAAATTGTACTTACTCAACAGTGTCTCTTTTTCTTTTATGATGCTTCTCTAGGAACCATAATAGCACAGAGTTAATTGTCTTGCTCACACTCCTTTGCTTTTTAATCCCAAGAGTTTGACAGGCTATAGTGAAAATGTACTCTAGGCTTAGTTCTAGGGTGGTAATTTACTGTAAGCAATACCTGGCATTAAACCTGAGGTCTATAATTCTGAATGGTACCCCCACAAAATGCATTGCTATCCTACGCCAGTTGAGCACTCAGTTACATATTTTTTGAGTGGATGAGTGATAGAAACGACTTAAAACTCATCCTGTTTTGACCTAGTCCTTGTGTCACGTTCAAAGGAACAGAAACCTGTGTCCAAATGTCTTGAAGAATAATGCAGATCATAATTTAGGCTCTCTTAAAGGCCTAGTATAGAGTTTTCTGTAGCATTTCACAGAGAAGTTTCTAAGGTTTTTCTTCAGATAAGTTTCCCTTTCCCCAAAGTTTCCTGTTAATAAAATCTGCTTAAAATTTATGCTTCTCCTACTCTCTCCAGAGAACTATCAATATATATTTTTTCAGTGTTCACTAGCTCTTCCTCTTCTTCCTGTACACTACATTTCCAACCATCCTAATGTATATAAGCACATAACCCTCCATTTCTGGTGTTATCCCTACCCCTATCCATTTTATATGTAACTTTTTCCTATCAAGGTTGTTTTTCTCATGAGAAACAACTCTGTTGTGAATGAGTAAATAAAACTGTCCATTTTATTTTATGTACAATGAAAACTTGAATGAAGGAAATTTAGTTTGTCTCTTACCTTGTCACCCTCCTATATGAAGAAAGAGAATTACTGAACTACTGTGGGATATAAAAAGCATATTAATACCTAGGCAATCATAATGGAGTAAAAGCACTTCAGAAAATACCCTGTTTGCATAATAGTTAAGGTATTTAGTCCCCACAAAAGCCTGTAAGAAAGATAGTCACAATTATTCACTTATTCATAAATCAAGAAACTAAGATTCAGAGAGAAGTAACTTGATGCACATAAACATGCTCAAAATTGCACATGGCAGGCATTTTTCATGTAGACACAAGGATTTAAGATAATAGTTCTGGTGAATATTGGGATCTGGATGATGTGAAATGACTTAGTATTTCTTAATTTTGGGGTAGAAGTAGACTATGGGGATGGATAACTTAGATCACCTGGCCTAACTCTTACTTCAAATTTTGTAAACTTGGGAGTCAGGGATATAATTAAAATGGAATTGTGACCTAATTATAGATTTTGAGGAATTTACATGAGTTGCAATTAAACCACTGTATTAGTCTGTTGTCACATTACTGTAAGGAAATACCTGAAACTGGGTAATTTATAAGAAAAGAGGTTTAATTAGCTCATTAAGTTTTGCAGGCTCTACAGGCTTCTGCTTCTGGGGAAGCCTCAGGAAACTTACAATCATGGCGGAAGCTGAAGGGAAAGCAAGCACATCTTATATGACCAGTGGGAAGAAGAGAGAGAGAAGGGGGAGACACTACACACTTTCAAACAACCAGATCTCCTGAGAACTCTGTTATGAGAACAGCAAGGGGGAAGTCCGCCCCTCTGAACCGATCACCTTCCACCAGCCCCCTCCTGTAATCTTGAGAATTACAATTTGACATAAGATTTGGGTGGGGACACAGAAGCAGACCATAGCAACCACTATTAGGATATGTTAGTATAAAGAAAATATTGTTACCCATGTGCAAAAATACATGCATTTATGATGTAAAGAATAATCTAAAGCTACTGTTTAGCGATTTTTCTGTAACTGGTAAAGCAAGAAAAGCACATGTTTGTTTTTGTTCTCCTTAACTCTGACCCACAAAGAATGAAAGGAAATGAACATTTTTATGTTTTGTGACAGTGCATTTTCTCTCCATATTTTGTGGATGATGAAACAACTTAATTGTGAAGTCCAGATTTCTGATTAAGCAGTTTGTTCTTAGTGGGCTTTTAAATCAAATTTTATCTCTGAACTTTGAGAGTTGAGGCTGCCAAGATTTAAATGAGGAAAAACATTAGTTTTTATCCCTACTAGCATTAAAGTTTAAGGCTTTGAAATTGTGAAACATAATTACTAAAAATAAGTCAACTATGAAAATAAAGTTGGGATTGAGTTTTCATGATATTTGCTATGCAGGGGAAAACATTGGACTCTAATATATGTATAGTATAGTTACATGTGATTTGTATTATAAGTTCAAGTTAGAGCCTTCAAAATATTTTTTTTCTTTTCCAAAATTTTACTCTGTAATTTTAAAAAAATTACCTTACTCATAAATAGAATACATATATTTTATTAGCTTTTTTGCTAAACTGTTTAGTGAAATAGAGGCAGTTTTCAAGACTATACAAATTTTAGGAATTTTAGAAAATTTGTTGTAAGTTAAACCATTGAAGTTTCTGTTTTTAAAATTGTCATCTAATATTTCAATGTATGATTGCAACAAATTTTCAGTAATCTATGTACATTTTTGTCAGTTTAGATTTTAATTGGATCTTGGACTAAGTATTAATGAACCATACTTGTATACGTACCTTTGAGATTGAATAATACCTTTATGAGTGCCATTTTATGAATAGTTTCTGAATTTTAAAATATATATCATATACTCAATCTCGTTAGGCATGTTTGTTTACTTAATTCTTGCTATGTGCTCAGCAATCAAGTAGAGTGAAAGAGAGACACTATCCCTGTACTTCATGTTACCATCTAACTATTTGAGAGTATATCTTAGTCTCTTTTGTGTGGCTATTGCAGAATACCTGAGATTGGATAATTGATAAAGAACGGAGATTTATTTATTACAGTTCTGGAGGCTGGGAAGTTCAAGGTTGAGGGACCTGCATCTAGGGAAGGTCTTCTTGCTATCTCATCTGATGGTGGGAGGGTCAAGACAGATGCACAAGAGAGCAAGAGATGGAACTTGCAGCCTAAAGCCCTTTGATAATTGCCATTAATTGTTTATGAGGGCAGAGCCTTCATGACCTAAACACCTCCCTTTAGTCTCTACCTTTCCACACTGTTGTACTGGAGATTAAATTTCCAACACATGCATTTTGGGTGACACATTCAAACCATACCAGAGTATTTTACTATAGAATTTAAATTCACTGGCAAATTTAAATATTTACCAGTGGAAAATTTTAAGAATCAGAGTCATATATTTTAAAATTTTATTTTATTAATTATTTTTAAATTTCAATTTAATAGCTCTAGTAGTGCAAGTGGTTTTTGGTTACCTGGATGAGTTGTGTAGTAGTGAAGTTTGGGTTTTAAGTGTACCTGTCACCCAGATAGTATACATTGTCTCCAATAGAAAAAGTAAAATAAATTTAAAAATTAGTGATCATATATAATATAGAAAAACAAGGTCATAGTAATCACAGAGATGCAATGTACAAGATTTGGATCAGAAATCCTTCCTGATATAATTTTTCTTTTCCTTTTTTTTGGCACCAAGTTTAGACATGGTGGAAAAGGATAAAGGAGGGTTGACAACTGGCAGAAAACATACAGGAAGTGGTACAATGAGACAAGAAGGAATAAACCTTAAGAGTAACTCCAGATTAGAGTGTAGCAGGGTAGATAGGATGAGATTGAAGAGACTGTCAGGAAGACTTCCAAATGGTGGGAGTCTTGAAACACTAGAGATTTAGAATCATTGTAGGGACCTGGTGGTAGTGAGTTTCTTGAAGATTATTCTAGTAACTGAGTGGGTTAAGAGATAATAGGGACAGTGAAACTCATTTGGAAGGTGTTTCAGTGGGTCAGGTATGAAGTAATTACACCAAAGGCTTGAAGTTCTGAAATAAAGAGGAGACAGTTGATGTGGGAGAATTCAGGAAGGAAAAAAAAATTACATAAAGTGTTTGTTTAGTGTCTAAGTCAGTTTAACTTCATTTTAACCAGTTGAGGGTAAACACTGATGAATTACGATTTTGATTTAAACCGTAATCTAGAGGACTTCCATTAGTTTGGGATGTTAAGATATGTTATGAGAATCCCAAATATAGCAGCTTAGGTAAAATGGGGAAGTGGGTGATTTAGGTTTTCTGTGGTGGCTTAACTATTTCATCAGGCTACTGGGCTCTTTCTGTTTCTCAGTCTTTCTGTGAAGGCCTTTCTTCGTCTTTGTGCCTATCCCTCTAGTTGAAAGATAACTATTGCATATCCAGGTATCACCTTTATGTTCCGCACTGGGGGAATAAAATGAGAAACAGGAAAAGGCAGTGCCTGCATCAGGAAGGAAAAAGCTTTTTATCTTATTGACTTGTATGTGTCATAGACCACCATTAGCTGCATTGGAGTCTGGAGAGAGTGAGGTTTGTTTTATTTTGGTTTTGGCTGAGCACAGTAAAGGTTCTGTAATTAAGGGAAGGAGAAGCAGACACCGGGTAGGCACTTCTGAGAAAAAGTTGTTCTGTAGAACCCATTGATTCTTCAAAAATATTAAACTATAAAATTAAAAACTTTAATGTATTGGATTGGAGTACTTTTAGTTGTTTGGATACTGTATTAGGACTTTTTTTTTTTTCAGTAGGCTTTTGGGGAACAGGTGGTGTTTGGTTACATGAATAAATTCTTTAGTGGTGATGTGAGAGATTTTAGTGCACCCATCACCCGAGCAGTGTACACCATACCCAATGTGTAGTTTTTTTTTTTTGAGTTGGAGTCTCACTCTGTTGCCCAGGCTGGAGTGCAGTGGCGCAATCTCAGCTCACTGCAAGCTCCGCCTCCCGGGTTCACGCCATTCTCCTTCCTCAGCCTCCCGAGTAGCTGAGACTACAGGCGCCTGCCACCATGCCTGGCTAATTTTTTGTGTTTTTTGGTAGAGACGGGATTTCACTGTGTTAGCCAGGATGGTCTCAATCTCCTGATCTCGTGATCCACGTGACTCGCCTCCCAAAGTCCCAATGTGTAGTCTTTTATCCCTCACCCTCCTCCCACCCTTTCCCTCAAGTGCCTAGTCCATTGTATTATTCTTATGTCTTTGTGTCCTCATAGCTTAGCTCCCACTTATGAGTGAGAACATACAATGTTTGGTTTTCCATTCCCGAGTTACTTCACTTAGAATAATGGTCTCCAGTTCCATCCAGGTTGCTGCAAATGCCATTTTTTTTTTTATGGCTGAGTAGTATTCCATGGTGTGTGTATATATATATACCACAATTTCTTTACCCACTCGTTGATAGATGTGCATTTGGGCTGGTTCCATATTTTTCCAATTGTGAATTGTGCTGCTATAAATGTGTTTGCAAATATCTTTTTCATGTAACGACTCCTTTTCTTCTGGGACCCAGTAGTGAGATTGCTGGATCAAATGGTAGTTCTACTTTTCATTTTTAAAGGAATCTCCACACTTTTCCATAGTGGTTGTACTAATTTACATTCCCACTAGCTGTGGAAAAGTGTCCCCTTTTCACAACATCCTTGCCAACATACATTTTTTTAAAGTTGTTGATTATGGCCATTCTTACAGGAGTAAGGTGGAATCACATTGTGGTTTTGATTTGCATTTCCCTGATCATTAGTGATGTTGAGCATTGTTTCATATGTTTGTTGGCCATTTGTATATCTTTTGAGAACTATCTATTCATGTCCTTAGCCCACTTTTTGTTGGGATTGTTTGGTTTTTTTCTTGCTGATGTTTTTGAGTTCTTTGTAGATTCTGGATATTAGTTCTTTGTCAGAGTTATAGATTGCAAAGATTTTCTCCCACTTTGTGTGTTGTCTGTTTACTCTGCTCATTGTTTCTTTTGCTGTGCAGAAGTTTTTTAGTTAAAGTCCTATCTATTTATCTTTGTTGCATTTGCATTTGCTTTTGGGTTCTTTGTCATGAAGTATTTGCCTAAGCCAATGTCAAGAAGGGTTTTTCCAATGTTATCTTCTAGAATTTTTATGGTTTCTGGTCTTTGATTTAAATCTGTGATCCATCTTGAGTTGATTTTTGTATAACGTGAGAGATGAGGATCCAGTTTCATTCTACCTGTGGCTTGCCAATTATTCCAGCATCATTTGTTGAATAGGGTGTCCTTTCCCCACTTTATGTTTTTGTTTGCTGTGTCAAAGATCAGTTGGTTGTAAGTATTTGGCTTTATTTCTGGGTTCTCTATTCTGTTCCATTGGTCTATGTGCCTATTTATACCAGTACCATGATATGTTGGCAACAATGGCCTTATAGTATAGTTTGAAGTTAGGTAATGTGATGCCTTCAGATTTGTTCTTTTTGCTTAGTTTTGCTTTGGCTGCGTGGGATTTTTTTGGTTTCATATGAATTTTAGTATTTTTTTTTCTAGTTCTGTGAAGAATGATGGTGCTATTTTGATGAGAATTGTATTGAATTTGTAGATTCAATGAATTTGTCATTTTCACAGTGTTGATTCTACCCATCCATGAGCATGGAATGTGTTTCCATGTGTGTCATTTGTGATTTCTTTCATCAGCATTTTGTAGTTTTCCTTGTAGAGGTCTTTCACCTTCTTGGTTAGGTATATTCCTAAGTATTTTATTTTTTACTTTTGCAGCTTTTGTAAAAGGGGTTGAGTTTTTTATTTTATTCTCAGCTTTGTCATGTTGGTGTGTAGCAGAGCTACTGATTTGTGTACATTAATTGTGTATCCTGAAACTTCTCTGATTTCATTGAGCAGTTCTAGGAGCTTTTTGGGAGAGTCTTTAGAGTTTTCTAGGTATACGATCATATCATCAGCAAACGACAGTTTCACTTGCTCTTAACTGATTTGGATGCAGTTTATTTCTTTTTTTTTTTTTCTTGAGATGGAGTCTTGCTCTGTCACCCAGGCTGGAGTGCAGTGGCGTGATCTCGGCTCACTACAACCTCCGCCTCCCAGGTTCAAGTGATTCTCCTGCCTCAGCCTCTTGAGTAACTGGGATTACAGGTGCCCACCACCACGCCTGGCTAATTTTTTGTGTGTGTGTGTGTGTTTTTTTAGTAGAGCTGGGGTTTCACCATGTTGGCCAGGCTGGTCTCGAACTCCTGACCTCAGGTAATCCACCCGCCCTGCCTCCCAAAGTGCTGGGATTATAGGCGTGAGCCACCGTGCCTGGCAGGATGCAGTTTATTTCTTCCTCTTGTCTGATTGCTCTAGCTAGGACTTCCAGTACTATATTGAAAAGAAGTGGCAAGAATGGGTGTCCTTGTCTTGTTCCACTTCTCAGGGGACATGCTTCAACTTTTTCCTGTTCAGTATTATGCTGGCTGTGGGTTTGTCATAGATAGCTTTTATGATCTTAAGGTAGGTCCCTTCTATGGTGATTTTACTGAGGGTTTTAATCATAAAGGGATGCTGGATTTTGTCAAATTTTTTTTCTGCGTCTATTGATATAATAATATGGTTTTTGTTTTTAATTCTGTTTATGTGTTGCATCACATTTATTGAATTGCATATGCTAAACTGTCCCTGCATCCCTGATATGAAACCCAGTTGATCATGGTGGATTACCTTTTTAATATGCTGTTGGATTCGATTAGCTAATATTTTGTTAAGGATTTTTATATCTGTATTCATCAAGGATATTAGTCTATAGTTTTCTTTGTTATGTCCTTTCCTGGTTTTGATATTAGGGTGATACTGGCTTCATAGAATGATTTAGGGAGGATTCCCTCTTTATCTTGTAGCATAATGTCAATAGAATTGGTACCAATTCTTCTTTGAATGTCTGATAGAATTCAGCTGTGAATCCATCTGGTCCTGGGCTTTTTTTGTTGGTATTTTTAAAATTTGTATTTTAATCTCACTACCTGTTATTGGTCCGTTCAGCGTTTCTATTTCTTCCTGGTTTAATCTACAAGCGTTGTATATTTCCAAGAATTTCTTATCTCCTCTAGGTTTTCTAGTTATGTGCGTAAAGATGTTCATAGTAGCCTTGAACAATCTTTTTCTTTTTTCTTTTTCCTGTGGTATCGGTTGTAATAAATCTTATTTCATTTCTAATTGAGCTTATTTGGATTGTCTCTCTTCTTTTCTTGGTTAATCTCACAGTGGTCTATCATTTTATTTATCTTTGCGAGGAACCAGCTTTTTGTTTCATTTATCTTTTATATTGTTATTTTGTTTCAATTTCATTTAGTTCTGTTGTGATCTTTGTTATTTCTTTTCTTCTGCTGGGTTTGGGTTTAATTTGTTCTTGTTTCTCTAGTTCCTTGAGATGTGACCTTAAATGGACATTTTTCACTATTATTCTGATACTGTTTCTTTCTCAGACTGGGTAACCAGAGGAAACCCAGATGACACCAGCAAGAAAATGTAGAAAATTCATGTGCTTTGAGGACCAATTTATGCATGTGAAAAATATTATATCAGTATATAGTTTTAACATCTTTAAATTTAAAATTTTGATTTATATTCTATGTTTATAGTTTCAGGTTCTAACATTTTAAATTATCTTTTCAAAATTGCATATCATTTTATTATCTTGCTTTCTAATAATACTTGCGATCTCAGTTGATGGTAAGCCTTTAAATTAAATGAATGACCCAGAATACTTATAACACTTCTGTAATAGGAAATAAATGTAGCCAGATACATTATCAGGTATAGTTAGTACACTTTATTCCTCAGACAATATGTAATATAGGTGCAAAATTGTACAGCTAAAGGTAATTAGCCCATGAGATCATGAAATTGCTGAAATATTCCTGAAGGTTTTAAGAATGAGGCCCTAAAGGTACATGGCTATTTGAAATATTTTTTGAACAAGCCTCCAGTGATTCAGAAGGAGTTATAATGTCTAGCCAAAAGATTGAATCACTGAAGAAGTACAGAAAAAAACAGCAATAAACTTGCTAAGTGTCCTTTCTGGAAATGCAATCATTTCATTGCTACTCACATAAGTCCTCTAAAGTGCTTTGGGATATTACGAGTAATATAGATTCTATGCCCTGGAGTACTAAAATAAAATGTTAGTCTTAGTCATTTGGAATTTTAAATGTTGCTTTGTTTATGGATGCAACTGAGTCATTTTTCTCCTTAGCTTTCTAAGCGAAATCTCAAAGTAATTATATTGTCTTTTTATATTATAGTTGAATAACTGTATTAATGCTTTTTCACATATGGAAAATAATAAATGTACAAGATATAAATGGTAGCATAATAATGTTTCAGATTCTGAAATCTTGTAAATGATTTTGTAACAAAATTTACATTATTCTAAAGCTTCCAGTAACCTAAAGAAATTAGATGAAACTCTAAAGTATTTATTCTGTGGATAAGATATTAAATATTATTTCATAATGTACTATTTTTAACACACTATGCTTGAGAATGAGAGGCATATAAAACATTAAAACACATTCTGTGTCCTTAAGAAGTTTACAATTTGAACAAATAACACAGAAAATAACTTGAAGACATATGGCAGTTTGCTAAGATGTTAAGCCCTTCTTCGAGCCATAAAAATTTGTGCTTCTAACATGACTGCCTATTTTGTTTATTCATTGCTGCATAACAAACTACTCTAAAACTTAATGGCTTACGACAGCAGCAAGTATTTCTCATGATTCTGTGGACTGGCTGGGGCTCTGCTGGGCAGTTCTTCTGCTGGTTCACTTGAAGTTTCTCATACTCTTGCAATCAAATCATAGCTAGGCTAGAATGTTCAAGATGACTTCTTCACTCGCTTGAGTTCTCAGGATTCCTCCAAGTGGACTCAGTCTCCCAGAGATGTCTTATCCTCCGGAACCTCTCCATGTGGCCTCTTTGGCCTGCACCTCTTACATTATGGTTGAGGCCTCCAAGAGTTAGAAAGTCAAAGTTGGGATTCCCAAAATACCCACTTTTACCACATTCTATTGGGCCAGGCAGTCACAAAACCAGTTCTGAGTTTGGGGAGTGGGATAGAATAAGCTCCACCTCTTGATGTGAGAAACAGCAGACAGGGAAGGGAGACATTTTTGGAGGCTCTCTTTGGAGAATGGCTACCACATTGCCTGATTAGTGGTTTAGGCCTTAATTGCTGTGGGAGTTCTAAGAAATAGAGAATTATCTCAATTTGGGTGACTGAAGTACTCTCCAAAGATTAGCTAAGACTTTTTTCCTGAGTCATAAAGGCCAGGTATAGAGATCACAGGGATAGAGGGAGAATTATGGGATCCTCTGTTGGGAAGAACAGCATATGCAAAAATGTACTGGTAGCAAAACAATGTCACTGCATCAATAAGAACTCTAATAAAAATTTAAAAATTAATAGTTTATCAGAGCTAGTATTGCTAGTGTCACTTACTGCAGAAAGAACTAATGAAATTGCATAGGAAATAGATTTTTTTAAAGGCCGATGCAATTCTAAGTAGGGACTGTGTTCTTTAACAATAGCAAAGCCAGTGGCTCTTTAAAATTGAGCCATCTTTGGGTTTAGAAATAAAATGGCAAAATTTAATTTGGAAGAATTTTCTGTTCTCATCAGATTTGAGGTTTTTTCCTGACAGCTTGTTAATGCCAGACTAAACCAGCATGTTATTTGAATATAGGACAAGTAAGAAAAGACAGGCATAGACATGGTTTGGGAGTTTTGCTTCCTTGATGATTAAGCTTGGTAGAGTACAGATTTGTGGCAACTGAGATCACATTTGTCAGCACTGAGGTGAGACCTGACAGCTCAGAGAGTTACAATACATATCTCCTGTGAACACGTAAGTCTTGACCTTACAGTAGTTATGGTGTGAAGTAAAAGTCTAGAGTGAACTCTTAATAAAGCAAGTAGTTACAATGGCCTCCACTTTGGAATTTAAAGTCAACTCCAAGTATATAATAAATAATTCCATTCATTCATTTAACACCTTTGTTGATTACTAGCTATATGAGTAGCTCAATACAGAGGAAATCCAAAGAAGCATAAACTGTTCTAATTTTGAAAGTATTGTGTTAGGCTGAAACCTATGCTCATCTTACATACATTGGCATTATTTCTGTGCTCTGGAAAAAGATAAGTCTTTTTTCTACAAGATACCCCTAAATCATCTATAGAAACAAGCATTCTCATTGCCCAAGTCATCTTTGCTCCTCAGGTTAATTTTATGACAAAGCTTTTATAATCCTCATTCATTCAGCAGACATTTATTGAGTTTTACTATGAGATAGATACAGTGAAAGTGTCTTTTGAACTATGATCTCCAATATGAGAAGCCAGCTTTGAGATGATCTGATGGGAGAGAGTTTCAACTGATCACAAAGGCCATGAAGAGAAAATAAACCCAGTGTGTTCAAGAAACAGAAAGTAAGTCAGCCTTGCTGTAGCATGCTGAAGAAGAGGTAAATTAGGCCAGATAATATGTGCACTCTGAAACTGTAATGAGGACTTTGAATTTTATTCTCAGTGGGAAGGGAAGGCATTTGAATGTTCTGAGCAGGCATGTGACAGGATTATAATTTACTTTTTATGCAGGTCATTTTAGATTCTGTGTTGAAAAAACTATAGAGGAGCAGGGGTCAGAAAGATGACAAGACACTATTGCAGTACTCCATGGTGATGATGGCAACCTGGATTAGGTAAAGTGGTGGAGTTGGTGAGAAGTTTGATGTTCTCTGCCTCTCACCCTTTTGTCTTTCCCGTCTTTGCTCTCCACATATTGCCTTTTTTTTCCCTAATTCAGTGTAATGGCTGGTGAGGGCCTGTCTTGGGCATCACAGCTCTTCACCAGTTTTGCCTCTAGCCCCCTTTTCTCTCCTATTTTACTTCTTGCTCTAATGCTGCTTGTCCATATTCCTCTCCTGTTTCTTTTATATGTTATTCCTTTCTGCTTTTCTTTTTTCTCTCACTCTTCGTTACTTTAGTTATATTCAGGCCTTATAAAGGCCATCCAATCCTTTACTCCTTTCTAATTTCTAATGAATTTCTAATCCTTTACTCCTTTGAGGAGGCATATGAAGAGGCTAGTTTTTTATAATTTATCCAGCCTAGGAAATTTAAAAGATTTTGACCTTGTTGCTCTCTTTCCTATGCAGAGGCCCATCAACCTAGTTCTCATTATAGCCTTAGTTGGCCATGGAAAGTCTCATAATGTAGTTGCTCATCAAGGGAATATATCAATAAACATGACTTGCACGTCCTGAAGATGGAACTGGCTGAGACACTAACCCAGTTTTTATTTGGCTGTGCCTTATTCATTCATTCACCTCAGCATCAAGCAAGAGTCTTACTTGATACTGAGGCGAGTGAATGAATAAATTAGTGAATGAATGGAAATAAAAATTTGGTGCAGTAAAGATATTTTGTGGTTCACATAAGCTGATAGCCATTCAGCTCTGCATGCATAGCTGAAAAATGTTTATCTTCCTAATAGTCTTCACATCCCAGGTTATTGCTTGGGACCAAATAATTGTGTCAGGCAGCCCATCATCCTGCTGAGATAGAATGGGCATCAAGGTCAACATGTTCCTGACTTGGGATTCCAACTCTCTCTAGTCTTGTACTGTTCTAAGGACATACCCCTAATACGGAATTGTATTACAACATTAGTAACAGTAGGCCTCTCTTGTCATTTCAGTCATTACTATTTAAAGGTAGCAACTCAGGAGGCAGCTAGATCCCCTAATAACAGTAGTAGGGTTGACAGGGCCGTGGTTGATAACAGCCAGGAGAGGAGAACCAGACTAGGTGCTTCAGCTGAAGTCTTGGAACTGGGCATTACTTAGGAATGCACATTTGTTAGAATTTCTGTGGCTAGTCACAAATCATGTTTTTAGATGTATTAAAATGTTAAATATTCCCTAAGGCAAACTGAAGGGCACATAATACTTTCCCTTAATCATAGGATTTGGCACCAAAAAAAGTGTTCCATATGGTGAATAATGTGCCATTGATTGATAAAAGGAGAGAAGAGCACAGAGGTGTCTTGTGCTGATGGGGGCACCCTGGTGTTCCGGCATGTCAGGAATGGGGCTGTGGTAGGTATGTCGGTTTTCATTTTGACAAAGTCACTCTGAGATGAATTCATCCTGTGTGCATACATCTTTAGGTAAAGGTGATATTCAACTTTTCCAGCACATCAATTAAATCATTTCTTTAATTAATTATTTCATTTGTAGATTCTGGGGGTAAGGAAGAGAGCTATGATAAAAGAATGCAGCATCATCTTCTAATGTTGTGTGGAGAGTAGAGAGTAGGGAAGTTGGGGAGAGCTAGAGAGTCCTTTGACCCAGATCTCTAGTCACACTGGGTATCAAATTTATACTTCTATTTTTTAACTGGAGTTATATAATTACAGAGATCCTCACAATTTAAATAAAAGGATGTATTCTTTTATGGAAGTGTGTATACCCTAATTAACTTTTCACTACTTTACATATTTAGCAGTTTACTACCCAGCATCCTATTATGAAGAAAAAAGACCAGAATTAGTCACTATAGAATTGACTTAGATTTGTGGTGCTGCTATTCAAAAACTTTATTTTAGACCTTGGCAAAATATAGTGGCAGACAAGTGGTATCACTGTCTACTTAATTTTTAAGATGTGATTCTTAAATAAACTATCTGTTATAAGTTTATGGGGAAGGGAGAAACAGTTTCTGCAGTGTTACTAAACTCAGATTGCAGAAGGTGATAGTTAAATGCCTTGTTAGATTTTTTAGCCAGTGTGAGTCTGTTGTACCACAAAATTGGGACTGTTAGGGACTTCAAAAAACTCAGACTTTTAAGAAATATATTTTAAATTCATCTTTTGACTTGTTTTGCATAAGTAAACCACATGCTAATATACTACTCACTTTGAGAACATTATCCAAATATCACAAAGTCTCTTCCAAAGTCCAGATAATTTCCAGTCCCTCTGTCAGAGAGCAAGTAACAACAAAAGACTTATTCCAAACACAAATCAACCAGAACCTTGGAGAACCTTCACAGTAACTTGCTTTGCACAGCAACTAGAGGAAGTTTTGTGAAAAACCCACAGTGGGGAGCACATAACCCCATAATACTCAGAACATATTGCCCAAGTTACACATGATGACAAGGTAAACATTTGCTTAAGAACTCTTTCAAAGTGGGGAAATGGTATGAAATAAGCAGGGGACGCTCTCGCATCTTTAAAACTCCAAATTAGCTACAGCTTGACTTTAGCACCCTCAGGGTCTGAGTACTACAAATTATCTTCTTTAGTTGGAAGAAAACAGAAACTTAACTTTTCTACCAAAATACTTCCAATTGTTGACCTTGCTAGAATGGGTAATAAGTGGTGTTATTTCTAGTTGGTTTGTGCTTTTTGCAGCTCGAGCATTTGTCAACTGGCTACCAATGATTTCATACATTGATACAATTATTTATATATTCATTTAGTGCTTTTCTGCTGAAGAGCACAAGATAATCGATCACTTGTAGAGTTTTCTATCATGGATGCAATTCCCAGGTAATTGTTATAGTACCATAAAACCATGGTACGACAACTCATTTTAGTAGTTTTGCACTCTGCTATAACCACACATATAAGGGCCATTAAAGTTAAAATGTCCCTTGAGTTTTTTTTTTTTTTAACTAATATTAACTTCAATCAATGTAGGCAGAAATAAAAAATATACTGGTCGTGAGCACTCTATCCCCAAATAATGTAAAGCTGTGATGGTAAGATACTTTATCATACTGCTTTAGAACTCATTTTTGCTGTGATATATTGCCCAGAGCACTTTGGGTTCATAAAACAGGGAATGGTAATTAATCTTATGTGGAAGGTATAACCTAAAGTCCAGAACAGGAGGATGAAAGCTGTGTGCATACAATGAGATTCATAGAATGCAGAATGTCAGACATGTTTATGTGACAATTTGAAAATATTTCTAATTCCAATAGCTGCACTCTTTAGAGAAAAAGGAAATACACCTCATATTCTTTAAGAAAAAAATCACATAGAAATAGGTCTAAATAAAAAAGCAAGAAAGATTAGCCACTGGCATTGTAAATGGAAATATTGTATATAGAAATTTAAAGAATTTAACCTTCTATTGCATATAGGAAAAATATTACATTGTAAAATATACATTGTATTGTTTCAGTCAACATATTTTTGGGTAGATAATTGGCACTTCAGTGTCTGGCCTTTGTGTACTAGTTACAAAATGTGTGAACTCTTATTCTGATTGAAATTTTTTAACTTAATGCTGAAAAATTAGTAAATTATATTAACTAATAAATTTACTCAATAAGCATAGGTAGAACACCCACCTTGGACCAAGCCCTTTCTGTGAGGAATGTGTCTTATAGACATAGTTTCTGCCTTTAAGGAGCTCCAAGTGCTTTAAACTCACAGTGGAGGTTTTCGTAATCCCAGGAAATAATTGTTTCTTTTATTAAGAAATTTTAAGATTAAATTTTAAATTATGAGGTGAAAGCTTTTTTCTTTAATATATATAAGGCATTCCTTCATGGAAAATGGCTAAATTTATTGGAAGAACACTAGAGGAAATCTTACTAATACTTGAGTGTGAAGCCTATGTTATACATGCTTTGGGAATAAAGGAAAGATATTGGCCTCCAGGGCTGTCAGCCTGGCCCTTTAGGTGAATTTAATGCTCTTAATTTTTATTATGCTGCTAACCCTCTGCTTCCCCTGAAACCTACACTGGTTTATTCCAACCAATGTGGTCTGAATCCCATCCAACATTTTACTAATATTTATCAGTGCTAAAGTTAGTATTCTTGATAAGTCAAAGTTGTTGCAAATCACTTCCAGTTGTACAAATACACTATTTACGTATAACTGGTAAAAACTCCATGCTGTCATTAAATGAGTTGACATGTTCATATAATTACCTGGGCCTGGAGTCCGAGTATGTGTGATTATTCTGGAGAAAGAAAAATCAAACGAATTAAAGTATAATTCCATGAAAAGTATAATCTTTGACAGCTATAAAAGTAGGCATTTTCCAAAAATGTGTTTCATTTTATTGCAACAACTTTTATTTTTCTCTGTTTCTTTTTATAAAGTTCCCATAAATTGTCTGAAGCTTGGATGAATTTAAATATTTCAATCAAGGTTTGGCAGCTGATAAATTGAATCAAGCTTCATTACCAGTTCCAAATTACCCATCCAGATTAAGTTCATGGGTTGTGCCACCAACCCCTAAAGTTCATCACTAAAGTGACTTGCCAGGGGAATTGCTTGTGGCACAACTCCAATTTGGAACAGAGACTGGAAGTTGATTTAAGCTCGGGAGCAGAAGCAGAGTGGGAACCAAAGTCCAAGCTGAAGCTGGAATAAGGCTGCCATAGTACTGAAACATATCCTTTTAGATTAACTGACTTGCTTTCAAATTGTGTATTGAATTGAAAGTAATGGGAACCAAAGTCCAAGCTGAAGCTGGAATAAGGCTGTCATAGTACTGAAACATATCCTCTCAGATTAACTGGCTTGCTTTCAAATTGTGTATTGAATTGAAAGTAATGAGAACTCAGATCTGGTGTTGACTTAACCCTGAAATTCACCTATGACCTTAGTAATGAGCAATGGCTCTGCTGTTGTGTGTAATGTTGTTCATGGCAGAGGGTTTCCCTGTGCTTTAGGTTGAGCTGTCCCAGTTGTGGAAAGGCTGATGAGAGGTTGCTAAATTCTACTCTAGCATGTGAATCTTGTCTCTGGTATCCCCTTGAAGCCATGGATAGGGGGCACCCACTGTCTTAACTCTAGCTTATCACATAATGCATAGTAGACAAAATAAAAATATTTTATTTGCTTATTTATTTAATACATATTTTTAAAGATCCTATTGGGCATCAAGTATTCACAGTAAATGGCAGTGACCTCCACAGACATGATACCTGCATCATGAAAGTTGCAGTTTAAAGTTTGTCAAATTTATTTTTAAAACTTTGTTTATTTTTTCCTGAAATAATAACAATGACATAGGAACCTTTAAGAGTCACTGTTAGTAATGACAAAGATTCTCTGTTGATCGAACTTTAGCCAGGATCTGAACCTTCTCCTAGGCGTGTGTTTGTACTTTCTTGTTAAATCCAGTTTTAGCAAAGAACCCTGCTAAGACAGTTTGGCAAGAACCTCCCACCCTTGATATCTGATCACTCTCAACGTTTGATCAAGTTCTTTATCCTCCACCATTCCCCAGGTGATGTCTAACTACTCTGGCCTGTCTTCAGCAAGAATCCCCCTTACCCCAATTCTCCTCCACGGCCAAATCCTGTTGCTGTAGTCCCTCAGTGGTCCTTAATGAATCTTCCTTAACATGTTTTAACAAGTATTGTTGAATGTTTTTGTTTTTGTCTAATGATGATATTTATTCTTTTTGTATATGTTGTCTTAGGACCTTTACTGGCATCTGAGTCACTTCTGTTGTTGGCAGCAGTATCACCCTTATTACTAGGCAAGAGAACCTTAGCCTTGGGCCTCACATTTCTTTAGAGATCTAGTTGATGACTAGATATCCCAAATGCATGCATATACACTTTTATTAAACTATATGTGAGCACCTACCTCTGTTACTCATGATCCAGTGTCCAGCTCTGTTAATGCAACCAGTAACCTTAAATATCCTGAACATCCACTGTCAAGACTAACATTGTTCAAGCCCCAGGGAAATGCTTTTCTACTTTTTTTGCCCTGTGTTCTTGAAACAAAAGCCAACATTATCTGAACTCTCACCTGGAGCCTGTCATCTCAGCACCCTCTAGCACCCTGCCGCCAGCCAACCAACATGCACCTTGCCGCACTGCTGCTGCTGCTGACACGTGAATAAATATGGATCCCACTGTCACTGCCCTATGAAGGGCTTTGGCTGGCACCGCCCATCATAGTGTTGTGACCAGTGGTCCAAGAGCATCTTGGTCCTGCTAGTGCAGCAAGTTCCTAACCTCGAGGAGTCAGAGCACAAAACCAGGGCTCAGTACCAGTCCCCTAAAGTTAGAGCACACAGTTCAGAAGTCCTGAGCTGAACCTTGGCTCCCTAAAATCTTCCAGAAATGAAGCCAGTCGACTGAACCCACCTCAGAGCGCAATTAAACCCTGAAGGTGGCTCACACCTGTAATCCCAGCATTTTGGGAGGACAAGGCAGGTGGATCACCTGAGGTCAGGAGTTTGAGACCAGCCTGACCAACATGGTGAAACCCTGTCTCTACTAAAAATACAAAAACAAAACAACAATAACAAAAAACCCAGGTGTGGTGGCACATGCCTGTAATCCCAGCTGCAGGAGAATCACTTGAACCTGCGAGGAGGAGGTTGCAGTGAGCCGAGATCGCACCATTGCACTCCAGCCTGGGTGACGAGCGAAAATCCATCTCAAAAAAAATATATATATATATACCTTGAAGGTCATTAAATGGGATTAAAAAATATCTAAAGGACAGCAGCTGCAAAGAGTGAAGGCATATAAGCCCACAAAAATGAGAAAGAACCAGCACAAGAACTCTGACAACTCAAAAAGCCAGAGTTCCTTCTTTCCTCCAAACAATTGCACTAGCTCTCCAGCAAAAGTTCTTAACTGGGCTGAGATGGCTGAAATGACAGAAATAGAATTCAGAATATAGATAGGAACAAAGATCATTGAAACTTAGGAGAACGTTGAAACCCAATCTAAGGGAGCTAAGAATCACAATAAAATGATAGCTGACAGAAAAAAATAGCCAGTATGGAAAAGAATGTAACTGACCTGATGGAGTTGAGAAACACACCACAAGAATTATATAATGCAATCACAAGTATTAACAGCAGAATAGACCAAGCTGAGGAAAGAATCTCAGAGCTTGAAGACTAATTTCTGAAATAAGATAGTTAACAAGAATAAAAAAAATTAAAATAATGAATGAAACCTCCAAGAAGTATGGGATCATGTAAAGAGACCAAGTCAACAACTCCTTTGTGCCTCTGAAAGAGATGAAGAGAATGGAAGCAACTTGGAAAATACATTTCAGGTTATCATCCATGAGAATATCCCCAACCAAGCTAGAGAGGCCAACATTCAAATCCAGGAAATGCAGAGAATTCCTGCAAAACACTTCACAAGAAGATTATCCCCAAGACACATAATCTTCAGAATCTATAAGGTTGAAATGAAGGAAGCTGCTAAAGAGAAAGAATGGTTATCTACAAAGGGAAGTCAGTCAAACCAACAGCAGACCTCTCAACAGAAATTCCACAAGTCAGAAGAGATTGGGGGCCTATATTCAACATTGATAAAATGAAGAGAAATTCCAACCAAGAATTTTATATACAGTCAAACTAAGCTTCATAAGTGAATGAGAAATAAGATTCTTTTCAGACAAGCAAATTCTGAGGGAATTTGTTCCCACCAGAAATGCCTTAGAAGAGCTCCTGAAGAAGTACTAAATATGAAAAGAAAAGATCACTACCAGCCACTACAAAAACACACTTCAGTACATAGACCAGTGACACTATGAAGAACCACACAAACAAATCAGCATAATATCCAGCTATTCACTTGATGACAGGATCAAATCCACACATACCAATACTAACCTTGAGTATAAACAGGCTAAATGCCCCCACTTGAAAGGCACAGAGTAGAAAGCTGGATAAAGAAACAAAACCCAATGGGATGCTGTCTTTAAGAGACCCATCTCACATGCAGTGACATCCATAGGCTCAAAATAAAGGGGTGGAGAAAAATCTACCAAGGAAATGGAAAAAAGAAAAAAAAATCAGGGGTTGCAATCCTAATTTCAGACAAAACATACCGTAAACCAACAAAATTCAGAAAGGACAAGGGCATTACATAATGATGAAGGGATCAATTCCACAAGAAGACCTAACTATCCTAAATATATATGCACCCAACACAGGAGCACCTGTATTCATAAAGCAAGTTCTTATAGACCTGCAGAGAGACTTAGACTCCTAGACAGTAATACTGGGAGGCTTTAACAACCCACTGACAGTATGAGACAGGTCATCAAGGTAGAAAATTTACAAAGATATTCAGGACCTGAACCCAACAAATGGACCTGATAGACATCTACAGAGCAACAGAATATAGATTCTTCTCTGGTGCACATGAAACATACTCTGAAATTGATCACACAATCAGACATAAAACAATCCTCAGCAAATGCAGAAGAACTGAGGTCATAGCAATCACTCTCTTGGACCACAGTGCAATAAAAATAGAATTCAAGACGAAGAAAATCACTCAAAACCATGTAATTACATCAAAATTGAACAACCTGCTCCTGAGTGACTTTCAAGTTAATAATGAAATTAAGGCAGAAATCAAGAAGTTCGTTGAAACTAATGAGAGCAAAGATACAGCATACCAGAATTTCTGGGACACAGCCAAGGCAGTGTTAAGAGGGAAATTTGTAGCACTTTTAAAAAATTTATATGGAACCAAAAAAGAGTCTAATAGCGAAGGCCATCATAAGCAAAGATAGCAAAGCAGGAGGCACCATGATCCCCAATCAAACTATACTATGGAGCTACAGTAAACAAAGCATCATGGTACTATTACAAAAACAGACATATAGACCAGTGGAACAGAATAGAGAGCCCAGAAATAAGACTGCACACCTACAACCATCTGATCTTCAACAAAGCTGACAAAAACAAGCAATGGGAAAAGCATTCCCTGTTCAATAAATGTGCTGGGATAACTGGTTAGCCATATGCAGAAAGTTGAAACTGGACCCCTTTGTTACACTATACAAAAATCAACTCAAGATGGATAAATTCTTAAATGTAAAACTCAAAACTATAAAAACCCTGGAAGACAATCTAGGCAATACCATTCTGGACACACGAACTGGCAAAGATTTAATGATGAAGACAGCAAAGCAATCACAACAACAGCAAACACAAATGGAATCTAATTAAATGAAAGATCTTCTGCACAGCCAAAGAAACTATCAATAGAGTAAACAGACAACCTACAGAATGAAAAAATCTTTGCAAACTATGCATCTGACAAAGATCTAATATCCAGCATCTATAAGGAACTTAAATTTACAAGAAAAAACAACCCCATTAAAAAAGTGGAGAGAGGACATCAACAGACACTTTTCAAATGCGTACACACATTTGGTGGAGAAGCATATGAAAAAAAGCTCAATATGAATGATTATTAGAGAAAAGTAAATCAAAACCACCATAAGATACTGTCTCATACCAGTCAGAATGGCTACTATTAAAAAGTTAAAAAATAACAGGTGCTGGCAAGGTTGCAAAGAGGGAATACTTACACACTTCTGATGGGAATGTAAATTAGTTTAACCATTGTGGAAAGCAGTGTGGCAGTTCCTCAAAGAGCTAAAAACAGAACTACCATTCAACCCAGCGATCCCATTACTGGGTATATACCCAAAGAAATATAAATTGTTCTATCATGAAGGCATGTGCACACATATGTTAATCAGAGTGCTATTCACAATAGCAAAGACATGAAATTAACCTAAATGCCCATTAATAAAAGACTGGATAAAGAAAATGTGGTGCATATACCATGGAATATTATGCAGTCATAAAAAAGAACAAACTCATGTCCTTTGAGAGATACTATTACTTTGGTTGATGCAACAAGGAATAAATGAGGAAATATATTACTTAAACTTTATGAAAGAAGACTAAATATTGCTTATTCATTGATATAGTTAGGCTTTGTGTCCCCACCCAAATCTCATCTTTAATTGTAATTGCCATAATCCCCACATGTCAAGGGAGAGATCAAGTGGAGATAATTGAATCATGGGAGCCATTTTGCCCATGCTGTTCTGATAGTGAGTGAGTTCTTATGAGATCTGACAGTTTGATAAGGGGCTCTTCCCCATTTGCTTGGTACTTCTTCCTGCTGCCTATTCAAGAAGGTGCCTTGCTTCCCCTTCGCTTTCTGCCATTATTGTAAGACTGAGGTTTCCCCAGCCTTGCTGAACTATGAGTCAGCTAAACCTTTTGTCTTTATAAATTACTGAGTCTTGAGCAGTTCTTTATAGCAATATGAAAACAGATGAATACATTCATATTGAAAAGAAGGAGGAGAAGAGATTAGTTCAATAGGTAAGCTAAACTTTCAGATAACTAGAATTCAGTTGGTAATGCCTAAAATTCATAAACCAAGAGAGTATAAATGTATTCTTTTGAAATATAGAATATTATAACAGGTAAAAGGAATTATCCTTCGGAGTGAGTTTCAAGATTAGTAGGAGTTATTTCAAACCATTCTGTACAATTTTATCTTTTTAGATATGCAGACGATCTAATTAATTTTCACTTGGCCTTCTGTCATTTGACAGTAAGAGCTCAAATCTAACCCATATGGTCAGGTAGGAAACAAAGGCTACTTTCTTTCCCACTTGTAACATCTACCTCAGTCAGACTATTTACTGTCTTTCAGTTATAACACAAACTCCCCATGTGTATAAATGGAGGGAGAATATCTCTGTGAGGGAAATGTTGTCAATCTGCTGCCATGTTCCATCCTCGCACCAAACTAGCAGTGACTGATCTATAACTCATATAGTAAAGTGCACTATTAAACATGCCCAGTACTATTTAACTATATCAGTCTCCTTGCTTGGAATTTAATGGTCATCAGTTGCATTAGTCAATTTTTATTGCTCTTTGAATTATGTACACTGCGCCTTCTGCCATTTTAATGGGTTTGTGTTTCACAGATTGGCACAGATTAGGGTTTATATCTTTAAAGAGATGAAATAGTTGTGCAGTGTACACTAGAGAAACAGTCTCCAAACTGACCAGCTGCTTTGCTTTCAAATAATTTATTTTTTTATTCAACACCCTTTTTTATTCCCCCTCCACTGCCCTACAAGTTAGCTTCTTCCAGGTAGGCACTAGGGGCACAAAGATGAATAAGACATGAACTTGATACTAGAAGAACACATAGTCTAATTATAGTAAATATATTTTATCTTGATAAGTACAATAATTGGAATAAAGTAGCATGGGAGTGCCAAGGTAGGAAGAAATATAATTAAAAATTACATTCTGTGCCCTATTAAAGCAGACTTTTTGGAGTTTAGTCCATGTAATACCATTAAACATCACTAATTTAAAAATAATTTACTACAAATAAATTAGTTATTTTTAAATGACTGAGTGATTTATTTAGAGAAACTAAGTTAGAGAGTTAACTGACTAGTGAAACAATAAATCTAGAGTATAAATCCTTAATTTTGATTATAAATTAACTAAGAGATTTTCTAGTTTTTCTTTTAATAAATAAATTCCAAGCCTTTCTACTTTTCACTGAGAACTTGTCCTAACTCATCTTTACCTTTATTGTTATTGTTATTATAATCTTTTTTTGGATATGAAATCTACATATCTGCAGGCCAGATCACATACTAGCTACTCTCAAAAATAAATCACAATGAAAAGTGTAAACTCTGAAGTAAGAAAGAGTGATTAGAAGTATTCATTAAGTATAAATGTGGTGTTTCATATACGGCGTAGCTTGATTTTGGAAATTATATCCCAATTTCACGGAGGAAAGTTGCCATTTTTTAAACTGTGGTTTTCTAAAAAGCCATAGTAATATTTTTGCCATCCTCTCTATTATATGCCTTTCAAGTGCAATTAGTATATTTATCATTTCCTGAATTGGCTTCTGAAGACAGAAAAGAAACACTTCCTACCTTAAAATTTTAAGCCTAACTGCAATATTGTATGGGCAGATGCAAAGAAGACATGAATCAGTCGATATAATTAATTTGTTTCAGCAAGGGGTTAAGTGTCTTCCTAAATCAGTAACTAAGAGGTTTCTACCGATTATTGGGTTTACATAAACCGCTTTGAGGTTACCAATTAGTAACAGGTACACTTGTCAAAATGCCTAAATTAGTTTCCAAATCAGAGGATAGACTTGATCAAGAATGATAGTTTGTATATAGGCCAGAAAAACTGCCCATGTCCACTTTCCAAAGTGCCAACTGCATGTGGTTTTCCCTTACTACTCTAATGGAATCCTGAATTCTAGACCTTATGAAACATACTAGCCAGAGCCCGACTGACTTCTAGTAAAAAGAATTGAGTGTAAATAATATTTATGGCCTTGCAGACTATTTGGCTGAATCCACCTTAAAAGATAGCTTCATTCTGCTTATACAACGTTTCACCATATACAGTAGCACAAAAGGACACTCAGACCAAGCCAAAAAGAAAGACAAAAGTGTAATTCACCAAGGAAAGAAATGTATAAAGGAAGGTGACTAAACTGAGACTTCATACAACTGTTTATTTGTCATAAAACCATCTATGAGCTAAGATATAAGCATAAACATTAAGTGAATGACAGTTGTTTTATTGTGTTTTCAACATTTTTAGTTGTATCTTAAAAAATACCAGATGCTATTCATATGATGCCAAACATATGGCTTTTGGCCGTGCTCTTGTAATCTGTAGTAGATTGCTATAATGTACAGGGCAGGGGGAAAAAGGCGATTTACAGATAGCACCGGCCTGAGTCCCTCACAGCTGGATCTAATTTTACTGAACTGATGGTCTCTTCCCTCCAGCACCTTCTATTTTATCAAATGCCACATATTGTTTTTGAAGTGGTTCTTGTTGTCATAGTGAATACCACAGATGGATAACACACAGGACATTTGGTTGTCAGTTTTCTGACTAAGGTCAGGACCTACTGTTCATGTTTGGGTGGAGTATTTATAGGACTGCCCAAGGAAACTAATGAGTTTCAGCTGTCTGAGAGAATGCATGGGACGTTGCTTACTTGGTTGATGTACTTGGAGGCCATTATAGTCATTTGGGCTTTAGGTGTGTCTTTCTATCAGTTGGTAAACTGACATTTCACTTGGAAAGAAGATGAAAAGGGTAAGAAAGAGAATGAATACATGCTAATAATTATTTTATTGCATTGTGATTGCCTATTTACTTTTCTGCCACTCCTACTAGATTTTAAGCTTCTTGAGGGTAGAACACTTCTTGTTTAATATCAAATAGTGTGCATGTAGCTCTTGGGCTGGTACATAATAGGGGCTGAAATATCTAATGAATGACTAGATGAAAAAGCAAGCATTCAAAGGGTTTCCATAGATTTGATGATTATGGAGGCAGAGGATAAGTAGTCAATGAAAAAATTGTAGATCTCATTCTGTTTCCTAATTTTTCCCCAAGACTTAATTTTTAAAGATCCATCTCTGTTGTTCTTTGAAACAATCTGTTTCTTCTAACTGTAACATAATACCCTTGTATGCATTGGCTACCTTTTACCTATCACTCTCTAACTGATGGACACCAAGAATGCTTCCAACTCACTTCCAACACAGGATAATTTCTAACTATCTCTACTGCTGCCATGACACAGATGTGGGACCACATAGGAGACAATTGCTATCTACAGTTGCAGATGAATTGGTCACATTTTTAAATTTTACTGTAAGAGTACTTTGTTTTTTGTTAATAGGAAACGTTTCCAAAGGTTTCTACCTCCTTAGGCTTCCTTTAGGAAATGAGGCACTGATTTCTCCCAAACATTTCTTGGGATTCTGTTGTTCAAAACTGCCTTCTCTAGTTATGTCCCTAGAGAGAAGAATCCTTTTCTTTTCCATTTCTGCAACTCTGTCTCATCCAGCCTGTGAATACTAGTTTACATTGTCAGGGCAATCAAGCTACACACACACACACGCGTGCACATCCAGTTGTCTTCATGGCTTTACTTTTTGAGTTCCATAATACTCAGCTCTAGCAAATCAAAACCCTTGTTATCTATGACCTTTGCTCTGTGTGTGTGTGTGTGTGTGCCTTCCTCATGGGGTAGAAAACCAGGAATTATGTAAAATCCAGTTAAGACCTCTAAATTTTATTCCCACTATATATACATTATCTAATTCAGTGTACATAAATATTTATTTTATAGATTTAGAAGGTGAAACTCAGCTTAAATAATGTGCCCAAGGTTTCATAGTTAGTGGAAAAGGACTTTCAAATAAAAGTTTGACCCGAAATGCCCAAATTCATTTCACTCTGCTACAACACTGGCCTGCAAGTAAAATGCTGCTGCCACAAATGCAAGTTATGATATATGTGTGCATTATAATGACACATACTAGTCTTTGTAGCCACATTTTCTCACAGAGGTGATTCATTTTTTAGAATTCATAGGGAAGGACAACATATTTCTGCAAAAGCCAGAAAGAATGCTGGGTTTCAATCTTGATTCATCACTCTTCTTCACAGTCTATACTCAACCAATCATCAAATTCTAAATGTATTTCAAATCTGTTACTTTTTTTCCATGTCTACTGCAACCCGCCTAAAACCATACCAATATCATCTTTCCTGGACTACTGCAATAGCTTGCTAACTGGTCTCCCCATATCTGTTTTTGCCTTCTTATGATCCATTATCCACATTGCAACTAAAGCGTTCTTTTCTAAAATTTTGTTATTTTGAATTTTTGTGGGTACATAGCAGGTGTATATATTTATGGAGCACAGAAGATATTTTGATACAGGCACCCAATGCACAATAATAACACAAAGATAAATGGGATATCCATCCCCTCAAGCATTTATCTGTTGTGTTACAAACTAATTACACTCTTTTAGTTATTTTAAAATGTACAATTACATTATTATTGACTATAGTTACCCAATTGTGCTATGAAATACTAGGTTTTATTCATTCTTTCTAATTTTTTTTGTGTCCATTAATCATCCCCACTTCCCCTACAACTCCTACCCTTGCACCACCCTTCCCAGCCTCTGTTAACCATACTTCCAACCATCTCCATGAGTTTACTTGTTTAAATTTTTAGCTCCCACAAATAAGTGAGAACATGTGATGTTTGTCTTTCTGTGCCTGGCTTATTTCACTTAACATAATAACCTCCAGTGCAATTTATGTTGTCACAAATGACGTGATCTTATTCTTTTTTATGGCTGAAAAATACTCTATTGTGTATATGTACCACATTTTCTTTATCCATTCATCTTTTGATGGACACTTAGGTTGCTTCCAAATCTTGGCTATTGTAAATAGTGCTGCATTTAACATAGGAGTGAAGATATCTCTTCAATATACTGATTTCCTTTCTTTGGGGGTATATACCTAGCAGGAGAATTGCTGGACAATATTATAGCTGTATTGCTACTTTGTGGAAACCTCCAAACTGTTCTCCATAGAGGCTGTACTAACATACATTCCCACCAACAGTGTACAAGGGTTCCCTTTTCTCCATATCCTTGCTAGCATTTGTCATTGCCTGTCTTTTGGATATAAGCCATTTTAATTGACATGAGATTATATCCCTTTGTAGTTTTCAAATGCATTTCTCTGATGATCAGTGATGTTGAGCACCTTTTCATATACCTGTTTGTCATTTGTATGTCTTTTGAAAATATGTATTCAGATCTTTTCCTCATTTTCTAATCAGATTATTAGATTTTTTTCCTACTGAATTGTTTGAGCTCCTTATATATTCTGGTTATTAACGCCTTTTCAGATAGGTAGTTGACAAAGATTTTCTCCAGTTCTGTGGGTTGCCTTTTTGACTTCACTGATTGTTTCCTTTGCTGTGCAGAAGCTTTTTAACTCATTGTGATCACATTTGTTCATTTTTGCTTTGGTTAACTGGGCTTGTGGAATATTACTCAAAAGCCTTTGCCCATTCCAATTACCTGGAGAGTTTTCCCATGTTTTCTTTTAGTACTTTCATAGTTTGAAGTCTTAGATGTAAATCTTTAATATATTTTAATTTGATTTTTGTTATATGGCAAGAGATAGGAGGCTAGTTTCATTCTTCTGCATAGGGATATCTAGTTTTCCCACCACCACTTATTGAAGAAACTGTCCTTTCCCCAGTGTATGTTTTTGGCACCTTTGTAAAAAATGAGTTCACTGTAGATGTATGGATTTATTTCTGGGTTCTCTGTTTTGTTCCACTGGCCCATATGTCTGTTTTTATGCCAGTGCCATGCTGTTTTGGGTACTATAGCTGTGTAGCATCATTTGAAATCAGGTAATGTGATTCCTCCAGTTTTGTTCTTTTTGCTTAGGATAGCTTTGACTATTCTAGGTCTTTTTGTGATTGCATATAAATTTTAGGATAGTTTTTTCTATTTCTGTGAAGAATGTCACTGGTATTTTGTTAGGGATTGCATTGAATCTGTAGATTGCTTTGGGTAATATGGAAATTTTAACAACATTGATTCTTCCAATCCCCTGAACATGAAATATCTTTCCATTTTTTGTTTCCTTTTCAATTTCTTCCATCAATGTTTTGTAGATTTTATTGTAGAAACCTTTCACTTTGGTTAAATTAATTCCTTGGTATTTAATTTTATTTGTGGCTATTGTAAAAAGGATTACTTTCTTGATTTCTTTTTCAAATTGTTTCAAATTGTTTGCAGTTGGCATATAAAATTTCTGTTTCAAATTGTTTGCAGTTGGCATAAAAAATACCACTGATTTTTATATGTTGATTTGGTATCCTTATTGTTTTCCAGATCTATGATGAAAGACTTTCAGTTTTCTCCCATTCAGTATGATACTAGCTGTGGGTCTGGCATATATACCTTTTATTATGTTGAGGTAGGTTACTTCTGTACCCAATTTTTTGAGGATTTCTTTCATGAAGAGATGTTGAATTTTATCAAACACTTTTTCAGCATCAATTGAAATGATCATATGGTTTTAGTCCTTCATTTTGTTAGAATGATGTATCACATTGATTTGCATGTGTTGAACCATCCTTGCATCTCTGGGATAAATCCCACTTGGTCATGGATCTTTTTAGTGTGTTGTTGAATTCTGTTTGCTAGTACTTTGTTGAGGATTTTTGCATTGATATTCATCAGGGATATTAGCTTCTAGTATTCTTTTTCTCATGTGTCTTGGTCTGGTTGTGGTATCAGGGTAATACTGGTCTCATAGAATGAGTTTGGAAGTATTTTGCTCTTTCTCTATTTCTCAGAATAGTTTGAGTAGGTTTGGTATTAGTACTTCTTTAACTGGAAAAATTCAGGGGTTAAGCCATTGGGTCCTGGGCTTTTATTTGCTGGGAGACTTTTTATTACAGATTCAATCTTATTATTTGCTATTAGTCTGCTCAGGTTTTGGATTTCTTCATGGTTCAATCTTGGTAGGTTGTATGTGTCTAGGAATGTGTCCGTTTCTTTTAGATTTTCCAATGTATTGGTATATTGTTGCTTATAGTAGCTACTAATGATCCTTTGAATTTCTGTAGTATCAGAAGTAATGTCTCCTTTTTCAACTCTGGTTTTATTTATTTGGACCTTCTCATTTTTTTTAGTCTTGCTACAGATTTGTCAATTTCGTTTATGTTTTAAAAAAATTAACTTTTCATTTCATTGATTATTTGCATTTTTTTGTTTTAATTTTATTTAATTCTGCTCTGATATTGGTTATTTATTTTCTTCTACTAATTTCAAATTTGGTTTTCTCTTGCTTTTCTAGTTCTTTAAGATGCACTGTTAGGTTATTTATTTAGTTTTTCTTCTTTTTTGATGTAGGCCCTTATAGCTATAAACCCCTCCCTCAGTAATGTTTAGCTGTATCCCATAAGTTTTGGTATGTTGTGTTTCCATTGTGATTTATTTCAATAAATTTTTCTATTTCTTTCTTAATTCCTTCATTGACTGACTCGTTTTCAGGAGCATATTGTTTAATTACCATTTTTTTATGTTGTTTCCAAAATTTATCTTATTAATTTGTAGTTTTATTCCATTGTGGACAGAGAAGATGCTTGATATTATTTCCGTTTTTTGGAAATTTTCATGACTTGTTTTGTGACCTAATGTATGTTCTGTCCTTGAGAGTGATTTATATATATAAATTATATATGGATATACATATATAAAAATTATATGTGGATATATATTTATATATACATTATATAGGCATATATATATAAATACATGTGCATCATGTATTTACATTTGCTATATCCTATTGCTATATTGACTCCTTTATCATTATATAATGACATTCTTTGTCTCTTTGTGTACTTTTCATCTTGAAATCCATTTTGTCTGCTATACATACAGCTACTCCTGCTCTTTTTTTGGTTTCCATTGGCATGGATTATCTTTTTGCATCTCTTCATTTTCAGTCTATATGTGTATTTATAGGTGAAGTATGTTTGTTGTAGGCAACAGATCATTAGGTATTTTTAATCCATTCAGCCATTCTGAGTCTTTTGATTGAAGAGTTTGGTCCATTTACATTGAAGGCAATTATTGATAAGTAAGGACTTACTGTGAGCATTTCGTTATTTGCTCTCTGGATGTTTTGTGGTCTTCTTTTCCTTCTTTTATTTTTTTTCTATCTTCCTTTTAGTGAAGGTGATTTTCTCTGGTGGTATGTTTTAATTCCTTGCTTTTTATTTTTTGTCTATCCATTGTATGTTTTTAGGTTTGAGATTACCATAAGATTTGCAAATAAAATCTTTTAATCTATTATTTCAAACTGATGACTAGTTTACACTGATTTCATAAACAAACAAACAACTAACTGGCAAAAAGAAACCAAAAATATAACTTTGTCTGCCTGCTTTTTAACTCTTCATTGTGTCTATATCTTATTTTACTATCATGTCTTGAAACGTTGTAGTTATTATTTTTGATCATTTAGTCTTTTCATCTTTCTACTTATGAGGAGTTTACACACCACAATTACAGTGTTATAATAATATTCCATGTTTTTCTGTGTACTTCCTATTACCAGTGAGTTTTGTACCTTCACATAATTTCTTATTGTTTATTAACATCCTTTTCCTTCAGATTGGAGAACTTCCTTTAGCATTTCTTGTCAGACAAGTCTGGTGTTGATAAAATCCCTCAGATTTTGTTTGTCTGGGAAAGTCTTTATTTCTCCTTCATCTTTGAAGGATTTTTCTTTTTTTCTTTCTTTTTTTAAACCAGATATACTATTCTATACTAAAAGTTTTTTTTTTTAATTCAATACTTTAAATATGTCATGCCACTCTCTCCTAGCCTGTACGGTTTGCACTGAAATGTCTGCTGCCGGACGTATTGGAACTCCATTGTATGTTATTTGCTTCTTTCTCTTGCTGCTTTTATCCTTTGGGAGTTTGATTATTAAATGCTTGAGGTAATCTTCTTTGGGTTAAATCATTTTGGTGTTCTATAACCTTCTTGTATTGGGATACTGATATCTTTCTCTAGGTTTGGGAAGTTCTCTGTTATTATCCCTTTGAATAAACTTTCTACTCCCCCTTCCACTCTTTAAGGGAAATAACTCTTATATTTGCCCTTTTGAGGCTATTTTCTAGATTCTGTATGCATGCTTCATTGTTTTTTGTTCTTTTGTCTCTTGTCTATTCTAATCGTGTATTTTTGAATAACCTGTCTTTAAGTTCACTAATTTTTTTTCTTCTGCTTTGTGAATTCTGCTATTAAGAGACTTTGATACGTTCTTCAGTATGCCAGTTGCATTTTTCAGTTCCAGAATTTCTGCTTGAGTCTTTTTAATATTTCAAACTTTTTGTTAAATTTATCTCATAGAACTCAGAATTCCTTCTCTTTGTTATCTTAAATTTCTTTGAGTTTCCTCAACACAAGTATTTTGAATTCTGTGTCTGAAAGATCACATATCTTTGTCTCTCCAGGATTGGTCTTTGGTGCCTTATTTAGTTTCTTTGATGAGGTAATGTTTTCTTGGATGGTTCTGAGGCTTGCAGATTTTTTTTATATCTGTACACTGAAGAGTTAGGTGTTTATTGTAGTCTTCACAATTTGGTCTTGTCTCTACTTGTCTTTCTTGGGAAGACTTTCCAGGTATTCAAAGGGACTTGGGTGTTGTGATCTATGCTGTATCTGCATCAGGAGGTACCCCTAGCCCAGTAACACTGTGGTTCTTGCAGACTCATAGAGGTATCACCTTGGTGGCCTTGGATAAGATCTGGAAGAATTCTCTGGCTTATCCGGCAAAGACTCTTGTTTTCTTCCCTTACTTTCTCCCAAACAAATGGAGTGTCTCCCTCTCTGCTGGGCCACATAGAGCTGGGGGTGAGGTAACATAAGCCCCCTGTGGCCACCACCACTGGGACTGTGATAGGTCAGACCTGAAACCAGCACAGCACTGAATCTCACCCAAGGCCCAGTGTAACCACTAACTGGCTACTGCTTTTGCTCACTCAAGAATCTAGGGCTCTACAATCAGGAGGTGGTGAAACTAGTTAGATTTGTGTCCTTCCTTTCAGGGCAGTGAGCTCCCCCAGGCCCTGAGTGTGTCCAGAGATGCTGTCAGGAGCCAGGGACTAGAGGCAGAAACCTTAGAAATCTATATGGTGTTCTAAGCTACCATGACTAAGCTGATACTCAAGCCACAAGACAGAATCCTTCCCACTCTTCCCATCCCCCTGCCACCCTGCTTTCCACAGGCAGATGAGCCACTCTCCACCACCACCACCTCCTCAGGCCCACAGGGAGCACTGCCTGGCTACTGCCAATGTTTACTCGAGGCTTAAGTACTCTTCAGTCAACTTGTGTTGAATGCTGCTAGTCCTGAAACTCGCCCTTCAAGGTTGAGAGCTTCCCTCTGTCCCAGAGAAGGTTCAGAAATGTCATCCAAGAGCCAAGGCCTGGAATCAAGGACTCCAAGAGCTTGCTTGGTCCTCTATCACACTGTGATCAAGGTGGTACCTATGGTGCAAGACTAAGTCATCTTTACCTTTCTCTCTGCTTTTCTCAAGCAGAAGGAGTCTCTCACCATATCCAGCATAGTTGGGAATGTGCTGGATCTCCCCTGAAGCCAGCACATCTGAGAGTTCCACCCAAGACCAAAGACATAGTTCCTGGGTGTTACTGCTGGTTATTCAAAGCCCAAGGGCTCTTCAGTTAGCAGATGATGAGTGCTTCCAGGACTGGGTTCTTCTCTTCAAGGCAACAGGTTTCCTTCTGGCCCAGGGTATGTCTAGAAATGTTGTTTTGGATCTAGGGCCTATAATGGGGTCCTCATGAGTCTGTCTGGTCCCCTATTATATTGTGGTTGAACTAGTGTCTAAGATGCAAGACAAAGTTCTTTTTACTCTTTCCTGTTCTCTCCTCAAGCAGAAAGAGGGAGTCACTTTTGTTTCTGCAAGATGCACTACATGGGGTTGGGGTATGGGTGGTGCAAGTACTTCCTTAGTTACCTTATCTGGTGTCTCATTTGGTGTCTCCAAGTCCACTTGACTCCAAGCCCAGCACAGCACTAGGACTTGCCCAGACATTGCAGTCCTTGTGGCCTAGACTGCCTTTCAATTTTATTTAGGACTCTAGAGTACTTTAGCCCATGGTGGCAAGGCTTGCTGAAACTCAAGTTTCAACCCCTAGGATGGACAATTCTCCTCTCCCTAGGGCTAGTCTAAATGTTCCCTCTGTGGGCAGGCATTGGCTGAGTTTAGCCTGATTTTGCTTTCTGCTGTGATAGGGAAGCACTGAATTCAATGCACTGGCTCACAGGACTCTGTGTTCTTCCTCCTCTAAGCACTCAGATTCTCTTTCCACACCATGTGGCTGGTGCCAGGGAATCAGGGAGAGTGGGTTCGGTGATTCAAGACTGTCTTTCCTACCCTCTTCAGTGCGTCTTTCAGTAATATAAAATTATTACAAAACCAGATATTATGATTGCTCATCTCGTTTTTGATTCTTATGAAGGTGATTTTTTTTGTGTGTGTGTATAGATGGTTATCAAATTTAGCATTCCTGTGGGAGATAATGGACAATCAGTGGAGGCCTCTATTCAGCCACCTTACTCTGCCCCTAGATTGTTCTTTACAAATACACACATGCTTATATCATTCTGATGTTTAAAACCCTTTAAAGTTCCCCATTGTTGGTGACCTGTTCCCTCTTACATTATCAAACTTATCTCATTACTTTCACTCTAACTCTAAACTTTAGCTACATTGTCCTTGTTTCAATTCCTCAACCTTGCCATGCTTTCTGTTGACTCAGAGCCTTTTCACATCCTATTCCATTTACCTGTGCTGCTCTTAACCCTCTTTTTTCTTTGTAGATAAAAGATGTATACCTTCTGTGGAGCTGATTTCATATATTACTTTTTAAAGGCCTTTTTTATTGACTCATCAAACTAGATTTGGTTCATTATATGCCTGCTTGTCTCCTACACCTTGTGTGTGTGTCTGTGCATTCCAGTTTTTCTCAGACAGTCCTGGTTTACTCCTATTGTGCAGACATAACTACCAATAGCACCTCTTTTTGATCTTAAAAATGTTGAGGTTTGGATTGCAAATTATGGTTTCCCTACTTGTATATAACCTTTACTGTGCATACACAATTGCAGTTAAACACTTACTTGTATAATTAAATTGTCTATCCCATTTAAATTTAGGCTTCATAGGAAAGACCTGTGTCTGTTTTGTTTGCTGAAGCATCTTGATCCTTAGCATCATGCCTAGTGCTTTGTAGGTGCCAAATAAATATGTGTTGAAACACTATAAATAAATAAAATATGCCCTGAATTAAATACAGTCCTCCCTTGGTATCCATGAGGAGTTAGTTCCAGGACCGACCTCCCAACATACACCAAAATATAAGGATGCACAAGTTCCTTATATAAGATGGCATAGTATTTGCATGTAACCTATACACATCCTCTGATATACCTTAAATCATCTCCTATAAAATTACTTATACTATCTAATACAATGTAAATTCTATGGGAATAGTTATACTGTGTTGGTTTTCAGTTCTATTACTTTTATTTAAATTATTTTATTTTGTAAGTGTATTTTTTATTTCAACTTTCCTTTTAGGTTCAGGGGATACATGTGGAGATTTGTTACATGGGTATATTATGTGACACTGACGTTTGGGGTAGGAATAATCCCATAACCCAGATATTAAGCATAGTACCCAATATATAGTTTATCAACCCTTGCCCTCCTTTTCCTCTAACATCTAGTATCCCCCAATGTCTATTGTCCCCATCTTTATGTCCATGTGTAGTCAGTGGTTAGCTCCCACTTATAAGTGACAACATGCAGTATTTGATTCCGTTCCTGTGTTAATTTTCTTAGGATAATGGCCTCCAGCTGCATTCATGTTCCAAAGAACATGATTTCATTTATTTTTATGACTGTGTAGTATTCCATTGTGTATTTGTACCATATTTTCTTTATCCAGTTAACTGCTGTTGGGCGTCTAGGTTGATTCCATGTCTTTGCTATTGTAAATAATGCTGTGTTGAAGATATGAGTGCATATGTCTTTTTGGAAGAACAATTTATTTTCCTTTGGTTATATACCTAGTAATGGGATTGCTGGGTCAAATGGTAGTTCTAAGTTCTTTGAGAAATCTTCAAACTGCTTTCCATAGTGGCTGAGCTAATTTACATTCCCATCAACAGGGTATATTATTTTGGTTGAATTCATGGATGGGGACCAGGGGATATGGAGGGCCGGCTATATCAAATGACAAATGAGAAGCAGCAGTTGAAGGAGACTATACTGGCACAAGGGCAGAGTGGATGGTACATAGTATTTCACCAGGTATTGACAGAATAATTACAAGTTTTAACTTTGGCTTTAAATAGAAAATCTATTTTACGAAGTTGATCTTTGTGCTTATTATTGCCATTTTACATCTGTTTTTCTTTTTTATTACCTTAAATATACACAATTTTTTATTGCCATTTTACATCTGTTTTTCTTTTTTATTACCTTAAATATACACAATTTTTATTTGTCAATTATATCTTAATAAACCTTTTACAAACTATTACAATGGTGCTTTTATGAGTTTCTCTTTTGATTTTTTAATGCTGAGTATACAATAGAGATTTAATTTATGTAAAGTTCTTAAATATCAGTGGACAGCTCAATGAATTTTGACCTATGTAATTATCAACCTGATCATGGTTAGAATATTTCAGTCATCTCTAAAGTTTCTTGGTGCCCTTTCTAGTAAATATCCCTTTACTCTTTTCTGATTTTTATTACCATAGGTTAATTTTGCCTATTCTTAAAATTTATAAAAACAGAATCCTAAAGTATTACTATTTTATCTAGTTTGTTTAGCCACCAAATAATGTTTTTGTATTTAATTCATGTGGTGGTGTGTTCTTTTCCATTTTAATGCTGATGGACATTTGGGTTGCTTCCATTTTGGAGTTCTTAAAAATAAAACTGTTATGAACATTCTTGAACGAGTTATTTTGGAAGATACATATATTCCTTTCTTTTGGCAATATATTTAGGAAGGCAAATGCTTGCTTATACATTTATATTAGAGTGAGTAACAGTTTTTCAAAGCAGTTGTATTATTTTACACCCCACAGAAATGTATGAGAATACCAATTACTCCACATCTGCAACAGCAGTCTTCTCAGTTTTAATCATTCTGTTATCTCATAGTGGCTTCAATTTACATTTTCCTGATAGATAATGATGTTGAGCACCTTTTCTTATTATTGGTTATTCATATATCTTCTTTTGCGAGTTCTCTATTCAAGTTATCTGCCCATTTTAAAATTTATACTGTCTTTGCAAAATTTTACTTGTGGGATTTATTTTACACCTGGGATATCAGTCCTTTATCATATATACATCTGTGTTTCTTGTTGTTGTTGTTAACTCAGTGAAGTGACATCACATTTTTGGTATTTATCCTGTATGTTGTTCTCTTAGCTACCTGAATCTGTATGTTGGTGTCTACAATTAAATTTAAAAATTTATCAGACATTATCTCTTCAAATATTCTTCTTGTTTTATTTTGTTTCTTCTGGAGTTCTGATTATATATTTATTAAACTATTTGTTATTGTTACACAAATCTTGGATGTTTTGTTGTTGTTTTATGTACTTTTTTCCTCTTTATATTTTCACTTTAAGTAATTTCTGTTGACCTATATATGAGTTTACTGATTCATTCCTCACCTATGTCACATCTACTGATGAGCCCACTGAAGGCACTCTTAATCTCTCTTATTACATTTCACATTTCTAGCATTTTCAATAGATTATTTCTAATAGTTTTTAATTCTCTAATTCAGAAATTCTTGGTGTGAATATCTGATATTGTCCAACTTTTTCTCTAAAATCTTTAGCATATTATTTTTAGTTATTTTAAATTCTCTGTCTTGTAGTTTGAAACGTCTGGGTTACATCCAAGTCTGGTTTTGTTGATTGCTTCATCTCTTTACATCATGTTTTCCTCTTACTTTTTTTGTCCCCCAATTTTTGTCTGATAGCCAGAATCTTGTGTAAGAATAACTGAAATAAAGTTATCTATGCTTGAATATTGGGGTAGGAAAAGGGTGTTGAATCAGTTTAGCCAGCAATTGAGCTTGGTTTAGGTTTTGTTATTAATGTAGTCCAGATTCCTCTAGTATTATTTTTAGAGTACAGGCTGGTTTGCCAGAGGGTTTTTCAATATCTGGGCCACCTCAACTTTAGGTTTTTCCTTTGTACTTGGGCTTCGGAGAGGGTGTCTCTCTAGCCTCCTCATGCTTCTACTTGCTACTTTATGCTTGCTAGCCTAGTGAAGTGGGTGTGGTTGGTGGATGGGATTGTCCTGTTTTTCTGTTTTAGCCTCAGTCTTAGGTAGGGGCTATGATACTGAGTCTTAGGAGTGAATCCTAAGTGATTCTTCCCCTTCCCTCATCTTTGGGGATTTCTAATGGTATTTCCCACAGGAGCAGAGGAATTTTTTTTTCACTTGCCTTGCTCTATTGGATTTTTTAAACCTGTGCCTTGAGGGTTGTTGCCCTTCTCTCAGTGGCTTAAGGCTTTTGTTCCATATGTGAGATAAAGGAGATGGATTTGGGGTTGGGCATTTGGGTTTTTCCTGTAGCAGATGCTGAATCCGTCACCAAGCCCTGTACCACAAAGGAAATCTTCTCTTTATCCCTCACTATGTCCTGTTTTTCTGGTGAAAACCTAGTAAGTTCTGTGGAGAAAAGCCTGAGAGTTGGAGTGGATTCCTCTTATGTCTGTGGCTCCCAGGTGTTCTATACTCTCAGCTGGTCCCCACTTTACTCTTAGCAATTCATTAAAAAATTTATCTTAATTATTCTTAGCATTTTATATGCATCCCATGTTAACCCTCAGTAAGCAAGTGCTCTCGTCACAGCCTCTCATTGGCAGCACCTATTTTCTTTTCAGGTTAGTTGATTGCCCTGGAACCTGGACTCCATGATGGGTTTAAGTTAGTTTGAGATTTTTACAGATATCTCAGTTTTTTAATGTTGTTTTGATATTGTAAGTTTTGCACTTCCTATGCAGAAGCCAAAATCTGACACGTATTTTTAACAGGAAAATTGAGCAATTATTCCAGCAAATATTCCCATCCAGATTACCCTCCCTTCCCTTTATTTTCTTTGTTCTTTCCTTTCATTCCCCTTTTATTTCCTCTTTTTCTCTCCCCTTCCTCCATTCCTCTCCCTTCTCTCTCCTCCCTTCCTTCCCCTCTCCATCTTTCTTCTCCTGCCTTCCTTTCTTCCTTCCATCACAGATTTATTGAGATGTAATTCACATAACATCCAATTTTCACATTATTGTACAATAATCACTACTATCAATTTTAGAATATCTTAATCACAGCAAAATAAACCCCTTACCCATTAGCAGTCATTCTCTATTTTCTCCCACCCACCCACCCACTTGTCTACAGCCATAGGCAACCACCAATCTAGTTTCTTTTTCTATGGATTTGCCTATCCTAGACATTTTATATAAATTGAATCATTCAATGTGTAGTCCTTTGTGACTGCTTTATTTAGCATATGTTGGCAAGGTTCATGCATAATGTAGGATATATCAACACTTCATTCTTTTTAATACTGAATAATATTCTATTGTATGGATATACCACATTTTATTTATCATTTGTCAGTTGATGAACGTTTGAGTTGTTTCCTCTTTTTGACTATTATTAATAATGCTGCTATGAATATTCATGTACAAAGCAGGCTCACATTATTTTATTGTGCTTCACTTTATTGTGTATCACAGATATTGCATTTTTTTAAATTGAAGGTTTGTGGCAACCCTGTGTGGAGCAAGTCTATCAATGCCATTTTTTCAAGAGCAGGTGCTTATTTCAATTCTCTGTGTCACATTTTGATAATTCTTGCAGTATTTCATACACAATATTATTATGTCTTTTATGGTGATCTGTAATCAGAAATATTTGATGTTATAATTGTTTTGGGACACCACAAATTATGCCCATACAAGATGACAAATTTAATAAATACGTTTTGACTGCTACATCAATCAACTAAGTGTTTCCCTATTTCTTTCTCTCTCCTTGGACCTCCTTATTCCCTGAGACATAACAATATTGAAATTAGGCCAATTAATAACTTTTCAGTGGGCTGTAAGTATTTAAGGAAAGGAGAAGTTGCATATCTCTCACTTTAAATCAAAAGCTAGAAATGATTAAGCTTTAGTGAGGAAGCCATGTTGAAAGCTGAGATAAGCTGAAAGCTAGGCCTCTTGCACTAAATAGCCAAATTGTGAATGCAAAGGAAAAGTTCTTAAAGGAAATTAAAAAGTGCAAGGAAGCAAAACAGCCATATTGCTGATATGCAGAAAATTTTAGTGGTCTGAATAGATCAAAGCAGCCACAACATTCTCTTAAGCTAAAGCCCAATCCAGAGCAAGGCCATAACTCTCTTCAATTCAGTGAAGACAGAGAGGTAAAGAAGCTGTAGAGGAAAAGTTTGAAGACTAGCATAGGTTGATTCATGAGGTTTAAGGAAATAAGACATCTCTGTAACATAAAAGTACAAGATGAAACAGTAAGTGCTGATATAGAAGCTAAAGTACAAGATGAAACAGTAAGTGCTGATATAGAAGCTAAAATACAAGATGAAACAGTAAGTGCTGACATAGAAGCTAAAGCAAATTATCCTGAAAATCTAGCCAAGATAAGTGATGAAGTTTGTTACACTAAACAACACATTTTCAATGTAGATGAAATAGATTCACATTGGAAGAAGATGCCATCTGGGACTTTCATAGCTAGAGAGGAGAAGATAATGCCTGACTTTAAGGACAGACTGACTCTTCTGTTGAGGCTAATACAGCTGGTGATTTTAAATTGAATCCAAGCCTCATTTACAGTTCCAAAAATCCTAGGGCCCTTAAGAATTATGCTACATCTACTCTGTCTGTGCTCTCATAAATGGAATAACAAAGCCTGGATGATGACACATCTGTTGACAGCATGGTTTACTGAATATTTTAAGCCCACTGTTGAGACCTACTGCACAGAAAAGATTCCTTTCAAAATCTTATTGCTCACTGACAATTTACCTGGTCATCCAAGAGCTCTGATAGAGATATAAAAGATTAATGTTGTTTACATATCTGCTAACACAATATCCATTCTGCAGCCCATGGATCAAGGAGTAATTTTGGCTGTCATAGGTTCTTATTTAAGACAAACATTGCATAAGGCTAGAGTTGACATAGTAATTCTTCTAATGGATCTGAGCAAACTAAATTGAAAATCTTCTGGGAATAAATTTTCCATTTGTCTGTTAATGGACACTTAGATCGATTCCATACCTGGCTACTGTGAACAGTGCTGCAGTAAACACGGGAGTGCAGATATCTCTTCAACATACTGATTTTCTTTCTTTTGGGTATATAAACAGTAGTGAGAGTGCTCAAACATGTGATGGTTCTATTTGTAGTTTTTTGAGAAACCTCCATACTTTTTTCCTAATGGATGTAATAACTTACATTTCCACCAACAGTGTATGAGTCCCAGAAGAGGACTGTATCCTCACCAAAAGTTTTAATTTTTTGTCCTTTTGATAATAGCCGTTATAACTGCAGTGAGATGATATTGTGTTTGTGATTTGCATTTCCTTGATTAGTGATGTGAAGCATTTTTCATATACCTATTGGCCATTTGTATGTTTTCTTTGAGAGCTGTATATTCAGCTCATTGACCCATTTTTTAGTTAAAGTATTTGGGTTTTTTTTTTTTTTTGGGTTACTGAGTTGTATTTCTTGTTTGAATTTTAATCTTTTGTTGGATAAATACTTTGCCAATATTTCCTCTTATTCTGCAGGTTGTCTTTTCACTCTATGGACTGTTTCCTTTGCTGTGCAGAAACTTCTTAGTTTGATGTAGTCTCATTTATCTATATTTGCTTTTGTTGTCTGTGCTGATGGTGTTGAATAAGACATTAAATGTCCAATGTCCAATATAAGACCAATGTCCTGTTTTCGTCAGGTAGATTTATAGTTTTAGGTCTTACATTTAAGACTGTATTCAATTTTGGTTGAGTTTTGTATATTGTGAAAGATTGAAATCTAGTTTTTTCTTCTGCCTATAAATATCCAGTTTTCCCAGCATCATTTTTTAAAAAGACTATCCTTTTCTCAATGTATTAATATGTTCTTGGCACCTTTCTCAAAATTAAGTTGGTTGTAGATACATGGATTTATTTCTAGGTTCTGTTTTCTGTCTTATTGGCCTATGTTTCTGTTTTCATGCCAGTACCTTGCTGTTTTGGTTGCTATAGTTTTGTGGTATATTTTGAAGACAGTAGTGTGATGCCTCCAGCTTTGTTCTTTATCTCAGAATTGCTTTGGCTATTTGAGGCCTTTTATACTTCCATACAAATTTAAGGATTTTTTTTTCTATTTTCATGACAAGTGACATTGATATTTTGATAGAGATTGCATTAAATCTGTTGATTGCCTTTGGTAGTACAGTTATTAGAAAAAATTAATTTTTCTAATATGTGAACATTGGCTGTCTTTTCATTTATGTGTGTCTGCTTCAATTTCTTTAATTGGTTTTTTATAGTTTTCATTATAGAGAATGTTCATCTCCTTAATTGTCTGTTACTAAGTTATTTTTTAGCTGTTTAAAATGGAATGGTTTTTTAATTTCTTTTCCTCGTATTTCATTATTTGTGTATAGAAATGCTACTGATTTTTATACATTGATTTTATATCTTGGAAGTTTATTGATTTTGCTTATCAATTCTAAGATTTTTTTGTGGGGGGGGTCTTTAGATTTTTCCATATATAAGATTATGCCATTTGCAATCAGGGACAATTTGACTTCCTATTTCTCTGGTTAGGACTTTCAGTATTATGTTGAATAAGAGTGGTGAAAGTGAGCATCCTTGTCTGGTTCTAGTTCCTAGAGGAAAAGCTTTTAACATTTTCTTATTCAGCATAACGTTAGCTGTGGATTTGTCATATACGTCCTTAATTGCATTGAAGTACATCCTTTCTATACATAACTTGTTGAGTGTTTTTATTATGATGGGATGTTTAATTTTCTCAAATGTTTTTTGTGTCTATTGAGAGGATTATATGGCTTTTTTTCTTCATTCTGTTGATATATCACATTTATTGTTTGTAAATGTTAAACATCCTTGCTCCCTGAGATAAATCCCACTTGATTATGGGTATAAATTTATTGATATGTTGTTGGATTTCATTTACTAGTATTTTATTGAGATATTTTGGATCTATGTTCATCAAGGATATTGAACTGTATTTTTTTCTTTCATGCGTATCTGTGTTCTCTTTTTCTTTCTTTTTTTAAAATTTGGTTTTACTATCAGAGTAATGCTTGTGTCACAGAAAGAGACTGAAAAAATTTCCTCCACTTCAATTTTCAAAAATAGTTGGAAAAGAATTGGTGTTAGTTCTCTTTTAAAAGTTTGATAGGCCAGGCACAGTGGCTCATGCCTGTAATCCCATCACTTTGGGAGGCTGAGGTGGGCATATCACAAGGTCAGGAGTTCAAGACCAGCCTGGCCAATATGGTGAAACCCCGTCTCTACTAAAAATACAAAAATTAGACAGGTGTGGTGGTGGGCACCTGTAATCCCAGCTACTTGAGAGGCTGAGGCAGGATAATTGCTTGAACCCGGGAGGCGGAGGTTGCAGTGAGCCAAGATTGCACCACTGCACTCCAGCCTTGGTGACAGAGCAAGACTCCATCCTGGAAAAAAAAAAAAAAGTTTGATAGAATTCAGCAATGAAACCATTCAGTCCTGGGCTTTCCTTTGCTGGGAGACTTTTTTTCAACTTTTATTTTAAGTTCCAGGGTACATGTGCAGGATGTACAGGGTTGTTACATAGGTAAATGTTTGCCATTGTGGCTTGCTGTACAGATCAACCCCCATCACCTAGGTATTAAGCCCATCATCCATTAGCTATTCTTCCTGATGCTATACCCATCACCTCCCCAACAGTCCCCATTGTGTCTTGTTCCCCATTATGTGTCTGTGTTTTCTCATTGGTCATCTCTCATTTGTAAGTGAGAACATAATGGTGTATAGTTTTCTGTTCCTTCATTAGTTTGCTGAGGATAATGGCTTCCAGCTCCATCCACGCCCCTGCAAAGGACATGATCTAGTTCCTTTTTATGGCTGCATAGTATTCCATGGTGTATATGTACCACATTTTCTTCATCCAGTCTATTTTCGATGGGCATTTGGATTGATTCCATGTCTTTGCTATTATGAATAGTGCTTCAATGAACATACATGTGCATGTATCTTTATAATATAATTATTTATTTTCCTGTGGGTATATACCCAGTAATGGGATGGCTGGGTCAAATGGTATTTCTACTTCTAGATTTTGAGGATTTACCACACTGTCTTCCAAAATGGTTGAATTAATTTTCATACTCCCACCAATAGTGTAAAAGCATTATTTTTCTCCGCAACCTTGCCAGCATCTGTTGTTTCTTGACTTTTTAATAATTGCCATTCTGACTGCTGTGAGATGGTATCTCTTTGTGGTTTTGATTTGCATTTCCTTAATGATCAGTGATGTGGAGCTTTTTTCATGTTTTTGGTTGCATGAATGTCTTCTTTTGAGAAGTGTCTGTTCACGTCCTTTGCCCACTTTTTAATGAGGGTGTTTGTTTTATTCTTGTAAATTTGTTTAAGTTCCTTGTAGACTCTTGATATTAGACCTTTGTCAGATGAATAGATTGTAAATATTCTTTCCCATTCTGTAGGTTGTCTGTCCACTCTTATGATAGGTTTTTTGCTATGCTGAAGTTCTTTAGTTTAATTAGATTCCATTTGTCAGTTTTCGTTTTTGTTGCAATTGCTTTTGGTGTTTTCGTCATGAAATCTTTGCCTGTGCCTGTGTCCTGAATGGTATTTGCCTAGATTTTCTTCTAGAGTTTTTATAGTTTTGGGTTTAACAAGCAATAGGGAAAGGATTCCCTATTTAGTAAATGGTGCTGGAACAACTGGGTAGCCATATGCATAAAGTTGAAATTAATAAATGGTGCTGGGAAAACTGGCTAGCCATATGCAGAAAATTGAAATTGGACCCCTGTATTAATCTGTTCTCAGCCACTAAAGAAAACATACTCAAGACTGGGTAATTGATAAAGAAAAAGAGATTTAATGGACTCACAATTTCACATGGCTGGGGAGGTCTCATAATCAAGGTGGAAGATGTAGGAGGAGCAAAGGCATGTCTTACATGCTGGCAGACAAGAGAATGTGTGTAGGGGAACTCCCCTTTATAAAATCATCAGATCTCGTGAGACTTATTCACTATCACGAGAACAGCATGGGGAAGACCTGCTCCCATGATTCAATTACCTCCCACTGGAAACCTCTCATGACACTTGGGAATTATGGGAGCTACTATTCAAGATGAGATTTGGGTGGGGACACAACCAAACCATATCAACCCCTTTCTTACACCTTATACAAAAATTAACTCAAGATGGACTGCAGATTGAAATGGGAGATTTTTTATTACAGGTTCAATCTCAATATTCTTATTGATCTGTTCAGGTTTTGTATTTCTTCCTGGTTCAATATTGTTAGGTTGTATACGTCCAGGGATTTTTTTCATTTCCTATAGATTTTCCATTTTGTTGTATGGTTATTCATAGCCATCTCTAATAATCCTTTGTATTTCTGTGGTATCAATTATAATTTTTTTGTTTCTAATTTATTTGTGTGAGTCTTCTCTGTTTTTTCCCTAGTCTAAGTAAAGACTGTCAATGTCGTTTATGTTTTCAAAAAGCCAACTTTTCATTTTCTTGATCTTTTTTTTAGTTTTATTTTATGTTCTTATTTTTAATATTTATTTTTCTCTACTAATTTGGGCTTTGGCTTGTTTTTGCTTTTCCAATTCCTTGAGATGCATCATTCAGTCGTTTACTTGAAATCTTTTTACTTTTTTGGTGTAGGTACTTATTGCTATAAACTTCAACTTATTACTGCTTTTGCTATATCTCATAGGTTTAGTCGTTTTAAGAAAGTTTTAAATTTCCTAATTAATTTCTTCATGAACTCATTGGTTGTTCAGGAGCATATTGGTTTAATTTCCATATATTTGTACCTTTCAAAAATTTCTCATTATTGATTTCAGTTTTAGTTCACTGATACAAGAAAAGATACTTGATAATTTCAATTTTAAAAAGGATTTGTTGAGACTTGTTTTATGATCTAACATGTGATTTATTCTGGAGAATGTTCCATGTGTTCATGAGAAGAATGTGAATTCTTCAGCTGTTGGATGAAATGCTTTGTAAATGTCTGTTAGGTGTAATGTGAAGTTTAAATCCAATGTTTCATTGTGGATTTTGTTTCTAGATTATGTATCCAAAGCTGTGAGTGGCATGTTGAAGTATCAAACTACTAATGGAGAGTATCTCTTCCTTTATATGTAATAATATTTGCTTTATATATCCATGTGTTCTGGTGCTTCGTGCATACATATTCACAATTGATATATTGTATTCCTGAATTTATTCCTTAATTATTATATAATGATCTTTTAGTCTTTTTTTAGTCTTTTACTTAAAGCTTGTTTTATCCAATGTAAGTATAGTAGCTACACTTGATTGCTTTTTGTTTTCATTTGAGTGAAATATTTTTTACGATTTTTCACTTTCAATCTATACACATCTTTACCAGTGAAGTGAATTTCTCACAAGTAGCATATAGTTGGGTCATTTTAAAAAATCCATTCAGCTAGTCTATGTCTTTTAAGTGGGGGATTTAATCCATTTATATATAAATTATTATTTTTTGGTGAGCAATTACTCTTATCATCTGTTGTATTCTGGTGGTTTTATATATTCTTTTGTTCTTTCTTCCTCTCTTATTGTTTTATCATCGTGATATGGTGGTTTTTTTTATGGTGATCAGATTTTATTCTCTTGTCCTTTTCTTTTGTGTATCTGTTCTACCAGAGCTTTATGTATTTCTCCATGTTTTCATGATAGTAATTATCATATTTTTTATTTCTAGATACAGGGCTACTTTGAACACTTCTTGTAAAGCCAGTCTAGTGGTGATGAATTTCTTCATTTATTGCTTGTCTGAGAAAGATTTTATTTCTTCCTCATTGTTGAAGGATGGCTTTTCTAAGTATTATAATTTAGTTGGCTTTTGTTTTCGTTCAGCACTTTAAGTATATCATCATATTTTCTCCTGGCATATAAGGTGTTTGCAGAGAAATCTGCTGTCAGTCAAGTAAGGATTTCCTTATATATGAATTGATACTTTTCTTCTCTTGCTGTTTTTAGAATTCTCCCTTTGTGTTGATTTTTGACAATTTGACTATTTTGTGCCTTTAAGAATCTCTTTCTGGGTTGAATCTATTTTGAGATTTTTGAGTTTCCTGGTTATGGATGTCCAAATTTCTCTTCAAATTTGGCAATTTTTCAGCAATTATTTTACAATATAGATTTTTGTTATCTTTTTTTCCTGTCTTCTGCTTGTGCAGCTCTCATATATCAAATATTTGTTTGCTTAAGGATGTCCTGTAAGTCTTGTTGGCTTACCTTACTCTTTTTCATTTTTTTCCCTGTGAGTAATTTTAAACCTCTTAAATTCAAATTTAGAAACTCTTCAGCTTAATTAAGTTTGCTGTTGGGGCTTTCACTTGTATTTTTCATTTCATTCTTTGAATTTTTTAGCTGCAGGCTTTGCATTTGATTTTTTATATTTATTTTTGTTGGATTTCTTACTCATATTCTGTGTGAATTGTTTTCCTGATTTTGTTGAGTTGTCAATCTGTATTTTCCTCTACCTCACTGCATTTTCTTAATATCATTATTTTTAATACCTTTTCCATCAAGTCATTTATTTCCTTTTCATTAGGACCTTTTAGTAGTGAGTTATGTTCCTTTAGTGGTGTCATAGATCCTTGGTTTTTCATATTTTCTGTGTCTCTGTATTGATGCCTGCATCAGGTGGAACTATTACCTCTTCCATAGTTTCTAGAGTGGCTTTCATAGAGAAAGACTTTCACTTGCAGTTGGGCTTATGTGTGCCAATTAGGAGGGGTATGGGGACTCTGTTTCCAGATAGGTGCAGTGATGTAGTCTCTGCAGATTCTTCAGCTGTGTCCAATATCAACAATAATTGTTGGTGGCCACGGCTGTAGAAATTTATGGCAGCAGCAGTGACATAGTTTGTTAATGCCCTGGATGTCAAGTGCTTTTATGTCTTTCTATTCCTGTTTTCCCCACATTGGGGAGACCTAGCTGGAGGGATCCCTCCTAATGACAGGTCTGAATCAGTCTATAAACAGCTGCAGTGCTGCTGAGTTTCATGTACAGATGCTTGAAGTAGCTGTGGGGTGGGGGTCCTAAACTTGATGTTTCTTGAACCTATTGTGGCACATGGGCCTTATCGTGCAAGTTCACTCTCTGTATCAGGGTCAGATGTGGACTTCCCACAGGGTCAGGATCTGTTATACTGAGGCACCTCCTGGAAACTCAGGCCCGTTGACCAGGTTGTAGCTGTGACTCTACCTCTGGGGTACAGGGCACAGCACTGTTCTGACTCCAAGGGTAAAGGAATGCTCTGGAGGTTTGGAGGTTTGGGCCAAAGAAGCTTCAATTTGGGAACCTGAGCCAATAGTAATCAGTTGTAACTCAGGACCCAGGAGATGAAGCACTGTGTAGCAATTAATTTTCTTAGGTTTTTGTTTATCTGGAATTTATATTTTCTCCTTCCTTCCTTTTTTCCTTCCTTCCGTCCTTCCTACCTTCCTTCCTTCCTTCCTCCCTCCCCCTCCCTCCTTTCTTCTTCCCTCCCTCCTTTTCCTCCCTCCCTCTCTCTCTCCTTTCTCTCCTTCCTTCCTTCCCCCACTCCCTTCCTCTCTCCCTCCCACTCCCTCCCTCCTTCCTTCCTTCCTCCATCCCTCCACCCCTCCCTCCCTCCCTCCTTTCTCTCTCTCTCTCTCCTTCCTTCCTTCCTTCCCTCCCAAGCAGCTGGGACTATGGGCATGCACCATCATGCCTGGTTGAGTTTTTAAATTTTTTGTAAAGGTAGAGTTTAATCTTGTTGCCCAAGCTGGTCTTGAACTCCAAGGCTCAAGTGATTCTCCCACCTCAGCCCCTCAAAATGCTGAGATTACAGGCATGAACGACCACAGCCTGCATTGGCTTCATCTCTGAAACATACTTTTGTTGTATTTAGAGTCTTGTTTTACAGGTTATTATTTTCTCCCAGCAACTTAAATATGTTATCCCACTGCCTTCTGGCCTCCTTGTATCTGAAGAAATGTAAGCTGTTAATCTTACTGGTATTTGTTTGTATGTGATCAGTGATTTTTGTATTGTTACTTTCAAGATTTTCTATTTATTTTTCCACATTATTACTATGATGTGCTTGGGTATGTATCACTTGTATTTATCCTACATGGAATTGTTGAGCTTTTTCATTGTGTGACTAATGTGTGTGTATGTGTTTCTTTAAAATCCAATTTCAGCCATTACTTCTTTGAATATATTTTTCTGCTTTCTCTCCTCTCCTTCTGGTTATGTCATTATGCCTACATTTATGCACTGCCTACATTATGTCCCACACATTTCCCACACATTTTTTGTGGCTCTGTTCATTTTTTAAAATTCTTTTTTCCTACCTTTTTTAGATTGAATAATCTCTATTAATATATCTTCAAGTTCTCTTTTCTGCCTCTTCAGACTTACTGTTGAGCCCCTCTAGTCAGTTTTCTTTCAGCTATTGTATTTGTTAACACAGAGCTGGGGTTTGGGAGGGAAGCAATTGGTCAAGTCTCAAGTACTACAGAGTCTCAGTGTTCTTCCTATGATTTAGTAGATTTTCTCGAATAAATATTTCTTCACTTGCTGTATATCTTTATGACATTTTCCAGAAGCTTTAAATGATTATTTCAAAATAATTTTTACCAGTTATGTTTGTTTTCTGTAGAGAGGTTTCCAGAGCTTCTGATACCTTCATTCCAGAAGCTTTCTGGAATACCTTTAAAAATAATAAAAGATAACAAAATCTATATTGTAAAATAATTGCTGAAAAATTGCCAAATTTGAAGAGAAATTTGGACATCCATAACCAGGAAACTCAAAAATCTCAAAATAGATTCAACGCAGAAAGAGATTCTTAAAGGCACAAAATAGTCAAATTGTCAAAAATCAACACAAAGGGAGAATTCTAAAAACAGCAAGAGAAGAAAAGTATCAATTCATATATAAGGAAATCCTTACTTGACTGACAGCAGATTTCTCTGCAAACACCTTATATGCCAGGAGAAAATATGATGATATACTTAAAGTGCTGAATGAAAACAAAAGCCAACTAAATTATAATACTTAGAAAAGCCATCTTTCAACAATGAGGAAGAAACAAAATCTTTCTCAGACAAGCAATAAATGAAGAAATTCATCACCACTAGACTGGCTTTACAAGAAGTGTTCAAAGTAGCCCTGTATCTAGAAATAAAAAATATGATAATTACTATCATGAAAACATGGAGAAATATATAAAGCTCTGGTAGAACAGATACACAAAAGAAAAGGACAAGAGAATAAAATCTGATCACCATAAAAAAAACCACCATATCACGATGATAAAACAATAAGAGAGGAAGAAAGAACAAAAGAATATATAAAACCACCAGAATACAACAGATGATAAGAGTAATTGCTCACCAAAAAATAATAATTTGTATATAAATGGATTAAATCCCCCACTTAAAAGACATAGACTAGCTGAATGGATTTTTTAAAATGACCCAACTATATGCTACTTGTGAGAAATTCACTTCACTGGTAAAGATGTGTATAGATTGAAAGTGAAAAATCGTAAAAAATATTTCACTCAAATGAAAACAAAAAGCAATCAAGAGTAGCTACTATACTTATATTGGATAAAACAAGCTTTAAGTAAAAGACTAAAAAAAGACTAAAAGATCATTATATAATAATTAAGGAATAAATTCAGGAATACAATATATCAATTGTGAATATGTATGCACGAAGCACCAGAACACATGGATATATAAAGCAAATATTATTACATATAAAGGAAGAGATACTCTCCATTAGTAGTTTGATACTTCAACATGCCACTCACAGCTTTGGATAGATAATCTAGAAACAAAATCCACAATGAAACATTGGATTTAAACTTCACATTACACCTAACAGACATTTACAAAGCATTTCATCCAACAGCTGCAGAATTCACATTCTTCTCATGAACACATGGAACATTCTCCAGAATAAATCACGTTAGATCATAAAACAAGTCTCAACAAATCCTTTTTAAAATTGAAATTATCAAGTATCTTTTCTCGTATCAGTGAACTAAAACTGAAATCAATAGTGAGAAACTTTTGAAAGGTACAAATATATGGAAATTAACCAATATGCTCCTGAACAACCAATGAGTTCATGAAGAAATTAATTAGGAAATTTAAAACTTTCTTAAAACGACTAAACCTATGGGATATAGCAAAAGCAGTAATAAGTTGAAGTTTATAGCAATAAGTACCTACACCAAAAAAGTAAAAAGATTTCAAGTAAATGACCGAATGATGCATCTCAAGGAATTGGAAAAGCAAAAACAAGCCAAAGCCCAAATTAGTAGAGAAAAATAAATATTAAAAATAAGAACATAAATAAAATAAAACTAAAAAAAAAGATGAAGAAAATGAAAAGTTGGCTTTTTGAAAACATAAACGAGATTGACAATCTTAGTTTAGGAAAAAAAGAAGACTCACACAAATAAATTAGAAACAAAAAAATTATAATTGATACCAGAGAAATACAAAGGATCATTAGCGATGGCTATGAATAACCATACAACAAAATGGAAAATCTATAGGAAATGAAAAAAATCCCTGGATATATACAACCTAACAAGATTGAGCCAGGAAGAAATACAAAAACTGAACAGATCAATAAGAATATTGAGATTGAACCTGTAATAAAAAATCTCCCACTTCAGTGTGCAGTCCATCTTGAGTTAATTTTTGTGTAACTCAAGGGGGTGTAAGGTGTAAGAAAGGGGTTGAGTATTCATTATGTTCCCATAAGTGGGTTGATATTTTTACATTATTATCTCCTTAGATCTTGATTTTTGTTGTATATATATTTCCACTTTATTATTTATTGTTTTTATTCACTCACTAGATTATAACCTTACAAAAGCAGACATCTTAGCTTCTTTATTTGTCCTGATTTTCCCTAAATTGTTACAATGAATCTTTGTGTGTGCTGAATAAATATTATTTAAATAATGTAATAAAAATTAAATATATCATTAAATGAAGTAGGGTCTGTTATTAGTACAGTTTTTTAGAGGAGAAGATTGAGACTTATAGAAGTTAAATCACAGGTCCACATTCACAGAGCTACTAAATTAAGTGCCTAGAATTCAAACATAAGTGATATGGTTTGGCTGTGTCCCCACCCAAATCTCCTCTTGAATTCCCATGTATTGTGGGAGGGACCTGGTGGGAAGTAATTGAATCTTGAGGGCAGGTCTTTCTCGTGCTGTTCTCATGATAGTGAACAAGTCTCACAAGATCTGATGGTTTTAAAAAGGGGAGTTTCCCTGCATACGCTCTATTCTCTTGTGTGCCACCATGTGAGACATGCCTTTCACCTTCCACCATGATTGTGAGGCCTCCCCAGCCATGTAGAACTGTCGGTCCAATAAACCTCATTCTTTTGGAAACTGCCCAGTCCCAGTTATGTCTTTATTGGCAGCATGAAAATGGACTAGTACAGTAAATTGGTACCAGTAGAGTGGGGTGTTGCTGAAAAGATACCTGAAAATGTGGAAGCAACTTTGGAACTGGGTAACAGGCAGAGGTTGGAACAGTTTGGAGGGCTCAGAAGAAGACAGGAAACTGTGGGAAAGTTGGGAACTCCCTAGAGACTTGTTGAATGGTTTGACCAATATGCTGATAATGATACGGACAATGAAATCCAGGCTGAGGTGGTCTCAGATGGAAATGAGAAACTTGTTGGGAACTGGAACAAAGGTGATGACTCTTCTTATGTTTTAGCAAAGAGACTGGCAGCATTTTGCCTGTGCTCTAGGGATTTATGGAACGTTGAAATTGAGAGAGATGATTTAGGGTATCTGGTGGAAGAAATTTCTAAGCAGCAAAGCATTCGAGAGGTGACTTAGTGCTGTTAAAGGCATTCCGTTTTATAAGGGAAGCAGAGCACAAAAGTTTGGAAAATTTGCAGCCTGACAATGTGATAGAAAAGAAAATCCCATTTTCTGAGGAGAAAGTCAAGCTGGCCGCAGAAATTTGCGTAATTAACGAGCCAAATGTGAATTCTCAAGACAATGGGAAAAATGTCTCCAGGGCATGTCAGAGGCCTTCATGGCAGCCCCTCCCATCACAAGCCCAGGGTCCAGGAGGAAAAAGTAGTTTTGTGGACTGGGTCCAGGGTCCCTGTGCTGTGTGCAGCCTAGGGACTTGGTGCCCTGTGTCCCAGCTGCTCCATCCATGGCTGAAAGGGGCCAATGTAGAGGTCAGGCCATGGCTTCAGAGGGTGCAAGCCTCAAGCCTTGGCAGATTCCATGTGGTGTTGAGCCTGCCAGTGCACAGAAGTCAAGAATTGGGATTTGGGAACCTTCACCTAGATTTCAAAGGATGTATGGAAATGCCTGGATGTCCAGGCAGAAGTTTGCTGCAGGATCAGGGGTCTCATGGAGAACCTCTGCTAGGGCAGTGCAGAAGGGAAATATGGGGTTGGAGCCCACACACAGAGTCCTTACTGGGGCACTACCTAGTGGAACTGTGAGAAGAAGACCACCATCTTCCAGACCCCAAAATTGTAGATCCAATGACAGCTTGCACTGTGCACCTGGAAAAGCCACAGACACTCAATGCTAGCCCATGAAAGCAGCTGGGAAGGAGGATGTACTCTTCAAAGCCACAGGGGTGGAGCTACCCAAGACCACGGGAGCCCACCTCCTGCATCAGTGTGACCTGGATGTGAGTCATGAAATCAAAGGAGATCATTTTGGAGCTTTAAGATTTGACTGCTCTGCTGGATTTCAGACTGGCATGGGGCCTGTAACCCCTTTGTTCTGGCCAATTTCTCCCATTTGGAATGGCTGTATTTAATGCCTGTACCACCATTGTATCTAGGAAGTAACTAACTTGCTTTGGATTTTACTGGCTCATGGGCAGAAGGGACTTGTCACAGATGAGACTTTGACTGTGGACTTTTGAGTTAATGTTGAAATGAGTTAAGACTTGGGGGACTGTTGGGAAGACATAATTGGTTTTGAAATGTGAGGACATGAGATTTGGGAGGGGCCAGGGGAAGAATGATATAGTTTAGCTCTGTCCCCACCCAAATCTCATCTTAAATTCCCACATGTTGTGGGATGGGCCCAGTGGGAGGTAATCAAATAATGGGTGTGGGTCTTTCCTGTGCTGTTCTTATGATAGTGAATAAGTCTCATGAGATCTGATGGCTTTATAAAGCAGAGTTTCCCTGCACAAGCTCTCTCTTTGCCTGCTGCCATCCATGTAAGATTGTGAGGCCTCCCCAGTCACTTGGAACAGTAAGTCCATTAAACCTCTTTCTTTTGTAAATTGCCCAGTCTTGGGTATGTCTTTATCAGCAGTGTGAAAATGGACTAATACATTTGGTAATATGAAAAGGTGCCAGATCCATTTTGCTTAAAAGTCATCAATTATACCTAAAATATTTTCAAATCCTATATGTCTGTTAAAGACATGTATCCAGAATATATACATAACTTTTAAAATTCAATAATATAAGTAACTCAAATAATAAATGGGCAAAGGACATTTCTCTAAAGAAAATATAAAAATGGCTAGAAGCACATGAAAAATGTTCAACATTGTTAGCTCTCAGGGAAACACAAATAAAACTTTGGGATACCACTTCATGCCCAGTAGGATAGCTGTAATAAAAAAGATAGACAATACCAAGTGTTGGAAAGGATGTGGAGAAAGTGAAGTTATTATACGCTGCTGGTCAGAGTGTAAAATGGTGCGTCTACTTTGTGCAGTAGTCTGGCATTCTCTGAAAATGTTAAACATAGATTTGCCATGTGACCAGACAGTTCACTCTTAGGATAAAATCAAGATACATAATAATATATGCTCACACAAATACTTTTACATAAATGCTCATAGCAGCGTTATTCATAGTAACAAAAAAGTGGAAACTTAATAGTCCATTAATCAGCTGATGAATGAATAAATAAAATGTGGTATATCCATACCACTGGGAATATTTTCAGCAAAATATTTTTTATACTTTTCTGCAAAAAGCAAAACTACGAAGACAATAATAAGATCAGTGGTTATCAGGATTTTGGGAGAGAAAGGGGTAAATGTAACACAGGAGATTTTTGGGGAAGTGAAATTATTCTTTATGATACTTATGGTGGATACATGTCATTGTACATTTGTCAAAACCCACAGGATGTACAACACTAAGAGTGAATCCTAATGTAAACTTTTAAAAAATCCAGTAAACTCCAGATAAAGTTATGGCAACTCCATCATCATTCTTGCTGTTTATAGCTCCAAAAATAATCATATCAACTCTGGGGTTAATATTATACATGATGCAGCCATACAAAATGATGAGTTCATGTCCCTTGTAGGGACATGGGTGAAGCTGGAAACCATCATTCTCAGCAAACTATCGCAAGGACAAAAAGCCGAACACCGCATGTTCTCACTCATAGGTGGGAATTGAACAATGAGAACACTTGCAGACAGGAAGGGGAACATCACACACCGGGGCCTGTTGTGGGGTGGGGGGAGGGGGGAGGGATAGCATTAGGAGATATACTTAATGTAAATGATGAGTTAATGGGTGCAGCACACCAACATGGCACATGTATACATATGTAGCAAACCTGCACGTTGTGCACATGTACCCTAGAACTTAAAAAGTATAATAAAATATATATATATTTTAAAAAGATAATCAAATTAGTAACCAACAGCATGTGCCTTGGCAAAGAATTACAAATATCGAGGTAGATCATGTCCTTCTTATGAGGGTGCTGACTCAGGATGAGAAGGAATATATTTTTAGTGCAGGAGAGTCTAAGTTGCAACTGTCCTCCAACACTGAGATTAGAATGATCAATGTACTTTTATCTCTACCAAACGTTTCTTTTTTCACAGTCAAAAAGCATAAAGGTTTGATGTCTAGGGAGATAATTCTTTGACAGACAAAATGCAAAATTTACACATGATAAACAATTATTCACTCAATTCAACTTACCAAGTGCCTATTATATATTGCTCTAAGAATATAAACAGTGAGTATAAAAAAACAAGGCTCTTGTCCTTATGGCGTTTATATTCTAGTAAGGGGAGACAGATGATAAATAACAAATAAATAAAACAAGAAAAATGTCAGGTAGAGTATTAGTATTCTACTGCTGCTATAATTTACACAAACCAATAACATAACACAAATTTATTACTTTACAGTTCTGGAGACCAGAAGTCCGAAATTGGTTTCACTGGGCTGAAATCAAAGTGTTATAGCTGGGCTGTGCTTCCTCTGCATCTAGGAGAGAATCCATTTCCTTGCCTTTTCTACCTTCTAGACACTTCCTGTATTCTTTGGCTTGTGGTCTCTTTCTTCCAACTTATGCCCTCATCATCATATGTTTTCTCCATGCCACTGAGTCTCCCACTTTTCTCTTATAAGAATCCTAATGATTATATTGAGTCAATCTGGAAAATCCAAGATTATTTCTCCATTTCCAGATCCTTAACCCAGTCACATAAAAAGTCTCTTTTGGCATATAAGGTAACATATTCACAGGTCTGGGAATGAAGATATGAACATCTTTGGAGGACCAGGATTCTGCCTAGCACAGTAGTTATAAATGAAGTGCAGAAAACTAACATTGTTGATGCCATAAAGAACAGCTGACTTGCTATTTTAGGTGGTCATGAAAATTTTCTTTGAACAGGAATATTTAAGCTGAGATCCACAGGATAAAAAGGAGCCAAACCTGGGATGGTCAGGTAGTACAGCACTCCAGGCAGAAGAAAGAGAAACAAATTTGCTTTGTCAGGAAAATAAAGAGGGCCAGAGTGGCTGGATGTGAGATGGCCTAAGAGCTAAGTGGTACAAGTAGGAATGGGAGAGATAGGGTGGAGTCAGATTATGTAGGATTTACTGAACTAGGGTAAGCAAGCAGATAAGTATCTTTGCATCAAGTATCTTCTTTAGACACATTTTAAAAAAAATGGTAGTCGCTGAAAAATAAACTACAAAATTAGGGTTAAAATGTTATGTTAAGTAACCTGATGCAGCATAGCAACTGGAAATTGAAGTTGGTATTAGTATAGATGGAGACAGGTAAGCTTAATTTGTCTTGGCAAAGAAATGGCATGGCTCCCCAAGTTTATTTAGTGGGAGAGTCTATAGGAACTAGACCAAATTATCTGCAGATATTTGCTGGTTGGTCTTTTAGGGAAGAAGAAATTGACTTTAGAAATAAACACCTGGCAATCTATGTCCTCAGTAGGAAGCAGCTTTGAAGAAAATGTCCTCTGTGAGGCTAAATGGGGAGTACGGTAATCTCTACTGAAGGAAAGGACTTCTAATTAAGTGGGTCCTACAAAGGGAAAGATGCTTAAGAGAAAATTGCATTAAAGTAGGGACACATCACCATGGTTGAAGGCCAGGTTCAGTTTCTGAAGTCTCCAGCCTTTCTAAAATGTCAGCTTGCTCTTTTTTTTTATTTTTTATTTTGGAAAATAGGAAAATAATTTAGGAACTTATCATCAGATTCTTTCAGAAGGCTTCTGTGTGGGAATTATATATGATCAAGAATTGAGAAGGTAGTCATTCTTTGTTTAATAAACATTTGATAAGTATCTGCTTGAAAGATCATTAGAAAGATAAGTGGAAGCTACTTTCCAGTACCAAGGGATTTGGAAGACATATTCTCTTAACTTTCTGTTACTCTTGTTTTGTATAAAATTGATCCTCTTAAAATCCATGTCATACTGTCAATCCATCTCATAGTTATTTTGTCCTCTACTATTCCACACTGTAGTATATTGATGATTTACAGATTTCATTAAAACTTTTAGTATATAGCCTGCAGTCTTCCTTTTAAACTCATATTATGCCATTTTTCTACCTGTCATTACTGTCTATGTAGATGACAACGTTTCTTCATGTCTACCTTAAAGATCTTTATTTTCCTCTAATTGAGCCACTGTTACCCCGGCTATATTATGAAATGTGTTGCTACAAGAAACTATTTCATTATTAAATGGCAAACTCTAATGTGCCACTCTGATTACCGCTTTTATTTTTCCTGTCATTTTATTTACTTATTCCCTCCACATCCATTCTCCAACTTTATTAAGACTTTTTTTCTGCAAATTTTCCCGATTAAATAGCACCTTTTCTAACACTTTCTTTTTTTTTTTTTTTACACCACATAAACTAGGTTGGATTTGCATTAGTCTCTGGTCAAATTACTTCCATTTTTTCCCCTAGTCTTTCTGCTATAATTGCCTGGCAAACCTTCAGTCTTGGGTAAATCTGTCTATTAAGTTGGCATCTCTATCAGTCAAAGATTGTAGCCGAATGAATGCAATAGATAACTCAAGTACAATGGCTTAACCAAATAAGATGTTTATTGTTTTAATAACAGTAGCTCCACTACGTTATTAATGTTTTGAGTTCCTTCTAGCTTTCTGCTCCACTATTATTTTCATTTGGCTTTAATCATCATGGTTATCTAATGAGAGCTTCAAGGCCATGAGCAATTTGCCATGTTCTGCCTCACATCCAAAGAGCAGTCAGGAAAAAAATTAAGGAAATAACCAGAAGAAAAGGGACAGTACCTATATTTGAAAAGCAAATCTGTTTCAGAAATGTCTCAGTAGACTTCTTTGCTGAGAACCAGTGTTAGCTTTAAGAAGGACTGTATATGTGTGTATGTATGTGCATGTGTGTACGTGTGTATGCAAATATATATTTTCTCGCAAGGAAAAAGATGAGAATAAATAAATATCGAGGAGGCCACTAACAGTATTTGCCACAGCATCATTACAAATTAATTTTTCTATGTTAACTCCGCAAGTAATCCTATATTAACCTAGTTATATACCTCTTTTTATTAGTCAGCTAGGGTTGCCATAATACAATACAATGTACTGGGTAGCTTAAACTACTGAAATTAATTTTCTCATAGTTCTGGAGACCGGAAATCTAAGACAAAGGTGCTGGCAGGTTTGATTTCTCCTGGGGCCTTTCTCCTTGGCTTGCCCATGACCACCTTTTTCTTCATCCTCACGTGGCGTTTTCATTATTTGTGTGCATCGCTGGTGTTTCTTCCTCTTGTTATAAGGACCCAAACTTACTAAATTAGGACCTCACCCTTATGATGACAGGACTTTAACATGACTTTTGGTGGGACACAATTCAGTCTATCACAGTCTTTCATTACCTGCAAAAGATATTTGAAATCTTCATCGTTTTTTACCATTCAGCTACACTCTACTTCATCCCTCATGCCAAAAAATTTGATCTGCCTTCACTCTAACTCACAGAGGAAGTAGGGACTATTATATAAGACTTCTTCAACCTTCTCCCTTTTCCTCTTCACCTGAAAACGTGCCTTTAACTGCTTTCACACATCCATTGTTTCCTCCCCTTTTAAGTTAGGTACTTAACAACAGGAGTCTTAATAATTTCAGAATTAAAGCACGCCTGTAGAATGAACGGGGCCTTCTGAAGTAATAAAGCTAGAACAACGTCAAGTAACCACAGTGAATTGTTTTCCCAAGGTTCCTGGAGAATCTTTTCAGCAGATAATAGGAACTTTAGCTTGCTTTTCCCTGATAAAGGAAGTGTTTTGTCACCATTTTCAAGATAATGATGACGTATCATATTTTCTTCTTGCATAAATCTTTCTTTTGCATTTTATTAGATGTATGGTTGCCCATCAGTATTTGAATGACATCACAATGACATCTAGTGGCTGTAGAATTTTTTTTTTAATCTCCAAGAAGTACATCTTTAATTACAGAAAGATGTTTCTAAGCTGGAAATAAGAAAGGAGAATGAACCATTATAAGTTAGTTATTTTCTTTCCAATATGTGTTGCTTTTGAACTTGACTCTTTTCCTCTCTCTTCTACATTTGTTCTAAACAGAAACAGAAAAAAGCAGAAAAATTCGACACTTGCTTGAAATTGACATATTGATGTACAGTATGACACTTCAGGGACTCTCTTTTGAGTCTGCAGAAATGAGACATTTGATACAAAAATGCTGCCAAATATTCAACAGCATTTTTTAGGCAAGAAGCTAAAGTCTACATCCATATGATTTAGACAATTTTAATAAGAAAACCAGGTCAAAGTTACCTTTTGTGTCTTTGTTTTACATAGACAATGAACAACAGGAAAATGTTGGCAATGGTGAAAGATGTTATGTGTGGTGGATGGTGGTGGTGGTGTGTAACATGAGACTTTTTGGGGGTGGGGCGGGGAATATAGCATTTTCCAATTAAGGAATCATGGGAAGCATTCATAGAACACTGCTATTGGTAAAAGGCAAAATGTATTTGGGGTATTTTAATCACCCTGAAGAAATATGTATTTTAAGTTGTTACTTTTTTTTTTCAATCTTTACATTTTAATTTTTCTCTTAAATTTTTTTTTCTTTTTTTTAAATTATTATTATACTTTAAGTTTTAGGGTACATGTGCACAATGTGCAGGTTAGTTACATATGTATACATGTGCCATGCTGGTGTGCTGCACCCACTAACTCATCATCTAGCATTAGGAAAAGTTGTTACTTTTAAATAACTAATACATTTAGATTTTATAGAAGAAAATTACATTGAGACATTTTTTAACTTTAGAAAAAAATTTGTATTAAAAATTTCTTTGGATCTTTTTGCTTTTTACACTGTGGTGAATAATATAGGACTTAGATTCTTAACCTACTAACATCTATTGTCTCAAAAACACTGACTAAATAAGATGTTCTTCAAACTTTGATGTCCTTTTAGAACAAATAATACTTCATTTTATTCGGGTCCTATTCTGAAGACCACACACAGAGAAACTGAATTCCATTTATTTTATACTTTTAGAGAGGCAAGAGGCTGAGTTAGTCATGACATATTTGAATATATGGTTTTACACCACTGAGACCTCTTATTCAGCTAGTATGATATACTAAATTACTGCTCATTTTTTCCCACTGGAATGTAGGGATTTAGAGTTCATAGTGAAAGTAATTGGGTATTTTCTCACAATTCAGAAACATATTTGAAGAATGGACTAGGACATGCAGTATATGCACCTATGTGAACTTGAAATAATTTGTGGAGAAGGGATTTAAGACCACACAGTTAGCCTCAATGCTTAGTTCTCCCCTTTGTGGCAGTTCTTCAGCTTGAGCTGGAGGATAGACCATTATCATCTGAGGAAAAGATCAATCCAGATCTGTACCACTGTTCGGGGTGCTGTGCTCATGTATTGCATTTTTGGAGGCAGCTGTTTTTCTGTTCTTTTGTTGGATGGCCATGGGTTGGATCATTTGACTGGATGGTGGCTGTGCAACAGACTCTGAAAGTTATGCATTTGAGCTCTGCATTGAAAACAAAGACTAAGAGAAGAATCATTATCAGAGTCTGCAGCCCTCATCTAAGCCAGGATCCAAGAACCCTAATTACCCCTCAAAACCAGATCCCATTCCCAATCCCTAAGCACCTCTAGCACCTGATATAGGAGTATGGGCTAGTTATCTAATTTCATATTTTCTTTGTTTGTTTCCTGAATCTGCTTAGTAATATCAAAGATCCAAAAAAGGTTTGTAGGAAAAAAGACAATACATATCTAACGTGGCTCTATTTTGAACTACTGCTCATTCAATTTCATGAACATCTTGGGAAAGCAGTTTTATGGCTTATAGATATTTTATAGTTCTCCTAGTCAATAGCAAGTAGGATTCTTCTCACTCCTGGAGTCTTTCACAGAGGATAAAAAAGAAATGTTTGGAGAAGAAGAGAGCTGTTTGGAATTCTCTTGCAGGGGTTAAAATTTGTACCCTCCAAATCTATAAAAATACAAAAAAATTACTTGGCAGGAAAAAAATTTGGACTTCAATTGAGGTCAAAGTCTTTCCTTTCCTTCTGTAGTGAAATCACCCACATCTTTATTTGTCTCTTCTTTCTTCTCTCGCTCTTTTACTCTCTCTCAAGAACAGCCAATAGCCAAATTGACCTTTATCTTGAAGGTAGACACCAATTTACTGACATAAAAATCCTGTCTGATTTAAGGGCAGTAGCCAATAGGAGTTTGAGCTGAGTAGTAGATTACTAATCATTAAGGACCGTAAACTCTTTTGGCCAAAGACTCTTATGAAATTGTCAAATAGTATTGTAATGGTATTTTTTTTTCCATTCAATAAGAGTAGTACTGCACCACACAATCCCTTTTTTATTAGAGAGATTATCAAATAGATCTATAGCAAAAGAGCTTGGTGTTGAGGATAAGTAGTGCTTCTCTTTGTAAGGTATATAAAAGTGAGATAGCCACCAAATATGCATCATCTGTACACTAGTTCTTTCCTAGTCTTATTTCTATAAAAGTTTGGTTATCAAAGCTAGCTGTGAAAAAAAAAAACCCTCAAGTTTTGTTTTGGTGGAGACAAAGTTCATCTCTAAGGTACAGCATGAAAAAGGGCCTTAGGATACTTTTTTTTTAGCCAGTTATGATAATTTTCCCCCAAAATTTCATTTACTGTAAATACCCAGGAAATTACCTTATGTATTACAAAAAAATGAGACTAAAGGAGTGCCACCCAGTTTCCTATAATACCAGATCCTTATAATACACTACTAAATGTGCATCCTTAGTCACTCCCTGACAAAAATCCAGTGCCTGGCTGGTTTTCTAAGGATTTGAATAAAACATATAGACACAACATGAAGTGGCTGAGGATGTAAAAATCAATATTAAAGAGAGAGACAATGGTAACATGTTTATTTCAGATATCATAGTTAGATGTTAGCTCTGTTAACAGAACCTTAAACTAGCAAAGAGGAAAGGAAAAACAACCAAGTAGGAAAATGGAGAAGGAAAAAGACAAAGTGTGATAATTTGTAGTTGTGGCTGCTTGTGGGTCTTGAGTGAAAGCTCTTTTTTCCTGTGGTTGTCTACTTGATTTCAGGCCTTTAAAAGCTACTAGTGCCTCCTGAAAGTTGTTTATTTATGAAAGATTCCTAAGAATCTTCACTCTTATATCTCCCAGTTGGAGACCACTCCATGTATCAGAGGGTAAAATATGGTATCTTTTTTTAGCTGGAAGATATGAATCAATAATCAAGATATACATGACATATGATAGATATTTAGATCAATGGAGCATACTACATAGTCAGAAATAGCTCACACATATATAGTCAATTGATTTTGTACAATGATGCCAAGATAATTCAGTGGGGAAATCAATAAATCATTCAGGACCAATTAGATATTCATAAGGATAAAATGAACCTCTACTGTTACCTCAAACAATATACAAAAATTTAATAGAAATGGGTAATAGACTTATAAACTAAGGCTACAAAATGAGCTATTCAAAGGAACCTGTGGCTTTTGACCTCCTCCTTGTCACACTTTTACAGTTTTGCTAGGATTATGCTAGTAACAGATGAGGCATGTACCAGTGACATCCGCAGTAAGTTTATAAAGCTTTCATGTAAAAAATTGGAAAACTTTTCTTTAAGTCTTCTGGCATCATGATGCAGCTGTTCTGAAAAACAGTAGATAATCCTTATATAATTTGTCACCTGATTTGTTTCAGTATATCTTTTCCGACTGTGGAGCTAATCACCAATATTCTGTACTATCCTTTTTGCACATTTCCAAGGATATGGCCTGTTGGAATATCATGGGAGGTGAGGGCTTTAGTGAGGGTTCCTGTGTGGCATAACCCTCAGCTGGGGCACTGGGCTCACCTTCCAAGTGGTTATGCCTCATCGATTAAACTGTCTCATTGCTTGTATGTCATTGATAAGAATTGTGTTACATGGCCATTTTTTGCTTTGAGTGTATTTTATTTTATTTTTATTTCCTATGGTATAGGTAAGTAAAAATAGGAGGTTAAAATTACATGGTAGAAGAAGCCACTTAGTGTCTGTCACACAAGCTTACTAGCCGTAGCCAAATCTCTTTGTTATGAAAGTGGGAATTTGTGCTAAAACAATTGATAGGATTTGAGCACCGTGTGAATTTTACATTTCCTAATTATGTGGACACCTAAAACATCTACCAGCTACATCAGTTTACTGTGTATTAAAAGCCACATCTATCTACATTTAGTGTTATAACTTCTAGTCTAATTCCAGATAACCCTCCTTACACTACCTCACAATAACTCACAAGTTGCAACTCTTCAGATATCAACAAGAAAGTTTCAGATCACTTTTCAAAGTAAAGTATTATCTTTATTATATTATGCATTTTTAATCTATTGAATGAGTGCTACCATTTTTGTTAGGTTTCTATTTTTTAATGTGCAACTAACAAAGTATTCAACTGTTGTGTGACAAACCCCATTTTCCATGTAAGTCCTACATTTTTCATGTACAAGTTTGCATAGTGAGTGTTAGGAACACATAGGTGTGTTACAGCAGAACTGACTGTACACGTGATGCCTGGACTTCTTTAAAACCTATGTTTGTTTTCCATGAAACTATCTGGCTCTTTTAACTAGTGAAAGTTACTTTTTAACTTACCTTCCCTTATTATTCTAAGAAAGGGAAGAGCACAGACCTTTAAAAACTAAACCATACTGGCATGATCTCACCTCTCCTAACGAAATTACCAAATGCTCTGCACTAGCAATAGGATGTCTCACCCGAAAGAAAAGCTTACCTTTTGGCAAACTAAGATTTTTCAGGAAAATCATGTTCTTCCAAAACTATTATTTGTATATCATTTGCCACAAGGCCCTGATCAGAGTTAAATTTATTTTTACACATATCCACATATATTACACATGTATCTTGACATTTATTTCTTAGGTGCTAAACCCACTGAAACTATACTTCCTCTGTAATCAGTAAACTACAGGACTTCTTAAATGCTGATAAAAATGCAGAAGTGTTTAAATATCATTAAAAAATACATTGACTATTATTGTCATTTTCAATGTATTTTAATGTTATTTCATAGAGAACTGAATATATTTTCATGACTTTGTTGAATTTGACTTTGTATTTTGCCATGGTATAGGTGTAAATATACCCTAGCAACTACAAAGAGTTAATATGTTCCTTTGTATTCCTAATACAGTGGTCTAGTGGAGGGTAACTTTGCATAAAAGAGATCTCCTGGAAGATTCTTTTCAATTCTGGGTTTAGGCGCAACACATTCACATGGGAACACCCGCTTTGCTCATTAGAGTGATTGAGAAAATGAAGGAAGACAGTAACTTCACACTACAAGTGATTATACTCCAGTGAAAGAAAGTCTAAAGGCCTCTTCCTCTTTTAAAAATTTTCTTTTACTGGCAGAAAGAAAATTGTCCTCACCACTATAAAGTACTTTGCTCTTGATCCAATGTAGGACCAATCAACTGTGCCTTGTTTTTTTTGTAAAGTTGGATACATAATTTTTCTTGACATAAAATCATATGTGCTCATTTTAGAAAATGCAGATGAACATAAGAAAATAACTATAATTATATATTCCACCTAGAGATAACTTTTGCTACTGTTTTTGTATGTATTCTATTAGTTCTGTTTCTGTATATACTGTATATAGACTTCATTTTTTTCAGTTAACACAAAGAGCACACACAAGCCATCTCAATAATTATTTAATATGTTGAATACATGTTTCATTTTATGTTTGTACAACAATTTATTTAACCTGTTTCTCATTATTAGACATTTAAATTTTCCCAAGTTTTTTTTACTAGTAAATAATGTCTTGATTAATCTCTTTTGTTATTATATCTTCTTGTAGGCTAATGATTATTCCTTAGGATACATCTCAAGAAATACACAAAAATGTCTATCTTTCCACACCCTTGCTAAATCAGAGTATTATTGTTCTATTTCTTTACTTGATAAGTGAAAAACAAATATCTTATTTTAATTTGTGATATAGTTTGGATATTTGTTCCTGCCCAAATCTCGTGTTGAACTGTAATCCCCAATGTTGGAGGTGGGACCTAGTAGAAGATGTTTGGGTCTTGGGGGTGGATTCCCCATCCCTTGGTGCTGTCCCTGCAATAGTGAGACCTTGAGAGATCTGGTTGTTTAAGTCTGTGGCACCTCCCCCCAACTCTCTCTTGTTCCTGCTTTCAACATGTAATGTGCCTACTGCCGCTTCACCCCCTGCCATGAGTAAAAGCTCCCTGCGGCTTCCCCAGAAGCTAAGCAGATGCCAGCCAGCACCATGCATGTACAGCCTGCAGAACCATGTGCCCATTAAAACTCTTTTCTTTATAAATTACCCAGTCTCAGGTATTTCTTTACAGCAATGCAAGAATGGCCTAATACAATTTGCATTTCTTTGCTATCCAGTTAGGCTGAGTTTTAAAAATATATTTATTAATTATTTAGAGTTTTTCCTTATAGGTGTATTATGTTTCAGACAATTTCTACAGGGATCTAAGAATTACTTAGAGTACATTGAGAACAAAAAGTCCTGAAATGCCCCTCTACTCTTTCTCCAAAGTTATTTCCTCTCTTACAAGACAAATGAGACATTTTAATTTTGATACAGTTTTTCTCATGCCTCTATGCCTTTGTCTGTGTTTGTCCTTCTTCCTCAGATATCCTTCCCCACCTGAGAGAAAGCATGTCCTCAGACTCCAAGGTTGGCTCAAATTTCTGTTCTGCCATAGTATTCTGTGGCATCTGTTAGCTCACTTATCATGGAATGCCTGGCTTTAGAGTTAGTGACCTGTGTATGTACCTGGAATAGATTCTGAGCTGTTTTGTGTACTGACTGCATCTTATGCTTTCTCTCTGTGTCTCTCCCCACCCTTGATTTATTCGCATCATGTCTTGAACATATCAGGTGTGTAGTACCTAGTAAATTTATATTTACAAACAAGTGATGAAGGGAAATATAAGTAAAACACAATTTGGCTTTATAACTCTCTTAAGTGAAATGAGCCAGTGCTCAACATAGAAAAGAATGATTTGCCTTGAATAGATTTAAACTTTAATTTAGTATATAAGACTGCTTACATATGATCCATTCAAATAAAATAAAAAAGACATATATATACCAGCATAATTTAAATAATTACACTTTTCATTGTCTGTATCTTTGCTATACATTGAACAAATGGAGCAGGCAGAGTGTTGTTTTGCACATGGGTCTGACAGATTTCCTCCCAATGGGTCCTGTTCTGATTGGGCTGTGATGCTCACTGCTTTGGGAAGAGTCTGAACTCTTTTCATAGTAGTGGGTGGTAGGAAAGGTCGGTTGTTATCTATAAAGATTATTATTGACTCCTGGCTGGGTGCGGTGGCCACGCCTGTAATCCCAGCACTTTGGGAGGCCGAGGTGGGCAGATCACGAGGTCAGGAGATCAAGACCATCCTGGCCAACATGGTGAAACCCCATCACTACTTAAAACAAAAATTAGCCAGCTACTGGGGAGGCTGAGGCAGGAGAATTGCTTGAACCTGGGAGGCGGAGGCTGCAGTGAGCCGAGATGGCGCCACTGCACTCCAGCCTGGGTGACAGAGTGAGACTCCATCTCAAAAAAAAATAAACAAATAAAAAATAAAATAAAATAAGTAAAGATTATTATTGAATCCAACTAGTGAATGTTTTATAAAATAAGAAACACCATATTTTTACTTCATCTTCCTCACCACTATCCTACACACATGCATACAGACATAGTCAAGCCAGGTGAAATCATTACTCTGAGGACAGGAGAATTTTCTTCCTATTTTATCCTAAATATCCTTAGGACAGCCAAGGAGAGGTTAAGTATACTATTTTGATTTTATGAGATAAACACCTGTTGATTTAAAAGTACATAAACTTCTAGTCCATTGGATGATTAGAAGGAGGACCTTTCTTTTTCACCTCCTGAATGCTCTGACCCCAGTGCGTTTTTTGCTTGTTTGTTTTAATCTGCTAATGTTGCATTGCATTTTAAAAGGATATACAATTGAACAAGTGAAGTAAAGCAGAGCAATGGCTGAGATTCTCTCATCCTTCAAGGATTTTTCCTGGCTAAACACAATGTATGAGATTTGGGGATTGTTTCTCCAAACATACACTGAACCTTATTATATAGATGAAACCACTTCAAATGCATTTCCTCTGTTAAGAGTGTTTACATTTTCAAGTAAAGTAAAAGAAGCAGTTTTCTTTACCCCCTGCTTCACAATGAAGCTGGTGAGTTTATCAAACAATCCGTTATTATGAAATTCTAACACACTACTTGCTGTAGGTGGAAATGCAAACAATCTGATTTTTCCTGAGCTCTTAGAATCTAATCTACTTCTAGTCCTAGCTGATATATATAATAAATATGCAACCCACGTTGTTTCATGCCGCAGCAACCTGGAGGAGAGTGTTATGGAGATGGGTTACTAGAAATGAGCAATACTGGCCAGGCGCGGTGGCTCACGCCTGTAGTCCCACCACTTTGGGAGGCTGAGGTGGGCAGATCATGAGGTCAGGAGTTCAAGACCAGCCTGGCCAACATAGTGAAACCCCATCTCTATTAAATATACAAAAATTAGCTGGGTGTGGTGGTGCACACCTGTAGTCCCAGCTACTTGGGAGGCTGAGGCAGGAGAATCGCTTGAACCCAGAAGGTGGAGGTTGTGGTGAGCCAAGATCACACCACTGCACTCCAGCCTAGGCAACAGACTGAGACTCCATCTCACAAAAAAAAAAAAAAAAAAAAAAAAAGAGGGTATTTTTCTTTGGTTCTCATTTTCATCTCCTGTTTTGAGACTTACTTCAATTCAAAGGTTTTCTTTTATCTGGGAATTATGCTGCGTGGCATTCATGTGCTCTCAAATTCTCAATGTCCATAAATACTCATGGCACCTGTCACCCATACTGTCTACTCCCTATGTTCCCAATACACTTGCTCTTAGAAAATACTTTGAGTGTAAGCAATTAGTTGTGTGCTACATCCCACTACCCATGGAACTGGGGTATGGCTTATATCCTGTACCCTACAATGCTGCAAGGCCATTAGCAAGTATGTCTCTGTTGTCTTCCTACTGCTACCCCCTCTCTAGGGGTATATACCAAAGAATTGGCTTGAACCTCAATATCTTACAGTTTTTTTTAAATTAGCTTTTTAATTTTTTTTCCATTCTAATTTGCAGTCTCCATCTCCTTAAAACTCAGATATCAGGTTGAGTCAGGAGACTAATCTGATTAGTGGTAGACTCCTTATTGTACTGACTATCACACTTAGTACCACTCCTGCTCACCAATCCAGCTGTTTTTATTGGCCAAAGTCTATGGACCTGATTCTCATCCATTAAAATGAGCTCTGTCCATTCTAATGCCTCTCACTCAGATAAACATCTGTCTGGCTTGCCTGTATCTGCTAGACCTGGACACATCTGTCTGAATCTGAGCTGTGCATATCACTTAGACTTGGGACCTTCCACACTATGACAATCTCTCTCTCCAAACATAGTCATTGCCCTAAACATAGTTCAAACTTCACATCTAAAATGCCAGTTTGTTCTGCTACCCTAGATAAGGAAGTATTTTTTTAATATGGCCTTCTTATGAAAACTTAAAAACATTTTTAAGAAAACTCTAGGGGAAGGAGTGGCAAGAGAAAACAGTGATTTTGTGCTAGTTGTCCCAGATTTCTGTGAATTGGCCCAGCCTGCTCAGTGGAGGCCTGTCAGTTCTGATTCTTTGATTTGAGAGTTATCTCTGTGCCAATCATATACAGTAGTCCATTGTCTTCAAAAATTTGTATTTTTAAAGATTATGCATGACACATTTCATTTAGAAACACATATTTAGTTTTTCATATTTTTTCTATTCTGAGATTATTTCTACTACAAATAGTAGTTTTTAAGATTCTAGAAAAGGTATTTCTATGTTTAATTCTGTCTTTCCCTCATTTTACTATATATTAGGCCTTGTGCTAGAATCTTTTTATCATGGTAGTTTAAAATGCCCAGGGCTACCTGGTAAGCTGAATAAACCTTGACTGGAGAATACTCTGCATGCATCAGAAACCCAGTGACTGTGTAAGAAGAAGATAATAAGCATTAGCTGCTTATATGATAACTACGTTGTTTTCTCAAGTTAACTTGATTTTATCAGACTGTTGGTATAGTATGTCAGAAAGCAGTGGAGTTTTTCTCTCAGCTTTTTCATTGCTTTTCAGGTATCTGAAAACTGAAGAGTGGAGAATATGTTCAGCAGGGAACAAGAGGATTCTTTTAGAAATAAGAGGTAGAAGGTGAGTAGGAAATTTAGCAAGTTGAAAGAAATTTAAATATATATAAACCAATGTTTTAGATAGTTTAAGAAAGTGCAATGTAAAGTAGCTTTTAGCCAAACCTCTTTTTGGGAAAACGCACAAAATATTAATAGCAAGTTTTAGTCTTAAAAGTCTCAACCTTGTCTTGATTATGGGGGTTATGGGTAAGGGGAACGGCTGAATTTAAAGAAAATTTGCATAGAGGATGATGATAATTATTTTATCACTCTAATCCTTTGCTATTTTGGAAGTATGCCTTTATATATACATAATAAATATGTTTTATTTGTTCTGTTTTATATGAAAGTCAGAGTATATAATTTTGAAGCTGACTAGTGAAGTGACCATTTTACTTGCAGTTATCTTCTCTCTGAATCCATCAGGAAACATTTTAATAGATTTTCTTCCAAGATAGGCAAGCACTTGTAGAAGCAAAGCAGAGTGCTGGTATGCAATTTCAGAAATCTGTTGACTACATGTTCCCATATGTGTTCCAGGAAATTCACATTTGGATTTCAGTACAACTCAAGAGTTATGGTAGTGCTATCCAACACTTTTTTGAATGGTAGTTTGCTTGATACCAACATGAAACTTGCCAAACTCAGCAGGCCAAATCCTAGTTTTGGAATATGTGGGAACCAAGAAATCAGCAGTTAAATGATGAGGGCTGTATCACTTTCAGTCTTCTAAGGAAACAAATTCTACCTAATGGTCTAGAGGGTCATTTTGAATATAACCAATAATCATTTAAAAATGAAATGTCTCTTTTGTGGCATATCATAATACATATAACATTTAATAATAAAAATCTACTCCATTACATTTCTTCTTGTGAATACTGTCTGCAATTTTTCAGCTTTTCAGACTTAATTATAGCTGGCTAGACATGTACAATTATGCTTACCTCTAGAAATGAAAACACAGTAGTATTCATTGTGTGTATGAAAACTACGTTACAAATTCACCTTATAGCTACTCTGTTTCAAAACTGCCCCAGTTAAAGTGAATAGACTGGCATTAAACTCATTGAATACAGAGCTTCACATCTTCTAGTAAAACATTGCTATTAACTTGGCAAAAAAAATGGTGTGTTAAAATTACAATACATATAATAAAATAAGAAATTATAACCCACAGTTGACCAGTCTGTTTCTGTTCCTGAGAATAAGCTACAAAATCTAAGTTCTGGAGGAGACATCAAAGATCAATGATCAAATGCCCAGGCTTTATTTAGCAAAGGTAGAGCCAAGTCATTCAATATGAATTGCTGTCTATTCTATTCCTATTCTAAAGATCCAGATTATGCCATTTCTTCCTTGTCTGTTTCAATGCCTAACCACATAATGAAAAATTATACAATAACTCAATTATGGCCCCTCCTGCTAAGGTTTAAAAATATTCCTTATAATGTTTTTAAAATCTTTCATCTTGTCATGATGTAGAACAATTGGTTAACATTCTCCTTGTAATAGCCTTCCATTCGAAGACAGTAGGTAAAGCATCCACTTCTTTGTCTTAAAACATACAACTTATTTAATGGTATGTTGTAATAATTGTTTTTCCTCTTTTTAATAGTTATTTCTTGGCCTCTGGAAATTTCATTTTAATAACTCTTTCAAAAGTGGAAAAATATTTTTTTATAATGCTCTTGAATGAAAATATGAAAAACGGCAGGTACATTATTTTCTGTCCTTTTTACATAAATCTGTACATTTATGGTGATATTATGCTTACTTTTTTCTATTAAAAGGTTATTTAGTCTCTCAGCCATTGTGATTGATATATCTTTTGTTTTTTCTGCCTTCCTGGTGGTCTACTAGACTTCATCTATCTTATATTTGTTTATATAGAAGGAGAAATTTGGGATGCTTTAGTACAACTTTGTGACTTATCAGTATCCTATGTCTGTTGTGAAACTTAGGTAATTTAAGGCTCATATCCTGCTGTTAAGTAAAAAGATGAATTTAGCATCTTTGTAAATCCTGCAATCTATGTTACTTATGTAATTAATTTTCTCAGATAACCATTATTATTCCAATTTTACTGCTTAAAAATATTAAATGAGAGGCTGAGTCACTTGCCCAGTGTAATGTCTTATTAGATAGAGGCATCTGAAAACCTTTGGACCACTGCCCTTCCCACAAGACCACTTTGCTAATATTTCACTTTATTTGTGTAGATAAAGCCTTGGACTCTTAATGCTTCACTGTTTGTTTTTTGAAAAGTATGCTATCAAATGCAGTGCAAATTTTGGAGAAATAAATACTACACTGTATTTTTTTAATGAAGTAAAAATAATGTTTCAATGCTGTTATGCTTTCATTAAAAGCTTGGCTTATAAATGATTGCATACAGTCAATTGAGATGATACCTTTTGGGACCAACCTTATTATCCAGAGTTTAGCGTTCCGGGGTCAGTGTAGGTAAGAAGGTTTATAATGACAGAAAAATATTTCCTGGCAATGAAATCTCTGAGACTAGAGCTTATCATAATCGATTTGATGTATTTTCTATATTTTTCTCCCACCAATTACATTTACTAGATAATCTAGGTGTAATCCTACCTAGAATCAGGCAGGTGTACTAATCACCTTTGAAAGACTTTTTAGTCTGTGGTTTTGTAAAGCTGAGTAATCAAGGAAATGATAATTTTAACAAAATGCTTTTCAGTCCACCAGAGTTATTTGTTTCCAGGATGTTAGTGTTATGCTACATGATGATAAAAGAAAATGATCACAAATCTGTTAGTTGAGACATCACTTCTATGGAATCTATAGTGTCTTTTGAGGTCCTAGCTTTAGTGAGGACCTTGGACACAACTCTACTTATTAATATCATCCAGATATGATATTTCCTTCTAAATATGAGACATTGATTGGCATTGCAGGGAAATCTATTTTAAATACTTCCATGATGTTAAGGATGCAGTTTAGGGTCCAAGCTCCTGAAATATGAAGCACAATATCAAGGATGAAAACTTTTAAAAATATTTTAGATCAATGACCTCACAAAATTTTTCACTTTCCTTTAGAATGTTTAAAATCTATTTATTTTTAATAATATCTAATCATAACCCCCCTTTTCACCATGTGTCATTAGCCTAAATAAATAAAAATAAATCAGCTGAATTTTGTTTGCTAATAGAAATAAAAGAAAAATAGAACTTACAGATATGCCATCTGATTTCTTTGATTTCTTTTAGGCATATGGCCTGCTTTCTTTCTGGCCCTAGATTAACGTATTAATTCACATGGCTGTTATTTATTAAGATGTATGAATTGATAGTTTACGTTGGAGAGTTAGTTACATTGGAGAGTTGTAGTTTGCATTATGTTGTCACATGATGCAAAGGTCTATAATGGGCATTGAAGCTTTTTTTTTTTCATTCATAGGGTGTGACTTGCTAATTGGTAAACTACATTCGGTCAACCTGTATATGAGTAATTTAAAAGTTTTCATTGATTACGCACAACAGAAAGAGGTCTGTAGACAGTAATTTTTATTTTAATGCCAAACTAAATGGCTCATTTCTTTTAAGCAGTTTCTTAAACAAATGTGTTTAAAATTGCCTGGCATGAAAAAAGGAAGCTAAATTTGTCAGAAAATTAAAATTTAAAGTAAAGCCAGTTTACACTTAGATATTTCTCAAAATTAATCTTTCCATACCATATGTTCTTACATAAAACAATCAGATATATCTGTATCATGCTCATTTTTGACTCTGGCCCAGTTGAATTTGGTTTTCCACCAACTCTGCTGAAGGCCAAGGCCATGGCCCTTATAACTTAAGCCAAATCAGACAACAAGCAGCCACTTTGGCTCCTTGGTTGGTGGAAAGACTTTGTAATGTTATAACCTCAGTTTGAGCAAAAATACAGCTTGAAATTATAGTGTCTTCTGGATTTCTTCACCCAGTTTTGTCTACAAATGGAAATAAGTTTATATACTTACTGAGTAATGGAGACATACTTTAAGAAAGTGCTTTTTAATGTTTCCAAGAATCAAAAAATTAATAATTGTATGGAAGTTGCCATAACAATTTTAAGCTCCTTGACCTTTTATTTTTTTCAAATTATCAATTTTGGTTTTGTTCTACTCTCATTTTATTCACATATGGGAGCTAGAGCCTGAAATGCACATTTTCTAGTGTTGAGTGTTCGGTTTATAATGCTAATATTTCTGCGGGACCCAAAACAAAATGAAATCAGTTGATAGTAGAAGGTTAGCTTTAGAAAACATTGTGCCAATTGTCTCTATTTAAGCAGCCGTATAGCGCTGGAGTATAGACTCCGTAAATAAAATTAGAACTAAAATATAAAAACACTTTTATATGATGAATATTTATTGATCAATTGGAAAACCATGGGAGATTGGCTTTTTTTTTTCTTCCAACAGAGAGACCTTTAAAATTGCCATGATTTTGTATTATTCTCTCATTATTAGTAATTACCCTGGAAGAAAATGTGATGTTAATGCCCAGTAAAATGTAGTCTCTCTCACTCTCTCTCTCTCCCCTCTTCAGACATTCTCTTTGTATTTACTTTTCACACTTTATTTTATAAATTGCAAATTAAATACCTTTCTTAAGGGCTTCTCTTATTATATAAACCTAAATTGGGCTTAACAAATTGAGAAACATATATGAAGTATTTCATTTGGATACAAACCTTAAATAAAAATGTAGCTGAATGATATGTGACCTATTGAAAACTAAATAAAGTAAGGGCTCCTAATGACTAAAAGTATAGAAAGGGAATTATCTGATCTCAACATGACACAGAAAGAAATCTATTTTTTGATAGAAAAAATTAATAACATATTAACATCTGGACTTCATGTGGATACAGTGTTGTTTAACAATTAGCAGCAGTGCCTTTTCAGCTGCATTCCTACATCTGGGAACAAAACATCATAGGAACTAAAAATAAAGACAAGGAGAAAATAAAAAATTGCCTGCTGTAAAATAGCACAGTTACTCTACATTATAAATTAAAGGGATCTTGTCACCCTCTTTGGGAGTACAAACACACTTTCTGCAATAGATACACCCCAGATACTACCCAGAGATGCCCTGTAAACTGATATTTTATTATATATTCAGGGGAAAAGATTATAATTTTATATCATGACAAAATGAGATAGGACTTAAAGATTCATTGAAAATATTTTAAAGTACTTGCACACTGATACACTTTTAATTAAACAAAATACAGCAGTATCAATTGATAGAATAATTATCTTATGTTTCTTTAAGACATAATACACAAGAACTGTTTAAACTTTGTTACATACTTTGAAGAAGGTAGCTTACATAGATACAAAAGAGTATACATTGGTAATTTATGGCTAGCAAAGATATGTATTTTTGTTATGCTTACAAGGAGAAAAATTATAGAATACCAACTATATTGGATGATCTGGATTTTTTTTCTCCTATTAAGAAGGGCAAAATAAATATTTACTTATGCCTAAGAACAATCTGATACTGGCAGTTTTCCTGAGACTGTAATGCAGGTTTGTATTCTCTGTTAAACTGTAGATTCTATGGAAGATACATTCTATAGTTTCTCCAAAGTATTGTAGAATATGTACCACATGTTTTCTGATGCTGCTTATCTTTTAATTGGCTGGAGAATAAGCCCATATGGTAAACACAAGCATGGCCTGTAGTTCATCGTAGGGATGAAAATATTCTCCAGAGATTTGAACTTTGCTTGTCAGATCCTTCTGGGCCCACTTGAAAGAGGTTGGTTATTGCCTCTGACATTGGACTGATAACCCTAGAGCAAGAAGGAAGCCTGAAAACTTTGGCCTATCAGACTTGGTTATGCATGTATGAGGGTTTTCTCTGGGACTTCTCAGGGAAAGAGGAGTTTTTTCCTCTTCCTTGGTTTTAGCTATTATTTCTTTATTATATTGAAAAGTTTCAGTCTATCAATCAATTGCTATTGTTCTGAACAACTGACCACTAATATTTGTACATGAATGTTTGTACCAAATTGATTATTTTGGCCACTTGAAGACGGCTGTAGTTTATCAAAGCTAAAAAACTTTGAAATATACCTGCTTTAGGCCAATGAAGCCAAAGATTTCTAACCACTCTCTCTAGGCCTTCTTATACTTCAGGCCATTTCCAAATTCTATAGCCAAGATCATGGTATTCCCCTGGAATCATTAAACTATTTTTTCTTCATGACTTTCTGTATCATATTTAAACCATTCATCCATAACTTCAAGTAATTCCTAACCTCTACCTTCATCTCTTTCCACACTTTCCTATTCTTCAGCTCATAGGCTTTCACAAATTTTATTTTTCCATTTGATTTCTTTACCATTTTGATTGCAAACAGAATTATGAAATGTCTAAGTTAGATCATTTTTGGTAGTCAAACTTTGATGAGCAGATGCATTTATTAACACATCTACTTCTAGAAGGCAAAAGTCTCTCACTCTTCATTGGGTCTACTTATATTTAAATGATTTTACATGTATGTAGGTATGGCTGCCTAGGAAGAAGGAAGAAGAGTTTTAAAGAAGGGGATTCATTCATAGGTGAGAGCATGAATAAATATAGTTTGTTTCCTAAGCTCTAAACGTAGCCATAAGCAATATATAGTTTGTATAATTCCTTAAACTCTAAAAGTAGCCATAAGCAATGAACACTGAACTAAAAAGAGAAAAGACAGTATACCTTCCATCTCAAAGAATGGGAATTTCAGAATCTGACTCTATTGTATTGCAAGTGCCACTAGGAGTTATTATTTTGTTAAAAAGTAATTTAGTAACATTTATGTTGTTTTACCCTTTTTAAAAGTAGCATCTAACATATTCTAAATATTCATCAAAAGATAATTATTTTTCTTAATTTTAATAAATTTAAAAGGCAATCTAGAATTCAACTATAGTTCTAATTAAAGAAGTATATGCTAATATATAGAGAACATGTTATAGATGTCTACAGAAGAAAAAAGGATCATATCAAACAAACTGAACATGTATCTGCAAAATCAACTTATTTTCATAAAGGTCAGAATATAGTGGGGTATTTTAGCAGATATATACCTTCTAAAAAAGTCATCCTTCTGCTATATTTGGCATTAATTAGATAAATTAGATTATATGGCCTAGCTTAATAACATTTTAATAGAGGATTTGAAAGGACTGGAGAAGCCTAGAAGGATGATGAAAGGTATTCAGAAAGAATGGTCCATTTGAGGAGGGTCAGAAGTGTTAGCTATGTTTGTATTAGAGAGGGAAAACATAGGTTGCTTTTAAGTACTTTAGACCACAACGGAAGATATTTATTTGAGTTTACCTAGTAAGAATTTGACTCCCTTCTAACATAATTTTTGTACAATAGAAACTAGAAGACTAATGTCACACTTCTCAGAATCCTTTGCAGTATGGCAGATTCTGCTAATGTTCTACAGTCTACCAAGCAGATATACCCAATTAAGATTGGCAGGTGGAAGTGAGCAGTAGTGGTTATGTAAATGAGATCTGGTCAGCTGGCAATCCTGATAGTGGAGGCAATTAGTTCTGTTATGGCTAGCAACGATCTAAGTTTCTGGTAACTAGTCCCTGGTGTCTTAGGTGTTAAGCAGCAAGATGATAGCTGTTTAGCTGTCATGTGGACACTAGAATAGCCTATAGAAATTTGGGCATTTTCCTTGGATGCTCTGTTCCTGACTCTAGTAGCCAAACAGAATTTTTTGTTCTCCCAGAGATTCTGTAAACTGCCGAACTTCCCTCCATTTCCTGCCACAATAATCCTCTTTCTTCTAAAACTAGGATAGTGGATTACTTAAAAAAAAAAGTTTAAAAATTTCTATAGGTTTTGGGGGAACAGGTGGTGTTTGGTTACATGAATAAGTTTAGTGGTGATTTCTGAGTTTGGTGCACCCATCATCTGAGCAGTGTACACTGTGCCCAAGTTTAGCCTTTTGTCCCTCACCCCTCTCCCACCCTTTCCCCCAAGTTCCTAAAGTCCCTTCTATCATTCTCATGCCTTTGCATCCTCATAGTTTAGCCCCCACTTATGAGTGAGAATATACAATGTGTGGTTTTCCATTCCTGAGTTACCTCACTTGGAATAATTGTCTCCAATTCCATCCACGTTTCTGTGAATGCTATCATTTCGTTCCTTTCAGGGCTGAGTAGTATTCCAGGGTATACATATGCCACGTTTTCTTTATCCACTCATTGATTAATGAGTATTCGGGCTGATTCCATATTTTTGCCGTTGTGAATTGTGCTGCTATAAACATGCGTGTGCAAGTATCTTTTTCATATAATGACTTCTTTTCCTCTGGGTAATACCCAGTAGTGGGACTGCTGGATCAAACAGTAGTTCTACTTTGAGTTCTTTAAGGAATCTCCACACTGTTTTCCACAGTGGTTGTACCAGTTTACATTCCCACTAACAGTGTAAAAGTGTTCACTTTTTACCACTTCCATGCCAACATCTATTATGTTTTGATTTTTTGGTTATGGCCACTCTTGCAGGAGTAAGGTGGAATCACATTGTGGTTTTGATTTGCATTTCTCTGATAATTAGCGATGTTGAGCATTTTTTCATATGTTTGTTGGCCATTTGTATAGCTTCTTTTGAGAGTTGTCTATTCATGATCTTAGCCCTTTTTTTGATGGGATTGTTTGTTTTATTCTTGCTGATTTGTTTTAGTTCCTTGTAGATTCTGGATGTTAGTCCTTAAATAGATGGGACATAATTACACTAAAAAGCTTCTGCACAGCAAAAGAAATGATCAGCAGAATAAACAGACAACTCACAGAGTGGGAGAAAATCTTCACAATCTATACATCCAGCATAGATTGCTTTTTCTGTGAATAAGTTTTCTGCTTGCTACCTCTATTAATCAAATTTCTTTGCAATAATAACTAATGGATATTTTTTACATGGCACCATTTTAAATACTATCTCACTTAAACTTTACATCTACTTCATGAGCCTCTAAGTTTCCCCAAAACCCCTAGTGGTTACTCACAAAAAGATAGTCAAATCTGGCTCTCTCTTGATATGACCATTTCTGAGAAGGATGAATAAAGAAAGTGGGTTCAAATGTAAGTCAAAAAGAGATCATTTTAGGCATAAAAATAAGCAGTTTAATAGAATACTACTTACATCTATGGAACAGACTAATCAGTGAACTCAAAGTTTTATCACTGAACACCCTTAAAATGACAGGGTTGGGGCCAAGGAATCATTTGTTAGACTAGACCTCGTTTGACATACTTTTTTTTAGCATTTCAGTTCTTTATTTTTATACATAGAATTTCTAAATTTCTATTTGATCACTGTGATCTGATGTTATTGTCTTCATAGTGCTAATGTAATTTTATGACAATGTGATTATTTAATAGAAAGATGAGATTTTTATAGTCAGCTGTTTATTTTTTCTAAGAAATGGAACTACAAAATATTTAAAATTATACAGTAATTCCTCAACATCATTATATATCCAAAAAGTATTAAAATTTTCTCAATTGCTTCATAAATTTTTTTAAGAATTAGTTTTTTCAAATCAGAATTCAAAGTATACATATTACAATTTTTTGACATGTATCTTGAGTCTCTATTGATCTGTAAGCCTTCTTCACCCCTAATTCTTCCTTGCAATTTATTTGTAGAAGAAACTGCGTAATTTGTCCAGAAGAATTTCCCACAGTCTGGATTTTGCTCACTGCATTCCTGTAGAGTTATTCAATATGTTCTTCTTTTCTCTGTGTTTTCTGTAAACTAGCGGGATTTGGAAACTTTTTCAAATTCAGGTTTGATTTATTTTTGCATAACAAAAATACTTCATAGATGGTAATGTGTACTTTTATCAGGAGGCACATGCCTGGTTATTTCTCTTAGATCCTTTATTTCATTAAGGACTGGTGATATTCTAACTCCATGGTACCTTCATTTATTATCTAACAACTTCTCTAAGGTAACTAGTAAGTTTATTCTATTTTCTATATTCTCTTTTCTTTCTCCCTGCACTTCTTAATAATTGTGCTATATGAACATTATCATGACATATAGCCATTATATGCTATAATGCTTTCCTTGCATTTATTATTTAATCTTGGTTCTATAGGTAAATAAGAATTTAATTATTACTACTGCTCCTTATATGTGATCCTTATTGCCCACTCTCCAGTCATTTTGGTGTCTGAAGTTTGTTCTGTAGTAGAATACTATGGAAGAGCTCTATGGGGCAATATTTCTTGAGTTCTTGTGTGTTCACAAAAAGTTCAACACTTTTATTTGTAGGTCACTTAAAATGCATATAAAGTCCTTGGCTCACATTTTCTTTCCTTGAGACTCTCAAATATATTAAGATATTTCATTGTCTTCTGTCATAAAGCATTGCTGTTAAAAAGCATGACGTCAATCAGGTCTTTTTTTTTTTTTCCTTTATAAGTGACTTGGTCTTTTTGTTTAGACACTGGAAGGATCTTTTTAATTTTTTTTTAAAAGTTATTTTTACTAGAACATGTTTCCCTGTGGTCTCTTCTGGTTATTTTTTTTCTAGGTATATGGTTTGTTATTTCTGTACATATGTAGCTTAAAGTATTTATTTCAGAAAAGTTTTCCTGAACTTACATTTTGGTCTGGATTCTATTCTATTGCTGTAGGTGTCTTCTTTGGAGACTTCTACTACATATGTGTTTGATTTTGCTTGCCTTTTTCTATCTCTCATCACTTTCTTTTAAGTTGTTTTTCTATACTCACTTTTATATTTTACTTAAATTTTCCTTTTTCTATATTCTGTTTTATAAGGTGCTATCCATGTATCCAAATGCTTTTTTCACTATTCAAATCCATTTATTTGTTCTTGTATTCCTTTAGGTTTAGTCATCATTTCTGAAATGATTTTTCTTTTATTTCTAAGTCTTTCTTGAGTTTTGTTCCCTTTCTTTACAAATATTCTTTTTCTTCCCTTCAGCTCATTTCTGACTGTTTCTAATTTTTCTGCTATTCTTTCATAGTTTCTATTATTTTATAAAATTCTTTTAGATTGTTTTGAAATATTAGGAAATATTTTTATCTGTTTTATGGGATGTTTCCTGGCATGCCTCTATTATCTACATGAATATTATCCTTTTTCCTTACAAAAACTTTACATGTGATCTGTCCACAATACATTCCTCTTCCTGATTTTAAATGAAAAGGATTTTCTTGTATTCAAAGAAAGGGAGGGTCAGATGAGCCTGCCCAGTTTTGTGGCTCTGGACTTCTCCATACTTCTATCCTGGAGCTTCTCTTTCCTTTACCCTTAATGTTTCCACCCTGCTTCTACTTAGGGATTTTCCTCCAAGGCATTTCTTCTTAGGTTGGGCACTTGTTTTGAAAGGGTCCCTTCACAGCAAATTATGTTGGTCAAGACTCCCCTGCATGATCTTTCTGTTCTGTGGTCCCTTGAACTCACTCATGAATTGCAGCTTTTGAATGCCTTCAAATTGACTCACTGAGCTTTCACCACTAGAGAGGACACTTTATTTTGAGGGTAAATATCTGTTAGAAATTTGCTTTCTAACAGGCTCACCAGAGGTACTTTTCTCTTCTCTGCTTTCTCCCATACAGGGGCTGATACCATGTGGGTCTGATATAAGGTCAAATTTTGGTATTGTAGGAACACCCATTTTGTGAATTCAGCTACAGATGTTGGCCATAAAATTTTGTTTTGTCATTCTAGCTTCTTTGTTTTATTGAAGGTTTGGAAAGATTAAAATACCAGGCCAGTGTAACCTATACTATCCTGCTAGAAACCAGTAATCGGTTTATTCTTAATCTTATTTCATGACTCTAAGAGGATTTGAACTCTTTTCCTTGAAGATTTAATTAACAATCATTTTGCATATTTGGGGCAGGAGTCTATACATTTAACTATCTGCTTTTTTGAGATCTTTGCCATTGTTATATCCTACCATACAATTTAGTCATTTCAGAAAAGCAGTTACCTAAATAAACTCTTAACTAATTGAAAATGTGCTCTTTGTAAATGTGTATGTATACACAGAAATTTACAATATATAATACATATCTATGCAGTATATATATATAAAGAAAAACACATTAAAATTGATTTAGCTTACAAATTATTTTAGAGTTTCTTTAAATTAAAAAAATGTGAATTTATTTTACTTATAAAAGACTCAGGAATGCATTCCCATTTGAATCGTTTTGCTTTTATCCTAAATGTTTTCTTCTCACCTAATAAAAAGGGAAGGAATGTTTTGCCAAGCTCAAGACCCATTTGGATATGCGGTTTCTAAACATCAAGCCCAAATTGAACACTTTGGAGTTTAACCTTGTTTGGTTTTAGCTAAAATGGCTTCCTGTTTCTAAGAAAGGATAAAAAAAAATTCCAAAACTCAATTGAAACGATCACAATTCTTTTCCAAAACCCAGTGGCTCACATGACAAAACACTTTGATGAATTAAGTAGAAATGAACTGGAAAATGTAAATTAAATTCACCTGTAAAATATAGTTGGTTTTATAAATTCATAAAGGGGGTAGTAAACTGAGACAAATGTCCTTGGGAAAACGGCTGCCAGGACTTGGCCAAAGAGTGTTTGAAAAACACTGCTGCTGGAGATATTATAATGAACCCAGAATACATGCAGTTTTTGTGTTTTTCCTTCTTATAATTTTGCTGTACTTATTCCCACAGCCAACTTCAAATGACCCCCTCCCTGGCCCCCCCACAAGAAAAAAACAGGGCAGCTGAAAAGTTTGCTTAAACTTCTTAATACTTTTAATCCTTACTTGTTATAATTTGATTACTGAGACAGACTTTCTCTGTGGGCCTCCTATTAAATCACTTTCAAGTTGAAACAAACCAGAAATCCTTTTAAATAACAGAGCTAGTATTCACTATAAGCTGCTCAGAATTTATACAGAAACTGTAGACTGTCTCTTCTAAAATGTTGTAAATATGCCCAGAGGCTACTGTGATGGGTTTATCCTTCCAACCTAACCAAAAATAAAATAAGTAAATGAAGTTACTTGATGTTCTGGGTTATAAAGTAGAGGACAATGTTATTCAGGCTTATATCTGATTTTATTTATTTCCATATTATTAGATATCAACATAGATAAAGTTACTTCAAATTAACATTGTACGTAGTTTTTTCTCTATGTATTCAATAGTACGTCATTTGGTTTGATATTGTGAGGATCTGGTCCAAAATAATCTTTATATTATATATTTTAACATGGAAAATAAACTGTTTAATCATGTTTAAATGATTTTTTCTGTCTATTTTGGGCTAGTGTCAGATCAGAATATCCAAGTTTGATACAGATCTTATGCCTCTAAGAAGCTATTTTGAATTATTCACCTGGAAGGAGTAACCCAAACTAGAAAATTTGTAACAGCTGAGGCCTACCTGCTGTTATAGGGGGATGGGATGTGGAGTGGAAAGAACAATAAGTACAGTAACTCTCAACCTTTTGTGTGCATAGATATTTTCAGGAGGAACTCTTAAAAATACAGAGGCTTAGCTCCAGAGATTCAGACTCAGTAAGCTTAGAATAATGCCCAGGAATCTGCATTTTATACATGTGATACTGCAAGTTGTCTTCAGACCTTAATTTGATAAATAACTTTATTAGAATTTTAGATGCCAGGTAAAGAATCCAAGCACAATTTGTGAACTTTAGTGGTCAGGAGAGAATTGTTTTTTGAAAAAGAAAATTATCAATTGTGCTGTAAACAGTGGCAAATAAAAAGTTGGGACAAATAGAAGCAAAAATTATGAAAATGACAGGTAGCTTGATGTTTGAAGAAGACTGATTAAATAGAGAATGGAAGTATGTATGGTAAACAATAAGGAGCTTACACTACTTTCACATGAAACAGAAAGAGAGATTTGTAGATATTAGTATTGAAATAGATACAGTGTTTTAAATGTCCATGTTCACTTCACTCAGTTCTTCCAGGTATGATGTCAGACCAGCCACTACAATATCAAATTGGGCCTTTGTCCTGAGCAGCTTGCTCTGACTGCTTTATACTTTATGTTCCTGATTTCCTGGCTTGTCACTCCATGTCTCATTTCTCTACTGACTGCTCTGGCTCTATGATTGCCATACATTGCCTTGGTCAGATCCTGCTCCCTCTATCTACCACTCCTGAACCAAGTAATACCTTGAAGAGCTAGGCCTCCTGGAACTGGAATCGAGGTTGGTCCTGTTCCTATGTGTTTACAACCACCTCTTATCTCCATTCACTGTTCCACTTCTTGTGTTGCTCCTCCGGGCATTGACTGAAGGAAAACTTTGCTTTCATGAATATGTATTATTCGCTTCCTGTTCCAGGGTCAGCCCCCTATAGCCAGGTGAGTCTCTATTGAATTTTATGGTCCTCAAATTTTTATGTTCACTATAATTATCAGCAGAGTATGTTAAAAATAAGATTGCTCAGACTAGCAGTTATGGAGAGCAAAGATTAGTGCTACCCCAGGTGTCATCCTTAGACAGGTAGCATCAGCATCACCTGGGAGCTTGTTAGGAATGTAAATTCTTGGGTTTGACTCAAGACTTACTGAATCAGGATCTCTAGCGGTGCAGCCCAGCCATCTATGTTTTATCAAGGTAAGCCCCAGCTTAACTTACTGATTGTGAGTGATACCAGTGCCAGCCTCTGGTACTTAATATGTAGTCTGATCTCAGACCTACTGAAACAGAACCTGTATTTTAACAATATATGTGGGCTTTCAAAAGTACTGGCCTGATAACTGTATTTTTAATAAGTTGTTTCCATGGATTTAGGCATCAGAAAGTTGGAGAACATGTGCACTAACACATGTTCTACAATCAAGTGTGGGGTAGTACTGTTCAGTCTCAGCTTGATGTTTCTTGAAACATTTTCTGTTTAAATATATTTGTCCTAGTGCCCCATGGTTCATAGCACCAACTTTGGGTAATATCCATGTTTCAGAGCTGATCTGAGGCTTGACTACTTAATACCTATAAAACCTTTTGAGATCTTCTGGTAAATCCTAGGGTCAAGGAAGCATCCATATATTTGAGGCTTTGCTGTCACTGGTACTGTAATAGGTTTTTTACCATGACATTCATATAACTCCCTGCAAAGGATAAATCCACTCTCAAATCAGGTTCTACGACAAAAGAAATAAACCAAAAAAACAGAAATAAAACAACACTAAGCCTATACCCACCTGTCTCCCCCAAAAGTCGGTTAAGAACCAATGAAGTGTTCATATATATTCTTTCATTATTCATTCAAACTAAATATTCAAACTGAATATTCATTCAAACTATCTTGCTCTAACCAAGAAGCTCTGCTGTTTGCCATGTCTTATCTGCCATTACCATAAATTCCCAAGCATGAACTATAATTTCTGAATAATGGGTCAACTGATGCCATGTTGTCTTTAGAGATATTAATACAAATATTTACTTCACAATGTATGTAAAAAAACAAACCTTCTTTGATCTCTTTTAAAGATATCTAAACCTTTTATTACATTTTCTTAAAAACAGAAATGAGACCAAATATACTCCACCTCCACTGGATGCTGTTTGGATGAGTAGACATATTCATTTCATTAGAGATGATATTAAAATCATAACCCTTATCACACCATCTACCTTGTAATGTAATTACTTGTGCATGTATCTATTTTCCCACTAAATTTTTAGCCTCTAGAGAACAAAGACTGGGACTTATTTATATTTGAAATTCCCACAGTGCCTAGTGGTGCCTTGCAAAACCTTGACAAATATTTACAGAATGAAAAAATGAATGATCTCCTTACTCCTTCCTAATACTGGAAATTGGTTCATTCTGTGTCTCTTTAGTGTATTGCTAACCAAACTTCTGGCTAACCAGTAAGACAACTCAGAGCTCAAATCTTAAGAAGCTACTTGACTGCTGTGACAGGGACCAATTAATCTCTGCAGATTTACCCATTTTCTCTGCTCTGTCAGAATAGACTGTGGATTAGGTGAAACTAGTAAATAGCTTCACAAAGAAAATAACTAATGTTGATTTTTATCGCCAGTACAAACATAGCCTTCTCAACTCTTAAAATTAATGACCTAAAAACCTCATAATAATTTCCTATCCATCAAGCCTTCTATAAATATCCTTGCTCACAACATAGGGAATAGTACAGAAATACTGAAAATAATTATGCCAACTAATCTTTGGGAAAGGGTAAACTAAAAGAAAATGACCTTAGTTAAACAATAGGAAATTGCAGTTTTGTAGGTGAAAAATGATTGAATATTAACAATTTCCTATGTTTCAACTTAATAGCTTTTTGCACTTCCCAAGCACATTGTATTTGAAATTTCCACAGTGCCCAGCAATGTCTTTCAAGTAAAAGTAGTTCTTTCAAGTAAAAGATTCAATTTCTGTCAACTCCAACTGTTCAGAAGATGCATGAGTTTTGTAAACCAAGGTTTAAAGACACTGATAGTTAAAAGCTCTGTGGATTAAAAATTGAGTTCTGCTTTTATTTGTTTTCTAATAAAAAGTTTCAAGATAAGACCAAATGGAAATTGGAATATTTTGCTATATCTTCTATGTTGTAGTTGTTAAACAATATGTATTAAATCACTTTCGGCATTTGTTAAAATGTAAATGTGTAAGACTGACTTACTGAATCAGAATCTTGGGGTAAAGCTCCTGAAGTCATAATTTTTACTAAGTATTAAAGATGAATCTTATCATACCAAATCTGGTGAGAAACACTGAATTATACAGCAACCTTTCCATGGATGAGATAATTGAAGTCTGAAGACATTAAGTGATATATTCTGATGTCATACAACCAGTAAGTACTAGAGTTGGTTGTCTCATTCAGGCCTTTTGATTCATAGTTCCATTTTTTCTTCTACCACATGAACTGAACAGAAAAAAGCTTTTTGACTTATTAATTTTTTAGATATCCTTTGCTTTTTTTTCATTTTATTGCATTTGTTACACTCTGAAAATGAGAAGCAACTCATGGAAAGGCATGCTCATGTAGCTATTTTTCCTGTAAAGGCATGAATTTTCCACAGTATTATTCAAGCTTGCTTACTATTAGATTTACAGAATGTTATATATTAATTTACATAATCCACTTTGTAGTTTTAGTGGCTGCATCTAACAATTGTCAAATTTATTTTTCTCCTTATAGGTAAGGAGAAAATCTTATAGGTAAATTTTAGAAAAATTAACAATACAACATTTAACCTAGAAAGTTTTAATGGTGAATTCCCATTGTCAGTGAATGAATAATCCATGTTATTTGAACTTCAGAAAAATGAGATATATAAAAAACAGTATATAAAGCTGCCACAATTCTATGTAACCCAGAAGAAAAAGAAGAAAACTATGGAAGCAATTATACTTATGAGTATAAATGCAAAATTTCTAATTAACATATTAGTAATTCTGTTTCAGCAAATATTAAGGGAATAGTGCACCAACTTTGAATGGGATTAATATTAGGAGTATAGTCAAAGTTAAATATTAGAAATTTTTCTACATCTTTATTTTAAAATTTAATGGATTCTGCTTTGGGGCAGAATAGAGTAGGCACACCCTACCTGTCTCTCCCACTGATTGCAACTATAAAACTTTGACAGAATGCATGGAAAATAATTGAGTACTCAGAATGAAATATTAGCAAGCAGAGTAGGGAAGAAGACTAGAATTCAGTATACCAAGAAAAAGCCTACAGGTTTATCATTTTTCTCCCATTGGTGTTCTCTGGCCTGAACGTACATCCTGAAACCTGGATTTGGGCATATGTGAAGAAAGAGAGATCTCTAGGAAAAGCCCTCTAGTTCCAGCTCGAGGAAAAGGAAATTAAACTTCTTAATCTCAGAAAGATAATATAAGATTCTTGAGTTATTTTTTCTCTATTTTCCTGCACACTGGTCCCCAAGCAAGCTTGTAGGGTGGATAAAGAAGCTTCAATGGGAACCTGCAAGGAGACTAAATTTGGGAGAGAGGAAACCTTCTGATCAGTGGAGGCATGACCTCCAAGATGGTGGGATAAACACCCTCCTCCCCTCTTGCTCTCTTCTCCCCTTTCCTCTTGCCACTTAGCTCTACATATGGGTTCAGTCACACAAGTGTGTGACAGGAGTAAATAAAATTTCAGCTTTTTGGTAGGAGGTATGAAAACTGGAGCCCAAGAAATTTGGTTAGTATTGTGGCAATCATGGGGAGGATGGAGCTCAGGGAAATGAGTCCACAAATAGAAAATTAATTCCTGAGCTCATCTTTGAGATGCACATGTGTGGATCTGATCCTAATAACTATACGAAAGACTTTCAGACATGAATTAACCAATAGACCCCCCACCCAGGTCATAGACTGATACTGGTTGGTGCACATGTGGAACAGGTACAAATAGAAATGCAAAGGCTTTGACAACTGAAGTGACATTGAAATCATAGACTGCAGAAGATGGGTTAGAACTTACAGCCTAAACTTACCCAAATTGATTTCCTACTGAAAGGAGAATATCAACATTTTCAATGAGATTTAAGTAGGACCTACTATCTCATAGTGTATTATTCAAAACATCCAGGATTTAATTCAAAATAACGTGATATATGAGAAAATAAGAATATTTCAACTTGCATAGAGAAGAACTGAGATTCCAGAACAAATGACACAGGTGTTGGAATCATCGGACAGAAATTTAAACATCTTATTGTAGAAATGCTACAGCAAGCAATTGCAAACACTTCTGCAATGAATGTAAAAATAGAAGATTTTACAAAAGAAATAGAAGATATACAGGAGAACGTATTAGAAATTTAAGAGCTGAGAAAAGAGTAGCAACAACAACAAACCAAACCAAATTCTCACTGAATGGGGTCAAGAGCAGAATAAAGATGACAGATGAGAGTAAGTGGACTTGAAAATGGGTCAATAGGAATTATATAAGTAGAACAACAGAGGAAAAAGATATTTTTAAAAACTAAGAGCAGCCCCAGGAACCTGTGGAGCAATGATAAAATATCTAAAATTCATGCTATCAGAGTGCCAAAGAGAGAAAAAGTGCAGTACTGAAAAAAACTTTTTGAAAATAATGTCTAAAAAATTATCAAGTTTGGCAAATGACATAAACTTAGAGACTTAAATTTAGGCAACCTCAAGCATGATGAAGCCAAATAAATCCATGACCAGACACATCATAATCAAGCTGATGAAAGCTAAAGACAAAGAAAAATTATTAAAATAATCCAGACAAAAATGATCCATTACTTATAGAGGAACAATGATTTGACTTTCTGTAATTTCTCGTCAGACACATGACAGGCCATAAAGAAGTGGGACCACATATTTAAAGTGCTAAAAGAAAGTAAAGAAAATTATTGTCAACTCAAACTCTTTATTCAGCAAAAACTTCCTTCAGATATGAAATTACAGTAAAATAGACATTCTCAGATGAAGGGAAACTAAGGGATGGAGAGAAAGCAAGCAACTTGGAAAACATATTTGAAGATATCATTCATAAAAATTTCCCCAACCTTGCTAGAGAGGCCAACATTCAAATTCAGGAAATGCAGACAACCCCTGTGATATAATATAGGAGATGACCATCCCCCAGACACATAGTCATCAGATTCCCCAAGGCTGAAATGAAGGAAAAAATGTTAAAGGCAGATAGAGAGAAGGGGCAGGTAACCTACAAAGGGAACCCCCTTCATGCTAACCACGGACCTTTCAGCAGAAATCCTATAAGTCACAGGAGATTGAGAACCTATGTTGAGAATTCTTAAGAAATTTCATTCAAGAATTTCAAATCCAGCCAAACTAAGCTTCATAAGGGCAGGAGAAATAAGATCCTTTTTAGACAAGCAAGTGCTAAGGGAATTTTCTACCACTATACCTGCCTTGCAAGATGTCCTTAAGGGAGTGCTAAATATGGAACAGAAAGATTCCTACTGGTCACCACAAAAACACACTTAAGTACATAGACCAGTGACACTATAAAGCAATCACACAAATAAGTCAGCATAATAACCAGGTAATGATATGAGGACAAGATCAAATCTGCACATATTAATATTAAGCTTAAATATAAATGGGCTAAATGGCTTAATTAAAGGGCACATATTGGAAGGCTGGATAAAGAAGCAAGACCTGATGATATGCTGTCTTCAAGTGATCCATGTTACAAGCAATGACACCCATAGGTGCAGGGTAAAAGCATGAAGAAAAATCAGCCAAGCAAAGAGAAAACAGAAAAAAGCAAGGGTTGTAAGTCTAACTTCAGAAAAAACAGACTTTAAACTGGCAAAGATCAAAACAAAACAAAAAACAACAACATAAAGAAGGGCACTACATAATGGTAAAGGGTTCAATTCAACAAGAAGACCTAACTATCCTGAATATATATGCATGAGCACAGGAGCATCTAAATTCATAAAGCAAGCTCTTAGAGCCCTACAAAGAGACTTAGATAACCACACAATAATAGTGGGAGACTTCAACACCCCACTGACAGTATTAGGTACATCATCAAAGCAGAAAACTAACACAGATATTTGGGACCAGAGCTTGAAACCTGACCAAATGGGCCTAATAGACATCTATAGAACTCTCTACCCCAAACCAACAGAATATAGATTCTTCTCATGTGCACATGGCACATACTCTAAAATTGACACATGATCAGCCATAAAACAGTCCTCAGCAAATTCAAAAACACTGAAATCATACCAAACACACTCTCAGACCACAGCTTAATAAAAATAGAAATTAATACTAAGAAAATTGCTCAAAATCCTAGAATTACATGTAAATCGAACAATCTGCTTCTGAATGACTTTTGAGTAAACAATGCAATTAAGAGAGAAATCAAGACATTCTTTGAAATTAATGAGAACAAAGGTACAACATACCAGAATCTCAGGGACACAGCTAACGCAACATTAAGAGGAAAGTTTGTGGCACTTTATGCCTATATCAAAAAAGTTAGAAAGATCTCTAATTAATAACCTAACGTTACACCTACAGGAATGAGAGAAACAAGAGGAAAACAATCCCAAACCTAGTAGAAGAAAAGAAACAATCAGAATCAGAGCTAAACTGAAGGAAATTGAGACACAAACAGATCATACAAAAGTTCAATGAATCCATGAGTTGGTTTTTTGATAAAATAAATAAGATTGATAGACCACTAGCTAGACAAATAAAAAAAGAAAGAAGATCCAAATAAATGCAATTATAAATGACAAAGAGGACATTACTACTGACCCCACAGAAATAAAAAAAACCCCTCAAAAGTACTATGAACACCTTTAGGCACACACATTTGAAAACCTAGAAGAAATGATAAATTCCTGGAAACATACAACCTCCCAAGATTAAACCAGGAAGAAATTCAATCCCTGAACAGACCAATAACGAGTTCCAAAATTGAATCAGTCGTTAGAAAGTCTACCAACCAGAAAAACCCCAGGACCAAATGGATTTACAGCCAAATTCTAGTGGATGTATAAACAAAAGCTGGTACCATTCCTATTGAAACTATTCTAAAAAATTGAGGCATGACTTCTCCCTAACTCATTTTATAAGGCTAGCATCATCCTGATACTTAAACCTGGCAGAGACATAAAAAAAATCAGGAGAATATTCTTGATAAATATAGATGCAAAATTTCTCAACAAAATACTAGCAAACTGAATCCAGCAGCACATCAAAAAGCTAATCCACCATGATCAAGTAGGTGGATTTGCGTCACTTTACTCTTGTGATGCAAAGTGTTTCAACATATGCAAATCAATAAATGTAATTAATCACATAACAGAACTAAAACCAAAAACCACACAATCATCTCAATAGACATAGAAAAGGCTTTTGATAACATTCAACATCAATTTATGTTAAAACCCCTAAACAAACTAGGTATTGAAGCAACACACCTCAAAATAACAAGAGCCATCTATGACAAACCTACAGCCAGTATCATACTGAGTGGGGAAAAGCTGGAAGCATTCCCCTTGAAAATCAGCACAAGATAAGGATGCCCACTTTCACCACTCCTCTTCAACATAGTAATGGAAGTCAAAGCCAGGGCAATCAGGCGAGAGAAAGAAAGAAAAGCATCCAAATAGAAAGAGAAGAAGTAAAACTATCTCTTTTTGCAGATGACATGAATCTATATCTAGAAAACCCCATAGTTTCTGCCCTGAAACTCCTAGATCTGATTAAAAAAAACTTCAGCAAAGGTTTTGGATACAAAATTAATATACAAAAATTAGTAGCATTTCTATATGCCTACAGTGTCCTAGCTGAGAGTCAATCAAGAATGCAACCTCATTTACAACAGCCACAAAAATTAGGAATATATCTAACGAGGGGGGGCAAAAGATGTCTACAATGAGAATTACAAAACTCTTCTCAAAGAAATCAGAGATAACACAAAGAAATGAAAATCATTTTATACTCATGGATAGAATCAATATTGTTAAAATGGCCATATTTCCCAAAGCAATCTACAGATTCAATCCTATTCCTATCAAACTATGAATGGGATTCTTCACATAATTAGTAAAAACTTTTAAATTCATATACTACCAAAAAAGAGCTTGAATAGCCAAGGCATTCCTAAGCAAAACATACAAAGATGGAAGTGTCATGTTACCTGACTTCAAACTATACTGCAAGGCTACAGTAACCAAAAACACATAATAGTAGCACAAAAACAGACACATAGGCCAATGGAACAGAATAGCGTGCCCAGAAATGAGGACACACGCTTACACCCATCTGATCTTTGACAGAGTCAACAAAAACAAACAATGAGGAAACAATTCCCTTTTCAATAAATGGTGCTAGGGTAACTGGCTAGCCATATGCAGAAGATTGAAACTGGACCTCTACCTTACATCATACACAAAAATCATCTTGTGATACATTAAATATTTAAATGTTAAACCAAAACCATTAAAATCCTGGAAGATAACCTAGGAAATACCATTCTGGACATAGACCCTGACAAAGATTTCATGATGAAGACACCAAAAGCAATTGCACCCAAAACAAAAATTGACAAATAGGACCAATCAAACTAAAGAGCTTCTGCACAGCAAAATAAACTATCAACAGAGTAAACACACAACCTACAGAATGGGAGAAAATATGCAAACTATGCAACCATCAAAGGTCTAATATCCAATAGCTATAAGGAACTGAAACAAATTAACAAGCAAAAAACAACCCCATTAAATATGGGCAAAGGACATGAACAGACACTTTCAAAAGAAGACATACCTGTGGCCTACAGGCACATGAAAACATGCTATACACCACTAATTTGAGAAATGCAAATGAAAACCACAAACGTGATACCATCTCACACCAGTCAGAATGGCTGCTATTAAAAATCAAAAAAATAATGGATGCTGGCAAGGTTGCAAAGAAAAAGGAATGTTTATACACTGCTGGTGGTAATGTAAATTAGTTCAGCCATTGTGGAAAGTAATGTAGCGATCTCCAAAAACTGAAAAAAAAATTGCTATTTGACCCAGCAATTCCATTATTGGGTATATACCAATATGGGAGTATATACCAATAAAGGAATAGAAATCATTCTCTTATAAAGACATATGCACATGTATGTTCATTGCAGCACTATTCACAATAGCAAAGACATAGAATTGACCTTAATGCCCACCAATAGTAGACTGAATAAAGAAAATGTGGTACATATACACCATAGAATACTATGCAGCCTTAAAAATGAACGAGATCACGTCTTTGCAGCAACATGAATGGAACTGGAGGCCATTATCCTAAACAAACTAACGCGGGAGCAGAAAACCAAATACTGTATGTTCACATTTATGAATAGGAGCCAAACACTGATTACACATGAACACAAACAAGGGAACAACAGACACTGGGGCCTACTGTAATCATTCTGCTAATAGCAAGATCTAGCACTCAGAAGAGGCTTTATCAGCGTCATGACATCTCTATATTATTGTGTCTGATCAGGGAACTCATTTTACAGGAAAGCAAGTACAGCAATGAGCTCATGTCTATGAAATTAACTGGTATTATCACTAAAACCACCGCTTGGTATTGACTGGCCTAATGGAAAAGCAAAATGGCTTATTGAAGACTCAGGGCATTGGTAGGAACACAACACTCTGAAAGGATGGGGTTCTCTCTTACAAGAGGCAATATACACTTTAACTCACAGATCATTCTATGATATAGTCCCCCTCATGGTAGAAGTATTTGGGTCCTAGAATCAATAATGGAAGTACCATCCAATAATCTAAACTTCATGCATGGGACTCTCTGTTTATCACCATCATCTTTCTAGCTCTCACCTTCTAGAATCTTTATCTCAACTTACTTTTGACTTCATTGAGAATGCCAGTCTATATTATCATCTCACTGTCTTCTATTTCTTCTATTGAGCTTACACTTTCTGGTCAATGATAATCATTTCCTTGGGTATACTTTTGGCTTTCTTTCGCTTGTTTTACTTTCCTCTTCTGGCATAACTGAACTCCTGTTTTAATCCAATTCTCCACCCATTTCCCATCAGCACATGTACAGCTGAATGTGGCTGGATAAAAATATAAAATTATTCTGAGCGATCTCAGGATAATTCATGGCTATGATCCTCAAAGGGGATCTTACTGCTTTTAGGCAATCATACTATATGTCCCCAGTCAAACTGCTCTCTCACTCTTCCCCCAAAATATTTCATATATTCCCCTCTCTCCTCAAACCACAGCATTTCTTCTTCCTGTTTTTATTCAACTTTATAATTTACTGAGAATATTGAAACAATTAAATGAGAATTTTTCCAGGCTTCTACCACCACATCTGCCATTTATTAGCATCGATGCTTTTTCTACCAGCCTGTTACCATAGGTGAGCTTTCCATGCCCATATTTAAGGGTAATTTCTCTGTTTGTGTACTGAGGAAGAAAATAATGAATTTTCAGGACGACACTGAGAATCTTAGTAGAATCAACCTACTGAGAGAATAAATTTGCTTATAATGAATACTTATTAATGGCATTACCTATATCATGATAGAAAGGAGGTCTGCCTGGAGAAAGGAGTCATCATCAGTTTGAAACAATTATTAAAGACAACTACATGTAGTAATGTAGTTTTTGAAGATTTTAAGTAACAGATCTTGATGTCTCAGGGAATTAGAATAATAATAAAATGTACCTTATATGTCTTGCTTAATTTTACATTCTCAGATCCCTTTTGGTCTGTGTAGGAGGTAATAAATGATGTATTTTCCTTACCTGTGTGAAAACCTGCCTACAGTTTCTTCATGGACCAGTAAAACTAAGTTCTCTAGGGTGTTTTCTCTGATTATTCTAGTATGTAGTCATCTTCATTGTGTCTAAATTTCAAGTTTTATTATCTGTACCATAATTTTTATCACATTTATAAATAGTCTTTCATTGCTATTTAATTATTTTGTATCTCACCTCCAAATGCCTATTTCTGTTCTGATTTTCATTGATCCAATGCTAATGGATTTTTTTAGCTTCTCTGTGACCTGCTATTCTCCATTCCGATTTTTGATCATTACATGAAGAAACTTTGCTAGAGAGTCTATATTTTAGACAATTTGCTAGAGAGTCTATATTTTAGAGAATAGAAACTTTGCTAGAGAGTCTATATTTTAGACAATTAGTAACAATGAAAAAGAGAAGATAAAGAATTAATAAACTCCAGAATGATGAGAAGTAAGGATTGAAAGGTTGGTAATAATTTGTAAATGCAAATACGATTTACCTTAAAAGATGATTTACAAAATAAGATTAGAAAGTATCTATTATAGTTAATGTATTTAAGGCAGAATGACAATTGTTTACCTTACAAAAGGATTTGTAAACACAGAATTCACATAGTAATTTGTGAATTGAGTCATCAAAAAAATATTATCAAAAGTGAAATTATTTTTGAGGTAACACCAGTTGGGTAAAATATGGCATGGTGTCTTAAAAATATCTTGTATATTAGCTTGCAACATTCCATATTGGAGAAATCAAATGTCTTGGTGTTTTCAAGAACAAGTCAGTGAGTTAGCTGCATTGGAAAGAAAATTAATTTAAAAAATCAGTATTAGAAGAGATCACTCAACAGACCATTAAACAGCTTCTTTTTCTCCCTAACTTTGTGCTCCTCACTAATTCTCTTGTAATTCGGGGACAAACAGAAACGCTGTTTGTAGTATTAACAACTGTTACATGTCTCAAAATAATGTCCTGACAATGTTTTTTCTTCCTTTTTTTTTTAAGGAAAGCCTTTTTTCTTTGGTGGTTACATTTTAATTATTTGTTTTTGAACAAATAAATTCTATTCTTATGGGTAATTTTGTGTTTTTAATAAGCAAAGATGCAGGATTGCTGTTAACATTCAAATTGGGGGGAAAATATACTCAAGTGATGACAATTCTCAGTTTAAAGCTTACACCAAATTTTCGGTAACTTAGTTCATTATTTATCTTGAAAGTCTCTAAGCCTGCAAGCACATGTGTTAATGTGGAAACAATTTGGATCAGGGGGTGAGGATTTGTTTTAAATTTACTTGAAGAAGAGAGAATCCTGAATTACATTTGGGACCCTTAATTTAAGATTTGTAAGTATTTCCTGTCGTGTACTAATGTAACCAATATTGTTCACTAATACTCAAATTAAATTGCTCTCAATTTGATACTCAAATTGATGGTTCTGAGAACTTAGCCTGAAAATCACGGGATTTTTGACTTTATTATTCATGTTTGCACAATTGCTTTCCTGTGTAATGCAAGCGCTTTAAAGAAGGAGAGCATTCTATCTTTTTAGCCTCAAATGTCAACGCTGTGCCCTAACATCTTACCCCCTCCTGATTTCAGTGTCCTTAAAAGTGCCATGATTCTCCCTCATCACTTAAGTTATTACAGTGTATTGGTTTGTGTCCATGTTTTTCTACTTACTAGTGTTAACGAAAACCAGAGCTGGACAGTAGTTAAAGCAGTAAAAATAAATTTTATTCAGAGCTATTGCAATGGGGGAAAAGAGACCTCAGTATAGAACCTGGCTCAGTTTCTAATGCAGCATGGGCAAGTAGGGATTTGTCACCAAGACAGTGACAAGATGGTATCAAGGGTGGGAAATGGTCTGTAAACTAAGTTAGCAAGATTCTTACTACAACTGGGCCATGCAGGCCCAACAAGGCAGACATAAAAGTTGAAGACTAGAGGGCTTAGAGGAGCCTGACTAAAGTTTAGTCAAGGAGAAAGTCTGTGTCACTAGACAGGGGATTACTTAAAGGCACAGACGATATCTATTTTCTGTATTCCCAGTTCTTAACATACTGGCTGGCAGATAGAAGATGTTGACTAAATGTTTTTGAAGTTATACATTGGGGGAGGGTGTCAGGATTTACTAAATTCCAGATATGACCTGACACGGTTTGGCTCTGTGTCTCCACCCAAATCTCATTTTGTAGTTCCCATAATTACCACGTGTTGTGGGAGGGACCTGGTGGGAAATGATTGAATCATGGGGCGGGTCTTTCCCGTGCTGTTCTCATGTTAGTGAATAAGTCTCATGAGATCCGATTGTTCTAAAAATGGGAGTTTCCCTACACACGCTCTCTTCTCTTGTCTGGCCTCCCTAGCCATGTGGAACTGAAGGTCCAATAAACCTCCTTCTTTTGTAAATTGCTCACTCTCAGGGATGTCCTTATTAGCAGCATGCAAATGGACTAATACATGTCCCAAATACTAAGTTATTTCAAAGAAAATGTGCTAGCCTTGGAGTCTTACTGAAGGCTAAGTGTGTCCCAAATACTAAGCTATTTCAAAAAAAGAGTACTGACTTTGGAGTCAGACAGAATTGGGTTTGAATCTTGAACCTAACACCAGTTGTGACCATGTGCAATTTTCTGAGGATTAGTCTTCTCATCTTTAAAATGAGAATAGTAATTCTTAGCTAAAAATTTTGATATGAGAAATAAATGTACATAATACGTTCCAGTGTCTGTATTCTAGTCACTTTACCATATTATCTCTTTTGGCACATTTTCTATTATGTAAGGCTTCTTCCCAAACAGAGAATGATGATACAGCTTTGATGTATGTTGTAAGTAATAATAGAGGATTATAATGCAATGAAAAGTTTTCAATATGTGACATTAAAATAGTCTCTTAATATATACGTTTTCTCAATTATAAAATTAGAAGGCCCAACTAGATGATCTCTAAGGTTTCTAGTGGTAACAATCCTGAATTATACTCTTTAGGAATCATTGTCTAGAAGTAGGCTCATTTCTAACAACATTGTAAGGTGAGTAAATTGTCCAGTAAATTACTTCTCACTAAAATATTAGAAACTTAGTATGCTATTCTCCTAGGAGAATTTTTCATTTAAAAGAAGAGAGTTGGGATATTGAAAACATTGATAGAGTGGATTGTTCATAAATATTGAGATATTAGTAGGGGAAATGATTTTGAGCAGGAAGGACATCTTTCTTTTATCTTTATTTTTTATCATATGTATTTAAGGTGTGCAACATGATGCTTTGATGTATTTGTACACAGTAAAATAGTTACAGTCTAGCAAATTAACATATCCATCATCTCGGACAGCTTTCTAGTGTTCCTGTCATGCCACTTTACTTATGTAACTTATAACTAAGTTTAAACTGATAGACATACCACCCAAGATTTTTTAGCTTTTCTCAAGATACAGTTTAGTGATTTGGTTTAGATTCTTTAGAAAATTTAAGAACATTTTTCAGTTTTTTTTTTAGTTTATGTAGAAAGCTGAGGAGAAAATGAAAACTTTTATCTCTTATTCCCTCATTTCCTTCACCTCTTCTCTTCTTTTCTTTCTCTCTCTCTCTCTCTCTCTCTCACACACACACACACACACACACACACGCATCTTCTCTTACTCTCTTTCTTGCTTTTTCCATTCCTTTAACTTACATAGATAGTAAATTCCTTTGAGCACTACCAGGCATAAAATAAGACTGTGTCCCAGACTGAGACCAATATACAAAATACTCTGCTACACTCAAAATTATTTATTTAAAAAAACAACAATAATTACCCTTCTATTGTAATATATACAGGCATTGGTGTCTTTGCCTGTAACTGATGTAATGAGCTCAGCTATGTGGCAGACTTGAAAGGACGAGTGCTTGTACAATCAACTGCTGGATTAACTGGCTGATGTGTATTTAAATAGAGGGCATATAAATTGAAGGCATGAAATACAATTTTTAAAATGTGGTAAATTTGTATTTTGCAAATTAGGATATTGATTTATCTAAAACATATCATTTTGGAGTAGGATATTACATTTAGTTCACACTATGACAGCTTAATGGGACAAGTTTAGGAAATAGCATAAGATAGTGAAAAGAAGATTAGGTATAAAGTCTGGAATCACGAGTTTTAACTGTGGCTCTGTTCCTAATTTACTTCGTGACATTATACAGACACATTCCTCTCTTATGTTAAATTACATGATCTTTGAATACTTTTCTTCACTGACATTATTCTATGTGGGAGTGCACACACAAGAAGACTAAAGCCCTGGATGTTTTTAGAGTGGTTTGGAGACCCTAGGATATACCTAGAGGCAGGGAAGCTGTCTATAAATTATGAAAAATATAAGTATCTTTTTATTGATGAAATAAATCTGACTTTTAGAATCACAGTTTAGGAAATAAGAATGAGATAAGCCATCTCCTTTAAAAGAGTATAAATTGTTTTTTCCCATCTTAAGGAAATGAAAATGTAATTAAACCCAAATTAAGCAAAACAAAGAAAATAACATCAAAGTACAAATCAATGAAATAGAAAGCATAAAGACAATAGAGAAAGTCAATAAAACCAAAAGCTGATTTCCTGAGGAGGTAAATAAAATTGATAAAGTCAAACTGATCAGGAAAAAAAGGAGAAGACATAAATTACTAATATCACGAAAAAGAGAGATTATATCACTGTGATTTACAGATCTTAATAGGATAAATACTTGAGCAATTTTATGCCAATAAGTTAGACAACTTCAATAAAATGGATGCCTGTGAAAGACACAAATACCAAAAAGTCACTCAAGAAGAAATAGAAAACAGGAATAGCCCTATACCTATTACACAAATTGATATTGTATTTAAAAACTTTCCATAAAAACTTTGGGTCCAGATGGCTTCACTGGTGAATGTCACAGAACATTTAAGGAAGAAATAGTGCCAATTTTTCATAAATGCTTCCAAAAATTTTTAAATAAGATACCTTTTAACAGAATTCTGGCCTCTTCTATGAGGCCAAAATTACCGTTATATCAAAACCAGACAGAGACATAATAAGATCTTTCTTGTAAGAAAAAAAACTACATATTGATAACTATGAACATATATGTTATTGTTATCAAATTGTAAACAAAATTTTACCAAAATCAAATCCAACAATATGGTAAAAGGATAATACATCACGATCAAATGTGATTTACCCTAGAAACATAGGGCTGGTTTAACATTTGAAAAACAATCAGTACAACTCTCCATATTAAAAATTATAAAAAGGAAACCACCTGAACATCTCAATAGGTGATGAAAAAGCAGTTGTGATGTGAAATGTCATATTCATGCCTAATGAAAACTCTCAGTAAAGTCAGAATAGAGATGAATTTTATCAATCTGATAGAGGGTACTGTGATGGTTAATATTGAGTGTAAACTTGATTGGATTGAAGGATGCAAAGTATTGTTTCTGGGTGTGTCTGTGACTAAGAGATTAACATTTGAGTCAGTGCACTGGGAGAGGTAGGCCCACCCTCAATCTGGGTGGGTATCATCTAATCAGCTGCCAGTGTGATAGAATAAAGCAGGCAAGAGAAGATGGAAGAATAGGTTTACTGAGCCTTCCAGCCTTCATCTTTCTCCCATGCTGGATGCTTCCTGCCCTCGAACATCAGACTCCAAGTTCTTGAACTTTTGGACTTACACCAGTGGTTTACCAGGGTCTCTTGGGCCTTTGGCCACAGACTGAAGGCTGCACTGTGTGCTTCCCTACTTTTGCGATTTTGGGACTTGGACTATCCATCACTGGCTTCCTTGCTCCTTGACTTGCAGATGGCCTATTGTGGAACTTTATCTTGTGACCATGTGAGTCAATTCTCCTTAATAAACTCCCTTTCATATATGCATAGGTCCCATTAGTTCTATCCCTGTAGAGAACCCTGACTAACACAGGCACCTATGGAAAACCTACAGCTAATATTATAATAGCAAAAAACTGAATGCTTTCTTTCTAAGATCAGGAACATGACAGGGATGTCCAGTATTACCACTTTTAGGTAATATTGTACTGGAGGTTCTAGTGAGTACAATCAGGCGAGAAAAAGAAAACAAAAGGCATCCAGACTGAAAATAAAGAAGCAAAACTATTTTGTTCACAAAGGATATGATCATTTATATAGAAAATCTGATGGAATCTATAAACGTAAGAAATAATGAGCTTAGCAATGTAATAAGACACAAAGTCAATATACAAAAATCAATGGTATTCCTACAAACTATCAAAATTATTAAAAATTTTAACTAAAATTTAATTTCAGTTAAAGATTAAAATTAAAAACAGAGTTTACAATAGCATCAATAAATATAAAGTACCTGAGTATAAACCTAACAAAACATATGAATCACCTGTACCTTTGAAACTATAAAATATTTTTGAGAGAAATTAAAGGTTATTTTAATAAATGGATAAAATACCTATTGCATGGGTTAGAAAACTCAATACTATTGAAATTTCCAGTCTGCCTATTGATTTACAAATTTAGCATAATCCCAATCAAAATCAAGCTGGCATTTTTTCGTGTTTAGAAGTTGACAAGCTGATTATAAAACTCACGTGAACATTAAAAATATCTAAAATAGCCAAAATAACTCTGAAAATTGGAAGTAAAATACTACCTGATTTCAATAATTATTATAAAGCTACATGAATCAAAACAGTATGTTTTTGACATAAAGACAGAGAAATTAGCTGATGAAAAAAATAATGGAATCCAGAAGTAAAACCACATAAACATAGAGAATTGATTTTGACAAAGGTATGAAGACACATAGTGGAGAATGGGAAGATTTTCCAACAGATAATGCTGGAAAATTGTTAATATTAGTGGTGAAAATGATTCTAGATTGAAAACAAAGACGTAAAACTTATATTCACAGACAGTATTATCTAGATCATGTGGGGATATAAGTCTCTTATTTTACACCATACATAAAAATTGTCTGAAAATCAATCATACACCTAAATGTAAAACCTAAAACACAAAGCTACAGTGACAGTAAAAACATTAGTTGTTACGGGTTCTAGGATGTATAGTGGAAGGTTTGAATAGGTGAAGAACAGAGGATGTTTAAAGATGGCAATAGTATTCTGTATATAGTAGTGCTGAATACATGACCCTATGCATTTTCAAAACCTTTAGAAATTTATAGCCCAAAGAATAAAAATCATTAAGGTACGTAAATAAAAAGAAAATAATTTTGGATCAAGGGAATTCCAAAATGGAATGTATAATGCGGTAAAACAATCTAAATACATTACAAGTGTATAAAACAACCTCGTTAAGGGAGGTAAGGCTAAGTAACTGTAAATCACTGGGGTCTATAAAACTGAAGGCAAAGGAAACTGTATATAAGCACTGAACTTTAGTTGATAAAAGTGTTTCTCAGAGATGTATGGGTTACACTTCTGATACCGCTCTATATGTGTACTAGAATTGAACAATTAAGTAAATTTATGCTGAATAGTGGAGACCAGATTTCTCATTTTTGGAGTTGAGATTTACAGATAAGCAGGGCAGGAGACAAGAATTATCCATGTGGTAATGGTATAAAGATGGAGCCACTGGTATGAACTCATGTTTAATTTAATATAGATACACTTGCATATAGATGTATTTATAGGTGTGTGCATGTACGTGCACATGTGCCTGTTGTGTGTGCATCCATATATTCCTTTGGGTTTTACATTTAAGTCTTTTATCCATATTGAGTTGATTTTTATATATAATGTAAGGAAGGGGTCCAGTTAAACACCATAGTCTTGACCCAAAAGCTCCTTCAGCTGATAAACAAATTCAGTAAAGTTTCAGGATACAATATCAATGTACAAAAATCACTAGCATTTCTATAGACCAACAAGAGCCAAACCAAGAGCCAAATCAGGAACTCAATCATATTCACAATTACCACAAAAAGAATAAAACACCTAGGAATAGGGGAAAAACAGCTAACCAGAGAGGTGAAAGATCTCTACAGTGAGAATTACAAAACACTGCTCAAAGAAATCAGAGATGACACAAGTGAAAAAACATTTCATGCTCATGAATTAGAAGAATTAATATCATTAAAATGGCCATAATTCCCAAAGCAATGTATAGATTCAGTGCTATTCCTACCAACTACCAATGACACTTTCCACAGGCTAGAAAAAAACTATTTTAAAATTCATTCGAAACCATAAAGGAGCCCAAATAGCCAAGGCAATCCTAAGCAAAAAGAACAAAGCTGAAGGCATCAAGTTACCAGACTTCCAACTATACTACAGGGCTAGAGTAACCAAAACAGCATGGTACTGGTACAAAACCAGATACATAGACCAATGGAACAGAATAGAGAGCCCAAAAACAAGGCTGCACACCTCCAACAATCTGATCTTCAACAAAGCTAACAAAATCAAGCAATGGGGAAAGTACTTCTTACTCAATAACGGTGCTGGGAAAACTACGAAGTAAGGAAATGCTAAACAAACTAAAAAACAAATAAATACCACAAAACCCAGAAACATGGGAGTATGTCAAAGGGAAACAAGAGCCTACTGAAAAAGCTTCCAATGGCCAAAGCTGGAACAATTTGCTCAACAAAGTACATTGGATTATAATGTAAATGTAAATTAAATATTCATGAGTCTATACTGATATAAATGATTGAATAAATAAATAAATAAATAAATGTGGGAGATGAGACAAATCTCCCAGACAGAAAAATTGTAAATAATTTATGCAGATACTGCACCTTCAAGGGGCATAACTTGTTAAGGCGGGTTGCACACAGTGACTGTCTTCCAAAAAATACAGTATAAAAAGGGGCAAAAATGTAGTTTTATAGTGGAGAAGTCTGACAAACATTAGCTCAACTATTGATCAAAATCAACATCAATAATAAGTATGTTGATAATACAGACCCTTGATATGATGTAATGAAAATTGTCCTTTACCTGTGTGATTTTCCTTCCCCAAACTTGTAACTGCAATATAATTATAAGAAAAACATGTGACAAATTCCAATTATGAAACATTGTACAAAATACGCAACCAGTACTAAAATGCAAAAATGTCCAGGTTATCAAAAACAAGGACACTCAAAAAGAAGAAACTGTCACAGCCAAGTGGAGCCTAAAGAGATAGGGCAACTAGTAAGAAATGTGGTAACTTGGGCCCGGTGCTCTGGCTCATGCCTGTAATCCCAGCACTTTGGGAGGCTGACGGGGGGCAGATCACCTGAGGTTGGGAGTTTGAGACCAGCCTGACCAACATGGAGAAACCCCATCTCTACTAAAAATACAAAATTACCTGGGTGTGGTGGTGCATGCCTGTAATCCCAGTTAACTGGGAAGCTGAGGCCGGAGAATCGCTTGAACCCAAGAGGCAGAGGTTGCAATGAGCCGAAATAGCGCCATTGCACTCTAGCCTGGGCAACAAGAGCTAAACTCTGTCTCAAAAAAAAAAAAAAAAAAAAAAAAGGAGAAAGAAATGTGGCAACTAAATATGCAGTATTTTAAATAGAATCCTGAAACAGAAAAGTAACATTAGAGAAAAACTAAAGAAATCTGAATAAATTATGGGTTTTAATTAGTGATAATGTATCATTGTTAGTTTATATAATATAATAAAAATACCAAACTAATGTAAAGATATTAATAATAGGGGAAATCGGATGCAGGGTGCATGGAAACTCTCTATACTATTTGCAATTTTTCTGTAAATTTAAAATTGTTCTAAAAATGCTTATTTTAAAAATACAGTTAGATATTGTAAGACTTACATTGGAATAACTATAATGTAAAGATGGAATATGCTATAAATTGTTGCTAAAAATGTGGAGCATATCTTTTTTATTTCTTGAGATGGAGTCTCTGTCACCTAGGCTGGAGTGCAGTGGTGTGATCTTGGCTCACTGCAACCTCCACCTCCTGGGTTGAAGTGATCTCCTCCCTTAGCCTTCTGAGTAGCTGGGACCACAGGCACACACCACCACGCCTGGCTAATTTTTGTATTTTTGGTAGAGACAAGGTTTCACCAGGCTGGTCTCAAAGTACTGACCTCAAGTGATCCACCCACCTCGGTCCCCCAAAGTGCTGGATTACAGGTGTGAACCACTGCACTCAGCCAAGCATTTCTATATCTATGTATCTATGTTATATGGTTTGGCTCTGTGTCCCCACCCAAATCTCACCTTGAATTTTAATCCCCACATGAGAAAGGAGAGACCTGGTGGGAGATGACTGGATCATATGGGCCGTTTCACCCATGCCGTTCTTGTGACAGTGAGGGGGTTCTCACAAGATCTGAAAGTTTAAAAGTGTCAGTTTCTCCTGCATGTGGGCTCCCTCTGTCTCCTACCGCCTTATGAAGAAGGCACCTGCTTCCCCTCCATCTTCTGCCATGATTGTAAGTTTCCTGTGACCTCCCCAGACATGCAGAACTATGAGTCAGTTAAACCTCTTGTTTATAAATTATCCAGTCTCAAGTAGCATCTTTATAGCAGTGTGAAAACAGACTAATACAGAGTATCGTTACTAACAGAGTGGAGTACTGCTATAAAGGTAGCCTGAAAATGTGGAAACAACTTTGGAACTAGGTAATGGGCAGAGAGTTGGAACAGTTAGGAGGGGTCAGAAGAAGACAAGAAGATGTGGGAAGCTTGAAACTTCCTGGAGACTTGTTGAATGGCTTTGATCAAAATGCTGACAGTGATATGGACAATGAAGTCCAGGCTGAGGTGGTCTCAGATGGAGATAAGAAACTTCTTGGGAACTGGAGCAAAGGTCATTCTTGCTACGCTTTAGCAAAGAGAATGGCAGCATTTTGCCCCTGCCCTAGAGATCTGTGTAACTTTGAACTTGAGGGAGGTGATTTAGAGTATTTGGTGGAAGAAATGTCTAAGCAGCAAAGCATTCAAGAGGTGACCTCACTGATTCTGAAAGTGCTCAGTCATATGCATTCACAAAGAGATGGTTTGAAATTGGAACTTATATTTCAAAAGGAAGCAGAGCATAAAAGTTTAGAAAATTTGCAGCCTGACCATGAGGTAGAAAAGAAAAACCCATTTTCTGGGGAGAAACTCAAGCTGGCTGCAAAAATTGGTAAAATAAGGAATCAAATGTTAATTGTCAAGACAATGGAGGAACTGTCTCAAGGGCATTCCAGAGATCTTCAAGGCAGCTCCTCCCATCACAGGCCTGGAGGCCTAAGAGGGAAAAGTAGTTTCATGGACAGGGCCCAGGTGCCTGCTCCTCTGCGCAGCCTTGGAACTTGGTGCCCTTCATCCCAGCCACTCCAGCTCCAGCTGTAGCTAAAAGAGGCAAATGTACATCTCAGGCCATTGGTTCAGAGGCTACAAGCCCCAAACCTTGGCAGCTTCCATGTGGTTTTGGGCCTGTGGGTGTGCAGAAGACAAGAGTTGAGGTTTGGGAACCTCTGCCTAGATTTCACAGGATGTATGGAAATGCCTAGATGTCCAGGAAGAAGTCTGCTTCAGGGGTGGAGCCCTGATGGAAAACCTCTACTAGGGCAATGCAGAGGGGAAAGTGGGTTTAGAGTCCCCATACAGAGTTGCCATTGGGGCACTGCCTAGTGGAGCTGTGAGAAGAGAGCCACCATCCTCCAGACCCCAGAATGGTAGATCCACTGACAACTTGCCCTGTGCATGTGGAAAAGCTGCAGACACTCAACACCAGCCCATAAAAGCAGCCACGGGGGCTGTGCCCTGTACAGCCAGAGGGGCAGAGCTGCCTAAGGCCTTGGGAGCCCACCTCTTGCTTCACCATGTCCTGGGTGTGAGACATGGAGTAAAAGGAGATTATTTTGGAGCTTTAAGATTTAATGATGGCCTCACTGAATTTTGGACTTGCACAGGGCCTGTGGCCCCTTTGTTTTGGCTGATTTCTCCCATTTGTAATGAGAACATTTACCCAATGCCTGTACCAGCATTATATCTTGGAAGTACCAACTTGCTTTTGATTTTACAGGCTCATGGGTGGAAGGGACTTGCCTTGTCTCAGATGAAACTTTGTACTTGGATTTTTGGGTTAATGCTGGAATGAGTTAAGAATTTGGGGGACTGTTGGGAATGCATGATTGGTTTTGAAACGTGAAAAGGACATGAGATTTGGAAGGGGCCAGGGGCTGAATGATATGGTTTGGCTTTGTGTCCCTACCCAAATCTTATCTTGAATTGTAATCCCATGTGTTGAGGGAGGGACCTCGTGGAAGGTGATAAAATTATGGGTGCCATTTCCCCCATGGTATTCTTATGATAGTGAGGTAGTTCTCATGAGATCTGATGGTTTAAAAGTGACAGATTCCCTGCATGCACTCTCTCTCTCTCCTGCCATCATGTGAAGAAGGTGCCTGCTTCCCCTTTGTCTTCTGCCATGATTGTAAGTTTCTTGAAGCCTCCCCAGCCATGCAGAACTATGAGACTTTCCTTTATAAAATACAGTCTCAGGTAGTAACTTTATGGCAGTGTGAAAATAAATACACTATGTATCCTGAATACATTTAGTCATCAAAATATATGTATCAAAATGTACATAGCAGCACTATTTTAAATGGCCAAAAATTGAAAACAACCAAAATGTTCATCAACACTGGAATGGATAAATATATATTCTCACCATTGAAAACATCACAGTAATCAAAATAAACAGTCTAGAACTAATCATAAAAATATGATGAATCTCAGAAATATAAAGTTGGTAGAAAAAACCAGATATACAAAAAGGTACATCCCATGTGATTTATTTATATATTGTTCAATAGGCAAAACTAAAGCATGGGGAAAGGGTGCAATAATTAGAAGGAAGCAAGAATGGGACCTATGATGGTTTGGTAATGTTCTGTTGCTTGATCTGGGAGTGCTCATCACATGGGTGTGTTCAAGTTGAGCAATGTTTTTATCTGTGTAAGTTGGAATATAAATATATTTTGCACATGAATCTAATGTCAGTTATTGGGCTATAAATCTCTTTGCTAGGTTTTTCAATTTCTTTATATATTTCAACAAAAGCTCATTTTAAAATAACTATTAATAGTAAAATTTTTTCAAATGTGCACAAAGGGAGATAATATGATGAAACCTGTGAACCTATCATAAAGCTTCAATAATTATAAGCTTCGCCAATATTATTTAACCTTCCTTTTTCCCTGGTATATTTTTAAAGCTCTTTAGTATGTTACAATTGGCTTACATGAAATTGCATATAATTATTGTATAAAAATTGATAAGTTTTAGCATATGTATACACCCATGAAAACCACAATACATAATCAAGAAATGTAAATATTCCTCACCACCCTAAACTTTCTTATGCCTGTTTGGAATTCTCTCTGCTCTGGCCCAACCATACCAGCTACTACTGATTTGCCTTCTGTCACTGTAGATGAAATTGCATTTTCCACAGGTTTATATGAATGGAATCATATAGTATGTACTCTTTCTTTTTCTGGCTTCTTTTACTCTGCATAATGAATTGTGACTTACCCATGCTGGTGCATGTATCAATAGTTCATTCCTTTTAATTAATAAGTAGCTTTCCATTGCATAGAAATGCCAAAATCTGCTTATCCATTCATGTGTTGAGGGACATCTGGATTGTTTCCAGTTTGGGCCTGTTAGAAATAAAACTGCTATGAGCACTTTGTATAGACATAGATTTCCTTTTCTCTTTGATAAATACATAGGAGTAGAATGAGTAGACTATATGGTAAGTGCACATTTAAGTCTATAAGAAACTGACAGGCTGTTTGCCAAATATTTTGCCATTTTACAGCTGTTCAGCATATGAGAGTTACAGTTCCTCCACATCCTTGCCAACACTTGGTAAGATCAGTCTTTTATCATTTTAGTCATTCTACTAGGGGTACAATGTTATCTCTTCATGATTTTAATTTCTATATCCTTAACTTTAAAAAAGTCAACCAAAGATGTGTGGAGAATTTTTATCTAATAGAATATGCTAATGGCAAATAAACACAAGAAAGATGCTCAACATTATTAGACATATAATTAAAATACTGTAATATGCCTCCTTTTCAGATTGGCTTCTTTCACTTAAGCATTATGCATTAGAGATTTCTCTGTGCCTTTTCATAGCTTGATAGCTCATTTATTATTATTGTTAAATAGTATTTCATTGTATGGTTAAGCCAAAGTTTGCATATTCATTCACCTACTGAAGGACATCTTGGTTGTTTCCAGCTTTTGGGAATTACAAATAAAACATCTATAAATGTTCACATGTAGGCCTTTTTGTTTTGGTGGATGTAAGTTTTTGAATCTCTTAAGTAAATACCTAGGAATGAGATTGCTGGATTGCATAGTAAAACTATGTTTAGCTCTATAAAAAATTGGCAAACTTTCTTCCATAGTGAATTTGATATATGGCTTTTAAATTATAGAATTCTAAGTATTTTTATCTTAACTTTTTTCCTCTTTAACCCATGCTATTTAGAAATATCTTTATAGGCCGGGCACAGTGACTCATTCCGGTAATCTCAGCGCTTTGGGAGGCGGAGGCAGGTGGATCATCTGTGGTCAGGAGTTCAAGACCAGCCTGGCCAACATGGTGAAACCTGTCTCCACTAAAAATAAAAAAAATTAGCTGGGTGGCAGTGGCACATGCTTTTAATTCCAGCTACTTTGGAGGCTGAGGCAAGAGATTCGCTTGAGCTTGGGAGGCGGAGGTTGCAGCGAGCCAAGGTCACACCACCACACTCCAGTCTGGACGAGAGTGAATCTCTCTCTCTCTCTCTCTCTCTCTCTCTAGCATATATATATAGAATATATATGCACAGCATAGATATATAGAATATATATGCACAGCATAGATATATAGAATATATATGCACAGCATAGATATATAGAATATATATGCACAGCATAGATATATAGAATATATATGCACAGCATAGATATATAGAATATATGCATAGCATAGATATAGAATATATATAGAATGTATAGAATATATACAGAATATATATAGAATATACAGAATATATATAGAATATATAGAATATATATATTCTATGTATATATGGTCTTTTATCATTTTAGTCATTCTACTGAGGGCACAATGAGAGTAGAATATATTTCATATATATATAGAGAGAGATACACATATATATGTGTGTATATATATGTATATATATCTTTTCATATATGAAAAGCCCACAGCTGACATTATACTCAGCGGTGAAAAACTGATAGCTTTTCCTGTAAAGATTGGGAACAAGGCAAAGATGCCCATTTCCATTACTTTTATTCAGCATGGTACTGGAAGTTCTAGCCCAAACAGTAAAGCTCTTGTTTTTTTGTTTTGTTTTGTTTTTACATTTCTTGCTAAGGATTCAGAATAATATAATTTTCCCCATGTAAACCTTGTGGGTTTAAAGGGTCAGAAATTTAGAGAGGGCTTGAACCAATTACCAGGCACCCACACTGTGACCTGAGGTTCTTTCATATTCCTAAGGACGTGGAGGTTTGCTTATATGTGACCAAGAGCAAAGAGGTTTAGAATATTTTAATAACAGGTAGTTCCCAAAAGAGTTATTAGGGCCAGTGGAAAGTTTTCATCTTTTGTCTGCTATGACAATTATCTCTCCTAGGTTCTGCTTCTGCTGTAAGCCACTATCATTCTTAAATTGGCCAGAATATTTTATCACCCTTTGAAGCAAACACTTTATAATGTAAATCATATGCAAACAATATCATTACCCTTCAGCACACCAGATCTATTTCCTCTTATTCACTGGTTTTACACTCAACTCACCTGTGATCTCTATCCTAGGGTGGAACATCAAGATTTCTAAAAGTAACTGTGGAATCCATTGAAGATTTTATTAGTTTTTGCCAATAAAATAAACTAGTTTGAAATAAAGCCACTGCATCATCCAGTTCCATAAATTTTACTTTGCTACATATGAAAGCAGATTTTAGGTGCCTGCTATGAAAAGAAAGGTTGTATTACACCAGTGTGTATGTTCACAAGGCTCATAATCACATTACATGTGGCATGTGGAAGGTAAATACTTTGCAGCAGCCACCAGTTAGCTCTTTTAAACTTTTGTTTCTGAAAAAAATATTAAATATTCTGAATTTAAAGATCTTTAAAATTTCTTATTTTTATTTCTAACTTAAATTTATTTTAACATGTTTTGAAAATTCAAAACTTGAGTGTCACCCTAATAATAACCAATTATGTAGACACCCACCTTTATATTAGTTACAATTATTACCAGGGGATTTTATATCAAGAAATAAAATGTTGCTTCCAAATCTTAGCTATTGTAAACAGTGTGGATAGTGGATTATTTGTAACTCATAAGTGTTTGAGGGGATGAATACCCCATTCTTCATGATTTCACATTTCATGACTTTATCAAAACATCTCTTGTGCCCCATAAATAGATACAAATTTTTTTAAAAAAAATTTTTAAATAAAAAATTGTAAAAATGAAAGGTTATATGAATTTGTGAATTGCAGTTCATTTTCATTTTCTCAAAATATGAAGGCAAGAATATTCATTTTTAGTTAGGCCTTATAAACAAACTATAACCTAGGTAAAATATTTGGTTTGTTGAAAAGAACAATGGCTTTGCATCTAGGAGTATCAAGTTTAAAGCCTGGTTTTGCTACTTAGCAGTCATCTCTGTTAAGTCACTTAACCTTTCTTATGTTTACATTTCCTCATTTGTAAATGTGGATGATGAAAACTACTCTGCAAATACTTTAAACATTTATAATAATATATGTAAACATTGACATAGGGTCTTTGAAAACACTGAAAAATACTGTTATTATATATGTGTTTATAATATCTGAGGTTGCTTATGCATTCTTCAGTTTACACCACTCTTGATAGGTTCGGCATCTTTATACATGGAATGCCAGAGCTAAAAAAGACCTTAGAAATTATCGAGTTGCCACTAACGCCCTAATTTTTCAGTTGGGGAAACTGTCTGTGTCACGTTAGAGCTATTGAAGGCCACTTATAGTGAATTAATGCTACAGCTAGTAGTAGTAGTAGAACTCAAATCCCTGACTCTAATTCCTCCACTCTTTCTACCAGACTGCCAGTACATTTTTCTAGTTTTCCTATAGAAAAAAAAAAAAATCAGGTGATTAAGTTTTTCCCCTCATAGCCTCCACTCTTTCTACCTAGTAGAATTATGTTCAGGTCACCCAGCAGGACAGTTGGATATTAGCTAGAAGATAGTTTTGTGGTTGTTTCATTGTTTTGTGTGTTGTGGTCAGTTGAAGCTCAAAGATTACATTTTGTGATGATTTTCCTATTTTTACTTTTTCTTAAAATATTAATTTGGAAGAATTTAAACATGACGAAGATTAGTATGCCCTCTAGCTTTCTACTGAAAAATTTTTAAGTATTAGTGATCAATTTTCTAAAATTTCATTTTGACTGAAAATCATGAGAAAATCATGTTGAAAATCTTTTCAACATCTTTAGTGTGGCTCATCTGAAGATAATACTTTATTACTGTGTGTTTGATTTCATAAAGTTAAACCTGCAATGAAAATACAGTTTGAATGTCCTTTTACTAGAGGAGTCACATTATGTGTTGAGTATTACAAAATGGCTTTTGTTAGAACCCTATTTCTATTCCCAAAGACCTTGTAATTCTGATACGGGATTGTAAGGCTTCCCATCTGTTTGCTAACTCATTTTAACACTTAAAATATCTCAGTATGAGAGAATATCAGTGCATATGAACCTTTTTTTAAGGAGATATATCACAAATTAGATAATCGTTTCCCATTTATAAAGACAGATGCTCTGAGAGGTTGATTGTAGCTGTCCTTCTATATCTACCTGTGTGATCATAAAGAGAAGAATTGTGTAAGTGTCTAAAACCAGATGGGTTAATGTCTAAAACCAGATGGGTTAATGTCTAACACCAGATGGGTTAAAGAATGTAAACTGAGCCTTACCAGTTTAAATGGGTGACTGTTCTAGCTTAATTCTCCCTATATAGTAAATGAGTAAAGGAAATATACTTCATTAAAAAACAAATCTAAGTTTATTAGAGAAATAAAAGCTGAAGAAATTAATATTACCACATTCAAAACATGAGGATAACACCATATTGGGATTCAGAGAAAATTCAAGTCTACCGTTAATAGTTTGGATCATATTTTCTACATTAACCTTAATTTTGCTAACATCCTCTGTCTCCAACATATTGTTGAAGAAACACCAGTTGCCTATTAAGAGAGTACAATGTCAATATATAGTTTGCTTACTTCCTAATAGTATCACTGATAGGATTGAAAACTAGATCGATGATAACTATTAACATTAATAACATGGCAGAACTGTAAATCATTACAACCAAAAGAGATTGGCATGAGAACAAATGTAAAAAGAGCTTGAACAAATGAAATTCTAACAGGTTTTTTTAATGCTTTAATTTTAGCTTCTGAACTGATGACAATTACATTCACCTGAGAAAATGTATAATAGCTCGTTGAACCAACCATTTTTAAGAGATCTCTGCCAGCAAATAATGTATTAATCTCATTTAATTCTCACATACTCTGTGATAAGCACTATTCTACTTTACAAATAAAGGAACAGACTCAAAGAGCTCAAATGACTTACTCAATTTTGTGCATGTAGGATTTGAGCAAAGTCTAATGAACCCTGAAACCCAAAGAGTAAAAGTTTGAATTATGTGAAGAAAATAACTGTGTGATAGTAAGATGGCAGGTAGTTTAATTAACTTTTAAGTGATAACTTTTTAAAATTCCCCCAAATTTCAGCAAATTGTCTTGCTATCTTGCACATTATTTTTGCTTTCTTTTCTTTCATAGCTAAGCTTCTAGGTTCTAGAACATGTCCTGTCTAGTGTTGTTTTCACTTCCTCACCACCAGTTTACTCCTCTTATTGCCAACCGTCTTTTGCTTCTGCCATGACTTGAAACTGCTTCATCTGCAGATGAACAGTGATCATTAATTGCTGGATTCTACCAGCTCTTTTCAATTCTTATTCTTGCCTAACTTGACCTAAGTAGTACTTAACTCTTGAGATCCAACTTCCTCTGGCTTCACCAGACTGTGGATGCCAATTGGTCAAATTCATAAGAATAATCTGTATTTTATTTTTATACATTTTATACAGGATTTCTTCTTCCTTATTCTGATTACACCAAAGCTATTTCTTTGGTGGAATAGCTTCTCCCTGACTTAATTGACTTTGGGAGTTGAGTTTACCCAGTCAGACAATCACAGTGATTGGTCTAAGAAGTGGCCAATCTGAGTGAATTGGTGTTTTCTTTGAGATTTTTAAATAATGAAGCAAAAAGACAAGCACTTCATTTTTCCTCCAGCCCACTAAGCTGGAAAAAAATTCTAGGTCTGCCAGCAGTCATCTGTCACCACTCCCTCCAAATAGAAGTCTCTCTTTATCTCTCTCTCTCTCTCTCTCTCTGTGGGCGTGTGTATAAAGAAAGCCATTTGCAGATCAACAGAATGAAGCCAACACATAGAGAAAGCTGAAACTAGAATTGTAGAGAGAGTAAAAAATGTGCTCTGGACAGAGTATTTGTCCCTGAATCCTTTTCTGTCCATCCCAGTTTTGTCAGTGACAAAGCCCATATTTGCTTAAACTGGCTGCAGTTATGTTTCTTTATTTGCATTTTGAAGAGATTTGACTCACCTACCTACTACTCACTGCTACTGGTGTCCTTCTTAGGCCCTTGATATCTGTAGGAAGGTGATAGTCCCAAATATCCCAGAACACTGGAACTGCTAAAAATGATGGCTCACAGCTATGCTGTGATGTGTGAAGGAGTAGGAGAATCCTCTTGGCTCTTTCTTACTCTCTTATCTGGACACGAAAAGAAACAACTGAGTTCTCCTGTTTCAGAGTTCCTAATGAAGAAAACTTTGGCTTCTGTAGCTGCCTGTCTCTTGATAGGATTCATTTGTGAAGAAAGGCCTCTTTGGCCAAAGCCCTTGGATAAACCTTCTCATATACCTCCTACCAGACTCCTCAGAGAGTCCTGCATACATTTGAGTCCCAGCCCTGCTACACAAAATTTATTCTTTTCTCCTTCTTTGAGCAATCCTCCTTCGGTTTATGTGGCACATTACTTGGTTTTATCTCTTTCTTCTCTGGGTTCTTCTTCCTAGGGAACTATAGTCTGTTCTTTCATTGCTTTCCTTTAAAGGCTATTGTCCCAGGGCTCTATGTTTTTAATCCATTTTTATTTCCACTTGGCCTCCTAGCCTGGCAAACTCATTCTGCTCTATGTTATTAGATACTTCCTATAAACAAATATCTTATACATTTTTATCTACAACTCAGATCTCTGTCCTGAGCTCCAGACCCTCAAATTTACCTACTTGCTGTACATCACCTCCTGAGTATTCTATGAGTACCTTGATTCCACCCTCATTAAAAGTGAGATCATCTTCACCTTCTTTCCATCAAATTCCCCCTCCCAGCAGTAGACCATACAGTTCATTCAAAACAAAACAAGACTTGAGGGACACATTCTGGATTTTCTTCTCCCTTCAGATTCATAGTCTATGTTTCTTGAAAATGCATCTTTTTCCTGAATATTCTTCAGCATATTAAGAAAAGCTGGTGGTGTGGGAAGTAAGGGATCACAGATGTCTTTCACATATATTTTCAAATCCCATTTTCTAGATTAATTTTCTTTTTAGCAAGGAAGCGTTTACATTTGGATCTTTAATTTCTCTCAGTTTTTGCTATAATATATAACCTTCCACTTGTTATATGAGAACACTATAATTTTAAGAGGTATCTTGCAGATTCTATCATTTTATTTATAACCTTCCACTTGTTATATGAGAACACTATAATTTTAAGAGGTATCTTGCAGATTCTATCATTTTATTTTGCTTTTACTCTTTTTTTTCTTAAGATTCTGGAAACATTTTCCCAATGCTTTTCCTAACTGCTTACACAACCACTTAATATATGGCTTTCCATGTCTTAAAAATAAGTACTCTTCTGACCAAACTGACCTTCCACCATGCATGGAGGACATGGGTGTGAACCTGAGGCCCAACCCAACTGTATAAGGTTTAGTGCATGTTATAGTCCTTTTCCCATCCTCCTACTTCCCCTTGCCATATTTATAATACAAAAATTGGGCAAAAATACATAGCTTATTATTTAACTTTGTTTTTTAAAGTCTTTTTTTCTACGCACACACACACAGAGAAATGAAATAGGAATAATGTTAATATAAGAAATTCCAGAGGGTCAAGGAAAGGGTTAGGAGAAATAAAAAATGTTATTTTACTTTGCAATACTTAATTTCATCATTTTGGGTTATGAGGCATGGTGTTGTGGTCTATGAACATGGGACAGAGAATAAGGAAAGTTTCTTAACCAATGCTGGCTTTGAAAATGAACTCTGTGGGTGGCCATGGACAAATTACCTGATATCTTCATTTCACTTACTTTATGACTTCTAGTCTACTTGGAGATCATTAATTTGATTGACAGTGCAGCTATAAATAATACACCAAGAGTTAGTTGGAAATCTAAGAAATGCTGAGCTTTTTAGAATCGTAATATATTTAATTTGTTATTGACAGGTCACCTCAAATACCACAAAATGAATGGGAAGATGAACACTATGCAAGTACTCATTAAAAACATCCCAAAATGCTGGAGGAAATGCCGTGGAATTAAGGAATGACTCTTTTGTGGTAGAAAATTTTTATTTCAGAGTATAGACACTGCTTGTGCTGGGTCTCTTAATTTTACTGGATATTATAATTTTCTTGGACTGTTAGATTTTCTCAGTGCAACATTTCTGAGAGCAAATATGTTCTGCTCAATTAAATACTTTCTAAAGCTAGATAAATGCCTTCCAGTAAGCACATTAACATTCAATATGTTATATTTTACCAGAGGTAAAACATTTATATTCTAAAACATTATATTCTAAATTTTTTTACCCCAGGGAAAATAAAATGCCAAAAATCTCAACTACCACACATAGCTTTGTAATAAGATCAATGGGCAAATGGAATCAGCTTCAGTTTGCACTAATCCTACATATATGTATTAAGGATATGTGTAATGAACTTTGGCCATAATAAATTATAACTAATTTATTTCATCAGTTCACTACTATATTTCTTTCTTGTTTGCTTCTCCTCTTGTCGTCTCTTCATATTTGGTAGAATATATTTTATTGAATATCTAGTTTCAGATTACCTGAGCTTCAGATTACATGGAATTTTGGACTGTTGAATACTTTTGATTGTGTAGTGGATATAACTAAGCAATTTTTTTTTTGGGGTGCATACTTAGAATGTAATTTCTGGATCTTTTGATAGGCATATTGTTTTAGTTTGTTTTCTGCTTCTATAACATAATACTGTAGACTGGGTAATGTATAAAGAAAAGAGATTTATTTCCCTCAGAGTTCTGGAGATTGTCCAAGATCAAGGGGCTGCATCTAGTGAAATCCTTCTTGCTGTGTCCTATATGGTGGAAAGCATCACATGGCAAGGAAGCATGCTTGTGACAGAGAGAATGAGAGCTGAACTTCATCTTTTTATCAGCAACCCCCTCCAGCAATAATTAACCCAATCCCACAATAATGGCCTTAATGTATTCATGTGGGCAGAGTCCTTATAACTCAATCACCTCTTGAAGGTCCCACTCTTAATGCTGTCGCAGTAGCAATTACATTTCAACATGAGTTTTGGAAGGGATATTTAAACCATAGCATACATGTTTGCTATAAAAACGCCAGTTTTCCAAGTGAATGTACCCATTTTAAACACCCACCAGAATCATTTGTGAGATCTAATTGTTCATTCAATCTTACTATACTTGGTATAGTCAATTATTTTAATTTTAGCACCATAATGAATATGTAGTGATATTAAATTTGGTATTACTTTGCATTAATGACTAAAAATTAGATAACAAATGATATTGAACTTATTTCCACATGCTTATTGATCATTTGGATATATTACTTTGTGAAGTTCATTTTTGAAGCCTTTTGCCCATTTTTCTTTGTGTTGTATTTATTTTCCATACTCATCAAAAACATCCCAAAATGCTAGAGGAAATGCTCTAGAATTCAGGAATAACTTCTTTTGTGGTAGAGAATTTTTATTTCAGAGTATAGACACTGTTTGTGCTGGGTTTCTTAATTTTACTGGATATCATCATTTTCTTGGGCTGTTTGATCAAGTTTGATTTTCCCAGTGCAACATTTCTGAGAGTAAATATGGTCTGCTTAATAAAATATGTTCTAAAGCCAGATAAGTGCTTTCCAGCAAGTACAATTTTCCTTCCAGCAAGTATAATACCTGGTTTATAAGCATTACATATATTAATATTATTATTTTGTCAGATAGATATAATAAAAGTTTAATATTTCAATCTTTTATGGTAAGTGCTATTTATATACTGTTTAAGAAAGAGGCACCCATCATGACAATAATGTTCTATATTTTCCTATGAAAGTCTTGTTTTATATTTCACATTTAGGTTTTGATGGTCCTTAAATATAAGATTTTTATACATGATATTATGTATGGATTTAGGTTAATTTATTTTTATATGGATAGCCAATTGACCCAGAACCACTTATCAAAAAGACATCCTTTATACATTGAATTGCAATAGTGTTTTATCAAAACCAGCTAAGTATTTTTGAGTGAGTGTATTTCTGAACTCTCTAATTTGTTTCATTTGTTTACCTTTTGTTGTATTATTTCCTCACCATCTTAATTATTTTTAGCCTTATAAAAGCTTTGATATTTGGTAGTATAAGTTTTCCTGTTTAGTTTTTCTTCTGTAATATTTTCTTGACTATATAAAGTCCTTGCATTTCTATGTACATTTTAGAATAAAACTGTCAATTTGCACAAAATAACAGGCTGGGATTTGGATAGAGATTATGTTGATTTGAGGGAGATTGGCATTTTATCAATATTGTGTCTTTCAGTCAATATACAGAGTATATCTATTTAGTTATTTTGATATTAATTTTTCTCACCAATGTTTTATGGTCCTTAAGGAAAAAGCCTTGCAATGTTTCTATATATGTGATCCTAGGTAGTGGACCCTTTTAGATGTTATTATAAATGATTTTGCTTTTTAATTAAATTTCATTTTTCAGTTATTTCTAGTATAAAGAAATGGAGGTGACTGATTATTGGAAACATTTATTTGTAAATTTTCTTATTTTTAATTTTTTTGTAGATTCTTGTAAATTTTCTGCAGAAAATTTATATTTTTTTCTGGCTTTATTGAACTGCTTTGAAACTCCAGTGAAATGTTGAATAAAAGTGCTGATAATTGATATTATTTCCTTATCCTTGTTCAATTGCATTAAAACTTTACCATTAACTATATATTTTTAGTAGACCTCTTTATCAGATTAGGAAAATACACTCCTGTTCCTAACTTACTGAATTAAACAAATCATGAACAAGTGTAGAATCTTATTAAGAGCTTTTTTATTGAATATACTAAAATCATCAAATGGGTTTTCTCTTTTATTAACAGATGTAAAATTTTACTAAATGCTTTTTTCCACATTCCTTTGAAATATTCATAAAGTTTTTCTATTTTTTCTAATTTGATGAATTACACTGATTGATTTTTAAAATATTAAACCAAACTTCCAATCCTGGCAAAAACTCCAATTAGTTTTATATAAAACCTATGATTTTTAAATACACTACTAGGTGGAATTTGATAATATTTTGGGTAGGATTTTTCCATCTAGATTAATGAAATATATTGGGCTATACTTTTCCAGTCCTACATTGTTATTGTAAGGTTTGGGCATCAGGGTTATGCTGGCCTCGTAAATTAAGAAATTTTTCCCTCTGTTTTCTGTTTTCTGGATAATTTTTTGTTAGAATGTATTTTTTTCTCTTCATTACATGTTTGAAAGAATTTTCCAGAGATGTCATCTAGGTCTAAAGATTTCTTTGTAAGAAAAGCTTAAAATTACATGTTTTTAGTAGATATTGGAGTGTTCATATTTTTTATTTTTGTGAATTATTACTTGTGGTTTTTCAAGTAATTTGTCCTTTTTTTCCAAATTACCAGCATCAAAGTGTTAGTAATGTCCTTTATTTTCTTCTAAATTCTGTAGGACCTGTAGTTATATATAATGTTAATATATTAATATATCACAATAATATTTTTAAAGTTTTTGCTTTTGTTATTTTTTTTGTGTGCCTATTTTCTAGTGAATTGACTTTTGGGGCTATATTGATTATCTGTTTTTCATCTACTTTCTTTGTACTTGCTCTTCTGCCACTAGCTTTTTGAAATGAAAGATTAGATCAATAATTATCAATATTCTTTCTTGCCCAAAATATTTACTTCAATTCTTATTACATCTTCTTGCTTGTAACTGGGACCCTTTTCTTTTTAGCTGAAAGACCTAGTTTTTATTTCCTTAGCACAGGTCTGTGGTGAAGAATTTTCTCAGCCATTGTTTTCAAAGATATCTTTATTGTACCTTCATTTAAAAACAATTTTTAGGGGAGAAGATGGAGCAAGATGGCTAAATAGAAGTCTCTGCTGGTCGTCCCCTCCACAGGAACACCAAATTGAACAACTATTTAAATAAAAAAGCACCTTCATGAGAACCGAAAATCAGCTTAGGTACCAATTTGGCCACAATGGGTTAGAACACTATTCCATTGTGTTCTTACCCACCATGGCCAAAATTGGGCCTAAGGGGTCCCAATTCCCGGCCTCAGCTCTTGGATGGAATTTCTAGACCTGCCCTGGGCCAGCGGAGAGCCCACTGCCTTAAAAGGAGAGTACCAGCCTGGCAGCATTCACCACAAGCTGACTGGAGTGTCCTTGGGCCTTAGGTGAACATCAGCAGTAACCAGAAAGTACTTGCTGCAAGCCTGGGCTGGTGGTGGCCAAGGGGAGAGACTCTTCTATTTGTGGAAGAAATAGGCAAGAGTGGGAAAGACTTTCTCTTGTGGCTTGGGTGCCAGATCAGCTGCAATAGAATAGAGCACCAGGTAGATTCCTAAGGTTTCTGAGTTCAGGCCCTGGATCCCAGCTGGCATCTCTGGACCCACCCAGGGCTGGGGGAGCTCACTGCCCTGAGGGAAAGGACAAATGCCTGGCTGGCTTTACCATCTGCTGATTGTAGAGCTCTAGGGCCTTGAGTACACACAGATGGTAACTAGGCAGTGGTTACCATGAGCTTTGGGTGAGACCCAGTGCTGTGCTGGCTTCAGATCTGACCCATTGCAGCCCCAGTGATGGTGGCCACAAAGAGGCTTGTGTCACCCCCTCCCCCAGCACCAGGTAGCTCAGCACAGAGAGAGAGAGAGAGACTCTGTTTGAGAGAAAGCGAGGGAAGAAAACAAGAGTCTCTGCTTGGGAATCCAGAGAATTCTTTTGGATTTTAACCAAGACTACCAAGGTAGTACCTCTACAAGTCTGCAAGAGCCACAGGAAAAGCCCTGCCTAATGCAGATATGGCTGCAGTGACCAAAAACTTAGATAACAACACCCAACACTCTTTGAATGCTTGGAAACCTTTCCCAAGAAGGATAGATGCAAAGAAGCCCAAACTGTGAAGAGTACAATAAATACCTAAGTCTTCAATGCCCAGTCACCAATAAACATCCACAAGCATAGAGATCATCCAGGAAAACATGAACTCACCAAATGAACCAAATAAGGCACCAAGGAGAAATCCTGGAGAAACAGCAATATGAGGACTTTTCAGACAGAAAATTCAAAATAGCTGTTTTGAGAAAACTCAAAGAAATTTGGGTAACACAGAGAAGCAATTCAGAATCTTATCAGATAAGTTTAACAAAGAGATTGAAATAATTAAAAATAAGTAAGCAGAAATTGTGGAGTTGAAAAATGCCATAGACATACTGAAGAAATCATCAGAGTATCTAATAGCAGAATTGATCCAGCAGAAGAAAGAATGAGTGAGCCTGAAGACAGACTACATGAAAATGCACAGAGGATCCAAAAGAAAAAATAATAAAAAAAATGAAGCATGCCTACAGGATCTAGAAAACAGCCTGTAAAAGGCGAATCTAAGAGTTACTGGCCTTAATAGGGCAGATAGAAATAGTGGTAGGGATAGAAAATTTATTCAAAGGAATAATAACAGAGAAACCTAAACAAAGATACCAATATTCAAGGAAATCAATCATGCCCCTATTTCCCCTACCCCCAGCCTCTGTAACTACCATTTTCTACTCTCTTCTATGAGTTTAGTTATTTTAAATTCCACATGTAATTGAAGTTATGGAGCATGAAGCAGATTTAGCCCAAATAAGAAAACTTCAAGATATTTAATAAACTCCAATGGTCAAAGATAAGGAAAGTATCATAAAAGCAACAAGAGAAAATAAACAAATAACATACAATGGAGGTCTAGTATGTGTGGCAGCAGACTTTTCAATGAAAACCTTACAGGCCAGGAGACAATGGCATGACATATTTAAAGTGCTTAAGGAAAAAAATAAACTTTATTCTGGAATAGTATAACTAGCGAAAATATCCTTAAAACATGAAGGAGAAATAAAGAATTTCTCAGACAAAAGATATCATCTCACTTCAGTTAAAATGGCTTATATCTGAAAGACAGGCAGTAATAAATACAGGTAAGGATGTGGAGAAAAGGAAACCCTTGTATACTGTTGGCGAGAGTGTAAATTAGTACAACCTCTATGGAGAACAGTTTAGAAGTGCCTCCAAAAACCAAAAATACAGCTATCATATGATCCATCAGTCCCACTACTGGGTATATACTCAAAAGGAAGGAAATCCATATATCAAAAAGATATTTGCACTTTCATGTTTATTGCAACATTATTCATAATAGCAAAGATTGGGAGCAACCTAAATGTCCACCAACTAATGAATAGATAAAGAAAATGTGGCAGATATACACAATGGGGTACTATTCAGCCACAAAAAAGAATTATATCCTGTCATTTGCAACAACATGGATGGGACTGGATGTCAGTATGTCAAGTGAAATGAGCCAGACACAGAAAGACAAACTTCACATGTTCTTACTTATTTGTGGGAGCTTAAAATTAAAACAAGTGAATTCATGGAGATGGAAGTCTGGTTGAAAGTATGGTTATCAGAGGCTGGGAAGGGTAGTTCAAAGGTGAGGGGTGGGGGAATGTGGGAATGGTTAATGGGCATGAAAATATAGTTAGATGCAATGGATAAGATCTATTGTTTAATAGCACAACAAAATGACTACAGTCAACAATAATTTACTGTATATCTGAAAACAACTCAAAAAGTATAATTGGATTTTTTTTGTAACACAAAGAAACAAAAAATGCTTGAGGTAATGGGTACCTCATATACCCTGATGTGATTATTATGCATTATATGCCTGTATCAGAATATATCATGTACCCCATAAATTTATATACCAACTGGGTACCCACAAAAATAAAAAAATAAAAAATATAATTTTTGTTTTATTGTAAATCGTTATTTTATTATTGTATATGTTTATGGGGTACAAAATGTTTTTATGATTTATGAGTTTATATTATGTTTTATGAATACAATGTAAAACAATTACATCAAGATAATTAACATTTCTACTACCTCAAATACTTATCATTTTTCATTGTTAGAATATTCAGTGTACTCTCTTTAACGATTGTGAAATGTACCATATATGAATATAGTATTATTAATTATATTAAGCATGCTGTGCAGTACCTCTCATAATAAAGTTTATTCTTTCTGTTTAACTGAAACTTTGTATTCATTGACCATCATCTTCCTATTTCCCTTAGTCTCAGCCTCTGGAACTACCATTCTATACTGTCTTCTATGAGTTTTATTATTTTAAATTTCTCATATAATTGAGAATCTTTTTTGCCATTTTCTATGGAAAATTTAATTCTGGCTCTTTGGCATGGATACATTAACAGATTCTTCAATTAAGCATGAATATAGAACATTTAACATTACAATCAATGAATTATAGAAGGCTACTCCTACAGGAAAACCTTTTTTTAAGATTTTTTTTTCTTTTTAAAAATTATACTTTAAGTTCTGGGATACATGTGCAAAACGTGCAGGTTTTTTACATAGGTATACACGTGCCATGGTGGCACCCATCAACCTGCCATCGTATTTCTCCTAATGTAGGATTTCTCCTAATGCATCTACATTTGCTGCACCCATCAACCTGCCGTCTACCTTAGGTATTTCTCCTAATGCTGTCCCTCCCCTAGGCCCCACCCCAAAACAGGCCCCAGTGTGTGTTGTTCCCCTCCCTGTGTCCATGGTATTTGTCTTTCTGTGCCTGTCTCATTTCACTTAACATAGTGTTTTCCGATTCCAATCACATTGTTGCAACTGACAGAATTCCCTTCTTTTTGAAGGCTGAATATTATTACATTGTGTATATATAGCATATTTTTCTTTTTTTCTTTTCTTTTTGAGACGGAGTCTTGCTCTGTCGCCCAGGCTGGAGTGCAGTGGCGCTATCTCGGCTCACTGCAAGCTCCGCCTCCTGGGTTCACACCATTCTCCTGCCTTAGCCTCCCAAGTAGCTGGGACTACAGGCGCCCGCCACCACGCCTGGCTAATTTTTGTATTTTTAGTAGAGACGGGGTTTCACCGTGTTAGCCAGGATGGTCTTGATCTCTTGACCTTGTGATCCACCAGCCTCGGCCTCCCAAAGTGCTGGGATTACAGGCGTGAGCCACCGCGCCCGGCCTATATAGCATATTTTTCTTACCCATCCGTCTGTTAATGAATATTTACCATGGTTTCATGACTTGGGTGTTGTGAATAGTGCTTCAATAAATGTAAGAGTGCAGATCTTATTCATTGCATCTAACTGACAGCTGATCCTAAACCTTTCAGGTAAATACCCAGAAGTGGGATTGCTGGGTCATATGGTACTTCTGTTTTCAGTTTTTTGAGGAATCCTTATACAGTTTTCCATAATGGCAATTTACCTTCCTACAAACAGTGTACAAAGGTTCTCTTTTCTCCACATCCTTGCCTACACTTTTTCATATTTTTGATAATAGCTATTCTGACAGGTGTGAGGTGGTAGCTCATTGTGGATTTAATTTGTATTTCCCTGATAATTGGTTATGTTGGAGTTTTTATGTATACTTGTCTGTTTGTATTTGTTCTGAGAAATGTCTGTTTCAGTCTTTTGCCTATTTTTAAAAATTGAGTTGTTTTGTAGCTATTGTGTTAAGTTCTTTATATGTTTTAGATACTAACCCCTTATAGAATGTATGGCCTGCAAGTATTTTCTCCCAATTTGAAGGTTGTCTGTCTCCTTACACTGTTACTTGTTTCCTTGTCTGTGCAGAAGCTTTTAAATTTGATGTAATTGCATGTGTCTATTTTTGCTTTTGTTGCCTGTGTTTTGGGGTCAAATACAAAAATATTATTGCCTAGGCCAATATTGTGTAGTTTTCTCTCTGTTTTCGTCTTGTAGTTTTAGAATTTCTGATCTTAAATTTACATTCTTAATCTATTTTTGGTTGATTTTTGTACATTGTGTGAGATAAGGGTTCAATTTTATTCTTTTACATGTGGATATCCAGTTGTCCCAATGCCATTTATTGAAGAGACTGTTCTTTTCTTTGTATTCTTGATATCTTTGACAAAAATCAATTGAGCTTATGGGTGGGTTTATTTCTGCACTCTTTATTCTGTATATTTCTCAATGTGTCTCAATGTGATACTTCAATGCCAGTATCATGCTGTTTCAATAAAGTCTCAATGTGATACTTTAATGCCAGTATCATGCTGTTTCAATTGCTATAGTTTTGCAGTGTAGTTTGCAATAAGCTAGTGTCATGCCTCCAACTTTGTTCTTTTTGCTCATAATTGCTTTGACTATTAGGGATTTTTTGTGTAATTTTATATGAATTTTAGTATTTTTTATTGATTTGAAAAGTGAGACTGGAAATTTTAGAAGAATTGCATTGAATTTGTAGATTGCATTATATATTATTGCATAGACATTTTCCAGTGGATGAATAGGGGATATCTTTCTATGTATTTGTGTCATCTTCAATTTCTCTCATCAATGTTTTATAATTTTCTAGTATTGTTTCTTTCTCTTAGTCTCAAAAGTGACATTGGAAATTTGAGAAGAATCACATTGAATTTGCAGATTGCATTGTGTAGTATTGTATAGACATTTACAAAATATTAATTCTTCCAATCCATGAATAGGGGATATCTTTCTATTTATTTGTGTCATCTTCAATGTTTCTCATCAATGTTTTATGATTTTCCATGTATAGGTCTTTTACCTCATTGGTTAAATTTATTCCTAAGTATTTTATTATATTGTAGCTATTGTAAATGGGATTGTTCTCTTGTTTTCTTTTTATGATAAATCATTGTTAGTGTATAAAAATGCAATTGATTATTTCATGTTGATTTTGTACCCTGCAACATTTCAAAATTTGTTGAATAGTTCTAACTTTTTTTTTTTTTTGGTGAAGCATTTTGGGTTTTCATTAGAAAACAATATTTTGGGTATATCATTAGAAAACAGTGACAATTTTTGCTTATTTGCATGCTTTTTATTTATTTCTCTTGCCTAATTGCCCTGGCAAAGACTTCCAATGGTATGTTGAATAGAAATGGCAAGAGTGGGCATACTTGTCTTGTTCCAGATCTTGGAGGAAAGGCTTTCAATTTTTCACAATTGAGTATCGTGTTAGCTGTGATCTTCTCATATATAGCCTTTATTGTTTTGAGGTACACAATGACACCTAACTTGTTGAGTTTTTTAAAATCATAAAATGCTGTTAAATTTTGTCAAATGTACATCTAATGGCATGATCACATAGTTTTTGGTCTTAGTTCTATTAATCTATCACTTTCATTTACTTTCATATGCTGAAGCAGCCCTGCATCCCAATAACAAATCCCACTAGATCGTTGTATATGATCCTCGTAATGTGCTGTTGGATTTGGTTTCCTAGTACTTAGTTATGGATTTTTACATGTGTGTTAATTAATAGCATGTAGTTTTTCATTCTTGTAATATTCTTTTTGGTCTCTGATATCAGGGTAATATTCACCTTGAAAAATGTATTTGGAAGTATTCCCTCCCCTTCAATTTTTTGAAGAGTTTGAGAAGGATTGATATCAGTTATTCTTTAAATGTTTGATAAAATTCAACAATAAAGCTATCAGGTCCTGGCTTACTTTGATGGGAGACATTATTACTGATTGAATCTCCTTAATGATTATTGATTTGTTCAGATTTTCTATTTCTTCATGACTCAATCTTGGTAGGTTATATGTGTCTAGAAATTTATCCATTTCTTCTAGGTTATCCAATTTGTTGGCATATAATATTTTATAGTAGTCTCTTATGGTCCTTTGTATTTCCATGGTATCTGTTGTAATGTTTCCTCTTTCATATCTGATTTTAATAATTTGAGTCTTCTCTCTTTTTTTGTTAGTCTAGCTAATGAGTAGCTGATTGTTTATATCTTTTAAAATAACCAACTCGGTTTTGTAGATCTTTTTTTTTTTTTTTTTTTTTTTTTTTTGAGATGGAGTCTTGCTCTTGTTGCCCAGGCTAAAGTGCAGTGGTATGATCTCAGCTCACGGCAACCTCTGCCTCCCGGGTTCAAGCAATTCTCCTGCCTCAGCCTCCTGAGTAGCTGGGATTACAGGTGCCTCCCACCACCTCCAGCTAATTTTTGTATTTTTAGTAGAGATGGGGTTTTACTATGTTGGCCAGGCTGGTCTCAAACTCCTGACCTCGTGGTCCACCTGCCTTGGCCTCTCAAAGTGCTGAGATTATAGGCGTGAGCCACCGAGCCTGGCCTGTTGATCTTTTAATTGTTTTTCTAGTATCTATTTCGTTTTATTTCTGCTATGATCTTTATTATTTCCTTCCTTCTCTTACATTTCGGCTTAATTTATTCTTCCTTTTCTGGTTCCTTTAGGAGTAACAATAAGTTGTTAATTTATTTTTTTTCATTTATTTTAGCTTTCTTCATCATTAAAAAATTGTTAATTTACATGTAATTATTATATATATTTATAGGGTACATAGTGATGTTTCATACATGTAATGTATAGTGAACCATTCAGGATAATTACTATATCATCTCAAACATTTATAATTTCTTTGTGTGGAGAACATTCAATATCCTCCTAGCTATTTGAAATTATATAATGTATTATTATTATTAACTGTAGTTACTCTAAAGTGGTATAGAACACTATAACTTATTTCTCTTATCTAGCTGTAATTTTATATCCTTTAACAAATCTCTCCCTATCTTTCCCTTCGCCTACCCTTCTCAGCCTCTAGTATCCTCTGTTCTACATTTTACTTCTATGGGAGTAGTTTTTGTTTTAGCTTCCACATATGAATGAGAGCATGCAGTGTTTATCTTTATTTTAAGCTTATTTCACTTAACATTATGCTCTTCAATTCCATCCATGTTTCCATAAATGACAGAATTTCTTTCTTTTTTATGGCTGAATAGTATGCCATTGTTTAAATAAAATGCCATATTTTGTTTATCCTCTCATCTGTTGTTGTAACCTAGATTGAGTTCGTTTCTTGACTATTGTGAATAGTGCTGCAATAAACATGGGGGTGCCGGTTTCTCTTTGATATACTGATTTTCTTTCCTTTGGATATATGCCCAGTAGTGGGATTGCTGGATTTTTTTTTTCTGTTGAGATGTTTGAATTTCTTGTATATTCTGGATATTACTCTCCTGTCAGATGGATGTTTTGTGAATATTTTCTTCATTTTGCAGGTTATATTTTCACTCTGTTGATTGTTTCTCTTGCCATACAGAAACGTTTTGGTTTGATATAATCCTATTTACTTATTTTTTTGTTTTGTTGCCTGTTCTTTTGAGGTCTTAGTTATAAAATTTTTTTCCCAGACAAATGTCCTGAAATAATTTCCCTATGTCTTCTTCTACTAGTTGTATCATTTTGGGTATATATTTCATTAGGCCTTAGATCAATTTTTAGTTGATTTTTGTATAGGGTGAAAGGTGGGGGTAAGTTTCATTCTTCTGCATAGGGATATCCAGTTTTCACAGCACCCTTTATTGAAGAGACTTTTTACTTAATGAGTGTTCTTGGAAACTTTGCCAAAAATCAGTTGGCTCTAGATACATGGATTAATAACTGGAATCTCTATTCTGTTCCTATGTATCTGTTTTTATGCCTGGATCATGCTGTTTTGCTTACTATAGCTTTGTAGTATATTTTGAAGTCTGGTAGTGTGATGCTTTTAGGTTTGTTCTTTTTTGCTCAGGATTCCTTTGGCTATTTTGGATCTTTTGTGGTTCCATCAAAATTTTAAGATTTTTTTTTTCTATTTCTGTGAACAATGCTATTGATATTTTGACAGGAATTGTATTAACTCTGTAGATTACTTTGGACAGTGTGGTCATTTTTTAACAATATGACTTCTTCCAATTCATGACCATGAGTTGTTTTTCCATTTATTTGTATCTTCTTCAATTTCTTTTATCAGTGTTTCAAAATTTTCATTGTAGACATATTCTACATCTTCAGTTAAATTTATTCCTTGGTGTTTTATTTTACTTTTTGCTGATATTGTAAATGGGATTGTCTTCTTAATTTCTTTTTCAGCCAGTTTGGTGTGCATATATAGAAAATCTACTCCTTGTTTTTCATGTTGATTATGTATACTGCAACTATTCTGAATTCTTTTATCAGTTCTAAGAGGTTGTTCTTAGAGTCTGTAGGTTTTTCTATATATGAAAACAATCAGGGGAAATTTATGTTTATCTTGAAAGGCCTGCTAATGATGACCCCAGGAGGGCAGAGCTTGTTGTTTCTATGAATATTCTTTCTATAACTATTCGTTAGAGTTCCTGCTTTCAATTCTTTTAGGTATATGCCCAGGTGTCCCAGCATACATGTATAGCTTTGCAAATGAGCTATGAAGTTGGCTGGTATCTCTGATTGGTCACTGAAGTTGGCAGGAACACAGAGGTGCCACCAAGATCTATGCACTGGCACCTGTGACTCCTGCCTCTTTTCTTTGTTTCTACTTAATTTGAAATGATTTAGCCTTTATGCTCGAATGATAATTTGCATAAAAATATTTTTAGTCATTCTTTCTTTTCTTGGGTATTTTATAGTCATTATTTCACTGTTTTTTAACTTCTAAATTTGCTTCCTGTTGTAGAGAACTATGAGACCATCCTACTTTAATTCAACTTGTCACAGGTTAAATCTATAACAGTCTGTCACAGTTTGTGCTCTGATAAGTGTGTGTGTATATAAGTGCTATTAACATTACACATAGATGTACATATGTACATACACATACATATTTACCCCATTGTCAAAAAATTATACCTTTTATTTTGAAGACCAATATTTTAGTAAACTATATTTCACTCTCACTACACCAGTCTTTCACGTTATTTTAATCTACAGATGCATGCGTTTTTTCTGTATCGTTAAATATAATTATTTTTCAGTCACTTTGTTACTAATATTGACTGTTAAGTCAGATCTTCTTTGCTTGTCTCACATATCATAGTCTCATTGTCATTCCAATGCTTTTTAACTCTGACCATTAACTTTTATTCTGCTTGCTTTTCTAAATTCTGTTTTTATGTTTATTACTATATTGTTAATAGTATCTATTGTATTTTATTTGAATTCAAATTTTACCTGATTTTCTTTGAGAGTTTTAAAAATTTGATCCATTTTTTATGAGCTTGCCATCTTACATTTTTACTTCTATTATTTTAACATATATTTCCTGTCTTTTATATCTTTCATTTGTACTGTTGTTTTGTAAAGCTAATTACACTGTTGTATTTAAACTTTTCTGCTAAAATATTTTGGTAAAAATTTTCGGTAAAAAATTACCTGCTTTGTGATCACACTTTTTAATTTCACATTGAGGTCTTCTGTCATCCACTTATATTTTCTATTTCTTGTCTTCTTTTTCTATTTTCCCATAGATCCTGTGCTGGTTATTTTTTGTTTGTTCCTCGTATTTGTATGACACACATTTATTTTTTAACTAATTATTTGCAAGTTGTCATTGTACTTAGGAAAGGGACCAGTTTATGTTATGGGTTAGCAGGTATTTGCTATATGACACAGGGTTAGGTGTAAGCATTTGTTTTTATTTTCCTCTGTAAGTATAGCTCATCCTGATGCTCACAATGCAATATCTGCTCACTAAAATCATTTTCATATTTTCTGCCATGATTATTATACTCCTATGTATACTCATAAAAAATATATGCATATTTCTCTAAGACATACATGGATAAATATTCATGGCAACATTATTTGTAGTAATTTCCAAGTGGAAAAAATCCATGTGGTCATAAGCTGCAAGTGGATAATTTATGATATAGTTAATAATGACACACTTGATAGCAATGAAAAAAATGAATTACCACTATATGCAACTGATCAATGCAACTTTAACAAACATAAGTGTGAATAAAAGAAGGCAGACAAAAGATACATACTAGATGTTTTATTTATATAAGGTTCAAAAACAGACAAAAGTAAACTATAATGTTAGAAGTTGTATTAGTCCATTTTCATGCCGCTTATAAAGACATACCCGAAACTGGGAAGAAAAACATGCTTAACTGGACTTCCAGTTTCACATGGCTGGGGAGGCCTCAGAATCATGATGGGAAGCAAAAGGCACTTCTTACATGGCAGCAGCAAGAGAAAATGAGGAGCAAGAAGAAAAAGCAGAAACCCCTGATAAACTCATCAGATCTCGTGAGACTTATTCACTATCACGAGAATACCATGGGAAAGACCAGCCTCCATGATTCAATTACTCCCCCTGGGTCCCTCCTACAACATGTGGGAATTCTGGAAGATACAATTCCAGTAGAGATTTGGGTGGGGACATAGCCACACCATATCATTCCACCCCATCCCCTCCAAATCTCATGTTTTCATATTCCAAAACCAATCATGCCTTCACAACAGTACCCAAAGTCTTAACTCATTTCAGCATTAACCCAAAAGTCCACAGTCCAAAGTCTCATCTGAGACAAGACAAGTCCCTTCCACCTATGAGCCTGTAAAATCAAAAGCAAGTTAATTACTTCCTAGATACAATGGGGGTACAGGTATTGAGTAAATACAGCCATTCCAAGTGGGAGAAATTGGCCAAAACAAAGGGGCTACAGGCCCCATGTAAGTCCGAAATCCAGAGGGGCAGTCCAATTTTAAAGCTTCAAAATGATCTCCTTCGACTTCAGGTCTCACATCCAGGTCATGCTGATGCAAGTGGTGGGTTCCCATCATCTCTGCCCCTGTGGCTTTGCAGGGTACAGCCCCCTTCCTGGCTGCTTTCACAGGCTGGGATTGTCTTCTGCTTTTCCAGGCACACAGTGCAAGCTGTAGGTGATTCTACCATTCTGTGGTTTGGAGGACTGTGTCCCTCTTCTCACAGCTCCACTAGGCAGTGCCCCAGTAGGGACTCTGTGTGGGGGCTCCGACCTCACATTTCCTTCTGTACTGCCCTAGAAGAGGTTCTCCATGAGGGCCCCACCCCTGCAGCAAATTTCTGCCTGGGCACCCAGGTGTTTCCATACATCTTCCGAAATCTAGGAGAGCATCCCAAACCTCAGTTCTTGACTTCTGTGCACCTGCAGGCTCAACACCACATGGAAGCTGCCAAGGTTTGGGGCTTTCACCCTCTGAAGCTATAGCCCAGGCTGTAGGTTGTCCCCTTTCAGCCATGGCCAGAGTGGCTGGGACACAGGGCACCAAGTCCCTAAGCTGCACATAGCACGGGGACCCTAGGCCAGGCCCACAAAACCGCTTTTTCCTCCTGGGCTTCAGGACCTGTGATGGGAGGGGCTGCTGTGATGTTCTCTGACATGGCCTGGAGACATTTTCCCCATGCTCTTGGGGATTAACATTAGGCTTCTTGCTACTTATGCAAATTTCTGCAACCAGCTTGAATTTCTCCCCAGAAAATGGGTTTTTCTCTTCTATCACATAGTAAGGCTGCAAATTTTCCCAATATGCTCTGCTTCCCTTATAAAACTTAATTCCTTTAACAGAACCCAAGTCACCTCTTGAATATTTTGTTGCTTAGAAATGTCTTCTGCCAGATACCCTAAATCATCTTTCTCAAGTTCAAAGTTCCACAAATCTCTAGGGCAAGGGCAAAAAGCTGCCAATCTCTTTGCTAAAACGTAACAAGAGTCATCTTTACTCCAGTTCGCCACAAGTTCCTCATCTCCATCTGAGACAACCTCAGCCTAGACCTTATTGTCCATATTGCTATCAGGATTTTGGGCAAAGCAATTTAACAAGCCTCTAGGGAGTTCCAGACTTTCCCAAATTTTCCTGTCTTCTTCTGAGCCCTCCAAACTGTTCCAATCTCTGCCTGTTACCCAGTTCCAAAGTCGTTTCCACATTTTCAAGTATCTTTTCACCAATGCCCACTCTACTGGTACAAATTTACTGTATTAGTCCATTTTCATGCTGCGGATAAAGACATACCTGAAACTGGGAAGAAAAAGAGGTTTAATTGGACTTACAGTTCCACATGGCTGGGGAGGCCTCAGAATCATGGCAGAAGGTGAAAGGCACTTCTTACATGGTGGCAGGAGGATAAAATGAGGAAGAAGCAAAATTGGGAACCCCTGATAAACCCATCAGATCTCATGAGACTTATTAACTATCATGAGAATAGCACAGGAAAGACCAGCCGACATGATTCAATTACCTCCCCCTGGGTCCCTCCCATGACACATGGGGATTCTAGAAGATACAATTCAAGTTGAGACTTGGGTGGGGCCACAGCCAAAATGTATCAGAAGTCAAAGCAGTAGTTACCATTGGTAAAGAGGTGATTACCTTTTGGGAAGGAGGAGGTAGGAAAGAAGGTCTAGTTACTCTCAGAAACTTGTGGGGTTTTTGAGGACATTGGTAATATTTCTCTCTCTCTCTCTTTTTAATTAAAAAGTAAACTTTAATGTCGAAAATGCAAACTTGGGAAAGACAGAAAAGATCACACACAAGGCTGTCACTTCACACTTGGAAGGTTGCACAGTGGCCGGGCAGTGACCCTCCTCACTTCCCAGACAGTGGTTATAGAGGTTGTCACTCTAATAATTCATTTATCCATAATTTGTGTCTTATGTAATTTTGTGTATATATTATATATTCAATTATTTAAAAAATGTTTAAAAATAAATTGGTGGACTACTGTAATAAAATAGCAAACTACAAATACATTATAAAAATATCTTTTTTCCCAATAGTTCATAATATAAACAAGAACAGCAATAACAAAATTACTGAGAAATGAGTTTAATTTTTAAAAAGCAGCCAAATATTATAAAACTGAAAAAAAAAAAAAAAAAACAGCCAAGGTCAAAAACAGACAATTCTGGAGGCACACAGAGGAACGAAGCTGCTAACCCTGACTCTTTTCTGTCCTTTCCCGGTACTCTATTTCAGAAACTTTACCTGTGTACCAACAAAATTTAGAGAATGCTCCCTAAATTCTTCAGGGCTGAAATGAATAAACTGAGTGAGTATTCTCATTTATCTTTTCTCACTGAGGAGTAATGGATTGTAGCAAACAATCAAAAACAAAACAAGAAAACAACAAAAAAAATCAAGTTTGAGTGCCTACTATGTACCAGACATAGTTCCAAGTACTTTAAATAGAGTATCTCATTTATTCCTTATAATAAATTTATTATGTTAGTATCATTATTATTCCCTTTTTGCAGTTGAGAAAACTGAGGCTAAGAGAGTTTGAGTAAATTATCAAAAGCCATACAGCTAGTAAATGGCAAAAGTTTGATTTGAACTCAGCCAATCTGATACAGGTTGAGTACCCTTTACCCAAAATGCTTGGGACTATAAGTGTTTTGGATTTGAGATATTTTCACATTCTAGAATATTTTCATATACATAATGAAATATCTTGGAGATGGAGCCAAGTCTAAATGTGAAATTCATTTATGTTTCATATACCTTATACACATAGCCAGAAAGTACTTTTATAGAACGTTTTAAATAATTTTGTGGATGAAACAAAATTTCAACTGTGTTTTTGCTGTGACCTGTCCTATGAGGTCAGGTTTAGAATTTTTCACTTGTGGTGTCTGTCATGTTGGTGCTCAAAAAGTTTCAGATTTGAAGCATTTCAGATTTTTGATTTTTAGTTTAAGAAATCTCAACCTGCACTAGAGCCCAGTTTGTAATCAGAACATTCTATATTGAAGTGACCAACAACACTGACCACTGGATAGAAGTAAATGTTCTAGAGCTATATATGTGTCACTTAGCAATGGGGACACATTCTGAGAAATGTGTCGTTAGGTGATTTCATCATTGTGCTAACATCATAGAGTGTACTTACACAAACCTAGAGGGGATAGTCTATTAAACTCCTAGGCTATATGGTATAGCCTATTACTCCTGAGCTACAAACCTGTATAGCATGTTACTGTACCTAATATTGTAGATAATTATAACACAAAGGTAAGCATTTGTATATATAAACATAGAAAATGTACAGTAAAAACACAGTATTGTAATCTTGTGGTACCACTATCATATATATGCACCATTGTTGACCAAAGTGCATGCATTATGCTGTGCTATATGTGGTGAATGGAATTTTCCTAGAGAATTGAATACACTTCTAGATACAAGTGGTATCAGGAACAAGGCATTAAACAGAACCTCAGAAGTGAGAAAGATGCCAGGACCTGTTAACAGTTCCTGCAAAACTTCTGAGTTCTTCCCTTTTCGATGTCCCCAAGCTATGAAATAAATGAACAGAACATGAAAATCTGAGCCCTTAAGTTTTAGTTTATTAGATAAAGCAAACTATTTTCAGATAGAGGGAAATAAAGAAGTCATCCACTACATTAGAAAAATAGAAGATCAGGACAGAACTATGCAAGATTCGACAGGAAATAAATAGCATAGTGGCTATATAAACATACCACTGTTTGCACATTGCATGCAAACAGCAATTAAAAACCTCAGTCCAGAGCCATGTTGGGTCCATCTACTTCAACCCATAATTCTCTTGACCCATAACTCCCCTCTAGGTATACACCCAATATAAATGAGTGTTTATATCCATCAAGAAACAGATATGGGAATGTGTATAACAGCTTATTGTTTATGCACGTTTAAGTACCTATTTCATATTTCAGTAAGTTTCAGGAAGTTTTCAATAAAAACAGAATGCTTTTAACATTTGTGCTTTAAACAAAACACTAAATAATACAAATACATTTTATTATAATTAAATACATTTATTATAATTAAATTATAAATATAATTTATTTACAATTAAGTTATAATTTAAATTATAATTAAATAATAGCAAATGAATAAAACTATGTATAACATAAGGAAACTTGGAAAAATATAACTATAGTAAAAGCTTCACTATGTATGCCTCAGAATTGAACTGATATAAGAAATATCATCTTTTACAAGAAAGAAATATATATATATAATATGGCTTCTAGAAATTTCTTCATATTTATTTCAGATGTCTCCTTTTTCCATAAAGTAAAACTAAATTTAATTCTTTTTAATTAAAAAAACACGTAATGTTCCATTTTTGAAAAGCAATTTTATTTATGCATTTATTCATCCTCCATTCATATTTCTATATATATATCAGTTATTTCTAGATAAATGTTTTCAACTTGCTTTCAGTATTTTTTTGCTTAAATTTATTTAAATTTGCAAATGCTGTTTATACGAAGTAAAGTGATTTTTACTTAAAAAATCTTTAAAAACATCCAAACTTGAATTATTTGGTAACTTACATGAGCTACATTGATGAAGAAGTTATTTTAGATCATGAATTCAGAATTAACTTTAAAATAAGAGCTTATTTTTCTGGTATCAGGTACTTGAAACACGGCTTTAGGAATCAATGTTTTATCATTAAAACTATTTTGTTTGGAGTGTTTCTAAGTTATCTTTTCCCCTGCCTTCTTAATATATGAATCACAATTTAAGAATTGATTGATTGATTGCTCAGTCTTTATTGCAAACTTTAATAATTAGACAAAGCCATATTTTCTTCAGGGATTATTGACATGTTTGTGCTTACACTAAATGGCTCCTTTTCTGTTTTATAAAACAACTTTGTGTGTTTTTAAAATCTTCTCCTTTGCTGAGACAGCTATTATTTCTTGCTTTTGACAGTATGCAAAATTTCAGCAGCCCTCCTTTTTTTAAAAATTAAATATTTAAATTTTTATTCTCATATTAATATGTTGTGAAGTTTGAAATTGTATATGTTAGATAATTCATTAAACTAGAGCTCTGTATATACATAGATGAGAATTCTGCAAAAAAGAAAATATTTCTTTAGAAATTAACATAGATGTTATGATGTCCATGCAATGTGGTGTTTCTATTTTTCTCACAGAAAATAAATAATAATAAGGAATATGGGTCCCAAAATAAAATTGTCTCATTTTAGTTAAAATGTTCAACATGCCATTTAACTAAAAATGTGTTTATAAAAAATCCTATATGAAAATTTGTACACTTTGTTGGTATACTTGATAATGGTATGTTCAGCTATGTTAGTTTACTTGATTATGGACTTTGTTTCTTAATAAACTGTACGATATGTGAGTAAAACAGTGCCTGTCATATAGTAGGTACTGAGTCAATAATAGTTTAAAGATGACACAAAATTATGACTTATAAAATGTACTGCTTTGCCATTTTATTCCAAATTCTATCTTCGTATAGACACAGCTTAAAGCTTGTAGTACTATAGTTAAAAACACACTTCTAAAGTGAAATCAATTATTGTCAATAACTTTTTATCCACTGCTCAATTTAAATTCCACTTTTTGATGTCTTTGAATTTAAAAACTTCTTACATTTGTAAACATATACTGTGATTATTCATATCGCAGTTTGTTATACTGATTAGATTCCTAAGTCATTTTTTCTTCCTTGTTTAATAAAATATTCAAGAATTCTTATAGTAAAAATCAATTCATAGTTAAATTAGATAGTGTTTCTAACTGAATAATTTTGTGACTTAGAATATTTGGAACTTCACCATACTGGCATTTTCAGGCTAAACCTGAAAGAAAGTTCCAGAAAACAGTTCAGCTCTTGGAGATATTCTAAGACATAATGATTTTTACCCCCATCAACTTTGATGATGTCAATATAGCGAGGTCATAAAATTATCAACTGTGAGAAAATAATAATTTTGCTGGTGAATATCAACAATTGGAAAAAACCAGTAAAAAAATGGGTGGATCAATGAGCAAGTTAAAAATTGTTTATCATAAAATGAAAAAATATTAATATTAGAGTTGAAATTTACCATGAAAATCTGTGGTCTAATCCCTAGCTTCGATTCACATAGCAGTATAATTTATAATCTCCCCAGGGATGTGGAAATCATTATCACTCAATACAGCTGATTCAGTTTTTATACAGCTAAACTTGATCTTAATTCTGTATACTGAGTCAAATTCTATGTCACGACGATGGTCCATCATTTTATCATATTAAGTCCCCTTGGGACAGACATAAATGATTTAATTGCTCTTCAATTGTCTTTTAAATATTTAAAGACTGCTTTTGTGTGACATCTGAGTCTCCTCCAGGTTAAACAGCAATAATTGCTCCACCTTTTCCTCAGAGAAAACTTTTTTTTTGACTTTTTTCTTTTTTTCCTCCGATTGTGTTCTAGTTATCTACGTCTCTATTAGAAATGAAGAGAAAAACTAAAAACAACAATAATATTGCTAATGGGTATGACCAGAGTAAAACCTAGCAATATAGATCACACATATTCTAGGATTATATTAGACATTTTTTTAAAAACAAACACTAGATTTTCTCCATCATTTGGGGCTTTTGTGTGGTGAGTCTTTGTGTCTTTTTCACCTGAAGTGCCCCTGACATGTATTTCTCATTAAGTGTAGCTTTTGTTTTGTTTTTCTTGTTTTTAATCTAGCTATAACACAATATCACTTTAATTTCACACAGATTTGGCTCAGTTTTTTGAACTGTCTGACCTATGTCTGAACTAACTCATTAGTTTAACAAAACTGTCCTTAATTCTTACAACAAGTTGGATGCATGTGATTCAATGTATTAATTCTCTTCCCACATTTAGGTAATGTCCACCTGTAAGTATTATGCATGCTCTGTCTCTCTTTAGGTTATTGATAAAAATATTGAAGAGAACAGGGGCCAGGACAAAAGAGAAAACTTAGGAATCCCATGATAACTCCTTTCGGGACAAGATTAATCCATCATTAATAAGCTTTTTTAAAGAAAAACATTAAGCCCAATACAAATTGACCTATCTATATTATCAGAGTCCACATTCCCATCTTATACCATATACTCTCAAGTGAAATACTTGGCAGAAATTCATTTATATGCTATCTCTATTCTTCCCCCTTATTTGCCATATTTTGCACCTCCTTTAAAAGAGAAAAGAGGCCGGGCACGGTGGCTCACACCCGTAATCCCAGCACTTTGGGAGGCCGAGGTGGGTGGATCATGAGATCAGGAGATCGAGACCATCCTGGCTAACACGGTGAAACCCCATCTCTACTAAAAATACAAAAACATTAGCTGGACGTGGTGGTGGGCGCCTGTAGTCCCAGCTACTTGGGAGGCAGAGGCAGGAGAATGGTGTGAACCCGGGAGGCGGAGCTTGCAGTGAGCCGAGATAGCGCCACTGCACTCCAGCCTGGGTGACAGAGTGAGACTCCGGCTCAAAAAAAAAAAAAAAAAAAAAGAAAAGAAATTGCATTGGTTTTGTAAAGTTTATTTATAAGGCTTTCAAGATATCATAACTTCCCTCTATTTTTGGACCTGTCTTTTGTTTAACAATCAGTAAAATACTTTTTCCTGAAATTAAATTGAGTGTGTCAATAATTTCTGTTTTATTCTTTTTCTTGGAAGATCAGAAACATATTTGCCTATCTTGGTAATTTGTCCTATTGTTCTATATTAATCAGAGTTTATAAAAATTTATGTAAGTATGTTCAGCAACTACACCTACCAATTCTCTCAGTAATTTGAGATGTAGATCTTTGGGCCAAAAACTTGAGTTAATTTCATTAGGTGTTCTGACCATTTATTTTACTACCTGGGGTTTTCTTTTTTTTCTTTTTCTTTTTTTTTTTTTTGAGACAGAGTCTCGCTCTGTAGCTCAGGCTGGAGTGCAGTGGCGCTGTCTCGGCTCACTGCAAGCTCCGCCTCCCAGGCTCATGCCATTCTCCTGCCTCAGCCTCCCGAGTAGCTGGGACTACAGGCGCCCGCCATGACGCCCAGCTAATTTTTTGTATTTTTTAGTAGAGACGGGGTTTCACCGTGTTAGCCAGGATGGTCTCGATCTCCTGACCTTGTGATCCGCCCACCTCGGCCTTGCAAAGTGCTGGGATTACAGGCGTGAGCCACCGCGCCCGGCCCTGGGGTTTTCTTTTACTCCTGCAAATGTTTGTTCCACTTTCCAGTCTTAAAATTATCACTGACAAAAAGCACAAAAGAAAGTCGTTTCATATTTTTTCCATTGTCTTTTGCCATCACATCATATTTCTGAACAAAGGGGCTACCTCTTTTTCATCAAGTGGTTCTAATATAGCTTCATAACACTCTTCAATATACCCACTCATTTAATTTCATTCTTGGAGCTAATATCTTAACATTATAAGTAAGAACTCTTTTTTCTCTTATAATTATTAAAGTATACAATTATTGAATATTTATATTCAAATTACTATCTTCACAATAAGACTAAAACATAAATTATATATAATTACATATATACATTATTTATTCTAAAGTAATTTACAACTTATATGTTGGGAACAGGCCCCAAAATCTGGCCATATACTGGTCCCAAAACTGGCCATAAACAAAATCTCTGCAGCACTGTGACACGCTCGTTATGGTCTCGACGCCCATGCTGGAAAGTTGTCCGTTTACCGGAAAGAGGGCAAGGAACACCTGGCGCACCCAGGGCGGAAAACTGCTTAAGCCATTCTTAAACCACAAAGAATAGCATGAGCTATCTGTGCCTTAAGGACATGTTTATGCTGCAGATAACTAGCCAGAGCCCATCCCTTTATTTTGGCCCATCCCTTTATTTCCCGTAAGGAATACTTTTAGTAAATCTTATGACTGGCTTGCTGTCAATAAGTATGTGGGTAAATCTCTGTTCAAGGCTCTCAGCTCTGAAGGCTGTGAGACCCCTGATTTCCCACTCCACACTCTGTATTTCTGTGTGTGTGTCTTTAATTCCTCTAGCGCTGCTGGGTTAGTGTCTCCACAACCGAGCTGGTCTTGGCAAGTGGTGCCCATACGTGGAGTCTCGAACCCAGGTCAAAGGGTCACTGGAGCGACGGTTGGAGAATGTGGAACTAAGCTGGAGGACACCTGAGTACTCATAAGCAATCCCTGTGGTGAGGGGAGCTTGGAAGCATCAGGGTAACAATGGGACAAGTGTGGGCTCTGGCTTGTTCTACGTTGGAACCTTTTCACACTAATAATAAAAGGAAGGAAAGTATAATGAAATAACAGAAGAGATGACAGAGCAGGTTTGTTTGCCAGCTAAAGCTAAAGCAGCAAAGGAGGAAGAGGTTCATCCCTACCCTTCTGCACCCCCTACTTATTTTGAAGAAAAAGAGTGGCCTGACCCTCCAGAGCTTTCTTTTCCGGAGGACACTGGGCTGTCTAAGCCATTTGAGCTCCTTGTGGGAGGGGTAGCAGCCAACACTGGGACTGATAGCTGCCTAAGATCCCAGGGTGGGGAAAGGGCGGCAGCCATCTCTTCAGCTTCAGGCCATGCTTTTCCCCTGCTGGAGCCAGGGAGGCTAGACAGATTGGTCCCAAGAGGTATCCCCACAGCCCAACACACTGGCTTTGGCAGACTGTGACCAGAGTGCCTCTTCAGGCCCAACCCTGACCCATCCCTCCTTACTGGGCAGGGCCTCCCTGCAGGAACTTCAACAACTCTAGCCAGGGACTCAGGGACAGAACTCTGATCTCCCTGGGTATGAGCCTCTAGGGGGAGGGGTGGCCATAATCTCCACAGACCAGCATAGTTAGTCTTTCCTCCTGCTAGTCTGAGGAATCTGGGCAGCCCAGATGAGTGGGTTTCCCCCCAGTGAAGCATACCCCCTCCACCAAGGGATAGTCAAAGTGCTTCATTAAATGAGTCCTGCTCCCATGCCACCCAACTAGGTGAGACCCTCCAACAGGGGTTGTCAGACACCCTATGTAGGAGCATTCCTACTGGCATTGGATCAGTGCCCCTTGAGGTCAGAGATCCCAGAGGAAGGAGCAGGCACCCATCTTTGCTGTTCTCCAGCCTCCTCGAGTGACATATCCACATGCAGGAGTGAACCAGAGGAATAGGACCTGAAGTGAACCCCCAGCAAACTGCAGTAGCCCTACAGAAGAGGGACGTGACTATTGAGAGAAAAACAAACAGAAAGCAGCAACAACAACATCAACAAAAAAAGTCCCCACCAAAACCCATCCAAGGGTCGGCAGCCTCAAAGATTGAAACTAGACAAACTCATGAAGATGAAAAAGAGTCAATGAAAAAAAAAATGCTGAAAACTCAAAAGGCCAGAGTGCCTCTATTCCAAATGATCGCAACACCTCTACAGCAAGGTGCAGAACTGGACAGAGAATGAGATGGATGAAATGACAGAAGTAGGCTTCAGAAGGTTGGTAATAACAAACTCCACTGAGTTAAAGGAGCATGTTCTAACCCAATGCAAAGAAACTAAGAAACTTGATTAAAGGTTACAGGAGCTGCTAACTAGAATAACCAGTTTGGAGAGGAACATATATGACTTGATGGAGCTGAAAAACATAGCAAGAAAACATTGTGAAGCATACACAAGTATCTATAGCCGAATTGACCAAGCAGAAGAAAGGATATCAGAGTTTAAGACCATCTTGCTGAAATAAGGCATGTAGGCAAGATTAGAGAAGAAAAGAATGAAAAGGAACAAATGAAACCTCAGAGAAATATGGGACTATGTAAAAAGTCTGAACCTACGATTGATTGGAGTACCTGAAAGAGACTAGGAGAATGAAACCAAATTGGAAATCACACTTCAGGATATTATCCAAGAGAACTTCCCCAAGTGAGCAAGACAGGCCAACATTCAAATTTAGGAAATTCAGAGAACATCGCTAATACTCCACGAGAAGATCAAACCCAAGAAACATAATCATCAGATTCTTTAAGGTTGAAATGAAGGAAAAAATGTTAAGGGCAGCCAGAGAGAAAGGCCAGGTCACCTACAAAGGGAAGCCTATCAGACTAACAGCAGACCTGTCAGCAGAAACCTAAAGCCAGAAGTGAGTGGAGGCCAACATTCAACATTCTTAAAGAAAAAATTTTCAACCCAGAAGCTTCATAAGCAAAGGAGAAATAAAATCCTTTTTAGACAAGCAAATGCTAAGGGATTTCATCACCACTAGGCCTTCCTTGCAAGAGCTCCTGAAGGAAGCAATAAATATGGAAAGAAAAACCAGTACCAGCCACTGCAAAAACACACCTTAGCATAAAGACCGAAGACACTATAAAGAAACTGCATCAACTAGTGTGCAAAATAATCAGATAAGATCATAATGACAGGATCAAATTCACACATAAAAATATTAACCTTAAATGTAAATGGTCTAAATGGCCCAATTAAAAGACACAGACTGGCAAATTGGTTAAAGAGTCAAGATCCATTGGTGTGCTGTATTCAGGAGACCCATCTCACGTGCAAATACACACATTGGCTCAGAATAAAGGGATGGAGGAAAATTTGCCAAGCAAATGGAAAGCAGAAAAAAGCAGAGGTTGCAATCCTAGTTTCTGACAAAACAGGCTTTAAACCAACAAACATAAAAATAGACAAAGAAGGGCATTACATATTGGCAAAGGGATCAATTCAACCGCAAGAGCTAACTATCCTAAATATGTATGCATCCAACACAGGAGCACCCTGATTAATAAAACAAGTTCTTAAGAGACCTACAGAGAGACTTAGACTCCCACACAATAACAGTGGGAGACGTTAACACCCCACTGTCAGTATTAGACAGATCAATGAGACAGAAAATTAACAAGGATGTTCAGGACTTGAACTCAGCTCTAGATCAAGTGGACCTAATAGACATCTACAGAACTCTGCACCCTAAATCAATAGAATATACATTCTTCTCAGTGCCACATGGCACTTATTCTAAAATTGACCACATAATTGGAAGTAAACCACTCCTCAGCAAATGCAAAAGAACAGAAATCATAACAAACAGTCTCTCAGACCACAGTGCAATCAAATTAGAACTCAGGATTAAGAAAGTCACTCAAAACCACACAAATTCATAGAAATTGAACAACCTGCTTATAAATGACTCCTGGGTGAACAACGAAATTAAGGCAGAAATCAAGAAGTTCTTTGAAACCAGTGAGACCAAAGAGACAACATACCAGAATCTCTGAGACACAGCTAAAGCAATGTTAAGAGGGAAATTTATAGCACTAAATGCCCAAATCAGAAAGCTAAAAGATCTCAAGTCGACACCCTAACATCACAATTAAAAGAGCTAGAGAAGCAAGAGCAAACAAATCCAAAAGCTAGCAAAAGACAGCACATTACTAAGATCAGAGCAGAACTAAAGGAGATACACACACACAAAAAAAAAAACCCTTCGAAAAATCAATGAATCCAGGAGCTGGTTTTTTGAAAAAAATAACAGACACTAGCTAGAATAATAGAAAAGAAGAATCAAGTCGACACAATAAAAATGATAAAGGGGATAGCAAAACTGATCCCACATAAATACAAGGTACCATCAGAGAATACTCTAAACACCTGTATGCAAAAAAACTAGAAAATCTAAGAAATGGATAAATTCCTGGACCCAAACATTCTCTCAAGACTAAACCAGGAAGAAGTCGAATCCCTGAATAGAACAATAATGAGTTCTGAAATTGAAGTGGTAATTAAATAGCCTACCAGCAAAAAATGCCCAGGATCAGACAGATTCACAGCTGAATTCTACCAGAGGTACAAAGAGGAGCTGGTACCACTCCTTCTGAAACTATTGCAAACAATTGAAAAGGAGGGACTCTTCTCTAGCTCATATTATGAGGCCAGCATCACACTGATACCAAGACCTGGCAGAGACACAACAAAAAAGACAACTTTAGGCCAATATCCCTGATGAACATTGATGTGAAAATCCTCAATAAAATACTGGCAAACTGAATCCAGCAGCACATCAAAAAGCTTATGCACCACGATCAAGTTGGCTTCATCCCTGGGATGCAAGGCTGGGTAACATATGCAAATCAATAAATGTAATCCATCACATAAACAGAACCACTAACAAAAACCAGATGATTATCTCAACAGATGCAGAAAAAGCCTTTGATAACATTCATCATCAATTCATGTTAAAGAAGAAGCTCTCAATAAACTAGGTATTGATGGAACATATCTCAAAATAATAAGAGCATTTTATGACAAACCCACAGCCAATATCATACAGAATGGGCAAAAGCTGGAAGCATTCCCTTTGAAAACCCACACAAGACAAGGATGTCCTCTCTCACCACTCCTATTAAATATAGTATTGCAAGTTCTGGCTAGGGCAGTCAGGCAAGGGAAAGACCTAAAATGTATTTAATAGGAAGAAAGGAAGTCAAACTGTCTCTATTTGCAGGTGACATGATTCCATATTTAGAAAACCCCACGGTCTCAGCTGAAAAGCTCCTTAAGCTGATAAGCAAATTCAGCAATGTCTCAGGATACAAAATCAATGTGCAAAAATCACAAGCATTCCTTTACACAAACAATATACAAGCAGAGAGTGAAATCATAAATGAACTCCTATTCACAATTGCTACCAAATGGAATGAAATACCTCAGAATATAGCTAACAGGGATGTGAAGGACCTCTTCAAGGAGAACTACAAACCACTCCTCAGGGAAATAAGAGAGGACACAAGCAATTGTAAAAATAACCCATCCTCATGGATAGGAAGAATCAGTATAAAAATGGCCATACTGCCCAAAGTAATTTATAGATTCAATGCTATTCCCATCAAACTACCATTGACATTCTTCACAGAAGTAGAAAAAACTACTTTAAATTTCATAGAACCGAAAGAGAGCCTATATAGCCATGAAAATCGTAAGCAAAAAGAACAAAGCTGGAGGGATCATGCTACCTGATTTCAAACTATACTACAAGGCTACAGTAACAAAAACAGCATGGTACTGGTATCAAAACAGACATGTAGATCAATGAAACAGAACAGAGACCTCATAAATAACACCACTACAACCGTCTGATCTTCCACAAACCTGACAAAAACAAGCAATCGGGAAAGGATTGCCAATTTAATAAATGATGTTGGGAAAACTGGCTAGCCATATGCAGAAAACTGAAACTGGTCCCCTTCCTTACATCTTATACAAAAATTAACTCAAGATGGATTAAAGACTTAAATGTAAAACCCAAAAGCATAAAAACCTAGAAGAAAACCTAGGCAATTCCATTCAGGACATAGGCATGGGCAGACTTCATGACTAAAACACCCAAAGCAATAGCAACAAAAGCCAAAATTAACAAATGGGATCTAATTAAACTAAAGAGCTTCTGCACAGCAAAAGAAACTATCATCAGAATGAACAGGCAACCTACAGAATGGGAGAAAATTTTTGCAAGCTACCCATATGACAAAGGGCTAATATCCAGAATCTACAAGGAAGTTAAACAAATTTACAATAAATAAAAAACCCCATCAAAAAATGGGCAAAGGATGTGAACAGACACTTCTAAAAAGAAGACATTTATGCAGCCAACAAACATATGAAGAAAAGCTCAACATCACTGATCATTAGAGAAATGCAAATCAAAGCCACAGTAAGATACCATCTCATGTCAGTCAGAATGGCAATTACTAAAAAGTGAAGAAACAGTAGATACTGTCGAGGCTGTGGAGAAATAGAAACGCTTGTACATTGTTGGTGGAAATGTAAATTAGTTCAACCATCATGGAAGACAGTGTGGTGATTCCTCCAGGATCTAGAACCAGAAATACCATTTGATGCAGCAATCCCATTACTGGGTATATACCCAAAGGAATATAAATCATTCTACTATGAAGACACATGCACACATAGGTTTATTGCAGCACTATTTACAATAGCAAAGATATGGAACCAACCCAAATGCCCATCAATGATAGATTGGGTAAAGATAATGTGGTACATTCATACCATAGAATACTATGCAGCCATAAAAAGGAATGAGATCATGTCCTTTGCAGGGACATGGATGAGCCTGGAAGCCATCATCCTCAGCAAACTAACACAGGAACAGAAAACCAAACACCGCATGTTCTCACTCCTAAGTGGGAGTTGAACAATGAAAACACATGGACACAGGGAGGGGAACAACACACACAGGTGCCATTCAGAGGGTGAGGTGGAGGGGAGGGAGAACATTAGGACAAATAGCTAATATATGTGAGGATTAAAACCTAGATGATAGGTTGATAGGTGCAACAAACCACCATGGCACACGTATACGTATGTAACAAACCTACATGTTCTGCGTTTGTATCCCATAACTTAAAAAACTTTTTTTCATGGGCAAAAGTATATGAGCAAGCAATTCACAAAAAAGATAGTCTGGATAGCTAATAATTATATAAAAATTTGCTTAATTTCATTGGTAATCAGGCAAAGACTAATTTAAATGATTGGCGGGACTAATATGTTCATTAACTTCAAGTGTTGGTAAAGAATATAAACTATCCCACACTCAGAGTAAGATTCTGATTTAATAAAGCAAATATACACAGAAATAAGCCAGTTTTTCTGAAGTTAATATTAGGACACTAATTTAATATGTTTGTATCTTTTGTTATTTTGAGTTGAAGCTAAGGCATGTAGTTACAATTTTCCTGAAATGAAGTGTCATATATCAGTTACAATTAATATATTCAAGATATAAGATTCAACCTGGAAAATAAAATTATAACGTGTACAAAAATTACAAAATAAAGTTGAAGAAATTATATAGTTTACTGAAAATTCACAAATGTATAAGCATGCAGAGGGTCACACTATTAGGCTGAGAAATGCAAATAACTGTGTAACTGGTATATCTCTCCATTTATTCGGACCCACTTCTATGCTGTTTTTAAGATTTTAAATTTTTTCTCTATGAATATTTTTGCTAGATTAGTTTGTAGATTTTTTTTTGCACTAGAGAGTGGCATATTTTCTATTCTATTTTTAGGTGGTAGAAAGGGGCATTAATAATTGTAAGTTTAATAATTTTTAAGCTATCTGCACTGTCTCTGTTGATTCACTTTACTTTCCCCAAATCAACTTTTGCTTATATTTGTTTCATTAGATTTATTATTCTTTTAATGGCTATGTTTGTAGACATCTTCTAGTTTTTCATTTTGTATTTTGTTAATTTGAATTCTTGTTCTCTATTTCTAAAGTACTATGTTTAGTTTTCAGTAATTGTAATTAATGGCAAACAGTCTTTATTAAAAATATTTTAGTAGATGATAATTTATTTGGTTGCAGAATTCTAGGTCGAAAGGTATTTTATTTCATTGCTATAAAGCTACTTTTATTGTCTTCTGTTCTATATTGCTGCTATAAGGAATTGGTTATTAGTTTAAATGTTATTTTTAATCTATAACCTTTCTTTTATCTTGGGCTTGTTTTTAGACCTTTTTATTTTTGGTCTAGAAAGAAATTTATTTATTATTACACTATGTCTAGAAAGAAATTTAGTTTTATTTATCTTATTTAGAGCTTATGATTCTTCTCAAAACCAGGCTATCATCTCATTGTATATTGTCTTTCCTACCATTTATCTATTCTCTCCTTCTGTAAGTCCTATCCGAAGGTGACCATCTTATCTTACCCTTCATATCTCTCAAACTCTTCTTTTTGTTTATCATTTATTAATCTTTCTGTACTTCATACTGTGTAAATTTTCTGATACCTTTTTTCTAGTTTATTAACCCTCTTTTTTACCCACATCCATTTTTTTATTTGTTCTTAAATTTCAATGACCATGTCTTTCTTTTGTAGGGTTTTCTTAGTTCTTTTCACATCCTATCATACCAATTTCTGACTCATGTTATGTGTGTGTACTTTATTTTGCTATTTATTTATTTACTTACTTAAGACATATTTTATATCAGATTATTTTGCCTCCTTAAATTCTTGGGTTTCTAGTCCTCTTGTCTGTTTTTTTCTGCTAACTCTAGCTTCTGATAAATTGTTTCTTCATACATTTTGTAACTTTTGATTGTGAACTCATCTTCAGGGTGACTTTATCAGTAGAAACTGTGATTTAAGTTAATGGTTTACCCTGCAGTTGTGGTTGCACACGCTGCCAAGTGCTTCATGGAATAATCAACCCAGGATAAATTCTTAAATTTATTTCTTGACTTGAGGGCTTTCAGATCATAAAGAGGTTAAAATTTAAAATTTACAAGAGGCAAAAGTTAGATTTTTAGGAAAGCTTTTTAAAATTTGTTAGTTTGTTTTTGCTCATCCAGAGTTCTGACAGAAATACTTAACATCAGTAACTCTCTGTGGTGGTGGACAGAATTTTTCTGTTCTTCAAACAAGAGTATGGCCTTTTGAGGGTCCTGGCTTTATTCGTGTGTGCCAACTGCCCCCTTATGAGGGGAGAAGTTCCCCTCTATTTCCATGCAGAGTTTAAAACCAGAATCCTTGGGTTATAAATATTGGCTGCCACCCCAGAGCTAACCTTTTCACCCTGCATTTCACCTTGTATTCGCAGAAGTCACATATTTAGCTAATTTCTATTGTGTTCAGGTCTCTTTTCCTCTAAATCTCCAACTTATTTCCCTTTATTTATTGAAAACTCTGTAAAATACTTAAAATCCTTTTTATATTACTGTTTTTCACATTTTTATGTAGTTTTAGCAGACTACTTTTAGGGACAATTTATGTTTTGCCATAAATGGAAACTAGGAATTTTCCATCATACCTTTCCTTGAACTTCATTGATCCTCAATTTTTAAATAAATCTTCACCATCATATCACATTTCTCCACTTACAAACTTTTTGGCTTTGATTATTTTTTCTTTCTGCCTCTGAATTTTCTGCTCTTTGACTTCCTTCTGGTTTGTTTTTCCATTTGAGTTTAAAAATGCTTTGTTTTCTCAAAACAAAGTTTTAGAAAGATGTTTTCTAAATCATTGTACTATCTTCAACAATAAAGATTTTTAAAAACATTTAACAAATGTTTGTTTGATGGCTTGTGTGGGAATTGAAACAGCATATATCTGCAGTGCACAGGACCAGTACTTTAATTTCAATACTTTCATGACTGTGAGAGAAATTACCTTTGTGATTCTTCCCAGGAAAAATCTCTGCCAATCTGTGGCGGTTAAATGGTCAATTTATTTGGCTCTACAGTGGGACACTTGGTTTTTCAGGGATTAACTTAACCAGCTTTAAATTAATCGGTCTATTTCCTTCTTTATTCTTGATAATTTCTGTGAATTACTTTTATTATTTTCTATTTTAGTTTTTGTGGCTACAAAGTAGATGTGTATTTTTATGGAGTACCTGGAAAGTTTTGATACAAGAATGCAATGCTTCATAACCACATCATGTAAAATGAGGTACCCATCTTCTCAAGCATTTATCTTTTGTGTTACAAACAATCCAATTATACTCTTTTGGTTATTTTAAAATATACAATTAAATTATTATTGACTATAGACACTCTGTTATGCTGTCAAATACTAGGTATTATTCATTATTTCTAACTATTTTTTGTACTCATTAACCATCCTCACCTACCCCCATACCCCTACTTCCCTTCCCAGCCTCCGTTAACTATCATTCTATTGTCTATCTCCATGAGTTCAATTGTTTTGATTTTTAGATCCCACAAGTAAGTGAGAACATGCGATATCTGTCTTTCTGTGCCAGGCTTATTTCACTTAACATAATGGCCTCCAGTGCCATCCATGTTGTTGCAGATGACAGGATCTCATTCTTTTTTTTTTTTAAGACTGTATAGTACTTCACTGTGTATAAGTACCACATTTTCTTGATGGACACTTAGTTGCTTCCAAATTGTTGCTATAGTGAACAGTGCTGCAACAAACATGGGAATGCAGATATCTGTTCAATATACTGATTTCCTTTGGTTGTATACCCAGCAGTGGGATTGCTAGATCATATGATAGCTCTATTTTTTTTTTTTTGAGGGAATTACAAACTCTTCTCCATAGTAGTTGTAATAATTTACATTCCCACCAACAGTATACGAATGTTCCTTTTTTTCCACATTCTTGCCAGCATTTGTTGCTACCTGTCTTTTGGATGTAAGCCATTTTAACTGGGCTGAGATAATATTGCATTGTAGTTTTGATTTGAATTTCTCTGATGATCAATGATGTTGAGCACCTTTTCATGGGCCTCTTTGCCATTTGTGTGTCTTCTTTTGAGAAACATCTATTCAAATTATTTGCCCATTTTTAAATCTGATTATTAGAGTTTTTCCTACAGAGTTGTTTGAGCTTCTTATATATTGTGGTTATCAATCCCTTGTTAGATGGGTAGTTTGTAAATATTTCCTCCAATTCTGTGAGTTGCCTTTTGGCTTTGTTGATTGTTTCCTTTGCTGCACAGAAGCTTTTTGTCTAATGTGATCCTATTTGTCCTGTTTTGCTTTGGTTGTCTGTGCTTGTGGAATATTACTCAAGAAATTTTTGCCCAGGCTAATGTCCTGGAAAGCTTCCTCGAAGTTTTCTTCTGGTGGATTCATAGTTTGAGGTCTTAGACTTAAGTCTTTAATCCATTTTTGATTTGATTTTTGTATATGGCGAGAGAGGGATATAGTTTCATTCTTCTGCATATGGATATCGAGTTTTCCTTCATGGTTCATATTGGTAGGTTGTGTGTGTCTAATCATTTGTCTATTTCTTTTAGATTTTTCATTTTATTGGCATATTGTTCCTCATAGTAACCACTATGATCCCTTGAATTTCTTCAGTATCAGAAGTAATGTCTCCTTTTTCATCTCTGATTTTATTTGGATCTTCTTTTTTCTTAGTTTTGCTAAAGCTTTGTCAATTTTAACTTTTCATAAAATCCAAGGTTTTTTTTATTGATCTTTTGTATTGTTTTCTTCACTTCAATTTCATTTATTTCAATGAAATAAATTTTAATTTCTGCTTTGATCTTTATTATTTATTTTATTCTACTAATTTTAGGTTTGATTTCCTCTTGCTTTTCTAGTTTTTAAAGATGCGTTAGCATTGTTACGTTGATTCTTTGAAACTTTTCCTCTTTTTTGATGTAAGCACTTTTAGCTATGAACTTCCCTCTTAGCACTGCTTTAACTCTTTTTCATAAGTTTTGGTATGGTATATGTCCATTATCATTTATTTCAAGAAATGTTTCAATTTTCTTGTTCATTCCTTCATTGACCCACTAGTCATTCAGGAGGATATTGTGTAACTTCCATGTGTTTGTGTAGTTTCCAAAATTCTTCTTGCTTTTGATTTCTACTTTTAGTCCATTGTGGTTGGAGAAAATACTTGGTATTATTTCAATTTCTTAAAATGTTTTAAGACTTACTTTGTGACTTAATACATGGTCTATCCTTTAGAATGATCCATGTGCTGAGGAAAACGATGTGTATTCTGCAGCCATTGGGATGAAATGTTCTGTAAATATCTGTTAGATTCATTTGGTCTATAGTGCAGATTAAGTCTGATGTTTCCTTGTTGAGTTTTCTCTCTCAATGATTTGTCCAATTCTAAAAATGGAGTGTTGAAGTCTCTAACTATTATTGTACTGGGATCTATCTCTTTTTAGTTTAATAATTTTGCTTTAAATATATGGATGCTGCAGTGTTGGGGTGCATATATATTTATAATTGTTATATCCTTTTGCTGAATGGACCCCTTTATCTTTCTTTTTGAGACAGAGTCTCGTTCTATCACCCAGGCTAGAGTGCAAATGGCATGATCTTGGATCACTGCAACCTCCGCCTCCTGGGTTCAAGCAATTCTCCTGCCTCAGCCTCTCAAGAAGCTGGGATTACAGGTGCCCATGACCACGCCCAGCTAATTTTTTGTAAATTTAGTAGAGACTGAGTTTTGCCATGTTGGCCAGGCTGGTCTCAAACTCCTGACCCCAGGTAATCCACCCACCTGAGCCTCCCAAAGTGCTGGGATTACAGGCATGAGCCACCATGCCCAACCTGACCCCTTTATCATTATATAGTAACCTTCTTTGTCTCTTGTTATTAGGTTAGTGCAAAAGTAATTGCAATTTCAGATTATGAATCTTAAATCATTATAAGAGGCTCAAGCACATCTTTATTAATCAAAATAGGAACAATTACAATCAACATATTTTTGCCAATGAAAAATATGTTTGTTAATTCTTGTAGCATAAAGATTCATGCTTCAGGATTTGACAAACTACTGGAGAGCATTTTCTTCATCCTGCTGGTTGTGGAAGCATTTTCCCTGCAAAAAGTTGTTGCAATGCTTGAAAAAGTGGTAGTTCCTTGGTGAGAGATCAGGTGAATATGGCAGATGAGGCAAAACTTCATAGCCCAATTTGTTCAACTTTTGAAGTGTTGGTTGTGTGATGTGCGATTGGGCATTGTCCTGGAGAAGAATTGGGCCCTTTCTGTAGATCAATGCCAGCTGCAGGCATTGCAGTTTTGGTGCATCTCATTGATTTGCTGATCGTATTTCTCAGATGTGATGGTTTCACCAGGATTCAGAAAGCTGTAGTGGATCAGACTGGCAGTAGACCATCAAAGAGTGACCATGGCCTTTTTGTGATGCAAGTTTGGCTTTGGGAAGTGCTTTGGAGCTTCTTCTCAGTCGAACCATTGAGCTGGTCATCACTAATTTTCATATAAAATCCACTTTTCATCACATGTCACAATCTGGTTGAGAAATGGTTTGTTGTGTAGAATAAGAGAAGATGACACTTCAAAATGACAATTTTTAAAATTTTGTCAGCTCATGAGGCACCCACTTATCAAGCTTTTTTGCCTTTCCAATTTGCTTCAAATGCCAAACAACTGCAAAATGGTTGACCTTGAGTTCTTTGGCAACATCTTGTATAGTTGTGAGAGGATCAGCATAGATGATTGCTCTCAACTGGTCATTGTCAACTTGTGATGGCCAGCCACTATACTCCTCATCTTCAAGGCTCTCATCTCCTTTGCAAAACTTCTTGAACCACCACTGCACTGTACGTTTGTTAGCAGTTCCTGGGACAAATGCATTGTTGATGTTGCCAGTTGACTCTGCTACTTTATGACCTATTTTTAACTGGAATAAGAAAATTATTCGAATTTGCTTTTTATCTAACATAATTTCAATAGTCTAAAATAAACAGCAAGTAATAAGTCATTAGAAAAAAAGCAAGAAATGGCTATTAAAATAACGTGTAACATAACCACATTTATTTAAGAATGTATTCCAATATCAAACAGCAAATCCCAACAACGCAAAAACCGCAATTCCTACTGCACCAACCCATTTTTGTCTCGAAATCTATTTAATCTGATATGAATATAGCTACTTCTGCTCTTTTGTGGATCCACTGGCATGAAATATCTTTTTCCATTCCTTTATTTCTCATCTATGTGTGTCTTTATATGTGAAGTGTTTTTCTTGTAGGCAACAGATCATTGAGTCTTTTTTTAAAACTTCATTCAGTTGTATGTGTTTTGATTGGAGAGTTTAGTCAATTTTCATTCAATATTATTATTGATAAGTAAGGACTTACTGCTGCCATTTTATTATTTGTTTTCTGGTTGTTTTATGGTCTTCTCTTCTTTCTTTTCTTTCTTCCTGTCTTCCTTTTAGTGGAGGTGATTTTCTCTGGTGATATGGTTTAGTTTCTTACTTTTTATTTCTTGTATATCTGCTTTATGTTTTTTGGTTTGTGGTTACCATGAGCCCTGCAAATACTACCTTATAACCCATTATTTTAAGATGATAACAACTTTCTATTCATGTAAACAAACAAGCAAATAGACAACTAAACTGATGAAGACTCTATGCGATACTTCATCCACCTACTTTTTAAGTTTTGTTGTTTGTATTTACATATTATTGTACTTTCTATTTCTTAAAAAGTTGTTGTAGTTGTTATTTTTTACTGGTTCATTATTTTTACTTAAGGGAACTTATTTTACACACCACAGTTACAGTGTTATAATATTCTGTTTTTCTGTGTATTTACTATTACCAGTGAATTTTGTACCTTTAGATGATTTATTATTGCTGATAATGTCATTTTCTTTCTGATTGAAATACTTCATTTAGCACTTCTTACAGGAAAGGTCTGATGTTGATGAAATATCTCAGCTTTTGTTTGTCTGGGAAAGTCTGTATTTCTCCTTTATGTTTGAAGGATATTGTCACCAGATATACTATTCTAGGGTAAAACACATTTTTCCATTAACACTTTAAATATGTTATGCCACTCTCTCCAGGCCTGTAAGGTTTCCACTGAAAAGTCTGCTGCCAAGTGTATTGAAGCTGCATTGTATGTTATTCATTTCTTTTCTCTTGTTGCTTTTAGAGTCCTTTCTTTATCCTTGACCTTTGTGAGCTTGATTATTCAATGCCTTGAGGTAGTCTTCTTGGGTTAAATCTACTTGCTGTTCTATAACCTTCTTGTACTTGGATATTCATATCTTTCTCTTGGTTTCGGACATTCTCTGTTATTATCCCTTTGAATAAACTCTACCCCATTTCTTTCTGTACCTACTCTCCAATCTTTAAGGCCAATAAATTTTATGTTAGCCCTTTTGAGTCTATTTTCCAGATCCTGTGGACATGCTTCATTGTTTTTAATTTTTTTCTTTTGTCTCCTCTGACTGTGTATTTTCAAGTACCTGTCTTCAAACTCACTAATTCTTTCTTCTGCTTCATCAGCTTTGCTATTAAAAGACTCTGATGCATTCTTCAATGTGCCAATTAAATTTTTCAGCTCCAGAATTTCTGCTTGAATGTTTTTAAATATTTTAATCTCTTTATTAAATTTGTCTGATAGAATTCTGAATTCCTCCTCTGTGTTATCTTTAATTTCTTTGAATTTCTGTACAATAGCTATTTTGAATGTTCTGTCAAAAGGTCACTTATCTTTGTTTCTCCAGTGTTGGTCTCTGGTGCTGTAATTAGTTCATTTGGTAAGGTCATGTTTTCCTGGATGGTCTTCATACTTGTAGATGTTTGTCAGTGTCTGGGCATTATTAAGAGTTAGGTATTTATTATTGTCTTCTCAGTCTGGGCTTATTTGTACCCATCCTTCTTGGGAAGGCTTTCCAGATATGCAAAAGGAGTTGAGTCTTGTGATCTAAGCTGTATCTGCTTTTGGGAGCACCCTAACCTTATTAACATTGTGGTTCTTGTGGACTTGTTGAAATACCACCTCGATGGTCTTGTACAAGATCCAGAAGAATTATCTGGATTACCAGGCAGAGACTCTTGTTCTCTTCCCTTACTTTCTCCCAAACAAATGGAATTTGTTCTGAGCCACCTGGACCAGGTGATGAAGTGACATAAGCACCCCTGTGGCCACCACTATTATGATTGTGCTGGGTCAGGCCTGAATCTAACAGAGCACTGGGTCTTGCCCAAGGCCTTCTATAACCACTCCCTGGCTACCACCTACATTCACTCAAGGCCTTGGGGCCCTACAATCGGCAGGTGACAAAGCCAGTCAGTGCTGTGTCCTTCTCTTCAGGGTGGCAAGTTTCCTTAGGCCGTGGTTGCATCCAGAGATGCTGTCTGGGAGCCTGGGACTAGAGCAAAAATCCTTAGAAAGTCCCTCTGATGTTCTAACATACTTAGTCTGACCTGGCACTCAAACCACAAGATGTAGTTCTTCTCATTCTTCCATCCACTTTCCAAAGGCAGAGGAGCCTCACCCTGTGGCCACCTCCACCACAGGCCCATGGGGAGTACTGCCAGACTACAGCTGATGTTCCCTTAAGACCCAAGTGCTCTTCAGTCAGCTCGTGGTGAATGCTTTCTGTCCTGGGATTTTCCCTTCAGGGAAGTGGGCTCCCCTGTGGCCCAGGGCAGGTCCAGAAATGCCATCCAAGATTCATGTCCTGGAATTGCAAACCCCAAGAGCCCACTTGGTGCTCTATTCACCTGTGGTTGTGCTGGTACCTGAGGTAAAAGACGAAGTACTTCTTACTTTTCCCTCCACTTTTCTCAAGTGGAAGTTATCTCACCCCACAGCCACTACAGCTGGGAATGTGCTGAGTCTCACCTAAAGCCAGCAAGTCTCAAAGTCTCCCTCAAGGCCATCAACATAGTACTTGGGTATTGCTGCTGGTTATTCAGGGCCTAAGGGCTCTTCAGTTAGCAAGTGATGAATCCTACCAGGACTGGGTTCTTTTCTTCCATAAAGCAGATTCCCTTCTGGTGCAGGTCATGTCTAAAAATGTTGTTTGGAAGCAACGGCTCGGAAAGAAGACCTCATGACTGACTGGTGCCCTATCCTGTTGTGGCTGAGCTGATATGCAAGATGCAAGATGCAGTGCTCCCCACTCTTCCTTCTCCTCTCCACAAGTGGAAGGAAGGGGTTGTTTTTGGAGCCACAAGCTGTGTAGCTTGGGGTTATGGGAGAGGTAATGCCAGAACTCTCTTAGCTGCCCTTTGCTGGTGTCTCAGTAGGCTGAGCTTGTCCCAGTCCACTGGCTAGGGGTGGCACTAGGACTCATTTAGGCATTGCAGTCCTTGTGGCCTAGGCTGCCTTTCAAGTTTAGTTAGAGCCCCAGAGCACTTTAGCCCATATTGATGAGACTTGAGGAACTCAAGTTCAGATCACTGGGATGGCGATTATCCTCAGGCTAGGGCTGGTTTGAATGCTTCCTCCCTAGGAGGGCATTGGCTGAGTTTGGTCTGGTTTTGTTTTCTGCTATAACAGGGGAGTTCAATGCCTTAAAATTGCTGTGTTCTCCGTCTCCCCAGTGCACAAAAACACTCTGCACCAAGCCACTGATGCTGAGAGGGATGGAGAAGAAGTGGTGGCGGAGACTCAAGACTGTTTTTCCTACTTCTTCAGTGCCTCTTTCAGCAATATGAAGTTAAAACCAAGTGCTGTGAGTGCTCACCTAATTTTTGGTTCTTATGAAGGTTCTTTTTTTGTGTGTAGATAGTTGTTAAATTGGAGTGTCTTGGTTTGGGGGATGATAGGTAGAACCTTCTATTCTGCCATGTTGCTCTGCCCCCAAATATTTTTAGATATATGTATTTACCTTAGTTCCATGTATAAAGAATATTCTTCAAAATTATACCATCACAATCACAAAACATACTAAGATCTGAACTGGAATGTTTAAAGACCAACAACAAACAAACCCTACATCCTATTTTCTCTTAATGTCTCTCTCTGGGCTGCTATACTGGTTGGATCATACATAATAATTCAGTGTTTTAGAATGACACACTATAAATTTTAATAATTCTTTAATAGCTGTGTGAAATGCATGACTAAAAGAGTGATATTGGGGTAATGATAAGATAGATATTGAGATAATGATAAGAGATAATGACTAAGAGATAATGATATTTGATTCTGTGTACTTGTGATAAAATTAAATATTACATGTTATTGGGTTCCCTATAGAAGGCAATTCAATAATGAGTGATCAAATGATAAAGAAGTGAATGCAAATAACAATTTTTAAAATGCAGTATACACTCTCATAAGGACAAAAGGTTAGAGCCGTTTGTATTGATAGAAAGTACAAAAATTAAAAAGGACATTTATTTAAAAGGTAAAAGAAAAATGAGCTTTGCCTTGAATTCCCATGCTTGACAGAGAGATGTGCAAAGAGAAATTTTAAAAGCAGCATAATATGTGTTTCAGAGTTTGGTTATTTTATTTAAAAATAATTAATTAAGTATTTTAATTGACAGTAATTGTATATATTTATTATGTATAATATGGTGTTTTGAAATATGTATACCTTGTGAAATGGCTAAATCAAGCTAATGTACATATATATCACCTCACACACATCATTTTCTTGTGATGAGAACATCTAAAACCTATCCTCTTAGTGATATTTAAGAATATAATACATTGTTATTAACTATAGTATCTATGTTATAGATCTTTTGAACTTATTACTCCTACATAAGAATATTTTGTATTATTTGACCAACATCTCCCCAAAACCCTCTGCTAGACACTAGTAACCACCATTCTACTCTCTGCTTCTATGAGTTTAACATTTTTATATTTCACATAATTGAGATCATGTGATACTTGTCTTTCTATGGAGTTTTTCCCTACATTCTAGGAGTTTTACAGTTTAAGTTTTTAATCCATTTTGAATTGATTTTTGTATATGGTGTGAGATAAGGGTCTAATTTCATTCTGCATGTGGATATCCATTTGTCCAAAAACCATTTATTGAAGAAACTGTCCTTTTCCCATTATATGTATACTTGAAAGCTTTGTCAAATATCAATTGACCATAAATGCATAGATTTGTTTATAGGCTCTCTATTTTGTTCCACTAGTCTATGTGTCTGTTTTTACACCAATATAATGCTATATTGATTACTATAGTTTTGTAGTATATCTAAAAGTCAGGTGGTGTGATGCCTCTGTTTTTGTTCTTTTTGATCAAGGCTGCTTTGGATACTTTGGGATCTTTTGTGGTTCTATACAAATTTTAAGTTTGTTTTCTTCTATTTCTGTGAAAAATGTCATTGGTATTCTGATAGGGATTGCACTGAATCTGTGATAGCTCTGAGTAGTATTACCACTTAAAAAATATTAATTCTTCCAATCCATGAACACAGGATATCTTTCCATTCCAGGACTTGTTTTAAAAGTGTTGTAACTAGTGCCGTGTCTTTGGTAAAACCTTGCTCAATAATTGCTATGCCATGTCCCAAGCATTGTTCTTATAAAATGAAGGAATTATTTTATTTCATATTATATTTTTACAGACAAAACAATAAGAACTTAGTCCCCTAAATGCTGAATATTAATTATATAGTGCACATTGTTATAAGTTTCTGTAACACATTTAATTTGTTTGGTTTTATTTTGTGAGTGACAATGACTGCTTAAACTCTACTATGGATTGATCAAAGATAGTGAAACGTGATGTTTACAATTCTCCCTCAATCAACATCAGACTTTTGGTAAAATACATAAAACTGAATTATTTCTTTCATAAAATTAGATTCAACTTATACAGTTTGAATTTAGAAATCCTTTACAGGGGACATGACTGATTATATGTAAACATTAACTTGTTCTTACTTAATGAGTTAATTTTTAAAATCAGTTATTCAGATGGACATTTAAGGACACTCTTGATCAAAACTGCTTTCAAAAATGGTGACTTTATCAGGTATAAGCTTCAATTATATAGAAAACTCAACTAGATATTAAACACTTATTTTCCCAGTAATGCTTAGGAGATTGAAGCAATACTTTATGCCTGGGAGGGCGGGGGGAAACAAAAACAAAACTATTTCTTAAAATGAGTTCCTGTTTGCAAGAATGAAGAGAAAACAAATCATAGGAAATGCAGCCTGTATTGACCCCATTTCTTAGTCATTAAGCTATTTTTGAGACTAATGAGAAAATATGTCAAACATATTTAATTTTTCTCCACATGAACAACCAGAATAAACCTCTGTGGTGAGCCTAGCACACTGATCAAGTTTTCATATCATTTTTTTAAGTGAGCACATTCCCCAAACAGTTTTTTTGAGTGAAATAGTCAAGGTAAGGAAAATTTCCTTGCCAGCCTTCCTTGAGCATACTGAAGCAGCAGTAACAGAAATGATTGTACCAGCCCTTTCACTGTGTAAATTCAAGCTGTAGTTCAGAGAACATCAAAGGGGTCAAAGGGATAGTAGGGGTTTTTGTGTCCCAACTTGTCCCTATTCTTTTTGTGGTAGCTGATCCCATCTGTCTCCAAGAGCTGATTGTAGCTTATGCTTTGTGAGTATTGTTCACAAGTCACCTAAGTAAAGATTAAACTTGTGGCTCCTTTCCCATGTGTTCAGTCTGGTGTTAAAATGTAAAAACAGCCGTCTATTTGTACAAGCACACAGTCATAAGTAATGTGAGTCTGTAACATAGAATAACAAATTATTTAAATTTAACATATGAATATTTGAGATATTTTATGTTTTTATACTTTCTAACGATTTTAGAGATTTAAGTAGCCAAATTAGGCAAATAAAAGTTACTCTGCAGGGTGGTTGTGAAGCTGGAGGTTTCCTCAACCTGCAGAAAATACTGAGTATAGTGACTGACAAACGGTAAATAATATTTATGAATGATCATAACTGAACTTCTGGCCATAATGAGATTCATTAGCTGAAGAAAGGTGCTTTCAATGGGAAAGGATATATTTTTATATTTTCTAAAATCTTTACCTATTTTCTAATTTCTCCTTAAGTGTAAGGATGACAGCTTCTATATACTGAGCAACGACCATGTCTAACATTTTGTTGTTATTGCTTTACATTCATGATGTTGTGGCAGATTTCTTATAATACAATTCCCCACACCAGAGAATCTAGATACTTAACAAAAAAAAGCAACATGTATAATTGAGAAACAATTGGTCATTAATTCTTAGGCTTGGTTTTAGGGGAAACAGAGTTAATGCACTTTAATAAGTCTTCCTGTGGTACATATGTGTTGTAAGAGAGCTCTAGAGACTTAAAGCCTACAGGAGGTGTCTAGTGTGAATTAAACTACATTTGTTAACATCATTTTTCTGACTTATTTATAATGATTAAATATACTCGATTATTTTGCCCATAACCCAAGAATTAATTGACCTGGGCATTTAAAAAATATATATATATATATTTGTTTCAATTAAACAAAACAGATAAGTTAAATTGTTTTTATGTCCTGTGAACACTCCACCTTTGTTCATTATAGTAAATGGGGGAAGTACAAGTCATTTGATTGCTCTTTAACCTTTCATTATATCGACAATCTGTTATTGTCTAGCATCAATTCCATCCTTCTCAGAAGGTGGCTTGGCATTTTTGTGGTATTTTCAATCTAGGGAAATAAATCTGCATCTCCATCTGGATTGACCAGATGAGGCTCCCTTCAGAGCCAATTAACACTTTACCAATGGGGTCACCTCAGCATGGTAGGAGGTGCTTTGCACCTCCAGGGCGACCATAAACTGTCTCCACAATGCCTCCAGATGCTCCAGGTCTGGAAACCAATCAATCTTTTACATAAGTGGTTAGTACACCTACCCCAGGGTCCTAGAAAGACACATCAAAAGATATGTATAGCTTTCCAAGACAGAACTTTTTGAATATTCTTTTGTTTGTCTCTTCCTGTATTTACACTGACTGAGAAGAATACTTTTGACACACAGAAAAGCAAATCAAGCTTGGTGCGCAAGGCACAAGCCCCACTCCTGTTAAATTTTATAGTCACACATATGTTTATCACTTCTTAGCTAGTTTGACTAGAGATTTCTCAATAACCTCATTTGTGACCATTGAAAAGCCATAAATCCATATGGAAAGTCTTCTAGTGCCCAGTCCAGGGAGAGAGTTACAGGTCACACACCTGTAAAAATGTTTAAAGCATAGTCAGGGCAGCTCTGACACCACTGTGGGCTGCCTAAGGCACCTCTTTGTGGTATCCTGGTGGTACCTGAGAGATCTGTGGTTGTTTTTTTTAGGAGCCCAGACTTAGTTCACAGATTTCTTCAGCTTTTCTGCATAGGCGTCTCATTTAACGAAGCAATTTCCTTAACTCTACTTTAGCTGGGAAAGAATGCAAATTAAATATTCTTTACTAGAAAGAATGGGAGGGGGGACAAGTGAAGGAGAAAAAAGAAAAAAAAAGCACAGGAGCACAGTGGAGCCACGAAGTTCCCTCAGGTGGCTGGCTAACTAGCTTGGCTCTTTGTGTAGACACTGTCTGCCTGTGGGATGGAGCTAAAAGACAGAAGAATGACAGTCTGGAGGAAGAAAGAAGACAGTAATTATGGGATGTGTGCGATTAGTGCGGTAGCCAGAGAAATTAAGCCACAAGTCCTAGGAATCTTCCTTTCTGTATGGTACCTGCAGAGGAAGAGAAAAGACCTCACTACAGAGTTCAGTTGGAATCTACTCCCTGCCAGCTCAGCTTGATTGCTTTCTGGGTTACCTACTGTGGAGGTTCAGCAGCTCGACCTTCCTTTCAGTAGAGCTATATTGTCCTGCTCTGAAAAAAGGCAGATTAAGAATTTACAGGGATCCCTCCATCACTGGTCTCTGACAGGAACACTCAGGGAGCTGATTTTTCATGGTTCAATTTGCCTGTGGTCAAGATTCTTATCAAAATGTATTCTGTTAATGTAAAGTGCCATTGCAGTTTTAAGAAATATCTAACTTTCTATTAAACTTTCTCATTTCTTTACTCTTCATCCTTTTGTTTTAGTGTTGGAATTCTTCCCTAACTACTTTTTTATTATTATTGTTATACTTGGAGGAATGTTTGCATTTAAATTCAGGTTTATAGGTGAAGAATAAATCATGTCAGTTGAGAAGTTTATAATTATTTTGTAGGTAGGTAAACTGTATTCTAACTGCCCTGAATCTGAGATATTCCCAGCTATAATTCAGATCATCCTTCAGTTGTCTATTTTGATTTAAATGTCTTAATTAAAAACTGTATGTTTGCAGAATTGAAAAGGACTCTTTGTTAACATGAAAGCTATTTCATTTTGTCAAGCCAAGAAGAAACAAAAGATATTCAATCTCTTCTTAGTTTAATACATATTTTTGAGAGCTGTTTCAAATGGAGGAGGGAAGAGGTTAGTCAGATTTTGAGCCAAGAATCTTTTCAGCCTCTGCATGTGTATTATCTTAGATAGTTCTGATTAGGTCTGAATATTGCTATCATTTTTATTGCCTCTTTTTTTATTATAAGTGACTTGATATTAACCTTTTTAGCATGTATAATTCTATTAATATCTCTGCTAAAAATTTGAGGTTATGCTGGTAAATGAAATAATTGTACTATACTTGGTTTTGTGACTTCAAAAACAAGAGGTTCTTTAATGCTGTATGTTTTGTTAACAGGGCAAGTAAAAAACTGGAAATCACATTTATTCTACTAGAGATGAGAAAGCTTAGCAGATGTACTGTAATGATTTTCCAGGAGGAGGAAAGTAAACATCTTTGTCTCCTATTCAGATTAGTTTCACCTGGCATAGTCAGACTCGGCGCAGAGGCCTTCACTAGCTCACTCAGCAACAATGCCTCTTGCCTATTTGTCATGTTTGATATAATAATTTTTGATGCATTGTATTTTGTTATATATTTTACATCTTCAAAATAAGTAGTTTTGAGAGTTACTCATTGAAGCCCATTTGTTTAAAATGTTCAATATAAAACATACATATGCTACTGTTCTATGTAGGCCTACCTTATTCTGGAAGGATCTATGTCATGTTCTGTCCTATTACAAGATCCTTAAAAAAGATCTTCATCCCTATTACTAGACTCTGGTAATGTAGGGTCTAGGAAATGTACTTTGGAAATGCAGAATGATGATTCCATTGCCCTACCATGTCTTATAGCAGCTTATCTCTTTAATCCTCATTCTCCTCCTCACAATCTTATAGAAATAAAAGTGAGGAAGACTGACGTATTGTTTGATATCTCTGAATGACTTTATTTTTAGAGCTATTTATTAGTGGTTTATAATAACTTCAAATGAAATATATGTATTCTTCATTTTAGTTATTTTCTAATATTCAAATAACAATATATCTGAGAAATGCAATATGCATTCTCAATAAGTAACATTATTTTTTTGCAACAAAACTCTGTCAATAGGTCAGGCTATCCTTCTCATTACCCTCTAGCAGGCAGATCTTCTAAGACCTTACTCTTTTTAGTGGAAAATTTTCAATTTTATTCTCTTGATATTATTAGAAAATTTTCCAAAACATCCAGCTATGGCATTCTTCTAGTAATGATTTCTTAAATGGGATGGATGTGGTGGGGAATCTAAAAAATAAGAGGAGAGGATAAGATTTGAAACTGAAAGTGAGTTGGTTGTAGTATATCCCATTAAGAAGACAAAATAGGCTGGGCACGGTGGCTCATGCCTGTAATCCCAGCACTTTAGGAGGCCGAGATAGGTGAATTGCTTGAGGCCAGGAGTTCGAGATCAGTCTGGCCAACATGGCAAAACCCCATCTCTACTAAAAATACAAAAATTAGCCAGGCATGGTGGCACATGCCTCTAATCCCAGCTACTTAGTAGGCTGAGGCAGGAGAATTGCTTGAACCCAGGAGGCAGAGGTTGCAGTGAGCCAAGATCATGCCACTGCACTCGAGCAAGATTCTATCTCCAAAAAAAAAAAAAAAAAAAAAAGAAAAGGAAAAATAAATAAGGTGGTTAAAAAGACCAAAGTGACTTGAAGACATCTATCTGATGCTAAAGGATCATGTTGGGAAAACTATCCAAAAATCATGTTAGAAAAAGTTATAGGAAATGATCAATTGGCTAGAAAAAAGAAAGGTGAATGAATTGCTGCCAAGGCTAAGTGAAGGATGACTATCAGCTCCAGGTTAATTAGCTGGGACAGACAACTATGTTGAGATGCACAACGTCAAAGAGAGTACTGAGCATGTTGTGATGTTACCACTGTACAGCAGAGTGTGCTAGAATGATTAGAACCAAACTACACAGTAAGCTGAGGTCTGTGATAATGTAGTAAGCAAGGAAATAAAAAGAGACAAGGGAGAAAAGGACAAATAAGGAAACTGGCTGTTGATAGCTTGCACACACTTGTATGCCATAAGGACCTTTTGAAGTTGCAGCAGAAACAGTCCCTGTGGAACAATGATAACAGGAGAGACAGACATTGATGTGTAAATTACATCATCACCCAAAGCCACTTCCACTCAAGCAGAGTCCCAGATCATATTGGGGTTCAAAGGGACTCTAATCTTACCCTACTCATTTTTTTTTTCTCCTAAACTCTTGCCAGAAATGAGGGAAACACAGAGATGCTTGTTCATGTTAGCTTTTCTGACTTGACCTGGAAACTGAGAGTCATGTAACAAGACAAGGGCTGCCCGGAGTTCACAGATTTAAGGATCAAGTTTGTGAAGACATTGGCTTAGATAAAAGGACAGTAGTTAACATTAACATTACATAAGCTTGAACAACTATCTCAAGAGATATCCAGTACTTTGAGAGAAACAAGAAATTGTATCAACAGTTTATAAATAAATGTGAATTTATAATAATACGGCTAGAACTGTCTGTGAAAGGAAAAAGGCTGACCTTTCTGTCTTGAAAAATATTTTTCTTTTCTGAATAATTTAGGGCTGGACAATTTGATCTTTTATAGGTCATACTAATCAACATTTTGCTATTCTTCACTAGACTAGCTTGTTTAGCAATATGAGGAGGGTGCCTCCACTTTCTGAGGGCCATTAGAATTCCTAGGGATAATCATTGTTCAAAGAACTGGATATTAATGATAGTTTCACATAACATTATATATAGTATAAATAACATGCCTACTCACTGAGAGTGGTACAGAAATCAAGAGTCATGAAACCCAGTACAGGAAAATTAACATTGAAAGTACAAATCAAACAATGATATGGCCAAATGTTATCCCCTGTAATAAGAACCATAGATTTGAAAAGTCCCTAAATTCAAATGATAAAGCCTTTTCTCAGTATAAAGTGTTTATATAGCACAAGCTAATTAGTATTAGAAATATCTGCTTTATTTCCTTTTCTCTGAAGCTTAGACATCTATCTGGGAGGAGGCTGAGTACATCAAGTGTTCCTTTCAGTGTAAGCAATAAGTAGTTCACTTCCTGTACTTTCCATGAACTTTGTAATGGTTAAATAAAGCTATATTCAACATGAACTTGTGAATACCTCCCTTTTAATTTTTTTTTTTTTTGGCTAGGATTGAAACTTCAGTATAAAATAGAAACTAGTTGACTTTCTGTTCTAATACCATAACAGATTCTTTAGTAGGGTGGTAATATTAATCAGATGTGGCAAATTATTACCATTAAAAGTTAAGTGAGAACTTTGTCACTGTAGAATGTTGTATTAGGTTCATGCTGTTACATATTCCTCAGCTGTTAAAATATTGTAGGATATTTGTGGAGGTCTTTAGAAAACTTTTTACAGTAATTATTTAAATATTAGGCTGGCTTTAGTTTATTCAGTGAGAGTCTCTAGACTGCTGTCCTTGGTTATATTCTGAAGAAGACTTTGCCCTATAAAGTGAACATGTTTATATATGCTAATTTGAAATGGGTATATGTTTGGCCAGAATTCTGCCTGGCAATTTGACAGTAAGATAAATGCAAGACACAAGGTTCATGTGTAACAACAGGTGAAGAAAGAGATTAAAAGGGGAAGTTGAAAGTTAGCATAGAGTAATTGGAGGAAGCTAGCTTTGATAAGTCACAAAGGAATTGTATTAGTCAGGGTTCTCAGGAGAAGCAGAGGCAATAGGATATATAGATATATAAGAGAAAATATAGGAATTGGTTCTTACAGATATGAAGGCCAGTGAAGTCCCATGGTATGTCATCTGCAAGCCAGAGATCCAGGAAAGCTTGTGTAATTCAGTCTGAGCCAGAAGGCCTGAGAAACAAGAGTTCTGATGTCTGAGGGCAGGAGAAGGTAGATATCCCAGCTTAAGGAGAGAGAGAGAAAAAAATAAAAAATAAAAGAAAATTCACATTTCCTCCACCTTTTGTTCTATTTGGGCCCTCAACAGATTGAATGATGACCACTCTTATTGGTGAAGGTGATATTCACTCAGTCTACTGATTCAAATGTTAATCTCTTCTGGAAATAGCATCACAGACACACCAGGAAGTAATGTTTACCAGCTATCTAGCCTCGCCTTAGCTGAGTCAAGTTGAAACATACTATCAACCATTACAGGAGTGATGTGTGCAAACATGCTCCCTTGCCTCTCCCACTTATGCCTTCACCCTTTGACTGGCACTATCTTAGCTTCTGTATCATCTTTTGCATTTTTCCTGTTAATGAGCTTATCCATGATACTGCTACTTCCAGGATATTCTCCCACTCTCTCTTCCCATTGACTCTCCTTTACTCTCCTTCATCTGTGTTCTGCCAGATTTAATCCCTAAAACATTCCTTGAATCCCTATACACATCTCCAAGTCTTCTCTCAGTGCCTTAATTCAGCTACATCTTTCTCTTCTTGTCTAGGCAAAGTTAGTTGAGCCCTAGTCTCTCTATTTTATTTATTTATTATTATTTTTTTTTGGAGACAGGGTCTCACTCTTTACCTAGGCTGGACTGTAGTGGCATGATCATGGTTCACTGCAGCCTCAACTGCCCAGGCTTAAGTGATCCTTCCACCTCAGCCTTCTGAGTAGCTGGGACTATAGGCATGTGACACCACTCTCGGCTAATTTTTTTTTTTTTTTTTTTTTTTTTGTAGAGATAGGGTTTCACCATGTTGCCCAGGCTGGTCTTGAACTCCTGAGCTCAAGTGATCCACCCACTTTAGCCTCCCAAAGTGCTGTGATTATGGGCATGAGCCACCATGCCCAGCCTAGTCTCCCTATCTTTAGTCTGTCTACTACACAACTGACAAAATGTTCTATCTATTCTGTCCATGTCACTTTCCTTTCTAAAATAGTTCTTCATTGTTTAGAAGATAAAATCCAGCCTCTGTTATTGTATTTTTAAGACCCTCCATAATCTGGTTATTGCAATCATTCTAGCCTCATCTCTGCCTACTCCCCGCCTTCAAATGTCCCTGCTTGCAAAACACTTCTCTGCAGGGCATAGATAGATAAATAATTGAAGTGGGCTGGGTGGAAGAAACAGGGAGTTGTGGGAACTGTGGCACTCTGAAATATACAAGGCCCACCTAAAGAATTCAACTTTATTTGTATTAGGGCAATAAGACATGTCTTCAGGACAAGTGGGCCCTGGATTATCTGTTTATGACCTGTGCTAGCAGCATGAAATATTTGCCCGTTCTGGCATCATGGTATTCTTTTTCCTTCCACAAGTCATTTGCTCATGCTGTTCTCCTCTGACGGTAGTGCTCATCCACAGTATTTTCCCTCTCACTTACCTCATCCTTCTCAAGTTAGCCTCTTCTCTTACTTAAGATTCAAACCAAATAGTAGTCATCTTCTTCAAAAATCCATTCATGATCCCTATTTATTTCCTACATGTTTCTGTAAATTTTCTATAGCACCTTCTGTGTTTATTTTAATTAAATACTCACCTCTCCCACTATATTATATGGGAAAAGATATATTGTATTAATTTCTGTACCCTCAGGGTATAGTGGAGAGCCAGGTACATAGTTAGCACTCAACAAAGCCATGAAAACAATGGTGAGTCAAATAGAATTGTGGTTCAACACCTTAGCTTTGCCTTAGAGTCTGTGGCTATGGAAATCTATAGATGTCTTGAGGAATCATTTGACACCAGCAAGGGAAGAAAATGGCAAATTCCATCTTATTAATATTTCTACCAGTGGAACCTAGAGTAACATCTGTCACACCGTGGAAGGAAAAGGAGAAGGACGAAAGACAGGAAGAAAAGAAAGAAGGAAGGGAAATATTTATGTTCTTAATGCAGAAGTGCTATGGGAGAGGGAGTGGAGAGGTAGGAATTCAACTTGAGCTGAAGTGAAGAACTGAAACAGGGCCCATTTTACAAGAATTAGAAATTTTGAGATAGCCACGCAAGAACAAGTCTATACTGAGAGCAGGTTGAACTCAGAAAGTGCTGAACTGCTGTGAGTTATACTTCATAACATCCAGGACCTAGATAGAAATTCTTTCAATTCTTTAAAACAATCTCCACTGGAATAAAATGTGTGCTCAGATATATTTTATTCATGTAGCAACTTTTGATTTTTCCCTATTCTTACTTCAAAAGATGATGTATGAGAAAGGAGAGGGGATGCTCTCAAAGGACATAGTCTCTAGGAAGGGGTTCACAGCATTTGGCAACAGGAATAACAGTAAAGAGACATCATCTAAACATGGCATTTTACCACAGTGGCACTGTTCATTTGCCTGGTCATCCCCTACCATCAACCAGGATCACACTTAAGATGTTTCTGACAGATATATCCTACAACCACCCTTGGTAAATCCAAAATTTTTAGCAACATGCCACCATTTAAGAATCTAACTTTAAGTTTTGAAGGCTGTATGTCTGTTCAATTCAGTGTACATAGTAGTAAGAGCAGGAGGTGGCTTAATCATGTCATATGATATTTCTGGTTTGAGTGGAGTGATTTTACAGGTCTCCCTGCAAAACACACAAAATAATGCTTGTTCCCTGTTATGGCAAACACAATGAGAATGGACAAGACAGAAAGCACCTAAAAGTCTTTCCTTGGAAGAAAGATAAATGCAAAGGAGAAACTTCTTCCAATTTTCTTGTAACCTTTTTTTTCACAGGGCTGTCAGATGACTGTACTGTTTGCCTCACACCAAGGGTGTGTCTATGATGTATTTTCACAAGTGCTTCAATACTGAGATAAAAAGTGTAGTGTGAGTGTTAAAGGTGGACTAAAATATAAAACTCCATTACTTGCCAGTTTTCACTGAAGATAAAATAGTTTTGCTTTGTAATAACGAAGGAAATCCATATCTCCAAGTCGGCTACTTTACAAATCAGGAAATGGTTCTCAAGGAGGCCCCAGATCAGAGCTAATGTGGCCCGATGGTGGGTGAGCGGTGTCATTCTGGTACAGAAGACAACATATTGTACAATTCTGGCATTTTAAATAAACTTTTGCAGCTTGGCTACCCTTACCAATCTGGTTTAGGAATATAGTCTTAACTGAACTCTCCTCAGTAAGAATGACCATTTTATTTTCCAGCCTCAACTTCACTTCAGGCCTTAGATTTGAATAGTAAATAGATAGCAAAACATTACTGTTAATGAGTCAAAACTCATGGCAAAATATTTTCATTACTTAAGTGCTCAGAATTGCTGTAGAGTTATAGGATATACATACATAAAATTTGTAATTTGAGGTCCATAAGGGGATAAAAAATAAAAGGAAAACTCTTGGAATTCAGAAGAATACAAGAACAACGAATCCTTTGACAGTGAATGTTATCTAAAGGGGTTAAAAGAAATCAGACTTCCCTGTGGGCTGTGCATGGGGTATGCATTATGTGCTGTCATTAAAGTATTCTTTTCTCTGTTAAGCAAGCATCCCCTGCTGGGACATCTCTTTGATTTGGTGGGAGTCTGGAGTTATACATGAAGTGTGTGCTATCAGCTAGAAATTACTCCCACATAAAAATATAACGTTATTGTTCGAGCTATTTTTCAATTAGTGCATATGTTCTATTCACATGATTTAGATTATTAAATACATGAATTATAACTGCAGTAAAACATGATCAGAATTTTTTTTGCTATATTATGACTAATGAAAAACTATGAACAACAACAAAAATGAGTATAGTTGAAAGAAATCAAACCTTACCCTTGGCAATAATTCTGAGACGCTGAATATCTCAGATTGGTTAGTTTAAGGCTTTCATTTGAATCACCTTGAAAATTCTATGCATAGTGTTCAATCACCACACCTTCCTTTTTGCTCCCAGGCCCCTGTGTTTAAATCCATCAATGTCATGGAGCAGTGCGGTTTAAAAAAGTATTTGGAAGGGCACCAAGCCTGAATGTTTTGAGAGCGCTAACCAAGATACACACACAGGACTAAATGTATTTTCATGGAGATTGAAACAGATTTTTTTTTCAAGAGCATTATTAAAGAAGAATTCTGGCTACTTTCAGAGAACAGTGGAGCCAGTCAATATGTAGAGCTGCTTTGCTTAATTAAATTCATATCTCTTTTTAAGGCTTCTAAAACATATAGTAATCACTGAAAAGTCCTTGCAGTCTGTTTTGTGGTGTGGTATATTTATTTCCTTCTTTGTAAGACAAGCTATAACTGTTTCTTTCATAGCATATGTATCTTTAAAGGGAAGTAAGGCTGTGAAATTTGAAAATGAAATTAGGTAATCTGTTGGAGGTTATGCTGAAATCAGACCCAAAACTTAGTTACATTTGTGCCACTCTTTCTGTTCTAGTCTAATTCATACTTTTGCTCAGCATTTGTATCTTAAATATCTCTGGGAAAAATATAATTTTTGTAACAGATAACTCCTTTGTTTTACATTTCTCAGAGTACTTTAAGACTATTGAATGTTTTTCAACAGCTAGAATTTAATCTAAAACTAATTTTAGGCAAATTTATTTTTCTTTGTTTTCCACAAGTCAAATGAATAATAGCTGGATATATGGACCTTTTTATTTCTTCAGAATTCGCTTTGCAAAGAGACAGACTAATTAAAGAAGGAATCCTCCAGAGGTATATTATTCCAATATCTCTCTCAGCACCCCGTATATTGATCTATTTAACATCTTCTTCATGTATAACCAAGAACAACAATTTTGAGTCTCTAATAGTGTAACATCAATCAATGCTGCAATTAGAACTTTGTCAGATGAATTCATAGACAGATGCAGACCTAGATATGGTTTATGATAAACTATTTTAAAATTGATCAACTCAGATTGATTATCTCCCCCAGTCTATGATTAAACATACTCTTTTCTCCTTCTTGCGTAATTGTCAGTGACAAAATGTGTGTGTGTGTGTGTGTGTAATGTGTGTGTTTTGTGTTAGATGTGTGCAGGTATTGGGAAGCCAATATATTATTCTTTCTTTCTTTTTCATTTAAATGTTCTTTTATTTCTTTCGAGAAATTAAATACAGAGAAGTACAAAAAGTTATTTAAGGAACATGCTACTACTGTCCCAAATTACCAACTGAGTATTGCTTTTTTGGTTCAGATGAAGTTTCAATTTTCTAAAATATGGATTCTATAAGCACTAATTAATAATATGTGAATTCTAACCTTTTTCATCCCGTATTTCCTTACTCATGAATATTGAGATTTACTGAGAGATCTAGAAGAGTCTATAATATGAATCCTAATAGGTTTCTGCAAGGAAAATTCAATAAAATTGGTTATGTTGGTAGATTTGGGAGCACTTCCTTGGAAGATAACACAGTGGTCTCTTAATTTGGAAAGTTTAGCACACTGGCATAGAAGAAAATGTAAATCAGTTTGCATGCTGCCACATGTCTTCATGATTTTATTTCTTTCACATACTTTGCTATATTTTTGGAAGAATTTTCCTATGTTGCTTCACTTTACTTTTTCTGGTGAATCTATGTCTTATTTAAAATATTATAAAAGTGCTCAAATAAAGATGCTACCTTTTAATCCTTATTAAGATAATTCTGGTAGTTAGGTGGTGGGAAACTGGTCTGAATTAAAAAAAAATAAGTCTGGTCCAAGTCAAATTTCATTGTTCTCTATTTGGAAGAAGAGAGAAGTAATTTTGCCAACTTTAAAATACAGTACACTCAAAAATTGTCAGCTCTAGATTTGGAGCACATCTCAGAATTACTTTGGCTCAACTCAGCTATGTGACTTTTGGTTTGCTTTTACTTTCAATTCTCATGGTAGTTTTGAAAGAAAGAATGAATTTCACAAAAGGAATCTTGTTTGCACATTGTAAGCTACCTTTTTATAACAAAAAGTAGTTGCAAAATTTATGTTTTCCCAGAAAAGAAGAGACCTAAGTTAAAATTGAAAAAAAAATTTTAAAAGTTATAAAAATATATTTTCTATTTAATGTAATTGTTTTCATGAAGTCTCTATTTCCTTTTTTCAATATAAGTGGTTTATATGGAATTATAAAGATGGTTCAAATATGCTATTTAATTGCCATTATTTTAAGCATTCAAATTCTCAGTGTCGTCCCTGATATTTACAATGGCTATGCAGCTGCTGCTGTTATTATTGCTGAAGCTGACATTATTTTTCATTTGTGTGAGGGAAGGAGATTGGAGAATCTCCTTTCCAGTTTGAACACAAATGAATGAACGTGTCCTTTGGTTCCTTCTCTGTAATTTTTGTAGTGGGTCACAGGACTTTTTTACCTGATTAGATCTCCCTCATCTTCCCCACCCTCCCCCAAGGCAGGTGGTTTCCTATGTTTCAACAAAACTGAAGGAAAATCTAATCTTGTTGTCAGCTGGTAGATCATTAAAAATAGTTTTTGATGATAGATCACCATGTGATTTTTGGCATGAAACGCTGACAGAGTTCAAAGAATTTTGTGACATTTCTATAAAAATAACCTTTCCCTTCCCATGTCCTTATTTTAGGAACAACTTTTCCTACTGCTACACTTATAAAAGTGAAAATAAGATAGAATTATGATGTGCCTTATTTTATCCCAGCAAAAATGATGTTTATGTATGTAATAATATACCAATTGAAAAAACCTATCTCATCTATCACACTGAGAGAGTAATTTCAAAAAAAGATTTATGTTTAATGCTTTTTGTTAAAATTTGTGATATAAATATGATTTTTGCCAAATTTCATACTACTATTAATATTAATAACTCAATGTATAACATTTATTTTAATATTAGAGACTTTAAGGACAAGGGAAATAGATTTTATTACTTTCTATTTATGTACTTTTTGTCAAAGAAGGGTTATAGTAGCAGAAGACTTCCAAACATACAAATAGATGAGGTAAAATTATGCAGTGAAAGTGGGATCAAAATAAGTTCTATGAAAAATACTAACAATGTGAAACTTAAATACGAGCCTGTCTACCTTTATGTAACTAGATGATAGCTGGCATTTGTCAAAGTATATATAGGTTCTAGTAGAGAACATCATATACTAGGTTCTATTGTATATGTTTAAAAGAGTGACTCAACAACTTTATTTTAAAAACCAACATATTCTATTTTCCAGAAATCATATTCTTTGCAAATATTTAAATTTATCATGACTACTTTAGATCTTAAAAATATGTGAAGGGTTATCTAGCTTTCAACATTATTTGGGGTTTATGAACAAAAGAATGCTTGAATACTACTATTCTGTACTAAATCCCAATCAAGTTGCCTGCAGTTTTGCTATTTGCTTCACTCTTGTCCATCCTTTTTATTCCATCACCATAGATCATGACTCAGGCCTGAATCATTGTGGATTAGTCACCCTTCTTTGGACACTGAAATTGGCAATTTCTCATCTTGTCTCTTCAGTTCATACCTATCCCTCAGCTATAAGGTGCTGTCCTCTGTTAAAAGTCTAGCCCTCCTTTAAGCCCAAGCTAAAAGTTTGCCTCTTCTTTGATACTGCTCATAGTTATCCCAGCTGGAAGAAAAATTTTTTCTCCTCTGCACCTTTTAAATAACTAGTTTGTATCAGTTGTATAACTCTTATCTTACACTGCCCTTTAGATAGAGTCTAAATATTTTTCTCTTCCACATGAGTATAAACTCTTATGTGAAAAGACCATGTCCTTTTGTGAGCTTATTATGCTTCACGGTGCAAAGTATAGAACCTCATGCCTAGTAGGCTCATTTGTTGAATCGATGCCTGAATGAATTAGATATATTAAAAGGAAAACATTTTCTATTATTTCGAAGATGCTTTGATGTGGCTTTCTTGTAACTTCTACCTTAGAAGTCATGGGTGGGGGGATATTGAAATCAGCCTAATGAGGGAGATGGGATTAATACTGAGGAAGCCACACTGGGAAATTTTTTCTAGATGGTTAAATATATTGGGAAGAAATGAAAGCAGGCAAAGTATGAATGGAAACAAATAGAAACATTTTAAATTTGATATGCTACAATATTCTGTATGAGTGATTTTGAATGTGATGAGAGAAAAAATGAAGCACTGACCCCATAAGTAAACATATTGGAGGAAACAGTATAAAAGGGGTAGGAAGGAAGCAAGGGACTTTGTCAACAGAATTTTTGTTTTTTGTTTTTGATTCAGCTTGTAGAAATTCAGTTTAGGAACTGTATGGCCAGAACAGCTGTACCTTTAATTATTTTATTAGTGGTTTTTTTTTTTCACTACATGAGTTCCAAAGTAATCAAATTACTTAGACAAATATAAAGGGTTTTTTCCATCCTATTTTATCATAAGATTTTTGTTTTGTTTAGTTTTTATTGGAGGATAAAATATTTCCTAACTTTCTTAAATTTTAAAATAATGTTTCAGAGGACAGCTATCTATAATCTAGAACCTATGAGTTATTTCATTCCTCAAATAGTGCTTTTAATGGTCTCATAACACTTGAGCCCATGTGATTCCCAGAGCCAGAAGTCCAGTGTTGCTTAATAAGGTCTTCTGGGAATCTATTGATGTTAGGTTTTATGTTTTAACACACAGAGCCTAGCATTCAAAGAGTATATTTTGAGAGCTACCTTGTAATACATTCTTACATTTTTTTGTTTTGGAAGAGGGTAGTGATTATCTTAGGGTCAGTTTTGCTTTCTTACTGATAATGTATTCTTGAAATGCAGTATAGTTGGCAGCTGATAGCAAAAATCCAAGAATTTCAACAGAAAATTTAATTATAAAATGGCTAAATTGAACAAAATCTGGTGAGGAGTTTCCAGCAATTATATAACACTTATAAGGAAGCAATAATGATTAACTACCAATTTCTGAGAGGAAAAATTACTTTGGAAAAATATATTTAAGTTAAACTCTGCCTTTCCTGGAATATGTAGAATTTATACTGAGATTTCAAGGTTTTAAAGATCTGTATTTTAATAGAGAAGCACATGTTCCCCTCTTCGCCATACCCCTGCAGAAATGGAGGACCAAGAAGAGAGAGAAATGTATTTATTAATTATTATTTATAATATATTTATTATATATATTTAGTTACTTAATATTTACAATGAAAATATGCAAATCTATACTAATCTATCATCTCTCTCCATATAATACATGTACACATGCACAATTCTGTCTCTATGAACAATTTTTAGTTTAGATGATGGAATGATATAAATCAGTGTCCCATGCATTTGGCTATAACTAGAACTTCACACAAGCATTTGGATATGACTACAAAGTTATGGACACTCATCAAGATAGTCTTGTTCTAATAACATACATCAGTTTGGCATGATTATCAGAAACATTCTTTATAGGAGGATTGCATCAGGAAAAATAAAATGTATAGGCAACATTTTTATTAATTTAACATAACAATAGCTTAACTGAACCCTAGCAGGGGGGTTGGAGATTATACTCATAACTAATAATACTTGCTTTAATAGAGGAATGTAAATAACAACTGATATTCTTAAAGACCATTGATGAATTTAAAGATGATTAATTGAGCACCTACATATACAGTATTGTATGTTGGATGCTGTTTTAGTCACTGAACAAAACTGACACTATCTCTGTTCTTTGTAGCTTATACTCTGGATGCCAGATATTAAACAAATATAAAGATAGATGTGCAGTGGTAATAAATACTATGAAGAATAAAAAAATCAGGACAAGGAGGTAGTAAGTTATGGTGCCAAATGAATGGTTTTTTCCTATGGGTTTCATCAGGGAAGGTGTCCTCCTATCTGTGGACAGAAAGAGAATGAAAGCCTTGGAAATATCTGGGGGCCAAGATTTCAGAAAGCAATAGTGAAGGCATACCTGAGCCTGTATTCTGGAAAAAAATCCAAGAGGCCAGTGAGTTTGCAGTCAAGTAATAAAGGAGAGAACTAAAGGAGTTAAGGCCAGAGTGGGAGCCAGGAGGAAGATCACAGGTGCCTTAAAGTACGTGAGTAGGACTTTGGAGTTTATTTAGAATGCACTGGAATCATTGAAGAATTGTGAACAGACAAGTGACTTGATTAAACTCCTCGCTGTGTAAAAAATAGACTATGAAGCAAAATGAAAGCAAGATACTTGTGTAGGAGTCATTATAATTATTCATGTGAGAGATGACAGGGACATTGGCCAGGATGACTGCAGTAGAGGCAGTAAAAAGTGATAGTATTCTGGATAGATTTTGAAGGTTCAGCCAGTGTAATTTTGAGGACGTGAGAGAATGCAAAGATTATATTACTTATGTGCTACTTCTGAGGAAAATATGCTTCTTCTGAGGCATACTTGGGATAAACTCTAAAAAGCAATAAATAAAATCACTAAGGCTGCTCTGAGGAGAGTGACTTAAGAGAGACAGGTGAAATAGGATGACTCATTAGGAAGTCACTGAGATTAACCTGGTGAGAAATAAAGGTTACTAAGATCAGGATTTTAGTGATAAGCATGGTAAATAGTATCCGGATGCAATTATATTTTGAAATGGGTGTTAACAGGAATTCCGATGGAATGGCTGTGAAAGATAGAATCAAATTCATGCCAAAAATTTTGTTTAAAGAATGATGTGGAAATCTTAACAGATTGATAATATTTTCCCTAAATTAGGTATCTCTCCATTTCTGAAAGCTGGAATGCCTACCGATTATTCATTACTGCATCTTAACACAGCTGTACATTCAATAACTTTCCATACATAATATAACTTTTGACTCTTGAAACAACTGGGTAAAGCAGGAAGGAGAGATATTTTATTTCAATTTTGGAGATGAAGTTGATAGATTTGGGAGAGAATACACGTCTTGCCCAAGAGTACAGTTCTAATAATGGGCAGAGTGTGGGTAAGAATCCAGACTGGTTGACCGTAGTCATAAAAGACATATATTGTCTAAAAAACTAACACGATGTTTTTGAATCTGTGCTATTTGTAGGATATTAGATATCTCACTGGATCTATTTTGTTCCCTGATGAATCCCAAGAGCCTAGAATAGTGCCTGGTACAGAGTAGTTTGGCACTGAATCAGTATTTCTTGAATGAAAAGAAAAAGCTGCAATATTGCCTTATATTGTTGCTATGCTTAGATGAAATGAAATTTGATAATTAAACTCAGTCAGGAGTGGTTCTGTCTTTAAAGGAGATATTAAAGGAGATTAATATCATAATCTCCTTTATGAGGAAATTAAAATTGTTTTTATCACAGATTAGAAAGGCCCCAATACATAGACCTCTGCTCTAACCTTCTAGTTCTTGTTTTGTTTTAATAAGTTATTTTCTAATAATTATATTAGTGCCATGAATTATATGTGAAAAAGGAAGTCATTTGATTACCAAAACTTTATACACCTCATTCTATAAGGTAGGTTATATTGGAAGATAGCTGCCCAGCCAGTAATTCACATTTACTGTTGTATCCAGGTATGGCCATGTGACTTGTTCTTACCATTGGAATATGAAAGGAAACAGTGTGTGCCATACCTGGGCCTGGGTTTTAAGGAGCTGGTAGGGCATCTTCATATTGTCTTGTCCTGCCTGCTAACAGAACCACTTGATTGATAAGATCAGTGCAAAGATTTCTCATCTATAAGGAATTGGGATAAGAGTGGGAAATGAATATCTACTGTCAGTAAAATTATTTTTTGTTATAGCTACTAGTATTACCAAACCAAATTGGCATTGGAAGTGGGATTGCAGCTTTCAAAAAGCATAAATATGTAACATTGATCTTAAGACTGGATGATGATAAAACAGATACTGGAGGTTGGGAAAATGAAGATCCATGTTTTACAGTGGCAGACCATTGATAAAACTGTTGCCTATGATAACTTTGAAGTTAGGCCATATGCTTCCAAGGCTGTGGCTCTAGAAGCAGGAGCTGGAAAACAGCATTATATTTTATGTTTATTGTTACTTGCTACATTTTATATTACAAGAAAGAGATGAATTTTGGCAAGAATTGACTGCTTTGAGAGCATAAATAAAAGGAAGTAGATTAAATCTGAGGCCTCACAAGGTTGAAAAATCTCAAGGTCTGGACCACAACTGGATGAGATTGAAAAACAATCTCATTAAGACTTCAGTTAAACAGTTGGGCTCAACTCTGCAATGAAGATAAAAAAAACTTTGGGTGTCATTATTGACACATGGAATTCACTAGCAGCAAACAGTTCAGAGGCCTCATAACTTTGAAAGAATTGATTGGCAAGGAAATTTTGAGCCCAAGTCTAAGAAGAGAGCTTCTATCATTGTGTGGGTAAATAAAGGTCTTCACCATGTCTGCCTGACACAATTTCATTATTGCTGTGGACCAGGGACTGACATATGTTTCGTATTCTTTCCCTCTGCCAGTGGGAGTGTTTATGGTGATTATTCTGTTTCTGCTGCCACATTGTATGTTGGGTGTCAGAAGAGTTGGGGGAAGACAACTTGACTTTTAGTTCATGGGTCACTGGACTATAAGGTGCTACATATGGCTGAAGGAAATAACTGTGTATAATCCAGGGCTCCTGGATTTTGAGATGGATGCCAGATATTCTAAGGAATGTCACATATAGTCACAAATGAGATAATTTTCTTTTTTAAGGCTGTATAGCCTTCCATTGTATATACACCGCATTTTCTTTATCCATTCTTCCATTGGTAGACAATTATGTTGCCTTTAGATCTTGGCTATTTTGAACAATGCTGAAATTAACATAGGAGTGCGGATATTTCTTCAACATATCAATTTCAGTTCCTTTAGATATATACCCAGAAGTGGGATTGCTGGATCATATGGTAATTCAATTTTTAGTTTTTTGAGGAATTGCCACACTGTTTTCCAAAATGGCTGTACTAATTTACATTCTCACCAATAGTGTATGTAGAAGAGTTCCCTTTTCTCTACATCCTTACCAACACTTGTTATTATTCATCTTTTTGATAACAGTGTGGAATAAACCTTTGATTTTTAAATAACATAGGAAAGATTTATCATATAATTTTATATAAAAATCATCCTACTAAAATTGTTATTTTTCAAAATCTAATTTTTTTCAAACACTGTATTTTCTCAATGACAGGTGCAAAAGATGTACCCAGCTAAAACACAGATTACATGGAATAAAGTAATTCTTGATAATGCCTTACATGTTCATTTAAAAACAGTTTCTGAAATGAAATAAACTATCAATTAAAAACAGGCATTCTGCTCTCCTAAAACTTTTAAATGGTTGCCTCTCCTGAGTTCCATTGAATTTGCCCTGAGGCTTATCTTTAATGAGGCTCTCTAAATTAGATTTAGATGATAACCTTGGCAGTGAACCTGAGACTATATGCCTTTCCTTGCTTTCCTGTTTTCACCCTCAAAAATATTTATTAGCACTCATATTGTTTAATACATTTGGCAGCCATGGGTTTGAAAAAAAATTATTTAATTAGACAGGAATTTGCGAACACAGATCAACAATGTTCAAAATAAGTTACACATTGACATATAAGCACATTACATTGACACATAGGAACCTTACATGATTATGATTTACTTTGTTAGAAGAAATAATTATGACTTATATGAAATGATAGTGTGAAAGGAAAATAAATCTTGGAACTCCTAACTCATTAAGCCAAAGGGAAAAGTTAAGCTGGGAGCTGAGTTACATAAACTTGCCTCCCCTTTGGTTCCTAAATAAGATGGCTACTAGATGAAAAGCTACATGTCTCCCACATATTTTGCCCACAGGGAAATTCCTAGTGAGCTCCAAGACCTTTACCCTAAGATGTTTCTGTTAAAATTTAACCATGGCAATATTATTGATAGCTTATCTTTACAGGTGCAGTCACCCCCATGCCCACCAGACACAAATGCATACCTGATTGTTCCTCTGCCCCATTTGTCTATGTCATCTTATGTAAAAAAAAAAAATACAGATTCACTGAGCCAGACAAAGGCATGAATGACTATTTTTCTCTACCCACCTCTTACATGAAAATTGTATACTTCTCAATATGCCACCCTTTTCCCTTTAAATCTGGAGCCCTCAAAATTATCTTCAGAGAAATGCATAGGCCTGTCTCCCAGGCACACGTCCTTAACTTTGGCAAATAAACCTCCTAAAATGATTAAGACTAGTCTTGTCATTTATCTCTACTGACAGTAGTTTTAAAAATTTCTTTACTTTTCTTTTTGTCAGGTAGAACAATGTTTCCAACTTTTCTGGACTTGCCTTCTGTGGATATGTTCTCTCTTCTTGTATGGTGTTTATGAGAAGAGAAATATTTCCATGGAAGTTTCAGCAACTGAATATGGCTCCTACTGCATACTTTTCCTGAAAGTCTGTGATTACTTTTTAGTATTCAAAAGTTATTTTGTTTTGAAGTAGCCATCACAATGCAATCTTCAGCACATTGTGGTAACACAAGTGTTTCTGTTGCTTTTTTCAGCTCTTATGGGAACTGCCATGTCCCACAGAATCAACACATGTGCGTTCTGAGAATGTTATATCACTGATTACAAAAATTGCCAGTACTCCTAGGAAATTTACTGTCTTTGTTTTCAGAAATTTTCCTGATTTTTTTGTTATGAGGTTTTTTTAAAAATGAGGCTGGTTTGGGCTGAGTTTCGTTTAAGGCTTTGGATACCAATGATATAATGTGGGGAGGAGCTTCCTTTTTGTTGTTATATATTACACTACTAAAGTTATCCTGTTTATAGAAAATCTGTATTTTGTTTGGTGTATGTTGAGAGAACAGCAGGAAAAAGTGTTCCCAAAATGAATGGATTTTGGCAGGCACATGACCTGAATATCATTACTAGAGAAGGAAAAACTTACTCTGATATTACACTGCTTTTTATGAGAGTACTGTTCTTCCTAGTCATCTTTTTGTATGTGTCAAAGTAGCCTTGTCTGAGACATTGAATGGAAACTTTGGGTCATAAAAAGCAGAAATTCCTTTCTCCACTTGTTAGATATGTTTATGAAGTAAAATTATTTGGTGGGCTGCTAGTTTTCATTACATGTAACATATAACTTACTCGAATTGATACATGAACTTAAATAGCACTTGGGTGATTGCCCAGGTGTGATGAATCCTTTGGGATTAAGGGTGGATGATGCTAAATTCACATAAGCTTTGTCAGTTGAAAGGAAATGTTAATGCCTCAGGATGCATTCCTAAGTCTGGTTAGTAACTAGTTTGTCTTGTTAATAAACAACTTCAACAGATTCAGAGGTTACACTTGAAAAACAGCTCCCCAAATTTAGCACTCTTTATCTTAACATTGATCGAATCTTCAGATTTGTCTGAAGCAATAATTTCTGCTTCTCCCTAAATCCACAAAGTATTATTAAAGTTCTTTAAAAAGGGGACCTCTTGGCCGGGCGCGGTGGCTCACGCCTGTAATCCCAGCACTTTGGGAGGCCGAGGCGGGCGGATCACGAGGTCAGGAGATCGAGACCAAGGTGAAACCCCGTCTCTACTAAAAATACAAAAAGTTAGCCGGGCGTAGTGGCGGGCGCCTGTAGTCCCAGCTACTCGGGAGGCTGAGGCAGGAGAATGGCGTGAACCCGGGAGGCGGAGCTTGCAGGGAGCCGAGATCGCGCCACTGCACTCCAGCCTGGGTGACAGAGCGAGACTCCGTCTCAAAAAAAAAAAAAAAAAAAAAAAAGGGGACCTCTTGAGGTACAATTAAAGTTTTCTTGACAATTCTGTCCTTGCTCAAGAATCAGTGAGATTAGAATGACAGTGAGGACAGAATTCATCTATGAAGCAGAACCCCACTGAGTTTTTCAACATATGTGATTCTTTCTAATTCATATTGTTATGTGAGCTCTGCATCTTGCTTTTGTGAGCAGAAATCATCTGTGTTCTTTTTTAAATGACTAGCTTATTTTGGGGGGGCATTTTATTGAGCAAAATTCAAATTAAAACATATTAAAGAATTGTGTTTTATTAAATCCAACATTGCTTCTTTTTTGTAACATCTGTAGGGAGACCAGTCTGCTGGGACCATAGTTTCTTTTTGGTAAAACTGTCTGTACCAAATAAATGAATAAATAAATAGAATGAAAAGAAAAGGTGTGGTGGTCAGGCAGTTTATGTGTGGTTTAGGTGTGGGGAAAGCTCAGAGGTCAATGTGAAGAATGCGAAGAGAGAAATGCCCCTCTGTAGTGGCAGGGTCAGCAGCTTTTTGGTAGATGGTATAGTAGCTGGCACAGGGCCAGCAGTAAAGATTCAGATAGCTGAGAAGGTAGCCATGACATAGTAGAGGGAGTTGAGGCCCGTGTCCAGAAAGGATAAAACATAGTGGGGTTTGAACAGACAGTGGTAGAAGTGCCAAGGGTGTTATAGCCATGGTGGTAGCCAAAAAGCTTAAGATAATGACAAAGAAGAAACCAATGCTTCTGTCATAAGCCTATTATGCGCCTGGTATTTCTTTAAAAAAAAATCTATCAGTGAATTGGACCACTGTTGAAGTCTGCTGCAGGGAGCCAATCATAGAAATAATCGTAGAGAGCTCAGAGTAACAGTTCCCATTGGCTCATACAGAAATCCCTAGTTTACTGTGCAGAAGTAGATCATCCTCTCCAGGGAGACAAGAAGAATGCCTGGTTCATAGAAAACATTCCTTTTGCCTTCAATGGTCCAGTTCTCTTTAAGACTAGATGAGACCATGTGGCCTGAGGCAATCAAAGGATGTTCTGAGCTGCTGTGAGAGAATTAGGCAGGAAAGTCGTTTTTCTCTCTGGGAAAAATCCCTGGCAATAAAGACCAATCCTAGTGCTTTTGAGCTACTGTCTGAGGACTCCTTTTTCTTCTGTTTTCATTTTTCCCTCAGGTTGTTGTACCCCCAGCATTTTCACATCTGATAGTTTCTTAGCTTAGCTCACCACTTCTGGTTACTTGCTGCTGACACTTAGTAACTGAACCAATGTTCATTTGACATATGTAGGCTGCAACATCCCTCACTTTATAGAAATGAGAAAAAAAGATTTTTGATTCACTTACTGTATCAATGATGATTATTAAACATTTCAAATTGGTTCCGAAGAAAAACATCCAAGGAAAAAAAATTTTGAATCTAGGTGTCTTTTGAACATTTTATTTTGATCACATTTTGACTGTAATTATAGTCCTGTAGGCATCATCATGGTTTGAATATCAAAGTACTTTCAGGATATTATTCATCTGATAATTGAAAACTCTTAGAATCTCAGAAACAGAAGCTAGTCATGAGGTTTCATTATAGCTTATTAAATTTTTAGAAAGTTCTATTTTTAGAAGTTATTTATTTCCTTTGAGCCTAAATCTATCTTTAAAACTTTATACATTAATTCCATTTCAGCCTTTGGAATACACAGAATCTAATCGCAGGATTAATTTTCAAATATTTGAAATTTTCATGTTCTCCAGCATAGTTTCCCATAAACTAAATAATCTTATACTTCAGCCATTTATTTTGTGACATATTTTTTCAGGAACTTTACCTACGTTTACTCTTAAAATCACCCCAATCTGTTATTTTTTTCTAAATATAATTCAACAGAACTGAATGCCATGTTTTAGTCAGTGTAACATCACATCCCTTTTTCGGGATATTCCACTTCTATTAGCGAAGCCTAACCTTGCATTTATTTGTTTGTTTTGGTTCTCAGGAGCAATATTATTATTTGGCTCATGCTGAATTTGTACGAAATTTTGTATTTTTGACAGCACATTCAATCAGTTGGACTTTCTTTGTATTCAAGAGATGTTATTGTGCTTTTCAAAATATAAGTTCAGATCTGGGGTTTTAATCAATTATTCGCTCACTCATTTCTCTATTCAATAAATGCCTACTATGTCTCAAGCACAGAACGTAAAAAGTTAAGCCAGAAAGATAGTGCATTCTTTACCTCATGAAGCATTTATATATGTTTCATCTGGTTAGGATCACGTCCTGATTCTAGCCCAGGAGTTCTCAACTAAGGGAGATTTTGCTCCCAGGAGACATTTGGCAATGTCGGGGAACATTTTTGATTATCAAAATAGAGCAGAGGGGAGGTGACATATGCCAGTAGCTTATCTCAGAAAATGTACCTCCTTGGCCGGGCGCGGTGGCTCACGCCTGTAATCCCAGCACTTTGGGAGGCCGAGGCGGGCGGATCACGAGGTCAGGAGATCGAGACCATCCCGGCTAAAACGGTGAAACCCTGTCTCTATTAAAAATACAAAAAATTGGCCGGGCGTAGTGGCGGGCGCCTGTAGTCCCAGCTACTTGGGAGGCTGAGGCAGGAGAATGGCGTGAACCCGGGAGGCGGAGCTTGCAGTGAGCCGAGATCCCGCCACTGCACTCCAGCCTGGGCGACAGAGCGAGACTCCGTCTCAAAAAAAAAAAAAGAAAATGTACCTCCTTATATTTTATCAGCAAATATAATGAACTTGTCTCCTATGTCTTTTCTCAAGTAGCTGATAAAAATGCTTACCAGAAAACCATAAGCACAAAACTGAATGACACACACTAGACAATTCATTCACCTGGTTGAGTTTTCTCCATTAATCAATACTCATAGGGCACTGCCTGCAATCAGACCCCAGTTTAGTATTGAAACAGAAGAGTTCCCTTATACCCTTTGCAGGTCCTGTGACAGGGGTGTGGCTGGCTCCTTTGGTCACCCTGCTGCTCTCAAACCCCTAGGGGGAGCATGCAGACAGGCAGGTGCAGAGGCCATAGGGATCGCTTTTGGGCTCCGTCCCCACAGCAATGTTTAGGGGTGGGTGTCTGTGACTCCTGAAGCCCAAGTAGGTGTGTGTTACGGTGTGCTCTTTCAGCTTTGCCATCTACAGACGGCTTGTGTTAATCAGCTCACTAGACCTTCTGCCTTATCGCAAGGGCAGAGGGCTAGTGCAACAGCTTTCTATATCCCAAGCTCTTGCCCAGTGTACCAGAAGAATCAGATCACATGTGGACTCAAAGGATGAGTGCAAGGTTTTATTGAGTGGTGGAGGTTGCTCTCAGTGAGATGGACGGGGAGGTGTAAAGCAGGGGATGGAGTGGGAAGGTGGTCTTCCCCTGGAGTCAGGCCGCCCAGCTACCAGGCTCTTCTCCGACTGCCTTTGGCTGAACTCCCCTCAGCCAGATGTCCTTCCTCTTCTCTCTTTCTCTGCTGTGTTGTTCTGTTGTTGCTGGTCTGCTGGTGTCTGCTGGTCTGTTCCTCTGCTCCTCTTGATATTCAGCCACTTGTGTCTGTGCCTCCTATGGTCTCATGTTTATATGAGCACAGGATGGGGGCATGGCGGGCCAGAGTGGTCTTGGAAAATGCAACATTTGGGCGTGAAAACAGGAGTGCCTGTTCTCACTTAGGTCCGTGGGCCCAGGCTTGAGGATTGAGCCTTTGCCAGGGACCCCACCCATCTCTACCCAGCACCTCCCTGCCCTGCTCCCGTGTCAGTATCATCATCATCCTGGCCACATTTCTTCCTCCTGTCAGTGACATCTTAAAAAGCTTTTTCAAACGTCTTCCTAAAATCAAGATAATGTGGAGTTTACCCTCTTAAAGAGCACCAATAATGAAATGTAGTTTGTATACACCATTCTCTTGTAGTGAGCTTGTAAGTTCCTAGTGACCACAGTGTTCTTTAGAAGTACCCTAAAGGTGTTTATTCCAGAATCTCCAATGGACTAATGCAGAATTTACTGATCTGGAAATATCTTTTATACATTCTGAAAATATTTAATCACTTTCCATATTTTGGTAAGTTTTCATTTCTCAAAGATTTCCACTGATTACTTACAGTATTTTTCCAGTGTTGGTTCCTGAACTGACATATATGCCTAGCTCTGTGCTTGGTTTTAGAAAAAGATAATTAATATAGGGTCTTTATTTCCACACCAGCTATGAAAGAGTTAACAACATTTTAACAACTAACAAAAGAGAATAATGACAAGTGTTGTAACATACATATAAATTAACAGTGGAAGTCCAGAGATAGAAAATTTTCTGAGACTATCAAGTAAAGTTCCCTAGAGAAGAAGATAGTCGAGTGGATCATTAAAAGAGGAGTGGATTTCTTTAGGTGCAGAAGTCTTTTTGCATTTCATGGATAACAAATGCCACAAACAAAATTAGAATGGCATGATGTTATAAGATATGTTTGGGAAGCATCAGACAATCCAATGTGGCTAGAGGATGTGGGCTGCAGAGATGGTGGGAAATGCAAATGTAGTTGTGACACATTCATGAATGGCCTTGATGGCAAGCCAAGGAGTTTGAGCATTATTCTGTAATGTGCCATTTCATTTGTGATTAGTAAAGGAGCAAGGCAATTAAAATTAAATTTACATGTAACTCCAATCTTCAAACCAACATTTCAAAGTCATTAGCCTCAATTTTATAGATATATAAGCCAGGATTCAGTGAGTGATGGACTGTTGTTTTTTTTTTGTTGTTGTTGTTGTTTTGGGAGAGGGGAGGGGGAAAGAGATTCACTCCTCTTGCCCAGGCTGGAGTGCAATGGCGCCATCTCAGCTCACCACAATTTCCACCTCCCAGGTTCAAGCGATTCTCCTGCCTCAGCTTTCCGAGTAGCTGGGATTACAAGCATGCACCACCACAACCGGCTAATTTTGTATTTTTAGTAGAGACAGGGTTTCTCCATGTTGGTCAGGTTGGTCTCAAACTCCGGACCTCAGGTGATCTGCCCACCTCAGCCTCCCAAAGTGCTGGGATTACAGGCGTGAGCCACCGTGCCTGGCCAGTGATGGACTTTCTAAATTTATGTAAGTTTTGATGATAGATTTAAAAGTTAGGTTTATCTAACCAAAAGCCTGCCAATTTGACTAGATTTTCTTTCTGGGAAGATAATTTTAGTAAGGATGGTTGGGTAAACTAGAAAATATTTTAGAGTCAAGTAGGAAAAGGTCACATTTTTATTTAAAAAAAATATATAAAACCCTGAAGAAATGTTTCAGTTTTGATGCTCAATTTGTATATATTTAAATAGTTTTAGTTGGAGGAAATTGATCCAAAATCTACTCATTAGAAAAAGTTTGGATTCTATTTTGGAGAAAATGTCAGGTAAAGTTTAGAATAACAGCATCAAAATTTTAAATAAAATGTATAAAGGCTCCAACACCTAGACTGATATAGAGAGAAATATGGAAAAAAATAGCATTTCTTTATTTTTGATATCAACTCCTATATTTATATGTTAGTATTTCTGATAAAGTAACATTCTGTCCTAAATGGTGCAATAATAGGAGCTTGTGAAAACTTTTGAGTAAATACTGAAATTCAGAATCAGGGCCCCTGGAAAAAGATGGTCATGTATATTTTGGGAAATTTGCCTAGATGCCTGTAAAGGTAATACATTGGAGGACACATTCAGATAAATACAGTGCCTACAACAGCTTGATGTGTATTAACTCATAAATGCATTTGAACGGTAATTTGATGTGTAATAGACTAACACAAGCCTGAATTTATTCCCATTGTTGCTACTTAAGGTGTCTCTTTATTCCATATGTCCACTGGTATGGTAGCCAGCCTTCAAATGACCTCCAAGAATTCTGAATGTTTTCTGATATTTACAACCTTGTGTTGTCCCTTTCTACAGTAAATATGGTTGACCTACGTAATAAAAGGATATTGACAAAATTAGGGTTTGTGATTTTTGAAGCTGGACATAAAAGACACTACAGGTTCTGCTTTGCTCCTTTGGATCAGTTACTTTGGGGAAACCAGCTGCCAGGCCATGAGGACACTCAAAAAGCCCTGCAGAAAGAGGCTTTTTGTAATGAGAAACTGTATGCTTTCTGTAATGAGAAACTGATGCTTTCTACTAGCAACCAGCACTAACTTGCCAGGCATGTGGAGTGAGCCACCTTGAAAATTGACCCCTCATCCCCAGTCTATCCTTCAGATGTCTGCAACCCTGGCAGACATCTTGTCTACAGCCTCAAGAGAATAAGAGACCCTGAGCCACAAACACCTATACAAGCTGTCCCCACTTGCCTGACACACAGAAACTGTGAGCTAATAAATGTTTCTTATTTGTAATCTGCTAAATTTGAGGGTAATTTGTTGTGCAGCAATAGATAACAAATACAACTCTTCTAACTTTTTGGGCTAGAAACTTGCACAGAGGTATTCACTTTATACTAAAAGGGTTTAGTCACATTAAAGTTGTTCACTGCTTCCAAGTTTGCATTTTATGTAGAAAATGACTCAGATCAGCCAACAGCCTCCTAACTGCTTCAATCTGTTTCTCAATCCGTTTCTCAATAACAATAATAATGCCATTTGCTAAGGTGTTATTATTACTTTAAATTTCATTATGTTTTATGTGATGATGGATTTAAAGCAAAAATATTACTCTTATATTTATTATATACATATATATGTGTGTGTGTGTGTGTGTGTATATATATATATATATATATATATAATGTGGTCCCTGTTACATATATATATGTATATATGTGTGTGTGTATATATTATATATATATATAATGTGGTCCCTGTTTTCATGTTATTCTAATCACTATATCATGGATATTTCCATACAAGTCTTATAAACAGATGCTGAATGCCTTCTTCACTCTTAGGGTCCTTCTTGACTTATAAATTATTTCACCTTTCTTTTTCTTGGGTTAGGCCCAGACCACAGTATGTATGTTAGAAAAAGAGAGACGATTTTCTTTATACTATTTCCAGTGAATATATATATATACACACACATATATACATATATATACACATATATATATACATATATATACACATATATATACATATACATATACACATATATATACATATACATATACATATATATGTAATGCTTCTGAAATGGCTTGTTACTTTAGAATTGTTCCAAAAACAAAGAAAAACATACACACACATCTGTGTGTGTGTGTATGAGTGTGCACGCAGGCAGGCGTGTGTGTGTGCATGCACATACACACTCCCATAGAACTGTGTATCACCACAGCCTACCTATTTAGTTTTGGAAATGATCAGCACTCAAGTCCAAGAAGGTAAATGTTAACTTTGGAAAATATCATGAAACTAACTAAAACCATTAGTAAAAAATTATGTGGGTAGCATTCTGATAATCGTTGAAGAAATTAGTTTTTTTTTTTTTTTTTTTTTTTGAGACAGAGTCTCGCTCTGTCACCCAGGCTGGAGTGCAGTGTCGCGATCTCTGCTTACTGCAACCTCTACCTCCCGGGTTAAAGCAATTCTCCTGACTCAGCCTCCCGAGTAGCTGGGACTATAGGTGTGTGCCACCTGCCCAGCTAATTTTTGTATTTTTAGTGGAGACAGGGTTTTGCCATGTTGACCAGGCTGGTCTTGAACTCCTGATCTCAGGTGATCCACCCGGCTCGGACTCCCAAAGTGCTGGGATTACAGGCATGAGCCACTGCGCCCCTCCAGGAACTAGTTTTAATAACCTATAATTAAACATTAGTTTGAGTGAAAGGAAAGATTTAATGTGGTCTGAAACAAAAATCTCTTTCTCTGTAGTCTTTGGTTTCCATTTTGGCTGAGGAGGGTATAGAAGAGAGATGGGTTGGGTTCAGCCAGGTATTTCATTCAGCACTCATAATTTCTGGTACCAAGGTACTCACAGTGTGCAGTATGGGAAAGAGCTGAAACGCTGCAAATGTCTGCATCTCTCACTCCATGAAATGCCCCGAGGGCTGACTCCTGGAGCATTCTACTCACAATGTTACAAGAGCTTTGTCCCTGTCTGCATGCTGATTGGAAGCAGATCCATGGTTCAGCATCAATGTCCATTTTTTGGCTATTGCTAATAATGTAACACCAATAAAATAGATAAATGACAGGGCAGCTGTCTAATGAAGTGAAGGTTAAGGAGTGTTAAACCGTGGTAGATATTTCTATTTGCTGGTGTTAAATTATGCTGCCTGCTCCACGTGCTTTCCTCATTAAAGGCTGATGCACTGTGTTGTTCTTAGGCAATTTATGGAATCTAAGAATGGCCTGCATGCCTGTTCTTCTGTGAGGTGGGCTGTTTGCAGCCCTGTTAATAGCAGCCCCGTAATAAACCATGATTAGCAGCAGTCCAAACAATTCGTCTTCCCCATTTGCCCCCTTGCAGAGACCCCAAAATCTTTTTCTTTCCAGTCAGCCATGACTTGTCATATTGTTGGTTGACATATCCCTAAAACAGAGAGTCTGGTACAGATTTGTTGAAACAGATTTCTCCCACAGCATTCTTGCTTCTTCACCATAGACCTGACTGGAGGGGAGAAAAGCATTACATGTATTTTTCTCCTGTATCAAAGATGAGAAGAACAGTCATCATTCCTGTTAGCAAATTGCCAAATAAGGTGGAGTTTATTTTTATCATTCAACATATATTTATTGAGCTTCTATAATATGTCAGGTGTTCTGTATGTAGTGGTTAAAATGATACATATGGTCCCTGCATTTTTAAGTTTTGAGGTGGTAGAAGAGACATAGCACAGGTCTAGTAAGTAGACAGAAAAATTTAGGATGCTATGTGAATAGATGTCAAAGGGCAAAACCTATGTTAGGAGATTCCAGCATAGGAATATTAAGTCCAGATATTAAGTCAAGTGCTACCTCTTTTGTTTTTATTTGATTTCTTGCTTGTTTTTACATGTGCATGGGAATCACAATGGGGTGGTAATATGATGGTTATGAATATGCCAATTGATATGGTTTATAAAAGACTTTGAAAGGATGAAGAATACCATACTATGTTTGGAAATGTTTATTCAAACCAAGGGGCAGTGCAGCATGCTTCCAGTAACAGTTTTAGTAATGATTCTCAATCTTGGCTGCACTTTAGAATTATCTGGGGAGCTTTAAAAAATCTGATGCCTAGGCCACCCCCAAAAGCAATTAAAAAAGAATCTCTAGGGGTGAGACCCAGACACCACTGCTCTTTAAAACTCCCCAGGTGATTCCAATGTGCAGCCAGTTTAAGAACCACTGAGTTATAGGCTTCCTACGTTTTCCAAATTCCCTACAAGGACCTACAGCTGCCAATTTTACCACTTATAGAGGAAAAAGAAATTACCAGGTGCATGAAGCTTCTCTTTCTTATCCTAAGAAGTTTTTAACTTCATTTTAAAAAATGAAAGTATAGTTACATAATAAAATGTACAAATCTTCAGTATAGAGTTCCATGAGTTTTGACAAAGTATGTACCCAAGTAACCAGCACGTCAATTGAAATATAGAACATCATCATCACCTTAGAATGTCCCATAGTGTCCCTTTACATTGTTCCTCCACACTGAAGGCAGAAATTACTCTAATTTCTGTTCCATAAATTAGTTTGGGCCATAATTGGACTTCATAAAAATTAAGTCACACAGTATGCAGTCTTTTGTTCTGGCTTATTTCCCTAAGAATAATGTTTTTGAGATTCATCTATGAGATTGGATGTATCAGTAGTTTGTTCCTCTTTATTGCTGAGTAATATTCCATTGTATGGATATACCACAATTTGTTTATGCTCTTGTTGATGGACATTTGGTTTGTTTCCAATTTTTGTTAATATAAATTAACCACAGTGACCATTCTAGTACAAGCTTTTGTGGACATACATTTAAAAAAAATTTTATAAATAGCCAAGAGTGAAATTGCTGTGTCATAAGGTAGTTGCATATTTAACTTAAAGAAACTGCCAGTTTTCCACACACATTTTATACTCCTGCTAGCAATGAATGAGAGGCTAGCTGTTTTGCATCTTTACTAATGGTTGGTGTTGTAAATTTCTTTTAATTATTGTTTAAATTTTAGTCATTCTCTCAAGCATGTAGTAGTAACTAAAGTTTAATTTGCAATCCCCTGGCGGCTAATGATGTTGAGCATTTTCATGTTCATTTATTGGCCATTTATACATTTTTTTGTGAAATGTCTGTATAACACTTTTTCCCATTTTTGTATTTGTTTGCTTGTCTTTTTATTATAATTTTTATAATTTTTTAAATCTTGATATGAGTTGCTTTTCTGAATATATTTTCTTCTTGTCTGGGGCTTGCTTTTCATTTCTTTCAAGGTGTTTTAATTAACAGTAGTTTTTAATTTTAATGCAGTCTAGTTTATATTTTTTCTCTTACAATTGTAGATATTTATATCTGTCTAGGAAATCTTTGCCTATCTCCAGGATAAAAGAGATGTGTTCTTGTGTTTTCTTTTAGAAGCATGTATATTTTTTGTTTTTACAATTATGTCTGTAAGCCATCTAGCATTAATTTTGTGTATGGCATTAGGTGTGAATCAAGTTTCTATTTATTCTTTATCTAGTTTTCAATATCTAGTGGTCTACCACCACTCATTTAAAATATTTTTCTTTTCCTATGGAATTATATCAGAGACTTTGTTAAGAAAAACATTTGTTTGCATATGTATGCTTCTTTTTCAATTCTATTCTGTTCCCTTGATCTATTTATTTATTATCTATCTTTATGCCATGTTGTATGGATCACTATAACTTTATAGTAAGTATTGAAATCGGTTGGTATAAGTTTTCCAAAATAGTTCTTCTTTTACAAAATTGTTTAGACAAATTGAGACCAATAGATTTTTATATAAATGTTGGTATAAGCTTGTCAATATCTACGAAAAAAGCCTGCTGGGATTTTTATCTTAATTGCCTTATGAGTAGTTTAGGAATAATTGACATCTTTACAATATTGAAACTTCCAACAACACCAAACTTTCTCAACAATGCTTTGTTCCTTTATATATTGTTCTAAATTTATCTCATATATTTTATTTATTTTTGATGTTTTTCTGAATGAAATTAATTTTTAAAATTACATGTTCTATTTGTTACTCATATGTGGAAATAAAAATAATTTTTGGACAGTGGGTGGCAATATGGCTGAACAGGAACAGATCTAGTCTGCAGCTCCCAGTGAGATCAATGCAGAAGGAAGGTGATTTCTGCATTTCCAACTGAGGTACCTGGTTAATCTCATTGGGACTGGTTAGACAGTGGGTGCAGCCCATTGAGGGCCAGCCGAAGCAGGGTGGGGTTTCACCTCACCCGGGAAGCATGAGGGGTTGGGGAACTCCCTCCCTTTGCCAATGGAAGCCATGAGGGACTGTGCCCTGAGGAACGGTGCATTCTGGCCCATATACTATGCTTTTCCCACGGTCTTGGCAACCCATAGACCAGAAGATTCCCTAGGGTGCCTACACCACCAGGGCCAGCTCTGAGTACAGCAGCAGATCTCCAGCAAAGCACTTGAGCTCTGCTACGGGACAGAGAGCCTCCTCAAGTGGGTCCCTGACCCCTGTGCCTCCTGACTGGGAGACACCTCCCAGTAGAGGTAGACAGATACCTCATACAGCAGAGCTCTGGCTGGTATCTGGCAGGTGCCCCTCTGGAACAAAGCTTCCAGAGGAAGGAACAGACACAATTTTTGCTGTTCTCAGCCTCTGCTGGTGATACCCAGGCAAACAGGGTCCGAAGTGGACCTCCAATAAACTCCAGCAGACCTATAGGAGAGGGGCCAGACTGTTAAAAGAAAAACTAACAAACAGAAAGGAACAGCATCAACATCAACAAAAACGATGTCCACACAAAAACCCCATCCAAAGGTCACCAACATCAAAGACCAAAGGTAAATAAATCCACAAAGATGAGGAAAAACTCAAGCAAAAACTCTGAAAATTCCCAAAACCAGAACACCTCTTCTCCTCTAAAGGAAAGGATCACAACTCCTCACCAGCAAGGGAACAAAACTGGATGGAGAATGAGTTTGACGAGTTGACAGAAGTGGGCTTCAGCTGGTGGGTAATAACAAACCCCCCTGAGCTAAAGAAGCACTTTCTAACCCAATGCAAGGAAGCTAAGAACCTTGAAAAAAGGTTAGACAAATTGCTAACTAGAATAACCAGTTAGAGAAGAATATAAATGAACTGATGGAGCTGAAAAACAGTATGAGAACTTCATGAAGCATACACAAGTATCAATAGATGAATTGATCAAGCAGAAGAAAGGATATCAGAGATTCAAGATCAACTTAATGAAATAAAGCGTGAAGACAAAATTAGAGAAAATAGAATGAAAAAGAACAAACAAAGCCTTCAAGAAATATGGGACTATGTGAAAAGACCAAACCTACACTTGATTGGTGTACCTGAAAGTGACAGGGAGAATGGAACCAACTTGGAAAACACTTTTCAGGATATTATCCAGAAGAACTTCCCCAGCCTAGCAAGACAGGCCAACATTCAAATTCAGGAAATACAGAGAACACCACAAAGATACTCCTCAAGAAGAGCAACCCCAAGACACATAATCATCAGATTCACCAAGATTGAAATGAAGGAAAAAATGTTAAGGGCAGCCAGAGACAAAGGTCGGGTTACCCACAAAGAAAAGCCCATCGGACTAACAGCAGATCTCTCTGCAGAAATCTTACAACCAGAAGAGAGTACAGCCAATATTCAATATTCTTAAAGAAAAGAATTTTCAACCCAAAATTTTATATCCAGCCAAACTAAGCTTAATAAGCAAAGGAGAAAAAAATCCTTTACAGACAAGCAAATGCTGAGAGATTTTGTCACCACCAGGCCTGCCTTACAAGAACTCCTGAAGGAAGCACTAAACAGGAAAAGGAAAACCCGGTATCAGCCACTGCAAAAACTTACCAAATTGTAAAGACCATAGACACTATGAAGGAACTGCATCAACTAATGGGCAAAATAACCAGCTAGCCTCATAATGACAAGGTCATATTCACACATAACCATATTAACCTTAAATGTAAATGGGTTAAATGCCCCAATTAAAAGACACAGACTGGCAACTTGGATAAAGAGTCAAGACCCATCAGTGTGCTGTATTCAGATGACTCATCTCATGTGCAAAGACAAACATCGGCTGAAAATAAAACGATGGAGGAATATTTACCAAGCAAATGGAAAGCAAAAAGAAGTGCAGATTGCAATCCTAGTCTCTGATGAAGCAGACTTTAAACCAACAAACATCAAAAAAGACAAAGAAGGGTATTCCATAATGGTAAGGGGATCAATGCAACAAGAAGAGCTAACTATCCTAGATATATATGCAACCAATACAGGAGCACCTAGATTCATAAAGCAAGTTCTTAGAGACCTACAAAGAGACTTAGACTCCCACAGAATAATAGTGGGAGACTTTAATGCCCCACTGTCAGTATTAGACAGATCAAGGAGACAGAAAATTAACAAGGATATTCAGGACATGAACTCAGCTCTGGACCAAGCAGACCTAACAGACATCTACAGAACTCTGCACCCCAAATCAACAGAATATATGTTTTTCTCTGCACCACATTGCACTTATTCTAGAATTGACCACATAATTGGAAGTAAAACACTCCTCAGCAAATGGAAAAGAACAGAAATCATAACAAACAGTCTCTCAGACCACAGTGCAAATTAATTAGAAATCAGAATTAAGAAACTTACTCAAAACCGCACAACTACATGGAAACTGAACAACCTACTCCTGAATGACTGCTGGGTAAATAACAAAAATAAGGCAGAAATAAATAAGTTCTTTGAAACCGATGAGAACAAAGAACATACCAGAATCTCTGGGACACAGCTAAAGCAGTGATTAGAGGGAAATTTATAGCACTAAATGCCCACAGGAGAAAGCAGGAAAGATCTAAAGTCAACACCCTAACATTACAATTAAAAGAACTAGAGAAGCAAGAGCAAACAAATTCAAAAGCTAGCAGAAGACAAGAAATAACTAAGATCAGAGCAGAACTGAAGGAGATAGAGACACGAAAAAACCTTCAAAAAATCAATGAAACCAGGAGCTGGTTTTTTGAAAAGATTAACAAAATAGACCACTAGCCAGACTAATAAAGAAGGAAAGAGAGAAGAATCAAATAGACACAATAAAAAATGATAAAGGGGATATCACTACTGATCCCACAGAAGTACAAACTACCATCAGAGAATACTATAAACACCTCTACTCAAATAAACTAGAAAATCTAGAAGCAATGGATAAATTCCTGGACACATACACCCTCTCAAGACTAAACCAGGAAGAAGTCGAATCCCTGAATATACCAATAACAATTTCTGAAATTGAGGCAGTAATTAATAGCCTACTAACCAAAAAAAAGTCCGGGACCCAGACAGATTCACAGCCAAATTCTACAAGACGTACGAACAGGAGCTGGTCCCATACCTTCTGAAACTATTCCAAACAATAGAAAAAGAGGGACTCCTCCCTAACTCATTTTTTGAGGCCAGCATCATCCTGAAACCAAAATCTGACAGAGATACAACAACAACAACAAAAATTTCAGGCCAATATCCCTTACCAACATCGATGTGAAAATCCTCAATAAAATACTGGCAAACCAAATGCAGCAGCACATCAAAAAGCTTATCCACCACAATCAAGCCAGCTTCATCCCCAGGATGCAAGGCTGGTTCAACATATGCAAATCAATAAACATAATCCATCACATAACAGAACCAATGACAAAAACCACATGTTTATCTCAATAGATGCAGAAAGGGCCTTTGATAAAATTCAACACCCCTTCATGCTAAAAGCTCGCAATAAACTAGGTATTGATGGAACGTATCTCAAAATAATAAGAGCTATTTATGACAAATTCACAGCCAATGTCATACTGAATGGGCAAAAGCTGGAAACATTCTCTTTGAAAACTGGGACAAGACAAGGATGCCCTCTCTCACCACTCCTATTCAACATGGTATTGGACGTTCCATCCAGGGCAATCAGGCAAGAGAAATAAATAAAGTGTATTCATATAGGAAGAGAGGAAGTAAAATTTTTGCAGATGACATGATTGTATATTTAGAAAACCCCATTGTTTCAGCCCAAAATCTCTTTAAGCTGATAAGCAGCTTCGGCAAAGTCTCAGGATACAAAATCAATGTGCAAAAATCACAAGCATTCCTATGCACAAAAAATAGATAGCCAAGTCATGAGTGAACTCCCTTTCACAATTGCTACAAAGAGAATAAAATACCTAGGAATACAACTTACAAGAAATGTGAAGGACCTCTTCAAGGAGAACTACAAACCACTGTTCGAGGAAGTAAGAGAGGACACAAACAAATGGAAAAACATTCCATGCTCATGGATAGGAAGAATCAATATCATGAAAATGGCCATACTACTCAAAGTAATTTATAGATTCAATGCTATCCCCATCAAGCTACCATTGACTTTCTTCACAGAATTAGAAAAAATTTCTTTAAATTTCATATGGAACCAAAAAAGAGCCCAGATAGCCAAGCCAATCCTAAGCAAAAGGAACAAAGCTGGAGGCATCATACTACCTGACTTCAAACTATACTTCAAGGCTACAGTAACCAAAACAGCATGATACTGGTACCAAAACAGATATATAGACCAATGGAATGGAACAGAGCCCTCAGAAATAACACCACACATCCACAACCATCTGATCTTTGACAAACCTGACAAAAACAAGCAATGGGGAAAGGATTCCCCATTTAATAAATGGTGTTGGGAAAACTGGCTAGCCATATGCAGAAAACTGAAACTAGATCCCTTCCTTACACCTTATAAAAAAATTAACTTAAGATGGATTAAAGACTTAAATGTAAGAGCTAAAACCATAAAAACCCTAGAAGATAAACCTAGGCAATACCATTCAGGACATAGGCATGGGCAAAGACATCATGACTAAAACACCAAACACAATGGCAACAAAAGCCAAAATTGACAAATGGGATCTAATTAAACTAAAGAGCTTCTGCACAGCAAAAGAAACTATCATCAGAGTGAACAGGCAACCTACAGGATGGGAGAAAATTGTTGCAATCTATCCATCTGACAAAGGGCTAATATCCAGAATCTACAAAGAACTTAAACAAATTTACAAGAAAAAACCAACCCCATCAAAAAGTGGGTGAAGGGTATGAATAGACACTTCTCAAAAAAGACATTTAAGCAGCCAGCAAACATGAAAAAAAGCTCATCATCATCGGTCATTAGAGAAATGCAAATCAAAACCACAAGGAGATACTGTCTCATGCCAGTTAGAATGCCAATCATTAAAAAGTCAGGAAACAACAGATGCTATAGAGGATGTGGAGAAATAGGAATGCTTTTACACTGTTGGTGGAAGTGTAAATTAGTTCAACCATTCTGGAAGACAGTGCAGCGATACCTCAAGGAACTAGAACTAGAAATACCATTTGACCCAGCAATTCCATTACTGGGTATATACCCAAAGGATTATAAATCATGCTACTATAAAGACACAGGCACACATATGTTTATTGCAGCACTGTTCACAATAGCAAAGACTTGGAACCAACCCTATTGCCCATCAATGATAGACTGGATAAAGAAAATGTGGCACATATACATCATGGAATACTATGCATCCATAAAAAAGGATGAGTTCATGTCTTTTGCAGGGACATGGATGAAGCTGGCAACCATCATTCTCAGCAAACTAACACAGGAACAGAAAACCAAACACCACATGTTCTCATTCATAAGTGGGAATTGAACAATGAGAACACATGGACACAGGGAGGGGAGCATCACACATCGGGGCCTATCAGGGGTTGGGGGGCTGGGGGAGGGATAGCATTAGGAGAAATACCTAATGTAGATGACAGGTTGAGGAGTGCAGCAAACCACCATGGCACGTGTATACCTGTACAACAAACCTGCACGTTCTGCACATGTATCCCAGAACTTAAAGTATAATAAAATAATAATAATAATAATTTTTCTACAGCATGTGCCACATAACCATACTTTGGTCAAGGACAGACCACACCTAAGGGACTGGTCACGTAAGATTCTAATACAGTATTTTAATAGCATCTTTTCTATATTTAGAAGTGTTTACATACACAAATACTTACCATTGTGTTACAATTGCCTGCAGTATCTAGCATAATATTGTGCCTGCTCTACAGGTTATAGCCTAGAAGCACTAGGCTATACCACGTAGCTTAGGTATGTAGTATGCTATATTATCTAGGTTTATGTTAAGTACACTCTTTGATGTTTGCATAATGATGAAATAACCTAGCAGTGCATTTCTCAGAACATACACTTGGTGTTAAACGACGTGTAACTGTATTTGACCTTGTATCCTGAGACCTTCATGAATTCACTTACTGGATCTAGAGAAAAGTTTGTTTGTTTGTTGGACAGATTCTCTTGTATTGTACATATGCAGTCACATAATCTATGAACAAAGGTAGTTTAACTTCATTTTTGTGATATTTATGTCTCTTATTTCTTTTTCTTGCCTTATTTCATTAAGTAAGCCCACACAGTGTCAAATGTAATAGAAATGAAGTACACACATACCTTGTCTGATTTCCAATTTTTTAAATTAAAAATTTTAGATATTTTAACAGTTCACCATTAAATATGATGTTCGCTGTACGTTTTTCCGATTAAGTTCCATTTATTCCTGGTTTGCTAAGAGGTTTTGAAAACCATGAATAAATGTGGGATATAACAAAATACTGGTTTGTATCTATTAAAAGTTATATAATTTTTCTTCTGTAATCTTATAAAGGTGTGTTTTATTTTTTAATAACCACAAGCTTCCTACTTTAAAATTCTAGATTATGCTTGTTTTCTCACCAGAAGGAATTAAATAGTCAAAACAAAACAAAACAAACACAACTAAAAAAACACAACAAAAATGCCTGTGGAACTGAACTTCAATTTTCCACATAGTAAGTCTCCCAGCAGGATCAGTGTAAGGCCTGTTTCTGCGGTAGGAAAAAGTGAGACTTGTGCATGGACCATGTGTTTTATAGAGAAATATTTTTTCTAGAGAAACCACAAAATGTACCATACTAAGTAAAAAGTTGTATTTAAGGAACATATATTCATAACTTAAATATCAAAGATATTTATGTGGATCACTTATTTCCTTTCCATTCTCTGCTGTTCTCAAACCACTGTCTGTGCATTGTAGGTTTGGGTTGTGTAGAATTGAATTATGTTCAATTTTCAACTTGGGGAGCATTTGCATTTAGGACCTACAGATTTTATCAGATTAGCAAAGGAATATATGACTCCAAACAGCATATAGCACTTTTCTAAAAGATTCAAATCCAGCCAAGAGGAAGTTGATCTTGCTTCATGTAGCTCAGGATTTGTTTGATCTGAAGCATCTATAAATGTCCTGGATTATCACTCATTGGAATTATTTTAGGTATCAGTAACCTAATGGGGGGAAAGTAGGCTTAAATTAGACTTAAAATTGTCTCAGTTCTCTGCTATGCATTCTAACTATAGACAGAGAGAAACATCTATCATTGGTTATAAAATTTTCGAGAATCTCAGCCTGCCCAAAGAGTAGCAGAAGTAGAAGCCTTCACAATGATTATTGTGGAGAAGATCAAAGTTGAAGCTCAGGCTTATTAGCTGCTTCCTTGATCTAATACTTTGCATTTTATGAGCCATATCAAAACCGTATCATTTTTGGTTCCTATTTTGCTATTGAACAGTTTCTGGTATAAACCTTTGAAAGTTGATTCCTGGGAGCACTTAAAAATCTCTAAATAAATAATCATTATATAGTGGTTATTTTCCCACTTCAATTATGACAATAATTTTATTAAATTTTAGATATAATTTTTATTATAATCCTAGAAATACCGTAATGAAATCACCTAAACAGGTTTTCTAGGTGATTAAGAAGATTGGTTAACCAATGTGAGGCTAAGGTGTTATTAGATTTGTCTTTATTTCCTGCTTTGACCTAGTTACAGAATCTAAGTTATGTTCCATCTCCAAAAGGTCTTTTATTATATATTGTGTTTTATATCAAAATAGATTTGAAAACATTAGATAAATTTTCTATTCTTGTTTTCTTTTGTTTTAGAGATGAGGTCTCACTCTGTTGCCCATGCTAGAGTGTAGTGGTGCAATCATAGCTCACTGCAGCATCAAACTCCTGGGCTCAAGCAATGCTCCTGTGTTAGCCTCCCAAGTAGGGATTACAAGTGCAACCACTGCACTCAGCTTATCCTTCTATGTTTTAAATTTGATTCTAAAACTAAAGGATAGAGAATAAAATTTGAAACAGAGATGAAAAAATAAGGACTACAGAGGAGAAATTTACTCTGGGGAACAAATGAAAAAGAGCTAATTAATGATTTTTTAGGAAAATAAAACAGATGAAATGTTAATAGTATTTTCAGATAGGAAAAATCAGTTGAGATGACAAGTCAAAACACAAGGCTTAATAGACTATTTTACCTTGCCAGATTTGCTATGGAATAATCTTAAAAATTAGCAACTGGCATAAAAAGGTTTTTTTTTTCTTTATATTAAGCTAAAGATTCCCATTAAAACAACAACAGCAGACACAAAAATCAGTAGCATTTCTATATGCTAACAACAAACAATCTTAAAAATAAAGAAAATATTTTCATTTACTATAGCAACCAAAAAATACTTTGAAATGAATTTAACCAAGGGAGTGAAAGACCTGTGCATTGAAAACTATAAAAAATTGATGAAAGAAATAGAAGATACAAATAAATGGAAGATATCCCATGTTTGTGGATTGGAAGAAGTAACATTGTTAAAATGATCATACTACCTAAAGCTATGTACAGATTCAATGCAATCCCTATCAAAATACCAATGATATCTTTTACAGAAATAGAAAAAAAAATTCTAAAATTCACATGGAAACCCAAAAGACTCCAAATACCCAAAGCAATCTTGACCCAAAATAAGAAAAACTAGAGACATCACACTATCTGACTTCAAAATATGCTAGAGAGCTATAGTAATCAATACAGCATTGCACTGGTTTAAAAACAGACCTATGGGTTAATGGAACAGAATAGAGAGCCCAGAAATAAATGCATGCAGTTACAGTCAATTGATTTTCAACAAAGGTGACAAGAACACACAATGGGGATGGACAGTCTCTTCAACAAATGGTATTAAAACAACTGGATATTCACATGCAAAAGAATTAAATTAGTCCCTTTTCTCACATCATGCATAAAACTCAACTAAAAATGAATTAAAGACTTAAACATAAAAAGATCTGAAACCACAAAAACTACTAAAAGAAAACAGGGGAAAGCTCCATGACATTGGTTTAGGCAATAATTTGTCTGAATGTGACCCAAAAAGCACAGGTAGCAAGAACAAAAATAGACCAATAGAATTGTATCAAACTAAAATGCTTCTTCACTTCCAAGGAAATAATCAACAGTGATGAGACAACTTATGGTATGGGAGAAAACATTTGCAAACCATACATTTGATAAGGGGTTAATATCCAAAATATATAAAGAGTTAATATCTAAAATATATAACTCAAACAATTCAATAGCATTAAAACAAATAACCCAATTTTTAAAATGGGCAAAGGGCTTGAATAGCTATTTCTCAAAAGAAGACATACAAATGGACAACAGGCATATGAAAATATGCTCAATATCACTAGTCATCAGGGAAATGCAAATTAAAACTACAATGAGATATCACTTTACACTTGTCAGGATGGCTAATTATCAAAAAGATGAAAGATAATAAGTTTTGGGGAGGATGTGGAGAAAAGGAAATACTTGCATATTGTTGCTGGGAATGCTAACTAGTGAAGCCATTGTGGAAGAGTATGGAGGTTCCTCACAAAATGAAAATAAAGCTACCATATGAGCCAGGAATCCTGCTACTGGATTTATATCCAAAGGAAATCAAATCAGTATGTGAAAGATATATCTGCATTCCCATGTTCATTGCAGCATTATTCACAATAGCCAAAATATGGAATTACCCAAAGCGTCCATTAATGGAAGAATGGATAAAGAAAATGTGTGTATATACACAATGGAATACTATTCAGCCCTTAAAAAGAAGGAAATATGTCATTTGCTAAAACATGGTGAACATGAAGGATATTATGTTAAATGAAATAAGCCAGACACAGAAAGATAAATATTGCATGATCTCACTCATGTGTTATCTTAAAAAGTTAGACTCATATAAGTAGACAGTAGAATGGAGGTTACCAGGGGTAAGGGATTTGGAGGGATTGGGGAGATTTTCATTAAAAGATACAAAATTTCGGCCGGGCACGGTGGCTCACGCCTGTAATCCCAGCACTTTGGGAGGCTGAGGCAGGCGGATCACGAGGTCAGGAGATCGATACCATCCTGGCTAACATGGTGAAACCCCATCTCTACCAAAAATACAAAAAATTAGCCGGGCATGGTGGTGGGCGCCTGTAGTCCCAGCTACTCGGGAGGCTGAGGCAGGAGAATGGCGTGAACCCAGGAGGCGGAGCTTGCAGGGAGCCGAGATCGCACCACTGCACTCCAGCCTGGGCCACAGAGCGAGACTCTGTCTCAAAAAAAAAAAAAAAAAAGATACAAAATTTCAGTTAGACAGGAGGAATAAGTTCAAGAGATGTGTTGTACAATATGATGACCATAGTTAATAACAATGTATTGTATTCTTGAAACTTGAAGCTAAGAGTGTAGATTCTAAATGTTTTCACCACAACAAATAAGTAAGGTAACACATATGTTAATTACCTTAATTTAGCCATTCCACAATGTATATATATTTCAAAACAACATGCTGTACCTGATACATATATATTTTATTTTTCCCTAAATCAATAAATGAAAGTAAAGCAAAAACTTAGAACAACAACCAGAGATGATTGGGTAAAAATGATGAGACTGCTGACTGCCTGGGATGTTAGACAGTTTTTCTTTTAATTGTTTTCTGCTATTAACTAGTTATTTTATTTACTATTGGTCTATGACAGTGACTCCCTTTTGTAAAAACAAAAGCAGATAGATATCAATGTTCTTAATGTGAGAACAGTAATAACTGCCCTTTTAACCTTTGCGTCTTGTCTTTAAGGATGTAAATAAAACTAAGGAAAGAAACAGGATCTTTGGTATTTTGGTAACATAGGATGGGTTTAGACAATAGGATAATCCTTTTTAAAACTTCTTTGCCTGATGTTTCACTAATGGGTGGGTGAAATACCTTTAGTGTGAGAGGAAACAATATAAACCCTTTTTAGCTTTTGTAAATCTATACTAAATGCCTATGTTAAATAACATAATAGATTTAAAAAAGCTGACTTGGAAAATATAAACACTACATAAGTGTAAGGTATTGTTATTATGCCAAGGCTTAAATTATGGATTATAATTGTAGAGATAGCCTGAAGTAAAAGATGTATACTTTCAAAGTAAGTATATATATGTCTTAGTATATATGTGTCCTATTTTGTCACATCCAAAAGAAGACATTGTTAATCTGGCCAAAAAAAAATGGAAAAAAAAATGACCCCCACAGAAAATTTAACAGAAGCAAGTGTAAGTAAATCATATCAATACAAGTATTTATAACCTGATATTAGTAGAAGTGTTCATAATCAGTTGGCATTAATTTGTACTCAGAAGTCATCATCAAAGGTAGACCAAAAACTTAAGTATTGCAAAAAAGATTCAGGACAGTCTTTCTTCACGTGCATAACATGCTCAAATTATAAAAGAAATTCAGTTCTATAAACTAGAATCAAATCATTTTTATAGTTAATACAACACCCATCTACATTAACTACTTTTGTTGTCTGGTTCTGCCAAATGTAAATACTACATCATTTATTGATATGTAAGAAGATTTATGTTCTGATGAAAGAACCAAGAAAGAATCTTGCTAGTGTCAGAGGTAAAAGATTTATGTTAGAAAGCCTTTATTTGGCATTGATAAAAAATTGACTAGGTATCAATAAAGCCCTATGGGGTCTTATAAGAACTATGGATTCTCAAGTGTTCCTGATACGTATGTAGAATAAGCATTTCTTTTTCACATAGACATTGAAATATTGCAGTCAGCAATTTTCTTCCCTAGCATCTTTTTCATGCCATCTTCTTCAAGAAAAAAAATAGTAACATCTGTTTCATAATTTAAATATAACCCAGAAGGTATCAAAACACAGGGAATTTTTAAGAAGAAAAAAAATTCTAAGCAAGCAGGTTAGATATGTATATACATCATAAAGTTGTAGTGGGCTAGGGAATGGCTATCCAAGGACACTGTTCTCATTAAAAAATAAGTAACTCAGCTAGAGTGGTGTGTATAAATTATGTAAGTTTGTTATGGTAGGTAGAGATATTTTCATGTAAGTAAAATCAATGAAAATTAATTGATACCTACTATATTGATAGTTTAAGCCACACAAAATCCTTACATGAAATAAACTATGGTTACCCAAAGGAATGTGCAGAAACCAACATAATCTGCATCATCTGGGTGCTCACTGGAAATGCCAAAGGAAAAAAAGTAAGGCACTATCCCAGGCTTATTGAATCAGAACCTGCATATAAACAAGATCCTTAGGTGATTTGTACACTCTAATGTCTGAGAAGCAAGGCTTTCACTTTCTTATTTGCATTGGAGAAGACTTTCAAACTTTCTACTCAACTCTCCATCCCTCCTCATAAACTCAATTTGTATGGCCAAATTTATAAAGTTTGTGCAATTTATTTACTTTAGAAAAAATTTTAGCTTGCCTTGCTTCAAAGGGAAATGAGACCTCTGGGAGTAATGAGTTTTTATTTTGTAGAATAACAAGCGTTCACCATCAGAACAGAAGAAGGCAAGGACCCAAAGTTCAGAGAAAATTTGTGCTTACTTTCCAGTCCATGTCTTAGTCCCATAATTCATCATTTGGATCAAGAACTTGTTTCTGCACACTCTGGTAACACAGGTAATCCCCACTTTAAGAAATGACTGTGGTCCATTTGTAAGTTGGTAATTTGAAACTTTCAATGTATTTCCACATAGAAATAGTGTTATACTTAGTAGGTAGGTTTCTAGGCAGTTTTCAGAAATCTATATAATTTATAATGTACTAAGAAGTAAAGTGTTGGGAGGCATTGGGTTAAAGCAAGCATATTAGAATGACACATACCCAGGTTCAAATTTTGGCTCTATGACTATCCAATGCTTCACCTTGAACATTTATTTAACTTATTTATCACATGTAAATATAATAATAATTGCCTCACAAAGTTTTTGTAAGAAATGAAATGTGTATTAAGTCACCTGATGTTGAACTAAGTCATTTTGTATGGCTGGCCATATGATAAAAGTTTAAAAGAAATTTTGTCAAAAAGCACTGTTGAATATGGATTAGGATACTTGATCCATGAGGAAGGGGAGTATGAATCTCAGGGAGGACTTGCTTAGAGAAAATGATGCCTGGAAGAGTGAGAGCATCCATATGTGGCATTAGGTAGAAGTTTCGAAGAGGATATTCTAGGCAGGAATCATGACTTAGAATTATAGATGTATACGGGGTGCAGAGTAGCAAGGAGGGTGTTCAATGGATTTGGGCTAGAGACTTTAAAAAAAGAACTGCTACTGGCATTTGCCTTTCTATTTCCTTTTCTTCCTTGCCTCCATCTCTTTTGATATTGCTAATCTACAAAAAGCACAGAGTAAGATCAATAAGAAGCGAGATCAATATGAAGTGCCCAGCAGCAAGGAAAAAAGTAGGGAGAAAGAAAACAACTGTCAAGGGTAGAACCAGGAGGTTCTCTACTATCAGCAGTGAATATTTTTGTGTTAAATACAGTATCTTAGATGACAAAGCCTTAAGATTGACAGTGGTAATATTTGTGCTACATTCTTAATATTAGATATCACTTTGTGTTGAAGAGTCAATCTAACATTCTATTTTCATTTGAACCAAAGGTGACTGTGGCTTACGGATTACGTTGATTTTACCTTGAATTTTCAGAGTTAACTTTAATTTCCTTGTCTTGTTTTGTGACTATCTTTTGTTGGTGATTCCTTTTTTGTAAACCCAAATTGTGTTTTCATTCACAAAACCAAGTGGAGAATTAAGTCAATTATCTTTATATCAACAGTCATAGAGTAAGGAACTTGGCCCAAAATGAGAGTGTAAAACATTGATTGGTAATTGTTTTTTGTGTGTTCTCTAATGTGTTAAAATTTGGCATTTTAGACAACACCAATATGAAAACATATGTTTAAATTGTATTAAGTCATACAATGAACTGGAAAGTAAAATATATAATTTCACACATCAAATCACAGTGACAGATCTATAACCCAGGGACATTCAATAAAGATTTTTCTTTTTTTTTTTTTTGAGACAGAGTCTCACTCTATCTCTCAGGCTGGAGTGCAGTGGCATGATCTTGGCTCACTGCAAACTCTGCCTCCTGGTTCAAGCAATTCTCCTGCTTCAGCCTCCTGAGTAGCTGGGATTACAGATGTGTGCCACCATGCCCGGCTAATTTTTGTGTTTTTCATAGAGACGGGGTTTCACCATGTTGGCCAGTCTGGTCTCAAACTCCTGACCTCAGGTGATCCGCCTGCCTTGGCCTCTCGAAGTGCTAGGATTGCAGGTGTGAACCACCATGGCCAACCTCAATGAAGTTTTGATAACTGACTAAGGAAAACATCAAAAACAAATAGAGAGTTTTCTATCAAGTTTCTTTAAGCATATTTGAACAAAAATACTGAGATTCTTTTGGTTAAGATTTAAGAAAATCAAATACCATTGATGGTTATGGTTTTACCTGAGAGAATGACTGAGGGCGCCACAAGATGTTTATATCTACCTGAAAGTAAAATGGCAATATTTGTGTGTGTGATTTTTTTCCCCAAAACTCTCATGTAATTTTCTCCTGTGGAATGCATGAGGTAAGAACATGTTATTTTGTGACACCAGTATATATTCATATTAATAATTAGAGTTTGTATTTAGATAATGTAATAGCGTTGATGAATCACTTTGACATACATATTTATTATTGGTGTGTATTATTACTGAGTGAGTTATGCTTAACAGATATTGTTTTCCTCTTTTTATCTATACATAAACCTCAAGAAAGTTTAATGACTCACCTAAGGTAACATAGGGGCTCGGTGGTGGATTGAAAACTCATACTTTCTATTTCCCAGTTCAGTGTACTTTCCATGGTATCACATTTCCTTTCAGTGTTTCTACAAGAAGACAAGAAAAAATATACTATCATTTACTGATGAACAATGTTAAGTAAAAAGCTACATCAGGTAATGGACACTGTTAAGCATACCAAGTTCCTACTTTAGAATAATAGTAAATTTCATTTCTGGTAAAATGGAAGACTAAGTAGCCTAGTTACATACAAATACTGAAAAAATAAATTGAACTTTGGTTTTTAAATGTATAGCAAAAGAGTAAGCAGATTTTCAGACTTAATAAGAAAGCACAAATTCAGAGTGGTAACATGAAAGATGAGAGTTTCTCTCAGTCCATTCTTAATAGGCAAGATTTTTAGTTTTAATCAACCATGTTTAAGCAACAGGAGAAAAGCTAGATTCGGAGTGAAGTGAAAAGTCATGTCAGAGAAACCTGTGTAAATCTAGCCCTTCTGAAAGGGTAAATGACTTAGCAATCAAATAAACAAATATACAACATAAAACTCCACCTCCCAAAGAAAGAAACTTGTGTTTATCATGGCTGAGATGTAGGAGCAGGGTAGAGTTTTCCCAGAGAATTTGGAGCGTAAAACAGGCTTTCAGTCAGACTTCCTGCATGACTCCAAAGTCTAAGCAATAAATTCAGCATGATAGTTCTGTCCTCAGGCATCTAAAAGACACTGACACTAATCCCCTTTAGAGGGATGTAACATAAAGCCAGTCCTAAAGATTGCTGTATATAATATTCAAATAAACTTGAGCTCACAGTCAAAAATCACAACACAAAAAAGGAAACAAGAAACTGTAAATGAGAGTCAGAAGAAACAAATGCTAGAATCAGACCACAACAAGGAATATATTAACAGTTATAGAGACTACCAGATGGAAAATACAATGCAAATATACTTAATAGGCTTAAAGAAATAATACATCAGAAATAGGGCTAAGAACAGGAAACCATCAAATATAAGCACACATATTTTCAAAAATCCAGCAAATGGAACTTGTAAAACCTGTATAATTGGGTTTAAAAACTAGGTGGAGAAGTAAAGTGTCAGATTAAAACAGCTAAAGAGATATTAAGAGACTTAGAAGATACAATGAAGATATTTTTATAATCGGAAAACCAGAGGTAGGTAATAGAAAAAGTGAGGAGAGATAATACTTTAAGAAAAAAAAAAGCTGAGAATTTTGCAGAAGTGATGGAAGACATGAATCATCAGAAACAGAATGCTAAGAAAAGCCAAGCAGAGTAAGGAAATCAGTACTTAGCCAACTTGTGAAACTGTAAAGCAACAAATTTAAAAACAGATGATCTTTGTAGTGGACATTGTTATGTGCCACATGGTCCCTCTTTAGGATTAAAAATTTTATGCCCACAGGTGCTGGCAGTGCTGTTGGCTGTAATCATCTTTGGAAATTTTCATTTGCTGTAGAGAAAGTTTTTTACCCACATTCCAATTTCTGCTCAATCCTACAGCATTTCCTTCTCTTCCACAAGCATTGGTCCCAAGAATATTCCTTAATAAACTTCGTGCACACTGACTATATAACAGAGTTTGCTTGCTGGGACACCCAATGTACAATGGTTGGTTTGTAAGTCCAGCTGTATAGAACATTTATGAAATTATCTGGAAATTTTTGAATATAGACTTAATATTAGATGATTTGAAGGACTTTTTATTAATTTTGTAGGTGTTATAATGGTATTTTGGACATATAAGAAACAATTTTTATTTCTGATAGATGCCTACTGAGTTCAAGGGAAAATAATCTCATCTATCTGCACTTTATTTTAAAATACTTCATCAGAAAAAAAAACAAGTTAATTTTTAAAAATCGAGTGCCACCAAATTTAAATCATGTGTTTAAGTATCAATGTATTTAAATCATGTCTTTAAGTCATGCGTGTGTGTGTGTGTGTGCATGTCTGTATATACATAGACTATTGGTTCTGTCTCTCTGAAAAACTCTTGACTAACACAAAAGCAGTACAAAAAGTTTCTAGGGGGCAATTATATAGTTTTATAGGTTAAGTCAATTTAACTAGATTAAGTAGCTACTAATCTCTCTTTTGTCTGTACAAATTTGTCTATCCTGGACATTTTATATAAATAAAATAAAATTTATAATCTTTTGTGTTAATTTTATTATAATTTGAGGTATATATATAAAAATATTTGATCCTAATATTTAAGAAAAAAAATCACATTTCTGAAAGTCAGGGGATTTTGACATTATCATTTTCCTATACATGCTCATTTTTTTTTTCTGTGTAACTCCTGTGTGACAATAACTAGAGAGTCCATACATATTGTCCTAAATTTAGAGTTCAGAAGAACTAATCAATGAGATTGAGTATTATTATAGTATGCTTGGAACATTGAGAGATACAGAAGTCTTAGGATTTCTGCATTTCAAGCCACTCCTTTCTTCTTCTGCCTCTGTTTTATGTGGACTACTGTGGTGTGATCCGCTGATACCTCACCACCTACGGTCTCAATCTTACCCCAATTTCCTGACCCATTTGATCAAGACAGGATGGAAATACATTACCTCAGTTCCAAATGCTAAGAATAGTCACTCCCACTTGTATATGGTTTTCAATGTCTCTTTGCTGTCTCTCAGTTCCTGTGTCCCAAGCGTGGCTACTTTGGTACTTTATTTCCCCATTCCCATGGGATGGCTCACCCTTCAGGAACAGGATACCACCTCAATACCTACTTCTAGCTATTGACTACATACCCAGAATTCTTAGTTCCTCCTGAGATTGGAACTATTTGGGGGCCCCTGACTGTAGAATATAGCCAGTCCTTTTTCCTAGTGGAACTGGAAACAGCTCCAACAGAAATGTGAATTCTAGGAAAACAACATAGATGTTTAGGAAATATAAATGAATTTACTTTTTAACTAAGTCAGATGTACTAAAGAAACAGGGCACCTAGTGTGTTTTATGGTCCATCTTTTCAGGGATAGTATTTGCATAAAAAGTACAGAAATAACAGAAGGTCATACTTGAGTAGTTAAGACCATGTTTCAGCTGCTATTCATAATAGCTTACAACTTCTTATTCCCATTTTATTCTATGATGCCCAAACTGATCTCACTTTTTATTTATCTAGTCTCCTGATTACTTTCAAAAATATGTGACATCCTTTAATAACTGCCAGCTGACCTTGTAAACTAAATAATAAAGTTAAAGTAAAAGATCTACACGATGTATTGCATGGTATATCCTCTCTTCCAATTCATGTAATAAGTAGGAGGTAAAGTCTTAATTGTACTTTTTAAAATTTCTTTTAAATTAGACCTTTAAAATGATATAATGATCATTATTTTAAAATTCACTGCACAATTCTGGGTCTGCTGAATTTGCTGAGTTTAGTGACTCAACATTCTTCCACATCCTGCCTCTGTTACTTGGGAGTAGGGAGGCTGTCCTGTCACATCCAGGGTCAACTGGAACCAACTCTTGGTTGCTCACTATTCATAATAAAAATGATTAATACAGAATTTTGCTTCAGAGATCTATCAGCTTACGGAGGTAACTATTTATTCGTTAAGTAATTATATAAATACACATTTGCACAACTCCATTTCTGCTAGACATTAGGCTAAGCTCTTTGGGAATGAAAAAATTAATTAGAGGGAGAAAAGTTCCTTTCTTCAAGGACCTTAAAATATGATGGGAGTGATTAGACAATACCCTTAAATAATTAGAGTTATAAAGCTAAATATAATTAGTTTTATATTTGCTTGATGCTTGATGAACTGAAGCTAGGCTTCAGCCTCAACATTAGGACACAGCATGCTATTCAGTTCTGCTATACAGTTTTAGTGTCATTTTTACCATCACTGATCTTGTATATTATTAGTATAGATTGATCCAGTGGTTTACAACTATATCTAATTAGCATAACACTACAGTAATACAAATAAAGCATATCATTCAAATCAATTAAGTGTTAAAAAATCATTTTAATATACAGGTAAGGATTCCATATATAACTTTGAGTATAAATTTCTGTATGTGCTTTATATGTTTAAATGCTGTCATTCAACAAAAATATAAATGCTATTTTATTAGCACAATGAAAAACTGGTGCCGATAGTTACTGATGATTAAAACTATTAAGCAAATATATAAGCAATTATTAAAAATGGACAAAAAATGAAATGTGTGAAAATAACTTCACAGGACATATCGTAGGACAAGGAATGTTAGATAGTTTTGTAAACATATTTGAGCCAAAAACGTTTTACAAAATTACATTTTAATATAAGGCAGAATAAGATTGTGGTATTAAAATCTTATAAAAGTTGTTTGTGTATTCATATTTATAACATCAAAATAACCTTAAGCAATGATTTTAATTTTTAATTGTTTAGTTTCTTTTTTGGATATGAGTAACTCAAAAAGTTTTATCTAAGATTGTGTCATATCATGTAAGGATGAATTAAAAGCTGAATGTCAACATTGCCATCTCAAAGTTTAATTTAAAAAAAACCCTCAAAATTATGTACAGTAATATCCATAATAAATTATCATTATTTCAGACATAAGGAGTCTGAAGAAAAGAAAAATAGAAAAATGTATTAAAGATACCTTTTGTTCCTACTAATTGAAACTAAAAACAGATACAAGAGGAATTATTTGAGATACATTGTATTAGTTTTGAATCTATAGAGGCTAAATTTTTAAACAGAAACCTATTTAAATGTTTGCTATAGAATGGCAACCAGGAACCATATTAAGCAGGCACTATAAAGATGGAGTGAGATTCTTTACCTTGGTGATATACAGTATATTAAAAATATAGATAAGATAAAGAAGCATAGAAACATGCTAAATACCATCATAAGGAGAGACAGAGGATTTTAAGCTTCATGGAATATATGCTCATTTATATGAACCTACAATGTGTTCTTGTATGTTATGCAATTAGTATTATTCACAATAAAAAATAGCAAAAAATTATTTTAAAAGGAAGTATTAATTACCCTTGCTTCCACTACTATTGCACTGATTCTTAAAGACTGAAAAACAACTAGGAAAGAGAGTTTCAAGCAGAGGACACTGTATGAAGGTAGGAAGATCATTATAACATTAGGAAACTGTAAATGTATTGTGAAGGCCAGATATGCAAAGGGTACCTGTTGTATAAATTGGTAGACCAGCTTATAAAGGTAGACAAGGGCCAGATTTTGAAGGAAATTTTAAGTGATGCCATGAAATTTGGACCTAAACTTTATAGTTTATTGGCCATAATTAAATTATTTTAGTTGAAGGAGCAGTAAGAGATACGGGTTTAGAATTATTTTTCTTTCTAAAATGAGGTCTAGGGTCTAGATTTCATAAATTTTAGTTCAATGCTTTGCTCAAATATGTAGTTCATGGGAGAGATATAGATTGAGAGTATAAATTTGAGAGCTTAAATACTACATATATTTGAAGCAATGAGACTGAAAGAGATGACCAAAGGAGAGAAAAACAATGAGGTCTGCAAAATAAGTCCTGGTTACTCCAACATCGTAAGGTAAGGAAAAAAAAAAAAAGACTCAACAGAGAAGGAGATTAATAGTCTTGGAAATTATGGCTATTTTCCTTCAATATGGGCATAATGAAATTTTAAATATGATTGTAGATTTTTTATTGAGGTAAAACCATTTAACATGAGATCTACCCTTTAAAAAAATTTATTGTTGTAGATTTAATTCTTCCCAACCTTTATTTACCTTGAATATGCTTCTACCATTATTTGACAAGTGAATGTCTTCAATCTGACTTTTTAAAAAAACATCTTTTGGGATGTTAAAAATGAACATCATTTTCTGTATTCTTTAGATATATCTTTACAGATTTGTTTTCTTCAACTTTTATTTTAAGTTCTGGGGTATATGTTCAGGATGTGCCCTTTTGTTACATAGGTAAAGGTGTGACATGGCGGTTTGCTGCACGGATCAATCCATCACCTAAGTATTATGTCCAGAATCCATTAGCTATTCTTCCTGATCCTCTCCCTCCCCTCATACCCCCTGACAGGTTCCAGTGTGTGTTGTTCCCCTCCATGTGTCCATGTGTTCTCGTTGTTCATCTCCCACTTATAAGCACTTATAAGTGAGAATATGTGGTATTTGGTTTTCTTTTCCTGTGTTAGTTTGCTGAGGATAATGGCTTCCAGCTCCATCCGTGTCCCTGCAAAAGACATGATCTTGTTTTTTTTTTTACAGCTGCATAGTATTCCATGGTGTATATGTACCACATTTTCTTCATTGATGGGCATTTGGATTGATTCCATGTCTTTGCTATTGTGAATTGTGCTGCAATGAACATATGCATGCATGTATCTTTAAAATAGAATTCCTTATATTCCTTTGGGTAAATACCTAATAATGGGATTTCTGGGTCAAATGGTATTTCTGCTTCTAGATCTTTCAGGAATCACCACACTGTCTTCCACAATGGTTGAACTGATTTACACTCCCAACAGTGTAAAAGCATTTTTTTCCACAACCTCACCAGCGTCTGTTGTTTCTTGACTTTTAATAATCTCCATTCTGACTGGCATGAGATCTACCCTTTTAACACATTTTCCAGTGCACAATATAGTGTTGTTAACTATAAGCACAATGTTGTATAGCAGCTCTCTAGAACTTATTCATCGTGTATAACTGAAATTTTGCCATTCGGTAGATGTAATGACTTTATTCAACTATTGCTCAGGGTCCTTCGGCAAAATTTGGGTTCACGTGCATCTCCTCAATAATAATACAGTTCATATTAGTATCTACATACACGGTATAATTTAAAGACAGAGGGCTACTACTTTCTTCTAACTCTAACTGTGGCTGGAATAGTGATGTTATCCTTGTTGTCATCAAGTACATAGTGGGTAGCCTCAAGACCAACCACATGTTTGTCATAATCCTTGATGATCTCAGATTGTTCTGGATTTATCTAATTATCTTGTTTACTTTTTCTAATTTTAAGCTTATGCTTCAGGCTTTCTGATTTTAACCACTTTGAACCACAAATCCATGTTTTCTTTGGTTCCAAGTGTTTTATATATGTGATATATATATATATATATATAAAACACACACACACATATTCTTTAGGCAACTAAAGAATATTTCTAAGATCATGAAGAAAACCAGAATTTTTATTATTTGGGGTGATTTTGTTACTTGCGGTGAGAAATAGAATTAAATGCATTGTCATAGTTATAAATAAAACAATTTATGGAGAGCAGAAAGTTGTAGTAATTTGTGAGAGCTATTTTTTTTTCTTATAAAAAATTAAGCTGGGTGTGATGGCATACGCCTGTAGTCCCAGCTACTCAGGAAGCTGAGGCAAGAGGATTGCTTCAGGCCAGGAGTTTAAGGCTACAGTGGGTTATGATAATTATGCCTGTGTATAGCCCTTGCACACCAGCCTGGGCAACATGGCAAGACCCCAGCTCTTGAAAAAATAATTAAGTAAAAAAATTACTCAAAACTAACAAATCTCATCCACTGATTCCTACAGTGGTGCTTTGTTTCCCTCCCTCCTTCTCTCCTTCCCACTCTCTTTCTCTCTCACCTTCCTTCCTTTCCTTCCTCTTTCCTTTTGTTTTTCAGCTCACTTTCTTTCTCTCTCTCCTTCCTTCCTTTCTTCCTTTCTTTTTCTTTCTTTCTTTTCTTTCTTTCTTCTTTCTTTTTCTTTCCTTCTCTTTCTTTTCTTTCTTTCTCTCTTTTTCTTTTCTTTTCTTTCTTTCTTTCTCTTTCTTTCTTTCTCTCTTTTCCTCTCTCCTTCCCTCTCTCTTTCTCTCATATATATGAGTGATGAAGTATACATAGCACTGAAGTGTATATATATACACATATCTATATACTTTACATCATGAAGTATATATATATGAGTGATGAAGTATATATATACTTGGTTATATACTTAGAAGATATAATGAATTTTATCAAGTTGTGGTATTAGCTAACATTTTGTTGCCTAGTACATTATTTATTAGGTATTACACATGTCTAATAAATAGTGTTTCTGATTTCTTGAGTCTAGATTGTCTTCTTGATTGAACCCCTCCTCCTCCTCCTCCTCCTCCCCCTCCTCCTCCCCCTCCTCCTCCCCCTCCTCCTCCTCCTTCTTCTTCTTCTTCTTCTTCTTCATTTTTTTGTGCATTGGCTCTTTCAGTCCAAGTCTACAGTTCTATTATTTTATTCCCTTATGATTCATAGTTTTTAGTCACGGATGTTCTAAAAACTTATTTTTCTTTTTTGTCAGCTTGCATTGGGCTCTCCACACTCCCCAACTTTTGTAATAAAGCCTAAGTGCCTTAACTCACTGGTAATTGCAGACTTTTGGAAACAGTGATAGATAAAATCACAAAACAGACATGCTATGCTTGAGTTTAAGTAAAAAAGTTAACTGGGAAAGTACTTTTTATTTACCTTAAAGCAGTATCCAAAATAGAAGAACTGTATTTTTCTTCATAATTCTTCTGTTTTAAACTCATTAGTTTGAAGCATAGTGTTTTGTACTTTAAATCAATTCATTATGTGTTAATACTTTCCCAATGTGTGGTTAAGGACAACTGACTATTCGATTTCTCTTTCCTCATTGCTGGCTCTTTCGCACTAGCTTTTGCTGATACCTCTTCTCTCTGACCTCTACATTTTACAGTGTTCTAGTCTCAGTCCTTTTGCTCTCTTCTCTGCTGTCTTCATTTGCTATTTTGTCTCATCTAGTCTCATGGTTTTAAACATCCTATATATGCTAACAAATCCCAATAATTTATCTTCAGCATAGTCTCTGTCCTAAACTGGATTTTATATTCAACTGCCCATTTATAATCTTCCCTGAATTTCAACAGGCATTTAAACCCAATAATGAGCTTCTGATTTTTTCCTCATAAAACCAGTCCCACTCTTTCCTTTCTTAGTATGCATTGACTCAATCCTCCCAAGTTACAGTCCAAAAAATACCTTGGGATTCACTCTTGATTCCTCTTTTTCACACTTTGCAGTCTATCCACCTGCAAATCTCTTCAGCTCTATATTAAATATTGTGTATGTTATACTCTAGTGTTTTCTCATCTCTTCCACTATTTCCACTTTCATCTCCTACCTGGATTACCACTATAATCTCTAAGCAGGTCTCCTGGCTTATACTCTTGCCTTTCTACTACTGATAATTAACAAAAGTGCTACAGTGAAGCTTTCAAAAATGATATCATATAGTGCCATTTCTCTACTCAAAATTGTCACATGGCTCACTATTTCACTGAAGTCCTACAATGGCCTATAAAATCCTTAGCTGCATCTTCATGTCTTAGTATTTACATCATAACCTAAAAGTGATGAAGTTTTAAAATAAGATGTGTAGCTGGGGGCATATTGCACAAATACCCTCCAGCATTATATGTAGGTAGGCAAGATGAATATATGTATAATTATATAATTAATATAATTTTAAAATATAAAAATCTTATTGGCTAAGTTTTATGTGAACTAATACATATTGGCTAAGTTTTATGTGAAATAATACATATCATTTTTATTACTTAGCTTTTGTTTATTTGAAATTTTATGCTGTTTTGTGTCAGCTCTTTAAAATAGGATTTTTTTCACCTTCAGGCTCTATCAGTAGTTGCATAATTTAACCCGGATAAGCAGCCCCTTTTTCTTCTTCCTTTGTCCAAATTATTCATATAATTAGAATAGTGATTAATATATCTCCTGAATTTCTCAGATTGGATAGAAATTTGAAATCCATCAAAATATTTTCAACTTCATTTTTACTGGCATAATTTTCTCTTGGTAATATAACTTAGATAAAACAATACAGATCTTCAGCAACCTCCTAAAAGCCATCAGCATCTTTCTATAAAAATCTGTAATTCCGGGGTCGTTTTCTGTTTAATGTTGTCTAAGTAAGTGACTAAGTGAATCACTTCCCTTCTCAGAAATAGTAGTGGTTTCTAATTCTCTATTATCTCAAATACAAAGCCTTTAAATTAATGCACTAAAGACCACCATCAGTTGATTTTTCTCTTTGAACTACCCTATTTACCTTTTAACTTTCAACTCAGATTTTCTAGTATGTGTAGGGAAAGCCATCCATCCTACTTTCTGTTCCTTGCACACAAAACAATTCTCCTCAGCATTTAAATTCATCTAAGTGTTCAGCACTGCACCTAGAGTGAAATCCAAGCTTATGTTTTAGTTATAGAGCTCCTCAGGATCCATGAGTGCCTACTCTCCTTCTTAAGTTTTGACTAGCCTACCCATTACAGGCTTTCTCTTCCTCAAAATATGCCACAATCATTTCCCCCTTTAGTTTTGCCTTAGCATTCTCTTTGTCTGGAATATCATTCCCTAATCTTAACAGCACTAGTAGATAATAGTTATTTAGCAGACACTATTTGCCAGACATGCTTATAAATTTTATATATATATATATACGTCTAAATATATGCTTCTAAATTTTATATATAACTTCTAGCAGCCTGGATAGATAATATTGTTTTGATTTCACAAATAAAAAATAATAAACTGAGGCATAGATACCTAAGCATCTTTCCAAAGATATACATTTGGTACAGATTTGGGAGTGGAATTCAAGTAGATGCTTCAAACCTGGGAATTTAACTAATACACCATACTGTGTGATATTCACATGCCTGGCAACACCATTGATATCACATTCTCCTAAATATAGTTTCTGCCACTAGGAACCTTAGAAAAAAATCTTTATTTCTATGAAGTCCATTTTTACCTGTATTGAATTTATGAATCTAAATGTTGCCAAAGACTTTACTATATCTTACATTTTGGTTAATAATAATGTTAACTTTTTCATTTTTAGCTATTGCCAACTTTATTTTGTATTGAATTATTTCTAGTGGTTAAAGCGTGCTTTGGATTCATTTGGTTTTTATAGATTTAGTGAGTACAAGTGTTGTTTTGTTACGAGGATATGTTGCATAGTGGTCAACTCTGAGCTTTTAGCATAGTCATCAGCTGAGTAATGAAAATTGTACCCATTAAGGAATGTCTTATCCCTCACCCTGCTCCCAACCTCCCACCCTTCTGAGTTTCCATTGTCTATCGTTCCACTTTCTATGTCCATATGTACAAATTAGCTCCCACATATGAGACCACGCAGTATTTTCTGAGATATCTCACTTAAAATAATGTCCTTCAGTTTTATTTATGTTGCTGCAAAATACATGACGGCTGAATAGCACTCGTGTCTGTACGTGTGTGTGTTTGTATGTGTGTGTGTGTGTATTCAATAACTTTATCCAATCATTCATTGATGGACACTTACATAGATTCTGTATTCTTGCTGTTATAAGTAGTGCTGTGATAAACAAACAAGTACAGGTATCTTTTTGATATAATGATTTCTTTTTCTTTGGACATATACCCAGTAGTGGGATTGCTGGACTGAATGATATATTTATTTTTAGTTCTTTGAGAAATTTCCATACAGTTTTCCATAGAGATTGCACTAATTTACATTCCCACCAACCATGTACAAGTGTTCTCTTTTCTCCACATCCTCACCAACATCCATTATTTTTTTCTACCATTTAATAAGTGACTGATGTAAGATGGTCTCTCAAATGGGATCTAATTAAACTAAAGAGCTTCTGCAAAGCAAAAGAAACCACCATCAGAGTGAACAGGCAACCTACAGAATGGGAGAAAATTTTTGCAATCTACTCATCTGACAAAGGGCTAATATCCAGAATCTACAATGAGCTCAAACAAATTTACAAGAAAAAATCAAACAACCCCATCAAAAAGTGGGCAAAGTATATGAACAGACACTTCTCAAAAGAAGACATTTATGCAGCCAAAAGACACATGAAAAAATGCTTATCATCACTGGCCATCAGAGAAATGCAAATCAAAACCACAATGAGATACCATCTCACACCAGTTAGAATGCCGATCATTAAAAAGTCAGGAAACAACAGGTGCTGGAGAGGATGTGGAGAAATAGGGACACTTTTACACTGTTGGTGGGACTGTAAACTAGTTCAACCATTGTGGAAGTCAGTGTGGCAATTCCTCAGGGATCTAGAACTAGAAATACCATTTGACCCAGCCATCCTATTACTGGGTATATACCAAAGGATTATAAAACATGCTGCTATAAAGACACATGCACACATATGTTTATTGCGGCACTATTCACAATAGCAAAGACTTGGAACCAACCCAAATGTCCAACAATGATAGACTGGATTAAGAAAATGTGGCACATATACACCATGGAATACTATGCAGCCATAAGAAATGATGATTTCATGTCCTTTGTAGGGACATGGATGAAGCTGGAAACCATCATTCTCAGCAAACTATCGCAAGGACAAAAAACCAAACACCGCATGTTCTCACTCATAGGTGGGAATTGAACAATGAGAACACATGGACACAGGAAGGGGAACATCACACACTGGGGCCTGTTGTGGGGTGAGGGTAGCGGGGAGGGATAGCATTAGGAGATATACCTAAGGTTAAATGACGAGTTAATGGGTGCAGGGCACCAACATGGCACATGTATACATATGTAGCTAACCTGCACGTTGTGCACATGTACCCTAAAACTTAAAGCATAAAAAAAAGATGGTCTCTCATTGCGGTTTTAATTTGCATTTCTCTGATAATTAGTGATGTTGAACATTTTTTTTCATCTGCTTCTTGATCATTTCTATGTCTTGTTTTGCAAAATGTCTGTGTGTGTTCTTTGCCCACTTATTAAGCAGTTAATTTGATTTGTTATTGTTGAGTGGTTTGAGTTCCATGTAGATTATGGATATTAGTTTTTTGTACGATGTATAGTTTGCAAGTATTTAATCCCATTCTGCAGGTTATTGGTTCACTCTGTTGATTATTTCTTTTACTATGTAGTGCTTTTTAATTTAATTAAATCTCATTTTGTCTATTTTTGTTTCTGTTGAATTTGCTTTTGAGTATTAATCAAGAATTCTTTCCCTAGACCAATGTCCAGAAGAGTTTTTCCTAGGTTTTCTTTTAGTATTTTTATAGTTTCAGGGCTTACATTTAAGTCTTTCATTCATCTTGAGTTAATTTTTGTATATGCTGAGACATAGGGGTCCAGTTTCATTCTCCTGTATATGACAATTCAAATTTCCCAGCACTATTAATTGAATAGTGTGTCTTTCCCCAAGTGTATGTTTTTGATAACTTTGTCAAAGATCAGTTGGCTGTAGGTATGTATGCTTTATTTCTTGATTCTCTATTCTGTTCCCTTGATCTGTGTGTCTACTTTTATACCAGTACCATTCTGTTTTGGTTACTATACTACTTATTATATGACAATAGCCTTGTAGTATAATTTGAAGTCAGGTAATGTGATGCCTTCAGCTTTGTTCTTTTTGCTTAGGATTGCATTGGGAATTTGAGCTCTTTTTGGGATTCATATAAATGTTAGGATTTTTTTTTCTAATTCTGTGAAAGACAACATTGGTATTTTGATAGTTATTGCATTGAACCTATAGATCATTTGGGGCAATATGATAATTTTTAACAATATTGACTCTTCTAATCCATGAGCATGGAATGTTTTTTCATTTCTTTGTGTCATCTGCAAGTTATTTTATTTGTGGGTTTTAGTTTTCCTTGTAGAGATATTTCACCTCCTTGGTTAAATATATTCCTAAGTGTTTTATACTGATTTTTTTGTAACTAGTGTAAATGAAATTGACTTCTTGATTTGCTTCTCAGCTTGATCATTATTGGTGTACAGAAATGCTACCAATTTTTGTATATTGATTTTTGTATTCTGAGACTTTATTGAAGTCATTTGTCAAATCTAGGGGTCTTTTAGAGGAGTCTGTAAGCTTTTGTAGGTATAAGATAATAACATCAGCAGAGATAATTTGACTTTCTCTTTTCCAATTTGGATGATTTGTATTTCTTTCTCTTGCCTGATTTCTCTGGCTAAGACTTCCAGTACTGTGTTGAATAGGAGTGGCGTAAGTGGGCATCTTGTTTTGTTCCAGATCTTAGAGGGGGATGCTTTCAATTTTTTCCTGTTCAGTATGATGTTGGTTTATCTTACATGGTTTTTATTATTTATCATATATGGTTTTTATTATTTTGGGTTTATCATATATGGTTTTTATTATTTTGAGGTATTTTCTTTCTATGCCCAGTGTGCTGAGTGTTTTAATCATGAAGAAATGCTGAATGGTATCAGATGTTTTTCTGCATCTATTGAGATGATCATATGAATTTTGTTTTTAATTCAGTGTATGTGGCAAATCAAATTTGTCGTTTTGTAGCTATTGAATAATCCTTGCATTCCTGGAATAAATCCCACTTGATCATGGTATATTGTTTTTTTGATGTCCTGTTGGATTTGGTTTGACAGTATTTTGTTGAGGGTTTTTGCATCTATATTCATCAAGAATACTGGTTTGTCATTTTGCTGTTTTTGTTGTTGTTCCTGTGTTCTTGTTTAACTTTGGTATCAGAGTGATACTGGCTTCATTGGATGAACTGGGGAGAATTCCCTCCTCCTCAATATTTTTGGGAGACTTTCAGTAGGATAAGTATCAGTTCTTCTTTGTTATGTTTGGTAGAATTCATCTGTAAATCCATCTGATCCTGGGCTTGTGTTGGGAGGTTTGTTTTTTACTGCTTCAATTGTACTGCTCATTATTGATCTGTTCAGGATATATATTTCTTCCAGGTTCAATCTTGAAAGGTTGCATATTTCCAGGAATTTATACATTTCTTCTAGATTTTTTAGTTCGTAAGTGTACAGGCATACAGTTCTTCATAGTAGTCCTTGATATTTTATACTTCTGTGGTATCAGTTGTAATGTCTCCTTTTTCATTTCTGATTATGTTTATTTGAATTTTTTCTTCTCATAGTTATTCTAGTTAGCAGTCTAACAATTTTGTCTATATTTTCAAAAAACAATTTTACATTTTGTTGATTCTTTGTATTGTTTTGGGGTCTCAATTTCATTCATTTATTTTTTTTGATTCTTGCTTTTATCTTCTGCTAGCTTTGGGTTTGGTTTGTTTGTTTGTTTTCTAATTTCTTGAGGTAAGACAATAAGTTGTTAATTTGTGATCTTTCTAATTATTAATGTAGGTAATTAACACTGTAAACTTTCATCTTAGCGCTGCTTTTGCTGTATCCCTGATGTTTTGGTATGATGTGTCCCTGTTTTAATTTATTTTGAAAGATTTTTAAATTCCTCTCTTAATTTCATAATTGGCCCAAAGATCATTCATTTAATTGTTCAATTTTAATGTATTTATGTAGTTTTGACAGTTCCTCTTTGAATTGATTTCTAGTTTTATTCCACTATGATCTGAGAATATAGTTGATATAATATCAATTTTCAAAAGTTTATTGAGACTTGTTTGATGGACTAAATTATGGTCTATTTTGCACGATGTTTCATGCACTGATAAGAAAAATGTATATTCTGCATTTGTTGAGTAGCATGTTCTGTAAATGTCTTTTGGATTAATTTGGTCTAAAGTCCAATTTAAGTCCACAGTTTCTTGGTAGATTTCCTGTCTTGATGTGTCTAGTGCTATCAGTGGGCTGTTGAAGTCCCCTACTATTATTGTATTGCTGTATGTCTCTTTCTTTAGGTCTGGTAATGTTTGTTTTATGAATCTGGGTTATCTGGTGTTGAGTACATATATAGTTAAGATTGTTATATATTCTTGTTGAATCAAACTCTATCATTCATTATCTAATGGCCTTGTTTGTCATTTATTTTTTTACTGTTGTCAGTGTAAAATCTGTCTTATCTGATATAAGTATAGCTATTCCTGCCTGCTTTTGGTTTCTGTGTGTGTGGAATATCCCTTTCCATCTCTTTACCACCACCCTATGTGTCTTTACAAGTAAGGTAAGTTTCTTGTAAGCAGCATGTAGTTGAATTATGGTTTGTTTTTAATCCATTCCACCAATTTGTATCTTTTAAGTGGTGCATTTAATCAATTTATATTCAAGTTGATAAATATATATGTGAATTTATTTCCTGCCATAATGTTCATTGTTATCTAGTTGCTTTGTAGATTCTTTGTTTCTTTTGATTTTTTTTCTGTTTTTTTTTTTTGTGTGTGTCTTTATGGATTTGTGGGGTTTTGTAATGTTTCCTACTTGCTTTCTTCATTTCCTTGCTTTGTGTAATTTTTAAATAAGACCTCTGAGTTTTATATTTTCATGTATTTTTATGATGATGAGTGTCAACCTTTTATTTTCCATGTTAAGAACTCCTTTGAGCATTTCTTGTAAGTTTGGTCTAGTGATGATGAATTATTTCAGCGTTTGCTTGTCTGGGAAATACTTCATTTCTCTTTCATTTATAAAGCTTATTCTGGCAGGATACAAAATTCTGGGTTGACAGTTTTTTTTTTCTTTCAGCACTTTGGAAATAGAATCCCAATCTTTTCTGGAAAAATATAGAATGCTTCATGAATTTGTGTGTCATCTTTGTGTAGGGGCCATGGTAATCTTCTCTGTATCATCACAATTTTAGTATATTTGCTGCTGAAGTGAGTAGTACTTTGAATTTAATAAAGACAAATCCTGGGCAAAGACCCTTGGCCAGGTAACCCTAAAGAAGCTTCAAGGATGATAAGCTCAACATACCAGGTCAATTCTATGAGACTGAAAATGTTGTTTCATCTAACTTCTACAAATTTTTCAAAATAAGAATGGAATATTGTGAGGTTTTTAAGAATTACTTAGTTCATATTATTTTATATTAAATAATGCATTGAACATTAAATATTTTATCCTTTCTAAGTTAGTATCATTTCCTTCACAAAGCTTCAAAAATACATTTAAGTTAAAGAGATTTTTGTTCTTCAAATTACTTAGGGGTATTATGTCTCTTCCAATTTTACACAAGTAGATTTTGATAAAGTGACATTGTATTATTGTAGCAATAATAAAAATAAAAAACAATAACATGAAGTTTTAGAAAAGCACCAGTGCAAATATATGTGAACTATTATTGAAAAACCAATAGGAAAAGGTCAATAACTGAGGAATCAATTTCATGTGGAATAATGTGAAATGCAAAAGGAATCAAGACTTGGATGCGATTTCACTGATTTTTATCATAAGGGCTTCTCTTATTAGATGTTTTAAGAGAAAGAGTCAAGCTTATCCAATAATCCGTTATGTAAACTTAAATTTAAAAGAACACACTTTTGGAGATATAATTAAATATTACCACTTAACTAACATAACCACTTTATTGAATTTCCAAACTTGAGGTGCAAGCATGAAGCATTATTCTTTCCCCTGTAATCTTTACCTTTGACTATGGCATGGAGACTCTTCATTTTCCATCTTTCAATTACACCTTGAGAGGATCCCGTAGCTTTATCGTCATTTAAAGGCATGAAACAATCTAATCCAATTCTGGTTTATCCAGCTTAAAGTTTCAAACTCATATCCCTTTTTTCCTAAATTCAAACCTGACTTTGGCCCAAAAGCCACTTGTAGGTAGCAGTGAGGGCTGTTCTTTCTTTCATCCTTCCCTTCCCCTTCTGGGTCCATCTTTATCCAGGCATAGAGAAAAGTAGTTCAGAGAGAGAGCACACTCCCTTCTCTATTGATTTTTCTTTCCCTCCTTCTTAAGCCCTCTTTGTGGCATGTGTTTAAATAGTGGCATTTTACATGTGTCATGGGTTGGTTCTTTAGAGACACCTTTGATAAATTCTTTATCATTTGCAAATAAGGAAGATTATTTTCTGGCTTTACGTCTTTTGAAGAATTTCTTAGATGGACTCTTCTCTGGCTCCTCATCCTTACACACTTGCCAGGATCTCTTGATAGAATACCAAGCAGACATCTAAAGCACAGTTACTTCCTTATTGTCCACTGGGCCATGATGAGGCACAAATCTACTGCCACCCAAAGAAATGAGAGTGCACTGGCCTCACTGCAGCTCTTTCCATACACAACCCTCTCTCTCCACTCTGCCATATACCTCAAGTTTTCTACCCTCCCTAAACCCCTCCCCTGCTTCAAATGTACAAGTGCAGATTAGCAACTCTGTTGTATAAACAGATATCTAATCAGTAAATTAGATAACTGTTTTCATTGTAACCAAATTATGCATGTATATAGTTCCAATATATGTCCTGAGATATCGCTAATCTTTTCTTTACATGTGGTGGTGGAGACTACAGTTAGGGTAGAATAGAGTTCTGCTGCTGTTTAGTATGTCTTGTACAAATGCATCTGGTGGTTTTTTTTTTTTTTTGTAATCTGACTCAAATGTTCTTTTTGGCTGTTAAGACATTTTGGAATTAATTTATCATTTCTGATATACTATTCCCTAGCATCCAAACTTTCTGTTACTAGAAGGGTGTGGACAAACTGTCCTCATATTGATCCCTTGCCTAAAACAGAGAAGTTCATTTAACATTAAATTTTATCAACTGAACAATGAGATAAGAATTTCATTCAATTCTTCAATTAAGTTTTACTTTAAAAAAATAGGACCAGGATGGATATTGAAGTTGTTACTGTTATTGATAAAATCTTTTAATGTTTTTTGTCTTTTCTCCCCCTTGCCCCCATTGTACAGCTGATCCCTCTCTTTCAAGATTGGCTATTTTTCCTATTTAACACCTCTTACTCTGCCTAAACGACTTATTTCCATACTGGGAAATAAGTTTTCAAAACATACTTGGAACATTCCTTTTTTTCTCCCCTCAGATGACAGTCAGTGATGGATGACAGATGTTACTTATAAGACTTCAGAAAATAAAGATAGATTGAAACGAGGTTTAGCGAATTAACATAAAAGAATGCATATCTATTGCTTCAAAATTATTAAAGATCTTTTGAAAAAGTTGCATTGCACTCAAAATTTTGTAAGAAACCTAAAAAAATTATTTGTGAGCATTTTATTCTTTTCCTTAAGTTATCTCTATTTGCTCACTCTTTATTATTATAAATAAAAGTTATTTTTGTTAGTGATTATTTTAAGCATATCACCTATTAATTAAATATTAGAACTCATATCATTTATTTCACATTTGATATAAATTTTCAGTTAAGCATTTGGTTAAGAACATATACATGATTCACCAATCGCTCATATATTTTGTATGAATTAGTAAAAGTCTTATATTTTGTACAAAGGTGAAAAGCCAGAAAACTTTCAGAATTTAAAACTGCTATTTCCACTTGGATTCAAATTTTGAGGAACAAATAATGTGCAAAATTTGTTGAGCTTAAAATATTAGTAATTTTTATTACAACTTTGAATGATAAGTACAACTGCTTACCTGAAAGTTATAAGAAGATCTGGCAGATCTGAACAGGGATGTTTTTGCCCCCCAAAAATGTGTATTTTGGGAAGTAAAATGGAGTTGAACTTCAGTGTCTGTAAGTAAACATGTTATGTATTCTTAATATAAAATATTTAGGGATTTCTTATTAACAAATTCAACATGATTATTTCTGAGTAGAGAAACAACTTACATTTTAGTGGAGTGTTTACAAAATGAATTTTGAAACTGCTGTGATCTACTGATACAAAGTAAAGACAATAAGGAAAATCAAGCAAGTATTACATACTTTCCATACACTATCTCATTTAACTCATTACTCATCTTTCTGAATTGACACAGAAAATTTAGACAACTCATCCAAAATCATAGAGTTAGTAAACTGAAAGACCAGGGTCTGTTTTCCAATTCAGTCCTTTTCCCGATAGGCCACATGGCTTTCTGGAAAGTAGGATATTGCTTACAGAGTTAGGCAGAAGGGAATTCTGAAAGAAGTTACTTTCTGGGCTCCATGTGGACAGTGCCTTAGAACCTCACAGCACGGGTTTTTGGGTGGCAGAGGGCAGGGAAAGATCAGTGAAAATATATATTTCAAGGTTAAATGTGTTTGAATCTTTTGTCAAGTTATTGCCTTATAATTCTTCAATGGAGCTTTAAAAATTTTTGTTTAAGTGAGACTTTTTATTTTATTATTATTATACTTTAAGTTTTAGGGTACATGTGCACAATGTACAGGTTTGTTACATATGTATACATGTGCCATGTTGGTGTGCTGCACCCATTAACTCATCATTTAGCATTAGGTATATCTCCTAATGCTATCCCTCCCCCCTACCCTCACCCCACAACAGTCCCTGGAGTGTGATGTTCCCCTTCCTGTGTCCATGTGTTCTCATTGTTCAATTCCCACCTATGAGTGAGAACATGCTGTGTTTGGTTTTTTGTCCTTGCGATAGTTTGCTAAGAATGATGGTTTCCAGTTTCATCCATGTCCCTACAAAGGACATGAACTCTTCTTTTTTATGGCTGCATAGTATTCCATGGTGTATATGTGCCACATTTTCTTAATCCTGTCTATCATTGTTGGACATTTGGGTTGGTTCCAGGTCTTTGCTATTGTGAATAGTGCCACAATAAACAAATGTGTGCCTGTTTCTTTATAGCAGCATGATTTATAATCCTTTGGGTATATACCCAGTAATGGGATGGCTGGGTCAAATGGTATTTCTAGTTCTAGATCCCTTAGGAATTGCCACACTGACTTCCACAGTGGTTGAACTAGTTTACAATCCCACCAACAGTGAAAATGTGTTCCTATTTCTCCACATCCTCTCCAGCACCTGTTGTTTCCTGACTTTTTAATGATCGCCATTCTAACTGCCACGAGATGGTATCTCATTGTGGTTTTGATTCGCATTTCTCTGATGGCCAGTGATGATGAGCATGTTTTCATGTGTTTTTTGGCTGCATAAATGTCTTCTTTTGAGAAGTGTCTGTTCATATCCTTTGCCCACTTTTTGATGGGGTTGTTTGCTTTTTTCTTGTAAATTTGTTTGAGTTCATTGTAGATTCTGGATATTAGCCCTTTGTCAGATGAGTAGGTTGTGAAAATTTTCTCCTACTCTGTAGGTTGCCTGTTCACTCTGATGGTGGTTTCTTTTGCTGTGCAGAAGCTCTTTAGTTTAGTTAGATCCCATTTGTCAATTTTGGCTTTTGTTGCCATTGCCTTTGGTGTTTTAGACATGAAGTTCTTGCCCATGCCTATGTCCTGAATGATATTGCCTAGGTTTTTTTCTAGGGTTTTTATGCTTTTAGGTCTAACATGTAAGTCTTTAATCCATCTTGAATTAATTTTTGCACAAGGTGTAAGGAAGGGATCCAGTTTCAGCTTTCTCCATATGGCTAGCCAGTTTTCCCAGCACCATTTATTAAATAGGGAATCCTTTCCCCATTGCTTGTTTTTCTCAGGTTTGTCAAAGATCAGATGGTTGTAGATATGCAGCATTATTTCTGAGGGCTCTGTTCTGTACCATTGATCTACATCTCTGTTTTGGTACCAGTACCATGCTGTTTTGGTTACTGTAGCCATGAAGTATAGTTTGAAGTCAGGTAGTGTGATGCCTCCAGCTTTGTTCTTTTGGCTTAGGATTGACTTGGCAATGTGGGCTCTTTTTTGGTTCCATATGAACTATAAAGTAGTTTTTTTCCAATTCTGTGAAGAAAGTCATTGGTAGCTTGATGGGGATGGCATTGAATCTATAAATTACTTTGGCAGTATGGCCATTTTCATGATATTGATTCTTCCTACCCATGAGCATGGAATGTTCTTCCATTTGTTTGTATCCTCTTTTATTTCATTGAGCAGTGGTTTGTAGTTCTCCTTGAAGAGGTCCTTCATATCCCTTGTAAGTTGGATTCCTAGGTATTTTATTCTCTTTGAAGCAATTGTGAATGGGAGTTCACTCATGATTTGGCTCTCTGTTTGTCTGTTATTGGTGTATAAGAATGCTTGTGATTTTTGTACATTGATTTTGTATCCTGAGACTTTGCTGCAGTTGCTTATCAGCTTAAGGAGATTTTGGGCTGAGACAATGGGGTTTTCTAGATATACAATCATGTCATCTGAAAACAGGGACAATTTGACTTCCTCTTTTCCTAATTGAATACCCTTTATTTCCTTCTCCTGCCTAATTGCCCTGGCCAGAACTTCCAACACTATGTTGAATAGGAGTGGTGAGAGAGGGCATCCCTGTCTTGTGCCAGTTTTCAAAGGGAATGCTTCCAGTTTTTGCCCATTCAGTATGATATTGGCCGTGGGTTTGTCATAGATAGCTCTCATTATTTTTAGATACATCCCATCAATAACTAATTTATTGAGAGTTTTTTGCATGAAGGGTTGTTGAATTTTGTCAAAGGCCTTTTCTGCATCTATTGAGATAATCATGTGGTTTTTGTCTTTGGTTCTGTTTATATGCTGGATTACATTTATTGATTTGCGAATGTTGAACCAGCCTTGCATCCCAGGGATGAAGCCCACTTGATCATGGTGGATAAGCTTTTTGATGTGCTGCTGGATTCGGTTTGCCAGTATTTTGTTGAGGATTTTTGCATCAATGTTCATCAAGGATATTGGTCTAAAATTCTCTTTTTGGTTGTGTCTTTGCCAGGCTTTGGTATCAGGATGATGCTGGCCTCATAAAATGAGTTAGGGAGGATTCCCTCTTTTTCTATTGATTGGAATAATTTCAGAAGGAATGGTACCAGCTCCTCCTTGTACCTCTGGTAGAATTCGGCTGTGAATCCATCTGGTCCTGGACTTTTTTTGGTTGGTAAGCTATTGATTATTGCCACAATTTCAGAGCCTGTTATTGGTCTATTCAGAGATTCAACTTCTTCCTGGTTTAGTCTTGGGAGGGTGTATGTTTCGAGGAACTTATCCATTTCTTCCAGATTTTCTAGTTTATTTGTGTAGAGGTGTTTGTAGTATTCTCTGATGGTAGTTTGTATTTCTGTGGGATCGGTGGTGATATCCCCTTTATCATTTTTTATTGCATCTATTTGATTCTTCTCTCTTTCCTTCTTTATTAGTCTTGCTAGCAGTCTATTGATTTTGTTGATCTTTTCAAAAAACCAGCTCCTGGATTCATTAATTTTTTGAAGGGTTTTTTGTGTCTCTATTTCCTTCAGTTCTGCTCTGAGTTTAGTTATTTCTTGCCTTCTGCTAGCTTTTGAATGTGTTTGCTCTTGCTTTTCTAGTTCTTTTAATTGTGACGTTAGGGTGTCAATTTTGGATCGTTCCTGCTTTCTCTTGTGGGCATTTAGTGCTGTAAATTTCCCTCTACACACTGCTTTGAATGTGTCCCAGAGATTCTGGTATGGTGTGTCTTTGTTCTCATTGGTTTCAAAGAACATCTTTATTTCAGCCTTCATTTCGTTATGTACCCAGTAGTCATTCAGGAACAGGTTGTTCAGTTTCTATGTAGTTGAGCGGTTTTGAGTGAGTTTCTTAGTCCTGAGTTCTAGTTGGATTGCACTGTGGTCTGAAAGACAGTTTGTTATACTTTCTGTTCTTTTACATTTGCTGAGGAGCACTTTACTTCCAAATATGTGGTCAATTTTGGAATAGGTGTGGTGTGGTGCTGAAAAAAATGTGTATTCTGTTGATTTGGGGTGGAGCGTTCTGTAGATGTCTATTAGGTCCACTTGGTGCAGAGCTGAGTTCAATTCCTGGGTATCCTTGTTAACTTTCTGTCTCATTGATCTGTCTAATGTTGACAGTGGGATGTTAAAGTCTCCTATTATTAATATGTGGGAGTCCTTTTTAGGTCACTCAGGACTTGCTTTATGAATCTGGGTGCTCCTGTATTGGGTGCATATATATTTAGGATAGTTAGCTCTTCTTGTTGAATTGATCCCTTTACCATTATGTAACGGCCTTCTTTGTCTCTTTTGATCTTTGTTGGTTTAAAGTCTGTTTTATCAGAGACTAGGATTGCAACCCCTGCCTTTTTTTGTTTTCCATTTGCTTGGTAGATCTTCCTCCATCCCTTTATTTTGAGCCTATGTGTGTCTCTGCACGTGAGACGGGTTTCCTGAATACAGCACACTGATGGGTCTTGACTCTTTATCCAATTTGCCAGTTTGTATCTTTTAATTGTAGCTTTCAGCCCATTTACATTTAAAGTTAATATTGTTATGTGTGTATTTGGTCCTGTCATTAGGATGTTAGCTGGTTATTTTGCTCATTAGTTGATGCAGTTTCTTCCTAGCCTTGATGGTCTTTACATTTTGGCATGTTTTTTGCAGTGGCTGATACCAGTTGTTCCTTTCCATGTTTAGTGCTTCCTTCAGGAGCTCTTTTAGGGCAGGCCTGGTGGTGACAAAAATCTCTCAGCATTTGCTTGTCTGTAAAGGATTTTATTTCTCCTTCACTTATGAAGCTTAGTTTGGCTGTATATGAAAATCTGGGTTGAAAGTTCTTTTCTTTAAGCATGTGGAATATTGGCCCCCACTCTCTTCTGGCTTGTAGAGTTTCTGCTGAGAGATCTGCTGTTAGTCTGATGGGCTTCCCTTTGTGGGTAACCTGACCTTTCTCTCTGGCTGCCCTTAACATTTTTTCCTTGCTTTCAACTTTGGTGAATCTGACAATTATGTGTCTTAGAGTTGCTCTTCTCGAGGAGTATCTTTGTGGCGTTCTCTGTATTTCCTGAATCTGAATGTTGGCCTGCCTTGCTAGATTGGGGAAGTTCTGGATAATATCCTGCAGAGTGTTTTCCAACTTGGTTCCATTCTCCCCATCACTTTCAGGTACACCAATCAGACATAGATTTGGTCTTTTCACATAGTCCCATATTTCTTGGAGGCTTTGTTCATTTCTTTTTGTTCTTTTTTCTCTAAATTTCCCTTCTTGCTTCATTTCATTCATTTCATCTTCCATCACTGATACCCTTTCTTCCAGTTGATCGCATCGGCTCCTGAGGCTTCTGCATTCTTCACGTAGTTCTCAAGCCTTGGCTTTCAGCTGCATCAGCTCCTTTAAGGACTTCTCTGCATTGGTTATTCTAGTTATCCATTCCTCTAATTTTTTTTTCAAAGTTTTTAACTTCTTTGCCATTGGTTTGAATTTCCTCCCGTAGCTTGGAGTAGTTTGATCGTCTGAAGCCTTCTTCTCTCAGCTCATCAAAGTCATTCTCCGTCCAGCTTTGTTCCGTTGCTGGTGAGGAGCTGCGTTCCTTTGGAGGAGGAGAGGCACTCTACTTTTTAGAGTTTCCAGTTTTTCTGCTCTGTTTTTTCCCCATCTTTGTGGTTTTGTCTACTTTTGGTCTTTGATGATGGTGATGTACAGAAGGGTTTTTGGTGTGGATGTCCTTTCTGTTTGTTAGTTTTCCTTCTAACAGACAGGACCCTCAGCTGCAGGTCTGTTGGAGTTTGCTAGAGGTCCCCTCCAGACCCTGTTTGCCTGGGTATCAGCAGCGGTGGCTGCAGAACAGCAGTGGCTGTAGAACAGCGGATCTTGGTGAACCACAAATTCTGCTGCCTGATCGTTCCTCTGGAAGTTTTGTCTCAGAGGAGTACCCAGCTGTGTGAGGTGTCAGTCTGCCCCTACTGGGGGGTGCCTCCCAGTTAGGCTGCTCAGGGGTCAAGGACCCACTTGAGGAGGCAGTCTGCCCATTTTCAGATCTCCAGCTGTGTGCTGGGAGAACCACTACTAAGTGAGACATTTTAAGAGAATCTAGGAAAAAAAATCAGGAAGATAATCTAGAAGTAGCAGCAAAGATTCAGCATTGTATTGGCCTCATTTGTACTATAGAGTCAATTGAATGACATTTTTTTCTATAGTTTCTATAAATCTTCACCTAATATTCAGGAAGAGTTTCTTGTTTCATATACTACAATTTATGTATTTTTAAACAAAACTAAAAATTATATGTATTTATATACATACTTCGTCAATCTTTAAATATTGAAGTCCTAAAAGAATATTTATTTTCAAATACTGTGTGCTGTTGAGTGTCTTTCTCCTCCTCCTTACTATTCACATGACCTAGCAGGATAGTGCATCTCCTTTAGTAATTCACTACTTCCCAAGTAGAATAAATTTAAAAGTGCGTAATATAACTTATATCACTTTCTAAATAGAAATTGTTTGCAGGTAGATAATCTTGATGTTAGGAGATTTGGAGGTTGTTGTTTTGTTAGTATACTTGTATAGTGAAGTATTAAGAAGAGTAGCTCAAAGTCAGTATTTAAAAAGTAGGAAGGGTAGGAAAATGAATATTGTTGTAATAGTAAATGAAATTATAATTCAAGGAAGATAATTTGCACTTTAGTAATATATGCTAGTAATAATATATGTAGCAGAATCAATACAAGAGACTAAAAGCAGACCCTTCAGAAACTTTTATCTTCTTAGTCTTCAAATATTTCCATTGTGTCACAAACAAGTCTCCCATAGTTATGGAAAATACACTCCTGTAGCTTATTTTCCAAATTTGAATTAATGTAACTAAATTCGTCCCCCCTCTGAAAATCTGCTCTCATTTCAAATTAATACCTTTTAATCTTATCACCTATCACTTCGAGATCCCAAGGACTTTTCTCCCAAATGCATCCTTTCCTTTTCTTCCTTTCTGACTCTTTCATTATGCATATGTCAACATGCTTCCAAAAAAACCCACTTGATTCAGTCAATTCAGTGAAAACAAAAAAAAGATCAGTCAAGTCAGTTGCTAGTCTCCCCAAAGACAAAACATGCAGCTGATTGACTAGATGTTTCACTTATCAACTGTTTGCTTTGGCATTATTTAGACATAACCTTTGTCTCCTTGTTTTCTCCCTTTACTGAGTGTGCTATAATTGCTTTTATATTATCTTTTTTGGCATTCTTCTAAGTTCTTCCTTCCACTTTGGACTGTTTATACAGTTCTATTTATAAATGCATTCCTCTATTGATCTATATGATATGTGTTCTAAATGGTTTAACACAAAGTATATAGGCTATTTATCTTGATATTCAAAATCTGTGCTCAAATAACTTGAGTCAAAGTTTGAATTGGAATAAGATTCAAGGCCACATGTACTACATTGTTTATTTTTTATATCTGAGTCAGCTTTGTAGTATTTTTAGAAAATATATGTGTAACAGCAGAGAAAATAAAGTCAATCATCAAATATTAATGTACTGAGAACTTGCTGCTCTTTTTAAATTTTATTTTAGGCTCGGGTATACATGTTTAGGTTTGCTATATAGGTAAATTGCATGTCATGAGGGTTTGGTGTACAGATTATTTTGTCACCCACATAATAACTTTTATCTTTACTTCTCTTAGATTCTATGGTCTAGCCATTATATCCATCTGGCAGAACAGTGCCAATTAAACATATTTTCCTGCTTACTTTCTAAGTGTGCATGAAAAACAAAACTTGACTATTGAAAGGTCCACATGCCTGGTGCGGTGGCTCATGCCTGTAATCCCAGCACTTTGGGAGGCCAGGGCGGGCAGATCACAAGGTCAGGAGATCAAGACCATCCTGGCTAACACGGTGAAACCCCATATCTACTAAAAATATAAAAAATTAGCTGGGCATGGTGGCACGCGCCTGTAATCCCAGCTACTTGGGAGGCTGAGTCAGGAAAATCACTTGAACCCGGGAGGCAGAGGTTGCGGTGAGCCGAGATCGCGCCACTGCACTCCAGCCTGGGTGACACAGCAAGACTCCATCTCAAAAAAAAAAAAAAAAAAAAAAAAAAAAAAAAACCAAAACTGGCTTCAATTTAAATCTTGAAGGGACACTAAACACTTCCATAATACCCCTACATTTTCCTGTTAAATTCACTGTCCTATCCTTTTCTCCTCAAATCTTCAACAAAATCTTCTCTTTTAACATTTATATGATGACCTCTCAAAAACATTTACAGAGAAAACCAGTGTAGTCTGATGAAATCAAGATCTCATGTTTCCACCATGAGTTCTAAAAACCTGCCTGCATCTCCAAATACTTCTCAGCCCTCTATCCTGTTATGAAAGAGAGTGTCTGCTCCTTAGGCCAGCTCCCCCTGACCTGGAACCTCATCCCCTTTCTTCTCAAAGGCTTTGTTCCTACAATTATACACCTACCTTCTTTCACCTGCATTATCAGTTTTTTTCATCTCCACAGAATTAACCCATACATGTCTCAATATCACTTATCTTTAAAAACCAAAATCAAAACTCATCTCTTGACCCCACATTTTCCTCCAGCTACTGATCTTGTTTACTTCTCTCCTTAACAACGAAACTCCTCAAAAAGTGAAAGTATTCTTTGCTCTCCCCAGTTTCTTACCTTCCATTCTCTCTTCAACTCATCCCAAGAAGCATTTTTAAAATCGTTGTTGTTTGCTGGTTGGTTTTTCCAAAGGTTTATTGAAGTAGAAACAAGTTAGTCCAATACTTGCTGGAACAAAAAAACAGTTATAACGATTTTCAAAATATTTTTACAAAACCGGTGTAGCACAAAACTTCTTCATAAACCAGACTATGTTTTAAACTTTTGTTCTAAATCTTTTAGGAGTGTTAGTTCTTAAGAACTGTAGCTTATTTCTATTCCAAATTTATCTTATGCTACTGAAAAGCTGTAGAGGGGCATTTGAAGGCTGTTTCTTTAAGATGTAGTCTTCCTTTTTATTCTTGATGGTGATATATTGCTGCAGCGAGTATGTGCAATTTTTCATCAAGCTAATCATGAGGCTGAGAAGGTTCATTGATAACCTGTCCATCTCCCAGTTTTAAATGTCAGAAGGGTCCTGTATGAGTGGCTGTCAACCAGAGGGAGTGAACACAGAATGGTTTCCCTCCAGTTCTGAGAGTAAAAGTTTGGAAGAGACAGAGAAATCCTGCTCTCCTCACCTTCCAGCAGCATTCTGTAGGTGGCAATCTCAAAGTCAAGGGCTCTGTGAGCATCCCACAGGTCCTGACATTGATTAAGGTGGCAGGCCTTAATTATTTCTTCCTTCCCATTCTGAATCTCATCCTGCATGAGGCCAATAGTGTCTTGATAGTTCACAGCAAAGTTCTCATCTATTTCACACATCTGGCACTGCAGAGAATTCTCAGTTCCTTTGAGTGCTTGGCCAGTGAGGGACTGGACCTGTCTTTGCCTCCTCTTTTGACTCCTGCTTTGCCTAATGCAGGGCATCACTGTCCAGGTTCAGTTAATAGCCTCAGAGAGATCAACAAACCTGGCCTGGTTCCCGAAGGTTCTTAGTAACTACACTTTCATACTGCTAACACACATCACGCAGTGCAGCCATGAGGTCAGTCTTGGAAATATCATCAATTTGTATGGCTCTTCCTGAATCTGGACCTGCAGCTCCCAGGTTTCATTCCTGCGCAGTTCCTTCAAAAAGGCAATCTCTTCTTGCAAGGAAGAGATTGCCAGAAGTCATGGAGTGTCAAAGAAGCATTGTCAACATGCAGTCTGCAAGTTTGCAGGATTTCTAAGGGTGCTCTCAGCTTCCTCTCTCTGAAGCATCTCTTTCTGCAAATTGTCCTGATGTCCTTGGCTAGGATGTCATGCTGAGCCTTGATACTGGCCTTGTTGGTTACCTGGTCCACTTGCTGATGCAGCTGTTGCATCTCCTCCTTGTAGAAGTTCCCCAGGTTGACTTTCCCTGTTTCTGGAGCTGCTTCACTTTATCAGCAGTATCTTGTTCTTTTGGACCAAGAAGTGCACCTTGTCGATGTGTATGAAACCATCATTCAGCTCCTGCAGCTCCATTTTCCTGTTGGTGCGGGCATTTTTTTTCCAAGTTGCTGTTGATGGTACATGGTGGAGTAGCTCCTGGCATACACAAAACACAGGAAACAAGATAAAGAAGCTGCAACTGCTGCCAAGGCACAGCGCACTACCCAGGCTTGCAAGTGTGGTGGACATCGTCATGTAGCTCTGGCTGGAGCTCTGCCATCTTGCAGTGCCAGGGCCACTGAGCACTCTGAGGAAGGAGGATGAAGGCTCCAATCTGGTAGACTTGGCTATGGGGGGTGGCAGTGGACTGGGCCACTGTGGCAGGGCCTTCTTGCTAGGCAAGGAGAGGCCAGTAAGGGCACAATGGTGTGGGCTGCTGCATTACTGCGGCAACCTCATAGCTAGTGGCAGAGCTCCAATAAGGCTTTTATACTCTCTACTCCCCTAAAATAGTTCTTATTAGGGTGACAGGCAACTTATATATTGCCAAAGCCATCAGTCACTTTTCTGTCATTTTCTGTCACTTCCCAGAAGCACTAGAAAAGGCTGACCACTGCCTACTGCCTCCATTATAAAACACATACCTCTCTAGGATTCTAATATTCCTGGTTTCCCTCCCTCACAGCCTCTCCTCAGAAACATTTCCTGCCTCCTCCTCCTCTGTCTACTGGGCTCTGGGTGTTGAAATGCCCATGGGCTCCTGCATCTACCTTTTCTACCTGTGGCATCTCATTCTTTCCTATGCCTTCAAATACTATCCATATATTGATTCAAATGTCTTACCTAGCACCTAGGTCTCTTCTTTGAGCGCTAGCATCATCTATGCAATGATTTCTCTCCAATCTCTGTCAGGATGGACAATGAACATCTCAAACTGGACATGACCATAATAGAACTATTAATTTTTTCTTCATATCCATTCTCCCTCATGCCCTCCCCATCACAGTAAATTAGGAATTTATTTAGTCTGCAAAGCTAGGTGCCATTATTGATTATTCTCTTTCTTGTGTACTTTTTAAAAACCTGCTTCTAAATTCAGCCGTCACTACCTTGAAAATATATCCTGAAATCTGACCACTTACCACCCCCACTGCGGGGATGCTGATTTCATCTATGACTATCTTTTATTTAAAGTACTTTTAAACCCCATAATTGCCTGTCTCTTTACTCCATTCCTACCTCCTTATAATCCATCATATATCAGCTGGAAAGATTTTTCTGAAACACAGAATACATCATATTTAAATTCCAACTTAAAACCCTCCATTGCTTTCTATTGCTTTTTTTTTTCATTTCACTCTTTATAATTTTGTGTGAACTTATGTTCTACTACAACTAGAGTTATGCCACTATTTCAATAAAGTGTAATTACTATATAAGAAGCTTGATGTAGGAGACTTTATTTGATTCATATGTGTACCCTCCCCTACTCCACCACAGTTTCAAGAATATTATCTTGCATATTATCTACTCAAAAAATATTTGTGATATTAAACTAAATAACAGTCTCATAAGAGTGGTTAGAAGAGAAAACATTTAAAATTTTTGAAATATTAGATATTGCTATTTACTTTTCTCTGTGGTAAACTATTAGATTTGGACACAATGTTGAATTCTACTCTTTAGTTTCATTAGGCAGGTAATTAATAGCTAATCTTTTTAATCTGTTAAAATGAAAACAAAATTTTAATCGTTTGATTAAGTTACAATTAGAATCCACAATTTCATGAAAAAACAATGAATATTATATGCATTGATCTTAATGTCTCTGCTTTACTTTTCCATGAAATGTTCTGTTGCTGATTATCATTTTTATTTAACCTCAAAATTATTGATTAACTTTGCATATCATAAATGTGATGAAGCATAAACATATACCCTGTAATGAATAATTTTATGTGTCAACTTGACTGGGCCACAGGGTGCCCAGATATTTGATCAAACATTATTCTCAGTGTTTTCATGAAGGTGTATTTGGATAAGATTAACATTTGAATGGTAGACTGAGTAAAGCAGATTGCATTCCTCACTGTGGGGGGGCCCCATCCAATCTGTTCAAATCCTCAGTAGAACAAAATTGTTGACCCTCTTTTAAATAAGAGAGACCTTTTTTTTTTCTGTCCAACTTCCTTGAAGCTGGGACATTGGCTTTTTTCCTACCTTTGAACTCAAACTGAAACCCTGGCCGTTCCTCCATCTCCAGCCTGCCAGTCTTCAGACAGGAAGCACACCACCAGCTCTCCTGGTTCTCAGGCCTTCAGACTTCGACTGGGACTAAACCATCATCAACTTTGGGTCTCTGGCTTGCCCTGTAGATATTGGGGCTTACCTGCCTTCATAATTGCATAAGCCAATTCCATATAATAAACAAACAAACATATCTCCTATTGATCTATTTCTCTGGACAGCTCTGAGCAGCACATACCCTATGAATATTCTATGGATTCATATAAAAATTGTATACTCCATGGGGTGTGGCAGTCTTTAAAATTAATTACCATCAGAAAAAAACATTTTTTACTATTCTTCTTGACTAACAGATAGGATTCCTTCTTCACTGGGCCTGTCAGCTTTGGAAATTTGGGCTAAATTGAAGAGAATTAATGCTCATTTCACATTCAACATTGAATTATTTTGGTTTGCTTCTCAGTCGATGTCACAATATATTAACATAGCCTTTCATATAAGTATATAGATTCAGATGGCAACTGTTTTTCTCCACTCTCTATACCATATAGGAGCAATCAGTGAAGTTACTGCACTAAGAATACTGCCCCAAATGTGGTATAGAATGTTTTTCACCTATTTTGATAAAAATGTTGATTACGACGTCTTCCTGAGAGGATTGGTGGTTGCATGATACTGTAGATTGAAAGGAACTCAGGGAAAAGACAATTTGAGGATGCTGGTGGTTAATGATATTTGTTATTTCACCCATAAATCTCATGTAAATAAAATAAATTTCAAACAACTCATTCTCATAATAAACTCTCTCATCCGATGCTCGAATTCCATTTTAGTCTGCATATCTTGTAGTGCAAAAAGAAAACCAAAACATTCACAATTTCATCCTGCAGTTTTGGTTTCTCTTTGGTCTCAGTATCATACCTGCTAAATAAGACAACTAGGTATCATTTTTCTATTATTGAGATAATAGAGGAGTTTAACCCTTTTAACCAAATATCTATTAAATGTCCAAATTATCAGTTTCCCATTATTTCCTCTAAGGCAAAGAACCATGTAACAGGCGACCTCTAAGCAGTCATTTAAAAATAGTATGTAAGTATATTAAAATGATTGAAAATATTATCCAATAAGCACATCTTTTTGAGCGTAAAGTTTTTTTTTTTTTCAACCTAAAGCTGATTTGATTCTCTGGGTCATCATTGTTTGTCCTATTGTACAAATTTTTACTACCACGGAAATTCTGAAGCTGGTTTTCATGGAAGGATCAGCAATTGGAAAACTAGTACTGCTCTGAGTATCCTTTTCTTGAATTATCTTTAACAGAGACTTTTCTCTTCAGTTGTGACACTTTCTTTAAAATTCTCATCGCTGGATTTTAAATGTGATTGTCAGAGTGATGTTTCTTAAAGCCATTATTCAGCTGTCTTCAGTTACAGTTAATTTGCGTACTGCAAATAACTATCTATAAATACTGTTTCTTACATTGCCGCTGCTTCCAAAAGACCCTCTGATTGTGTTAAGAGATTACTACCATCTTCACTTATAGGTTCATTGCAGGGAGTCTTAATAGTAACTCTTTTCTATTTTAAACATCAAAGATTTTAGATTTTTCTGATTTTTCTCTGTTTTATATACTTTGAACTTATTACAAGCTTATCCACCAACTTTGTTTTTAATCAATCATATATGTTTTAGTCTAAATATAGTTTTTAAATTATTATCCCATTAAGGTATTACAACAATGAAAACAACAAAAATATGTTCAATGGTATCAAATTTATAATTAAATCAGGGAATTGTTGATTTGGAGGAGCCAGTTGTTTTTTAGATATTTAAAATGAAAGATACAGTCACTGGTTTACAAGATGACATATTTGTTTAAAAATATAGCTGTCAATCTGCTCTGACTCATGGATAAAGCAGATGTCTTAGCAATGGCCTTCTGGGCAAAGAACTTCGGCATAATCTGACATTATTATACTCTTTTTATTCACATGACTGTAGCTGTAATAGAAACATGCTTCATCATAGCACAAAACTAACAAGTAAGTTTTTCAGTATGTTGTACATTTTTCATTTTTAAAAATATTGATATTTCTTAGAAAATAACCCCTAAAGCAAAACAAACCTGAACATTATACATCTTATGCTGGTGGTTTAAGATATTCTTTATTTCAACCATAAATATGTATAGGTGAAATACATAAATATTTTACATATACAGATTTTACATCTTGTTTTTACATATACAGATTTTACATATACATGTACATATATAAAATCTGTATATGTAAAACCAAGAATGGAAATCTATATAATATTCAGAAGTTCTCCCAGAATTGTTTGGTTGAATATCACTTTCTTATTTAACTTTACAAATACCATTTAAGTACACATCTTAATTAGTAACACTTTGTGAAATCATATCAGCTTCGAGCAACACAGCTACCAGAATGAAATATTTTAGATGTGTCATTTGAAATCCAGCTTTCATTTTGCTGCCAGTGCTTATCTAAATTGCATCACATAAAAATGCTATGCTCATGTAAGTAATCTACTTTCAAGAAATGAAAAATCACCAGTGTGATACAGTCTTCTAGGTAAAACCATTAGTTATCTTGCATTTATTATTTGACCCTATGTGATATATTTATGAGTGATATGAAGGTAACAAGAAATATAAAAATAGAATTTTTAATAGAACATTTCTTGTTTTGCAATTCCAACTTTCATTTTATATACAAAGAGTACATATGCAGTTTTATTACATGGGTATGTTGCATGATGCTGAGGTTTGAGGTACAGGTCCCACCACCCAGGTAGTGAGCATAGTACCCAATAGGTAGTTTTTCAATCCATCCTGCCTCCCCTCTGACTCCTCTAACAGTCTACAGTGCGTGTTGTTCCCATCTTTATGTCTGTGTGTACTCAGTTATCTCCCACATATAGGTGAGAACATGTAGTATTTCCTTCTGTATTCCTGCATTAATTTGCCTAGAATTATAGCCTCCAGCTGCATTCATGTTGCTGCAAAGAACATGATTTTGTTTTGTTATGGCTGCATAGTCTTCCACAGTGTATAGGTATCAAATTTTCATTATCCAATCATCCGTTGATGGGCACCTGGGTTGATTTCCTATCTTAACTATTGTGAATACCACCGTGATGAACATACAAGTACAAGTGTCTCTTTGGTAAAATGATGTGTTTTCTTTTGAGTATATGCTCAGTAGTAGGAGTGCAGGATCAAATGTCAGTTCTGTTTTCAGTTCTTTGAGAAATTTCCATAATACATTCCATAGTGGCTGAACTAATTTACATTTCCACCAACAGGGCATAAGTATTCCCTTTTCTCCACAGCCTTGCCAACATGTCATTTCTTGACGTTTTAATAACAACCATTCTGACTGGTGTGAGATGCTATCTCATTGTGATTTAATTTGCATTTCTTTTTTTTTTTAATACTTTAATCCTGGGATACATGTGCAGAACGTGCAAGTTTGTTACATAGGTGTACACGTGCCATGGTGGTTTGCTGCACCCATCAACCTGTCATCTACATTAGGTATTTCTCCTAATGCAATCCCTCCCCTAGCCCCCACACCCCCCGAGAGGCCCCAGTGTGTGATGTTTCCCTCCCTGTGTCCATGTGTTCTCATTGTTCAACTCCCACTTATGAGTGAGAACATAGGTGTCTGGTTTTCTGTTCCTGTGTTAGTTTGCTGAGAATGATGGTATCTAGCTTTATCTATGTCCCTGCAAAGGACATGAACTCATCCTTTTTTATGGCTGCATAGTATTCCATGGTGTATATGTGCCACATATTATTTATCCAGTCTATCATTGATGGGCATTTGGGTTGTTCCAAGTCTTTACTGTTGTGAATAGTGCTGCAATAAACATATGTGTGCATGTGTCTTTATAGCAGCATGATTTATAATCCTTTGGATATATACCCAGTAATGGGATGGCTGGGTCAAATGGTATTTCTAGTTCTAGATCCCTGAGGAATCGCCACACTGACTTCCACAATGGTTGAACTAGTTTACAGTCCCACTAACAGTGTAAAAGTGTTCCTATTTCTCCACATCCTCTCCAGCACCTGTTGTTTCCTGACTTTTTAATGATCGCCATTCTAACTGGTGTGAGATGGTATCTCATTGTGGTTTTGATTTGCATTTCTTTAATGACCAGTGATGATGAGCTTTTTTTATATGTTTGTTGGCCACATAAATGTCTTCTTTTGAGAAGTATCTGTTCATATCCTTCACCCATTTTTTGAAGGAGTTGTTTGGTTTTTTCTTATAAATTTATTTAAGTTCTTTGTAGATTCTGGATATTAGCCCTTTGTCAGATGGATAGATTGCAACAATTTTCTCCCATCCTCTAAGTTGCCTGTTCACTCTGATGATAGTTTCTTTTGCTGTGCAGAAGTTCTTTAGTTTAATTAGATCCCATTTGTCAATTTTGGCTTTTGTTGCCATTGCTTTTGGTGTTTTAATCATGAAGTCTTTGCCCATGCCTATGTCCTGAATGGTATTGCCTAGGTTTATCTTCTAGGGTTTTTATGGTGTTAGGTCTTATGTTTAAGTCTTTCATCCATCTTTAGTTAATTTTTATCTAAGGTGTAAAGAAGGGGTCCAGTTTCAGTTTTCTGCATATGGTTAGCCAGTTTTCCCAACACCATTTATTAAATGGGGAATCCTTTCCCCATTGCTTGTTTTTGTAGGTTTGTCAAAGATCAGATGGTTGTAGATGCGTAATGTTATTTCTGAGGCCTCTGTTCTGTTTCATTGGTCTATATATCTGTTTTGGTACCAGTATCATGATGTTTTGGTTACTGTAGCCTTGTAGCATAGTTTGAAGTCAGGTAGCTTGATGCCTCCAGCTTTGTTCTTTTTGCTTAGGATTGGCTTGGCTATCTGGGCTCTTTTTTGGTTCCATATGAAATTTAAAGAAGTTTTTTCTAATTCTGTGAAGAAAGTCAATGGTAGCTTGATGGGGATAGCATTGGATCTATAAATTACTTGGGGCAGTATGGCCATTTTCATGATATTGATTCTTCCTATCCATAAGCATGGAATGTTTTTCCATTTGTTTGTGTCCTCTCTTATTTCCTTGAACAGTGGTTTGTAATTATCCTTGAAGAGGTCCTTCACATTTCTTGTAAGTTGTATTCCTAGGTATTTTATTCTCTTCGTAGCAATTGTGAAAGGGAGTTCACTCATGATTTGGTTCTCTGTTTGTCTATTATTGGTGTGTAGGGATGTTTGTGACTTTTTGCACATTGATTTTGTATCCTGTGACTTTGCTGAAGTTGCTTATCAGCTTAAGGAGATTTTGGGTTGAAACGATGGGGTTTTCTAAATGTACAATATGTCATCTGCAAACAGAGACAATTTGACTTCCTCTCTTCCTATTTGGATACCCTTTATTTCTTTCTCTTGCCTGATGGCCCTGGCCAGAACTTCCAATAGTATGTTGAATAGGAGTGGTGAGAGAGGGCATCCTTGTCTTGTCCCGGTTTTCAAAGGGAATGTTTCCAGCTTTTGCCCATTCAGTACGACATTGGCTGTGAGTTTGTCATAAATAGCTCTTATTATTTTGAGATACATTTCATCAGTACTTATTTATTGAGAGTTTTTAGCATGAAGCAATGTTGAATTTTATCGAAGGCCTTTTCTGCATCTATTGAGAAAATCATGTGGTTTTTCTCACTGATTCTCTTTATGTGATGGATTAGATTTATTGATTTGCATATGTTGAACCAGCCTTGCATCCCAGGGATGAAGCCACCTTGATTGTGGTGGATAAGCTTTTTGATGTCCTGGTAGATTCCGTTTGCCAGTATTTTACTGGGGATTTTTACATCGATTTTCATCAAGGATATCAGTTGAAATTTTCTTTTTTTGTTGTATCTCCACCAGGTTTTGTTATCAGGATGATGCTGACCTCATAAAATGAGTTAGCGAGGAGTCCCTCTTTTTCTATTGTTTGGAAAGTTTCAGGAGGAATGGTACCAGCTCCTGTTTGTACCTCTTGTAGAATTTGGCTGTGAATCCGTCTGGGTCTTGGGCTTTTTTGGTTGGTAGGCTATTAATTACTGCCTCAATTTCAGAACTCGTTATTGGTCTATTCAGGGATTCGACTTCTTCCTGGTTTAGTCTTGGGAGGGTGTATTTTTCCAGGAATTTATCCATTTCTTCTAGATTTTCTAGTTTATTTGATTAGAGGTTTTTATAGTATTCTCTGATGGTAATTTGTATTTCTGTGGGATCAGTTGAGATATCCTCTTTATCATTTTTTATTGTTTCTATTTGATTCTTCTCTCTTCTTTTTTAGTGTGGCTAGTGGCCTATCTACTTTGTTAATCTTAACAAACAAACAAACAAAAAACCCAGCTCCTGGATTCAGTGATTTTTTGAAGGGTTTTTCGTGTCTGTATCTCTTTCATTGCTGCTCTGATCTCAGTTATTTCTTGTCTTCTGATAGCTTTTGAATTTGTTTGCTCTTGCTTCTCTAGTTCTTTTAATTGTGATGTTAGGGTGTTGATTTTAGATCTTTCCTGCTTTCTCCTGTGGGAAGTTACTGCTATAAATTTCCCTCTAAACACTACTTTAGCTGCATCTGAGAGATTCTGGTATGTTGTGTTTTTGCTCTCATTGGTTTCAAAGAACTTATTTATTTCTTCCTTAATTTCATTATTTACCCAGTAGTCAATCAGGAGCAGGTTGTTCAGTTGCCATATAGTTGTGCAGTTTTGAGTGAGTTTCTTAATCCTGAGTTCAAATGTGATTGCATTGTGGTCTGGGAGACTGTTTGTTATGATTTTCATTCTTTTGCATTTGCTGAGGAGTATTTTACTTCCAATTATGTGGTCAATTTTAGAATAAGTGTGATGTGGTGCTGAGAAGAATGTATATTCTGTTGATTTAGGGTCGAGAGTTCTGTAGATGTCTGTTAGGTCAGCTTGGTCCAGAGCTGAATTCAACTGCTGAATATCCTTTTTAATTTTCTGTCTTGTTGATCCGTCTCATATTGACAGTGGGGTGTTAAAATCTCCCACTATTATTATGTGGGAATCTAAGTCTCTTTGTAGGTCTCTAAGAGCTTGCTTTATAAATCTGGGTGCTCCTGAATTGGGTGCATACATATATAGGATAGTTAGGTCTTCTTGTTGCATTGATCCCCTTACCATTGTGTAATGCCCAGTGCCCATCTTTGTCTTTTTTGATCTTTATTGGTTTAAAGTCTCTTTTATCAGAGACTAGGATTGCAACCTCTGCTTTTTTTTTTTTTTTTTTTTTTTTTTGCTTCCCATTTGCTTGGTAAATGTTCCTTCATCCCTTTATTTTGAGCCTATGTGTGTCTTTGCACATGAGATGGGTCTCCTGAATACAGCACACCAATGGGTCTTGACTCTTGATCGAATTTGCCAGTCTGTGTCTTTTAATTGGGGCATTTAGCCCATTTACATTTAAGGTTAATATTATTATGTATGAATTTGATCCTGTCATTATGATGCTAGCTGGTTATTTTGCCCATTAGTTGATGCAGTTTCTTCATAGTGTCAATGGTCTTTACAATTTAGTATGTTTTTGCAGTGGCTGGTACCGGTTTTTCCTTTCCATATTTAGTGCTTTCTTCAGGAGCTCTTACTAGGGAGGCCTGGTGGTGACAAAATCTCTCAGCATTTGCTTGTCTGTAAAGGATTTTATTTCTCCTTCACTTATGAAGCTTAGTTTGGCTGGATATGAAATTCTGGGTTGAAAATTCTTTGAATGTTGAATATTGGCCACCACTCTCTTCTGGCTTGTAGGGTTTCTGCAGAAAGATCCGCTATAGTCTGATGGGCTTTTTTTTTTTTTTTTTTTTTTTTTTTTTCTTCTGTAAGTAACCTGGTCTTTCTCTCTGGCTGCCCTTAACATTTTTTCCTTCATTTCAACCTTGGTGAATTTGATGATTATGTATCTTGGGATTGCTCTTCTCGAGGAGTATCTTTGTAGTGTTCTCTGTATTTCCTGAATTTGAATGTTGGCCTGTCTTGCTAGGCTGGGGAAGTTCTTCTGGATAATATCCTGAAAAGTGTTTTCCAACTTGGTTCCATTCTCCCCATCACTTTCAGGTACACCAATCAAACATAGGTTTGATCTCTTCACATAGTCCATATTTCTTGGAGGCTTTGTTCATTCCTTTTCATTCTTTTTTCTCTAATCTTGTCTTCAGGCTTTATTTCATTAAGTTGATCTTGAATCTCTAATATCCTTTATTCCTCTTGATCAATTTGGCTATTGATATTTGTGTATGCTTCACACAGTTCTTGTTCCATGCTTTTCAGCTCCATCAGGTTATTTATGTTCTTCTCTAAACTGGTTATTCTAGTTAGGAATTCCTCTAACCTTTTTTCAAGGTTCTTAGCTTCCTTGCATTGGGTTAGAACATGCTCCTTTAGCTCAAAGGAGTTTATTATTACCCACCTTCCAAAGCCTATTTCTGTCAATTCGTCAAACTCATTTTCCATCCAGTTTTGCTCCCTTGCTGGTGAGGACTTGTGATCCTTTGGAGAAGAAGAGGCATTCTGGTTTTTGGAATTTTTCAGCCTTTTTGCGCTGGTTTTTCCTCATCTTCATGGATTTATCCACCTTTGGTCTTTGATGTTGGTGACCTTTGGATGGGGTTTTTGCATGGACTTTTTTTTTTTTGATATTGATGCTATTCCTTTTGTTTGTTAGTTTTCCTTCTAACAGTCCGGCCCCTCTGCTACAGGTCTGCTGGAGTTTGCTGGAGGTCCACTCCAGACCCTGTTTGCCTGGGTATCACCAGCAGAGGCTGCAGAACAGCAAAGATTGCTACCTGTTCTTTCCTCTGGAAGCTTCATCCCAGAGGGGCACCCACCAGATGCTACCTTTATGAGGTGTCTGTTGACCCCTGCTGGGGGGTGTCTCCCAGTCAGGAGGCACGGGGTTCAGGGACCCACTTGTGGAGGCAGTCTGTCCCTTGGTAGAGCTTCAGCACTGTGCTGGGAGATCTGCTGCTCTCTTCAGAGCCAGCAAGCAGGACCATTTAAGTCTGCTGAAGCTGTGCCCACAGCTGCCCCTTCCCCCAGGTGCTCTGTCCCAGAAAGATGGGAGTTTTATCTATAAGCCCCTGACTGTGGCCGCTGGCTTTCTTTCAGAGATGCACTCCCCAGAGAAGAGAAATCTAGAGAGGTAGTCTGGTTACAGCAGCTTTGTGGAGCTGCAGTTAGCTCCGCCCAGTTCGAACTTCCTGGAGGCTTTGTTTACACTGTGAGGGGAAAACCACCTATTCAAGGCTCAGTAATGGTGGATGCCCCTCCTCCTACCAAGCTGTAGCATCCCAGGTTGACTTCAGCCTGCTGTGCTGGGATTGAGAATTCCAAGCCAGTGGATCTGAGCTTGCTGGGCTCCATGGGGGTGGAATTCACTGAGCTAGATCACTTGGCTCCCTGGCTTCAGCCCACTTACCAGGTAAGTGTACAGTTCTGTCTCGTTTGCATTTGAGGCACTACTGTATTATGAAAAAAAAAAAAAACTCCTGCAGCTAGCTTGGTGTCTGCCCAAACAGCCCCCTAGTTTTGTGCTTGTAACCCAGGGCCCTGGTCATGTAGGCACCCAAGGGAATCTCCTGGTCTGCAGGTTGCAAAGACCATGGGAAAAGCATAGTATCTGAGCCAGAATGCACAGTTCCTCATGGCACAGTTCCTCATGGCACAGTTCCTCACGGCACAGTACCTCATGGCTTCCCTTGGCTAGGGGAGGGAGTTCCCTGACCTTTTGCACTTTCTGGGTAAGGCAAGGCCCCACCCTGCTTTGATGCTCCCTCCATGGGCTGCACCCACTGTCTAACCAGTCCCAATGAGATGAGCCAGGTACCTCAATTTGAAATGCAGAAATCACCCGCCTTCCACCTTGATCTCTCTGGGAGCTGCAGACCAGAGTTGTTCCTATTCGGCCATCTTGCCAGCCACCCTGATTTGCAATTCTCTGATGACTAATAATCACGAGCTTTTTTTCATCATGATGATGATGATGATGATGATTTTTTTGCTGCTTGTATGTCTGGATGTCTTCTTTTGAGAGGTGTGTGTTCATGTTTTTTGCCCATTTTTTAAGACACATAACCTTTATGGGACAGAATAGGGAACCCATAAAAAAAACTGCACACCTACAACCATCTAATCTTCAACAAAGCTGACAAAAATAAGCAATGGGGAAACTGCTTCCTATTCAGTAAGTAGTGCTAGGACAACTGGCTAGTCATATGCAGAAGATTGAAACTAGACCCTTACCTTTCATCATATACAAAAATTAACTCAAAATGCATTAAATATTTAAATATATGACTTCAAACTATAAAAATCCCAGAAGAAAACCTTGTCAAAATCAGCATAAAATTCATCAGCAAAAATTTTTGGCTAAGTCCTCAAAAGCAATTGCAACAAAAGCAAAAATTGACAAGTGGGTCCTAATTAAACTAAAGTGTTTCTGTGTAACAAAAGCAACTATCAGCAGAGTAAACAGACAACCTATAGAATGGGAGAAGATGTTCACAAAGTATATACTCAGCAAAAGTCTAATATCTAGAGGCTATAAGGAACTTAAATCAAAAAGCAAAAAATGAATTTTCATTTCCACATCCTGGCAGGGAATACAGAAGCAGGGATGACATCTCTGGCCATAGTGAGCAGCATTAATATTTTTTAGCATCTAAAGGAGGATGTTAGACTGCATGTAAATCAAGTGATAAAGCTGCACTAAAGATGAATTTTGAACAGGTTCACAAACAAGAATCAAAGTTGAAGGCTCACTCTAAATAAGTGACTGTATTGCTGCAACCTCATGTGGTACATAGAAGAACTTTAGCCAAGGCTTGGAAAAGAGAAATACAGCTGGAACCAGAAGAAAGATTATTCCATTAGCATGTCTGTAAAATTTTTTCACAAGGTTTATGTTGAAAAGAAACTCTAAACTTAGGTTAGAACACTACTGTATTGTTTTTAGGGATTATTTGTTGTTTATTTGTATTTTTCTTAAGTAAATAACACTGGAAAGTATATATATTCCTGATTTTTGAATTTGGATTTGATCATTTTCAATGATTTTTGAGGTCCCAAGTTCAGTTGCCATTATTTCTAGAATTCGAACAACAAAGTGTGTTCTATCTGACTATTTCAGTCAAGTGTTTGGTATACAAAGTGAACAGACCGACATGGAAATTGGTCTATAAGCAATATTTATTTCTGATCTCATGTGTTATTAAAACACAAGTAAATGTGCGCGCGCACACACACACACCCTACTTATAGCAGAGTAGGTTGCCATTAAATTTAGTCTGGGAAACTAATATAATCACTTTTACCATAGTTTTAGATCTTGGAACCATATCTAATACTAAGCATTTAAACTTGGAACTGAAGGCAGACAGAAAGAAAGAAATCATATTCTGAATTTATTTGCATCTTCTTGGCTAGACTAAGACGCTGTACTTCTCTGCCAAACAGAGTGATAGCAAGTGGATGATTCTAGGGCTCCTCCACACTTTCTTATTTTCTAATGTACCAACTATTAATCATATGAAATTCCAGTTTAGATTATCCAAAATCCCTAGTGTACTGAATCTTTAATATGGTCTTTTGATAATATAGATACTAAGTGAAGTAAGGATGCCTCTGGGATGAAAGTCGTGCATGCTCATTGACTTCTGGAAACTGCCTTCACAGCAGCACTACTTTGTACACTGTATCCTTTCAAACTGTCCCAAGTTAGCAGCTGCCTCATTGAAAGTGGTGTATCCATGAGAATATTCTTTCTAATGGAGGAGAGGTCCGATACAGTGCAGTACACACCATTAACAATAAATAATCATGATTCCACTTTGGGATAAATTCTGCTACCATGTATTAAACATTATGAAAATATCTTTATCATAAGCTTTGTGTTATGGTTGTTTTAAAGAAAGCAGCTTTTCTGCTCTGTACAGTTCAGCTTTCAAGAAGGTGAAACCTTTACTTCCTCTCTCAAACAAATAAACAGTAGAGTGTTATGTGAGAGTTGGTGCCTAACAATTTCTGTTTATGGTAAAATTTGCTTTAATAAAATGTGTTCTTCAATTTTAAAATGCTTTTACATGCTGCTTGACAAGAATCCTTGTGATCCACATCTGAGAAATGAGGGAGCAAACAATTTCAGATTCTGTCTTCCCCTCTGTGGCAGTTTTGCAGGAGGGGAAATGTAACCTCTGGGGTGTATGGTAACAAGATTTTCATTTTGTACTATAAATCTCCCTAAAAGAAAGGGATCAAAGATTGTTTAAGCAAAAGATTGTCCTAATTTTCATCCTAAATATGAAATTTCTGAATATAGAATATTTGTCATTTAATTGCAAAAGTATATGATAAGAAACATCAAAATAGCAGCTAACTAAAAAAAATTTGAAAAGCAGGGAAACCAAAACATTTTCAGTTTTACTCAATGTAAGTATAATGCAGTTTTAGATTTTGAAATATCAATGTATCTATACATGAATTCGACCCACATACTATTATAAAAATATGTTGAGATTACTTTAATATTTAATTAAATCTTGTTTGGGTTGGTAAATTAAAAAGTCAATGAGGAATGCTTCAAGTTCTAAGTTAGACTTACAAATGGTTATAGTTTTGGAACTAGCTGAAATTAATGATGAGTTGGAAACGAGGAATATTGGTATATATTTTACTGTCTTATCTTAGAGAAGTTTAGGCAAATAAAGCTGTTGTAATTCTAAAATGTCCTAGAGTATAACTGAATCAAATTTATGTACCACATTTGACAGTCATAATCTTCCCTTGAAGTTCCACAGGTTGCTTGTTTAGCAATACCCCTTTTAGCCTAATCCACTCCTCACTCACCACCACTTCTTCTAGCCCCACTCTTGCCCACTTTCCACAGCCATCATCTAAACACAAACCAAAGGTCTCCTGGAAATAACTGCTACAAAATATAACTTGTTAACATTGTAACTAGCATTGCTATAAGTCTTGATAATAAAGTTTAATTTTTAGAGAAATTATATGATATAATAAGTGTAATGAACATTATATATAAGAATGATACAATTTCTTCCAAAATATCAATTTCTTACTGATTGCACACTATGCAGGTACCTAAATTTATTGCATTAGCCAGAAAACGAAAATCAATGGGAGTGTGAAAGGAAAGGAGGATGGTGTTTACTGTTCTACAAGGTAGAGACTTAGTGTTCTTGATTACAGGACTATTCTCTGCTTCAGGATCAATGTCCACTCCTAGGGCATAATACACTAAAACCCTGTATTAACCTTCTGACAATTATTGACATACTTTCTGATTACAGTAGTTCTTCTGCTAAAAACATGACTATAATTCCCAGAGTCTGCTATTTTTTCCTTCCTCCTTTGAGAGGGCTTCCCAGTGTGCCTTCATTTTTGGAAAGAGGATGGTGACAGGTTAGGAAAAATGTTTCTTGGGCTCTTTGAGGACTTTCAGCACAAATCTGTACTCCTCCCTATGTCAATTTTCTCCTACTGCCCCACCCTCATTCTCTTCTTGGCTCCATTCCCAGTCCTATCCTATTCCCACTTCATTTGAGTTTGCAAGTTGTACATAAAATTTCATATGCCTTTAATTTTCTTAGCTGATACTTTTACAGCTATGGCATTATGCAAATTTAGATAGTTTTAAAAAATGTTTACCATAATTCATGTATTTTGCAGCAGTGAACATGAGTTAACACTGTATATTCCAAATGGAGCATTCAATTAACCATTATTTATTTAGCTTTTCCTATCCTAATGCAAGTAACATAAGAAAAAATATCATGGCATAATCTGGGGCATGTGCAAACAAATATTAAAGAAAATATTTTTGTAATGGATCAAAAATTACATGTCACATAACAACACTGCTATAATACAGTTACTTGAATTAGTTTGGTTTCTTTTAATGTCATATTTAAAAATTCCTTTGTTGAGTAATTACTGTATGATCCCATTTATATGAGATGCAAGAACCAGCATATTTAATCTATAGTAACAGAAATTAGAAGAGCTGTTTATGGGGATTGGAGATTAAATGCAAGTGTTCAGGAGGGAACTTTCTGGGGTGGTGGGAATGTTCATTATTTTTATTGGTTACACAGATAAACATGTATGTTAAAACTTATTGAATCATATACATAAAATCAGTATATTTCACTCTGTAAATTGTACCCTATTAAAATATAAAAATTTCATTAACTAATATTAATTTGTCAAAGTATCAGTTGAGTATCTTCTTCCACCATGTTTTGTGTTTTTAATTGTTTTAGCCATTTTCAAAACAGTAGAAAATTTTCTTCTCTTTACTTAGATTTGAAACAATAATTTTATTGGATGTAGTATTTCTCTTTATTTTATTTAAAATAACCAATTAATGTAACTGTATATATTTCTTAAGATACATTCCAGGTAGAACATATTGCTTTTTCAATAGTACTTTTTTCCACCTCTCACTATTTTGCTATCTTGGCAGTGTCTGATAGCACTCCTTTGATTTCCTCTCACACACAGAAAATGTGCCCAGCACATTAGATAATCAAATATTCCATGTTGAATAGTCACATGTCAGTCTCAAGCAAATAGTAGTCATTCTGGGTAGCTTGCTATTATATTTTTAATCAAGAATTTTCTGCAATTCTTTTGTAATATGTATCTTGGAAAGATACAAAGGAATTGCAGAAAAATTTCCCAGAGAGGCATCTTGGAAAATCATATTCCGAATAAGTATTAGTAAACAAATATGACTATATTTGAGACACATATGAGGTGCTAAGTATAGAGGACATTGTTTTTAAAACCATTTCACGGTAAAGACAAAGCCACAGTTGCCTTAAACTTCTGTGATGATCCCAAAATCATGGTGGTTATAGTGCTAACTCTAGGCCATTCATTTACTGAGCTCTTTTAAATATGTTATTGCATTAATCTTCTGGATGGCTAAGGGAGATATATATTGTTATATTTATTATAAAAAAATAGGAAACTGAATCACAGAGAAGTTAATCAATGTGGCTTGGTTTTTAATAGTCCTTTTAGTAGAGCTACAATTAGAGTACAAGTCCTCTAAAGAATCCTCATGAATAATGGATCCATGTTTGTGGAAATTAAAGTGCAGACATCTGAAAAGTCCTGCTCACCTCATCCTGCTAACTGCCTCTTGAAGTCTTTCTATTTGGTCACATAAAAGCAAACAGTAAAGCATCTGCAAAGAGATAGCTTGAGGTCAATTATTGCAGAGAAAGGAGAAGCATAAGGACCCTAGAAAGAGATAAGAAAAGTTTATTTGAAAAAGCAGAAGTGGTTTTGGGATTCGGCACACCATTTTATCTTAATTATTCATGTAGAATTTTCTTAGTGGAACCTGGGTGTTTGGCAAGGTGTTCATATATAGTGGGAGAAACAATGAAGTTCTTAATGACAGCCTTACTTGTGGGACCTTATAGTCAAGTTGAAGAGAGATGTCTGGATAATATTAAAAAGTAACTAATACTCATAGTAAAAAGCAATTATGGATTAGTATCACATAGATCATAGTTTTCCAGGAATTCTCAGGAGGGAAATATTTTTGGGGATAGAAAGTCCACAGAAGGTTGAACTTCGAGGGAGGCTACATGTACAAGGAAAAGATTAGGATTTTAAAGTAGATTGGGAATGAAAGAAGAGAACATGTAGGGGAGTGGAAAGGAAGATGTGAGATTACAGTACCTGTTTTTCTTGAAAACTCTGAGTCACCTCTGGGTAGCAATAACAGAAAACTTTCCTTTTCCTAAGATCTGGGAATGTGATTGTTGTTTTAATTCTGCTCAGGGGAATTAGCATGTGTTTGTAAAGCTTATTAGAGGTGCATGTACGTGGGGAAAACAAAATGAAACACTGTGTTGACAAGAGCTGTCTGTAAATGTCTAGTTTTGGACTGTCTCCATTCTTCTTGACTTCATAATTCTGGCATATGCAACTCAGGTCAGAAAACATTACTAAAAGTAATGTTTAATTACTTAATATTTTATTAAGTAAAATGATAAAAATTCTATGTGAAAAAATGGGGGTAGCCTCCTTTTAAATTATTTGCATAGTATATTTAGAAGACTATTAATATTTTTTATGAAAAAATATTTAGGTTCTTATTTAAAAGGTAGTGTGGAAAAGTAGAGAAAAAAGAAAACTAATAATTACCCACAACATTTGTCTTCAAACACAACCTCTGTTAAAATTTTTTTGAACGTCTCTCCAGTCTTCTTTCCCTATAAAGAAAAATTTAGAGTACTAAGATAGGAATAGATTTATTTTTGGAAACTATATATTTGTCTGACTAAAGTAATCTATGTACAAGGAAAGAATAAAAACAATTTCAACTTTTTTTATAATTCTCCTATATGGAGCTATGAAGATATCTATGTCTTCGTACACAGAAAAATCTTTGGAAAAGTTTATACCAAACTATTAACAGTGATTTTCTACCAAGAGAAGGAGTTTGGTATAGGGAGATAGGAAATATGTGTGTACACACACACACACATACACACACAGGCACACACAAACCCCCTTCTTATTGGAAGCATCACATACTACTTGTGAAGTTAAAAAAAAAAGATCAAAAGCTAGCACCGGAGCCCTTTATTGTGAATTCTTTTTTTGACTTAACAGTTTTATATGAAAATAAAATTAATAACTAAATATTTTATAGTACATAAACATATAAAAATAATTTTATCCAAGTGTCTTAACTAAGAGCAAGTTAGGGTAAATGGAAAATATTCTTTGGTAGAGTAATACCCACATCATTGCCTGTCTGCATTGAATGTTAGCTTCCACTAACATAGCAAGGTCATTAATTTGAAAAAGTTGAATGTAAAGTGAGTTTGGATTCATAGGAGTTTACATTATGGCTAAAAATATTAAAGCTTTTTAAAATGGTCAAATATATGTATAACCTTACTAAATTCTTTAAATGAATATGAAATAGATTGTAACTTTTTTTTTTTTTTTTTTTTTTTTTTTTTTTTTTTTTTTTTTTTTTGAGACGGAGTCTCGCTCTGTCGCCCAGGCTGGAGTGCAGTGGCGGGATCTCGGCTCACTGCAAGCTCCGCCTCCCAGGTTCACGCCATTCTCCTGCCTCAGCCTCCCAAGTAGCTGGGACTACAGGCGCCCGCCACTATGCCCGGCTAATTTTTTGTATTTTTAGTAGAGACGGGGTTTCACCGTTTTACCCGGGATGGTCTCGATCTCCTGACCTCGTGATCCGCCCGCCTCGGCCTCCCAAAGTGCTGGGATTACAGGCGTGAGCCACCGCGCCCGGCCGTAACATTTTTATTAGGTAGAGAAATGATGAGGATAAGGTGGTTGTTAGCCAAAGATGATTTTGCCTACCAGAGTACTTTGGCGATGTCTGGCAATATTTTTGGTTGCCACAACTGTGGGAGGGTGCTACTGGCATCTAGTGTGCAGATGTCAAGGCAACTGCTAATCATCTTATAATGCACAAGACAGTCCCCACAGCAAAGAATTATCTGTTCATAAGGAATTATCTCCTCATAGCCAATTTAACTATACTTTATTATCTTGATTTTTAAATGTTTTCTTGTACTTTCTTTTTTGTTTTAATATAGTTTTAGTTAGAGTTATTGTTAAAATTTCAGGCTTTTAAATGCATATTTTAAAATAAAAATATGTGTAATATAGGCATGGGAGTGACAAGTTAGAACTCACCCACACCATAATTCCAACTGTAAATTAACACAACTATGGGAATATATATATACATATATATATATAGTTTTAAAATATACATGCCTTTGACTTAGACTCATCAATATTTTAATTTTAAACCTTTATTATACAATCTGTTGAGTATCCTGCTTCAATCTAGGTTGGTTACTGCCAAGAACTGATATACAGTTGTCTTCCTGAGACATCTTTCGGTCACTTTTCTAGGCGGAATCCACTGTTCCCTAAATCTTGTATCTTTCTCTTTTAGGTTAACCCTCTTATTTTGGTGATATGTGTATTCTAGCATCTTCTTAATAAATTTTGTTAAATTTTCTGATTTCTTTCTTGTCCCAAAATGTCTTTACAATAACATAATAATTGATTGATTTTTTTTTTGGTCCTTCATAACCATTCCTGCAAGCTTTTAGAATCTTTTCACTTGATGGACTTCCTATTCTGCAGTTTGTATCCTTTGGGCCTCGGAAAGTTTCCCATGACTTCTTTGAAATAATGCAACCTCTATTTTCTCTTGTATCTCTTTTTGAAACTTTATTGTTTGGATATAGGACTTCCTATGTTAGGTCTCTTATATGAATCTTTTATGGCCCTAAGTTTGACCTCTTTGCATTTTTTATTCTATCTTCTGCAAAATTTCCTTAATGTTATTTTGCAACACACCTATGGAAATTTTTATTGTTGTAATTGCTCTGAATTTTTAAAAGTTCATTCTTAATATCTTTTTAATATCCTCTTTTGTATATCTTTCCTTTCTATGGATGCAATATTAGCCTAATTAGAAAGTTTTGATCTTCCCAGGTCATCTTTTACTCTTGTTTAGTCTGAATTTTCTTATAAATTGGTGGTTTTTTTCTAAATGTATGATCATATATTTGTTTCTTCATTTATCAAAGAATGATGTTTAAGAAGGTTATTGTGGGCTTCATATGTGTTGGCGAGGCATTTGAGTTGATGGGCTTTGCCTTCACATGGGTTGCTGGCTATGCATGTGGGGGATTTCTAAAGTGACAGAATAGTGAATTCTGTCCTCTCAGCCATTTACGAGAAGTAAAAATATAGCTGCTGTGGTCTTCATGGAAAAGAGTGGAGAAGGGATATCGCCCTTATTTTTCTCTACTCTTAGAGAGTGCCTGGCCTAGAAAGGCATGCAACAATTAGTTCAAAGAAACTTGTTACATAAAGCAACAGCTTCAGCTGTCTTTTGGGATCAATTCACTGGCACAATTAAGTGAAAGGCCTAGGTTTCTACAGGTCCATAAGTCTCCTGAGCCACTTAATATCTGCAACACTCACATACATACTTTAACCTGTGGATTTACTGCAATTGGTACTCTCCTTCCTCCATCCATCTTTGAGAAGAAGGCTAATGTTTGAGAAGGAGAATTTGAGGATGTTAATATAATGCAATAAATATTAGGTAAAAGTTCCAGAGAAGGAAAATTTAAGGTAATATGAAAATAAGTTGAAGCCAACTTGCATGGACGTGAAAATTTTCATGATAAATAGAGATTAACAATGCATAAGTGTTGTTTTTCATTGAAAATGACAGCTACTACTAAAGCATTTGTTTTAGGTACTTAGCTAGGGAATCAGGCTGCTTATCTGGGGCATAAATGATAGGTTACAGGAATGAGTGGTAGGCAAGTAAACCAAAAGACTACGAAAAAACTCCTCAAACATCGAGAAAATCAGTTGATTGGTTTTATAATTTAGTTGTGAACAAAGTAGTTATAGTTTTGGAGTGGTATTTGGAATTTGGGAAGACAGGGCAGAATTATAACAGAGGTTACATTCATAGAGATTCAGGGCTCTGGTTCCTTGGGTCAGACAAACCTTCGATCCAGTACCCTGGATAGCTCCCAGGGATGGCAGTTGTTCTAAAGTCTTGAAGTTTCCATTGGATCCTCTCAGATGATGGAATTCTCTCCACATTCTCTACTTAGTCACCAGGAATCAGGTTATCACCCTCATTTCACTTATGAGCTTTTGCTTTTCTCATCAAATTTGAAAGACTGTATCTTTAGGACTGACCTTAAACTCTACAGAGTATCCAAAAACTTTAGCAAGCTTGCTGGGGAAGAGAAAGTGTATATTCTTCAAATCATGTAATTATTTATCTTCTAGAGTTTCTATTATTTGGTGGTTAGGGATATAAATAATCAGCTCATGGAAAATGTACTCAATCTTACTTAAAATTAAACAAATGTGAACTAAAGCTACATTCATTTTTTTGTTCATCTCTTTGGGAGACATGCAGATAATACTATCTGCTAACTGGGAAGGTTTGGGGAAACAAGTCCTTATATGCAGTCAAGGTCATGAATTTCAGTTAATAAAAGATAATTTGGATATTCACATGTATAAATATAGATTGAATCAGTAATTATAGGATTCTAAATTATAGAAATGATTAGAAAATATATAAAAAGAAATATAGATATAAACATTAATTACAGGTTTTTAAATTATTTTCAAAATCTTAAATTACCCTCTAAACAGAGTATTGCTTTAAAAAATCATGGCATATTCAAAAAATATTAAATATCTAAGCATTTAGATATATAACTATAAAATAGACATAGAAAGATACTAAGGTAAAATCATTCATAATTTGTTTGAAAACATAATATTTTGTGTGAAAACTACAAAACACACACATATACCTATTGTATATATTTGTAATTAGGAAGAAGACTTAAATGATGTTCAACAAAATTGAAACAGTGCATTTTTATGGTAAGCTCTGTATGATATTTACTTTCTTTATTGAGCATATGTGCAATTTTCAAATTTTCTGCAATAATCACATATTAATTTTGAAGTAAATACTTTAGAAATGAGTATTTTATTTATATCAGCAACTTATTGTCTTCTTTAAAACATGCTGATTATCTACTGTGTTCTAGGCACTGGATTGGGAATCAGCAGCAGTGATATGGTTCTTGAAGTTATAGAATTCACCATCTAAGAGAAGGCAGCAAAGAAGAGAAAACAAAAATAGCACAATAAAATATATAACAAAAAATTATAAACTCTATTGTGGACATGTAATAAGAGCAATGACCAATGGTGTGCTGCTAGAAGTTTAATAGGCTTTCAAAAATGGATGAATAAATGAATGAATAATAAGAGCCCAGATTTGTAAAATTTTCTAACGTATGTGATTTAAATACTTTCACATTGGCCAATTTCAAGCTACCAATGTGTGGCTACGGAATATGGCATTGAAAATAAATGCCCACAGTTGGCTTTGGTAAGCCAGCATCAGCTGTCTCCAGCACACTACTAAATGAGAAGCTACAGTAGGGGAAAAGTGCTATAGAGTCAAAGGGTGGGAGGAGAGGTCAGAAAACTTTGAAAGGAAGGGACGTTTTAGTCGAACCATGAAGGATGAGCAATAGATACAGGAAAGGGAATGACAGTGGAAAGCATCTGAGAGGAGAGAGAAACTCAGTTGAGGGGTGGCAAGAGAGAACAGTCCATGTGAGCATTAATGATGACTGTACTGGAATGGTGCCAATAGGTTTTGAGAGAATTTAGAGCATTATTCCAGTTAAATTATAAGAACAAATATGTTTCAAAATATATGTGACCTCTAAGTTTCCTTCCAAATTCAAAATGGTATGGATATCAAAAGTATTAATCAAGCTCAAGCAACCTGGATGCAAACATTCAGTTTATATTCTACCTTAATTACATTTAAAATGTTACAAATCTGATCATTTAGTTAAAGTGTTATATGGACACAAATGGGCAAAGTGAATGACAGCCACTATCCAAATGTGCTCTTTTCCCAAGGAACAGTGATTATAATATCAAAATAGAAAGGTTATTTTATTTTTTACAGCAACTGTGATAGAGGTAAACAATATATTAGCAGCAGCAGCAATAATAACAATGTCAAAAAGAGAGTAAAATATTGAATAAAAGCAACTTTGCCTCCCCTAACCATCAGGCAGATGTCAACAATCAAATTTTAAAAAGAATTCAGGCCCTGATACCTTAATTCCTGAGATTCCTCACAGATTTAGAATGCAGTCCCCTTGAAGATGGTAAATAAAGCTTTCTTTACCTAGCACAGGTGGCAGAAGACACCATTTTTACAGAATCAACATCAATTTTCCCCTTCTATGTTAATATTGTCTCCTCCCACTTTTCTAATATCCATATTTGCCCCAGGATTAGATTTAGGATAGTTTAGGAAGCTGATCTTCCATGAGGTAAGATATTTTGTTTGATATTCTTACTCATATCTATTTCAGCAACACCATTCAGAAAGTTACAGAAGATTCTAGAGACATGGTAACTGTTCATTCTTGGTCCCCTAAACTCTCATCCCCAGAAGAATGATTTCCACTGTTAAGAAGGGAGTAAGAGTTTGGTAATTATTCTTCTCAGCTCCTAAGCTCCTCCGGGATAGGATATGAAATTTTAGTGCCACCATCTTGTACTATTGTTGGTGGCTTGATCCCCCAAAAATCGAATTTTTTTACATTTGGAGAATTTGCTCTGCTTAGATGAATATTACAAAATGTCTACAGAGGCAATTTTTGGTGCTTCATTTACAGCTCTCTTCCCTTTATTTTCCATGTAGGAAAATACAGCCTTCATTTATAGCCTTTATTTTCTGATTACAGACATCATCTGCTGTTTGTTGCAGCTACATCTATTTTATATGTTGGGAGCAATTGGGGATGGTTGTTCCATGAGAATACTGATTCTCTGGTTAATTGCCAAGGATAAATTCATTGTATTTTGCTGTTTGGTGGACTGACAGGGACTGTAACATTCATCTGAAAAGGCATGGCCTATCTGAAGTCCTGTGGCATTGTTTTCCAAGAGATAAGATTACAATGATATCTGGGCAACAGGGCCTCTGCAAGCTCTCCATTTGTGGAGCTTGTTCTCTGTCGAGGGGCACGAGATTGAGGATGAAAATGGAGACTGAATACAGCCAACGCTCTGAAGATGGTCTTCTGCCTGGAAGCAGGCCCTCTAAAGCCAGTGGGTGGTATTACAGATCAGAAGACCATCTTCCAGCTTGTTGGCAGAGGTACTCAATTAGGAATATCAAATAAAGATTGATGAAGATACTGAGCAGTTGAAACAGCTGCCCTGTTGGAGACCATCCCAGTAGAGAGGAGCATGAGTATCCCAGGAGAAACAACTCCAAGCTTTGGAGAAGTGGTGAGGAATGAGTTAAGACATGCTATGGAGCCTGAAACAGCTTACAAGAAATAGAGTGAGGCCTTCCTGGCTTAGACAAGGGGTCTGGCAGCTTATGCAGTTTCATATAGAACCCATTTGGAGATTCACCATTGCCTTACATTTTCCTGCCCACTGGTCTCAAAAGTTCTCCAGCTTGTACATAATGGTGTCAGAAGTGAAGTGGAGTGAGAACCTTTGGCTGTGTCAGCTGCTGCTGCTGATCCAGATACATGATAATTTCTTTTTTCTTTCTCTAGATCACATCCCTTAACTAACTGAGAGGAGCATATTGCCCAGGCTTCCTCAGGCCCACGGGAGGAGATGGATAGCACCATCCACTACTTTTTAATAATGTTGTAATGAACAACATGAATCTTAGTTATAATAGCCAAACTATACAATTGTCCAGTCTTGGGTTTGACAGAGGCCTTGGTTGATTAACCTCAACTGAAAAACAACATGATACTGATTATTTATAATATGATGATACTGATTATTTGCAATATTTCAATACATCAAAGTATTGAAAGATATTTTTTTTTCCTGTAGAGTGGTGAATTTGTGAAAATTCAGCTAAATTTTTATTTAGTTATTTTAATTCCTGTAGTATAATTCAATTACCCCTTTATTTTCTTCCACTATTCTCTGGCTATTGAGCTATGATAGCAAGAGAATATAGAATTCACATGAAACACTGAAATATAAAATGAGGGAATCATAGGAAGATCCAAAATCAGAGTACCCTGAGACACTAACTAAATTGGAATTGAAAACAGGCCTTGGTTATATCATTCATTTTGTGCCAAACTTAAACAGGGTAAACTATGTTGTAAACATAAATTATACATGAATGGTTAGTACCCAGATGGTTAAAACTAAGGTTTGTATGATTCAAAATTATACTATAAATAAGAGGAATCTTCATGTTATATGCAAGAACATTTGATTGCTGGACCTTCATTTGTTAGAGGCAATAAAATCACAAGACGTATATCTTACCCGTAGTTTTCTAGCTGTCATATGATATATTTTAGTGTTGGGGATAGGAGAGAGTGTTTTTTAAAAAGGCATGAAAAGTTCAATGTAAGTACTTTTAACTTGTGCTTTCTGAAATGTGATGAAAAAATTCAACATGAACAAAAAATGTAAACCTCTGAAATTTAAGTTTGTTGATTGTTATTGCTTGAGGGTGCCCTTATTATAGCTGGCTAAGCTTAAAATAACTATGAGAGGAAAGGAAGTAGGAGTGTACTTTTTATCTTAATATAAGAAAGGAAAAGAAAAATAAAAACCTATGTTCCTAAACTGCCCATAATAGGCAAAATATCATTAGCCTTTTCTGGAAGATAATCTTACTAAGCTTATTTATCTGAATTTTTTTTTTTTTTTTTTTTTTGCTGGTTGATTTTTAGCTATTTCTTCTTTTATCTCATATGATACCTCTGTTTCAACTATAAATTTCCTGAGAGCAGATTCCTTAGAGACGTGTGTGACCATCATCAGTGTGGCTATGTTACATAACAATAGCTTATTTAATTACACCATAATATAGCATTTCCTATCTTATCTTTTGATAAAAATATATTTTTATGGACATTCATGATATGTGGTAATCACTATCCATTATAGTATGAAAATTTATATTTTGCGATGTGTGGATTTTAAAAGGAACTTGTCAATTCTGATGTGTGGAAAATTCTCCAGCCATATGAAAGGGATGAGATTTGATGTTGATTTTAGGGATTTTTTTTCATCCAGCAGAGCACAAGTGATTTATCACCCAGGGCTTGATTAAGTAACATTTTCATTCATGAACCGTTAAGTGTGTTATGAAAGATGTAGAAATAAAAAAGATAATTTCTCCACAGTCAAGAAGTTCATAATCTCATGAAGGTGATTATGCTATAGTAAACATGATGACAATGATGATGACCATAGAGAAAGAGGAGAAGGAAAGGTAGAAAGAAGAAAAGAGGTGAAAGGGAAGTAGAGAAGGAGAGAAGGAGAAGGAAATGACATAACATGCATTAACTATATACATGCCAATTCCTGAGCTAAATATGTCACACGGATTTTTTTTTCCTTTTTTTTTTTCAGTGCCCATGGAGGGAAACGCTCTTATTATTCCCCTTTTACAGATGAAACTAGTTTCCAAAAATTAAATAAGTTACTTAGAGTTACAAAGTTGGCAGTCTGACTTCACAGCTTAGATTTAAATTTATGCTATCTCTATCTTTCTTAGTATGACATAGTGATTAAGAGAGCAGAGACCATGGGGTTAGAATTCTAGGCAATTATGCCTAATTGCCAACAGATTTGGGAGTTTAGTTTCTATTTTTAAGTTCTATCATTGTTTTACCTTATATGTGCTTGTTGATTCATTACAAAATCTTTCTTTACCCTTTAAGTAATAATGATTTTTGTATCACATTTATTGTTCATAGAGTACTGAGGAAATTAAGTTAAAACAATAAAAGAAAAAAATATGTATTTTTGGCAGTTGTACTATTCTTGCTTTGGTTAAACAAGGTAGAACTTGTTACTTGGGCATTGGCCCTTAACTGGAAGCCTTTATTCAGTCACTATGCTTCCTAAGTATTCAAAGGGCTGCAGTTTGGGGTCCCCCCCAAATGTGCTAAAATTTATTAAGCACAAAACATGACTTTTGGTGTTGAAAGTTATGTTGGGACAGCCAAACAGGTCCTTGTATGTCCTTGTCATGCCAATAAATCCAGCCAGAAAACTATTTTTAATGGTTGCATGAGTAACTGGTATTTTAAGAAGATACCCACACAGAGGGAAGAGGTATAGACAAACATCAGATTTTCAAGGACTCAACAAGGGAGTTTGCTTTTTCTGGTAAACTTCACCTGCAGTCTAAGCAACGAGGCCAGTGCCGAGTCTGCAACAGTACCACATGCTTCCTTTATGAATTGTGTGGGATCTGATAAATTTTTCAGGATTCAGTCCAGCTGTGCTCTCATCACATTGATTTAATGGCCCTTAAGAGAAACCATAAAAGTGCTTTCTGGTTAGTGAGACCCAGCTGTTTCTCATGGTATTGCATAAGACAGCAAGCTGAGTTAGCTATAGATTAATCATATTAAAAATTCAACTTTTCCCATAATGTCTTATTTTCATACCAGAAAAGACTTGGAGCAAATATGTGATTTGTTCAGTTAGGTTGTTAGGCCCAAAAGGAAAGCAACTAAAGAAATTATCTGATTTGATCCAAAAAAGCTATTAATAATTAGAGCCCCCAAATGAACACTGAGTCATATTAACATATCTGGAGGGTGTGTGTGTGTGTGTGTGTGTGTGTGTGTGTGTGTGTTGTGTGTGTGTGTTTCCAGAGGGCGATGTGAAGGCCAATGGCTGGAACGGAGGAGGGCTGTGTTTTCATTACCAGGCAACAGTGCAAGAAGCCAACAAAATTATTTGAGGATTATCAGGCTCTCTGATGAGGTTGAGAACATTGAAAGTCGGTACAAAATGAATAGCTGTGTAGATTTACAGTGTCATTCATGTCATCTGAGCCCTTTGGTTTTCTGCAAGCAGAAGGATGATTGTACTACCAGGCAATCTGTTACGTATTAAGCTGGGGGTATGAAACAGTCTGTACTGAAAATGTTTCTGCTCAAAAGCAGACATGAAGCACTTAGAACTTTTGCACTTTAGGTACTTTCAGTCAATGAAGTACTCAGAAATAAAATGTTTTTTCACCCCTGTTAAAACAATGAGGAAGATGAGAATGGGAAGGATTAGAAAGAAAAGTGTTAATTTTACAACCATTATTTTAGTATTAACCAAGTTACAGCTCCTAAATTCAAGGAGTGAAGTATGTAGTCACTGAAACTGAAGTCATCGTGGAGACAAATAGCTGGAGAATTACAATTATTATTTGCCTAATTTTTGGTGATCAAGTCTGATTGCAACAGCCCTTTATTTAAATAAGACCACATGGAAGTGATTCATTGTTTGTGAGTGTAGGGTCACAGAATGTGAAAGACCCTACACTGCAAACTATTGCAAACTTGAAAATTAGATAGAAAATAATTGTAGCTTAGATAGAAAAGAATTATTTTTACACTATCAGTGGAAAAGATGTTGCTAAGTGAAGAACTATATTTTCATAGTTTATTTTCATTTAGAAACATCCATTTTAATATAGAGCTATTTATATATTCTTATGTAGTTACTAACGTTCTCAATTAAAAACTTGATTTAAAAATATCTAAACATTGTATATTTCAAATTTAAGGATTCTTTTTTTTCTACCAGTTTCAGCATTAAACATAGTTTTGTGTTTTTTAAAGGTTGTTTATGGTTTAAGTTAATTGTTATTTTAAAATAATACCTGTTGAATATTTACGGGAAGTTCAATGATAAAGAAATTTATGGAACTATTCTCCTGATGGCAATAAAGTAACATATTTGTATAAAACTAGGTAATGATTCAAGGTCATATATATCCTTCAGCGTTTTTCCCTTGGAGAAATTGAACATAGTTGTTAGTATCCTTAACAGATACCTACAGATAGAGCTGGAGCAAGAGAGATGCTATTACTTGGGGTATTTTAAGGTCAGTATTTCAGTAGCTGCTATTTTTTATTACTTGTCATGTAGACCAGTTCTTCTCTACTGAAAAACATTAGCTTGAAAAACCAAAGGTTTGGTGGCCTGAATAGACAACAATAACCAATATCTTAACTTTGCCAGACACTTCTGTGGGAAACACGGAGCTGTGTCAGTTTTGCCATTCTTACAATTCTAGCCAATGCACTAAAGGCAAAGAGTAGTGTTGCTTGGTAATGATATGGGAGTGGTGAGAATATGACATCCCTTGGTTCTATTGATTGCCAAAAGCGCCAAGTTTTTCTTTTGCCTCCACAAGAAATGCAGCTTAGGCTTTCTGTAGTTCTCTGTGGTTTGCATTCAGTCCCAAATGCAGAGTGCAGGGTAAAAGAGTTATTGTCAACCAACAGCAGGCAAGTCAGAAAATGCCAGGCTGATGTAATGCAGGCTTCTATTTCACTTCAGAATGAAAATTTAATGTTTTTTGAGAGTCTGTTACAGAGCAATTCATTATGGTTATCTTATGAATGATGGGTTCAGAGAACTAATGTTTGTGCTACATATTTTTGTGGCTATTTCAGAAAATGCATTACAAGAGGCAAACAGCCAACAGCAAGAATCATGCTTAAGACTAAGAAGTAGAACTGGTTCAGCACAAAATGGATTTTTGTTTATTTCTTTGGGTCAAAGGTAAAAGGCTGTGTCATATAGGGCATATGCTTTTGGGAAGGGTGCCTGGTTAGGCACTGTTTTGTAAAGGTATTTTCCTTGTCTTGTTTGCCCACTCTGGGCAATCAAATAATTTTGTACTTTTTCCAGTTAGTATTTCTCTATATGCTCATTTTAAAATAAAACAATAGAAAAATAGAGAAAATTTGGAGGAAGGAAAAAATATAAATGTAAACCCACAAACACAACTATTGTTTACATATTGATGTACCTCATTCCAATAAATTCTTTTGTAGATAAAAGCTTTAAACACATGATATGATTATGATAGTAACAGATCAATGTAGAAACATATATAACCATTATTAGTACCAGATTAATACAAATTAAGCTTTGCTTAACTGTTGTCAGATTCAATAGAATCTGCTGACCCCAAAGGCCTTCATATATATATACACATACATATATATGTGTATATATGTATATATATATGCACACACACACATATTGCACACACGTGCACACATATATATACTTTTAAGTTCAGGGATATACTTACAGGCTTGTTACATATGTAAACGTTTGTCATAGGGGTTCGTTATACACATTATTTCATTACCCAGCTATTAAGCCTCGTACCAATTAGTTATTTTTCCTGATCCTCTCCCTTCTCCCACCCTCCACCCTCCAATAAGCCCCAATGTGTGTTGTTCCTCTCTATGTATTGATATATTCTAGTCATTTAGTGCTCACTTATAAGTGAGAACATCAGATATTTGGTTTTCTCCTCCTGAGTTAGTATGCTAAAGATAATGGCCTCCAGCTCCATCCATGTTCCTGCATAGGACGTGATCTTTTTCTTTTTGTGGCTGCATAGTATTCCATGGTATATATGAACCACATTTTCTTTATCCAATCCACCATTGATGGGCATTTAGTTGATTCTATGTCTTTGCTATTATGAATAGTGCTGTGGTGAACATACCCATGCATGTGTCTTTATGATAGAATGATTTATATTCCTTTGGGCACATACCCACTAATAGGATTGCTGGATCAAATGGTATTTCTGTCTTTAGGTCTTTGAGGAATCACCACATTGTCTTCTACAATGGTTGAACTAATTTATACTCCCACCAAAGTGTATAAGTATTTTTTGCCACAACCTCACCAGCATGTTATTTTTTGACTTTTTAATAGTAGCCATTCTGACTGGTATGAGATGGTATCTCATTGTGGTTTTGATTTGCATTTCTCTAATGATCAGTGATGTTGAGCTTTTTTTCATGTTTGTTGGCCGCATGTATGTCTTCTTTTGAGAAGTGTCTGTTCATGCCTTTGCCCACTTTTTAATGGGGTTGCTTATTTTTATTCTGTAAATTTGGTTAAGTTCCTTATAGATGATGTATATTAGACCTTTGTCAGATGTATACTTTGCAAAAATTTTCTCCTATTCTGTAGGTTGTCTGTTTACTCTGTTGAGAGTTTATTTTGCTGTGCAGATGCTCTTTAGTTTAGCAAACATCTTTTCATATTTAGAAGAGATGTTTCCAGGTTCTCACTAACATTAATATTCAAATAATAATGTCCCAGAATCCCACATTATTCAATTAGTAGGAAGTCTTTTAGCAGGCTGCATTCCTGAAGTATTTCTGGGGTCCTAGAAGAATGCTCATATGTTCCCATATCCATCCTTGTTTTCACTTGTCACCATAATGCTCTGTCTACTCTAAGATGTTGCTCATATGTTGCTGTCTCTTATCACCTTTAATCAGACTCCAGCCTGCATTCTGTCTGTCCTGACTGCTGCACTTCAAGAATGAACATTCTAAATTTCCCAAATAAGAGCTAATGTCAAGCATTTAACAGATAATAAAACTTTGTCAGAATTTTGGGGTTACCAGAAATTGCAAAATAAAAAGGAAAAAAGGTTAGAAATATTTAAAATGCTACTTAATATTCTATTCTGGAAAACAATCTAAAATTTCTTACGTGCTTAATTTTGAGCTTTTAGGTTGTGTCAGTTTTTCACTTTTAAAAGCGGTTTATATATATTTTTGATGTAAAATTTTTATACTTCTATTTTGTATATCATCTCTGCCAGAACATATTCTTAGCTCTTAAAATTTATCAGAACATTTTGTGGGAAAGAAATCCTATATAAAGAATTTCCAGATTCACTTATTTTATGGTTAGTGATAGTTTGTGCTGTTTCCAATTGATATAATTTGATAAATTATATTTTCCTAGGAATTTGACCCTTTTATCCAAGTTTTCAAATTTACTGCCATAATCTGTTTGTGGTATTCTATTATCTGTTTCATATCTGTGGTAATTATTTTCCATTTTTAATTTTGACAATGTGTATGTATGTGCCTGTGTGTGTGTTTGCACTTTCTTGTTGTTTTCTTTGATTGGTCTTCCCAGAGTTTTGTTAATTTTACTATGAAAAAAATTGTGTTTTTCTATATTACTAATATTTGCTCCTATATATTAATTTTTTCCTTTTACTACTTTCAATTTTTTAAAAATATTTCAAACTTCTTTATTTGAATGCTTAATTTTCAGCCCTCATCCTTTTCTAATAAAAACCAGGCTATGCATCTATCCCCAAGCACTGCTTTAGCTGTGCACAGATGTTTTTATTTATGTTCTTAATATTACTTATTAAATTTAAAATATTATTTAGCTCCAAATATTTTCTAATTTCCATGACAATTTATACTTTCTTTCCGCCCTAGTTTTTATTTAGAAATATTTGTCTCAATTAATGAATTTGAAATTTTCTAGTCATTTTTTACTATTTTTAACTTAGTCACACAATAAAATATATATTACAGTAGTATTGTATATTATATTAAATATTATGCAGCCTATATTGTCCAATTATATATTACATACATATATCAGTATTTGCAACTGGAATTTGGCGTGTGGCCTATTATGCTCAACTTAAAAAAATGATTCATATATGCTTGAAAATATATAAATTCTACGGTGGTTGGGTACAGTTTTTTAAATATATTTCTAATAGTTCAAGTTTATAATAATGTTATCCAATTCTTCTGGTTCTTTATTATTTTGTCTGTTGTTTAGTCATTTAATGAAAAAGTTATGTTGATATCTTGCAATATGATAGTGAATTTGTATATTTTCCTTATTCTGAAAAAAAAGTCTGTTCTATTTTAAGGTGATATTCAGTGCATGAAGGGTGAGATTGTTAAAAATTCTTCAATTTGTACGTTGAAAGCTTCATCATTATGCACTGACTTCATCTCTTGCAATGCTTTTTAATTTCAAGTCTTATTACAAATAATAACATAGTTTCATTAATTTTATTTTCATTAGTATTTGTCTGTTATATCTTCTTTTGTTGTTTTTCTTTCCTGTCTATATCCCTGGTTTAGAAATGTCTCCTACACACAGCATACAGATGGATTTTTTAAATTTTGAGGTTGACAATATTTGTCTTTTAATTTACCTTGTTGGGAATTCATCAGTTTTCTTAAATTTGTGGATTCGTTATAAATTCTGATTGGATGTATGTTGAATCTTCCCATCCTGATCTCATATCTTTTATCTCCCTATTATATTTTTCACCTCTGATTCTCTAAACTCCCTGTCTGATATTTCCTCCAGCTCTACTAGTTCAAGAATCCTCTCTTTGGCTATATCCATCTTCCATTTAATACATAACAGGAGTTCTTAATTTTAGTTATATAATTTGTATTTTTATTTCTAAATTTTCTACTTTTTTTCTTTAAAAGCTATGTCTAGGCATTTTGTTGTTGTTGTTGTTGACACAGAGTCTCATTCTGTCACACAGGCTGGAGTGCAGTGGTGTGATCATAGATCACTGCAGCCTAAACCTCCTGGGCCCAAGCGAGGCTGGGCCCACCTCAGCCTCGCGAGTAGCTCTGACCACAGGTATGTACCACCATGGCTGGATAATTTTTACAGAAATTTTTTGTAGAGACCACCTATGTTGCCCAGGTGGTCTCAAACTCCTCAGCTCAAGCAATCCTCCCACCTCAGCCTCCCAAAATACTAAGATTACAGGTATGAGCCACTGGGCCCAACCTGCTTAGTCATATTTAAAGTGTTTTAATTATACTTAACACATTGATTAATTATACAGCTCTGGTGGTTAGATCTCTATTTGGCTCTCCATCTAATTCATCACCTTTTCTTGTCCTTGCTGTAGCTCCAGGAAGATAGACTATATCACCTAGCTTCTTAGATGTCTGGTTTCTGGTTGGATTTGGTCATGGTTACTCACCAGTAGGAATTCAAGAGTGGGGTTAGATAGTGGAAAGATGTTTATTTACTTTCAGTTTCCTTCCAGGCTTTGAATGTATATATTTCTTTACTTATGCCACTTAATGAGACATTTATTCTATTCCAGAATACATAAATGTCTCATTAAGTGACATAAGTAAAGACTACTAAGAAAATAGCCTAACATCAGTTAAGGCCGGGTTTTGCTGCCAAATCAATTTGTGACAAGTCTAGAAAAAAATATTGGTTTCTCAAAGTGTTGAAGATTTTGGAATGACAGATAGGGGATTATGAATCTGTAGTTATTATTATAATTCTGCTCTAAAATCTTTGCAATTCTTATTCTCCTATCTGTTTTTTCTTTTGGCCCTAACTCAAAAATCCTTATTTCATTGTGATTTTATTTTTAATTGAGAAATCATCTTCCTCTCTTTTCTTTTACTTCTTATTTTTAAGTAATTTTATGCTTAGAGAAAAGTTGCACAAAATAGTATGGAGAGTTTATGTAAAATTTTCATGTATTTTCCCCTAAAGTTAACATCTTGCATATCTATAGGGCAATTACCTAACGCAGAAAATTAACACTGCACCAATACTATTAAATAATCTATAAGCCTTATTTAAATTTTGCCAATTTTCCCACTAATGTCTTTCTTTTTTCTGATCTAGAATCGAATTCAGGACCCCAAGCTGCATTCATTGTCATGTCATTTTATTCTCTCTCCATTGACAGAGGTTCCTCAGTCTTTCTCTTTCATAATTTTGATGCTTTTGAAGAGTACTGATCTTTGAAGTACTGATCTTTTTGAAGAGGACTGATTTTTTAGCATGTCCTTCAATCTGAATTTGTTGGATGCTTTGTTGTGTTTGTCTAGTGGTGATCTTCCATTTTCATCATTCCTTCTACATTTATTAATTAGAATCCCATTGAAAATAAGAGGTAGGCTTACTTTCCTATTTATTTATTTATAGCATTGTATACTCATGGATATTTATTTTATTCCATAGGTTTTAAACCATTTTCATTATTTGTTTGGATGCGCAAATTTGGCTCATTTTTTGTTACTATTCAAGTTGGCTCCTCTCTTTCAACATACTCCCGATTTCTTTCTTTTTCTCTTTTTTAGCACTTCTTTACTTTCTGGCACTACAGGGTATTCCAAGCTCATCTTTTGTATTCTCTGCCCCAGTCCCAGGAAGAAACATTTTTTCAAAGAGCCCTGGTTTCTTTTATTGGCAAACAGTATTTAGACACAAAGGTCTGGGGAGATCTTGTTTCTTGGAACTTTATCTAAGGAAATTATCTGAGGCCTGGGTGGACTGCTTTAGAAAGTTTTTGTATTTGCTCCTGTTAGATGCCATGACTCTACCAGCCTTAAGCTACTTTATTGTTGCCTTTAAGTTTTTACATCATTCAGGTAGTTCAGTTTTACTGTGCGCATCTAGGTGAGGGCTAGTTTATGGTTATTAATTCTTAGGGGCAAGAAGGTTCAATAGAGGAAATTGTCCTTACTACCTTCTAGCAGTAGGGTAGGCTGCTTTTTTCTGGTTCAGTTTGCCATCAGGATTTATTCCTTTGGTGCTCTGGTCTCCAGGTAGACTCTTCAATTTGTCCAGATCCTAAAATTTTTCTCCCATTCTCTGATCCTTATGAAACCATGAGAATTGAAGTCCAAGTTCACTAGGTTTGGCAAATTCTCTTCAGGAGACAGCCAGGTTCAATGTTCAGCTTTTCTCTGTGTTCCTGATTTCATTTCACTTTTCGGCCTCTGAATATTTCTTACATTCATTCCAGCTCGTCAAAAGTATTTGTAAAAATGTTTTGTACATTTAATTCAGCATTTTTAATTGTCAGTGGAAAGGTAGTTCATGTGACCTCATCCTCCAAGTTATAGGAATTGAATATACATTAAAATTAGTGTGGATCATGAGGTCAGGAGATCAAGACCATCCTGCCTAACACGGTGAAACCCTGTCTCTACTAAAAATACAAAAAAATAAAAAAAAAAAAATTTAGCCAGGCATGGTAGCGGGTACCTGTAGTCCCAGCTACTCGGGAGGCTGAGGCTGGAGAATGGCGTGAACCCGGGACGCGAAGCTTGCAGTGAGCCGAGATCGCACCACTGCACTCCAGCCTGGGCAACAGAGCAAGACTCCGTCTCAAAAAAATAAATAAATAAAATAAAACAAAATAAAATATTTAGATTTAATTCATTTTAATTCATTCTATAGACTTTTTCTGAGGGAGTGATCATAAGGTTCAATAACATGTTAAGGCTTTGTATAAACATTATTATAGTTCACTGATTTTTTATTTTAAACATTGCTTTAAAAGCAGTGCAATATTTTATTTCACCTTCAATGGATGAGCATAAGTATTAATGTACTTGCAAAGGGCCCTGGAATCCTCTAAGAATTCAGAGAAGGGAATAGTTTCTTAACCTCCCTGTGTGAGTCCTTCTCCATAGTTAGTATGCTTATCTGGAATGTCTGACACAGGGACAGCAAAGGGGGTGGGCTAAACTAACAACAGATATTCAACAAAGATTATTGAAATGCGAAGTAAAAAGGAGGATATGTATTTTTCAAAGATCGTCACATAAAATCTCCAGTCAAAACATACTGACAACTATGAGGCCTTCTGTGCTGTTGGGGATTGATGGAACCATGATGTATGATGCTATAAACATAGCAATCTGTTACCTGTTGACTTGCAGAGTTACATTGGCCTCATCAACATACCTGTGATGTCAGTTGTTTTGGAATTTCGTTCTCTCAATTACTTTTTATAGCCTAATCCCTCTTTCTACTTTTCCTAGCTATATTGCTTTAAATTAGCTAAAACCAATTTACCTCTCTACTGTTGTTACTAATAGCTTTGATTCTTTTCACAATTCTTACTTTCTTGTAATGCCTATAATTTTAAAACTATTTTAACTGACACATTTGCTGTTTCTTTTAATAAAGCTTAGAACAGGTTCTCAGTGAGTCAGAGTAGGAGGACAAAAAAAAAAAAAAAAAAGAATCCTGAAAGTATCCTACCACAAGATATTTTAACTAACCCCATGAGAGTCCTGCTGCTAAAATTGTACACCTACTGGTCATTGCTCATAGATAGCTCATAAAGCTTTCAGGCAAGGATATTCCTAATACACAAGCTCAAAGTAAATTGGAAAAGATGGTCCTCCCATTGCTAGATTTTCACTGCACTCATAATTCTTGAGGATCCATGTATTAAGTAGCAGAATGGCAAAATAATTTTAAATTAACTAGTATTCTCAATAGTTTTGACTTTTAATTTTTTATTAAAATGAATACAAATGTTTAAAATTCAAATAAAAGGTTAAAGCATAAGTTTGCTTAGCTATGCTGTGACTATAATCACTCCTGTACTCTTAAAGACTTGATTTGTTTCTTCTGTACTTAATGTGCTATTCAATTCACACAGAATATCTGTCACTTATTATAATAAGTAGTTTTAGCCTTTAGGACTAAGGCTGAGAATTTTGTTAACTGCCAAGAGCATACGTTAGAGAAAATAGCTCAGTATCTGCTTTCTTTAAAAGAAAAAATTACTTTGTATACTCATTTAAATTGTTACTTATAACTTGTTACTAAAAATAACAATTATAATGTACTTACCATAACATTTATAAATATCTCTAGAGTTTTGTAATGTCATAGAAGCACCAAAAAAGAATGATAAATAGGGTGGATCACCAAACAGTAAAGGAAAGCCAGAGACAATAAAACATATTGACAAAAATGCTGGCAATATTGCAAGAAGTGAAAGAAATAACAGTAGGAAAGAGTGATGGAAGTGCTCAATGATGATGAAATATTTCTTTCTTATATTTCAGGAATGGGATGTAAAAAGATGAACAAACAAAAAGAAAAGATAATATTGCAAAACACCGTATTGTGCTTATACCCAAAGAAGTTAAAATTAAATTTATAATCAATTATTTTATTGCATAAAGTTAATCACAATTTGGAAGGCCATTGTTTCTAAGTTTTCTGTAAATTTTACTTTACTCACAATATGTAGGGTCCTGGTTTAGGCCTGGTAGAAGAGCTAAATGACATTATGCATTTCTTCTAAAAGCTCATGAACCTAGACATGTCCTAAAATTATAGGGCAATATATGATTGATGCTAAATGTGAGTTAACAGTCAATAAGTAGTATATGGATGAGTAGTTCAGAATGAGGAAAAATCTTAAGGGCTAAAGTGATGAGAAATTTTTGATGAAAGATGAGGAATATTGGGAGAGAGGTACAAGATTATAAAAGAGAAAAGGTGGGTTATTATTTCTTTAGGAAGAAAGATGTGGAAAGATGCAGAGGCATGTGCAGAAGCAGCAAGATCAGTGTGTAGGTATCTGTGCAGAGGACTGGGAGAGACCAGATTAAAGTGACTTGCTCAAAGTAATAAATATTAACTCCAGAAACTGAAAACTTTCAATTCCAACTACATGAGGAACAATGATCTCTAAGTTCAAGTTACGTGTTTCTAAGTAAGTCAAGATTTGGTTTCTTCTTGGAGAAAGGGAAGAGATTTTTCAGTTTTGAGAATTGAAAGGAGAATGAATATGGAGATATATTTTGAAGGTCGAGTTAAAAAAATGAGAAAGTAAGTTCCTTAAAGTAAGTAAAATAGGGTGAGAGTGGGTGGGCGTGTGTTCATAGGTGGCTATGACAGGTGAAGAAAAACAATACTGGAATTCAAATAAGCAAGAGATTATTTTGTTAAATGAGCCTTTTATGGGAATGCTGAATTTACCAAGAATAGCAGACGGGAGAAATCACAGTAGAAAGAAAACTTGTGAATTAGGTGCTAGAGTGTTAAAGACATTAAATCAAAATGTGAAATTTCCAGAAGTTTTCAATTCATGCAAATATATTTTTCATATTTAAGGCAAAGTTAGAGAAACATAAAAATATTTATAGTGCTATATTTATGTTTTTATTCCTTTAAAGATCTGTAGCTACCATGTTAAAACTGGGAAAAGATTATTATATATAATTTTACTCATAAAATATATTTTAAAACAGGTTTGAAAGTCAAATTTTCATCTGTAAATGTACTACTGATAAGCATCCTAAGGCTTAACTGTTTAATACAAATAGAATTATAGGCTGATGAAATTTAATAATTCTACCATTTCTTAATTTTCATTTATTTTATGAGGACCTGGAAAAAATTCAAAAATAGATAGTGTCACTATCACTGCCATTACTGCAATTTCTGGTAGTTCTCCTGTTAGCGCTATTCTAAATGTGGATGCTGCTGGCTCCATCTACGGATCCTGTCCACTGTCCAAATATTGTGCTAAATGATTTATATCTCAAAAGTCTTTTAAAAGAGTTACCGGGCCGGACAACTCATGGCGGCGGCGGCGGCGGCAGCTGCTTGGGCGCGGTGCGGTGTTGACTGAGCTACGAGCCTGGCGGAGGGTGCGCGCCGAGCCCCGGTCCGGCCAGGCCCCTGCGTGCGTCCCAGGCTCCGCACCCCTGATGCTGCGCGGGTGCTGAGCCTGCTCCGGCCGGGACGATGGTGAAGTATTTCCTGGGCCAGAGCATGCTCCGGAGTTCCTGGGACCAAGTGTTCGCCGCCTTCTGGCAGCGGTACCCGAATCCCTATAGCAAACATGTCTTGACGGAAGACATAGTACACCGGGAGGTGACCCCTGACCAGAAACTGCTGTCCCGGCGACTCCTGACCAAGACCAACAGGATGCCCCGCTGAGCCGAGCGACTGTTTCCTGCCAATGTTGCTCACTCGGTGTACATCCTGGAGGACTCTGTTGTGGACCCACAGAATCAGACCATGACTACCTTCACCTGGAACATCAACCACGCCCGGCTGATGGTGGTGGAGGAACGATGTGTTTACTGTGTGAACTCTGACAAGTGGCTGGACCGAAATCCGCCGGGAAGCCTGAGTCTCCTCTAGCTTATTTGGTGTCTTCAGAGCTGTCCAGGAATTTGGACTTGCCGGTTCAAAAGCAACGTGACCAAGACTATGAAGGGTTTTGAATATATCTTGGCGAAGCTGCAAGGCGAGGCCCCTTCCAAAACACTTGTTGGGACAGCCAAGGAAGCCAAGGAGAAGGCAAAGGAGACGGCACTGGCAGCTACAGAGAAGGCCAAGGACCTCGCCAGCAAGGCGGCCACCAAGAAGCAGCAGCAGCAGCAGCAACAGTTTGTGTAGCCAGCCCACCACCACCACAGCACCCCAGACAGCTAGGCTTAGCCCCTCGGCCCTCCCTCCATTGTACTTTATCATTAAAAATCAACTTCCAGCCCTGTCAAAAAAAAAAAAAAGTTACCATTATAATATTCATTGCTCTGATAAAGAAACTGAGGCTTAGGGAACTGAAATACTTTTTCTAAACTTATTGTTTGCATATTTAAATATTCTACATATTTTTTACTAATGTTTTCTCCGATTTATGTACAACTTCCTAAGAGAAGTGTGTTAAAATTTTCCACTGTCATAGTAAATTTTTGAATTTCTTCTTCTCATGATTTTGGCAAATTAAATTTTATTTTGTGACAATTTTGAAAGTTTATGGGAACTCTATCATTAATTCTATTGTTTGCTTTCGTAAATATGCAAAAATTCTTTTTATCTCATGATTATTTTTACCTTAAAACCTTTTGTATTTGATATTAATGGAGTTATATCAGTTAGCGTTTGCCTTGTTTTGATCATTTTACTTTTAGCCTTTCTTTTACTATGTTAGTTATGTTAAAAGACATTTAGCCGGATAGTTTTAAATTTTTATATTAATCTGAGGATCTCCTTTAATTGCTGACTTTAATCCATTTATATTTATTGTGATTACTGATAAAGTTTGTTTTATTTTTATTGTCATGGTGGTAGTTCTGTTTATTAGTGATATTGCTCTAAATTTTTTTCTTCCAGTTTCTTCCATCATTGAATTTTTAAAAAATCAAACGTAAAACAAGGACAAACACTTAAAATAAGATGACTATTTTCTGGAAATATTTCTAAAGATATTTGGCCAAGAATATATAAAAGGAAGGCTGCTGTGGAAACTTTTTGCTCTTCTGGTACAATGTCATAGCTTTTCCTTTCTCTTTCTTCCTACTGGAATGCAGACGTTCTGGCTATAGCTGTAACAGCTATCTTGTAACCAAAAGAATAGCAGAGACATTGATAGCCATGGGACAGAACTTAACAGCTTTCTCTTGTCTTCCTATTATATGAGGAAAATAATCTATTTTAAGTCACTGTACTTGGGTTATAAATGGAGTCAAATACAAAATATATATATATTTTTCTCTCTTAATTTCTAGTAGATGGTTATCCCACCCACCTTTCTTCTTTTGATTTTGAAATCGTACATTCATTTTTGATCCTTCAGTTGTTATTCTTCAATTTTTAGAAAACAATTGTCTTTACAATGGGCTAAAACTACTTGATATATCTCTACCCTTCTAAATAAATAATATAAAAGAATGCTTTTGTCTCAGTCACCCTCATCATTCTTTCCTATCTCCCAAATATAAAGCCTGATATTTTAGATTCAATTTATTTATACTGTTCAAATTAGTGACTGTTACTGTTATATTTATAATCAAAACATGTTTAGATTTCCCAATATTTTTACAAGTTTATTTTTGTAATCTTCTTTCTTATTTTACTGTCTTCTTACTGAAATTTAATAAATGTTCCTTCAGTTAGGTCTGCAAAACTTGATCTATTTTGATCTTTGCTTGTTAATATATTTATTTAAGCTTCACATTTGAATAAGATTATGTAGAATTCTAACTTAAGATATATATTCCCTCAGCTCTTTGAAGATGTTACTGCATCGTCTTCTGACTTCTGTTGTAGTTCTAAGAAATCTGCTCTCATCTAATTGTTCTTTTGTGTGTCTTTTTTCTGATTGCTTTTATTATATCTTCCTTGTCTTTGATTTTCTTTCTTCTGTTTCTTATCCTGACAGTGGCAGCAGCAGCACTCCACCCACCTCAGCAGCTCAGGTTTTTTGGTTTCAATAATGGAAACTGCTGCTGCCCAGCAACCTCAGCAGTCAGTCTCTAGCAGTACCAGTAGCAGGCAACACTTGTAGCGTGGATGTGGCGGCAACAACAATGGGAATGTGGGCTCCCAGATTTTTTAGTGTCCTCAGGAGTAGGAGCTGTTGGCTTCTTACAATATGGTTGTACTAATGGTTCCAACAGCACAACAACAACAGCAACACTTAGGTAAGACCTAAGTGTTATCTTTTGCTCCTTTAGCTCTTCTAACACATTGTAAATAATTCTCTATATTATACTCTTCTAATTGAAACACCTAGGGTATTTCTGTTTCCCACCTGGATGTTGATTAATACAATATAAGTGAGAATATGGCAGATTATATTAATGTTAAATATTATACAACCTTATCCCAATGATATTAATATTGGCCATCCAATTTGTTTTAACTAGTGAAATGGGAGCAGAAGTAACATGTGTCATGTTCAAGCACAAGCTTTAAGAGATATTACATGGTTTTCACTCTATTCTCATTTACCTCTGCGACAAGACCAGCAATGTCCCAGAGAAGAGCTGCCCAATAGTTTGGATTCTGGAGTGCAGACATGAGCCTGAGGCACAGCCGAAATATAATGGGCATGTAACATGAACAAGAAATATACCTTCGTTGTTGTAAACTACTAATATTTTTGAATAATTTGCTATTGCTGTATAATTTAGGATGACATATAATTTGGGTTTACTTTTACTTATTATGTTTGAGAATAATTGGACTCAATCTGAGAAATTATTTTTCGATTCTGAAAATTCTGCCATTAGCTTTGTGAATATTGCCTCCTGCAACTCACAAGCCTCATTTTCTTGTTCTCAAATTAGAAATATATTGACTTTCTTATTATATTCTTTTTAAATTGTAACTTCTCATATTTTCACATGGATAACTCTTTGTGTTACATTCTAAATAATTTTCTCCATCTGTCTTCCAGTTTATCTGTGTCTAATATCCTAATAGACTGTCCATTATTTAATGACTATATTTTTATGCCTGAAAATTTGATTGCATTTTATAAGTGTTTTTCCCTCTTTATAACATTAATTTTTCCTTTTGATTTATATTTGTTCTTTTGTCTTTTTTCATTTAAAATGTACTTATTTCATAATCTTTAGATTGTTTCCGTTATTATAGAGTTAAATTCTTTCTGTTTGTGGGATTCACTGACTCTCCCTCATAATGGGATTATTTCCTCATATATTTTATAGTTTTTAGCAATGAAGCCATCTTCAATGGGGATTTTTTCCCTTCTAGGAATGTTGTGAACTCTAAACTAGTGTAATATTATTTATTTTTTTCACATTTCCATCTTCTAGTGCTAGAGAAATTCATAGGACTAGGACTAGGAGTAGTTTCTCACTAATATTTTTTGGCTTGAGAAGTCAAGCACTATGACATTAATGTAAATTTTAGACCCCAGACTTGTGTACAGCACAGGTTTGGGGCTTTGATTTTTCAACAGGAGGTTTTATTCATCAGTATCCTCAATCAGCAACAAATAAGTTTTGCTGGTCAAAGTTTTTTTCAGGTTCTTTTTCATTGAAAGGGTATCCCTCCAAGGACCCCACATTTTCTATAGATATGTCAATGCTACACCTACCATCTCACTTTATGTGAGATTAAAGACCCAGTACTTACATGTTAGAGCTTTTCTCCATGTTTGATAGCTCTTAGGGACCATATCTAATCTAATATCACAAAAAAGCTATTTAGCATCTGTTTGCAAAAATATCATTCTATTAATTCTAGTTTGTGTTTCTAGTATCAACTGTTCTAGCTCAATGTCTATATCAAGTTTTGTAGTATTTTGTGCACATTTCTCTGTGTTTGTAAGGAAAAGAGTTCTTAGGTTAGCTCAAAATATCTAATTGCTAGATGTAGAAATAAATATATGCATATATGTGTATAGGTTATACATATGTATGTTTCATATATCTATATATATGTTTCATACACATATAGAAATATATATGAAAGGTAGAGGTCATCTATATGTTCACTGAGTTAGCAGAAAACATAATTTAAACCTGAAAAACAAAAGCAGACAAAAATTGCATGGAGAAATGCAGAACCTTATTAAACAAAGGAATAGGCAAGGTTATGGATTTGGGGGAAGAGTGGCCCTTTGGTTAAATTCAAAAGAAGCAGTGTTTTTATTGGATCAAAGGAAACTGGGCCCATTACTGACTAGGAATGTTCTCTGGAGCTTGCTGATTGTTGAGAGATTTAGCTCAAAGTTGTGTGAGCCACGAATACATACCACCATTATAGTATTACAATTTTCTCCATTTGTCTATGTATTTACCTTTATTTGTGAGTTTTATACTTTCATATGCTTTGGTGCTGCTCTTTAGGTCCTTCCATTTCAACTTGAACAATTTCTACTAGCATCTTTTTTTTTTTTTGTAAAGCATGTTGAGCAATAAACTCATTCTGCTTTGGTTTGCCTAGGAAAGTCTGTATCTTCATTTCTGAAGCATAGTTTTTATCAGGTATGGCATTGTTGGTTGGCAACTTTTTTCTTTTGGCACTTTGAATATATCATTCCACTTTTTTTCTGCCCTGCAAGGTTTCTGCCAGAAAGTCTGCTGATAGTCTGATGGTGTTCCCTTGTATGTGGTAATTTGCTTTTCTTTTGCTACTTTCAAAATTCTCTCTTTGCCTTTGATTTGGAAAATTTTATTGTAATGTATCTTGGTGTAGATTTCTTCTCCTGTTTGGCATCCCTTTGGCTTCATGAATTTGGATGTTGATTTCTCTTCCAAGATTTGGGAAATTTCAGCCATTTGGAGAAGGTACACATCTCTGAGACTTCCTCCACCAGCAGGGAGATAGAGGAGTGGAGAGTACACAGAGGTTTCAGGGGCTCCTAAAATTTGTAGCCAGGCTAATTGCTGGAGGCTTTTAAGCCAGTCTGGAAAGACTGGGAAAGGTGGCTGTTTCTTCAATTGCTCAATACCAATGCAAATTTACAAGAAACATGAAGAATTTGGAATATATGATACAACTAAAAGAACAAAATCATTCTCTAGTAACCAATCCTAAAGAAATGGATATGTATATACTGCTTGACAATTAAAAATTATTGCCTTGGAGCTCAGTGAGCTGTAAGAGAACACAGAAATACAACTAAAAGCAATTAGATAAATGATACGTAAACAATATGAGACTATCAACAGAGCTAGAAACCATTAAAAAAGACCAAACAGAAAATCTAGGACTAAAGACTATAATAAATAAACTAAAACTTTTAATAGAGAGCTTCAACAGCAGGCCTGGACAATCAGAAGAAAGATTCAGCAAACTTGAAGTGAGGTCTTTTAAAATTATGCAGTCAGAAGAAGAAAAAGAAAAAAAGATTGAAAAAAGTGAAGAAACCTTAAGAGAGTTATGAAACATTATTAAATGAACCAATATATGCATATGCATATCTCAGAAAGAGGAGAGAGAGAGAGAGAAGGGGGAGGAAAGCTTATTTAAATATTTCTTTAAATTTTACTGTAGAGTTATTTTGTTTCCCTAGTTGTGTCATATATTCCTAATTCTTCATGAGTCTTGTGATTTTGCATGGTATATGAGCAATGGAAGAAGCAGCTACCTTTCCCAGTTTTTACACACTTGCTTTGCTGAGGAAAGACCTTCACCAATCAACCTAGCTAAAGATTCTAGGGGTCTCTGACACCTCTGTGCACTCTATTTCTCTAACCTCTCTCCTGGGGAAGAATGGGGATGTACACCTTCTCTCATTCTCATAGGGCTGAGTTTGCTGCAGTTAGTTGTCCACACCTTCTCCCTAGGGCAGTGCCTCAAAAGCCTGTGATGTTGGATGCATGCTTCATTCCTTCCCTTCCTCCAGGAGGCAAAAGTCTGGGCATTGCCCAGATTTTTCCACTCTTGCAGAGCTGTCTGGCTGCAGGAAGATTTCTTCTCCTTTTCTTGGTTCTTAATTGCCTCCAGGCTTCTGGAATGGAAGCCCCAATAATGGAACTATGCTGGTTCCGTTAGTATTTTGTGTGAGGTAAAACAGAAACCAGTCCCTATGGCAGTGCACTGAAAGGCCTGAGACATTGGATACATACTCCACTATTTTCTCTGAGGAAGAAATACAAGTTGGAGGCAGTCTTTCTTGGTCCTGAGATGGGCTGGCATGGGGGAGGAGGTAATGTGGATAAAGTGAAATTGTTCTTTTCACCTTTTTAAATGCAACTGTTCTCAGTTTGTGATGATCTGGGGGTACTGCTTCATCTGAGCTGGATTCTGAACCTCTCATAAGGATTTTCTGGTCCATACATTGTTGTGAAATCAGTGTTTCTCCCAGGAAACAAAGCCTGGGACTTTCTATTACACCATGTTGCTATCACCTCCTCTCACATTCTTCTTGGTGAAACATTTTATTTCCTTGTAAATGCAGTCTTTATCCAGTCAATTTTTGCTTGAGATCAATAATTTTTCAAGATAAAGATTAGCTCAAGCACATAGGTCTACTTAGTTGCTTCACTTTTGTACAAATCACACACGAACTAAAAGCACAGTGTTAAGCAGTGTTTCATCTCTCCCCAAATGTGAAACATGCAGTTTTATCATTTTAATTGTTTCCATTTAAATACTGTTTAAGTATGATGTTGGTGTTACTGTAGAAAATTAAATATAAATTTTCTCCAAATTAATGTAATTTTAAGCAATCTTTTGACTATAAGAAGTTTTCATTAACTGATTTAAATTAGTTGTTCTCAAATTTGAAAACTCATGGATCCTGAGAATATATTTGCATTTTCCTGAAGAATCTATACCCTCCAGTTTGAGAAACAACTGTTTTAAATATTGATTTTCATTAAAAGCTTCTTATTAAAATATTTACAAAATTTTATACAGCTGGACTTAGCTGAATTTTCTTATTTTTTGCAGTTTATGACAGCTATTGTTAGAGATAATGATTGTGGTAAACTTGTGGGAGTCGTTCTATTTCCTTTCTCTTTTCAGGAACACTGCCAGTATCAGGAATCACTGGCTGCCTCAAAATTGCAGCTGTGGTTGTCTTCTCAGATTACTAGGAAATTAAAGCAGTGTTCGTAGCAAACTTGAAAATTATTATTCAGCAAAGATTTGTACTAAGAAACACAGTTAATGAATGAAGACATTTAAAGGAAAAGATTGAGTAAAAATAAGAGAAAAATCTAGTTGTTAAATTAACCAATAGATCTTATACAAAAGGAAAGGAGGAAAAGAAAAATGCTGTATTTCAAGTTCCTCTTCCAACATTGGATTTTTTTTCCTCTCTCTCCTCTTTATTTAAATTTAATCTCTTTGTAGGTGATTATTTATTCTACTTTAAATGAAATATGCATAAGAAAATTGATACATGTTTGCAAGTTACAGTAAATTTTGTAACATTGGTTCTGACAATCTCCTTAATAATGAATGTGTATGTGTTCTGATCCAGAACTAGATTTCATTGTGTGATACCTGTTAAAAGTTTGGATGATATTTACTATCTTTATTTGTATTCTCTTTACATATGGACAATTAACCACTCTAGAAAGCTCATTTCAATTCTAATAGAGATTTTAAATGTGTTGTGATGATTCTATGATTCATGCTACGAAGTGCTCTAAAATAAATACAAAATGCAACTATCTTTAATACTCTGAAATTATTCATTATTAAATTAAAGTAGCATTCATTTTATGCTGGTTTTAATAGCTAATTTAACTATTTAAAGAAGCTACTTTAAAAAATAAGACACTTCTTTCCATATTACGTGGTGGGTATTCTCAATCTTCATCCCCAACCACATTCTCCCAGAATTTGGGTTGGTTAAAATTTAGTATTAATCTCCTTCCCGCTTTCAATACTTTCAAGGCAACAGTTTTCCCATTATGTCAAAACTGACTTATTTTTTCACAAACCAAATTTTTCTAGCTCTGTTGATCATTTAAGACTATTGAAAAATCAGGGCAGATTTTGGAAAGTACAGCAGAATACAATTTATTACTGGTAAATTGTCAGTTATGATCAGCCTTCATGTTTTTTAAGATGAAACAATTTGTTTTAGAGGTGGGCAATTCTTAAAAAGACCAGTAGTTGGAGTTGGTTACACACACACAACAGTTATGTTTCCAATGTGGAAAATGCACCCAGTTTCTAAAATTCAGCAAATGATTTTCATTTGGTAGATGTTCAAACATATTAATTATTCTGGGAGTGCCAAAATAAATTTTAAAAAAACTTTTCTGGGCAAATTTGACACCCAAAATTTGGTCGTATGCTGCTCTATTAAATAATAATTATATGGATTAATCCATTGTATTCTTATATATAAATTATTTACAATATATAGTAATTTATATTTACATATGTGTACACAATTTATATTTCCATATATGTAAAAAATTATTTTATTTTTTCTTATCTAAATATATTAGTATAATATAGAATAAGTATATAACAGAATTTGGGGAGTTTTCTAGAACTATGACCCAAACTCAAACATCCTAAATTCACTCCCTAATTTATGTAAGGCTGTTTTTAAGCTTATGATTATGTAAGGCTGTTTTTGTTTTGTTTTGTTTTTTGTTTTTTTGTATTTTTGAGATGGAGTCTGGATCTGCTACCCAGGCTGGAGTGCAGTGGCGTGATCTCGGCTTACTGCAACCTCCAGTAAGGCTGTTTTTAAGCTTATGAATTAAAACCTTAATACACAAGGGATAGTTAATCTATGAGAGTTTTAATAAATCTGTAATTACTTTGATAAAAATCTGAAAATAATAGTAGCATCATAATGATTTGAGATTTTATGATGTTATTTAATTGAAAACTCTGAGTTGAATAGAAAAGAAATGCAGACTTTAAGAAAGACTTCTTCAAATGTACTGTAAATGCAAAAAAAAAACTATAGAAAAATATTTCTCTTGGATTTAAAAGTATTAAATGTCTTGCAAAAATGCTTGTCAGCAAATGAATTTTTTTATGGATGGAGAAATGAACTGAGAGGTTATCATCTGTTTTAACATTAAATGTGTAGATAAACAATCAAATAACTTATGGTAAAGAGATTCATTGTGGGTCATACCATGATTCCTTCACTTGCCTCAGTATGTGAATCATATTAATGAACAATAATTTAGTATTAATTGTACAAAAATGGTAATATTTATGATGTTATCCTAGAGGACTGTATATCCAAATTTGATTTAGTTGAAAACAACTGTGGTGCCGTTGAAACTAAGCTAAGGGTGAGCCAGAGTGTTGAGCCAGCAGATGTCAGAGATTTGAGCTCCACCATCATAGACAGCACATTAGTATATTAGAGTGGAAAATGAAACCCCACGATTAATGCTTGCCTGATGGTTGATTGATGAAACTGAAAAATTCAAAATACTGAAGTAAAATAAAGGAGTAGAGGAGAGGGAGACAAAAAAGAAACAGTGAGAGAAATTGAGAGTGTGTGTGAGAGATTCAGAGAGATGACAAAACTGATTTTCCTATATTAAAATTTCTGTCAGACTTTAGATATTATGAAAAGTGAGAGAAAACTATTGGGTTGACCTACATAAAATTGCTGCTAATTTACAGTTTTGACCTTCAAATATAACATTTTCATGTGCTTCCACATAATATAAAATCCCTAACTCAAGGTCTAACTTTTGATGAGGATATTACATAAGGCAATTCCTAACCTTTTCTCATATAACGCAGTATACAATAAGTTTTGCCCCTCTTGTAGTAGCATTCTACAATTCTGTAGAGATTTTGTGTGATACGATTTGGCTGCATCCCCACCCAAATCTCATCTTGAGTTGTATCTCCCATAATTCCTCCATGTCGTGGGAGGGACCCAATGGGAGATAATTGAATCATGGGGGTGGTTTCTCCCATACTGTTGTTGTGGTAGTGAATAAGTCTCACTAGATCTGATGGTTTTATGAGGGAAAACCCCTTTCGCTTGGTTCTCATTCTGTCTTGCCTGCTGCCATGTAAGAAATGCCTTTCATCTTCTACCATGATTGTGAGGTCTCCCCAGCCACGTTGAACTGTGAGTCATTAAACCTCACCTTCTTTATAAATCACCCAGTCTTGGGTATGTCTTTATCAGCAGTGTAAAAACAGACTAATACAGTAAATTGGTACCAGTAGGGTAGGGTGCTGCTGAAAAGATACCCGAAAACATGGACGTGACTTTGGAACTAGGTAACAGGCAGATTTTGGAACAGCGTGGAGGGCTCAGAGGAAGACGGAAATTGTGGGAAAGTTGGGAACTCCCTAGAGACTTGTTGAATGGCTTTGACAAAAACGCTGATAATGATATGGACAATGAAATCCAGGCTGAGGTGGTCTCAGATAGAGATGAGAAACTTGTTGGAAACTGGTGTAAGACTCTTGCTGGTGGCATTTTGCCCTTGCCCTAGAGATATGTGGAACTGTGAACTTGAGGGAGATGATTTAGGGTATATGGCAGAAGAAATTTCTAAGCAGCAAAGCATTCAAGAGGTGACTTAGGTGCTATTGAAAGCATTCAGTTTTAAAAGGAAAACAGAGCTTGAAAGTTCAGAAAATTTGCAGGCTGATGATACAATAAAAAAGGAAAACCCATTTTCTGAGGAGAAATTCAAGCTGGTTGCAGAAATTTGCATAGGTAACAAGGAGCCAAATTTTAATCACCACGGCAATAAGGAAAGTGTCTCCAGGGCATGTCACAGACCTTTTCGTCAGCCCATCCCATCACAGTCCTGGAGGCCTAAGAGGAAAAAATGGTTTCATGGGCCAGGCCCAAGGGCGCCTCTGCTCTGTGCTGCCTACGGACTTGGTCCCCTGTGTCCCGGCCACTCCAGCCATGGCTAAAAAGGGCTAAGGAACAGTTTGGGCCATTGCTTCAGAGGGTGCAAGCCTCAAGCCTTGGCAGCTTCCAGATGGTGTTGAGCCTGCGGATGCATAGAAGTCAAGAACTGAGGCAGTGGAACCTCCATCTAGATTTCAGAGAATGTATGGAAATGCCTAGATGTCCAGACAGAAGTTTTCTACATAGGTGGAGCCCTCATGGAGAACCTCTGCTAGGGCAGTGCCGAAGGAAAATGTGGAATTAAAGCCCCTACACAGAGACCCAACTGAGGTACTGCCTAATGGAGCTGTGAGAAGAGTGCCACCATCCTCCAGTCCCCAGAATGGTAGATCCACTGATAGCTTGCACCATGTGCCTGGAAAAGCCGCAGACACCTAATGCCACCCTGTGAAAGCAGTTGGGAGAGAGGCTGTACCCTGCAAAGCCACAGGAGTGGAGCTGCCCAAGACCATGTGAACCCACCTCTTGCATCAGCATGACCTGTATGTGAGACATGGAGTCAGTCAAAGGAGATTATTTTGGAGCTTTAAGATTTGACTGCCCCACTGGATTTTGGACTTGCATGGGGCCTGTCGCCCCATTGTTTTGGCCCATTTCTCCCATTTGGAATGGGTGTATTTATCCAATGCCTGTATCCCATTTGAGGCCTCCCCAGCCCTGTGGAACTATGAGTCCATTAAACCTCTTTTTCTTTATAAGTCACCCAGTCTTAGGTATGTCTTTATCAGCAGCATGAAAACAGACTAATACACTGGGGCTCTAAAGTGCTATTGTAAAAGGAGTAGGAAAAGAACTTTCCACAGACAACAACAGAAAAGTGAAAGAAACTCTGCATTCAACAAATGTTTATTGAACCTTTGCAAATAGCAGAGAAAAACAGAACAGACAACCTCAGAGTTTCTCTGAAACTTTAGGTTTATTGTTAAACATTATATGACTCCTGCAGTCCAATCTACCATACGTCCCCCATTTTTTTCCGTTGTTTTTCTGCTTCAATGTCTTAGAGAAAAATGATTTACCAATACATTGTCAACTTAAGTGTCCACGAATGGATGGATAAAGAAAATGTGGTTTGTGTGTGTGTGCGTGCATGTATTCCTTTTTATGGCCATTATATATATAAAATGGAATTTTATTAGGCCATAAAAACGAATAAAATAATGTTTTTTGCATCAACATGGATGAAACTGGAGATCATTCTCTTAAGTGAAATAAACCAGGCACAAAAGACAACTATCACATGCTTTCACTTATATGTGGGAGCTAAAAATTCTGATCACATGGAAGTAGAGAGTGGAAAGATAGAGAACAGAGACTGGGAAGGGTGAATCAGGGGAGAGGAAGGACAAATAGAAGTTAATTAAAGAGTACAAATTTACAGATAAATAAAAGTAAAAATTTCAATGTTTGATAGAGTAGGGTGACTGTAGTTAAACAAAAATGTATTGTACTCAAGTGAACACCCAAAATACCCTGACTAGATCACTCTAGATTATATACATGTAACAAAATTTCATGTGTATCCCATAAATTTGTACTAATAAAAAATTAAAGATTACATACCAAGTGACAATGAAAAAAAATCCCTCTTTCTTTCAAACAGTTAAAAAATGTTTTCCATGGAAGTACATAAGTATATCCTTATGATTTCTAGCAGTTCTAGATTACCAATTGTGTATCTGCATGGCCAAATTCTCAATCAACTCCAGAAACTATGAGAGATGAAACTTAATTTGAACTTTAAAAAATGGACATATTTGAGTACAAAAGATAGAGAAGGCATTCCAAATAAGGAAGAAAATCATTCGGAACCTGTGTATCAGATAGGAGAAAGCTAATCAAAAAGATGAAGAAGAATGAATTAAGGTAATATGATGATAAAAATACCAGTTAACACATAAACATTAATAGCTGTGTCTTCTTTATAATTATCCAGGATTTCCCTTGATGCCAAGATTATACTTTTGTGCACATACCTATATTTTATATGTAAGCTTCTACTAAAATCGGTATTGAAAAGACATGTTTGTTCTTATATGGATTATACAAGAAATAGAATAGGTGCCGTCTCTACTTTGATGGGCGTAGCTCAGGTTTCAATGTTATTAAAGGTTAAATGATGATAAAAATATAAGAAATTTGAAATACAGCATTCTTCTCAAAAGCATGATTTTCAAACAAACAAGGTTTTCATGTTTGTTTATTTTGGAATATTTTCTTGATCTGTAGCATATTATTAAGTAAGACCCCTCTGATTATCAATCATTTTAGATTTGCTTAAGTAGAATGGTGATTTTAGTATATTCTTTAAAATCCTAGTGTATATTTATTTTCCCTTAATCAAATTAGAGTACCGTTTATTTTCAGCCCCTTGAATCCCCCCGACATCTTTTATTTGTATATTTTTTAGTTAGGATTTTATAAGTTTTTATATGCCATTTGCATTGTGTGGAATAGTCATAAAATTCGTTGTCAGAGCTAGCATGTAGGACATGAAGGAAACGAAAATAGGAGAGAGAAAGAAATTGCATCAAGAAAGCAGGAGAAGCTAAAGGAAAAGTAAGAACAAAAGGAGGAGTGGAAAAGAGATTTAAAAATGAGATAAGTCATGGCAGTGGGCTTCGGAATCAACTCTCTATCCCCACTGTGGTCAATGGGTCCTTCTAAGGGAGGAGTAGGATGGAATTCAGGGAATAAAATATATGTCTGACTATAATCTAATAATCTTTACCCTCTCCCTCAATCCCTGTGTGCACTTAGCTCCCTCTGTTGGACTGGTGTTGTTTACACACAAGTGATTTGTTCTTTGAAGAGGCAGCCAAACAAAATTTCCTTCTGATATTTTACATTCAAAAGACAGAGGAAAACGATCTCTTCTTGGCGTTTTTACATTAGTATAAATGTTTTTAAGTGGTGATAACAACTAAGATGAATTGTTTGCACAACTCAAGACTTTTCCTCCAGGTCTTTGTTGTAGTAGAGAAATTTAAGTATTTTGTATCTTTTACCACACTGACTTTCTCACATCAAGTATTCAAAATTGCAACCACATTAAGGGAGAAGTTTGGAAATGTTCCTATTAGAAGGCAATCACAATAGTTTCCAGTAACCACTAGACTTCTTGTGATTATGATTTTAATATAGTAACAAAGCCCTCCTTCCCAAATGGGTGAAAGATACACATTCTTCTAATAGTTTAAGTCATGTTTGGAGATAAAAGATGAAGACTAGGAACTCCAGACCTCTGGAAGATTTTAGAGTAGCCATAATTAATGATATAGAATATGTTAGTCTATGAGTGCTTCATAATATGCAATATGTGAGGCTGGAGGTTGTATGCCTTGCTTATTATTTTATGGAGTCTCAATAAATTTTTCTTTAATTTACTGATTTTAGATTAAAAAATTGACTTCTAATTTTTCCAATCATCCATTCACTCATTCAGTTAACTTCTCAACAAACACTTAAGAAGAACTAATCATGTCACAGGTTCTGTGCACAGTGCAGGGTATACAACCGTTAATTAAAGTAGACATTTTTCCATTCTTATGAGATTTACAGCTTTTACTTACTTTGCTTCTCTCACACAATACACTTAATTTTCTAGGCTGGAGCATGGGTTAGAGACATTCTGGGGATTAGAACTAACCTAGTCATAAGATTTCTAGGTTCTTCCTAAATTTTAATGCACATTGGAGTTTCATGTATTTTTTAGAATATAATAAATTGATTGATGATCCCTACAATTTCTCTCAAGATTCCAGTGTTTATCTTGTTGAGAATGACAGTGACCTAATATGTATTGACTTTTTGATGACCCTTACAACAATACTACCTTGTTTCAAATTTATATCCCTGGGAATTTCCAAGAACCATGGTGTGTGTCTATATGTATGTGTGTCTATGTGTAGGAAGAAGACAGGTGGTAAGGAGATAAGAGAGATGGGCAGAGATGATTAGGAACAATGCATATAACTTTATATAAAATTTTGATCCTACTATTCTCCTTACTTATTCTGCAACATACTATAGGATATTAAAAATGGAAGATCTGTGTGACACTCAATACCTTTATGTAACTCAGGTGTCATATGACTAAAAAAAGGACTTCTCAAACTACATTTAGTAAATGGGATTTATTGTAAAATAAAACCAGGAAACATCATGCAATTCAAATGGAAGAAAATGGAGCTAGGTCTATACAGTTTCTGTAATGAGGGATTGTTATGTTGTTCAAGAACTGAGGACACTCATATCTTGATCACTCTTCCTCTGAGGTCACATGAGTCTTGATTTTTATGGGTCTATAACCTTCTATGCCTGGCACCCACTAGTAACTTAATGTAATTTCTGTGTACTACATCCATAAAGTAGTGGAAAGAATATGGTTATGTCAGCTTATGTCATGTACACTCCACAGATTAATTCAGATAACTGGGCATTGAGATGACCAGAGGTATTTCAATAACCATTTAGTGAAGGTTTATATCAGATTCTCCAACAAAGGGTTTGTAAAGGACATCAGTGCCAAATTTAAATATTTATCTTTCAACATGCAAACAACTCTTTTAAAACAAGAGACAATACAGACTAATTCACCACTGAAAGATAAATTGAAAATCAGGACTTTCTTACAAAGATATTCATTGTAAATTCATTTGAGTCGATGCCAGAAAAGATTCTAATTTAGTGGAATTAACCTGCTTGTTTGTTTACTTTTCCACAGTGCTCTGAGGTTTCTAAAATATGGGAGTTGTTGACAATAGTGTTCTTACATGTAATATAGATGGCCCATCCAATTTCTTATTAATTAAATTCTGCTATCATTTCCATTCCTAGCTAAATGAAATTATAACAATAGAAGGTTATGTTATGACAAGGTAGCGTAAAAGTTTAGAAATATATTTTGAGTACTCTTGACACCATTTTGATGTACAAAAGGAATTGCTAAAAGATTTGGACCACTTTATAATCTATATTAGGTTTCAGAACTTGCATGCAGACAAATACTCATTCAGTTTCAGAGAGAGAATTTAGAGCCAACAATAACTTTGAAATTTATTAAAAGTAGGTCACCTTCTTAATGGTGAAATGTTTGTGCTAAAAGGAGGAATAGTTCTCTTGACTAAATTTGTTAGGACTCAAAAGAGTGCAAAAAGGGTCATTGAAAAGGATAATTTATGGCACTCAAAATATTTGTGAATCCAAATATTGTCATTTTTTTTCTAAACAAGCAAGGATACTGATCAGTTAACAGCATTCATATAAATGAACTGTTAAGGTTGAAATGAACAGGAGCTATCTTGTGTTATTTACAATCAAGTTCTGTCTTAGAGACAATGGTAAATTATTAATAATGCTCATTAATCAATGAGCATATTAAAATAATTACATTCTCTGCATTTTTATTTACTGAATATTTCTAAATTTATTTTAAATTTATTACTCAACTTAATCTCTAACATTCCTCATTGACTATTTAGTCAATTGTGCTAATGTTCCACTTTCCAAAACAACATGCAAATGGAAGAAAGAATGAACTAATAGTCATTGTGCACTTGTTAAAATAAACCAGGCAATTTGCATAAGTAAGCATATTTAATACCTACAACACTACAGTACAGATATTATATTATTTACGGAAGAAAAAAATTGAACATCAGAGGAATTCAAGAAATTGTCCAGAATCAGGTAAGATAGCCAAAAATATCAGAACTGGTTGCTGATCAGTCTGTATATCTATAAAGTACATGCTTTAAAAAAAACACACTTCCTATATGCTATGCCAATTATTTCCTATTTCTTGTAATATCAAGTTAAATCTGCTCAGCCTAGCATTATGATGATCCATTATCTGGTGTCTCTTTACTTAATCAATCTTCTTTTCACTGCTGTCCAACACAAAGCCTGTTTTTCAGTCATCAATCTACTTCCACCTCCAGACCTTATTTTATCCACTCTGGAGTCAGAAGGCCCAACCCTCTTTCATATAAATCCAAACCTAAATTCTCCATGACAACCTCTCTCTTAGTTATAAATAAAATTCCCTGCCCTTTTTGTTTTTTCCTTATTTTCTGACTGCTGTTTTCTATGCCCTCTTTTACTGTGGTCTAACAATCACTTCTTCAGGCTGATCTGCCTGCTCTCCTTTCTTCTATGACGTCTTCTATAGCATTGATAGGGTGCTTCTATCTCTCACCAACTGCTTTGAAATGAGCTCCTTCTCTTCTAGATCTCGTATATACTACATAATTAGTTACCATATGGCCACAATATACATGCAATGCAGGGTGCAGAAGAGTAAGTAGAACTGACTTAGTACCTACTCTTATGAATATTTTAATTCTTTGAGGAAATGAAATATGCAGGTTGTTTATATATATGAAATAGAGAAAACATCCCTCATGAAGGCAGACTTTTATCTAAATGTGAAAATATAAGGAGAACTTTTTTGTTTTCCTTGTTAAACAAACATACACACACACACACATTATGGTACTTTATATGATAATGGATTATAGAAAGGAAAGAGGAAGGAGATGAAAAATCTTATACCTAGCAGAGTACATATTTTTCAAAAAGTTTCTTTCTTTTCACCAGTTCTGGTGGTGTTATATATTATCTTGCTATATGTGTCTGACATTAACTTAAGGTTCTGAAAAATGAGTATTTAATTAAACTACATCTAGTTTAGGGAAAATCTTGCCTGGTAACTTGAGGAAATTAAAGATTTTTAACCCTCATGTTCATAATAGGGATCCTACAAAAAGTCAGGGCCTGGGATCTCATGATTTCAATGACAAATTTAGGAATCATCAAATACTCTGTGGTTTCAGACACCATTCTTTTTCCCCAGTGAGTTACTACTTACATGGGGCAGTGTTAACTCATGTTTTCCTATATTTAGCTGCATTCCAAAGAATTTCATAAGCATTTCCCTGAGCTCACTTTCCCATCCTCAGAGTGATGGCATGAAGCAAGAGGGGATTTTTGATGAATATACTAATATTTTGCATCTTGGAATGTAGATTGGGGTATTTTCATAGAGGGGTTAAAAAAAGGATTAAGAATGGTGGGAATGAAAGTGATTTCTTCTGGGAATCCTCACTATTGCTGATCGTGTTCTCGCAGTGAATTAGTGATCTGTGTGCTGGGAGACACAGAAGTTTCTGTACTTGCATGCTTCTCTCTGTCCACCTTTTACTTTATCTGAACCTATATGCATCGATATCATATCATATTTTACCTTCCCATTCACAAAGGGCTGCTTTTCCTATCTGCCTGCAACAATTGGACTATGAATGAGATAAAAGTCACTAAAAGAAAGAAGGGGAAAGGAGCCAATTATTATTTTTTATAATCAATATCTTTTTCCTCACAATTGGGTCCGATGATATTAATTAGCTACTTGACCCAAAGATTCTTAAACTCAGGGTTCAACAACCTTGAAAAAAGAGCTAGTTTTCCTTGCTTCTGGTCTCCAGTATTCTGAGGATGTGCATGAACATGTGTCATCTTCAGGAGCAATGTGTGGGGTAGAGTCAGTGGAGCTCACAAGCCTCAGACAAATGAAGGTGTTTACCTACTAAAAACTTAACCACAGCATCTCTGTCTTCCATGAGGAGCCATTTTCCTAGTTATACACATCTAGTCTTTCTTTTCTTAGGTTTTAACTACTGTAGATCTGGGTGTAAGTCAAAACTGACCCCTACTTCTACACATGAAATGATGTCATCTAAATCAGGCCCAAAACAGAACTAATCAACTCCAATTGGAATTTGGTTCTAAATCCAATCTTTTACATTCTGCCATTGATATGCTTTTATATTCCTATATCATCTAGATGTAGGAGATTTGTGTGTATTCTGTCATTTATCTTTTCCAGTAGAATGTTTTATAGAACCCAAGGCACTTCTTCAGGTATTTGTCTGATTTCTATTTTTCCCAAATAATCATCTTTTAACAGAATTTAAAAGTCTGTGGAGTGAGGCTGTATCTTATACTTCTTTAAACTGCACTTCCCTAAATTAATACACTTTAAATTTAGTTTTGTTTGTTTAGTTTAGTTTTTACATCAGAGGAAGTCCATGCATTTTTATTGAATGAATGGAAAATTAATTGATGAACTAATTCTGAGTTGGAATGTTCAAGTAATAAACAACATAAGATGCATTTTTTGCCTTTTTTTGCCAAAAAAAAGCTCTGGTTATAATCTGATAACAATAAATTTCCTCTTATATGACTCATATTTCATGGGTAACTAATGAACCTAGGCACATAATAAGCATTTTGGACAACACAAGATTATATTAGATTCAGTCCTTGTCTTCCATGAGCTTTCAATCTAGTTGTGAGTTCCTGGAAAATACTTAATTTTGACACTAGAGAAATCTCATGCTAGAAATTTCTGCCAGTACCAATTAAAGATATTTTCTCTCAAGTTTCCTGAAGCCAAAGTATACAAGGTTTGCAAATTACGTGACTACAGCAATGAGATTGAGAGTAAACATTGCAAAGAAATCTCAAAATTACCAACCAAAGCATTTTTAAAAATCAAACATCTCTCCCTAGTGGCCCGAGGAGATATATCAGAAGTCAAAGGATAGAAAGCAGCATTCTTTACCTGACTCCATATATTTACTTGTCAGAACTGCTTAACCTTAGCTTTCCTGACAGCAAATGTGCTTGGACTGAAAAGGGAGAAATTATGTCAAAGCACTTCCCAAAGGCCAGGAAGTATTTGCTTTCCGAATGCAGGCGTCTTTGTATATCTGTGGCTAAAAGTGATGCTGAAGATATGCAGATTTGTAATTTCTAATTTTACAAAATACGACTTTGTTTTCGGTGCTAACAAGCAAGAAATTACTGACAGCATCAGATGCCTGGAACTTACTGGATCAATGAGATGGGACTTCCGGCTTTTCTGTTAGGCAAAGACCTGCTAAAGTTGAGCCATGGAAGCCCACCAAATCCATGAAACATTAACATTGCCACTACAGCTTCATCTCTGCTATAGAAAACATGTAAAGTATTTTTCATACAGTTCCTAAACTTGTGGTAAGGAATTAAGCCCAAAATGTCTTAGGAAGTCTTGGATTTTGATTTGCTGAGCATTAGGAATACACTTTCTTGTCTTCCTTCCATAGGTTTGTATTATGATTCTATTTTAAAAATTCATAGCTTTGTCTCTACTCACGTGTTCCCAGAAATGGTTAGATGTGTATAATATGTTCACAGTTCTTTCTTTAATCTGGGGGCTGCAGCGAACTAAAGGCAGAAGAAAGTAGGGTGAACACTGAACCAAGCAATAACTGGCCATCTGAATAATCCTTGCTGCTGGGGCCTAGTAAAGATAAATACTCATCTATCCAGCGCCTTCATTTCTGTAATGTCTCCCTGTCCAATTTAATAAATGCTTTCTTGCTGGTTTCTTGGCATCTCTTTGAATAAGGAATGTAAACTGAAAAGGCCTAGGAGACTAAAACTGGCACAAAACTCTATGATGAATAGTATCAGGAGACACAGAGGCTAGCTCAGTAGTCCCATATGCAGTGCCACAGTCTTTACCAGAGGGCAAATGGATTTGCTGCCTGGGACAAGGCAGTTGCATAATTTCCAGATTCATGAAAAAATAAGGGAAAAAATAAGAATAAAACCAGGTCCAATTTTATGCAAATAGAAGTATGAAGTCAGATATTTATAGAAATTATATTAAAGACAACAATTTAAAATCTTAATAAACAGAACCATCAGTATATATTTAATCCTTAGATATTGTAAAAGGAAAACATAATGTGGGTTTCTCTAAGAACACTTTGAAATTTCGGAAGAAACTGCCAGCAAAATTAGACTGAAACTATTATTTAGTTATCTCTATATTTATACTATGTCATAAACTATTACTGTTTAAATATCTTAAAAAGCCCTGGAAAATCATGTTAATTTTTCCAAGTTGAATATTACTAAAATAAGAAAACTTTCACTTGGTGCTATGGAGTCTGACTAGACTTCAGTTCAAATTTTATTCCCCAAAGAAGCCTTAAATTATATTTTTTAAGTTTCTATTTTTCTTTTCACATGTTGAAGAATTTTCCCAGGCTATTATGTTCAAGTCTTTGATTGTAATATGGAAGCCATGCTCCCAGATAATTGAAGTAAATATTAATTCAGATCCACCCAGTAGGTGTGTAGTTTTGGTGACTCACTATCTTTTAGGCCTCTAAAAAGGCAATCATAAAGTGTGTTGTGACAGATAAAAGTGAGCAATCAGAGGCAGCACTCATATTGGAATAGTTTACCATTAAGGCTCACTGGAAAACAGTAGTGTTGAATTTTGGGGCAGTATTCATAGACTAGGGTATGTTATTTACATTTGGGGGATTAAACTAAGGACATTCACTAGTAGTTGTTCAGTTTTTCTCCTTGCAAACTTTTGGTCTGAACAGAGGCAGCTCATCACACCTAGTTGTAAGAAAGGCCCAGTAAAAAATTGTTTCCAGTGCTAACAAGCAAGAAATTACTGACAGTATCAGATGCCTGGAACTTATTGGATCAATGAGATGGGACTTCGGGCTTTTCTGTTAGGCAAAGATCTGTTAAAGTTGAGCCATGGAAGCCCACCAAATTCATGAAACATTAACATTGCCACTACAGCTTCATCTCTGCTATAGAAAACATGTGAAGTATTTTTCATACAGTTCCTAACTTGTGGTAAGGAATTAAGCCCAAAATATCTTAGGAAGTCTTGCATTTTGATTTGCTAAGCATTAGGAATGCACTTTCTTGTCTTCCTTCCATAGATTTGCATCATGATTTTATTTTAAAAATTCATAGCTTTGTCTCTACTCACACGTTCCCAGAAATAGTTAGATGTATACAATATGTTCACAGTCCTTTCTTTAATCTGGGGACTGCAGCGAACTAAAGGCAGTTAAGAAAAAATTGAGAATATAAGCTATAAAGCCAAGATGGCTGTTGCATCGGGATACAAACAACAGTATGTGCCACAATGAGAAAAGGCTAGAACTAACTACAATTTAATGGAGAACATGCTTATGTATAATGCTTATTATTATTCTTGAAAAATAAACTTCTCTAAATGTTGCTGTTATATTGAAATTATGTCAACCTTTTATTCCCTAGGAGAAAGGTATTCTCAGTTAAAATTTCCTGAGTTTTTATGCATTTTTAACAATCCTGCATAATGTATTAACATCTTATCTCAGACATTACAATGAATAGTTCTCTATGTAATAAAATTTTAGCTAGCAAACTCATTTGCCTGCTCAAAATATTTGCCCTTATAGCTAATGATAATATTTTATTAAGTTTCAATTGGACTCTAAATGTAGTCTATTGTTATTTTGCTTATTGTTTGTAAAAAGAGTTATACACACTATGTGAGGATTATGTATTAGTGCATGAACATTTAGAGGGGACTCCAACTTTGGTGGAGGCAAGAACACATGAACAATCATGAAAAGATTCTTTTGGCCAAACTGGGTGTGATAATTTCTTAAACATGTTGCTTCCTGGAGGCAAGGAAACTAAAATTGGACTGTGGCTTATATTTATTAATTTTAATCCTAAATATAATTAAGTTGCCAATAAGAAGGCATTTGATATAAATGCTCATTTATGTATACCATATGAGCTGTATCAGAAATATATTGGTGAATAAAAATTATGACTCCAGCCTTCAAAAATCTTGTAAGCTAGTTTCGTTTTTTTCTATAAAATAGACATCAAAAAATCCATAGTTATTCTGACTACATATTTACATTTTAATAGTCATTGTTGTGAACAACACCAACAAGGAAAGCTAAGAGAAGTGCACCCTTTTACAGTGTTTCAGAAAAAAGAAGTTTTGGATCCAGTACAACATAATGCATATATAGAGTGGGCATCAACTTCATTAGGGATGTGGTTGGCTGTAGAATGAGCACAAAATAGGAACAATGTCCAGAGCACACCTAGTACCTGGTAGGAGACAGGTACTGATCTGGTTGATTTCATGTAATTCTTTCCCACAGAATCGCTTTGCTTTAGTGTAATGTATTACTTGCATATTGGTGTGAAACAAATCACCCCAAAACAGTAGCTTGAAAAAACAAACATCTATTATCTCACAATTCCAGTGATTCAAGAATCAGGATATATCTAAACTGGGTATCTCTAGCTCAGGCTCTCTCACAGTGGCAATTAAAGTGTTGGCTGGGACTATAGTCATTTCGAGGCTCCTATGAGAGACAATCTGCTTTCAGGCTCACTCATATGGCTGCTGACCAGCCTCCAGTCCTTCTGGCTCTTGACTGAGACATCAGCTCCTTGCCGTGTGGGCCTTTGCGTAGTACAGCTTCCAATATGGCAAGTGGCTTTCCTCAGAGTGAGTGGGTAAAAGAGAAAGAGAGGGAGTACCACACATGGGAGACAGCTTCTCTTTGTTCCCTTATTTTGGAAGTGACATTACATCCTTTTACCATTTTCCATTCATTTGAAGGGCATTAAACCAACACACAAGGTATTACACAAGGGCCCAAAGGGACAAATACCAGTAGATAAAGAATCTTTGAGGATCACCTGAGAGACTGCCTACCATACTTTGTGGGGCAATCTGACATGGATAAATACACATGGACTCTTTAATGGTCCCTCAGACGTAAGTTGGGACCTGAGCCCTGAAACTTTCTACCTATCTGAACATGGACATGTCTCTCTATTCTCTGTTGTAAAGGTAAATAAATGAATGCTAGTACACTCTACTGTCCCTCAGTTCACATATATAGAATGGGCACAATAACTTGTAACTCTAAGGGCTGCAGTTAAGATTCAATAGTGCAATTGTGCTTAACAAGTAGGAGGCAGCAAATATTCCACTGTCCCTAATAAAAGTAACAAATTTGTTTGTAAATTTATGAAAAAGAACTGTCCATGGTGACCTGTCCTATGAACTTCCTAGGTTCAGCATTAGTGCCCTCTTGCAGAATAACCAACATATTTAACATATTTATGTCTTCACAACTCAGTAAAAGTGGTGGTTATTTTGGACTACCTTCTGTCAGAAGTAGAATATTATGACCCAACTGAAAGGAGATATTTATTCTAAGTTTTTTTTAAGTTTTTTTTTTCTCTCTCTCTTCTTGGTACTTGAGTTCAGCCAAGATACAGCAATTTCTCATTATTCCCAGTTAATAGTTAGAACTAGAAATGATCTACTTTGTACTTGGCACTGACAATTCAACTACAGTGTTTTGATAATTTCTAGGTGTTATGTTTTAGAAGGGGGCATGGACAATTGTGAACATGTTCAGAAAGAATAATCAGATTGATGAGTGGATTCTAAAACCTGCAACATGTCATCTGAAAAGATAAACTCCCAGAAAGAGAATGTTTAACTCAGAGGTAGAGTGGAGAGAGAAGGCTTCAAATCTTAGTTCTACCTCCCACTAGGTGACTGATAGGGTTTGGCTCTGTGTCCTCACCCAAATCTCACCTTGAATTGTAATAATCTCCATATGTAAAAGACAGGACCAGGTGGAGGTAATTGAATCATGGAGGTGGTTTCCTTCATGCTGTTCTTGTGATGGTGAGTGAGTTCTCACAAGATCTGCTAGTTTTATAAGTATCTGGCATTTCCCCTGCTTGCACTCATTTTCTCTCCTGCTGCCTTGTGAAGATGTGCCTTCCACTATGATTGTAAGTTTCCTGAGGCCTCCCCAGCCATGTGGAACTGTGAATTATTTATACCTCTTTCCTTTATAAATTACACAGTGTTGGGCAGTTCTTTGTAGCAGTGTGAGAATGGACTAAAAGAGTGACCTTAAAAAATGTTCATTTTATCTCTGGGATTTAGTTATGAATCTGTAAACTTACAATAATTATTGTATATTATAGATATTTGAACAAGTTACTTTGCATATGGTATCAATAATCCTAAGGATGGTTATTTTTATTTTTACACATTAGGTGGCAATAACTTTCAAACCCTGTGCTGAAGAGTTTCTCTTCAATATTTTTGTTGGCACCTAAACAAGCTGGCACAGAGTATCTTTTCTAAGTGAAGTTACTGCCTATGTTAGTGATCAAAGTTGTCAGGATCTCACTTTTATTTGGATCATAATGCATTTAAAGTTGAATTTGAAAATGAGTACCCAGAGTGGGCTTTTAAAGTCCCAAGGCAATGAAATATGATTTGTAGAATTCATCTTTTTTTTCTTCACAATCTGTGTTAGTGAACTTAAAGACCAGAGGAAAAATAAATATCACAGTAGAAATGCTGAAACAAAATCAGATATTGTTTTTTTCATAGCCAATATTAGAAAACTATGAGAAAGATTTTTTTTGGTAGAATCTTGAAAAGGCTACCTAATCTCTTTGAATAACAGAATTTTTTTCCTATGAAATAAATTGCAGTAGATAGTTCCTTTTGTGTCACATATCGAGAGCTCCATAAATAGACTCAAAATTGCTGCATGAGTTGGAAATGATAAATTTATAGGCTTCTTTAGATTTTACTTCCTGCATTCACATAATTTAGGTGAAATTAAATGTCACCTTTTTGACTTACTAAATGTAGTATTCACCTAGTATTCCTGAGGTTCTACAGGGTTTATTCCATCAGGACTTGAGTGGAAGACATTGTAAATATCAGTTTGCAAATACAGAACTTTGGCTATAAATATGATTACAAAGTCTATTATATATATTTTTAATTATACAACATTTGCTGTCTTAATGGATATTTTTAATATTCTTTACAAATAAACAGTGAGGTAGAGCTACATGAATGACAGAAAAATAAAGAGAAAAAATATTAGGGAAAATATGATAAACATAGAAGGCAGATAAGGGGATTCAGGCCCTTCATAATTGGAATCCCCCATTTAAAAAACTCTAAAATCCTAAAATTTAGAAAGAGAACCCATAATTATAATTATAATTATAATTAAAGACATACATTTTTAGAACTAAAACAATACTTGAGCTAAATATAACAAATCCACAATGAATGTAAAAAATAATCCAGAATGGTTAATATTAAGACATCATTGGACTTTAAGGGTAAAGAAAGAATGCTTCATGAAGCAGTAAAATAAATAATAACCTATAATAGGTAATGTGTCAGCCTGGCCCTGATTTCCTCTACAGCAACATTGGCTGCTATTCAATTGAATAACATTTAAGAAATTCAATACTGGAAGATGTCACTCAAGAATTTTATATCCAGCCAAACTATACTTCAACTTGTAAAAAAAACTAAACAATTTTTACATGCAAAAATTCCCTTGAGAATTTTTGAGAAAACTACCAGTGTCAAGTTTGGCTCACAAAGAGATGAAAGAAGGAACCACAAAAAATGACTGAGTACTGTATACATTTAAATGTTTAACTAAATCTAACATACGTAGCAAAAAATTTATATACTATCTATTTTGTACTAGGCACTGTTCTAAATTCTTGACATATATTAACTGTAGAGACTAGGGTTACAGATGAGAATGTAAATGAGACATGCCTTCATAATTTATACATTAGCCTCACAACTTAAAAGTAGAGCTTAGAAAAATTTCCTGTTTACTTCATGTAAACAGAAGGGACCAAATTATTTCATTTCAAACTAAAATAAATCAAGGAATAAAAGGATAAGTTCATGTAACCATAGAAAAGTAAATAATAAGAAAGAAAATATATCAACTAAATTTGAGTGACCAAAAAATCCAGGAATTATGGTAATGTTAAAGTGATTGTGATAAAGAATTATGGATAAAGTGTTTAAAATACAGGGCTGCAAATAAGATATACAATATTAAAAATAATCATTAGAATAAAAATATTAAAAAATTATCTTTTTTTTTTTTGAGACAGAGTTTCACTCTTATTGCCCAGGCTAGAGTGCAATGGCATGATTCCAGCTCACTGCAACGTCCGCCTCCTGGGTTCAAGTGATTCTCCTGACTCAGCCTCCTGAGTAGCTGGGATTACAGGCATGTGCCACCATGCCTGGCTAATTTTTGCATTTTTAGTAGAGACAGGGTTTCACCATGTTGGCCAGGCTGGTCTAGAACTCCTGATCTCAGGTGATTTGCCCACTTCAGTCTACCAAAGTGCTGGTATTACAGGTGTGAGCCACAATGCCTGGCCAAAAAGTTATCTTAATGATTACATATATAAACAGCAAACAAATGAAAAAGACTAAATACCAAAAGACTTAACAGCTTAAAAACAGAAAACACAACAAAACGTAAAATACAGTCAGAACTAAGACTGGATATACATATATATGCCATATTAATAAATAAAAATGACTTAAAAGAAAAAAGATTTATTAAAAGAAAAGTATTTTCATATTGGGTTGCAAATCAAAACCTAACTCAGTTCTGTGTATACAAGACACATCTAATACCTAAAAGAAGTATATAGAATGTATATATGTGTATATATAACATATACTAGGAAAATGAAAAACAAAAACAAAAGCAAGTATTTTATGGTATCTGAAAAGGCAACACAACTTGTTGCAGAACAACCCTTGATTTGAGAACAACTGCAAAAGTAGGAAACACACACAGATAATCTGTTTGGTCTGTTTTAAGACCCTGGAGAGCTAAGCATAGAGACCTGAGAGAGCATTGAAGATACTAGAGAGAAGGGTGACAAAGAGAGAAAAGCCAATATTCTGCACCACTTTTCTACTTGACTTTGGTCAGTTTAGAAGCAGCAGCTGAGAGGCTGAGAAACTGAACAAAGTTTCCAGCAGTCATTTCAGAATATGGAAACCAAAAGGGTCTGACATACAACTCAGGCTTTCAGATGAGACTTTTAATGGGCTGCACTCTAGGGGTAAGGGAGAACCCCAAATAGATCAGTCATCATAAAGAATGAAACTGGCCGGGTGCAGTGGCTCACACCTGTAATCCCAGCACTTTGGGAGGCCGAGCCAGGTGGATCACTTAAGGCCAAGAGTTCGAGACCAACCTGGGGAACGTGACAAAACTTTATCTCTACTAAAAATACAAAAATTAGCTGGGTGTGCTGGCACACACCTGTAATCCCTGCTACTCAGGAGGCCGAGGCATGAGAATCACTTGAACTTGGGAAGCGGGGATTGCAGTGGGCCAAAATTGTGCCACTGCACTCCAGCCTGGGCAACAGAGTGAGACTCAGTTTCAAAAAAAAAAAAAAAAAAGAAAGAAAGAAAAAAGAATGAAACCTAGTTAGAGACAGTTCAGTTCCAAGTTGGATTAAGGTGATGTTCCTTTAGCTTATCTGCCTAAAACAAAATAAATCCTCTCTTCAAGACAATAACATCTTGAGAACTTCAAATTACCTTCACAATTTTTTATTTTAAAAGTCTGTGATTCAGTCAAAAAATTACCAGGCATATACGGAGACAGAATACGTGACAAAAAAGCAAAGGGGAAAAATACCCAATAGAAACAGAATCACAGGAGATGCCAATAATATTGGAGCTATCAGATGAAAATAAGAATTTATTTTCCTTGGACTTCTGAGTAGAATTTAAAAGGTTACATAAAGCCTACACATACAAAGTTTATAGCTAAGAAAAAAAATTACAAAAATACTTTTGAAAAGGCATCATATAGGTTTAGAAGCTATGAGGACTGAATGGGCCTAAATTACAGAGAGGAGAAACATTCAGTGGTGAGTAGATAAATAGCAATTTTTTTTTACATGGAGGAATTTGCCAATTATTGATGTGAGCTGAAGTTTGTGGCTTGGCCCAGACAGAGAGCAGCAGCTGAAAGATGTAGAAACCAATGTAGACTTTAGCAGTCACTTGGGAATAGAAAGATAGATTGAGGGCTTGAGGGCCGTAGATACACAGCCATTTTCCATAAAAGACATTTGCTATATTCTATGACTGTGTAAGAAGCTGAAATCTAAACTAAAAGCTTTTGAAATTGAAAGTGAAACCTATTAAAGTCTCAGTAATTAGGAAACAAAGACCTGAAAACAGAAAAGGCAAGAAACAAAAGCCTAGAGAGTATGGTATATTGGCACAGAGGATCTATAGCCTCTTTTCACTAACCAACTCTGATTGTAGGTAAAAGTTGAGAAACCAGGGGCAGACCAACACTGCTGGGATAAAATCATTGGATAAGTTTGAGCAGTAGGGTATTTATACATTTCCAAAGTATCTCCCCACATATTGTTTAGTAGTTACAAGGGGAAAATTATTGTACAATGAAAATATCTGACAGACTCCATCTTAACAAAATGATTAAAGTTATCATCAGCAGAGCAAATAAATATTGTGTGCCTTTTGAAATAATATGCTAAGAAGGACACAGCACATATATTGTATAGTATAGTACATATATTGTATAGTATATATCTATATATATATGGGGAGAGAGATAATAGTATTCTTGCAAGAATAGTCATAAACTAAATCTTATCATGAAGAAATTAGCAGACAATCCAAATTGAGGGACTTTCTACAAAACACATCTGGCACTTACCCTTTAAAAAAAAAGTCATTTCAGGAAAGACCAAGAAAGGCTAAGAAATTTATAGCTTAGAAGAGATTAAAGACATATAACAAGGAGGAGCCAAGATGGCCGAATAGGAACAGCCCTGGTCTACAGCTCCCAGCGTGAGCGACACAGAAGATGGGTGATTTCTGCATTTCCATCTGAGGTACTGGGTTCATCTCACTAGGGAGTGCCAGACAGTGGGTGCAGGTCAGTGGGTGCATGCACCGTGTGCAAGCCAAAGCAGGGCGAGGCATTGCCTCACTCGGGAAGTGCAAGGGGTCAGGGAGTTCCCTTTCCTAGTCAAAGAAGGGGGTGACTGACAGACAGCACCTGGAAAATCGGGTCACTCCCACCCGAATACTGCGCTTTTCCGACCGGCTTAAAAAATGGCGCAACAGGAGATTATATCCCGCACCTGGCTTGGAGGGTCCTACACCCACGGACTCTCACTGATTGCTAGCACAGCAGTCTGAGATCAAACTGCAAGGCAGCAGCGAGGCTGGGGGAGGGGCGCCCGCTATTGCCCAGGCTTGCTTAGGTAAACAAAGCAGCCGGGAATCTCGAACTGGGTGCAGCCCACCACAGCTCAAGGAGGTCTGCCTGCCTCTGTAGGCTCCACCTCTGGGGGCAGGGCACAGACAAACAAAAAGACAGCAGTAACCTCTGCAGACTTAAATTTCCCTGTCTGACAGCTTTGAAGAGAGCAGTGGTTCTCCCAGCACGCAGCTGGAGATCTGAGAACGGGCAGACTGCCTCCTCAAGTGGGTCCCTGACCCCTGATCCCCGAGCAGCCTAACTGGGAGGCACCCCCCAGCAGGGGCAGACTGACACCTCACACGGCCGGGTACTCCAACAGACCTGCAGCTGAGGGTCCTGTCTGTTAGCAGGAAAACTAACAAACAGAAAGGACATCCACACCAAAAACCCATCTGTACATCACCATCATCAAAGACCAAAAGTAGATAAAGCCACAAAGATGGGGAAAAAACAGAGCAGAAAAACTGGAAACTCTAAAAAGAAGAGCGCCTCTCCTCCTCCAAAGGAACGCAGTTCCTCACCAGCAACGGAACAAAGCTGGACAGAGAATGACTTTGACGAGCTGAGAGAAGAAGGCTTCAGACGATCAAATTACTCCGAGCTAAGGGAGGACATTCAAACCAAAGGCAAAGCAGTTGAAAACTTCGAAAAAAATTTAGAAGAATGTATAACTAGAATAACCAATACAGAGAAGTGCTTAAAGGAGCTGATGGAGCTGAAAACCAAGGCTCAAGAACTACGTGAAGAATGCAGAAGCCTCAGGAGCTGATGCAATCAACTGGAAGAAAGGGTATCAGCAAAGGAAGATGAAATGAATGAAATGAAACGAGAAGGGAAGTTTAGAGAAAAAAGAATAAAAAGAAATGAGCAAAGCCTCCAAGAAATATGGGACTATGTGAAAAGACCAAATCTACGTCTGATTGGTGTACCTGAAAGTGACGGGGAGAATGGACCCAAGTTGGAAAACTATCTGCAGGATATTATCCAGGAGAACTTCCCCAATCTAGCAAGGCAGGCCAACATTCAGATTCAGGAAATACAGAGAACGCCACAAAGATACTCCTCGAGAAGAGCAACTCCAAGACACATGATTGTCAGATTCACCAAAGTTGAAATGAAGGAAAATATGTTAAGGGCAGCCAGAGAGAAAGGTCGGGTTACCCTCAAAGGGAAGCCCATCAGACTAACAGCGGATCTCTCAGCAGAAACTCTACAAGCCAGAAGAGAGTGGGGGCCAATATTCAACATGCTTAAAGAAAAGAATTTTCAACCCAGAATTTCATATCCAGCCAAATTAAGCCTCATAAGTGAAGGAGAAATAAAATACTTTACAGACAAGCAAATGCTGAGAGATTTTGTCACCACCAGGCCTGCCCTAAAAGAGCTCCTGAAGGAAGTGCTAAACATGGAAAGGAACAACCAGTACCAGCCACTGCAAAACCATGCCAAATTGTAAAGACCATCGAGACTATGAAGAAACTGCATCAACTAACGAGCAAAATAACCAGCTAACATCATAATGACAGGATCAAAGTCACACATAACAATATTAACTTTAAATGTAAATGGACTAAATGCTCCTATTAAAAGACACAGACTGGCAAATTGGATAAAGAGTCAAGATCCATCAGTGTGCTGTATTCAGGAAACCCATCTCACGTGCAGAGACACACATAGGCTCAAAATAAAAGGATGGAGGAAGATCTACCAAGCAAATGGAAAACAAAAAAAGGCAGGGGTTGCAATCCTAGTCTCTGATAAAACAGACTTTAAACCAACAAAGATCAAAAGAGACAAAGAAGGCCATTACATAATGGTAAAGGGATCAATTCAACAAGAAGAGCTAACCATCCTAAATGTATATGCACCCAATACAGGAGCACCCAGATTCATAAAGCAAGTCCTGAGTGACCTACAAAGAGACTTAGGCTCCCACACATTAATAATGGGAGACTTTAACACCCCAATGTCAAAATTAGACAGATCAACAAGACAGAAAGTCAACAAGGATACCCAGGATTTGTACTCAGCTCTGCACCAAGTGGACCTAATAGACATCTACAGAACTCTCCACCCCAAATCAACAGAATATATATTTTTTTCAGCACCACACCACACCTATTCCAAAATTGACCACATACTTGGAAGTAAAGCTCTCCTCAGCAAATGGAAAAGAACAGAAATGATAACAAACTGTCTCTCAGACCACAGTGCAATCAAACTAGAACTCAGGATTAAGAATCTCACTCAAAACCGCTCAACTACATGGAAACTGAACAACCTGCTCCTGAATGACTACTGGGTACATAATGAAATGAAGACAGAGATAAAGATGTTCCTTGAAACCAATGAGAACAAAGACACAACATACCAGAATCTGTGGGATGCATTCAAAGCAGTGTGTAGAGGGAAATTTATAGCACTAAATGCCCACAAGAGAAAGCGGGAAAGATCCAAAATTGACACCCTAACATCACAATTAAAAGAACTAGAAAAGTAAGAGCAAACACATTCAAAAGCTAGCAGAAGGCAAGAAATAACTAAAATCAGAGCAGAACTGAAGGAAATAGAGACACAAAGAAACCTTCAAAAAATTAATGAATCCAGGAGCTGGTTTTTTGAAAGGATCAACAAAATTGATAGACCACTACCAACACTAATAAAGAAGGAAAGAGAGAAGAATCAAATAGACGCAATAAAAAATGATAAAGGGGATATCACCACCGATCCCACAGAAATACAAACTACCATCAGAGAATACTATAAACACCTCTACGCAAATTAGAAAATCTAGAAGAAATGGATAAATTCCTCGACACATACACTCTCCCAAGACTAAACCAGGAAGAAGTTGAATCTCTGAATGGACCAATAACAGGATCTGAAATTGTGGCAATAATCAATAGCTTACCAATCAAAAAGAGTCCAGGACCAGAAGGATTCACAGCCGAATTCTACCAGAGGTACAAGGAGAATAATTCCTTCTGAAATTATTCCAATCAATAGAAAAAGAGGGAATCCTCCCTAACTCATTTTATGAGGCCAGCATCATCCTGATACCAAAGCCGGGCAGAGACACAACCAAAAAGAGAATTTTAGACCAATATCCTTGATGAACATTGATGCAAAAATCCTCAATAAAATACTGGCAAACCAAATCCAGCAGCACGTCAAAAAGCTTATCCACCATGATCAAGTGGGCTTCATCCCTGGGATGCAAGGCTGGTTCAATATACACAAATCAATAAATGTAATCCAGCATATAAACAGAACCAAAGACAAAAACCACATGATTATCTCAATAGATGCAGAAAAGGCCTTTGACAAAATTTATCAACTCTTCATGTTAAAAACTCTCAATAAATTAGGTATTGATGGGACGTATTTCAAAATAATAAGAGCTATCTATGACAAACCCACAGCCAATATCATACTGAATGGGCAAAAACTGGAAGCATTCCCTTTGAAAACTGGCACAAGACAGGGATGCCCTCTCTCGCCACTCCTATTCAACATAGTGTTGGAAGTTCTGGCCAGGGCAATTAGGCAGGAGAAGGAAATAAAGGGTATTCAATTAGGAAAAGAGGAAGTCAAATTGTCCCTGTTTTCAGATGACATGATTGTATATCTAGAAAACCCCATTGTCTCAGCCCAAAATCTCCTTAAGCTGATAAGCAACTTCAGCAAAGTCTCAGGATACAAAATCAATGTGCAAAAATCACACACATTCTTATACACCAACAACAGACAAACAGACAGCCAAATCATGAGTGAACTCCCATTCACAATTGCTTCAAAGAGAATAAAATACCTAGGAATCCAACTTACAAGGGATGTGAAGGACCTCTTCAAGGAGAACTACAAACCACTGCTCAATGAAATAAAAGAGTATACAAACAAACGGAAGAACATTCCATGCTCATGGGTAGGAAGAATCAATATCATGAAAATGTCCATACTGCCCAAGGTAATTTATAGATTCAATACCATCCCCATCAAGCTACCAATGACTTTCTTCACAGAATTGGAAAAAACTAATTTAAAGTTCACATGGAACCAAAAAAGAGCCCACATTGCCAAGTCAATCCTAAGCCAAAAGAACAAAGCTGGAGGCATCACACTACCTGACTTCAAACTATACTACAAGGCTACAGTAACCAAAAACAGCATGGTACTGGTACCAAAACAGAGATATAGATCAGTGGAACAGAACAGAGCCCTCAGAAATAACGCCACATATCTACAACTATCTGATCTTTGACAAACCTGAGAAAAACAAGCAATGGGGAAAGGATTCCCTATTTAATAAATGGTGCTGGGAAAGCTGGCTAGCCATACGTAGAAAGCTGAAACTGGATCCCTTCCTTACACCTTATACAAAAATCAATTCAAGATGGATTAAAGACTTAAATGTTAGACCTAAAACCATAAAAACCCTAGAAGAAAACCTAGCCATTACCATTCAGGACATAGGCATGAGTAAGAACTTCATGTCTAAAACACCAAAAGCAATGGCAACAAAAGCCAAATTGACAAATGAGATCTAATTAAACTAAAGAGCTTCTGCACAGCAAAAGAAACTACCATCAGAGTGAACAGGCAACCTACAAAATGGGAGAAAATTTTCGCAACCTACTCATCTGACAAAGGGCTAATATCCAGAATCTACAAAGAACTCAAACAAATTTACAAGAAAAAAACAAACAACCCCATCAAAAAGTGGGCGAAGGACATGAACAGACACTTCTCAAAAGAAGACATTTATGCAGCCAAAATACACATGAAAAAATGCTCACCATCACTGGCCATCAGAGAAATTCAAATCAAAACCACAATGAGATATCATCTCACACCAGTTAGAATGGCAATCATTAAAAAGTCAAGAAACAACAGGTGCTGGAGAGGATGTGAAGAAATAGGAACTTTTACACTGTTGGTGGTACTGTAAACTAGTTCAACCATTGTGGAAGTCAGTGTGGCGATTCCTCAGGGATCTAGAACTAGAAATACCATTTGACCCAGCCATCCCATTACTGGGTATATACCGAAAGGACTATAAATCATGCTGCTATAAAGACACGTGCACACATATGTTTATTGCGGCATTATTCACAATAGCAAAGACTTGGAACCAACCCAAATGTCCAACAATGATAGACTGGATTAAGAAAATGTGGCACATATACACCATGGAATACTATGCAGCCATAAAAAATGATGATTTCATGTCCTTTGTAGGGACGTGGATGAAATTGGAAATCATCATTCTCAGCAAACTATTGCAAGAACATAAAACCAAACACCACATATTCTCACTCATAGGTCGGAATTGAACAATGAGAACACATGGACACAGGAAGGGGAATATCACACTCTGGGGACTGCTTTGGGGTTTGGGGGGGGGAGGGATAGCATTGGGAGATATACCTAATGCTAGATGACGAGTTAGTGGGTGCAGTGCACCAGCATGGCACATGTATACATATGTAACTACCCTGCACATTGTGCACATGTACCCTAAAACTTAAAGTATAATAATAACAATAAAATTATTAGAGATAATAAATTAAAAAAAGACGTATAACAAGTAAATACATGCATGATTCTGCATCATCAGAAAAAAACAGAAAATCATCAATCAGAAAAAAATATGCTGCAAGGACAACACTAAAACAAAGGAAGAAATAATCTTGTGTTAATGTTTAAATTTTTGAAATTAATAGTTGTGCCATGCTTTAGGTAATCAGATGTCCTTTTTCTTAGAAAATGTACACTGAAGTATTTGAGGGTTAAAAGTCGTGATGTCAAAGACTCTAAAATGCTTTAGTTGACATGAAATGTATGTGTGTGTTTTTGTTATGTGTGTGCAGGAAAGAAAGTGTGGTCACTTTAGGTGTGTATACATGGGAGTTTATTGTATCATTGCCAGATTCTCCTGCCAGTTTAAATATTTTTCAATAAAAGTTAAAAAAAAAACTGTGAGAAAACATTGGAGAGCCATGTTATAAGAACAGAAGCAAACAAGAGGTAGCTTGAGTTTTGCCATTTAAGTGAGATTGTACTTATTTTGGTAACCAAGGTCATCACTGACAGGAAAATAGTGATTTCTCTATAAGATCTGCTTTTTTTTTTTTTCCGCGACAGAGTCTCACTCTGTTGCCCAGGCTGGAGTACAGTGGTGCGATCTTGGCTCACTGCAACCTCCACTTCCTGGGTTCAGGCATTTCTCCTGTCTCAGCCTCCCTAGTAGCTGGGATTACAGGTGCCTGTCACCACACCTGCTAATTTTTGTATTTTTGGTAGAGATGGGGTTTCACCATACTGGCCTGGCTGGTCTTAAACTCCTTACCTCAAGTGATCTACCCGCCTCATCCTCCCAAATTGCTAGGATTACAGGTGTGAGCCACCACACCTGGCCTAAGACCTGCTGTTATGTAAGAAATCTTAAAAGATATTCAGGCAGTAGAAATATGGTACTCAACAAAAACTTACAACTACACAAAGAAATAAGGAGTGCTGGAAATTAAATAAATGAAAGTAAAAATAAAACTATTTAGGTTATCTTTCTTATTTTTAATTGCTCTAAGACTTAATTGACTCTCTAAAATAGAGGTTAGCGAGCCTTTCCATAAAGGATCAGATAGCAAATACTTTGTTTTGTAAGCCAAATGAACTTTGCTGAAATTACTAAATTTCAACATTGTAGTGCTAAAGCAGCCATAGATAATGCATAACAAATAAGTGTGGCTATGTTTTAATAAAGATCATCATGGTGTGTAATTTCATCATACTGATCTCTTTTTGGCTTCACTAAGATGACATACTCTCTTACTTCTTCATGTGTTTGCTCCTGTATTTTTTTCAAGACTTAATTCAGGAATTATCTCTTTCAAGACTCTTTCCCAAACCTTTTATTCCTCACAGGCAAGATGGAATTCCATTTTTATGATCCAGTAGGAACTTATGCCTCCTGGTTTTATCTCTGACTTGATTTGTGAACTTTGGAAGTTATTTAATATCCCTAAGTTTCAGTTTTCTGACCTATAAGATAATAATAGTACCTACATTACACGGCTGTTGTGATAATGCATCTGAATTACTTAACACAGAACTTGACCCACAGAAAACATTCAAAACATGTAAATGATATCTAATAATATTGTGATGATGATTATTATTCCTCTTTCATACTACTTTCTGATGCACAATATTGGTCAACATAAAATATGCTTGGTTCTTGGTTAGATATTATGTAAAGTTATAACAATGTGATTAGGAATATTTGGATTTGTATTTTAATAGCAGTAAAATGTACTAAATCAGAAGAACATGTCTTGGTCAGTAATATATATGAATATGCAGGTAAGATAAGAGAGAATAAATATTATGATACCTGTAATTTTTTGAACACCAAAGCAAAGTAAGCCAAGAACACAGCTGTAAGGGGATCAAGTAGACCGGAGGCAAAATTAGCTGTTGAGCTATAATCCCTGACCGTGCTGGACACAGGGCTCTGTTCACACAGAGAGGGAAAGCAATTAGCAGTGGAACAGCATATGGTTTGGCTAATAGCACCTCAAGAAAAAAACTAGATTAAAATATAGAAGGGATATTGAGTAGAGGAGATGGCAGGTGGGTGGTGAATAAAAATGAACAACAAAATGCATGCTTGGGAATATCGTGGGTGTGCATGTGCCTGTTTTTCCTTTCATTGGTATGTTTAGGATTTGCATAAATAAAATGAATATGGGGGTACATGTTGCCTCATCTTTTAGTTGCTCTGCTTTGAAAGAAAAGTAAATTCCTGGATCAAAAGATGGCAGTTAGGGAAACTTAAATAAGTTGGTTTGGATAAAATTAAAGGAGGCAGCCCTCTGATCGTTTCTTTCCCCAAAGAGGATTTAAGTCTGCCCCTAGGACACAGGACACAGAGTCATTATTTTAAATATTATATTGAATTATATAATGTCTTAATTTTTAATCAAATAATTCATGCACATAATTATTAATAGTATCAGAGGATTCTTTTGAAATCAGTGTCCTCTGCATTGCTCTTCTCTAAATTGCTTAGAAGGAGTATTAATACTTTTAGTTGTATCTTCCGGCATTAGCCATAATTTCTTCACTTTTCAAAACCTAAGTAACATGGCTGTATTTCTTTCCCTTGATTTATTAATTATAAATATATAGTAAATTTATTATTTTGAAAAAGAAGGTAAACTCGTTCATGCCAACTCTTATCTTCAAATACATAGTATATCTTATATTGTATGTACTTTATCATAATTATTAGTTGATGATGTAGTTTCATTACAGTGAATATATAAATATTGTTTGCTAAATAAGAAAGCAGTGTAATATGTTGCATTTCCTGTTTTTTGAAACCTCATTGTTTTCTCTAGAGTTAATTATTGTCTTAGTTTTTTCACTTATATAATTTCTTCTATTTACAAATGTTAACAAATATTCTATCAGATCTTTCATTATCTTGTAGTACCAAATGTTGCTGTGGAAAAATATGATGTTATTCTGATTGCTCCTTCCTATGAAGTGTTTTTCTCTCTAGAAGTTAGTGAATCCTCTCTCTATCACTGGTATTATGATATTGCATAATAATGTGCATTGGTGTGGTAACTTTCGGTATTTCCTGTGCCAGTAGAAACTAGAAATTATTTGCTGATTTGTTTAAGTTACCTATAGATTCTGGTTATTAAGCCTTTGTTGGATGCATAGTTTGCAAATGTCTTCTCTTGTTCTGCAGGTTGTCTGTTTACTCTGTCGATAGTGTCTTTTTTTTCTGTGCAGAAGCTTCTTAGTTTAGTTAGGTCCCACATGTCTATTTGTGTTTTTGTTACAACTGCTTTTGGGGACTTAGCCAAAAATTCTTTGCCAAGGCCAATATCAAGAAGGGTATTTCCTAATTTGTCTTCTAGAATTTTACAGTTTGAGGTGTTACATTTAAATCTTTTATCCATTTTGAGTTAATGTTTGGCTGTTTCCGTGCCGAGCGCAGCCATGGCTCCTGGTCCCAAGAAGCATCTGAAATGGGTGGCAGCTCCAAAGTACTAGATGCTGGATACATTGACCAGTGTGTTTGCTCTTCATCAATCCACCAGTCCTCACAAGCTTAGAGAGTGTCTCCCCCTCATCATTTTCCTAAGGAACAGACTTAAGTATGCCCTGAGAAGAAATGAAAAAGATTTGCATGCAGCAGTTCATTAAGATAGATGGCAAGGTCCAAACTGATATAACCTACCCTGCTAGATTTATGGATGTCATCAGCATTGACAAGGGACACAATTTCTGTCTGATCTATGACACCAAGGGTTGCTTTGGTGTACATTGTATTACACCTGAGGAGGTCAAGTACAAGTTATGCAAAGTGAGAAAAATCTTAGTGGGCACAAAAGGAATCCCTCATCTGGTGACTCATGATGCTTGTACCATCTGCTACCCTGATCCCCTCATCAAGGTTAATGAAACCGTTCAGATTGACTCGGAGACTGGCAAGATACTGATTTCATCAAGCTTGATGCTGGTAACCAGCATATGGTGACTGGAGGTGCTAACTTGGGAATAATTTGTGTGATCACCAACAGAGAGAGGCACCCTGGATATTTTGCCATGGTTCACGTGAAAGACGCCAACGGCAACAGCATTGCCACCTGGCTTTCCAACATTTTTTGTTATTGGCAAGGGCAACAAACCATGGCACAAACCATGGCAACAAGCCAAGGGCAACAAACCTTCCCCGAGGAAAGGGTGTCCACCTCACCTTTGCTAAAGACGGAGACAAGAGACTGGTGGCTAAACAGAACAGTGTGTAAAATGGTCTCTGGGTGACATGTTACATCTTTGTACATAATTTAAAATAATTCAGCATGATTAAAAAAATACTTGTGTACGGTGAAAAGTAGGGGTCCAGCTTCAGTCTTCAGCATATGACTAGCCAGTTATCCCAGCACCATTTATTGGATAGGGCATACTTTCCCCATTGCTCGTTTTTGTCAGCCTTGTTGAAGATCAGATGGTTGTAAAATAACCCCATTTAAAAATGAGAGAAAGGGACAAACAGCTATTCTCAAAAAAAGACATATAAGCAGCCAACAAATATGAAAAAATGCTCATCACCACCAATCATTAGAGAAATGCAAATCAAAACTACAATGAGATATCATCTCACATCAGTCAGAATGGCTATTACTAAAAAGTCAAAAAACAACAGATGCTGGTGAGCTGTGGAAGAAAGAGAATGCTTATACACTATTGGCGGGAATGTGAATTGGTCCAGCCACCATAGAAAGCAGTCTGGAGATTACTCAAAGACCTTAACACAGAACTACCATTAGACCCAGAAATCCCATTACTGGGTATATACCCAAGGGAAAATAAATCATTCTGCCCCAAAGACACAAGCATTTGTATGTTCATTGCCAGGCTATTCACAATAGCAAAGACATGGAATCAACACAGGTGCCCATCAATGGTAGATTAATTTAAAAAAAAAATGTGGTACGTATACACCATGGAATACTACGCAGCCATTAAAAGAATAAAGTCATGTCCTTTGCAGCAACATAGATGCGGTTGCAAGACATAATCCTAAGTGAATTAATGCAGGAACAGAAATATCACATGTTCTCACTTGTATTTAGGAGCTAAACATTAAGCACACATTGACATAAATATGGGATCAATAGACACTGTGGACTACTAGAAGGGGGAGGGAGGGAAGAGGGCGTGGGATGAAAAACTACCTATTGGGTACTATGCTTACTACCTGGGTGATGGGATCTTTACGCCAAACCTCAGCATTATGCAATATCCCCATGTAACAAACCTGCATATATACCCCCTGTATCTAAAATAAAAGCTGAAATTTAAAATAAAATATTAAAAAATGAAACTAGAAATCAGGCATTTGAAATTAAATTATGACTCTCTTCACAAATTGGATCTTCATCCTATATATTTAATGATTTTTTTACTTATATTTTCTCTTTTTTTCTTTCTAGAGTAACTAATAATCTGATGGTTGACATCTGAATTGATTTTTCTGAATATTTTATCATTTTTATTCTATTCCAATTACATTGTTTTGTTTCCTGAAATATTTACTTGGTTTTATTTTTTAACATTTCTGCTAAAATTTCAAATTATAATTGTCTATCATATTTGCAATTTCATCATTTTCCTCTTTCTTAGATGTTTATAGATGTATTATATTACCTTGTTACTCCCTAAGGCTGATTTATATACTTTTTTGTTTGTTAAAGTTCTTTTTTCTGCATTAGTTCTGGTTCTACTAGGTTTTAATTTTCAGTTTGTCTCTCTCTTTCACGTTATAGATCTTTTTTCTTTCTTTGTTTTTCTTTCATTCTTTCTCTCTCTCTCTCCCTTCCTTTCCCTTCCCTTCCCCTCCCTTCCCCTCCCTTCCCCTCTTCTACTACTCCCCTCCCCTCCCCTCCCCTCCCTTCCCCTCCCTTCCCCTCCCTTCCCCTCCCTTCCCCTCCCTTTCTACTACTGCAACTGGTGCTTTCTTGAAAGTGCCACATCCTGGCTAGAGGCTGACCAACTCAGACCATTAGAGCAACTCAAGACAGAATAACACTGCTCCCAGGAAGAAGAAAACAATAGCTAATTCCACTGCCTGCAACATCCTGGCTAACTGAAGGTCCTGAGTCTATCCATGTGATAACTTCACTGCTAGCATAACCAGCATTCAAGAAAGACAGCACACTAAACATATCTACAACCAAGGACTCTCAAAGAGTCTACTTCACTCCCCTGCCACCTCCACCAGAGTAGGTGCTGGTATCCATGGCTGGAAGACCTGAAGACGAATCACATCACAGGACTCTTTGCAGATACTCCTCAGCACCAGAGCCTGGTAGCCCCACTGGGTGGCTAGGCCCAGAAGAGCAATAGCAATCACTGCAGTCTCTCTCTCAGCCTCTTCCCTAGGGGAAGGTGAAGAGCACCACATCAAGGGATCAACCCATGGGACAAAAGAATCTGGACAGCAGGCCTTGAGTTCCAGATCTTTCCAATGAAATAGCCTACCCAAATGAGAAGAAACTAGAAAAGTAATTCTGTTAACATGACAACATGGGGTTCTATAACACACCAAAAAAAAAAAAAATCATAGTAGCTTTCCAGCAATGGAGCCAAACCAAGAAGAAATATCTGAATTGCCAGAAAAAGAATTTAGAAACTTGACTATTAAGCTACTCAAGGAGATACCAGAGAAATGTGAAAAACAACTTAAAGAAATTAAAACAATACAGTATTTGGATGAAAAATTCTCCAGAGAAATAGATATCATAAAGAAAAAACAGTCACAACTTCTGGAAATGAAAGACACACTTAGAGAAATACAAAATGCAGTGGAAAGTTTCAACAATAGACTAGAACAAGTAGAAGAAAGAACTTCAGAGCTCAAAGACACGGCTTTGGAATTAATCTAGTCAGACAAAGACAATGAAAAAAGAATTTTTTAAAAATGAGCAAAACCTCTAAGAAATTTGGGATTGTGTTAAATGGCCAAACATAAGAATGATTGGTGTTCCTGAGAAAGAAGAGAAATCTAAAAGTTTTGAAAACTTATTTGAGGAAATAATTGAGGAAAACTTCCCTGGCCTTGCCAGAGATCTAGACATCCAAATATAAGAAGCTTTTAGAACATCTGGGAAATTCATCACAAAAAGATCATCACCTAGGCACATAGTCATCAGGTTATCTAAAGTCAAGACGAATGAAAGAATCTTAAAAGCTATGAGACAAAAGCATCAGGTAACCTATATAGTTATCTAAAGTCAAGACCAAAGAAAGAATCTTAAGAACTATGAGACAAAAGTGTCAGGTAACCCATATGTTAATCTAACTTATTAGATTAAAGGACATTTTTCAGCAGAAATCTCACAGATCAGAAGGGATTAGGGTCCTATCTTTAGCTGCCTTAAACAAAATAATTGTCAGGCAAGAAATTTGAATCCAGCAATCCTAAGGTTCATAAATGAAGGAGAGATAAATTATTTTTCAGACAAATGCTGACAGAATTTACCACTTCCAAGCCAGCACTACAAGAAATGCTATAGGAGTTCTAAATCTTGAAACAAAACCTCGAAGTACACCAAAATAAAACCTTCTTAAAGCATAAATCTCACAGGGAAAGCAATAACTGACAATGGGGGGAAAAAACAAGGTATTCAAGCAACAACTAGCATGATGCATATAACAGTGCTTCACATCTTAATACTAATGAACGTAAATGGCCTAAATGTTCCACTTAAAAGATACAGAATGGCAGGATCGATAAAAATCCACCAACCAAGTATCTGCTGTATTCAAGAGACTCACCTAATACATAAGGACTCACATCAACTTAAGGTAAAGGAGTGGGAAAAGATATTCCATGCAAATGGAAACCAAAAGTGAGCAGGAGTAGCTCTTCTTATATCAGACAAAACAGACTTTAAAGAAACAACAGAAAAAAAAAGACAAAGAGCGATTTTATATAATGATAAAAGGATTGGTCCAACAGGAAAATATCACAATCCTAAATATATATATGCATCTGACACTGGAGCTCCCAAATTTATAAAAAACTATTACTACATGCTGATGAGATAGCAACAAAATAATAGTAGGGAACTTCAATATACCCTGGAACAGATGGACTTAACAGATATTTACAGAACATTCTACCCAACAACTGCAGAATATATATTCTTCTCATCAGCACATGGAACATTCTCCAAGATAGACCATATAATAGGCCACAAAACAAGTCTCAATAAATTTCAAAAAAATTGAAATTGTATCCTGTATCCTCTCAGACCACAGTGGAATAAAACTGAAAATCAACTCCAAAAGGAACCCTCAAAACTATAAAAATACACAAAATTAAATAATATTTTCTTGAATGATCTTTGAGTCAATGATGAAATCCAGATTGAAATTAAAAAATTATTTGAACTGAATGATAATAGTGACACAACCTAACAAAACCTCTGGGATACAGTGAAAGCAGTGCTAAGAGGAAAGTTCACAATATTAAATGCCTACATCAAAAAATATGAAAGAGCACAAATAGACAATCTAAGGTCACACCTCAAGGAACTAGAGAAACAAGACCAAACCTAAACCCAGCAGAAGAAAAGAAATTACAAAGATCAGAGCAGAACTAAATGAAAGTAAAACAACAACAACAAAAAATACAAAGGGTAAATGAAACAAAAGCTGGGTCTTTGAAAATATAAACAAAATTGATAGACCATTAGTAAGATTAATTTAAAAAAGAAGAGGAACAATCCAAATAAGCTCAATTAGAAATGAAATGGGAGATATTGCAACCAATACCACAGAAATACAAAAGATAATTCAAGGCTACTATGAACATCTTTATATGCACAAAAGAAAATCTAGAGGTGATAGATAAATTCCTGGAAATATACAACCCTCATAGATTAAATTAGGAAGAAATAGAAACTGTGAACATACCTATTACAAGTAGCCAGGTTAAAACAGTAACTAAAAAATTGCCGGCTGGGCGTGGTGGCTCATGCCCGTAATTCTAGCACTTTGGGAGGCCAAGGTGGGTGGATCATGAGGTCAAGAGTTTGAGACCAGCCTGGCCAACATGGTGTAACCTGTCTCTACTAAAAATACAAAAATTAGCTGGGCATGGTGGTGGGCACCCATAGTCCCAGGTACTAGGGAGGCTGAAGCAAGAGAATCACTTGAACCCAGGAGGCAGAGGTTGCAGTGAGCCGAGATCACACTATTGCACTCCAGCCTGGGTGACAAGAGCAAAACTCTGTCTCAAAAAAAAAAAAAAAAATGCCAATAACAAAAAAAGTCCAGGACCTGATGGATTCACAGCTGAATTCTATTAGATATTCAAAGAATAATTGATACCAATCAATTATTACTGAAATTATTCCAAAAGATAGAGAAAAAGAAAATCCTCCCTAAATCATTCTATGAAGCTAATATCACTGCAATACCAAAACCAAGAAAGGACCTAACAAAATAAGAAAACTGCAATTCAATATCCCTGATGAACATAGATGTAAAAATCCTCAACAAAATACTAGCTAGCCAAATCCAACAGCATATTGAAAAAATTATGCACCATGATTAAGTGGGTTTCATACTAGGGATACAGGGGTTGTTTAACATACACAAGTCAATAAATGTGATACATCACATACTCAGAATTAAAAACAAAAATCATAAAATCATCTCAACAGACACACAAAAAAAGCATTTGACAAAATCCAGCATCCCATTATGATTAAAACCCTCAGCAAAGTTGACATAGAAGGGACATATCTCAAAGTAATAAGAGCCATCTATGACAAACCCACAGCCAACGTTATACTGAACATGGAAAAGTTGAAAACATTCCCCCTTAGAACTGGAAAAAGACAAGGATGTCCACTTTCACGACTGCTATTCAACATACTACTGGAAGTCCTAGCCAGAGCAATCAGACAAAGGAAAACAATAAAGGGCATCCAAATTGGTAAAGAGGAAGTCGAACTGTTGCTATTCATTGATTATATGATTGTATGCCTAGAAAACCCTAAAGAATCATTGAAAAAGCTCCTAGATCTGATGAATGAGTTCAGTAAAGTTTCAGGATACAAAATCAATGTACACAAATTAGCAGCACTGTTATACACCAACAATGACGAAGCTGAGAATCAAATCAAGAACTCAATCTCTTTTACAACAGTACAAAAAATAAAATACTTAGGAACATACCTAACCAAGAAGTTGAAAGAGCTGGATAAGGAAAACTACAAAACACTGCTGAAAGAAATCATGGATGATATGCTAAGTAACCAAAAAAATGTGGTGCACAAAAAGAAAACCTAAATGGTCAATAAACACTAAAAAAAATCTGCCTTGCTAGAAATCAAGCAAATGAACATTAAAACCATAATGAATGATTAGTTTACTCACATGAGACTGCAGTTCTGAAAATGCCAAGTGATGGTGAAAATGTGGAGAAAATAAGAACTCGTATCCTTACTGGTGGAAGGTCAAAGTGATGTAACATCTTTGAAAAGCAATTTGGTGATACTTGCATATGTATTCTCTAAAACTCAGACATTCTAATCTTAGATATACACCTTGAGAGACTTTAACATAGATTACAAACAGATATGTTCAAGAATGTTAATTGCAGCATAGTTTGTAATAATGAAAATAAAAATAACCTAAAACCATCAAAAAGAAAATAATTATGTTGCAATCATTGAACAGAATCTTATAATAACGAAAATGAATTAACATAGTGACTGAATTTATCATCAAAGTATTAAGATAAAAACCTAGCTATTGAAGAATTCAGATGGTGTAATACCATTTATAATAAAGGTTATGAATAGAAGAAGTGGCATGCCTGATAGCCTGAGGAGCTCAGCAGTGCATTCCCCAGAGAATCTGGTGAAAATTATGAAAAAGTAAAATCAACACTTTATAACTTCTTAAAATGGTCCTACAAATGAAGAAACATCTATGCAAGAAATCTCAAAAGTGATGTAAGAAAAGTAGAAATCTGTTGTACTTGAAGATTGTTCCTTCCCTTCCGTACCCACGCTCAGAGAAATAGAAACTGCACTGTAGACAGGTGGAGACAAGAATACAGGTCTCTCTCCTTCCAGTTCCCAATTAGAGGACTTTCCTTCTTGGAGGGAAAGACATCGGTATATTTCATCTTGCCCGCAACTATCTGCTATTGAGGCTAAATTTCAGGTCAGTGAAGCCAAGATGTGCAGTGTAGTGCAGTAGAGTACATAATACTTGATAATGATACTAAATGACTATGTCATTTGTTTATATATTTCCTATAATATACTTCTTATCATTATCTTAGAGTGCACCCTTTCTACTTAACATACATCAAAGGCAAAGAGAAAACCTTGAAAGCAGCAAGCAAAAATGGCTTACTACTTATTAATAAAAGCAAATTCTAATAAGATTAACAGTTTGACTTTTCATCACAAAAAAATGGAGGATAGAGGACAATGGGATAATATATTGAAAATGTACAAAGAAGAAACTATCAATCAAGAATTCTATACTCAGCAAAGCTATCTTTCAAAAATTAAACTAAATCAAGACATTTCCAGATAAAGAAAAACTGAGACAATTTGTTCCTAGCCAACTTGTCTTACAAGACATACTAAAGAAAGTTCTTCAGGCTGAAAGTAAGTGACCCTACAGGATAATTGCAATCCACACAAAAAGAAAGAACACCAGTAAAAGTAATTATGTAATTATAGAAGACAGGATAAAGGCAAATGCACAATATCTTAACTGATTTAAAAGTGATTGTGTAAAATAATATGTATATAACGTATTGCTAGTCCTATAGAACATAGAAATGCAGTATGTTTCTGCACAGAGGAGGTGGGTAGGATTAAATCTGTATTAGAATTAACAATGTATTATTGAATTTGTAACATGAATCAATATACAATATTAATAGATGTAATAATAATACCACAAAAGAAGGGGAGAAAATAGTGTTGTATGGGAGTAATATATTTCTATGTCTCTCTGGGATCAAGCTGAGATCAATATGTACTGGGATCAAGTACATATTGGAAGCTGATTCTGTAAATTAAGATATACATGGTAAGCCCTAGAGTAACCCCTAAAAACAACAACAACAACAACAACAAACCTCAAAAAACATAGTGAGATAAATAATTTAAATTCTTCATTAGGAAATATTTACTTAATGCAGAAGAAAGCAGTAAGGGAGGAATAGAAGAACAGAAAAATACATGAGACACAGTAAACCAAAAGTAAAAATGACAGCTATAAATCCAACTATATCAAACATAACATTAAATGTGAATGGATTAAGAAATCTGATCAAAATGCAGAGATTGTCAGATGGATTAAAATAAAACAATAAGATCCAACTATACACTGTCTATAGGACACACATGTTAGACGTGAATGTTTATAGAAGAATTATTCACAACAGCCAAGTTGTAGAAACAACCCGAACACTCATTGACTGACTAAATGGGTAGGCAAAATGTGCTATGCAGATGTAATGTTCAGCATAAGATGGAATAAAGTACTGATCTGTGCTGCAACATGGATAAGACTTAAAGACATTGTGCTAAGTGAAAGAAGCCAGTCACAAAACACTACATACTCTATGTTCATTTACATGAAATATCCAGAATAACAAAATCTATAAAAATGGAAAGTAAATTGGTGGTTGCTTAGGAAAGAGGGTTGGATGGAGAGATAAAGGGAAGGTAATGTAGACAGCAGATTTTCCTTAGGATGTGATGGACACATTCTAAAATTGACCATGCTGATGGCTGTGCATATCTGTGAATATAGTAAAAAAAAAAAAAAGAAACATTGAATTGTACACTTTAGTGAATTGTATATAAATCATATCTTAATTAAGCTATTAAAATTTTTTTAAAGGAATAGAGGGCCATATAGAGAAGTGAATGAGCTAAAATTGGGAAATTCAAAAAGAGCACACCACTCAGCCACAATTCACAATACTATTTTAGCCAAAACTAAGAAATCTTTAGTACTTGTTTTGTGAGAAGTAACAATAATTAATATCAGAACTCCATTGTATAAAATAACAATCCATTTTGTGCCTTTCTATTTAAGTTTAAAGTTACAGATTTTTTAAAGAAATGCACTTAAAGGCACAAAGACAATACATAATACCTCACAGGCATATTTACATATGGAATATAAATAGAAAAACATTACTGGTCCAAGTTAATGCTGGGGAGGAATTTTCTTCCTTGGGCTTTATGTTTTTAAGTCTAAGGACCTCCAGAGGTCAACTGCTTGCTTTTCTCTCCCCACCCACTCATTTCTCCTAAAGGGAACAGGAGTTCATTATCTGATTGATTTGAGAAGAAAGAGTTTTCCTTTGTCTGCTTAGCCTCTCCCTTTGTTTTCTTTGCAGGTCTCAGAAAGAATGCCCATGTGCTGTCCTTCACATGGTAAGTTTGGTGGAGCATGTTCTGTTGTCAGAAGTTCAAATCAGGGGAGAGCTAGCAAGCCAACTGGCAAGGTGCAAGGCAGGTCACTTTTTCATCTGCTGTCTAACTTCTTTGTCTTCCACTTGGTTCTCAACTCAGCTGGGGAAGAGGAGGTTTCTTCCTGGGCCCCTTCAGAACCTGGTAGTTAAAAAAAAAGTTACCTGCTATTCAGCAACATGAGCCTGATAGTTTAGTATCTGCAGAGGGTTAGAATTTTTTCCACATTCCATCACATTAACACCAGAAGGACATGAGATCACCTTCTTTATTAAAACTAACAAAGAAATGGACAAAACCAGCATTCACCTCTACGTAAAGGAAATAAGAGATAACATGATCAGGGCAAAGTCTTCAATTCTGTTTGTAATGTTTACTTGATTAAGCTCAATGTTGCATAAGTTAATGTTGATTATGTTATTCCTAATATATTTTCACTTGTCTGACATATGGTTTAACAGGTTTTTTAAAAAGATGAGGTGTAACTGAACTTTTAATATGGAATGCTGTTACAGAAGGGGAAAATTGGAGAAGGACTTTAAATTTTTTAAAGCTCAACATTTCTGCTCCCAAGATTTTCTGAAAGGAAGATTTCTGAATCTATATTATAGCAAACCGCCATTTGCAAATGCTTGAAAAGTGGTCTACGTCTATGTAAACATTTACAGAAACAATCGAGCAGAAAAGAGCTTTGAACCCACGTGGTGACAGTGCTCTAGCTTTATGCATTGAAACCAAACCAAAAACCTCTGTATTTATTCTACTTGAGGTTTCATATATTGTCACACATCACAAATTAGAAAACTCTTTAAAATAATTCCCAGTTGGTATGTTTAAGATTATTTTTCCATTGTGCAAAAGCTTGCAGGGGGTATTTGTGTGTATTTGCTTTAAAACAAGTAGAATTATCCAACCACAAGAGATGGGGAGAAGCCATGAAACCATGCACTGCTGCCAATACATTGTCTAAGGCAGTACTTCTCAGACTGCCTTTGTTGAATGCAGTTATTAAACCTTTAAACCTTTTTACATTTTTCATTTTATTTTTTATCTTTTTAATTAATAATTTTACTTTATAAAAATATAACTTAGTTACCAAATAATCAAATTAAACTGTACAGGCACAAGCCCAAATCTATCTTCATTATTTTCAATGGACACAAAATTATTTTATCAAATTTTATAAACATTTCTCACTGCTTACTCTCAAGTTCTGTGCTTATCTTATTATGAACAGGTAAAAACTGTTTTTGGGCCAGCACTGGTCTACTGACCACACCTAAAGAATGATTGATCTAAGGAATTCTTTAGTTTACTATTTTTCTACATTCAGCTTTATCTTTATGGTAATACACAAATATGCCTTGTATTATCAGTGTAATTTTGTTGTTGCATTGCTATAACAAAATGACTGAGACTGGGTAATTTACAGAAAAAAGAGGTTTAATTGGCTCACAGTTCTGCAGACAGTACAAGAAGTGTGATGCCAGCATTTGCTTCCAGTGAGGACCTCAAGGAGCTTATAATCATGGCTAAAGACGAAGGGGGAGCAGGCATCTCACATGGCGGGAACAGGAGCAAGAGAGAGAGTGGAGGGGAGAGGGGCCACAGATTTTTTAACGACCAGATTTCATGAGAATTCACTCTCATGCTCACTCACTATCCAATAGAATAGCACCAAGCCAAAAGAAACCTGTCCCCATGACCTAAGCACCTCCAACCAGGCCCCACCTCCAACGCTGGGGATTACAATTCAACATGAGATTTTTGGGGACATATATCCAAACTATTAATATATCATGCCTACCCTTGTGTTTAACCTGCTTTGAGCTTCATTTTTTTTCCTTTAAAACATTTCAGCATGGGTTTCTTTTTCCCAGTTTTATGTTATGCCCTGAATCTTTTTTTCCTCTCTTGTCTTAATACATAGCCTTCCACATCAGATTTTATGAGAAAATGGCATTTCTTTCCTTTCCTTCTCTTGATGGATGATTGAGCATCCCTGAGATCAGACTGATTTAATAGCAATATTCAAAGGTGATATCATGGTCACTCTATTCTTCTCTCTCTTCTTTGTCTTTCCTCCATCCTTTCCTTTCTCCCGTCCTTTCTCTTCCTCATCAAATTGTAGCTGAGTGTCTACTTTATACCAGGAAGTAGGGATCCTCTGAAAAGTAAAGCCACTGTCCTTATAGGACTCAATGTCTACTAGGAAAGTACTCATCAAACACATAATTACCAAGAAGAGGGATACATTTTACAAAGGAGAAATAGTAGCTACTTCGACAGGGTTAACATGCATGGTGAGACCTGCTAACCTACCTAATTCTAGAGGACAAGGTTACAGCATTTTTTTAAAGAAACAAATTATATTTGGTATGTACTGTCTTTAAAATGAAAATGTATCTTTTCAAAATGGTATTGTTAATTTTTAAAGTCTGAAATAAATGATTTATTAAAAGTAATTTCATTTGGTTGAATTTAAGGAGCTGAAAACAGTAATCTAATTATCAAAAAAGATCTCTTGGCCCAAATGATTTTAAAAACCAGATTATAGACTGGATTTAAATTAAAAGTACCCCTACCCTTCTTGATCATTTCAATGATTATACTGTCAACATTTACTATTTTTTGGCTTCATTCATCAATTTAGCTTTCTAGTCTGAAATTTTTGGCAGTTCTTTCTTTAAAATCATTCTCTAATTGACAAATATATAAGCTCTAAACTTTTACTCATATATGATGATAGGAAAAACAAGGGTGACTGTATCCATATATAAAGAAAGTATCTTGTATTATTAGCTAATTATTCTTACATGAACTATTTCATAAATGTGGCCCATTTTCAATTTCTATAAAATTATTCCTGTGCTTTCTTTCTGAATAAGTAGTAAAATGTCAAAAAAAAAAAAGGTTATTATTATAGACTAAATGTTTGTGTTTCCCACAAATTCATATGTTGAAGCCCTAACCCCAAGTGTGGTAGTGTTAGGAGGTATGGCCTTGGGGGAAGTAATCAGGCTTAGATGATGTTGTGAGCGTAAAGTCCCCATGATGAGATTAGTGCCTTTATAGGAAGAGGAAGAAACCCACCAGAACTTCCTGTTTCCACAATGTGTGGACACAGCAAGAAGACAGCCTTCTGCAAGCCAGGAAGAGAGCTCTCACCAGGAACTAAAGTGGCCAGCACCTTGATTTTGGAATTCCCAGCCTCTAGAACTATGAAAAATAAAATTTTGTCATTTAAGTCACCTAGTCCATGATATTTTGTTACAGTACCCCAAGTTGACTGAGACAGTGATTGATAGGAAGAGAAGAATATTATCTGTATCTACTGTAATATTACTTATTACATAGGAAGAGTCCTCAGATGAAATACCAAAAAGAGCTTATTTCTTCTGTATTATAAGATCAGCTTGTATTTATTTTAAGATATTGTATCATTAGCTCTTATACAAACAAGATGTGTTAAAAATGGCAGAAATATATGAAACACTCATATTGGCAATAAGGATCTAGATTTTAGAGTTAAATGGTTTAAATCAATTTATATACTACAATACAGATGTGTTATATTATTTAATAGTTCTATTCTCACTATATCCACTTTTCTTATCCTTGAGATTTCACATCTTACTCTCACCTCTCCCTCATGTGTCTCATATGGTTTCCTTTTTCAATTTTTTCATCCATCTCTCTTGTCTCTTTTTTCTCAAGTGTATAACCTGTGACAAATACAGATATATTTTTTAATTTTTTGAGCTACATCACCTTAAGCCTATCTGCAGAGCTAGTGAGATCCCTATGCTCACAACTTTGGTTGACATAGTCAGCTGGGTCTACAAATACTAAAAAGCACCACTCCAGGCCTTGCTCCACATTTCTACAGCAGAACAAAAGGCCACACAGCTATGTATTCCACAGAGGAGTGGGGTTGGCTCTACTAGGAACAGTACATCAGAGTCTATACAAATCATAGCTTAAAGGAGATGCAATTATACAGAGCCCCCAAAGAATCGAGACCAGAGCAATCATGATGCCATGGTTACGCAACTCCATAGGCACATCTGGCAAGCAATTGCAGTCCATGAACCCTGTAAAATTGTAAATGTGGCCTGTTGAGCATAAGGGCTCTTTATATCTGACATTATATTGACCAGGCTATTGCTATCCCTTCTAGAGAGGCCCTTCACCCTCCTCTGTAAACAGAGAAGGAAGTCAGAGACTTGCTCTTGCATGCAGGCAGTTGGCAGCTCACCCTGAACTTGCTTTAGCCAGAGCACGCTCAGGCGTCATGGTCAGTGGATATCTTGAAGCTTCAAAGGTGAGTCCACTGCTCAAAGGGAGACATTTCAATGACCCAGGATTCCTGGCAGATTTTATTTCAGTTGCTGGATGGTTGTCAGAAAAACTAAAAAGCCCTCCAGCTGCCTGGAGTGTCTGTGAAATGCATGCAGTGGGTCTCCCAGACAAAGCTTTAGAAAGCTGCTAGCACCACAGATCCAACCCAGACTCTGCATCTTGATTTCACTAGAACAGATGTTATCTGCAAGCAATTAACATACTTGTCATCGCCAGTGAAACAGATACAGAATTCTTCAGGTTGATTTTTTTAAATGTACCCTAAAGAAAAGTGTTTGTGCACAAAGAAAATTTTCTCATTAGTATTAAAATAATATTCAGTAAAGAAGTTGCATGTGTCAATTTTTTAGTTTTTTTTCAATTTTGGGGAAAAGATACTATAAAAACTTTTAGAGTAAATGTCACCAGCAACATAAATATTAGTGTTAGCTCCCTTTCAGTTAAAGCAGTATCTATTTGTGATTATTGTGTATTTTCATATAATGACTGACAGAATTTGCTATTTGATATATTTTAAATGTTACAAATGACTTGATTGTACAGGTTTTTATATAAAATAATGATATCTTATTTATAGTAGTTATACAAATATCAAGTAATAGCATATTGATTAAATATGTCCCTTAAGATTAGTACAAGTGAAAAGTTTGGTAAAATTCAATATGTAAATATCGTAGATTATAATAACTAAACAGCGAAGTTTTAAGCTCTTAAGCTGTTCAAACAAAAGTATCCAACTAACATAATACCTTTATATTATATCGCTATACTTGTGACATAAAATTATTTTCTTATAAGCTAACTCTTATAACATGAATGTTCTGAATTATTTGTCCTCATTACATTCATGGTTTTTACTTAACATTCATACCTTCACACTTATTTTAATTAGTGAAAACTGAAAGTTCTGGTTTCTACCATTTCAACTTCGATACAAACATTTCTACAGAGGTTAAATAAGTTTTTTTAAATTCTTCTTTTAAATTACGACAATTGGTATAATTTTAAGGCAATATTTTTGCTACAATGGCAGCTTTAACTGGTTTGAAAATACATACTTAAATCATGTGATACTATGACTAATAGATTCATTCTAAAGAGTGGTACTTGTATTTGAAGTGACATAAATATTTGTGGCTACTGGGAGGCAGAGATGGGACAATAAAAAAAGCGCTGTACAAGAGTCTAATATTCAATAACACTCTCATACATCTATAATTTACTAACTGTTGACCTTGAAAAATGACAAGTTTTTTTACCTACAAAATGACGACCTTCTTAAATGATTTATTATGAGAGTTAGTTAAGATAACTTATTTGAAAACTCTTCATAAATTATGGCACATTATACAAATGAAATAACTTTAATCATAGAATATTGCACATGGCATATACTCAGTAAAATACCCGATGTGGGGCACTGTCAACTCTACTATGTGATCCTAGCTAATGTGTCCTATTGGTTTTTGATGCTTCCTCTCTAACAGGAAGTGCTTTATCAGTGTAGCTTAAGTGCTAGATAGATTGGTGGTTAATTTCTTTACTAGCACACAGGTGCCCCAGTGTGCTCACACTCTTCTCCCAACCTTTTCTCTACGTCCTTGTATGAAGTCTTATATCATATCTTGTATCTTATCTTTTCTATGTCCTTGTATGAAGTCCTGCTCAAGTCTGTCATCAACTCAGTGTTGGTGCAAAAGCCAAATCCTTTACTTTGTAAGCTCCTTAACACTCCTTAGGTACTTTACTGCCTAAGAGAAGATTATAGTTTAACACCTTTTAACGATTTTTTAAATAAGTAATTTTCTTTTCATTTATATCAGAGTCCTCTGTGGTTTCTCACTCATCTTCATAGTCTCAGCAACTACTATACTACCCTATAATAGATAATTCTAAGTGTTTGATTATATTAATGATTTGACCTCCAAAATCAGAACCTTCATGTTGTGGGTGAGTTTTTGTCCAAGTGAGGGCAGAAGTACCAATACCCTTGTTTAATCCACTTGATTACTTCTTGACCAATTCTTTAGCAAGAAAATCAGTACTTTGAGATTGTTCTACCTATTTGTGTACTTTTTTTTTTGAATTCTATTCTTTTAAAAATATTTTCCTAACCTTTATTCTAATTGCAATGTCTGATTTCTTTGTGCATTTTTGGGTCATTTGGTAAATTTTTTTTAAAGCACTTCTACCTTCAAGGCATTGCTCTAATAAGACTGGATATTAGATACAGCAATGGACAAACCAGGGCGGATACTCTCTGCCCCTTGGAGTCTAATTCTACTGGGCCAGCCATGCAATAAGTTAAGCAAACCCACATATTAACAAAATAATTTCAGATAGTTAAACATTCAATGAAAGGAACAAAAAGGGTACTATGAGAGAGACAAGCAGCTGTAAGAGGGACTTTTAAAACAAGTCTGAAAATGACAATTTAAGGCTGAGATGTGACAGATGAGAAGCCTGTCAGGCCAAGGGAGAATTAGAAAAAAAGGTTCAAAATCCATAAGCAGACAAGAACTTGATGTATTCTAAGAGTTTTCAGGGGCCAATGTGGGTGAAGGAAAATGAGAGAAAATGAAAAAAGCATGAGATAATGCAGAAGAGATAACAACAGCAATATTATTGACTAGTGTTTATTGTGGACTTTCTATTGCCAGATACAGTGCAAATTAAGTGCTTTGCAAACTATCTCACTTAATTCCCACAACAATTATATGAAGTAAATGTTATTATAAGCACTTTACAGACAAAGAAACTGATGATTAGAGGTTAAATAGGTAGGATCCCAATCACAAAGTGACTTATAGGACATGATAAGGTAATTCAACTTTTCTTTTAGTATAATAAGAAGCCATCAAAAGATTTTAGACAGCAGAGTGATAAGATTTGTTTCTATTAATATAAAAATGTACCCTGAATGACAGATGAACATCATGTTGCTTAATTTCCTACTCTTCTCTTTATATCTGGTTCGTTTTGTGCCCACTAGGTTATGAACCCATCTGGGACAGCAGACCATATTGATATTGTTTATCACTCTACATCCAGTGCTTAGTATAGTGTTTAACATATTGTGGCTGCCCAATTAATACATATTGAATGGCTGTACTTGATACTTGCTAATTTCCACTTACTTGTATTCTGATTTGAGTTACTAACCTTAAACATGACATTGGTCTCTGTTTTTTGAGTACCATAACACTATTCCAGATTCCTTTTATCTTTCCAGAGATTTTTATAGGAAGGAAATTGTATACAGTAACAGGTGTGCATTGTTCTTTTTGGGCTTTATTACAATGATTGTGGCAAAATCCATAGTAGCCGGGTATCTTAGTCTGTTTGGGCTGCTATAACAAAATACTGTAGGCTGGTGGCTTATAAATAACAGAAATATATTTCTCTGAGTCTGGAGGCTGGAAAAGTCCAAGATCAAGGTGCTGGCAGATTTGGTGTCTGGTGAGGGCTGGTTTCCTTGTTCATAGATGGTACCTTTAAACTGAATCCTTACATCTAGAGAGGGTAAGGCAGCTCTCTAGAGACTCCATTATAAGGGCAGTAATTCCATTCATGAGGGCAGAGCCATGATAATCACCACCCAAATACTCTACCTCCTGATACCATCACACTGGTGATTAGGTTTTAGCAAATGAATTTTGGGAGGACACAAGTAGTCAGACCTGGGGAAGAAGTGGAGATGAAGGCTGCAGACAGAGGTGTCAGGTTGGAGGCCACAGAGGTTAAAAGGATAGGAACCATCAGGGCAGAATCCAGGGTAGCTAGCAAAGAAAAATAATGTCTCGCAGTTTCTCTGAGCACTGCAAGGGCTCATTCCACCCAAGGACCCCTATTCTGTCTTGACTTGATCATCAGGCTATGTAGCTGAGTCTTTTGCGCCCCACTGAGTTAATAATACTTAAATAATAATTGTATCTATTTTGCTGAATATAACAAACTGAGTAAGTGCTGGTTGAAGTAAAGCTCATAAATTAGAATTCAGTCCCTTTATTTATTGTAGAATTACATCCACCTTGAAAAAAAAGAATTAAAGGCAAAAAATTCAAGTATTTTTCTCATTATGGGCTACATCACAAATTTTGAAAAAAATAATTTATTAAATATAATAACATTGCATCCAGCAGTTGCTCAGTGTTAATCAGAATGCTAGATTTTGCTATTATAACAAATTAATCTTAAACTTCATTTCCTTATCATATGCTCACACAGACTGAACTCTAGTCTGCATAGTTTCAGTCCATATTCCTGGATGATAGCATCTCCACCATTTTAGCGCAGCACCCTCTGAAACATGCAGCATCTTTGATAGTTGGGAAAGAGATATAAGAGAATCGTGGGTGTAATTTCTACCTCCTCAATCTGGAAATGATCTTATTTTACCAGCCAAAACTAGTAACATGCTAGTGTTGAACTGCAAGGAGGCTAACAAATATGGGCAAGCAGATGGAATTCAGTTGAGCATCACACATATTCTACAGTGCTCTCCAAACATACCATTTTCAGAAGGGTAGCAAGTCTAAGACTTTTAGTTGATAGTAGAGGGATCATATTCCACCTTGTAGTCTGTACTTTCAGTTTCACTTCTGCTTTTCTTTAGAGTCAGGATACATTGATTATTATACAGTCACTGGAAGCACCAGATGTATTTCCAAAATTCCTGTTCATGCAGAATATTAAATAAACAGATGCCATTCCTCATTAGGAATTTATATGCCTTCTTGACTAATATAAAATGTATCAACTCATTTCCAAATTAAGGATTATTAAAATCGATATTTCTCATGGTCTTATTGTAGTGTTCTCTAAGAAGGGTTAAGCCTAAAGCTTTTTTGGTCCCAAGTGTATTGTTCATATGCTGATTGATTTGGAACATAACTTTAAGAATTGTGAAACATCTTCCAATTTTTTAATGAGAATCAGTTGTGCTGTTTCTTAAATGATATACTGTGTTGGCACAATATCTATATGGTGTCATCATTATTGTAATATCGAAGATTCAGGCAAATGTTCAGTTGTGTTTTCACTTATTTTGGAAAATTGGATTACATCAATAAATTTACCAGGAAAAATAACATGACTTAAATATTTTCTAAAAGTATCTTTCAAATACGGTTCTAGGGTTCAAATTGAACATCATTATAGAGTGTTTTTGAAGATGTTGGAAAGCCATCTGTAGCAAGCTGTCAAAGGAATTTTTGTATCAATTGGGAGGTCAAACTGGAGGACTTCTGGATTTTCTTAGAAAGTTCCATTCATCTCCACAGTTCTTTTGTTTATATGAAAAAAAAGATATTAACCCAATGTTCATCATAAAAAAATAGAGAAATAAATTGTGAACGATTCACACTTAGTATATTACACAATAGTAAAAGTAGAGTACAGCTACTCGCAATAATATGGATAAACTTTTACATATAATGTGAATGAAAATCAACTTCTAGAACACTACATAGAATGTATAATTTTTATGAAGTTCAAAACAAGGGCTTCATTAGTCTATACACGTGACAAAACAATAAAATACAAAAATAGAGAAATATATTCAGAATCTTGGTTAGTTATGCTAGTTTGGGGAAAGTCAGGAGATTCAATAGTGAAGGTGCATATTAGTATGCTTAATGGTATTGGAATTTTCTATGTCTTACGTGGAGTATGTTCACAAGTGATTATTTTATAATATACTTTATAACTCTTACATTCCCTACATTCTTTCGTATCTAATTGTACATAATAAAAATGTAAAATTAAGGAAAAATTATTTCCTTTTTTTTTTTGAGATAGAGAGATTTGCCGTATTGTCCAGGCTGGAATGCAGTGGCACCGTCATGGCTAACTGCAGCCTCCTCCTCCTGGTTTCAAGCGATTCTAGTGCCTCAGCCACCTGAGTAGCTGAGATTACAGGCATGTGCCACCACACTGGGCTAATTTTTTGTATTTGTAGTATAGATGGGGTTTCACTATGTTGGCCAGGCTGGTCTCGAACTCCTGGCCTCAAGTGATCTGCCTGCCTCTGCCTCCCAAAGTGCTGTGATTACTGGCTTGAGCCACCATGCCTGGCCATTTTCTATTTTTGAATAATAATGTCAATCAACAGTCTGGTTTGTTAATTGACATTATACCTTTTTGGATATTGTAGTGACAGATGATGGTTCAAGCCTACTAAGCAGAATTTATTGGGCCATAGGTCTTTAATAAATATCCTGACATAATTGATTTTGTATTTGCAAATACTTTCATAACTCCTACATATTTTCCCTATTTCCATTAGCTTCTCTATTTTTTTCCCGTTAGTTCTAATCTCCAATTTCCAACTAAGCTCTGACTCCTAGGATGGGCTTTACCTAGATTTAGTGTCAGAAATTGCTTGACTCTAACATAGTTAGGATAAAACCTCAGGTTATTCCAAAATGTTTTGGTTGGGAAGCAAGCAACAAAACAACCACTTCTCTTTGTCTACCAGCTATGTGTTCTTTGGTTTTCCATCAATTGTTGAACGTGTTGATCCTGCTTTCCTTACTGCTTCTTCTAATATCTTTCAATCCTTATCCTAACAACCATTGTGTCAATTAAAAAAAAATGATAAAAATGCCACTTTAAAGATTTGAAGGGGGAAGTAGATGCTCCCACCTCTTTCTCCATGGCTACTTAGGGTCTGAAGTTATTGATGAGTATTGTATTTTGGCCTTAGTTATTGATGAATGTTGTATTTTGGCCTTTCTGGGACTCCAGTATTAACCCATGTGCTGGGAACTTATGCTGCCAGTGCTCTCAGCTGGCTTCATTTTTGCTCTTTTTATTTCTATCTTGGTACTGAGAATACAAAGGGGCATAACTTGTAGTTCTCAAGATAGGAAATGACAAATATGCAGAAAGGATTAGAAATTTGGAATCTATGTGATTACTTTTATACTTTCTTAGTTTTGCAATTTGTGGTACAAATTATTTACTATTATAAACATCAATTGAAATTGTTCTAATTAATGTAGATAGAAAAGAGAAATAAATAAAAGGTAGACTCATATAACTAAATTTCAAAAATCTGTTTCTATTATCTATCCTCTTTCTGGTGATTTATATTTTGTTTTAATTCAAAATATAAAATGCAGGTTTTTTTGTGTTTTTTTTTTTGAGATAGAGTTTTGCTTTTGTCACCCAGGCTGGAGTGCAATGGCACGATCTCAACTCACTACAACCTCTGCCTCCCAGGTTCAAGCGATTCTCTTGCCTCAACCTCCTGAGTAGCTGGGATTACAGGCGCCCGCCACCTCGCCTGGCTAATTTTTTTTTTCTTTTTTTTTAATTTTTAGTAGAGACGGGGTTTTACCACATTGGCCAGGCTGGTCTCGAACTCCTGACCTCAGGTGATCCGCCCACCTCGGCCTCCCAAAGTGCTGGGATTACAGGCGTGAGCCACTGCACCTGGCAAAATGCAGTTTTTTTAATACTCTTTTTTTCTGACCCAGGCACTTCTCTTCCTATAGAGGGCAATTGTAGAATTGACAGGACAACAGGTTGTGAGCTCTTCTAACTGAACCTGCTGGAGTTGGGGGAGTGTGTATTTCCAGCTATTGCCCAGAATCCTGAATTCTGAGCTGGTTCTGAATTCTAATGTGACCATTACAGACAGAACATGGCGGCTAGAAGAGATTAAGAGCTCATGAGAACAGACCCAGTAAAAAAGACGATGGGAAGAGAGTGTTGTTGTTTTGTATGGTCTTTATTTCTTTGGCATATGTGGTAAATAAAAATAAGAACTAAGCAGTATATATTGGAGAAAATGAGTATTTTTTGTCACTGAAAACATTTAATAGACAACTAACAGAGATGAGCAGAGATGAGTTAAATTATAAAATTAAGAGAGTAAAAAATGATTACGTATATTTCAAAGTTTTAATCCTTTTGTATATTTATTGTTTCCCACGTTGAAAACTATATATAGCAAGTTATGGCCCTTCTAAATTTTTCCACCACGAAGAAGTATAATGAGCAGAAATGAAGAAGACTGAGGAGATAACCTATTTTTTAGTCTAATTCACTAGTTACTGTTTTTCAATTTACCCTATTTTTCTCCTTCAACCTTTTTAAGGCTACAGTTTCTGTTACTTTTCTGTTTTATTTCACTAATTTTTTTAAATTTTTTTCTTATTTAAGAAAGCACTTAACCACTTTTTCTATCTCAGATATTCTAAAATGTAATTTCATTAATTTTATTAATCATAGAATTTCTGTAACTAATATTTAATATTGTGTTTGACAAGAGGTTATAGGGTATTTTTATTTTTGTAGCTATTAATTTATTGACATTTTGCCTTGTGGGCCATATATTTTGTTTGCTTTCTTCAGATAATTGGCAGCCTGAAAGGTATAATATAATCCAATACAAACCTAACTAGCTAATAGAATTTGATAATTCAAAGAATAAAGACGATGAATAATTTAGAAATTAGAGGTGAGGAAAAATGAGAAAAAATTGGAGATGACATAATGTTTCCAAAATTTGGTCAAAATTATGGCAAGAGAAGAAAAATGAGTCCAAATGGGAGAAGAGGTACTTGAAAGAAGAAAGAAGAAAAAGTAGGAACTTGATGTTCTAGTGGTCAAAATGCTTTCTTGGGTAATTCCTAGAAAATATGCCTAGGAGCAAAATGGACACTAATTACCTACTTACTGGTTCTATACCAGTGCAAAACATTCATTCCTCACCAAACCCAAAAGACCAATAATCAAAACTACCATAATGGTCCTAGTCCTGTCTACATCTGAAGGTGAAAAGAAGTGTATTCTCCTCATTTTTCAGATGAGTCAACCATAACCTTTGAAGAGTGCCTGGGACATAATGATTGCTTCAGAATAGATTTATAAATGAATGAGTAGTTAAACCAAGGTCAAACAGCTGGTATCAGGAGAAGAATTAGGGGTAAGTGATCCTTGTCTCCTGCCTCTTTATGCCTTAGTCTTTTCAATACACCATATTCACCTATGATTTTCATTATTTCAGGAAATATGACAGACTTAAACTTTCACTTTATTGAGTAGGTTATTGTTTTGTTTTTGCGTCTCCTAGTTTAAGAAAGAGAAATAGAAACAGCCAAACAAAACACTGGTAGGCATTGACAACAACAACCTTAAGGAAACATGCACTAAGAAGGATTGCAGAGGCATGAGGTGGTGAAGTCCAGGGAGTACAAATAATCTCATATGCATCTGACTACTGCACTCCAACAATACACACAAGAGTTGAATATCACTCAGGTAGAATAATTTCATATGGTACAAAGATATAATATAGGTTATATATACAATACCATCTCTAGTGGTTTGATGGAAACTTTATGGAACACTCAGTTGAAAAAAAATTCAATAGTCATGCATGAGGTCCACAGGAAATGTATCAGATTGATTAAGAATGTCTGTTGTGGTTATGGATAGTGATACAGCATTATGAATATCATAAATATTCAACTCTTTCTTATTATATTTTTTATTATCACTTTTACATTATTCAGTGAATTAACTTGCCTGACAGAAGACTAGGGCATAGTTAACTCTCTCTCTCTCTCTCTCTCTCTCTCTATATATATATATATTCAACATATATATATATATGCAACATATATATTCAACAAATATATGGATATTCAACAAATATATGGATATATTTTTGTTAAAATAAGCACTTCACTAATAGAAAGGGCTATATAGATATTTGATGAATTATATATAATGATTAAAGATTCTTGATGTATACTGACAGGAAGATATATTAGAAAAAATAAGAGAATGTCATTCCATGGCATCACTCACTGCATAGTCTATCACCTGGAAGTGAAAAGGAAGAAAGAGAGATTTCTTTACCAAGGGAAAGATGATTGACATTGTCTTCCATACCAATAGTCAGGTGAAAAATGCCTTTTAATTGCAATATTTTAGAAAAGTTCAATTCAGTCTACATTTTGAAAATTTGGGGGATGAAGTCAATTAAAAAGTACAAGAGAACTAGCTTAAACTTGTGGTTGATGCGGTTGCACCACTCAGTGACATGTGGGACAGATTCCTGGATGAAAGAAACCATCACCCAAGTTTAGAATTCACTGGATCCTGTGGCTTTTGAGATTTGAACCTAACCTGAACTTTTTGGTGTGTTGTATTTTCCTTTTGTTTCCTGGCAAGAGAACGTGTGTGTGTGTGTGTGTGTGTGTTTGTGTATTTGTACTCATTCTACAGTTGGTAAAAATTATTGTAAAGCCAACTGGGAAATAGGTTTTTGAATACACTTTGATGAGTTAACCATAAATAAATTAATATCAAGAGGATTAAATTTCCATTAAAATATATAAATATTTAAAAATTGAAGGGAAAGATACCTAGAAAAACATAATTTAGGTTTTACCCAAACCAGAACATTTGTAAAAATAGCTAAAAATACTAGATGATCTCAAATTGTGGTCTAGCTCAAAACCTTAAGTTACATTGTTTTCCAATATTCAGATTCCCTATGATCCCCAAGCAATATTAGGTAAAACTATTGCTCCTCAGGGAAGAGAATTTCAAATCTCTGATTTTGGTCTCCCACTCATTCATCAGGCCTCATTGGGACCTGTCCTTGGTTGGATAACATATAGGGCCACCATGCAAGTTCTAAGAGCCACCTGGGAGAAATAATTAAAATCATGTGGCTAAGCTCTTCAAAACATATAGAAAAATTGATATGCCTGTCCCTGTGGGAGGAAAAGAAATCCACAAGAATAATGATCTTAATGGTGCCTTGGTGTTGCTTGACTTTCAGTGTATACTCTGTAGTGCAGCCAAATCTCCTGATCCGAAGGATTGTAGTGTTGGCTAGCAGAAAAGTAAAATAAATGTATGAGATATGAGACATTGTTTGCATGTGATTTTGTGAGAATATCATCTTTTTAAGTAGTATGTCTTTTGTTAATCTACTCAGTCTATTGTGTCACTTTATATTTTTTAAAAGATAGCATTTTAGTTTAACATGCTAGAGTAGAAAGGACATGGGATTTGGAATTAGACAGATCTGACTCTGTCCTTGAATAGCTGAGTGAATTGGGGCAAGCATCGTACCTGGCACACTGTAAGGGGATGTTAATTCTACCTCGTAATGTTACAGTTGTGAGAGTTTGAGATTTTATATAATCTGGTATAATGTAGGTGGTCAATAAATGCTAGTTATTACTTTTTATTTTTTTATCTTATAGCTTCAGAACTTTTATGTGAGAGAAAAATATATTTTAAAAGAAATAAAATTTCCTCATGACTGTCAGCATTTCTTTAATTTTCATACAGTGGGCCAGATCACTAGGCATTTGATACAAAGGACATCAGAATAGAACCTCTCCTCCCTACTGAAGGATCTTAAAAAACTGTGACAAATTAGAAAGCAAATTAAGCTTCATCGTAAAAGAAATAGAAACTAGGATCTCATATTTAGAATGATTCCTTGCCAGTGTTTGGGTTATGCCAGCATTCAACACTGTTCTTTGGTTCTGTTGTAACATCCAGCTGTTATGATAACTCTGAAATAAGTAGTGAATTTCCATTTTTGCAGTTTAACTTTTGAACTTTATAACCATTAAATGGGAAGCAATATTCTGGAATCTATAGTTTGGTTTAGCAAAGAAGAAATGTTTTCTGTTCTCTGCAGGCCTCACTTAGACCTGGATATTGCTGATTGTCCTGAAATATGTATATTCATTCAAGAAGCCTAGGGTAATACTCCTACAGGCTTAGAGGATGCCTGATATTACAGAGCTTTCAGGAAGTCATCATATCTATATATATTATTAGTCAGTTTTATACTAACTTGGGCACTTGGAAGGTACATATTTGCTTGCCTATTTTCTTTTCTGGTATTTCGGGTCCTAACAAAAGAGCACCAGTGACTACTTATCTTTACTGTAAATTTATCTTTTACACCATATTGTGTGTACATCCTTACTGTGAAGCCATTAAACAATAGATTTGTCTAATTCTGCTTGCTCATATCCATGCTCACCAAGCAAGTGTGTCTAATAAAGGTGTGCAAAATGTTATACTGCCATTAAAGGAGCATTGATTCACATGACCACAAGGTGAGGTCCCAAAATAGGCCATCTGCAAGCTGAGGAGCAAGGAAGGCAGTCCGAGTGCCAAAGCTAAAGAACTTGGAGTTCGATGTTTGAGGGCAGGAAGCACCCAGCACAGAACAAAGATGTAGGCCAGAAGACTAAACCAGTCTAGTCTTTCCATGTTCTTCTGCTGGCTTTTATTCTAGCCATGCTGGCAGCCGATTAGATTGTGCCTATCCTGATTGAGAGTGGGTCTGCCTTCCCCAGTCCACTGACTAAAATGTTAATCTCCTTTGGCAACACCCTCACAGACACACCCAGGAACAATACTTGGCATCCTTCAATCCAATCAAGTTGACACTCAATACTAACCATGACACCTCTCATCAGATTATAGCCTGATTTATACGAGACTTCTACCTGACTTTTCTCTTTTCTCACTCATCTTATCAATTTGTGTCTGCCATAATCATAACTATAATAATTCCTGTAAGTGCCTACAATAGTTCCTTATTGTCTACTACTATAAAACTTTGGGATTTAATTAAAAGATCTCCAAGAGTTTGGAATTAAATTTTTAGAAATGCATCTGAGTTAAACTATAAAATCAGGTGAATATAGGTGAGGTGTGTCAGCTGAAATGAGTTCCTGGTAACCCATTTGAAAATGCTCATGTATCTTGTCAAAGACTGAGACTCTCAGAAAGAGGAATTTGTCACTCCTAGACACACAGAGAAGAGATGAGTATCAAATGTATCTGTTGGCAACATCTATCCAAAGATAATCCAAGGAAAGGGAAATTGTTCGTCCAACCTGGAATATTTCAATTTCTAATGACAGAGATATTGCTAGAGTGCAAATAAATATGGGAAGTTGTAATCAGTGGGTTTCAGATCACACTGCCAATACCATCCTTATTGTGAAGCCATTAAACAATAGATTTGTCTAATTCTGCTTGCTTATGTCCATGCTCACCAAGCAAGTGTGTCTAATAAAGGTGTGCAAGAATGTTATACTGCCATTAAACCTTTCTTGTCCCTGTAACAAAAGTTGCTTCTGGAAATTCAGTAAAACTGTGTCTGATTACTATTTAGCTTCCTGGTTTAGTTATTTTTGTTTGATTACATTCCTAAGAGTACCCCAGATTTACTCAGGCATCTATTCTCTTTCTTGTGATCATAGGCTTCTTAGAGGCTGGAAGCAGCCTCCAAGCAGGGGTGAATCCTTATTTGTCTACACTGATCAATGATTCCCATTTTCTGTGCCAGCAACTTGTCTAGGCCAGAAACAGTTCTAACCTGTGAGATATAAAGGCAGTTAACTGGTGGATCGCAGGAAAGATTCCTCATCCCTTCATTTGGTGCAAATGAAAGCATGCCTTCTACTTCTTAAAGGCTTTGTCTTCTGTATGATACTTCAGAGTTCTGCAATGACCCCACAAGGGGAGCTAGCTGAGTATCAGGCAGAGAGAGACAGAGAGAGAGAGAGAGAGAGAGAGAAGAGAGAGAAAGAAACTGTGGCCTTGATGACACTATCATCCCCTGAATTAATTAGCTCTGGACTTGCTCTACCTCTATGCTAAAGCATAAAACATGAATTAAGACTTAGGTTTGAACTATCTCAGTTTAAGGCAGTATAGTATTGAGTTAAGAGCATGGGCTCAAGAACCAACTGTCTTATTGTGAATCCTGGCTTTGCCAAATCCTCAATGCATGAATGTGGGGGAATTTAATATTGTTGTGCCTCATTTTCCTTATGTTTGTCATATAAACTAAAAGTGTTAATACAAAGTAAAGAACTAAGAATTTTTATAAATTGTAAGCTTTTCATAAATATTAGGGAAAAAATCTTATGGCGGAAAGCAATGTGATTGATACACTTCCAAGTAGTTGAACCACAGGGAGAAAATATAAGATTCCTGCCAACATGGATATTCCAATTCTTCTATGTATTTCTTATTTTAAAAGAATAAGTTGGCATTTTGATATCAGCCACAGTTTTATGTGTATTAAAGCTAACATGGGTCATTCTCTCAAGGTCTGTTAACCCCTTGGCATTGGAAATAATGAGTTTTGAACCTTAGAAGTAGTGGACCAGATGATCCAACAGAGCTGCCATCATATTGTTGTTTCCAAATACCTCTCTGCAGACCTGTGCAGCCTGTGATGAGATGTTCTCCAGCCTCCAGTAAAATGAAAATGTAAGGAGTGAGTTTTTCACAAGCCAAATTTCTACTTTAAAGGAACATCCTTTATTTTGAGATCATTTGCATACTCCATTTTTTGTTCCAGATTTTCTTAAATTTGCTTTAATTTATTAAAAGTTAAACTCCAAAGTCTTTCCATGGTCATTCCTGAACAATTACTATCCAGTGTGTTTCCTGAACTCCTTTTAGACAGGATTCCCAACTTTCCCCTGACCTAATTGAGCAGAACCTTCACATCCTATCAAAGTCCCACCCCTCAAGTATTTCTTGGAGGCCCTGGGATGTATTTAACGATGCCATCCCCATTGAATCTTTGGTGCTGCACACCAAGCCTGAGAATTATTGTCCAGGTTCCACTCCCACTACCATGAGAGGGCTGCTCCTGTCTGTTCTCACAGATGCTGCAGTTTCCTGCTGGCCCCTCATTGGCATCCACCAATGTCAAGTTGGGAAAACTGCCCTCTCTTCTTCTTGTTTCTTTCCAAGATGGCCCAAAGCAGCCTTATTTCAGGCTCATGTCTTTCATTTGGGTTCAAATACAGCCTCTGTGGTAGACTCACATGTTTACTCTCCTACTGTGGTTGAAATGAGTAACTGTGTCAAGTTCACCAGGCTTAGCCTGCTCTCCCCAAGGGGAAATCCTTTCCAGGGAACTTATTCAGTACCTCGTGTTTAAAGACTTTGGTAAAACCACTCACCAGTACTACCTGCCAGTGTGTCTGAACTAGAGCAATAGATGGAATATGAATTTTTTCCCAGAGGGTACAAATATATTTCCATCAGGCCTGTATCATCAGCTTGACAAATATACCTTAAGCCCAGCCATTGGTAGAAGTCCATGCACAGCTCAAGCAGAATCATGGCTCTCATCATTTAGGAAGTTTTGGAAATGGAAATAGTACCTAAAGAGCTAGCCTCCGGTTCTTGTCAATTATCCTTAGGCAAATTACTTAATTTATCGAGACCTTAGTGACTTTATGTGTAAAATGGGGATAAAAATAGTACTTACCTCCCATGTAAAGTAGATAGGTTAGTATCTTATAAGGGTACATAATAGAGCATATACAATAAATCTTTACATATATGTCAGATATTATTATTATGAGTATTAACTCTGTAACACTGCCTCCTAAGGTGGAAGCATATGAATATTCTTAATTGACTTGGGCTAGTGCATTCTGACAACACTTCTTTTAAAGACATACATAATGCCTTGGAAAAGAAAATTAATTAATGATGTTATATTACTATATTTACTTTAAACCTTATTCTGAAAGGTTTTTAAATACTCACAGAAGATATCTTGGAATATAATATACACATATATATCAATTAACTACTATAATGTCTTATTACTAGATGCATAAAATTGATAATAGCATTACATCAGACTGTGGAATATATAAGCTAATAGAAAGGAAAATTTTCTTAATACTACAGATTATCCTTACCCTTCTTGCTTATTTCCCTAGCAAGTGGCAGGGAAGTTCAAATGACTGCTCACATTGTATCTTTAGTTCAAGTCACGGCTCAACCTCACAGAGGTACAGCTGACAATTGCAGATGTTCATTAGTCATGGAACCATGGAGACAGACCCCACTGATCAGTTTGTAAGCTGTGGGCAGATCATGAAATTGTCTTGCCGCCATACAGATAAACAAAACATATGTGCTATTAGTTTAGAGCTGAAGATAGAATTTGCATGTGAACTTAAAAATCAAATGAGAAGCTACATAAACTGTAAAATTTTAGAGAGAGAGAAAAATATAATACAAACTTTGAGGACATAAATAAAGGTAAGTCGTAATGTAGAAGAGAGCCTCATGCTGGCTGAAATTATGTCTAGCATTTTACACTAGTGGATTGGACTGGCCAAAGGCTTGAAACCTTGTGGATTTGTGGCTCTTCAGATATGCTTCTGTATTGGAATGTGTTTGTGTTTGCCTTTATTTGTTTTTAATTAAAAAAAAAATCTTGAAGAAAGAGTTTCTGCCTTGGTAGATTTTCTTTGGAAACTCAGAAAGGGCTCTTGAGGGCTCTGTGGCTCTTTTGTGATGATAAACCAAAGCTTTGAGCTTGTCCCAGTTGGAATTCCAGACACTAAAGAAGCAAACTTTAATTATTATTATTGTTTTCTACAGAGCTGAGCCCCTTTCTGATTATTCAGGTTGATACTAATAGTCTTCTAAACATATTGCTTTTTTTTTTTCCAGCTAAACTAGGACTACAAAGCAAAGCAGGAGAAACTTCACAATAAGGTTTCAGAGGTGCCAACTTTTTGAGTCTCCATGGAATATACCTGTGGTGTGGGAAATGTTATTGGGAGGGAAATATTAATAAAAGCAGGGCCTGCAGTGAAAAACAAATTTCTCAAACTTGTAGAAGAGATTGTTACCTGGGAAAGATGGTAGCTGAGATAAACTTGGATTCTGTGAATGAATAAGTTTACCGCAATATCTGAATCTCTAAACCAATACATTAATTGATAATCATAGAATCTTAGAGTTTTAAGGAAACTTACAGATTTTCAAATCGAATCTTAATCTTCTGCAAGAACTAGCTGCACTATGTCTCCAATAGATTACTCAGTTTCTACTTAATCATACAATCTAGCAGAAATGTCACTATCATACAAGACAGCCCTTTCCAATTTTGAGCAACTCTGAAAGGAAGTCTAGCCTCACACTGGGCCAAAAGCTATTTCCTTTTTAACTTTGATCCACTATTCATAGTTCTATCCTCTGAAGTTACTTTTTCTTTCATGTAATACCTGTCAATTATTGAATGTAGTTATTATTTCGCTTATTCCCTAAATTCTTCCCATGTCAAGACTTCTAACCTCCTGCAACCATTTCTCTCCTTTAAATTAAATTCAGTCAAATTAACATTAATTGAATGTAACCATGGGCCACACTCTGTGGAAGAATCTCAGAATACAAAAATGATCTACAGTCTGTAGTCTTGAGAAGTCACAACTGGGACAGGGAGACTGAGAGACATACAATCTTATCACTGCAATACATTCTAACAAATGTGAAAAAGAGGCTTGCATAAGCTGGAGGTGGCCTGGAGTGATTAGATCTGCCGAGGGAAGCTGGGAAATCCATGTCTAAACAATAGCATTTTCTCACATGAAAAATTAAGGAAAGGCATTTCAGGTAAATCAAAGTATGTGTGTAAGACATTGCTGTGTGTAAAGCAAGTTGTGTTAGGAGAATGGGGCACACATACAGTATTTTAAAATTTTCAATATGAAGCTTCACTGGACCCAGACATTTTATTTACATAATCAACTAGGGGCTTTTTTCCCAATCTTCTAACCTGTCTTGAATTTCTATTTCCTTTTTAAAATGCTTATTTTTCCTTTTCTAGTGTAAGAATAACCTTATTTTACAGGGGAGAGAGAGTGACATAAAAATTAAGGATTTGGGTGATCTCACAATATTCTTGAACACCAGACCCTCCTATGCAAATCAACTGGTCTGTTTCTCTCTTGTCTTGATTCTTGCACCCCAAATAACTTTAAAGTACTTTCATTCTTCAGATTCTTAGCTCATCACAGGCTTTATCCTTACCAACACGATTCCAGTCCCACTCTTCCATTTGTCAGTGACCGTTTACCCTCCCTGTGTTTCTTATTTTTATTAATTTAAAATATTCCCTGAGAGAGTTATCAGTGCTTTTTAAGTGCATTACAATAGTTAATTATTTAACAATTATTAATCGTTGTTTCAAGAGCTTTAGATACATTATTTCGTTCAATCTTTACAATAGGCTTATAAAATGATTATTACTATTTTTCACAATTTACAGATGAAGAAATAAATTCTGAGAAGATACACAATTTAGCTACAAAACTTCATTTTAGTACTGGCTTTTTAAAATCTACATTGTACCTGCAAAACTGTGACTTTTAAATCCTTCCCATTTTTTACATCTTGGCCTTATTCATAATTGAAAGTGAGAAAATGTCATTTTTATTTCCTGCTAATGTTTTTTTCTATCCTAGAGTATATAACCATATGAGCAATCTTCTTTTTGAACATTTTGAAATCCCATTTTTGTTTTAGCCAAGCACTCATTGAACACCCCCAGAATGACCTCATGTGCAGATGCTCTACTGAGGTTCATAGCTGAGCCCAATAATTAAGAAATTAAACTGGGGCTCCTTTGGACGATTACTGCAATTCAAATGACTTATTTCTTGGAATTCATGGTTCTCATTTATACATAATTGCTTATTTTAAGTCATATGGCCAAATCAAGAATGATAGAGTAAGTACCAGAATTTAAACTTAAAATTACAAAATTAGAAAATTACAGGAATAAACATGAAGCACCTTCATTAATTCCTGAAATCTGGTATTTTTTGTACCTTTTGCTGATCTCCCAACTTTCCAGACTCCCAGGCCCTCATCCAACCCAGGGATGCCCATTGGGTAGCCACAGATATTACCATCTGTTAAGCTTTTAAATACCTCTGCCATTACTTTAGACCTAAAAATAACTCGGGCTTGGGATCATCGCAAACATTTGTTGGCAGATGCTAAAAATACAAATGGGAAATTCTGCTATATTAGCTTTTATAAGATGTAAAAAATGTGTTTTGTCAAACCAAAAGACATACTTAGGAGACTTGTGGGTAAGAAGGATGGCAACTTATTGGAAGACAACAAGGGGAAATTGAGCTGGAAGAGGAACAAACAGAAGTGAAGTTGGGGACTTTGTTAAAGGAAAGTACACTTGTTATTAGTCTGCACGATATAATTCTTTTTGAAGGAAAGTAAGCTTACAAAAGCAGGGCAGTGTCTGTCCTGCTTTTGTTCCTGAGAACATGAGAAAAAAAATGAGAACATACACATTCTATCAAATGATCAGTATATGAAGCAAATTATATCCTGTTAACAGGCAAAACTGGTACCATAGAGATGGTGATGGGTCTGAAAGAACACACAAGATGTATTAGAACAGATATGTACTTTTAAAATGATCTCCTATATAACTGATTTCCTTTTATAAAAGGAATCACTGAGAACTGTTTCTGATCTTGTTCCTAATTTTATTTCTTCTAATGTGAAAATGCCTATCAGGCATTTCTTATTGAAAACTAAAATAATGTCCTTGCCAATCCCAGAAGAGGAGAAAGGAATAACTCCTGGGGAGAAAGAAGGGGGAAGAAGAAGGTGTGAAGAGTGTTGAAGTAAAGGAATGCTGTTTTGGCATCTCATCCATGTCGGTGACAGCAGGTGCCACAGAGGAAAAGACAACCAAATAAAGGGCAAGGAAACCAGGAGAGCAGACACAAAGGGGGAAACAGATCCCTCTGCCCTGTGCCTCATTAATCTTGTCAAAAATACTTGCTGCTGAGAAATGCTAATCTTCTCACTCCCCAGAGTAGCCTCCCTCACAAGAATGTTTTAAAGGCCTGGTATATCTAATGACTGAGCCATTTAATAAATTACTTACTTACGTTACTATAAAAGCTAGTCCAGCAGCTGTAACCTACATGTAAAGCACTAAATCCTTTTACCTGATTTCTAAAGGTTTCTCTAAATCATATTTAGTGACAGGGTGAGGTACACAGGAATCAGGATTTAGTGGCAGGGCATACCTCATGCTGTTTCGAGTAGGTCAGGAGGTCTGACTTGGATTTCTTCCCAGTAACCTGATCTAGGTGAATCAGCAGGTTATAAATGAAAGTCAGTTTCTAAGATCTCCTGACTTTCTTCAACTATCAGGAACTTTATAGGAACCTGGTGAGAAACAGGAAAAGACCAAGAGATAATAAATAACATTGACCAATATTATGGTATTGCAATTTCTCTTTCCTAATACAATGTAAAATGTAGTGCCATTTTTGGACAAGCTAATTATTTGTATAGATTCCTGAGTTTGTTATTTTTGTTAGCCTGAATAAATATCTAAATGATTGGAAAATGTTTAAGAGCTGAAAGCCTTTTCTAGGTCACAAAGTATAACATTAGATAGTGGTTCTTCCAAGGGCAGGTTCTAATACTTTCATATGTTTCTATCACTCATTATATGAAAATTCCTCATTTTAAACCCTCACTTTAAATCACAGGAAGGAAGACAAGTTAGAAAAGGAGAACAAAGGAAACAAAATGTATTGGAAGACTTGTCACATTCAAAGTATTGACATTCATTGCCTAGCTTCATTCTCACGGCAACTTTTGGACGAATTAAACTTCTGCTCAAAGACAGTCACAATAGCTATAATAAAATTAGTGTTTGATTCTAGCTTTGTCTAATTGCAAAGCCTGAACTGGAGGTAAATGTCTGGTGTAAGCAAACTTCCACTGCCCCTTAAACCATACCTCACTGATAATTGTCTCTTGTCCTACCCATAGCCTGGTTCTGCACCACTTTCTGCACCAATTTATGTCGTATTTCTAAAGGTTATTTTTCCCTTCTTTATTACTATTTTCAGTTAAAAGATTTCTCAGTTAGCATGGCTTAGTAAATCAAGAACTTACATCTGTACAATCTCAGAGAAACCCAAGGGCATCACAAGCACCACTAGTGACATGTTTCCTTCATTGTAAATGGGCAATAGCACTTGCTGTTTTTGAATGCCATGAACACATTGGGAATATTCAGCTACTTTGTGGGTCAATATAGAAAAATTATATTAAATATGAAGAAACGGTCCCAATTTTCTCATCATATTGAAATGCCAATAATTATAATAGCTCACAGATATGTTATGAGGATTGACAAAGTACCACATGGAAAGCGCAAAAGGCAGCTCACAGCTTAGGAAAAGTGTTAAGTCAATACTAGCTTTTATTAATGATGTTTTTATACTTATGAGTAAGATTATTGGGTTCCTATTCTCTAAGAGTTCACTAGCTCCAGAACCACACAGTAAAATGCTTCCTCTCTTTATGTCCCTTCCAATGTCAATTTCACTGCTTCTGTTCTATATTCCAGAAGTGTGATTGGTGATTAATGAAGTAAATATAAGAATAAGCTCTAGATGATAAGAAACTGGTTATATTTGCAAATACAGCCCTCAGTAACCTGTATACTTATAAATAACCTGAGATTTCTGCCCCCATATGTACCAAAACAGTAACTGAAATATAGTTTCTACACACTCACCTCCCAACCCTTTCTTATCCTGTAAAATAACTAAACAGGAGACTGTATGATCATAGCTGAATAATAAGGCTCTGCCTGTATCGGTTACCTTTTTCTGAAGGTCCTAAGGTCCTAATGTGTTTCAGGAATGTCTACCTTTGACCTTGCTAGTCCATACTCTGAAACGTCTAATTTTATTTTTATGCTTTTTGTGTACTAGGGTGAGGGCAGGCAGGTAAAGGTTAGGTTGTGTGATATTCAGAGGCTGGAAACTGAAACCCCCTGTTTCTCACAGCACAGATGTGGTGCAGACAGCCCGGGCCTCTACATTTCCTCGCTGTGCCCTAAAAATGACCTTAACCCTGACATAGAAAGAGAAGCAACATCACTGTGAAAGGCTGTTGCTGGCTGGCTGTGTGAGAGGGAGCAGTTTTCTGAGTGTGGGGCTGTGTCCCATTGGCCTCTCCTGTGTCATAACACTTCCAGTCTCTCCAAGTTGACCTGGATCCTCTGAAGCCAAAGAAAGGTCAAAGTTAATTCTTTGTGCCCATCAAACTCATTTTATGAGTTGTTTTTTTCCATGAACCAGTGGGAAAATGATTCAAATCAATACTTTCTCTTCAATCTTAAAATATATTGGAAATAATTGTTTTCTTTTGGGGTACTTTTCCCAAACAACCTCTGCCTTTCTACCTTTTGCTTTATTCTAATAAATAAATAAAAATATATGCATATATATGTATACATGTTCATATATACAAAATAATCAAACCAAAACAACAATCACCTCGACAAACTGTGTTTCCTTTGAATTGCTTATTTTTATATATTTCATATCTTAACAATTGTAAATCTAAATGATAATAAAAAATATATTTTTAGCTTCTTTAAAGATTTCAAATTCTTGTTTTTCTTCTCCATTTAAGACAGATGTTTATTTTTATATGATGTCTAGGTTTTATAAAGTCCAGGTAAGAGGATGCTTTCATTTTTTCTTTCTATATTTCTCATGATAGAATAATGGAAAGTGATCAAACCGGGAAATGGAAGAGTTTAAGCAAACGGAATTTTTTTACCAAATTATTAAAACAACATGGACAGGTTTTCTTTTTTAAAAAAAAATGACTGACAAAGTTAGTTTTGTAAAGTATTTCTTGCAACTATTTAATTAAACTCAAGTCTCATGTAGTATAATTCAATTCTTATGTAGTGTAGCCTCTTCTTTGCAAGAAAGCATCATTTTAGGGTAAGAGCCATTTCTCAGATGTTCACCTTACTTTCTGTAGTAAGGCTTCAACATGCTTGTGACTGCCTATAACCCTATCTTCATCTTTCAAGGCCTGTGGATACTGAAAACAAAACAATGAAAGAACAAGACCTCTGATAGATTTCATGGGCTTCTTGGAGGACCAACGTCAGTCAATGGAAGTGTGATGACTTATCAGAGGTAAAGTGGTCCTCTATTGTTCTTTGCTCAGAAAGATATTTAAGAAGAAAATCCATTTCTATTGCAAATTTATTCCTAAGCCATTGCTCTGTTAAGCATTTGTATATGGAAAGGGATACTGATGAATTGTTTTTGAATATTCTAAATAATAAGAACTTATGTAAGCTGATGACTAATCACAGATTTTAGGGCAGTATGAGTTACATTCAAGTATACTTAAAAGGTGACCTTTCAGTTCATTCTCAAAATCTTGGCCTGTGCTCTATGAATGGCAGGCCACTAACTTTAGACATGCTGTTGTGGTTCATTTTAGGCTTCCTTGGTTGCAGTACAGAAGATGCAATGCCAGCAGTGCTTTTTCAGGAGCTCCCTCTGAAGAAGATCATGGCTCAGTTACCATGGACACCAAGAAGCTATGCAGCTTTTTATTCTTTTTACTTCCTTCATTATGTGCCCTCCCAGGAAATATATTTTCATTAGTAACTAGGTTTTGAAACTTTTGCCAAGACACCAGCCTAACCTATTGCTCTCTAAACAAATACCTTCAGTATCTAATACATAGGTATATGCCAGTCTGAGCCAACTGTGCTATTAGGAAACTAATAAATACTCCTTTGCTTCCTATTTAATGAGAAAAAGCACGACAATATTGCTCATGCCAGATCAGGTTTTGATTGGTATGTGCTTATCCTTCATAAACAAATGTATTTTATATGAAAAACCACAGGGGAAATATTTTTATTTATTTTATTAGTTGTACAAAAGCCATGTTGGCAACTGAAGAACCAATAAAATAAAATTGTCTCATGTGGTTCTTATTATGGAATCAAATAGTAATGTAAAAGGCAAGCACACACCAATCATAATTCCATCTGGCTGAAAGAACAGGAAAATGTGGCTCCATTTTCATTAGGAAAAGGAGGCATATATTTCATAATGTGTTCAAATGTGGCTCTAAAGGTACTCCCAGTACACTACTGCATTTTGTACCACTCATGGGGTGCCATATCTACTGATGCAGGTTAATGTAATCAAAGTGACTTGAAAGGAGAGGACTGCTGTTAGCCTTGCATCTGCATTAATAGAGCACCAACAGAAGCTAGAGCAACATTTCTTGGCATTCTGGAAAGAAATGCATGTTGAACCAGTAAGCAATATGTATAGCCCTTGCAATATACACTTGGCATATTTGCAGCAAGTAAGTTGCCATTCATGTAACCACCAAAAATACATTCCAGAATGTTTACTCTTTTCAGTAAGCAGATAATACCATTCAAGCTCTGGACTTAAAAGATTGCATGCATAAATATTTTCTAAATTCCTTTAGTGCTGTTTTTGGTTTATCTTCAAGGAAATATAAGGGTAGCTATTATCAATAGAAGGTAGGTATTCATTTGTAAGAGGTTGGGTCAGCAAGACACTGCTCTATTGAATCATATCTGGGACAACATGGAGTGGTCATTTGGGCCTCTGGGAAGTGTGGCATGGAAGAGTAGTTCTTTATTAAGAACAAGAAAGTAGCTAGCCCTGAGAATAAAGGTTGATTTGCTTTGCTGAAACTGGTTTTCCAGCCTCTGTTGGTGATTTGTTTTTGAAGTCTTGCTTTTTTTTCTTTCTCTTAATCTGCTTGTGAGTAGATGACTAAGTGATCACGTCACCTAGAAATATGTGTGAGTCTCCTGATTTTTGACTCATGTGTGCCACAACTAGGATGGAATGATTTCCCTATCCTGAACTTGTTTGGGAGTGCAGAAAAAATGATGTAAGTTTTTGACATATTTTGTTAAATAGGTATGAGACTTATGTATGACACATTTACTTGGCAGAAAAGTAAGTGCAGGAGGGGATTCAAGTCACACAAAAGCTCTGGATTTATAATCCTACTTAAACATCTATACATTTTGTAAATTCACTTAAAATATAGAGTCAGCAGACAAAAATTGAAACTTATGACTAAAGTAAATGTTTTTGAAAAGTTAATATGGTGTTTTCATTAACAGCATCCATAATTACTAAATGTATCCAGAATCTATACTACTGGATGTGTTTATTTGGTAACCAAATGTCTGATCAAATATATTATTGGACCTGAAATAGCCTCTCCACTGGACACTAGTCAACCATAGAATATGACGTTTGGCTAGTATTCCTAAGAATCTAACAGTAGATGCTAAGTGGGAGGAAAATTTGTTTGCCTTCTTAGGGTTTAATTATACCTGGAACAATTGGAGGCCGTATATAAAAGGGACTGACCAGCTTCTGACACTATTTTTCTTCTTCTTTACTGAGAAAGGCTGACAAAGAAACACTAGTGAGGTCCTGGCTTTGGCATCAGGAAGTCCTGAATTTGAATACTTGATCTGCCACCTAATAACTGATTTATTAACCAGATGCTTTTCCTTTGGAAATCCAATGAAAGGATAGATCTTGAATATTTTTGCTTACCATTTTATCTCCAAACGATCATCCTGTGTAAGGCACAAATTAGATGTTCAATATATAGTATTAGGGAAAAAAAGTGAAGGTAAAAATATCTCTAAACTTAATTTTTCTTATTTTCCTAATTTATAAAATACTAACAGTTTTTTTTGACACAGGGTTTTTCTGTGTTGCCCAGGCTAGAGTGCAGTGGCACAATCACGGCTCTGTAGCCTTGACCTCCCAGGCTCCGACTATCCTCCCACCTCAGCCTCCCAAGTAGCTGGGACTATAGATGCATGCCACCACACCCAGCTAATTTTTGTATTTTTTTCTAAAGACAGGGTCTCGCCTTGTTGTCCAGGCTGGTCTCAAACTCCTGGGCTCAAGCGAGCCACCTGCCTAGGCCTCCCAAAGTGCCAGGATAATAGGAGTGAGCCACCATGTCTGGCCACTAATACTTATTTTACAGGGTTATTTTAAGGATTAAATGTGATATTTTATGTATAAAACCTAGAATATTTCTTAACATAACACAGGTGAATGCTTAAAAGGTGTGATGGTAATTATTTATTTGATAGGCTATACACCTATATATGAAATACTTTAATTTTTTCTCTATCTGATGCCTTCCTTGACTGTACTTAACAATTAATTTGCCCCTTGAAGGTGAAGACGAGGTACATTTTGAAGAAAGAAGAAAAAGGATGGGGACTTAGAAATAATATCATATACATTTGAAAGACACACACAAACCAAAATATTTTTCTTTTACAAAATGCCCAAACCCTAACCAATGTTAATATATCTCCATCAAATGCCTAGAAGGCTTTTTTATATACAATTCAAATATGTGTAGATTATATTGTAAAAAAAAATTTTCAATTCTATTGATTTGAATTCAATAGGAATGAAGAGAGGGATAAACAATGGCAATTTTTTTTTTTTTCATGAAGACAACCTTTTTGTCTTGAGCCCTTTTAGCCATGTAATGTAGATCAGCATGAGTAAGAAAACAGACCAGGATGGAAAAGGAAGTATTGGTCATTTTAATGTTGTATTACAGGGTGACTAGCAACAGAGTGAGGAAGGGAACAGAGAAGTAGTTTGGTGAGGTCAATAGCACTGCAGATATGGGAGGTAAAAACGAAGCAAACTTAACCCTACAGGGTATGCCTGCCAAGAACCGCCGCCTTCACGGAATTGCAAGACAGCAAGGATGGAAGGCACAGGTTTTCTGTACCAACTTTTAGGGCTTTGTACATGAGTGGCCCCAGGCCTCCTGTGTATGGGCCACTGATTAATCCTTTGAACAGCATTGCTTCTGTTTTCCGAAAGCTGGGCTGGAGCTCAGCGCAGCCGCCGTGCCAAGCCACTAGAAAGGAAAACCAGAACCGGCGCTGATCTTTCAGCACTGTGTTCCCATCTACAATGTTTATTTCTCTAAATCTTTTAACAATTAAAATACTCTCAATTAGTATACAACCATCTTTATGATTTGCTATATTCTTTCAACTTTCAGTGTAACATTATTTATTTTAACTTCAATTTACTTTTGATGTGGTGCATGTATACAATTTACCACAGAACCCGTTTTAACATTTAACAGCACGCTTCCTTTTTCCTTCCTCAAACTATTTTAAATCACATGTTTTAAATTTTCATTGGATTCAGATATGTTTTCAGCAGATAGACAGTAAAACAAACAGAAACAAATTGATTTTGGTAAACAGCAGAGATGTAACACGAAGCAAAAGTTCAATTTATACTTTTCATGTTTTGCTTACCCATTTTTTTTTGACAAAGGGTACAATTTTTTATTTTAACAGATAAGATCATCTCAACTAGAGGCAATAACCATACTATTACAGTCTTGTTTTTCCTTCGTTTGAGCCGATGGTCTTATCTTTGAATTATCACACCATGTTAAGATTTCTTTAACAGTTAGTACATGGTTGGGTGGGTAATGGTTGTACTACAAAATCTCGTGTTTATTTAAAATACAAAGAGCATAACTACCACCATCAGCATCAACACCAAAAAATTCCTTGTTAAAACAAGTGAACTAAAAAACAAAATAAAACAAACAAAAAAAAGAATGTCTGCAATTGCATTTCTTTTTCAAAAAAAACCTTTTATTTACTTTTTAATGAATACATCTAGTTAGTGAATACTATCATGACATTCCCTTCAGGTCAAATCAAAATCAGATAACATTTCTAACTGCCTACCAAACATGGAGCCCTTCCCCCAGGAGCTCAGTCTTATCACTAGATATTTCAAAGAGCCCATTGGGAAACTTCCTTCCTGTCATTCCAAGGTATTTTAAGCAAGTAGACTCTTGGAGAATATCAATAGAGGACGATGCCATGGCAATGATGATGCTTCCTGCGTGGATTGAGAATCTTAGTCTTCCCATGAGTCTCTGCTGTGTTAAATGATGTACAGTTAAAACTTCTACAGAATGACTCTTAGTAGATTAATTTGAATGCTTATTATACATTACCTCATTCATTTTCTCTGGACACACATTGAAAGAGAGGCTTTCTCCATTACACTGGGAGCTCAGAGATTAAGTAACTCGATTGCAATCTCGTGGGAGAGCAATCATTTGAGTCCAGGCCTGAATGAACCAACCCCATGGATATCCTGCTCAGTATAGCCCACCTGTGCACAGAGACCACATCCTGAAGAAATTTACCTGTACGCAGAATAAAGGAGGAGAAAGGGGCAGGGAAGGAGAGTCAGTAGTTCAGTGTGAGTTCTGCTTTGTCCTATATCACCTCCTTGACTAATCCTGATTTCCTTGCTCACTTAAAACTCTCCTTCCCTGACTGAGTATATTAGCTTCTATTGCTTCATAACAACCACAAACTTAACTCAAAAGAGCATCATCTATTTGCTCTCAGTTGTGTAGGTTCTACCTCTATTCAGGGTATAACAAGTTAGAAATCAAGGTGTTTCCAAGGTGTTTTCACCTGGAGGCAGTGGAGGAAGTTCCTCTTCTATATTCTTCTTGTTGGAAGAATTCAGTTCCTTTCAGTGGTGGGACTGATGGCTTCATTTCCTTGCTGGCTGTCAGCTGCTCCTGGGTCCTAGAGTTTCTTCTCCAATCCTTGCCATGTGGCTTCCATAGACAGTTCACCACAAGGGTATTTGCTTTCTTCCAGGCCAGCCAGAGCTTATCTCTTTCCTCTTCTTCCAGCAGATGGAGAAAATCCTGTTTTTAAAGGCTCACGTGATCCAATAAGGCTTACCTGGATAATCGCCCTTTCTTACATTTAGCTGTACCATGTAACATAACCTAATGACAGGCCCAGAAATTAGAGCAGAAATCTTGGGGAACATCACACACTTTAGCCTGCCATAGTGAGATGTCATCTATAGTTATTCAAATATTTAATATGTCAAATGACATTAGAGTAGGAAATAATTTATCCAGAGGGGATATATTCAACTTTTTAGGTGTATTGTTAAGCACATAATTATATAATTAATAGAATCTATAAGAAAGACATTTTAGGGGTAGCACAACAAGACATTTTTGGCTGACAGTGAATATGTGAAGTTATAATTAAAGAATACACAGTCAGCGGTTCCAAGATGGCCGAATAGGAACAGCTGTAGTCTATAGCTCCCAGCGTGAGTGACACAGAAGACGGGTGATTTCTGCATTTCCAACTGAGGTACCAGGTTCATCTCACTGGGGCTTGTCGGACAGTGGGTGCAGTGCACCAAGCATGAGCCGAAGCAGGGTGAGGCATCACCTCACCCGGGAAGTGCAAGGGGTCAGAGAATTCCCTTTCCTAGCCAAGCAAAGCTATAACAGACTGCACCTGGAAAATTGGGTCACTCCCACTCTAATACTGCCCTTTTCCAATGGTCTTAGCAAGCAGCACACCAGGAGATTATATCCCATGCCTGGCTCGGAGGGTGCCACGCCCATGGACCCTCGCTCATTGCTAGCACAGCAGTCTGAGATGGAACTGCAAGGCAGCAGCGAGGTTGGGGGATAGGCACCCGCCATTGCTGAGGTTTGAGTAGGTAAACAAAGCAGCCAGGAAGCTCAAACTGGGTGGAGCCCACCGCAGCTCAAGGAGGCCTGCCTGTCTCTGTAGACTCCACTTCTGGGGGCAGGGCATAGCCAAACAAAAGGCAGCAGAAACCTCTGCAGACTTAAATGTCCCTATCTGACAGCTTTGAAGAGAGTAGTGGTTCTCCCAGCACAGAGTTTGAGATCTGAGAACGGACAGACTGCCTCCTCAAGTGGGTCCCTGACCCTGAGTAGCCTATCTGGGAGGCACCCCCCAGTAGGGGCAGACTGACACTTCACACGGCCATGTACCCCTCCGAGACGAAACCTCCTGAGGAATGATCAGACAACAAAATTTGCTGTTCAGCAATATTCACTGTTCTGCAGCCTCTACTGCTGATACCCAGGCAAACAGGGTCTGGAGTGGACATCCAGCAAACTCCAACAGACCTGCAGCTGAGGGTCCTGACTGTTAAAAGGAAAACTAACAAACAGAAAGGACATCCGCACCAAAACCCCATCTGTATATCACCATCATCAAAGACCAAAGGTAAATAAAACCACAAAGATGGGGAAAAAACAGAACAGAAAAATTGAAAATTCTAAAAATCAGAGCACCTCTCCTCCTCCAAAGGAACACAGCCCCTCGCCAGCAACGGAACAAAGCTGGATGGAGAATGACTTTGATGAGTTCAGAGAAGAAAGCTTCAGATGATCAAACTTCTCCGAGCTAAAGGAGGAAGTTCGAACCCATCGCAAAGAAGTTAAAAACCTTGAAAAAAGATTAGATGAATGGCTAACCAGAATAACCAGTGCAGAGAAGTCCTTAAAGGACCTGATGGAGCTGAAAACCATGGCATGAGAACGTGATGAATGCACAAGCTTCAGTAGCTGATTCAATCAACTGGAAGAAAGGGAATCAGTGACTGAAGATCAAATGAATGAAATGAAGTGAGAAGAGAAGTTTAGAGAAAAAAGAATAAAAAGAAATGAACAAAGCCTCTGAGAAATATGGGACTATGTGAAAAGACCAAATCTACATCTGACTGGTGTATCTGAAAGTGATGGGGAGAATGGAACCAAGTTGGAAAACACTCTGCAGGATATTATCAAGGAGAACTGCCCCAACCTAGCAAGGCAGGCCAACATTCAAATTCAGGAAATAGAGAGAACACCACAAAGATACTCCTCGAGAAGAACAACTCCAAGACACATAATTGTCAGATTCACCAAAGTTGAAATGAAGGAAAAAATGTTAAGGGCAGCCAGAGAGAAAGGTCAGGTTACCCACAAAGGGAAGCCCATCAGACTAATAGCTGATCTCTCGGCAGATGCTCTACAAGCCAGAAAATAGTGGGGGCCAATATTCAACATTCTTAAATGAAAGAATTTTCAACCCAGAATTTCATATCCAGCCAAACTAAGCTTCATAAGTGAAGGAGAAATAAAATCCTTATAGACAAGCAAATGCTGAGAGATTTTGTCACCACCAGGCCTGCCCTAAAAGAGCTCCTGAAGGAAGCACTAAACATGGAAAGGAACAACTGGTACCAGACACTGCAAAAACATGCCAAATTGTAAAGACCATCCATGCTAGGAAGAAACTGCATCAACTAATGAGCAAAATAACCAGCTAACATCATAATGACAGGATCAAATTCACACATAACAATATTAACCTTAAATGTAAATGGGCTAAATGCTCCAATTAAAAGACACAGACTCCAAATTGGATAAAGAGTCAAGACCCATCAGTGTGCTGTATTCAGGAAACCCATCTGACCTGCAGAGACCCATATAGGCCCAAAATAAAGGGATGGAGGAAGATCTACCAAGCAAATGGAAAACAAAAAAAGCCAGGGGTTGCAATCCTAGTCTCTGATAAAATAGACTTTAAACCAACAAAGATCAAAAGAGACAAAGAAGGCCATTACATAATGGTAAAGGAATCAATTCAACAAGAAAAGCTAACTATCCTAAATTTATATGCACCCAATACAGGAGTACTCAGATTCATAAAGCAAGTCCTTAGAGACCTACAAGGAGACTTAGACTCCCACACAATAATAGTGGGAGACTTTAACACCCAACTGTCAACATTAGACAGATCAACAAGACAGAAAGTTAACAAGGATACCCAGGAACTGAACTCAGCTCTGCACCAAGTGGACCTAATAGACATCTACAGAACTCTCCACCCCAAATCAATAGAATATACATTCTTCTCAGCACCACACTGCACCTATTCCAAAATTGACCACATAGTTGGAAGTAAAGCACTCCTCAGCAAATGTAAAAAACAGAAATTATAACAAACTGTCTCTCAGACCACAGTGCAATCAAACTAGAACTCAGGATTAAGAAACTCACTCAAAACCACTCAACTACATGGAAACTGAACAACCTGCTCCTGAGTGACTACTGGGTACATAACAAAATGAAGGCAGAAATAAAGATGTTCTTTGAAACCAACGAGAACAAAGACACAACATACCAGAATCTCTGGAACACATTCAAAGCAGTGTGTAGAGGGAAATTTATAGCACTAAATGCCCACAAGAGAAAGCAGGAAAGATCTAAAATTGACACCCTAACATCACAATTAAAAGAACTAGAGACACAAGAGGAAACACATTCAAAATCTAGCAGAAGGCAATAAATAACTAAGATCAGAGCAGAACTGAAGGAAATAGAGACACAAAAAACCCTTCCAAAAATTAATGAATCCAGGAGCTGGTTTTTTGAAAAGATCAACAAAATTGATGGACTACTAGCAAGACTAATAAAGAAGAAAAGAGAGAAGAATCAAATAGACGCAATAAAAAATGATAAACGGGATATCACCACAGGTCCCACAGAAATACAAACTACCATCAGAGAATACTATAAACACCTCTATGCAAATAAACTAGAAAATCTAGAAGAAATGGATAAGTTCCTCGACACATACACCCTCCCAAGGCTAAACCAGGAAGAAGTTGAATCTCTGAATAGACCAATAACAGGCTTTGAAATTGAGGCAATAATAGCTTACCAACCAAAAAAGGTCCAGAACCAGATGGATTCACAGCCGAATTCTACCAGAGGTACAAGGAGGAGCTGGTACCATTCCTTCTGAAACTATTCCAATCAATAGAAAAAAAGAGAATCCTCCCTAACTCATTTTATGAGGCCAGCATCATCCTGATACCAAAGTCTGGCAGAGACACAACAAAAAAAAAGAATTTTAGACCAATATCCCTGATGAACATCGATGCAAAAATCCTCAAAAAAAAATACTGGCAGACTGAATCCAGCAGCAAATCAAAAAGCTTATCCACCACGATTAAGTGGGCTTCATCCCTGGCATGCAAGGCTGGTTCAACATACACAAATCAATAAACGTTATCCAGCATATAAACAGAACCAAAGACAAAAACCACATGATTATCTCAATAGGTGCAGAAAAGGCCTTCGACAAAATTCAACAGCCCTTCATGCTAAAAACTCTCAATAAATTAGTTATTGATGGGATGTATCTAAAAATAATAACAGCTATTTATGACAAACCCACAGCCAATATCATACTGAATGGGCAAAAACTGGAAGCATTCCCTTTGAAAACTGGCACAAGACAGGGATGCCCTCTCTCACCACTCCTATTCAACATAGTGTTGGAATTTCTGGCCAGGGCAATCAGGCAGGAGAAAGAAATAAAGGGTATTCAGTTAGGAAAAGAGGAAGTCATATTGTCCCTGTTTGCAGATGACATGATTGTATATCTAGAAAACCCCATCGTCTCAGCCCAAAATCTCCTTCAGCTGATAAGCAACTTCAGCAAAGTCTCAGGATACAAAATCAATGTGCAAAAATCACAAGCATTCTTATACACCAATAACAGACAAACAGACAGCCAAATCATGAGTGAACTCCCATTCACAATTGCTTTAAAGATAATAAAATACCTAGGAATCCAACTTACAAGGGATATGAAGGACCTCTTCAAGGAGAACTACAAACCACTGCTCAACGAAATAAAAGAGGACACAAACAAATGGAAGAACATTCCATGATCATGGATAGGGAGAATCAATATCGTGAAAATGGCCATATTGCCCAAGGTAATTTATAGATTCAACGCCATCCTCATCAAGGTACCAGTGATTTTCTTCACAGAATTGGAAAAAACTACTTTAAAGTTCGTATGGAACCAAAAAAGAGACTGCATTGCCAAGTCAATCCTAAGCCAAAAGAACAAAGCTGGAGGCATCACGCTACCTGACTTCAAACTATATTACAAGGCTACAGTAACCAAAACAGCATAGTACTAGTACCAAAACAGAAATACAGACCCATGGAACAGAACAGAGCCCTCAGAAATAATACCACACATCTACAACTATCTGATCTTTGACAAACCTGACAGAAACAAGAAATGGGGAAAGGATTCCCTATTTAATAAATGGTGCTGGGAAAACTGGCTAGCCATATGTAGAAAGTTGAAACTGGATCCCTTCCTTACACCTTATACAAAAATTAATTCAAGATGGATTAAAGACTTAAATGTTAGACCTAAAACCATAAAAACCCTAGAAGAAAACCTAGGCATTACCATTCAGGACATAGGCATGGGCGAGCACTTCATGTCTGAAACACCAAAGCACTGGCAACAAAAGCCAAAATTGACAAATGGGATCTAATTAAACTAAAGAGCTTCTGCACAGCAAAAGAAACTACCATCAGAGTGAACAGACAACCTACAGAATGGGAGAAAATTTTTGCAATCTACTCATCTGACAAAGGGCTAATATCCAGAATCTACAAAGAACTCAAACAAATTTACAAGAAAAAAACAAACAACCCCATCAAAAGGTGGGCAAAGGATATGAACAGACACTTCTCAAAAGAAGACATTTATGGAGCCAACAGACACATGAAAAAATGCTCATCATCACTGGCAATCAGAGAAATGCAAATCAAAACCACTATGAGATATCATCTCACACCAGTTAGAATGATGATCATTAAAAAGTCAGGAAACAACAGGTGCTGGAGAGGATGTGGAGAAATAGGAACACTTTTACACTGTTGGTGGGACTGTAAACTAGTTCAACCATTGTGGATGACAGTGTGGTGATTCCTCAGGGATCTAGAACTAGAAATACCATTTGACCCAGCCATCCCATTACTGGGTATATACCCAAAGGAATATAAATCATGGTGCTATAAAGATACATGCACACATATGTTTATTGCGGCACTACTCACAATAGCAAAGACTTGGAACCAACCCAAATGTTCAACAATGGTAGACTGGATTAAGAAAATGTGGCACATATACATCAAGGAATACTACGCAGCCATAAAAAAGGATGAGTTCATGTCCTTTGTAGGGACATGGATGAAGTTGGAAACCATCATTCTCAGCAAACTATCGCAAGGACAAAAAACCAAACACTGCGTGTTCTCACTCATAGGTGGGAATTGGACAATGAGAACACTTGGACACAGGAAGGGGAACATCACACACTGGGGCCTGTTGTGGGGTGGGGGGAGGGGGGAGGGATATCATTAGGAGATATAGCTAATGTAAATGATGAGTTAGTGGGTGCAGCACACCAACATGGCACATGTACACATATGTAACAAACCTGCATGTTGTGCACATGTACCCTGGAACTTAAAGTATAATAAAATATATATATATGTATAAATAAAAAAATACAAATCATTGACTGTATTTAATTTCTGGTTTATGTGATAAATATGCCAGTTTTTAAGTTAAAATGTTTATATAATGCTGGTCTATTATCAAAATTGGCAATATAGTATTTATACAGATGAAATTGTTGGAAAGAGGTTAAATAAATGCAATTTATATAGACCTGTGACTGCTGTGTGCCTCCTGGCTTCCCCCTTTTTAAATGGAAGTGTGTAAAAAACTTATCCTATTCTTGTTCAATCATTGAATATAGAATATTTGGGGAGCAAGTAGCTCATCTCTTTAGATATTATGTCTTTAGATCAAAATGAATGTTTCTGAAGAAGTTGTACTTGAGGAACTACAATTCATCTGAATCTTGACTGATTTAGATGAGGAAACCGTAGAGTACATGCAACAGTGTGAGAAGACTTGAAAGTCTTAGGGAAGAGAATGAGTACATCTTGCATGTGGAAGGGTAGAAAGGATGTGAATTTTTGTAGCCAGAGAGTAGACCGTGACACATTGTATTTTCCAAAGATGGCCTGCATTCTTTCTTCACAATGCATTTTTTTTTTTTTTTTGCTGTCAAATAAAAGTCAGATCACATTTTTAACTGCCCTCAAAACCTTGATACTCCTCCCACTGAGTGGCAAAGTCCATGTCCCCTCTCCCTGCAGTGGGCCGACTTTAGCGACTGCCTCAATTAATACAGTATGAGAAAAGTGACACTACTTGAGTTTGAGACGAAATCATAAAAATGTCATGTACCTCTCCCTTGCTCTCTTGGGACACTTGCTTTTGGAACACAGAGCCATGTTGTGAGGAAGCTCACACTAGCCCATAGGAAAGACTATATGAGGAGGCTACAGGCAAGTGTTCTGATTGAGAGCCAAGCTGAGGTTCCAACCGATAGCCAGCAACAATCACCAGACATGTGAGTGAAGACAGCATGTTAATGAAACTGCAGCAAGGTGATTTTAGCCCCAACCATTGAATGACCCTCATCCTGAAAGTCTTCCCAGCTGAGACCTCACAACTGCGGAGCAAAGAACAGCCATTCCTGCTTTTCCCAGTCTGAATTCCTAACCCAAAAGATTCATGAGCATAATATAATAAATTTTCACCAAGTTTTGGGGGTAGTTTTCACCAAGTTTTTGGGTCATTGGGGGTAGCTGTATAGCAACTGAGCACTGGAAAATTAGAATAAATTACATAGTCAACTGTATTTCAGTCCTTGACTTTATTTAGATAATACTAGGATAGTATCCTCTCAGCTAAAGCTATGAATCATGAATGTTATAAATATTATGAAAACTATCATTGACATCAACAAAAGTTATCACAGGGTTAAACTGACACACGTTTCATGATATGCGTAGTCATTGCTAAGTAAGTAGGCATAAGAACAAGGTAATTTAAATAAGTGATTATAATTGGTACAATATTTTGAAGTTTTTAATCTTACTGGTTAGTTTTTGGTTTTTTTGTGTGTGTTGCTTATAATTTATGGTAGATTTCTATGATACACTGATGTAAATATAATCTGGACTCTGTGAACACTGCTAAGTTTCTTTGCACTATAGAATCAGGTGAAATAGCCCATCCCATCAAAAAAAGAGCATATGTGCCTCTATAACTACTTTAAGTTTTGTCATAGCTAAGTGCAGGAAACAAGAAGCTGGAGGCTCTGTATGAGGCAAGTGTATGCAAGTCTCCAGGGGAAGCTGTTAAAAAGCCTATGTTACATTGGTGGCTGGAGTGGCTAGAAAAAGAGGTGACACTCAGGTGTCTTTAAAGTAATCAGATGGGCACAAAAGGAACTGAGACTGTACTTAGAATCCTCATGTTAGGAAGCTTCGTTGGATAGGAATTAGCTAAGAACAGAGTTATTTGTTGGGTAAACTCACAGGCATGGGTGGGAAGTTTATTTAGTGAAAGTGAGTGAATTAACACAAGAGCCTCAGATGTATAATTTTCAATCTACCTTAATGGTATTTTGTTTTTCTTAAAGCAGAAATTTAAAGATATTTACAAAATCCCCAGCATTGTGGTGCAATAGAAAAAGTATTGGTAGCCAGGCGTGGTGGCTCACGCCTATAATCCCAGCCCTTTGGGAGGCTGAGGTGGGCGGATCACGAGGTCAGGAGTTCGAGACCAACCTGGCCAATATGGTGAAACCCTGTCTCTACTATAAATACAAAAATTAGCCGGGCGTGGTGGTGCGTGCCTGTGGTCCTAGCTACTGAGGAGGCTGAGGCAGGAGAATCGCTTGAACCCAGGAGGCGGAGGTTGCAGTGAGCCGAGATCGTGCCACTGTACTCTAGCCGGGGCAACAGAGTGAGATGCTGTCTCAAAAAAAAAAAAAAAGAAAAGAAAAAGAAAAAAGAAAAAGTATTGGTAGAAAAGAGGTTGGTATATATTCTCTGACCAATTTTTCCCTTTTCAAGTTAATCTGTTTTTTCTTGAACATTAAACGTTTAAGAAAATGTTTATTACACTAAAACACCTTGGTTAAACTGCCTAAATTGTGAGCTCTTAGAAAGATTATCAGAAAAGCTGTATTTATTGGTGACCATGTAGTTTTATTCTTAAATTATCTCACAGAGCCCTTAGATACCTTGGAAGATAATCTCTTAAATTTACTTTTGGGGATAATTTACTGCTTTCTCCATTGGTAGTTTGGCCTGAGTTTGTTTTGAGCTATAAAATGAATGATCTTTAGCAAGCACTCTTCATTTTTTTTCCTTGTCTACTGATGTAGAGATTAAAAGCTTCTTTTTTAGGGCTAGCATTAGAGATCTGCAAGGTGACTTAGCAAAGGCTTCTACCAAACAAGAGGAAAGACAAGTATCTTTTCTCTGACCCTTGGAGAAAGGGTGGTCTCCTCCTGACTACTTTCTCTTTCCATCTTAAGGTGGAAGAGAAAGGTGGGATGCAATCCAATAAAGTAAGCGTGCAGAAAACTCGAAATAAACAACAAAACTGGAAACAACAAGCCATGAAGCAACAACACAGAAATCTTAACTAGGAAAATCTTTCAAAATATCAATGGGTTTTGAAAAATTTAGAAAAATAAAGAGATAAAAGTCCACCAAAATCAACTACCCAACAAGAAACAAATAAGCAACACAGAATTCCTGCCTGCCAGGTTTTGCATCCTGTATGAGGAGTAGACTATCAGGAAGGTCCAAATAACTCTTCTTCAGAGATGCTGCTCTCATGCCTCTGTTATGTAAGGGGTAGAGCTGGACAATCAGCTTTTGTACCATACAAGGAATTATTTTCACTGTAGTGAAACTGCCTTTGCAAAAATATGACAGTAAGAGAAACCTGACATGGCTGACTCCATCTTGGCTCTAGCCTTGTGTCTATTAAACTCTTTCTTTACTGCAAGGCCATAGTCTCTGTGAGCTGATTTTGTTTATTCAGTGGGGAGGAAGACCCTTCTGGGCAGTTACAGTAGGTCATAATGAATTAACTTTCCTTATCTCATCAGCACCTTATCAGCCCCTAAACACTGCATTCCCAACATTTTGATGTTTCCCTTTCAGAAACAAGTAATTCAAAGTAGACATTTCTCCTGAGGTTATGTACTTGGTGAGAACAAACCTCCAGGTATAGAACACACACTCTCATACTCCCACACCACTGTGGGGCGTAGTCTTGGAGGCAATAGGTACTTTTTCTTATTACAATATAATATAAAATTAGGCCATCAAAATTCATTGCCTGCTCTCTGCTCCTACCCTGATATATAAAATTAGGCCATCAAAATTCATTGCCTGCTCTCTGCTCCTACCCTGAGACCCCCATCAACTCTTCTGTCATCTCCTATGCGTCTTCTATTCTTAAACTCCAATATAACCTCCAATATAAGAGAACTACTGCATCCATAGCCTCATTTTAGGCTGGTGCCTTAAGTTCCAGAGATTTTTAGCAGCAGGAATTTGGGGTGAGAAGTGAAAGCCAACACCCTACAGGGAGGAGTACCTGAAGCCCAAAAGTGAGCTCAGAGAGGGGATAGAGCATCAGGAGAGAGGATTTGACTGTGTACAGAGAGGAAGTGTTTGGCTAGAAGATTAAAAGACTTCAAAACTAAAGGACAGAGATGTGAAGAGGAAGGAAGGAATTAACACCTCCCATCTATGTCTGAAGTCCCTTTTAAATTCAGCCTTCACACCATCCAAAAGGCTGAAGCAGAACTATCTGTAATTTAACTTTAAAGTAACTGATGCTTTCAAATGGAGATTAAACGCCAAATAAGTAAGGGAGGTAACACATTAGAGTTATACCACCAACTCCTGAGAGGTAACACATCAGTGTGAATCAACCCCAATCAAAATGCAAATTATATCTGATCATTTCCTGCTTTTTTATAGGAAAGGAGTGGGGATGTAACTAGGAACAAATAGAGATGGAAAAGGAAAGACTGGTGCCATATATATGTAAATTTTACATATTATATATAATTTTTAGGTTAATAAAGGGAATTTGTATATGGCATACATATATAAATAAATTAATATAATATATATATATACAAATGCCCTTTCTTAACCTAAATGTTTTGCCTTATCCAAAGACCAGAAAATGAGTAAACAAATTAAATTGAATATACTAAGTAATTATAGTGCCTTATTTTTTTGTTACAAACTTATGGCTTCAAACACCTTTTCTCATATAACCTTCCCAATAAACTTATGCTCTCATATTATCATTCCCAATTTCAGGATGATGAAACTAGGGTACAAACAGTTTAAGCAACTTGCCTGTAATAAAGCAACCAAGGAACTAATAGAGCCTGTATTGAGACTCAAGCATTTTATTTTAGTTCCCCTGTTCTCTCCATTCCACAAGAGCTCCTTACCATTTGTGGTGCCTGGCTTCAGAGGATCAGTGCACAGTGGCTTTGATATCCTTCACCTTCTGAGTATTATACCATCAAGTAAACTCTGTGCCCCATCTTCCATATTATAAAAATAGTTGCCTGGACAACTGAGGAAGCATTCTGATGTATGTTGCCTTTTGTTTGTTTTTGTTTTTGAGAAAATAATACTATATGGAGTACTTATGATCTAGGGCTGATAACTATACCAAAGGGAATCATAAAGAAAAGCCAGCATTTCGATACTTTTAAACTTTTGCTATTTATCCCTTAGATTAGGACAGTATGATTGAAAAACTATTATTCACATATTTTGAAGCTAGAAAAATATGATGCAACCAATTATAAAGTAAGTATAATAATTTCAGTGGATAAATTACAGCTCTGTAACTTCATAATAATGGCAAACTTTTATCCAGTGCTGATTATGTTCCAGCCACTGCCATGTGAGCTAGGTACTACTATTAATCAGCATTTTGCCAAGGAGGAAACTGAGGTTAGAATTGTTAAGTAAGTTGCATAAGAGTTCATAGTTAGTGAGCAGTAGAGCTAAAATTGGGAACCAGGTGGTCTGGTTCCAGAATTCGCACTCTGAACCATGATGCCAAACACATACCGCATCCCTACTTTGAAAAGTGGGAATCCTAACTGTACCTCATTTTAGGATAAGTCAACTCTGCCATTACCTAACTGTGTAGTTACTGTGCATTGTCCATATACGCTGCATTCTTCCTGAATTCATGGGCCTCCTTAGTGACTAATTGTTTATTTCATTTTGATAGCTCTATTTTTTCCATTGTTTTGCATCTTTTGCAGTCAGGAACTGGGTCTGTGTTTCAGTCCAAAATATAACATGGGCTTGGGATACACTCTTTGAAAGACCTATCCAATTTATTTAATGAATAGATGAATAAATGAATGGGTGAATTAGAGTGAATTATCACATGAGATAGCAAAATGTTTATAAACCTGCCTGGACATAATTTTCTGGGAAAGGAGTTTCTGTTCAAAGCTTCCCCTGAAATGAACTCCATAGAGAGGTCATGTAGGAAAAGTACAGGAATGTAGCCAGAAACCTGGAGTGAGCATATAAACTAGCAAATGTAGTAAGTTAATTTTCCTAAGCTTTATTTCCTTACATATGAAACTAAAGGTTTGGCTTATGATTTCTTTAATCCTTCTCAGTTAAAAATTATATGATGTTATGATTCTGTAAATTATAGCAAGGTTTCGGTGACCAATTTTTTAAAGGCTTAAGCATTTTGTTTTTGTCAGTTGACTTTTGCTGAGCTCATGAATACCAAATAATTCTTCTCTCTCTCTCTCTTTTTCCCTCTCTCTCCTGCTCCCTCCCTTCTTCTCTCTCTTTCTTTCAAAGAAAAAAAAATATTCCCCAAGTGGTGCAGTTATTTTTCAGACTCTCTTATAGCTGAAATTATTTACCACATAAAAACCTCAAACCAAGCAGTGACATATCCCTTGTAAAGTATTCACAAGCTATTCAACCAACATTAAAAGTGGAAAATAAGTCTTTGCTCATAAGGGGACATTGACAAAGATTAAATAGACTTCTATGAAGTTCAGAGGGTGAAGGCCAGATTACATCATTATCAAAGCTAGATAGTTTCTCCCAAATAATTGGTAACAAGAGAGCCAACTTTGTTTCTTGCTGTGCATGTGGAAATCTCTTGGACAATGATGGAAACTGCGTGAAGAACTGAGCATAGAATTCTTTTACTTATTTATTTATTTGATTTATTAAATCTTCCTGAGCCTCTGGAGACATGAACATAGCTGTAAAAAATACTGATACACATTTATCTAGTCCCTTTCCCAACCTCATAGTTGGAATTCTCCATATCAATCAGACAAAAGCCTGGATTCAGCCCAGGATATTAATGAAAGTTGCATTCTCATTTTGCAGTCCTAAACAGAATTATATTCATTAACACATTTTCCTCTCTGATCACTGTCCAGAATGCTTCAGGTTTTTAAATGTTTATTTTGTTTTTCTAATTCCTTTTCTGCTTGCAAGGGTCAATTGCATTGAAAAACAAAGAAGGATTGATGGAGGCTTTTTTCATCAGACCTCAAGTCTTAAATGTATTTTCCTTGGGGAGTATGACCCCAGGCAATAAACAGAACTAGGGGAGAGAAACTGGCTGGCATTTTTTTTGGTAATATATATCCTGATACTTAATATTGATAATGATATTATCACTAAATCTACTAAAGCAGGAGATATTGGTTACCAACAGGAATTGGTGACCTACCTATTCCTGTTCTTGAAGCAAGGTCATTTTCAAAGGTTGTGTAAGAGAAGGACACGTGACCCATAAAGTCATGTAAAGCCTCGTGCTTAGAAGGGCTCCATGCTTGGTTTAATGCTTTGCTACTGCAGTCTTGAAAGTCTTCATAATTTTTGAATAGGAGGCCCTGCATTTTTATTTTGAACTAGACCTTATCAGTTATATAGCACATCCTTCTTAGGCATATAATCTAATTAAGTAATTCGGTATTTTATTTTTGCACCAGGGCTAATTAAATTAGGAAAGCAGTAGCAGCTGCCATTCAACAATTTGTATGTACCCAAAACTGTATAATGGACAAAGTTCTCAATATAGAGTATCACCTTGAAACCTGAAGACATCATTTTTTTCTCATTTTTTAAAAATAAGAAATCTGAGCTTCAGAGACTTTAAATAGCTTGCCTAAATGTAAACAAGTGGTAAATATGGGAGACAGAACTTAGAGCTATGCCTTCAGCTTCTAAGGCATGCCACTTTCTGTGAGTGTTTGCTTTAAAGTCCTATTGGAGTATGGATTCATGGAAGATATCATGCTGCAGGTGTAATCTATAGGAGTTTGAGAAAGACTTAGATGAATTTTTCAACCAAAATCTAAAATATCATAGGGGAATTTATTTGACCTATGTATGGCTTCCTAAATATGAGAGGATTTCTTAAACCATGGTAAGACAAAATAACTCAGAATTGATTTACTTTTCTTATAAATAAAGATACCACTTTATTAATCATCTCTTTGACAATACTATGCCTTGAATCTTCAGAGCGCATGACATCTTCAGGGTCTCATGAATACATAGTGAGTCATTAGAAAAACTGATTAAAATGGAACTTTCTATCTCTTCTCTATTGTGAATTAAGGATTAATACCATTTTATATTTTTCATACCATTTTTAAGATAGATAAAGGTTTCCTCTCCTGGTTACTACTCTTCACAAATGTTCTCTTTTAACCTCTCCAGTAGCTCCAATGTCATTGATCCTTTCAGTGGTCACTGTAGGACATTATGGACATCCAAGCATCTGACCAGAAGGAAACCCCTTTGTCAAATCTTCTGTTTCTTTTGTCTTTTTCCTTACCCTTCATGATAATATTTGTAACTGTTGCCAGCGCTTACCACATTTGAACTTTCCTTGACATTCTTGGATTTCTCTTTCTTCTAAAACTTAATTTAAATGAATTTGCAGACTAAATATTTGCTGTAGGTCATTTACCTTTTTCCTAATGCTGATTCTGCCTCCAGCCAAAATTGAACTGCTTTAAGTTCTTGTTTTTAATGAATGATAAAAAAAAATTTTAACCAATTATATTCTGCCTTCTTTACTAATGAGGAACATAGCATGTTCATTTAATAAATAAGAGCTTATATGCGAAGACAAGTAGCTGCAAAATCTCTCCTACAACGGGCAGTGGTGAAAATAAAGGTCAATTTAAGAGGGGTTTCTAACCGGCTGATAAGGTTTATGTTCCCTTTGGAAAGATTACATGTTATAGTGAATGAAGAAATAATTATATAGTCACCAATTTTAAAAATAATGAGAAACATATTTTTACATATGATCTTATTAAAAATCTCTTATTAACAAATAATTGTTGGGAAAACAAATAAGCTTTCACATTTTTTATATTGCTTATCTTCAGCTAATATATTTTAGGTATTCAACAAATAGTTTTTGGACTAACAGATGTATTTTGAAGTATCTTCTCTCGTTGTCTTCAGAATATGATTTAGGAATTCATCTGCTCCCCCTGCCTTCAATGCACAGGTACGTACACCCATCAGAAACAAAACACCAACAAACAGAGAAAAAGGTTTTCAGTTAAATTATACAGAATTTCTATTGAACAGCAGCCTCATTTTTTTTAGATTTTGAATATGACCAAAGTTATTTTCCCACAGAGGGAATGGTATAATAATTTTTAATTATATAATTTGAGCCCCTTTCCAAGGAGAATACAAGTTACACCCCTGCCCTTTAAAAACAAAAACAAAAACAAAAACAAAAAAACCCAGCAGAGAATAGGGAGCAGTGTGATGGTGCTGCAGGCTGGCAACGCTTTCCTGGGAGTCTTCCCACCTCTTTCATTATGTCACACCCTCCTGGTTCATCCCTGTCTTTTATTCCTTAGACTCTGAGATCTAAAACTGCCAAAGAGGTTTATCTTCTGAATTATTAACAAATTAGAAAGTCCTAACAAAATTCTGGAAATGAAGAAAACATTACTTGTGTGCTTCAAAAAGCATAAAATATTAGAACATGTAAGAGGGAAAGGCTCCTGGGTATTATGAGAGGCCCAAATCTAGAACGGAGTTTTATGTTCATCCTCTGAACACAGGGCTGGGGACTGGAGAAGCCTTGGTTCATCCAAGTGTTCTAGAAAACCATATGCTTCTTATGCAATGTAGATTGAAGTGGGGTTTTCAAACGTATATCAGTAACACAATACAACCTTATTTAATTAAATTATTGTTTAATTAAAGAAACTGCTTATAATTGTAAACTTTGTCATACAACAAATGAATTATATAATAATGTAGAAGTCTATTTGTTTTTCACTTAAGAATGGATTCTTTTTAAGTCATGGGATATGAGGTAGATGTGAGCAGAGGCAATGGTAAAGTGTGTGGCACTGGTATCAGTCTGCCAGGGAATAAATACTATATCCATTTATTCCTAGCTGTATGAACTTGGACAAATTCCTTCTCTTATCTCCATTTCTCACCTGTTGAATGATGATAATGATGTCTACCCAGTAAGACCATTGTAAAAATTATATGTGTAATTTTAATTATTTGGATGCATTTTTTTAACGTGACATAAACTTGAAAAATGTTAATGTAAGCTCTGTTCTACAACTGAAAGTAGTTCTGATACTTACCTGTTAGCTGAATGAATTTGAGAGACTCATTGTTTAGGATATCTAACCTAACAAAGCTTGAGAAGGAGCCCTTTCTCTTGGCTATAATTAACAGCACATTTTATATGTATTTAAGTATGAATCCATGGTAAGATTCTGGCTATAATTTGAGATTCAAGTGGCAATTTCATCACAAGAATATCAGCAGTCACTTTGTTGCTTTTAGCTGTCATTTGGTAATTCTGTTCTGGACTCATCCTTTCCTCAACTTCACAGCCAGATTTCCAAATAGGCCTTTCTTCTTTCCTTCAACTCCCCAAATGCACACTGTTTGAGTATACCTCATGATAAATTTCGGACTATGCCCTCTAAGAGCTGGAAAAATGGGCACACAGAGTCTGACAGTCACAGTCATCAAGAGAATTCTGATTTGCTCATGGAACCCATTCAAAGGGTTCCAGAGACCATCCACAAAGGCTGTCACATTGTTATACCACATTAAACACATGCCTGTGCAATACTGGCATGTTTCATAACTTCAGAAATAACAAAAACCTCAACTACTTCCAGCCTTTTAATTTCCTTTTGTAACCATTGTTAACTGACTCTTCAATGCAAAATGAAAAGCTAACCCTCAAACCCATTAACCCTCCCCCAATTCCTCCCCCTCCCTTTAATTTCCCCTTCAACCACTTAAAAAATAGTCCTATCTCCTCTTAGCTTAATTTCTTAGTGGAGAACTCATTCTTCTCCCAGGCAGATTCTCCCAGTGTGGTATGGTCTGTTGCTGTGGTCAGCCTGCATGTTCAGCCTGCCAGCAGGCTCAGCCATTTCTGGAGCTGCTGGGGATCCTCTAGCTGGAGAATGCTTTGAATTCCCTGAGTTATCCAATGCATCAGTCTCTCTACATGCACCTTGGGATAACCAGCGGCCTCCTGTCACGGGGAACCTAGCCATGCCCTCCCCGAAAGAGTCTACACTCCTTATCCCAGGAGGGAAATAAAAAGAAAAGTAATATACAAAAATAGCACTAAATTATGTTTTTAAAGAACTTTCTTGCCTGTAACTAACTTTTCTATAAATGCAACATATATTCTATAAATCAAAGATAAGAGGATAACATTTGTTATGGTTTGGCTGTGACCCCACCCAAACTCATCTTGAATTGTAGTTCCCATAATTCCCATGTGTCATGGGAGGGAACCAGTGGGATATAATTGAATCATGAGGGTGGGTCTTTCCTGTGCTGTTCTCATGATAGTGAATAAGTCTCACAGGATCTAATAGTTTTATAAAGAGGAATTCCCTTGTACCAGTTCTCTCTTCCCTGCCGCCATGTAAGATGTGACTTGCTCCTTCTTACCTTCTGCCATGATTGTAAGGTCTCTCCATCCATGTGGAACTGTGAGTCAATTAAACCCCTTTCCTTTATAATTACCCAGTTTCAGGTATGTCTTTATTAGCAGTATGAGAATGGACTAATACATCATTATCTATAAGCCAAAACACAATTTCTTAAAATTTGCCTTATTTCTCTCTTCCTTCTGCTTTCTTTTTCCCTTTTAACCATATGTTCCCCATTTCTCCTACTGTTCTTACAGTATCCCATTTGTATCCAGAACTCTCTTCAATAGAGCTGCTCAATGGGCCTTTTCTATCCAAGTGGCCTTCACTCTCTCTGACCTAGAGTTTTCTGAACTTGTTTTATATTAAAGTTTGCTTAGCCCAGATCTCTCAAGTCCTTATTGAAGTGACTGGCCATTCAGAAAATTTAAACGTATGAATGTATTAAGAACTATTGACTTAATAAGTCCACTCTTTGAAGAGCATTTGCATCATGGAGATAAAATATTATATTCTAAGTTACAGAAAAATTCAAGGAAACTGAAGAAAAGAGATTTTTGGGTAAAAGAATAAATACATCACAAACACACACACACACACACACACACACACACACAACTGGGCTATTGAGAGACAGTGTGGCATGTATAATGACTCCATATAAAAGATTAATGCTGGGAATCTGGGGATGGTAGGGGGTGTGATGGGTAAAGACTATGGTTATGAGTTAAATTGTACAGTAAATTGTATATTTTGAAAGTGGAAGTATTACTTTTTATAATATCACAGAAAATAAAGTTCTATAACATTTCCTAGGAGATCTGGCAATTCTCAAGCTTGAGAAATTCCATGTTCCTATCTACATGAGGCAGGGGGTTGAATAAATCAGAATCTTGAAGAAACAGGTGTTAACCACTTACATTGCTTCATTGAAAATTGTGATGAAGCACAGAATAGAGGAAAATGCATGGGTTTTGAAGGGAGATAGACTTAAAATAGAAGTCTTATTCAGTTCTTACTGAGCTATAGGATCTTTTACATGCACTTAGTTTCTTTGGGTCTGTTCTCTTATCTGTAAAACAGGGATTTTTTCATACCTATCTTTTACAACTGTTGAGATATTGTATGTGACATATCTAGCACAATATTTTACCTGTAGTAGATGGTCAATAAACAGCAGCTCTTATTATCATTTATATTTCTAACAATAAACCCTGCATTACTGTTTAATGGCAATTGGAGGTTGTCAGGAAGGCCAGGAGCTACAGGCCATGGCTGACACCAGTAATCCCAGCACTTTGGGAGGCCAAGGTGGGTGAATCACCTGAGGTCAGTAGTTTGAGACCAGCCTGGCCAACATGGTGAAACCCTGTCTCTACTAAAAATACAAAAACCAGCTGGGTGTGATGGCACACACCTGTAATCCCAGCTACTTGGGAGGCTGAGGCAGGAGAATCGGCTTGAACCCAGGAGGTGGAGGTTGCAGTGAGCCGAGATTGTGCCACTGCACTCCAGCCTGGGCAACAGAGCAAGACTCTGTCTCGAAAAAAAAAAAATTATGATTTGTCTTTCAAATCTTAAAGCATGTTTTAATGACATTGTATGCAGTTATTTTTTTCTGTTTAAAAATTCATTTTTCTAGTTGCCCCTGAATTTAGCACAGTATGTATTCAGCAAATATTTCCTAGACTAATATGTCAGTCCATTCTCATGCTGCTATAAAGAACTGCCTGAGACTGAGTAATTTATAAAAGAAAAAGTTTTAATTGACTCACAGTTCTGCATGGCTGGGGATGCCTCAGGAAACTTATAATTATGGTAGAAGGGGAAGAAAACAGGCCCTTCTTCACAGGAGATACAAGTGCTGAGTGAAGGGAGAAAAACCCCTTATAAAATCATCAGATCTCATGATAAGTCACTCACTATCACTCACAAACACAAGAATAGCATGAGGGTAACTACCCCCAAGATTCAATTACCTTCCACTGGGTCCCTCGCATGACCATGGGAATATGGGAACTACAATTCAAGATGAGATTTGGGTGGGGACACAAAGTCAAACCATATCATTCTGCCTCTGGTCCTCCCAAATCTCATGTCCTCACATTTCAAAACATAATCATGACCTTCCAACAGTTCCCCAAAGTCTTAACTTATTCCAGCATTAACTGAAAAGTTGAAGTCCGAAGTCTCATCTGAGACATGGCAAGACCCTTCTGCCTATGGGCCTGTAAAATCAAAATCAAGTTAGGTACTTCCTAGATACAATGCGGGTACAGGCATTGGGTAAATATACCCATTCCAAATTGAAGATATTGGCCAAAACAAAGGGGCTACAGGCCCAATGCAAGTCTGGAATGCAATAGGGCAGTCATTAAACCTTAAACTTTTAAAATGATCTCCATTGACTTCATGTCTCACATGCAGGACATGCTGATGTAAGAGGTGGGCTCCCACAGCCTTGGGCAGCTCTGCCCCTGTGGCTTTGCAGGGTACACCTCCCCTCCTGGCTGCTTTCATGGCCGGTGTTGAGTGTCTGCAGCTTTTCCAGATGCACAGTGCATCTGTTGGTGGATCTACCATTCTGAGGTCTGGAGGAGAGTGGCCCTCTTCTCACAGCTCCAACAGGCAGTGCCCCAGTGGGGACTCTGTGTGGGGACTTCAACCCTGCATTTCCTTTCTGCAGTACCCTAGCAGAGGTTCTCCATGAAGGCTCCACCCCTCCAGCAAACTTCTGCCTAGACATCCAGGCATTTCCATACATCCTCTGAAATCTAGGCACAGGATCCCAAGCCTCAATTCTTGACTTCTGTGCACCCACAGGCCAAACACCATGTGTAAGCCACCAAGGCTTGGGGCTCGCACCCTCTGAAGCAATGGCTCAAGCTGTACCTTGGCCCCTTTTAGCCATAGCTGGAGCCAAAGCAGCTGTGACACAGGGTACCATGTCCTGACGCTGCACAGAGCAGGGGGGCCCTGGGCCCAACCCACAAAACCATTTTTTCCTCCTATGCCTCTGGGGGCCTGTGATGGGAGAGGCTGCTTTGAAGGTTTCTGACATGCTCTGGAGACATTTTTCCCATTGTCTTGGTGATTAACATTCAGCTCCTTGTTACTTGTGCAAATTTCTGCAATAGGCTTGACTTTTCCCCCAGAAAACTGGTTTTTCTTTTTTATTGCATTGTCAGGCTGCAAATTTTCCAAACTTTTCTGCTCTGCTTCTTCTTGAATGCTTTGCCACTTAGAAATTTCTTCTGTCAGATGCCCCAAATCATCTCTCTCAAGTTCAAATTTCCACAGATATCTAGGGCAAGGGCAAAAAGATGCCAGACTCTTTGCTGAATAACAACAAGGGACACCTTTGCTTTAGTTCCCAACAAGTTCCTCATCTCCATCTGAGACTACCTTAGCTTGGGATTTTTTGTCCTTATCACTATTGGCATTTTGGTCATAGCTATTCAACAAGTCTCTATGAAGTTCCAAACTTTCCCATGTCTTCCTGTCTTCTGAGCCCTGCAAATCTTTAGGAAGTTCCAAGCTTTCCCACATTTTCCTGTCTTCTTGTGAGCCCTCCAAACTGTTGCAACCTCTTCCTATTACCCAGTTCCAAAGTTGCTTCCATATTTTCGGGTATCTTTATAGCAACACCCCACTACCTGGTACCAATTTATTGTACTAGTTCATCCTCACACTGCTATAAAGAACTGCCCAAGAATGGGTAATTCATAAAGGAAAGAGATTTAATTGTCTCACAGTTCTGCATGGCTGGGGAAGTCTCAGGAAACTTACAATCATGGCGGCAGAAGGAGAAGCAAACATGTCCTTCAGGAGGCACAAGTGCTGAATGAAGTGGAGGTGGGGAAAGCCACTTATAAAACCATCAGATCTCATGAGAACTTACTGACTATCACAAGAACAGCATGAGGGTAACCTCCACCATGATTCAATTACCTCCCACTGGATCCTTCCCATGACATGTGGGGATTATGGGAACTAAAATTCAAGATGAGATTCGGGTGTGGACACAGCCAAACCATATTAGCTAATAAATATGACAATTGGAAATATCCATATGGGTTACAGGATAACTCTGTTGATTTAGTCAGAACACCCTCAAGCCTCAAGCGAATGTGGTATTCTTGAATGACAGCAGTAAAAGTTATGAGGGATATCAGGTTTTTATTTTCAGTGAAGAAATACATTTGCATGCAAGTGTATGTGTAAAACTAAAATGTTCTGGCGTAAAGCAAATATCCAAGGGGCAAACTATGGGGAGGTTAATTTATTAAAAGTTATGGATGAGTTCTCAGGGCTCTCTTATAGCTCAACCATGTGTGAGAGCCATGAAACAAAAAGGTCTTAACAAATGTGGAAATTACAGAGTTTGTTCTGCTCAGCCCACAAGATAGACATCCAGCACCCTTAAATAACCCTGAGACAAGAAGGTGGTTTCTGGGAAGCCTATGTCTTCTGGTACTGCAGAGCACTGTGGGGCTGACCTTCATGTTTGAATATTAAATTAATAAAGGCAGAATCTACACAATACCAATGGTATTAGTCATGTCTGCTGGGGCATCCAATACCAGATGTCACTTTTCTGATCTTTTAGGATCAGCCTTCACTGTTTTTGGCACATCAGAGTTCACATCTGAGTACAATTTAAGTTGTAACAATGCAATCATCAGCATGCCTAACTATTTTTTTGCCTTCCTCTCCCGCTATTTTTGGGAGCTGAAGCTATGAAGTTCCTCTGCCTATTCATCTGGGAAGTTAGAGATGATTTTTCTAGGTTCCCTTCCCCCATTTCTTTTAAGGGAATCAGAGAACCTGTTCTCTGCTGCCTTACAAACATTCATTTTAAGATTTACAGCAACCTTGCAATTAATCATTCTCCAGTGGAATATAATAATTTATGCTGGGTGAATAGAAGAGTTCTGACCCCACTCATTTTCCCACCTGTGCACCTCTTGGGAGAGAGGCACTAGTCAAAAACATGAATGTGTGTGCTGATGAACTGTTTATTCTTACTTTCAAGGTTGACTTAAAGTATGATAGTTGGGAATTCACCCATCTGCTTTACCTCTTAAATTGAGCCTAATTTGCAAGTAGAAAAGGAGGATAAATGCAGCTCTACCTCATAGTTTCTAATTATTAAACAATAACACTGAAAACTGTTATCAAGACCAGGAGTCATCAAAGTTTGTTCTGTGGACTGTGCTCTAAAAGACTTTTAGGTAATTCTCATATTTAATCAGTTCTAACGTGCTTTTTTTTTTTCCTTTTCTTGGTACAGTATGGTGTATGTAACAGTTGTTTGAACTGTGTCTTTTATTTTGGATTTTGAGCTTTTTCAGAATGGGCATGTTTTTGGATCAACATTTAGTACTGTGCTGGGCACCCATGATGACCAAAATGATACCTTTGTTGCATTACAATGACGTGATTTTTATGTGCTTTTGTCACTCCTAAAACCTTGGTTCAAAAGTCATTTATTGCCAAGCTCCAGATCCAACTCAGAAGTTCCTGTTTTCTCCATAAGTGTGCATCTTAGAAGTTCCAGCTCTAAGATACAAGGTTCACTCTTTCTGTCTCCAGGTGATACTGGACAAAGATTCTGAGACGCTCCCTAAGAAACTATCAAAGAGGAGTATGAGCAAGGGTCCATCAGGCAGCACTCTTTCCCTTTAGCTCCTTTTCAATCTGGTGAGCTTTGCTTTTTTATATGCTTTACACATTGGCTTTCTTTTCAGATTTTAGCTAAAGAAAATGGGCTCTTCTACTAATATAAACAATATACATTTTTTATTAGCCAAAAGGAAAAGAAAATAGGCTTACATGATTTTCAGCCTCCACAGAAATGTCATAGATGGATCTTTCTAAGCAATTCGTGGTAAGAGATGTAACTATGAAAATGTTAAGATGTTTGCCTTCCCTTTGTTACCTAATTGTCCTTTTGAGCTCCCTGACACCCTCAATTTTTTCCACACTATCACTGGCAAAGTTCCTCAGTACCACTGTTCCTCTCTGGGTTTTTCATCATTCTTCTCTTGGAAATCATGCCAACCTATAGTTATTATACACTAGAGCTTCCTTTTCATCTGTAGGGGTCTGTATACACAGTTCTGTTCCAGTTGCTCTTCTCATCTGACCTACCTTTCAACTCAAGCCAACTTTTCCTCATTGACTGAATCCAATAGAAGCCAATGGACAGGGAAACATAGCAGGATAGAAAAAGTGGATAATGCAAGACCTGAACTTAGCTCTGGATCAAGTGGACCTGATTGTTATCTACAGAACTGTCCACCCCAAATCAACAAAATACACATTCTCCTCATCACCATATGACATTTACTCTAAAACTGATCACATAATTGAAAGTAAAACACTCCTCCATAAATGCAAAGGTACTGAAATTATAACAGTCTCTCAGACCACAGCACAATCAAATTTTAACTCAAGATTAAGAAACTCACTCAAAACCACACAACTACATGGAAATTGAACAACCTGTTCCTGAAAGACTCCTGGTTAAATTATGAAATTAAGGCAGAAATCAAAAAGTTCTTTGAAACTAATAAGAACAAAGAGAAAACATACCAGAATCTCTGGGACACAGCTAAAGCAGTGTTAAGAGGAAAATTTATAGCACTAAATGCCCATATCACAAAGCTAGAAAGATCTCAAATTGACAACCTAAAATCACAACTAAAAGAACTAGAGAACCAAGAGTAAATAAACCCCAAAGTTAGCAGAAGACAAGAAATAACCAAGATCAGAGCAGAAGTGAAGGAGATAGACACAAAAATACCCTCAAAAATCAACTAATCCAGGAGTTTGTTTTTTGAAAAAATTAATAAAATAGACAGACTACTAGCTAGACTAATAAAGAATAAAAAATAGAAGAATCAAATAGACACAATCAGAAATGATAAGGGGGATAATACCGCTGATCCAATAGAAATACAAAAATCCATAAAAGAATACTATAAACACCTCTATGCATATAAACTAGAAAATCTAGAAGAAATGGATAAATTCCTGGACATATCCACCCTCCCAAGACTGAACCAGGAAGAAATTGAATCCCTGAATAAACCAAAAATGAGTTCTAAAACTGAGGCAGTAATGAATAGCCTACCAACCAAAAAAAGTCCAACCAGATTGAATTATAGCTTATTTCTACCAGAGGTACAAAGAGAAACTGGTGCCTTTTCTACTGAACCTTTTCCAAGCAACTGGAAAGGAGAGACTCCTCCCTAACTTATTTTATGAGGCCAGCATCATCCTGATACAAAAACCTTGCAGAGATACAACAACAAAAAAGAAAACTTCAGGCCAGTATCCCTGATGAACATCGACACAAAAATCCTCTATAAAATACTGGCAAATCAAATCCAGCACCACATCAAAAAGCTTCCTCCACAATCGAGTTGGCTTTATCCTCAGGATGCAAGGTTGGTTGAACATACACAAATCAATAAATGTAATTCATTACATAAATAGAACTAAAGACAGAAACCGCATGATTATTCAATAGACACAGAAAAGGCCTTCAATAAAATTCAACATCCTTTCATGTTAAAACTTCTCAATAAACTAGGTATTGAAGAAACATACCTCAAAATAATTAGAGGTGTATATGACAAACCCAGAGCCAATATCATACTGAATGGGCAAAAGATGGAAGCACTTTCCTTGAAAACCAGCACAAGACAAGAATGCCCTCTCTCACCACTCATATTCAACATAGTATTAAAAGTCTGGCCAGGGCGATCGGGCAAGAAAAAGAAATAAAGGATATTCAAATGGAAAGAGAGGAAGTCAACTAATCTTTGTTTGTGGATGACATGATCTTATATCTAGAAAACCCCATTGTCTCAGCCCAAAAGCTTCTTAAGCTGATAAGCAACTTCAGCAGCCTCAGGATACAAAATCAATGTGCAAAAATCACTAGGGTTTCTGTATACTGACAACAGGCAAGCAGAGAGCCAAATCATGAATTAACTCTGATTCACAATTGCTACAAACACAATAAAATACCTAGGAATACAGCTAACAAGAGAAATGAAGAACCTCTTCAAGGAGAACTACAAATCACTGATTAAAGATATCAGAGAGTACACAAACAAATGGAAAAACATTCCATGTTCACGGATAGGAAGAATCAACATCATGAAAATGACTATACTGCCCAAATTAATTTATAGATCAATGCTATTCCCATTAGACTATCATTAACATTCTTTACAGAATTTACAAAGAAAACTATTTTAAATTTCACATAGAACCCAAAAAGAGCCCACATAGCCAAGACAATCCTAAGCAAAAAGAACAAAGCTGGAACCATCATGCTCCCTGACTTCAAACTATACTACAAGGCTAATGTAACCAAAACAGCATGGTCCTGGTACAAAAACAGACACAGAGACCAATGGAACAGAATAGAGAACTCAAAAATAAGATTACACATCTATAGCCATCTGATCTTCAACAAACCTGACAAAAACAAACAATGGGGAAAGGATTCCCTATTTAATAAATGGTGTTGCAAGAAAAAATTGCAGAAAAATTGTAACTGAACCCATCCTTACACCTTATACAAAAATTAACTCAAGATGGATTACAGACTTAAATGTAAAACCCAAAACTATAAAAATTTTAGAAGAAAATCTAGGCAATACCATTCAGGACATAGACACAAAGATTTCATGACTAAAACGTGGGCAAAAGACATGAACAGACACTTCTCAAAAGAAGATATTCATGCAGCCAACATACACGAAAAAAACACAACATCACTGATCATTGGAGAAATGCAAATCAAAACCACAGTGAGATACCATCTTATGCCAGTCGGAATGGCAATTATTAAAAAGTCAAGAAACAACAGATACTGGCAAGGTTACAGAGAAAAAAGAACACTTTACACTTTTGGTGGGAATGTAAATTAGTTCAACCATTGTGGAAGACAGCATAGTGATTTCTCAAAGATCTGGAAGCAGAAATATGTTGACCCAGCAATCCCATTACTGGGTATATACCCAAAGGAATATAAATTATTCTATTATAAAGATATATTCACATATATGTTTACTGCAGCATTATTTACAATAGCAAAGATATGGAATCAACCCAAATGCCCATCAATGATAGATTGGTTAAAGAAAATGTGGTACATATATACCATGCAATACTATGCAGCCATAAAAAGGAAAGAGATCATGTTCTTTGCAGGGACATGGATGGAGTGTGAAGCTGTTATCCTCAGCAAAGTAATGCAAGAACATAAAACCAAACACCGCATGTTCTCACTTAGAAGTGGGAGCTGAATAATGAGAGCACATAGACACATGATGGGGAACAACACACACTGAGGCCTGTTGGGGGTGGAGAGAACATCAGGAAGAATAGCTAATGGATGCTGAACTTGTCACCTAGGTGTTGGATTCATCTGTGCAGCAAACCACCACGACATATATTTACCTATGTAACAAACCTGCACATCCAGCACATGTACCCCAGAACTTAAAATAAAGGTTGAAGAAAAAAAATCATAAAATTCAAATAAAGAAAAGCAAACTGGAACAAAAGTGAAGAATGAATCCGTAGGCACAGATGGAAGCTATTTGAAACACTTCTTTAACATTTCAGCTCTTCAAATAGCTCCAATGGAATTCTTTTCAGTTAGGATACAGAAGTATATAAAATAGCTTTGCTGACACCAAAACAATAAGTAATCAATAGATTAGCCCAAAACTATAACTAATGAGGAACTCTGGCTACAAGGAAATCTAAAACTACCAAAGTTTAGTAGAAGCTTTAGAAAGATGGGTGAACAAAGATCAGAGGATAGCTGAGTCTGAAAGCAGTTAGAGAAGCAAGATGATCTTTGTTCAAATGAGAAATCAAATCAGCATTTATGACCTATGGGCTGCATACTAAATTTAAATCTGGAGAAGCCCCAAATCCAGAAATTACTCTGCCAAGTAACAATCTCTCATATTTGCAGTCTTGCAGACCTAAAGTTGCAAAGTCTTGTGATCTGGCCAGCTGTAGTCTCATTGTTTCACAGCCCAACAATTTCATACTCTGGAGACTCATTGTTTCATAGTCTTGCATTCTTATGACATGTCATATTTAACATCCAGTCATCTTTTATCTGTCTACAGGTCTAATAGTCTAGCGGTCTTGCAGTTTTGGGGTCAAGCAGACTCAAGGTCTTACAGATATGAGGTCTGACAGCATTTGGTCCCAGTGCAGTCCTGGAGGGAAAGACATGAAATCACTTTTAAAGTAGCTAATCCTAGAGAAAAATGGAGTATAACCAAATCTCCAACCAAAATTCTATCTGATTCAATGTCTGGTAACATCAATAACATTTCACCTAGTGGTGGCACCGGAAGCTAGAGATAGAATGAAAAACAGAAAGATAGCACAATAGACTTGTGGTACTTGAATTCCAAGGCCTTTTTGGAGGAGTTAAAGCCAAACAAACTTGCCCCAAAATAGCTTAATTTATGACTAGATAAAACTGATCAGCCTCTCAATCTATCTTTCTAATAAAGAATAAGGCATTCCTTATTGAGAGAGTATAATATGATGTGTTAAAAATAACAATATGTGTATATAGTTGCATAATATCTTTTTAAAAATCTATTATTTTGAATAGATCTATTGTTTTAAATAGTTTTATAATATCTATTGTCCTTTAAGACGTAATATACAACGTTCAATAAAGTATTACAGGACATGCAAAGGAGTTTGAAAATATGACTTGTAGTCAAGAGAAAAATGAATCAATAGAGAGATACACTAAATATTACAGTAATGATAAAGGAATTTAAGATGACAATGACAAAGATAATAAAAGATCTACAGAAAAAGATGCATGTAATGATAAAAGAATGGGTAATTAGGGGATGTTAGGGAGCTTTTAGAGAAACAAATAACCAACTGGAAAAGCTAGAATAAGAAATATCATAGCCAAAATATAAAACTTACTGGATGGTATTAATAGCAGATTGAATACAACAACAAAAAAAGGATGACTTTATTGAAGTAGGTCAATACAAATCATCCAAGCTGAAGTAAAGAGATTACAATAAGAAAAAGAGCATTCAATGACACATTAGACAGTATTCAGGAGAAGTTCCTGAACAAGAGGAAAGAGAATGGGCCAGAAAAACTGAAGAAGTATTGGCTAAAAATCCTCTACTTTGATAAAAAACACAAACAGATCTAAGATGTTCAATGAACCAGAAGCAGAATAATTACCAAAGAAAGAACATCTAAGAACAAAATTGTCAGTTTGCTGTAAACTTGATAGAATCCCAAAAACAGTCCGAAAGTCGTATTACATAAAAGAGAACAATGATAAGAATAACAACAGCCCTTTCATCAGATACAATAGGAGCCAGACAATAGTGAAACACTGTGTTTAAAGAGACAAAAGGAAAAAATTGTTGATTATATATTCAGTGAAAATATTTTTCAGAAATGAAAGTAAATTAAAGCAATTTCTGAACAATAAATGTTGACAGACTTTGTTGCCAGCAGACCTAACTATAATATATGCTAGGGAGAGTTCTCAGGTGAAAGGAAATGATACAGAGGAAAATAAGGATCTATGGGAAGCAATAAAACCCACTTAAAATAATAATATAAGAGTAAATATGAAATTCTTATTTTCTTATTTTTTTAAAGTCAACTAGGTATTTAAGTAAAATAATAATATATTTTGGAGTTCATAATACGTGTAGAGATAAATATATGATAAACATATAACAAAGGGAAGGAAAGCACATCAACAAAGTAATAAAGTACTTACATTTAAAAATTGATTTAATTGAGAATAAGCTGTGATAAAGTAGAAACACATACTGCATGTATTAGTCTGTTCTCACACTGCTCTAAAGAACTACTTAAGACTGAGTAATTTATAAGAAAAGAAGTTAATTGTCTCCCAGTTCCACATGACTGGGGAGGCCTCTGGAAACTTACAGTCATGGTGGATGGCAAAGGCAAAGCAAGACACATCTTACATGGTGGCAGAAGTGAGAGCATGAAGGGGAAGTGCCACACTTTTATACCATCAGAACTTGTGAGAACTTACTCACTATCATGAAAACAGCATGAGGGCAAATGCCCCCATGATCCAATCACCTTCCACTAGGTCCCACTCTCAACATATGGGAATTACAATTTGAGATGAGATTTGGGTAAGGACACAGAGCCAAACCATATCATTTCACCCCTGGCCCCTCCCAAATCTCATTTCCTTTTCACATTTCAAAACACAATTATGCCTTCCCAACGGTCCCTCAAATTCTTAACTCATTCTAGTATTAACCCAAAAGTCCAAGTCCATAGTCTCATCTGAGACAATGGGAGTCCCTTCTGCCTATGAGCCTGTAAAATCAAAAGCAAGTTAGTTACTTCCAACATACAATGGGGGTACAGGTGTTTTGTAAATGACCCCATTTCAATTGGGATAAATTGGCCAAAACAAATGACCACAGGTCCCATGAAAGCCTGACATGCAGCAGGGTACTCACTAAATCTTAAAGTTCCAAAATTATTTCCTTTGACTCCATATCTCACATTCAGGGCACGTTGATTCAATAGGTGGGCTCCTACAGCCTTGGGCACTTCTGCCCCTGTGGCTCTGCAGGGTACATCCTTCTCGGTTGCCTTCACAAGCTTTTGTTGAGTGCCTGTTCCTTTTCCAGGTACGTGGTGCAAGCTGTCAGTGGATCTATCATTCTGGGGTATGGAAAAAGGTGACCATCTTCTCATAGCTCCACTAGGCAGTGCCCCAGTGGGGACTGTGTAGGGGCTTCAACCCCACATTGTCCCTCTGCATCCCAGCCACTCAAGCTTCAGCCATGTCTAAAAAATATGCCACGTAGACCATTGCTTCAGAGTGTGCAAGCCCTAAACAATGGTGGTTTCCACCTAGTGTTGGGCCTTTGGGTGTGGTGTGCAGAAGACAAGAGTTGGGCTTTAGGAGCCTCCACCTAGATTTCAGAGGATATATGGAAATGCCTGGATGTACAGGCAGAAGTTTGCTGCAGGGGCAGAGCCCTCATGGAGAACCTCTCCTAGGGCATGCAGAGGTACATTTTAAGAAAAAAAAAAACAAAAACAAAAAACAAAAACAAAAAAAAACAGTCACATCTTGAAGGTTTTTCTGCTTAGAAATTTATTCTGCCAGATATCCTAGTTCAAAGTTCAAAGTTTGAAGTTCCACAGATCTCTAGGGCAGGGGCAAAATGCTGCTAGTCTCTTTGCTAAAGCATAGCAAGAGTGACCTTTACTCCAGTTCCCCATAAGTTCTTCATCTCTGTCTGAGACCACGTCAGCCTGAACTTCATTGTGCATATCACTAGCAGCATTTTGGTCAAAACCATTCAACGAGTCTCTAGGAAGTTACAAACTTTCCCACATCTGCCTGTCTTCTGTCTTCTTCTGAGCCTTTTAAACTGTTCCAACCTCTGCTTGTTACCCAGTTCCAAAATCACTTCCACATTTTCAGGCTATCTTCATAGCAGTACCCCACTGTCCCGGTATCAATTTTCAGTATTAGTCTGTTTACACTGCTAGATAGAACTACCTAAGACTGGGTAATTTATAAAGAAAAGAAGTTTAGTTGACTCACAGTTCTGCATGGCTGGCGAGGCCTCAGGAAACTTACAATCATGGTGGAAGGCAAAGGAAAATCAACACATGTCTTACATAGGGGTAGGAGAGAGAGAGAGAGAGCTAAGGGAAGTGCACATTTTTAAACCATTAGATCTTATGAGAACTCACTCACTATGAGAATGGCATGGGGGAAACTGCCTTAGTGATCCAATTTCCTCCCACCAGGTTCCTCCCTCAATACATGTAGGTCACAATTTGAGATGAGATTTGGGCAGGGACATAGAGCCAAACCATAACACTATAATTCCTAGAGCAATCACTTGAAAAGACTAAAGAAATTGCTAGAGTTTGAATATGGTTTGTTTGCCTCCATCAGATTTCACGTGTGTTTATTATTTTCCCAAACCGAAACTCCATACCCACATTAAATGATAATTTACCACCCCTCCTCCTTTCTCCTAGTCACTGGCAACTACCATTCTACTTTCTGTTTTTATGAATTGAGTTGCTCTGGGTATTTCATATAAGATAAATCATACAGCTTTTGTCCTTTCATGACTGGTTTATTTCACTTCGAGTAATATTTTCAAAGTCCATCTATGTTATAGCATGTATCAGAATTTCCTTCTTTTTTAAGGCAGAATAATATTCCAATGTATGTATATACATGTGTTTACCATTTATCTGTTGATAAATATTTGGGTTGCTTCCACCATTTGGCTATTGTGAATAATGCTGCTATGAACATGGCTGTACCAGTATCTGTTCAAGTCACTGCATTCAAATCTTTTGGGTATATACTCAGAAGGGAAATTATGGGATAATATAGTAATTCTATTTTTAATTTTTTCAGGAACTCCATACTGCATGCATCATTTTACATTTTCACTAGCAGTACACGGTTTCGCTCCAACACTTTATTTTTTAAATAGCCATCCTAATGAGTGGTATCTCATTGTTCTGATTTGCATGTTCCCCTAATAGCTAGTGATATTGAGCACCTTTACATATTTTTATAGGCCATTTGCATGTCTTCTTTGGTGAAATGTCTATTCAAGTCCTTTGCCAATTTTTTGATAAGGTCATTTGTTTTCAGCTATTGAGTTGTAGGGGTTCCTTATTATTTTTGATATTAACACTTTATCAGATAAGTGGTTTGCAAATATTTTCTCAAATTCCATAAGTTGCCTTTTCATTCTCTTATTTTCTTTGCTGAGCATAGCTTTTTAGTTGGATGTAATTCCATTTGTCTTTTTTTTTTTTTTTTTTTTTTTGCATTTGTTCCCTGTGCGTTTGGTGTCATATCCGGGAAATCATTGCCAAGGCCAATGTCAAGAAGTTTTCTTCTAGGAGTTTCATGATGTGAAGTCTTAGACTTAAGTCTTCAATCCATTTTTTGAGTTTATTTTTGTGTATGGGGTCAGATAAGGGTCCAATTTTATTCTTTTCCATGTAAATATCCAGTTTTCCTAGCACCAAATGTCCATCAGCAGGTGAATAAATTAACAAATTGTGGCACATTCACATAAGGAATACTACCCAACAATACAAATGAATGAATTAGTATTATGCTCAACAACATATATGACTTTCAGAAACATTATATTAAAAGGAAAAAGTCACACAAACTAGTGCATACCATATGACTACATACAAAGGTCTAGAATAGGAAAGACTAAGCTAGACTGATGGAAATCAAAATAACAAGTGGATGAGTATGGACTAAAAGGGGTATGAGGTAGCATTCTGGGGTGATAGAAAAGTTCCTCATCTTTAATGGGGTGGTGGTCACAGAAGAATATACTTTGAACTAGACCTTAAAATCTGTGCATTTTAAAAATATAAGTTATACATCAATAAAGCAGATTGTTTAAAAAAAAGAAAGTGGTTCCACTCTCTTTCCCTGAAGAAAAGCAGTTAGTCCACTGATTGGATCAGAATGAGGATTAGTATTTCTTACCATTGTCCTCCCAGGAAGCTACATTAGAGGATACATCAGCCCATCTTTGTTTTATGTGAATTTAAGTGTGCTAATGTTCTTGGCAAGATTTCTGAAGCCTTCCTCATGTAGAAGACACTGGGGTGTCGATGTAAAGTGAGCTCTCCCGGGGTAACGTGTGTTTACCATGATTCCTTGAGGCATGCATGAAAATATACTGCTGCAGTCTGTTACACTGATGTTAATTAATTATATCACTTAACATTTATTTTATTAAAAAGGGTACTACCACATGAGTTATCTAACTATCAATAGCCCATTTATTTTCCCTAATATGTTTACCAAACTTTTTTATTTACCATTTTTTCAATGGCAAGCCATTATGGTAGAGATTCATTATTCAGCAGCACCCTTGCTAGATAGCACAATTTTAATTTGAAAATAGCCTCAGTCCATACTTTTTTTTTTTAGGTACAATTGCCTTAAGTCGTTCCAGATTGATTCACTCTATTTCCTATTTTTAAGCATTCACCGGGAACAAAATTTCCATTTTCTTTTTTCCAAAATTTAGAATTACCATCTTTGCAGCTCTTATTTCAAGAAAACTCTTCTTTGCACTAAGTCAAATCCTTTGTGCAGAGATGTAGTCAAGCACGCAAAGCAAGATATGTACTGTGCCAAAGAACCTTTAACCTGGCACTAGTAATTAGCAGGCAGAAGAGGTAATAAGTAGCCACTTAACATTAAGAGGTGGGGGCCCAAGCACAACAAAGTGAGGAAAGTAATTTTATTCATCAGGATAGGCTAGTTGCACTATGGTAATTGACAATCCAAAAATCTGGGTGGATTAAAACAATAAATGTTTATTTCTTACTCATGCTGCATTTATATCAAAGGTTGGTGGAAGTTAGGGTATGTTGACTCTATTCAAGACATTCTCACTTAAGAACCTCGGTGGATGGAGCTTCCGCTATCAGACAACCACTGCCACTTCCAATCACATTTCACTGTCCTTATTAGAGGCAGGAAAGTCCAAACCTCCCTGAGTAGAGAAAGAATGGATATTGGTGAGTAGTAACATTGTTGACCATATTGATATTAAAAAAAAATACAGGATAATCAAAGGTCCTCAAAGGAGTGTAGATCTGCAAGTAGCAAAGCTTAAAGATTTATGAAGCAAATGGGCTGGAGGACAGATTCAGAGCTCCAGTTCCAAGAGGTGAAACTGGCAACTGTAAGAGGAACTAGAAGACTGGACAGAAACTTGGAAATGGACAAAATTACACTTCCAGCCTTGCAAACTGTGGCAATGAGGACAGGTGTTACTAGGGTTCTTGCCAGCAGGAATTAGATCTTGAAAATCAGAGCATCAACAAGAAAAGTTTGGATCTAGGTGCAGCTTGAGAGCCAGAAGGCCAGCCTTGGGTCACTACCTCTTAAAGCAACCAACAAAGAATATCCTAGATTGTACCTGGTTAGTTCCTCTGAGCGGAAACTGAAGTCTCCAAAATTCTTTGTGCTTCAAGTCTGTATTTAGTAATAACTGTGGGGAAACTAGACAAAGAAGAGGCAGAGATAAGGAGCTGGGTTTGACGATGTCTGATGTCCAGTGTCTTGTAGTTTGCTTGCCTGAGGAGATGTAAGAAAGTGCATCCATGAAAAAATTAAAAATTGACTGCTAGCCTGTCTATAAATATTCTAGAGTAGATTCAAGGAAGGACAACTTCCAGAGAAAACTTAATGGAGGAAGTTGGCCTGGTAGTATTTTCTCAGCCCAGGAAAACTTCCTATGGCTGTGTGTCTAACCCAGTCCACTACAAAGATATTTTCTAGCTTCCTGAGCGCATGCATGATTTTATAGGAGTCTACCTCCAGAAACAAGAGGTCCTCTCGATGGTACCTTCTATATCATACTGAAGAAATGATCCTTAAGACATTTGGTTTGGTTCAACCCAAACCCAGAGAACCCTTTCTTTGGTAGATCACAATTTATACCTGCGATATCCGAAGAAAGTGTTTTTAACTCATTCAGGGAAATGTGTTTTCTGTCTTGCTTTAGCTTATAGTAAGTAGATAAGAAATTCTGGACAATGTAATATACTTCTATGGCTTCAAATTTTATCCCTTCTGGAAACTTTCAAATACAAATTTTGTCCTAGACTCCTCTTTCTGAGCCTCAGCTACATACCAAGCTGCATGAAAATGTCCCAAAATAATTTTGCATATTTCCCCCAAACTGGATCCTCCTCTTGATTAAATGCATAAAGAGAGTAAGCCAATTACCCAATTCAGAAATCTCTGATTCCTCCTTGCCTCCTGCTTCTTCTAAACACTCAAATCCAGTCAATTGCCAAGTCCTAATAATTCTAACAACTTAATAGCTGTCAAATCTGCTCCTATTATCCAGTCCCACTGCTTCAGGTCCTCAACATTTCTTATCAAGACTACATTTTCGCCCGTGTTCTCCCACCTTCATTCTCTGCTCAGCCCCTTCCCCTGTTCTTGATACTGCAATAAGAGGCTTCTTCCTAGAATATAACTGTCATGTTAATTCTCTTTTTAAAAGCTGTTGCCCTAAAGAGAAACTCCAAATTGCTCAGCTGGACCTTCCTGACTGCACACTGCTAATCTGTCTAACCTTTAGTTCTCCCAGACTCTTCCAGAGTCCCAGCGCTCTGCTTTCCAAAGACATTGAACAGCTTTCATGCTCACAAAAGAACTCTGCTCTTTTTTTTGGCTCTGGACTCTAGATTCCTCTTTTTCCTCCAGCAAAGCCCTTAAGTAGTGCCGTGGCTCAGGAAAGCAGGCTGATGTGTCCTCCGTGCCATGGTGAAACCAACTAACCACATTTATGGTAATGGAAAAGCATGTTCATGTATAGCTTTGGTCTACATATATCTGAATACTGCAATTATTCAGTGTTAGACCCAAAAGGCAATAGGTCAGTTTTTCACAACCTTTCAGGTTTTCTCCAGTCTCCAAACTAGAGATGAAAGAGTACATGCAAAACAATTTTTAAGTTTATTGCTAGTGCTTTACTTCTAAATTCTTTTCAACACAGTGATAAATAATCTTAAAATATAGTCTAAGGCAAATTTCATTTTTATTAAAAATACAGTGATCTAATTATACCCAAACCCCATTGACTAGAATATGCTAATTTAAAAAAATCTATTTCAGGCTGATAATTTTGTTTCTTAACTATGATCTGAAAAAGAAAAAAAAAATAACCCCAGCCACCTGTTCTACAAATGCTAATGATAAGAGGAATTAGGTGAAACACTGTTGATAGATTCATGTAGGCCCATCACCTTTTCAGAAATTCAAACCAAACCTCTTTCTTAATTGGGGCTGGAGGAAGCAAAATGAAGAAAAATAGATTCTTTTCATTAAATTAAAACAAAAATCTCAAAGCCTCGTAATATTCATGGACAAAAATAAAGAGATACATGTATGCTGGGCTTCATACTTTAACACAGAAAACAAGATATTTAGCTTTAAAAAAAGTGCATCTAATTTTTTCTTATTAAATGTGTTATTTATTGAAACAACCATGACTTAGAAGATATCAATTCTTGATTTTTCATATTATATGCAAATTGACAAATGTTCTCTAATTGCAAAAGGAAACTCTGAGAGAGAAAATATTTTACATGGCTAAATATTTTATTTTTTTGTGTAGAGGATTATGTTCAACCTTATAATCAACATTTAGTAGTAGAACTAAGCTTAATTCTATTAATTCCAGAATTAATTATAGACTACCAGGACTAAAATTCAATTAATACTAGAATAAATTGAAGAAGTAACTATAATTCTACCAGTAGAAAGTTGTGGTTTGAGAAGTCAGGAATACAGAAATAAAGCATAATAAGCTGAGTTTAAATTTAAAATATTAGGCACAGTAAGGTTTGGCATTCATTTCACTGAGTGCCTCCTCTACTCACATACCTTTAACTCAGGGTTAGATTGGTGGTTGGGAGGGGTGGCAAGTTGAGGGTGGGATGTGGGGCAAATGATTGTAGCCAGCAAATCAACTCTGAACAAACCCGCAAAACTAAGCAATAAATTCCAGAGTGCAGTCTGGTTCACACAAGCTTCAGGCTCAAAAGCCTCCAGTTGTAAATAGAACCTCCAATTGTAAGGCAGCTTTCTGTACTCCAAACTGTTCATGGGAGTCCTGAGGGTTTTAAGTGGCCAGACATGTAAAATTCAAATGTCATTCAAATTCCATTACAATATTTAAGAAGCTAACATACAGGAAAACAGCTGGCACGAAATCAGTGCCGAGAGCAGGTATAATTCCCAGTGCAGAGTGAACCAACCCTTAGGTCACTGTGAATTGGAGCAGTGACTTAAATTCAAAACCAGGCTGAGGATTCATGGGCTAATACTGTCAGTAACTTAAAACTGGATCCCAAGGGAAAGGACTTTTTTCCATTGATAAAGAGGATGGTTCACTGCCAGGCAGCTGGAGACTATCTTGCAGGGGCTTTTTGAACAGCCAGCATGAGTATCTAAATGACTACTACAAAGAAAAAAAAAAACACCTAACAATCCTCAAATTTTAGATGTCCTGGAAAGCTTTTAATTCATTTTGGTGTTTGGTCTTCATTTGTTCCTGTTAAAAATAGGACAACATACACATATTATAATTAATTAACAGTTGTTGAATGTAGTCTCTAGCGAATGGAATAGTAAAAGTTACCACCCTTTGTAGAAAAGAAATATACTACCCATGACAGCTTATATCATAAAATAGGACTCACTGGTTGCATTGTGCTTACAAATATTTTCATTGCAGTTATTGAATTCAGTAAAATGTCATAAGGTACTCTTAGCCTCTGGCCAAAACTGACACAGAATTTAATTTGCGCTAGTCAGCTAAAGACACAAAATGTTCCTGGGGAAAATTCTGCCGTGTTATACAAACACGCAACACTTACTGACAGGTCCATGGAAATCCTGTGCTTATGCAAGTAGCGGGGGTGATGCTAATAATACCACTGGAATGAAGTAAAGTGTTCACTATTTGACATAATAATCTAAATTGTTTCTAGACCTTAGTTTCCTCCCTAAAGGTCAACATTTTCATTTTTGCAAATTCTAGCTAAGAGCATTGGCAAATAAAAGAAAACCCAGGGGAACGGGTTCTTTTTAAATAAATTTGGTAGAAAACAGACCATTTGAAATTGATTCTAAATTACTTTTTGGTGGTTAGTACATGACCTCCCACAGCCATTTGAACTAGAGGTGAAGGTGACTTTCTCTCAGTAAATAGGATAGGGGATTTTTTTTCTTCCTGAAGAGTCAGGATTATGTGACCTTATAAATTGGTCTCATTACAGAGTTACTGACAGACAGACATATTGGTTGCTGCCAGTGGGCATATGGGCTGAAATTTGGAGAAGGAGGGGAGAACAGATGGAAGAGGGAAAAAGAGTGATGGACGGGTCCCTCACACAGAGACCAGCTGGTAGGGAGCAGGTCATGTCTATTACTGCTAAGCTGAGAAAGATAAGAGTGTCTGCAGTGGGAAAGGCGACATCCATCAATCAGCTTCTTCATTATGGCAAGAATGAGGCTTGTGGTCTGAGGGTGGAAGAAGGGGGCCGGTCATCCCACACCCCACAGGTGGCAACTCTGAAGAAGGCTTATCTTTCACATTGCCCGGAAAAGGAAGAATGTGCCCTTCATGAATTTGGGTTGTTGTGGGTTCAGAGAAAACTCAGTGTGATGGTTTAATATTATTTTCAAGTGCTTTTATGTTGAGTCAAATATTGCATGAATGTCACACTTCATAATGTAAGAGAGCAACAGTACAAAGGTTTTCCAGGTGAACCCCAAGTTCTCTTCTGTCTGTATGACAACGTCCAAGGCAAATGGAGTGGAGGCAGGAAGGCTCTCTAAGGGTTTCTAGAATGTAAGCTCCTTCAGAGTAGTGACTTGTTGGTCTTGCTCATTTTAATACCCAGGAGGCTAAAACAGAGATTTGGAGTAAATATTTACTGAATAAATTAAGTTGAAATTATAGAAAATGTCTCAAAATGATTTTAACTCCCAAACAAATACATTTCCTGGCTCTTTCCCTGACATCTATTATCACCTTACCAACTCCTCTTTTCCACGGCTGATATTCTGGAGATATAAAGGCAACTTTGGTGAGGAACAGCAGCAAATGGAACATTTGACACTAGAGGTAGTTAATAGCTACACTCAAGTGGTAAAGAGTTGCACTGAAGCTTTACACTTCAGTGAGGACATGATGAAATTTGGGGAAGGGAATGCTTTTATTCTGAGGAGAATATCTTTCTGCCATACATGATACTTTGAGACTGGTTGGCTCTGTGTCAGGTTCCTGGAAGGCAGAATAGAAGCTCATTTATTTTAATTCTCAGTATCCCCAAAATAGTGATGCTTAATTAATGTTGAACCACTAGCTTAAATGATTATTTTCTATTCACAAAGTTTTCTAGTGTAGGGTCCATAAACTAATTTGGCTTTCTTATATATTTAGGGAAGAAAAAAAAATGATCAGAAAGAATTAGAAATGTGATCCAGACAAAGATCATTTTATTTGAAAATACTTTGCTCTACAGTACTTATTTTAAGAGAAACATATATTATCTCAAATAATAATAATTTTAGTGAAAATACAGTCACATAGAAATTAGAACAGTTTTGGAAGTTAGACTAGCAAATAGTTGAATCAAAAATTTGACCTTAATAATTAATTATTAATATAAACCAATCTAACTATGAAGAAGGTAGGTGTTACTGATTTGTAGATACATTTGAAGCTTATTGACCTGATCAAATTAGTTAAATAAAATTATATTTATATTTCCTGTTATCTTCTGATTGGGGGTTAATAACATATATCACCCTTTAGTATAAGAAAATAATAAACTTTTTTGAGGTTTCTAAGCAAATTGATTTTTTAAATGTACCTGGCTTTAAAAATATAAGCTCTCTGTTAAGAGATTCTGTTACATGCTAACATAATATAAGACTACATATTTAATTAGTTTGCATATCCTAAAAGACAGCTGCCCGTTTATGAAATTAGAACATATCTTGAATAATTTAAAAAGAGTTTGACAAATTTGAAAGTGTGCCCCTATTTAAATTGTGAGAGAGAGTTGACCTGTGTGTGTAAGATTCACTTCAGGGATCCTACTGGACTCACAGGAAGGACACATTGCTGACCTCACTAAGTGGTTTAGATAGGGGTTTCCTAATTGATAATGATGGGTTTGAATGAACAAATTAGTCTTGGATTGAAGGGGACTCACTGCTGAACATGTTAGGGGAGGAGGCAAAGTGATGAAATGCTTCGGCTCTGGAATGAGAAGGACTGAACTCCAAATTTGGTCACAAGGCCTTAGGTGAGTTAATTAATTCTCTTTTTCCTGTGAGTCCATGTGGACATTAAAACAGATAATGCATATGAAGCACTTACCATAGTGTCTGGAACAGAGTTAGCACTCAGAGAGAGTAATGGTTTTATTTTTGCCGTACTGTGAGTTTGCTAATATTATAGTTTGGTTCCTAAATACCCCAAAGATATTTCATACTTTTTTTGTTCCTACTCTCTAAAAACTACTTTTGAAGAAAATCTAAGAATTGCCTTTCTTTCTTCTTTCTTTTCTTCACTTCTTCTCTCTCCCTCCCTCCCTTCCCTTCGTCTCGCCTTTCCTTTGCTCCTTCCTTCCTCCCTCCCTCCCTCCCTTCCTTCCTTCCTCCTTCCCTTCCTCCCCTCCTTCCTTCTGCATATCTATATAGTCAACAGATTTTTGAATATTTATTCTATGAAAATCCAAAAACTTCTGCAAGTAGGACATGTAAAAATATAATATTGCAATTTAACTGTCTGTAAACAGAACATTTTATATGGTCTGAATTATAGCATGATGGGAAAAATACTCCACAATGATAGAGATAAATGCCCAATATTAGTATCATTTTTCTTCTGTAAATATAGAGGAGAATTTGAATCCCTAAGGGTATTTTTTTCATTGAGTAAAATTGATCATAGTATAAAAATATATGATAGATTGAAATTACATCTTCTTCCAGGTTTTCTAGTGACCTATAGGACCGTTACTTTCTTGACTATCCTAAAATATATAGCAGCATCTTTCCTGAATGCATTTGCTTCTCCTGATGTATAACATATTCATATGCTGGTATTTATTAAAATAAGCTTGCTGTCATTTATGGAGGGAATGTATGCCAGTTCCCTACCAAGGAGTCCTTCTCCACTCTCCTGATTCAATTTGTACACAATTGTTTTCATTTCCATTGATTCAAAAAGGATGTGGAAGTGAAAATAGTAAAAATAGATGTGTTCAAGTATTTATAACCTATACATTGAATTAGTGACTTGAAACTTCAAATATCAATGTACAGAAATTGAGAATTGACTACGGAGGAGACAGCCCAACCACAATCTGGATTATTTTCCAAATGCTTTAGGTCTGGCAAAAACTAAAGTGTTTATTGCCAAGCCCTTTTCCTCTTAATTTTAAAAAGTCATGTGTGTTTCAAGGGAAATTTAATCCACATGTTTCTGATTCATTTGCACTCAAGTTGTCAAACTGTTTTGTAATCACAAGTCTTTATCTTTTTCTCTCCACAGAAAGTTGAGTTTTCCAAGTGTGCATAAACAATAACCTCTCAGAAGAATAAATTGAATTTCAAATTCAGAAATCAGGGATGGGCAAAAATGTGTATATTTCACCTGTTCTTTGAAAAGAAAAATATTTTGGGGCTTTTGCCCCTGACTTAAACCTTTTGGTGTAGACATCACTTGCCCTTGGCAATATGCAATTCTTCTCTCCAAGGAACAGTATATTTAGAGTTCAAAATATACAGCAGAAGGTGCTAAATGACCCATGAAGCAGGAGGATTCTGTCTTTAAAATTACAAGCAAATATGACCACAGATAATATTAGAGTTTTATAGCAAAAACTTATTTTAAATATTATAATCGTCAAAATTGGGTTTACTTACAACTCCTCATCCCTTAGATATGAGCTTAACAAAGCAAAAGTGCTAGGTTTTTTGGCCCCGAATATTTTATCTAAAATGAGTTTAAATTACAAATAGAAGAATTTACAGGGGGGAAAAACACATTTTTTTAAAGCTTTTGTCATCTCTGAAAATAACTCAGAATTTACCACATTTACATATTTTTCTTATAAAACATTCTGTAGTGAGAGTTCAAATACTAAAGCTTACTATAATAGAATGCCCCATTTGGGAACATTAAGAACTTTTGTTTTATGATAACTCTACAATAGTTACTCCCATTTGGATCTCTTAGAAAGTGCTAATTCCAAACACTTCCTTCTTTATCATGAGATCAAACCATTTGGACCGCTTATTATCATGTACCCCGTAAAACTCAATCTGTTGTGTTAATTAGTTATGTAAACACATTTTATAATTGTGGAGACAAAGCAGAACTAGACAACTGGGTAGGTGAGAAAAGATCAAAGATCTTTCTTAATAAATTGTTACGGTAATTAGTGTTTGTCTTGTACTTCTTTTCCAGGGGGTCTTTTATACCCAAGCTTGGGAAACCTGCTTAGCGAACAAGGAAGCTTTTGGAAAGACAAATCTTGCTAAGCTCCCAAAACTGACTTAAAATCAGTGGAGTGAGGAAAAAAAGGAATACAAGAAAGGGAAGATAAAAAAGACCATGAATTCCTCTGGGGGAGTCCCTACTCTGTTTAATAGCTTAAGAATAAAATATGGAAAAGAACTATCACATCACATGTAGCCTATTTATATACTAGACAACAGCTTTCCCTACCCACCACCCGCACCAAGACATACTGTGTATAGCTTTCTCTGAAAATAATGAGAGTACTGTAGTGTCTATACTTCTCAAAAAATGTTACTAAAAAGTACCTAAATTTTAGGAAGATAAAGTCCTCCAGAAAATGCCCCACCCTCCCTCAGCATTACCTGGGCTTCCTCCTGCTCCATTCTATCTAACACATCACCTACTTTACCTAGATTCTTTGGCTGTCTCTTCCAATTAGAAAGCCCATGCATGATGGCAGGGAGTTTTGTCTAGTTTTCCACTGGTTTGTTCAATGACTGGCTGAATAAAAGAATGAATACAGAGCAGTTTTCTAAACATTTTAGAAGCACTTTGGGGTAATATGGAGTGGGTCTACCACTTACATGCTGTGGAATGGCTTTGAGCAATTTACTTGATCTTCCTGAACTCTGTTTCCTTATACATATACCTAGATTGTTATCTACTTTTCAGGGTTATGTCAAGATTGGAGATGATTTATGTAAACTGCCCAGCAGAGTGTCCAGCACTTAGTAGATGCTCAGTTAACGGTAGTTGTTTTGTTGTTATTACTTTCCCCCACTTTTCCTTTATACAAGCCAAATAATATTAAGACTCTTGGATTTAGCATTACTTCTTTCTGTTTTTACCATACTCCTCTCTTTTTCAAGTTGTATTCATATTTTCTTAATTGAATAGTATGCTCTTTGTTGTTAGTCATCCCAAATATAAATCAAACTAATATAATAAAAATTATAACAAAAATATAATAATTTAAACAAATATAGTAACAATTTCCTAGAACTATTCTTTAACTTTCTCTTAAAATTCCCACACATTTGTAAATTACTAATTTTTCCAATTCCTACCTATAATATAGGTAGGGGTGTGTATTTTCATTTCCAGATATTCATGTTCAAACCCCACGACAAAAATTATCCACTTTGCCCCAGGTTTTCAATAAGATTTTGCATGCTTCTTTATAGCCTTGGTGGAGAGGAACTTGTTTCAGAACTGTACCTAGGATTTCCCTCAATTTATATCTTTTATCTTTTAACTTCAGGTCTTGTCTCTAAAAGACAGTCCTCTCCTGAAATCTCCTCCATGAAACCTGGAAGTATAGAAGAAAAGAGCACTAAAAAGACCAAGAAGTTAAATTTCTAACATATCCTTCATCTGGCCAGATTTTCTGGCACCGTGCCTGTTTCACAAGTTTCCCAGTTTTTATGAGATAGTAAACCTAAAGCTGCTTTTTTAAAATGTATTTTAAAAGTAATACATTAAAAATGGTAATATCTCATTGTTTAGCAAATCTATTATTATAAATTATGAACAAGTGAAATGAAAATGAGTAAAAATAATCTTTAATTTTTAATCTCACTAGCTATAATCTTTGTTCTAGCATAAATTATATGTTTATTGTCACAAAAATGTAGTACAGTATATAGAGATAGTATTTTGAAATCTGTTTTTCTCTTTATAGTTTAACATATATTTTTCAATCGTTAAGCACACAAGCATCATTTTAATAATATCATTGTATAGACATATCACTGTCTATTAAAACAATCCTCTGTATATGTGATAAAAAAATCTATATATTTGAGCAAAAACTCAAAAAACTTGAAATTTTTATGGTAGAAAACTGGAAAATATTTGGTAGTTTTATTTTGTTCTTGCCAAGTAACTCACATTAAATTTTTACTTTCTTTTCCTCTTTTCTCTCAGATAAAAACCTCATAAATAAAAACACACCTAACAAACTAAAGGCCCATATTCATAACCTGGAATTCTAATAACAATCTTATTTGTCTTTTTCACATTTTCTCCTCCCTCAATGTCCAGCATGTTGCTACTCAAAAAGTTCTTAATAAATATTAGATGAATAATTGAACAAGTGAACTTAAATCACATGCAAATACCATCTCATGAAATCTGTGATTGCAGTTTTACAAGCTTGTTTGTTTTTCCACTATTGGAAAAAATGAACTGACTAAAAAGGTCCCTTTTAGTCTCCATCTCCTTAAGTGTCATTATTACCTATGACCAGGTCAGAGTTCTCCAAAAAGTGGGTCACTTGGATCAGAATTTCCTGGAGTACTGGGAATAAACACAGACTCCTGGGCCCCATTCTAGACCAGCTAAGGCAGAATAATTAAATTTAAAGCCCAGGAAAGTCTGAGAACTACTTGTAGGTGGGGTCAGCAACCAACTAAATTTTGTATAACAGTCAGTTGAAGAAGTATAGAATGCAATGCACTTCCCAGCATGTGTGGAACTAATGTAGCATGGGGAGCAGAAATGGGGGTAAAAAATCTCATTTCTGTTTTCATGAAGACAATGGCATTCCCTTTATGATGGTAAAGATCTAGTGAAGGTAAAGAAGTCAAGTTTAAAGGTCAGTTTTGCTTTGTGTGGAAATAATTTCATTGGGCAATTCTAATCAAGAGAAGAAAAATACAACAATCTAGGTTTCTGAGTTTGTTTTCACTCCTAGCTCTCTTTCTATCTGTGGTATCTTACAAGATTCCAGTGAAAATTATTAAGAAAAATGCCTATCCACTGGTTATAAGCTGGAATTTAATGTATTAAGGCTGTTTTCTACACTTTTGGTATACAATAAGACTTTTAGAGATACCTAAGTTTTTTAAGGTACTGTTCAATCTACGAATACAATAATTACATCACTCTGTCTAATCAACTGAACAGAACCAAAAACCAATCTTCATTTTTTTTTTGCAGGAAGATGTGAAAATTAATATGGCATGTAGGTGCTGTTGGTTCCAATTAAAATCAATATCTGTCCTGATTTGTGTCTCTTGTCTCTATGACAGCGAGGGGGCTGGCTAAGGGGATACATCTGCTCCTCTCTCCCAAAGGGGCTCAAAACAAGTGAATGACCTGCAGTGTTTATTATTAAGTTTTCAAAGGGAAAGTTGTTTTGGTCTAATTGAAGCAATAATACGAGAGAGGTTATTTCTGGTCAGTTCCCTGCTGTTTTCACTCTGGAGAATATATTCCAGGTGTTCATGTGCCCCACTGTAGTGCAGTGCTGCCGTCTCTTGAGTGTAGGCATGCTAGTGCCAGTGGAGCAATAAACTAGCCTTAGCAGTTTAAGCCAGTCTTGGCCTTTGAGAGACACTTTTTTAGTTAACTTCATAGTAAATCAGATGGTTAATGATCACATTCATTTTCAAAAGACCCTGTTCCCATGGAATAAAGCAATGAGATTTTATAAATCTCAAATACATTAAACAAAATTATTTTATTTCCCTTTACTCCAAGTCTTTGCCACACTATACAGCGTAGCTATGTCATGTCAATGTTTTCCTTGTAAGTCATTTTTCTTTCTAGATTAATTAATGGCTCATCTAAAGTAAATGAGGAGAAAAAAATTAAAGTATTAGCCATCATTGATTCATAACTGCCTGTTGTATTTCTGTGTTTGAAATATATATTCTAGCTCTATGATTTTCAAATATTCCTGAGATGTCATAAACAATATCAAGGATGATTGGTGAAGGATATAGACACTGAAATTGAATTTTGAATGTAAATGGAAATACCCAGTACATAATGTTCGGTTATAATTTGCCTGAGGTATATGTGACTGATCATTTCTAATAAACGATAAAAGTTGTCACGAACAACAGTTTGGGAATTTCAGAGGTAACATTCTATTTATTAGCCAACTCATATATGTCATAACTTTTTATATTACTTTGAGATTTTTTTCCTCAAAATTACAAAACTGAAAACAACTTATTACTAAGTGGAAGTTAATCTAAATTCTGTGAACTGTATGCAGTATTTACCCAAAATAGCTTAATTTCAGTTAAATTTCCAGGTAATTCTTATTGGTAATTATAAGAACAAAGACTATTCTAAAGTTAAAATTCATCTTCTTTCTAGTTCCAAAAGGAATTTTTGATCTTGATTTTGCTTATTTTCATCTCTGAACCCAACATGAACCCACAGACCAAAACAGTCACATTAAGAATATGGGCTGGATTTCAGGCTAATCAGGGGAAATGCCTGGGGAGGGTGGTGGTGGTGATGTCTGCTGCTCACTCGCTTAATCACTCAGACTTTTTGAGTCCAGGATACTTCCAGAGTCTGAGTGGTAGCGATTTCTCAGTTCACATTCCCAGATGTACGAATCAAAGGGTCTAGCACTGAATGTCCTCAGAGGAGGGGCGGCCCTGGGATGAAAATAGCTCTGCCTCTCCAGAAAGGGAATAATGAGTGGCACACAGTGTCAAGGGCATCATATTTATAAAGCACTTTGGCTTCTTTGGATAATATTCAAAATGTTTTGCAGAATGATTAGTTAAGTATTTTCACAAACTCCAAGGAGAGGGCAGAAACCCAGCTCCGGTGGCTGTGTATCAGGCAAAGGAAGCTGACACGTGCATTCCTCTCATTATTCTTTCCCTGCCCTCCAAATACCACACACATAGCAACGGTCAATTACAGGGGAGCAGGTGAGGTGTGCAAATTAACACAGGAGAAAAGTGGTGAAAGTCGTGGGGGTGGGTTGGGAATGAAGAAGAAGAGGGAAGGTAGGGGCTGCCTGGTCGGGAAGGCAAGCCACACAATGCCACTTAATAAACATGACAGTTAATAAAAGAAGATTTAAATTCTTGAACAGAAACAAGCAAAAAAAAAGAAACCCTGCATGCTTCCATTCTGAGTACTTCCAAAAGGGTTATGATGTTATGGTCTCATTTGATGTGATTTGTCCCAAACCAAAAAGGAGGTTCCATTTTAATCTGTAACTACAAAAGAAATAAATAACCTTTGTAACTGAAATGATTTAAGACAACAAAAAATAGAATAATGTTATTGTATTTCAGAGGCCATTGTTGTTAGAGTGTGCTTAGATTATTTTGCTTATTGAAGGCTGTAGTCGCAGTGCAGAACTTAACATTTAGTAGTCATAGAACTCTCAGAGATGATGGTGAGATAAGAAGGCAAGTGTCTGTTACTCCCCCTGTCCTTTGTAAAATCTCAAAGCAGATGATGCCAGAAACCATAGCAATCACTGCCAATCTTAATAGCCACTAATGTCTAAGGCTTTACTATATAATGTAGAATTCGTTGTACTTTCAAAGTTAGCATCTTCACTGATCGTTTTAACAAGTTAAATAGTCAAATCCTAAAATTAGCTCCTGAGTTCATATTGTTCTGGGGTGCAAGATGGACTTAAATCAATAAAGTTGTTTCTAAGATGAAAACTTGGAGGTGCATTTGAAAGGTCCTTTGTTTTGCTTAAGAACCACATTTCCAACAATTGGAGAAGGATAAATCCTGTAGTGCCAGCTGTGCTGAATATAAATTAATTTCTTTTATTTTTAAAGTGTTCTTCAGGATCATACAATAATTCCGAGTAGTAATGAGCTTCAATTATCACTTTGTTGGAGACATATCAAAGAGATTTATAGTTGACAGAATGTGAGATAAAAGATCATTTACACTATTGTTCTTCAAAACACAAAGGTGACTTTGAAGTATTTGTTTTCTTACAAATCTGCTGTAAGACATGGCAAATTACCTCATATTTTTGTTTTGCTCAAATAAGGAAACTGAGTCATAAATGGATTAATTCACTGTTAAACAAAATGCTTTGATCTCTTATGTTTAAAACAGCCTTTTAATTATAAAGTTTTAAAAAAGCTGCTATCACTGACAAAGTAATTTGTTGAGTAAAAACAAGTGGCCTGAAAAAAAAAAGTGATAGAGCTTAACAGGGCTTTGCTGTACACAAATGGACTAGCTTAGGAATTATGATAAGCTGGGTTTATGACTTTACCATCTTACTCTTCACAGTAACTACTGTTCTTAGGTTGGTAGGGGATGAGTGACTGGCATAGCCTTGATTGTGGTAGATAATCTCCAGGTTGTTGTAGATCATCTGAAGCAGAGTTTGCGGGGATCAGTTCAGTTTACCATCGCAGAAACTGTCCTGGAGTACATATAGATGACATCAATATCATTTTTGTGGCAGGTGTTACAGATACTAGTACCTCATGTTTGCATGTTTACTTCATTGTTTTTGAGGTTTTGTAGCATATCCTCTTAGAATTTGAAGACTCTGAAGATCAAGTTGCCAGACACCTTGATTTTACAAATAAGAGCTGAAACCCATAAGGTCAATTGTTTTCTCTAAGGTCACATGTAAGTACATGGAGACCAAAGGCTAAAGTCCAGGGATACTGATTATATTATTCCATGACCCCAGGCTGTCTTAATAGATGTATTTTATTTAATCTTTATGATATCCATGTGATATAGGAATTGCTAGCTACACTTGTTTTATAAACAGGAGACATGGATCCAAGGAGTTGCATGACATTCTAACTAAAGTCTTAAAACTTATTAAGGACAAAATGTGGTTTGGTACCCAGGCCTTGTTCAAAATTTTAAAAGTCATGCAAAAGGGATTTCTACTGAGAACTCTCTTACACTATTTCAATTTATCTGTGTATTATCTATTAAGGTCAGTTGGAACGAGCACTATTTCATTCTCTTGAAGACCTGTTAAAAAACTAATGTGGTTTGTTTTAAATTATAATTTCCAGTGGACTGAAAGATTTCATTGTTGCTAATTTTGCACAACAGTTATTAATGGATGAACTAAGTTGTTTTGCTTATGACTTATGTTGAGATCCTAGACCTGAAGCTATCATTCTAAAATGAAACCATTAAGAAAAGTTCCGCTTTTGTTTTTAAACTGTTCTTTTGCCACATTATTCCTTTTGTTTCCCAAATATTCTAAAATGTTTACATTTCCTGGCCATGTGAGCATCCTTGCCACTCTCAATAAAGACTTTGAGACAATCTGACAGTCTGTTTATCTCACTGGTTGTCCTTCATTTATTCATCCCATGATAGTTACTGAGCACCTTGTTTATGGCAGGCCCTGTTCCAAGAGCTGGGTAAAGAGTACTGAAAAAAATAGAAAAAGTGTCTGTCCTCCAGTTGGCTTATGGTTGGGAGAGACACTGAACAAGTAAATTTATAATGTATTTGTTAAATTATTTTTTTTAAAATAATATGTGTTTGTTCATTGAAGAAATCAATTTATAACTTGTCAGGTGTGTCAACTGTAAAGGGTGAAAATGAAGCTGAGGAGGGGGATGGGGGTGCTGAAGAGGGAGATTGCTATTGTACACACAGTGTTCAGGGTAGGCTTCTACTGAGAACCTGAAGGAGACATCTGAGGGAACAGCACCTTGAAGAAAACGAGGTAGGATTATGTTTAGCATGTTCAAGGTAGAGCAAAACATGGGGGAAGTGGAGTTTGAGGTCACAGGGAGCCAGAACATACAGGGAGGGCGGCATAAGCCATTTTAAGGACATTGGGTGAGTGACAGGAGGAGTCATTGAAGGTGTTAGTACAGAGGAGTACATTTATAAGCTTATATTTCAAAACGTCTGTGTTGACTTCTTTATGAAAATAAAGAAGTGGGTACAAGGATAGAGGAAACAAGGAGACCAGCTAGGAGGTGACTGAGAAAAAAAATCATGCCATAAATGATGACGGCTTAGGGCAGGAGAGGTCATAAAACTGCTCATATTTTGACAATAATGATGAGAGGATCTATACCAAGATTTGATGTGGATTGTCAGAGAAAAAAAAAAAAGCAATGAAAGGTACTTACAAGATATGTGGCCTGAAAAGCTAGAACAGCATTGTCCTTTTCTAGAAAAAAATAAACCTGATAGAGGGACTTTGGCGGGGGGCATATTAAGAAATTTGTTTTCTGACATCTTATGTTTGAGACGCCTACACATAACTGGAGATCTTGAGAGCTGGATTATAGAATTAAGATTGGGGAATTGGTGTTTCATGAATGGAAATAATTATTTGGAACCCTTCTAGCTCAGGAGAGTGGTAAGGGTGAGTATAAACATAGAAATTAGAGGAATAAGCTTGTGTTAAAGTAGGGAGATGAGGAAAAGTTACCTAGAGCACTGAGAAGGAATAGCAATGAGAGAAAGGTGTGCTCTCTTGGAAGCCAGATGAGGCAAGAATTTTAGAAAACAAATAATTATTTGGATTTGCCTTCTCATTTGCTTTTTAATTAAATGTGATGTTAAGGAATTGGCTCAAAGCAAACATCAAGATTATGCATTTTAACTATTTAAGTATTGCACACTTGTAAAAATCGCTTGTTAGAAAAGATTAACAGGAAATTTATAATTCTCTGTTCACGGAATTACCATTTGTATTTATTCTTTTTCAAATAATGATTGAGTGTGAGAAGATTTGGTCTAATGCAATTTTGCATTCTCATTAAAAAAGCAATATGGACTAACTCAATATTTCTGAAGACTGACTTTCCTAGAAACACAGTGTGGTGTAGTATAAAGAATACAGGCTTTGGAGAAAGACCTTGTTCACAGCTTTGTGTGTGAACCCAGGTTCCACAGATGTATGAAGTGGTGAGAACTTGGTCAAGTGCTTCACTTGCTTTCTCCTGCAGGGCTCACTCCCTTCCTCCTTAAAATGGAGATGTTAACACCTATCTCCCAGGATTACTATGAAAATTAAATGAAAAAAATTAGGCAAAGTGCCTAACACATTGTAAATATTTCATAATGACCCCTAAGTCATTAAAAATAATGACTTGTTTTGAAAGAATTGCACGGTATAGGAGCATCTTCCTGATAGAAATTCAGATTATCTTGATTGCGAACTGTTTAGTGATATATATAGCTGCTTCTAGCTGATGGATTTACTAAAAATTTTAAAGCAATTGTTTACTCTTTCTACCAGTTTCAACTCTGGGGTAAATAAATGAGCAGAATACCTCTTTTTACCCTCCTTTCACTTAGTTATTCAGGCAAAGTCTACCAACACGAGAAAAGTATTTTTTTTCTTTCCGAGACTTTGTTCAACCCAGGTGGAAAATATGATTAAGTAAGACCTCCCTGAAACAGCTGTTGCCTTTAAGTTGAGAGAAGTTCTCTGGAAAAAATATATTTTTAAAACATAAATACAATAATTTTGTGACCATTTTAAGCACTCTGTGTGTACTTTCTCTAAATCACTCTTCTGTGCAGCCCCCTGTGGCTAAGAAACCTGAGTGGATGCTTATCTATCTCATCTCAATCTCTCAAAGCAATTGCAAAATAAATTCAGATGATGGATCTATAATCTATTATGAAATGAAAGAAAATTCATCTTCAGAAGAAACCCAAATGAAGAGATGATTCTAATTAGATGCTATTTGCTTTTAATTGTGCTTTTTAAAAAAAAATCCCTGTGGTATATAACTTCCATTGTCACCAAGACACTCTATCAATTGATGTTGCTGCCCTCTCCAGGCCCCGCTGCACAGTCCACTGGGGACCAGACCTGGATCCCCTCAGAGCTTAATAATGTGGAACCTCTGTTGCCTAGAGACATAGCTTTGGTTAAATTTAAAATTCTCTTTTCTATATCCTAAGACCTTGGTCTTACTGCTTCCAGTGTGCTTTTAACCAAAAAGGTCAAAGATAATGAAGCCTAAAAAATCTAAAGTAGACTTCAAGCATGGAAGGGAAGAATGTTCTCCTTCTACTCTAGGTTAGACTATAAATAAATGAGAAAAAAATGAAACTTTCATGAAAAAAGAGGCAAAGAATTGCTTCAATTGTCAATCTTCGACAGCTTAATTTGAAGTCTACACAATTTACTTGCTATGTGTTAAAAAATTAGAATGGATTGCTACATTTGGAGTGGGGGACTTTTTATTTGACTAAATGCAACATTATTTTAAAATGTTTTAAAAGTTATAATCAGCGTGTAATAATTAAAATATGTATTGAGCATTAATTCATAAGAAATATTTCATTAGGGAACAAGGAGGTAATTAATTGGAGAAGAAATTCTTTCTCCTGTTTTACAATCAACAAGTCTGTGCCTTTCCTTAACCATGAAATAAAATTAGAAATACATTTTGCATTCGTGCTAAACAGATAACTTTTTAATTCAAAAATGTCCACTGAGTCCCTGCCATGTACAAAACTCTGTACTAAGCACAGGGATCATAACAAAGAATAAAACATAATCTTCTCATCAAAGGAGCCCAGTTTCTAGTTGGCTTGGACAAAGTCTCAAATGAACTATGAAAAGAATAATCACAAATTAACTGCAAGACTAAATTAGGTGAACAAATCAAGGTGCACAGAAGAAAAAGCAGGAATTATTGATGGGTGATCATAGACGGCTGTTGCTGAGTTGCATAAAATACCCTTAAACAGCCAGAAAATGAATTACTTCTGGTTAACGGAACAGCTGAAGCAAAGCTGTAGAGTTGTGAAATTTCTTAATCTGTTCGCAGAACAAAGACTACACTTGGGTGGCCAGAGCAGAGGGTCATTGGAAGGATAAAATAAGGTTGGAATAGCAATCTAGAGATATCTGAATGCCATCTGAAAAGTCTGAACTTAATTCTATAAGAACATGGGAAATTATTTTGGGTAGGAGTGTGTCTAGTTATCATTAAGAAGAGATTGTTAGGACTATATATAAACTCATCATCAGAAAAAAAAAACTGTAATTTGCCATGTTAGCTCTAAATGATGAAGTGTAGATAATTTTTTTAGATATGGATTCCGTCTGCCCTGAATTCTTCCTTCCTCTTAAGATTTCAAACTGAATTAAATATTCTTTCCTGACATTTAAAGTTACTTCTGTTCCCAACAGGGATAGGAATACCATTGGCATAATGTTCTGTAAAATGTTTAGATACACTTGGCATCTTGTCTTGTCTGCAATACATTTATTCTACAGCCTCTGTCTTTCCCAGTTTGGCTCACTGATCTATTTTACCTATAGTATATCCTATCCTTCATTCTTGGTACATTCTGCAATAAAACAAGTCTCCCAACTCAGGTTTCTTTTATTCTGCTAAAGTTTGGTATTCAGAGATCTTGGTGTTGATCTTGGCTCTTTGTCTGCCAACCATACCCTGGATCCAGTGCCCCCTAATGGCACCAACCCAACATGTATTTTGCCAACTCTTCTTCCTGTCACTCCTCACTGCCAGCCTTGAAATTAGAGTTCTATTCCTGAACCCATACCAGTGACCAAGGCCTTGCTTCCTATGAACTAAGGGATCTTGGCGGCTTGTCATTTTACCTCATTTGTAATTCCTGCCCAAGTCCTATTGCTAATTCTTATCTGACTACATTCCTAGCTAATCTATGGATTAGCTAGGAGAGTTCTCTGGCCCTGTCTACTTATTGGATAACATCTTTTGTCAAATCTTAGGATTTTATTCCTTCTCGCATTTTCCTATTGTTGTTAGGAACCATTGTATCTCAAATATGAGTTCCCTATGTAACAGTCAGTACAATTGTAGAGTCTGCTAAAATATAGAAAACTGGAAACTCACAGAAGATCGACAGAATATGAACTTTTGCCCCACATGAATTAACATGATGATCAAAGGCTGTTTAGTCTGCATGAAGGCTTGAAGGAATCAAAAGTTTAGTGCTTTCCCTTAACTTAAGCAAGTAAACGTCTGTACTGCTATGTTCTATGACAGGCTCTAGATGGAGGTGACTGATTTCTCCTCATGTCCTGTCATCACCTTGCTTCCCAGCTAGAGTTAAAATTGTATTTAATCACAGGAATATGTCAGGAATGCAAACAGGAAGGAAAGGAAACAGGTCAATTGATTGTTTATTGGTCCGCTGGCTAATCCCATAGCAAAAAGAAAGTCTCACTTACTTTTTAGAGATCTAAATTGTTCAGCCAAAAATAGGACAGTCAAGAGACAGTATACTCAAGAAAAAAAAAATTGAAGAAAATTTTTTAAAGAAACTTTGTATCTTAATTGTATTTTCTCTATGTTATTACTAGTTACTGATTTTAGAATCTTACATTTCACAGCATGTGCTGGACTAATCAAGTCTTGTGGTTCCCAAACCTGGAGGATTATGGGTTCCCTCCTAGACCTCTGGAATGAAGATCTCCCAGTGGTGGTGCCCTGGAATCTGTGATTTTAATAAGTTCCTCAGGTGATATGAATGATATACTAGGAAGCACTGATGCACAGTTCAGAAATATTAAAATGATGTTAATTTAAATTATACACACACACACACACACACATATATATATATGAACTGTGTCTTGCTCTGTTGCCCAGGCTTGAGTGCAGTTGTGCAATTTCAGCTCACCGCAACCTTCGCTTCCCACGTTCAAGCAATTCTCCTGCCTCAGCCTCCTGAGTAGCTTGGATTACAGGCACCTGCCACCATTCCCAGCTAATTTTTATATTCTTAGTAGAGACAGGGTTTCACCCTGCTGCCCAGGATGGTTTTGAACTCCTGACCCTGACCTCAAGTGATTCTCCCACTTTGGCATTCCAAAGTGCTGGGATTACAGGCGTGAGCCACAGCGCCCAGTCCTTAGTTTAATTGGTAGCTGTCTATCTTAGTGTGTTTGGGCTGCTGTAATAAAATACTCTAGATTGGATGGCTTATAAACAACAGAAATTTATTTCTAACAGTTTTGGAAAGTGAGAAGTCAAAAATCAAGGCATCAGCAGGTTTAGTGCCTGGTGAGGGCTACTTCCTGGTTCATAAACAGTCTTGTCTCGCTGTGTCCTCTCATGGTAGAGAGAGGAAGCACTCCAAAGTCTCTTTTATAAGGGTACTAATCCCATTCACTAGGGCTGAACCAAATCACTCACTTACCAAAGGCCCTACCTCCTAATACCATCACTTTGGGGATTCAGATTTCAAAATAGGAATTTTGGGGCAGCACAAATATTAGTTTATAGCACTTCCTTTTTAGGTTTTTCTTTTAGAACTAGAATATGCTTTACAGATGAGTTAATTGTGTTCTCGATATGTTTTTAAGTCATAATTACCACTTCTCAGGGTAAAAATGAAACAATTAGATAATCTGAGTGAGTTTAGTTCAGTGAGAGAAGTTAGTGAGAAACATGAGAAAATTTGATGGGGTAGTGGTAAATGAGGTTTGCAAGCATTTGCAGAAACCAGAAGGATGGTTTTATTCTTTTGTAAAAGGATGGGTTTTGCCTAGGGGAGTTAGTTAACTAGGGGCTTGACATTTTTCAGTTATTACAACAGCTGTTATAGTTTGTGCATACTGTAGACAGAAAATTCAGGCTATGTCTCAGTAAAAATATCAATATCATTATTGAGATGGCAGTCGTTTTCATAGTTTTTAAAATTTGATTCTAAAAATATAAAACTGGAAAGTCTTGATAAAAGTTTAAAAGGATCCTATTTGTTTACTAATCTCACCAGACACAGACATCAGGAGATATGAGGATAGGCAGGTAGCAGTTAGGGTAAAATGAAGAGAGGTTCTGTAAAATTTACTCCTGGGCTTCCAATATTGCCTTGAATATCAGTTGAAAAATCCTACTTAAGAATCTGTCCAGGTGAGTCACTTAAGGCCAATGACAGACTGAAATAATGACGAGACTCAGTCGTCTAGAGTAGGACATATGACAGGTAATATGAAAGAGGAAGAAACAATTTTCCCATGACGGCAAACAGAATTTGAAATCCTCTCACTGAAGGAGCCCAAGAAGTTACAGAGATCATCTCCCATCATAGTTTAACACTGCCAGGCAAATCAGTGCAAGCCAAGCAAGATTAATGTCAATTTTAGAGAGCACCAGAGGGGCATTGAACACTTGACTAATTATATTATTCTAGTTTTTCACAGAGCTTGCTGCAAGATAAAGCTCTCATCTACTTCATTTAAATCATCTCCTTGGAGCATTATCTTATTTTTTTTCTTATACTTCCTTAGTGGAGTTGGGGAACAGCTGGTAAACTCACCTCTCAATGGTATTTATGACTATGATATTTTCTTTAAAAATTCAAAAGCTCTAAAGAAGACTTTTTAGAGACTTCCACCTCAATTAAGGTTATTTTCTTTCTTTTTTTTTTAAATAAATATTTGTCAACAGAGCTGAATGGATAGATTACACAAGACAATTTTTCATCTGGATTTCAGCTCTATCTGAACTTTAGTATATTTGGAAAATGATTACAAATATGTGCAGTCCTTTTGAATTGACATTTAATTAATAATATTAATAATTAAAAAGTTCTGTGCAGTCCAAACTTTAGACAGCCCATCTGTTACACACTTGGATTTCTTCTTGGGTACACAGAGGTTCTAGGCAAATTATTTTTGTCGTTTCGAAATGCAATTAACAGATCATCAGCCATTAGCTTTGTTCCCTTCTCCTTCTCTTTCTCTCACTGTTTTCTGTCAGTTCTGGGGATTTTCCTTCTTTCATTTTCTCTGGTGATCTTGCTATTTTATTCACCTCTTTATTACTTAAAAACCCATTAGTTCTTTCACTCCTACTCTATGATTTTAGGTGAGGCATATTTACCATATCCTTTTACTCCTGTAAAAATACTGCCAAACATAACATATTGATAATCATTGAAAATAAAATGATGTTGTCCTCTCTAGTGATCCAAGAAAATGAGGAAAGGCTGAAGCAGAATTTATTTATTATTCATTCATTTAGTGTCAGAGTACAAGCCCTGACGTTATCCTTAGCTCCCCTGTTTAGGAAGCATACACAGCTGTTTCTGATCTTTTTCACAAAGTGTATGTGGAGGCTTCACCCTTTTCCTTTATCTTCCCCTATGCCATTAATAAAATATTTTTCTGGGGGAATGAGGAGACAGTGACATAGAGGAATCCCTATTTCCTTGAGTAATAGGATCACACGAGCAGAAAGAACTATGATTTGATCTGGTACTTATAGTCCATTGAATCTCGTTTGCGCAAGAAAGGCAAATGAAGCCACAATTAGCTATTGGGGGTCATTAGAGAGGCTACTGTGGTAGTGTAAAGTCTGGTTCTAAGGTCTCCAGTGTGTCTTAGTGGGTGACAGCAATTGCTGTAGGTGACAAACAACCACCTGAGAGGGCAGCCTGTTATGCGAATGCTCCCTTAAAGAATTTTTACTTAGTGTAAAATTGTAAATTAATGTATAGTGATTCAATTTTGCTATCTTAGTGAATGGTATCAAATGAATGCTGTGCTAAATTTCCTAAATAATATTCCTGCTTAAACACAATAGGACATCAGGGAGGTTTTTCCCTCCTGCAAATGGTAATTTAGGAAATGAGCCATAAGCTCATTCTGTGCACTACGTGCACAAGTGTACCATAAAAAGCCCATTAACCAAGGTGCAAGTGAAATGGATCTGACTACCATGTGTCTAGCATGCCACCTCAAAAGGTGCCACTTAATAGCATTCCTGACATCACCTTGAGCCCCCAATGAGAAGGGAAAATGAGAACAAGGGAGAGATTTTTTTCCCCACAGTTAGCAAATCAAGAGGCATTTTGTCTAAAGCAAAGCAAAGTCAGGATTGAAAAAGCAACAACATGATATATCTTGGTCTTCTTCCAGAATCAGTGAGAGTCTCCGCCAAAAAGCAAGAAACAGTATTTGAAATGTTTGAAAGGCAGAGGCCCTGCCAGCCCTCATCCACAAGGTTACTTGAGATGAGGATGAGGAGTTCCTGAATGATTGGGGCAACTTGTTGCCATTATCAGTTAAGGGTTAGAGAGCTCACTTGATATGTCTGGCCATTTTATCCAGTGGGAAAAAGGCAGCGTTTCTCCATGGCTGAGGGTGCATAAGGTCTGTGTAACATACCTAACTAAAGGATGACTCTAAACACAATAATAGGTTTGGTCAAATTTGCTTGACAACAGCCATTAGCCCTAAGCCCAGGCCATGGATGATGTGCCAGTTATCACACAATTTGATCATTTATCAATGATTACCTCTCCCTCAGGTCAAATGACACCTATAAGGAATGATACCAGGTTTGTCTCATCCCCGGAAAGTCCACACAAAATGCAACATTTTGACAAAGACTCCTGCTCAAAGTAGCATATGCTGAGTTGTGGAGTGGGGTGCAAACAGTGTCCCATCTGATAGCAAAACTGGTGCATTTTTCCTCTATACCCTGAGTCTTTTCAGGACCCAAAGGAATACGGAGGGAGAGCAATGTGGGGCCTGTCTAGAGAGTAATGTACAATCTGTATCCTGGCTCACATCTCCTGCCTTCTATGTGAATACAAAACAGAGTGGGGCACTAGAAATGTAGGCAATTATAGATAAGCTTATGAAAAAATCAAATGTCTTTTGTCCCTTCTTCTTATAGATAAGCTTACACATTTAAAAAATGTATTTTGCCCCTTCTTCCTTCCTACTCTTCATATGAAGAAACAGAAACTGGAAATATAGAGTTTTATCAAAAAAGTAATTTCCAGGTCCTTCTGGTAAATAGATAACTTATTTTGTGGGTACAGGAATTTCTTCAGATAACTGAATCATTCATTTTAGGACCAAATCCTCTATATCAGGTGAGACCCATGACCCTAAACAGTGGCCTATCTCACTCATTATTGTATATTGCATTCAACACATATTTAAAGACCAATAACTAAGCTAGGCTTTCAGGATATAGCAGTTTACAATATTATAAAAGTGATTAAGATAACTACATTGTCTTAGAAAGATTGGCATTGAAGTAAATTAAAAATAAAGATTGGTTTTCTTCTTGCTGTTGTTTCTGCTGTTTTTAAAGGGAGATTGACTCCAATTACACAAGGCTTTAAATGTTAGACTGAAGCTTCATTGCATGGGCAGTGTGATGTAGGGTCCAATGAATGCAATGTTAATTTTGAGGTTAATTTAGTTGCTTTAAAATATTTTGTGCAACATGTTAGAGTTTATAGCATTAGGATATTTTGAAGTTACCTTAGAGAAAGTCTACCTTTCCCAATTTAGAGATGAAAAAACCCAAATCCACAAAGATTAAGATGAAACTTCATTAAAATGGTGGATTGAATGCAAATATTTAGTTATCCTAACAATAGAAAACCCACTCAAAAGACTATGAAAAGATACACAAAGATGAAGAATAGAAAAAACAAGGGCAACAATATTTAGGAAGCTAGAAAGCAGATGGCTGAGTGTAACAGACCTGGCAGATTGTAGAAAACCATATCGTAAGTTAGCAGTAGGGAAAGCAGAGAAGCAACTGGATTTACATCTCATCTCAGAACTTCCCAAAGCTGAGGGACTGGTGGTATCAGTTGCCCCTAGAGTGGAGCTTTTAGTGGGCATACATAACAGAACATAGAGCCACTGTCATGTCCACAGGTGATTCATATGTTGAGAAAATTAAATAAATGAATGTTTTAAAGGGAGAACTGGGATACAGGCCTAGGAATATGACTCACCATGCTGTGTTTTATTCATTATGTGTTTAGATATAGTGTGTGTGCATATATGAATGTAGGTGAAAGAGAGAGGCTCTTAACGTATTATGTGCTAATAAAAAAGAATCATGACATATCTCAAAGCCATCATGGAGCTGTGAGTCATTAGAATTAAATTTTTAAAAATTCCTGTTCAAATGCCTACACTTAAAAAACAAATTTTTTGAGTGAATATATTGATGATTTTTTCTCTTTTATTGTGAGTTGATTTTAAGGTTTTTTATTTATTTATTTTTTGGAGTGTTTGTTTGTTTGCTAAATCATGGAGCTACTGGAAGAAATCTAATTTATATACTAACTCAGAGAACTCTACAAACTGGACAACCAACCACAGGTTGTGGTTCCATGTAAGTTTTAAGGTTCCCTGGGAGAAAAAAGCCAAGTCTACTTTAGGACTCATAGGTCTCCAGGGTTGTAGTTCTCATGTAAAGAGGGAAGAGGAAGGCTACTTCAAAACTGAAGAGTTTATTCTAATTTCTTCAGAGAAGAGACTGAACACGAAAAGGGGAAAAAAAGTTATTTACAAGGTATCAACAAAGAAGTGAAGTATTTAAAGACCAGATAAATGAAAGGTTATTAAAAGAAATGTTACTGTTATAGAAAAATAATTCTTCCACTGTACCATGACCATAACCAAAGTCTGGAATTTCGAAACAGAACACATAGAAAGCAAAAAAGCAGGGAGGGAGGTATACAGAGAGAGTGAGCAAGTAGAGACCAGAGACCATGAAGGAAGATGAAGAACAGCCCCACTCCCTGAGAACACCAGCTAACTGAAGAAGCTGTGGTATCAAGAGCAGCTTAGGAGACATGGGGAAGGAAAAGAAATTTATAGTTGTGTGGGAGGGTTGAGGATGATGGGAAAAAGGAGGGCACTAGTAATTTTAAAAGGTATGCATGGAGGCCGGGCGTGGTGGCTCACACTTGTAATCCCAACACTTTGGGAGGCCGAGGATGGTGGATCACCTGAGGTCAAGAGTTTGAGACCAGCCTAGTCAACATGGTGAAACCCTGTCTCTACTAAAAATACAAAAACTAATCAGGCATCATGGCTGGCACTTGTAATCCCAGCTACTCGGGAGGCTGAGACAGGAGAATCATTTGAATCTGGCAGGTGGAGTTTGCAGTGATCACGCCACTGCACTCCAGCCTGGGTGACGGAGTAAGACTCAATCTCAAAAAAAAAAAAAAAAAAGTATGCATGGGAACACAGAATCAAATTCTAAACCTGTCATCAATATACTTTTTAAGCCATTTTTTGTAGACCATACACTTTGTAAACTGCACACTGTATGAGCATTTGTAGTGTATGCTCTGGTTAGTCTCAGATTTATGACTTTTTCCCAGCTTAATTATTAATAGCACCCTCTTCATTTTCAAAAGTGTCTTGGTGAGGATAGTAAATTAGATTATTGCCATAGCATCAGGGAAGAAATTTAAAGTATCTTTGAAAGGAATGAGCAGGAAGATTGGGGTAGAAAAAATAGAATTTTTGCTGAAGACAATTTAAAAGAAATTTCATGGTTCTGTTTGATAAATACTAAGAAATTAAAATAAAGAAGCATGAATTCTAGAAAATTCGATGTTTTAAGAAAATATTAAAGTGATACCACTTTGGGGCAAGTTAAAGTTCAGTGATAGTGATATAGTTTATAATTCTTACAACCATTATTCTTTACCAGACTCTATCATAGCCTAGGAGGCTATGTTAAAACACTCCATGGAGTAATTGTCTAAATATCATTTCTCTTTTGTTTTTTTTGTTTTATTAAGATGGAATTTTTGTTCATGCTTATGACATAGAATGAAAACCAAAATTTTTATTTGCTCTTTTTTCTCAAACATCATCACTTGTTTTATGGAAGATTATGACTTTATACAGCCACTTATAAAGCAAATGTGTTTGTATCTCATACCACAGAACCAGTAGAAAAAAAGGGTTATCTTTTAAAGTCTTTGGTCAAGGTCAAAGATCTAATTATATAGTAATCAACACAGATAAATTTATAAACTAAAAGACAATTAATATATATGTCATCAATTACATTCTCCTGTGAATTTCAGGTGGAATTTGGCCTGTTGTTGAAATGTTCATATTATAGTGACTAACTGATCATAGTTTACCTGGAGCATTCCTTGATCATCTCAGTCCTTGATAAACTGCGATGATTATTTACTATCAGACTATTATAAAAAGATCAATAAAGTATCTCAGTGCTAAAAAAAATGTTTTCACAAAAATCTAAACTCTTGCTGATGTTTTAAAATATTACAGTTCATTTGTTCTTTGTTAATTTCTTATTTGCAGTTTGTCATAAGCAGCATCACAGCCAGAGGTGCCAAAAATCTTTACAAAAGGCCATCCTCATGTAGCTCCAAGCCAGGTCCAGTAACAAAGAGCCAGAAATTTCCAGGCCAACTCTGAAGATTTAAAAGGTTCAGATAGTTCGGATAAGCTTTGGACAAGCAGCCAAATTATGGAAGCATATCTGAATTTCCTCCAAATCTACAAACCTTTTGAGGTTTGCTTCTCCTTATTCCAAAGCCACTGCAATAGCTACAGCCTCTTCACAACTTTGCATGAGCAATAATGAGCATGAGATTACTGGAGGCGCCAAGTCACGCCATCCCCTCATTGTTTGGATAATAAAGTTCAGAAGTACCGAGGATAATCTCACTAGAGAGACAGAGACCAACTTTTACTTATCATTCTTGCATTCACTTCCTTTTTAGCTAATTAAACCTTAGTTCTTCACAGGAAATAAAATTTTGCAACCTTCATAATAGTTTGGCTTGGTAATACTGTGTATATCTTTCCCGGTTTGTCTGGAAAAACAGGAAAAGAGAGGTGCCAGTGCGAAGACCCAGAATAGTAAATTATCTTGTAAATTAGCAGATTTTTCATTTGCACGTGGCCAGGGCTGGCTGTGCCACTGGGTCAACAAGGATGCCTGCCCTGGACCTCTGTCTGGAAGGCTTTGAGCAAAGGGGAGGATAAAGGGGGCATGATGGAAGTTGGAGGAGAATTTTCAGAACTACAAGTCAGCCGTCTCTATGTGTGCCCTACAAGTTTCTTGATGTGGCCATACATAAGCCTCTTAACAGGCCAGTTAAGAGGCTGCAGCATACACTGTGTAAGGAGGAGGGGAACAATAAGGCAAACTCGTTTTCAGGTTTTAGTCATATTTAAGGTATATGGGAGTTGTCTGTCTTCTATCACCTTCATGGAGAAGCTGACTCCATGTTCACATGTAACTCCCAACTTACTGTTTCTTGTCCCTTCAAAGCATAATGAGGAAGAGGCAAGAAGACAGATGTTATGGGGCCAGGATCTTCCATGATGTGACATGTGGCATTATGAACTCTATTTCAAAAACAATCTGCAGAAGTTATTCTTTCTAACATATTTCTGAAGAAAGGTGAGGAGTGGAGAAAGTAGAGAAAGCTAGATTTATAGATACAATTTCATACAATTAACACATTTAATCTCTCATTTGGAATTTTACATATGGAATCCAGTAAAAATTAACAAATGTTCATACAAGATAACAAACTGCCAAGTAATGTGCTAATTAAACAGATTTGGTGGAATAAAGAGGTGGAATAAATATGCTAAAATTAGAAAAAACTCAGCTGGAATGACTACATTTTTATTCCTATACTTTGGAAAATCCTGTGATTCTCCCATCCCCAGTGGTTATACTATTAAATAATAAAGATTTATTGTAACTATTTTGCCTACTATGTGGCTAAAACCATTTTGGTTTTTATTAGTAGTATTTGAGCTTAGAAACATTGGCATCTCAAATATAAGAAAACCATCTTATTTTGTATAATAATGAAAAAGTATTAAGTCAGCTTACTGTAAATTGAATAACAGATTGCTATTTGAAAGACACTTTTAGAAAAGTCTGTTATAAACTCAATGCCTCTTTTGTGGCATACCCAATTACTTCCTAATTTTTTTCTTTTTTTGATAAATCTAAATTTTTGTGTATTGGATTTATGAAGAAAGAACCATATTTTAGATCAGCTTAAGATATAGATACTCATAGGAAACAAAATCATCTGTTGTCATGGCAAAAGAAAAAAAGGCATTCATTTAAGAATTTAGGCTTAAAACCACAAAATAATATTATTTTTGAATAAGAATATGGAATAATTTAGATACCTGAAAGGACTCTGTAACACATCAACAAAATCAATTCATGAACCTGTAGAGGAGAACAGGCCATGAGATAATAAACATCAATGTTGGAAGGATAATTAATGTCAGATTAGGCTAACATACTTCAATGACTATAACAATTAAAAATGAAACATAGTTGCATTTTAGTGGTGTTAAATGAGCAATTGCTATGATTAGAAAATTAGGTTTTTTTAACAAATATAAATACTCATGAGTCGTAGGTTGCATGAACTAACTGGTATGTTTTTAATATTAATAGCAATTGTAGCTGGGCTACTTCCAGTCGAAAGTAATACGCTTTCTCTGAGTGGCAGAGGGAGCAAGAAAGGAAGATCTTAACTCCAATTAAGATATTTTTGTTTTTGCAATTAACAACGGGCCAAGTGTTTGGTAATGGGGGTTACAGTGGGGCTGGGTGTTATAGGCCCCCTTCAAAATATATCACCTTTTGTTGAAAATATCTAATGATGGTGATGATGGTTGTTGAAAACAATAAAATGTAAATGTGCCCATTCAGTTTCCTCATCTCCCTGTTAGCTAGTTGTGCCAGGTTACTACTCTGGCCCCTCACATTGCTCTGAACTCCTCAGGCAGTGAGTCACAAGATGGGGCATGCCAGAGACTCACACCTCTTACTAAATTTGTGTTTTCTCCATGCAATTGGTAATTGGGATGATTACCAATTACTAATTTCAGATAAAGTGTTAAAAGCTAATAATGGGTGCTCTTTCCAAGATTATTTCCTATAACAATCATGTGGTGGGGAAGACATTTTGGGCTAGAAGAAGAGAAACAGGAAGAAAAAGGTGGGGGAGAGGACAGGTTTTTCTTCCCCTTAATACATGATGTGGGTAAGGCTGACTCTGTTAACATCATTAAATGTTGTCGCCGAAGGAAGCTGAGATAGCATGTAGTTTAACCTATTCATTTTAGAGTTGATGAAACTGAGGCTTGGAGATGTTAAGCAGTTTTGTGGTTGAACAGGGATGAGACCCAGACATCATGAAGTACATTCTAGTGCACTATACAGGTCATTTGTGCTGTTTTTTTCTTTTCCAAGGTCATAATTTTCAGTAAAATTTAATCCTGGTCAGATTCTTCATGTGATTTTTGACAAATCCAGATTGCTGGGAACATTCAGTGAAGACATACTTATTATTACATAATCTTTAATATAAAAGTATACTTCCCTGGATGTATTGTTTGCTCTACCCTGTGGTAACGCTAATAAAGAACATTATTTGGTTAGCAAGTAGTTGAATACATTGTTTACAAAAACGTATTTTTAAAAATAAAATAATTTTTATTATAATTACATGATTATTATATGTATTCTACATATGATTAAATATTTTGAATGTATGATATATGATTGTAATTATATGGTTTTATATCATCCCTTTGAATTATGTTTCTTATAAAAATATCAGTGGGTATATATTAAAATATATTTTTAACATAATGAGCCATCAATGCATATAAGTATAGAGTAAGATCTCTTTCACTCTCTTGTTCTCTTACCCCAGACTATTGAAAGTTTATTCAGCTGTTTTTGATGTCTTAAGCTACTCTTTCTAGCCATCTGTTGATTTTTTTTTTCTTTTATAAAAATAGACTGAACCTATACACACAGCATTTGGGTAAAATAATTATTTTGACTTTATGTTGATTATATGTGAAGAGAATTTAGGCTTCATATTTAATAAGCACATCAGGAATATTCGTTCTCAGCAACCACCAGACAATGGTGTGAATTTTGTATGACTGTTTTCTTTACCCTTTCTGTGCAGACAGCATTATTCACTATAAGCACCATTAAAGAACCAAGTGTCAATGAACCCAGCAGTGAACTGACAGTTACTTAAACAGCACATGATCCAAAGCTGTTTGAGGAATGCCAAATGCATCTTTCTTCAACAAGTTCATTTCATCCAAGGGAAAACATCATTTCGTTTAAAGATTTATATTTATGAACATGTTATGAATGTTCTGGATGTTCCCTGTAATGTTTTATGAAAGATACAGATGCATTTCCAAGAATCATGAAGCAAGCCGGCTGGCCATGGAGACAGTTTGGACCTTAGTGGGCAGATTCAAGGGATGGAAGGAGTTGGCTGAGCCCTGGAGAGAGATTATACTCGCTTGGCAGTGGGTCTGCTGATCTTCCACCTGACAGTGCTCCATGGCGCTCCCCTTTGTTCTGACTGCTTCCTCTCAACTCCCCCAGATGGGCAGTGGGAAGAGACCAGCTGTTTGGGAAAATAATCAGGAAAATCATTTCTAGGAGCCCTTCCCAAGAGACCAGGTTGAAGGCCAACCACCTGAACAGGTTGTTAGCCAAGAAGTACTTCTCCTACTCTCTGGTGACCTGCTCTCTGGAGCTGCTTAAGAGGAGAAGGCCAAGAACAGCAGAAGGCTGTCCCAGGGAGAGGCAGAGAGAGAAGCTGAAAGACAATGCAGGCATCTACAACAAATTTCCCTCTTTTCTTAGGGTCTGTATAGTTATCTATCATTCCAGGAGAAATAGATATGCTGTCATTGGGACTTTACTCCTGATTTTAATTTTCAAATATTTTCTTCCATTTCTTCGTTTGACTGACTTGCTGGGTTAAAGCATGTGGCTAAGTAAACAGGATAAATAACTGATTCCATAGAAGAATCTATCAGCATTCCCCAGAAAATATCTTTGTATTTATATGGCTGGAGCCTGTATCCTAGACTTGGTCAACTGTATCCAAAGCCATATGGTTGGTTAGAAGAGTAACTGAGAAAAACATGGTGGAAATTACTGCCCATCCTGGAGAAAGCAACTTAGTATGTGTCTTCCTGATGGCAGGTGACTTAGCTTGGGTTCCCCAGAAAGCAGAGCCTGAGGCAAGGGCTTTGACGTAGATGGCTTATTTTGGCAAACAATCTACAGGGGTGAGATGGGGGAAGTGGGAAAAGTGAGACAGGGAAGGAGGGAAAGACAAATTCGGCCTGTTAATGAGCTTATCACTCCTGGGACACTATCCTGCCTGTTGGGAATCTTCTGAAGAGCCTTGTAGAACGTCCTCAAAATTGCCAGAGTAGCTGAAAGAGGGCACATTTACTTACCACTTTCATACTCCAAGATCAAGGTTTGTGCCATGGGATTTTAACTGCCTCATACTTTCAGATTTACCTGTGTAATTATGGCTGAGGGGTTCAGTAGGCAATCTTCTTAGCAGCAGATTGGATATAGCCTGGGATATACTAGAGGCCTGGGATACAGCATGAGATATAGGTGGTGCTGCTGAGGCAGGTGCTGTCAGAGTACACTGACACTAGATGCTTAGATATGTCTGGCATATAAAAGTACACCCAGTGAGTGTGAGGTCTGTCCCAAACAATGGGCTTCTGCATTGTCCAGTGGGAATATGTCTCCAGTTCATTTACCGTCAACTCTTACTGCTGCATACCTTCTCTTCTCTTCTTCTCAGTTCCATATGTAATGCCTTCTACCTCTACACTTTACTCTCACTCTCAAATTATTACCTTGCTTTTGAATTTTACTTAGAAAATACAATTAACCAAAACATACACTCCTCATTTTTCCACCACTAAATCTATGGTCTTATAAGCATCAGTACTTTCATACTGGGCCTTATTTCTGCTACAATAGATGAGTTTCTGTGCTCTTATCCTAAGCCAATCTCTTAATTTGTGCCCTAGATCCCCTCCCCTCTCACTTACTAAAGGTCTTCACTCTTGTGTTCTCTTTCTCTCTCTGCATTATGAACGTTTCCTTCTTTACTGGATCATAAAGCATATGTACATGCTGTAATGTTTCCAATCTTGATAATACAACAATCCTCTCATATCTGCAGGCCTCCATCTAGCTAATGGCCTATTTCTCTGCAGCGCTTTAAAACAAACTCCTCTAAAACCCTACTTTTACTTTGTGTTCACACTCCTTCACCTCTCATTTTCTCTCGAATATATCGCTGACCCGGTTTTTATTCCTCGCACTATATTATAATCAATCTTGTCAAGGTTGCTAATCGCCAATTACTAAATCTAACGGTCAGTTTTCAATCTTTTCTTCCTTGATTTCTAGATAATATTTGACATAGTGAATCTACATGGTTGATCTGTTCTTTTTTGAAATGCTTTTTTCTCTTAGCTTTTGGAGCTGTAGATGTTGCAGATTTGATATTGGAATACCCATGTCTCACTCTTCGAATAACTAACTTTTCTTTACAATCATCCAGACACATGGTTTTAAATGCCAGATATATGCTGCTGGTTCCTAAATTCCTAAATTTATATTTTCTATTTTGAATTCTCACCTGGACCATTATCTTATATAATCAACTCTCTACTCGATGTGTCCACTTGGCTGTCTAATTGGTGTCCCAAAGTTAACACATCCAGAATAGAGCCCTTGGATTCCTACTCTAACAAATGTCAATGTTCCCAGCCTTTATACAAAAGCTCCACTGTTCACCAGGTGCTTAGGTTGAAAGCCTAGGGGACATTCTTGATTCCTCTCTGCAATAGCCTCAAAACTGATCTGTATTCCTATTTTTACCCATCATTGGTACATTCTCCTCTATGGAGCCAGAGAAAACTTCTAAAAGTATAATTCAATGCATGTTACTTTCTGCTGTAAACTATCACATGGCTTCCCAGCTCATGCAGATAAAATGTGTAAGCCTGCAGGGTTGTGTATGATCTGATCTCTGGCTAACTCTTCAGTGTTGTCTCCTATATACTCTGCCTTACTATATTTCATCTCTGCTGGTCTGTTTGCTATCTCTTAACATGCCATGCTTGATCTTGCCCCAGTTCTTCTGTATTTGCTGTTCCCTCCCACTGGAATGCTATTTTCTCAGATTTTCACCCAGCTAGCTCCCTTACTTCAGTCAGGTCTTTACTCAAATATAATCTTTTTTGAGAGGTTTTTCCTAAACAGCTTTACTAGAATCCTACATGTACCCACCTCTAGTTATGTTTTACCCAACTCTTTATTTTCTCTTGGTACTTATTACTTTCTGATATATGTTTTTGTTTATTTGTTTACTCTCTGTCTCCATTGTTGAAAGGTAAACTACATAAGGCTATCAAAGCTGGGCATTATATTAGTCATAACTAATGTTCAATGTAATGACATGGTCAATACCTACAGTGATGTTTAGGACATAAGAGGAACTCAGTAAAATCCACTGAATGAAGGAACAAATAGCTTAATTAGAATTATTGCTGACAAGTTATCACAGATAGTCACTTATTTGAGACAATAAACATACTCAGAATCTTCCTTAAATAAAAGCCCATCCTTTTGATGGAAATATACAAATGTCTATAATATAGAAAAAAGAAAATACAAAGTTGCATAAAATTTAGATGTATTAGAAACATTTTTTATTTTCTAATATATTATGTGTAGTTAAAAAGCAACCAGGCCCGTTGGCTCATGCCTGTAATCCCAGCACTTTGGGAGGCTGAGGTGGGCAGATCACCTGAGGTCAAGAGTTCAAGACCAGCCTGGCCAACACAGCGAAATCCCGTCTTCATTAAAAATACAAAAATTAGCTGGGCATGGTAGCAGATACCTGTAATTCCAGCTACTTGGGAGGGAGAGGCATGAGAATTGGTTGAACCTAGGAAGCAGAGGTTGCAGTGAGCCAAGATAGCGCCCCACTGCACTCCAGCCTGGGTAACAGAAAGAGACTACCTCTCAAAAAAAAAAAAAAAAACAACCATACACATTTTTTAAGAGTCCTATGAAAGATAGAGATTCATTAGACCTCTGTTCTTGAGTCACCTGAAATCCTATATATAAACTAGAGCAATGGTTTCTCAAAGTTTATATCTCAACTGGCACCACTGGCTTCCCTTCCAGCCACTTCCTTCCATCTAGGCTTTGTGAGAAATACTCTTAGACCACTGTGCCTGCTCAAGATCTTTCATTTATCTGCTTTCTTCTCGATGCCTGAGAACTCTTGACTGGTCTTTTTATCACTGGAATAATAAGATTCAAGATTCTAGTGAATTGATAGGGGAAGAGAAATCAAGGCTTTTGACTTGCTTTAATTTTAGGCCATCTAAACCAATTTAGCCTACTTAAAAGGAATTTCCTCTGCTTATATCCTGGCTTTTGAAAGTTCTCACTAAAACCTGGGTTAAACCCCTTATTTGGCATTATTCTCTGCATTCATCTCTCTTTCAGGGACTTAGTGGGGAAGAACAACGAGATCAGCATGCTTGCCATTCTCTAATTCTTTTTCCATAAGCATCAACTGGCACCCCATTTTGACAAATACTACATCTTATGACAGCCAGCTCCAACGTCACTATGGCATAAGAAAGTAAAAACACTGGGGAAAAAAAGAAAATTATAAATTAACAGAAAGATGATGAATTTCAATTGTTCCATTCATTCTTCATGTATTTGTTCATGTCTATATTGAATAAATATTTTTTGAGTCCTTACCCTGTAGGAGGCACCATGCTAAGCTCTGACTATAGAGGACTGCACAGGACCAACACGGTCCCTGCAGTTATGGAGCTTACATTGTAGAAGGGGAGGCAGATAGTCAGGTAATTTTAAATTAGGATATTTATGCTCTCTAATTAATATCCCATTAGCCTGACTTAAAAGAGTAGGAAATAATCATGAATAGAAGGATGTTATGAAGGGTAAAGAAGAACACAATCAAGGGAAACAACAGGGACAATAGCCTTCCAGTGAAAAGGAGCAGAAAGAAGACCTAAGAACCTGGTGTGAGGAGAGCAAGGGAAGAGAGGCCCATGTTGAAGCAAGAGCCAAATGTGACAATGCATGTCCATGCGGGCTGTTGGGTGTGTAGGGATTTGTGTTTTATCCGAAGAGCCACTGGAAGTCATTCCAATAAACCTTAAAAATATTGTTTTGGTAATACATATTACTGGAAGTAGAAATAAAATGGGATAGTTTAAGATGTGTCTCAAAATGTCAGATATAGGTTATGGTGGTCATAGTATGAAAAGATAACAATATGGCCAGGCGCAGTGGCTCACGCCTGTAATCCCAGCACTTTGGGAGGCCGAGGCGGGTGGATCACGAGGTCAGGAGTTGGAGACCTGCCTGACCAACATGGTGAAACCCCATTTCTACTAAAAATACAAAAATTAGCCGGGCTTGGTGGTGGGCGCCTGTAATCCCAGTTACTCAGGAGGCTGAGGCAGGAGAATCTCTTGAACCCGGGAGGCGGAGATTGCAGTGAGACGAGATAGCACCACTGCTCTCCAGCCTGGGCAACACAGTGAGACTCTGTCCCCCCAAAAAAAAAGAAAAGAAAAGAAAAGAAAAGAAAAGATAACAATACTTTTTATGAAAAGGAACTTCAAGTAGATTAAAATATATTTACTCTAAAGTTTAATATGCCATAAAATGCAAAAGATTCTTTTATCTTTCACTGTTTCGAAAGGGAAGGTGGTTTAGTGTCACAAGGCCCTCTGAAACTGAAGTGACTAATAAATTGTGGGGATTAATTACTCACTGGAAAGAAAATGTGGAAAATGCAAACTTCATTGGCTTCATATCAAAGCCACATTTCAACAACACATGGATAAACAATGGATAATGAAAATCTTTTATATAACTCCTTTTCTCTTCTACATTATATAATAATTTTCTACCGACTATACCTTAACTTTTAACCTTGATTTTACCACTAATATACACAAACATTTATCTGCACTTTTTTCTTTTTAGATAACTTTTTTAGAGGAAGCAGTTTTCAGTTATATCGAGACAGCATATTAAAATTCTTTTTGCAAATTTCTATCATAATTTGCATATTCAATAAAAATCTAAGCAGTAAATCTATTCCAATTTTTTCCCCATTCTCTGTGAACAAGAATGTTTTCTCATTGTCTTAGCTGTTGTTTTTTAATTTGGGCCATCTTTATGATGAATACCAAATAATGAATAATTGCTTCCATAGACGTTTCCATTATCTCAAGAATTCTGAGAGCTTGAGATAATTTCCCAGCCAAGAATATTGGGGTGTGAACCCTGAATATCAGAGACAGGTCGCAGTTAATTTAGGAAGTTTATTTTGCCACGGTTGAGGACACACACCCATGACACAGCCTCAGGAGGTCCTGACAACATGTGCCCAAGGTGGTCAGAGCAGTTTAATGTTATACATTTTAGGGAGAAGTGAGACATCCATAACATATGTAGGATGAACATGGGTTTGGTCTGGAAAGGCGAGGCAGGGGCTTCCAGGTCATAGGTAGATAAGAGACAAATGGTTGCATTCTTTTGAGTTTATGATTAGCCTTTCCAAAGGAGACAATGTGATATGCGTTTATCTCAGTGAGCAGAGGGGTAACTTTGAATAGAATGGAAGGCAGTTTTGCCGTAAGCAATTCCCAACTTGACTTTTTCCTTTAGTTTAGTGATTTGGGGCCCCAAGATTTATTTTCCTTTGTCTGAGGTTACTTGGCCAGAAGGTAGGAATGGCAAAATCAAGGCAGAAATTGAGTGAATGAAAAGTCAGCAAAGAAAAGCAGAGCTTATAGAAACCAGTAGATAGAGAGAAAAGTAGATGGCAAAAGTTAAAAGCAGGTGGTAAAATATAAGGCATAAAATTATCATTAAGGAGATAGTCAGAATCACAGAAACACAATGCCAGAAACAAAAGGGTCTTAAAAAGAACTTGATGCTGGCAACAAAAGCAAATGTAAACAAGAGGAACTATATCAAATAAAAGGCTTCTTCACAACAAGGGAAATAATCAACAAAATCAAAAGGCAACCTATAGAATGGAAGAAAATATGTGCAAACCATGTGTCTGATAAAGGGTTAATAACCAAAGTATATAAGAAACTCACCCAGCTCAAGCGCAAAAAAAATACAACCTAATCTAAAAATGGGCAAAAGACCTTAATAGACATGTTTCCAAAGAAGACATACAAATGGCCAACAAGTATATAAAAAGGTACTCAGTATTACTAATTTTCAGGGAAGGGGAGTTAAAAACCACAATCAGATATATCACCTCATCCTGTTACTAAAAAGACAAGAGATAAATGTTGGTGAGGATGTAGAAAAAAGGCACCCCTTGTGCACTGTTGGTGGGAATGTAAATTAGTACAGCCATTATGGAAAACAATATGAAGGTTTCTCAAAAAATTAAAATAGAATTACCATACAATCCAGCTATCTCACTTTTGGGTATATATCTAAAGAAAATGAAATCAGTATCCCAAAGAAAAATCTGCACTCCCACACTCATTGCAGCATTATTCACAGTAGCTAAGACATGGAAACCAGAAACTACCTGTATACATTGACAAATGAATTGATCAAGAAAATGTGATATACACACACACGTATTATTACTCAACAAAAAAAGGAGAAAATCCTGTTATTTGTGGCAACATGGGTGAACCAGCAGGACATTACACCAAGTGAAATAAGATAAGGTGGGCACAGAAAAACAAATACTACATGATTTTGCTTACATGTGGAATCTAAAAAAGTCAAATTCATACAATCAGAGAGTAGAATGGTCATTGCCAGGCACAGGAGGGTAGGAGAAATGGGGAGATGTTGGTCAAAGGGCACAGACTTTCAGTTATAAGATGAATTTATGAGATGAATAAGTTCTGGCATGCTACAATATACATAATGGTGACTATTAAAAAAAAAGAACTCCATGCCTCTTCTAGTTGGCAAGACAGAGCAGGTGCCAAGACCCCTTGTAAACTCCACTCATGATGCCCTCTGAGGATCATGATGTTCTTTTCCTGCTTTTGGTCCAGGCAATCAAAACAGAAAACAGCAGACATTTAGAGCCATTGGTTAGGTAGTTAATTACACTCAACGATGAGCTAGACTTCTCTGACCATAGGAATGGCCTAAATATCTCTTCATCTTCATATTGTTAAGTCACTATGATTGAAAAAGGAGCTAAACTCTTCCCATCCAAAGCAATAATAATATCAGTTTTCGTCGGTCAAGAGCCAATTCATCTCTTTTTTGTGGGTAATATAAAGAGGGACATTTCATCTTGAAATTTTTTTGGCTGTACTCTACTTTGATCTTTGCAGTAAAGAGGAATTTACTCTGATTTTGAAGCTTCCCCTTACCCCCAGTCTCTTCTGATTTAGCCACAGTTAAAAATCTAGCCAGCTGCCCACTGTATTATTACCTATCCATTGCAGCAATCTTTTTGGTTTTTGCAAAGAGCTTGCCTTGATGTGGTCTTCAGGATGTCACAAGTGTCTAGCTTAATACATTTGATGACATTTGTAAACAATGTAATTCAGTAAAAATGGTTCAACTCTGCTTTTCATAAGATTACTTTATGAGCTTCTTATTTCCCTGACAGAGCTCCTGTGGGCCTTTTTCCTCTCTGCCTGTTTATTGAAAGGAATGGAGGCATAATCAGTCAATACTGGACTTCTTTCTTAGAAATTAAAGTGTTAAGGTATTTAAGTTTTGCCATATGTGTGACACAAGATAAGTATAAGAGAGTCTGTAAGGTTCTGCTGGGCCTTGTGATTTCTAGTTGCTCTGCACTTGATCTGGGGACCACAGAATCTGATGAACAATAATATACTAATTTTGGGACTCTCTTCTCACTCAAACCATGGATGGCCTCAGACTTTATTCCAAGCATTTTTTCTGTATCTTATTCTAGGAAGTTTTAGATTAGCTAAAAATATGTGTAAACAAACAACTTTGAAGATTTTTTTTTCTGTAATTAGTGTGATTTTTTGCACTCTCTGTTCCCCTTCTTAAAGATAATAAGTCTGTTGAGATCTGTGAGTTGTTAGGAGATAATCTTGTTCATAGATTTTTCATGTCATTTTCAAAAGAAGCCTTAAACCAAAAAATGAACTATAATAACAATGTAAGTAGAGTATTTCTTGCAAGTGGATTTCATGGAAAAACCGTCTATACCATACTCTTCATTTATGAAATATTTAAATTGCTTGATGCTTTTTTGTTTTATTTTTGTTTATTTATTTTTTTAAGAAACTAAATGAATCTTTTTAGAGCTAGTTTAGGAGCATCTCCTGTTTACTTGGTACTTTATCTATCAACACATACCTACAGTGTTTGTATATTTTAGGATAATATCTCATTATTTCTCAACCTTCAGAAATTTATGGTTAGAGAAATGAGTAAGCTATGGTACTTTTATGTGAATATGCGGTATGCAAGCAACAGTGAATTTAAGAAGCACCTTCCCTTTTAGAATTTAACTAAAGTGTGCTTTGCTTTTCTGCTTTCTGGCATGTTGATTGACCCAATTAATTTTTGAAAGTGTGAGGTCCTAACAGCAGGGATTAAATCAGCCATTCCAAAACTAAATCTTAGAGTCAGGGTCTTTTATTTTATTTTTTGGGGAAGAAAAGAAAGGGCCTGGGAATGAAATTCACGTTGCTCTGGGGATGTTTTTTTTCCCTGAAACAATTTCACATAAGCCTACTTTATTAAAACACACACACACACGCACACACACAGACACACTCACCTCTGTTTTAATTGCCACTAAAATAATCATCTACAAACTCAAGAGTGGGTGGTATTAAGGGTTACTGGACCCCCAGGGAATTGCAGCAAAGAATTAACACGGCACATTACCTAAAGTGACTAAGTGTTACCTTCTCGCTCATCAAGCTTTCTTTCCCCTTCCTCCACTGTGCCTCTGACACTAGACCACTATGTTCCCCAGAGTTTCCTTCAACAGTTCTTTAAGGCTCCAAGTTCCCAAGTTTCTTGAGAAAAACTGATTTTCCGTATTCTTTATTTCCTATAATGAATCTGACCAAAACATTCATTAATCATCTGCTTGAACTTCTTATGGGACCACACAGAACATTTCTCCTGATATCTTACCTATAATTTGTCCTCCCGCCATTCTCCAAGGTAATCTACTAATCTGATTTCTCCTAGACCTATTTCTATTTTTGCTTCTACCTTTTTCCTAAGTTCTTTCCTTTGCTAGAGTGACTTTTTCTTCCCAGTTTGTTATCTGCTATACTGACACTATGCAGGGAAACAGGGTCATGCAAAGCAGCAAAATAAAGATTCTAAGATAGGAATCATGTATGGACACAACCTGGGTGATTGGAGAGATGCCAAAAACTGGGCTATGTTGCTGAGACAAAGCTGGGAGAACCCCAGTGCGGACTCAAACCCAGTGAGGAGTCCAGAACTGGAAGATATACAGGTATCAGGATCCTAGATAAAGGTAAGGCAGGAAGTCAAATCAACAGCCACGAGATGTCATACCAAAGCAGCATAGAGACTCGAGTGATGACTGCCTCAGAAAGGAAATCTTGTTGCATATGAGCCAGTCTCAGGCTATGGCCCTACAAGGGTCTGCCAATGTGCATAAATGAGCCACGTTACAGAGCTGGCAAATTGCTTAACGGGACTTAAAATGGTAATGTGGTTCTGTATCCTTGTTCCATACTGCCCTACTTACAAGTATTCCCAACTCATCTAAATGCATAAAACCCACAATCCTGTTTTCACTCAACACCCTGCCAGTAACTGTTGCCTTCCTATCTAAATATGATGGAAATGTGTTATATATTTAAGCTTGTATTATCATTTTCAATATTTCTATATTTCCTGTAGACTTTTCTCTAGTGGGGAAAATATTTTTTTAAAAAGAACTCTTTCGAAACGAATTTTATAGCATGTAGACCAGAGATGGCCAAATAGGTTATATACGCAGAACCACCTCTGGGGATCTCACCTCTGGCAGCCATTATTTTAATCAGGGCACAATTTCCTGCTGAGTCCAGGCTTTACCTCAACCTTCTCAACACAGCTCTCCAGGAAGCAACAACCAATTTGACTATACTGGGAGTGGGGTTGACACATTTACCTTCCTGACCCATCCTTGGCAACAGCTGGGGAAATGAAATGTTCTTGATGGTGATGTTGGCCTAAAGGTTTGGGAGGAAATTGCCCTACTTCTTTACTGAAAGTATAGCCAGATTAACTGCAGAAAGCAAAAATATCATTATAGACATTTTTAGCTTGGCTTTGAAAATGGGCACCATTGCTTCTCTGTAACAGGTACAAAGAACTCAGGTGTGAATGTTTCCAATGAATTGAAGTCTTAGCAAGAAAGTTTCTCGCTCTTTCTCTCTCCCTGTCTAAGTGGGGAAGTATTTAATCCTCTTTGCAAACACAGTCCCAGCTTTCAACCTCACAGGACTGCCTACTGTGTTGAATTACATTCAAAGGTTTATCTGCCATAGACCACTGACCCTAGGGACCGGGCTAAGACTATTCATATTGTCTAGAACTATAGGTCAGATTGAAACCTGCATCTCTGGCAAAAAGCCAACACTTCATTCACCACATCACTCAACTTTTCTCCTCATGTTATGTAATTACAACACAAGTGTCCAGCCTGACATTTCAGTATGAATATTAGTGGGCATAAAAATTCAATCCAGGCATACGACAGACAAAACACTACCAATTTTTACTTTTTAAAATGCAGGGACTGGCATAAAGGAGAGAATAGACCATTACAATTTAGTATACTGACTTAGTAGAGTTAAGTCACTGTAAACCATCAGGAATGGAACACCTGAGCGAGTAAATTTGGAGAGCATGTATGCATATGTGTGCAACTATTATTTGTGTGTGTTAGCAGTGGCTTACAGAGGTTAGTATAGGGGCAGATGGAGGAGGTCCATTCGGTTACAGGGTTTCACATGAATGCCTCATTATTTTGCTACCATATTTTCCTGTAGGTGGCAGCACTAACAAGGCTGGGGTCAGAGAAGAAAGGTTTAGCTTCAGATTCTGAAGAGAAATTTTTAGTAACAAGAGTACAAGAAGAAATTAAAACTTGTGCTTTCCTTTTTAATTAACTATAGATGCTGAAAGTCTTTCAGTAGCCAACATGTTATTCAAATGAACACACACACAGCCATCTCATTTAAAGAAAACAGACCAACACTGGCTAACTTGGCATCATCAGTCGCACTGGAGAGACTTAGAATGTTTCATGTTCTGTGTGTGGGAGAGAACGAACACAGTTTGTTCGGCTTGAAGTATCATTTCTCATAGATAAACATAGAGGAGAAATTTATCCCAGAACTTTTATTTCAGAGAACACTAAAAAAAGTTAGTTATGGCAAAGTTAGTAGCTGGAGTTAGAATCTCAGACCCAGTTTCTGAGGAATCAGCATAATTTCATATGTTATTATTACCTTATTATTCAGTAATTAATAGATTACTAAAATGGTAATGAACATAACAAAATAAAAATTTCAGCCAATAACAAATAAATACCCAGATTTTATAATGAATTTAGTAGATATTTTCAGTTGACATTTTTAAAAAAAGAATACTAAAAGTGTATTGCGAATTTGAGTTTACAAAATTTAATTATTACTAATCATAAAATTATAAATATATGCTCCTAGCTGTGAAATTGATTTAATATTTTACAATCTATTCTCCTGTGCAATCTCTAATTTTAAAAGTCTGTTTTAGGGTTTGTTAGATTTCCTCACATAGACAGTAAGCTCCTGAATAACCACATAAGTTCATCTTGCACAGCAGCAGCGCTATCAGCTTTTGAACACTCACTATGTAAAATTCACTTTATCCTAATCCTCCCAACAAATGGAAGGGATGGTACTGCTTTCTTCATCTTTCACACTGAAAAAGCTAAAGACTAGGAAAGTTAAGCAACTAGTCCAACTGCATATAAAAACTAAGGTGTGAATTCTGGTGTTTAGAGGCAATACTCATTTTACTTACTCTCATTCCCCTGCTTATTGGTAGTTCCCACTGCCAAAGTAAATTACACATAGTAGGTGCTGAACCAAGCTGATGGATTCTATTATTTTAGGATGCCATTACCCTAAATGATTCTGGTTAATTCAGCAGTTGTCCATTATCTATGCTCAAATTAATGATGTAGTTTTCTATTTATAGGGATGGGGGAAGTAACTACTTCCTTGTCAAATTACCAAAGCACTAATAATATTTTTTTTTAATTGAAAAGAGGCCTTCTAAAAGGAAGGTATAAAATCTGCCATCATCTGCATTGAAAGGTTAAAAAAAATTCCTTTGCAAAATTTATACTCGTATTTTTATTATTAAATTGGTATTGCTTTACTTAATTTGGGGGTCTTTTTTTTCATCTTGTAAATGGGAGTTCTGTATTGCTCAGGATTGTTCAGAGGAATTTGCTTTTCATGTTAGCAGACTAATCACTCTCTGTCCTCCATCAAATAAAGAAATTCCTTGGATTTCCACATGTCACTCTTTCTAGAACAACAACAACAATAAAAACCAGACTATATACTACATATGAGCTATGTTGATATGTATTCAATCTGTAAGAATTTTAGTCTGAATACCCTCAAAGAAAAGCATTTTTGTGGTATTTCTTCTGGAAATCCCTCAAGAACAAGCAATGTGGTAATATTTCTCGTTGAAATACTGCATTTTTCTTCCAGTGGTGGCAGAAGGAAAACATAAGAAAATTTGCTTTCCTAAAAGGCATCTTTTCTCTCTCACAGTGTTTCTGAGGGAAAGCAGTGGAACCTGCTGGTGATAATGCCTATGAAGGGGACTTTGCACTCACAAGCGCTTTTGACCCGTGAGTAATTAACGTACCTTACAAATATTCATCTTCCCAACACCTTTATGGGGTAGGTAAGTTATATACTCAAGGTCTAGTATTCACTGCAATTTTGTGACATTGAGAACAGCTACAGAGCTGTCCACTGTTAAATAAGTCCTGCGCCACAGAAGAAAGTTTATTTTTATTGTTCAGCCAGATGGGGAGCTAACCTACTCTATGGCAAGTGCAGTGAACTATGTGAATTGATTTACACCTCAAAACACCCTTGCAAAAATTTATTGTTATCTCCATCTTACACAGGGGTCAAAAAGTTCAATATACTCAAATTCAGATGCTTCTTTGAGAGAAAGCTGTATGTCTCCCTGTATGCCTGTATGTATGTATGGCTCTGAAAATTGTGTGTTTCCATAATATCACACTATCTCTTTGACTGTACATTGTCCTGTATTGAAACCAGAGAGCTTCTCTAACACATCTTGGACATCCTTGTGCTGGTGCTCCTCACTACTGCTTTCTGCTACTTGGCCAGACTAGGGCATCTCTCTCATCTGTTCTGTTAGGCAAGATGATTTAAATTATTCAGAACAAGAGTAGGAAGGCAACTTTATTATTCTGTGCACACTTTTATGAAATGTATCCCATTTTAGGGTTGAAATTCAATGTATCCCACTACAATTCTTTTCATGGATTATGAGTACTTTAAAACAAAGAACAATATCTTAATTGATTCAAACCTGCAAAATTTAACACCATGTCTGGCACATACCGGGTAGTCAGAAGAGATCTGAAAAGCTAACAAAATCAAGTCTTTTTACTATTTGATATCCTGACTTCATTTACTTTTTACCTACACAATGACATTTCCAAGATTATTTAAGGTAGGCAAATTTTGGAATTTTTACAATAATTATAAAGCCACTTTTCAACATAGTCTTTTGTAATATTGGTAAATACTACCAATACTTTGCTATCACTTGTAATATAAAAGAGTAATACACTCTATTTCATGAAAGCATCATGGACCGTAAAGAAAACGAAACAGAAATAAAAGATGAATGATAAAAGTGTCTCAATCCATTGCTATACCATAGATCTTTAATATAATTATGAAATATTTCAGTGATTGATTCTATTGCTGTATCATAGATCTTTAATTATGAAATATTTCAGTGATTATAAAAATGCTGCTGGCTACATTATATTGCTTTTCCTAAACATAGTATAAATTACAGACATATAACTTCTGTTTGAAAATATAAGCGATAGAGGAAAATATGAACTATTTAAGATGGCCTGAAGGCTCTCCATAGCCTCCCATTCCCTCCTTTTTTCAGGCTTATTTCTTACCACGCTCCTCTACTCACTCAACCAGCTCTTTTCCAAACACATTGGCCTCTTATTTGAACAGACCTCAGGACCTCTGCATGTTCTCATGCCTCTTGCTGGAATTCCCCTTTTCCTCATGTCCTGTTTTCCCCATGGCTCCCTCCCTCACTTTGTTCTTCTCTCTGCTCAAATGTTCCCTCTTCCACCACCCAGGTCCACTTCTTCCTCCATTCCTCTGCACATGTGCTCAATCTCTACCCTTTGGGATGCTTTACCTTTTTTTCATTGCATTTATCATCACCTGTCATTATTCTGAATATTTATAAAGGTATCCTTGTCACTTCCTAGTACAATAAAAAGTCTATGAAGGCAGAGACTTTTGTCTATCTTGTTCATCTCCTCATCCCAGTGCCTAGAGCACATGGCAAGCGCTCATGAATGAAATAATAAATGAGTTGTTGCATGACTTCACAGCATAAGGAAGTTATTAAAGGCACATGATATTTCATGATACTCTGTTTTCATAATGATACTTGATTTTTTTTCAAGACATCACAATCCCTATGTCCTAAAAACAGTGCTTTTGAAAATGCATCCTAGTGTATTGTTCCTATGAATATACTTTATCATAAGTAAGTTTTTTATGTGTGTTTGTTTTCTTCATAGATAATATCCACAATGATGTGCTAAGCAGAAGCAAAAAGCTAAGACATTTCTTTGATTTCCTAATTTGCTAAATATTACTACAAATACAATTTGTGGTACTCAGTATTTTGGGGATTAGAGACTCCAACAAGTTACTACCTAAAAGGCTGCATCATAGTAATTCAATGTTATACATTTGCTCAAATGAATACTGTTTTTAGCTTGTCTATTTTATTCCTGGAGCTAGCTAACTGATAATGTGTCTCTATTTTATAGAGTATTGACTCAGAACAAATAGGAAAAAATTGTTTATACAAAGTTATATTATTAGGTGGGTTGCATTAGAAATGTGAATTCCAGCAGTGTTTTCCACCACATTTTTTTCTCCACATTTAATGGAGGAAACAAAAATGCTTCCAAGGCCAATCCCGAAGGTCCTCATAGAAAAAAAAAAAAAAGCGTGGCTAAACTGGTCTCAGGAGGAGGACCAGCAATAGCATTAGTTTTACCGCACTGCCTGTCAGTCTTTTATGAAGAAAAGCTTTCCTCCAAGGGGAAAATCCCTTCCCTGACAGCCACCCCCCACCCCCCTCCAGGACATAAGAAAGGTGTCATATGACATTCAATAAGACTGAGTATTCTATACAAGATTGAAAAATAAATTTCTATTTTAGTTGCTTTTGATCTTTTTTAAAAATCAGAACACTGTGTGGGAATGGAACTTTCTAACAAAGATGTTTGTGTATCTTTATTTTGAATGTCATAAAATAATATAATTTTGGAGTTTTTAATAAGGCTTACTGGAGTCAACCTTCTCACTACAGATGAGTAGTTCAGTGATTTGCAACTTACTATATTTGGAAATAAAGACAATGTTGAGATTCTGTCACTTCTCTTTACTCCACAATTAACAACCAACCCGAACTAAAACGGAAACTTTACGAAGAAGTTATCTGACAAAAATGCTGCTTCTTTCCAATGCTAAAATTCTGAAAACATTTAAATTACCCACAATATGATAAGTAAAGGGACATTTAATGGGTATTTGAGCTTATAATTGGTTAAGGGTTGGACTTGAAAATATATTTATTGGCACTACAAAATAAACTCTCTGTATACCATTTTCCTGATTAAAGTTTTAACACACTTAACTCAGTAGTTATTGAATGATGGGGGGATCAGTGTTTCTCTAATATGAAAGGTGACCACTTTAATTTTTAAGAGATAACATCTTGTTCAGTATATATTCTCCAAAAAATAATCCGTTTATGCAATATTATCTATTTGACAAATTTAGCCTTAAAAAATGCCTCATTTATTCAACTCTGGGATATCATGAAGACAACTAAGGTTTGACACAACAGCCTAATTTCTACATTCTCATTTTCCAAATTTTGATTGACAAGCTGAAGGGCACTGCATGTAAAGGAAAAGTTTTAAAGAAACAGAACCAGTTGCAGTTATGCCCAGGGAAACTATTGCCACTACTCTATAATCAAACCCTGTGCTAAGATTGCTTGAGAAGTTGTGAGGGACTTTAGTGAAAAAGCAGCTGCTAGCCCCATGATCTTTATTTTGTTACTGAGATACATTGTCATATAGAGGACAATATGAATGAATTAGTAAATGTTTATAGATTATAGAATATGCTGGGGAAGGAAGAGAAACTCCTATGTCTTATTTTCCTGATACATCCGCTAACTTTACACAGAGTCCCTGAATCATAGCAGATACAAATGTGCAGCCTTCCTGCAGGGGTCCTCATCCTTATTTTTGCTGTGTAGGCACTGACAATCTAATAACTACCATAACTTCAACGTAGTGACTACAACAAGAGATATTTCAAGACATAAGCAACAAAAATAATATGCTATAAAGTATCTGTGATACATCATATTTGTAATTCAAGAAAACAGTAAATTTCAGTTACAGGACAATAACAACAAAAACGTATTTTTGTTCCCATCATGGATCTCCTGAATTCTATGCACAGATGAAGAGGGTTCTGTGGACCTGATATTTAAAACATCAGATTAGAGAGCAAACAAAAAACTACTTACTATAATCATCAGAGAAATGCAAATCAAAACCACAAGAGATACCACTTCAGCTAGAATGGTTATTATAAAAGAGATAAAAGAAAACAAGTTTTGGCAAGAATGTGGAGAAAAGGGAACCTTTGTACACTGTTGGTGGAATTTTAAATTAGTACAGCCATTATGAAAGTAAATTGGTATATAGAAGAGACCTCTCCTGTCATGTGGATTACAGCACTATTCACTGTAGCCAAGATATGGAGTCAACCTAAGTGTCAAACAATAGATGAATGGATAAAGAAAATGTGATATATCTACACAATGGAATAGTATTTAGCCATAAAAATGAGTGACGTCCTGTCATTTGTGACAACATGGATGAACCTAGGGACATCATGTTAAGTGAAATAAGACAGGCACAGAAACAAATATGCCATGTTCTCACTCCTATGTGGAATCTTAAAGCAAAGAAGTTGACATCAAAGAAGCAGAAGCAGAGAGAGTAGAACAGTGGTTACTAGAGACTGGGGAGGGGTAGGGCAGGAGAAAGATGGGGAGAGTTGGCTTATGAGGACAAAGTTACAGTTAGATAGGAAGAGTAAGTCCTGGTAATCTGTTGCAGAGTATATTGACAATGGTTAACAGTAAAAGATGGTATATTAAAAATAGCTAGAAGGGAGGCTTTGAATATTCTCATCACAAAGAAATCTAAATGCATGAGATGATGGATACACTAACCTCACAACACATGTATGTATGGAAATGTCAAATTGTACCCCAGAAATAGATACAATCATGTGCCCAGTTAAAATAATGAATCATTTTTAAGTTAGACCACTTAAACAAACCAAAAAAAACCCTCTATTTACTACAAAATAAAATTTAAACTTGTCAATATGAGATTTGTTTACTCCTCCCTAAAAGATAGTCTAATTTATATGTAATGTAATAAGGTTTAATTAATCCATAGAATAATGTTTGATAGGAGGAAAAGGGGTCAATGTTTGAACATACATGTGCTTGCTTTACCTTCTTCATGCCTTTAGTCTTTCTGAAAAACATAAAAAGCAGATGCCTGATTAAGGCAGTAAAATATCTTCATGATAAAAAAATGGACAGAGAGCTCCTGGATCAGTATTTGACTCATTTACTTATTTCCTCCGAGTTCAGTAGTTTCATGTTTATATATTCAGGCTTCCTTTGGCCCAGCCGTTTCTTTGCTTTGGCTTTGTTTTACCTAGGCAACTGTCCAGATGATGTTAGCCAAAATCCACTTTGGACATTTTCTGGAGTTTAGAGAGCCATGTGTGAGGCTTGTACTTTATTCATTAAACTTTTATGTTAAGTTATAATTTACACTAAACTTCATTTACAAACAGACGTTTTAACAAAAGAAACTTGATGACTGAGATGTTTAGCCCTCAAATTATTTTTTCTTTGTGTTGTTGTTATTGCTGAGGCTGAAATTAACTTACATGTTCATTGTTTAATTAAAATTTAAAAACACTGAAATACATTAGTGATTAAACTGTGCACCATCGTATGAAGGGATAATATATTTTGGCAAGCATAGATTTTTGCCTCAAAATTAACTGAATTGATAATAATTATAAAGCTATACTAAGTTGAATAAGGCAAAAATGGAGAAAGAAACAGTATTGATACCTATTCGTGATTTCTTATGTATCAGATTTTGTATGTGTTATCTCATTCAATCTTTACAGTAAATGTAAGAGGAAGGCATTATTATAATATTATTACTGGAACCAAGATTAAGTAATTTCCCAAGGTCACCACTAATTGACATATGTGGAATTCATGCCCGGGTATTTCTGTCTCCTTATGAACAACATAACCCTGGATGTGTAGCTAAGAAAAAAAAAAAAACAAAAACCTAGCCATTATGGACACAATTTCCAAGACATCTCATAACAGGTTGATCTCAAGCCAGTAAATATAAACACACCGCAGCCTAGAGTTCACTTTTCCCCCTTCTGATTTTCTCAAGGAGCTAGTTTCTTTTGGGCATCACATTTTTTACACAAAACTGAGTTATCAGTTTTTAAGGCATAAAATTGACACATAAATGAGATGATTCACACGACAGTTGAATCTCCTGTAAAGCTATTTTTAGTTTCATTTTTAGCTTAAGAAATAAGGAATTTCTTTTTCAAGTTACATTTTTTTTTAACCTAAAAAGATTTTTTCCTTAACAGATTCAACAACTTATGGACTTACACTCCCAAATGTCTTCATTTTTTAAAAATTTATTTGTATTATTTTGTTCTTATAGTCAAATAGATAATAATACCATGATTTCTTCTGGGGGGAATAGAGTAGGTGGAGTAGTGGGCAGCCCACAATAGAGAACAATAGTTTGTCTTTGTATAAAGGTAAAAGTGTGAATCTTGTGTCATGTTCATAGTCTCTCTCTCTCTCTCACACACACACACTCTCACTCTCTTTCTCTCTCTCTCCTCTCTCTCTCTCTCTTTCTCTCAGACTGCCATGCACTTGGGGTCATTAAAAGAGCAGCTAACCATTTGACACAGTGTTTGGATTCTCACCCCTACACCACAGACCCTCATTACCAAACTGTTAATCACTGCCAAAAGAGCAAGTCCCCTGGCAGCCCTCAAGCCCCCATCCCCCAAAGCAGATCTTTCCACACTTGGTATCAAATTGCATTGTAGTTACAACACTGGGACTGAGTCCTTTAATTGTACATTAGCAACAAGGAAGTTCTTTTCTAGCTCGGATTTAAGTGTTTCTTCGACTATCTAGTGCATGTTTGTACATCAGTAAGAAGTATAGAGGTTAAAATTTGTTCTCACAAACACCATTCCTCAAACATACACATTATACACAAAGCACCTGAAGCCCAGCTCTGAGTCCAAATTCCATTTCTAAGATGTTCAACCTGCTATTTGGAAGTTTTGTGTATTTTTTATTATATTGGAAATTGCCCCATCTATTATTTGGCTATAAGGTTAGTGACACAACTAGCTACTCAAGAGAAAAATTTGTTTCATCAACAATCATTTTGTTTATTTGATATCAAATAGCTGAACAGGAGGATGTTTTCCACTGATGGTTTCAGTGGGCTTGTTGAAATGAAGTGGAGTGTTGATAGTGTGGAAACTGAGCCAAGAAGTGAGGAGATAGAATTTGATTTAATATAATGACCCACAGGGCTAATTTCAGTGTTTCTGGCATATCTTTGTTTTTTAAAAGCAATTTTCATATTCTAGCACCTAAAGCTTCATTAAAAATACAGTCTTTCTCATGGCAATGTGAAGACTAAAGGCGATTATGTAAATATGCCACTTTGTCCTGTGTTCATTTATTAGATTGGTTAAATGAAGAGTTCCTGCCTTACCCATGTTTAGTTCATTTCCTTTATTTTTATTCCATCATATCAAAGGCATTTCAAGTGACATGTAATTGATTACCTTAAACTAGCTAATGTTTATCAAACCACCTAGAACCTATATTCAGATGTGTGGAGCAATAATAATATGTAAATAAAAATAAAAGTCATGTCTGGTGATGATCAGTGTGTGATTGGTGGTTGTGCATCTGTTGATATTGCAGTCCTCTCGCCAGTGGTGGAATATGGTACTTATCAAAATGCTGTCAGTTGTAAGTGACAGATTCCCAAGTCAGATTAGCTTTGACTGAAAGGGAATATACTGTTTCATGTAACTAGGAAGTCAAAGTAGAATTTGCTGCCTGCAGGCATTGTGGGAACCAGGAGCTCAAATGTGGCCACAAGGGTTTTTTCCCTTTCTCTATCTCCCTGCTCTCCGTGCTTTGCCTGGCTTCACTCTGGGGGCTGGAATCTCCACATAGAAGATGAAAAGGACCCTGGCAGAGCCAGACCTTTATTTTTCTAGGAAGAGCAGTTCTTTCTTCCAGTGACTATGTATTAATCCCTGTAAAGGACTTGGCTTCTCTCTGTTTGAACTATATTCCTTCATTGAAACTATGATTTTGTCTGAAATAATGTAGAACAATAACTGGCCTAGCCTCAATGATATCCTCTCCCCTATGACTGTTGGCAGGTTTCAATGATTATAGCCCAACCAGAACTCTGTCAGCTGCAGGAGAGATGATTTCTCCAAGGCTGTGATACAGTCAGCATAATTGACATACACTCCCCTTCTACCTACCCCACTCCAGTTGCAACAACAGAAAGATTAGCAGTTGAGTTGATATACACTAAGTATAAAGTCTAGAAATTCAGAAATCTATCATTATTTCACTCCCTCTACAAATCTAAATTCTTCAACACAAAGGCATGGTTTGGACCAAGCCAGTTTCCTTAGCATTCCTCAAACTCATCATCCTTATCCTATCCTGTATTTTGCATTTCTCTTTCATCTCCCACTCTCATAGGATTTGCTTTGCTTTCCTTTCATCTATTATTCAAACTACATGTATTTTTCAGAAAACAATTCAAACCTTCGTCTAAGCAAAATTTCTGCATAACTAATTACAAACATGCTTAAATATTTCTTCTCTTATTTCTTATAGCATTGTATTAACCATTTGTTTTATATGGCTTTTATTTCCAACAATATTAAACTTGCTGTCTAAGCTTTACAGTTTTGATTTCCTCAGCATGACAGTATGGCTGCCCATGGGCGCTGGGAGAATATGTCTCTTTGTTTACACCTTGCAAGGGAGACAGAAGGAGAGAGTAAGAGAGAGAGAGAGAGAGAGAGAGAGAGAGAGAGAGAATATGAATCTTCTCTTCAGAGAAGATCTGAGCAAACCTCTCTTCTAGTTGCATTAGCCCAAAGAGTCTAGGCTGACCCAACCAAGCTCCAGTCCCTGGACAGAGGAGAGTAGTATTTGATAGCCATCAATTGATAGATGAATTACCTGAGGCTAAATAAAATCAGTAACAAGATTACTATTATACCAAATATGGAACTAAATCTGCATTAAAGAGTCAAATATAAAGACAAGTTGAATAAATCATACTGGAACTGAAGAATGTAATTGACTGCAATGGAATTCAGTGAGGGATAATTAATATTTAGCCCCTGTTCAATTAGAATTAAATAAATATTATGCAACTGACATGGATTTAGTTGTATTCACAATGATTTTAATACTATCTTAAAGAGTTTATCTGATTAATTCTTGTATTATTAAGCTTAGTATAAATTTTCTAAAGGAAATGCTGTTCTATTTTTTAAAAATGATACCATTAAGTAATCTGAAGAAGATTATAGTAAAAAAAACCCAAAAAACCTCCTTATTCCACTGAGGCAGTTTAACGTAATGAATCATCAGTTTCAAAAATTATAAAGAATTTGATTTAACCATGCTCAAAACATTTTTTTAATATCTTAATTATCAAGAGGTTAAGGGTGTCAGAGGGAACAGTATATGACTTATTGCATATTCATTTCCCATAATACCTGAACATGTATTATGTTCTAGACCATGTAACAGCATAAAACACCTAGAAAGGCAAAGATTTGAAATGTATTCATGGGTCTTGACATAGATGCATTATGTGTAACACCAAGATAAAACACTCTTTCTATTTGCCCTTCCTTGTAGAAGGCCTGTTGGAGCATGAGGGTCACTTACAAAAAGTATTTCCTTTATTTTGTCAGAAAACCTCTTGGGAGATGATTTGTGTGGGCCTGGTTACAATCAAGAACTTTTATTATAGTGAAATTAAAGACAATTAAGCCAGGATAAAGATATTAATCTTGGACAGCAATACTATTATTATATCTCAGTGAGTTTATAACCAATGTTAACACATTGGGAATTAGGTTTTATTCTTTAATTTTCTTTTTCTTTCTTTCTTTCTCTTTCTTTCTTTCCTTCCTTCCTTCCTCTTTCTTTCCTTCCATCCTTCCTTCCTTCCCCTTCTTCCTTCCTTCCTTCTTTCCCCTTCCTTCCTTTTCTTTTTCTTTCTCTTTCTTTCTTTCCTTCCTTCTCTTTCTTTCCTTCCACCCTTCCTTTCTTCCTTCCCCTTCTTCCTTCCTTCTTTCTTTCTCTTTCCTTCCATCCTTCCTTCCTTCTTTCCCCTTTCTTCCTTCCTTCTCTTTCTTTCTCTTTCCTTCCTTCCTTCTTTCTTTCTTTCCTTCCTTCCATCCTTCCTTCCTTCCCCCTCTTCCTTCCTTCTTTCTCCTTCCTTCCTTCCTTCTTTTTCTTTCCTTCCATCCTTCCTTCCTTCTCCTTCGTCCTTCCTTCTTTCCCCTTCCTTCCTTTCCTTTCTTTTTTCTTTTCTTTTCTTTCCTTTCTTTCTTTCTTTCTTTCTTTCTTTCTTTCTTTCTTTCTTTCTCTTTCTTTCTTTCCTTTCTTTCTTTCTTTCTTTCTTTCTTTCTTTCTTTCTTTCTTTCTTTCTTCTCTTCGCTTTCTTTCTTTCTTCTCTTTCTTTCTTTCTCTCTTTTTTTTCCAAGACAGGTTCTCACTCTGTCACCCTGTCTGGAGTGCAATAGCGCAATCGCAGCTCACTATAGCCTCTCACCTCAGCCTCCAGAGTAGCTGGGACTACAAGCATGTGCTACCATGCCCACATAATTTTATTTTATATTTTTAGAGAAGGGGTTTGCTATGCTTCTCAGGCTGATTTCAAATTCCTGGTCTCCAGGAATCATCAAGCCTCGGCCTCGTGAGTATCTGGGATTACAGGATAAGCCGCTGTACCTGGCTATCCTTTAATTTTCAAGTCTCTGCCGCCAAATGTATTTGCCCAGAGACCTGTATATGTATGTGTGTGTGTGCATGCATTTGTGTGTGTCTAGTATTATTCATATCAAGGAGAAACTCCACAAAAAATAACTGCTTAAGTTGATAAAGTTTTAATTCTTATTTTTTTCAGTATTTATGAGGAACCCAACATAAGGCAATCTTTTTCATGATACTATTTTCCAGAAACTTTATTGAACAGTGGCTAATGGATCATTATTATTATTTTAATGTATAGACACTTACTATTTGGTGGAGAAAGCTCAGCTTACTCTCCAAGATTCTTTGGGAATTTTTCCCCCCTGGGCCTCACACTTTCCTGGACACAAAGACTGAAGCTAATTAGAAAGTAGCAGATTAGAACAACATTGAGAGATTGTCCAAGTTGATAGAATTATTTTTCTTCTTATCTGGTAAATGAGAGCAATTCTAAAAGCATACTGAAATAATTTTAATACATAAAAAATTTAAATATACAAAATATTTTTAAGCACTGAGAAATCTCTTTATCCATTTATAAGAATTTAAGATCATCAGATTTTCAAATGTAAAACATGTTTAGACAAGAGTAGATGTTACTAATAGGTAAGAGAAACTTACATGATGATTAATATCTATGTTCTAAATCATGCCTCAAACATGGTTTTATCCTAAATTTCTAACTTAAGAAAAGGATTAGAGTCAGAAGAGTACGATCTATTCTACATTCATTCACCATGACATCCGACCAATACTTTTCTATGCCATACTATGACACACATTTTCCAAAAGAAGCAAGGATGTGAAATTTAATACATAAGTATCAACCCAGTATTTTGGTCTCATATTAGATACATAGTTAAGAAACTTGAAATGTTTATCTGAATTAGGCAACTAAGGACATCATTGTCTTTTCCTGTGTACTATGCAAAAAGTGAAATAATAGCATAGTGTTACATATGAGATAATCCAACTCTCAGTAAAAAGTCTGGGAGTTTGAATGTTGAATATTACATAAACAATACACTCCATATATATGGATTAAAATGCTAAATTATTTGAAATTTATTTGGAAAATTACAGCTCAACTCATGTTATCTCTAAAGATGACATCAACTAGCTTCAGAATAAATAAAATAAAAGATATTGAGTTAAAGTTTAAATTTTTAAGATAAGCTGTATTTATATTTGTATATAAATTACAAAATATAGAAATGTTTGCTCATTTTACAGAACTTGCCTTTGATTTTATTTTAAAATATTTGTGGCAGATTTAAGTGACTTAAGATTTGGGGTATTAAAACGACAAACATCCAGCATTCTATTCCTTTTATAATGACAGAGGAAATAGAAGTTATTTGCTAACTTTAATTCTTGAATACCTGCAGTCACATTTTTAAGTAATCGCTAACTTCGATACATTGGCACATATATATTTTGCTCTCAAAGATTCGAAATAATTTATGATACCCCTGTAATCCCAGCACTGTGGGAGGCCGAGGCAGGTGGACCATGAGGTCAGGAGTTCGAGACCAGCCTGCCCAACATAGTGAAATCCCGTCTCTACTAAAAATCTAAAAAAATAGCCAGGTGTAGTGGTGGGAGCCTGTAATTCCAGCTACTCAGGAGACTGAGGCAGAAGAATCGCTGGAACCTGGGAGGCAGAAGTTTCAGTGAGCTGAAATCGTGCCATTGCACTCCAGCCTGGGCAACAAGAGTGAAACTCCATCTCTAATAATAATAATAATAACAATAATAATAATAATAATTTATGATAGACAAATACCATAAAATAAATCTTTCCCATTGTAAAAGGTATAAAGTTGAGGACCCCTATTTTATCTTCACTAATTCATACTTACGGAACCACATTCTTCCAGAACATAAGTTACTGTCTAGGACTAAGAAGAGTTTCCTTGAAATCTACATGAGCTTTTCCTTAGCATGAGGGTACTATTAAATAACTGTACGTTTCTAAGCAGAAATGAACAGTAAATTATCTAAGGTCAAAACCAAAACATGATCAAACAGTAGCTACAACACTTTTAACTCCTAATCAAATAGCTCTGGCTTCTGGCTGAATTGTACTGACCAACAGGTAATGATCAGAGCCCTTCTACCCTTAAGCATCCACAAATTGCTTAGACTTTAAGAACTAGAGAAAATGTTCAAGCATCAAGCAAGACAAGTCTTATGTGCCATTTACTCTAATTCTCATGGTTTACAAATAGGAAAAAAAAAAAAAGTCGCCAGGTGAGCGGTGGCTCATGCCTGTAATCCCAACACTTTGAGTTTGAGGTGGGCAGATCACCTGACGTTGGGTGTTCGAGACCAGAGTGACCAACATGGAGAAACCCTGTCTACTAAAGATACAAAATTAGCTGAGTGTGGTGGTGCATACCTGTAATCCCAGCTACTCAGGGGGCTGAGGCAGGAGAATCGCTTGAACCCAGGAGGCAGAGGTTGCAGTGAGCTGAGATTGTGCCATTGCACTCCAGCCTGGGCAAGAAGAGCGAAACTTCATCTAAAAAAAAAAAAAAAAAAAAAAAAATTCTCAGAGGCTTCACATAAAATTCAAAGCTAGAATCCAGTTGACCTCAGCCCCCTACCTCCATCCAGGCCTCTTTCTCTTGGATCAAGCTGTTTTGGGGATAGGATCCCAGGAGACACACAATGTTCTCACAGATTCTTCTGCTCTGCCAATTCTTTAGTCCATTAACATAATTTTGTTAGTTACTGTATTTTCTTAAGTTATTTTTGGGAATTAAATAAATAAAATAATCTAAAACTATTCTGCCACCACATATAGAGAAGAAGATTAAACAAAATGCGAAATTCTGGATGAAAATTTATAGCTTCCAAAGGAAATTAATTTGCAAGGAGGTGTAATTTAAACTTAAAAGAGGGAAGGTATGAAGCCAAATCTATTTTCCTGAGGTCCACGTTGGGATAGAAATTATCTTAGTCTTTTACCATGAAAAGTGAATTTTTGAAACAAAATGACAATAACGGTAAGATTATACAATGTTTTTATATATGTGAGGTCATTGGATCTCCAGATAACCTAATAGGCAAGTATTACTATTAACTTCACTATAGAAAAATGGAAGCTTAAATTCATGAATTGACATGCTCCTCATAACAGAACTAGTTATTTTCAATGCTTGAATTCGAACCCAGATATTGTAACTCCAAATCAGAATTCCAACTTTCTTCTTCCTTATCAAGTATCCATAAAATATACTGCACAAATGCACATTTATTCACCTTTTATATAGTGAATGAATTTTTCTCTATTGTTTGCTGCTATAAAATGATTTTCTATGAATTATTTTCATTTAATATTAGACCAGCCTCATGAATTAGACAACACAATTATTATAACTTCCATTTTACTAATAAAGAAATAGAGGATCAGAAAGATAAATTGACTTAATGAAGGTCACACAGTAGCTATGTGACAAAACATGGCTTCACCTTCTGTCTCTCACTCTAAATTCAGCAGTTGGGAATGCAGAGAAAGACAAGTTGCCTACCAACGGAAGCTCATATGCCTCCAAGAACTTTTATCTGATTCTGAGTTTTTAATAATATGTTGAACTTATAGCCTTCCAATACCAGAGTTCATTTCTCGCTTAGCAATTCTGCCAAGGAATTCCTTTAAACCGGTGATGACTGTCATTTAAAATGCAACCTTAGAGATGCCCAAGATTCACCCAAGTTTGAAATAATGTCCAGACAATTACTCCAATAGTTAAATATTTGTTCCACAATGACTTAAACACAAATGTGAAATAGATAGACTAAACCAACAACATTTGCTTAATCAGCACTTTTAAACTCTTTCCCTATACATGTTGTTTTGAGGATTAAAATCTGCTTTCCCCCTTTGAGGATTTATGCTATATAATAGAGATGGCTGGAAGCCATTAAAACAAAACAATCTGTGTATCCTCAAGGCGGAATAAAAATGTAAGTTCATTTTAAGCATGACACTGTTATGAAGCTGGTGCCGTGCTTTTTTTGATTAATCTCCATGTGTATGTTCATTTTGTAAAATATGTTAGATGACAGTAGCTTTTCATTTAGCAAATTAATTTCACTCTAATTCAACAGGGATGAAAAAATAATAAAATCTTCCCTTTTTGTGAGACATTTAACCTTTTTTCCAAGAAAAGTATAATTTTATAAAATATGCAATACATATTCTAGTTTAAAAATTGAATTAGTTCTGCTTAAACAAGGTCTCTTGAATACTTGTAGATTTGTGGTAGCAATAATTTTATTGAAAACCATTCAGGTTTGAATTTTTAAAATATTTTCATGTATAGAAGAAATGATTTTAGAATTGCTTTAAAAATAACATGGAGAATCCAACAATGAAACGGAAAACTGTATAAATTTGCTTCAAGATGATGATGTTGATGTTGAGTTGGCAGCAGAGGGTGGGAGGTGAGATGAGGTGGCTGGGTGAAAAGAAAGCTGTTATTAAATTCTATGTCCCTGCTAGTTCCATTCCCCTAAGGAATTTTCAGAAATCTTGTTTCTAGTGCTGATACAAGTGCCAGACTACAGTTTCCACAGTATAAATTATCCTTGTTTTGTTAAAGCTTAAATTATTTTTATTAGCTGGTCACCTGGGATGTGAACAAGAGTCAAGTTAAAACTTTCAGATAAGCAAAGCAGCTGTTGCAATCAGCTCTTTCTTTGTCCTTTCTACTTCAGTCCATCTCCTGCCTTTCCCCCAATCTCTCTCTCCCTGCCTCCATCAGTCTCTCTCTCCCTGTCTCCATCAATCTCTCTCTCATATCTCCTTTGCTCCATCAAGAAATAAAAATAAAGTGAAAGAACACATGAATTTTAAGAGATACCACGCAAGCTCAAACAGGTCCACTTCCTGTCATGAAGAGATTCTGCATCTGAGAGATGCTAGGGCAAGTCTGTCTGAGGGTACAGCTGTCACACTTCTATTATATTAACCTCAAAAATTCAGCAGTGAAACCAAAAACTTTCTAGTGGTTCGACAAAAGAAAAATATAAAATTGTTCAAAAAGCATATTAAAGAAGTTGTATTCCATGTAGAAAAATCCAATTGTGAAAAATGAAAATTTACTGGAGATATTTTGTTTTTCTAAGTAACATCTGCTAATTGTAGCAATTTGAAAAATGCCTAAAAACAAAAGGAAGAAAAAATGAAATCGTATACCATACAAAGATAACTATAACTTTGGAATTTTTTCCAGTATGTTTGGAATGAATAGAGAGTGTATGTGTTCATCAAATATATATGTATGTATGTGTATATATGTACGTATATATCATAAATATTATATTATAACAATTTTTATATTACATAATTATTCTTATGGTTCATAATACCTGTAGTATAAATTTTCATTCCATGATTTGATTTATTTCAACATTTTCTATTTTTAATAATAAACAGTTTATATCCCTATATTTTTGTGCTTAATATTAAAATTAGATATATATTTTGTGCATAATATTTTGATACTTCAGATCATTTCCTTAGTTACGTTTCTAGAAGTAGAAAAGATTGATTGCAGAGTATATTTTTTAACATGAGAAGATTTTGATTTTAAAGAAAATTCACATTGTAGCTATAAAGCATTCTATACCAACGTAGTTCTGATAAGCTACTGCCCTACCACTTAGTGTGTGCAATAATTGGCTTTATCAAGTGGAATACTACATATTAGAATGATAAACATTCCCAGAAACCCCTAGCAAATGTTTAATTATGAGCATTCTATCTTATGAAGAATATTTATACATTAGAGTGCAACATAAGAAATAAATGTTTAGATACCTACAAGCCATATAAAAAAGTAATTTACAGATTCAGATGCTTCTATCCTGGTACAGCTTATGAAAAGGATAGCATACAGTTTGCTTCATATTATTATTATTATTACTACTATTACTATTATTATGTTTTTGAGATGGAGTCTTGCTCTGTTGCCCAGGCTGCAGTGCAGTGGCGCAATCTCGGCTCACTGCAAGCTCCGCCTCCTGGGTTCACGCCATCCTCCTGCCTCAGCCTCCCGAGTAGCTGGGACTACAGGTGCCCACCACCACGCCTGGCTATTTTTTTTTTTTTTTAGTAGAGACGGGGTTTCACCATGTTAGCCAGGATGGTCTCGATATCCTGACCTCATGATCCGCCCGCCTCGGACTCCCAAAGTGCTGGGATTACAGGCGTGAGCCACCACGCCTGGCCGCTTCACATTATTTTTAAAGGGGCGCCAGAACCCACAAGTAAAACTACAGGGAAACTGCTCTGGTTCCTTTGGTGAAAACCTTTATATAATCAGCTGTCATCCAACCTGGAATGAGCTGTCTTTATAGACACAGGTCTTTTAAGCATATGTTCAATCTGCTCAATATATAAGGAGCTTCTGTCTTGTGTGGCAGGGTGGGCTAAGTGCATCTTTCTCAATATAAAATATATTGGTTCCATAATTTTAAATACATTTTAAATATTTCTGAATGGCTTAAAAATACTTTTTGATTATAACTTTTCTTTTGATAATGTTTTTTGTTTGTTTTCTTTTTTGTTTTGAGATGGAGTCTCACTCTGTCGCCCAGGCTGGAGTGCAGTGACACAATCTCAGTTCATTGCAACCCCTGACTCCCGGGTTCAAGTTACCTTCCTGCCTCAGCGTCCCAAGTAGCTGGGATTACAGGTGCATGCCACCACGCCTGGCTAATTTTTGTATTTTTAGTAGAGACGCGGTTTCACCATGTTGGCCAGGGTGGTCTCGACCTCCTGGCCTCAGGTGATCTGCCTGCCTCGGCTTCCCAAAGTGCTGCGATTACAGGCGTGAGCCACCACACCTGGCCTTTTTGGAAAATGTTTAATAATAAATTTGAAGGCTAGATATACAGGATGAATCCATATATTAAAGGATCCCACATTTTTACTGCGGCCAATTTTGCCAACGCTCTTGCTTCTGTTCTTGTTAGACACCAAGAACATAATGGAAAAAAATAGCCAAGGTTGTGATTTCTCAGCACATGAAATTCTGGAAATAAAATATGAAACTTTTTCCTCTGAGAGTATGGAATAAATATATTACCTTATGAAAGTGCTTTTGACAGTAACATTCTGAAGTTTCACTGAATATAAGTATAGCAGGTAAGCAAAATTAGGAGAGAAGCATTTATAATGAGGAAAAGATAAGAAATTTGCAATTATGTTGCACTGTCAAACTCCTACCTATAGAATGTTTATGTTCTTGGTGTAGGATACATTTGGTCATAAAAGCTTCCATAATCCTAAAGACTGACCTTCTAGTTGGAATTACAAGGTGCAATTACTACTAAACCCACTTGCTGGGGCAAATCAACAAAAGAGAGCTAGCCAAACATTTTCTTCTTGCATTCCTAAAATAGTTTGAGGTAACCTCTCGAGATCCAGTATCTGATTCTTCAGACTATCTTGGGAGAAAGAAAAGGAAGTCAGAACAAAGTCATGCATATTCTGATACAAAAATAAATAAACATGGTTTTAAAAGTAAAAAAAAAAAAAAGATGATGGACAAGAACAAACATCCCCTTAGAACGATAATGTGTTTGGTCTTAAAAACTTTAAGGCAACAAGGGATTTTATATTAAGATGTGACAAATTCCTCACAGATGGGAAAAGATATAAAATGCTGCTTTGTAAGCATTCATTTTAACCAGAAATGATTTTCTCATACAATGGCAATACACTGTGTGGCGAATGATAAAATAAATAGATAGCTACTGAGGAATATTCTGCTGCATTCATGTAGAGGCCAAAGCCACCAGCATAATCTCTACCCAGCTGAAACAAAATCTTTTGGTTTCAGAATGGCCACACAGATAGATTTTATCCATTTGCTTGTGGGAAGAAGTGTCCTTACTCTGCTGACATGTTCTAGAGATATGGCATATGGGAACATGAGAACTCACCTAAACAGCTCTGTTCATCTTCTTCCTAGCCTGCAGCTGCCCTGGATTCTTCAGTTTACCATACCCTATGCTCCCCGCCGAGCACTTTTGCAAAGTCCCTCACTCATTCTTTCTGCCATGCCTAAATAGGTGACTGGCACTGGCTCTATTATGTTTTCTTTTGTGTCCTTCCTTGCATGCAATCTCAGTAGCACACCTAATTTTATTTTCCTGCTCATTGTCAGATCACTGAGCATCACAGGAGGGCAGAGGATATCATTCAGAATTACGGATAAATAAATGAGAAAAAATTTTGGTTCTCAAAATATTTGAGAATAAGCTGCAAGAAGAAAGTAAATTACCTACATTTCAAGGATTATTCACTCTGTAAGGGTATGAGGTTCCATTTAGTGCAGTTTGCTAAGCACTAGTTCAGAGACCAACCTCAGCCAATGATTCCATTGTTATTCTTCCACAAGAAGGCATATTAAGTTTATTACCAAGTAATTCTAAAAATGATGCTTTTTATCACTGGTAGCAATTATGATTGCATTTTCCATATCCTTATTTTGTGCAAATGGGATATCACACATAAGAGCTGTACTCATACTGCTCAGTTTGTCTTCAGTCCTTAATCCCCATCCTCAGATAAAAGATATCACTGCTCGAGTGTGGAACCCCAGGCCAGGAAGAAAATGTGATGCCTCAAAACTCAAGGTGTGAACAGGACTCAAATACTGGGAGAACGGGAACTAGAAGAGTATCAGCAAGATTGGGGGAAGAGATGGAGACAGAATTCATGACAGAAATCTAATTGTTGGAGGGAGAAAAAAATTGGGTGATTCAAAAGATGAATATTATGAAAAAGTAAGATTAATTTTAGAAATCTGAATAACTTCATTATTCTGTAAAAAATATATATGTGAACACACTGTCAAGTTTTCTTATGTTTCTAACATGTAGTATTTTGAAAACAGCAGCAATACACCAGTAAATCTCTTCTAGCATGTAAGAAATCAATGGTTTGAGAGTTAACTTACTTTCACAACACAAGGTATGCATTCACTTCTTACTGGCAGGAACGGGTTACATTTTAAAAATTGCACAAACCAGCCATATACACGTATGTTGCATTCAAAGCAACATTCAACCTGCTTAAAATCAGATTCCACTTTGTTATTAATCTCTCCTCTTCTTTCCCTACCCCAAACCCTCTGCTTGGCCAGCTGTATGCCATATTGAATCAACTTGTATTGAAATACTCATGTATTCTGTGAGTCTGCTGCAAAATTCCTGTAGGTATTTTAACTTGGATTTTGTTTATATATGGAACTCACATATGGCTATGTCTCTGGAAAATGCTATGTCTAATCCTCTGGCAATGTACTTATTTGGAGATAAGCCCTGAAACCTAGAAAATGGCACTCAATAAACTCACGTCTCTCACTTTTGTTCTAGTAGAAATAAACTGCCCCATATTACTAGATAAATATCATCTTGCATGCCAATGGTTTAACTATTTTAATGCTTATTGTCTAATATCTTTTCAAGAATGCAATCCTTGAAATGCTTTCTGACTCATTTGGCTGTGTTGGCCCACTGCAGGAGTATTTACTTCTATCACAGCAGACATTATACTACATTCTAATTATTTATCTTATGTCTTTGGTTCTTATTGAACTGTAAGCAACATGAGAGCAGGGACTATACTTTGTTTTTGTATCCACAATGCTTGGCTTTTAAGAGTGATATGGACATGATGTTTGTTGGGTGAATATATGTACACTGAATATGTATGCATGGAAAATCTTTTAGATTCAATCTTTGAGATTCAATATTATAATTACCAAAAAGGTAAGAATGCAAAGTCACAGCCAATCAAAGGCTAGAAGGGAGCTACAGATTATTTTTCAGTCAAACACAAATCTTTGCTGTCCCTCTAGGAGCATGAAAATTAACAATAAATTTTATAACATTTATGTTATAAAATAGTAAAATTCTCTGGTTAGAATTTCTCCCATCTGCTGAACCACTTTTCTGATGTTTGAGGTATTTGACACTTCGTAGCCAGATAAAATTGTTAACAATAAGCAGAATCAATATATATTTTAATTAAGATGCAATGGAACATTTCGTGTAAAAATGAAAACATTAGTTTAAACTGGAACATAAATTTTAAGTGATTGTTTTATAGAGATATACTCAGTTTATACATTAAAAAAAATCCAATTCTAAATTGAAATACGCTGGAGATACATTAAATCTAATTGTAACTATTATTCTCCTAAGACTACATACTACATTTTGCCAATCTAGACTCAAAATGAAGAAATAAAGAATGAATAACCTGGGATTGCTTAGCTCTGTCACATTTTCTCTCCTTTGTCACTGGGGGTATAACAATCAAACTTTGGCCTTGAAAACTGTCTCAACACAAAGTAGAGCAATATGCACGCAAAACATGAAGGTAAATTTAGTCTTTTCCAAGATCTGATAATTTCTCTTTAATAAAATTGAAGGGATAAATTCTGAGCTAATCACCAAATATCTTGTTTTCTTTAATGATCTTAAATGAACTTTATGCAGCCTCTCTCTGTGCATGACATTCTGCAGTACCAAATCAGATTACCAGATGTATGGTTCAAGAATTACTACAGAATATTTACAACACATATTGATGTATGTTAAACCAATAATCAATTGAATCCTTAATAGCTCGAAATAACCTTCTCCCAAAGAACAAACATAACATGTATTTATTACTACTGACATTTTCATTTGTATTTTATTGATAAATTTGACTTTCTATATGTAAAAATTGACTAATAGGTGTTTTTTTTTTTTCAATCTCATTGAGTGGAAAAATTTCCACTTTGCTGCTAATGTTTAGAGGTGACTTAGAACTCTGTATTGTGCCAAAAGAAGGTTGGGGAGCTGCTATTTCTAGTAAGATAAATATATTAATATATCCACAACTTTTCCCCACATTAAAATTACAATCTATCCAACACTATAAAATGAACTTGACTTCTTTTGGTACTCTATTGGTATTTTAATTTCTCATGGAACTTTTTATATCATTGTAGATTCCTGCCAAATGAATTATGTCAAAATTTGCAAAAGCAGCCTGTAAACAAGATTTGATGCAATAAAACTTTAGGGCAGAAAAAAACTGACCCAAGGAGAATAAAAATTGTATATTTCATTTTAATTTATTTTTAATAAGATTCTCCATATTAAGATCTCATAGAATTCTATTTCCTAATTGGTATCTATGGTAGGTCCTGTTAGTGACTTAGTCAAACCATTCTAATTCCTTCTCCCACACATGTGCATACCTTGTTAACAGTGCCCTTTTATTTAGATATGGATCTGTTAACAGCGTGTTCTGGAAAGGTAAGCCCCTCCTTGTTTTCAGTAGGTAAATCATGTTTGGTCTCAACCAGTCATTAAAAAAACACATTCTCTTTCCCATGAATAAGCTAGGGGTAGTCATATGATTCCATTCTTAAAATAAAATATAAAATGTTTTGCAGGGCTCTAAGGGTATCAGGGAAGATTTACTGCCTTGATAAATGAGAGAATATCTGGGAAACTGGCCCTTTTTCTGCCTATTTTATTTCTTCCTATTGTGTAGCCAGGATACTTAGAAAGGCAGTATAAACTTGTGATCATGAATTGAAAATTTACAGGAAGGACAAACAGCCAACATGCCAAGAAAGGTAAAAGGAAAGAATGGAAAAAGCCCGAGTCACTGTATTGGCTTTGGAACTGCCTGATTTCAGAATCCTTCCCCACCCTCACTCCCCAAATAACCTATTATCTGCAAGTAAACACACTATGATACAAAATTTATATTAAGTTTTAGAAATTAAAAGTTGAGACAGGAAAATACATTCAATCTCATTCTTTTGGTTGAAAATGAAGACTAATTGCCTTTTGTTGTCATCAGGGACATGGCTGATTATTGCTTGAGTTGATGACAAGAGCTATCAAGTTACTCCAATTATTAGCTGCCCTCAAACTAGGCAATCCTGAAGTCGAGATGCAACATCAGGCAACTTCATAGTTGAAACCCATGTGCTGCTCCATGACCTTGCTGTCCTCTTGTCATATAATAAAAACACAATTTTAGTGCATAAGTCAGCAAGAAGTTAAGGTGAATTTGCTTTAATATATCTTTCTCTATCAAATAACTCAAGAAACAGCTCCAGCAACTTAGTTGCAAAGTTAATGATGGTATAAATTATATTGAGGTAAATGTCTAGACGAAAGGATGTTTAGTTCTTGTCTTTCTCTTTTGGAGCTCTCAGATTTGTTGAATCCATAGTGAGAAATGCCTCAGCGTTCTTCAGTTTTCCTCTGGCACAATGTGTGGTTGAATAAATGCTAATATATGAACATTCATAGTGAGCTAAGAAGACAATTTTTTTCATTTAAAGCTTCATTTGTTTCCAATATTCGCTAAACCACTTAAAAATAATTTTCAATTATTGTATGTAAAATATTAAGCTAGTTTTCTTAAACTCAAAGTTAGTTTACAGATGTTCTCAAATATTTTGTTGTGTTATTCACAAGTATGGAATATTAGGATTATTCCTAAATAAATTATTTTTGTAAATATAGGTGTTATAGCCAAACCAAATATATAGATATTCTGGAAATATCTATGTGGGTTTTCTGATTTTGCATTTAATCTTGTTTGGCCTTGGAGAGAAGTGCTAGAAGAATGAAGATTATAGTTGGGACTCTAAGATCTCACATAAAACAAAAATACTCCTACTTTTTAGATTGAAATTATACTCACATGGTTAAGTTTGGTCTTTTGCTGAAAGGATAAATATGTATGTCTAATACCATATTTTTGTGAGATAGTATTTATAAAAATGCAGAGGCAAAACTGAATATGAAGATAAGTGACAATAAGGAAAAATGAGTGACAGGGGCCTTTTCCCTGCCAGAGCTTCCTGTTCCGTGGAGTCTTTCTTGGATTCTGACCGAGCATTCAACATGCCACCGTCTCTTTCTTTAGGACTCAAGCTATTGTCTAGGTTCTACTGTGATGCCATGCTATGCTCTTCATAAAAAGTAACCTCCAGAACCTCAAACCACATAGAAATAAGTTTCAAGTCATTGTAGGTAGGTGATAAACAATAACAAATATCAAACAAGGAAAAAAAGACTTAAGAGCAGAGGAATACATTTACTTCTGATTTTGAAGTTCAGTAAATAATCTTGCTATTGCTTACATAAACCAATCTTCAATTCAAACTCAGCTCGACATAATTGGTGGAAATAAGAATGTACCAATCCAATGTTTGGCTGCTGCACAATGGTTTGGGAAATGAGCTATAAAACCGCTAAGATTCTGTAAAATCAAAATGTATTAGAATATAGAAGGAATTGACATCCACGGCCCATGTTCCCATCGTCAAGTGTTTGTCCTTTGGTTACACCCTTATTTACTAGCTCTTCTGTGGACCTATGTATGTCTCCCCAGGTTGGAGTACCTGGAAGACAGGAGACATCTTTTTCCCTTAAATATTTACTTTCTTGAAAAACCTAACCTAATTGTTTGTAGTAATTACCAGTGATTTTTTAAAAATCCCACATTCAGGTACTTTTTTTCAACTATCATTTCTTTATTATTTGAACTTGTACTATAATTCCTACAGCCTGTTTTTCCACCATGGAAATTTTTAAGATTCCTAAATTCTAAGGTTTCTAAGTTTTGGTCCTGAAGGTGATTTTAGGACCATTCAGGGACAGGATTTTTCTTTTCCATATGCAGTCAAGGGATTCCCACTCTCTGGGAATCCTCTAACTTGTAAGATTTAGCTGAAAAGGTCACAGGCCTGGATTTTCATATCATCTAATCACATACTACTTACAAATTCTCACAAATCAAAATTTTCCTAACAACCACTGGGACCCTGAAATGTATTATGGGTTGTTTTTTCCTTATTGTGGATATTTAGATGGTCTCTAAGATATAAAGCAAACCATACGTATTGCACCATTTCTACATTAAAGCTGCATCTTTGTAGGACACAGGCGGTGTATTTAACCAATGATATACCTGATTGCGTTCCAAGCCAAACAACATAGCCTTTTTATTTTTGCCCATGCCGCAGGCTATCTGAAAGTATTAGAGTTAATGTGCAATCAGGTAACTAAACCCATATTACATATCTGTAATTTTCATCCAGTAGAAAGAAAATATTATATTACAAGCCTCCATAATTGCATTCAAATGTAATCAAATACAAAAGTTTAAGATCCCAAATCCTTTGAGTTACAAGATCTCTTTTTCTATACATATAACCAACCTTATAGCTGCAAAATGAAATTGAAATAATTCTCTAGGCATTTTTAAAAAATAACAAGATTCACTCGTTATTTTTAAACTTGTTATTTTAAAAAATAACAAGAGCCCCAGGCTCTGATTCTTTTATAGCACTGTCGGCAGCAGCCATTTATCTGCTCAGGCAACAAAGGCCTAGACAAAGATAGGACTAGAAAAATAGCCCTCTGGAACTAAAGAAAGTTTCTTCAATTGGGGGTGTTGGGTGAAAACCAATACTTTAATAAACAGTAGTTATATACGTTTTGATCTCTGAACCAAGAACGCAAGACTAGAGGGTTCTTGCGTAGCGTCAAAATTGAGGGAATCTGATTTAAAAGAACAGTCTTAGAAAGGAAACTCATCAAAACTATGAGTCAAGCTTTGAAAATGTAAAGTACATTAAGCTAACAATAACTACGTATTTACTATGGCTTTCTTCCTTTCTTCCTTTATTAGTTTTATTTTATTTTTTTAAATCATGGAGGAAATACAGAACCACTTGAAACACAGGAATGGTATGTGAGGGTAGATGTTACTAACCAATGCTAAGTGCATCTATTTCACTCTATTCTAAACTAGCCAAAGGAAAACAGACTTTGAGTGTGTAAAGGGGTTGGAGATACTGGGTACACTAAAATGCTACAAAACTACTTGGCCAAAAGTTTTCTTTTTTCAAAATCTAGGTAATCAAATTCCATGAATTAGAGAATTATTTGTTAAAAATTTCTACCTTTAAAATACAAATGCTATTTTCATGCTATGATTTCCTACTATAAGACTTGATATCAGTGACCCTTTTCCCTAAGAACAATTACAAAGACTGGACAACACACACAACAAGCATTCGGGAGAGTCCATGGCATCCATGGGGGAAAACAACTGATCTGGTTTCTTCAAAAAGTCAACATTATGGGAAAAAAAAGTAAGAAAGGTTATAGTATGGTAAAAGAGACATGAAAACTAAATGCAATATAAGAATATTGATTGTATGCCAATTCTAAAAATAGCCATCAGATATCTTGAGGACAGGTGGGAAAATCTGAATATTGACCAATTGTATATTATATTAGAGAAATAATGTTAACTTTTGTAGACATGATAATGTGGTTAGGCAGGAGAATATCTTTTTTTAACTTTTAAGTTCAGGGTAAAAGTGCAAGTTTGTTACGCAGGTAAACTTGTGTCATGGGGGTTTGTTGTACAGATTATTTCAGAACCCAGGTATTAAGCCTAGTACCTATTAGTTATTTTTCCTGATCCCTTCCCTCCTCCCACCCTTCAACCTCTGATAGGCCCAAGTATCTACTGATGCATGTGTTCATTGTTCTCTTCATTTCTCTCCCACTTATAAATGAGAACATGTGGTATTTGGTTTTCTGTTCCTCCCTTAGTCTGCTAGGGATAATGGCCTCTAGCTCCACTCTTGTTCCAGCAAAGGACATGATCTCATGAGTTTTCTTTTTTTTTTTTTTTTTGAGATGGAGTCTTGCTCTGTTGCCCAGGCTGGATTGCAATGGTGCAATCTCGTCTCACTGCAACCTCTGCCTCCTAGATTCAAGCAATTCTCCTGCCTCAGTCTCCCAGGTAGCTGGGACTACAGGTGCACACCACCATGCCCAGCTAATTTTTGTAGTTTTAGTAGAGATGGGGTTTCACCATATTGGTCAGGCTGGTCTTGAACTCCTGACCTTGTGATCTGCCCACCTCAGTCTCCCAAAGTGCTGGGTTTATAGGCATGAGCCACTGTGCCTGGTGATCTCATGTGTTTTTATGGCTGCATAGTATTCCGTGGTGCATATGTCATACATTTTCTTTATCCAGTCTGCCATTGATGGACATTTAGGTTGATTGCATGTCTTCACTATTGTGAATAGTGCTGCAATGAACATTTGTATGCATGCATTTTTATGATAGAATGATTTATATTCCTTTGGGTGTATACCTAGTAATAGGATTGCTGGATGGAATGCTATTTCTGTTTTTAGGTCTTTGAGGAATCTCCACACAGTTTTGCACGATGGTTGAACTAATTTATACTCCCACCAACAGTGTATAAGCATTCTTTTTTGCAGGAAACTATCTTTATTCTTAGGAAATGAAGTAGTTAGGGGTGATATCTCAATATGGCTGCATCTTACTTTCAAATGGTTCAGCAGAGAATAATAGAAAAAAGACAGAAGGAAAAAAGAATGGAAGAAGGGGAAGGAAGTAGTGAAGGAAGAAGGGGAGAGAGAGAAAAAAATAGAATAGTGTAGAATCATGATGGTAGTTATGAGAGTATATTTTATATTACATATTCTTCCTTATGTTTTAAATGTTTGAAATTTTTCATCATGAGAATTTGAGAAAAAAATAATTCTTGTAAGTCTGGTACAGAACAACTGCTATCTTCAAGAAGACGTTGCCCTTGTCTGCAAGGAGAGAGTTTATTAGGGAAAACAAACCTCAAATCAAAATTAAATCGATTCCTCCAAGTATTTTTTTAGAACGCCCCCAGGTGTAATAAACACTACAGATAGCCATGTACTCAACAGAAACAGCTCTCACTTTTGCTCATAGAGTATTAGAGCAGGAGAATGAGAAGGAAGGTTAACTTTTCGTCTATTCATTTCTGAACTAACTTTATAAAATTGACTCCAATATTCCTTTTTCAATCCCGAGCTTTTAAGGGTCAAATAGGTGTATATTTCTACAAACATATAAACATGTTCTCTAGAGAAGTTAGAAAACAGTAGCTTTCCCTCTTACTAAAGTTCATGTGCTTTTTATGAAATCACCTGAAAATAAGTCTCTTTATTTTCTTGTTTCAAGTATTATTATAAGAACAAAAAGATTGCATAACAAATTAAGATCCTCCTTTACTTTCTGTCACTAGACTGTTTCAAGAGATACATACTGTAAAATTTGAGCGGGTTGATAAAACTAATCAGTTCTAGCAATTATGATTTTTTTATTCTTAGACTTTGATTTTTTGTTTCCCAGGGGAAAGGCTCAGATGACTTTCAATCCCTAAGGACCAAGTTCAACCATCAGTTATCCATGCATGGCTCCCATTGGCTTCGGTGATTCCCACTGCCTCCCATGGAAGAAAGCCAGATTGTACTTGAGGACATGTGCGTGCAGCTCTATTTGAAGTTAGTGGAGATCACATATGTATTCTAGGGCAGAACTTGGCCCAAAGATTATATACTAATCAATTACTGTCTTAGTATGCAAAACAATGGAAAAAATATTGCCACTAAAAAAGTAAACCAAATGTTAATGACAGTACTCCAAGAGATATATAGAAAACATTCCTTACAGAAATACAAAAACATTGTTACGCCATTACTGCTCTGCTGGAGACCGAAAACAATTAGGATTCTAATAAGATATATGTTGCAGTAAAAAAAATTCTTGGATGATACAACATTCTCACACAGATCTGGCCCACACAGCCATTTCAAGCTTTGGCTTTCCCCTCTTTGAATGTGTTAATCTTCTGACCTTCGTCCATCCTTGTCTCCCACTAATTACTTTAAATGACATCATTTTTTTTGTATAAATCTAAATGCAATACTAAAAGTGGATAACCAGTTTAGTGCCTTCTGTTTTTTTCCAATTAGTTCCCTAATATTAGATACTCCCTGGTGGAATGCAACAAATAAACACAGTGCAATTACTATAGTGGAAAGAAATATAACAATAATTATTTTTAATCTGTAATTTTCATCCTTTTCAAACTCCTTTCCTTGTAAGCATACAATTCCAACCAAATATACTTGCTTTATTCATATAAGCAAAGAACATGATGAAACATCCCTCTTTGTTACTATCTTAGCAATATTTCATCTTTTTTATAGTAAGCAATGCTGATTTTCCATTTTATCAAAGATTAACCTATGCAAATCACAAGTGTATTTATTACTTTTCATAAAATTAACATGGTCATGTAACTACCACCAAATGAAGAAATTCATCATTGCCAGCACTCCAAAAGTCTTCCTGTCCCCCCTTCCCAAGCACTACTCTCTCAAAGATAATGACTATTCTGACTTTTATCACCATAGATTAGTGACAGCCTGGAGTGTTTACCAGGGTCTCTCCTCTTTGTGTCCCTTTCCAGTTAAGACCGAAAAACCTCAGGCTGAATTTTTATACTTTACCTATCCCTTTCAACTTGGCTGTCTTGGCCTGGAAGAGCTTAGATATAAGCAAATTCCTCAAAAGAATTAGGAGTGCAGAATGTCAGACTCGTTATCTGTGTTACCTTGTCTCTGGGATTTTGTTCACTAAAGTCGTGGCTGCCTTGGTAGCCCTGAACTCCAATTGTGTCTCCCTGAACTGATTAGACAGCTAAAAGGCCTGAATTACTTATTTTTGCTAGGGATCTTGGATCCTAGCTTATGAGCCACAAATGCTTACAGGGAAGAAGTAATAGTGAATGTTGGGCCCACCTCAGTGTGTTTTCCTTCTCTCCAGGATCTTAGCACCTCAAAACCAAGAAAATCAAGGCAGCCGCCTTGATTGTTCTCCATGACTTTAAAGAGCTGTTAAAATAATTATATTATTCATCTTTATATTTATTTTCAGTGAGCAGGTTGACATAATATAAGCTACTTCATTCTATTCAAAAGGCAAATCTTTTCATCTCTTTTCATCTGTTTCTCTACTAACTTCTTCAACTCTTCCCCTTGGAATAAAAATCTACACGATTGTCTTCCTGGTTGCCTCCACTCAGTCATTATTATCACATTTTTCTTTGCTCTGTATACTTCTGTTGTTTGAGTTATTTAATTGATTTATATATTATTATTTTTATATTCCTATCTCCTATATAAGGACCATCATCTATATAAGAAGTACAGTTGATATATTAGCCCAAAACACATACCTATTGTAGAACTGATAATTTTACCAAACATTTGGTAATTCTGCGTAACTTTGTTGCCTATGAGACATCCTAACCTATTCTACTTCATTGTAGTCAATTTTATTTCAGTTCTAAAAAGTGCTTGCAGCCAGGTGTGGTGGCTCACACCTGTAATCCTAGCACTTTGGGAGACCAAGGTGGGCTGATCACCTGAGGTCAGGAGTTCGAGACCAGCTTGGTCAACATGGTGAAACCCCATCTCTACTAAAAATACAAAAACTAGCTGGTCATGGTGGCTCATGCCTGGAATCCCAGCTACTTGGGAGGCTGAGGCAGAAGAATTGCTTGAATCCAGGAGGTGTATGTTGCAGTGAGCCGAAATTGTGCCATTGCACCCCAGCCTGGTCAACAAGAGTAAAACTCCGTCTCAAGAAAAAAAAAAAAAAAGTACTTGCAATCAAACCAATCTAGTTTATTTTAGTGACCATTAATTTGTTGTTACTTAAAAACAATGAGCTCCCTGAGGTTAAACTACCTATCTGTTTTATTCATATCCATTTGTCCCCTGGGCTCAGAAGTATGCTAGGCATATTGTAGGTGATTAATAAATGTTTGAGGCCTGAGCAAACCCTAGAAGTATAACCACAGGCCCCTCGCTACTTTAGTAAATACATTATTAGAAAAAAATTGCTAACCAAATCAGAGCTATTTAGAGTCATTAGAACATAGTTCCTATGGAAATGTATTTCTGAAATATGGTAATAGTAATTCGTCATTCTTGCACAAAGACTCCATAAATATCTGTGTGGTATTAATTTTCACATTTATTTGTTATAATATTATTAAGTTCTATGTGACATACAGTGAAGTGTACAGATTTGATAACTTCTAACATATTTGTAAGCTTGTAAGAGCATCACCACAATCAAGACGATGACCAGTTCCATCACTTCTAAAAGTCTCCTTTTGCCATTCTGTAATCCATACCTCCCTGTGCCCCTATCCTCAGGTAGCAATTTATTTGACTTCTGATACTGCTATTTTTCTATTTTTTTAAATTATACTTTAAGTTCTGGGGTACATGTGCAGAACACACAGGTTTGTTACATAGGTATACACATACCATGGTGGTTTGCTGCACCCATCAACCCGTCATCTACATTAGGTATTTCTCCTAATGCTATCCCTCCACTAGCCCCACCACCCACTGAGAGGTCCCAGTGTGTGATGTTCCCCTCCTTGTGTCCATGTGTTCTCATTGTTCAACTCCCACTTATGAGTGAGAACATGCAGTGTTTGGTTTTCTGTTCTTGTGTTACTTTGCTGAAAATGATGGTTTCCAGCTTCATCCATGTCCCTGCAAGGGACATGAACTCATCCTTTTTTATGGCTGCATAGTATTCCATGGTGTGTATGTGCCACATTTTCTTTATCCAGTCTATCACTGATGGGCATTTGAGTTGGTTCCAAGTCTTTGCTATTGTGAACAGTGCCGCAATAAACATATGTGTGCATGTATCTTTATAGTAGAATGATTTATAATCCTTTGGGTATATATCAAATTATGGGATTGCTGGGTCAAATGGTATTTCTGGTTCTAGATCCTTGAGGAAACATCACACTGTCTTCCACAATGGTTGAACTAAATTACACTCCCACCAACATGTAAAAGCGTTCCTATTTCTCCACATCCTCTCCAGCATCTGTTGTTTCCTGACTTTTTAATGATCGCCATTCTAACTGGTATGAGATGGTATCTCATTGTGGTTTTGAGTTGCATTTCTCTAATGACCAGTGATGATGAGCTTTTTTTCATATGTATATTGTTTAATCCATCTTGAGTTAATTTTTGTATAAGGTGTGAGGAAGGGGTCCAGTTTCAGTTTTCTGCATATGGCTAGCCAGTTTTCCCAACACCACTTATTAAATAGGGAATCATTTCCCCATTGCTTGTTTTTGTAAGGTTTGTCAAAGATCAGATGGTTGTAGATGTATGATTTTATTTCTGAGGCCTCTGTTCTGTCCTATTGGTCTATATCTCTGTTTTGGTACCAGTACTACACTGTTTTGGTTACTGTAGCCTTGTAGTATAGTTTGAAGTCAGGTAGCATGATGCCTCCAGCTTTGTTCTTTTTGCTTAGGATTGTCTTGGTCACGCAGGCTCTTTTTTGGTTCCACATGAAACTTAGAGTAGTTTTTTTTCTAATTCTGTGAAGAAAGACAATGGTAGCTTGATGGGGATAACATTGAATCTATAAATTACTATGGGTAGTATGGCCATTTCACAATATTGGTTCTTCCTATCCATGAGCATGGAATGTTTTTGCATCTGTTTGTGTCCTCTCTTATTTTCTTGAGCAGCGGTTTGTAGTTCTCCTTGAAGAGGTCCTTCACGTCCCTTGTAAGTTGGATTCCTAGGTATTTTATTCTCTTTGTAGCAATTATGAATGTGAGTTCACTCATGATTTGGCTGTCTGTTTGTCTGTTATTGGTGTATAGGAATGCTTGTGATTTTTGCACATTGACTTTGTATCCTGAGACTTTGCTGAAGTTGCTTATCAGCTTAAAGAGATTTTGGACTGAGACAATGGGGTTTTCTAAATATACAATCAAGTCATCTGCAAAGACAATTTGACTTGCTCTCTTCCTGTGTGAATACCATTTCTTTCTCTTGCCTGATTGACCTGGCCAGAACTTCCAATACTATGTTGAATAGGAGTGGTGAGAGAAGTCATCCTTGTCTTGTGCTGGTTTTCAAAGGGAATGATTCCAGGTTTTGCCTATTCATTATGATATCAGCTATGGGTTTCTCCATAAATAGCTCTTATTATTTTGGTATACGTTCCATCAATACCTAGTTTATTGGGAGTTTTTAGCATGACAGGGTGTTGAATTTTATCAAAGGCCTTTTCTGCATCTATTGACATAATCATGTGGTTTTCGTCATGGGTTCTGTTTATGTGATGGGTTATGTTTATTGATTTGTGTACGTGGAACCAGCCTTCTATCCCAGGGATGAAGCCAACTTGATTGTGGTGGATAAGCTTTTTGATGTGCTGCTGAATTCAGTTTGCCAGTATTTTATTGAGGATTTTTGCACCAATGTTCATCAGGGATATTAGCCTGAAATTTTCTTTTTTTGTTGTGTCTCTGCCAGATTTTGCTATCAGGATGATGCTGGCCTCATAAAATGAGTTAGGGAGGAGTCCCTTTTTTTCTATTGTTTGGAATAGTTTCACAAGGAATGGTACCAGCTCCTCTTTTTATCTCTGGTAGAATTCAGCTGTGAATCCGTCTGGTCCTGGACTTTTTTTGATTGGTAGGCTATTAATTACTGCCTCAGTTTCTGAACTTGTTATTGATCTATTCTGGGATTCAACTTCTTCCTAGTTTAGTCTTGGGAGGGTGTACGTGTCCAAGAATTTATCCATTTCTTCTAGACTTTCTGTTTATTTGCATAGAGGTATTCATAGTATTCTCTGATGGTAGTTTGTATTTCCGTGGGATCAGTGGTGATATCCCCCTTATCATTTTTTATTACATCTATTTGATTCGTCTCTCTTCTCTACTTTATTAGTCTGGCTAGCAGTCTATCTATTTTGCCCCAATTAAAAGACACAGACTGGCAAATTGGGTAAAGAGTCAAGACCCATTGGTGTGCTGTATTAAGGAGATCCAGCTCACGTGCAAAGACACACCTAGGCTCAAAATAAAGGGATGGAGGAATATTTACCGAGCAAAAAAAAGCAGGAGTTGCAATCCAAGTATCTGATAAAACAGACTTTGCACCAACAAAGATTAAAAGAGACAAAGAAGAGCATTACATAATAATAAAGGGATCAATGCAACAAGAAGAGCTAACTATCTTAAATATATATGCACCCCATACAGGAGCACCCAGATTCATAAAGCAAGTTCTTAGAGACCTACAAAGAGACTTAGACTACCACACAATAATAGCGAGAAACTTTAACACCCTATTGTGAATATTAGACAGATCAGCAAGACAGAAAATTAACAAAGATATTCAGGACTTGAACTCAGCTCTGGACCAAGGAGACCTAATAGACATCTACAGAACTCTCCACACCAAATCAACAGAATATACATTCTTCTCAGCACCACATCACACTTATTCTAAAATTGACCACATAATTGGAAGTAAAACACTCCTCAGCAAATGCAAAAGAACAGAAATCATAACAAACAGTCTCTCTGACCACAGTGCAATCAAATTAGAACTCAGGATTAAGAAACTCACTCAAAACCGCATAACTACATGGAAACTGAACAACGTGCTCCTGAATGACTACTGGGTAAATAACGAAATGAAGGCAGAAATAAAGATGTTCCTTGAAACCAATGAGAACAAAGACATAACGTACCAGAATCTCTGGGACACATTTAAAGCAGTGGGTATAGGGAAATTTATAGCACTAAATGCCCACAAGAGAAAGCAGGAAAGATCTAAAATCCACACCCTAACATCACAATTAAAAGACCTAGAGAAGCAAGAGCAAAGAAATTCAAAAGCTAGCAGAAGACAAGAAATAACTAAGATCAGAGCAGAACTGAAGGAGTTAGAGACACAAAAAACCCTTCAAAAAATCAATGAATCCAGGAGCTGGTTTTTTGAAAAGATACTGTTATTTTCTCAATTTTTATATGTGGGAATCAATCAGCATAATTATTTTGAGATTTATCCAATTTGTTGCATTTATCAATAGTTCATTCCTGTTTGTTGCGGAATAGCATTCTATCATACGGATGTACTACAATTTGTTTATCCATTCACAAGACGATGAACATTTGGGTTTTTTCCAGTTTGGGACTATTAAAGCTGTTATGAAAATTAATACACAAGTCTTGTTTGAGAATATGCTTTCATTACAGAAAGTAATGAAGTAAAGTAGATTGTCTGGATTACAATTGCTTCTTAAGAAACTATAACATGTTTTCCAAAATATTTTCCAAAGTCTATAACTTTAATAGTTATGGACTTCAATGGTATAAGTTATACATACCATTTTATATTCCTATGTTATATATATGTATATGAGTGTTACAGGTTCTCTGCATCCTTATCAACAACTGATTAGTCTTTTTATCTTAGTCACTCTAATGGAGTATTTAGATAAGTAGAGCATTCCCATCCACCATTCCAGATACTTATTACAGTGTACTGATTAAAAGCCTGGCTCTGCAGTTACACAGACTTGACTTCAGCATGCTCCTATCTAGTTATATAGGCTGGAAGGAATTATTTAACATCTTAGAGTCTCAGTTTACACATATTTAATGGAGGAACATTTATAATTTATAATTTCTAGAGATGCAGTCAATTCTATGAAAAATAATATTTTATGTCATCATTCTTCTCTCATTTTCTCCTTTCTTGTGTGAGTGTGTGTGTGTATGTGTCCTCCTGTCTGTCTGTGTGCATGTGTGTGTGTATATCACATTTCGGTCAATGATGGACTGCATATACAATAGTGGTCCCATAAGATTATGGTGGAGTTACCCTGTATAGGTGTACTTTTTTTTCATTTGCATTTTACTGTATTTTTATTGTATTTTTACTGTAGATATTTAGCTATATTTAGATACACAAATACTTACCATTATGTTACAATTGCCGACAGTATTCAGTACAGTAACATGCTGTTATGTGTTGCCTAGGAGCAGTATACATAGTATATAGTAGGTTATACCATGCAGGTTTGTGTAAGTACACTTTATGATGTTCACACAATAATGAAATCACTTAACAACACATTTCTCAGAAAGTACCCCTGTCATTAAGCAATACATGGCTATATAAATTATTTTTCCAAAAATTTGAAAAAATATATTACCTTAGCTCCATATTTTAAAAAAGAGTTAGTTATACACACTGTTCATTTCAGCTTTAATCACAGTTGACTTAAGCCACATTTTAAAATTATAGTCTTGATTGCATCAAATTAAATAAATCTGTATTTTTTCATTGTTCATAGCAGTATTTCTTTTTACTTCTCCCAAAATGCAGTGATTTGTTTTTTAAAAGGTCTGGTCATACAGTGATTAAAAGCTGAGTTCCTTTGTATTAAAACTTTTTGGCGTGTCGTACTTTCTTATCTCTGAATTATGCCTTCCTGGAAATATCTGAAACAACAGTAATTTATTTTAGATTCAAAAGAAAATTTTGATAATTATTGTTTCAAAAAAGTGTTATAATTATAAAAACATGAAAACAAAAAAGAAATAAAGCAAAATTTGAAAAATAGCACATTTATTCGTTAGCATTTCTTTCTTAATAGACTGCAATTAATCAGTTTTTATTCAATTTATGTTCAGGGTTTAAAGAATTATTATACACAACATGAGATGAAAGTTTATAGCAAAGGCAGGGTACAACACTGACACTGTAAATGTGAGCAGTTCTTAAGAACAGACAGTTCTTGGCAACTACAATTAAACTCACCACTCTAGGAACAGCACAAATTCTGACAATTTGCAAATTAATTCTATTCTAAGAAAAAAATAAGTCATAAATAAACACAGATGGTTGATTGCCATCAATGGTTAACTTTCACTGGTTGTCTCACCTCTTTTCAAGTAACACCAACTTTCAAATTAAGACTACATCATTTTCATACCTTTTTCCTTTTATTTTGTCACATGAATTCCATATGTGTTTTTAAATTCTTCATTTACCTTCAACATGAACAGTTTTATGTAATAATTTTTTATTAATATAGGATATCCAATGAATGCTTATGGAAAGAGCTTTCACTGATTGATTGTGTCTTTACTGTCGTCTTAGCTCCACTTCCAGAATTATAGAGCATAGGTTGGTAATGCAAGGTCAGCAAACAAAGAAAATATTTCTCAAATATAATCTGATACTACAAAGCCAAGTGCTGCACAATGACATTTCAAACAATGATGGGCTGCACATACTGCAGTATTCCCATTGATTATAATACTGTATTTTTGCTGTAACTTTTCTATGTTTTGGTGTGTTTGGATACACAAATATTTACCATTGTGTTCCAGTTGCTTACAGTATTCAGTTCAGTAACATGCTGTACAGGTTTGTAGCCTAGAAGCAATAGGCTACAACATATAGCCTAGGCTTGTAGTAGGCTATACCATGTAGGTCTGTGTAAGTACACTCTATGATGTTTGTATAACAATAAAATTGCCCTCCAAAATCCCTGTTGTTAAGCAATGCACGACTATTCTATACTGTTCCTAAGAATCATTCACTTGACCCTCTTTGGGTAAGGTTAATTCACACTCACTATCTTCTAAAGTGTTAATTAAATTCTGGACTACAAATATTTGCATGTGAATAGACCTTGAACTGTACAGGGTCCACAAAAAATACCAGGTCTTATCAAATCTAAGATATTATCAATTACAAGATGCACTGTTATATGACTAAAGAAGAAAAAAAATTGCAAATTAAGGTATTGCACATTTATTAAGTGTTATTGATTACAATATGCATCCAGAGTTAAGAGGTAAAAAAACTTGTAGGAAAATGTTCAGGTTAAAATCAATGAAATACGGTAGTTCACATTAAGACTTCTGTGGAAAATGAGCACATCACAGTGTGAAGTTGAATGAGTTATTTAACTCCTTGTGCCTCACCTGCTTTACCTATAGGATGAATATAATACAGATGGAGTATCCCTTATCTGAAATGCTTGCAACCAGAAATGTTTTGGATTTCAGATAGTTTTTCCAATAGTAGAATATTTGCATATGCATAATGAGATATCTTGGGAATGGGACCAAAACCTAAAAACAACATTTATTTATGTTTCATATACACCTTATAAACATAGACTGAATGCAATTTTTTCAGTCATTTTGTGCACAAAACAAAGTTGGTGTACACTGAACTATCAGAGAGCAAAGGGATCGCTCAGCTACACAAGAGGACAATCTGTGGTTGTTTGGCATTGCCATCATTCCTGACTCCAAATTTATATGCTACTGATAAGCAATAATTTTCTTACACTTATTCACGCATAAGTACTTAATAGTAAAAAATATATTATTAATACAGTGAAAAAATAATGTGTTCAGTCAACCAAACAGCACAGTATCATCACTAGAATACTTGTATCAGCTGCTAAACAACAGCAACAACAAATAACAGCAGGCTTTCAGTCTCCACCTGCAACACTGTGTTTTGATTAAAAGGTTGCTGCACACTGTATTTTACTTTTTTAGATGAGAAGAAATATCAGAAGCAGTTGAGGGACCAGGAAGTGGGTTCTCTAGAGATGAGGAAGCATTCTGCTGGATGGCTTTTTAATGTATTTTCTCCAGGGTCATCTGCCTCATTAACAACGCTTTTGTCTTAGAGGTCTCTCTTTGATTTTATAAATAGATGCACTTGTTTTATAAAAGAACATTTTATAAATGTTCTTGTTCTTCTATGAATGCAAAGTGTTCTAGTTCCTCAATAAGCCCATAACACATTTTTGCTATGTTGTCTATAGGCACTTTTTTCCTTGAGGTCATTTGGTAAACTATGTGTTGTGTGCCAGCATTTTGACTGCAGGCCATCAGAGGAGGTTAAGTGTGGACTTTTCCACTTGTGGTGCCATGTCAGCATTCCAAAAGTTTAGGATTTGGGAGCATTTCAGATTTCAGATTTTCAGCTTAGAGATGCTCAGCCTGTAACTGTTTCTCAGTCAAAGGGATGAAAGGAGCTTGTAAAACTGTTAGTGATGTGCCAGATATATAGTAAGTTGAAAATAATTTTAAGTCATATATTATTGTTATTATCTTTTTTACATTGAACTCTCACAGCAAAAAAAAAAATGGAAACAAATGTAAAATAGAGTAGATACAATTGAGAAATTATGAAATAGACAACAGTTATATTAAGAAGTAGGACAAGGCAGACATGTGCAGTAAACCAGAAAGCTTGACAAGAGCTGACAAAAGGTTTCAATTTTACATGGGCAAAGTAGAAATAGAGTGAGAAATCCTCATGGTAAGAACAGAGTGAGCAAAGGCATTGAGGTGAGAACAGTGTGATACTTAGACTGGGTTCAATAAAAGAACTCTAGCTGTAATACATGAGAGCTGGATTTTACCCTACACTGTCATCAATAGACGTGAGTCTTTGTGAAAGTAATTCATCCTCTCTTGGCATCATTTTTCTCATCTCTATAATGTTGCGTCTGTAGAGATGACTTGTCATGACAATAATTTTAATGATCTCTTCTACCCCTAAAATTTTCTATGTCCATGTATACACATGTATGCCCATAGCGGGATAAAGGGAAACTTCCCAAGAGAAAGGGTTACATTAAGGAGAAGTAAGAAAGAAGGTGGACTATTATGCCCTAAGATAGTAGATGGTTTTTGTTTGTTTGTTTGTTTGTTTTTTGTTTTTTGACGGAGTCTTGCTCTGTCGCCCAGGCTGGAGTGCAGTAGCGCTATCTCGGCTTACTGCAAGCTCCGCCTCCCGGGTTCACGCCATTCTCCTGCATCAGCCTCCCGAGTAGCTGGGACTACAGGCGCCCGCGACAATGCCCGGCTAATACTTTGTATTTTTAGTACAGATGGGGTTTCGCCGTGTTAGCCAGGATGGTCTCGATTCCCTGACATAATGATCCGCCCACCTCGGCCTCCCAAAGTGCTGGGATTACAGGCGTGAGCCACCATGCCCAGCCGATAGTAGATGGTTTTTAATCAAGATAAAAGGGCAGACATGATGTAGGCTATTCCGTTGATATTTACCATTCCATTGTTCCCAATATTATTAGTGAAAGTATATAAATCTACACATAAAGATATATATATCCTCACATGTATTCACATATGCTCTTAGAGATAGATTAGATAGATAGGTAGATGGATAGATAGATAGATGATAGGTAGATAGATAGATGATAGGTAGATAGATAAGGCAAATTGTGGAAACTCTTATAACAGAGAATTAATTCTGCATCTAGCAGAATTTAAAATGGCATCTTCTTTTTAATCCAATATTTTGCTTGAGTTACTACAACTATACATAAATTTTTAATTTTCAAAGTACAATAAAGAGCAATTAACAATGATAGTCTGTTAAAATAATTTATATTTTAATTGATAAATTGGGAGCCAATTTAAGAATTTTCAGGATAATTTTAATAATGTAAATTATTGCTTCCCAAAGTTGTGTGGAACTGCCATTTTATGAGCTTGTCAATGAAACTTCCATATACAGATTAGAACATGAAACAACAGAAATTACTATGTCCCTTCCAATATTATATTGATACACATGAAAAGACATGTTTTTTAATTCAATTATTTAGCTTTCAATAATGATGTTTTAGTACCAAAAAAATTAAATCTAAAGAAGAAATCATACACAATATAGCGTGGGAGATGGTGGTAAGTAGAAAACAAAAAAAACATGATGCATCTCATTGTAGTGGGACAGCCTTACAGATTGTAAGACATAGAAAAAATTTCTTTTTTTGAGTATAACTCTAGTATTTATGAGAATGAATATGTGTATGTGTGTGTGTGTGTGTGTGTGTGTGTGTGTGTGTGTGTGTGATTTGACAGTTACTTACCAGCCACTATGGACAGAGAAGCACATTATCACACACTGATGGAGACACCTTGAAGAGGTAACTTACTTGGTGATTTTGTTCCTACACTGGCCTGCACAACAAGGCCTATGGTGCTAAGATGATCCCTTTCTGTATGGACTGAACTGGATCACCCCAAAATGCATATGGTGATGCTCTAAGCCTCATTGTGACTGTATATAGAGATAAGGATTTTAGGAAGTAATTAAGGTTAAATAACATCATATGAGATGGGCTCTAATCCAAAGGATTGGAGGCCTTATAAGAAGAGGAAGAGATTTCCCCACCTACATACACGCTGGGTATGCCAGCCAGGAAAAGACCTCTCACCAAAACAAAACCTCGCTGGCACCCTGATCTCAGACTTCCAGCCCCCAGAACTGGAAAAAATACATAAATTTCTGTTGTTTAGGCCACCCAGTCTGTGATATTTTGTTATGTCAGCCCGAGCAGACTAAGACACTCTTCTTCCTCTGAATTTATCTGATACCACAATTTGTCTTCCTCAAGTTCTCTGGAGCATTGGACTAACTCAGCCTTTTTCAGTCTTTTAACTATGGAGGAACACTTAAAATACCTTTCAAGGCTCAGGGAAACCTGCATAAGTTATTGTATCTGCAACTCATGGTACATTAGCATTAATCATTTGTAGACATAATAATTCACTAATAATTGTCAATGGTCTCTTGAGTTGAGAATGATAGTTTTCAGTGGATGTTTATTTTGGCCATCTTCCTAGCCTACTCCTTTTGTGTGGCTGCAACTCCCCACAAAGGATTATCGACTTGAATACAAGGCAGTAGTGTCGGGTATTGGAAACCCGAGTTTTACCTTTTAAAAATTGTTATCTTGATTTAACTACTTTATCCAAATAGTTCTAAAAGTCACACCACAAATTTCCACTATGCAAGATTCTCCAAAGATATAGCCCATGATACATGGTATATACAAAACTAGTTTTTTCTTCCATATTTGAAACTAAGAATTACTATCTAGCCAACTTTCTAGAAAAAAAATATTAAACATAGTTCACCTTTCTTGAATTAAATCTTTCTTTCCTTTTTGTAAGTTAGGCAAACATAGCAAACTTTTGTTACATAACCAGCTAAAGGCAAATGGAATATTTTTCTAAAAGTAGGCTCAATAGATTTAATTTAAATAACTGTTCTAAATTGATTTTAGTTAGTGTTATTTACAACATAAAAATTTATTAACAATGTTGAATAGTAAAGCTACTAAATCCATAAGTCGAAGAAATAAAAATTAAAATATAGCCTGACACAATTTTATAGACCTACAGATGCACAAAAAGTGTGTCTCCTTAATATGAAAATCATGCTATACAAATACTCAATTATTGATTGAGCTTCAGATAGCTACATAAAGATTCCATTTCCAACTGAAATAGGAAGATTTCTGTACTTGCTCATCCTCAGGAATTGGCTCATTTGACCATAAAACAAAACCTAGTTATAACTAAAATATAAGGCACCACAAATAAATGATAAAAGCATTTAAAAAGTTAAATGATGAAATGGCAAAAATATAAAAGCTTTACAATGCAATTCTCTTTTAAACTACAAAATCCAGATTTTGCAACATTAGCAATAATAGCTAAGTGTCTGGAAATCAGCAAAGTCACTGCATATAAAATTGTCCTCTTTCAAATGAAGTACCCTTAAATTTTGTTTATTACTGCAGAGGATTTTGTTTGCTTTTGAATGTTCATTGGCAGCAAATAAGAGGCAGGTATGGCAGGTGGGAAGAGCTGACATTACTAGCCTCCCTTCCTTCCTTCCATGCAATTCAATGCTCATCAATTATAAATAGCCTTCCCCATGTCATATCAAAAGTGGGAAGAGGACTCAATCATTGGAACATGGCCCTACTGTGTACTCACAAATGAGGCTGATGCACGTTAACAAAGTTAGTAATGGGATGCTTATTAATTAAATGTCTATCACTCTGAGTACTCCCATCACATGGCAATCAAGAACATAAAATTTAAAAAAAAGCGTGCATTTTTTATTTCCCTTTCAGTCACAATCTCTTGTGGAATTCCAATTGACATTTCCTAGAATCCTAGAGTTCTAGAATCTCTGTTGACAAATTCTGCTCTAACTTTGTCAGGCCTCTGAGCCCAAGCCAAGCCATGGCATCCCCTGTGACTTGCACATATACATCCAGATGGCCTGAAGTAACTGAAGATCCACAAAAGAAGTAAAAATAGCCTTAACTGATGACATTCCACCATTGTGATTTGTTCCTGCCCCACCCTAACTGATCAATGTACTTTGTAATCTCCCCCACCCTTAAGAAGGTTCTTTGTAATTCTCCCCATCCTTGAGAATGTACTTTGTGAGATCCACCCCTGCCCGCAAAACATTGCTCTTAACTTCACCGCCTATCCCAAAACCTATAAGAACCAATGATAATCCACCACTCTTTGCTGACTCTCTTTTCAGACTCAGCCCACCTGCACCCAGGTGAAATAAACAGCCATGTTGCTCACACAAAGCCTGTTTGGTGGTCTCTTCACATGGACGCGCATGAAATTTGGTGCCGTGACTCGGATCGGGGGACCTCCCTTGGGAGATCAATCCCCCGTCCTCCTGCTCTTTGCTCCGTGAGAAAGATCCACTTACAACCTCAGGTCCTCAGACCAACCAGCCCAAGAAACATCTCACCAATTTCAAATCCAGTAAGCGGCCTCTTTTTACTCTCTTCTCCAACCTCCCTTGCTATCCCTCAACCTCTTTCTCCTTTCAATCTTGGCACCACACTTCAATCTCTCCCTTCTCTTAATTTCAATTCCTTTCATTTTCTGGTAGAGACAAAGGAGACACGTTTTGTCCGTGGACCCAAAACTCCGGCGCCATTCACGGACTGGCAAGGCAGCCTTCCCTTGGTGTTTGATCATTGCAGGGACGCCTCTCTGATTATTCACCCACGTTTCAAAGGTGTCAGACCACGCAGGGACACCTGCCTTGGTCCTTCACCCTTAGTGGCAAGTCCCGCTTTTCTGGGGGAGGGGCGAGTACCCCCAACCCCTTCTCCTTCACCCTTAGTGGCAAGTCCCGCTTTTCTAGGGGGCAAGAACCCCCAATCCCTTATTTCCGCACCCCAACCTCTTATCTCTGTGCCCCAATCCCTTATTTCCACACCCCAACCTCTTATCTCTGTGTCCCAATCCCTTATTTCCGTGCCCCAACCCTTTCTCTGCTTTTCTGGAGGGCAAGAAGCCCCCACCCCTTCTCCATGTCTCTACTCTTTTCTCTGGGCTTGCCTCCTTCACTATGGGCAAGTTTCCACCCTCCATTCCTCCTTCTTCTCCCTTAGCCTGTGTTCTTAAGAACTTAAAACCTCTTCAACTCTCACCTGACCTAAAATCTAAGTGTCTTATTTTCTTCTGCAATGCTGCTTGACCCCAATACAAACTTGACAGTAGTTCCAAATAGCCGGAAAACGGCACTTTCAATTTTTCCATCCTACAAGATCTAAATAATTCTTGTCGTAAAATGGGCAAATGGTCTGTGGTGCCTGACATCTAGGCATTCTTTTACACATCAGTCCCTTCCTAGTCTCTGCGCCCAATGCAACTCATCCCAAATCTTCCTTCTTTCCCTCCTGCCTGTCCCCTCAGTCCCAACCCCAAGCATCGCTGAGTCTTTCTAATCTTCCTTTTCTACAGACCCATCTGACCTCTCCCCTCCTCGCCAGGCCAAGCTAGGTCCCAATTCTTCCTTAGCCTCTGCTCCTCCACCCTATAATCTTTTTATCACCTCCCCTCCTCACACCTGGTCCAGCTTACAGTTTCGTTCCGTGATTAGCCCTCCCCCACCTGCCCAGCAATTTACTCTTAAAAAGGTGGCTGGAGCTAAAGGCATAGTCAAGGTTAATGCTCCTTTTTCTTTATCCCAAATCAGACAGCGTTTAGGCTCTTTTTCATCAAATATAAAAATCCAGCCCAGTTCATGTCTCGTTTGGCAGCAACCCTGAGACGCTTTACAGCCCTAGACCCTAAAAGGTCAAAAGGCCGTCTTATTCTCAAAATACATTTTATTACCCAATCTGCTCCCGACATTAAATAAAACTCCAAAAATTAAATTCCGGCCCTCAAACCCCACAACAGGATTTAATTAACCTCGCCTTCAAGGTGTACAATAATAAAAAATAAGTTGCAATTCCTTGCCTCCACTGTGAGACAAACCCCAGCCACATCTCCAGCACACAAGAACTTCCAAACGCCTGAACTGCAGCAGCCAGGCGTTCCTCCAGAACCTCCTCCCCCAGGAGCTTGCTACAAGTGCCAGAAATCTGACCACCAGGCCAAGGAATGCCTGCAGCCCAGGATTCCTCCTAAGCCATGTCCCATCTGTGCGGGACCCCACTGGAAATCGGACTGTTCAACTCACCTGGCAGCCACTCCCAGAGCCCCTGGAACTCTGGCCCAATGCTCTCTGACTGACTCCTTCTTGGCTTAGTGGCTGAAGACTGACGCTGCCTGATCCCCCCGGAAGCCCTGTAGACCATCACGGATGCCGAGGTTTAGGTAACTCTCACAGTGGAAGGTAAGTCTGTCCCCTTCTTAATCAATACGGAGGCTACCCACTCCACATTACCTTCTTTTCAAGGGCCTGTTTCCCTTGCCTCCATAACTGTTGTGGGTATTGACAGCCAGGCTTCTAAACCTCTTAAAACTCCCCACCTCTGGTGCCAACTTAGACAATACTCTTTTAAGCACTCCTTTTTAATTATCCCCACCTGCCCAGTTCCCTTATTAGGCTGAGACACTTTAACTAAATTATCTGCTTCCCTGACTATTCCTGGATTACAGCTACATCTCATTGCTGCCCTTCTTCCCAATCCAAAGCCTCCTTTGCGTCCTCCTCTTGTATTCCCCCACCTTAACCCACAAGTATAAGATACCTCTACTCCCTCCTTGGCGACCGATCATGCACCCCTTACCATCTCATTAAAACCTAATCACCCTTACCCCACTCAATGCCAAGATCTCATCCCACAGCATGCTTTGAAAGGATTAAAGCCTGTTATCACTCGCCTGCTACAGCATGGCCTTTTAAAGCCTATAAACTCTCCTTACAATTCCCCCATTTTACCTGTCCTAAAACCAGACAAGCCTTACAAGTTAGTTCAGAATCTGTGCCTTATCAACCAAATTGTTTTGCCTACCCACCCCATGGTGCCAAACCCATATACTCTCCCATCCTCAATACCTTCCTCCACAACTCACTATTCTGTTCTTGATCTTAAAGAGCCTTTTTTCACTATTCCCCTGCACCCCTCGTCCCAGCCTCTATTTTCTTTCACTTAGACTGACCCTGACACCCATCAAGCTCAGCAAATCACCTGGGCTGTACTGCCGCAAGTCTTCACAGACAGACCCCATTACTTCAGTCAAGCCCAAATTTCATCCTCATCTGTTACCTATCTCGGCATAATTCTCATAAAAACACACGTGCTCTCCCTGCTGATCGTGTCCGATTAATCTCCCAAACCTCAATCCCTTACAAAACAACAACTCCTTTCCTTCCTAGGCATGGTTAGTGCAGTCAGAATTCTTACACAAGAGCCAGGACCGCACCCTGTAGCCTTTCTGTCCAAACAACTTGACCTTACTGTTTTAGCCTAGCCCTCATGTCTGCGTGCAGCGGCTGCTGCTGCTTTAATACTTTTAGAGGCCCTAAAAATTGCAAACTATGCTCAACTCACTCTCTACATTTCTCATAACTTCCAAAATCTATTTTCTTCCTCATACCTGATGCATATACTTTCTGCTCCTGGCTCCTTCAGCTGTACTCACTCTTTAAGTCCCACAATTACCATTGTTCCTGGCCCAGACTTCAATCTGGTGTCCCACATTATTCCTGATACCACACCTGACCCCCGTGACTGCATCTCTCTGATCCACCTGATATTCACCCCATTTCCCCATATTTCCTTCTTTCCTGTTCCTCACCCTGATCACGCTTGATTTATTGATGGCAGTTCCACCAGGCCTAATCGCCACACACCAGCAAAGGCAGGCTATGCTACAGTACAAGCCACTAGCCCGCCTCTCAGAACCTCTCATTTCCTTTCCATCGTGGAAATCTATCCTCAAGGAAATAACTTCTCAGTGTTCCATCTGCTATTCTACTACTCCTCAGGGATTATTCAGGCCCCCTCCCTTCCCTACACATCAAGCTCTAGGATTTGCCCCCACCCAGGACTGGCAAATTAGCTTTACTCAACATGCCCTGAGTCAGGAAACTAAAATACCTCTTAGTCTAAATAGACACTTTCACTGAATAAGTAAAGGCCTTTCCTACAGGGTCTGAGAAGGCCATCGCAGTCATTTCTTCCCTTCTGTCAGACATAATTCCTCAGTTTAGCCTTCCCACCTCTATACAGTCTGAAAACAGACCAGCCTTTGTTAGTCAAATCAGCCAAGCAGTTTTTCAGGCTCTTAGTATTCAGTGAAACCTTTATATCCCTTACAGTCCTCCATCTTCAAGAAAAGTAGAATGGACTAAAGGTCTTTTAAAAACACACCTCACCAAGCTCAGCCACCAACTTAAAAAGGACTTGACAATACTTTTACCACTTTCGCTTCTCAGAATTCAGGCCTGTCCTCAGGCTGCTACAAGGTACAGCCCATTTGAGCTCCTTTTTATTAGGCCCCAGTCTCATTCCAGACACCAGACCAACTTAGACTGTGCCCCAAAAAAACTGGTCATCCCTACTATTTTCTGTCTAGTCATACTCCTATTCTCCGTTCTCAACTACTCATACATGTCCTGCTCTTGTTTACACTGCCGGTTTACACTGTTTCTCCAAGCCATCACAGCTGATATCTCCTCCTGCTATCCCCAAACTGCCACTCCTAACTCTTGAAGTAAATAAATAATCTTTGCTGGCAGGACTATGCTGAATCTCCTTAGGCACTCTCTAATCAGATGTCCTAGGTCCTCCCAATTCTTAGAACTTTTATACCTGTTTTTCTCCTTTTCTTATTCCATTTAGTTTTTCAATTCATACAAAACCATATCCAGGCCATCACCAATAATTCTACATAACAAATGTTTCTTCTAACAACCCCACAATATCACCCCTTATCACAAAATCTTCCTTCAGCTTAATCTCTCCCACTTTAGGTTCCCACGCTGCCCCGAATCCCGCTTGAAGCAGCCCTGAGAAACATCGCCCATTCTCTCTCCATACCACCTCCCAAAAATTTTTGCCGCCCCAAGACTTCAACACTATTTTGTTTTATTTTTTTTATGAATATAAGAAGGCAGGAATGTCGGGCCTCTGAGCCCAAGCCAAGCCATGGCATCCCCTGTGACTTGCACGTATACATCCAGATGGCCTGAAGTAACTGAAGATCCACAAAAGAAGTAAAAATAGCCTTAACTGATGACATTCCACCATTGTGATTTGTTCCTGCCCCACCCTAACTGATCAATGTACTTTGTAATCTCCCCCACCCTTAAGAAGGTTCTTTGTAATTCTCCCCATCCTTGAGAATGTACTTTGTGAGATCCACCCCTGCCCGCAAAACATTGCTCTTAACTTCACCGCCTATCCCAAAACCTATAAGAACCAATGATAATCCACCACTCTTTGCTGACTCTCTTTTCAGACTCAGCCCACATGCACCCAGGTGAAATAAACAGCCATGTTGCTCACACAAAGCCTGTTTGGTGGTCTCTTCACACGGATGCACATGAAAAACTTTACATGTCAGATTTGACTAATTGCTAGTGGAGGAAGGTACATTTTTGAAAGAACTAAACATCATAACCAGGAAATGGGATTTTGTGAAAAATGATAGAAAACTGTAGAAAGGTAATTTAAAGAAGGATATACCTTTCAAAGGGAAGCAGGGAGCAAGGACCTGAGGACAGGGATGCAAAGTTAGAAATTTGGGATTTTCACAAGAGAGTCCCTGAAAAGAACTTTACTTCTTGTGGCTTTGCCAGTGAACTGTAAGAATAGTCATCAAAATATAATACTTTTTTCTTGTTAGTTACCCTGATCAGGTCAGTAAACCTGATACATTTGTGCAAACTTACGGGATATCATTGTAGAGAATAAGGTCATGAGGCATTTATGGGAAGCCTGGCTCCCCATGCTTTGGAACTGAGTACAACTAGCAGTGAAGTGAGGAGTGGTTCCAAGCAACAAAAGAAGGGCAGTTCCTGAATCTACAGCTTACGAGGAATTATGGGTAAACCTCCACTTGTTCCATCCATGCTAGAGCAATGGGAAGGAACATCAGTTGGGTTGCATATATTTACTCTCTCCTCTACCTCACCTCTCATTTACATCTCACCACCTTCTGTAATCTACTGAAGCAGTTCTTGTAAAGTAATCAACTACCTTCTAATCACCAAATCCAGGAAATATTTTCCAAACACTATTTTTTGAAGCCGTCTCCTCATTTGGCACTATGATCTCCTTAAAATTTACAACTACTTTCACTTCCCAGAGATCACTTACTCCTCATTCTTTTACTTCTCTACTTCTTCTGTGAGGCTTTATTCTCTACTTCCCTTCCAGATTCATTTTCCTTTGCCCACTGTTTTAATGTTAGTCTATCCCCGGCCATCTTCTGTAGTTTATGACTTTACTTACTCTACACAAAGTCCCTGAATCATCTTATCCTTCTGCTTTAACAGACACACACACACACACACACACACACACTCGTACACACACACAGATTGGCTAATTCAGAAAGCCCAGTCATGAAATTGCTAGGAAGGATGTAAAAGCAGGCTTCGGTGACCAGAAGGAGTGGAAGGACACTAGGCAGCAGAGAATGTGGCCAAGGTCACCCAGCAGGAAGTTGGTTTGACTTCTTTGCTCATTTTGTCCCATGTGATACTAGCTACCGTAATTGGTGGACCATCGTGGACCAGCTACCACTGTTATGAGCAATCAGTCAATGTTCTTCCATCTTGGCACACCAGATTCAAAATCCTGAGCAGGCGCATCTGAAATGGTCATACTACTTTGCGCAGAGAGAGAATGTTAAGTCCTTTTGGGTGCCCTGATTCCCATCTAAACTCACACAATGGGGAATTCCTGAAAGAAAAATAAACACACTCAGGTAACAAGCACCCAGAACAATACATACATACATATGTACATATATACATCACAGCATCCCAGAGTTCTCATGGCCCTAAACTGCCCCCACATCCCCGTGGCAATCACTGTCCTAATTTTCAACAGCATAATTTAGTTTTCTCACATTTTGAACTATTTGTGAGAATTACTAGTGGCATCATATGTGTTTTTAAATCATTTATTCCCATTTTACATAAAATTCAATTATATGGATATATCAAAATGTGTTTTCATTTTGTCCATGTTCAACTAATATGATTAGTGTTACTATGAGCATTCTTGTATATGTTTTATGGTAAATGGATGAGCATATTTCTGCCAGGAAGAGAACTTTTTAACATTTTTCACTATACCATTTTTGCTCACATTTATTTTATTTTATTTTATTTTATTTTATTTTATTTTATTTATTTATTTATTTTGAGACAGTCTCGCTCTGTCACCCAGGATCAAGTGCAGTGGCGCAATCTTAGCTCACTGCAAGCTCTGCCTCCCAGGTTCACACCATTCTCCTGTCTCAGCCTCCGGAGTAGCTGGGACTACATGTGCCCACCACCACGCCCAGCTAATTTTTTTGTATTTTTAATGGAGACGGGGTTTCATCATGTTAGCCAGGATGGTCTCAATCTCCTGACCTCGTGATCCGCCTGCCTCGGCCTCCAAAAGTGCTGGGATTACAGGCGTGAACCACCACGCCCAGTCCATTTTTGCACATATTTAGAACTACCCTGTAGATATACACATTACCTCAGTTTCCAGTACAACACAAAAGTACAAATGAAAGAAAAGTGCAAAAAATTACTTAATGGATGTGATACATTCTAATGTTTCCCGCTCTATTTTTTAATGCATTCAATTTTTTTTTTTTAAACCTCGAGCTACAGGATAAAAGCGAGAGGCCTTGGAGGAGTACCCATTGCTGCTTCCATCCCTGTCCATCTTGTCAGCCTCACATCCTGCCCCTCCCTACCTAAACTTTTTCTGTCCTAGCCATAAATGACTGTTTAGGATTTCCTGCTTCTCCCCTCCATACAGGCATTTGCTCATTTTTCCCCCTCTGTCCTTAGTGTGCCAATCCTCATCCCCATTTTATCCAAATGCCTTTTCTTAACCAGACCTCTCACCCCAAGTCAACCTTAGGTGGCCTCATGAGTATTCCATCATGCACTCGAAGTATCTCTACTATTTTATCAACTATTCTGCATGATACTGATTTATGTATCTGTGAGGCCCTTGAGGGCAGCAACTGCTTCCTTCATTATTATAGCTCTAGGATTTAGCACAAAACCAGCATGAAGCATATAGTCAATAAATATTTATTATATAAATGATTTAACTTAAATTCAGAAACCTGGGTTTCAGTTCCAGGTCTGCTTTTCATTATCTACTTGTGTTTTGGCAGGTTGCTTATCTTAAGTGAGACTTGGTTTTCTTATCTGCTAAAGAGAGGGATCATAATATTCATCCAACTGACTGAGATTGTTAAGATCAAATAAGACAATGCAATTACACAACCCCTTATAAAAGTGTGTATATAGATATATACACATATATACACACATATGTGTATATATACTGTGCTAACAGATTAGAAAATTAGATTCATGTCATGTTTTTCGTGTGTTTTATTCTTGGTACATTACATTTGTTACTCAATGTTTCAGTTAAGTTGAATCTGCTTTATGAAACTTAAAATCCTCATGTTATTAAATGTCAGACACGGTGCTTAAATATATAGTTAGGAGAGTCAAGGAGTCAAGTATTCCATCAACCAGTTGAATCTAAGCTAAGACCATATCTAACTTAAAATACATAAATTTTTTTAGTAGATATTGCTTATCCAAACCAAATCTTCAGCTTTCAATGTGTGTGGTAAGCTGTAATATATCTTAGAAGAAATTAGGATACATGCAACATGATACTTCTGAAAAGGTTCACACTGTGTAAAAAGTCCATTTGTGTCCATGCACTACCTGATATGTAATCCCAGCCCCATTCTGCATTTTTAATACAGGCAAAATGCCCATTAAAACAAATACATTGATAACATGAAAGTATCCATTATTCACCCTATTGGCTGAGTTAATCTTTAAATATTAAAAAGCAAATATAACTTTCTTTTACTGAAAAGAGCCTGAAAGAAACAGGATAAAGTCATCAGGAATAAAGGCAAGATGGTAAATTGAAGAATGGAAAAGGATTTTTAAAATCCAGATAAAACTAGGGAAATTTAGGGCAGGGTTATAAACTAAAATGTAGATGTTTACATACAATACATCCAGGCAGATGTTTCTGTAAGTATGTGAAGCCTGTAGGGTCCGAGGGTTGCAACTTCTGAGTACTGGTGATTGCGGCAAACCAGCTCAAGCCCAGGCTGAAGAAGGCAGCCTCTATTGGCTTTTGCTCATAACCATGCCAGAAATACAGACACAGCATTGCCAGAAGTTCTGACTTTGCACAGAAAATTATTTCAATTTTATGTCAACTTTCTAGATTTTCAACGTTATTTCCATTTTTAAGCTGTACAGGCCAAAAAATAACAGCTTTGAATCAGATCCAGGCTTCTCATCTACCAGTGTGAAAAATTTAGCATCCCTCACCCCCCAAACAAAACCAGAACAAATAAGGATGATACTAAATACAGATTATGTGCCAATAATAAAGTGATTTTTAAGTGAAGAGAATGCTTATTATTATGGCTAATAAGCATTGGTATTACAGTTAGTTATTAGGTTATTTGATACACTTAATTTTTTCAGTTTTAGAGGAATATTTAGCAATTAGAATATGTCTAGAAAAAGTAATCTAAAATAGCATGTCTGGAAAGGCTAGGGAAAGGTTACACCAATTTCTATCAAGAGAGTTGTAGTTATTTACCCAACTTCCCATGAAAATTGAGTATGGTGACTCATTGCCTCTTTGGGCTTTTGCATTTCCTGTTTTCTTTACGTGAAATGTCCTTCTATCTAGTCTTTTACCTGATTAATTCTACATGGATAACATCTCCAGAAAATCATCCCTGCACTCCCAAAACTGAGCCCTTCTTATGTTTTTTATTACATTTGGTGTATATTCCTATTGTAGTACATCCCTTGTTATTCCTTCTTTATTTATCTTCCTCCTGTAGATCATTCATTCCTTGGGGATTATGTCTTGTTCATTTTTAAATCCTAGGACCTAGCCTAATGGGAACATATAAAGGATACGTAATAAATATTGATGAATAGATAAATGAATCAATGAATATATCAATCAATGGACAGGTGACTTTTTCATCTGACATAGATATACATAGGCTACTGTTATTTTGTAAGTTTCTCACAAATTTACATTCTACCCAGGAAATATACTTGGCCTTGCAAACATTTATAACATGTTGAAAAACTATACTTGCAGATGTTATAGGAGAATTAAAGGTACTAGCATTTATTGATTATCAGTGATATGCCAAATTTCTTTTCTTTCTTTTCTTTTTTTTTTTTTTTTGAGAGGGAGTTCCATTCTGTTACCCAGGCTAGAGTACAGTGTTGCAATCTTGGCTCACTGCAAGCTCTGCTTCCTGGGTTCCAGCGATTCTCCAGAGCCTTAGCCTCCCGAGTAGCTGGAATGACAGGCATGCACCACGACGCCCAGCTAATTTTTGTATTTTTAGTAGAGACAGGGTTTCGCCATGTTGGCCAGGCTGCTCTCAAACTCCTGACCTCAAGTGATCCACCCTCCTCGGCCTCCCAAAGTGCTGGGATTACAGACGTGAGCCACCACGCCCAGTCCCAAATTTCATTATGTATTCTTCAAAATAACTCCAAAAGTTAGTCATTATTATTCTTACTTCACAAATAAAGAAAAAGGGTGATGAAAATTGAGTAAGTTGTGTAAGATCACATATTGATAAAGCGAGGGAACCACAATTCTAAAGAAGGTTCTTTTAGGCTCCAGAGTTCATGATCTTTCCCTGATAGCAATGCTGCTTTTCTATAAGCTCTGATGGAAAGGAGGGCTTCCTTGAAAGAGTTGCACTGACTTTCACAGGATGTTTCTCAGAGTAATTTACTCTTAAAGAGCCATAACTGTGTGCATGGTAAGATGGATGCACATATATTTGTTAGAAAGAGGTTGTTACTTAAATTTCACTTAAAATGTACTACAATGTCCTTGTTTCTGGAAATTTATTTGTTCTGATGAAACACTTCGTGGTCTCTATTATTATGTAATATTTTTCATTATCTTTCCATTGTCTCAACATCTAATCTCTTGCTAAGTGGAACACAGATGAGAAGTGGACAAATCTGTGTTGGAGTTCTAAGAGCCTACTGAGAGGAAAGGGGTTAAGTCATTGATGAAACTCCTTCCCTTTCATGTTGAACGTCTTCAGAAACTAAGTTAACATGCTCCAATTTGGACTCTTGTCACCAGATTTGATCAAAGGCTCTGTCTGCTTCTCTTATTTGCTTAGATAATGCCTTCTATCCCTGAAAGACTCAGTTCAGATTTTACCTACTTTAAAAAATCTGTATGTATCAGGATCTAAAGAGAAAAGCAGATACAAACTAATCTAAGTATGTCAAACACAAGAAATTAGAACAGGAAATTGACTTTGCATAAGAGGAAGAGTCTAAGAATCCAGCTAGGGCAGAGTAGGTCAACCCTAAGAATAAGGAAAACAGGAAACTATCCCGAAGCTTAGAAGACCAAAGGAGAAAATGGCATTACTAGGAACAACTGCAGAAAGCTGGAATCCCAGAAGGGCTGCCTGGTAGAAACTAGAATCACAAAAATAACCTCCCTCCTCATGTCCCATTAGTGGCAACCACTGATGACTGGTCTCGTTTATAAGATCAGTTGACTCAGGAGGCTAGAAAACAGAGCCTCCTGAGGTTAGTCCTCCTGAGAAAAAGAACAGAACAAGGTAAGGCTGAGGAGTGGAAGGAAGAATAAAAACCCCGTCTCTAACCCTAAACACTATCCCAGCTTCTCCACTTCCATACATGTTAGTTGTCCTTCTTATGCTCCCATGAAATATGATTACATCTCTTTGCACTGTGGTCCTCTTACTTCTGTGGGAGATGATGAGGTGCATGAGATCAGGGACTGTGAATATTTTATGACTAAATGAATAAATGAATGAATGTCCCATAGTGCTTTCCTGCTAATAGATACTACTGCTTTATTTTCAGTCTCATATTACTGATTGTTTTTCAAAAGCACACACCATTGAACACTGAGGCTTGCCCATGTATTAGAACCTGGAAATTAGTTGGGCTTAACTTCTGGATGTTATAGCTGAATGTTATAGGGGATTTTAGCCATTCCTTTCCATCCTGTAGTTCTATAAATATACTGCCATGCCTTAGGGTATTTCAAAATAGACAGTATAAATTCTAGGAGTCTTAAAATGTTTACTAAATAAGGAATAAGATGCATCATTTACACAAATTTTGAGAAAAATGCCTGAGGAACAATAAAATACTTCCTTTGTATTAGAGAACTGACAACCATATGTTTTCCTGTTAATCTTTCATATTATATCTTTAAAAAATCATGTGATCTTATAGTAAAATATTTTCAATATGTAAAATATCTTCCTTTTTTAGATGACAAAGAAAATAAGATATCACGTTAAAAATAGTTATTTCTTTTAATTAGAAGAGGCAGTTTCTACTTTCTTTTTTTATTATTATACTTAAAGTTCTAGGGTACATGTGCACAACATGCAGGTTTGTTACATATGTATACATGTGCCATGTTGGTGTGCTGCACCCATTAACTCATCATTTACATTAGGTATATCTCCTAATGCTATCCCTCCCCATGCCCCCACTCCACAACAGGCCCAGGTGTGTGATGTTCCCCATCCTGTGTTCAAGTGTTCTCATTGTTCAATTCCTACCTATGAGTGAGAACATGCAGTGTTTGGTTTTCTGTCCCTGTGATAGTTTGCTCAGAATGATGGTTCCCAGCTTCATCTATGTCCCTACAAAGGACATGAACTCATCCTTTTTTATGGCTGCATAGTATTCCATGGTGTATATGTGCCACATTTTCTTAATGCAGTCTATCATTGATGGACACTTGGGTTGGTTCCAAGTCTTTGCTATTGTGAATAGTGCCGCAATAAACATACGTGTGCATGTGTCTTTATAGCAGCATGATTTATAATCCTTTGGGTATGTACCCAGTAATGGGATGGCTGGGTCAAATGGTATTTCTAGTTGTAGATCCTTGAGGAATCGCCATAGTGTCTTCCACAATGGATGAACTAGTTTACAGTCCCACCAACAGCATAAAAGTGTTCCTATTTCTCCACATCCTCTCCAGCACCTGTTGTTTCCTGACTTTTTAATGATTGCCATTCTAACTGGTGTGAGATGGTATCTTATTGTGGTTTTGATTTGCATTTCCCTGATGGCCAGTGATGAGGAGCATTTTTTCATGTGTCTGTTGGCTGCATAAATGTCTTCTTTTGAGAAGTGTCTGTTCATATCCTTTGCCCACTTTTTGAGGGGGCGGTTTGATTTTTTCTTGTAAATTTGTTTGAGTTCTTTGTAGATTCTGGATATTAGCCCTTTATCAGATGGGTAGATTGCACAAATTTTCTCCCATTCTGTAGGTTGCCTATTCACACTGATGGTAGTTTCTTTTGCTGTGCAGAAGCTCTTCAGTTTAATTAGATCCCATTTGTCAATTTTGGCTTTTGTTGCCATTGCTTTTGGTTTTTAGACATGAAGTCCTTGCCCATGCCAATGTCCTGAATGGTATTGCCTAGGTTTTCTTCTAGGGTTTTCATGGTTTTAGGTCTAACATTTAAGTCTTAAGTCTTTAATCCATCTTGAATTAATTTTTGTATACGGTGTAAGGAAGGGATCCAGTTTCAGCTTTCTATATATGGCTAGCCAGTTTTCCCAGCACCATTTATTAAATAGGGAATGCTTTCCCCATTTCTTGTTTTTGTCAGGTTTGTCAAAGATCAGATGGTTGTAGACGTGTGGTATTATTTCTGAGGGCTCTGTTCTGTTCCATTGGTCTGTATCTCTGTCTTGGTTCCAATACCATGCTGTTTTGGTTACTGTAGCCTTGTAGTATAGTTTGAAGTCAGGTAGCGTGATGCCTCCAGCTTTGTTCTTTTGGCTTAAGATTGCCTTGGCAATGCGGGCTCTGTTTTGGTTCCATATGAACTTTAAAGTAGTTTTTTCCAATTCTGTGAAGAAAGTCACTGGTCGCTTGATGGGGATGGCATTGAATCTATAAATTACCTTGGGCAGTATGGCCATTTTCACGATACTGATTTTCCCTATCCATGAGCATGGAATATTCTTCCATTTGTTTGTGTCCTCTTTTATTTCATTGAGCAGTGGTTTGTAGTTCTCCTTGAAGAGGTCCTTCACATCCCTTGTAAGTTGGATTCCTAAGTATTTTATTCTCTTTGAAGCAATTGTGAATGGGTGTTCACTCATGATTTGGCTCACTGTTTGTCTGTTATTGGTGTATAAGAATGCTTGTGATTTTTGTACATTGATTTTGTATCCTGAGACTTTGCTGAAGTTGCTTATCAGCTTAAGGAGATTTTGGGATGAGATGATGGGGTTTCCTAGATATACAATCATGTCATCTGCAAACAGGGACAATTTGACTTCCTGTTTTCCTAATTGAATACGCTTTATTTCCTTCTCCTTCTTAATTGCCCTGGCCAGAACTTCCAACACTATGTTGAATAGGAGTGGTGACAGAGGGCATCCCTGTCTTGTGCCAGTTTTCAAAGGGAATGCTTCCAGTTTTTGCCCATTCGGTGTGATATTGGCTGTGGGTTTGTCATAAATAGCTCTAATTATTTTGAGATACATCCCATCAATACCTAGTTTATTGAGAGTTTTTAGCATGAAGCGCTGTTGAATTTTGTCGAAGGCCTTTTCTGCATCTATTGAGATAATCATGTGGTTTTTGTCTTTGGTTCTGTTTATATGCTGGATTACATTTATTGATTTGCGAATGTTGAACCAGCCTTGCATCCCAGGGATGAAGCCAACTTGATCGTGGTGGATAAGCTTTTTGATGTGCTGCTGGATTTGGTTTGCCAGTATTTTATTGAGGATTTTTCCATGATATTCATGAGGATTATTGGTCCAACATTCTCTTTTTTTTGTTGTGTCTCTGCCAGGCTTTGGTATCAGGATGATGCTGGCCTCATAAAATGAGTTAGGGAAGATTCCCTCTTTTTCTATTGTTTGGATTAGTTTCAGAAGGAACGGTACCAGCTCCTTTTTGTACCTCTGGTAGAATTTGGCTGTGAATCCATCTGGTCCTGGACTTTTTTTGGTTGGTAGGCTATTAATTATTGCCTCAATTTCAGAGCCTGTTATTGGTCTATTCAGGGATTCAACTTCTTCCTGGTTTAGTCTTGGGAGGGTGTATGTGTCCAGGAATTCATCCATTTCTTCTTGATTTTCTAGTTTATTTGCATAGAGGTGTTTATAGTATTCTCTGATGGTCGTTTGTATTTTTGTGGGATTGGGGTGATATCCCCTTTATCATTTTTTATTGCATCTATTTGAGTCTTCTCTTTTCTTCTTTATTAGTCTTGCTAGCGGTCTATCAATTTTGTTGATCTTTTCACAAAACCAGCCCCTGGATTCATTGATTTTTTTGTAGGGTTTTTTGTGTCTCTATCTCCTTCAGTTCTGCTCTGATCTTAGTTATTTCTTGCCTTCTTCTAGCTTTTGAATGTGTTTGCTCTTGCTTCTCTAGTTCCTTTAATTGTGACGTTAGGGTGTCAATTTTAGATCTTTCCTGCTTTCTCTTGTGGGCATTTAGTGCTATAAGTTTCCCTCTACACCCTGCTTTAAATGTGTCCCAGAGATTCTGGTATGTTGTGTCTTTGTTCTCATTGGTTTCAAGGAACATCTTTATTTCTGCCTTCATTTTGTTATGTACCCAGTAGCATTCAGGAGCAGGTTGTTCAGTTTCCATGTAGTTGAGCAGTTTTGAGTGAGTTTTTGAATCCTGAGTTCTCTTCTGATCTTTGTTGGTTTAAAGTCTGTTTTATCAGAGACTAGGATTCCAACCCCTCGTTTTTTATGTTTTCCATTTGCTTGGTAGATCATCCTCCATCCCTTTATTCTGAGCCTATATGTGTCTCTGCATGTGAGATGGGTCTCCTGAATACAGCACACTGATGGGTCTTGCCTCTTTATCCAATTTGCCAGTCTGTGTCTTGTAATTGCAGCATTTAGCCCATTTACATTTAAGGTTAATATTGTTATGTGTGAATTCGATCCTGTCATTATGATGTTAGATGGTTATTTTGCTCGCTAGTTGATGCGGTTTCTTCCTAGCATCGATGGTCTTTACAATTTGGCATGTTTTTACCCCAGTGACATGAACCCAGTACCTCAGTTGGAAATGTAGAAATCACCCATCTTCTGTGTCGCTCACGCCAGAAGCTGTAGACTGGAGCTGTTCCTATTCAGCCATCTTGGAACCTAGTTTCTACTTTCTTATTGTGAAAATACATTCTGTAAAGTCATTTGGTGTCAAGTATTTGTTCAGCTCATGTGTTTCTGAATTGAAGCATGCTGTTTTACAGAAGGGCTTGTTAATTGAACACTGTTTCCCAAACTGTGTTCTGTGGTGCACAGCAATGCAGGGTTTAACAAGGTATTATATTAATAGATAATTCCATGGCCAATTAATTTTGGGAAATGATGGATTAAAAAATGAATAATCAAGTTTATTTACTGGAGAAATTATTAAGAGTCTTTAATATGTTAATGCACTGCAAATCTCCAAGGAAGAAAGAGAACATCATTTTTGGCAGAATACTTGCATAATGTGAGAAATTCTATATAAGAAGAAAATACAAATTTACGGTAAGTTACAGAACACAACTACCAAAACATTACTTTCTATTGGATAAATACATGAATATATAACCATAAGGAATAGAAGTTTCAAACTGATTAGATGAAAATGTTCTGTCTAGAGGGGAATTCAATGAGTAAAACAAAAAACTTACAGGCAACATCCAAATAAAATGAGGTGATAACATATCCACAAGAAACCCAGAATATGGGCAAATAGAGCTAAATCACCAGCAGTAAATGTAAATGCTACAAACATTTTGGAAAGCAAAATTTGACAAATTCTAACAAAGTAGACATAGGTGTCCTAGGTTCAGTCTCATTTCTAGGTATATATTTAGGAACCTAGAAAAATATTATAAAATCTCTGTAGAAACATTGTTTATAACATCAAAAAACTGGCAACAACTTAAATGACCCTCAACAAGAGAATGGATAAATGAACTCCTGTATAATCATACAGTGAAATAAAATAGATTAAAAAATTAAAGGAACATGGGTGAAGGTAAAGAATTCTCACAAACTATATTGAACAAAAAGTTTTTAAAAAGTAGATTGCAGAATAATATTAGAGAATTAATTCTCACAAACTATACAAACTATATTGACCAAAAAGTTTTTAAAAAGTAGATTGCAGAATAATATTAGAAAATTATAACTATGAAAATTTAAAAACTTGCAAAGTCATTATATATTATTTAAGAATATGCCCTTATTGAAGAAGATATATATGTGTATACATGTGTATATATATGTGTGTGTATATATGTGTGTATATATGTATACATATATGTGTGTATACATGGATTTGTGTTTATATATTATATATATGTATGTATATATATATATTTACATGAAATTTGTGGGAAAAGATACACCGCTGTAGGATATTGGTAACTCTGGGAGTAGAGAGAAAAATATAGTTGGAAAAACTTATCAGCCAGGCGCGGTGGCTCATGCCTGTAATCCCAGCACTTAGGGAGGCTAAGACAGGCTGATTACTTGATGTCAGTAGTTTGAGACCAGCCTGGTAAACATGGCAAAACCTTGTCTCTACAAATAATACAAAAAAAATTAGGTGGGCATGTTGGCACAAGCGTGTAATCCCAGCTACTCAGGAGGCTGAGGCACGAGAATCACATGAACCCAAGAGGTGGAGGTTGCAGTGAGCCAAGATTGTGACACTGCACTCCAGCTGGGAGACAGAGTAAAACCGTGTCTCAAAAAAAGAAAAAAAAAAGGAATAAAAGAAAGACTTACTAATCAATTTTACCTGCATAAGTAACATCTCATTTCTGAACTAGGGGTGGCTCCATATGCAATGATTGCATTATCTTTATACATTTTCATGACTTAAATGCTTTATGATAAATTCAAAAGCCAATCTAACTCGTATTTTTTCTATGACTGTATGACATAGGGTTCTCTAGTTACACCCATAATCTGGAGCAAATCTCTCTGTAGTTTCTTTGAGTTCCAATCCCCAATGCATTTACTCTCCTGTGCTACAACACATATAGACATCACTTCTCTTCCCTTTCTCCTCAGAAGAAGTTCATCATTAGTATTTAATAACAATTGCCAACTAGGCATAAATAATACGCTGCTCAAAGCCATCATAGAAAATGGTCTTTGCCAAGAAGTCACCGTTGTGCCCTGCATAGTATACTGGTACCCACCCATTTATGACAAATACACTTTCTCTGCTCAGGATTGCAGAAAGATAATTAAATAATGATCTTTTAGTTACCAACTCTCGCACTACCAGACATTCTGCCCTCCAATGCATCAGGTTTCTTTAATGTTCCTCTAAATATCAGGACTTCACACATGGTTTTGCACTTGCTTCTTCTTTCCATTTAAAACAGAAAGACTAAAATATACAAAATTTTCCAATGTGATTGCCTCATACCGCTCTTGGGCTTCAAGTGGCTATTGTCATATTACCCCAAATGTTGTCTCTGATTTTATTACATAAACCTTGCCATTTTTCTTTAGGGGAATAAAAGGCAATTTTATATGGGATGGCCCTGGTCTCTGTTATTTTCAGCATACCCAGATTTTTTTTTCATTCCGGCATGCTTGCAATTCTGGGAGACGGTGTATACTGACAAGGAGATTTATCGCCAGAAGCTCCCCAGTGGAGTCAGTGGCAGGAGATAAAATTTAGTCACAATTCACATGTGTTTGAAATGAGCATTCCAAGAGAAAATGATTAATTTTCTTTTAAAACCCAGAAGAAAAAAAGGCCATACCCATAGGCATTATCACTTCTCCATGTGCTCTGGCTTCCCTTTGTCCATTTGCTGTCATATTTACATTTCCCTCACTTTTGTTGCATTTTTTTTTTCAGGCAACAAACTACCAAGTTATTATTATTCAGGAGAAAAACCTTATAAACATGTAAAAGGATTTTATTCTGTCACAGATGCCCTTAGAAAATAATGAAATGGAGTTGGAAAATTGATGAAGTACCATAAAATGCTAGCACTAAAAAGTACGATAACAACCACCGAGTTCAAGACCCTTATTTTGTAAGTGTGGAAACTGAAACCTAAAAAGATAATGTGCCTTCTCCAAAATCCTTTCACCCATGTAGAAAGCTGAGGAGGCATAGGGAACCAAGATCTTCCAGTTTTGACGTTAAGGAATCATCACACCTGCAGGATGATGCCAGAAGTTTGACTACCAAGGCTCCATGTTTTTAGCTTAAAAGTTTAATCAATATTAAAATATTTGCCTGCTCCTTCCCTCCGTCCAAGAAATCCCTGGAATAATTAACATTCAAATCTCTGTCAACTATACCATGCCACAAAGTCACTACAGATAAGAAGAGGAAGAGAAGAATTTTCAAAATAAATTATCTTAACCATCAGAATATCTGATACAACTGACTTATAAGTCAGATTGCCTAAATATTTGAACTACATTAAATAATATATGTATATATTATTGCCCATATGGGCAAGTAAGGTACAGGGATTAACTAAGAGGATGTGTGGTAAGATTTTTTGTTTATGTAGTAACTATAAGGTACTCCTTGTCTATTTTTTTTAGCATGGATATCTCACTATAAAAAATATTTTATGAACTAATGACAGAGTATCTTTAAATAGTAAACTGTTAAAACTATTAAAACAATGATTTAAAAGAAAAAATATAAGACCCAAGGCACTTCTATTAAATTCTGCAGGCTGCAGGCTGATCTTCCTTGCTGAGGATACAAAGGTGATTAAAATCTGGTTCTTATCATGGAGCAGCTCATATCCTAATAGCCTATTTTTATAATGCAAGCAAACTCTATTTGTAGAAAAAACTGATAAAGCACTTGTCAGAATGTCTAGAAGTAGGCAGTCTGTAAGTAGAAATAACTTTTATCTAAAGTTCTAAATGGTTTTAGAGCCAAAGAATGTCAGAGTTAGAAAGAATCTTAAGAGGTCGTTTATTTCTACACTTTAAAGGAATCCTCTATCTAATATATCTCCACTGAGTGGCTCTTCAGTTTCTGTAACCAACTCCAGTTATTGATGCTATATTCCATTTTGGAACCTCTTTCATTATAAAATTGTCCCTTAATGTAAACTGAGTTATCCTAGACAATAACAGTATGTGGATTCAAATAGGGTCCCATTTAAAGCAGTATCCATATTCCACTGGCTCACATAGTAACCTGAATCTTTCCACAATGCTTCTGCTAAGCCCTTGAATTTCTAGTTGTCCCAGAAAATATCTCACAAGCATTGATCAACAGGTCAGATTGACAATTGTCATGTAGAACCTACCACTTCTGCTAGGCATGGTTGTCTCACACTGGGAACTTGCTACCTTCCACTCTGTTCACTGAGATAGGAGTAGCTAAGGCAGCCCTGAGCTGTGCAGTAGCTTGTGGAGCAACCAGAGAGATGTTTTGGCCCTTCCAGTTGTTGTGGTGCCCTCTGTCATTGCTTGTGTGCTCCATGCCACCTCTTCCCACCTCTATGCCTCTCAGGGTTTTTCTTTCTTTTTTTTTTTTTTTTTTTTTGAGACATTCTCACTCTTGCCCAGGCTGGAGTGCAGTGGCACCATCTCAACTCACTACAACCTCTGCCTCCCCAGGTCAAGCGATTCTCCTGCCTCAGCCTCCCAAGTAGCTGGGATTACAGGCATGTGCCACCACGCCCACCTAATTTTTGTATTTTTAGTAGAGATGGGGCTTCACCATGTTGGCCAGGCTGGTCTCGAACTCGTGACCTCAAGTGATCTGCCTGCCTCAGCCTCCCAAACTGCTGGCTTTATAGGCATGAGCCACTGTGCCTTGCTCCTCTCAGTGTTTTTACTTTAATGCCCAGTATCATCTGCATTCACAGCTGGGCAGATATGACTCCAAAGGGAGTTACGTACCAAATACAACATGCAGATACAACACTGCACTCAGAAAACCTCCTCTCATACAATTTCTAAGGCTTTACTACTAGGTGCTCCTGAGTTCTTCCTGCCCATACACTTCTGGAAGGACCCCTCTCAATCAACTGACCAGTCAGGTCTAAATCCCAGAAATTCACAGCTTAGACTCATGCCTGCATCTGTGATAAATTTGAATTGAGTAAGTATGTGCATCTTATTCATCCAAATATCCCCTACAGGTAGCACAGAGCCTCACATGTAGAAAAAATAATAATAAAAATAAACATTTACTGAATATTGCAGACTTATCGGTAATATTTTATTTAATCCTCATAGAAATTCTATCAGGTAGATACTATTATTATTCCTACCTTATAGATTAGTATACTGAGTTATAAAAGGGTTAATTTATGTGTTCAAGATCACAAGGATAATAAGTGGTGGGACTGGGTTTTGAACCCAGGCAGTTTTGACTGCTGAGCTTGTGGGCTTACCCACCACATGTTCTGCCTTCCTACCCTCCACACAGAAGCAGCTCAAGAAATGTTTTGAGGAAATGACTGTAACTGCCTCTTGCAAAGTAAACACATTGATTCTTGACTTTCCCCTAGGGATGTACATTAAACATAGTGGGTCACAAAAGAAACAGCCATGTATTTGAAGATAATTCTCATGCCCCTTGGCCATCAAGAGCTCTTCTGTTTCAGTCCTAAAGAGAGTTTAGATATTGGGTTCCCAAGAGCTTCTTAGGGGTGACTTGAAGCTCAGAATGGCTGAAACATTCCAGGAATCAGAACATTTTTCCATTTCTTCTGGAGTGAGTGGCTTGTTTGAGCACTTATCCATTCCTTTTTAGAAAACCTTTCCAACATTTTGTTTCTTCTGTCCTTCCCTGCATCCTGTTTCCCATCAAGGCCTTTAAACCTCTATTGGCCGATACCCGGAGATGCCCTGCTGCACAACAACCCAAGCTCTTCACCTTTCCCTGCCTTTCTCTACACTTCTCCTGTATCTAATCACTGGCTCACCATGGGCTCCAGACGGCATGCTATTCTGTTCTATCCCATCTTGGAAATATGTAAAGGAGATACAGTTAGACAAGGATTGTAATTTATAATCCTTAATGTAATTTGTAATCCACAATGTATTGAGTCCTGAGGGGTCTTTGGTTTAAACAGTGTTTATAAATAGATAAGCCAATGCTGAATCCAAAAAATTTAATCTCTAACAATCTTAATTGAGAGTTGGGAATTCCTAAAATTCTCAACAATTTTAGGAATTTTGAGACCTAGAGAGGATTATAGTAGGATAAGATGTCATCTGGAATCCCAAAAGAATAACAACTACTTTGAGATGTATTACTATTCCATTTAGAGAGGATAAAAATTTCACAATTTGGAGAGTTAATAAGAAGCTGAATTGAAACGACCTCTAACCTGTTTGATTCTTTGCCATTGTTTTATTTCGTAGCTGGCCTTGTATAAATTCATTTTTTTCATGAATCCCCAGGATAATACCCAGTTAACCTGAAAAACTCTTTTGAACTAAGATAGAAATAATTTAAGGGCACCTAGCATGTATTCACTTTGGGAATAGTGTTTAATTCATTAACCTCAGAGAAGTGATTTGATGGCCCAGAATAATTCATTAATCTTGTAATAGGCATATTTGGAGGTAAGTGGGACTTCCTCTCAAAGCACAGTGTGGGTAAAGAGCTCTTTGACTATGAAGGAACTGAGCTGTGCTCTGGGAATCTGTCAGAGAAACTGATCTCTACCTAAATGTGGAAGGACATTGGTTGTATCAAAACTTCCTTTTGTCACTAACATGCTGTGTGATTTTACTTAGCTTGTCTGTTTTTTTGTTTCCTCTGTGTAAAGTAAGGATGTCAGACTGGATCAGAATGCCTCAAATCTGTGAGCCCACAGAACCCACTGGCACATCATTTCCCAAAATATTCATACCTGTTTTCCCTTTCTGTCTTCCAAAATTCTCATTCAAAGCCTCTATGCATCCCTATGAACAGTACTTACATAATGACTGACTTTAGTTTATTAATGCCTAAACTTTTGAGAGGTATCACTCTGGGCATAACAGGGAAAATAAAATAAATCTTAGCATGTCAAAATAAATTTGTAGTAGCAAGATTTTCTTTCCACTATAATTATTTTTACCAAATATCAGAGCAACTAGGTAAAAGGTTAACAAAAATGTATATAACATCAGAGGTTTGGCCGGGCACAGTGGCTCAGCAGTATAATCCCAGCACTTTGGGAGGCCGAGGCGGGCAGATCACCTGAGGTTGGGAGTTTGAGACCAGCCGGGCCAACATGGTGAAATCCCATCTCTACTAAAAATACAAAATTAGCTGGGCATAGTAGGGCATGCCTGTAGTGCCAGCTACTCAGGAAGCTGAGGCAGGAGAATTGCTTGAACCCAGGAGATAGAGGTTGCAGTGAGCCAAGATTGTGGCACTGCACTTCAGTCTGGGTGACAGAGTGAGACTCTGTATCAAAAAAATGAAAATAAAAAGTCAGTGGTTTGTTTGGCCACTTTGCATTTTACTTGTTAAACAAGAAATATCTACGTATGATGTTGATACACTGCCATGATTTAAATCACCTCAAGTTAATTTCATTCTCTCTTTGTTTTCTTATGAAAAGATTTAATCTTACACCTGGAAGTCTGGGTTTTTTAAATTGAATTCTATAGAAATGTTCTCAAATTCAGATAATTCTATATTGTGCACATGATGTCAAATAACATGCTTGGTTAAATTTTTCATTTTTAACCAGTTGCTTCAGCAATATTTATTTTCCAAGTTTATTCTGTTCTTTCAGTATTTAAAATTCCTTAATTATTGTGATATGATTTGGATATTTGTGCCACCCAAATCTCATGTTGATATGTAATCCCCAGTGTTGGAGGTGGGACCTGGTGGGAAGTGTATGGGTCATGGGGGCAGATCCCTTATGGCTTGGTGCTTTCTCCAAGATAGTGAGTGAGTTCTCATGAGATCTGGTCATTTAAAAGTGTGTGGAACCTGCCCCCGACTCACTTGCTCTTGCTTTCGCCGTATGATGTACTTGCTCCTGCTTCACCCTCCACCATGAGTAAAAGCTCCCCGAGGCCTCCCTAGGAGCTGGGCAGATGTTGGTGCCATGCTTCCTGTACAGCCTGCGGAAACATGAACCAATTAAACCTATTTTCTTTATAAATTACTGTCTCAGGTATTTCCTTATAGCAATACAAGAATCACTCAATACATACTGATATCATGAGTTTCACTGGACATTTAAAATATTTTCCTCATGAGGGAAAATTCCCACCTTGACCTGACCTCTCATCAGTTTTATGTATCTGCAGAAAAATCCTTCTAAAAGATTGAGATGAGCAACAATAGGACAAACTTTCAAATGGTACTGTTGACTGAGAATACAATGGACAATGCCAAACTGTTTACAGATGTTATGCTTGGCCTCTTTCCCAGTGCCAGATATTTGTATGAAAGATGAAGAGTATAATCTATTTACATACAGTGGTTTTCCTCCCCAAAACTTTTGAGCTTTGTTATGCTTTAATAACCATATGCTCTTGAAAATTGATTTCTTTTTTGAAGACCATCTGCATCTATGTAGCTAGGCACCTATTTCTTCCATTTCTTCAAAACTGAATGTTGCCCTCTTTTCACACTGCATTCTCCTCACACTACCAGTGCCCCAGTGGATTATGTTTTGCTACAGTGAAGGAAAAGAAAACTCTGAAAGACGTAGTGTAGTTGCTGTAGTTTGAATGTATTCCTCAAAGTTTATCCCCAATGCAACAGTGTTGGCAGGTGGGGTCTAGTAAGGTGATGATTAGTTATGAGAGCTCTGCCTTCATGAATGGATTGATGATGTCATTATCACAAGGGTGGGTTGGTTACCATGTGAGTGGGCTTGTTATAAAAGCAAGTTCAGCCTCCTCTTGCTCTTGCTCTCTTGCCCTTCTGCCTTTTGCCATGAGATGACACCAGATGCAGACCCCTCAACCTTGTACTCCTCAGTCTCCAGAACTGTAAGACATTTCTTTTCCTTATAAATTTCCAGTCTATAGTATCCTGTTACAGCAACACAAAACAGACCAAGACAGTAGTGTTGTATTTTTTCTTCAGGTCATGATATAGCCATGTAGAGCAGTGGATAAGAGGACAGGTTTTGGAGTTAAATGATCCATCTTCTTATTCTGGCTTCACCAGTTATGTAATCTTATATACATTATTTACTTTCTATGCTCCTTCTAATTCATCTTATGAAGAAAACGATGCTACATATCTCTTTAAAGTTGTTAGGGTGATTAAATAAGAGAATGTATACAAAGGGTGAATGCTTAATAAAAGGTAGCCGTTAAGCTCCTGCAGTTTTACAGCCTTCAAATTCATGTAGCACAAAAGGCGCTAAAGTGGAAGAAAAAGTGGCTGTCCAATATAGTGGAAGGTGGCAGCTAATTTATTTTCTGGAAGTGAAGAACCTATGTCTTAGTTTCAAAGAGTCTGATTGGGTGGACTAAAGCATATTTATAAATTAAAACTTGAGGTGCATAAAACCTTCTTTGAAGAGTTATATACAGGACAGAGGTGAGAGAATGTAATTTTCACATGCATCTGTCTTCTATGAGGAGCTTAATATTCTTTGGCCAAGTGGTTCTCAAACCTATTTAACTATAATTATTAGCTGTAGAGCTGTAAATACAAATAAAAACAAATAATATAGTTGGCCCAACCATAGGCCAACACTCTCAGGAGTTCAGTTGGTAGGGACACAGAAGGTAATTTTTAAGAGCTCTACAATTAATTCTGATACCTACTATTCTCTCTGTATGCCCAGAACAAAATACTAATTTTGACACAGATAGGACTCAGGGAAGTCATATTCTTAAGGTAATTTCTCTATGAAAATGGAAGAAAACATAATCTATTTCTTTTATATTTTTCATAAAACAGTGTTTCGATGAAGATACAAGAACAACTGATGATAATATGTCAGCAAGTCATTAATTTTGGGCTAGTTAACAGGCAGTTTGAACTAAAATGGCAAACCAATTCATTGAAAAATATTTAAAAGTTTAAAAAATAATAAAAGTATCAGACTATTAACAGAAATACAAAGATAATTGAAGACAGTAAGAAAGAACAGAATTATGGAAGCAGAAAATTGAACCAGTAATACAGAAGTAAATTTGATAAAATTTTCCATTATATAGGGTGTCTTAGCACAACTCTGCTGCTATAACAAGATACCTAAGCTGGTAATTTATAATAAACAGGAATTTATTTTCTCACAGTTCAGAAGACTGGGAAGTCCAAGATTAATGCACCGGCAGTTTTGTTTTTTGTTTGTTTGTTTGTTTGTTTGTGTCCAGAGAGGGGTGCTCTTGCTGCTCCCTTAATGAGGTCTTGTTGCTACATCCCCAGAGGGAAGAAATGTTGTTTTTTATGTGGCAGAAGAAATAGAAGGGCAAAAATGAATGAACTTCCTCCATCATGCCCTATTTTAACGACACCGAATCCTAGTCATGAGGGACTCAATCACCTTCTAATGGCCACACCTCCTAATACTGTTCTATTGGGAATTAAGTTTCAACATGAATTCTGAAAGAGACAAAAATATTCAAGCCATAGCATAGAAATTACATGAAAATAATAACAAATAAAAGAGACAAAAACATATGGAGAAGATACATAATTTAGAATGAACATATTCAATGTAAGAAAGAATAGAAACAAATAAAACAGAAAGCAATAATCAAACATATAATTGAAGAAATGTTCTGAATTGGAGAAGAGAAAGGGTTTTGAAAGGTGTTAATATACACCAGGCAAAAAATAATAATAATAACAGCATACCAACTTTAGATGTGCAGTGGCAACATTTAAAAATTTTAATATTAAAAAATTTTTTAAATCCAGTTGAAAGATTATCAGCAAATCACAAAAATTAAGCTGATTTAAAAATTCTCCATGACAACATCAGAATTAAATGAAATGATTTGTATGGCATTTGTATCTGAATAACCTAATACACATTCACTAAATGGAAGCCATAGAAAATATTCTCAGATCCATAAGAAAAAAGAAAACAAGTGACTCATAAATATTCTGGAAATATTTTGTTCAGTTTTGGTTTTCGTTTTTCAAGACTATTGAGATATAATTCACAAATAAAAAGTATATCTATTTAGAGGTATAGAATGTGATGTTTTGATACAATAGTCCCCCCTTATCTGTAGGGCATACATTCCAAGATTCTGAGTGGATACCTCAGAATATCATTCCAAGATACCTAAAGCCGTGGATAGTACCAAACCCTAAATATATTGTCTTTTCATATGCATACACACCTATGATAAAACTTAATTCATTAATTAGGCACAGTAAGAGATTAACAACAATAACTAATAATATAGTAGCTCTATTAAAACGACATACTGTAATCAAAGCTATGTGAATGTTGTCTCTGTCTCTGTCTCTCTCTCTCTCTCAAAATATCTTATTGTATTTTTTTGCAGGTAACTGAAACCACAGAAAGCAAAACTGTGGTTAAGGGTGAACTACTGTACATGTATACATTGTGAAATGATTACCACAATCAAGCTAATTAACATATCCATCATCTTACAAAGTTATCTATTGTATGTGTGTGTGCATGTGTGTGTGTGTGTGTGGTGAGAATTCTTTAGATGTACTCTCTTAGCAAATTTCAAGTATGCAATATGTTATTATTAACTATAGTCACCATACTGTATATTAGGCCTTCAGAATTTATTAGTCTTATAGCTGAAAATTTGTACCATTTGACCAACATCTTCCATTTTTTCCACAGCTTCACCCCTGCTTCTGAGTTTGACTCCTCTCCTTTCCGCTTCTGTTTGACATTTTTAGATTCCACATATAAGTGAAATTATTCAGTATTTGTCTTTCAGTGTCTGGCTTATTTCTCTTATTATAATATAGTACAATATGATAGAGTATAATATTGTCCATATTCATCCACGTTGTCACAAATGACAGGATTTTCTTCCTTTTTTGGCTGAATAATATGCCATTGTGTAAATATACAATGGAATTGTGTATGTATACACACCACATTTTCTTAATCTATTTATCTGTCAATGGACACTTACCTATTTTTCTATTACCTATTAGAGCAGTGCTTTGAGATGCTCCAGTTTGTGTGCCTTTTTTCTATCCTTCTTTCATCCAGGCGGTGGGAGAAGCATGAAATGCATTTGCAGTGGCCTTGGGCCATTGGTGGTGTCCGCAGGTGAGACATCTCGAGTGCCTCATGGACAAACTTCCTCATGGAATCCACTGGAGCAATTATGAGAGTCCACGGCCTCTCTTCTCTGGTTCTACCCTCTCCCAATCTCTCACCTGTGCCGATCACCTCAGTAATTTGGGTAAGACAAAAAAGAGGTGGGGCTATTGGGCAGCATCTCACACAGCCAGGGAACTGACAGTTTATTTACTATACTCTCACTTTCCTTTATGGGAGAAACGGGCTAAGGAGGTCTCTCTTGGCACTGAGCTGTGACACCTTGGGGGAGAAAAAGTGCAGGTAAAGTGCAACTGTTCTTATTCTCTTCTCTTCTCCGTATGCATACTCAAACTTTTTGCTCTGAGAATGTGCTGAAACTTCTTTGCTAAACTCTTAGATTCCTACAAGGATACTCTTGTCCATGAGTAGTTGTAAAATTGATGCTTCTTTTGGGGAATGACAGTAGAAAACTCCCTTTTCATCATCTTGCTGATGTCCTGGAAAAATTCTTAAGAATATATTCTGGATACACTTAAAAGCAAAACACTCATAGCATTAAAAAAAGTAGCAGTAAATATTGGAGACATTTCAGTAAAGAAGATAAGACTGTGTAAGTACTATAACTATAATTTAAAATGAGTGCAAATATCATAAAAAAGCATTTTACAATATTTGTGAAAATTTATAATTTTTGATTAAATGTACAAAAATTGATAATCATATATGAGGAGAAAATAGTAAAAATTCAAATCTATATCTTATAAAGTAAAAAGTCATATTTTTTCCCTGCTGTAAGTTCTAAAAAAAATTTGTTTAATTTGACTTCAAAAACTTAAAGATAACACTCACAGAATTTTAAATACCCACTGGAACATAAAAACAAAGGAAATGTCGATGATGTAGCAAATGACAGACCACAAGGAAAACAGTATAAATGTTTACGATACAAAACAAAAGCACTCTATTAAGAAGTCAGAAAAACAAACTTTAGCAATAACCTGAATATGACTAATTTAACTTCCTTTGTTAAAGGGAAAGGCAATTTGTTCAATAAGCAAATTTAACTATATACTGCTCACAAAAGGTATCTGGAAACCAAAATGGTACAAAAGGTTGATAGTGTGTATACTTTACATAAATGGCTTAATAGATAAATATAAATAGATATTAGAAATGATTATATTAAAATCAAACAAATAAAATTAATGGTAAAACAAATTAAAGGGGCAAGAAGGGATCATACTAATTTGATCATAGACACAATTCACAATTAAGGCAAAATAGTGATTTATGCAATAATAAATTGACTAAGAAAAGCTTTAGTACTATGAATTACTATTGCTATATGAGTTCAGGTCAAATGTGATAAAAATTAATGATATAAAGGATTTGACTATTGTAATGCTAATAGATTAAGAAATAAAAGTAATGCTAATAGATTAAGAAGCAAGTATCATATTTATATACACTCATAAAACACACTGAAAATTCTCAACAAATTCCAAATAATACAAGTTTTTAGGTAACATTTGACCATGATACCGACATATCCAAATTTAGTAGCAAAATTGTAAACATAAACATCCTATTATCTGGATATATAATTAAAATTTTTGTATACAACTAGGACAATAAAAGGAAAAATATAAATTCACTTTAAATTCAATAAATCTAAGAATAATAATATCCGCATATATAGCATGTGACCAAAGCTATATTAAAAAATAATTGCATGGACTTATGGGATTATGTTGTTTTCTTCTGTTTTAGGAGATAAGTAAGCATAAACACCAAAATCAATTACTTAGAAGGTAGTAAAAATGAAATACAAATATAATTAATAAATAAGCCTAAGAACTAATTCTTAGAAGGAAGCAAATAAACTGAAAAATACAAAATTTCTTTTAAGTTCTAATGAAGAAATTAAAAACAACACAATATTATATTAAAATATAACAACCTTAGAAATCAGAAAGAAGACATAATAAAACTGAATTCATAGTAAGCTTCTTAATTCTCAGGGCATTGTTTCGTTCATTTTATTAATTTATAAACTAGCACATCTGTAACCTAACAACTTATAGGCATAACAGTCTCCTATAAATATCTATAGAATAAATGAAAATGCAGGATATTCAAAAATTGAAAGAGAATACTTTGCAGAACCATGTACTCATTAACTGTAAAAAAAAAGTTTCAATTTCAAAGAATCATATGCTTAATTTTTCAATCTTTTAAGGGTTAATTGCTTTTTATTTTATAGGACATAGAAAACACGAAAAAGTTCTTAGTTATTTTACAAAGTAGAAAATATAAGTTTGACAAAAATAGAAAAGAAAGAAAACAAAGTATCATGTGCACACAGAAACACAATAAAAAAACAAAAAAGAGAACAGTTTCACTTAGTACAGTGGAAGAACAATAATGTGCTAACAAACTTAATTAAAATATTAAATACATAGTTCACCAAAAGAAAATAGGATTTTTTTCCAGGGAGGAAATCTAATATGAGGCTGTTTAGTCTCCAGTTATGAGCATGACCTTGGAATCCAGGCACCTTGATATAATTCTCTGTTCTCTCACTTAGTAGCTGCCTGACCTTGAACAAATGACTTCACCTCTTTATGCCTGAGTTTCTTAATCTGAAAAATAGGAATAATAATAGCACTGATCTTAAAGAATCACTTATGAAAATTATATGATATATAAAATGCTGAGCAGGGTGCCTGGTATATAATCAGTGCTATTACTATCATTACTATGATTAATCACTATTATTATTTTAATTCATAATATCAGGAGCCATCTTTATTAGATTTTTATCCCAAAGCAGTAATGCATACAATTGCTGCAATGTGTTGTTTTATGTTATTTGGATTAGCAATATAAGTAAAGGAAATCAAAAGAGCAAAGGAATCATTTGTATTATGTAAATGAAAATATGTCAAATTCCAATATTCTTCTTTTTGCAGGACCAGAAAATCTTTCTCTTCCAGTCAGTGTCATTCATTTATGACCAGCGGTTGAATCCAGTCATAAAATCTGAAGCTCCTGGGTACCTCTACATCACTGGGCCTATGATACACTGTTTCAGAACGTACTTACACATGGGGTGGGACGATTTTCTTAACTAATACTTGTGACTACTCCACAGCAAAGCTGGAAACAAAAGTATTGGGTGAGCTATCTTCCAAAATCTGGAGATGGTTTCGGAGAGAGTTTCATTGCCATAAATTTAAAGGGGGATTGGATTTACTCAGGAAAAATTACAAGTGAGCGTAGGAGATAAACTAGTAAATGCCATATTTGGCCCACCAGGCACAAAGAAGGGTTATAATTGGCTCCTTTAAGTCCTATATGCAGATATCAAATCCCTATACTTGCTCTTTATTGCATAGAATAAATTTACCTCACTCCTTACTTTGAAACATGAAATGAGGATCAAATTATAGTTTCAATTATTGCAAATAGTTGTACAAATGAAAAGATTGTCTTATTGTGGGCATTACACAAACCCACCAAGGAATAAGTAATCTTTAAATTCTATGAAGTGATTTGTAATCTGATACAGTAAGAAAAAAAAATCTCAGACTTTGATTAATTACCACCACGCTCACCGCTATATCACTGTCCAATGTCATCATAATTTCACTGCCACTTAAAACTACACTTCAGCCATAGAAAGCCAAAAAATTAGGCACTGGTGACCTGTCCAAAAGAAAAAAAAAAAAAAAGGAACAGGAAGTGGAGAAATACCACCTCATAAATTTCACCCAACCACATTTAACAGCCACCTGGAGTTCACACCAACTCACTTGGATCTCCTATGACGAATATGCCTCTATCACAATGTTGAGGCCACTGAGTTTCTCATGTACTAAAATTTGGCTTAATGTGGTTACTCTTTCTCTCTGGGAGTTTTAAGAACAACTTCATGGTCATAATATTCTCTTTAATAAATATGATTCATCTGAATGTTAGATTCCCGTTTAACTACCACAATCTTCAGAAGAAAAGTTATAGCTCTTACTGACTTCAGAAGCTGCTCTGGATGACTTTATAATTTATCATCCAAATGGAAGACGTTTGAGAGCGAAAGGATACACTAAAATAATTAAATGTATACAATTTTTGGAAAATGTTTATTGCTTAAAAATATTGTTTATTGTATGAAATTTTGTATATTTATATTCATGTGTCTGTAAAAACAATTCTATTCAAAAATTACTTTAAAAATTCTTTAAAGATACAAATATATTTGTATACTTTAAAACAGGTTGAAATATTGATTATATAAACTATTAGAAAGTTACATAAGCAGAAAGAATATTACCTGCACATATTTATGTGCTTTAATCTGCTCCTTAGCTGAATCTGTCTCTAATGTGTTTTTTAAAAAATATTTTTAAATTATTTTTATTTTTCCTATAAAATTGTCTGAAATATTTGAAATTTGAAAATTAAAATTCTTCATTTAAAAATTTGAAGTCACTGATATCCTTACTCACTAGACACATCTTTGTAAAAGAACCAAAAAAATAAAATATCTGTAAATGTCCCAAGGGAACTGCTTATCTCCAAATAAATTCTGCTAAATGTGATATTATCTCAATTTCAATTTATTTTAAGCTGAAATGCATAAATGTTTCAGCCCAAATATTTTCATGGGCACTGCCTCTTTTGCCTCCATGTAGCACAGCTTCTTCCAACAAATTTTTTTTAAGACAACACTTGTCAAAAAAGTTGTATCTATTTATAATATTTTTGAAAACTTCACCAAATTAAAGCGCTGAAACATTGTAGGCTTTGTCAATTTTCTTTCAGTCTGATACAAAATACCATTTATCCAATTAAAATTAGGAAATCAACAAATTCTTTCCACAAGTCAGATGTTCCAAAGCTGTTATGTAATTTCAAAACTAAATGTTAGAGCCTCTTGTGAGCTCATTCTGCAGTTCGTTCAGCTTCCCCTTGCTTTTGTAGAGATAAATGTTTTCCTGCCTGCAAGATATTGTCTTCAATATTTTCAGTTTGCAGAAAGCTTCAACCAGAAGTTGCTGTTTTTTCTTGCCACACCATTTTTAAATGCGTTGTTTAAAAATTTTTCAGCCGATTTTGCATACAGTGCAACCAAAAGTTAGATAACTCATTTATCAAAATATGAATATTATTGTAGGACATTAAGGTTGATTTAGAAAGTAGTTATTCAAATGATCAAACATTCCTAAAATCTTACTGATGAGAGGCTGCAGAAAAAGCATACCGTTATGCTGGAGATTTTTAAATTCAATATTAGCTTTATCACAAAAGTTTAATTATTCCAATTGTGTAGATATAAAAATATTTATGGATTTTGACATCTTTAGCTTCTATTTCAATTAGTAGATTTTTTTAATTAAACTTAAGTTCTGGGATACATGTGCAGAACGTGCAGGTTTGTTACATAGATATACATGTGCCATGGTGATTTGCTGCACCCATTAACCCGTCATGTACATTAGGTATTTCTCCTATGCTATCCCTCCCCTTCCCCACAACCCCCCGACTGGCCCCAGTATGTGATGTTCCCCTCCCTCTGTCTATGTGTTCTCTTTGTTCAACTCCCACTTTTAAGTGAGAACATGGGGTGTTTGGTTTTCTGTTCCGGTGTTAGTTTTCTGAGAATGATGGTTTCCAGCTTCATCCATGTCCCTGAAAAGGACATTAACTCATTATTTTTTATGGCTGCATAGTATTCCATGGTATATATGTGTCACATTTTCTTTATCCAGTCCATCATTGATGGGCATTTGGATTGGTTCCAAGTCTTTGCTCTTGTGAATAGTGCTGCAATAAACATACGTGTGCATGTATCTTTATAGAATGATTTTTAATCCTTTGGGTATATACCCAGCAATGGGATTGCTGGGTCAAATGATATTTCTAGTTCTAGATCCTTGAGGAATCACCACACTGTTTTCCACATTGGTTGAACTAATTTACACTCCCTCCAACAGTGTAAAAGCATTCCTATTTCTCCAAATCTCCAGCATCTGTTGTTTCCTGACTTTTTAATGATCACCATTTTAACTGGTGTAAGAAGGTATCTCATTGTGGTTTTGATTTGCATTTCTCTAACGACCAGTGATGATGAGCTTTTTTACATATGCTTGTTGGCCACATAAATGTCTTCTTTTGAGAAGTGTCTGTTCATATCCTTTACCCACTTTTTGATGGGATTCTTTGTTTTTTTCTTGTAAATTTGTTTAAGTTCCTTATAGATTCTGGATATTAGCCCTTTGTCAGATGGCTAGATTGCAAAAATTTTCTCCCATTCTGTAGGTTGCCTATTCACTCTGATGATAGTTTCTTTGGTTGTGCAGAAGCTCTTTAGTTTAATTAGATCCCATTTGTCAATCTTGGCTTTGTTGCCCTTGCTTTTGGCGTTTTAGCCATGAAGTCTTTGCCCATGCCTATGTCCTGAATGGTATTGCCTAGGTTTTCTTCTAGGGGTTTTATAGTTTTAGGTCTTACGTTTAAATCTTTAGTCCATCTTGAGTTAATTTTTGTATAAGGTGTAAGGAAGGGGTCCAGTTTCAGTTTTCTGCAAATGGCTAGACCGTTTTCTCAATACCGTTTATTAAATAAGGAATCCTTTCCCCATTGCTTGTTTTTGTCAGATTTGCCAAAGATCAGATGGTTGTAGATGTGTGGTGTTATTTCTGAGGCCTCTGTTTTGTTCCATTAGTCTATATATCTGTGTTGGTATCAGTAGCCTTGCAGTTCGAAGTCAGGTAGCGTGATGCCTCCAGTTTTGTTCTTTTTGCTTAGGATTGTCTTGGCTATACGGGCTCTTTTTTTGGTAGAATGTTACAGCTTGTTTGGATAAAATTACAAATTATGAGGATACTACATCCAACTCCAAATACATTTCTCCTCCATAGATTCCTTAATTTAGTAAGAACATTACTGTTACCAGGATGATCTGTTCCATCAAAATTTATATCTGTATTATCATCACAAAAACAGATACTTTAATTTCAGGGTTGTACTTTTAATGTTGACAATGATCTCAAGATATTTCACCTTTGAGAATGAATTCCAAAAGCTTTACTTTGATTACAGAAACCACATGGGGAAAAAAACGTATATTGGAATTAATGATTTTCAATTTGAAGCATCTGCTAATACAAAATGGACATCCTTTGAGCTTGAGAAGTTCTGCTACTAATGGAGCCACATTTTCTGCTATTGCTTCCTGCTTCATGCATACACAAAAACTTGAAAGTGAAAATGAGCAAAATTAACTTAAACTAACAACCAATTGATAGAAATAAAAACTCATGCTTTAAAGAGTGATATATAGGCACACCTTCTGTGGTCACATATGTAAAATTCTCCTTTTGAGCATAGTCTTCCCAAAATAATAACTTTGAAGGCTGATGCTTCTGACTTCCCAGAAGATTTTTTGTCTGCTAGTTGTCAGCTGGTGTGTGAAATCATTATGGCTTTTATGATGTATGAAGATCCTACTTTTAATTTTTTTTTTTTTTTTTGAGACAGAGTTTTGCTCTTGTTGCCCAGGCTGGAGTGCAATGGCGCGATCTCCACTCACCGCAACATCCGCCTCCCAGGTTCAAGCAATTCTCCTGCTTCGGCCTCCCAAGTAGCTGGGACCACAGGCATGCACCACCACGCCCAGTCAATTTTGTATTTTTAGTAGAGACAGGGTTTCTCCATGTTGGTCAGGCTGGTCTTGAACTCCCGACCTCAGGTAATCCGCCCGCCTCAGCCTCCCAAAGTGCTGGGATTACAGGTGTGAGCCACTGCGCCTGGCTTTACTTTTAATTTTTAAATTAAACATGCACTTTCATTTTTTAGGTCATTGTTGCATGTATTGCAAAATTCAGAAAGTATTGCCAAATAATGTGATAGATAAATCACTACACACTTAAAATTGGTAGATGACAAAATCACTGTAACAAGAGCATTCAAACTACTTTGCTATACATTTTAAGACTGGACTGTTCAGTCTCTATCTTTTACACATATGTGATGATGTTTATCTAGCTATAATACTCTACGTTTCCTAGTGACTCTTCTAGGATCCTGGTGGTTTTGTGTAGCTTGCAGGCCCCACAGGCTGCAACAAAACTGGCTGTTACACTAAGGGGAGCAGCATCTAATACTTCTTCCATGATCTCCAAGACAAAAGGAATTTGTTGCTCATAACTGAGTGCCTTGTCCATTCTTGAATCTGGAAAGTTCTTTAAAAAATTAAAGGGAGAGAGATAGGCTACTGCTGATTATCTTTCCATGTATATATGTCTCATACCTACTACCAGGAAGAAAATGACAGAAGCTGGAAATAAAGTAGAGGTCTACCAAACTTATTCTGACTTATTTTTGTACAACTATTAATAATAATACTTGAATAAAAATTAAGAGACTTGGATATATACCAGCTGAACAGGATGCAAGGACAATAATGTAAACTAAGACTGTCCCACGCAAACTGGGATGGGTGATCACCCTTCATAGAAGCAAGCTTCTAATGGTATCAGATATTTAAGGACTATTTGCTAAGGGCCAGGCCTTATGGTATTTTGATGATAAAACAGTAATGAAAATAGAATCCCTATTTCTTTCAGTAGGCCCAGTTTGCAGAGTTCACCTTTGTAAAGAGTACAGTTTTCAAAGACCATTCTCACCATCAACTCTTTTGTTTCAAGAAGCACACTGTCCCCTCTAACACCACTGGCTTCAAGAACTTTCCCAACAATCATCCCAAAGGCAGCCAGCATAGCAGAGCATAATGTGCAGCATCTGTATTTATACTGCTTTGAGTATAGTACCCACTCCCAGCACTGACAGGATGGGCCATTGCTATAACCAGGCTTTCTCACTCAGCCTCTTCTCTTGGTGCAATTCAGCAGCTTCAAGAGCAGCCAAAGCCACAAGAATGTCAGGGTGATTATTGGCCAATGTCAAACTTACTTTAGAGCAGAGGCCCCTTAAGTTCAGGAGACAGATTTACCTTTCTTATAGGCTTAATAGAATTAAGCAAATCAGCACTTCCTGCTAAAGGCGGGCTGCACAACCACCATGCTACCAGTATCATTAAGGAACCACATGTGTTTAAAATAAAATTGTTTCGAACAGTGGGTCTCAAATACCTGCTATTCTGGCATACTTTTTGACTTTTAGATTGCTGTCAAGCTGTGATGACTTTAACCTTATTCTTTGAAACATTCTCCTTTCCCCTTTCTTTCTCTATTCATTTCTCAAATTAAATTTCTTCTAATGAAAAGAGAAATAGAATATACTCAAAATATACTTGAGGGTCAAGTTGGTGTCATTTTTTTCCTTTTCTTATAAGACATTTGCACTCCATTTCAACCAGTGGTCCCATTATTCCTCCTGTTTCCAAACAAGGAACACTGGCCTCCTCACTTTTCTCAGATCATGTCAGTTGCCAGTCTCTAGGCTTTGTCATATTTTTCTAAGATCTGACTCTTAAATTTCCTGCTTGCTCATCATTCCCATGCTATCTGTCCAGTCTGAGCCTTAATAACCTCTTCTCTGTGAGAATGAACCCAAATTTTCACCTTTACCACCCTGGTGTTACAAGCAGGAAAAGCCAGAATGGCTTGGTTTCTACCCCCACTCTGTTATCTAGTAGGTAAACTTTGATTATTTAACCTTTCTCTGCCTTAGTTTCTATCTGTAAACTGGGATGAATAATAGTACTTGTTCCATAGCAATGCTGTGAGGATTAAATGAGTTATATGTAAAGTACTTAGCTCTGAGGTACTTGGCTGTTATTTCACCCCTTATATCTCCAATCTGAGGTTCTGCAGGGGAACAAGTAGGGTAGGGACACCATCCACCAACAGTGAATGTAGGAAAGCTTTGGAAAGTGCTTAAGGCAACTTTCTTATCTTAACAAGGCCAAGATTGCTTGATATAGAATCAGAGTAGTGTTACAAGAAGGAATATGGAGTTCCTCAAATAGAAGAGAGGGTGGTCTTCAGAAGGAAATCAGTCCTCAGGGTTTGGAAATATATGTTTGATTTCAGATACTTCAAAAAGAACTGGACCTCAATCCAGAATGCAAACCTTGCACAAAAATCAGAACTTTTTCTCCATAATTTATTCAAGTAATTTAATTTAGCACACTGATCACTGTTCTTTTCTGAACATCATAAATGTTCAAAAAATTTTCTAAAAAGCTGTTACCAAATACACATCTATCAAGTTTTTTTTTCTTTTAATGGGTCACACATTTATAACAAATTTGATACTTTATACTTATTTTGTGAAACACACAGAGCCAAGTCTCGGTATATAATTATAATTAATACACTGACTTTTTTTTCTCACACATTTAATGGCCAGAACAGTTGATTGATTAATTCATTGATTGGTGTTATTAAATCAGAAAAAATTCTTTAGAAAAGTTGCATGACTTTTCAAACTAAATTCTCTAGTAGTAAATTTAGGATAATTATACCAGGTCTAATGTTAAACTCACAGAAAGATAATGTAGGCAAAAGTGCCTTGTATCATGTCTAAACGTGCAACATTATTAAATCACATAGCTGTGGTTTCAGTTTTGATGTGTTTGTGTGTACACAATTAAGGGAACTACTTCATGGAAATTCAAACTACAGTTGCTAGCTAATTGCTCTACACCAACCCTCCAAGTTATACTCTGTTGTCATCTTCCCAGCCCCCACACTAATGAGTAATAATAATTGCTACCAATTATTAAGCTTCTATGGATTTTTTGACATTCAATTAGGTGTTTTATACATAATATCTCTAGACTCATACCTTTGGACCTACCTTAGACACACATGGCACTTCTGGAGCACATAGTTAGGCTCTCTCTGTTCTCAGGTTTAGTTTGTCTTCATTAGTAACTCCTTTTGCTTCTCCATTATTCACAGCAAAGGTGTCTCAAGGGTCCTGACAGAGGATAGGCAGAAACACATCCCTGAAGAAACTTCAATCATTTTTTTACTCCATGTTACCAATGACCAAGCACAAATTCAAGCTATTGAGATGAGAGGCTGAGGACTGATAATCCTGTGTTCCCAGTCAAACTCAGCCCTACTATGGTTGTTCTTGAGCCTGCAGCCTCATCACCCAGACCTTCAGTGTGATCGTTTTATGGGCATCCCTCAGCTGGGTATTCCTCCAGGGAGCCCTCTCCATGCCTACCCACTTGACCTTCCACTTGACCTCCAACTGAACCAGTGCCTTGGTTCATTCATGCTCTCATCTGCCTTCCTTTCTGGGCTCTGGTCCTTCACCAGTAGTCATCATACCCCCTTCCTCATGTTGTATCTTCTACATCCTTATGGCACCCTGAGATGAATCATAGCATTTTTATCTCCCATCTGTTTCTTCTGCCAGGTAATTGGAAAGGGAAACTAGAGCTTTGAGAATAAAAGAGACCAGGGAAGGCACCAGGGTGGGTTTCTGTTTTGGTTTGCTGCATATTTTGGTATTTATTGTTTTCCTTTGCATATTTGTTCATCTATTCCTCTTGTCTTAAAAAAAAAAAAAAAAGGTGTTTCATCTCCTGCCACCAGAACTCACTAGTTCCTCATAGAAGATCCATATCTCCTTGAAATCATAACGTTTGGATCTTATTGAATAATAAGAAAACTATTTCCTTCCTAAATGTGAGCTACATTAAAATCCCTCTTCAATTAACTTCCATTACTGGGGAGGATCACTATTCCGGAACTGAATCATTTCTTCCTGTTTGTTTGCCCTTTTATTATATGGAAAATGAGAGAGTTCTGTTATAGAAAAATGTGTCTCTAATCCTCACATCAACATTCCAAATAAGGCACTGGGTCTTAACATATGAAGATCTGCTAAATTTATTCAAATTTTATACTAAATCATTGGCAGAAGTAGAAAGTTTGATGCAACGTTTATTAAACCAAGCTTTTGGACAGGAAATGGCATCAAAATATATTCAGAAGGAAATTTTAAAATATCTGAAATTCTGACAATATGCAGAGTACTACTAATACTGTTACTATTACAAGTAACTAACATCATAACTATCATGTGATATAAGCCTCCTCAAAGAGATATGTTGACCTCATTCGCCTAGAGTGATAAAGGAAATTCCTCTCACTCTCCTGATCCTGCCCAATCCTTTACTCTCTCATGGCCCACTACCCTATTGTTCTCTTATCTGTGCTTCATGAACTGGTCTGTCCTCCCTATTATCAGAAACCAATTTACAAAGAACAGTTCTCGTGAATGTCACCCTGCTAGGTAATCAAAGAGAATTATTACTACAGAAAATCATTAAGAAATGATGTTTAAAACTACAGAGAGCTAATTAGTTATATTTCTAAAAACAGAAAAGCTGACCCTGGGAATTTCATTGAGCTAACTTGGCCTGTCAGTGGTGGGGCTAGAGAAAGAAGTTGGAGTCCTTACTGATTATAATCTTTACCACGGTTCTTATACAAATGTCTAAACTTGGAGATAATCAAATGTTTATTGTTTTTGGTTTGCATCTGTCAAGATATTCTTTTATCTTTGGGGTCTAAACAAAAACAAAGTTACCAAAGTCATTTTAAGTGATTTTACTTCTTACTAAACATAAATTCTTCAGTGATTTTAAATGAAGTTAAATACTACAGATACGAGATCAGGCTATAAGACCGTTCTTGGCACTCGCTATGGATAATTGCACCCTATATTTTATTCATCAGTGTGGCTTTTATTAGGGAACATCACCATTCTGGGATGACACAGTTATGTTTAACTTTGCTTTATTTTTGAGCTACTGTCTGGTGATTCTGCTGCTGCCTGATGGAAAGGTCAGGGCCCTGCAAAAGCAGCTGGCACCTTGCCAGGTGGGCTCCTGGAGTAGCAGAACCTGGCCTGGCAGCAGCATGTCTTGACCCCAGCCCTGCAATGCAATGCCATGATTTCATATGATCCAAGATGTCCCCCAAATCAGGAGGAGTGTCTTTTGGTATGCATGACTATCACAAACATTTTAATGTGTATTTAACAACAGCCTATAACAGCAACAAAGATTCATGGAAAAGCCAAGTCAGTCTGATCCAGTAGTCTTTATTTCTTATTTAAATAGAAGTTCCTATCCATTTTGAAATCACTGCCCAGATTTTTTTTATCTTGAATATATATTATATTCTGGCTAGGCACAAAGTGTCTTTAAACATTTTATGGAACGTTTTGCCTAACTCCAGTAGAGTAAAGTAGAAGACAGCCAGTAGAGGTATTTTTTTCAATGCAGAAGTTTAATGAGTAGGTTCAAAGTATTCTGGAAGATATTGTTCGAAATCTTGTACTTAACTTCTGAATTTAAAGATCCTGAAGATAGGGCCGGACGTGTTGTCTTACATCTGTAATGTAATCCCAGCACTTTGGGAGGCCGAAGTGGGCAGATCACGAGGTCAGGAGATCAAGACCATCCTGTCTAACACAGTGAAACCCCATCTCTACCAAAAATACAAAAAATTAGCCAGCCGTGGGCACCTGTAGTCCCAGCTACTTAGGAGGCTAAGGCAGGAGGATGGCCTGAACCCAGGGAGGCAGAGCTTGCAGTGAGCCGAGATATCGCCACTGCACTCCAGCCTGGGCGACAGAGCGAGACTCCATCTCAAAAAAAAAAAAAAGATCCTGAAGATAAACAGAGATTGCTGATGAGAGTGAGGAGGTCTGAACATGGAGATCCAGGGCTACTTATCCTAAAGTGAGAGAAGCCAAATTCAAAAGGCAGGTAAATTAGTTATTCCTCTGTAGGAGGAGGGGAAAACTCTTAACAGAGAAAGGAGTGTTTAGAAACAAGCAGGATGAATGTTTTGGCAAAAGAATGAATGCTGATTTTTATTATGTGAAGGAACTTGTGAAAACACAATCAGTTTCAGAAAAGAACATGGAAGAGAAAATTAAGTTCATATGGAAGAAATTGAAAATAAAATTAGCTGAGTCATAGGTTGTGAAAGAGATTATCTACCTGCTCCTGATTCTCCTGCATTCACCACCCTAACAACGTATCTGTGAAAAATCTTTAAACATGCCAAATTTCAAAAGCACTCTAATTTAAACCTACTGATCAATCTTTTTAATTTTTGGATATTATAATCTGTAACTCCTGCAACATGGGCATCCATTAGCTGACTCAAGCTTAGACCTCAGAAACACAGCAAACTGGTGATGTGGTTAGGCTGTGTCCCCACCCAAATCTCATCTTGAATTGCAGTTCCCATAATCCCCATGTGTCATGGTAGAGACCCAGGGAGAGGTAGTTGAATCATGGGGTGGTTACCCCCATGCTATTCTCTGATAGTGAGTGATTTCTCATGAGATCTGATGGTTTTATAAGGGGCTTTTCTCCCTTTTGCTCGGAACTTCTCCTTTCTGCCATCATGTGAAGAAGAATGTGTTTGCTTCCCCTTCCACTATGATTATTAGTTTCCTGAGACATTCATGAGACATGTGGAACCGTGAGTCAATTAAACTTCTTTTCTTTAAAAATTACCCAGTCTCAGGTAGTTCTTTATAGCAACATTAGAACAGACTAACACAGTAAATTGGTACAAGGAGTGGGACACTACGATGATACCCAAAAATGTGGAATCAACTTTGGAACTGGGTAACAGGCAGAGGTTGGAACAGGTTGGAGGGCTCAAAAGAGGACAGGAAAATGTGGGAAAGTTTGGAACTTCCTAGAGACTTGGAGGGCTCAGAAGACAGGAAGATGTGGGAAAGTTTGGAACTTCCTAGAGACTTGTTGAATGGCTTTGACCAGAATGCTGGTAGTGATATTGACAATGAAGTCCAGGCTGAGGTGGTCTCAGACAGAGATGGGAAACTTTTTGGGAACTGAAGTAAAGGTCACTCTTCATATGCAAAGAGACTGGCAGCATTTGTCCCTGTCCCAGAGATCTGTGGAACTTTGAACTTAAGAGAGATGATTTAGTGTAAGTGGTAGAAAAAAATTCTAAGAGACAAAGTGTTCAAGAGGAAGCAGAGCATAAAAGTTTGGAAAATTTGCAGGCTGGCAATGCAATAGAAAAAGAAAATCCCATTTTCTGGGGGAAAAATTCAAGCTGGCTGTAGAAATTTGCATAAGTAATGAGAAGCCAAATATTAATCACCAAGACAATGGGGAATATGTCTCCAGGGCATGTCAGAGACCTTCCCAGCAGTCCCTCCCATCACTGGCCCTGAGGCCCAGAAGGGAAAAATGGCTTCAGAGGCCAGGCCCAGGGCCCCCTTTCTCTGTGCAGCCTCAGGACATGGTGCCCTGTATCCCAGCTGCTTCAGCTCCAGCTGTGGCTAAAAGGGACCAAGGTAGAGCTCAGGCCATTGCTTCAGAGGGTGTAAGCCCCAACCTTGGCAGCATCCACATGGTGTTGGGCCTGCAGGTGTGCAGAAGTCAAGAATTAAGGTTTGGGAACCTTTGCCTAGATTTCAGGAGATGTATCGAAATGCCTGGATGTCCAGCAGAAGTTTGCTGCAGGAGCAGAGCCCTCATGGAGAATCTCTGCTAGGGCAGTGTGGAAGGGAAATGTGAGGTTGGAGCCTCCACGCAGAGTCCCCATGGGCGCACTGCCTAGTGGAGCTGTGAGAAGAGGGCCACCGTCCGCCAGACCCCAGAATGGTAAATTTACCAACAGCTTATGCTGTGCACCTGGAAAAGCCACAGACACTCAATGCCAGCCCGTGAAAGCAGCCAGGAAGGGGACTGTACCTTGCAAAGCCACAGGGGCAGAGGTGCCCAAGGCTGTGGGAGCCCACCTCTTGCATCAGCATGACCTGGATGGGAGACATGGAGTGAAAGGAGATCTTTTTGGAACTTTTAAGGTTTAATGACTGCCCTATTGGATTTCGGACTTGCATGGGGCCTGGAGCCAATTCTTTTGGCCAATTTATCCCAATGGGCCATATTTGGAATGGGCATATTTACCCAATAGGTTTATTTACCCAGTGCCTTTGCCCCCATTGTATCCAGGAAGTAACTAACTTGCTTTTGATTTTATAGGCTCATAGGTGGAAGGGGCTTGCCTTTTCTCAGATAAGACTTTGGACTTGGACTTTTGAGTTAACGCTGGAATGAGTTAAGACTTTGGGGGACTATGGGAAGGGTGTAATTGTTTTGAAATGTGAGGGCATGAGATTTAGGAAGGACTACAGGTGGAATGATGTGGTTTAACTGTGTCCCCACCAAAATCTCATCTCGAATTGTAGTTCCTATAATCCCCACGTGTCACGGGAGGGACTCAGTGGGAGATAATTGAATCATGCGGGAGGTTACCCTCATGCTGTTCTTGTGATAATGAGTGATTTCTCATGAGATCTAATGGTTTCATAAGAGACTTTTCCCCTTTTTGCTTGGCACTTCTCCTTCCTGCTATTATGTGAAGAAGGATGTGTTTGGTTCCCCTTCTGCCATGATTGTAAGTTTCCTGAGGCCTCCTAAGCCATGTGGAACTGTGAGTTAAATAAACTTCTTTTCTTTAGAGATTACCAGTCTTAGGCAGTTTTTTAATAGCAGCATGAAAGTGGACAAATACACCTGGCTAGGCAGATGAAGAGTAAGATCAAGCATCCACTCTATTTCCTGGAATATCAGAGACTCAGGTGCTGGACCACTGGCCAGAAAGCCTGGAAGCTACTCTTCTCTTATGAGATGTCCATGGTGATTTATTTCTTCCTCACCCACACATCTATCCAAATGCTTTTAAACCTTCATACACTGACTTTATTATAACTTGAACTTCTACTCATCTTATATTGACCCGACTAAATTATCTCTCATTCACAAAGTGTTGTCTTTCATCAACTGCCTGACGAATGATGATTTTTGAGAATTACCAATAGTCTGGGAATTCTGCTGCTTACCTGGGAGAAAGGGGTCTCTGTCTAAGAAGCAGTGAACAATATTTGGATGGATCTGGAATTAGTATCACGCCCTTGCTAGGAAGAAGCAAATCTGTGGCTCTTTCCTGCAATCCCCCAAAAAAAAAAAAAGTTTTTTTAAGAAAATAGTTTCATTGATATGCAATTTATATACCACAATGTTCACCTATTTAAAATGTACAATTTAGTCAATGGTTTTAATATATCTACAGAGTTTTACAGAGGAAGGAATTCAAAGGCTTCAGGAAGAGTGGAGTTGTCATTTAAGACCTACTCACCCACACCAGGGGGTTCAGACAACATACTTTCCCCCAATACTTTGTGAAATGCATTTGTGAAGGGAGTCCTGGTATCCCTAGAGAGCTTGGTGATAGTGATTGTGCTTCCCTGTAGGCCAAACTTTAGAGAGTGAGAACCATATCCAGCCACTCAACTGGAAAATCTAAATGCAACAGGAGTAATTGGATCCTGGGGTGCCCAAGTGGCAGCACTCAACCACCAAGGACAAGGCGACCATAGTTACTCTAGTGCTCAGTAGAGTCACATCAGCAATCAGAAGACTGACGCACAGACCTATAGCACTGGCTAATTGAACAGTGTTCCTGGAAGTGAAACAGATAGGAAGCCTACTAAATTTTTACTTGGTCTGTATAAGCAGAAAAATTCTGGGTCAAGTGAACAAAAGTCTAACTTGAATAATAAAGACAGAGTTACTGACCTCAAGTTCTGGATTTGAGCCAGGTTGCAGACCCAGAATCCCTTGAATAAAGGGGAGGATAGGTCCACTCAAGAAAGGACCCTGGTATACTACCAAAATTGTTTATTGTTAGTCTTTCTCCCAGCCTTCCCCAAAGAGACCCATGGCCTTTTACCAAGTAACTATGCATTGAGAAAAAGGAAATAATCGGACCTTTCAGGGATTTTTGGTCACTGGCTCTAAACTTATACTGATTTCAGGAGACCCAAAACATTACAATGGCTCTCCAGTCAGAATAGGGCCTTATAAAGATCAGGTGATTATAATAGAGTTTTAGCTTAGGTCCATCTTAAATTAAAGTGCATCCCTGAGTGGTCACTAAGTGGGTCCCTGAACCCATCCTGTGATCATTTCCCCAGCTACCAACTGCATAATTGGAATAGACTTACTTAGCAGTTAGCAAAATCCCAAAATTCATTCCTTGATCTGTAAGATGATGCCTACTATTGTGGGAAAGGCCAAGAGGAAGCCATTAGAACTATCTGTACCTAGGAAAACAGTAAATCAAATGCAATACTGTACTCCTGGAGGGATTTCAGTGGTTGCTGCCGTCACCAAGGACTTGAAAAATGCAGGGGTGTGGATTCCCATCACATCCCCATTCAATTCTCCTATTTGTCACTGTTCAAAAGACAGATGGATCTTGGAGAATGACAGTGGATTATCATAAACTTAACCAAGTGGTGGCTCCAAATGCATCAGCTGTACCAGATATGGATTTATTGCTTGAGTAAATTAACACATAACCTGCTACCTGATATGTAGCTATTGATTTGGCAAATGCGTTTTTCTCCATCTCTGTTCACAAAACCTACTAGAAGTAATTTACTTTCAGCTGGAAAGGCAAGAAGCACTTCACTGTCCTACTTCGGGGGTCTATACAGCCCTCCAGCTCTATGGCATAATTAAGTTCACAAGGATCTTGATCATCTTTCCCTTCCATAAGATACCACACTGGTCCATTACATTGATGACATTATGTTAATCGGACCTAATGAGCTAGATGTAGCAGCTTCTCTACACTAACTGATAAGACATTTGCATGTCAGAGAATGGTAAATAAATTTAGAATCCTTCTACCTCGGTGAAATTTCTAGGGCCCCAGTTATGTGGAACATATTGAGATATTCCTTCTAAGATAAAATATAAATTGTTGCATCTGGTCCCTCTTACAACCAAGAATGAGGCACAACATCTACTGGGCCTATTGGGATTTTGAAGAAATCATATTTCTCAATTGGGTGTGTGACTTCAACCCATTTACTGAGTGACCTGAAAAGCTTTTAGTTTTGATTGGTGCTCAGAAAAAGAGAAAAGCTCTGCAACAAGTCCAGTCTGCTGTACATGTTGCTCTGCTACTTGAGCCATACAGTCCAGCAGATCCAGTGGTATTTGAAGTGTTAGTAGCAGATAAGTATGCAGTTTGGAGCCTCTGACAGGCTCTTTTAGGTGACCTGCAGCACAGGCCTTTAGAATTTTGTAGCAAGGTCCTACCATCATCCCCAAATAACTACTCTCATTTTGAGAGACAGCTCTTGGCCTGATAATGGACCTTGGTAGTAACTGAATTCCTGACCATGAGCCACCAAGTTACCATATGATCTGAGCTGCCCAACATGAGCCGGGTATTATCTGACCCACCAAGCCATAAAGCTGGGCATGTACAGCAACAGTCTATGTCAAATGGAAGAGGTATATATGTGATGGAGCCTGAATAGGCCCTGAAAGCACAAGTAAGTACATGAAGAAGTGGCTCAAATGCCCATGCTTCCTACTCCTGCTACACTGCCTTCTTTCTCCCAGCCTGCACCTGGGACCTCATGAGGAGTTTCCTACAATTCATTGATAAAGGAAGAGAAGACTCAGGCCTGGCTTATAAATGGTTCTGCGTGATATGCAGGCACCACTCAAAAGTGGACAACTATAGCACTACAGCTACTCTCTGAGACATCCCTGAAGGGCAGTGGTAAAGATTAATCTTCACAGTGGGAAGAATTCCAGGTAGTACACCTGGTTATACACTTTTATTGGAAGGGAAAATGATTATATGTGTTATTATACACTGACTCATAGGCTGTAGCTAATGGTTTAGTAGGAGCATCAGGGACTTGGAGGGAACATGATTAGAAAACTGGTAACAAATACATTTGGAGAAGAGGTATGTGGAAAACCCTCTTTTAAATGGGAAAAAATCATACAGACATTTGTGTCCTTGTGAATACTCACCAAAGGATGATATTAGAAGAGGAATATTTTAATAACCAAGTGTCTGGGATTACTCATTCCATGGATACCAGTAAGCTTCCTTCCCCACTCACCCCTGTCATTGCCCAGTGGACTCATGAGCAAAGTGGCCCTGATGGCAGGAAGGATGTTATGCATGGGCTCAGCAACATGGACTTCTATTCAGCAAGGCCAACCTGGCTGTAGCCACTGATTAGTGCCCAATATGCCAGTAGCAGAGACCAACACTGAACCCCTGATAAGGCACCATTCCTCAAAGTAATCAGCCAGTTATCTGGTGGCAGGCTTATTACATTTGACCACTTTAATCATAGAAAGGGAAGCAAATTATCCTTACTGAAATAGGCACTTACTTTGTATATGTATTTGCTTTCCCTACTTGAAATGCTTCTGCTAAAAATACAATCCATGAATTTACAGAATGAATGATGCACTGTAATAGTATTCCATACAGCATTGCTTCTGATCAAGGAACTCACTTCACAGCAAAAGAGATAAAGCAATAAGCCCATGCCCATGGAATTCATTGGTCTTACCATGTTCCCCACCATCATGAAGTGGCTGGCTTGATAGAGCGACAGAATGACCTTTTGAAGACACAGTTACAGAGTCAGCTATGTGGTAATGCCTTGCAGGGTGGGGCTAGGTTTTCCAGAAGGCTGTATATGTTGAGTCAGCATCTAATATACGATGCTGTTTCTCTGATAGCTGGGATTTATAGATCCAGGAATCAAGGTGGGAAAATGGGAATGAGACCACTCGCTCTTACCCCTAGTGACCCACTAGCAACATTTCTGCTCCACGTTTTTGTGACTTTATGCTCTGCTGGCCTAGAAGTTTTAGTTCCAGAGGGAGAACTACTCCCACCAGGAAACACAACAATAATCCATTGAACTGTACATGAAGACTTCCACCTGGTCACTTTGGGCTCCTTACGCCTCTGAGTCAACAGGCAAAGAAGAGATTTATGGTATTGGCTGGGGTGATTGATCTGGATTATGAAAGAGTACTTGGACTACTTCTATACAATGGAGGTAAGGAAGAGTATGTCTGAAATACAGGAGATCCCTTAGGGCAGTGGTCCCCAACTCTTTTGGCATCAGGGAGTGGTTTTGTAGAAGACAATTTTTCCATGGATGGGTATGGGGATGGTTTCAGAATGAAATTGTTCCACCCCAGATCATCAGGCATTTGTTAGATTCTCATAAGAAGCATGCAACCTAGATCCCTCACATGTGCATTTCACAATATAGTACATGCTTCTATGAAAATTTAATGCCACTGCTGATCTGACAGAAGGCAAGCTCAGGTAACAATGCTCACTCACCCACTACTCACGTTCTGTTGTGTGGCCTGGGTTCCTAACAGGCCACAGACTGGTATGGGTCCAGGGCCTGGGAGTTGAGGACCCCTGCCTTAGGGTGTCTCTTAGTATTACCATGTCCTGTGATTACAGTCAATGGAAAACTATAACAACATAACAACTGGCCCAGACTCTTCAGGAATGAAAATTTGGGTCACTCCATCAGATAAAGACCCATGACCCACTGAGGCGCTTGCTGAAGGTAAAGAAAATAGAATGGGTAGAAGAATGAGTGGTAGAAGGAGTTACAGGCACCAGCTGTGACCACATGACAAGTTATAGCAACAAGGACTGTAATTTTCATGAATATTTCCTCTTTTTTATGAATATATTTGTGTATGTATCTATATATATACATATATATAAAGCAATTATCTTCATTTTCTTTCCCTTCTAATTCTTTTATCATGTAACATGAGATGTGTTGACTTTATATTGTATTTAAGTATCATTAATTTCACATTATAGTATTTGAGTTATAGGCTATCAGGAGAAGAATAGACATCACTCAAGTACTTTACCTTCCCTCCTAGGGAAGGAGTTAGCACATTTTTTATTGTATGCAGGATAGTTGTGTCATGTCAGGCAGAATTATGACCTTGTTTTCAGAGATTAAGTATAGTTTAGGAAGATGTGTACAGGTGTCAAGTTTACAAGGCATTAGTTTGTGATTATTAACTTTATGTGTCAACTAGACTGGACTAAGAATTGCCCAGATAGCTGCCTAAACATTATTTCTAGGTATGTGCATGAGCATGTTTCTAGAAGAGATTAGCATTTGAATTAGTGGACTAGGTAAATAAATTTACCCTTACCAATGTGTGACATCATCCAATCTGTTGAGGACCTGAATAGAATAAAAAGGTAAAGGGTGGATTCACTTTCTCTGTTGGAGCTGGAACATCCATCTTCACCTGTCCTAGGACATCGGCACCCCTGGAGCCTCTGGACTCAAACTGAGTTACACAACTAGCTTTCCTTGTCCATCAGATTGCAGATGACAGACCATGAGTCCTCTGGCTTCCATAATCACATAAGCCAATTCCTGCAATATATTTCTATGTCTATATCAATATGAATATCTATCATTGCAAACACTCTCATCTGCCAAAGCTGATATATGCCACCCCTACTCAAGGAAGCAGTGTGGCTTCTACCTGCCAAATCTCATGTGAATAACCCTCATCAGCAGAGCTTAAACAGTATCCAGAGTTCTGCTGGCAAGGGATTTTGGGAAATTCAGTTTCCATGCTTCCAGACCTTATAATACAAGGAGACCAGAGGTGAATGGAATGCATGCTGTTTGCCAAAGACAGTATCCAACATGAAACCATTAAGGAAAAGAATCAGCATTATTTGAAGAATAGATAGAGTGAAAAAAGTACAAGTTATAGTAGGTCTCTGAGAATACAGAGGAAAAAAACCTTAGAAAAAGATGAGGGGATGTATAGTAGATGTGAATGGCAGAGCCTAGTGCTCCAATCTCATTCCTGAGAGGTGAGAAGCAATACTGAAGACTATAGTAGAAATAAATTGTCCTCATTTGAAAAAATATGAGGAGGTAGATTGAAATTCAATTGAAAAATTCACACTTAGATGTTCCTAGCAATGTTAGATAATTTCAAGTATTATAAAAGAAACAGGTCAATAAGCAGCTCAAGCAGATTTTTTTAAACTAATTTGCAAATGCAGAAAATTTATATGCTATAAATGAATGTAAATTTACACACAAAACTTTCTATAACTCATTATCTTGATATAAAGTCTATTGTCACTAATGGTTAAAAAATAGGTGTGTTGAAATGAGCTAATTTTAGATTTGTCTGATGTTCCTTTGGGTTATATTTTTAGGCATCTTTCTGTCAGGTGCTCTTCTCCATTCTCAAGGATTCTCTTTTCCCTCCTTTTTCCCCAGATGACATACACACAAAGAAAGTATCCATGTCCTCATGATAAGACAGAGGTCAGAGAGTGGCCTCTGAGCTGCATAGATCCTCATGTGCTACCCTGGAAAGTAAATTCCTTATTTCACCCAGTTATTGGACATGCCACACCTGTGTTTACAAAGTTACTGCTGTCTTCATTGGTTTTGGGGAGATATTGTGCAGAAATACCCCACTGAAGTCTCTGACTTTGGTATAGCCTGCTTTCAAGAGGTCCCAGCATTCTGAAGCTTCCTTTTCTGGACCTCAGGCCTTTTTTGGTTCACAGTTCTTTTTGCCCGACTGTTTTCCCAACCAGAAGTCTCCTAGATGCCAAACAAAGGCAATGGTAATCTTGAATCTAACTAAGGGCTCTCTGTCAAGATACCTCCCTCAGGTATTTTTACTATGTCACTTGGTTGACATCATTTTTCTTTTAGACAATTGCCAAACACAGAGTTTCTCTATGTTTTTCAGTTTTCTGGTCTGCTCTTCAAAAAGTGAGACACTAGGCTTTCTGCTTAGGAATTTTTTTTAACTTTCTATTTTTATTATGTACATTGCCATGCCTCTTTGAGATCTGACCATGGGGTAGGGATGAATGAAGAGGAAAGAACAAATAGAAATATCTAACAACAACTTGGTCCTTCTCAAACCTTCCTCTTTCCTATTTTCTGGAACTTTCCTACACCAAAGCAAACTTCACTCTCTATTTTGGTGCAGAGTAAAACAGTGATCAGATTTGCAAAATCTACTCTGATATCTAAAAGGAAGATTTGGAATTTATGGAATGCAATGAAGCTTACCTTTCAAAATTAGTGTGTCATTATACAGACTGTGTTTTTAATTTAAAACTCAAAGCTGAATAATCACTTTTTTTTTTACCTTTAGACCCTTCTCTACCCGTGAGCAATGATGACTGTCAGTGGCTGTGAGAGCTGTGAGAAATCTAGGAAAAAATATATGGCTTAAATATCTCAAAAATTATTCCTGTACATGCTCAAAGGAACAAAATTACAATTAGACTTGTCCTATACAAAATGGAAGAAAGTGGAACTATAAATAATATTGTGAGATAAAATATCATAATTCATGAATTCCATATGAATTCAATAGTAAAGTATGATCAACTATATAAGAGGTCAGAAAATATACAACTCATATTCTGCTCCTGAAAAACTCAAAATCACTGAGTGACAGACTAATTTACTAATTTAAATTTAAGTATGAGAAAATAGCGTTATGAAGACTTTCCTCAGTATTCTATTCCAATGAAATGCTTCAACTTAAGTATAATTGTTTTATAAACAAAATATTATTGAATTCAAATAAAATTATTCTTAAAAATATACATAACATAAAAATATAATTTAATGACAAAAAGAACTCAGGTATGTAAGCCTAGATTTTATTTTCAAGGTTATTAAGTAGTAGTGGTAGATAAAATAAAATCACTAAATTTCTTATTTTACATGATAAACAAAGTCTTTATATTGTTCTTTTCCTATTTTATACTTTTCTCTTTGTAACAAAATTATGATGTTAACATAAACTTGTGAAAACAGGTTAAATAAAATGTTGCGTGAAAAAATAGCCTATTTTATTTCATCACATCCCGAATAAACTTCTACTAACTACTAGAAGTTTCTTCTTGCCTTTATTTTCTAATTATTTTGTTTTTAAATTGTATCAGAAGAGAAAATATAGGTTCTTTTCTTGTAATTAAAAGTTAGAATTTAAAATAATTTAACATCAATATTTGTGAACTTTGTTTGTCAACTCATATGTAAAGCTTTGCTGATTAGGATAGAACAATTCAACTCTATGCTACTTCCAATAACTGCAATGACAAAGAATAAAAATAAAAAGTAGATCAAAGAGTTATCTGGCAAAAACAAAATAATAGAAAGCAGTCCTAGAGGAGTCAATGAAAAAGCCTGTGTTCAGAGGAAACTTCACAACTTTAAAGATATACATTATTAAGCAAGAATTAACAAAACAATAAAATAAAATAAGAATAAAAGAAAAAATATCTTAAAAGGAAAAATTAATGTATTAAAATCAAGAAAAAATAGAATAAATAAACCCATGAATTATTGGCAATAAAATTAAATTAGAAAGGTTTCTTAAAAATCTGATTAAGGAAAAGAAGACAAATAAATAGAATTAGAAAGAGAAAGGGTAGAGACAGCAAATAGAATAAAATGTATAAGAGATTACAATGCAAGACAATGTAATGCTAATAAATATGTAAAACTGTGAAAAGGAAGATGTTCATGAAAGACATAAACTAGCAATAAATATTTATAATGAGGTCGGGAGATCGAGACCACGGTGAAACCCCGTCTCTACTAAAAATACAAAAATTAGCCGGGCGTGGTGGTGGACGCCTGTAGTCCCAGCTACTCGGGAGGCTGAGGCAGGAGAATGGCGTGAACCCAGGAGGCAGAGCTTGCAGTGAGCCAAGATCACGCCACTGCACTCCAGCCTGGGCAACAGAGCGAGACTCCGTCTCAAAAAAAAAAAAAAAAAAAAGTATAACCTGAATTGAATAAGAACCATTGGCATAATGGAAAACTTTTCAAAAAATTACTCCAAATTCTCCAGGGACTGTTTTACTAGTGAATTGTTTGAAACTCTAAAGGAACTAGTAAATTCAGTTCTACATAATTTGTTCCAGAACATAGGGAAAAAAAACCATGGAAAGCAATCAAATCTATTACATGAATCAAGGATAATTCTGACAGCAAAATCTGACAAACATTATAAAAAAATGCTAAATACAGATCTCTCTTATAAATACAGATTCACAAATGAATCAATATTTGGAAATGTTTATGCCTGGCATTTATTAGCTACCCAATTAATGGCTTCCACATCACTAAAGAAAGCAAGGGTCTCAGAATGAATTTCCTCAGTTTCCTGACCCCACATCTACACATTTGATTCACATATGAATCTATCCTCACCTCATTTCCATTTCAGAGGGGGAAAAAAAGTCTTTTCTTTGTGCAAAAATAAAAGCTTCCAACTATGCTTTGGACCCCAACCTACAGGCAAATAAGGATCCCTGCTCTGTCAGTTACTTCTTCTTAACTTTCTCTTAAGCCTCTTTCTCTCTATTGATTATTTCCTTTCAGCTGTTGAAAAGTTATCCCTCAGTTCCACATCCTCCTCATTCATTACTTACTTAGTGACCACTTACAAAGCATCAGATGGGCTTAAGAGTCATAACCAGATAAAATACACTCCTTGCCTTCAATAATCTTTCCCTCAGAGGAAACCAGCTAAGTCATCAATTGCAGGGCAAGATGGTTAAGTGTTAAAATGTTGCTGTGCTCAGGTACCACTAGAGCTCATGAAAGAAGGATCTGGGAAGTCTTCCTCTCTAGTCAATGTCACGTCTTTATTCTTTCCTCCATTGATTATCTTCTAAAAAACGGTAGATTCCATTTGTCATCTCAATTCTTTACCTCCCATTAATCCCTCCTTCCACTGCCCTCAGAAATTCCCTGAAACTCCCTTTCCAGGGTCAAAAATAATTTTTTGTTCAAAATCCAATGATGTTTTATTCCATGTGATGTTTTCCTTCCTTGTTGCATTTGATACTATAGATCATTCCCTCCTTGAGACTTCCATAACTACAAGCACTTCTGCTTTTATTTCTTCCTCTTTGGCCATTCTTACTTATTCTTTTTAAAAGATTCCTATTCTTCCACACAGCTCTTTATTATGGTTGAACTGTGCTGTCCAGAAACACTGGCTACTTTCATTTTCTCAATCTGCACACACTCTCTCAATACACATTCTCTCTCATCAAGTTTCATGGTTCCATCCACTACCTAAATGTGGCTTCTAGTCCCTATTTACAGTCTGTACCTTCTCTTTTGGAGTCCAGATTCAAACCTACAGCTCTCTACTGAATCTCTCCAAATGAATGCCTAAATGGTTTCTCAAACACATGTCCAAAACGAACTTAGTATCTTCTCAAATCTTGCTGCTCTCTACACATTCTACCACAATGCAAAGCATCACTGTGTACTCCATTTGTCAAACTATCCTCTGTTCCCTCCCCTAGCCCGCTCCCCCATCAATCTAGGACATCAGGTCCTAGTCTCTGTACTTGTTTGGGTCTTTTTAATTTGTCACTTCTCTACCCTGACATCCTCAGGTTCAGGCCATCAGTAATTATTACTTGTATTACCACAGAAGCTGTGTACATTTTGTCCTTGCCTTTTTTCGTGCATCCTAATACACGTTTTTAAAAAATTTCCACTAGGAATATCTTTTAAAGGGCAAATCTGCTAACTAAGGTCACTCCCTATGTGTAAATTTCTTCAGTAATATTTCCAGATTTTTAGCAAATTATACAAGGCCCTCATGACATCACTCCTATGTCCCTCCTGTCTCATCTCCCTGTGGTTGATAGTTTTGTGACTATGGTTTTTATTTCTTAGCCGACAGGAGGTGTATGTTTTGACCAGAGTTTGAAAATCAATGTCTACATGCACATGAATGCCCTCAGCTAACTCCCACCTGTTCTCTTCACTCTCCTTGTGACTACGTCAATCACTTTTTTACATAAAAACTGTCATTTCTCACCTCCTCCCCCAGATTATTTACAGGTTCTGACCTCTCTTAGTAGCGAGAGACTAGTGGCCCTTTATCAGCTCGTTCTATCTCTACACCTTCAATAAACACTCTTCTTCTCTAAGTATTCTGTACTTCAGGTATGCTGAACACTCCTAACTTGTAATATACTGCAAGGCAGTTAGATGTTCTCTAAAAACTTGGAAGTGTGTTTCCAATTAAGGGTTCAAATATTAAAATCAATATAAAATGAATTAGAAAACACATACAAAATCAACATAAAACCAGAAATGTATTTCATTATTAACTTCATGGAATAATGGAATGACCTTTTGTTTTTTGTTCTTTTTAGAGACAGGGTCTTGCTCTGTCACCCAGGTTGGAGATGAGAGTGGGGAGCTATTTGGAAGAGGGGAAGCAAGAGGACATAAGTTTGGCCATAAACATTTTGTAAGGAGAGGGTGTCCTGTGGGTCAGGATGTCACTGACATAGGGACATACTCTGCATGTTATCACAATGAAAGGCTCATATGCATTCTGCATTTAAAGCAGATGCTCTTCCTCTGATCTCACAAAGCAATTTTTGATAATTCTAGTCTTCTACATGGGGACAGACTTCTCTATATAGGATGACACAAAGGTTTTGTGCAAATAAATTAGATTTATCATAGTAGATAAATAAATTAGAATTCTAGTTCCTTATATCGTGTTTTGTGAGTGAGGTTTGCTGGTCTGCATTTATCTTCCCCATTCTTTCAAGTCTGGAACACTAAAGACTGAATGATTAAGTCTGCAGGGCTGAGTATAGACTCTGAAATGTACTGAATTCACCAGGGGGAAAAAAAAACGATAAAATACTATGAAGAACTTGGATAGCCTTTCCAGGTCACACTTCCTTTGTCTCACTCTGAGCCTGTGTACACATTGTCCTCTGTCAGCAGAAATGTGATCTTCTCTGAATCTTTCCCCTCCCACGCAATCCATGGCTCAGTCGCTGTCTGGTGCACTCTCCCACCACTTTCTTATTGCCTTTTCTCCCCGTATCTTGCAATTACTTGTTTATGTGTCTGTGAGCTCCTGTGCCTAGCACATACTTGATACTCATAAATGCTCATTTAATCAACTAACTCACATCCTGGTCTTTGGGCCAATTCTTTTTCCTTTATTTTTCTTTAATTATTAGACCGAACATGAAATAAGGTGCTTTCTTGGGAACCAAGGCTGATGCTATTATCATATAAGACTTGTACAATTTGGTTGGAAGCCACATGTTTTAGAAACTTTTTACTGCATCTACTCATTTATCTTCAAATTATTTTCAGCTTCAGTTAAGCACAGCAGCCTCTATAGCATGGTTACTTAACTGTTCTTGCCATAGATCTAGATGTGACTATAATTTTTTTGTTTTGGTTTGGTTTGGTTTGTTGCTATTAATACCACTGGGCTCACCCTCATGTACGATTTTGTCTTTCAGTAAAGTAGCCATTTAATATATAATAGAGGAAGGCTTTGAGTTCTAAAAGGTCTTGACTGTGTAAAATACTCTTGTAACCTGCAGCTTATAGAATCAGGGCATGTCCTAATGGTTCAGTAGTTTAAGAGGTGTTTGAATTATTAGGTGAGGGAAGTCACTGTAACAGTTAAGCAAAATAACTAAATACATCTGAAGCCATATAATTTAATGTATTAGGAGCAGATCTTTTGAAAATTTCCAGAAAGTTATCCAATATCCTATTGACTAGCATTTTCAGACAAATTTTATAGCTCAAACCCTCAACTTAAGTGCCTATGTCGTCGACTCAGGGAGAAAGAAATGGCATAATGGTAACTCTAGCCATAGAAAAAGTGCTGTTTTTTAGTACACTATTGTTTCCCAGCAAGTATTGTAATTGAGAAGAAACTTCCCTTAAATGTGCTAAATCAATTAATTACCCCCACACACTTGCTTTAACATTCTGCACTATTGAAACAACTTCCAGATGTCACATTTGCTAATAATTCTTTCTTCATCATGTTTCAGTAAGTCTACTGTATTACTGCAGCTAGGAAGGTAGAGAGGCGCAGAGCCGTGGCCCTTTGTTATAAGAATCACTCTGCTGATGAGCTAAATCTTGGCATGGACACAAACTAATTTGCTATCTTGGGTAAATAATTTACTCATTTTCTACCTTGACGTCCTCATCTGTAAAAAATGGGAGTAGTGATTGGTGGTGCTGAGGAAGCATTAACAAAAATGGATATAAGGAATTCTATGTTTTGCAAAGAACTACACATGTGCTTAGTAGTAATCATAGTTTGATGTTCCTCATGTTCTTGCATAAGGATGACCTCATTAACTCATTTTCCCATTGAGAAAGTGTGTATGGCAACACTGTGCTCTGTTTGCTATTAAATGCAGTCTTTTATTGTTTAGAGTCAAATGCTTGTTTTATTTTAGCACATTTAAAAAAAATGTTATTCTAACATACTCAACAAATTAGATTTCTGAAGTCCACTGTTGTGAAAAACCTGAATAGCATCCTGTTTACCCTAATAGTAAGTTTTATTCATTAAATGCTATTTTACAACATGAAGAGATACATTTGGAGTTGTTTTGCTGCTTTAAATTTTTTAGAACCTTTAAAATCACATCATCATTAGTTGAACTTATTCTTAAGTTTTGGATATTCTACTAACATAAAAGCATAAGGCAAATTTGCTTTCAATAATTTTCTTCAAGCTTTGTACTTTATTAGAAATAACTCATTTATAGAAAATCTTTTATTGCATTGGTGGTGAGAATAAACACATAGTTCTCAGTGACTTTTATTATTTATTATAAAGTAATTTGGCAGGGTGTTGTGTAGGCAACTAAACGAAATAAAAGATTAATCAGAACTACCAATCTTTTTCTGATTTGCAGAGTAACAGAAAACAGCAGCCTAGCCCTGTTTTACTCCCCGAAGGTTTAGTTCAGTATGTGCCAGTGATGGAAAACATCGTCCGCCTATAAAGCAACAATTAGGGCTGGTTTCCATTGACTCAATCAGTTAAATGTAAAAATACAAAAGACCAATATAAAATAAGCTCTCTTCTGTGAGGCTTCACATGCCAGAAACGTGAACACCCTTGGATATGTGTTACTCCTGCTATTTACCAATGCTCCAGTGGAATTTTTAGGTTTAAAAGTTCATATTTCAGTTGCAGAATTGAATACAGAAGGGTAAAAGTCAGCAATTTTTTCCCTCGGTTATAGTAGAGTTTAGGGAAAAAGACATGGCTGGAAGAAAAGAGAGCTAAACTCACTTTTTTGATAAGGCTATAGTCAAAGTAAGGCTAATAGATAAATCATTGAGCTTCTTCGTATATTTGTTTTCTTATATGTGCCTTCTATTAATGGATATAAAATATTAGAGAAAGTGCAGCCTACTCAAATTTGCCAGCATTCTTGTAAAGAAGCACATTACTCAGAAATATTTTTTGAAAGAGGCCTTATTAACATATACACAGTTCTCCATATATTTTGATGACAGGGCAGCAGAAGTTATTTGTATTAATATCTATCTATGCAAAGTAGAACCTTAAAAATCAACTAGAAAGAAATGTTAGCGAACAATTTCTGGCTTGAGGAAAGATGTGAAATTAAGATGTTTTCTGCAAAAAGGCTAAGATGATTATAACAGTTCTAGGTCATGAAATGCTAGTGTACATTCACTAATAATCAAGTATTTATTATTTACATACACACATATTTTGAGTTATATAGAATGAATTTAGGTTAAATGAATGTTTGAGATATGTAGAATGAATTTAGTCTAAATATAGGAAATATCTGCCTGGCATTGAAGGTAGAGAATTGAGAGTAATCACTAACATAGTTGTCTTCAGTTACAGCAAATAATATTGCGGTGTATTAGCTACATTTCTGCTTGAGAGGAAGGGAGGTAACTGGTGATGCTTAAAGGGCTTTTTCAATTTAACTCTTCTTTAAAAGTGTACCAAGAAGCCATTATATTAATAAGATGTTGCTGTTGTTGTATCGGTCACTTTGTTAATAACCTTTCAACCAGTTTGAAGTGTTCCAAAAAAACCAAACATTTTTACAATTGCCTCAGAGGATGCGAAAAGTACTTAATTTCTATAAATGCTTCTTCTCCTAAAATTTTGCAAAAACTGATATATTATTAAATTAGCACAATTCTGCATCACTTGCTCCCTGATGACATAAGGGCCTTTGCTTCAGATTGGTAGGAATACGTATAGTTTTTGCATTTTTCTTGGTGGGTGGAATAAAATAAAAGCTTCACGTCTCTGGGTTCTCTGCCCTAGGCCTGGTGTCACGAGTATTTGTCCAGTTTTGTTCCAAAACAAGAAATTAAAAGTGAAGGAGGGGAAATTTCCATTCTGGTTAGAATGAGAGTGGAGATGAAACACAGAATGACCAGGCTTCCTGCTGAACCTCCATAATTTACCGAATAAGAGTTAACACTTCTTAATGAGCTGATGATTACCAGGCCTTTAGCCATCTGGCTCTGCTTATGTCTCTCACCTCATCTTCAGTTCCTTTTCTAGTGTTTCTACCCGCTCAGCATACCAAACTACTTTCAGTCTCCTCAATGTTACATCCTTTCACCTCAGAATCTTTTAAGTATGAATTCTTCTGCCCAGAACATGCTTTCCTCTATTCAGGCAGTAACTATCTAACTTTAACATGATTTTCTCCTAAGAATCTTGAGTTAGCTGGTTTTCTTTACTTGTATTGTCACTATACTGCCTACTGTAGACTGTTGTGTTCAAATTCTAGCTCATTGTTCTGTAATGCACTTTCATGCAATGCAGCATCTTTTTCTAGAGTGCTTTGTATCTAAGATTCTGGATAAAAATTAGATTCTGTCACTTAGATGCATCTGTGGAAGATATGGAAGAGAAAGTGAGATGGGATCATCTTTTCACACCTTTCAGCTATTTCTACTGGCTCACAAGGTGATGGAGACATAAAACTTTTCTAAGGTAGCAAGCTAGTTGCAAGGGGCAACAATGATATATTTGTATCAGACCACAGCTATGAAAAGGTGGAGTTCTTGTGTTCAATAATTACAATGGCAGCTCAAAAAAAAAAAGGCCATCAAGATAATTATTTCATATTATGTAGAGGAAAAAGTAACACCAAGTTTTTCATTATTTCCTATAGTTTCTAACAACCATGTTTATCACTATCATAGCAATCTTTTAATCAAACTCTGTAGAAACTTTATATTGCGAATTTAAGAACAGTATGTAGAAGGTAAATTGATGAAGCATAAGTTGATCCAAGGTAGAACTGTTAACCAGAGATCATCTTTGTCATTTGCATCTCTAGACAAGCCTCAATATAAGGTTATGTATGATACTTTTTACAAGCATGACTTCGACATTTGCAAAAGAAACTCTATCATTCTATCTCATATAATATTATTCAGATTCTCAACTACATAAGGAGAAATAGCAGTTAAATTTTGATATGTTTTGGCTGTGTCCCCACCCAAATCTCATCTTGAATCTTAGCTCCCACAATCTTCATGTGTCATGGAAGGAACCCTGTGGGAGGTAGCTGAATCATGGGGATGGGTTTTTCCTGGGCTGTTCTTGTGATAGTGAATAAGTCTCACAGGATCTGATGGTTTTATAAAAGGCAGTCTCTTGCCTGCCGCCATGTAAGATGTGACTTTGCTCCTCCTTCATCTTCCACCATGATTGTGAGGCCTCCCCAGCCATGGAACTGTGAGTCAATTAAACCTCTTTTTCTTGATAACTTACCTAGTCTTGGGTATGTCCTTATAGCAGCGTGAGCACAGACTATTACAAATATTGTTTTGCATTTCTATCTGTGTGGAAAATGAAAAGGAAAACACCTTATATCACCAAAACCATTTCATAACTCCCAATCACCTTAAGTACTAGACAAGGTAGTATCTTAATTTTCCCATTTTTTTCTGAGACTAAGCTCTAAAAAAACCGAACACAATTAGTCGGTGCTAATGTAAACAAATTAATAGCAGGTACTCAGAAAGTGACAGGAGAAATTAAGAGTGTGCCGTCATAAAAGGTAGAAGCAAAACAAAAGGCAAATCTACTACATAAGGGGATTGGAAATGATAACAGGTTAAGTCATTGAACAACCAACAAGGTGATTTTGGGGGTATGATGGTGGGAGCAAGCAAACAGTCTAACCCTTGAAGTCATAAGTTAACTTCAAAGCACCGTTTAAAAAGGGTGTGGCTATTATAAATTTGAAAATAGTTACACAGATTAATTTGGTTAAACATTAGGATCCATCATGCTGTGAACTCTTAAATTTCTCTAACCACTGTCCTGTTGTGCTCTTATTTTGAAGGGCTAATTTCTTCATGATCATTTAGCTCCCCACTAAAATCCAGCTTCTGCAAGATATCTCCTAAATACCTCTAGGTAAAAGGATCCTATCCCTTCTTTCCTTTAATACATTGTCATACTCTTTTTGATGTCAACATTAGTAATAGTCTGTTGTATGCTGTTACTTAACTATGACAGTCTGTAGTCCCCTGCCTCAGCGCTGATGGTAGCATTATGCATTTAGATGGTTCCCTGTGAACCTTTATTGAATGAATGAAAGACCTGGTAAGGTTTACCAGAGCAGATATAGTGAGGCACAGCCTAAAAAACAAAGCTCCATAATAAGAGTAAGAGAAATGAGTCTCAGCTGAGCCGGTAGCTGACTTAGTAACTAAGGCAGTCACTAAGGCCTTTAGGACCTTGATTTCCTCATCTGTAAAGGGATCTCTAAAGCCTCATCCAGTTTAAATGTTCTTGTAGTATCTGGATGCTATAATATACTCGAATAATGCCTACTTGAGTTGGCATCACCAGTATATAAGTACGTATAGAAATAAACAATAATGTGGTCGTTAAAGGAAACCACAGAATTATAGATTTACTTCTTTAGTTTGTACACATAGAAACAGTGCCATAAGATATTCCTTTGCATGAAACATGATTCTGAAAACAACTTTCCACTAAAAATGCTACATGAACTATAAAACTCCTTTAGCTAAAAGTGTTTCATGTACCCTAAAAAGACAGAGAAACCAAAAAGAGAAGACCATGTTAATGATATGTAAACTGATGGTAGGAAAGGATTAATGGCATGCAATCTTCTTTAATCAACATTTTGTGTCATAACATAAGGAGGTGTCATTTCACCAAAGGAAAACAGAGGTTACAATCTAATTCCTCTGTTAATGGTAGCTGGTTATGATTTTTTTGTTGTTGTAACCTGGTACCATCCCTACCGATGGTTATGATTTTTATATAAAAATTGATACATGTCCAGAAATATTTAACCAATATCACAGCCTAAGAAGTTGAATCCTTCTTAAACTTCAAAAAAATAATAAAATAATAAAAGAAAATGTGGACCGTGTGTGTCTACATGTGTGTGTGCATCTGTGTGCATGCACAAGTGTGTGTGCATGCGCACTGGTAGCAAGGACAAAATGGAGACATCTTTCTTTGACTATAATGCTGTTGATTTTGTTACATGATAACTTTTACTTTTTAAAATACATTGTTAACTTAAAGGAAAAAGTGTTGTGAGTTAACTACAAAAATTGTGGTGTGGCTTTGAACCATTGTGAAGTCTTTGGATATAAAGATGACATCTCACATTTCTTTTGGCTTATGGCACCTAGTCCAGTGCTTGGCACATGCTAGGTGTTCAATACATGTTTATTGAATTGGGTTTCCATTTGTGAGACCCATTCACTATTGATATATTATTATCAGGGCAGTAATCATATAAGCAATCACAAGACCATTAAATTGACACAAGGAGTATTAATTAGAAAGAAAATGTCAATATTCACAGACCCTATTTGGCCCTTAAATTATATGGTCCCTTCTGATTACATGGTTCTTTATAATAATTATATGGGCCTTATACTATATGGGCAGCTCTGACTGATATGCCAATGTAATCCTTTCCCCTTTCCAGGTTCTAGGATTCACCAACACCAAATTGGTTGCTATGCCATACTTTTCCTTACCCACAATGCTTAGTCATTTATGACATAGATGAGTGACTCCAATGCTGGCTCAGACAATATACCAATCAGGTTGTTCATTCCCAGATTCAATACTAATTTCCGCATCCAATACTTGTGAATATGAAAATGTAAACCATTCCCCTTTCCATTTAATTTAAACCTTTATTTTTATTAATTCCCTGAGTTACCATATCTTTTTTCTATATTCCCCCCAACAGAATCATCTCAAGTATTTATGAGCTTTAATCATCAAATAACATACTGACTCTATCATCACTCCACTCTCAAACTTTATGATCTTCAACTTTTAAGTCTATCATAACAGCAAAGATCCTCCAACTCTTTGATCAACTCCTAGAAATATCTTAGAGATATCTGCCCTAGATTTAGAAATAAGCTGTGAATAGGAGTATAATCTGGAAAATGGTATTTTTATGTTGGAATTTTGTTTAAAAGTAAAAGTGAAGGGAGGGGGGAAGACAGAGAAAGAGGAGAGAAAAGGAAAAAAGAGAAAAGAGGCAGAGAGAGAGAAGGAGTTTCTACAAATTCACTAAAGAATTTGGTCAAGCTGTAATTTCAGCCACTGTAAAAGCTGACAGATTTCTCATTGAAAGCTACCAGACACTCTTCTGTTTAACAACAACACATACCATGTGTTCAAGAGCAAAAGTATGCCATTCAGCTAGGAAGATAAAAAGCTGTTTGTCCGATTTCTTAATATGGGAAGAAATACAAATAAAGATTTTTTATCTTCCTGTTCTTTTTCTAGGACTTTTGACTGTTTAAGCTGAATAATGATAGTGATGATGATGGTTATGATGCATGAATGAAAATATTGCAAATATCTCTGCCAGTAAGAAAGAAATAAAGTTTTAAAAGCTACAAAATTTCCTACCCCAACTCAAAGATAAAACAACATTAAAAGGTAGAGATAGGTCCTTTTATGTATGCATAGATATCCACATACATTTACTTGGTCTACCATGAATTGCATGTAGTTTTTTACTCCACTGAAGCCTAGATAATGAGTCAAAGCGAATGGTACAACCAGCTGACTTAGTACATTCATTCCAACTGCTGATCAAGTCCAATAAAATCAAAACAAAAAAATTAGCCAACTGAGCTCTTTAGCTGTAATGGTTGATTGACCAAATAATACAGCCAACACTGCCAGCCAGACTAAGATCTCAGCCGCTCATTGGCCAGTTAAAGGAAGGCAGCCTCTTGTGACTGGATATGTAATGGCTCTTTCATCAGCTGCTCAGTCTATCTTGGGGTAAACCCAAAACAACTCCTGAGTTGAGAGGTTTATGCTTTTTAAAGAACCTGAAATAAAATATTATATTTTGCTTAGACTTAGACCAGTGTCAAATCTTATCACTCTTCCCACTGGCTGTCGGTCACTGTTGAGTTTTCTCTGACTGTTAACTCAACATCAACAATTCAAATTTTTCAGCTGGTTCATTGCAGCCAAAAGGATCATGTTATTAGAACATTCAAGATACAGATTAAATTGTATATCAGGGGCTGCCTGCCATCTTAGCAGTATGGAGGCATGCATTTTCAGGGCTTTAGCTGCTGCTTGTTTTTGTGCATGAACAGGAAATATTGTTTAAAAAATTGTGCTGTGAATGACAAGAGTAGAAATGAAAAAGTATCATTGAATGATTTTCTATAGTGATGAAGAATGAAATTTTTATCACTTTCAGCTTTGCTCTTACATCTGTTTCCTGGAAAGAAGGAATTCAGTGCCAGTAACAAGTATGCTAATTACAATTTGGGCCATAGCTTCAAAATCTTTAAGTAAATGCTGAATGCTTTAGTTCAGTCAGGAAATTTGCTAAGACACATTTCTTCTGACAGCTGCCAAGGAGAATGTCTGTTTTTAATACTTGAAAGATATACTATATTTGCACTTTTCAATAACTACAGTTTTACAGCTCCTATTGGAGTCTTGCTGAGCTCCTGACTACATTTTTCAGCATTGAATGTCATAAGGTAGTTCACTTAAAATAGGTTTTATTATTATTATTATTATTTTTTTTAGTGCCAACCATTCAAAGTCTCTGGACAGCATTTAGTTCAGAGTCAAAAGAGCTAAATCTTTTGCTTTTTTATTCCATGTAATCTCAGTGTCATTGAATGACAACGGACCTAAATGTCCAACCTGCTGGTAACCCCAGTGCTCAGGTTTAGGAGCATAGTGGGAGTACAGCCCAGCCAACCTCATTCATTCTGGCCATCTTCATGGGCAATAATGGTCTTCTTACCCAGGTCCATTGCACCATGATCTTTATTATTTTCAGATAATCAGAAAAATAAGCATTGCTGTACAATGATGTCTTCATTTCTTTTGCTTAAAACTGGCATAATACTTCAATTGAAGCAACCAAATTAGTGACAAGTAGGAAAGATTTTCCAGGTCTAAGTTTCTTGCTCATTATGTTTATAAAGAAAGTAGTAAAGGCAAAAGTAGGCTTCATTTCAAAGAATCTAGCTCATTAACGTATCAAAGAAGACTTGTGTAAATATTTTACATAAGCTTCTTTCATGGCTTCTACCTCTTCTTCCCTACAGTAATAAAGAAACCTGATTCCTGTCTATCAAGAAAAATCCAAATTTATTTACAGCTGGATGGACGTGGGCCAAACTGTTTTCCTTAGCATGACTTTGGGTTGTCCTTTCACTGTAGACTTGCTCAGCATATGATTTCAATATGGTTGAAATGAATGCTGACTTTCCAAAACAGGCAACAGTCTGAAAATCTTGGCAGTTTATGGGCAAATGACCTATTTTTTCTGCTTGTTTAAACTGTTTAATAAAACCTCAGGAGAAATACTAAAAATACTCAATGCCTTGAGATTGTTTTTTTCAATAAAACCAATTGAATTGATCTTCTTCGCAGAAGGAGAAGAAGCAAATAAATACTTAATTATCCATAATTATCAACACCACCAGCAATGCCTTTGCCATTTCTATAGTCTGCTGTAGGCCAGGGATTGTAATAGATACTTAAAGTGCAACATCTCATTCAATATCCATAAAAATCATGTAAGGTATATACTCTTATTCAATTTCATAGATAAGGAAACTAAGTTAGAAAAGTAATGTGGCTTGCCTTATGCTATACAACTGAAATATGGCTGAGCTGAAATTTATATCCAGGACTGTTTAACCACAAAATGTTTTCTCTTCCCAATCACTTTTCTTGGAGCAAGGAAAGTAGTAGAGGGCATGGCAGGTTTTTCCCAGATGAATTAAGTAGCAAAATATGTGCTTTATTATTTGATCTATCTAATCACCTAAATGGCATCTGGGCTTAAAATATTGATAAAATATATCATGAACTGCGTAAGTCAGGAAACTTGCTTTATATGTCTGACATCATCAGAACACAAAACACAGGAAGGTGTTTGTAGATTAGAAATTCTGTGAATACTTACAACTGACTGCAAACTATATCTAAGTGAACATCTGGTCCAGAACCAAAATAACAAAGAAGCTAGAAGTGTTATTGTTAGAAGAAGGGACAGTAACTTACAGAAGAATCTCAAATTTTCTCAGATTTTTTAGATAATTTCAGGCCCATTTAATGCCTGAACTACATATAATGCTAATTATGGGGAATAATCAAGTAAATAATCAGATGTGATAGAGTTATATACAATCGGTTGCATATAACTCTATCACATCTGATTATTTACTTGATTATCCCCCATAATTGACATAAACAGCCTATTTCCTCTTCCGAGTCATTTATTTATTTAATTATTCATTCAACACATCACCAAATATTTGTTGAAATTACTGTGTGCCATGTACAGTCCCAGGCCTGTACATGAAAAGATACAGCAAACAAGAGTCCTTTCCCTCAAGTTCTTTCTTATATTGAGCCAGAATCTCTTTCACCACTACTTCCAATTTGTGTACATGTTTTACCCTCAGAATTAATCAAATATGTTTTTTCAAGCAATATTACTTCAAATATCTCAAGTCACTGAATGAATGTGCCACTTTGGATGGGAGTGGGTGCTTCTCCCACTGTTGCTCTATTTTTTTTTTATTTCACTTTTAGAAGAGTCATCTTGAGAAAACTTTGTCCTTAAGAGAAAATCTTTGGATTTGGAGAATGAGAGGAGCCATAGGGACAACAATCGGGAAGGGAGATATAACTGGTTGTTTGGGGCTGGCTCTAGTTTTACTTTAAGTGATCGCAATAAAGGGCACCCCTAATGTATTTTAGTATTGTCCTGAGATTAGGAAGCAAACAGAGGTTTTGAAGAAAGTAGTAAACACGTATTTGGCTAAAATAATCCATGACTTATCTCTCCTGAGGATCTAATTGCAGACACGAGTGGCTAGATAGCATTGAAATGCAGTAAAGGAAGGGATACAGTATACACATTTCCTGATATGATGTGGCTTCCCACTCTGTACCTCCCCTAATAACTATCCTTGGAGCTTGTTCTATTTGTCTGTATATGTTATATTAGTTTGGTTCAAAAAGAATTGTGGTTTTTGCCATTAAAAGTAATGCTTTTTATGGCAAAACCTGCAATTAGTTCTGCACATTACTTTTAACGGTAAAAACAGCAATTACTTTTGCACCAAACTAATAAAATGTGTCACCCAAAGCTCAACTCAATAGTTATTTCTCAACTTGGAAATTGGTTCTAGGATCCCTGTGGATACCAAAGTCCGTGAATGGTTAAGTCTCTTATATAAAATAATATAGTATTTGTATATAACCTACACGCAACCTCCCATATACTTTAAATCAGCTCTAGATTACTTGCAATACCTAATACAAAGTAAATGTTATGTAACAGTTGTTATGCCATATTTTTATGTGTATTCTTTACTGTTGTATGTTATTTTTTACAACTTTTACAAAATATTTTTGATTGGGGATTGTGCAGAACCCTCAGATACAGATGACCAACTCTATTATATTTCTAATGTGAATAGTAGAAATAAAGCAGAATAAGTTATTATCTAATTCTAAATATATTATTTTTAACTAAGGTAACCAACCCTTGCATTGGCTTTTTTTTTTTTTTTGGTACTAACACTGAATCATATACAGCTTAATTTTTTCTACAACTTTGTATTCTTTCTATTTACCTACTATACCTAATTTCTATCATTCTCTACATATTTAATTGCTGTTTAAATGTATTTTATTAGAATCAGTCTTTCACTCTTTTAGTCCTAAAAATATTATTAACCAGAATAGTCACATTTTTTCTTTAATTTGCTATCCATAAAATTGATGAGCATAACACATATATTTTATTCACATCTTGGCTGAATAAAAAGCTAAGAACAAAGGTATGTCATTCTAATAACCATCTACCCCCAGAGCGACGGAAACCTTATAATCAATTAGATTAGACATTCAGCTGTTATTGTCCTTACATCTGGTTAGTTTCTTAGTCATATTCATAGGAAGAGATAAAAATAGATGTCTGAAATTTACTTGTACTTTTTTACCACACTTTCTTATTTCATGGTTTAGAAGCCCACTCAAACAAGAAAACAAGACATCTTATTTTTAGGGAAGCCATGATAGGCTAAATGGATTCTATTTTTTCTTATGGTATTCATAAACTGTTACTAATAAACAATCACATAATTACTTATGAAGAAACCAAAATTAAGGCACTGCTGTGATATTGGTGGAAACAGTTCTCATTCTCTTTCTGGTCTCTCTCTCTCTCTTTCTGAAGAATCAAAACATGACAATTTCTTACTTCCCTGTCATCTCATTCACTGCAATTCTTCAGAGACCACTATATTTATCAATTTAATATTTTATTTTGTCAGTGTTCTAGAATATAACTCTACCAGATCAGGAAACTTGCACAAATTTGGAGATTCTAGAACTCTTTGATCATCCCTTTGCAATTTCTCTTACTTTGATCAGCACTGAATCTACCTTTGTCATGTGGTAGTCTATGGCCATTAAGTCAGTATCCAAATAGGAATTAAGGACTGTTGAAGTCATTCCTGCCACTTCCTTGGGATAAATTGAAGTGTTACTTACTGAATCTATCTACGGAGTTCAGGAAAAAAAAGAGTCAAAAGGAGGAAGTTCAGGGAATCCAGAAGCAGCTGACCAGTTAGCAAAGGACAAACAGACTTTATAATTAAACTACCTCAGCTATCCCTCACTGTCTAAACCAGTGCCACTCAAAAGTGTGGTCCATGGACCAGTAGCATCAGTATCTCCTTAGAGCTTACTGGAAATACAGATTATCAAGTCTCTTCTCAGACCCACTGAATCAGAATCTCTGAAGATAGGGGCCTGGAGCTTGTGTTTTATCAGTTTTTCAGGTGACTTACCCATGCTAAAGGTGTGATAACCACTCTTCTATGCCAGATTATATCGGAAGATGTCCCCAGGGCTAAATTCTCAGTATGGTTGTAGGGCTATATGGATAGAAATAGAAAGGAAATAAGGTAAACCAAATACATTCACTTTTTCAATAATATTTACATAATGCTGTATGTTAACTCCCTCCTTTCACATCTCAGATGTTTGGAATAGCAAATCTTCTAAGTGAGTTATGGTACATTAGTGAATTAAATGCAAAACCTGGATTAAAGTTGAGATGTACTTACTCTTTGTTCAGATACAATCCATTATTTTTATTTACCTTCACGAAGTTCCCATTTACCTCTTCTGAGTAATCCACTAGAATTACTTTCTTCTCACTAAATTTTAGGGTCTACCAAGAGCCAGGTCCAGTAACATGTCTTTACAATGATTCAGTTCCTGATGACGTTTCTATTACAAGATCTTGCTAAAAGCTTATTCTTCACTGCAAAATCATGTGCTGATTCACTACTGAAAGTTTGAGAAAAACCAGGGATATGCCTTAGGAGACAGCAAAGCATAGTAGAAAGTGCATCAGCTTTAGAGTCAGACTGATCTAGCTGTGACTCATGGTTCTGCCACTTACTAGCTATGTAATCTTGAACAACTTACTAAATTTCTGAATTTCCACTTTTTTGTCCATTGGGTTTGTTGTGCAATACTTAATTGTTTATTTACTTATAAGTCTGTCTGTGTATGGATTTATTTACATGTGCTTATCTCACTACAAACAGCTGATGTGGTGACTAATGAAATAATAAATATAAAATATCCAGCCCTTTGCCTGGAGCCCAGATGTTTAATAGTAGTTAATTCTCTTTTATGTTTTCTTATTTCTTCTGCTTCTGAGAATTCTTTTTACAAAGAAGTCAAAGCATTCATCTTTGGAGCAGACTGAATGTGTGCAGTAATAAGCAACCTGACCATTACAATCCAAACGTAAGAGGTTTTCCACTCTAAGCCTCTGCTATCCAATATGGTGGCCTTCTGTGGCTCTTGAGGACTTCAAATGTGCCTAGTTTGAATTGAGATGTACTATATGTATAAAATAAATAGTTAATTTTACAGTTAATATGAAAAATGAAAGAATGTAAAATATCACACGAATACATTTTTATGATTATGTATATATACATATTTTGATTATGTGTTAAAATTATATTTCAGATCTATCAACAAAAATAAACATATTATTACTTTTACCTGTTTCCTTTATTTTTTTAAATGTGCCTACTAGAAAATTTAAAATTGTATATGTGGCTCACATTTGTGGCTCTCTTTATATTACTATTGAATAGCACTGTTCTAAGTTATTGGCCTTTAGACCACATTTTCCCACCAAGTAAGTGGTTTTTTTATTTTAACTCTTCTTGTCTACTTTAAATATAGCAATGTTGGTAGACTGGAAAAAGAAAACGTGATACATATACACTATGGAATACCATGCATCCATAAAAAAGAACAAGATTATGTCTTTTGCAGGAACATGGATGGAGCTGGAGGCCACTATCCTTAGCAAACTGAGGCAGGAACAGAAAACCACATATTGTGTGTTCTCACTTGTAAGTGGGAGCTAAATGATGAGAACACATGGACATAGAGGGGAACAATAGACACTGGGGCCCATTGGAGGGTGGAAAGTGGGAAAAGATAGAGGATCAGGAAAAGTAACTAATAGGTACTAGCCTTAATACCTGGGTTATGAAATAATCTGTATAACAAGCCCCCATGACACAAGTTTACCTATATAACAAACCTGCACAAGTACCCTGAACTTAAAAGTTAAATTAAAATAAATAAATAAATATAGCAATATTTCAATCAGTGGTCCCACGTTAATGATTTATCAAATATTTGTTAATAACTACAGAGAGAACAAATCCTCAGTGAACTTGTTTGCATATCGCTGTTCAAGAAATTAGAGGCATAGGCGGGGTAGATCAAATTTATGCACAGCAACTCCCTCCTCTGGTTTTTCCTAAGAGAACTACACCCTTCATTGCCAGTTTAATAAACATTCTACATATGAGAAAGACAGTAGGGCTAGAAGTTAAAATTATACACCTGGATGGGTGTGTACTGGTAAGCTGTCATTCTTTTTACAACAAACATTATGAGCAAGTTATTTGCTTAGGTAGTACCATATTGCAAGGCATACATTACATTAAAACTATAGATAAAATAGCTTATTTTCCCTTCCTTTCTGCCCCCAAATTAGAAATGCCCTTATCTAGCATCTTTCCCTGTCTTTACCTTATTGAAACCGATACCAAGTCCTAGTTTCTACATGAAATTTTCCCTAGTTCAGTTCAACCTCTCTATTATTTGACATACTATAACCGGTGCTATTTGTTATATATACATATATTACAAATAGAAAAGGCACATACATATATGTTATATATACACATATTGCATATATGTTGTTATATATACATATATTACATACAGAAAAGGTATATATATAACAGCACTCATTACAGGGTGTGTATATATATATATATATATATATATATATATATATATATATACCCTTCCCTAAACATGATGCTTTTTTTACCTAATTGTTTTTCAATGTAGGTCTTATCTACCTATCCATGCTCTTAACACCTCAAGGAGATTGCCTATACTCCTTGGTGTCCCTCATAGCCTTTGCTTAAGTAGAGTAGGTAACTTTGACTATAATGATAGGAATGAAGGTAAAAAAGAGCAATATAAAAATGAACATCTATGAATATATGAATTACAATTACAAGGTCATTATGAACAAGAAAGATCTGTTTAGCATTTTGGCCGAAATGCCTTTTCTGCATTTCAAATTTATCAAAGCTAAAATTGAATCCATGAACTTCCTTTTCTTAACTTGATCTTGCTTCTCTGATTCCTATTTTAGTGAGTGCTGCTACCTTCCCTTGACTCAGATATATATACCCTTGACTCACTCTCCCCTAAACCCCCTACATTTAGCCAGACTCCAGTCCTGTTGATATGATTCAAATTCATTTAGCTATTCCAATCCTCTCTGTCAATCCCCTATCTCCATGCCTCCTGTCTTCCCCCAGCTCCCAGCCCCATCAGTGGGAAGTGTCAAAAACACAAATTTGAGCATGCCATGCTTCTGCTTAAAATCCCCACTCTTTTTCATTACTTTGGAGTAAAGTCTTAATGTTTTTACAGTAACGTGGTTCATTTATAACACTTCAATGTCAACTCTCATTCCTGTTGCTCCTGACCCCAACTTTGTGCTAACATCATTTTGGTTCTCCTAATCTGTCTCTCTTTTCCCTACCTCTGGGCCTTTCCCATGGTATTCCCTGCATGAATGCACTCATTCCCTCTAACTTGATTAGCTCCTCCCACCACCTCCAGTCAGTTGACCCTGGATTGTATGTTCCAGTGGCATTGCATAGGGACCTGATTATAATTCTGCTTGTCTGACTCTTCCACTGAAATGCAGGCAGAGTCAGGGTGTGCTTCTTTTGCCCTTATAGCTCTTCCTGTTAGTACTGTGTGTGTCTGGCTCATGTAGGGACTCGATCATTATTTTTTGAAGAAAGAACAAAAAATTTGGTGAAGGTAAAGAAAGCAGGGAGATAAAGAAATTTATTTTATTATTCTACTTGCTTTCAAATATGTAATTTGTTATGATCATTACTGAACCACCATTTGGGGACATATCCTTAGGCTGTTGCTTTTTGCTGTTAATTTCATTACAGGCTTTTTCTTGCAATTAGGTTCACAGTTTTAAGAAGAGGTTGGTTGAACACAATAGCTAACATTCATAAGACAAATTGGTCTTTCTAGGGACCAACACCCACCCTCTCCCTGTGAGTAACAGCACCATGCCCTTACAAATGGAGCTAATTTGTCCACTGTAAATACCTGTTCATTACTTCCATTGCGACAGTCAATGGCAAGTGAACTCAATTAGTCAATCAATCCATTAAAAAGTTAATGAATGTTTGTTCTATATTCAGCACTGTGCTAAGCAATGAACAAATACTAAATGAATATGAGTCTGGAGAATCTGGAGCATAATTGTAAGAAATTCTCTCTGGGTGAAAAAAAATAAGTTAAATACAAGAAGTAATCATAGAGAAATACCATGCTAAAGGGGTACTCCTGAATCCACACAACAGAGTAAATTCAGAAAGAAATGTCAATGTGGTATTTTATCAATAAATATCAAAGAACTGTCAACATCAACTAGAACTTCAAAACAAGCAGGTGAAAGATATTGACCTAAAAAAAAAAAAAGCCCAATGGAGTTAACAAGGTAGACGTTTACTCACCAAAATGTCAGTCAGTAAAGCTACAGTCATGAACGTCTGCTCTGTTCTCCCTGTTTATATGAACAGTAGAATGCCAAATATAGGGCATTCAGCAATCACTGACTCAAGCCCTCATTCTCAGCCAAAAAGTCTCCCTGCATGACAGCAGCAGCCAAGGTGTTTGGGTCAGGCACTGTGAAATTGCCTTGGCTGACTAGGATTTATGTTATTCCAGCAAGGACATAATACTCTTGTCTTGTTGCTCCATCACATGTGCTCCAGGGGAAGAAATGGTATCAAGGATTCCAAAGCATCCTATCTCATGTTGTGCTCAAACTTTCAAACAGTACATGCTAAAGAGGTATAAATGCTTTGGGCCACTTTCTTTTTCTAACCAATAAAAGACAATATTTGTCAAACTGTTGAAAGAAAACATGGCAGCTTATATAATTGGTTTAGATAAGTTAAAAAAATCCCTTGGATGAGGAACAATTTTACTCCATAAACACTGAGCTTACTTAGAAGCCACAGGTAAGTCTACTACCTGCATGGATTGCTAATGATAAGGGCTGGAGTGTAGTGGGATGATGCTATAATGAACAAACATAGAAAGAAAGGGGCAAGGTCATGAATATGTCCTGATAATACACTATGTTGGTTCAGTCATTAAAGTTATTTCTTAATGGGGTGAAACATTTCAAATACCTTATTTTCTTCTTTTGATAGTGCAAAGTATGAAACTAATCAGGAAAAAAAAAACCCAACCTTGTAACTAGATAATAGACGAGTATATCTCGTGGTCACTCTTTGCAATTAAGCTTAATGATACAGAGGAGCATGGCAGAACAATAAAGAGAGTAAATCTACAGTTAGTTTTGCATCTTGGCTCTACTAGTTTTCAATCTTAGGCAATCTATTTATTTACTTTCATTATTTCTTTCACTCCTATTTCTCTTTATCAGTGTTTCTGTCAAGGTACATTTTTTTTAACAATATTTAAATATTTTTATGTCTCCTACGTTACCAAGTACAGAGTATTGCACATAGTAGGTGTTCAATGTTTCTGTGGAAAGCAACCAAGTCTGTATTTCAGTTTAAAATGTCATGGCTTAACTGTAAATGGCCATGCTAATAACACAGATCTTTAATTGGCAATAGAAATTTCAGGTTCTAGAAACTAAAATGCTTCCTTTAGAGAGGTTTCTCAACAAAATTTGTTGGTGGATATAAAATAGTATTTTTGAAATTTAGCTTTTTTTCTTATTGTTTGATTAAAACCAATAATAATGTTATTTAATGTTGAGAAATCATTAGAAAAATATTAAGCCCTTGATAACATTGTCACTTATTAGTCCACCATTGCTATAATTATATATTTCAACTTTAATATAGTACTTATGGAAGCCCAATTAAGTTTGTATTAATTTGGCTTAGGATTTTGAACTCCGTTCTTGCATTGCCAAGAGTGATAACAGAGGCAGGAGAGAAGTGCATCAGTGAAAGTCAGAGAATACAAAGCCCCATTGCAAGAGGCTTAATTTCATTACATACGTTGCTTTGCAGAATTGCAGGGAAGGAAAAAAAAAATATGTGTGTATGTGTGTGTACATATTTTTAAAATAATGCTTTATATACAAATATCTTCCTTAATTTGCCAGGACTTCTATTACTTTTATTTACCTTCCCAATAAATACTCAAGATAGAATTATTAATACCTCCATTTTACAAAAGACTGGGACACGGAAAGATTAATTTATTTACTTATCGTCAAGGTAATGCCAGCCTTGGTATTAGAAGCTATTATCACCTGATTCACATAGTCTTTGAATCTTTCTACTATTCTATTTTGACATAAGAGAAAACGTACCATGTTCCAATGCACGTTTCTACATTTTAGTAGCAAAAATACACCCCCCGCCCCTTGAGACCAGCAGCCTCCGCCACAGCAGCAGCACCAGTAGTGGCTGTAATAAATTGAGCCATCTTAAAATGTTTTAAATCCCTCATTAGATTTCGTAAGAGTGAATTGACTTTTTTAAGAGCGCTGGTGTTTTTTTTGGGTCAAATCGTAAGGAATGTTTTTTTCCTTTTCAAACCTACTAAATATGTTCTATTGCTTTAGAAGAGTTGAAGAATGCTGAGGACTTAAATTCTGATCAGAATAGATATGAGGCGGCCTTAAAAATGAACAAACAAAATATGTATTTCACATAGCATATGCTTAATGCATGCTGCTTTCATAAATGAAGTCTCCCAAAAATGTATTTCTAACATCAGCTGGGATTGTAAGCAAACCCCTGGTTCCCTCCTACTTAAAATTTGCTATTTCAAAAACAGCTTTTCTGAAAGTGAAGAAATTAAAGCATTGGGCATATTTCCATGACCACAGCTGCTAATAGTAACTACCCCTTTTATTAACTCATCAAGCATTTAAAGTCTATACGACTGTTTTGCATAGGTATCTTGGAATAGATTTTTCTCTATATGTATATCTCCCGATAAAATTTTACTTTTCGAGGGTAGGTTGACACAATCAAATATGAATAATCTATGAATTATACATTCCTTTGACAAATGTCGGCTGAGTGATAGCACATTTTGTTAATGATGCTTTTCTCATAGCGTAGTTTTTAGACCACCTGAATGAGGAGAACATCGGGTGTTTGTTAAAAATGTAGCCTCTAAGACCTTGCACCAAACTTCTGAATCAGACTGTCTATGGATAAGGTGCAGGAATGAGTCTCATGCACACCTGTGTTTGAACATCAGTGAACTAGAGGATAACGGTGGGGGCACAAGAAGTTACAAATGCAGACACAAAAGGTAGTGTAAGGTTGGGGTAGGCTAAGTAAAAGCAATACACCAAAACCAAACTGCTCATCTCTAAACTTTGCCCGACCGCTTCTCAATTTCCTGCTCTGTAGGTTCATAGCCCAAGTCATTTCTCACCAAAGATTATTAACTTTTCTTATGTGATGAGATTTTACTAGAAATGTGAATCGTTTTGCCAGAAACATCACCAGTGGATTCTAAAGAAGCTGGCTCCAGACAGCCTGTCGACTGAATGACCATGTGGACTGCTGTAACTTGGTTCCCCAACGGACTCAAGGAAGTTCTGTAGGTTGGATGGTCTCTGCAAACAGTAGTTTAAGGAGCAGGACAGAAAACATTAAACGTAACTTAATATAGCACACAATTTCAGCCCTGACAAGGACCAGGTCTGATCCTATGTGGAGATCAAATTACAGAGGGACACCCTGTCCCCCCACCACCATTGGCAGCCTCTATGGGAAAAGTTACCGAGCAGCTGCACTACCTTATCTAGTCAAAGGAAAGAAAGAGGTCATCAGATTCCAGGGCTGCCAGTTGTTAAACCTTTATAAAAACCACTAGGGGAAAAAAATGCCTACATGGTTTTAAGAAAAAAATACACAAAATAATTATAATTCCTTTGAGAACATAATCCAGGATTTATTTTCTGAAATAAAAACCTGGAAGAAAAAAATAAACACACATTAAACTATTAATGACCAAATATCACTTAGGGATTTGACTACATTTTCTTTCTTATGCTAACATTATGGAGCCAAAGGCAGAATACTCTGAAAGACTAATTGCAAATGAAATTGAGACTGCCAAGCATTTGATCAGCTCCTGTCAAATTTATTTAGTGTATTATACTGAGTTACATTAATAAAAATAAATTAATTAAATTAAATAAATATTTTAGTCTGACCAAAAAAAAATAAAAATAGAAATAAAACCATTAAATAGACCAATGGAAAAGTCTTGGCATCATACAAAAATCTACTCAGTAAAATATTTAAAACTAAATTGGTAGCAAACCTGGCCTAGATAGTGATAAATCTCATCTATATAATGTTAACTGAAGCTAAAACAACCACACTTTGAATTGAATATCTTATTTCCAACTTTCCCTATAAAAACCTACAACTGAAAACCTCAATTTCTAAACTATTCTTGGGTCTGAAAGTAACCAGTGTTTTCTAGAAGTCAGTTTATTTTGTGAGGTGCTAGAAGTGAATACCACTCTGTTTCTGCGCAGCCTCCAGGGCTGCTGGCTCTCCAGCCTTGAGATTGACTCTGTTTTACAGTTATCTTACATTTGTTTACCCCATCTTAAAGCTTAAGCCTCTTAGGTCAAGGACCCTGCTTTTGGTGGTTTATCCTTTCTGAAGCAATATACTCCTCTGTAAATAGTTGTGTTTGGCCATCCCAAGACACTTCAGTCGAATTTTCCCATAGAAGAGAAAGTTATTTAAAGGGTGCTTTATAGTTAAAGCACAACAGAACTCTTATTGAGTCTTTTCCTGTGAGTTCCGTCAATACATACACAGCTTGGGAAACTCGAGGCATAGCGAAGCCAAAGTCACAATCAAGGAAGGCTTAAGTGTTTCTTAGAGAAGCTGAATTATGGTCAAAGTACTACTGGCAGAACCCTCCAAATCAGGTAAAAAGTGATGAATCTATTAATTATAATTATTTTGTGAAGATTTGACACCAAAGAACTTACGTATTTCAGTGAATTGGCTATTATTTGAGGCATTAAAGATATAACTAGACCTTCGTTTGTTAGCAGAGTTACTATCATAGTATGTATTTGATGAATTTCCCTTTTCTCTGGCTGGTATGCATGCCGTGGTTTCAAACTTGGTGGGGCATCAGAATCACTGAGAAACATTTAAAAGCATTAAAACAGCAACATCCAGATTTCAGAGCCTTGCCTACCCACTGGTGGTGCCTGGGAATCTGTAGATGTACAAAGTTCCAGAGGCAAGTCTGATTTCTGATGCTTTGCTGGGTTGGCAACCACTACATATGCCCAAAGAGTAGAATGGATTCCCACAAGGTGCTGCCTGCCCTTCTCCTAAATACCTAATGTCTCTCTGGTGTACCATCCAAAAGGAGGACCTGGAGCCTCAAACTCAGAACTCAGGTGCACTTGCAATTCATCACCATGCAATCTCCTTATATGAGAAAATAGTCACCTGAGAAGCTTTAAAAAATACCCATTCCTGGTCTCCTTCCCAAGATAATCTGATTTGATTCATCTGAATGGAATCCTGGCATCCATGAGTATGTTTTAAAGTCTTCCCAGATGCTTTTAACATGTAGCCTAGTTTGAGACCCACTGGAAGGGACGAAAAGATGCTTCTACAATGAGCATCCACGAAGTACTTAAATAATAACCAGGTACATTGTCTAGATTCTTGATATTTAAGTTTCCCAACAATATTTTGAGATTAAGCAGAAAGTATGCTAGAGTATGCCTACTCAAAGTGTGGTCCGTGTACCAGCAGCATCACCTGAGAGCTTGTTAGAAATGCAGAATACCCAAGCCAGGGTTTCTGTATCAGAATAACAAGACCCTCCAGTAATTTGTATGCATCTTCAAGTTTGAAAGGCACTCTGCTAGAGGGAGGATACACACACATGAGACTTCTCTGAAGAGTGGATGAACCGTCCCTGCACGTGGCTTGCCTTGCATATGAAACTGTTCAGTCAGTTCCAACAGAAAGGCATTCTTCAAAGGAGCATAACTGAGTGAGATGGGGCTATCTCACCTGATCTCCCTACCTGGGCTTTTTCAGTCAAATAACTATGTATTACTTAGTATACAGGATGTAGGGAACTTAAAAACAATAATAAAATAATCTATAAAAGATCAACTTTTGTCAGATACTCTGAACTATGGTTTTTGCATTACTTACCTTGACCTTTGGTTTCATGTCTGATACTGCAACCTCTGTTTGACCTCTCAGCTCCTGGCCTTGACCCTGCCTCTCCTTAAATCCCAGCAGGGCAAAGGGTAAAGGAATTTTAAATCCTACATACAGATGAAGTACTTGTGCTAAGTAGTATTAATTCTTTCATTGTTCACTATCTCAGCTCTGGTGTTAGGATTCAATGATGAATAAGGCAGCATTCCTTATCGTAAGTAGTTTATAAATTAATGAGAGAGACAGACAACAACAAATCACTATGATATGTGTGACATATGAGAATACTGTATGTTGGTAATGGCATAAGATCCATATCTTGTACACGGCTTGTTGGAGAATGAATTGCTGCAACTTTCCTGCAAGCAATTCAGTAATATATATTAGAAGTCTTAACATGTTCTTGAATTTGGATAGTTCACTAGTTCACATGTGACACATTGAGGAGCTATTGTATGAGGTTTAGTAGGGAGGACGTGATAAGATTTATATTTTAGAAAGTTTACTTTGGCTTAATACAGGGAGTGGATTGGAGGGGTGCAAGACTGGATGCTGGGAGATTAATTAATAGTCTGTAGTTGCAATCCCACATTTTTCTAACTAAAGAAAAATGAGAACCTGGAATAGGGCCACGATTATGTCTGGCTTCTTTGATTCTAATATGTTTCTAGTTTTACCTTAAGAGTGCTTCTTCTAGGAAAAATTCAGAGATGGACAAGAAGAAACAAAGATTTACAAAGATGTTTACCATTGTGATGTTTATAATAGTGAAAAAAAATTTTTAAAAATACCAAAGTACCCAACACCCAAGTTATCCTTAAACAAATAATATAATAACATATCAATTGGATAGAAAGTCATTCAAACAATATTTATGAAGAATTTTAATTAAGTTGACCTAGGCATATGATATGATATATTAGGCAGAATCCTGCAATCAAAATTATTCAAAGGTTTTAATATGATCTACAAATTCACTTAAGCTTTAATCTCTGCCTAACTCTTCTTCCTGTATTCATGACACTGCAGCTATATGGAAATACTGGTTCTTCTCTAAACCTACAAGTTCTCTCACAATTCCACCCTATTGAAAATGCTAGGTTTGGGTTTCTTTTTTACAAAAGTACTTTTAGTTTTTTTACAATGAAGAGAAAAGCTACGAGGTTGTCACCCCCATGCCCCCATCTCCCCTCCTATGTAAGAACAGCTCAGGTTTCTAGAGTCATTTGTTAAATTAATTAGGTAATTATCTATGTTATTATCCCTTATCATTTTATGAACATTAAATGTTTTTACTTTCTTTCAGCCTGATTCTGGTGGGTAGATTCACAACAGAACTTGGAACCATATTCTCCCCCATGCTATTATTCAGAGTCTCTTCCTCGTGGTGATCGTTACCTTACTGTCATAAAATAATTCTCAGAGAAGCTAGACTCTTCCTTCTGAATATTTGAAAGCCACCAAACAGCGTAGAATATATCTTCAATATGCTTTTCTGATTCTTCAGAAATTGAGCAAAAATGCTTATAAATAAGTTGATAATTTTTTTTAATGTGCAAATAGCTGCATGGTAAATTATCAATTTTAAAGACAGTATAGAGGAAAATTTCTTGGGCTTTTTTTGTGGTTGGAAAAGAAGTTTTTTTTAAGTTAAATTAAACATCAAAGTAATAATTGATTTTAATAGTAATAAAAAGACTCATACAAAGGAGGGGTTAAAACAATGTTTAATTTATGTTTGAGATTAGTGTCAGAAACATTATTTGAGTAAGGACTATTTGCTAAATTTAAGAGTGTAAGGACTATGGGGCTTCTGCCCTCTGGAGGTCCATAGTCTGGGTGCAGAGATGGACGTGAGCCTAAATAACACTAACCAACGTTACACCAGTAGATACAAACGCTGTACTAAGGGAGAAATTCACCTGGGAAAATGTAGAAAATCTTTTTTGGAGTAACCAAGATTTTTAAAGAGCCTTTATAAATAAATTGGATTTCAGAAGATGGATATTTATGGGAAAATGCAATCTAGACTGAGAAAATGCCCTGAGCAAAAATCCAAAGGATTTTGCCAAACATGTTTGCAGTCAAATGAGTACATGGGCTGATGCCATGGCTCTGTGGAAAGCCGGGGTGTGGAAATTGGATGGAAAAGTTTAGAAAGGGCCAAACTTTGGTATTTGAATGCTTATGTTGAAGTATTTAAACTTTATTTTTCATATCTTTCATTGAAGATTTTTGTATATAGGCAATGGCATGATTATATCCATGTTTTGGAAAGATTACTGAAAACATGTAAGAAGGATGCCAGAGGGGAGCACCTGGAGGTTGGTCACTCCTAAATTGATCTCTTAAGCCCAGACTGCTGTCACATCTCTCTGCTGTGTTTCAATGTAAACATTTGGGAAATCATATGATGTCCTTTATTTTATGAGACAACTTCCTAGAATATTCCTGTACTTTCAGTGCTGAAATGTTCTAATTCCATATTGACATTTATCCTCCTCCTGTGTTTGCTTGCACTGTTTTATTTGAATCAGTTTCTTCCTTAACATGTTGTCTAATTCTTCTATACTCACTTTTTTCCTGCTTCATTCCATTGAATTTCATGCTTTGATTTCTTTCCCTGTCTTATTAGTGGCATCATAGTATGTAAGCCTTTAAGTCTAAAATTTCCTTTCACTGATATTGGTTTCTGATTTGTGGTCCACGTAACCAAGAATTTTCTAGATGAGAAACCAATATTGATATGAGGTAGTGCTCCAGCCATGTGCAGAGTTTAGTCATGTCCTGAACCTTTGTCTTCCTGCCTGGAGCCAGGCATTTGCTGAGTACCAAGCCTTTCTCAGATTGTGTCCCAAGCAAGTCTCCTTCTTCATCGAGAGCTGCCTGGGTTGCACTACAAATCATGGACCACTCAGGCTTTCAACATTGAATCAGGAAATGATTCCAGCTGCAATACCCCACCATCAATGTGCCAAGTATTCCCTTAACAATAGGGACACATCGTAAGACTTTCAGACTCTCACAGTATAAAAGAAGGAGGAGGTTAGACAGCTACAAATATAATTGTAACATAGTGTAATGGATACAAAATATAAACATACTGCATTAATTTTTCTAAAAAGTTGCATCATGAATTGAGTTCTCACTCTTGCAGACCAGCAGTCACTTCCTTCTAGGGTAGCCACACTTGGTTTCCATGGGGGACAAGGCAGTGCATTAACGCATACTTTTGTACACGTTTACACATCACTGGGTGACATAATTCAAATTTGACTTGAACATTTTCACTTGGTGAGTAAATTAGAGCTCTGTTACACTGGCAGTGAATTCACCAGCTGGTTGTAAATAATGCATCAATTTCCACTTCTTAGTGAACTTACACAACCATAAAGATGGAAGAAAAAAATGATTTACTTTCCTAGAAGAGAAAAAAATGCTGAAATCAAGACTATTTCAGGACATCTGCATAAAATGGCTGCTTGTAAGAACTTTGTGATTCTGATGTTCCCACTCGCAATTCTTCACTCCACACCAGAGATTACATGAGAGAGCTACTGTGTATCCGTTGGCACTTGGGCAGGAAAAAGTTTGTTCTTTCCTCCCTTGTGACCTGAGAATGTTTAAGGCCTCAGTACACATTTAGGGCAACTATGGGTCTTCCAAAATCAGTTCATCATATTCAATGAAAAGAAGCTTATGTCATAATATTATTACTACAGACTAATTCCTCTTTACATAGTGCTTGAGAAGTAACAAACTGCTTCTCTACTACTATGTACAACAGCCCTATAAAGTGAGTAGAACTGATGTTGTTGTTGTTGTTGTTGCTGTTGTTGTTGTGACAGTCTCACTCTGTCACCCAGGCTGGGTTACAGTGGTATGATCATAGCTCACTGCAGCCTCAATCTCCTAGGCTCAAGCGATCCTCCCACCTCAGCCTCCTGAGTAGCGGGGACCACAGGCATGCTTCAACCCACCTGGTTAATTTATTTATTTTATTTTTTGTAGAGACATGGCCTTCACTATGTTACCGGGGCTAGTCTTGAACTCCTAGGCTAAACTGATCCTGCTGCCTTGGCCTCCCAAAGTGCTGGGATTACAGGTGTAAGCTACCGCACCTGGCCATGGAGCTGATTTTTAGTATTCATTTTGCCTATGAGAAAGTCTGTCTTTCTCAAGGCCACACAACTGGTAAAATCCTGATCCAGGAATTTAAATAAAGATACTTTAATATCTATATTTTAAAATCTGAGAATTCTTGTATTGCCCAAGATCGTTCTACCCAATTAAGGTGCATGAGTCCTTCCCAAGCTCCCACGTGTCTTTTATTTCCCAGGTTTGTAAGAGGGACAATAATCTACATGCTGAGGTGTTCTTAGAGAAGAAATATTATTTCAGGCATTGTTCTAAAGAGGCTGGTTCTGCTTCTTAGAGAAGTAAAACATGCCAATTTTTACTTTCTTAATAAAGTACTTGCAGGAAAAGAGAAAACAGCTGTAACAAAAACACATCCAAAGTAAAGAAAACTGGTAAATAACATTATTTCATTTTTTTTCTGAAATATTATATCCTGACAGCATAGGTTTCTGGATGAAGCCTGGTTTTAGAAGTCAGTTATACTGGCAATCCTAAGTTCTTTTACCTTGTTTCAATTTTCCTTTTATCAGTAACTTACCAGCCTCTCACAGACCACATAATTTACACTTTAATTATTTTGGTTTATTGTCTCTCTCCTTCAACTTGAATTTAAGCTACACATGGCCAGGGATCTTTCTTTGGTTCTCTGATCTATCCCAGCACTAGCATGGTACCTGGCATATCGTAGGAACTTAATAAATTTGCTGATTGAATGAATGAACATGTACCTGGGTTGAAATTCTCACTTTCCTACTTATCAATGAAAGAACTTAAGAACATTATTTAACCCTCCTGGTCCTTGTTTTTAATTGTGGCAAAATATACATTACACAGAACTTACCATTTTAACAATTTTTAAGTGTATAGATCTGTGACACTCAATACATACCTTGTTCTGTAACCATCACAGATTAAAGTCATGTCCTGAACCTTTGTGGCAAAATATACATTACATAGAATTTACCATATCAACATTTTTAAGCATACAGATCTGTGGCATTCAATACATAACTTGTTCTGCAACCATCACCACTATCAATATCCAGAACTTTTTCATCTTCTCCAACTGAAATTCCACATCTTTTGAGCAACAACTTCCCATTCCCTCATCTCCTCAGCTTCTATCAATTACACTTCTACTTTTTGTCTATGAATTTGGCTTCTTACTGCAGCCACGACCTCCTAGGCCCAAGCAATTCTCCCACTTCAATCTCCTTAGTAGCTGGGACCACAGGTGTGCTTCACCACACCTGGCTATTTTATTTATTTTATTTTTTATAGAGACAGGCTTTTCACCATGCCTCCCTGGCTGGCCTTGAACTCCTGGGCTCAAGCAATCCTTGAGTGGAATTACATGGTATTTGTCTTTTTGTGACAGGCTTATTTCACTTAGCCAAATATTCTCAATGTTCACGTATGTTGTAGCATGTGTCACAATATTCTTACTTTTTAAAGCTGAGTAACATTCCATTCTATGTGTATACCACATTTTGTTTATCCATGAACACTTATTGGCTATTGTAAATAATGCTGTGATGAACATGGGTGTATAAATATCAGTTTGAGTCCCTGTTTTTAATTATTTGGGGCATTTACACAGAAGTGGAATTGTTGGATTGTGTTAGTAACTTTATTTTCAGTTTCTGAGGAATCGCTGTACTATTTTCCACAATGGCTGCACCATTCTACATTCCCACCAGCAACACATGTACACAAAGGCTCCAACTTCTTCACTTCTTTGCAAACACTTACTATTTTCTTCTCTTTATTTTGATACTAGTCATCCTTATGTTTGTTAGGTAAACTTTTCTGAGTTTAAATAACTTTACTATATAGGAGGGACATCCCAGAGTAGGTATTAATTAAAAGGAGACTTTCTTTTTATTTATCATTATATTTCAGAAGAAATTTTCCATGTAAATGTTGAGTCACTCCCATTGTTCCTGTAATTATCTAAAATTCATTCAGATTGGTATAGCAATAAATCAAACTAGAAGATTTAAAGAGAAGAGAACAGAGGTTTTGTTTTGATTTTTTTCTTCTTTCACCCATGGAGGAAATTATTCATGATTGGATCTAGTGGAAAGAGTTCAAATGATTATAAACTGAGACATAATTTTAGTGACTTACATTTTCTTTTAGTGAGAAGGACCTGTGAGGAAAATTAAAGATATTAAGATAATCTGATTCAAGTATGAAAAATTCTACCCTTGAATTAAAATACGTGATTACTTCAGTTGATCAAGTTGCCTATTTACACATTTTAAAAATCACAGAAAATGATTGATTCAAGTGAGTATTTGATTGATTTCACCATTGTACTATTTATTAAATGTTAACACTTCATAATTCTTCTTTCTGACCCTTTGGTGATTCATGCCTAGCCTGGAGTTAATAAACAAAGTTTCTGGTGCTTAGGAAACTTTTTTCTTTAACATTCTGTTTACCTCCCTTCAGTTCAGCAAAAGCTTACCAAACAGACATCATGGGCAAGACATGTACAAAATGCACAGAAGAATAAGATGTCATCTACACTTTTAAGAGCTTGTAATCCAGACAAGAAGGAACATGATAATCATTATTTTAACCATTTAAAAATATAAGAGAAGATTGGATCGATATGGCAGAAAGAAACATACATTTCCACCTATTCTTATGCCTAAAATACCATGAAATCAAAGAAAAATTGTATCTGTCTCTCTAACAATTTCTATATTGATATCTATCTATGAATACAGTAAGAGAAGGAATAAAATAAACTTTATTGTAACAATTTCCAATTATGAAAAGAGGATTGGAGCAATATGGAAGAAGGAACATGTATGTCCAACTGCTCTTCTGTCTAAAATGCCATGAAATAAAAAATATATTTATATTTAGATAACGAATCTGCAGTAGCTCATGAAAAACAGGAAAGAGGTCTGAAAGCTGTCTACAAAATCTGAAATATTTTTATCTTTCACCCAAAATCACAAAAGCAGTTTATGATTAAATATAACTAGAACCCATACTGAGGTGGGCAGAGTACTCAAAAAATATTAATAAAACAACAAAATTACTAATAATTTGATGAAAACCAAAACAAAGAGACTTCACACAAATAACAAAAAAAAGAAAACAATAATGAAAAAGAGATACAATAAAGAAAATAAACTTTTAGTATAGAATTCTGTATCGATAAGATATCAAATAAAGATTGTGGAAATACAAACTAAGGTAGTTGAAATGGAAAAACAAAAACAAAACCCTCTATAAATTGATTAAATAGAGAATGGGTGCAGCCAGATGCTAAATCTGTGAGCTGGAGAATGGAACCACGGACATCTCCCAGAACATAACACTAAAGAGCAAAGAAGTGGAGAGGATAAGAGAAAGGTCAATAGACAAAGAAAAGAAATTCCAACATCAATTTAATAGGAGTTCTAAAAAGAGCAAAGAGAATGGAATGGGAGAAATGACAAAGAAATCATGAAAACTAAAGAAGAAAATTTTGGATCTAATTGCACAGCTGAAAGGTCTTAGAGTGCCAAGAAAGACGAATAAAAATAAACACCTAGGCCACCATACTGAAGTTTTAGAAATTCAAAGATGAAAAGAAAATCCTACAAGATTTAGGAGGGAAAAGAATTAGTTAACTACAAGAAGCAACCCACAAATCAGATGAACAAGAAATTATCTCCTTTGCAATACTGAGAGGTAGAAGATAATGGTGCTATATCTTTAATGTTATCATTAAGAAAAAAACAACTGTTTTTGAACCTAAAATACTTAACTACATTGAAATTCAAAATAGCAACATTTAGAAATGTGTAATGAGTCAGAAAGTTTGCCAACCATAGTTCTCTGAGAAAATTACTCAAGTATAACACAGGAGAAAAAGAGCCCAAGGAGTAGGAAGAAGCAGGCTAGCAGAAAAAGTGGTGAGTCAAGAAACCAAGAAAGCCATTTTAAATACTTGCTGAACTGTAGCTTAAAGAAATCAATTAGGAATCAAATTCTGGAATAAAAATTCCAATGATTTTAACATAGGGAGATGATAAAGGTGATATTTAATCACCAAAAAAGCATGTTAAAGTGTTAAAGTGATACATTAAAATACAGAGCTGATCTAGTTTTTAAAATTAAGCTATATGCTATTTACAATGAGATAGTATATAGCAGACAAACAAATTAACTTTTATGCCTATGACAGCATAGCTATATGTTGACAAACTCATAGAAATATATGAAAAAATATAGTATTATAATTTGAGAATAATATGCCCATAATAAATCAACAGTATACAAAAAATAAAAATGCAGAGGCTTTAAATGACACAATTAACAACTCTTATTTAATAGGTAATAAAGAAATTTACATACTAAAATCAGAGAATTCGTATTTTAAAAAATAAAATGAATTCAATAATTCACAATTTATAAGGCCCCAGAGAACAGAAAAGATAGCAATTAATTCTGACTGAAAGGGGAGAAGATATAGAATATTCCAGATACACTAAAGTATTCCAGGAAGAGTGAACAGTACGTGCAACGCTTATCCTTCAGTTTCTGCCCAACCCCATTTCTCTAAGTACACTGTATCCCTTGTGGCTCTTTAATTACTCCCTTGTGGCTCTTTAATTGCTCTCAGGAAATGTGTTAGATGTTGGACAAACTAAGTTCACAGCATTAATATTGTACCAGTGGAAGAAGAACAGAGAAAAGATAAGCATTCATATTTAACTTTTCCATCTTAACTGTCACTAGTGCCCTGAAATATGCAATAAACAATGTTATTTTTAGTTTTAAAACACTAGAGATAGGTGACAATAGTTTGGATTTGTGTCCTTGCCCAAATCTCATGTCGAATTGGAGAAAGGGCCTGGTGGGAGGTGACTGGATCGTGGGGGCAGATTTCCCCTATGCTGTTATTGTGATAGTGAATGAGTTCTCACGAGATCTGATGGTTTAAAAATGTGTGGCACTTCCCCGCTCAGCTTCTCTATCCTGCCAACCTGTGAAGAAGGTCCTTGCTTCCCCTTCACCTGCCACCATGACTGAAAGTTTCCTGAGGCCTCCCAGCCATACTTTCTGTTAAGCCTGCATAACTGCAAGTCAATTAAACCTCTTTTCTTCATTAACAACTTAGTCTCAAGTAGTTCTTTATAGCAGTGTGAAAATGGACTAATACAATAGGTACAGGTATGTGTGTATTTATGCATATATGTATATATGTTCATGTATATATACACACATACATTTACACATATGTGCATATATGTAGATACATATATGTGGGTGTTTTGTATATATATGTATAAACATGCACACATATATTCATATATATGCATATATGTATTATGTATCTGCATGTAAGTATATATATCATTTTCAATATATATAGAGAAAAATATTAACAGATATTCAACCAGGATTGTAAAGTAAAGCCAAGTGAATAATGAGCAACTATTGAATTTAATTGATAGGTCTCAATTACCTATAAGATATGTAGCATTATTCTTTAAACTATAGAATGGTATGTTATCACATGTAAGTGTTGTGTTTGCCATCCATGCCTATAATATGGTAAAAAGTTTCAAAAAGCAGTTTAGTGAATAAGACTGCTCTAGTGTACAATAGCAAAATTAGAACTATTAATTGCAGTAATAGTATTGAGGAAAATATTATTCATACTTCATAATACCAAGCTCATTATAACAGATATTCTATTAATTTTTTTTTTTTTTTGAGATGGAGTCTTGCTCTGTCACCAAGCTGAAGTGCAGTAGTGCAATCTTGGCTCACTGCAACCTCCGCCTCCCGAGTTCAAGCGATTCTCCTACCTCAGCCTCCTCCTGAGCAGCTGGGACTACAGGCGTGTGCCACCGTGCCCAGCTAATTTTTTTGTATTTTTAGTAGAGACGGGGTTTCACCATTTTGGCCAGGATGGTCTCAATCTCCCGACCTTGTGATCTTGCCGCCTTAGCCTCCCAAAGTGCTAGGATTACAAGCGTGAGCCACCATGCCTGGCCTGGTATTCTATTAATTTATTGACTCATAGAATATGCCCATCAATGACCTCAAAGGTCAACTATCCTCAGAGATTTATCAATGATGTTGCATTGTAATGCTCCAAATAAAATGCGACAAAATACAAAGTTCTGTGTAAACCATTGTTGCTAGCACAGAATAAAAAGAAAAAAAATGTTTTGAGATACATTGGAAGGCATATACTGCTTGGACTCTTGCTGACATGGCAGAACTCACTCTTCAAGGGAAGAGCTTACACTTTTTGACTCTATAAATATTTCTTGGTTTAAAGAAAACATTGTTCTCGAGTCTGTCTGTAGTCCTACCATTCCAAATAATATAATAGTGAATAACTACCGCACCTTCATTCAGTAAGTTTTATGGACATGATAGGGCAGGGAGGGAGATGACACTCCTAAGAGTAGAGCTATGGACTGAAATTGTGTTCCTCCAAATTCACATGGTGAAGCCCTAACTGCCACTATGATGGCTTTTGGAGATGGAGCCTTTGGGAAGTAATTAGGTTTAGCTGCGGTCATAAGGGGGCCCTCATGATGGAATTAATGCTTTTAAAAGAAGAGACACCAGAGAGAGATGGCAGTCATCCATAAGCCAGGAAGAGAGTCCTTACCAGCCCTTGACCATGCTGGCACCCTGATCTCAGACTTCCAGCCATCACAACTATTAAGAAATTCATTTCTGTTGTTTAACCCACCCAGTCTATAGTTAGAATGAGATAACTAACACAAATAGTATCATAAACTAGCCAAGGACAAGAAAAATGTTCTGGGTTAGCTGGCTTTGCTTATATAAGGATGAACTTACCTAGATGAAAATTCATATATGAAATACATACTTTATACCTCATCACAGATAAAAACACTCAAATAAGAACCCCAATAAAATAGTGTCAAATGACACCAACAGAGATCTATAAATGCAAACTTTCTTGGTAACCTCCCTGATTGCACTAATCAAGTAGAATAGCATAGATCCCATGTCCTACACTGGAACCTTATAAACCTTGCTCTTGGCCAAATTCCCAGTAGCTGCTTTCATCCAGGTTTCTGTGCGAGACCCCAGAGACAGCCTTCTTAACCTGCACAAACCCACAGTAAGCACGAAGCTCTAAGAAGTCCTTGCCAATATATTTTTTCTAGCTTTTGTGCAAATATGAATGAGACAAAAGGTGTCTCAGAGGTGCAGCAAGCCCATTAATTCTGTTTCTGTGGCCAACTTAAGAGGATGAGAATCTTTCTAACAGAGGGTGTCTTACATACCGTACAGTCCTCAGTCATCTAGCTCTCCTGCACATGCAGAAATCAACTTTGAAACACTAGATGCCTATGACTGAAAATCTTTCCTCTTTTGAATCTTTTGTGTTGTACTTTAATCCTCTTCTCTCATTTTTCCATAGTTTTTATATTTAATCGTCCTCCTGCAATATTTCTCCTCTTTTTTTCTCATGATCGTTCTGTTCATTTTTTCTTTTTACATCCATTTTTAACTAATCTGCTTTTTTAGCTTAAAAAAATTTTTGTCTCCTCATCCACTAACTTGAAACCATGTAAATGGTTGCATCTTATTCATCCTAAAAACGTCCTATTTTTTCCCCATCTTTCCAAGAATTCCCAGTTCCTCACATTGTCCACAGAACTCCTGTTGTTGTGGGGTTTTGGGACTTTCTACTAACAAAGATTACTTTTTCCACCCCCATGCTAGAACAAGATTAAAGACCAGGAGTAGGGTGAGATTAACAGCCAGATGAAGTTGAGAGGGAGAATAAAGTAAGAAGTTAGGGGGAGTTGCTTCTCCTCACTGAAAGGATGGCTACTTTTAGGGTATCAAGCATGGAGTCTTTATGGATTACCCTGGTTCATTCCCACTGCACCCCACTGAAGCCTACATCTTTTTTATCAAAATTAAAGATGTGTGCCTACGAATATTTCCCATACGAATGATATTTGATTTAAAGATATTTTCTGAATCTGAACACTTTACCATGGACTCCTTAATTGCAATAAAATTGATGAAAAAGTACCTCGGAATATCAGTAGTCTATCAACCTGTGATTCACTCCAAGAGAGGAAGAAATTAGACATTTAAAATTTTACCAAATGCAAAGCTTCATGTTTTAATATTCAGAGTCTCCTGGAAGATTGTGTAAAATGCTGGTTGCTTGCCAATAGATGATACTGGGATGCTGAAAGTTACTCCAGAGAATAAAGACTCCCAGATTCTGAGATCTAACTTTGGCCATTTGTTTAACTAATGAAATGTCTTGGGGTAAAAAGTTTTTCTGACTACAAAAAGTTTGTCATGCAGCATAGTGAAGCAGCACACACAGTGGTTGGAGCAAAGACTGTGTTCCAATACTTTTCCTGACTTTGCCATTCTTATACGACACTGGGCAAATTACTTCTCCTTGCCTCAATTTCCCCATCTGTAAAATGGGGATAACACTGGTACCTATTTCTTAGAATTTTGAGAGAATTTAAAGATAATTTAGAACAGTCCCTGGTACATAAGAAACACTAAATATAATTTAGCTATTATTTTTAAGGCTACCTCAGTAGTCTTCCTTAAAACTATATGGAATCCCTCAGGCATAATTCTGTACCCCTGCGCAGTCATTTAAAGTTACAAGTTTTTCAATACTTAGGGGAAAGATCTTCACCCCTGTCCAGAAGCTGAACAATATATTAAGCATGTCCTAGGGCATGGTTTTGTGACCATGAAGAAAGAAAAAATCTGGAATCAGAAATGCCAGAGTTTTAAGTTTTATTTTTAAGAAACCATTAACCAATGATTTTTATTCATTAATTTTAGTAATTATAAAATGTGAAACATGAAGGCTGGCTGAGCTAAGAAAGTGTGTAGCATCAACTTCGAATCATGAACACTGGTTATTGAAATATGGATTTTGTTATTCAATAAAATTACAAATGCAGTAGCTTATTTGGTACCTACATCATGATATGCTTCTAGGCAGTTATGCATAAATAAGAAATTAATTTGCTAGCATTGCATTTATACTACTATATCAAAATTTAGCTACTCAGGAGGCTGAGGCAGGCCATTCACTTGAACCCGGGGGGCGGAGGTTGTAGTGAACCGAGATCATGCCATTGCACCGCAGCCTGGGTGACAGAGCGAGACTCCATCTCAAAAAGAAATGCTTTTTATTAATTTTTGAAGAGGCTGCATGGATTTAAGACGGCAGACTCGGGAGCTAAACTGCTGATACTTGAAACCCACCTCCACTACCTACTCGCTCCATGAGCTCTGGCAACTTACTTGACTCCTCTCTCTACCTCAGTTCCCTTATTGTAAATGGAGAAATAACTATACCTCCCCACTGGATTGTGATAATAACACCTAGAATAGTGCTGGACACGTAGTAAACTCCCCTAAATTGTTAGCTTACATTATTATTTCTCACTTAGTATTTTTTTCTGGCCAACATTAGGTATAAATATTAATGATTTTATTTTAAAACTGCATGGCATTTTAATGGTCATTTAAATTTAATCTATTATAATGGATCATTTAATGGTTAAACTTCACATCATCAGCATTACGTGCACCCACAAGAAAATCAGGCTAAGACATAATGGCTTGGGAACTTACTTGAAAATAAAGTAAGCTTCTTTTGGTCATGTCCATGATCTATGGCTACCTCTTCTGGACACATCTTGTTCAGTTCTGCCTTCCGTCTCTTCTTCAGTGGGACTCACTGAGTGCATGCTCTGGGCTGTATTTCAGGGTGAAGTGTTTGGGGGCAGAAGGCTTGGGATAGCAGATTCGTAGGTTCCCTGGACGTTGAGTCTACCAATTTCCTTCCTGGAGTTGTCTGCAAATGTAAACATGCAGGAAGACAGAGGAAGAATCTAGAGATCTCACACAGAGAAAAAAGGGGAAAGAATACAGGGAAAATGGGCTTAGAAATAAGACAGCATTAAGGTTAAGAGTTAAGAGGAAGGCCAGGCTCGGTGGCTCATGCCTATAATCCTAACACTTTGGAAGGCCGAGGCGGGCAGATCACCTGAGGTCAGGAGTTCGAGACCAACCTGGCCAACAGGGCGAAACCTTGTCTCTACTAAAAATACAAAAATTAGCCAGGTGTGGTGGCAGGCGCCAGTAATCCCAGCTACTAGGGAGGCTGAGGCAGGAGAATCGTTTGAACCCGGGGGTAAAGATTGCAGTGAGCCGAGATAGCACCGCTTCACTCCAGCCTAGTCAAAAGAGCGAGACTCTGTCTCAAAAAAAAAAAAAAAAAAAAAAAAAGAGTTGAGTAAGAGGAGGAAAAAAAAAAAGCAGAAAGTGAAAGAGTGAAAGGGCTTTACTAGCCCCAGTATCTTTTAGCTACTTCTCATCAACCACCCTCCAGGCATTCTAAAGCTGCTCATCCGATTCAGATTTATGGCTGGGTGCTGGTGAGTAGGTGTAATCTTTCCCTAATCTTTCCCTTCCTTTAGTACTTCAGTCATTTTATCCTTCATGCATTAATTCAATATGCCACTATGTAGCACTTTCTCTGGGCAAAGCAATCATTCTATTAGACATTGGGCCTGGAGAAGGGAAAGGTGATTACCAGGATGGAAAAAAAAAAAAAAAAAAGACACAAGGGTTTGTGGTTTGGTGGAAGAAACTTTATAAGGATACAGAAACATTACAATCGAGTTAGTGATCATAAGTATTAGGGTTGCTGAAAGAGAAGAATGACTAGTTCTGCCTGGGTAATCGGGGACATTTTCCCAGAGGATTTGACACTCCAGTAAGTCTCTAAGGACAACGAGGTACTCCTCAGCCTAAAATAAACCATATTTCAGAGGGTCTGAGGCTTGCAGAAGCATGATGTGTTCTGGAAGCAATAGTTCCTTATGGCTGTAATAGAGGGAGTGTGGGTGAAGGCAGAAGACGTGGAGGAGGATGTGGGGCCGTTGAGAAATCATGTGCCCAAATAGGTTTAATATGTCTCTTTCATCTCTCTTCTCCTCCCACCATCCTCCCTAGTGTGACTAAATGAGAGATACTTGGAAGTTCCTGTTTCTGGTTCCGGGGAAGGCAGAGAATCCATGCAGCATGGAGAACGGCCTGGGGTGACCTGAGCATCTGGAAGGTCCATTTTCAGTCTCCAGGCTGGGACTGCTGAGTGGCTAGTGGTGTCACTAAGTTACTAAAGAGGATAGGGGTCTGTTATTGGATTTTCTCATGTCATAGCTAATAGTGTCAGTAAAACATAAAACATAACTTAGACACTACTGTTAGATGTACTTTTTTAAGTTGCTTTATTGAAAATTGCATGTATACTGCATTGGTATAGATGGCCAGACCTGTATGCATGTGTGTGTGTGTGTATGTTTGTCACCTTTTTTAGCCTGTAAAGGGTCACAAACCCTGAAGAACAAGCATGCTTTTCTAATATTCTTAGTTGTACCTATATCTGTGTATTCAGAACAAGAGTACGGTGTGGGCTTTTTGTGCCCATGGAAGTGTCAAACCAGGTATCAATGGCCCAGGAAATGCTGAGAATCTCACAAGACATGGCCAGTTATTTATTCTCTGGTGACAGAGTGTGGAAAGGGATCAGCTTTCCTCTAGCCAGTCTTAGTCTCTGCTCAGGCGGAGAGTTGCAGTATGGTTGAAACAAATACTCTTTTCTCATATATTCCACTCTAGCTTGTGCAAAATCCTTCTATCTGGCAGAAAGAGACAGAGAATTCTTTGCTCGTGTTTTCCTGGGACTCACCCCAGTAACACTCCCTGGAAACTTTATCTGCCAGGCCATATAAGAACACCGAATAGCTTAGCAGAAAAGGAAACTGATATGAAAAGTGGACAAGAAATTACCCAAAAAGGTCTTATTTGAATCCAAGCACCAAAAAATGCAGAAATGCACAATTAACTGATTTCCTAATATATTAGGAAGTAACTCAGTCTCTGGCTACCTAAAATTGAGTTATACTAGGAGAAAAATAATATCAACACTTAGTTTGCATAATGTGATGTGCTTATTAAGGAAGTCTACTGGATAGTGATGCTACACAAAATAAAATGTCCACATTTCAACATGATCTGCTTTTAAGTTACAGAAACTAAAACTCAATATACTTTCTGTTGGCATCTTATAAAAAAGTTCTTACAGAACCTTAGCCTAATAGGTCAGTACCAGCAGCACCAATTTTGTGCAGTTCTCCTGAAAGCTTTCAGCAGTAAATCTCTAAAAATGTCCACTTAAGCAGTAGAGGTCATAAATATTTCACGAGAGCAATAAAACAGAACAGAATTTTGGAAGTTATAATTTTAGTGGATATAACTGCACTTTATAAAAGGAAGACCTCTGGGACCCAGAATAAATGCAAAACTCTGTCTGACTGAACTGCAGTACTAACCCATCTGCAAGTGGTAAATTATCCCCAGTCCCAGGTGTGGTGCATTATACTCAGGGTGTCCAGTGATTAAAGGTGAGAACGTGGCCAAAATCCAAGGGAGCACTGAACATTAATGATGGCTGGAAATCATCAACAATTTCTCTGGAAGTTTGATTATTTTCTATTTGTTCACATTAGTCAGGCCCAAGATTCAACAGATTGTCTATGATCAGTTCCTGGTGTGTACAGATACACCAGTGAAAGAAGCCCAGAGGCTCTTTGTTTGACCCGGAAGGAGTTCACAGAGAAAAATAAAGTGATAATCCTGTTACCGATAATCCCTCAGGCTGCCAGAAAGACAGACATTTACTGAAGCCTTTATATTAAAATTCAACTGATGATTGCAAAGCAACATAAAAATGTCCTTACATTTGTGCTTTCCCTGATACATCACTTGTTCTGTTTAGTACGCATTTGCATAAAGGTTCTTTTACATTTAAATCTGTATCTGAGTGTTAGAAACTCCCCAAGTGCCAAGGTTAAGCTTAATTTGATTTCCTAAACTCTCCCACCATCCCACCTCCCCATACACTCATGTGTACATAAAGAGCTCTGTGGATTTTAAATGCGAGTGACTATTATTTCACAGTTACATCCATAGTTTTTGTTAACATCTTTTATACTTTCCACCAAGTTCTTCAATTGTCTGTCCACTTGGCCCCAAACTAATTTTAATTGGCGTAGTCTAGAAAACTCATAATTACAATATTGAATGAGGGTAGCAGGAATAGAAAAGTTACATCTGAAGAGCAGATGAAAAAAATGTTCATGCAAGGCGGCCCAAGCTTCTGATTTTTAATCAACATTTGATTGTAAACTATTAAAATGCCAAATCACTTGGCAATATTGTGCTATGTCTTCACAGCTTAAAATAGTCACTGTGAAATTGTCATTCCATCCCAGTTTTCTCATATGAAAATAATAACACATTGTACCTTTTGCTGTTGTTTCTAATTTTTTGGTTTTTATTATTGTGTAACTGAAATGTCAGCCTCTTGCATCTAAGGGTCACCTTCTAGTTTATTTGGAAAATAAAGGGTAAGAAAGTTTGTCTCGTGTCTCCTCCTGAGTCATTGACTTGGCAGTGCTGCCCATGTCATGTGTTCCACTCTGCCTTGCTTTCAGCATGGCCTTTGGTCACGACTCTGTTCACTGCTGTTTACGACCTGGGCTTGGGTCTTCCCTGGTGGTATAGCACTAGTACCGGAAGGGCCACACTTTCTATCACTGACCTGTCACTTTGCTCCCATTAATACTCAACCACAAAGTTTATGTGTTATGGATTCTGCTGCAGTTTTGGAGACTGTTCCAAGTAAAATGCTCTAGGAAAAAAAAAAACTTGCTGAATACTCTCATGGGTTGGTTTTACCCATGGCCTTTTTTCAATCTGGGCACTTCTGGGATACAGTGATCATTCCACAGGGCCTTTCCCAAAGACTGAGATAGAGAATCCAAGGCAAGTCTATAAGAGCAGGGAGTGGGAGTTGGATTTGGAAGGAGAGGGGCCTGCAGAAAATAGCCTATAATGGGTTCTGCAGCTTAAAGTCTGATTACCATCTAGGCCCCTCAGCCCGTGTGAAGAGAAGCCAGCCTAGGTTACTGGGTGGATGTGTGTTGTTTTTGCACACCCAGAATTATTCTCCTTATACTTGTGATAGTGACTTGAATTTCCTTGGATATCAGCCCTATATATTTCCATTCCTTGTGGTTTAGGTGGGGCTGGCCCAACCCCTGGACTCAGAGGTGAGCTCATGACCCAGATCTGGACAATTGGTATTGTGTTCTGGCCATGATGATTGGTTAATCACTCTTTAATCTAAGTAATCCCAGGAATTTTTTTTTTGGAGCAACTAGAAAAGACAGGTTGGGGTGTGTGTGTGTGTGTGTGTGTGTGTGTGTGTGTCTGTGTGTCTGTGTGTGTCTGTCCTAAGACAGCTAGCAGAGAGGATGAAGTGAGTCTGAACTGCCATCAGGCACCATAAAAGCATAAAAATGAGGACAACCGAGAGGAAAGCAGGGCTGAAGTGTGAAGACAGACTGGCTCTAATGATGGAATTTGAGACCCTTGGATCCAGCCATGATCAAAGCTGGTACTGCTGAAATTTTCAGTGTGAGAGCAAAGTATTTTTTTTTCCACATTAGCCAATTTGAATTGATTTCCTGTCACTCACAATCCAAAGGTTCCTGAATGATATATTTTGGAATTTTTTCCTATTTACACAAGTTATATGGATACTCACTGACACACACACACAGAGACACACACACCTCCCAAGGACAAACAATAATCTCAAAAATATTGCAACCTAGGTCCATAGCAGGAGAGAGAAGCACTTTTTTGTGAATATAATATGCACCAATATCTGTGAACAATGTCTATAGCAGTTTATATTATTATATAAAACATTTCCATTTCCATGTCTTCTTTCCAGACAATAATGCCAACCCTTAGTGAAGCAAAAGAAATTGGATCCATTAAAGTCCCATGACAAATAACAAAATTACATATTTTTTTTAGTTATATAAAAGTTAGCTGGAATCAAAGTCAAAATTTTTGAAATTCAAGGTCAAATTATTAGGCAGGCATCCATCTCCCTAACTCATTATATCTTCGGAAGCAGGAGGTCACAGTATAGGATTTATTTCCCTCTTCAAATTCCTAAGATAAAGGAATGAGGGAGAGGCAGGACAGAAGACTAGTTCTTCCAGTAACATTTGAACTTAGGCAACTTTAACCAATGTTTATAAAGAAGACAAAATCTATTTACATTTTTCCAAATTCTTTATGATCTTTCTCAATTACACATACATTCATCTCCATTTATGAGAGAAGAGTGGTTTATATTAGATAGAAATAGATCAATGGAGAGAAGGAAGGTTGAGAAATCAGTGCACCACTCTAGAACAGATAGGGTTTGCTGAGATATCTTTCTCATTGTGTTGAAGATATGATTTAAGTCGTTAAGCTCAACTTGAATGTAAAAGATTTCCAAACTTTCTTATACTAAGAAAGGGTGACTATTTGTCCAAAGACTAAATATTTTAGTAAATCAGAGTTTGGTTGCCTATACATCTATTAACTTGTTCTTGGTGTACTGTGTTGTGTGTGTGTGTAGTGAAAAGGGGTAATGAAGGCAGAGGAGGGGAGGTAAGAGCCTTTATTTTCTTCATTTATTCTATCTCCCTTAAGAAGGAGAATTAAGTAGTAAACCAGAGATGGAATTCCAGTTTGGGTGTCAGAAATTATTCCTATTCCAAAAGACTTCAGTCTGTGTTTCACATTCATATGATACTGAATATCATGGCGTTCTTCTCATGATCAGTGATGGTCAAGTACGACCCTTACTTGCAGGATACTGGCATCGGTAATGAAATTTGTTTAGCTCATCAATAGTTAGTTGGTTCTCAGCCCAGTGCATATTTTGACTCAATTTATATACATTGAGTCAAAATATGTTTATAAACAACTAAACTAAATATATATGTTTTATATATGTATTTAGTTATATATGTTATATATATTTTATATACATATTTGGTTAGCATATAAATATTAGTTTAATATAGTTTAACATATAAACTTATATATATTTAGTTTAGTTGGTTTTAAAATATACATATCAAAGTATTGAGGTCAGGAGCAAAGATTTTTGTGCCTTCTTAAATATGCTCTGCTTTCTGGCAATCCATTCCAGCAATTCCTTTTAGCCAGTGTAAAGTTGATATAACACTTCTAATTCCATCAGGGCAGAGCATGATAGTTATTTACTTATCTTAGGCATTTTTTAACTGCCAGGATATCTTAATCTCTGGGAGATTATTGACTTTAGCCCAATCTGTGATACTTTTCTTTGGGATGAAAACCCTTCCCCTTTTCTTTCCCCTTCCCAGCTAAGCAGATCTGTTCCACTCCCGTGAGTTGCTATCTGTTTGGTTTGACTGCTCACTGAGGACTATTTGTTTACTCTCTAGGCCTCTCCTCTTATAATAGAGCCTGTTATTGATCAGTCAACTTTACCTCCCAGAGTAAAATCCAAAGTCTTTAGCATGGTACTTGAGAATCTCCTTGATTTTGAATCCCTTCTTTTTATTAGATTGAACCATCTATAGTTCCTACTCAAGCAGACTTCCATGTATCTGGTTTTAAATGTTGAGAAAATTCTCTATTCATATAACATCATATACAATATGTGATCCTGTTGGCTTTTTAATCAGTGATTGACATGTTTATTATTTTTCTTGTGAATGCATTAGAGTTTGCTAATGGTTTTCTTCATGTTATACGAGTCTGTTTCTTAGAACAAATCCTGTATCTTCACAGTGGATAATTATTTCAACAAGATGTGTTCTATTTTAAAATTTTATATATAATTTTCCAAAAATACTCATAAATGAAGCTAAATTATATAATTTTTTGGACTTTCTGAGTTTGGGTACCAAAATTGAATGTTTCATAAAATGAATAAGATAATAATTTTTAAATTAATGCATCACTTTGGTAATTTTATATTTTTGTTGGAGAATTTCTTCCGTATATATAATTGTTACATTTATTCACCTATTTTCTATTAAAAAGAATAAGATTTCCTTTGCCCCAATGTCTGGTTGGCAGATCCATCTAAAAAGAATATTTCTCAGTGGTTAAGAGCATAAACTCCTGAAGCCAGACTTCCTGCCATATTAGTGTCTTCTTAGCTAAGTATTCAACCTTTCTGTGTCCCAGCTTCCTTATCTTTAAAATGGAGATGATGATGATAATAATATTACAAATATTGCAAAGTTGCTATAAAGATTAAATGTGTTACTATATAGAGAGCACTTACAAACACCTAGGAGGAGAAAGTGCAGCTATTTCTTATCTACTGGTTGCTTAGTAAGCACTTCAAACTTAAAAGGTCTAAAACAGAATTTTGATCTACAATTGATCTCAACCTGCTCCTTCTATAATCTCCTTCTCAGTAAAACGTACCATATTTTCACAAAGTTGCTTAGTCCAAGAAACCACTAGCTATCAGTGATTCCTCTCTTTCCCTCATCTCTCACATCTAATTCATCAGAAAGTCTTAGCTGCTCTGAATTTTAAAATATCTTCTAAATTAGACAATTTCTCACTATTTGCATAATTGCTGTCCAAGTCTACAGTGCTATCACCTTTACTATTCTCATGGCCTCTTTAATGATCTCTCTGGTCCCACTCCTATGCCACTTCATTTCATTCTCCAAAGAGAAGCCAGTATCTCCTCCTTAAAAAAATTAGATTGAATTATCTTCCTGCTAAAACTTAGTTTTGAGACTTCCTCTAACATTTAAAAGAAAACCCGAATTCTTTATTCTAATCTGAAAGTCCTGGATACCCTGGCCCCGTATCACCCAACCTCATTTCTTATCAGGTCCTGACAGTGGGTGTCTTCAAATACATGAAGCTGATTTCTACCTTAATCCTTAGGGTTTGCTATTTGGTCTGCCTGGAATGCTTTTCCCCAAGATCTCGAATCGCTGTTTCCTTCTTTTTGTTTTCATCTGTACTTAAGTGTGATCTCAGAGAGGTCTCCCCTGATCTTTCATTCTAAAATAGTCCTCTAATTATTTATTCTGTTTATTTTCCTCATAGCACCTCTTACTTTGATCTGAAAGTACATTATTTGTTTATTATCTACATGATTATGGTCTTTTTCTCCCCTAGAGACATAGGGACAGGGGTTCAATCTTTTCGTTTTCAACACTGAAACACTCAGTGCCCATAACAATGCACAGAGGTTCTCAATCAATATTTACTCAATCAGTCATTATTTAACAAATACTTCCAATAGCTACTTTTTCCTTTACAGCTACTCACTCCACCCATCCCATGGTGGATGGGATCAGGCCTTTGTTCTCCAGGGAACGCCCTTGTCTTTTCCTAGATTGAGACTTCCACCTGGTTTTAAATGCCTTTTAGCAGAACTGATCCAGGTTTATTCAGCACTTCAAGATTGAGTAAAAAGTAAACATAGACCACCAGGCTGTCAATGTCTGGCATGATGCCATCACCACATTAAAGAAAAGAAAAAGGATTTGAGGTGAAACCTTAACTTTATCCATATTCTTATCCAATAGAAAAGACTATGGAAAAAAAAAATGCAGTGAGAATTGTATTTGGAAGCAATGAGACAGAAGGTATAAACAAAAGAAGAATTGTGTTCCAGAAAATATACCCAGGCATTCTAAAAATATCTGGGTCTGAGAATTTAAAAATACCAAAACACAGACTTCTCTGTCCACACAACAGGCTACAACATTGTAAATATCTTACTAGGTTCATATTTGCAGTGGCAGGAGAAGGAAGTGTTACGCTGATGTGTTACAATGCAATATCAAAAGGACCACGTAAACAAAATCCATTTGCCGCCCTTTCAAAAAAAAAAAAAAAAAATAAGAAAAGAATCTTACCTGAAGCCACTCATGAAAATTATCAGAATCCAATTTACTGTTTGCATCAGGCTGCTTTTCAACCCCTGTTGCTAGATATTCAAGACCCTTCTCTCATATTCTCCTCCTTTCTTCTTTTCTTGTTCACTCTTCATTCCTGAGTCCTCCCTTCATCCTGCCACCATTATGTGCCCAGGGCAAAGCTAAATTCAAACTAATAAATGTACCCTATATCCACATTTCCCTTTGAGTGGAGTAGCTTCAAGACCAACTCCAATTACCGCTTCTATCCTTATTGTTAATACTAGTGCGCTATCACAGCATAATTTTGATGCCTTTATACACGGTGGGCATGGAATACCAAGAATCCACAAATTAAATGCCCAGCATTTAAGGCTTTTCATCTTTTTCTACAACTCAATTTAATCACATTCCATTAAATGGTAGAAAATTCACTCAACATTACTCCAGACAAACTTGACAATTTTGGGCTAAATTGATGAAGTTTTTGTAAGGACTAAATTTAGAAATGTGCTTCAAAACTCTTTGTAGAACAAGAAGCTACTTAAATTTTTCCATATAAAGAAGAGGTTATCTTCCTCTTCTTTCCATATATCTTCCATATAAAGACAAACTACTCATTGTAATTTTTCCCTGACTTATTCAGTTTACAGTATATGTTGAGAGGCAGTAGTTTATGCAGTAAGGAGGAGGGAAATGGGATTAAAAATAGGTCACGGACAATCTTATTTCTGCTAAAATTCCACATGTTTTATGTCTTTTAACCCTCACCCAAAAATCTTGGGATATAGGTCTGCATTTTAGGTATGAAGAGGTTCAGGCTCAAGAAAGTTGAGAAACTGACCAAAGGTACAGAGCTAATAAATAGCAACCCAGGGTCTCCACTTTTATACTTTTATCATAGCATTTATTCATTAGGTATATTTTGTGGCTTTTATTCAAATCTGAATTTCTTTTAAGTCCTTTGTACAACTTAGAGTGGGGGAAAGAGTTGGAGTAGAAAAATGTTATTAATCACTGAAAATAAATAAAAACATTCAGAAGCTTGAACTGAGTTGGTGTCTGAAATATTGGGCACACAGAAAACCTAGAGTAGATTTAAGCTCTATAATAATATATGTGAGCAGTGGAGTTACAAAATTTCCTAGTTGATATTTACATTGCACTTATCACTAGTCTAAGTGAGAGATTTATTCAACATAAACATGCACTAACTCTTATCCCCACAATATGGATGAGAAAACCAGAACATATGAGTATTGAGTAATATTCTTAAGTCAGCCTCTGGTCATCTGCTGTATACTATAATAAATCTGAAAACTCAAAATTAATATTTTGTCTCCTCCATGAAAATGGACTGAGAAATATAACTTTCTTGATTGTTTCCCCCACAGAATTTCTGTCCTACTGATAGGTGCAGGATGTGTGAGTAAGCGTGAAGGTAAAGTTTAAATATCTTGCACCTCAAATATATTTCTCATATATTTTTAGGTTTATAAATACAACCAACATTGGAACCTCCAAATGACAAATTTATCAATATATTAATTCTGGGGATGCAAAAAAAGGTGTTGAATATGTGGCTAAGCTTCATAATAAAGAACGAATCATTTTAATTTTTTAATAAAAAGTCATTTGAATAAATACATATACATCTATGTTGGTCTATATCCATGTGTAAAATACGGCATTAAAGTAGTTCCTAAATGAGGACAAAGATCTAAAGTGTTTTGAGAGTCAAGAAATTCTTCGATTGAATTACAAAGAAGAAAGAGGCCCCACAAGAAATATTTCTCGCTGATATTAGAAAAAAAAAATGAGCCAGTTCCAGTGGCTCACACCTGTAATCCCAGCACTTTGGGAGTCCAAGACAGGAGGATCCCTTGACCCCACAACTTTGAGACCAGCCTGGGCAACATGGCAAAATGCCATCTCTACAAAATACACAAAAATTAGCCAGGCTTGGTGGCACATGCCTGTAGTACTAGCTACTTGGGAGGCTGAGGTGGGAGGATCATTTGAGCCTAGGAGGTGGAGACTGCAGTGAGCCATGATCTCACCACTGCACTCCAGCCTGGGCGACAGACTGAGCCCCTGTCTCAAAAAATAAATAAATAAAAACTAAATTTAAAAAAATGTATACACACAACTAAGCCTCCTTTTGTTACCAGTTGTTTTATTTAACTCACTTCCCCTACCATGAAGATAGAATTGGTTCACAACAAAGAGCAGAGAAGAGGTGTCGAAAATCAATCATTTTGCCTGTTGCCAAAATAATAAAGTCAACTCTAGGACAAGATTAATTCCTTACACAAAGTTGCCTGCTTTATATAACACTAGATAGCCTCCAATAGTTGGCATTATACACATACTGATAATGGAAATGATATGGAAGAATACCAATAGATCTAGATACTGTAACAAAAAGACAAATCTACAGCTACAAAACTATGGTTTAATATAAAAATAATTGACTTTAAAAGGGCAGTTTTGTCTTTAAAACACATACTATTTTAGAGCATTCACCTCCCTTTACAGAAATTTCATTTGCATCAATGTCTGTTTCTCTCCATGGACCTTTTTAATGGCTTGCATTATGGCTTATTTATTTTCAACCCTTTGATTTCCAATAAATTGTTTGCCACCAATTTGCAACCATAAAATGCACTGAATGAGTATATGAATGAATACCTACATTTGTAAATCCAAGAAGTATTTTCCTCCTTTTTCTGGTAAAAAATATTTGGGCATTTCTGAATCATATTCTGAGTTTCTTATTATTTTAACTAACATGTACAAGAATTGCTACTATTATTTTTGTATGAAAATATTGTAAGTAGTTGATAAAACAAAAGAGAAATGCCTAAAGTTATTTTAAATAAATCAAATATGATAGAAAGCATTTGTGTTACAGAAAAGGGGAAAAAATTAAGACTTTATATTGAACTTACCTCCCCACCCTCAGCACAACCACATGAACCCATGAATTTACTGTAGTATAGTTTTCTACTCTCAAAAAAACATAAGTTAGTCAAGGATAAGAGAACTGACCTTCAGTTTCATGTTTGTGGACTTAATTGCTATAAGGAATCAGAATATATTTTCTGTGGCACAATACTTTCATAGTGAAGCAGCCGCAATACCACTAATGCAGAGCACAAGCTCCAAGCATTCTGGACCTTCCAGGCATTTTTGTGGCTTGGCATTGATGAATGCAGGTGAGATATAGGTTGCAGTTAGGATCAAATTACAACAAACACTGCCTCTTCCAAAAATATGAGTTGCTTAAACAACTTCCCTATTACCTTGGGAGAGGATGCCTGTCCATCAACAGCTGGGACTTTAGAGCAAGTTCTCACAATTGTATCTTTTCAGTGAGCACAAAATCTGAGCCCAGTCAAAATAAAAACAATAATAAATGACCCTTCCCTCACATTTCCACAACAACCTTGTGTGGTGAACAATGTGACTTCCTTCTATCTTTTCTTCTCCTTCTCTATTCTGAATGGTATACTTTTACCTGCAACGAATTGAATTTATGTATAAGATTATTTCTTAATTTCAGAAATGAGTGAAAAAAAAGGAATAAGACCAGTACACACATGTATCTTATAGAAATATTCTCATTACTTTCCAGATCAGCCTAACAATGACATTTACCTCTTATAGAATCCCCTAATACATAGGCCATCATTTATAAGAATGCAATCTGTTCTTTTCTTATATTTTTTCCACTAATTTCTTCCTAGCTTGGTTATATCAAATAACAACATAATATAGCTTAGAAAACACCATGTGTGACATATATGCTATGCTCAATATTTTGTGGTTATTATTATTTTTACTATTTTGAGACAAGATCTGGCTCTGTTGCCCAGGCTGGATTGCCATGGCACAATCACAGGTCACTGCAGCCTCAACCTGGGCTCATGCTATTTTCCTGCCTCAGCCTCCCTAGTAACTGGGACTACAGGCTTACACCACCACACCCTGCTAATTTTTGTATTTTTTGTACAGATGCAGTTTCACCATGTTGCCCAGGCATATCTTGTACTCCTGGGCTCAAGTTATTCACCTGCCTTGGCCTCCCAAAGTGCTGGGATTACAGGCATGAGCCACGGTGCTTAGCCACTTTGTAGTTATTAATATGTCATTAACATAAGATATTCCTTCTTAAGGTTAAAAAATGTATAGCCTCTGATTTTTTCACACTCATATTATTTTAATTTGTTTTCCTGGTATAATAAACATGAGCTATTTCCTATAGTTCTCCATTGCTGTTGACTATATTCATACTATATCTCCAGTTATTCTTTGTGATTGATTGTCTAAGATGAAATTTATTTTTTGAAATACAGTGACTTTTCTGAAGTCGATAGATCTTTACATTCACCACTTCTTATGTGGGTTGATTTCTCAGTATTTTGAGAATATGTCTTGAGAATAAGTACTTATGTGGTTTTTGACACAGCAACTAAGACTTGTTGCATTTCACACAATGAACCAAATATTGTGGGGTCCAACACTTGGATCCATATTGTACTAAACACAGCTCTGATTTATAAAAGAAAGACTTTAAAACATCCAGAAAACAATACTAAAAATTTTAGATTATTCTTACAGAATGAAGTCCTCATACATCATCAATCATTTTCCTTTGTTTCACTTCTCTGTGATGTTTCTTCTTACCACTCTCAACAAACTCCCTGTGGATATTTTGACCTTAAGACAACTACCACCATTCTTATAGCTACACAAAAAGGCATTTATTACAGTCAGATCAATGCAAAACTGATGTAGTTAAGCCATTTTCTGATTATCTCCCTCTCCAATACATCTCTGATGAATGCTTTCCACTAACTCAAACATTCCAACCAATTTGTGTTTGGTTCTTTTGTTTTGTTTTGACAAGGACAAATTGAATTTCTCATTGCCCAGGAACATACTTGCAACCACCATAATTATTTATATGTGCATTGGTAGAAATTTCAGCCCTTCAGAACATTTTTTAGTCATAGAAGACTGCTCATGTTGGAAACAACAGAAAGTTACCACATAGTACAAATTCAGCCTTTGTATGGAATATTTCCATTAGCAATGTTAAAGATGGTGAGAATTTGCTGTTAATCAAATAGGAAATGTCAATAAAATGGGACAGGCTGGGGATTAGACAATGAAACAGGCTTCTAACTTCTACATCATTTATGTGGCCCTATGAAGTCTGACGGAACCATAATGATTCATCGCCTCCTGGTATTAGAACCAAGCACTTGGGTTCTGAAGTTAGGAAAGAGTCTGGGTAGCTCAGACATAGTTTTGACAATGCCAAAACAAGCTTGGAAAGGGAAGCAGTCAGTCTAACCAATGATTTGGCAGCATAAAAACCCAACAAGTATGTTAATTGATGTTTATTTTAATATCGAATGTAGTCAAATCCTTTTTATGTAAAACCAATCCATTTAAGTAGACACCCTCTGAAGAAGAATAATTGAGCAACATGGGTCAAAGTATCAACTGAGCTGTTCTTGAAAAGTAACAAAAAGAGGCTGAAACTTTTTGATGAGGTTTTAAAATGAAAGACAAGGGAGATGTATATGAAAACTATTAATCCCTTTAGATTGCGTATGCCAGCATTAGTCAACATTTGGAGAGTAAAAAAAAAAATCTCACCAAATTTTAGTGCTCAAAGGCTATAAAATATGAATGTGTTAGTTAAATATTTGCAAAAGGCCTTTAAAATATTAAAATATTAACATTTTAATTCAACAAAGAGGGTCCTTAGAGTTATGAAATGTTATGCACTACAATTCCAATCTTTGATTTGGGGAATTTATCTACATTAAAATATACTTTGAACAAACCTGCTTTTTCTCTTATAACTGTTTCTGGTTTTACTTTTGCTGACTGTGCTAACATGTTGCAAGATATATTCTTTCAATTGATAAAATCATGATATGTATAGGCACCTTACTAATTCCTAAGCACATCCATTACACTCAAAACCAAAGAACCACATTATGCTTGATACATGACTAGTTATGGCTTATTCTACTGTGAGTCCTACTAATCAGTGCTTCCTGGTCAAACAAGGTAAAAGTTTCACATCAGAAAATACATAACATAAATATAACATAAAGTCACATATCAGAAAACACAAATCAAGGTTAGTAATACTTTCACTTAACTAGGACAATAATAATGTAATAACATTATAGTAATAACCATATGTCAAGAACCCACTGAATACCTGACACAGAAAATGGCAATTTAGATATTCTTTTTTATTCAATCATTAAAGAAATCTTAAGGTCAGTATCAATTATTCCAATTTTACAGATAAGGAAAATTGCTAAGTAGCTTATCCAAAATTAATCACACTATTCATGTGAAGCTGAAACGGAGATCCAGATGTGATTGTACTGAGAGCCAATGCCCTTTCACTCAGCAATCGTGCCTAAGAAAAAAAAAAAACAAAAATCTACAAAGTGAAACTCCAGGGCTAGAGAGATAATGTGATATCTTTTAGTCAAGCCCATGTTGTGATTTCATACTTTGAAAGTATTCCTCCACCCCTACTCCACTCTGAATACAGTGGTTATAAAAAAGAAATCTCTTTTTGGATAACAAAAAAAAATGGTGGAACCAAATTAAGAAAAATTGAGACAGACATCTCTGTGAACCTGAAGGGAACAGAAACAACCAGGAGGGAGAGAGAGAGAGAGAGAGAGAGAGTATGTGTGTTGGTGAGAAGGTGTGAAAGAGGTATGAGGGTCATTTGCCTGTTTGTACTCAGATGCATTTCCTCCTTTTCTTTTGGTCTTATTGCAGATTGCCATATTTCCCAGGGTTTCTTGATAGCTGGCTTTGGCTAGTTTGGGCCAGTGTAAAGCAATGGCAAGAAACTGGGTAGCAGGAGAAATAAACACTAGGGCAACGTGCCTCCTCTCTCTGCCTTACTGGCATCTGACAGTGACTGTGTCTCTCTATTTACATCTTCCTCCATCCTGCCCCAAGCTCCTGCAGACCTATTCCCTCCATGATCCCAACTCCCATCCAGGCTGGTTCCCATGGCCCTGTGGCTTGTTTCTGATAACAGCAACTTGTTCTCATGCCTCCTCAGTCATAGGAAAGACATCATCTTCTCACTGTTGGTAATTTCTGTTATGATTTACTGTTCAACTTCTCAACTCATCTGTGTAACCAGTTATCTGAATCAAATGTGATCTCTGAAATAACTGGAGTGATTGCATTTTCAGGGTACTGACTGATATGTATGAGGTGGTAGAGAGTGGTGGGGAGAATAAAAGGTACAGCCATAGGTGCATTGGTTTATGAATCCAAAAACCACAGGAATTTTAAGTGATACACATTACACAAATAAAAGTGTTCCCTATTCATTGGAGGGATTAAAGAGACTGTAAGAAGATGATTCGTAGATGACATTATCAAAATGCCAAACTAATCACTATGTGAGAACCCAAAGTCAACAATAAAAAACATGGTGCTGGAACAGAGGTCCCAGGATGGGGGAGGAGCTAAATTGAGGGAACTGTAAACTAGGGAGGGATAAACAGAGGAGAAGAGAGAGAGGGAGAGAGAGAGAGAGAAATAAAATATGCATATCAGAACTAGCTTACCCAGATGAGCATCAAAACTAAGATTTCAAACTATTAGAACTAAATAATACTAAGAAAGAGTGCCTGCAAACTCAGGATGTTACTCTCCTACAACAAAATGAGAGAAAAAATACAACAATCTCATAAGGACTATTATAGAATTAAGACCATTAAAAAAATAAGAATAAGATCAATTTAAAAGAAAATTATGGAAAAAAATGGAGGATTATAAAACTAGAAGTGATACTTATGAAAAATAACAATCAGTAGAAACAATAAGCATCTTACCCTCTACCAAAATCTTGAGATTTCAGAATTACCAAACACATATTTCAAAACAAATATAGTGACCATGTTTGATTCTACTTCATTGGGTAGATCCAGACAAATTGAGCATACTGTAAAGTTTTCTCCTTCCGATTTGGCCATACAGCTGGTCAATTTATTAGGATAATGACAGCAACCAATTCATATTGGTGGACTTTCCAGTCTACTCATTTAACCAACTAAATGTGATGTGAGTACATTTTTTAGATTTCAAATGGACATGGATGACATATCATGAATGCTGCTTTGAAAAAAGTTCAAGTTGAAATCGACCCAACTGTGTGTTAAGCTGTTAACATTTGAGGATTTATTGTTTATTCACTTACACATTGTAGAAAATAATGGGCTGACTTCTATTTTTATTTGTTTATTTATGCCTTAACACAATCCTGGCACCGCCTATGGATACTATGATGGCCACCTCTGTGCAGAGAGGCTTGGCAATCTATTTACATAAGAGTCATGGTTGGGATCCTCAATTTTCACAATGAATATATCAATTCTATCGTTTACTTTATTCTAGTGAATAAATAGAATTTCTATTGATCAGCAACACAGAATACCTGGATTCCAAGCATATCTTTTCAATTGACCTAAATAAAACAATCAAGAGATAAGATAGTTCTAATTGATGTGACAAACTCTGTATGTGCCTTGGAAGCAAATAATGTGCCTTTTTACCAGGAGAATGACCATTCACAAGATTTAATTATATATTGACATAGAAAAAAATCGATACGTGTAAAACAACAGAAATGATACAGGTAGCATACTCGGATCACAATGCAAAACAAGCAGAAATAGCCAAATTGAAAAGTAACAAATACTGGCCCTTTGAAATAAAAAAGTAAAAACTTTCCTTAAATGACAACAGAAAATTTAAACCAAAATGGAAGAATAGTTAGAATATGACATGAAAATATACATCTCAGAACCTATGAAATATAGCTAAACAATTGCTTATGGAAAGTCTCAGCATATAAAAAAAAAACAGGAGAAAGTACAAATCCACAAATAAAAATTGACGAGGGGGAAACAACTTCAGATTAAGAAAAAACTAAAAGGATCATGTGATATATTTAACCCTATTCAAATAATTTTGCACATCTTGATAAAATGGAAGATTTTCTAGAAAAGCATAAATTTCCAAAACAATTTCGAGAAGATAAACAAATGTAAACGGTTCATTGTCCTAAAAGCAAGGAAAGAATTTGTATTTTGCTAACTTCTTCTCCCTCCACCCCAAAGCACTAGCCTAAGATTATTTCTTAGTGTATGGAGCAGAAATCTCTAATTTATTTAACTGTTTCAGCATATAGACGAAGAAAACAAACTTCTGAATTGCTTAATTTTTATGGCTAAACCTGACAACAGATGTCACTAAAAGTAAATTAAAAGATCACACATACGCAAAAATACATAAAATACATTGACAATTAATTTTTATTTACTCCTCTTAGCCCTTTGATAGATTTAGTAGAGAAAGATTACTAAGAACCCTATGTCTATTTTTGTGAGTGTTTGACTTTGATTTTGCTTTAGGAATGTCAATGCTATGTTTTTAGTTAATAGATACTCACAAGTGTCATGTTTTCATTGAAGAATGCAATATTTATTATCACTAAAGATTCTTTTTTGTCCCATTTAATACTTGTGCCCTGTTTGTAACCATTCTGATATAATGGTATTTGAATTGTTATGGTACGTCATTGTCTATTCTATAATTTTCAATCTTTCTGAATCACTGTGTGTTAAATAAGTCTGCTGTTACTGTTGGTTTTGCTTGTGATCCAATCTGATAATGCTTTTCTCTTAATATTAGGAAAGATTAGGTCATTTGCATTTACTGATAGTGTATACATGTTTTTTCTTAGTTGTGACTTCATACTTCATATTATGTTTTCTATTTTATAGTATATTTTAACCTTCTTTTATACTTTGATATTCTGTTCAAGCTATATTTTTCCCAGCTCTGGAATTTCATTTATTTGTACTATTTTGGATTTACTGTCAAACACTGCTTGAAATATGGAATAAGAAGGCATATTGTGGAATAATAAGACAAATAGTTACTTACGTGGATTAATGTGTGCATAGAGAGTATACCATATTCAAATACATGTAACCATTTTTAAATTTCTCTGTCAAACATACATTTTTACATTGCCTATGTAAACATGGTTGAAGAGGCAATTCTATAATTGGAAAAACAAAAATCACTGGAGTAAGATTCAGAAGACTTGGGTTCTTATTCTGGTTTCAAACTGTACTATCCAGAATACTTTGAAGGATGTCATTAAGCTTCTCTGTAATATTTTTTAAAATGCCTTCCTTGTTTCTTTTATGGTAAGACATTAAAGACATCAACATTGTGAAAGTTTTTTAAAGAGAAAATATTTTAGAATATATTTTTAGAAATAGCTCTAATTTTTTTTTTAATTTCTCAAATGATCACCTAAAACAACAAAATTAGAAATCAAAACATTAACCTTGACATTAAGAGTGAATCTGACTTGGAAATATTCACCTAGACAAATTTGCAAAAATGAAAATTGTATAAGCATCTTGAATTTTATCAGGTCAGTAACCCTCTTCTGGCGATTTTGACATTTGCTCAGTCAGAGGTCACCCTGACTGTGCATATAATCTGCATAAATGCTTCTGGTGACTTTCAAGTACAAGTAGCAGAAGGCACCTGATGATCACGACAATGAAAGCATGTCATTGAGTCTGTTACGCAAGGACAGCAGGTGGCTTGGGATTTGGAAAGTTATAGGGTAGGAGGTCCTCAGTCATTTAGGGTTAGTCTCGGGGCTGCAAGAAGAGGGTACATATATCGCAATATGAAAATAAAATAGCAAGCATCCCTCACACGAAAGAGAAATCAGAAGATGGGCCAGAATGCTAAATGTAATGTGAGCTTAGCTGATGTCTGGGCTAATACGTCATCCTTCTGTCCTTTGTTGTGCCTCAAAATAGAAAACAAAGGCCATCCGCACCTCCTGTGCAACAATCTAAATCTACATTAATTTACAATCTCAGTCCCCCTGTCACCTAGGAACCTCATAAGCATAAATCATTGCTGTAATGTTACTGTAAATAACAGCTCACTGGGCTGTTGTTGATTCATTGACTCCTGTCTGTTTCTAACAACAGGCCATTTCATGACACAGGGGATCTCCATAGGAGCACAACAGAAAGCTATAAGTATCTCTAACAGTACATATCACTGCACTTTACATGTAAGGCAAGGCCGTTCTTCCAGATAAGAATAATACAAAATGGTTTTTAAAGGTCAATTAAACTAATTGGCTATAATAACTGGAAAACTGTTGTATTTTGTAAATTAGCAAATGTACAAAAAAACCATATACCTTAAAAGACACAAGATGTTCCATTCAAATAAAAATTGAAAAATTCTACTAAAGGAGAGAGAGAAGTTGGCAATGTTTTACTGTCTTCTAAGTGCACTTAGATCTGCTCTCTTTTTGAATTTAAATGGCAAAACTGTCAAGTATGTGTTATGTTCTTATTGCACAGGTGAAAAAACTGAGGAACAGAGAGATTAAGTATGTTTCCTAAAACCACTCAGCTAGAGAACTGCAAATACAAGATTCAAACTTAGATTTGTCCTTCTAGAACACTATTTCCTCTGAGGGCCTATTATATAAGAGGTACAAGACAATTGATGACAGTTTTTAAAAAATAACACCAAACCTATAACACTATCTTAAAAGTTAGCAGATTAGAGTCCACAAATAAGTACAAGACAAAATATCAGGGGGAGGGTATTAAAGATTGTAGTGAGGAATTAGAATAAAGTAAATATCAAATTTGATTTGCAAATATCAGAGAAGAGTTCATGAAGAAGATGGTATTTCAAATAGGTTTTTTTTGTTTTTGTTTTTGTTTTTGAGATGGAATCTGGCTCTGTCTCCAGGCTGGAGTGCAGTGGCGCGATCTCGGCTCACTGCAACCTCTGTCTCCCGGGTTCAAGCAAGTCTCCTGCCTCAGCCTCCAGAGTAGCTGGGATTACAGGCGCACACTACCACGGCCAGCTAATTTTTGTATTTTTAGTAGAGACAGAGTTTCACCCATATTGGCCAAAATGGTCTCAATCTCTTGACCTCATGATCCGCCCGCCTCGGCCTCCCAAAGTGCTGGGATTACAGGCGTGAGCCACCGCACCCGAAAAATTAGAAGAATGTTGTCAACAGAAACTTTATCATTAAATATACTGTATAAACTATTAAATCAGATATGCTATTTACTTTCTCTTTTATAGATACATGGCAAAAGGTTAACATTTTACATTTTGTGTTTTGTGAATGAAGTTAAATCTTTGGCAAATGAGGGATCGCTACAGGTAGTATTTATTAACCCTATAATTAAACATGCCTGGGGAAGTTTATTTAGACATTCTACTAAAAAATCTGGGTTACCATATTTGTATCTTAGCCAAATTTAAAGTAATAAATCCATTCTTGTTTATGAACAAATACCAAACATTTTCAACAAACCTACCACGAAGAACTTAGCATAAATGTATGCCAATTCAAGTTCTGAGGTATGTATTACAGTTTGTACATATTTAACACCTGGACAACTTGTTGACATGTATTCTCAGGAAATTTCTCCAGCAATTTAAAATTCAAATTCTGTGTCAAAGTTCTGGGATTAAGACTGGACTCAAAAGACGTCAACAAACCGGGTAATCTTTAGGACGGTGGGCCAAATTCTTACACACATCTGCTACAGACATTAGGGAAAGGGATCAGACTTCAGTGGAAGGTGACCTTGAGTGATGTGGAGCAGCACTTGTCCTCAAATCTACTGTTAAATTCATTTAAAGCTGACTTAAACCACGTAAGAATTCAAAACTTGTATTTCGGGATTGTGAATGAATAATGTTTTTCTGCATCTATAGGAATCCCTCCACAAAAATATGGATAAATGAAGGCAGAGCCATCTACTTGGTGTTCTCATGACTGGGACCACAGTACTTTCCAAAAAAAGTCCATACTATGGTTGGTATATTTCTATTTATTAGAGAATGTTTTCTCCTATTTAACTTTTTTGTTTTGATCACGATTTCTTACCTGCTTTAGTTTTAGAATAAACTATATTTTGACTTTCTACTCAGAGTAGGTTTATTTTCTGTTTTATTTCATCTTTTATTTTTCTCATGTGTTGTTTTTAAAAATATCTTTTTCATTGATGCAACAATAATATTGCCTCTTAATCACAAAAGAAGTCTATTTTTTCAGTGGGTTAGGAACACATTTACTTATGAGTTATTTCTTTGTCTCTCTATTTCAATCTCTTTAACATATACTAGAAACCAAACATTATGATAGTTGAAAGTGGCATTTAATGTTTTGAAGCACTCTGGGCAGATGAGGTACATTTTTAAAGCAAAGAGCTCCACAAGCAGGGTCTATGAACAGCACATGTGCAACAGAAGTTCCTGACCAAGTTCACATCTAAAAGTATCCTGTTTCCATTAAGAGGCCCCACTTTTGCTTTCCTGCCTCATCCTTGAGGTTCCAGAAAAACAGAACTGCCTCCAGTTCTGCATGACTGGGGAGGCCTCAGGAAACTTACAATCATGGCGGAAGGGAAAGTAAACACATCCACTTCACATGGCAGCAGCAAGGAGAAATGTCAAGCAAAAGGGGGAAAGCCCCTTATAAAACCATTCAGATCTCATGAGAGCTCACTCACTATCACAAGAACAGTATGAGGGTAACCACCCCCATGATTCAATTACCTCCCACCGGGTCCCCCCAGTGTCACATGGGGATTATGGAAACTACAATTCGAGATTCCAGTGCGGACACAGCCAAACCATATCACATGCCATTCTCATCTTTAATCTTTTTTGCATGTCTTGACTCATTCACCACCTATTTCAAATGGCCAACCATACTAACTATTCAGATTTCAGATTCCACATTGCCCTTCTCTTTGCTAACTTCTCTCCTCCACACTCACACACAGTCTGAGTTAGAAGCCTGTTGTATTACTGTAGCTAACATACTACCCTTGTTGAACACTGGCATTGAAGTTGCCTATTTACTGGTCTGAATCTCATACCTTGTGGTAATCTCACCGAGAGAGGTGTATTTGATTGGTCTTGTTCACAATTATACATCTCAGTTTCTGGCACATGGTAAGCATGAAATAAATACTATTAAATGAATAGAGGAGTGAATGAATGAATGAATGAATGACTTTCATGCAGTATCTGTATTAAGTATGCCAGCATGATACTTTGACTTTTTATGTAATGATTGATAGTAATTCTCCAATATACTGCTACTGCAGTAAGCAGAGAAAGAATCTATAACAATATTATGTCTTTTTAAGCAAGCTAGGTAGATCTAAGCAATTGGGAATAGGTGAAATTTCTTGTATAGCAAGGATTAAGAAAATCAGCTTTCTTGATATTTCTAAATTTACCCCTTTATTCCAGAGTCCATCTGGTCTAGTCTTTCTTAAGTTATTAAAAATTCCACAGCAATTCAACAGGAGATTAAGTCCATTGAACATTTGTGCTGGCTCCTCACCCGGGCCTATGGTGCTGGATAGAAGAAAAGTGACAGCTTCAGGACCACACACCTGAAATGGTATTCTTTTTCAATACACACCTGTAACTACACTTTGCCAGAGTGCTTGTGACTGCTTTTCACTGATAGAGTTATGTCAGGCATCCAGCCATATAGATCATGTTAAAAGCTCCAGTGCACTCTTGGCTAAATATTGATGGATTGGATGAGACATCTTTTAACCTTTATTGTGCTTTCCAATTTCTGACATCTGTGAATGACACATTCACAAATTTAACACAATTTTAACTCTGAGATAGACTGGAATGTAAAATATTTGGGGATCTCAGGGCTAGGGAAGGGAAAGAAGATGTTGGAATAAAACAAAAGGACTATGCAGGGAAAGGGACTAGGACGGCAGGGGAATAAGGTTGTCACGTATAATGAAGATTTAGTGCTTCAGCAATAAATCTAATTCAGCTAGAAGAGCATGCTGCCAAAACACTGTGCAAGAAATACCCCCAAGGTATCCAACGGGGTCCTTTTAAACCCTGTTCACTTCACAGTGCATATTTGAACACAGACAGTTGGAGTTCAGAGAGCACACATCTGGGTCACTGTGCAAATCCCCATTCTCCTTTAAAAAAATAAAATACATGCACTCTACCTACCCCAGACTTACTCTATTGCTGAGTCTGCCAAGGAAAACTATTCCATTTTAGAATACAAAAGCCAAAACACAAAGTGGAACCAACCCACATGGAGTCATGCTCTGCTACTTTATGTATCCAAAGAAAGAAAAATATGCAAAGCACAAATTCTCAGATTACTACTCCAACAGATGACTGTACCAAGGTTATTTTTTATTACAATTGTCTCCTCCAATGAGGACCAGAAATCTCCAGAAAATCACGAGCTTTAAAAAGCTATTCAACACCATCTACTTCTCTTGTGCTTAATATAGAATTAAGCTCCATAATCACAGCTTGACATGCCATGCTATTTGTAAATTATTTTTAAGTTCATTGTGATAACTATTAAAAAGAAGGAATTTGTAAGCAGTAGAATGTTACTCCTAAAAGAAAGACTTTATGATTATAAATTAATTTCATCTTATTTTTATATTGTGCCTTGATACTTTAATGTTGGAAAGCAAATATATTCAACTGTTGCATTATTGACATTCTCAAGCCCAACACTTTGTACAGAAGTTACTATATGAAAATATCCTTTCTAGTGTTTAGCTACAAAATATCCTATGTGTTTTCTAAAATCATTCATTTAACGAGAAAACTGTACATAAGCAGGTGCTTGCTAAGAGAGTTCCATGATAATCATTATAGTGACAGGGAAAACCAAGATAAACCAACTAAACTGTTGTTCCTAATAGGGATGATTCAAGGTATAAATTAGTTTAGCACCTCAATCAAGAATTTATACATGTTCTATCTTGGAACGTATTCTCTAACAGGTAATAATGATTTATACATGATAACTCCAGAATTTATATCTCTTAGAAAAAATATGGAAGCCCAAACAATCTTCAATAAACTATACCCCACTCTTCAACCTTTATTTCAAAGGGCTACTATGAATATGAAAACAATGGACTAAAAAGAGCGTAGTCCCCCCACCATTTACATTATTTTTATTTTATTCAAGATTCTGTTTCTGTGAGTGAGGGAGATAATCAAATATTTTGACTTTAAATACATTTACCCTCACTTTTATTTTGCCGTATTTATCAAAAGCTGAGCAGGAAAAAAATAGAGAAACGGGAAATCTAAATTATGATGCCTACCCTTAAGTTGCTTTCTATCAACCTGGGACAAGTTGTTTTTCTTTTTTTTTTTTTTTTGAGACGGAGTCTTGCTCTTTCGCCCAGGCTGGACTGCAGTGGCATTATCTCGGCTTACCGCAAGCTCCACCTCCCAGGTTCACACCATTCTCCTGCCTCAGCCTCCCGAGTAGCTGGGACTACAGGCGCCCGCCACTACGCCCGGCTAATTTTTTGTATTTTTAGTAGAGACGGGGTTTTACCGCGTTAGCCAGGATGGTCTCGATCTCCTGACCTCATGATCCGCCCGCCTCGGCCTCCCAAAGTGCTGGGATTACAGGTGTGACTCACCGTGCCCAGCCAGGACAAGTTGTTTTTTTGTTTTCCTTTTTTTTTTTTCTTTTTTTGCTTTCCCAAGTTGAGAGACACCAAACATAAATACTCGATAAGTTAAATAGCAATATATCTTAGAAGCAACAATCAACAACGTAGAGATGATGCAAAAAAAAAAGTTTAGACAGTAATTGTTGGAAAGGCGATTACTAAAACCACAGTGGACCAGATTTCTCTATGAAATACTTCTGATTTTACTACTTACATAGAACTATTCAAACTGTTATTTGAATTGATTGATACTGTTGATGTGAAAAGTGCCTAAACTATTCTACAATGACTCTACAAATATTTATATATGTAATGAGAACTTGCATCGAGATGTTGTTGATAATAATAATACCTTATCCTTAAAAAACAATGTAGTGTACAGAACAATTTTGACATACCGTATCATATTTTATCTATGTAAAGCACAAAGCATCTACAGTTTGACCTTAGTTGAGGGATGTATTCGTTCATTTTCATGCTGCTATGAAGAAATACCCAAGAGTGGGTAATTTATAAAGAAAAGAGGTTTAATTGATTCAATGTTCCACATGACTGGGGAGGCCTCAGGAAACATACAATCATGGTGGAAGGCACCTCTTCACAGGGCAGCAGGAGAAAGAATGGGAGCTGAGCAAAGGGGGAAAAGCCCCTTCTAAAACCATCACCCCCATGATTCAATTACCTCCCACCAGGTCCCTCCCATAACATGTGGGGATTATGGGAACTACAATTCAAGATGAGATTTGGGTGGGGACACAGCCAAACCATATCAAGAGATGAAGGCTAAGCTTGGGGGAAGTTGAAGCAACTGCCTAAATTTACTTATTCATGGCAGTTTTTATTCAATTCTTGTCTGTTCATTTCTAGTAAAATGTCAGTTCCATTACAGAATTATAAAGCTAATCATAAATCATAAGTTAAACATGATTTATGTAAGACTCAATTACATTTTATGTTTGATGATAATTAAGAGGTGACGACATAATTTTTGAATTATAGTAACTAACATTCATAGGTTACTAAGTTAGGGCTAAGAATATTTTCATATACTACCTCATTAAATCCTTATAGTAATTCTCTAAGTCGGATACTTTGTTTTTTTCTGTTTTTTGTTTGTTCGTTTGTTTTTGAGATGGAGTTTCACTCTTGTCACACAGGCTGGAGTGCAATGGCACCATCTTGGATCACTGCAACCTCCACCTCCTGGGTTCAAGCAATTCTCCTGCCTCAGCCTCCCAAGTAGTTGGAATTATAGGCATGTGCCACCACACCCAGGTAATTTTTGTGTTTTTAGTAGAGAAGGAGTTTCACCATATTGGCCAGGCTGGTCTTGAATGCCTGACCTCAGGTGATCCGCCCACCTTGGCCTCCCAACCTGCTGGGATTACAGTAGTGAGCCACCACCCCTGGCCTAAGGTGGGTACTTTGGATACTCTATTTAACATATGGAAAGACGGGATTAGAGTCAAAATTCCAAACTTGGTCTAAACAGGGTGAAGAGGGTTCCCCTGTGATTATCTATGCATTTTCTGGGTGATACTCTTCATAGCAAAATGAAGACTCTTCAGAGCAAAAAAAATTACTCTTGGGCTGCTATAGATAGATTAAATTTGAGTGTATATCTATCATTATTATGTTGCATAACTTGATGGCTTATCACACACAGGACTGAAGTTAGCCTGTAATCACTTTACCACTTAATACAACAATAAAAGAAATCATGTTCCTATTAAAGTACTGGACAGCTTTAGAAAAGAAGGGTTTCAGACACACATGGAATTCGTACCTGAAGGTATATTTTAACCTTTAGGTTATATGAAGCAAAGGTAGACTGACCTCCAATAAGATAAAACAAAATCAGGCTCTAGATTTTTTTAAATGCTATTTTGGTTGGAGAACACTTTCTAATTCCATCAACTTTGAATTTCCAAAATTAATTCAAATGTTTTTTAAAAGTCGGTTTCTATATCCACAATTTGGCTTAGTTCAATCAAAATGAAATTCACATTAGAAAGCAATGTGCTTTTACCATACTTCTGGCATGTTCTGCTAGGGTTAATTAAGTTATTAGCAGATCTACAGTTGGTAAAATAAAAAAACAAACAGCCTACAATTATTCACACCTAAAGAGAATTCCAGTCCCTGATTTCATATTGTCTAAACAGAAGCTTTTTCTTTCCTGGAGAATTTTCAATGAACTTAGTCTAAATAACTAGAAATGTTCTTAGCTATAACAGAGGTAGGTATATGAGCCAAAAGTTATTTGAAAACATACAGATTTCCTAGCTATATCACTAGAAATTCTTACTCAGAAGTTTTGAAATGGCACTGAAATACTCATATTTTTATAAAGCTCCCTGGCTTTTTTCTTGTGCAACAATCCAGTGTCAATGAGGGGACCTGCATTTGGAAATTCCTGAAGTAGAGCATTTCATTATCCAACAATGCATATGCACTACGAGTTATATTTATAGCAAATAAATCTAACAGGAACAGTTTACAGATAGCATTTTATGGTGGATTAGTTTATAGAAAAGGTGCTATAAATCAAATCTTATTTTAATATGATAAATATTGGGATTATTATTATATTCCTCATCTACAACTCAGTATTAACAGAATTGAACACAAATGCCATATTGAGTCAACTAAAAGTAATTGTCTCTACACTATTTATGTCTTACTTTTAGTTATTTTACTGATAATTAATATAGGGTAGCAGTCATGCCTAAAAACATAGATAAATTAAGGTAATATATAAAAAGACAAAATTAAATAGGTCTCAAACAACTAAACTAAGAAGTTTAGACTCAAATGTAATTAGTAAAGATTCATTTGTAAACAGGAAACTGACATGATTGAACTTGTATTTTAGAAGATAACTAACAAGACAGATCTAAATGGTAGACTTGAAGGGGAAGGGATAAACAGCAAAGGGAACACTTAAGAATTAACAGGCTGGGCTCAGTGGCTCATGCCTGTAATCCCAGCACTTTGGGAGGCCGAGGAAGGAGGATCACCTGAGGTTAGGAGTTCAAGACAAGTCTGGCCAACATGGCAAAACCCAGTCTCTACTAAAAATACAAAAATTAGCCAAGTGCAGTGATGTGTGCCTGTAATCCCAGCTATTCAGGAGGCTGAGACAGGAGAATTGCTTGAACCTAGGAGGCAGAGGTTGCAGTGAGACAATAGGGCACCACTTCATTCCAGCCTGGGAGACAAAGCAAGAATCAGTCTCAAAAAAAAGAGAAAAGAATTAATTGGTGATGAGAGTTCCTCTAGGGATAGAGAGGAAAATAAGAATAATAATAACAATAACTATCATTTAAATAATGCTACCTATTTGCCAAGCAATGTCCTAACAATGTACACATATTAACTCATATAATCTTCACTACCACCCTATGAAGTAGTGTTATCAGTTGGTATTTTCTAGGTAATAACCCCAAATATAGTGCCGTAACACAACCACCATTTATTTAGCACATCATCCTGGCAGTTCTTTTAGGCTTGGCTGAGATCACACATAATCTTTGGTCAGTTGCCAGGTTGGCTGGGGGCTGGCTGAACTAGAATGCTTCAGCTAGGAAGGTTTGTCTCTACTCTGGATGGTCTTTCATTCACCAAAGCCTGAATCCGACTTATTCACATGGTAACCGGGCAAATTTTGAGCAAGCAGAAGCACTCAAGGCCTCTCAAGACCTAGGTTGAGAAAAGACATACTATCATATCTTCCTCACTCTATTAACTAGAGCAGGGCACAGTCCAGCCCAAATTCTAAGGTGGGGAAATCAACTTCATCTCTTGATGATAAGGGCTGCAAAGTCACTTTGCAAAGGGTAAGGATAGAGAGAGGAGGAAAAGATTGTGGCGTTGTTTACAGTCTTCTTTAGTTAGGTATTATTGTTATCATGCCTATTTTGCAGGTAGGTAAACAGAAGCACAGAGTTGTTAGGTAATCTGCTTTAGGTCATTTAGCTAACAGTTCACCAAATAATCCAGCTTTAGTGTCTGTTGTCTAAGAAATTTACTTTTATGTCTCTAAGGTTTTAAGAAATGGAGAATGGTTAGAGAAGTATCAATGAAAAGAATCAACACGATTTAATGATTGATTAGATTGGAAGCAGGGAGTCAGAGAAGGAGTATGAGGATTCAAATTTGGAAAAATAGCGACATTAATAAAAAGTGACAGTACTTATTGATGACACCATCCACAAATTAAGAAATATAAGAACATGATTAAATCCCGGCCAGGGGTAGGAATGAGCTTAATAAAAATGTAGATTTGATCATTTAAGATTGAGCCGTGCTCAGGATATACTGATGGATATGTCCATTGGGCTGCCTGGAGATGGAGTCTTTCACTCAAAACAAAGAGATTAGGATAGAGATACAGATTTGAGCTCTGTTAGTTGAAAGCATAAAACTAGATGAAAAGACACAAAGAGAGTTTAAAGAAGAAGGACAAGGACAAAGTCAGGAGAAGTGTAGAGGCAACGCAGAGGAAAAACAGCCTTTCAAGTAACTTTCTGGTGATTAAAACCAAGAAACAGCAACATAAAAAAAAGGAAGAGTGACATCTCCTCCTACTAATAGAAGTGTAGGTAATTTGTCTCCAACTGAAGACTACTGAACAAACTAGATAAAATATTTTAAAATAAAACAAATCATATCCTTAAATTAGAGAACCAATAAGACATCATAACATTACCATCCAACAATCTAAAATAAGGACAAAGGCCCAGGAAGATAAGAACAGAATTTAGGGTTACTCTACCCTAGGAGAGTTTGACAATTAAAGAGGGAGGTTCTGGAAGATTGAGCTATGGTTTTGACAGCCTCTTGGGAGTAGGAGTACTGTAGTTGAGTCTAGGGCTTACCAAGGAAGATGGCTCTAGTGAATCCTCTTCACTTTGCTTTGGGACTTTGCAAAAGTAGAGAAGACACAGTGAGGACTACATACAAGGTTTTGGAATATCAGACAAAACAAACAGAGAAAGCAGGGAAACAACACTTGAACAGATAGTTCAAAAACACAGTATCTACGTGGCCAAAACATATTTTTAAAGTTTCACTTCACGAGTAATCATCAAAATGCAAATTGAAGACACCAGATACCACCATATACTTGCCAAAGTGACTAAAAATTAAAAGATTTAAAATGCCAAGTTCTGGGAAGGAAGTAGAGTGACAGCAATTTACATACACTTCTGGCCACCGGAAAAAAAGAACGCCATTGATGATCAAGACTTAGGAATGGGAAAGATGCAAGTACACAAGTGGAAGTGTAGCTTTGCAGAGGTGGAATCTGCCTTTTCTATGAGAAGAGAAATGACGGATAAAGATATAGATTGGTTTGAGGCCAAAATGTTGAGAAAGTTTTACCTGAGGAAGTTTAGAATGGGCTCCATGTTCTTTGTTAATATGAGTGAGCCTATTGATAAAAAGGGAGGAAAGCTGGGGTGAGTAGGCATTTTGCAAATATTAAGAAAATGTTGTAATAGCTGTTACAAAGTCTGAAAATAGGATTTTGCTAGGCATATGCAGAAGTGTGGCTGAGAATATTGGGAAACAGGATGATATGAAAACAATGAAATTCAAGTGACTTCAATCTTAATGTTTTAGATTTCTCTGGTCTTAGTAATGTAGTAACCATCTTGATTCATGAAGCACATCAAAGGTACCATTCCAGTTGTCTCTGAGGCCCAATTTCTTCACTTAGAGAGAAATATTTCTACACTGTACTTACTGTAAAAGGATGTTATGTATCTGTTTGGAAACAATCATACCTAGTTATATAGAAAAGTATGCGAAGAAAGTGAAGAAAGAGCACTTACATAGAATTTGAAATAGAGTAGGTAAATTTGACTGTGGAAAGCTGTTTAATCCACATACTTGCCTAGGGACAGTTGGAATTTAAACCATCATAGGCACTCTGACACCTGTGTCACTTAAGCCATCTCAAGCAAAATGGTGCAGGAATTCAAATGTCACTAAACTTTTCCAGCAGGAGAGATCCAACCAACTTCACTTGTAGACCATTCTAGTTTCTCCCAATTCTCATGGCCCAGGCATACTTTCTTATATGTTTCATGGTCTATTTAACTTTCCCTGAAGTCTGGAAAACCTCAAAAGCATGTTGACAGCAAGGATTTTTAAAAGTCTTTCTTACAACAGCCAAAACTATAGCTCATAGCCTGCATAGAAACCTTGATTTTTACAAGCAAACCGGTGATATAGGTTTCCCTTCTACACTCAATTAGATTCCCTCATTTCAATTCAGCTTTGCATATGAGTTTTACAAAGCTGAGTTTGACAAGGTGAAATGTTGTTAAGGAACTAAAAGTCAGGATCATGGAAACACCTCACCGGAGATATATTTAATTAAAATGACTCATCCTAAGAGCAAAAAAACAGGTAATTTCGTAGATTGTCCCCCAAACTTTGTTCTCTCCTTACCACCAAACCTCATGTGGTCTTAAAAAAAAAAAAAGGTCTTGACCCAGAGTACATAGAATGTGGAAAGGCGTGGTACCCTTTTGCATTTTGTTATTCATCGAAACACCAGAACAGGCAGGACAAAGTTTGCAAGCCCAGGAGAGACTTTCAACAGCAACCTTATCTTGTTTGAAAATTTGCTCTGAGGTCACATGGAGCAAGCGAGAGCTCAGCTGACAGTGTGTCGAAAAGCCTCCAGCTAGCGAAAGAAAGCATCCTTGAGTGCAAAAAGGTCGAGCATCTTTGGAAGTGGGTAAATTGGAACAATATGATATGCCTTGTGTAAAAACATATTCCATTTTCTAACTTTGCAAAAACAGTTCGTGGTCTGGATTCCTAGCAGTAGAGAAAATGAAAATCAATAAACGTAAGCTAATGTCAGGAGTGCTAAACTCTTTTGTCTTGTTATTGGTGGCAGTGTTAAAAATAAAAATAACATAAACACATGCCTAAATAAATAAATAGCAGTTCCTTCAAAAACCTGAAAACTTTGGACAAGCCCAAAGAGCATGTACGTACTGTCCAATTCAAGGGAATCAGGACAGTATTGGATTTCACAGATAGCACCACAGACAGCTATTAAAGTCTAATCCAGTGTCACATTTCTGCCCAATGCTTGCTAACTACCAGCCCAATTTGCTGGCTTCACTCACTCTGTGTTTCTTCATTGTTTCAAGCCAGGCAGAGACTTATCTTAATAATGGGTCAATCCTCAGCCAAATGTGTTCAACTGAAGGCCACCATGGGAGAATGGCAGGATATTGTCTTTCCAACAGCAAGTGAACTGCAGGCAGCTTAAGGCAATATCCATTTCACTATAATGCTGGTTTATGTTACAGCCCTTTTCAAACTTCTAATTGCCCTGTATTGCTGACATTTATATACATGCCCTATTTTAAATGAAAACACAACACTGAGGTCAGAAGGAGGTTCTGGGACAGCAGAGACCCCAGGTGAAACCAAAGGGGGAAATTACGTTAAAACTTCTAAATGCCAAACATGTTTGAGAAAAAGAGGAAAAAAAATAAAGTCTTAGGGCAGAAAAAACATTAATCATGGCCCCACGGTATAAATTAATAATAGCTATATTTAATACTGCTATGTAAACTTTCTATGGTTGGATTATATAAATTTTAAATGAAAGTAAATATTATTCATTTGGCATGGTAAGTCTGGTAAGTCTCAGCTTATATAGAATAACTTTGAATATGATTTTTTCCCCTCCAAATTTCACTTTTATTTGTCAAAAGCAAACTGGGTTTCTCGGCTGCTTTTGGCAATCACTATATGTTATGAATCTTTCAGATCATTCTACAAGTCACAATTAATAAAATAATATTTCGCATTTACATACAGCTTTTCACCTAGTATCTCATACTGTTTTAAAAGCAATAAATCATTCATTTCAGAATTGCAACTAAAGAGTCTCAAGTGTTGTTCTAACAAGTAATTTCTTCCAAGTAGCTTCAGAAGAAGCAACGCATATATAGGCTATAATCATTTTCATTTGTTTATTCATATATTCATTCACCGAGTTATTGATTCATTGATTCATATCCTGAACAAACATGTATTGCATGTGCATGTGTACTTAACATTCTGTAGATGTAAAGCTATATAAATAAGTGTTAAAGAGCTTACATTCTAGTTGGGTTCTGGTTAAGAGACTGTTTAAGATACAACTCTGAATGACCTGAACAAATTATTTCAATACTATGTTCTTTTAATCTCTCCGTGAACATCTTATTGAGGACTAATACATTAAGAAGTAGTCACACCGATGTTTTTCTTTTTATATAAGGTATATATATTCAAAGAAAAAACTTAGAAACAAAGAAAAAATCATTTAAAATTTAATAATTACCATTATTTCTGCTACACAGAGATAAACATTGTTAATAATTTGGCATATACATTTCTTGTCTGTTTTAAATTTTTCTACGTCTATATAAAATATATTTACTTTTTATATACATAAGATTACAGCACACATATTGATGATTTATAACTGACTTTTAAAAATTTATAAATATATTATAAATATTTTCCCATGTCATTGAATTTTAGGTTTCAGTGTACTGAAGTCGTGGCTTTTGCTTATAGTTCTGTTTCAAATTGTGAAAGAACACTAGGTCACTAATCAAATTTATATGAAGAAACAAAAGGCACAAATACAGTCAAATACAAGATAAATATAAAAGACAATGTAACTGTATTTTGTATTTGTAATGCCTTTTCCCTCTGATTTAGAAACAACTACAAAATGGAATCATTATAGGTCGAAGGTGATGGGTACACAATATGTAATATGTAACTGTAACTATAAGAGCATAAAAGAGCAGGAAAACAGAGCTACACAGAAGCAATGTTTTTGTGTATTGTCAAAATTAAATTGGCATTAATCTGAACAAAACTGTTACAAATTTTTAAAAAATCATACTAAGCTCCAAGGCAGCCATTAAGAAAATATCTCAAAAACATATTGTAAGAAAAACAAAGGAATTAAAATGGTACACTAGAAAATATCTACTTAACACAAAAGAGGGTAGTAATAAAGAATTGAGGAGAAAAAATATATAACACATTTAGAAAATAAATGGCAAATGTAAATTCTACCTTATCGGTAATTAGATTAAATGTAAATGGATTAAACTCTCTAATCAAAAAGAAGAGCTTACCAAAATGGTATAAATAACTAAATAAATAAACCAACTCTGTCAAAAAGAGACTCATTCTAGATTCACTCATAAGTAGATTAAAAGTAAAAAGATGGGCAAAGATACATCTTGCAAATAGTGTAAAAAATGAAGTGACTACATTAATAGGAGACAAAATAGATTTTAAGCAAGAATTGTTACCAGAGACAAAGGACATTTTATAATAATAAAAATGTCAATCTATTAAGAAGATATGGTAATTATTAGGTTATTGCAAAAGTAATTGAGGTTTTTGCCATTACTTTTAATGTTTTTGTGTACTGTCAAAATTAAATTGGCATTATTCTGAATAAAACTGTTATAAATTAAAATTTTATGGTAAGCTCCAAGGCAGCCATTATTAAAATATCTTAACAACATTGGAAGAGAAACAAAAAAATTAAAATGGTACACTAGAAAATATCTACTTAACACAAAATAAAGCAGTAATGAAAACTTGAGGGGAAAAACGATATAACACTTTTAATGACAAAAAACACAATTACTTTTGCTTCAATCTAATATAAACATAAATGCACCTAGCAACAGATTTCCAAAGTACATGAAGCAAAAACAGACTAAATTGAAGAGAGAAATAGACCATTCAACAATAAGAATAGGAAACTTAAATATGTTACTGTTGGGGCTCAGAAAATGTAACCACAAAGTATCATGCTTTGCTACGCTGAGTACATTGAACTGAAGGACATTAGAAGGACTTCAGAAGCAAAGTCCCTTTCTGACCTTCTTCTGACCTTCTTTCTTTCTTTCTTTTTTTTTTTTTTTTGAGACGGAGTCTCGCTCTGTCGCCCAGGCCGGACTGCGGACTGCATTGGCGCAATCTCGGCTCACTGCAAACTCCGCTTCCCGGGTTCACGCCATTCTCCTGCCTCAGCCTCCCGAGTAGCTGGGACTACAGGCGCCCGCCACCGCGCCCGGCTAATTTTTTGTATTTTTAGTAGAGACGGGGTTTCACCTTGTTAGCCAGGATGGTCTCGATCTCCTGACCTCATGATCCACCCGCCTTGGCCTCCCAAAGTGCTGGGATTACAGGCGTGAGCCACCGCGCCCGGCCTTCTGACCTTCTTTCTAATGCTCCCCTTTCTCTCTCAAGACAGGTCATAAAAACTGTAGTTTATCTTCCCTTAAGGCAGGTCATAGAAACTAGAACCCCTCTTCCCCAAAGCCAGCCAGGAAACCTAGAAATATTACTCTAACCTTTTCCCATCTTTCTGTGAGAGCTGGCCATAATGAAATTCTCTGACCTACCTTTTCTAATAGTAGGTCATAACACCCTCGTTCCAGAAGAAGTTCTCCCCTATACCTGGGAGGAAGAAATGCTACACAGAGAGGTCAAAAAGAATCTGAAGAGACAAGCCTTGCTAGATTTCCCCACTCTGTTACTATTAGATCATTCACTTTTTTGTCCAATTACATTTCTACATGGCTGTTGATTCTTCAACAAACCTAACTATACAAATGGACTGTTTTCCCTCAGCCTTCATCTCTGAAGGCTCTCATGTCACATAAAACTTTAAGTATATTTGCTATACTTTTCTCTTGTTAACTTGCCTTTGTTATATGAGAGTCAGCAGTGACCATTATGATGGGTAAGGAAAGGTATCACACCTTTCTGCCCCTACACAAGTTTCAATAATAGATAGAACAACTAAACAGAATATCAGCAAAGAAATAGAAGACTTGGACAATGCTATAAACCAACTAGGCCTAACAGACATTTATAGAATAAGTCACTCCAAACAGCAAAATACACATTCTTCTTGATAGTATATGCAACATTTTCCAGGATAGACTGTATGCTAGGCTATAAAACAAGTCTCAATAAATCTAAAAGGATTAGAATAATACACAGTATCTTCTCTGTCCATAATGGAATAAAATTAGGAATCAATAACAGAAGAAAACTTGAGAAATTTACAAATATATGTGGAAATTAAACATGCTCCTAAATAATCAATGAGTCAAAAAAGAAATCATAAGGGTAAGTGGAAAATACTATAGGATGTATGCAAATGAAAATAAAACCTATCAAAACTTATGAGATTAAAAAAAATGCCTAAAGGAAACTGCATTCCTGTAAATGCCTACATTGAAAAAGAAGACAGATGCAAATCAATCTTAACCTTTTACTTTATGAAATTGAAAAAAAAAAAGACCAAGCTAAACCCAAAGCAAGTAGAAGAAATAAAATAAAGAAAAGAGCAGAAATAAACAAAATAGAGAATAGAAAAATGATACGGAAAATCAATGAAACCAAAAGTTATTTTTTGAAGCTATCAACATAATTGACAAAACTTTTGCTAAACTAACAGAAAAAGAAAGTGACAAGACTCAAATTACTAAAATCATGTATGAAGGAGAAGACCTTAAAGAAATTTTTAAAAATATATTCTGAGAAAACTCTATGAACTTTTTATACCAACAAATTACATAACCTAGATTAAATGTGCAAAATTCTAGAAAGACACAAACCTCAAAAATTGATTGAAGAAAATATTGCAAATTTGAATAGACTTATTACTATTAAGATTGAGTTTGAATCAGTAATCTTAAATTTAAAAAACTTCCCACAAACAAAGTTCAGGACCAGATGACTTTAATGATTAGTTATACCAACATTTAAAGAATTAACACCAATCTTTCTAAAAGTTTTCCCAAAAATAGAAGAGAAGGAGGAAATACTATCTCATTCTATGAAGTCGTTATTGCCCTGACACAAAAATCAAACAGTTATCACAAGGAAAGAAAATCACAGACCTAAATCCCTCATGAATATAGGTTCAACAATCCTTAACAAAATAATGAAAAACTAAATCCAACAACATATAAAAAGTGCTGTGGATCATGATCAAATTCGATTTAGCCTAGGAATGCAAAGTTGTTTCATACAATAAAACTAATCAATGTAATATACTATATTAATCGAAAAAAGAAGAAAACACTTGATCATCTCAATAGATGTATAAAAAGCATTTGGCAAGGTCTAACATCTTTTCAACTCTACAAGCTACAAATGGGAAAGACGTCCTCAATGTAACAAAGGGAATTCATAGAGAATGTATAGTTTACATCATACTTAATGGTTAAAGACAAAAAGATTTCTTCATAAAAGACTGAAGGGTTTCCACATAAGACAAAGACGTCCACTTTCCCCACTGGTATTTAACATTTTATGGGAGGTTACACTAGAACATTTAGATAGGAAAAAGACATAAAGGCATTCAGACTGGGAAAAAAAGAAGTAAAATTTTCTGTATTTGTTAATGACATGATCTTATATATACAAAACTTTAAAGAATTCACACATAAACACATGAACATTCAAAACTGCTGGAGTTAATAAGAGTTCAGCAATTTTGGTTTCAGGATAGATCAATATACAAAAATCAGTTGTATTTCTATATTAATAAATGTTCCAAAAGTGAAAATAGGAAAAAACATTTATAGTAGCATCAAAAGAATAAAATACTTAGGAATACATCTAACAAAACAAGTTTAAGACTTGTAGACTAAAAACTATAAAACCTTGTTTAAAAAATTTTAAAGAAGACCTAAGTAAATGGAAAGGCATACTATGTTCTTAGATTGGAAAATTTAATATTTTTAAGATCATAATACTCCCCAAATTGATCTTTATATTGATTGCAATCTCTTTTAAACTTCCAGTTGCTTTTCTTAGAAAAAATGGACAAAGTGATCTCAAAATGTATATGAAATGGAATGAATCCAGAAGAGCCAAAATAATCTTGAAAAAGGATGAACAAAATTAAAAGACTCGCAATTCTTAATTTGAAAAGCCACCAAAAGCCTATAGCAATCAAGAAAGTATGGTATAGGAATAAGGCTAGACAATACATCAATGGAATAGAATCGAGAGTCTAAAAAGAAACCTTTGTGTTTGCAGCCAAGTGAATTTCAACAAGGATGTCAACACCAGTCAATGGGAACAAGAATAATCCTTTCAATACATGATGCTGTGACAACTGTGTGTCCCTATGCAAAAGATAAATTTATTCCCCTACCTCACACCACATGCAAAATTTAACTCAAAATACATCAAAGACCTAAATGTAAGAGTTGAAATTATAAAACACTTAGAAGAAAAGAGGTATAAATTTTTGTGACCTGGGATTAGACAAGAGTTTCTTAGATATAACACAAAAAACCTTCAAGAAACCAAAGAAAAATATATAGAAATTGGACTTCATCCAAAAAAAATTATTCAAATGGAAATATAATTTGTAGTATGATTTCCTAGTATGGTGTAAGATGGCGTATTATTGTGGTTTTAACTTGCATTTCTCTGATGATTAGTGATATTGAATTTTATTTTATGTTTGTTCATCATTTGAATGTCTTTTTTTGAGAAATATCTGTTCATATACTTTGCCTACTTTTTAATTGGTTCTTTGTTTTTTTCTTGTTGAGTTGTTTGAGTTTCTTGTAGATTTTGGAAAAACTCTTCTGGACAATGGCCTCGACAAAGAATTTATGACTACGACCTCAAAAACAAATACACAAATTGGACAAATGGACAAAAGGGACTTAATTAAACTAAAGAGATTCTACACAGCAAAAGAAAGTCAGCAGCGTAAACAGGCAACTTACGAATAGGAAAAAATATTTGCAAACTATACATCTGACAAAGGACTAATATTCAGAATCTATAAGGAACTTAAATCAACAAGAAAATACAACTCATTAAAAGTGAGCAAATGACATGAACAGACACTTCTGAAAAGAAGACACACAAGTGGCCAACAAACATGTTTTAAAAATGCTCAAACTAATTATAAGAGAAATGCAAAAGAAAACCACTATGAGACATCTTACACTATTGTTGAATGGCTATCATTAAAAAGTCAAAAAATAATAGATGTTGAGGAGGATATGGAGAAAAGAAAACGTATACAGTGTTAGGAATGTAAATTAGTTCAACTCCTGTGAAAAACAGTATAAAGATTTCTCAAAGAACTAAAAATAGAACTATTATTCAACCTAGCAACCCTATTACTGGATATCTACCCAATGGAAAAGAAATTATTTTATCAAAAAGATATCTGCACTCATATGTTTATTGTAGCACTATTCACAATAGCAGAGTCATGGAATCAACCTAAGCATCCCTCATGAGATGACTGGATACAGAAAATGTGGTATATAGGTTCCGAGCAAGATGGCCAAATAGGAACAGCTACGGTCTGCAGCTCCCAGTGAGACCAACGCAGAACGCGGGTGATTTCTGCATTTCCAACTGAGGAGTTTACTGGTGTTTGTTTGTTTGTTTGTTTGTTTTTACCTGAGTGGCACCTGGAACCTCAGCGAGACAGAACCTTTCACTCCCCTGGAAAGGGTGTGAAGCCAGGGAGCCAAGTGGTCTTGCTCAGCAGGTCCCACCCACATAGAGCCCAGCAAGCTAAGATCCACTGGCAGGAAATTCTTGCTGCCTCACAGCAGTCTGAAGTCGACCTGGGACACTCCAGCTTGGTGAGGGGAGGGGCATCCGCCATTACTGAGGCTTCAGTAGGTGGTTTTCCCCTCACAGCGTAAACAAACACCACAAGAAGGTTGGACTGGGTGCAGCCCACCACAGTGCAGCAAAGCCACTGTAGCCAGACTGCCTGTCTAGATTCCTCCTCTCTGGGCAGGGCATCTCTGAAAGAAAGGCAGCTCATTGAGAGGAGCAACCCCAAGTACATAATCATCAGATTCACCAAGTTTGAAACAGGCAGCCAGAGAGAAAGGTCAGGCTACCCACAAAGGGAAGCCCATCAGACTAACAGGGGATCTTTCTGCAGAAACCCTACAAGCCAGAAGAGTGGGGGGCCAATATTCAACATTCTTAAAGAAAAGAATTTTGAACCCAGAATTTCATATCCAGCCAAACTAAGCTTCATAAGTGAAGGAGAAATAAAATCCTTTACAGACAAGCAAATGCTGAGGGATTTTGTCACCACCAGGCCTGCCTTACAAGACTCCAGAAGGAAGCACTAAATATGGAAAAGAAAAAAAATACCGGTACTAGCCACTGCAAAAACATACCAGAATATAAACACCAATGACACTATGAAGAAACCGCATCAACTAATGTGCAAAATAACCAGCTAGCATCATGATGACAGGATCAAATTCACAGATATCAATATTAACCTTAAATGTAAATGGACTAAATGCCCCAATTAAAAGACACAGACTGGCAAATTGGATAGAGTCAAGACCCACTGGTGTTGCTGTATCAGGAGACCCATCTCATGTGCAAATACACACATAGGTTCAAAATAAAGGGATGGAGGAATATTTACCAAGCAAATGGAAAGAAAAAAAAAAGCAGGGGTTACAATTCTAGTCTCTGATAAAACAGACTTTAAACCAACAAAGATCAAAAGAGACAGAGAAGGTCATTACTTAATGATAAAGGGATCCATGAAACAAGAAGAGCTAACTATCCTAAATATATCTGCACCCAATACAGGAGCACCCAGATTCATAAAGCAAGTTCTTAGACACCTACAAAGAGACTTAGCCTCCCACACAATAATAGTGGGAGACACTAACACCCCCCTGTCAATATTAGACAAATCAACAAGACAGAAAATTAACAAGGATACTCAGGACTTGAACTTAACTCTGGACCAAGTGGACCTGATAGACATCTACAGAACTCTCCACCCCAAATCAACAGAATATACAATTTTCTCAGCACCACATAGTACTTATTCTAAAATTGACCATATAATTGGAAGTAAAACACTTCTCAGCAGATATAAAGGAACAAAATTCATAAAAACAGTCTCTCAGACCACAGTGCAATCAAATTAGAACTCAGGATTAAGAAACTCACTGAAAACCATACAAATATATGGAAACTGAACAACCTGCTCCTGAATGACTACTGGGTAAATAACAAACTTAAGGCAGAAATAATTAAGTTCTTTGAAACCAATAAGAACAAAGACACAATGTACCAGAATCTCTGGGACACAAGTAAAGCAGTGTTTAGGGGGAAATTTATAGCAATAAATGTCCACAAGAGAAAGCAGGAAAGATCTAAAATGGACAACCTAGCATTACAATTAAAAGAACTAGAGAAGCAAGAGCAAAAAATTCAAAAGCAAGCAGAAGGCAAGAAATAACTAAGATCAGCACAGAACTGAAGAAGAAGAGACATGAAAAACCATTCAAAAAACAGTGAATCCAGGAGCTGGATTTTTGAAAAGATTAACAAAATAGATAGACCACTAGCTAGACTAATAAAGAAGAAAAGAGAAAAGAATCAAATAGACAGAATAAAAAATGATAAAGGATCACCACTGATCCCACATAAATACAAACCATCATCAGAAAATACTATAAACACCTCTAAGCAAATAAACTAGACAATCTATAGGAAATGGATAAATTCCTGGACACATACACCCTCCCAAAACTAAACCAGGAAGAAATCGAATCCCTGAATAGACCAATAACAAGTTCTGAAACTGAGGCAGTAATTAATAGCCTACCAATCAAAAAAAGCCCAGGGCCAGATGGATTCACAGCCGAATTCTACCAGAGGTACAAAGAGGAACTGGTACCATTCCTTCTGAAACTACTCCAAACAGTAGAAAAAGAGGGATTCCTCCCTAACTCATTTTATGAGGCCAGGATCATCCTGATACCAAAACCTGGCAGAGACACAACAAAAAAGAAAATTTTAGGCCAATATCCCTGATGAACATCAATGCAAAAATCCTCAATAAAATACTGGCAAACCGAATCCAGCAGCACATCAAAAAACTTTTCCACCAAGATCAAATCGGCTTCATCCGTGGGATGCAAGGCTGGTTCAACATACACAAATCAATAAATGTAATCCAGCACATAAACAGAACCAATGACAAAAACCACATGATTATCTCAATAGATGCAGAGAAAGCCTTCAATAAAACTCAACATCCCTTCATGCTAAAAACACTCAATAAACTAGGTATTGATGGAACATATCTCAAAATAATAAGAGGTATTATGACAAACCCACAGCCAATATCATACTGAATGGGCAAAAGCTGGAAGCATTTTCTTTGAAAACCAGCACAAGACAAAGATGTCCTCTCTCACCACTCCTATTCACATAGTATTGAAAATTCTGGCCAGGCCGATTAGTCAAGAGAAAGAAATAAGGTGTATTCAAACAGGAAGAGAGGAAGTCAAATTATCCCTGTTTGCAGATGATGTGATTGTATATTTAGAAAACTCCATCATCTCACCCCCAAAACTCCTTAAACTGATAAGCAACTTCAGCAAATATCAGGATACAAAATCAATGTGCAAAAATCACAAGCATTCCTATACACCAATAAGAGACAAACAGAGAGCCAAATCATGAATGAACTCACATTCATAATTGCTACAAAGAGAATAAAATACCTAGGAATACAACTTACAAGGGATGTGAAGGACGTCTTCAAGGAGAACTACAAACCACTGCTCAAGGAAGTAAGAGAGGACACAAACAGATGGAAAAACATTCCATGCTCATGGATAAGAAGAATCAATGTTGTGAGAATGGCCATATTGTCCAAAGTAATTTATAGGTTCAATGCTATTCCCATCAAGCTACCATTGGCTTTATTCACAGAATTAGAAAAAAATTGGTTTAAATTTCATACGGAACAAAAAAGAGCCAGTATAGCCAAGCCAATCCTAAGCAAAAAGAACAAGGCTGGAGGTACCACACTACCTGACTTCAAACTATACTAGAAGGCTACAGTAAGCAAAATAGCTTGGTACTGGTACCAAAACAGATATATAGACCAATGGAACAGAACAGAGGCCTCAGAAATAACACCACACATCTACAACCATTTGATCTTTGACAAACCTGATAAAAACAATCAATGGGGAAAGGATTCCCTATTTTATGAATGGTGTTGGGAAAACTGGCTAGCCATATGCAGAAAACTGAAACTGGACCCCTTCCTTACACCTTATACAAAAATTAACTCATGATATATTATAGACTTAAAGTAACACCTAAAACCATAAAAACCCTAGTAGAAAACCTAGGAAATGCCATTCAGGACATAGGCAGGGGCAAAGACTTCATGACCAAAACACCAAAAGCAACAGCAACAAAAGCCAAAATTGACAAATGGGATCTAATTAAACTAAAGAGCTTCTGCACAGCAAAAGAAACTATCATCAGAGTGAACAGGAAACCTACAGAATGGGAGAAAAATTTTGCAATCTTTCCATCTGACAAAGGGCTAATATCCAGAATCTACAAGAAACCTAAACAAATTTACAAGAAAAAAACAAAGAACACATCAAAAAGTAGGCAAAGGATATGAACAGACACTTCTCAAAAGAAGACATTTATGCAGTCAACAGACATATGAATAAAAGCTCATCATCACTGGTCATTAGAGAAATGCAAATCAAAACCAAAATGTGATACCATCTCATGCTAGTTAGGATGGCAATCATTAAAAAGGCAAGAGACAACAGATGCTGGAGAGGATGTGGAGAAATAGGAACATTTTTACACTATTGGCAGGAGAGTAATTAGTTCAACCATTGTGGAAGACAGTGTAGCAATTCCTCAAGGATCTAGAACCAGAAATATCATTTGACTCAGCAATCCTATTACTGAGCTATACCCAAAGGATTATAAATCATTCTACTATAAAGACACATGCACATGTAAGTCTATTGCAGCAATGTTCACAATAGCAAAGACTTGGAACCAACCCAAATGCCCATCAATGATAGACTGGATAAAGAAAATGTGGCACATATACTTTATATTCCATATGCATGGAATACTTTTATATTCCATATGCATGGAATACTATGCAGCCATGAAAAAGGATGAGTTCATGTCCTTTGCAGGGACATGGATGAAGCTGGAAACCATCACTTTCAGCAAACTAACACAGGAACAGAAAATCAAGCACCACATGTTCTTACTCATAAGTGGGAGTTGAACAGTGAGAACATATGGACACAGGGAGGGGAACATCACACACTGGGGCCTGTCCGGGAGTGGGGGGCAAGGGAAGGGATAGCATTAGGAAAAATACTTAATGTAGATGATGGATTGATGTGTGCAGCAAACCACCATGGCATATGTATACCTATGTAACAAACCTGCAGGTTCCGCACATGTATCCCAGAACTTAAAGTATAGTAAAATAAAAAATAAAAATAAAAATGGCAGACACAAATACAAAATGCCTTTTGTTATATAGGAAGATTTTGATGTATATAATTATATTTTATGATTTTATTGAACATTAAAAAAAGAAAGAAAAAGATAATGTGGTATATACACACCATGGAATACTATGCAGCCATAAAACAGAATGAAATCATGTCCTTCACAGCAAAATGGGTGGAACAGGAGGCCATTATCCTAAGTGAAATAACTCAGAAACAGAAAATAAAATATTGCATGTTCTCACTTATAAGTAGGAGCTAAACAATGTGTACAAATTGATACAAAAATGGAAATAATAGACAATGGGGACTCCAAAAAGGGGAAGGTTGGGAGAGCGGTAAGGGTTGAAAAATTATCTGTCTGGTACAATGTTCACTATTTGGATGATGGATTCACTAGAAGCCCAAACCTCATCATTAGGCAATATATCCACGTAACACACCTGCACACGTAGCCCCCCATATCTAACATTTTTAATAAAGAGAGTGATCTATCAGAATTCTATTGGCATAGCTTTATTTTATCAAGATACCTCGAATATAAAGTTTAAAAAGCAGATACACTTTCCTTGAGGAAGTAGAAAGCCATTTTCTCAAAAACATTTTACTTCACGTTAATTGTCCCATTTAGTATAGTACCTAATAAAGGGTAATAGAATTTGCAACAGGAAAGTAGTTCTGCTTATCTAACATTTAGAATCAGAAAATCTCTGTGGATAATAATCTATTTTATTTGTATTCTCTCTGTAAAATATCATAATCCCAAATATCTTTAAATTCTATTTCAAAGTGCAAATGAAAACATGCCCTTGGCTATTATTGTTTTATAAAATGTCTATTGTTCATAAGACACAAAAGAGTTCTTCTAAGTCACCAACAGTTTATTATATGTCATAACTTTAGTTGAAGTGTCATATTTGCTTAAAGCATTGCTATGTGCATCATCCAAATGTTCCTTCCTTTCATCCTTTCTGAACTCTTTATAGACTGCCATCAAAGTACTTAGGCCTGGCACGGTTGCTCATGTCTGTAATCCTAGCACTTCGAGAGGCCGAGGTGGCAGACTCTCTTGAGTCCAGGATTTCAAGACCAGCCTGGGTGACATGGCGAGAGCTCATCTCTACTAAAAATGCAAAAAAAAAAAAAAAAAAAAAAAAAATTAGCAGGGCATGGTGGCACATGCCTGTAGTCTCATTTACTCAGGAGGCTGAGGTTAGAGGATTGCTTGAGCCTGGGAAGCAGAGGTTGCCGTGAGCCAAGATTACCTTACTGCACACCAGCTTGGGGAACACAGCGAGACCCTGTCTCAAAAAAAACAAACAACAACAACAACAACAACAAAAACCCTCATATTACATATCTAATATTGGCTTCCACAACTGGTTCCTGAGCTTCCTGAGGTCAGAGATTCTATCTCTTCTGCCTCTGTATCCCCAGTGTCAGTTACCTGGCAGGTCTTCAACTAATAGGTGCTAAATAGTCATGCATGAATGAATGAGTAGGTGGACAAATGGGTGGATGAAAGAAAAAAAAATATTTAAATAGTAAGGTAATCTTGGCTCATGCTTTTCTCTGTAAATGTGGGTGAATAAAATTGTTAAGTAAAAAGAATTAAAATTTATTTTTGTTAGTAATATACATTACCTAAAATTACTTACCTTATTACCAAAACAAAGTATTAACTAGATCTTAATTTGATAAGAACTAAATTTTGCTGTTAATCTCAAAGTGCAGGTAAAGGTAACCTTAAATCAAATGTAAACAGAAAGCAGAGACTGAGATTCAATAATTCACCTTCTCCTTGGAAGTAGAAGCTGGGATGAGAATAAGGACTACTGGGTGGAGAAGTCCATGGAAAACATCTGCCAGTAGTGTTTCAAAGAGTGAAGAGGGGACTTATTGTGAGTGCTATTGTCAAAGCCCCCAAAGCACAACATCAATGAAGTACTATTTATTTTTTCTATAGTCAATAGATCAAAAGCCTATGGAGCAGTATGATCTGCTCTTTGTAAGGAGAAAAGGTCTATCCAGAGAAATGGAGAGCACATCTGGAAATATCTGTCTATGGAGCTGCTTGAAAAAAATCACCATGTAGCAGCAATAGGAGAAACATCTGTGCAGTGTGCAGCAAACCAGTCAAGGAAGGAAGCTGCTATGCGAAGAGACCACATAATCAAGACAAAGACCAGGGTGGAGACAAGCACCCCTTGAATGACAAATCTTCCTAGATTCCATTTTTAACCACATGTAATCAGTAAGAATGATTTTCTTTTTCAAAGTATTTATATTAGCAGCACCTGCTCCAGGTGTAGCAGGGCAAAGGCAGAACACAATATCTTAAGGTGATTACTTAAAGACATTTCTATACATCACTGAAGAGCAGAATCTGCATGTTATATGTTCACTGCAAAGTTCTAAATATTAATTATTTTAAAATCATGCATTAGAGAAGCTCATAAACATGGATTTTAACCCAAAGTACCTTAAACGTGGTTTTCTTATACAACTTATTTACATGAGCTTTTAATCAAAAGTAGTGTGAAGACAATTTTTTTATCAAAACTAACACCAATTCAGCAATTTTTTAAAAAACATGGTTTTGTTTTGTTACATGTGAGTTAGTGTCATCACACTAGTTTCAAAAAATAAGTGTGCATGTGAATATTCAGTTGCATACTCTTTAAAAGACAAATTCACTAGATTATTGCTCATATTCCTAATACAACAGCTCTATCTGTTTTAGTAAATTAACTAACTCCACTATTCAATTAAAATATGAATGAAAGTCTTCATTTTCATCAACAACTTTAAAATACTGCACTGCTGTGAAACAAGATTAAAAGTATGCTCGATGTTCTTGTTATCTATGAAATTTGGCTGGTAAACACGCTGTTCCCAATATTGGTGTTAATTAACAAGTTGTCACTTTGCATTAGGCTGGAATTGTCTAATGCTTTCAATACATCTTGAGGCTGTGTTTACACTACAAAGTGCAACATGGAAAAAGTCATGTAGATATTTCAGACTAAAAAAAATCCTGTTGAAGAAAACACGAGGCAATTTTTTTAGAATCAACCACCTTGGCATTCCGTATTAAATCGTATCACTAGAATATTCCTCAATTATTTTCATTTTTCTCAGTCCATGTTGCCAGAAGTTAAAAAGGGAAAAAAAGATTATTTTTAACTAATCAAGATAGGCTCCAAATAGAATATCCTATGCCTATAATTTACAAATTAATTGTGTACTTCCATTCATTTAATCCTTTCCACATTCCTTTACAGATGGTTTCTGACTTACAATTGTTTGACGTGATTCTTTGACATTATGATAGTGTGAAAGCCATAGGCATTCAGTGGAAACAATACTTTGAGTACCTACACAGCCATTCTGTTTTTCATTTTCAGCACAGTATTTATTCAGTAAATTACATGACATATTCAGTACTTTATTATAAAATAAGCTTTGTGTTATATTATTTTGCTCAACTGTAGGTTAATACAAGTGTTCTGAGCACGGTTCAGGTAGGTTGGTCTAAGCTATGATGTTTGGTAAGTTAGGTGTATTACATACATTTTCCACTTAATAATATCTTCCATTTTAAGAATGGGTTGTTGGAAGTTGTCCCATCATAAATCAAGGAGCATCTTTATTAAGGTTTTATTAATCTTATTTTATGAATGACAAAATTGAAGTTCAGAAGAGTGATTTTAACTTTCCTAAAGTTATGTAGCTATAAGTGGCAGAGCTAATCCTTGAATCTAAGTCTTCTAGTTTTAAATCTAGTAGTAACACTTTTTTTTAAATACTTTTTAAGAATCTGAAAATGCTATCAAAGATAGGGATAAGAGAAGCTTACATTTATACAGTCTCTGTATAAAAACTACATATAATACAGAGTACATATATATATACACACACATATACAGATTACATGTGCATTTATATAATTTGTATATAGCTACACATTATTAAGTATATAGTAAATTATTTATATATTATCTAAATGAATATTTGCAAAATCTTGTGTGGTAGGTATTATTTTCTCCATTTACCCAATGAGTTCCAGAGAGGATGAGTAACTTACCTAAGAGGACACAGTTGATGAGTGGCAGAGCTTATATTCAAATGACAGCCTGAAAGACTGTTGAGACCCTCACTACACTGTGGTCCGCAAATAGGCTTTATCAGCACTATCTGAGAACTTGGGAGACACAGAATCTCAGACCCCACCCTCAACATAATGGGCAAGATTCCCAGGAGATTCATAAGCATATAAATATTTGAAACGTACAGTTATACACCACATTAGTCTGATATCAAAATTAAATCTATCAAAATGTGTAGTGGAACACAAAGTGGTCTACAGTATTTATATCTGTCCATCTCTACTAAAACTATAAGCTCCTCAAGGGCAAAGTCTAAAACTGTTCCCGGCATGTCGCATAAGACTTTGTGCTAGTAGCTGCCTAAGAAATGTTTACATCTGGTTAGTTGCATATATAAAACAAGTATTTGGCCAACTTTGTATATAAATGTTTGTTTTATTTGTTGATGTTTCAGAGGCTGTTAGATGGGAAGTAAGTTATTTTAATTCCATTTTATGATTAAATGCATTTATACAGCTATCTCAATAAAATGTGTTTTGTTTTGTTTTTCCAAACTGTGGTACAGATAGCTTGGGTAATTTTTTTTTTTTTTTTTTTTTGAGGTGGAGTCTCTTTCTGTTGCCCGGGATGGAGTGCAATGGTGGCATCTCAGCTCACTGCAACCTCTGCTTCCCCAGTTCAAGTGATTTTCCTATCTCAGCTCCCTGAGTGGTTGGGATTACAGGCACCTGCCACCATGCCTGGCTAGTTTTTGTATTTTCAGTAGAAACAAGATTTCACCATGTTGACCGGACTGGTCTCGAACTCCTGACCTGAAGTGATCCACCCGCCTCAGCCTCCCAAAGTGATAGGATTACAGTCATGAGCCACTGCACCCGGCTGGGTATTTTTAAATTGGGATTGCTTCTTATATTTTAGTAGATAGCATTTATGGTGGGAACTATGCTGAAATATATGGCATTGGCAAGCTGCTATTTAACCACAGTGGAGAGGAGGGAATTTATTAAGATTGGCTCAAAATTACTTTGGAAAGAGACAGAGCTACAAAGTTGAAGGAAGGTGGTGCTCTGCCAAGGGAAGAGGTGATGGTTGTGCAGGTTAATTTAGTGATGGAGTATCAGAGGCTGCATGACAGAGGGTACAGCAGAATAAAAAAGAGATGGAGACTAGGACTGTGGGAAGCTTTGGAAGATATCCTAAGTAAAGGAGGAACAAATGGGTGGGAAACAGGAAACATGTAGGTCTATGATTCTGTGATTCAACATTTCAACTTAAGAAACATTCAGTGAATAATTACATTTTGAGGGTTAAAAGATGGAGAAACTAACATCTAGTAAATGCTTACCATGTGCTAGAAACAATGTAAGGCATTTTCATATGTTAACTTGTTTAAATTTTACAGTGATGTAGAGAGGCTTCTATTTTTCCGAGGTGATATTAGAGAGACAAAGAGTTGAACAAATTTGTCTAAATTAAACTCCTACTAAATTAAACTCCTACTCCTACTAACCTCACTGTTCCAATCCTGGCTAAGGATTGGATTTTTCCACTGGGCTTTTAAACATATAAATATGTGAACTCGTATTCTGTAAATTTCAGTAGAATCTATATATTTGTCTAAAATTCCACAAATGTTTGTAATGAACAAAGTAGAGAAACATTGCTTTGTATACAATACTTCTTTTGACCTATTATATACAAACCACTGTACTAGAAGAAATGGGAAAGAAGATAATAAATCAGATAAACATCCTGTCCTCAAAGAGCATCCAGTCTATTTGGTCAGATAAGTCAGCTACAACAATAACACAATATATGGGGAAATTGCTACGTAACGTATTTTAAATGCCACAGGAATCAAGAAAGTGTGATATTGGTGAAAGCTCAGATAAATAGACCAATGGAACAGAATAAACAGCCCAGAAACAGACCTACGCAAATAGAGTGAACTGGTACATAATGAAAAAGCAGAGACAATTCAGTGGAGGAAGAATAGTCTTTACACCAAATGATGCTAAAATATTCACATGTTTTTAAAAAATGAATCTAGCACAGATTATATCTTCCACAAAAATTAGCTCAAAATGGATCATAGACCTAGATATAAGGCTCCAAACTATAACAACTTACAGGCTATAGCATAAGAGACTAGCTGATATTAGGTTTGGTAATGACTACTTACATACAGCACTAAAAGCATGATCTCTGAAAGAAAAATGTAATACATTGGACTTTATTAAAATTAAAAGATCTGCTCTACAAAAGACCCCGTTAAAAGAGTGAAAAGTCAAGGCACTGACTGGAAGACAATATTTGCAAAACACTTCTCTGATAAAGAGCTTGTATCCAAAATATATGAAGAACTCTTAAAACTCAACAGTAAAACAAGCAACCCAATTTAAAAATGGGTAAAAGATGTGAACAGACACCTCATAAATGAAAAAAAACCAATGGCAAGTGAGCTCCTGAAAAGACACTTCACATCATACATCAAGAGGGAAATGCAAATTAAAACAATATGAAATACCACTCTACACATCTATTAGAATAGCTGAAACACAAATACTGACAACAAATGCTGACAAAGATGTGCAAAAGGAACTCTCATTAATTGCTGGTGGGAGACCAAAATGGTATAGTTACTTTGAAAGAGTATTTGGCCATTTCTTTAAAAAATAAACATACTCTTACCTTACTATCTGCCAATTGAAACTCTAGGTATTTACCCAAAGGAGTTGGAAATTTATGTCCATGCAAATGTTTATAACAGCATTATTTGTGATTGCCAAAAACTGGAAGTCACCAAGACATCTTTCAATAGGTAAAGGGATAAACAACTGTGGTACATCCATACAATAGAATATTATTCAGCAAAAAGAAGAATAATCTATCAAGCTATGAAAAAACATGCAAGAAAACTTAAATGCATATTGCTAGCTAAGTGAAAGAATGAAGCAAATCTTAAAAAACTACATTCTGTATGATTCCAACCATGACATTCTGGAAGAGACAAAACTAGAGATAAAAAAGACCAGTGCTTGTGAGGGGTTTATGGGGAGAGAGAGAGGGATGAATGGGTGGAGGAGCACAGAAGATTTTGGGGGAAGTGAAAGCATTCTGCCTGAACCTATAATGATGCATATATGACATTATGCATTTGTCAAAATCCATAGAACTATATAGTACAGAGAATGGACCCTAATGTAAACTCTGCACTTTAGTTAATATAAGGTACTAATATTAGTTCATCAGTTGTAACAAATATGCCACAGTAATGCAAGATGTTAATAAAGGAAACTGTATGTGGAGAAAGAGGGAGTGTATGGGGACTCTGTACTTTCTGCTCAACTTTTCTATAAACAAAACACTGCTCTAAAAAATAGTCTATTAATACTTTTTTAAATGCCATGTGAGTTGAGAGTGGGAAATACTGCTTCCAGTCAGAATAATCAGGGAAAATAAAACTACCTGGAAGGGACAGTATTCCAAATATACTTTGACAGATGGTTAGGATTTGGATAATATGATATCCTATGTACAGTAAGGACATTCAGATAGATGAAAGACAGAGGTAACATTCTCAACCCAATAGTTAAGCAAATGTGCAAATCAGCTCATCCGTGACCAGTAATATTTACTATTTAACATATGTGAGACTAAGTTCTCTTATAAGTAGAAATAATTATTTCTACTTATAGAATATTGGTGTTAATTAACAAGTTGTCAGTTTACATTAGGCTGGAATTGTCTAATGCTTTCATATATATAATGGGTAAGCAAATCTTAAATGTACCATTCAATGAGTTTAACAATTTCATATACATTTATAAAATAAACCTTCATGAAAATAAAGAACATTTTGACGAAGGATACTATATTATAGGATAATCCTATAATATAGAAGCATAAATATATAATAATCCTAGAAAAATAGTCCCATAACTATTTCTACTATTAATAGGAATGCCTTCAGTGAGTATAGGTTGCAATGGATACTGCAATAGTAGAGTGGATTTAGAAGGACTGAAAAGACAGTAGGAAAAATGATTGATATCATTTTATGAGAATAACTAAAAGCAAATCTGAATGCCATCTAAAGACTTTGGACAATACTCTGTTTTTAAGAAGGAGATTGGAGAACAATCAGTGCTTTGGTCAAATGTGCTAACATTTGTAACGTGTCTAGTACTGTGGCAGTCACACTAGATGTTAAAGATGGCAAAATGTTAAGGAAACCACAAAGAAGAGAATAGCAATGAGGTGAGGATTTTCAACACTGTCAAATACTACAAAGGTGTTGGGGAATTTGAAAAGGGATTCAAAGGCATTGGATCTATCAACCATTGGAGACTTTTGGGAGGACTGTTTCCACAGAGCAGTTGGAGCAATAGACAAAGACATGGTTTTCAAAGGTGTATGTAGTAAGGAACTGGAAAAAGCAGCAGAAACAACTCTTTGTCTCAAAGTTTGGTTATGAAAAAAGGAGACACCTAGGAAAATAACTCAGAGGGGTAGCAAAATACTATTCTTGGATGGGAGAAGACTCGATCATGCATAAAAGTACAGAATTTTTTGATAATACTAAAGAAGCAAAAGAAATAATATATAGAGGGTGAGGAATAAAAGCACATATGGTGGATAGATAATAAGAAGGGGTAGAGGAGATTTTTAATTTTGAATGGAAGAAATAATTGTTTTTTTTTTCTCTAAGAAAGAAGGAAGGATGAGAAAGTAATTTAAAAGAAAACAAATTTTGAAGCAGAGAGGATAGAAGTTAAAGCACTTCATTCATTTACAAATATCTTTATGCATCTAAGTATCAAACACTGGGCTAGAGAACAGTACAGCAAGAACAGAAGCATAAGAGGTCTACAATGCCAGGACAGCACAGTAAATTCTCTGATAAATATGAGGGTGAAGTGCCATAGCAGTCAAGGGAGAATCCACATATAAGACAACATTTCGATGATGTCTTTGAAGTTCATGTAACCAGGTGGAGAAGTGAAGGAAAGATATTCCAGGCAGGAGAGACAGAAGGTGCAAATCTAGAGCATCGCGAATAGAGCAGCTTATATCTGAGGTGGTTTGTAGTTAAATTCTTAATTGCTGACTTCTATAGCAACTGACAGGGATTTTTTCTTTCTCCAAGCCAATTTGTGTAAGCAGTATAGGTCATCTCCAGAGGTGACCTTTCCCTAATTCCAATTCTATTCCTTAAACCTCCCGCCTCTTACTTTTCCTCCCAGTAAAAGATGGTCATTTTGCTGGTCTGTGGATACATACAGCCAATAACCTGATGATCACTAAGCCAACACTCTCTTTTTGTTTGTCTATACTTATTAATGGTAATACTGTTTTCCCTGCACCCATTTTGGAATTTTTCATCTCTTCATTTACCTATCTATGTATTGGCACCAAATACTTTAAATAACTTCCTCATAAAGTTTTTCATGTTGTCTTATTTTCAAATTCCCATTGCTTTGGTTTTGGTCATTAGTAGATTATGCCTAAATTATTACAACAACCTTCTTAGATTCTGTCTATAGTCCTTTATTTTCAAGCACCATCTTGTACCCCACCACCAGATTAATCTTATCAAACATCACATTCCCCAGGCAATCTTCCAGTCCACAGTCCAGTGACTATCTGCTACTTAAGATAGAGGCTTTAGCAATAAATTCTGTTTTTTCACAATCTAGTCAGTATTTACTCTTTACCACTTAACTTCTGTCTGACACACCAAATGTTGGCAAGAATATGGAGTAACCATAGGTCTCATGTATTTTTAATAGAAATTGAAAAAAGATATGGAAATTTCTCATAAAACTAAACACATATTTACTTTAGGTTCCAACAATTTCACCACTAGGTATTTTTCTGAGGAAAAGAAAATGTATACAGGAATATTTGTAGCACCTGTTATTCATGATAGCCTCAAACTCAAAACAATGCAGGTGTTTATTAATAGACAGATAAACAGTAGTATATTCATGCAATGGAAACTTACCCATAAAAAGGAACAAACTACTGATACAACAAAATGAATAAATCTCAAAAACAAAATACTAAATGAAAAAAATACACGAAAGAAATTCTTTTTATATGAAGTCTTAAAAAAGGCAAACTAATCTATGGTTGAAAAGCATCAGAGCATTGGTTGCCTCTGAGGTGGCAATTACAAAAAATAACTGATAAGAACCAAAGATAAATTTCGGGAATGGTAGTGTTCTTTATTTTGATGAAGGTTTATTTTATAAATGTATATGAAATTGTCAAACTCATTGAATGCTATATTTAAGATTTGGTTATTCATTGTATATAACTTTTACTTCCAAAAATATAACTAAACAACTATTGAACTCACTGATACATGTGATGAAGTGTTTAGGGGTGAAATATACTGATGTCTGCAACTTACTTTGAAATGAATTATAATTAAGATGGATTGGCTTACAGAAAGAGGGACAGATAGATATGTGACAAAACACATATACTAAAATGTTACTGACAGAATTAAGGTAGCGAGATATTTATGTTTACATACAATTCTTTCATTTTTCTGAGTATTAAAACAATTTTATAATAAAATGTTGGGAGAGGGAACCTCACTTCCCATTACTTCCTTCTATATACCCTCTGCTTGTGTTCATGTCTATTTGAACATCCTCATTGTTTGTCACCTCTGTGCCTTTAACCTATAAATACCATCCTTCATTTTCATTTATACTCAAACCCAACCTTATTGAAGTTATATGCTGATCACTTCCAAAAAAAACTTTTCATGACTAATTTCATCTTGAAATGAAGCTTAATTAACTTAATGCTTTTCATTTGTATTTAATTACACATTATAACAAGAAGCATTCTTTTAATTATACATTTAATTATAGCACAGTGAGATAGCATAGGATAGGCATGGAGACAAATCACCTAAATTTTAATCATAGCTTCATAATTTACTCAATTTACTAGCCTTGGGTTTCACACTTCTTACCTAGAAAACCACTACCTTCCTTAGATGACTATTCTGAGGAACAGATGCATTAATTTGTATTAATATCTTGTACCTGGCACAGAGCCCAATAAATGTTAATAATCATTATCTTCATAGTATGTAACTAGCACCTTACCTTGTGTCTTAAATTTTATAAGTTTCTTAATCGCAGAAGTTGTTTCTATAAGACAACTTTTATTATTGTCTCATTGCATTTTTCTACAAAAATGTGTCATATTGCCAAACATAATCTCTAAGAAAATATTTCTTTAATGAATGAATGAGGAAATTAAAAGCTTTAGTGTTTTACTAATGTGCTGTGCTGTCTCTGTTTGCCTCTCTTTTGCAGTAATATAGCTTTAACTAAACAATCTCCCATAAGCAGCACATAACAAAATTACTTACAAATGGAAGACTATGCTTTTTAATTTAATGCATGCTTTTTCACCGTTGTTTCAGATGTAGATCTATCATAAAAAGAAACATTTGTTATATACCGCTATTTTGCCAGTGTTTCCTTATGTACTAGGATCCAATTAGCCATTCATCTTATAAAGTGGGGAGTTCTGGAGTTCCAGGGAGGTTGAACTTTGAAGGCCTGTAATACGGAACAGAATCAAGCAAACATGAGTTTTATGTCTTTGCTGTTTCTTTAGAAAAGTATTAAAACATTGCTGGAAGCTGTAATTTTATAAACTTCAAAAGCTAGGGGAAATCAAACATTCTATAGGATCATGGTAAGACTAAGTCCCTTCATCACACCACAGTGATGACAACACAATCATGTCTCTGGGATATAGAATTACAAAAAGCTTATGATTAACTGAGTGAGAAAATTAGCAAGTTGAACAGCAAGTTCGAGGTTCCTACCTTACCGCAAAAGCAGGCGGGCCCTATGGATATTGTAATTAAGTGTAGAGCATGTTGGCAAATCTATCAGAATGTCGAGTTTTGGTCTCGAGAACTTACACACATTTTTCAGAATTCCAGAACCATGGAGCAGTTTGAAATTGTAAGTGCTTATGTGTGAACAATCTTTTTTTTTTTCTTTACATGACATGATGAGAATTTAAAGCTCATGCACAGATGGCTTTAAAATGTAGATAGCTATTCTGTACTTCTCACTACCCAGAACTTTTACAGGAGCTTTGACATCTATAATTTTTGCGGAAGACCTGACTAGAACACAATTTAAAGAAAGCCCAATGTATTCATTCTGTTTTGAGGCCAAGGCTAGGTGTTTTATTTCAGCCTGGCCTCTTGGAAAGAAGGTTCCCAGTCATGAAAAGGCCCCTCAGAGGGAAAAGTATGGCCCGAGTTCAACTGAAATCTTTAAGAGCTGGTGCCTCAAGCTTCACCAACAGAGGGTTTATTGGACCAGGGGTGTCAGCCCTTGAGGTCATTTACTTACTACCCTTTATTAACAAGTGCTCCTTGCACTAGGTCTTGATCCACATAGGTATTCTCCAGGTATTCATCTGCATGAGGGCAGGCAGAGCTTGTTGCTTATTAAAGCCAGAGGCTTTGCACAGCAAGGTAACATAGACTCTAGTATAAATTTACAAATATCATATTTTATTTAACAGCTAAATCCCCTAGTCTATTTTCCTTATCATCCCAGTAGCAACTAACTGCCTAAGCCACTGAGAAGTCTGCTTCCTAGGTCTACTTAGTAATTCTAATGTCTGATAACAGCATTGGTCCCCAGAGTGATCTCAGGTTCACACTCATCCTTTCTTCTCTCTATTTTATAGATTAGAATTGTTTTTCATGGGCCAAGCATGATGTTTCACACCTGTTATCCCAGCACTTTGGGAGACCGAGGCGGGCGGATCACTTGAGGTCAAGAGTTTGAGACCAGTCTGGCCAACATAGTGAAACTCCATCTCTACTAAAAATATAAAAATGAGCCAGGCTTTGTGGCAGGCGCCTGTAGTCCCAGCTACTCAGGAGGCTGAGGCAGGAGAATCTCTTGAACCCAGGAGGTGGAGGTTGCAGTAAGCTTGGATCGTGCCACTGCACTCCAGCCTGGGCGATAGAGCGAGACTCCGTCACAAAATAAATAAATAAATAAAAATAAATTGTTTTTCATGGTGGTGGTCTGGCCTCTCAAAAGCTTCTCTCTCTTATCCCCTAAGATTTAGAAAACTCTTACGTATTTCAACCATAAGGAAATAGCCAACAATACGGATACTCTTCATATATATATATGGATATACATGACTATGTACATGCCCACTCACCCCCCAACACACAGTAGATGTGCCTAAACCTAGCAACTCTTGTCAATGAGCAGCTTGAAGACATGTAATACTAGATCTTAAAGGGGCGCATTTCCTGATGTATTTGTTTCATGTAACAAAGTATTGCAAAGTTGGTCACTTGAAACAACAGAAATTTACTCTCTCACAGTCCTGGGTGCCAAAAGCCCAGCATCAGTATTACCTGGACAAAATCAAGACTCCAGCAGTGCTGTACCCGCTCCCAAGGCTCTAGGAGAGGATTGCGTCCTTGCTTCTTCCAATTTATGATGGCTGCTGACATTTCTTGGCTTGTGGCTTCTTTGCTCCAATCTCTGCCTCTCTCGTCACATTGTCTTTTCTGTGTGTGTATCCTCTTCTCTACTGTCTGTGTCAAATCTCCCTCTACCACTCTCTTTTAGGACACACGTGATTGCATTTAGGGTCTACCGTGATTATCCAGGATATTCTCTCTGTCTCAAAATCTTTAACTCAATCACATCTACAAAGACTTTTTTCCTTCTAAGGTAACATTTCTGGGCCCCAGGAATTAGGACTTGGCATCCTTTAGGGGTCGTTATTCAGCTTACTCTACCTTCCAACCACCCTCCTCTCACTCTGAGTGCTTTCTATAGATTTCAGGGGATCACTTTACTCCTATGCCTCTACATTTATCACTCTTATTAGAATTCTATTTAAATATGACTACACATTAAGGACTACACAAGTAAAGCTCATTCACTATGTATAGATGAGGTTATTTCTGGTAATTCTTTTTTTTTTTTTTTTTTTTTGAGATGAGTCTCACTCTGTCACCCAGGCTGGAGTGCAGTGGCCCAGTCTTGGCTCACTGCAGCTTCTGCCTCCCAGGTTCAAGCGATTCTCCTGCCTCAGCCTCCCAAGTAGCACCACCACACCCAGCTAATTTTTGTATTTTTAGTAGAAATGAAGTTTCACCACGTTGGCCAGGCTGGTCTCGAACACCTGACCTCAGGTGGTCTGCCCACCTCAGCCACCCAAAGTGCTGGGATTACAGGCATAAGTCACCACGCCTGGCCTATTTCTGATAATTCTTAGACAGAATAAAGAAATAATCACACAAAAATTCCCAGAAACCAAAGGCCAGCACTCCATTAGCTGCGGGAAAGTATCATGCTCTCTTTGTCTTAATCATGGGCATGCCAAGGTGCATTATAGAGAAGGGCATATAAAATATACCCAGGAAGGTAATTTTAAGACGGTACTAAGAAAAAGCAGGCCAGGAGGTAAGTCATAAGAGTCCAGGGAAAGCTAGTAGAACCTCTGGGGGGCATCTGACTCAAAACGAATAATGAGATGAAACAAGTTCATAAGCTTAGTGACAAGAGTGCCATCGCTGCTCTAGAAAGCTATGCATTTAACTTTTGCACTCTTTTTATATTTTTTGAGGTCTCTGTGCTTTTCCCCATTGGTTGTCCATTTGTGAGCCTTCATTCAATTCTGTCCACATATATTTATTGAATTCCCAGTGTATGCCAGGCACATTATGCAATGGGATGACATCCTGAACAAAACAAGCCTAATCTCCATCCTTCCTTGAACTTAAAGTTTGGGGTGTAATTACTTGGCTTTTAGTAGCAGGAAATTACAACCGATCAGCTCTGTAATGAGAAATTCAGGGCCTATGATTTACCAGGAGTATGTCATGAGGATGAGAGTGGATCTAACATGTGCAAGAACTAAGATGAATATGAAGCTAAAGGATGCAGACAGAGCCCCTTGATCATCTGTGCCTCCCCACTTGGAGAGTCTCCTTTCAGGGCAAACTCATAGTGTTCCTAAATTTTGTTACAATCAAGAAGTTAGAATTGCATTAGAGCAGGGGTCTTCAAAGTCCTCAAAGGAGCTAAAGAGAAACACTGTGATCCCTCTCATGTGCCTGGTTTCTAACAAAGCAGCTCTGTTTTCATCTGTTTTACATCTTGGGCTTTTAAACAAAGGGTTCTGCAACAAGGACAATGAAGATTGAAAACTCCTGCTTTAGAGTAGCAGCCCCCACAGTGACCAAGAAACTTCTCCTGCAATGCCATGTGTGGGAAACAATTCAAAATGCATGTACAGGGAATGGTGGGTCAGGTACCATCTTATATGAAGAATGGAATATTAAACTAATACTTAACCAGTGACAGTGGCTGGTGTAGATGATGATAACCTGATTCTCTCTGGTGTTTCATTTCTTCTTCATGTGACAGGAAAGATAACCAGGAAGGGAATGAAGAAAGGCAAACTGTTGTTTCTCACAATGCTTGTCATCTATCAAGTGACAATTTCCCTGCTCATGTTCCGAAAGTCTCCTCTTTTGAAGCACCTTATGTCTTCATGAGTTCTGAAGAGCTGTCCATGGGGATTGAAAACACAAGGGTGATAGAAAATTACATAAGTCTGGGTAAAAAAAAAGAAATTGAATTGAGATCTGAAAGTTTGATGAAAATCTCTCAGCCATTGTGTATGTATAATTTTATTATCTTACACATTTTTAGAAAGAGGAATACAACTCATATTTTTCAGACTACGCTAACCTCTGGGTAGGATAAGCTAATAACAACATAACCAACAGTACGTTCTGGCTCTATTTCTGCCCAATCTAGTCTTCAGAAAATTCTCCCCAAATGGTTCTGAGTGTTCCTAGGTAGGATCTTGTTCTTTGGCACCTAATACCATCAGGCATTTTTATTCTTGCTCACAGCCACAATTTCTTCAGTAACCTTTTATGTTGAAAGTGGCAGCTATACCACTGTCAACACTTATAATGTCACTTATAATGAACTGGCAAAGGGTGTCATCACTTTAGCCCTGCTCAGATTTCAGTTGTGCCAGGACCTGAAGGGGCCTGCAGGCAGAAATGAAGACAGCTCAGAGATATCTGGAAGTACTGAGCACCAGATGGAAAATGGGTGTATTCTTGCACAAACAGACAACAGTTTGGGTATGTAGAGCCAAGGCTTGTGGGGAGGAGTGTCCACACCTGCCCAAATGTTTCAGAATGCAAATACAACTTTGAGAACAGGAGTGGAGGATACATTGTCTCAGTAAATGTTTCTGCCTCCAAAAGAATAATGTTCATGAAGATAACAAAGTTTTATTTTCTGATCACCTGAGTTCATTGACTGCTAACTTTTCCCCTGTACACAAAATTATGAAAACTATAAATTATACAAGATTATTAACTAAATATAAATATATCATTATCATGTAACAATTATAGTGTGATACTTAATAGTAATGAAGTATTAACATATACATAATTAATTTTTTACAATACTAATAATTTTTTACTTATACTTTAAGTTCTGAGATACATGTGCAGAATGTGCATATTTGTTACATAGGTATACACGTGCCATGGTGGTTTGCTGCACCCATCAACCCGTCATCTACATTAGGTGTTTCTCCTAATGTTATCCGTCTCCTAGCCCCCCACCCGCCAACAGGCCCCGGTGTGTGATATTCCCTTCCTTGTGTCCATGTGTTCTCATTGTTCAATTCCCATTTATGAGTGAGAACATACAGTGTTTGGTTTTCTGTTCCTGTGTTAGTTTGCTGAGAATGATGGTTTCCAGCTTCATTCATGTCCCTGCAAAGGACATGAACTCATCCTTTTTTTATGGCTGCATGGTATTCCATGGTGTATATTTGCCACATTTTCTTTATCCAGTCTATCATTGAGGGGCATTTGGGTTGGTTCCAAGTCTTTGCTATTGTGAACAGTGCTGCAATAAACATATTTGTGCATGTGTCTTTATAGTAGAATGATTTATAATCCTTTGGGTATATACCCAATAATGGGATTGCTAGATCAAATGATATTTCTGGTTCTAAATCCTTGAGGAGTCGCCACACTGTCTTCCACAATGGCTGAACTAATTTATACTCCCACCAACAGTGTAAAAGTGTTCCTATTTCTCCACATCCTCTCCAGCATCTGTTGTTTCCTGGCTTTTTAATGTAAAATACTAATAATTTATCCTATAATTCCATTTTGTGTTTTTCTACACTGTATTTTCTACATTAATCTTTGTGGTTAATTTATTTAATTAGCTAATATTCTCCAAAGACTTCTATTTTTAAAAAACACATTTTCATTGCTTTATAAGTGGTTTATTAAACCAACTAGGCTCCAATACTACACATTTATGGAGAAAGGAGTAAATGCTCTATTCCTATAAATCAAGAACAAAAGCTATAAATGAGGCAGTAGTGCAAGGGACCAAATTCTCAAGTCCAGAATCCCAATGAGAAAAGGCAAATTGAAATTTGCTCTTTCTCAAACATTCGCTTTACTTACGGAAATTTCTAGCTAATTGCTTTAGGCACAACTAAAAACAAATTCTGCATTTGCTAAGATCCATTAAAGAACTTGAAAATATATTATAGTTCAAGGGAACTAAGGCAACTCTCCACCACCACCCCTGGCAAACACACAAATCATTGCACCTGAAATTTCAGCTGTGCTAGGGAGGCCAAGCAACAAAGTATTCTTTTAAAAGAACAATAGATCTTCTTGTAGATTCACTAGAGACATGAACAACAAAGCAACTACTGGAAAGTCTGGTAAAACTCTGCATGCATCTGGAATTGATAGGAAGAAATGACATAGGACCATTATTTGTCTTACATGAATTCAAAAACTCATCTTGTTGAGCACTTTTTTCCTAAGGATATTTGTACTTCAACATAGTATAGCTCTTTCTTGTACACAGATGTACATGATGGATGAATAGAGTGAGAGCCTATGGTTTCAATGTTCTCACCCTCCAAAACTGAATTATACCAAGATGCTGCTAATTACACAATAGTTCTTCTAAATGAAAGCTCACAGCAACAAAACTCACAGTAGGGGGTTTTAATGGGTAGTATTATATTATCGAGTAATTGAATCTTCAGCTGTTAAAGAGGTCTTCAGCTTTTAAAGTTAAAGACAACAAAACCTGAGTTGGAAAGGTGCCATATAATTAATTAGGAGAAAAAGCAGTACCAGAAAACAAATAATTTCCTCTTTACCACATTTCCTCCTCTTCAGAAGTTTTGTGCATTTATTACCATAGAGTATTATCTTGTTCATCATCCCATCAAGACTTAAGTATTATATTTACTTTACATGAGGATGTTTTATGTCACATTGAATGGAGTATCAATTGGACTCAAGATACTACAGCTCAGGTTTTTCTTACTCTGAATAATTACACTACTCCTAATGTTATTATTGATTATTCGCGACCATTTTTCAATCACCAAGCCATTGTGGCAGGACAACATTAAACAGTTTCTCAGCAATTCATGTTGTACTATATGATATTTCTTCCACAGATATAGAAATGGAGCAAGTATCTTGGCCAAGGTTACATCCTACCAAGTGCTGAAGAGGTGTTCAAAATGAAGAATTTCTGAATCTACAAATCAAATGATTTTTTCACTAAATGATAGTTACTTCTTTGTGTGTCTGCGTGTGTGTGTGTGTGTGTATTTTATTTAACTAGAATGGTAGAAAAATTTCAAAGCCCTGGATCCCTTGGTAGGATCACAACTTTGTGGATGAAATAAATTGTTACCATTTATAAGTAAGGCCTGGTGCTTTGGGCAAATAATATAGAACAAGCATTTCTTCTACATGAAATCTCCTTGGCAAAGAGTCATAGTGACTTAAGGTTGCTACCTGGCTGTTCGGGCCAACATTGGGACAATTCTAAATCTAAACATGCTTCTCAACAGAAGCACTATTGGCATATGAAGTTAAACAATTATTTGCAGTTCTGGACTATCCCAATCATTGCAAGACATTTGCATCCCTGGACACTACCTACAAAATAGCAATGGCCTCCACACAAATACAAAACCCCACCCTACAGTAATACTGCCCTGAGCTAAGAACCACTGAGCTCGCCCAGTCTTATGATATTCGATAGTCAACAGCAAGCTGCTCTACTGCTGCAAGAAGCAGTCCTGGACTTTCCGCGCAGTGTTACATCATTTTGGCCCTAGCCCAGAATGTTAGGAGCAGATAACATGCTGCTGTAGACAGATATGGATGGACTAAGCCACTGCTATGGGGCAAAAACTATATTAGATCAAGAGAGACAGGTTAGGGAGTCCAATCAGAGTGTATGGATGTGCAAAGATGGTCAGTCTCCATACCGAGTTATAGTCATAAGTGATAAGGAAAGGAAAGAGAAAACACAGTAGGAGGTACGCATCTCCAGTTTATGGGAAGAAAGGGGCAGTAGTGAGGCTGGGCGCAGTGGCTCACACCTGTAATCCCAGCACTTTAGGAGGCTGAGGTGGGTGGATCACGAGGTTAGGAGTTCGAGACCAGCCTGGCCAATATGGTGAAACCTCATCTCTACTCAAAATACAAAAATTAGCCGGGCATGGTGGTGTGCACCTGTAATCCCAGCTACTCAGGAGGCTGAGGCAGGAGAATCACTTGAACCTGGGAGGCAGAGATTGCAGTGAGCTGAGATCACGCCACTGCACTCCAGCCTGGGCAACAGAGCGAGACTCCATCTCAAAAAAAAAAAAAAAAAAAATGGAGCAGTAGTAAGGCCCACCCGCCCAGTGCAGGCTCTGTTGGCTGGCTGCCAATTTCCTGCGTGCTATTGGCTCATGATATGGCAATTTTCTGTCTGGAACCCAATAGTTCCTTCAGCCTTTACAATTACTCCTCAGTATCCAGTAACTACTCTTGGGCCCCACAGAAGACAGGCCAACTGTCGACTTTCATGTCTGTTATGACTTATTCTTGAAATATGTCACCATGAAGCCTAAAAAGCTTGATGCCCCATTCAACACATTTTGAGTTACATTTTTGAAAGAGGATGTTTGGGCAATGACACACAAATTATATGCACAAAGAAAATTAATTATTTGCAGACATGTAGTATAATTATATGAGTTTATGCTATCCATCTGTGAACCTTAGTCTCCCCTAGTGCAAGCACTGCATATAATAAAAAAGGTTTAACAGCTTTCAGAAAAATGTATTATGCTTACTTTTGCATAATTATGCAAATGATTGTTTCCTTTTGCACAAGAGTGCAAAATGTATTATGCTTACTTTTGCACAAGAGCAAACTCTTCATTATTTGATGGCATTCATTGGCTCATATGAGTGGAAGGAAACTTAAAGGGCCAACTGGTCCATTCCCTGGCAGTCAAGAGGGACAACTTTCAAACAAACCTTGAAAGATGGTGCCAAGGATCTGCCACTGGTGCCAGTTGAAGAAATATACCATTGTTTAATCTTTCACCCTCAGAAAGATTTCCTGTTACTGTGTCTATATTTCTTGCAACAATTTAAAGTATCCTCAATAATTGGGGGTAAAAAGATGCAGACTAATGCCTGGTCACCTCCTCTATGTTAAAATGCTTCATGACTGAGCGTTGTTATTCAGTAATTTCTACCTCCTCTTTAGACCAAGTAATATCACTATGATTAGCTTTTCCCCAGAGGTCTTATTTTATCAAACAATAATTTTCAGTAAATCTCATACTCAATTTCTAATGATAAAAATCCTTTTTATCATTAGATGAGAAGATCTTTCCAGAGGTCTTTTTATGCATGTTTAAAATTTGTATTGGCATCACACCAGCTTTTAATGACAGCTTCATGTGCCCTCCATATCCAAGTGCCTTGTTATTATAGCACAAAGGCATAAAAGTTGACTTGGCAAATGCACAAGATACAGAAAGAGGTAAAAAGAAGGGTGTTTACCTTTGTCCTGGGTATGAAGGGGTGCTTTACAAAAGACATGACCTTCAGCTTCAGCTTCAAGAACGAGAAAGAGTTTTCCAACAGAAGAAAGAGAGTTACTTTTAGAGGAAATATATGAATGGAATCCCAGAAGAGATGCAAGGTGTTTCATGCAAGTCAGCAATGCTGACACATAGGGTAGGGAATAAAGTGAGGAAAGGAGGAATGTAAGATGTATTGAGCATTGTCTATGTGTTAGATCCATCATATATATGATTTCATTTCATCTTCATTATGGTTGCATATGCTGACTCACATTTTGCCTATGATGAATCCAAGGGGTTAATACTTTGCCCACAGTGAGACAGACAGTGAGTAGCAAAGCCAGGATGAGAACCCTGGACTGGCCGATAGTAAAGCACATGCTCTGTGTTCATCATATTATTCTCTCACTCAGTCCAATAGAGGTAGCTAGATCATTGTCAGATCTTGAGGGCCTTGATTGTACTTCTAAGGAATTTGAACTCTCCTTTGTAGAATAAAAAGGATGGAAATTATTTTTAAATTTTTATTTTTTAAAAAATTATAAAAACAGCTCTTGTGATAGTAGGGGGTCAGAAACTTAAAAGAGTAGAAATGGTTTCATGAACACACTTAAGGAGGTGAAGGTTATAGCCCAGGTCAGATCCAATGAAGACCTGACTTACTGCAGTAGCAGTGAGGTTGACATGGAACAGATAGAATCATGAGTTCTTCAAGGCTTTATCTCCAGGGCTTGGTGAATTATTTGATGTGGGAATGAAGGTCTGGGAGGAGTCTGGGATCACTCCCAGGTTACTGACTTTGGCAGAGGATGGGGTGGTGGTTAATGGTCATACTATAAATCACAGTAGTAAATGCCAGAAGAAGCAGCCAGTTTGGAAGTAGAAGATAAAGCATTTGGTTTGGGGACATATTGATTTTGAAACAGAAATGTCCCATAGATAAGGAGTTCTCTGGGATTGGAGTTCAGAATAGCTGAGGGTTGGCAGAGAAGAACAAAGTCATCCTAGAGACAAGAAAGTATAAGCTGAGGGGTGGGCCCCTGGGGTCATCAAGTTTTTTAAAGCAGATAGCAGGTAGAGAAAAGGAAAGTGATTCAAAGGACTCATCCAAGAGGTAGAAAGTAAACCAGGAAGCATAATATCTCAGAATATGAGACAGGAGGCTATTAAAGAATAAATAACGGTGAACAAAGACAAATGCTGCAGAGGAGGCAAGGGAATTGGGAATTAAAATAGCCTATCAGTTTGAATAATTGTAAACATTAGAAGTAAAATTGGCCGGAGATGCTGATGTGAAGTGACTTGGGCTAAAGAAAAATATTGTTGAAGAATTAATATGGAGGCGAATTATAGATAATGGATTGAAGTGCATTTTAAGAACTTGGAGCATAATCAATAAACCGAATATGCCAAAATCTTAAGATCTATTCATAAAACTAATTTTGGCATCTCTTTAAGCCCTGACTTCAGTGGGGATGTATAGTCCTTCCCTGTCCTCAGATAAAAACTAGGGCAGAATTCATGACTCTTCTAGCTCATAAAAATTCTTTCAGACACTTCAAGTCACAACTCCAGTATCATTTTAATAATTAAAATTGTCCAGAACAACATAAACACATCTTCAATGTTCAATCAAAGATTAAAAATTTGTTCTTTCTCCCTAGGCAAAGGAGGCAAATATCAAGCACCACCTCATCTTGCTCCACCTGCCTTCCAAATCTTGGTCACTTACTCGAGGGCAAGCCTCAGCCACCATCACTACTGGTGATGCTCTCAGCCTCTCTGTGTCTACCATGGTGGAATCATCGCACTTAATCCCATCTAACTGGACCTGTGAAGACTCTGGCTCTCTTGCTACTTCCGCATTCATGAGGAAGCTAAGCACTGCAAGGAAGAGGGTCAGGCTTTCCTAGTGGTTACTTGGTGGTAGGGTGTAGGAGCAGCAGACTGAGAATATAACCCACCTGAGAAGGGTGATGCACAGGAAACTTAATGTCTCATGAGTTGAACTTGGACCAAAGAGAGACAAAAGATGGGGAAAAACCCAGCTTCTCCATTCTCCAGTAATGCTTCTCCCTTACTTCTGTTGAGGGAATATTCTAAGGCACAGTGATTCCACAAGGCCTGTCTAGAAGATGTGCCCTAGGAAGAAGCAACCAGCTGTATGTTCTTGTAAAGCTGTGGAGTGCTCAGTAATGTATTGTCTGGTGTATGCTTTCCTTCTTTCCCTGCCTCATTTCCCTTTTTCTTTGATCTTGATATCTTAAGATTGTCTTTCCTAATAAAGGTTTAGTGCAAAAGCTTTCAATGGGGCTTTATATTTTAGGGCACCCAGACCAAGACAGAGGTGGTTGGCTTCTCTCTTTCTCCCCATGAGACAGCAGCTTTTCTCCTAAACCTTTGTGGGCAGGATTTGACTGGCACTACTATCCTATGGCACACTGCTCTGTTGAACACTGACTCTTTCTTTTTCTGGGTACTTTGTTGAGGCCCTTAGGTAGATTATCCAGCTACAACTCCCTTGATGCAGACAGTGACTCTCATTTGGCTGCTTTTTCCCAACCCCCCACTGTTGTCTCCAGGAATACATCTCACAGCCTCTTACTGCGTCACATCCCTATGCCATGCTCTTCAGTGGGCCCCTTGAAGTCCCTCTTAGAAGAGCTAGGGTTAAGAAGTTGCACCCCTCATTCCCATGGGTGGGGGTAGAAAGTAGACTCACAGCACTCCAATGGTTCTCCTCAAACATATGTCTCAAAAAACGCCTCCTTTATCTCTACCCTGAATACATTTATATTCTTAATATGTGAGGGACTCACATTTTAAGTAGTACAATGAAGTAATACACTTTTAGTTAACTACCAAATGAAATTTTGCATATGGTCTAGTATCTCCTTTGAAATTCAACATATATTGTTTTGTCCCAGTAAAATCCAACTTTGATTTTACTTTGTTTTGATGTAAAGCAAGAAATATTTATAAAGATTCGAAATTCTGGTTACATGGACATGGGAGAGAAGAAAAGGCTGAAAACATAAAAACAAAAAAAGGTTTTATTTCAGTTATTTTTCTCATCTGAAAAATGGAGCTGAAAATTCATCCAGAGAGATTGTGAAAATTAAATGAAATTAAAAATGTTAAGACATTAGCTGGATCAGTCCCAGAATAAGAGCTCAAAGAATCTAGGATTCAAATATCAAGCTGGACAAACTAAGACAATTTTATAGAACCATGATGTAGAGCTCTTTCTTTAACTCAACTATGAACCTATTAGTTTTTCAATGTTCCAGTAATGTGGATTAGAGCAAACTGAAAGGATCTATGAGACAGGTATTTTTACTATCCCCCTTTCACAGATGAGAAAAATGAGGCTTAGAGAGGTTAAGTTTTCAAAACAATTCTTCTTCCAAAGTTGCTACTATCTCAAAAGTCACAAGTTTTCAGGAAGGGCAGGAGTCTTTGTATGGAGAGAAAGAAGAGAGAAGTTGGCTGTGCCCTACTGTGGATGCATCTCTTTGCTCACACGTAGTGACCTCTCATGGAGGTCTTCACATGGATCAGAAGCCAGCACTTCTGCCCACCCCAGAAACATATTTCACTCATAATGCATTAGCACGTAAGGCAAATTTTATTAAAGAATTCATGGTATGATGTGGAAAAACATCTGGTAAAAATTGCATAAAATCCTCCTCAGGCTTTTATTTATCTAACGATCCCTTCCCCCAAACCAGGTGTTTCATCTCCTTTCTTCTTCCTCCCTTTATCTCCTAAGGAAGGTAATCACCTGTTTGAATATCCCATTGAACAGATAAAAGTTAGGCAAAGAGAAGGCAGTTCAAGTAGTATCATCCCTACTTAAGCATACTTCTGAGTTGTAAGGGTTGGGGAGGTGGCTTACCCACCCATCTGCTGTGGCCTACCAAATTTATCCATTATGTACTTGAGGCTTATTAAAAGTAGGGGGTGACAAGGCAGATTTTGATGCTAAGAAGAGATTTTTCTTTTAATTGCTCTGATGGACTGATATCAGGACCAATTCTTTGGCAACAAAGGACAAAACTTAATATAATAGGGAACAGGATGGGCCTACCTTCTTAGACACCTCAAAATGAAGGATACCAAGCTTTTCCATGAATTCTGTATATTGAGTGTTAAGTGTTTGAACCACCATGCAGAATTCTGAAATGTAGCCTTTTTGTATCAACTGTCAGTGGCATATTTAGATGTGAGTCACTACAGCAATAGGGCAGAGGCAAAGGAAAAGACAAAAGTGTTAATGATCAACTATGCCATATTTTTTCCAAGGAGAAACGCAACTGCTTCCTGTTCAGCAGAAGAGAAAGAAACTAAAGGACATAAGAAAGGACGATTACGATATTCTGGAAATGTAAAATTTTCTTTCCCAAACTATCTTTTCTAAGACCATGTCTCCAAGTTATGTTGGTCTCTGATTTAGATGAAAATTTTTCTTAAAACTCAGACATTTCAGAAAGGACATGAAAATAACCACAAATTTCACTTACAAAATTTAAACAATATATATCATCTTTTTCATGACTAAATAGATAATGCTAATAATAATGGCATAATAACCAGCTTCTTTTCAATTTCCATACAAAGATTCTTTCTCATAGGAAAATTCGTTGACTTGAAGTGTGAAGCATGAAATCCTCATTTAAAAAATGTAATAGGCATTTTTAAGCATGAAGAAGATCTTTTGACCAGGGAAAGACAAATCCAAAACAATGGATTGTTTGTCTCTTTGTAAACTCAAACTTGATCTTCCTTGTAGAAGTAGGAATGTTTTTGTCATTCCTGCTATTGGCTTGTAAGTTTGGGTCCATGTGGAATGGTTAAGATCAATCTGTAATATTTTTCTTTCTTGTAGATACAATGCCTATATCTATACAATTGTAAACAGTCCAGAAAAAAATCAGTCATTAATGTTCGCAAAAATATATAGATGGTAAAATGTTGAATCTTTTTTCACTGAAGTATCATAGCACATTGTAACCCAAGCCAACTACTGTATTTGCTGCTATTTGTGATTTTGAGAATATAAAATATTAGTTTATTCAATTGATATTCCCCAGCTATTTCTGACTCTCAGTTTAAAATAAATTTATCTCACTGTTATCCCCTAATTCAGTATCTCCTGTAAGACTATTTTTATCACTTTTATAAAATGCTGAATGCTGGCCGGGCGCAGTGGCTGACTCCTGTAATCCCAGCACTTTGGGAGGCCGAGGCGGGTGGATCACAAAGTCAAGAGATCAAGACCATCCTGGCTAACACGGTGAAACCCCATCTCTACTGAAAATACAAAAAAATTAGCTGGGCGTGGTGGGTGGCGGGCGCCTGTAGTCCCAGCTACTCGGGAGGCTGAGGCAGGAGAATGGCGTGAACCCGGGAGGCAGAGCTTGCAGTGAGCTGAGATCGCGTCACTGCACTCCTGGGAGACAGTGAGACTCCATCTCAAAAAAAAAATGCTGAATGCTGTTTTGTGCACCAAAAAGTTTAAATTTCATTGGAAAGCTCACACAACTCTCTACGTATCTAAATCACAGCCACTTTATATATATCACAGTATAATAAAAAAATTGCCTCCAAAATTCAATATTCTTCAATAAGTCAATAGTCACTAGTGAAAGTGGGTACATCAATTAGCCCCTTTCCTACTTTTTTCATCCTAACTCTAACATATTTTTCAGGTTCGGAATTCGTTTCAGGGTTTTATATCAAAGAGCCAATAGCTGCGTGAATTCAAATGCCAGCAATTTGAATCTGAATCCATCCCCATACCCAAACATCAATCTCTGAGGCATGTAGCACCCTTTGAATAGTCAGGTCAGCCCAGACAGGCCTGAATCCTCCTGGGGAATGGTGTTTGCTAGTAGCAAGGCATCTGTCTATGTGCTTGATCATACAGTATGCTCAAATTTATCACTATGAGGGATTAAATTGCTCTTCTTTCCAAATAGCACATATTTCAGATATTTTGTGAACTCCATCAAGAATTTTCCAATTTGGTTTTATCCTGAAGGAGATTTACCATTTATAAGAAGTTCAGAGCTTGAACCTTGAAGACTGTATTAGTCTTCTCCAGCTGCCATAATGAAATACCACAGACAGGCAGGCCTAAACAACAGAAATTTATTTCTCACAGATCTAGAGGCTGGGCAGTCCAAGATCAAGGTATTGATAAGGCAGATTTCATTCTGAGGCCTCTTCTCTTGGTTTTCAGGCTGCCTTCAGCTCACTGTGTGCTCATGTGACCTCTCCTTTGTGCTTCTACAAGTTGGGGGAGGGGGGGAGAGAGAGAGAGAGCAAGCTCTCTGGTGTCCCTTCTTATAAGGGCACTAAACCTGCCAGATCAGGGCCCCACTCTTATGACCTCATTTAACAATAATTACTTACTTATAGGCCCTATCTCCAATACAGCCACATGGGAAGTTGGGGCTTCAAAATATAAAGTGGGGGGAACACAATTCAGTCCCTAGCAAAGACATTGTTTCATACTGGAAGCCGAGAGGTTCTGGGAAATGAAGGGAAGGATGAAATACAACGTTCATCACACAACTCCATCTGTATTTTACCATCCTTCCCAGGTTTGAGTTATCTCTTTCTTTATTTTCCATCTTGTTTTTCCTAATGTTCTTTGTTCTATGCTGACAAATAGGAAACCCTGGGCCAGAGCTTTGGTTAAGAAGGATATAAAGGACTCAGGGCAGGCTCAGAGTTCAAGAGATTCAAGACCACGCAGATTTTAAGGTAAGTTTCAGCTTGGAAGAGGATCCTTCAGTGGCAGTAAGATTTACTTTAAGTTTCTTTACATTTATAACACACAATGAAGAGAAATCCTCAACATGAACCATTTTCTAAATGTTTTTCTTAGAAAACACAAAACTTCTAACAGGATTTATCATTCAGAAAATATAATGAAGAACTGAAATACAAAGAATTTTCACACTAGGTTATTAATTTCTAAATTATTATTCCTTGTTAAGTTATTATGCCTAGACTTTAAAATTATAATAAAAATAAATAAAAACCTTCTTAAGAATAAAAGTCTCTGGTAAATGAATGGCAAAACTCTGGTTTATCTATGATAATATTGATAATACAACAAGTTTGAGATTCAACTGAGTTCTAATGTGATTATAATCCTGAAAATCATATAGCAATATATGAGTGTGTGTGTGTGTGTGTGTGTGTGTGTGTGTGTGTGTATACATGCCTTTTTGCTTTTGCAATTCTTTAAGGGAACAGAACCATACTCACTATTGTGCATATAGTACCTAGCATAGCCACTGACATGAGATGGGAAGTTCATAAGTATTATATTAATTAGTTAATCAACCTTTATTGCATGTCTAGTGTGTGACCCAAACTACTTTGCACAGTGGTGAGTAAAATTATGAGACATTGCCCATTGTCTTCAAAGAGCTTACAGCTAAATAGGGGAGACAAGACCTCCTGCATAAAGCTATTAGAGATTCATTAGAGAATAAATATCTTGAGATAACAATGCAAGATGATAAATATGTGGTTAGGTGTGAACAACTGCACTTAATAACAGAACCAGACAATGGTGTTACATTTCATAAACTGTAACATCAGAATAGTTCTCTTCCTCTTGTATCCAAAACAGAGGTGTCCATATTACAAGCTATTTGCAGGGTTAGGGCAATTCCAACCTTGAAGTAGACACGGCTGAGCCTCTACTCACACCCCAACATGCTTCTTTGCTAACGATACCCAAAGTCTTGATTGAGACTAACAGGTGTGACAGTACTTATTTAGTTGCTGTCTGCCTTATCTATGAGGCTAAAATGCTTTCTGATATCTTTAATACTGACATAATAGCTAATAATATAAGCAAACTGAAAGACTATCCCATTGTCCTTGCATGGTATTGGGCAGAATTTAGTGAGCCATACAGCCTGTCATCAAGATCTTTATACAAAAAGGCAAAAAGTTCTAAAAAGCAGATAATCCAGAAATAAATTACCTACTTTTCATGAGAAGTTTCATTTAAAAAAATTTAAAAAACACTTTTATTTGAAATCCGGTAAAATTGCAATTAAAGATAAAATAAAAACAGATTAGAGCATGGAGAATATAATTTGTATACTCAGATGGATGAAATTGCTTTGTATCTAAAATAGTGTGCTGAAAACAAAGTTCCTTGAAGATTTCCTTTTGTTTAATCTAAACCAGTAGTTTTCCAAGTGTTCTACAGAGAAGCTTCCAGAGTCACACAAATGTTTAATAGAAACATAATTTCTAAACATATTTAGACTATTTTAAAAACTAGAAAAACACACGATACAATATACAGTATATTTTAACACACTGGAGAGACTGTGATGCTCATCTCGACTCCTAGGTTAACTTTTTTTAAGTGGATATTGGAATAAAGCTTCTTATGCCATCTCTATGTATATTTTGAAACTCTTACAAATGTGGTATTCACTAGGAAGTTTATAACTTTATACTGTTCTTTTTAGGTGTATGCATATTCACTCTTGAAACAGTGGATGAATGAAGGGAGCACCACGGAGCACCTCAATGTTGTGCATGCAAAACAAATTATTCAAATCAATGGGCTGCTGAGACTTGACATTAGATAGTAACCATTACTTGTAAAGTCATATTTCAAATTTTTATTTTCATTAAAACAGCTTCATTGCTTTTGTGTGGTTTGTAAGTTCTATAAATTTAAATTTATAAGATAAATTTATACACATATTTTATCACTTCTCAAATAAATTGATATATACATTTTATTTATAAATCATATCCTTTACAAAATAAACTTATGCTAGTAAAATAAGCAGTAAGTTATTTTTCTTTAAAAAAGAACTTGCTTATAGTTGTTAATAGTCTAAAGTACCATAATATTTTAAAATATCATATATTATTAATTTGCCAAAAACAAATCTTATTCTGGCTCCATTTTTGTTTTACTCTTCACTCATAAAAATTGCCCTATATGAGATCAGTATGGACCTCAACAAAATTAATCATTTTCGTTGGATCACTATTCTCTCTGTTGAATATATTGTTCCCACCATCCCCTTCAATAATATCTTGGACTTCAGTGGCAATGTGTTTTCTAGTTTAATCCTATCTCTCTGATCATTTGTTTTCTTCACTAACATCTGGGGTATTTTTTCTCTGACCATTCATACATCAAATATTAATAGATGATATATGTGCCAGGAATTTACTCCTGCATTAATAAATGAATCTCTAAACCCACTTAATAGCATAAAACTACCATTTTATTTGACTTATGATTTGGAGCTAAGGTGTCCAAGAAGGGCTCAACGTGGTGATTCATCTTTAATCTTTGACATCAACTTGGATTCCTAGGGCAGCTGGGGAGCAACTTCTTAAAAGGTTTCTTCACTCACATGTATTGCACATAGGTACTCTTTGTGTGCATTCTCCCCCACCTCTCTCTCTCTCTCTCTCCCCAACACCTTTCCCCGTGCCTTGGACTTCTCATAGCATTGCGGTTTCAGGGTACTTGCAGTTCTTACATGGCAGCTGGCTTCCAAGAGACAGAAAGCAGTGGCTTTCAGACTGCTGAAGGGCCCGGCACAACATCATCTCCTTAACATGCTGTTGTTATTGTTGCCTCAGTGAGAGACTATGTGTCCACTTTTATTCCCCTGAATTAGAATAACTTCCTTCTCCCGCTCCAGTTCATGTCTCTCCCCATCTCTCTCTCTTCTTTTAGAAAATATCCTGTGACTTCTTTCCAGGTTAACTTCATATCTTTAATGTGCCCTTCCCCATCAGAACTTCAACACTATCTTTGTATATTATTATGTGTAATGGACGTCTCTAGCTTTCTGACTGTTCCTCATTGAGCCCCTTACTATTAGTAACCCAATTTTATTTGAGAAATTGATAATTTTTCAGAAACCTTTGGAGATATTAGCCACCTCCTACAAAAGAAGCTGTATTATTCAGTGTTTTCCAGAGAAATAGAACCAATAGGATGTATGTATATAAAAGGAAATTTATTTTAAGAAAATGGCTCACTTGATCATAGAGGCTTAGAGTCCAAAATCTGCTGGAGTAGGCCTGCAAGCTAGAGTTTCAGGGACGAGTTGCAGTTCAAGCCCAAGGGCAGTCTTCTGACAAAAATCTCTTTTGCTCTGGGTAGGGGTCAGACTTTGTTCTGTGAAAGTCCTTCAACTGATGGGATGTGGCCCACCCACATTATGGAGATTGTCTTTACTCAATATCCACTGATTTTCATGTTAATCTCATACAAAACACTCCTTCAGAGAAATATTCAGAATAATGTTTGTCCAAATATCTGGGAACCTTGGCCCAGACAAGTGAACACACAAAATTAACCATGACAGAAGCCAAAGAGACTTTTTCCTCACTTACTCAGCCACAGAATGGACACCTGATACAAGTTCAGCAAATCGGGTGCTTGTTTCTTAGTTGTTGAATCTTAAGCAATTGATGTAATGGTATCAGGAAAACAAGAGGTCATATTCATCACAGCAGCAGTAGTAGCAGTGGTGTAGCTTCCATATTATACTTGGGGCATGAGTACTGATACAGTTTCTGTCACTGAGTCTTCAGTAGCTTCTTCAGTTGCATCTAGCTGGTCCTATAGCCTCCCATTGAGTCTGGAGCCTCTAGATATATTCCCAATAATATTCCTTGTATTTCTGGAGATAAGTAGAGTTGCTTTCTGCTGCTTGGAACCAAGTTATGCTTAATGCTATGTTATGCTAGTTATGTGCAAGAGTTGCACTGAGGATAGACAAGTTAATAAATGAGAAGTATATCGAAAATTCCTAATACAGTAGGGTGATCAGTATATTATATAAATTTTTTTCTTCCTCCTACTTCTTTCCTTCTTCCTCTTTTTTCTCATCATTATTAATATCATTATAGGTATTATTATTGAACTTTCTATATATGTTTTGAACAAGAAATATGGCTCCTGGCATGACACTCAGGACAATGTAGTCCCCAGCAGTGACCTATATATCTCACTCTAGTAAGAAATAAAGTATTGAGACTTTAAGGGACTTAGGTCATTAACACAATAAGCTATCCAGTTTAGTGGTGAACTCTTTAAACTATACTACATTTCACTACATACTTGAAATATTTTCGTTATCTACAGAAAAGAATCTTAGTAGCATGGAAATTGGAGATGAAAAAAATCCACGTTGATTTTTCAGGACTACAAATGAAAGTTTATTCAAATTAGAAGTTAGACAGAAAGTACCAGTTCCCCGACATTTCCAGCAATAAATCCCACAAAACACTACTAATGGACACAGCATTTATTTGGGGAATGTTGAAAATGTTCTAGAATTAGATTGAACTGATGATTGTACATATACTACATACTATTTAATGAATATACTATATACTACTATATATAGTGATATATTATGTACTAGTTAAATTGTATACTGTAAAAGCATGAATTTTTGGTAAGTGAATTATATCTCAATAAAAAGGATTTTTAAAAAGCAATTAACCATGCTGTAAGTATCTTACATACTTACATGAATTACAAACTAGAGATTCAGATTGTGAGTCTCTATTTTTAAGAAATTCATTCTTTTATCCCACAGCTAGGACTCCTGTTTCTGGAGGAAATTTCATAATCACTGTTATTTATTTATTGGGCAGTTTCTAAACCTGTCAACTTTAAATGAAAACTTTTATATATTTACTTTAAATGAAAACTTTATCATTTCAATTTCAGGTAAAGTCTAGTTGTGGAATTCAGTCACTCCTAATGGACACATATTTTATCATATTTAGAGGTTTATCTGGCAGCTACTTAGTAAAGTAGGGAGATGGATTGATTCCAACAATCCTTGAAGTTGTACAGTGGGCCAAAGCATCCAAATACAGAAATAAGTCAATGATCCCTTTCCATTTCTTCATCATAGCTGAAACTCTCAGCCATGCTTAGGAGTCATCACATCTAAACATGTTTAACACAGGGCATTCATTGTTCTTCTGTTCTATTCCCAGCGTGCAACTGGGGACAAATAAAGGGCACATGATGGAGATATTGTTGGCTACAAATTCCACATAAGGAACACACCATTTACATATTGTTTGCCTGTATTGCATTACTTGTTAGAGAAACAGAGATAGAAATATTTCAGTCCTCAAACATATGTAAGAAGAAATATTTTACAATACTTCACCTGCTTCCATTCAAGGAGCCTGATGTAGCTATGAAGACAGCTCTTTAATTGAGAATAAGTCTATAGTCTCTCTGCCTCATAAGGAGAAGAAAGGAGAGGAGAAGGAGGAGGAGAGGGAGAAGGAAAAGAAGAAACAGTTTTTAAAACTGGCAATATACCAAGATTCATGCTCAGTATTCCACTGCATAAAATGAGAATGGGTCATTTTATCTTGTGAGAGTCTCTCTCTCTCTCTCTGTCTCTGTCTCTCTCTCTCTCTCCTTCTCTTCCCCCACCCCCATATAAGCAATCTACTTATCATTGTGCCCAGACTTGATTAGATTTATAGTTTGTTTATCTGAGAGCTCAATGCTTTATTGCATCCAGAAGCCAAAATACGTGCACCTCCACAACCCGGCTGAATAAAACAAACTCATTTTGATCTTTGTGTACAAAGCCATCAGCACTGGTTCAAAGTGTAGCGCAGCCAGTTCTGGACGGCAGATGCAGAGTTGAGCTCTTCTCCCGGGCCCTTGGTTTCAATTAGGCCGTCTGCCAAGTGGCCCATGTGCCTCTGTGTGCTGAAACATTTCTTTGAGGCAGCTTTTTTAAATTAGGAAATAAAGACTTCCCATGTGATTTGCTATATATACAACTTATGACAATTGATTTTTATAGTTAAAATACGTACATTTTTAACATATTTCTCTTTCTGCAAAATAGTGGCTTTCTAACAAGGGAAGAAAATTAGCTAAATGTAAATACTGCGTTTCATTTATTCTTCCTACTCTAAAATTTACTCAAATATACATTAAAATGATACTAAAGACCACTGGTTTTCCAAAATAAATTACTTCTTTGTCTTAAAATAAGAAAAAAGACAGTGGAATACAAGTAAGTATTCTAACTTCTAGGAACTATAAATATGGAAGAAATAAATATGAGCAAAAAGGAAGCTATAGTTACTTGAGCTTGGCTAGTTCCTCAATCAGGATAGATGATGTTTTTCTTACTTTCGCTACCATTTGGGCCTTTTACCTCCTGAACTTTCAAACACCACCTTGTGACCTGGCAATAGATATAACACATTCCAAAAGCCAACTTCCAATTTCTAGCTGATTCCTGGTAGAAGTGTGAGTAAATTTGCACAGCAAATATTTGTGCTTCACATCTCCAATAGACATATCTTATGTAAATATCATTCTCAGCACAGAGTGCCTGACTTGGCAAAAATCTAGACACTATTGAAAGCACTTATCTACTTGTCCCAAACTATTGATAATAGCCCTTCTGTTTCTACTTAGACAATGAGGCAACCAAGTCCTCTGAGGCCAGGATGGACAGGAAACATTCCATAGGATGTCCAGACTGTGTAAAAACCAGAAAACCATTACTGCTTGTAGTCTTTTGCAACTATTCAGGTCAGCTTTGAAGAAGCTCCCATATAGGCCTAGATCCCTCTCCTAAAGTAAATTCAAGGTCATTTCAACTCTAAAGACCTGAACCTACACATCACTCCATCACTTAGCAGATGTTAGTCACTACCAGTGTGAAGCCAAATTGAAAATAACTGGCCACCAGCACTAGCAACTGAATGGTAACCAGCTGTCAGTGGTGGCTTTGAGCAGGCACTGTACAATGCTAGGCCACTCATACAACAAGGACACCTAAGTGTGGTAAAAACTGTTTTTCATTGAGAAGACATAATATTCAAATAGCTGTTTCTTTTTTTTTTTTAACTTTTAAGTTCAAGGATATAAGTGCATGTTTGTTATATAGGTAAACTTGCATCATAGTGGTTTGTTGTGCAGATTGTTTCATCACCCAGGTATTAAGCCTAGTACCCATGAGTTATTCTTCCTGATCCTCTCCCTCCTCCCCACCTCCAACCTCCAATAGGCCCCAGTGTGTGTTGTTCCCTTCTCTGTGTCCATGTGTTCTCATCACTTAGCTCCCACTTATAAGTGAGAACATGTGGTATTTGGTTTTCTGTTCCTGTGTTGGTTCACTAAGATAATGGCCCCCAGCTCCAACCATGTCCTTGCAAAGGATATGATCCTGATCTTTTTTATGGCTGCATAGTATTATGTGTTGTATATGTACCACATTTTCTTTATCCAGTCTATCGATGATGGGCATTTTGGTTGATTCCATGTCTTTGCTATTGTGCTATTATAAACAGTGCTGCAATAAATATACACATACAGGTGTCTATAATAGAATGATTCAAATGGCCACTTCTTAATACTCTCATAAGTCTGTGGCCTTATTCTATTGCTATAAGGGGAATAGTGTAAATCTATATAAAAAATCAGTTTTGGGTGGAAGAATTTCAATATAATAAGACACCAACTACGAGTGAATCTCCACAGATTTGGGGCACAATCTCGAGTACTTTTCTCAGACTTTTTCTCAGGAATGTTTTCCAGTGAACTACATCTTGGGAGTAGGCATTTTGGGAAACTGGATAACCCCATTAAACACAGAAAGAATAAATTTACTAAATGGTGCTCAAGTAAACTGAAAAGATCAGTGCAAATATTAAGTGTGTTCTGCTTGTCCTCAAAAAGAATTTGACTTTTTATCTTGGGCATCAAAATACCATTCACACACACACACATACAAACATACACACTCATATCCATGGAAGTGGAAGAACTGGTCTAGAAATTAAAGAATAATGGTAACTTATCTACCTATGGCCCTGTAAACATGGAAGACTCACTCACTTGTGTATCATGCTTCTGCAGGCATTAAAACTCAGCAGCTAACAAATTCTATGTCAAACACACGTCTCAGTCTTCTGGGATCAACCTGCTGCTCTTACTCTCACAAATCATATTCCTAGATTCTGGCCTCAAACCCATTAACACTTTAATTTTGGTGGCCTATTCAGAATCATCTCAGTGGCTGATGGTATATTGACTTTTCATTCAGCACTTAGCTTTGGTAACTTTTCTGATTTAGTGTGTACCACAGCCGTAGGTGAAAGTCCTTCCTTAAGCCATAGCCTGTAGAACCATGGTGGCTCCAGGTGAGCACGTATATCATAGAGTAGGCTCTGGAAACATGTAAGCAAACAAACAAATTTTTAAAAGATAAAAGAAAATGTTTTTAAATTTTGACCCACTATTGCCTGTGTTGCGATGACATTGCTATAAAACTTGATCTTCGTAAACTCTTTTATTTTTTTGAGATGGAGTCTCGCTCTGTCACCCAGGCTGGAGTGCAGTGGCGCAATCTCAGCTCACGCAAGCTCCCCCTCCCGGGTTCACACCATTCTCCTACCTCAGCCTCCCAAGTAGCTGGGACTACAGGTGCCCACCACCAGCCCGGCTAATTTTTTTTGTATTTTTAGTAGAGATGGGGTTTCACCGTGTTAGCCAGGATGGTCTTGATCTCCTGACCTCGTGATCTGCCCACCTTGGCCTCCTAAAGTGCTGGGATTACAGGTGTGAGCCAATTCGCCCGGCTATAATCTATATTATTAATCTTTCAAAGAAGATGTTCCTAGGTGGTTGTAGGTAATAGAATTCTACAAGCTCAATCACAGAAATCAAGTGTTGGCCAGTTTTTTCTGGTTCAGATCATTACTGAGCATAACCCAAAATCAAATGTAATTTGGAATCAGTTTTCACTGATACATCAGTGAGAAAAATACTAGGTGCTATGAACCTGCAGAATGCTTCCCTTAAGCTATGGGGTTGTAAGTTGAGAAATGGAACCTGAAGTCCTCAGTACTTTCCTGAAACAGTCAAGTCTAAGTGAAGTATAAAAATAAGAACACCAGTTAAAGGAATGACTTTTTATCACCTGCTATTTCTTTGGCCCCAAATACCAACATAGAACCAGAATTTAGCTGGTGTCTTGGGCTGAACTACATGGAATTACATGTTGGACCATAGCCTAGAATCAGTGCTCCAGCTATTCACGTGCCTTTCTGCAACTGCCAAGGTCATACCTCTGTCTCTTGGTATAGGAAATTTAATCCAAAGAACAGCAAACAAGCTTGCTCAGGACATAGCAGTTCACTATCAAGAAAGGTCACAAGCCTGTTTTCTAACAGCCACACTGGTAGAAGACAGATCTTCTAATAAAGAGGTGCCAAGCAGAGGACTTCCCCCTTGTGAAGTAAGTATCCATGTCCTGGATTCATCCATTCTTGCAGTCCACATCCTTTACTTGAAGTAGATTGGAAGTATCTTAAGCACCTGATCAAGGCCAATATTGAGGTACTGTTGGTGGTGTTAATGTTGGAGACAACTGAAGTTAGTTACGGGGACTTGTTTAGGTATAGAGACTGTCATTAATCTGGAAATGCTTGGCAACTGTAATAGCAGCAGGGAAGTCTCTGTCCTTTATAGACTACATTAGCCATAAAGGAATCCTCTACCTGATTCACAAGAATTTCTGGATCCCCTGAAAGTCTCTTCTGAGAGATCTTAAAGGAAGATAAGGAGCTTTAATATATTACCTAAGAATGGAAAGCAAAATGAGTCACCAAAGAAGTATGTGGATGCACAAAGGGAAAGTTAAGCTTTTACCTATAAAAATCTCTTTGTGTGGACAAGACAACATCAAAGCCCAATGAGACTTAGTCAGTTATTTTTCACTGTTGTGTGAAGAGAGCATTATGTTAAATAATATTAGCAAATACAAAATAAATATATAACTTGGCTGCAAAGGCTAAACAAACATGATATTACTAATAATGAATTTAAAGAACAACATGGTGGCAATTTGTAAACAAGAGTGAAATAATTAAAAATAACAACATCTTGACTATCCAGATATTTTAGAAAATTATCAATTAGTAGAATTTTCCATATAGGTGAGTTGGATCTCTTTCAGAATCCAAAAGTATTTCATTTTAATCATTATCTTTAAAAATACTTTTTGAATTATTTGTGTAATTCCTCGGATTTTTAAATAGAGTTCTCTCACATGACGCAATCTTTTATTTTAATTTACTTTACCTAGAAACAACATAAAATTCTCCTTTATTCTCACCAATATAACATGACTACTTAAAAAAATTAACAACACACATAGTAATACTATGTGGCAGGCATTGTTCTTAGTATTTAATATATACATGATCTCATGTTAAAAAAAATCCTTACAACAGCCATTGGAAGAAAATACTCTATCCTTGTTTGTCAGATGAGTAAACAGAAAGACATAGGTTTCATAATTTGCTCAAGGTAAGGCAACTAAAAAGCAGCAAACCTGGAAACGACACTCAGGAAATGTGGCTTCAAATCTGTGCACATGGCTGCTGTGCTCTGCCAGTGCTGCTGCTGTTTCATACCAATATTTATCAGCAAATAAGCTTCTTTTACATTGTGGTAACCAATCATATGTCCATGTGAATCCATACTCATTATTTACTTAACACTGTTAACATTATCCCTTGTTTTTATATAGTCTTCATAATTATCACATAAATGATTACATCATGTTCCACTGAGATGATGGACCATCTTTTAGTAAATCTCTCTTCACTGTGAAACAGTTGGATTTCTTCAGTTGTTTGGAGATCACTTGTATTTGTTTTAAACGTCTTTAGGTCAAATTTCATTAACTCATTGACCTACAAAGTAGGAATGTCTGATTATTCCCTGCAACATCACTAAAGAAATACAAATTATAATTATTTAACTTATCCTTGTAGACTCAAAGGCTGTACAAAAAAATTTCAATTATTTAACTGTGATGTACTACAACGCTGCCTTGGAAGCTAGCTGAAAGGTACAGCCTGTTTTTAGAAAATGAACAAAGACAAAACTGCTCTTTCAGTTATGTCTGTTTCATACAGGTTCATTCTGAGTCCCTTCTTTTGCTAAAAAGCTAACAGGCCTCACTTCTTTTTTCAGAGTATATATACCTTCTTTAGTTTGAATTTATTGTGGTTCTAATTTTGTTATATTTGTGTAAACAATGAATAAATAATATCTGAGTGGACAGGGCCCTTTCATGAATGAAACACATGATTTTTGCCATACCTGGTTCACCTGCTAATAACTCTTTAACACACTTGCCTCCTTTATTTCACATAGGTGAGGGCATCAGGCAGCAAATCTACCCAAAGCTGAACTAATGCAGTATTTTAGTAATAAGAGAATAGATAAATGTCATTGAAGTGGGAAAAGATAAGAGAGTGAGTTCCTTGAGATCCATAGCTGACAAATAAAATATGTAAGTAAAAATCCATGACCTAAGATGTATTCTCTTTAGGAATTTATAATTTGACTTTTGTTTGCTACCTACACTAACTTCATAAGCTAATGTATAATGATGCCATAGTAATTGATAATAATGGTAACAACAACTATGTACTTTTAATATTATTGACATCCATTGTATGCCAGAACTGTACAATGTGATGATGTAGGCATATAAGAGATGCATATGATGTCATATTTGCTTTTAAAATTCAAGTCCATTTGGGGTACCCATATAAAGCCATTAGAAGGTGATGTAAGAGAGTCTATAAATGCCAAGTAATAAGCAGCACTGGAGTGGGTTTCCAATAAGAAGGCTTGGTATTACCAAACGTGTTTGTTAGTAATTATATATTTATATTGAAATGTGACTCTGTACATTTCATCAGGTACCGTGGATCCTGTCTTTAAGATAAATAAGCCAACAAACAAAACACTGAAGTGTTTTTCAACTGTGCAGAAAAGATAAAATCTTAGAGAAGAAAAAAAATACCCACAATTCTCTGAGATCCCTGCAGATTTTGAAGATCTTGGCTGTGATGGATTACGTTAGAATGTGGGAAGAGAAATACCATGCATTGTTCTGCAGCATTTTTCTTTTAACTGCCCCTTTGCCATTTCTTTAATATTTGTCTTATATTAATAGTGACTGATATGTAATAATCAACAGACTTGTGCTGTAAATCCAAAGAGAAAACTGCAAAGAATTTAAAGATTTGGCCTCATATATAATTCTGCCAGATAAATGGAAAAGAGCCAAAGAAATGAAATAAAATTAAAGGAATACTGCAGTTAAATTTTATGCATTATGACTTTATGTAGCATTTTGGCTGAAAGAAGTATGAAAATGTACACAAAAAATACACAGAACTTACCTATCAGCATGTGTGAATTACTGGCAAGTGCCACTGAGAAGCAAAGGAGAAACAACATAAGTTATTATAATCACTGTCATCATCAAGATTCATGTGTTAAGTTCACATATTTTCATTGCATTGGGTTAGATGTGTTAAAAGTAAATTAAATAGGCATGGTCCCTGTCCTATAGGAACTTATGATTTAAGGCAGACTACAACCAAGACAAATGTAAGAGAAGCATAGACAAGTATATGCACCTCAAAGAAAGACATAAATTGAGTGAATGAAAGAATAAATAAACTAAATCCTTTCTATTGTTTATAAGTTGTAAGTTGAGAGAAAGGGAAATGGCATGTCCCTGGCATGTTCTGAATTTGGAGTTTAAACACCAGTTGGTCTCAAAGAAATGATTTTGAGCATATATTGCTCCAATAATGGTAGAAAATGATCTCAGCAAATTACAAGATTAGAAAGCTAGAACATAAGAGATTCTGAACCAAGATTTAGGATGCATCGCTTTGCCCATGGAAAGATTCTTAAATAAGGATTTCATATATCATGGTCTCATATTTTAGCATGTAGAATGACTCTGGATTACTTCAAAGAAAGAAGTAATGTGATGAAGATGATTGGATAGAGAATAAAACATAACCCCATTTATGAAATAAACTTTGAAATGCCACCCATTTTCCCATTCAGAATTGTGGTGGCATTTTTCAAAATTTGTTATTTTGGAGATCACATTCTAATTACGCTTTTCTCCTTAGTCTTGTAATAATCTTCATTCAAAATCCATTCTATTCTGATCTGACCAAAAAAAATTAGAAAAGATAATTTGTAATAATTAAAATTTCAATAGTCCTGAAATTAGTTCCTTATGTATTTAAAATTTCTTCACTGAGAGGGCTAAATTTGTAAGATACAAGCTTTCATGATTCAATCTCCATGATTCAATTATTAAAAAAATAGAAACTGCACAATCAATATGACTCGCTAATAACTTCGCAAAGTAAAAAATAGTTGTAGTAGTTGCACAATTTTATAATTTTAAAAAACACCCCTGGTGTTACTCAGTGTTTCTTACTGAAACCCATTTCTGTGTGTTTTTTTAAAAATTTCTTCTTAATTGCCTGCTTTGCAATAGAACATGTGTTTGCAATTGCATTTAGCAAAATTCACCATCTTAACAATGTATACCAAAGTCATAGTGCCTTCTTGGCACAAAACACTTTTCTAATGTTTGGGATTTCTGTCTCAATTGACAAAACTGAAAAATATGTATTAGCCAAGCAAAACCACTATCTTGGAGCCATATTGAAAATTACTCCAACCTGTCAAAGCCAATTGAAATTCCCTTCCCAGCCCAATTTCCAACTTCACTTTGTATGTGAAATGGGAAAAGTTGGATTTGATTATAACCACATGCAGAAGGAATAAAAAAATCACATGTATCTTATATTGCTAATACTACAAATAATTTTCTTTTCAAAGAATTTTATCTACCTTTTTTCATCATTTATCCTGTTTCACCTGTTCTGAATAAGTCACTTGTTTGTAATATCTCTACATGAACAGTTTGATTAGCAGTGAGTTATAGAACACATTTCAAAAGTCCCACCTGGGCCACATCATTTTTACCCTGGAGATGACACAATTCTAAAGGAAAAGACCTAAGATCTGTCCCTAATGCGGGTCCAGTAATTTAGGGTGTTTCTCAATGTTAACCTATTATTTATTATTTTATTATACTGTATCCCTACTGCAGTTATCTTCTAAATATGGGGCCCAGTAGCTATTAATCCAATTCTAACAAAAAGTCATGATGCTGGCTTTAAAGTTTACTGTAGAAGTAAGTTAGGTTCTTCAAGATAAAAGGCAACTTCATTTTACACAAGAATAAGACTTGATACAGAATGCAGCTGGGATAACAGAAGGCTATACACAAGATGAGAAGCATGATGAAAATATGACCCTGCTCCCAGTCAATGTTGGGCAATACAAGCTGCTTAAAAGTTGGAACCCATAACATCCCTGGCAAAACGTAGGATAACAACAAAAAACAAAATAATGGCAGCCACTGGGGAAAACCAAGGCAGATCACTTGGAATATATAATATGATTTCCATCTATAAAATTACTCCAGAGCCTATTTTGTTTAACATTTATGAACATTATGAAAAGCAGAAAGCAAAAAAATGTCCAAAGAAATCTAAAACACAAATACAAGCTTTGTATTACATCTCATTTTGAGGTTATTTATTGATGAGATATCATAGACTTTTTATCAAGACTTTGATGCAATTATTTCTCATTTTAGGTGGGGTAATAGAGGCTATGGAGGAATAAATGGCAAGTTCAAGATTAGCCCCATCATTGTGAAAGAAAGAAATGAATTGGAATGTAACTTTCAGGCACTAAAATGATTCAAGAAATTCAACTGTTTAAGTAGGTGAAGTTATCTAATTGGAGATACTTAGACTTCTCATCATTTATACTTGCTTATTCATGAAATACAAATTTAAGGGATAAAGCTGCCTGTACAATTTAATAAATAGGCTCTCTCTTGCCCTGACACAGCAATCATGGAAGCACTTGTTATGGAAGTGCCACATGACTGAATTAGCCTGGGGTTCTGAGCTCCCACATGGAAGACAGCTGCCTTGGAAAGTTGCCTGTACCCTCAACAGACCTTGAGAGAGCAAATAAATAAACTGTCGTGTATTAAGCCACTGGGATTTGGTGGTGTTTGTTTCCAAATCATACTGTAACCTATCTTGACTGATATGCCAACCACTAAAAAACTGTTAATATATTTATATTTAACCATCCAGTGTTATTTTCTATGTATAGATATGTATAGAAATTTGAATCTTGCTACACATGCTGTTTTTGTAACATTTTATTTACCAAATTATGTATTATGAATATTTTTTCATCATTAAATCTTTTTTCAAACAATTATTTTTAATAGTCATACAGTATTAAAGTTGTGTCATATTTAATCTAGCCCTTCACTAATACTGGACAATTTTGCTGAATAGTGCTATACTGGCTTACTAACTAACCTATTCCATGTCTTTGTGCAAATTTCCAACTACTTTCTTAAGATAAGATCTACAAAATAAAAATGCTGCATCAAAGTTGAGTTACATTTTAAAGGCTTTTGATGTACATTGCCCAGTTACCCTTTGAAAAATTATACCAATTTATAATTTTTCTGGGAATGTATAATACATCATCATCACCATACTATTGGCCCTGAAAATTATAGTTTCTTAAAACTGAAAACTTGGTATATAGAAACTACCTCATTTATTATTTGATTTGCAGGCAAAGTTACTAGATATAGCTGGTTTCATGGAGATGTTGAATTCAGGTCTTTCTGTAAGAGTGAAGAATTTTATGTTGTATTTGTGACTCCCTAAACTTTTGGCCTCATTCTGAAAATGTTATTACACAGTATTTCATTGTCATTATTGTATAAAGGCCCTGCAGGTTCAATTTCATATTCAGGATAACTTTTAACTTCCAACCTTTGAATTTGTTATTTGTTTACATATATATTATTAATTACCCGTCTTATTAATTCATAATTTGAGACTTTGATTTGCATAATTCAGGTTTTTAAACTGAATTAAACACTTAAATAAATATTATTTGTGTATCAATATATACCCATTGCTTAAAAAGTTCCAGTTTCAGGATCATGGATGGTGGACATGGTGAATTTGGCAGTCAGTATCTATTACTGACAATTAGAGCTCAAGATGTAAATCGGATTGCACTGAAAATGCCCCCATTCCATCCGTTGATATTGGGAGAGTGCAAGTGAGGTAGGGGATGACTTTTTGTTTTGCCTCTTGCTTCTGGCAGGTAAGGACAAATATAGAGCATCACTCCAACATCTAGTCCTTCACTTCAAGAACACTTGCAGGGGAGGCGTGGACGGCAGCTTCCTGATTTCTGAATCACAGTTCCAGGGATGTGTTCTTGAAATTGACAGCTTTCTAGTGGTATTCATCTGATTGTCCACTTTCCTAACTATGGAAAAGGTAGCAGCAACCTGGCAGACCTATTTGGCTGTGTAATTCTGGGAATGGTTCCTGGGGAATTGGCCCAGGGCCTACTCCTCCTGTCTTTCCAGTCATTTTGTAAGAATTAAATTACCTATGTCAAATGTCTTTCCTTTTAAAATAGCTAGAACAACCTCTATTTCCTACAACCGAACCTCTCACTGATATAAATAAATGTAAGACTTATTCCCTTTTTGCAGCTTATAAAATCTGATATATAGAGATGTTTAAAATAATGCAATTAATTATATTAGATTATCTGTATTTTCTTTTGCCTACTTGCTTTTAAAAGGCAAGAAGTTGTATTAAATCTCTCATTTATGATTGTATTCTTCTCATTTTCCCGTTGATTTATAATGTTTTTTTCACATCAACTTTGATACTCTATTTGGTTTATGGAAATGTTATTTAGTAAAACTTCATCATGTATAATATCCTTCACCTGCTAAAAAAATTGCCACGTTGTCCAGTTTAATGCTTCTCTTTTTCCTTGGATTCTTTCTTGCCTGATATTAATATTGTAACTTGGAGCTTTATTTTGTTTGCATTTATCTGATTTAAATTTGCTTATTTTTATCTTCAACCTTTGTAATTTACTTTGGAGTTATGCATACAGAAACTCATTTACAAGGAAGAAATGTTTTGTTGTTGTTTTTTTAAATCTGGGAGAGGTAATAATGTATTTAAATAGTCAAACTAAAAACATAGTCAAATGAGAAATAGTTAAAATAAAAATAGCTAAAATAAAAAGCATAGTTAAAGCAGAAATTTAGAGTGAGTTCGACTCCACAACTAGTTCAACTATTACTCAATCTTAGTAACATCAAACTTATCTTACACAGATTGGCTTAAACAATTTTTAAAAGCTAATATTATCAGCATGTAACTTTTGCCTATGCCATCATATGAAAACCTAACTCTGCCTTAAGACACAACTCCACTGTAGACTAGAACATGGCTCTAGATGCTGGCCATACATAGTGAGCAAAAATAATCATGGTTCATGACAGGTAACCTTCCACATAGACAATAATTTTTCGTGTCAATGCTGCTTCATAACACCAACTTTATGAAGACATTTTAAGTAACATTTAAGGATATAAATTTTCTTTAGAAATCAATGGCTTATGTGATTCTGATGTGAATAACTCAAATGAACAGAAAATTGTATAAACATAAAATACCTAGAAGGCTAAGTTTGCACATATGCAGGCAAAGACAACTGCAGATCAACTCAGTCTTGCCTTCATCAGAGCAAATTTTTGTTGACATCTATTTAAGGCATCCCAGTTTCAGAAACAAGCATGATAAAACCCATTATAGCCAAGAAAATACGCAAATACATTGGATAGTTGTTTAATTGATGGCAAATAGCTCATTTCATAAAAATCAATCCTTTTTAAGGAATGCTTTGTTTTCATTAGGAATTCTTGGATAAAAAGAACACTTTAAGGAATGTTTTAAGGCACTTATCTGAACTGAGAAAACACACAGGTATAAAGGTAGAAGTGGCACAGGAAAGTAGCATTTACAGAATGTTGCCTTAACACACCTGAAATCTGCTTCAGTTTGCCACATTACTATTATAATTACTGTCCTTGTAGTCATTTTGAGATTAATCATGTAAGGCCTTCTGCTATTGTTATATTATCTATGGCAGAAGAAGAGTGAAAAATATATAGAAAAGGAAGTAGGTCATATTATTTTTAGTTTTCTATTGCTGCATAACAAATTAACACCAATTTAGTGTCTCAAGACAACATGCTCTCACTATCTCACAGTATCTGTAGTTCAAAATTCCAGGCATAGTGTAGCTGCTCAGTGTTGGAAATGGATACAACCAAGGTGTTGGCCAAGGCTGCATTTGCATCTTGAGCTTGGGGTCATCTTTCAAGCTCATTTGAGGTGTGGGCAGAATTAAGTCTCTTGCAACTGTACAGCTGAGTTCCTCATTTTCTTGCTGGCTGTTGGCTGGGACTGCTCTCTGTTTCCAGAGTCCACCCTCAGGTTCTAGCATTGTGACTCTATCACAACATGGCAGCTTCTTCTTCAAAGCCAGCAGCAAGAACTCCCTCCAGTCTGTTACAACAGTTTTATATAGCACAGCCTAATAGAGGGAGTCATAGCCCATCGTATCCATGGGTCCAGCCCACATTCCTGGTGGGGGAATCATGTAGTGCATGTACACCAAGTGGGGCTACAAGAGCCATCTTAGATTTTGGCCAGCCACACAGACCAGGTAAAAAGAACACTTGGATAAAAAGAAAATCTGCAAGCAGACTTAATATCAGGTTGAAAACATGGCTTATTGTCATCTGTGTCATATGAATGCATGGAAGACAAAGTTTCCATCCTAAAGAACAAGAATTGATCTTTAGCAAAAATAAAAATAGATATAAAACAATTAAGGAAAAATAAACAAAGGCCTTAAGCAGTTTAAAGTAAAACTTAGCTGCAATGTAACACAATAGAATTTTTTTTCCCTTACAATCAGGAGTTACTGTTTGAACAATTGTGATTTAATATCTTGAAGCAAAATTGTGATATTTGTAATTTTAAATATACCATATAATAATAAAATAAATAGTTGTTATAGTGTTATAGTTACTGCTCAATAAATCTAGTTTTCTTACTCTGACCTTCCTGCTTCTTACTTTAAAGTGAAACATTAAAGGCTGCTACCCTGCCTCCTATATCACTACATACTATTTTAAGTAAAACCCTAAAGGTTAAAGATCACTCCTGCCTATTAAACCACACTGCAAACCCCTTTTCAATGACACAATCTTATTAATAATCCAGGTATTTTTCTGGATAATTATGAATTTTTAATACTCATTTTTTCTAACTTCCAAATACATGAAAGTATGTTCTACAGTCTGATTTGTTTTAGCTTTTTCTATATACTCTATTTTCTAAAACCATACTACTGAAATAATTTTTAAAGCTTAAAGAAATTCCCTCCGTATGACATTATAGTGTTAGTATATCAAATAACTTCTGCTTTTATTGAAAAGAAAATTAAAACACAGAAATATAGAGTAATATAAAACTAAACATGTGCACAAACTTCCACTAGAAAGGATATAAAGCAAAATATAATCTGTATGTGTGACAGAGTGTGTGTTATATTTTTGTTTCCTTGGCAACCCCCTTGACAGATGTTAATAGGGATATTGCTGTGAAATATAAAATAGTATGAAACAAAATTATGCATATTTTCAATCTGTGATTGACTTACTGCATGGAGAATGCGGAAACTAAACTACATATATTACTGAACTAAGCACAGAAAAGATTGTGACTAATCTGAGAGGTTTATAATATAGTATTAACGAGCTCTATATCAGGGACAAATTGTTCAGATGTCCAGTTGCATAGCTGTTAATAATGGCACCAGTATCAGGACCAGAAAAATTGATGGAAAGGCTATTCTTTCTGTGAGCAGAGTTTTGTCTAGGATGTAGTCTTATAAAACTTGTCTTATGAGTATAGAATATAATTGGTTTTAACTGGTAAGCTGGAAATCAGACTGATGTCTTTTTTTTAAGTTAATTTTTTAAAAGCCAATTCCCATTTCCACTCAGCCTCATTCTGCATTCATGCCTATCCAAGTGATCGGCAAGATGTCCACCAGCAGCCTAAGACTTATCCTTCTAGATAATCTATCTTAATATTAAGACATCTTCTCTCAATAAGCAGGTATTGATAGTAGAAACATTGTCCTATCTGCCCCCTTTGGATCGCATGCCTTATTTGCTATCACAAAACAGAAGCCCAACTCAAGATATCAAGAAATCTTTTCTTAACTAGAAAATCCAGAGATGAGACCGTATTCAGGCTTCTCTTTCATTCTACCTTGAGGATTCACCTCCACCACTCTACACGTATTGTTTTTATCACATCACAGATGACCTTCACGTTGCAAACCAATCATCAGACATTAGGATTTATATCATCTCACCTATCAGGACCAGCACCATTTCTCATGGTTGATCAGTCACTATAGCTTGAAACACTTTCTTTGCTTGTCTTCCTGGATAACTGTGCACTAGATTGTTTTTGCTTATGTTTTCCAAATATTCAGGTTATTTAATACTTTTTATAAAATCCTCTCAATGTTATCCATGTCATTTAGAATAAAATAATGAGCTGTCAAGACCTCCATACTGTTCTTCCATCTTTCTCATCCCCTACATTCTCTCTCCACTCATTCTGTGTCAGCCATATTGAATGTCTTACTCCACCTCAAGACATTTGTATTTGCTATTTCCTCTGCCAAGACTTCTTTCCCCAGATATCTAAATGACTTCTTTCCTCACCTCATTGAAGTCTGCTCTAATTTCTCCTTTCTAGTATTGTTTTCCTTGATTATCCTTTTAAAAAACACACACAAACTCTCCCCCTCTTTTTCCTCACTTTGTTTATGAACACTTGGCTTAGTTTGCGTGACTTAGTTATGTATGTGTGCATGTTCATATGTATGTATGTATATATTCATGTCTGTGTCTGTCTCTATCTTTCCTAGAAGCACGAAATTTTTCTGTCATGTTCACTGCCATACCTGACTCCAGAACAATGTCTAGAGTAGTAAAGATGTTCAATAAATATTTTTTGAATAAATGAATATTTAATCCAGGAGTTTAAATGTGTCATTAGGGCCCTGTCTTCTCTTTCACCTGTCAGCAATTCCCATTTCTGCTTGGCCTCATTCTGCATTCACGCTAATCCACATGATTCGGCCATATGGACATTCAGCAAGATGTCTACCAGCGACCTCAGACTCACATCCTTCTAGATAATTTATCTTAATACAAAGATATTTTATTTCAGTAAGTAGACATTGATAGTAGAAACATTGTTCTACCAGCCCTTTTGGATTATGCCTCTTCCAGACTAAACTTCGTCTCCAGGGAAGTATGGTACTCTGTAACTGATTCAACCTGGATCATAAGACTCTTTGGGAATAACACAGTTAAAGCACTAATACCTATGGTCCTGCTAGGACCCCAAGTGTAGGGTAATGATAGTGTCTTCAAGGAGGAGTGCTGATTGAACAATTAATACATAGAAAATAGTTTGGCATTATATCTGGACATCAGCATTTAATCTAAAGTAGCTTCCTTACCATCCTCAAGCTTTTCTGTTTAAACTGAAGCTGAATGTCGGATGTCATACAATTCATAATTCCCTGCTAATGTGCCAAGATATTCTTTGTTAAAAGAAAATGTGTAATTTCAGACTTTCAACCAATAAAAATTTTAAAAAAAGAAGGGCATTGTGTGATGGTAAAGAGTTCAATTTAACAAGAAGGTCTAACTATCATAAATATATATGCACCCAACACAAAATCACCAGATTCAAAAAGAAAATTCTTAGTGACCTCCAAAGAGACTTAGACTCCCACACAAAAATAGTGGGAGACTTCAACACCCCACTGACAGTGTTAGACAGATCATCCAGACAAAAATTACAAAGATATTCAGAACCTGAACTCAGCCCAGTACCAAATGGGCCTGAGAGACATCTACAGGACTCTCCATCCAAAATCACCAGAATATACATTCTTCTAATTGCCATATGGCACATACTCTAAAATTGACCACACAATTGGACATAAAACCATCCTCAGCAAATGGAAAAGAACTGAAATCATACCAAACACTCTCTCAGACCACAGTACAATAAAACTAGAGATAAAGACTAAGACAGTGGCCCCAAACCATACAATTACATGGAAATTAAATAAACTGCTCCTGAATGGCTTTTGGGTTAAGTAATGAAATTAAAGCAGAAGTCAAGAAACTTTGAAACTAATGAGAACCAAGATACAACATATCAGAATATCTGGGACACTGCTAAGGCAGAGTTAAGAGAGAAATTTATAGCACTAAATGCTCACATCAAAAAGTTAGAAAGATCTCAATGTAACAACCTAACCTCACAACTAAAAGAAGTAGAGAACCAAGAGCAAACCAACCCCAAAGCCGGAAGAAGACAAGAAATAACCAAAATCAGAGCTGAACTAAATAAGACTGAGATGCAAAAAACCATTCAAAAGATCAACAAATCCAAGAGTTGTTTTTTTGGAAAAAATTAATAAAAATAGACTGCTCGCCAGACTAATAAGGAATAAAAGAGAGAGAATCCAAATAAATACAATTAGAAACAACAAAGGGATATTACCACTGACCCCACAGAAATACAAAGAACCATAAGCAACTATTATGAACACCTCTATGCACAAAAACTGGAAAATCTAGAAGAAATGAATAAATACCTGAACACATACACCCTCCCAAGACTGAACTAGGAAGAAATTGAATCCCTGAAAAGATCAATAACAGGCTCCAAAATTGAATCAGTAATAAATAGCCTACCAACCAAAAAATCTGAGGTTCACACAGATTCGTAGCCAATTTCTATCAGAGCTGGTACCATTCTTACTGAAACTGATAAAAAAAATTAAGAAGGAGGGACTCCTCCCTAACTCATTCTATGAGTCCAGCATCATCCTGATACCAAAACCTGGCAGAACAACAACAACAACAAAAAAAAAAAAAGAAAAGAAAATTTCATGCCAATATCCTTGAGGAACGTTGATGCAAAATCCTCAACAAAATACTGGAAAACCAAATCCAGCCATACATCAAAAAGCATATCGATCACAATCAAGTAGGCTTTATCCCTGGGATGCAAGGTTGAGTCAATATATGCAAATCAATAAATGTGATTCATCACATAAATATAACTAAAGACAAAAACCATGATATTATCTCAATAGATACAGCAAAGGCTTCTGATAAAATTCAACACCTCTTCTGTTAAAATCTCTCAATAAATCAGTTATTGAAGAAACAAATAGTAAGACCCATCTAAGACAAACCTACAGTCAACAGAATACTAAATCGACAAAAGCTGGAAGCATTCCCTTTAAAAGAAAAAAAAAGAGCACAAGACAAGGATGCCCTCTGTCACCACTCCTATTCAATATAGTATTGGAAGTCCTGGTTGAGCAATCAGGCAAGTGAAAGGAATAAAGGGCATCCAAATAGGAAGAGAGGAAGTAAAACTATCCCTGTTTGCAGATGACACAATGCTATATCTAGAAAACCTCATAGTCTCAGCCCAAAAGAGCCATAACCTGATAAACAACTTCAGCAACTTCAGGATACAAAAATCAATTTATAAAAATCACTAGCATTCCTATATATCAACAACAGTCAAGCCAAGAGCCAAATCAGGAATGCAATCCCATTCACAACTGCCACAAAAAGAATAAAATACCAAGGAATAGAGCTAACCAGGGAGATGAAAGAGCTCTACAACAAGAACTACAAAACACTGTTCAAAGAAATCAGACATGACACAAACAAATATAAAAACATTCCACACTCATGTATAGGAACAATCAGTATTGTTGAAATGACCATGCTGTCCAAAGCAATTTACAGATTCAGTGCTATTCCTGTCAAACTACTATGACGTTCTTCATGGAACTAGAAAAAACTATTTTAAATTTCATATGGAACAAATAAGAGCCCAAATAGCCATGGCAATCCTAAGCAAAAACAACAAAACTACAGGCATCACACTACCTGACATCAAACTATACTACAGGGCTAGAGTAACCAAAACAGCATGGAATGGGTACAAAAACAGACACATAGACCAATAGAACAGAATGGAGAGCACAGAAAAAAGGCTGCACATGTACAACCATCTGATCTTTGACAAACCTGACAAAAACAAGCAAAGGGAAAAAGACTCCCTATTCAATAAATGGTACTGGTACTGGGATAATTGGCTAGCCATGTGCAGAAGATTGAAACTAGACCCCTTCCTTACACCATATTCAAAAATCAACTCAAGATGGATTAAAAGTGGGCAAAGGTCATGAAAAGACCCTTCTCAAAAGAAGACATTTACGTGACCAACAAACACATGAGAAAAAGCTCAACATCACTGATCATTAGAGAAATGGAAATCAAAACCACAATGGAATACCATCTCACACTAGTCATAATGGTGATTATTAAAAAGTCAAGAAACAACAAATGCTGGTGAGGCTGTGGAGAAATATGAATGCTTTTACACTGTTGGTGGATATGTAAATTAGTTCAACCATTGTGGAAGAGAGGCTAGCGATTCCTCAAATACCTAGAGGCAGAAATACCATTTGACCCAGCAATCCCATCACTGGGTATATAGCCAAAGGAATATAAATCAATCTGTTATAAAGATACATGCACACATATGTTCACTGCAGCACTATTCACAATACCAAAGACATAGAATCAACCCAAATGCCCATCAATTATAGACTGGACAAAGAAAATGCAGTACATATACACCATAGAATACTGTGCATTTATAAAAAGGAATGAGATGATGTCCTTTGCAGGGATGTGGATGAAGCTGGAAGCTGTTATCCTCAGCAAACTAACACAGGAACAGAAAACCAAACACTGCATGTTCTCACTTACAAGTGGGAGCTAGGCAATGAGAACACGTGGACACAAGAAGGGAAACAAGACACACTGGGTCCTATTGGGGGAACAGGGGGAGGGAGAGCATCAGGAAAAATAGCTTACGCACTCTGGGCTTAATCCCTAGGTGATGGGTTGATAGATGCAGCAAATCACCATGGCACATGTTTACCTATGTAACAAACCTGCACATCCTGCACATGTATTCTGGAACTTAAAATAAAATAAATTAAAATAAAGACTTAAATGTAAAACTCAAAGCTAGAAAATCCATGGAAGAATGGCAATACCATTCTGGACACAGGAACAGGCAAAGATTTCATGACAAAGACACCCAAACCAGTTGCAACAAAAGCAAAAATTGACAAATGGGACCTAATTAAATGAAAGAGCCTCTGCCCAGCAAAAGAAACTATCAGCCAAATAAACAGACAACCTACAGATGAGAGAAAATTTTTGCAAACTATGCATCTGACAAAGATTCAATATTCAGCATCTAAGGAAGTTAAACAAATTTACAAGAAAAGGAATAAATATCCCCATTAAAAATATGGCAAAAGACATGATCACACCCTTTTCAAAAGAAGACATGCATGTGTTCAACAGGCACATGAAAAAAATCTCAACATCACTGACCACTGGAAAAATGCAAATCAAATCCACAATGAGATACTATCTCACAGCAGTCAGAATGGCTATTATTAAAAAGTCAAAAAATAACAGACGCTGGTGAGGTTGCAGAAAAAAGGGAATGCTTAGACACTCTTGGTGGGAGTGTGAATTAGTTCAACCATTGTGGAAAGCAGTGTGATAATTCCTCAAAGAAATTAAAATGGAACTACCATTCAACCCAGCAATCCCATTATTGGGCACATACCCAGAGTAATGTCAATCATTCTGTCATAAAGACACATGCATGCATACATTCATTGCAGCACTATTCACAATAGCAAAGTCATGGAATTAACCTAGGTGGATTAAAAAAAAAACGTAGTACATATGGACCATGAAATACTATGCAGACATAAAAAAGAATAAAATCATGTTCTTTTTAGGAACATGAATGGAGCTGGAAGCCGTTATCCTTAGCAAACTAACATTAATGAAAATTCTGTATCTTTTCATCTATAAGTGGGAGCTAAATGATGAGAACACACGGACACAAAAAGGGAAACAACACACACTGGGGCCTACTAGAGGATAGAGGGTGGGAGGAGGATGAGGATCAGGAAAAATAACTAATGAATACTAGGCTTAAGACTTGGGTTCTGAAATAATTTGCACAACAAACCCCCATGACATGAGTTTACCTATATAACAAACCTGGATGTGTAACCCTGAATTTAAAAGTTTAAAAAAAGCAAACGTGGTATTCCATAAGAGAAAGAAACCCATAATTGAATATTTTCTGTTCCTTGAAAAATAAAAATATCATACTATTTCAGATAATTCATTTCTCATATAGCTCATGATATTTCTGCCCTTTAGGGCAAGTCTGAGAACAATATCAATCTTTAAGTAAACACAAAATGTTTGAAATTTTATTATTTTTCTAATTGTTACTTATTCATCCAGAATTTTATGTATGTTAGAAGGCTATTAAGAATGCAGAAAGGTTTTCCCAAGATGGCCGAATAGGAACAGCTCCAGTCTGCAGCTCCCAGCATGATCGATGCAGAAGATGGGTGGTTTCTGCATTTCCAACTGAGGTACCCAGTTCATCTCACTGAGACTGGTTGGACAGTGGGTGCAGCCCATGCAGGGCAAGCCGAAGCAGGGTGGGGCACCACCTCACTCTGAAAGTGCAAGGGTTTGGGGGATTTCCGTTTCCTAGCCAAGGGAAGTCGTGACACACTGTACCTGGAAAAACGGGACACTCCCACTCAAATACTGCACTTTTCCAACGGTCTTAGCAAACAGCACACCAGCAGATTATATCCCACACCTGGCTTGGTGGGTCCCACACCCATGGAGCCTTGCTCACTGCTAGCACAGCAGTATGAAATCAACCTGTGAAGCAGCAGCCCAGCAGTGGGAGGGGCGTCCGCCATTGCTGAGGCTTGAGTAGGTAAACAAACTGGCCCAAAAACTCAAACTGGGTGGAGCCCACTGCAGCGCAGTTAGTCTGGCTGCCTCTATAAACTCCACCTCGGGGAGCAAGGCATAGCTGAACAAAAGGCAGCAGAAACTTCTGCAGTCTTAAATATCCCTGTCTGAGAGCTCTGAAGAGAGCAGTGGTCCTCCCAGTACAGTGCTTGAGCTCTGAGAATGGACAGACTGCCTCCTCAAGGGTGTCCCTGACCCCCATGTAGCCTAACTAGGAGACACCTCCTAGTAAGGGCCGGCTGACACCTCATACAGGTGGGTGCCCCTCTGGGACAAAGTTTCCAGAGGAAGGATAAGGCAGCAATATTTGCTGTTCAGCAATATTTGCTGTTCAGTACCCTCTGCTGGTCATACCCAGGCAAACAGGGTCTGGAGTGGACCTCCAGCAAACTCCGACAGACCTGTAGCTGAGGGACCTGACTGTTAGAAGGAAAACTAACAAACGGAAAGGAATAACATCAACATCAACAAAAAGGACATGTACACCAAAACCCCATCTGTAGGTCACCAATATCAAAGACCAAAGGTAGATAAAACCACAAAGATGGGGAGAAACCAGAGCAGAAAAGCTGAAAATTCTAAAAACCAGAGCGCCTCTTCTCCTCCAAAGGATTGCAGCTCCTCACCAGCAACAGAACAAAGCCGGACAGAGAATGACTTTGACGAATTGACAGAAGTAGGCTTCAGAAGGTCAGTAATAACAAACTCTGAGCTAAAGGAGGATGTTAGAACCCATCACAAGGAAGCTAAAAACCTTGAAAAAAAGATCAGACGAATGGCTAACTAGAATAAACAGTGTAGAGAAGACCTTAAATGACCTGATGGAGCTGAAAACCATGGCATGAGAACTATGTGATGCATGCACAAGCTTCAATAGCTGAGTCGATCAAGTGGAAGAAAGGGTATCAGTGATTGAATATCAAGCTAATGAAATAAAGTGAGAAGACAAGTTTAGAGAAAAAAGAGTAATAAGAAATGAACAATGCCTCCAAGAAATATGGGACTATGTGAAAAGACCAATTCTACGTTTGATTGGTGTACCTGAAAGTGATAGGGAGAATGAAATCAAGTGGAAAACACTCTTCAGGATATTATCCAGAATTTCCTGAACCTAGCAAGGCAGGCCAACATTCAAATTCAGGAAATACAGAGAAAACCACAAAGATACTCCTCGAGAAGAGCAAAACCAAGACACATAATTGTCAGACTCACCAAGATTTAAATGAAGGAAAAAATGTTAAGGGCACCCAGAGAGAAAGGTCTGGTTACCCACAAAAGGAAGCCCATCAAACTAACAGTGGATCTCTTGGGAGAAACTCTACAAGCCAGAAGAGAGTGGGGGCCAATATTCAACATTCTTAAAGAAAAGAATTTTCAACCCAGAATTTCATATCCAGCCAAACTAAGCTTCATAAGTGAAGGAGAAATAAAATCCTTTACAGACAAGCAAATGCTGAGAGATTTTGTCACCACCAGGCCTGCCCTACAAGAGCTCCTGAAGGAAGCACTGAACATGGAAAGGAACAACTGGTACCAGCCAGTGCAAAAAACATGCCAAATTGTAAAGCCCATTGATGCTAGGAAGAAACTGCATCAACTAATGGGCAAAATAACCAGCTAACATCAAATGACAGGATCAAATTCACACATGACAATATTAACTTTAAATGTAAGTGGGCTAAATGCCCCAATTAAAAGACACAGAGTGGCAAATTGGATAAAGAGGCAAGACCCATCAGTGTGCTATATTCAGGAGACCCATCTCATGTGCAAAGACACACATAGGCTCAAAATAAAGGGATGGAGGAAGATCAACCAAGCAAATGGAAAGCAACAAAAAAGCAGGGGTTGTAATCCTAGTCTCTGATAAAATAGACTTTAAACCAACAAAGATCAAAAGAGACAAAGAAGGCAATTACACAAAGGTAAAGGGATCAATTCAAAAAGAAAAGCTAACTATCCTAAATACATATGCACCCAATACAGGAGCACCCAGATTCATAAAGCAAGTCCTTAGAGACATACAAAGAGACTTAGGCTTCCAAACAATAATAATAGGAGACTTTAACACCCCACTGTCAATATTAGACAGATCAACGAGACAGAAGGTTAACAAGGATACCCAGGACTTGAAGTCAGCTCTGCACCAAGTGGATCTAATAGGCATCAACAGAACTTTCCACCCCAAATCAACAGAATATACATTCTTCTCAGCACCACATCGCACTTATTCCAAAATTGACCACATAGTTGGAAGTAAAGCACTCCTCAGCAAATGTAAAAGAACAGAAATCACAACAAACTGTCTCTCAGACCACAGTGCAATAAAACTAGAACTCAGGATTAAGAAACTCACTCAAAACCACACAACTACATGGAAACTGAACAACCTGCTCCTGAATGACTACTGGGTACATAACAAAATGAAGGCAGAAATAAAGATGTTCTTTGAAACCAATGAGAACAAAGATACAACATACCAGAATCTCTGGGACACATTTAAAGCAGTGTGTGGAGGGAAATTTATAGCACTAAATGCTCACAAGAGAAAGCAGGAAAGATCTAAAATCGACACGCTAACATCACAATTAAAAGAACTAGAGAAGCAAGAGCAAACACATTCAAAAGCTAGAAGAAGGCAAGAAATAATTAAGATCAGAGCAGAACTGAAGGAGATAGAGACACAAAAACCCTTCAAAAAAACAATGTATCCAGGAGCTGGTTTTCTGAAAAGATCAACAAAATTGATAGACTGCTAGCAAGACTAATAAAGAAGAAAAGAGAGAAGAATCAAATAGACACAATAAAAAAGGATAAAGGGGATATCACCACTGATCCCACAGAAATACAAACTACCATCAGAGAATACTATAAACACCTCTATACAAATAAACTAAAAAATCTAGAAGATATGGATGAATTCCTGGACACATACACCCTCCCAAGACTAAACCAGGAAGAAGTTGAATCTCTGAATAGACCAATAACAGGCTCTGAGATTCAGGCAATAATTAATAGGCTACCAACCAAAAAAAGGCCAGGACAAGATGGATTCACAGCCAAATTCTACCAGAGGCACAATGAGAAGCTGGTATCATTCCTTCTGAAACTATTCCAATCAATAGAAACAAAGGGAATCCTCCCTAACTGATTTTATGAGGCCAGCATCATCCTGATACCAAAGCCTGGCAGAGACACAACAAAAAAAGAGAATTTTAGACCAATTTTAAATGAACATCGATGCGAAAATCTTCTATGAAATACTGGTGAACCGAATCCAGCAGCACATCAAAAAGCTTATCCACCACGATCAAGTCAGCTTCATCCATGGGATGCATGGCTGGTTCAACATATGCAAATCAATAAACGTAACCCATCAGATAAAGAGAACCAAAGACGAAAACCACAGGATTATCTCAATAGATGCAGAAAAGGCCTTCAACAAAATTCAACAGCACTTCATGCCATAAACTCTCAATAAACTAGGTATTGATGAAACGTTTCTCAAAATAATAGGAGCTATTTATGACAAACCCACAGCCACTATCATACTGAATGGGCAAAAACTGGAAGCATTCCCTTTGAAAACTGGCACAAGACAGGGATGCCCTACTATTCAACATAGTATTGGAAGTTCTGGCCAGGGCAATCAGGCAAGAGAAAGAAATAAAGGGTATTCAATGAGGAAAAGAGGAAGTCAAATTGTCCCTGTTTGCAGATGACATGATTGTATATTTAGAATACCCCATTGTCTCAGCCCAAAATCTCCTTAAGCTGATGAGCAACTTCAGCAAGGTCTCAAGATACAAAATCAATGTGCAAAAATCACAAGCACTCCTATACACCAAGAACAGACAAACGGAGAGACAAATCATGAGTGAACTCCCATTCACAACTGCTACAAAGAGAATAAAATGCCTAGGAATCCAACTTACAAGGGATGTGAAGGAACTCCTCAAGGAGAATTTCAAAACACTGCTCAACGAAATAAAAGAGGGCACAAACAAATGGAAAAACATTCCATGCTCATGGATACGAAGAATCAACATCGTGAAAATGGCCATACCGCCCAAGGTAATTTATAGATTCAATGCCATCCCCATCAAGCTACCAATGACTTTCTTCACAGAATTGGAAAAAACTACATTAAATTTTTTATGGAACCAAAAAAGAGCCTGCATTGCCAAGGCAATCCTAAGCAAAAAGAACAAAGCTGGAGACATCACGCTACCTGATTTCAAACTATACTACAAGGCTACAGTAACCAAAACAGCATGGTACTGGTACCAAAAAAGAGATATAGACCAATGGAACAGAACAGAGGCCTCAGACGTAACATCACACATCTACAACCATCTAATCTTTGACAAACCTGAGAAAAACAAGAAATGGGGAAAGGATTCCCTATTTAATAAATGGTGCTGGAAAAACTGGCTAGCCATATGGAGAAAGCTGAAACTGGATCCCTTCCTTACACCTTATACAAAAATTAATTCAAGATGGATTAAAGACTTAAATGTTAGACCTAAAACCGTAAAAACCCTAGAAGAAAACCTAGGCAATACCATTCAGGACATAGGCATAGGCAAGGACTTCATGACTAAAACACCAAAAGCAATGGCCACAAAAGCCAAAATAGACAAATGGGATCTAATTAAACTAAAGAGCCTCTGCACAGCAAAAGAAACTATCACCAGAGTGAACAGGTAACCTACAGAATGGGAGAAAATTTTTGCAACCTACTCATCTGACAAAGGGCTAATATCCAGAATCTACAAAGAACTTTAACAAAATTTCAAGAAAAAAAAAAACATCAAAAAGTGGGCAAAGGATATGAACAGACACTTCTCAAAAGAAGACATTTATGCAGCCAAAAGACACATGAAAAAATGCTCATCATCACTGGCCATCAGAGAAATGCAAATCAAAACCACAGTGAGATACCATCTCACACCAGTTAGAATGGCGATCATTAAAAAGTCAGGAAACAACAGGTGCTGGAGAGGATGTGGAGAAATAGGAACACTTTCACACTGTTGGTGGAAGTGTAAATTATTTCAACCATTGTGGAGGACAGTGTGGTGATTCTCAAGGATCTAGAACTAGAAATACCATTTGACCCAGCCATCCCATTACTGGGTATATACCCAAAGGATTATAAATCATGCTACTGTAAAGACACATGTACACGTATGTTTATTGCGACACTATTCACAATAGCAAAGACTTGGAACCAACCCAAATGTCCATCAATGATAGACTGGATTAAGAAAATGTGGCACATGTACACCATGGAATACTATGCAGCCATAAAAAAGGATGAGTTCATGTCCTTTGCAGGGACATGGATGAAGCTGGAAACCATCATTCTGAGCAAACTATCACAAGAACCGAAAACCAAACACCGCATGTTCTCAATCATAGGTTGGAATTGAACAATAAGAACACTTGGACACAGGGAGGGGAATATCACACACTGGGGCCTGTCACTGGGTGGGGGACTGGGGGAGGTATATCATTAGGAGAAATACCCAATGTAAATGACGAGTTAATGGGTGCAACAAACCTGCACTTGTAACAAACCTGCACGTTGTGCACATGTACCCTAGAACTTAAAGTATAATTTTTAAAAAATGCAGAAAGGTTTTCAATTTCTTCTTGATTCAATCATGAGAGGTCAGGTGTTTCAAGGAATGTATCCATTTCCTCTAGATTTTCTAGTTTGTTTGATAGAGGTGTTCAAAGTCTGAGGAACTTTTGTATTTCTGTGAGATGGGTTGCAATATCACCTTTGTCATTTTTTATTGTGCTTATTTGGATCTTTCCTATGTTTTACTTTGTTAATATAACTAGTGGTTTATTGATTTTGTTTATCTTCTCAAACAACCAACTATTGATTACATTGATTCTTTGTATGAATTTTTTTTTTTTTTTTTTTTTTTTTTTTGAGACGGAGTCTCACTCTGTCACCCAGGCTGGAGTGCAGTGGTGCAATCTCAGCTCACTGCAACCTCCACCTCCTGGGTTCAAGCGATTCTCTTGCCTCAGCCTCCCAGTAGCTGGGATTACAGCCCCCCTCCACCATGCCTGGCTAATTTTTGTGTTTTCAGTAGAGACGGGGTTTCATCATGTTGACCAGGCTGGTCTCAAACTCCTGAACTCAGGTGATCCACCCGCCTCGGCCTCCCAAAGTGCTGTCATTACAGGCATGAGCCACTGTGCCTGGCCAATTTTTGTATGAATTTTTGGATCTCAATTTCATTCATTTTGGCTCTGTTTTTAGTTATTTATTTTCTTCTGTTATCTTTGCGGTTGGTTTTGTTCTTGTTTTTCTGGCTCTTTTATGTGCAATGTTAGATGATTAATTTGAGATTTTTCTAACATTTTAAGATAGGTGTTTCATGCTATAAACATTCCTCTTAACATTATTTTTATAGCATCCTGAAGATTTGGGTATGTTGTAACTCTATTTTCATTTATTTCAAAGATTTTTTAAATTCCTGCTTAACTTTATTGTTAACCCAAAAATCATTCAATAATGAGTTCTGAAATTGAAACAGTAAGAAAAAAAAAACCTACCAATAAAAAAAAAAAAACAAAAAACCTGGACCTGATAGATTCATAGCCGAATTTTACCAGTTGTGAAAAGAAGAGGTAGTACCAATTCTGCTAAACTAGTCAATGAGGAGGAGGAACTTTTCCCCAACTCATTCGGTGAAGCCAGCATCACTGTGATACCAAAACCTGCCAAAAACACAAGAAGAAGAAGAAACTACCAACCAATGTCGCTGAAGAACATACACACAAAAATTCTCAACAACATACTGGCAAACCAAAACCAGCAACACATCAAAAAGTTTAATTCACCACGATCAAGTTGGCTTTACTCCTGGGATGCAAGGTTGGTTCAACATACACATATCAATAAATATGATTCACCACATAAACAAAATCAAAAGCAAAAGCCGCATTATCATCAATAGATTCAGAAAAAGCTTTTGACAAAATCCAATCTCCTTTCATGATGAAACCCTCAACAAACTAGGCATTGAGGGAATATATATCAAAATAATAAGAGCCATTTATGACACACCCACAGGCAACATCATGGTGAATGGGCAAAAGCTGGAACCCGTGACAACTGGAACAAGACAAAAATGCTCACTTACCACTCTTTGTAAAGTTTCAGGATAAAAACTCAATGTAAAATAATCAATAGCAATTCTATACATCAATAACATTCAAGCTGAGAGCAAAATCAAGAAGGCAATCCCATTTACCATAAACACACACACACACACACACACACACACACACTTAGGAATACATCTAACCAAAAAGGTAAAAGATCTCTACAAGGAGAACTACAAAACACTACTGAAAGAAATCATAGATTACACAAACAGTTGGAAAAACATTCCATGCTCCTCTTGGATTGGCAGAATCAGTATCATTAAAATGACCATGATACTCAAAGTAATCTACAGAATCAACATAATTCCTATGAAACTACAAATGTCATTTTTCACAGAATTAGAAAAAAAGATTCTAAAATTCATACGGGACCACAGAGGATTCCAAATAGCCAAAGCAATCCTAAGCAAAAAGAACAAAGCTAGAGACATCATATTACCTGTCTTCAAACTACACTTTAAGCCTACAGTAGCCAAACAGCATGGTACTGGTACAAAAATAGACACATAGACTAATGGAACAGAATAGAGAACCCAGAAGCAAAGCTACACACCTATGGCTATCTGATCTTTGAAAAGGATGACAAATATAAGCAATGGAGAAAGGACTCACTTTTCAAAAAATAATGCTGTGATCGCTGGCTAGCCATATACAGAAGAATGAATCTGGATCTCTACCTTTCACCATATACAAAAATTAACTCAAGAAGGATTAAAGATTTAAATGTAAGACTTCAAGCTACAAGAATCCTAGAAGATAACCTAAGAAAAACCATTCTGGACATCAGTCTTGGGAAAGAATTTATGACTAAGTTCTCAAAAGCAATTGCAACAAAAAACAAAAATTGCCAAATGGGATCTAATTAAACTAAAGAGCTTCTGCATACCAAAAGGAACTATCAACAGAGTAAACAGACAATGTACAGAATGGGAGAAAATATTCACAAACTATGCATATGACAAAGGTCTACTATCCAGGAACTTACACAACTGAACAAGCAAAAACCAAATAACCCCATTAAAAAATTGGCAAAAGACATAAATTAACACTTCTCAAAATAAGACATACAAGCTACAAGTGGCCAGCAAACATGAAAAGAATGCTCCACATCACCAACCATCAGAGAAATGAAAATCAAAACCACAGTGAGATACCATCTCACAGTAGTCAGAATGGCTTTTATTGAAATGTCAAAAAACAAAAGATGCTTGCAAGGCTGCAAAGAAACAGGAATGCATATAAACTGCTGGTGGGAATGTAAATTAGTTCAGCCTCTGTGGAAAGAAGTTTGGAAATTTCTCAAGGAACTTAAAACAAAACTACCATTCAACCCAGCAATCCTACTACTGAATATATATCCAAAAGAAAATAAATTATTCTACCAAAAAGACACACACTTGTATGTTCATTACTGAGCTATTCACAATAGCAAAGATATGGAATCAACCTAGGTGCTCATCAATGGTGGATTAAAGACAATGTGGTACATATATATCAGAGAACACTATGCAGCCATGAAAAGGAATTAAATCATATCCTTTGCAGCAACATGGTTGCAGCTGGAGAGCATTATCCTAAGTGAATTAACACAAGAACAGAAAAGCAAATGCCACATGTTCTCACTTACAAGTGGAAGGCAAACATTGGGTACTCATGGACATAAAGATGGCAGCTATAGACACTGGGGACTACTAATGAGAGGAGAGAAGGAGAGGGGTAAGGGTTGGAAAACTAATTATTGGGTATTATGCTAACTATCTGGGTGATGGGATCAGTTGTACCCCAAACTTCAGCATCATGCAATATACCCATGAAACAAACTGACAAATTGTACCTTCTGAATCTAAAGTAAAAGTTTAAATGATTTAAAAAAACAGAAAATGCAGAAAGAGGGAAAAGAAACCTTTCAGTATTCAGAATAGATGTACTCAACTATTTGGGGGGACCACAGTGCTTTTTTTGGAGAAATATGTTTAAGTCACTATTTTATAAAAACTTTATCAAGTTTGGTTGCACAGTTCCTGCTTCCTAGCAAAATACATGAAAGCAGATAAATACTAAAGAAAGAAACAATAAAACTATACAGTTTGGTACATGAGCCCTAGCTTGTAGCAGTGGATGACTGTTTAGCATAAAGACAAATATTCCTCAAGGATTTTAGAGAATCTCAATGTATCACACTAGGCAATATTCATAAAGAGGATCATGCTTAGATTTGAAGCACAAGAAGGATTGGACATATCATTGTTGGCTTGGAGGAGAGGGCTAAGTGTCAAAGAATGTGGGTAGCCTCTAGTAGCTGAGTGTGGCCACTGGCTTACAGTCAGCAAGAAACAGAAACTGTAGTCCTATAACTACTTGGAATTATATTCTGCAAGCAATAATGAACATGAAGGGCAGTATTTCCTCAGAACCTCAGACAATAACTCAGACCAGTAACACCTTGATTTTGATACCCTGTATAAATACCTTTTAACACCCTAATTAGGGAATCTGGCCAGGCCATGCCAGACTTCTGACCTACAGAACTGTGAGCTAAGAAATGGATGTTGTTTTAAGCAACTGTGTTTGTAGTAGCTTGTAAAGTAGCAATAGAGAACTAATGTAACGCTGCTTTACATTCCCATGTGAACTTTTAAATTGGTTTGTCAATTTCTACAAAAAAAATCTACTAAATTTTTGAATGAAATTGTGGATAATCAAAAGATACGTTTGGAAAAGAATTGCCACCTTAACAATATTGAATCTTCTGACTCATCAACAGGAAATAGCTCTTCATTTATGTCAGCCTTCTTTACTTCCTCTCAATAATATTTTGTAGTTTCAAGAAACTTACTAGTCCTTGACATCATTTGTCAGATTTATCCAAAGTATTCCATATTTAGTTTTAATTTTAAATGATATTTTAAAATTTCATTTTCTAATTACTCATTGCTAGAATATAAAAATACAACTGATTCTGTATATTGATCTTATATTCTGTAGCCTTGATAAACTCACTTAGTTCTACAAGCATTTTTGTAGATTCTGTCAGATTTACTGCATAGACAATTATGTCAACTGAAAATAATGACAGGCATATTTCTGCCCTTCCAATCTGAAGGCCTTGTTTTGTTTTGTTTTGTTTTGCTTTGCCTGAAGGTACCAGATATAACCTCTACTATAGTTGAATAGAAGTGGTAAGAACAGACGCTTTTTTTGTTTGTTTGTTTCTTATCTTAGGCAAAAAGGATTCAGTATTTCACCATTAAGTATAATGTTAGCTGTAGGCTTTTTGAAAATTATCTTTATTAGGTTAAAGTAGTTTACTTCAATCCCAAGTTTCTGAGTGTTTTATGAGGAATGAATGTTGACTTTGTCAAATGCTTTTTCTGCATCTTTTGACTTGATTCTTTTTTCTCTTTTAGGCTTGTTCATGTGGTGAATCATTTTATCACAAATTAATTAAAACCTGAGGCTTGCTCTCAAACTGTAGTATTATTTTAGAGTCTTCAAAACTAAGATATAATACACTTGTATTAGAATCTCCTTTTCAGTTACAATTTCCTCAGGGAATTTAAAGACATGCTTACAAGCTCTTCTTTAGGCTCCATTAAGACCTTCTGAGTGTTTGCCACCCTGGCAAAGTGGCAATGGTGGGTGGGAGGCTATAGAAGTAACCAGTAGAGATAATGGAGAATGGTACTATTTTGAGTGTCATCTTCCTTAAGTTTTAAAGCACTGTTATTGAATAAAACCAAAGATATAATGCTAATAAGATTCAAAATGAAGTTTGTGAAATAGGCAAAATAATTGAAATCATTTAACGTATAATATGTTTAATATCATCACACGGTGCAGAATCATGTGCCGAGGTTTGGTTTCTCTGAAATGGATAAATGTTTTGATGCTGAATATGAGATTTTTAAAAGGAATGATCACAGAGTGCAAGCTGCTTTATGACTGACTTTGTTTTTCTGATGTGGTCTTGAGCAGTAAACTAACTATATATTGAAAATGTGAAACAAATCATCTTCCAGCATGGAAAATCGCACACAGCAGTTATCATTGGCAGAGAAATGAATAAAAGATAAAATTAATTCAATGATATATTTTAACAGCCTCCTCCTCCAAATCAACAAATATAATGTGGTTTAAAAATTGAAATTGGCATTGTGGAATTTAGGTAGGTTTTTTTTGTTTGTTTGTTTTTGTTGTTTTGTTTTGTTTTTGTTTTTGAGACAGAGTCTTGCTCTGTCATCCAGGCTGGAGTGCAGTGGTACAATCGACTCACCACAACCTCCGCCTCCCAGGTTAAGCAATTCTCATGCCTCAGCCTCTCGAGCAGCTGGAATTACAGGTACATGCCACCATGCCCGGCTAATTTTTGTAGTTTCAGTAGAGACGGGGCTTCACCATGTTGCCCAGGTTGGTCCTGAACTCCTCGCCTCAAGTGATCCACCAACCTGGGCCTCTCAAGGTGCCAGGATTACAGGTGTGAGCCACCACACCTGGCTGGAATTCGGGTAGTTTTTATTCTAGTATCAATAATTATTTTTCGTTTAAACAGTACATATCTAAGTCCACCCTAGAATCCATTTGATTAAGTTTGCCTTAGTTGTTATGTGTTTGAGGGAGTTCCAATGAAGTCTTCGTAGACTGTTCATACTTTATCTGTTCTCTTCAATCACAACAGACTGAATTTTTGTTACACATGAAGCTGCCAGTCTATTCTATCTGAAATGCATCTGTATTAGTTAGGGTTCTCTAAATGGACAGAACTTAATAGGATATATGTGTATATGAAGGGGAGTTTGTTAGGAGAATTGACTCACATGACCACTAGGTGAAGTCCCACAATAGGCCATCTGCAAGCTGAGGAGCAAGGAAGCCAGTGCGAGACCGAAAACCTCAAAGTAGGGAAGCCAGTGGTGCAAACTTCAATTTGTGGCCGAAGGCCTGAGACCCCCTGTCAAACCACTGGTGTAAGTCTAAGTGTCTAAAAGCTGAAGAACTTGGAGTCTGATGTTTGAGGAAGGAAGCATCCAGCACGAAAGAAAGATGAAGGCTGGAAGACTCAGCAAATCAAATCTCATTGCACTTTCTTCTGCCTGCTTTATTCTAGCCGCACTAGCAGTTGATTAGATGGGGCCTACCCAGACTGAGGGTGGGTTTGCCTCTCCCAGTCCACTGACTCAAGTGTTAATCTCCTTTGGCAACACCTTCACAGACACACCCAGGAACAATACTTTGCATCCTTCAATCCAATTAAGTTGACACTCAATATTAAACATCACTGCATCTAAGTTGTCATCATCCTATTCAGATTTTTTCAGTAAGTTCCTATTGGCCACAGAATGAAGGCCAAAGCAATTAGTTTTATATCCAGGATTCTCTGGAACCTGCTACTGAACTACCTTTCCTATATTACTTTCCAAGCTTTTCCCATTAATAACCCAAAATGCTAGACACATTGGAAAACTTAATACATCTTTTAAGAACTTCACATTTTTCACAGCTTTGATTCTGTTCTCTTTTCCTGGATTTTATCTATTGTCCATCATTTTATGCTAAAAAGATCTCTAGATTGCAGATACTAGCTCAAATGATATGTCCTTCAAACTCTTCCTGATGATTTTTCAAGAGAATTATCAAAATGTTCATTTGAATCACCTTGTCTTTGACCATTACAGGTGGAGTATCCCTTATCCAAAATGCTTGAAACCAGAAGTGTTTCAGATTTCTTTTTTTTTCTTTTTTTTGGATTTTGGAATATTTGCATTTACATACCTAAATCTAAACATGAAATTCATTTATGTTTTATATACACCTTATACACATAGCCTAAGGTATTTTTATATGTTTTAAATAATTTTGTGCATGAAACAGAGTTTGTACACATTGAACCATCAGAAACCATAGGTGACACCATCTCAGCCGCACATGTGGACAATCTGTGGTTGTTTGGCTTCACAGTCTGTCATTGTTTTTATCAGCTTTTAAACAACAGCAACAACAATCAACAGCAGACTTTCTCTGTGTATGATACTGTGTTTTGATTAAAAGTTTACATTGCATTTTATTTTTTAGATAAAAATAAACACCAGAAACAGTTGAGGGACCAAGAAGTGCCAAAAAGTCCTGTAGGGATGAGGAGGCATTCTGCTGGACAGCTTTTTAAAATGTTTCCCACAGTCATCTGCCTCATTAACAATGGTCTTTATCTTAGAAGTGTCTCTTTGATTTTATAAATTGACATGATTTCTTGTTATGTTATAATATATTATATTAGTCTATTCTCATGCTGCTAATAAAGACATACTAGAGACTGGGTAATTTATAAAGGAAAAAGGTTTAAGGAACTCACAATTCCACATGGCTGGGGAGGCCTCACAATCATGGCGGAAGGCAAATGAGGAGCAAAGTCACATCTTAATATGGTGGCAGGCAAGAGAGTTTGTGGAGGGGAACTCCCACTTATAAAACCATCAGATCTCATGAGACTTATTCACTACCACAAGAATAGTATGGAGAAAACCGTCCCATGATTCAATTATCCTTACCTGGCCCCACCCTTGACACGTGGGGATTATTACAATTCAAGGTGAGATTTGGGTGGGGACACAACCAAACCATATCATATATGCTGCTCCAGTCCTTCAAAAAGTCACACACGCATTTTCACTATGTCATCTATAGGCACTTTTTCTGCAGTGTTAGCATCACCTTCATCATCACTATTATCACGATCCCCTTTATTCAGAATCATTTCTCCTCCTTCACTGTCAGTCAGTAAATGAAGACCTGGAGCCTCATTATCAATATTAAAAACTATTTAATGTATACTTCTTCCATCTTACAGACAGGCTATGAAGGTCAGATATCATTTTTTTTCTCACTTGACATGTGGAATCCTTGAAAGTCACCACCTTGTTCATCATCCATCTCTGAACATTGTCACAGGCCAGAGGTTGTGCCAGGCATGCACAACTGTGTCTTTAGTCATGTGTTCCAAGCACTGGCAACAGCATCTTTCATGCTAAACTTCTTTTGAAAACATTCACACCCATGCCTCTGTTCATGCTCTTAACAGGCTGTTCAAAAAAGTGTTTTTTTAATATTTGCTCTTTATTTATCTAAGGATACCATTGTCACATGTTTGAATTAATGAAGTCCTATATGGGAAAAAGTGCACAGCAATAAACATTTTTGATGAAAACTTCAGCTACAGGATGAACAGAACTGTTGTCAAGGACTAACAAGATCTTGCAGTTGTCATATAGTCCAGCTTCCCTGCATTAAGCATGAGTCACTGGTATAAAATGTTGGTTAAACCATCAGAAAATCTGTCCCTGGTGATTTATGCCTTTCTGGTACCATAATAGTGAACTAGTTTGAAATTTGCTTCTTGAAAACACCAAGGGCCCCAACTTTTGTCTATCATAAAAAGTTTATACTTACGCATGCCTGCTGCATTAGCACATCTCCGCACAGTTATTCTATCCTTGGCATCCTTCATTCCTATAGGGGCTGTCTTATAGGGGCTGTCTTATCAGTTGTAGTCAATATCTTTCTGGGACAATAATGTCAAAACAGTTATGTTTTGTCAGCATTATAGAGTTGGTCTGGCATCAGATTTTCATCAGCAATGACCTTTGCAAACTCGTCAGTGAATTTCTCCACTACTTCATGATCAACAGACGTTTTATAACCAGAAATCCTGAAAAATTTAATGCCACATCCCTTCTGAAATTTCTTCAACCATTCTATTAAATATTTATAGTTCCCTTCAATTTTAAGTTCATCATGACAGATCTTTGCTTGTTTCATGATAGCATAACATTAAGTGGTATATGTTCACCGTGATACTGATGGATTCACTCTTCCAATAAAAGATCAACATCTTCATTTCTAGCTTTATGCAGTGTTTCTATTTTTCATTAACTTTGTCCATCATTTTCAGCATAGAACTTCAACAATGTATACTTTTTTTCTTCAGGCCATATATGGTGGTAATTCTAATACTATCCTCTTTGTACGATGTTTCACACTTATACCACTGTCCAACTTCTAGAACAGCTTGACTTTCTGTGCTACAAATAAATATAAATGCTTCCTCTTTTTTTAACCTCTTTTTTACCATAATGATAGCTGCAGGTCTTTTTGACATTTTATACCCAGAAGAGAGAATAAGCAAAAAACCCACAGTGAGTCATGTACACAGGGCTTGGCTCCATGTGGCACATCGTAGTAACCCACCATGGGCACATCCAGCCTACACATGTACCTTTTTTTTTTTTACCCATTGTTGACATACTTGCAAAGGGGAATCTGGCTATACACAGAAGAGATATATCAAAACTGAAGGGGGTTGGGAGGGTAATTTTTCCTTTGGAGGCACTGAATATACTGTGCATTATGTGCCTCCATTTTGACTACGACCCATCCCATAAGGTCAAGTGTGGAATTTTCCACTTGTAGCATCATGATGTCTCTCAAAAAGTTTTATATTTTGGAGCATTTTAAAATTTGGATTTCTGTATTAGGGATGCTCTCTCTCTCTCTCTCTAGCTCTCTCTCTTTCTATATACACACACTCACACACACACACACATACACATACAGATTGGAATACATATATATTACAGCTAATGGAATATATACAGTGTGATGGTTACTACTGAGTGTCAACTTGATTTGATTGAGGGATACGAAGTGTTAATCCTGGGTGTGTCTGTGAGGGTGTTGCCAAAAGAGATGAACATTTGAGTCAGTGAGCTGGGGAAGGCAGATTCACCCTTAATCTGGTGGGGACAATATAATCAGCTTCCAGCCAATATAAAGCAGGCAGAAAAGCATGAAAAGGAGAGACAGGCCTAACCTCCCAGCCTACATCTTTCTCCCATGCTGGATGCTTTCTGCCCTCAAACAAGGGACTCCAAGTTCTTCGGTTTTGGGACTCAGACTGGCTCTCTTTGCCCCTCACCTTGCAGACAGCCTATTGTGGAACCCTGTGATAGTGTAAGTTAATAATAAACTACCCTATATGTATATATTAAATATATATATTTAATAAACTCCTATATATATACATATATATATATACATATATATATATATATATATATATATGTATATATATATATATATCCTATTAGTTCTGGCCTTTTAAGAGAACCCTGACTAATACATACAGCTAATGAAAAACAAGATGATTTCCATTAGCTTGTTGTTTTCCATTAGCTCATTGAGGGCAGAGACAATTTCTGACTTATTTCATTCAGGAGACTGTCTAAAATAAGACTTGCAGTTAGTTAAATACAATTAATGTTGCTGGATTAATGTATAATTGAATATCCAGTACAAGAGTTTCTAAAGTTTTATATAAATCAATTTATCTCCAGGAATAAATTTTACAAAATAAGCAAGACCTGTAAAAAATTGTGAAGCTCTATTAATAGATAACAAAGAAACTTCAGATTCTCTCCAAGGTGGCATGATTCAGCCTCCCATCCTAAAACAACCCTAAAACCTGGACAAAAGTATATAAAAAAGCATTTTTAAAGACACAAACATCAGGAAAAGAATGATGAAAAAAAGCAAACTTTAAATATAGATATTCCAGCAAGTAAAAATGATCATATTTGAAAAAAAAATCACAATTTTGCAACCTCTAATGAATTAATGGAGTGAAAAGGAGACAGTATGCACTTCTGTCAGGTCTTGTCCCTCAAAATAATTTAATAAATTGAATCTCAATCTAATCAACCTTCTAAATCTAAAGGGCAATTTATAGAAAATACAGAGGACATAGGGACACATAAAATAACACAACAAGAATATAATCAGCAAATCGAAGACTGGTAAACCCTGGAAGACCTTTTCCTCAAGAAATAAATTGCAAAGAAAAGAAAAAGAAACGGAGGAGAAACAAACTAAAAATTACTTCAAGGCAAATCAACCAATCAGACGTTACTTTCATCTGATCCAAACAAAACACCAAGCATTAAGTAACATTTATGAGATATTTGAAGCTTTTATGATATTCAGGACTTATAGTTAGTGTTTAGGTGTTTATAATGTGACTGTAGTTATTTTTTAAAATGAGTTCTTTTCTTTTAGAGACACATACTAATACATGCGAAAGTAGATATAAGATCTCTTGATTTTGCTTCAAAATAATATAGGGAGAGGAAAAATGGGTAAGGGAACACATAAAACAAGATTGAACTTAAACTGATAATTGTTGAAGCAGATTTGTCTATAATAAAAACAGGTTTCTTAACCATTATTTCTTCTTCATAGGAGGCTTCTAGAACTCGAGTAATATTCTATTTCTTGCCCTTGTTGTTATCTGGGCATTATCATTTCACAATAACTTATATATTATAAATTTAAGACATGTGCACTTTTCTAGCCAGGTGTGATAGTGCATTCCTGAAGCCCTGGCTCCTCAAAAGGCTAAGGCAGGAGAATCACTTCAGCCCAGGAAACGGAGACCAGCCTGAAAAACGTGGTGAGGTTGCATTTCAAAAAAAAAAAGGGGTGCACTTTTTCGAATGGGTTTTTACACTGAACTAAGGGATCCCCCTCTTTGGCTGTGTCTCTTCTGGGACTTTTCCCCTACTCTCTTACCTGCCCAGGCTTTTTCCTGCAGTTACTATGCTTTAAGGTTTTTCTGATTTGGCACTATTGACTTTTAGGGCCAAATAATTCTTTGTTGTAGGGTGCTGTCCTGTGTATTGTAACAATATGTAGCATCTCAAACTCTCACCTCCAGTTACACCAAAAATGTCTTCAGACATTGCCAAATGTTTCCCGTGGGACTTATTGCTTAGGTCAGAAAAATGTCAGCATTTATTTTGAAATTTTAGCTGCCCATGCAGCACACCTGGTGAGTGAGGCTGAACTTGGGGCAAAACCATACAAAGGAAGAAAGAAAAGAAATCACCTTCCTATTCCACTTGCTTTTTCAGGCTTTAACTCACCTCTATAAATTCCCTACTTTTCTTTACTTTTTAGAAACTTTAGGTCATTTGGGGTTTTTGTTCATTTGTTATGATTATTTTTGTATTTTTTTTCAAAGTTTATACTTGCTATGAACTACAGTGATGAGGTACAGGGAACTTACATTGCCACAGTGGAATTAAAACTTGGAACAGTCTCCATTCTCTACCACCATGCACACACATGCACACACACACACACACACAATAAGTGAGTATCTAAACTGACTAAAACGTATATATTTTTTATATCTAAAATTAAAACTTTACTAGATATATCTCAGTGTCAACATTCTGGATCAATTTTTTTCTGCCAAACATGGTGACACTTCAATATGTGGATTTTGTTAGCTCTTTTTAAAGATATATTAGAATTATCTATATATTCGTAATGTTCCATTATTTTTTTCCTTTGGAGACTCCAATTACACTTATGTTGGATTTCTTTGAATCTATATTCAATCTGTATCATGCTTTCTCATTTTTCACTCTTTCTCTAATTTCCACTTAATTGTGTTTGGTTTCTTATTTTTCTCATCCATTGGTTTCTCCAGTGTCTCTAATACCTTGTAGTCTTTCCAATTTCATCACTGTTATTTATCTCCTTTATTCTTTGGTTCAAGTAGTTCCTATTTAATATCCTCCTAGTGCTCTGGTTTCTCCTTCCAGAGGGTTTTTTTTTTTCATTTCTTCCTTGTAGCTTTCTAACACAGAATTTATTAACTCAGATTTTATTATTTTCATTCACATAGCTGATAATGCTTTTCAGCTACTCCGTGGTGTTCCTTTTCTGGTATTTTTTTTATCTATTGGCATGTTGTAATGCTCATTTTCTTCTTTATTCTTACAGTATCTTTGTATAAATTCTATTTTTTCTTTTTAAATTTTATTATCTTTGAATTAGTTCAATTTTCTGGATCAACTGTTCGCAAGAGTTTTCTTTGAAGGTGAAGATAGAATGGGCCAGATAAGCCATACAGACTTTACATACCAAATTCTCTCTTTTACCACTACTGTAGAGGTGAACTGCTTCCTGCATGTATGGATATATTGTGTGTGCGTGTGTGTGTGTGTGTGTGTGTGTGTGTGTGTGTTTACTGTAACCATACCTCTCCAACTCCCTCTTCCCAGATCAAGGAGGCCTTCTGCCATCAACCTTAATCTCGTTAGTTCCCATGCTTATTGTAAAAAAGTGACTAGCCAGGGTAATATTTAAAATATTTAACAAATAGTACAGAAAGGAAGGGAGCAGAGAAAGCCAAAGCAGCTGAAAGGTGGTTGGTGAATGTACTCAGGGAGCGTGGAACAGCAACTATTTACAAATCTACTCTGAATTATTGCAGGATTTTAATAACTAACACTATTATGTGCACTGAATAACATCAATGCTGAATGTAGTTTTTACACTTTATGGTACTCCCCTCAGCTTCACAAGAACACTTTCGCTGGGGCTTTTTTTTCTTTTTTTTTCTTTTTTTTTTTTGAGATGGAGTCTCACTCTGTTTCCCAGGCTGGAGTACAGTGGCACAATCTCGGCTCACTGCAACCTCCACCTCCCCATTTCAAGTGATTCTCCTGCCTCAGCACCCCCAATAGCTGGGACTAAAGGCACACACCACAACACCCAGCTAATTTTTGTATTTTTAGTAGAGACAGGGTTTCACCATGTTGGCCAGGCTGGTCTCAAACTCCTGACCTCAGGTGATCCACCTGTCTTGGCCTTCCAAAGTGCTGGGATTATAGGCACGAGCCACCACACCAAGCCTTTGCTGGGGCATTCTGAGATATTCTGCTAGTGGGCCCTTCTCTGTCCTCTGCTCTTAATCTCAAATATATATTCATATTATAATTTTCTCCTACATTCACTCAAGATGGAGTTTTTATAGGTTTTTTTTTTTACTTGTTGCTTTTTAAGTGTGCCAGGAAGAGAAGGAAAAATACTCTAATTTGTATTTTTCCGTTTATACCAAAAGTCTGAGTTAAGAAGTTCATTGTTAAATGTTCTGATATGACAGGTTTTTTGGTCATTTTTGTTATTTATTTCCAATTTTGTCACTGAATGATAAGAAAATGTAACCTAAATTAAAAAGGATTTTGTTTATATGCCATATATACCTGTTACATACCTTAATAATCCTTTTAAAATAATATGTGGTCACATGTGTTCTCTAATTTAAGAGCAGAATTACATATGTGCCCAGATTATCAAGCTTTTTTATGTGTTGTTCAAATTTTCAAAATCAGTATTATTTTTAATCTGCTTGACTTATCAAATATTAAAAGAATGGTGTTACGTATCATGATGGTGGATTGGTCAATTTCTTCTTGAAATTGTGTCAATTTTTCTTATGCATAATAAGATTTTTTTTTTTTTTTTTTTTTTTTTTTTGAGATGGAGCCTCGCTCTGTTGCCCAGGCTGGAGGGCAGTGGCACGATCTTGGCTCACTGCAAGCTCCGCCTCCTGGGTTCACGCCATTCTCCTGCCTCAGTGTCCCGAGTAGCTGGGACTACAGGCACCCGCCACCACTCCCGGCCAATTTTTTCTATTTTTTAGTAGAGACAGGGTTTCACCGTGTTAGCCAGGATGGTCTCAATCTCCTGACCTCATGATCCGCCCGCCTCGGCCTCCCAAAGTGCTGGGATTACAGGCGTGAGCCACTGCCCGCAGCCAAGATTGTTTTGATAGAGGTGCACACGTGTTCAAAATTGTTACATCTTTCTGATTAGTATTTTTATGTATAATTACTTAGCAAAATTTTCTCTCTATAATATCTTTTGCCTCAAAATCTATTCTGTCCAATAATTATAAAGCTACACAAGTTTCCTCTTAGGATTTATTTGCCAAGTATATTTTTCCCATTTTTGTTTTTAATTTTTCTGTTCCACCAGAGATGCAATGTAGTGCAGTGGGGAAGACAGCAAGTCTTGAGCTCTCAGACTTCCTGTTAAGTCCCTGCTCTGTCACTTTATAATGGTATTATCTGGGGGGAAGTTTTTTAACACCTCCATGCCTCCGGGTTCTCATTTTTAAAACAGAGATATTAACATGGTATATATCTGCCTTAATTTTATATTAATCTTCGTGTTTGTTTGCTGAAAGGACTCAAATAGTGTTTACTCACAAAATAGCTTTATTATGGGTAAAGGATACAATGCAACAATGGCAAAACAAAGGTATTCATTGAAAGGGGTCTGGAAATCTCAGATGCAGGCTTGTCTTCTCACTATGGATTGCACTGAATTGACTTGTTCTCCTAGTTTTGAATCACCATCAAAATGTATGCAAAGCATCTTGGTACCAACAAGCTCAAAGTCTGTTCATGATGGGGTCTGTTATAGAGAGGTGGTCACATAGGCACATTCCAGCTATGTGATCATCCTAAATTACAAAAATTACCCAGGTTGCACCAAACACAGATGCAAATCATCAATTACAAAACAGTGTTGACAAATTGATGCATCCACATGGTTATAGAACATAATTTATCACTAGTTAAAATATATTATAACATTGGCCAAGGGTGATTACTCCAGGTAGTTCTGGACATAAGCATGAGGTCAACCCAGCTGAATACTATGTCAAAAGGCTTTTGTGAGATTTGAAGAAGTTACAATTCTAAGCACTGTGCTTATTCCTAGGTAAATACTAGCTATTTTTTGTTATGCTTAAGGTGTGATTCTTATAATTGAATTTATTCTTTTTGTTATACCTGAGATTATTTGCCTTTAACTATAGAGTTTGCTCTTGGCTGGGTGGGTTGGCTCACACTTGTAATCCCAGCACTGAGGAATTACCCAGAATGCAGCACATAAACATAACAAGATTCAAAACAGTACAGACTAGACACATAGGGCCTAGAGTGAGAGTGAGGAGATGCAGTATTTGTTAAACAGGGTGGTAAGCCCAATATACAAAGATAATTTCTCAGAAGTGATGAAAGACAAGAACACTTATATTAAAAACAACAACAACTCATCGAGTCTCAATCAGGACATATGAGAATAAATATGTACCTGTAAATACTGTAATGAACTGCAAAATCACTAAAGATTAAAATAATTCTTCAAAGCAACTAAAGATAAAAAATGTATTACCTAGTCCAGTCACAGTGACTCACGCCTGTAATCTCAGCACTTTGGGAGTCCTCAGCAGACAGATCATGAGGTCAGGAGATCAAGACCATCCTGGCTAACACGGTGAATCCCCATCTCCTCTAAAAATACAAAAAAATTAGCCGGGCATGGTGGCACACACCTGTAGTCCCAGCTACTCGGGAGGCTGAGGCAGAATTGCTTGAACCCAGGATGTGGAGGTTGCAGTGAGCTGAGATCGCGCCAATGCACTCCAGCCTGAGCAACAGAGCAAGACTACTTCTCTAAATAAATAAATAAATAAATAAATAAATAAATAAATAAAAGCATTACCCATAAAACAACTAAACTTCTCAAGACAGAAAAAGACCAGATGTTGTAGATAAAATTGTGTCTCCCTCAGATTCATATGTTGAAGTCCTAACTCTCAGTACTTCAGAATGTGACCTTATTCGAAATAAGATAATTAAAGATATAATTGGTTAAGATGAAGTCTCCCTAGAGTTGCATGGTCTCCTAATCCAATGTGACTAGTGTTCCCATAAAAGGGAAAATTTGGAGACAGATGGGCACAAAGGAAAGACGATGTGAAGACAGAGAGAGAAAATGGTTATTCCTCAGACCTATATTCTAGTTCAGACCTTCTCCTTTTAGCAGCACCTAATCTGCTTTCAAGTGGTCTTTAAAAAATGATTACATTGTTTTCCCTAGGGATTATATTTGGTTATTTTTCAAAGATGCCTATTCTTTTTTCATAACACGTTGTACTTTTCAATTTATTTTGTGTTGATATGATCAATTTAAACATATTTGCTTTATAATCCATAACTTCTAATTCTGTAAAGTTCTGTGTGCCTAATTTTTCTTTATTATATATTTTCATATTAGATTTTTTCCTCATCTCATTGGTAACTTTTTATTGTGAGTTCATCTTACTGGAAATCATTTTCTCTATTGGTAATTGCATGTGGCCAGGAGTGTGAAAGTGTTCTCTCTGTTACTTCTACCAGGTAAATTAAGAGTATTACTCGTTCAAGATCATTTATTTCATTAATTTTATAGCTAGGAGCACTCCTGGAACTTATAAATAATACAAAGTAGTGTCACAAATCAATGCAGTTTTCTTTGTTCCTCAGTGTCTAGCCTGGAAAAAAAACTTACATTCTGCTTGGGCAAAGAAGTGTTTTTTAGTCTACATTTTAGTTTAGGTGTACTTCTAATTTTATCCAGAAGGTTTCCATTTTTGTCTGCCACTGTTGACCAACTTTTTCAAAACACCATGCACACAAGAATGATCACTGTTTTATAATTTTTACAATTACGTAGGAGTAGTAGAGAAGTGAATGTAGTGATGATAATATAACAGCACAGCAGATGACATAAATTAGACATTTAAAAAAGTATTTCAGTCTCTACCCACTGCCACCTCATTAAGAAATAGAAAAGTCTATTTTATTGAGACTCTTTGTTTTTATTCATTTATTAATTCATTTCTTTGTGCTGACAAAAATGTAAAATTCTTTCATTTTTATTATGAAATTGCTTATACCCTTCCGTCTTCTCTGCTAATTAAATTCTGGTTCTACCTTGGCACAATCAAAACCTTATTGAGTTGCTCTATGAACCCTTCTAGCTTTGAAATTGCAGGCTTTTCTCTTTATTATGAATTAAATCCAACTTGTCAAATCAAATAAAGTCTAATGTGAAAAATAAATTACTACACTTTAAGAGTAGTGGGTTAATTTTCATGTATATAGGTAGGTATTTAATCATTCCATGTTGTTATTTTGTTGAGATTTTGCTTTTGCTACAGCATGCTTTTTAGTGAGAGATACTTAAGTTTTCTCAAGAAGACTACAGACATATTTTCTAATACAATGATAGAGGTAGAGAAATGCAAATCAAAACCACAATGAGATATCATCTCAGACCAGTTAGAATGGCGATCATTAAAAAGTCAGGAAACAACAGGTGCTGGAGAGGATGTGGAGAAATAGGAACACTTTTACACTATTGGTGGGACTGTAAACTAGTTCAACCACTGTGGAAGACAGTGTGGCGATTCCTCAGGGATCTAGAACTAGAAATACCATTTGACCCAGCCATCCCATTACTGGGTATATACCCAAAGGAATATAAATCATGCTGCTATAAAGACACATGCACACGTACGTTTATTGTGGCACTATTCACAATAGCAAAGACTTGGAACCAACCCACATGTCCAACAATGATAGACTGGATTAAGAAAATGTGGCACATATACACCATGGAATACTATGCAGCCATTAAAAATGATGAGTTCATGTCCTTTGTAGAGACGTGGATGAAGCTGGAAACCATCATGCTCAGCAAACTATCACGAGGACAAAAAACCAAACACCACATGTTCTCACTCATAGGTGGGAATTGAACAATGAGAACACTTGGACACAGGAAGGGGAACATCACACACCGAGGCCTGTTGTGGGGTGGGGGGAGGGGGAAGGGATAGCATTAGGAGATATACCTAATGTAAATGACGAGTTCATGGGTGCAGCACACCAACATGGCACATGTATACATATGTAACAAACCACATTGTGCACATGTACCCTAGAACTTAAAGTATAATAGAAAAAAAAATATAAAAAGAAAACTTAAATTTTCTTATTTAAGTAGATCACATAAATTAATAATTAAGAGAAATTTCTAGTTTCCTTGGCCTACATGGCTTTATATGATATTCAATTATCTATCTTTAAAAATAGGTTTAATTTTCATTATTTTATGGTATTTAGGCAGGAATGCTCATGTCTGGTTTTCTACTATAAATACCCTGACTGTCATGTGTATAGGTGACTGTTCTGGATATTCTTGAACTCAGTATTAGGGCTTTCAAGCATCACGAAGGGCAAATCTCACTCTAACTATTCCCAGTGGGCCTCTGGCAAGTGGGTTAACCATGCATGGATGTTCTCCAATGCTACTGGGTTCAGAGCCAACTCAGAGGATTCTGCTTTCTCACGTTGGCCAATATGGGTGGTAATATCAACCCTGGTATTTTTCTGAGCCACAAGCATGAAACCAATCTTAACATTAATTGGCATAATAAGAACAAAAACTGTATCTGACCTCACAAAATTCAGCTTCACAAATGTAGGCTTTCCAAAATACAAAAATGACAAGTTGAGAAAAATCAAGTTTATTCAAGCTTGAAATTCAAAATTTTTTGTTGTTGTTAATATCTTTCGCTAGCAGACACACACATATGTATATACACAAAACTAAGAATATCAGTCCATTTTTATTTATTCAACATATAGTTTGCTGCATTCTATTTATTTATTACTAAACAGTTATACTAACACTAATTATATCATCTGACCAGAACCTCTAATTAGAAGCTTGATGTCTTTCGTTCATATGAGTGTAGAATTGATGATTATTTTAAAATAATAAGTAGATAAAATCTTCAAATATATAGTTCCAAAGTGACAGAGTGGTCAGATGTAACCAATTATAATTTGAGTCATTGCCATTAAAAATAAAGAAACTGTACATAATTCATACTCTGATAGTATAGTTATCATTGATACAACCCTGTTCTGTTCTATAGATGCTACTGCATCCCAATGCATAAGTGGCAAAGTCTTTATCCTAGGTCTTGGTCTCTTCATTCCTAAACTTTCTGTAATATTTCTTTGACTATAGATGTAGGTGTGCACACACACACACACCTCATTTTGCAGTATTTCTCTTCAATTTTATATCTGGCATATATCTCTATTTAGCCAATCATCACACTGATATGCAACCTTGGTTAGGTGTTTATATGTCTCACCGTACTCTGTTGCTTACCTTTGTTTCCAGCATCTATCCCAGTGCCTAGAGCACAATAGACACTCAATAAGTATGTTAAGAATGAGAGAATCTGTCCCTTCAACATTATTTTTTTCTTTTTAAAAGCAATTAGCCATCTCACCACTATACAAAAAGAGCACCTAGTTTGACCACTGAAAACTGCAAACATTTTGTCCTTTTCCACCCTGTCCGTATCAGGAAACACTCTTGAGTTGATAGTATTAACTACCACCTAGTGGCTAGGATGGGAACTATATGATTTGATATATGCTACCTGCCACCTTCAAGAGACTTGGGAGATTTAAACCTTTGGAAATAGGGTTTATCAATGACAGCAGGAGCAATAAGTAAACCCCAGCAGAATCTAATTTCAGCTCCAACAGTCACACACCTGAGCGCTCTTATTTTGGGTTTGGAGCATTTAATGCTCCTTTGGGATATTTGCATACAGCAAATATCAGACTTCTTAAATCCAAACCTCTCATCTCCCACTTACTATCTGAATGACTCTAGACAAATTATTCAGCATTTCTATATCATAGAGTTCTTCTCATCTATAAAATTGGAATGTACTATATGGCCCTTCATAATCGTAATATCCACATTGAGGATATCAATGTACTATATGGCCCTTCACAATTGTAATATCTACATTGAGGTTCTCGTGAAGAAAAGACATAATAACCCATGTGAAGATTATCGCAATATCTGCTTCTTAATAACTTAGTAACTGAGTATTGTTTCTGTATTGACCTAGTCTGTCTAGCTCAATAGTCTAGCTTCCTGGCTAGTCTGTCTTCCTTTGTAATCAAGGGTGTGAAACAATCTCTGATTATACTGCCTACTCATGAAATTTTTCTCCAGGTCGGGTCTTCATTTTCATTTTCTTCCTTTGTTTGAACTAGTGTCTGCTCTGGCCTTTCTGGCCCTGTCCTCTTTATAAGTCCAATGCATGTCTCAGTATCTCTTCTCCACAACCTACTTCTTTTCATTGAGAAGGTTTGTGTCTGCAATAATGTTCTTACATTTTCATTTATATCACAACAGAGATAATTCCATCTTGGGTACTATTCCTTGTCTATAAATATACTGCTCTGGCCATTTACTCCTTCTCATGTATCTCCTATTGTATGCTCGATTTATTCAGAAACACTTACCATCCTTTCTGCAAACTCATTCCTTCTGTCCTAAGGTATGGCTGATAACACATGTGTGGGCCTGTGGAAGGTTACCTGTATAAGAAAAGAGAAAGGTTAAACATTTTAAGTAAAGTTAGCCACAAATTCTATGAATGCTATCAGTCTTTGTGTATCTCCTTAAAAACCCACACAAACTTGCCATTTTCTAACTCTCCGTCTAATGAAAGTATACTTTTTCTTCAAGCACCAGTCTACAGGAAACTATTGTTGAATCTTTCTCATATAATTTCATTGTCAAAAACAAAACATGTTCTGCACATATTTACACTTCAGGTGTATGTTTTCTTGAATAAAGTAGGCATTTGTACTAATCTTGGAAACCTAACCACCACCTAAAATAGTGTTATTATAGGACAACGTTGGCCAAGTGAACTTATAGTAGACAACTTTCTTTTAAGTTAGGAACTGGATATAAGATGAAGAATATGATATCTGAGCTGAATTATTTGGGCCTAGTTCTGCCAGGCATGTCCTCTTGTTTTCCAAGTTAGACAGTAATTCAGTCTTACTTTAGTTTAGTTTAGTTTTGTTTTGTTTTCTCCTCCCTGGTGAAATGACAATGCTTTGAATTTTAGAATGATCAGAACAACACAATCAGATACTTTTTACTCAGGTTCCATTAACCAAGTAACTAAATATATTACTTTAGTGATGACAGTCTTGGGTTCATTGTGATATTCACTGTATGTTGGGCACTTGAAACATCACTTGTGGAGGTATTATATGTCTCAATAACAGGTCAGACTATGGGAATTCCTTAGTTTTTTGCCCTCAGTCAGGTAAGATAATTTGTTCTTATACATTTGGATGAAGGTGAAGTTACTCTCATTGATAACTGCAGTTGTACCAACATAAAGTTTCATTCCACTTGTTTCATTCTCAAGATGGACATTCTTCTACTCATCACAAACCAAGGTCTAAAGCTGTGAAAGGCTAGAAGTTAATTACATTTCCTTCTGAGTTTCTTCTGCTGTGGCTTGCTGGTCTTCCCTTGTTCTTCTTAGAATGCACTGGCAAAGGCTCCAGAACCAGGCATAAAGCAATCAGCCAGAGATCTGCACAGATCCTAAGAGAGAAGACCCTAGAATTTACAACATAAACTTCTTGACTTGCAACTTCTGCTTTGGAATATAATATGAAGTTTGGGAAGAGGTTTATTTTGTGATTCTAGATAAATTATTAAAATCATGAAAGGAAAGAAATCCTCAATGGCGGAACTAGAATCTTTGTGCTGTATTAGAAATGAATTTAGTCATGAGGTTTTGTGGTCTTAAACTTTTTTTTAAGTGTCTGAATTTTGTACCCAGGATTTCTTAATGCACACATGAAAGAAGGAAATTGGAAAAAACCTTTAATGATACTTCTATTAATATTCATGACAAGAGACCACTTCTGAGGTACTTATATTTGGTCCTTCAGGTCCTATTAGTCCACTGCCTACAATTTGAAGACTTTTTAAAAATGACTCTCCTTTCCTAAAATCACACAAAAATGGCTATATTTACATTTACCTGGAGACCTCTCATTATTTGGAGAAAAAAAATTCCCTTAAATTAAACCTGCTTTAGAAATGTTTAAATTTATGCACTCATGACATATATATTCCAAATGTCAGTCAAACTATGCACATTTACAAAGTAACCTGACCCTCACCCTCAAGAAGGGAGATAATACACAAACATGTGATAGAACCAGAAAACAATTATAAATCCATATAGACATAAGAATGAGATAACATGGTAGATCAGTAATCTGAATAGAGTATTCATTTGCAGAAAACAAACTGTAGAAAGACAGTTAAGTGGTATCCATGTCAATATTGGAATTTAGGAGAATTTAAGCACTGTAGAAAAGGGACAGCAGGAACTGTATATCAGTGCAACCAGGGAATAAAATTCAGAGCAAGATGTTACACTCAAGGAAAGAGTGAAAAAGTATTTCAGATGAAGATTCCATTAATTTATAGAAATTCCCCCCAAAATCAACTTTTTAAACAAGGAAAATTACCATTAGTTTCACTAGTTACCATTAGTAGCTAGAGATAATTTCATAATCAAGAGGGAAAATATTTCATATTGCAATGTTGTAGCCTACTCAGTACAATGTGATATATAAAGAAATTTTAATCCAGCAAATGTTCTTAAAGATTTAGGTAGGTTGGAGTTCTTGGCTATGTTAAAATCTAATACTAGAAAGAATTTAAATGTGAATATTTAATCTTGGAAATTATGTATTAAAAGACATTAAACTAAAGATGAGAGAAATATGCCAGGGCATTTTGAAAGTTAGACAGGGAATTGAAATTGAATCTTTTGGTCAATGATGAGCAATATTGACCAAATAAACAGAATCTCTACTAAGGTAAACCACAGCTGCTATCACTTCTGTTAACATAGCAACAGAGAATGATTAACCTAGCAACGAAGTTCTAAATAGCAAAGAAGGAGATATTGACTGATGAAAAATTACTTGGTATTCAAAGAGTTTTCTAGAACAGGAGCAAGTAAAATATCTGTTTCAATAGAGACAGATATAAAGATCTGGAGGAGACATTCTCACTAGAGCCCAGGGAAAGGCAACATATCATAGGAAAGTTCACTAGTTCTGATTTCCACTCATTCGATTTAAGGTCCTAATATTTAAAATATTGACTTCTCAAATCCTACAAAAATTATTGCTCCCACATTCCTCTTAGTGGGAGGCTTCTTTAAGGGCTATCTACCCCAATCCCCATCACCAACACTCAGAAAATGACTGCTTTATCTTTGCTTCACCTTGAATCCCTCTCTGTCATAACAGTATTGCACATTATTACATATTAACAAAGAATACATGATACTTGTAATAAATTGGGAGTTTCCTGGGGCCAATGTTCATTATATTTTTATTGCCTTAAACAGTGCCTGACATCTACTAGGTAGGAAAGAGGAAGTTTAAAGTTGATCTTGAACCAATATTAGCAGTTAGATGTCATTTATTATATACCTTCATACATCTTGGATTTCTTCTTCTTATCCCTTAACATATTTTTTATTAAATAATTGTCATTGTAAATATTTAATGATAATGAGTACCTTCCCCACATATCAAGATCCATGACAGCAGTGATGCTCTGTCCTGTTCACTTGTGTGAATCTATAGTTTCTAGGACAATTTAACAGAAGCTCAATAAATAATTGAGTGGACAAACAAATAAATGAATTGATACATGAATTCCCATGATACTTTTTATCTAACCACTGGTTTTTCTTAATTGACTCATATACATATCATATATATATATACACATTATATATATATATATATATATATATATAGAGAGAGAGAGAGAGAGAGAGAGAGAGAGTAAATTTTGCAGTTTAGGCCAACTGAATAAATTATGGCATTCGATGCAAAGTGAAGATATAAAGTCCCTTGTTCACAAAGCAGGAAAAAAGTGCCATTAAAAGTTATTAAAATACAAAGCTTTTTCTTTTATATTGTGCTTTTTCTGTTAAACCATCATGGTGTTTTTATTTGCTATTTAATGTCATTCTAAATAAAGAATAATTAAAGTTTTAAATTTTAACATGAATTTTACTGTTCATTTTTATATTGTACAACATCAGTTTTAAATGCAAATATAAAAACATCCAATTGTAAGTAGAATCATTGAAATTATACAATTCCTATTTTGTAGTTTATACATGCATATGCACTTGGTTCTTACTAGAACAATATAAACCCTGCACAAAACTAACTCACCTGTTTTCATTTCATTTCCTGATATGCACACATTGTACTCACACTCTCTACCTTCAGTTTACCCATGAGTAATGAAGGAATGAAAGAAAAAGAAACTGTGGGTTTGCCCTATCTCTCTCTTTCCTTCTATAACATAGCAGCTTCCATAACACACTTAACCTTGTATTTACTTTGAGTCTTACTGAAACCCCATGCCTCATGGATTCATTGCAATTCTGTTGATGGGGCATCAAAAAGGCTCTTTACAAATGGATGGCAAGGAACTGTAAACACACATATTGCTCATACCTTCTCTGCTCATAGGCATGCTCCATTAGCCCAACAAACTTCAGTTACAAATCACAAGTTTAAAAAAAATTATTAAGAATTTTAAGATGATAACAACAGAGCATTAAACCAAGTACAGGGCCTTTCTGAGGACAGAAACTTGTGTGACCTAAACAGATTCTATATCCATGAAGCCAGCCCTGCAAGGGCTGTTGTCTTTTAAACAAGCCCTGTAGTCTTTTAAACAACAACCACATCAATCTAAATAAGCTAAGTGGTCAAACAAAATTGTCTTGTAAAAGTTTTTAGTATCAGAGGGCAGGTGACTTAAGTTTTCCTTAGGTTGAAGACCAATTGTTGATTAGTTTGTGCCCAAAAATAATACTTTCAGACTGTAAAAAGAAATGCTAATAAGGTGATTGCCAAGAATCTTGTAAATTTGAAACTTGTAAAGATACTCTTTGTAGTAATACAATCAGAAAAAAGGCTCTCTTACAGATATATTCATATCTAAAGTAAAGAAAGGTTTTCACATTATGGGATGGCTTCATTAGTGGATTCATTCATTCATCATTCATTCATGATGTGCAGAGTTGCAGTATTAAGATGTATTTCATACTGTGGGTCATCATTACAAATGCCATTGTCATAAAAATCTGTATCCTCAGATGAAGCCTATCATTTATAAACTCAGGAACCATCTTTCCAAAGTATAACACAGCTTAATTTCAGGACAACCACGTCACCTAAGTAATTCTGAAATTTTTTTTCCACAAGTATTGCCTTACAAGTTTAGATTCACGTGGAAGACTATGTTCTCCAAGGTTTGTGAATAATGTACCCAGTACTTTTAACATTTTCACTAGCCACCCAAAGACTGAACATTTAGAAACAAAGAAAGGAAAAACACATTTATTTATTTCTATTATCAGATTTAATCCTCACAATAATTTTTAAGATGAACAGTATCAGCCCTTTTTTATAGGTAAAAGAAGTTGAAACTCAAAGAATTTAAGTAATTTGCCAAAAGTCACATATCTCATTTGTAGCAAAATAAGACTTAGAACCTAGGTTGCCTGTACTGAAGTCCATCCAGCATTTAAGTCTCCTGAGGTGTTATAATCTTATTTAAAATACTAAAAAGATTAAAATGAAACAGAGAAATGACATAACTGATGCACAAAAATCAAGGATTGATTGTGTTACAGTCTAGTGAAATATAATTTAATTTTAGACTCCATTTTCCCACTGAACCATACCATAACTAATAGGCAATATTCTTTTGTGAATCAGAGCCTCAACATTTGCGTTTTCTTGTGGTTACATTTTAAGAAATTATGTGCAATGTTTTGATTTCTTTGTACCCACAATCCAAGCCACTCAAAAACAACAAAATTCCACAAAGGAGGAGGAAAAAATAAATCTTAGAGAATTTGGAAAGAACAGTATCAACTTTTTATAGCAATCATAAGAAAATCATCTACATTGGTATCAAATATCAGGTTTCCAGCACAGGAAAAGAAAACTGGAGTACCTGCCATTTTAAATTACTCCCTGTCATGTTTTTATTCCTCCTTTTCCCCTGGGATGTTAACGTCTTGAAGAAATATGTGTGTGCTCTGAAAATATTTCCTGAAGTCAGTGGATTCCATATGTTCCTAGAGAAACAAATTATTCACTCCGTGGGTCATTCCCGACGACATTTAGATCTTCTAATCAGTACATTTAGGCCCTATGCACTTTGTATTTTCAGAGCTCTCTTATATAGACCTAGATAGGACTCATGAAATATTTTCATTGACTCAAACCCTCCTTTTATCTAAAAAATCACACAGGAGCACACATACATACACTCTTTCTACATATTACACACTGAGAGACACGCAAATGCATCTTCTTTATTGTTTAACTACGTTGGACACTGGTATAAGAAAATTAGATGGTTTTTTTTTTAACTGAGTAAATAATAGTTCCAAATCCAAAGAAAAACTAGAAACATACAGGAACGTACACTCAATATCTGTAGTTCATAGACATAGTTGATCAGAAGGAGAAGGGCAAAAATAATAAATGACTAGAGATTGTTTTTATTTGATTTCTGTTTGTTTTATTTTTCTACAAAAAAATAAAGACCAAGAATTGGAGTTTAACTTTTGCTTTTCTTTGGGAAAAAAAAAAAAAGTGCAGTGCTTGAAACACTTTCTTCATTTGGTTTCAAGGCATTGCTCTCTTTTTGTTATTTAAAATCCCCTTAATGATTACTTCCTTATTGTCTTACTTTGATGTTGAAGTGTCCTCAGATTATTTCACTGGTCCTCTTCTTTGTTAACCTTAGAAATTTCATTAATATCCTGGGCTTCTATTGCCAGTGATATGCTATAAATTCCCAACTGTATATCCCATTCATTTATTGTACACAGCTTTGTTGATCACTATGTCCCAGACATTTATGTTAGCTGAAATAAAATAATCATGGTCATCACCATCTTGAAACTTAAAGTAGAGTACTACAGCCACACACTAAATATGTAAATACGCCAAACAAGTAAGTAAATAAATAAGAAAAATTAAATGATATAGAGCCATGAAGAACAGGACATAAAGAGAATAAGGTAGGAGAAAGGAAAGTCACTAAGGAATTGACATTTAAGCTTAGATCTAGAAAAAAGAAAGATCCAATATAGCTATGATCTGGGAGAAAATTGGTCCAGGGTTTCTGGCCTGGAATCTCTCCATTCCTAATATCCTCCTGAGCTCTGAACACACTCCAACAATTGCCTACTAGACAGTTCATTTGAGTAGCCTATAATTTTCTTGATTTTAAGAGGTAAAAATATAATTTCCTATACAAACGCAGTTGTCCTGCTACTCCTTGCTGCTATTTCCATCTTGGTTAAAAGGCACTACCCAAGCTAAACATCTCGGAAGTCTTGGCAAGAATCTTCCTTCTCCCTCACACCTTACATTATTCCACACCAAGTGTTGTCCATCCTGTTCCTCATAGAAGGTACTTAATGAGTGTTTCTGGCTAAGGAATGAATGACTCAATCAGGAAGTGAATGAATGGAAATGTTACTGGGCTTCTGATTCTTGATGAGAAAAACTTCTAAGCACCATCAACAAATCTGTCTTAATAGCAGTAGTACATGTTTTTTCTTAATTTAGGATGTATATCCTGCCTTTCAAAGGAGCTTAATCTACTTTTTGTTGAACTCATCACAGTCTTGAAGACCTGTAGGAAGAAACTAGATTCCAACGTGCCACCAGATCTCACCCAGCCTGAAATCAGGTCTTGGTAAATAAAATTTACTAGAGCCTCTGTTTTTTTTTTTTTTTTTTTTTTTTTTTTTTTGAGATGGAGTCCCGCTCTTTCGCCCAGGCTGGAGTGCAGTGGTGTGTCTCAGCTCACTGCAAGCTCTGCCTCCTGGGTTCACGCCATTCTCCTGCCTCAGCCTCCCGAGTAGCTGGGACTACAGGCGCATACCACCACACCCGGCTAATTTTTTTGTATTTTTAGTAGAGACAGGGTTTCACCGTGTTCGTCAGGATTGTCTCGATCTCCTGACCTCGTGATCTGCCTGCCTCGGCCTCCCAAAGTGCTGGGATTACAGGCGTGAGCCACCACGCCCAGCCAGAACCTACATTTTTATTTTAGGAAGTTTTGTTCCTGGGAAGAGCATCAGAAAAAGAAAACGATGCTCATCTTTTCCTCTCTTTTACTACCTATACACAGTGAATTCATAGATTTATACTCCTGCCCATACATCTTTCCTGAAGTACTCCTCTACAGAATTGTATATCCAACTGCCTACTCAGCATTTCCATTTAGATGTCTAATTTACTTCTTAAACATAAAACTCCAAAATGAATTTCTGATATTCTTCCCCAAACCCTGCTCTTTGAACAGTCTTTATCATATATGTTAATAACAAGTTCCTCCTTCTAGTTACTCAGGACAAAAACTTTCGAGTCGTGCTTAATTCCTCTCTTTTCCTTATATTCCATATCCAATCCTTGAGAAAATCTTCTTGGTTCTACTTTCTAAATGATTCCAGAATCTGATCCGTTATAGCCATGACCATCTCTACCACCTTATCCTAAATTGACATTGTCTGCCTCTCGGATTGTTGCAAAAATTTCCTAAATGGTATCTCTGTTTCACACTTTTTCCTTACTTCCTTTCTCAAAAGAGGCCAGAGAAAGACTTTCTGCTCAAAATGCTCCAATGGCTCCCTCTTACCTGGAGTAATATCCTAAGCCCATACAGTGGCATAATAGGCCCTCTCTGACCTGCCCCATTACTCCTTATGCATCAACTGAACTTGTACCCCAACTTGGATCTGCACATCCACTGGTCTAACTGAAGCTTCCATGCCTTGTCAACTTTTTCACAGTGCTCCCTGGAACTCATGGGTTTGTCATCTCAACAAATGCTGTATTCTCAACCTCTTCTCCATTGGTCACTTTGCCATATTAGATCCAGCATAACTTGTATGCCCCTCAATTGATGGCTTTTTCTCCCACTCAGCAAGATGAGCTATGTATTCTTTCTGCCCTTTATGGCTACTTCTGTAATAAGTATAGATAAATATTTTTTAAATATATCATTTGATGTGGGTTTATTTTACTTAAAATAAGTGTATATAATATATAATACAATTTTGGTATATGAAAGATTTTCCCATCTATTATTTTTTCCCAAGATTGTTGAATACCAAAAGACTAGGAAATGTTAGTATGCATTTGATATTATTTGTTCTTGGCTTGTCATGTGTAATTGTGTCATATGAATAGGTCCAAGCCAAGCAGAGATAACTTAGCAGTGTAAAAGTAGCATGACAGCTAAGAAAGATTATTTAAGGTCACATAGGATGGCCAATTGAAATTTTTGTTTGTCAGTCTTGGGGTTAATCACAGTGGCATAACACTGATTTTACTTAGCTAATCCACATCTCTTCCATTTTCAGAGAAAACTAAGCAGCCACACCTTGTTCTTAGAAAATATTTAATAACTGAGAACTAAAGTGAGGTTGAAATGTCAAATAATATTTCTCATAATAAAAATAAAGCACTGGGACCGGCTCACGCCTGTAATCCCAGCACTTTGGGAGGCAGAGGCAGGCAAATAACTTGAGGCCAAGAGTATGAAACAAGACTGGCCAGCATGGTGAAAATCAGTCTCTACTAAAAATACAAAAAGTAGCCAGGCTTGTCAGTGCATGTCTGTAATTCCTGCTATTCAGGAGGCTGAGACATGAGAATCACTTGAACCTGGGAGATGGAAGTTGCATGGTTGCAGTGAGTGGAGATCGCACCTCTGAACTCCAGCCTGGGTGACAGAGTGGAGACTCTGTCTAAAAAAAAAAAAAAAAAAAAATCATTGGACAAAAGGCAAAAACAACACTGGATATTGTTGAGTCAATTAAGTTATTATATAAATTCTACCACTAAATTGCCATAAGAAAAATAAAACCTGTCCTTTTAAATTTGTCTGTTTTTGAATTCTAACAATATTTTTAATCTCAATAGTGATTTTAAATAATAATAATTGAAGACAAGAATAAATCCTTTCTTTGAATACATTAGGCATAGGAAACGCTGACCTATACAGACAAAACAGAATTCCCTCATTCAACCAAAATAATTTGAGTATCAAAACACCACAATAAGCACTCAGAACTACCCCATCCTTGCCCATGCTAAAATGACACTCTAGTTCTTTGGATTCATCATCAGAATATTAAGAGATAAAAGTGAATATACTTATTAAACATCTATTGTGTAGATCTCTGTGGGCTTTTGGAGCCATAAGACAATTTAAGGAAGAGAAATAATTTAATTAGGCTTGAATAATAAATAGAAAGCTAATGAGGCCTCAGGAAGTAGTCTAAGAAGTGTTCTGCTGTGGTAAATACAGTTTTTTCAAAATCACAAGACTTTGGGTGCACTGAGAGTCATACGATTTTTGCAAGCCTGTTAACCTTTCTGGACTTTCTCCTGTGACCAAAAGGGAAAAATAATCCTGATTATCTCTTATGATTACAAGGAGGATCAAATGAAATAATGCCTGCAGAAGTGCTTTGGGAACTACAAAGCACCATGAATATGCTCCAGCTGCTTTTAGTGGGAGAAATGATGTGAATCAAGACCAAGAGGCCACCATGAGCCTGGTATACGGAAGGGGATTAGGTGGACAGTAAGAAAGCTAACTGGGTTGGAATAGAAGACTTATTGGGAGTGATGTAAAATCCAGTTAGATAGATTTAATTAGGGTCAAATTATTTTATTTTCAATCTTAAAAAGATGTTCAAAGTAACTTTAGTAAGCAATGTAAAAGCACTCTCAAGCTCATGCAGTTGGGGAGAAGGGGTCAAATCAAATCAAATATTGTTCTGGCAAAACCATGCAGATGAATTGAAAGAGGAAGAACAGATCAAATAATAAATACCTATGACATTTCAGAAGCTATTTGATAACAATCTGTGCTAGAATATTGTCTAAAGGTTAGGTCTGAAATGCTTTGTGAAGACTGAATAAAGTTGGCAAGTAGCTGACTTGCTAAAGTTTGATATTCCCCAGTTCCATCCATGTTGCTGCAAATGACAGGATTTCCTTTTCTGTGGCCAAATAGTACTTCATTGTGTATATATGCAATATTTATTATCCATTTATCCATTGATGGACCCTTAGATTGATTCTACATCTTGGCTGTTGTGAATGATGCTGCAATAAACATGGGAGTGCAGCTATCTCTTCAATATACTGATTTTCTTTCTTTTGAATCTCTACCCAGCATTGTAATTGCTGGATTTTCAGTTTTTTTGAGGATGAAGAGGGATTGGTAAATGCCAATACAATTATATAGACAGAATAAGTTCCAATGTTAGATACCACAATAGGGTGATTATAGTTAAAAATAATTTATTGTATTTTTCAAAATAACTAGAAGAGAAGATTTGAAATGTTTTCAACACAAATAAATAATTAATGTTTGAGATGATGGATATCCCAATAGATTATTTCACACTGTATACTTGTATCAAAATATCACATGTACCCCATAAATGCGTACAACTATCATGTATCAATACATAAATAAAGTCAGATGTTCCAAAAGGGTACTTAAGATTACATATTGTTTCTATGCAGATGAACAGAAATGGAATATGGGAAAATAAAATTATTTGAAATGCTTAAGAAATCAGAGAGTCCAAAAGATAGGGAACAAGGAGAACTGGCAAAATAATAAGATTTGTTTCATCACATTGAGATACTTGGAAAAATAAATGTAAAGTTTAGGTAAAATAGAAATATTGACTTCATGAGTATAGAGTTGATAATGGGAATGTTAAGAAATTTTGACTCATTTGTATGAGACAGGGAGACATAGGATATGCCTATCTATGTTTTAGGGAGTTTCTTAATGCTTAAGAAATAAATGAAAGGTGAGAAAGAGAGGACAGTAAGTAAAATTACTACCACTACTTTTTCAGTTATTTTAGTAAGTTTAAATATTTTAAGGTATTAAAATAGATTAAATACTTTAAGGTTAAAATAGATTAAATATTTTAATACCTTAAAATATTTAATAATAATTACTAATTAAATAAAGGCTTTGAATGATTCTTTAGAGGTATGAAACAAGTTGTAATACCATTGTTTAGTGTGATATTACAAGTTGTAATATCATTACATTACGTTTAATGTCACTGTTTAGTGTGCTTGTAGGCAAAGAGAAGGAATCAGAGAAAACAGGAAATTGAAGAAAAAAGTTCCCAAGAGGAACTGACTGAAAGAATAAGCTCAAAGAATTTTTTTTAGGATACGATTTTTTAGGTTAAAAGTTTCCTATTCCTTCTCTTTTTTCCTGCTAAATAATGCCATTTTTTTTCACAATGGCAGCTTGAGGTGGAAGGATGCAATAGAGGATGAAAAGCAAGCACTGCGATTCTTAGGAGAATGCTACAAATCTCCAATGGGACCACTGCTGATTGTGGAAGTTAGATGACCTTACGGCCCTTGGTGAGGTCAAATTTGTGACTCTTTCACAAAGGATAAGATATTTAAGTGGGAGGAAGACTAATTTGTATTGAATGCTTATTAGACACCCAGAATTATCCTAGCTGCTTTACATATATTTGAGCAAGATAGGTAGCACTATTATTCTTTGAAGAGCCTCACAGAAGTTAATAATTGGCCAAAGGTAGAATAGCAAGTAGCAATACAGGGATTTAAATGTGGACATGGGTAAATCCAAAGCCTGTGATCTTTCCCTGCTACACTCTTTCCCTATCTGTAAAATGAATACTTGAGACTAGATGTTCTCTAAGATTCCTTCCAACTCTAACATTCCTTCCACCTCTGTTGCGCCAGTACTCTATTGGGCAAGTTATCCTACTCTTTCATTACCAATGAAGCAGGGTTCCAAAATGAGCCCTTTGACTAGTACTAACAATGCCTGCTCTTCCCCAACTTTCTCTTCTTCTTCTTGAACTCCTAATTGCCCCCATTCTCATACTTGTCTAATTTAAAAGAGCATCCTTAATTTAGTAAATATGTCATATTTAGTTTTGAAAAAAAAAATTCCATGTCTGAATCTTTGCCTATTTTCTGAAAAGCATTAGCAGAGTTTAGATGTTAAACAAGAAATAAACCAGATAGCAGTAAATATGTGTTGGGAAATTCAGGTGGTACTATTTCCTCTTTTACTTCAGAGGTATAGAACACCTGAAGTGCAGCTTTAGAAATTCTGTATTGCTCAACCAAGTTTTTTAAATGATTCATACCTACAAAATGACAGCAGGTTTGAAGAGCCCTATATGAGAATCTGTGCTAACCTTTGCATTTTACAGAGGAAATAACCAAGGCACAGAAACATTAAGGCGATAGAGTATTCAGCAAATGCTTGGGTTTGGAAATGAGACTTTCGGGACTAAATCTTGGCTCTTAGTAGCAATGATTTCCAGGTCTAATTCTCAATCACCTCATCTGTAACATGGGGATAATTATGGTGCAGAGTTGTTGAGAGGATTCAATAATTTAATGTCTATAAAGCATTTGGCCTAGTGCCTGGCCCAACATAATTACCCAATAAAAGTTACTGTTATTACTGCTATCATCTTCATCATCATCAATATTACCCACATCATCATTTGCCTCCTTGTTATTCAGTGCTAGTCAAAGGCAACATTGGAACCCAGGCCTCACGAGTCCTATCTCATCATACTTTCACTCTAGTTTCAAGGCATGCTGCAGAATTTCAAGTTCATGATTCTGAACAGGACCACAGCTTGAAAAATGCTTTCTTCTTGCGGACCTCTTTCAACACCAGAATTCTGTTTCAGCAAACACCACCATGTACGTACTTTCCACAACCCCACCCTAGCACGGTCGATTAGGATAAATGCCCTGATAAAAATGCACTTATAACCCTTCATCACAGATAGCAATATTACAGAGCTGGGACAATTAAATACACAATCATTTGGAGGCAAATTGAAGTTGATATTTTTCATCAGTCTGGCTGTTTGTGACATAACTATTCTTTAATCTTTTCACATTTCTCAGATAGTAATAATGATAACCTCCATTTGCACAGCACTCTATGGTTTATAGAAAAGCCTTCACTTGCATTTTTCCATTTGATTACCACACATTGCTATGCAGTAGACAGAGTAGGTATTATTATCCTCATTTTATAGGTGAGGACATTGAAGCTAAGATGTGATTTTCTCAGGGCCACTAGGCTAGTAAGTAGCTGGGCCTGCTCTCAAACCCCTGAATCCTGATTCTCAGTACATATGTGCTCTTCCTACTACAGAAAGCAAACTCCCTTGAGCTTGGTTTCTGACATACATAAACAATTGTTTACAAAATAGTCAAAAAGTGACTCTTATTTTATCAAGTTCATGTAGGAAAGAGTTGCTAAGTGAATTCTAAGGTGATTGAAATGCACTAGCATCTTGTGAAGTAAGTTAATAGACCTATAGAAATAATCAGCCTGGCCTTCTGGAGGGTCAGTAGTTGCTCTCTTGCCAGGGAGAATTCGATACCTGTGAAGATAGGGCTAAAAAAAATCTTTCTTTCAATTTTGGAAATACATATTATAAACTTTCTAGTAAAAAAAAAAAAAAAAAAAAAAGATGAAGGAAAGAAAACCTGACAGAACAAGCAAGCAAGGAACGATCATCTTTCTAAGTTGTTATCATGACTTCTGTGCAACATCTGATTCTGCAATCTGTCATTTCCCAAAGCCAAGAAATGAAGAGACAGTGGGAGTCAAGTCCCTTGAAGAAAGCAATGGAGTTGTTGGGGGCTTTGTTCCCTTCTTTGTGCCAAATGGGATGGGTCTCTGGCAGCAACACTTTGAATAAATTGTGAAAACAGTTCTAAGGGCCAAGAAATTACTTCATAAGGGAGAGGAAGGGAGAAAGAGAAGGAGGCGCTGGATCCCCGGGGCAATCAATTTCTGTGCTGTGGTATGAGATTTGATTATCTTTATCTGATTTGCATAACTTCAAATGCTATTGGTCACAAAATACTCTGAGTTTTTAAAATCTGTGACTCACTTTTTAACCTGGGGACCTGTCTCTATATACTGGTTGTGAGTTCAATTTCCTCAAGTAATTCACGATGAATTAGCTCCACATTCCCTAAGAGTATTATCTTTTAAGTAGCATTCATTTTCATTTCTGAATTGTGCAATTCTGATCCATTTTTCAATATCAAGCTAAAATGATAATGCAGGTTATAGCAAATAAAATGTTGAATTTGATATAGTAAGATTTGCATTGAGGTCCTGGTTTTGCCATTAACTAATTGTATGACATTGATCATGTTATTTTCACCCCCAAGGAGCTCAGTTTTCTCCATTGTTCAGAAAGAAAAAAAGTCATTTTTAATTTCTAAGGCTTTCATACATTCTAAAATTTTATGAATTTCTGACTTCCAAACAATCCACAGGAATTCCCATGGTGCCAAACCCTGAGGTAGTATTTCTAAGTAGAGCACATTCTCCTTATACTCTGATAGGACGTGAAAAAGTCTAGAATACACAGGAAATTTAGCTAAAGCCATGTTTTATTTTAAACTTTTTCAACAATTAAACAGAAACAAAACCAGTGAAGATTTTATGTATTTGTTCATACCGTTTTAATTCACAACATATAAGAATATTTAAAATACAGAAAAAATAAATCGTCAAAAAAGTAAAATAAGAGAATGTTGAGTAGAAAAGAACATTAAGCATAAAGGAAGACAGAGCAAAGACTTGCCTAGGTTGAAAGGTCTTATGTAGTTGCTAACATCATTCTTCATGTGAGTACTCAGACTATGTTTTCTACATGCTTAAATATCACAAACTGTTGTATGGGGTAGTAAAGTTATTTTCAAGATCATCTGTTCTCAAATATTTGTGACCTTTTCCTGCAAAATATCTATTTCATCCAGAAAAAGTCCTATCTGTCATACACCCTCAAATTTCCTAGGATGCAGATAATATTTGAAACATTGTAACTGGGCAATTCTACATGCCTTATGAAAAGAATATATCCCATATACTTTTTAATGCATATGTCTGATTCATACTGAGGTGATTCCAAATCCAATCTTTATTGAAATAGTTTTCAGTATATACCTCCCAAGTGTATATTACTTTTTGATTCCTGTGATTCTACTGCCAATCCAGAAGGTACAAATCAGGTAAAAATTTGATGGTCATCTGGTGGGGATTTTAAAGAGGACATTCGTGCTTTGGGTAGACTCTTGCCTCTTTTGTAAAAACTGGAGAAAACTGGGTGGGACTTCAACCTTGTGGACAGCTCTCAGACATGAGATAGAATCCAGCAGCCTGAATGGATCAGATTTGTTTTGCAGAGCACTGGACAGCAAATGTAAGCCAAAGAGCCAGCATTATTATAATCACAGGGATTACCAGTGACTATCAGAGGAATATTATTGAACAGAAGATGCAAGAAACAAATGTTAAGACATAGACAGGAAATGAGGCAAAAGGTCAGGCGCTAAAGAGATTATGACACAACTGGGTCTGAAATCAGAGTGAGAGGTGGCATGCAGTGAAATGTTTATGATAGTGCTACTTTGGCTGTGAATGAATGAAGCAAGTCTTCCAGAATCTTTATCTTTTTGAATGGTGGGTAGACTGGTCAGATTAAAGGAATATTAGGCTGGATATTTCCCCCTACAACTATCCAGTAGAGAAGGCATGTAGGTAGAATCTTGCACCAAGAGAAAAATGCCAAACCCTCTTCAAATGTCCCAGGCCCTTTTGAAGCCATCTTAGCACCACTGCGCGGGCAGAACTTGTAATAGCATTCTGAGATCACTCAATAAATCAAGCGTAAGATATCTAAAGGAGAAGAATTTTTGTAGATGTTATTTTAATTTTGTTCTCATATTAAACTCATGGATTCAGTGGTGTGCTACAGCCAGGTCACACTGGCTCATGGCAATCCATAGCAATCCATGGCAGCACATTTTCTTGTGCTGGAGCATGAGAAACCAACACAAGAAAATGCGATAATTTGCTTATTCCTATTGCTAATAATAAGGTCCTTGTTCTCTGAAACAGGAGCCTTATGCTTTTCACCTCTTCCCAACTTCTTGGTCAATGATATCACATTAGTTGCTTGATATTGACTGTGTTGGAAGTATTAGCATAAAAAATACCAAATGCCAAAAATCAAAGCTTTTTAGTTTTGGAGTCAGAGGGTTTTTTATTAACGTTTCAGTTTTTGGTGAAGCGGTTGTTAAATATTTCTTAGTAAAACGCTACTGAAAGGTAAAGTCATTTCTTTATGGCCTTTTATTGGTCTTTTAGGCCATTAATATGGTCTAAAAATGGAAGAAATGTGTCTTCCAGCTACATATGGTGGATAGAATACATGAATTTATCTTTCCTCCTTTCTGAAATCACACACACACACACAAATTTTCTAAAAACACACAGCAAATAGATGGTAGTAACTTCCCTAGCAAAGTAGAGATGGCAAACCCAACCATACTCAACCTACAGATTGGCCTCTTTCTGCTACCTGGAGTCCTGTTGACAGTACATTTAATTAAATGCTTTATGAGTCAAATTGAACAGATTTGATTCTAGATTCCGTTGGTCATATTAATTAGAGTGGCTGGTCAAATTCCCTACTCATAGGGAAATTCGACAGAAACCAAAATGGTGCAGAAAAGGAAGTGGATATTAGTAGGAGACAATTCTCCATGTGTCTCTTCCATTTTTCCATTATCTGTGAGCAGAGGCACTTTCTGTCACTTTTCCAGACTATCTTTTGAAGGATGCTTGTAAAACAAAAAGCCTTGGAAAATAGAGATGGTGTTTTCCACCAAAGGAAAGGGAAGGTTTGCTTACTGTCTTGTATGATAGAAAATAGGTCTATCTTCAGAGTAAAGGACACAAATGGTTATTGCCCATGATAAAAGATTCAGGTTCTCTATCTCAGGACCCATTGCCTTTAATAGGTATGTGCAGGCCTTCTTCGTTGTGCTGCTTTTGGAAACTGGGGCATGAGAAACCAGCACAAAAAAAATGCAGATAATTTGCTTATTGCTATTGCTAATAATAAGGTCATTTTTCTCTGAAACCGGAGGCTTACGCTTTTCACCAGCATCCATGAAACTTGGCAGACTAACTTGTTAGCTTACAAGCAGTGTAAAATATCAAATGAGATTTTAAAAATAATTAAGAATAGTTTGCGGCCGGGTGCGGTGGCTCACGCCTGTAATCCCAGCACTTTGGGAGGCGGAGGCGGGCGGATCACGAGGTCAGAAGATCGAGACCATCCTGGCTAACACGGTAAAATCCCGTCTCTACTAAAAATACAAAAAATTAGCCGGGCTGGTGGTGGGAGCCTATAGTCCCAGCTACTCGGGAGGCTGAGGCAGGAGAATGGCGTGAACCCGGGAGGCGGAGCTTGCAGTGAGCCGAGATCCCACCACTACACTCCAGCCTGGGCAACAGAGTGAGACTCCATCTCAAAAAAAAAAAAAAAAAAAAAAGAATAGCTTGCTTGTAAAAACTGTCTTAACAGACTTATCTCTGTTAGTTGTCTTCAAGTGATAAGTGATACTTACATTTATCATAGACTTGGGAAAACTTAAAAGGGTGGACTAACCAATCTATGCTTCATGTGTTAGTTTTCTATTATATTTTAGATACCAAAATATTAGCTTCATATAACTTCACTTTAAAAAGCCTATACATACTTACTAAAAGTAAATTCATTCATACCTAAAGATACATAGAATGCATTATCTCTCTCCTAAACCAGATATCCTCGTAGTTGATAAAATTTGGGCTTAGAAATCCTATTAACTCTAAGTTTCACTTAAGTTATCCTTGATTTCTGCTTCAATTTATAACTGATTTTTATTTATGTCCTCAGGATGTTGCAAACCTCAAATGCTACTAAAAATTTAAAATTAAATTATATTGGTGTATTGTTTTTTAGTTACCTCATCTACAACATTTAATTTATTTGTCCAGGTCAGTATTGCACGTCTTTTATTAAAAGTGCTAGGGAACATGAATTATGTCTATATGATATTCTTTATAGAAGTTCCTTGGAATTTTTAGAGAAATTCTCTTTTAAAATGCTATCAGAATTATATCTAAATTGGGGCAGTCATGCTGCAACATAGCTTTGGAAAGGTGCAGACAGAGGCAATGAAGGATCAAAATATGTAGGTATTAGAGAAGCAACAAAACATAGAAACCCAAATATCAGGCAAAGAGGAAAAGAGGTCAATAAATTCCAAAGAAATCCATGATAGGAAAAGACAAAAGTGGCAAAGGTAGAGGTGACACTGCAGGTGAGGGCCTGAGGTAAACGTGGTTGTACATTCCAGGCTTGGATTGTTCTCTTTTATCACTTTAACATTCTGAAAAACTCGATCAGTGCAAATGCAGCCTCCTAGTCCCTTCAGCAAATCTTTGCAAATGCTCAGTAAGTTTCCATTTAAATACATCACATAGATGTTTACATTCAGTAGAGAAATTTGAGAATTTTCATCAGGATATACAAAAATCGAGTTTGGAAGTTTGTGGTCTAACAAATCCTCCTACTCAAAAGCAAAGGTTTTATCATGAAAAAGGCTGTTCAAGAGGGAACAAAGGGACAGAGGTTTCAGAGACAATGGGAAACAGTGCACCCACCCAAACTTATCTATGCTAGCTTTCTGGCCACACCTAATTGGACAAGACCAGATTTACATGCTTATTCAACTTGGTGTCACACAAAAGAGGAATTGTTTATTTCAATAACCACACATTGGAATTCATGGTTTTGATATTTTTCAGGACTTCAAGACAGGCCCCCTGGGTAAGCAGAGTTCTTATTTCTGTCAATGGAATTTTTCCCTAGAGTTGATGACGTTTTAAACTATAATTTTCCTTTTAGTTTATAGTTTTTCACTCTCTGCTATGCAATAAAAGCCATTGATCATATACTATATTTAACGCATTGTGCTCAGCATGGGTAGAAAGGGATGAATAAAACAAAATCCCTACCCTAAAGGAACTTAAAATGGGCAGTTATCTTTGGAAACAGACCATCACAGAGGCAAACACATATTGCCACTCCAACAAAAATATTTAGGTTGTTAGTTGGTTCAACTTGCCACATTTATTAAGTGATTTGACCTATCAGAACAAATTTAAAAAGACATTTTATAAATATTATATAGAGACATACATATGCATAGTATATACAATTGTTACTATACTTTTGCAAAGTTAAAAGTGAAGCAAAATTATAAGTGGCTAGGCTCATTCTTGTCATTCATTTTTATTAAATTGCAAAGTACTAGAAATATAGAAATCAGCCCGAGATTAAAAATTAACAATAACAATAACTTGTGGTTTTTCTATAACCACTACAATCCCCGTTCTCCAGTCATGCATCAACAAGGAGCTGCTAAGTCAATCTAATTTCCTTGTGAAATTCACTACCATCATGAGGTTTGTATTTTTCTTTTTTTTTTTTTTAACTTTAAGTTCTGGGATACGTGTGTAGAATGTGCAGGTTTGTTACATAGGAATACATGTGCCATGGTGGTTTGCTGCACCTATCAACCCGTCATCTAGGTTTTAAGCCCTGAATGCATTAGGTATTTGTCCTAATGCTCTCCCTCCCCTTTCTCTGCAATCCCAGACAGGCCCCGATGTGTGATGTTCCCCTCCCTGTGTCCATGTATTCTCATTATTCAACTCCCACTTATGAGTGAGAACATGCAGTGTTTGGTTTGTATTTTTTTTTTAAAGTGAATCTAAAGAAAGATTCAGACAGCATGGCCAGGATAAAAGATACAATAGATGTTGAAGACTCATCCTGCTACCTTCAAACCATATCTGACAGTCATCTTATTGATGTATTTTTGGGGTCCCTCCCAATGACATCCACCTCTATTGTCACACACAGGGAATGTATTATATTGAAGTATCAGGCCCTAGACAAATGGCAACTAGCATATCTGCATCAGATCTATGCAGATGATCTTAGAACATATGGACAAAAATGGAAAGCTCATGTTCTAAAGTACATTGTCCTTGGCTTCAGAGAGTAAAGCCACTTTATATTCATTCCTATGTGATCTGTGCTTAATATCTGGAGCAGCCTGAGATGGGAAGAGGATATGTAAATGAAATTTTCATCACTTACTGCAACTCATACCTCATCCAAACGTATTTTACAAAAGCTAAGATACCCAATCTTCAACCAAATTAAGGTCTCTGGTCCCTTTACCCAGCTTTTCTCTCCTAGAATATTAACTATCCCACCTCACACGCACTGTTTTAGTTGCTCCTGTGTACAGCCTATACCCCCGTAACACTTTTATTATGTTGTTACCAGTTTACAGTCCATGGTGCTTTTGCAGTGCCCATTTGGAAAGCCTCCAAATTTGTTTCAATGCAAGAAATCTAGCTTTTTGCTTTGTACACTCAGGAAACAAGGAGAAAACCATTCATTGTGAAAATTGTTGCCCCCTACAATTTTATGGTTTCTGGCCTCAGCTGGACCTATGATGTTTTGCTTGACCCTGGTGTCTGCCCCATCACTCCTGTTTGCTCATGTTAGCCCTTCCAAATTTTCACAACTTTTCTTAGGCTCTATGTTCTATCCCACTTGCCACAGCCCAGCAGATGATTTCCTCCTACCTCCCTACCTTGTTCTTGACTGCGCATTTACAGTAAGCTTACTGAAACATGATCGATCCTTCCCTCCATTTGCTTTGTTACTGTTTTGGTAAAGTCAGTTATCATTTCTTTCCTGGATTATTGCAATTTTCTAACTGATCTCCCTGCCTACAGTCTTGCCTTTTCCTGGCATCTGTTCCTTCCTATGCAGCATATTCATTCCCTCTAATCCTACTTCCATATGCTGGTAACTCTCAAAACCATATCTCCTGCCCTGACTGATCTCCTGAAATACAGATCCATAGTTAGAACTACCCCTGAACATTTCCAAATGGATATACTGCAGGCTTCAAATGTCTAATATATCAAAAACTAAATTTTTTAAATTCCTGCCCTGCAGCCTACTCGCTCTTTGCACTAAGCTATTGAATTAATAGTGCATGTTAGAATCTGTTAGTCATCGTGAGCTCTTTCCTCTTCCTCAACGATCTCCTCCAGACATCAAGTATAGTTACTAAGCATTGCTATTGCACTTCCCAAATCTCTCTTGAATATCATATCCTTTTCTCTGTAATCTTCTCTTACCAATGTTCAAGCCTTCATCATTTTTGGTTAGGATCATGAATATAGCCCACTAACAATTTTTGCTTCCTCAAAGTCACTCCCCATTGGTGCATCTTCCCTAGGGACATCAGAGCAAAATTTTTTTAAAAAATAAATAATTCATTATAAAAAGGCTGGAAGTCTCTGATAAATCTTCTCACTACCATCTATAAAAACATGAAAGGATGATTAAAAAAACTGGTAATTAAGAAGGACAGTAAACTATACTAGAATTCAGAACGCATTTAGAAATAATAAGTCAAGGGCACTGCCAGAGTCTAAGTATGGCTGCCCACCAGAAAGGAGAAAGGAATATACATTTATTAGTACCTACTGTATGTTAAGCAATCTAGTAGATACTTTGGATAGGAAATTAATCACAACTCATTGGATCAAAAATATACTATGCAGAGGGGAGCACACAATATCCCTGACAGTAGGCACAGGTTTGAGAAGCCAGTAGAGGCTCCTTCCCACCTCCACCACCTAACCTCACCATTAGGAGCTCCCTGTTCAACTCTGGTCTAAGCCTCCAAGTTTAGAACTGTGCAGGCAATATAGTGTGGGCATAATATTAATGGCACATTTAATTCTAGAAGGTGTACTTCTTTAATTCTAGAAGGCATACAAGTAAGTCACTACAGGTATAGGTGGAGACAAGATTTGTGGGAGAAGGATATATTGCAGAATATAGTTTTTAATGTACATGTGTACATTACAGGCAGTGGAATGTAAAAGTAAATTACATCTTAGAGAGTGACACTAGATAAACAGTTGTAGATAGTAAAAACTGGGAAAGAACTCCATACACCAACCAGTTACTATAGCCACAGAGAAGTAGAATTAACCATCACTAAAATAAACAGACTCTGAAGCCAAAGGGAGAGGCACACATCCAGTGTGCTGACAAACACCAAAAGTGAGTGAATAGAAAAACAAAACTAATAAGAAAGATAAAAAGCTGGACTTCTGGGCAAAAAAAAGAATGACAGCTTGGAGAAGGTTACATTAAATTTAAGTTCCAGTAAAGAAATAGAACTTTAGAACATAAATTTAAACTATATATATGTATATATATAATTTTTTTTTTCTAGATGAAGTCTGGCTCTGTTGCCTAGGCTGGAGCGCAGAGGTGCCATATCAGCTTACTCCACCTACCCGGTTCAAGCGATTCTCCTGCCTCAGCCTCCCCAGTAGCTGGGACTACAGGTACGTGCCACCATGCCTGTCTAATTTTTGTATTTTTAGTGGAGATGGGGTTTCACCATGTTGACCAGGCTGGTCTCAAACTCCTGACCTCAAGTGGTCCACCTACCTTGTTCTACCAAAGTGCAGGGATTACAGGCGTGAGCCGGGCTTAAACTGTACATATTTGTTATCTTAATTAGAACAAAAGAAGTCAGAACACTTATAAAATAGAAAAGAAAGCCATAAGAGTGAGATTAAAAACCAGCAGAATCATAGGAAAGAGATACAGATGAAATGAGGAATGACTGCTTTCTTAAGCTAAAACGCAATAACAGAGATAAAATCCACATTGGAAGGCATAAATGGCACTATCAGCACTGTAGGAACTCAAATTGGTGATGCAGTAAACATGTTAAAACAGTCTCCTGAAATATTGTAGAAAAAGAAGAAAACTAAAAGATAGATATGTAGGAGAGGTAATGAATGTCTAAATGAGCAACAATACTTAACATCTTTCATAGCATCAGAACATCTTTCAAAGCGTTTTACCAAAAAAAAAATATACATGCTGCACATTTAATTTGCTCAACAACTCATTCCTATAGGTATACATATTAAAACCAACTTAGAAGAGGTTAAAATGACTAGCCCAAGGTCACAAAGTTCGTATGGAGAGAGCAATTATAATCAAGGTCATTTGACCCCAAAGTCAAATGTTAGTTACTATGATATAATGATCCTCAATAAGAACATCTAGGGGGAAAAAAATCCAAAGGAAAAAAGAGAATTTAGCTTATAAACAACTAGAAAAGTTACATCGAACATCAGAATAAATCCATAAAAATAAATACAAACTACACTAAAATTTTACATGATAAAAGTAAAGAAACAGGACAGCTTACACAGCTTTTTTTTCTGCAATAAAAATTGGCAAAAGCAGTTGGGAGAAAACTTTTTGAGCCAATAATTTAAAACTCAGCCAAGTTATTATTCATCTGTGAAGCCAACTGAAGCACATTCTTAGATACTCAAAGGTTCAGAAATATACCACCCTTATAACATTTATTAAAAAAAAGACATACTCAAAAAATGTTTGCATTACAAGTTTAAGTAGAAACAGAGGTTATAAAACAATAGCTGTTAAAATATCATATTATGCCTCATAAATACATGCAATCATTATTTGTCAATTAGTAATTTAAAAAAAATAAAATACACATAATTTAAGCCATTTAAAATATATTTACATATCTTTACAAATATGTAATATGCATAAAAATCTTTAAAGTTATATATCCAAATGTAAAGATATTTTAAAAGTTTTGATTTTTGTTTATTTGTTTTGGGTCAGTTTTTTCTTGTTTTTTTGTTTGGGTTTTTTGGCAACCAAGGAATTAACTAAAATTAGGAACTTAAGAATGAACAATGATAATATTAAAAAATGATGGTAAGTGCTGAGCTGTATTAAACATAGAATCAAGTTGAAACATCCACTTGATAGTAAAACTAGGAACATACAAGAAAAATAATTATGTGCTAATAATAATCAATTATAAAATCAATGTTTTTTTAAAATAGTACCTCAGTAGCAAAGGGCCAAATAGGGTAAAATAATCCCATATACTACATCATATGTGTGGCATATATGCTACCAAAAGAAAACAATACAAACGGAATCTTTTAGAAGAAGAAATTTTAGTGGCCAGTAAAAAAACAGAAAGCTATTTGTCCTCCTGAATTAACAAAACACAAATTTAAAAAAAAGTAAAATGCTATTTTTCACGTGTGAACTTGGCATGAAGTATAAATTTTTTTTTTATAACATCCAGTGCTGTTGGAAGTATAGGTAAAATGAGTCACAGTAAAAGCCTGTACATGATGAGAGATGCAAGGCTTAGGAATATCTAGTAAAATTTGCAATGTGTGCAACATTCACCCCCAGCAACCTCACTCATAGTACTTCGTTATCCCCAAGAAATATTTGAACATGAGCATACAGAAGTATTTGTAAAAATATTTTGGGGGGACATTATTTGTAACAGCAAAAAAGGTAAAGCTTGGCTCTTACTGCTTTGTTGGGGAGAATGAGCAGGCTGAGCGGAGGGTATGCAATCCCAGGGCAGCAAGAGTGAGAGAAATAGGAAACTGAGGCAGGGAAGCCAGAAAAGTAAAAACAATGTGGGTCAGTGTGAAGCTGGCATTGCCTCACAGGAAGCATAGCAGGCCATATGGAGCACCTCCGTGTTGGAGCAGTTGGGAGCTGGATGGGAAGTGGACTAGAAAACAAGTCCTCACGTCTCCTATTCTTCATTGGTCAACTCTTCCTCACAAGTGCCTGAATTTCTGGCTTGTATTAGTCACCCTCTTTGAATAGTCAGATCTCATGCCCAATACTCAGTGCTGATGTGAACGCAGAACCAGTGGAGAGAGACAGAATTGTCGGGCATTTAGTTAAGCTGAGCCCAGTTTAGATTCTGCTGCAGGTCCCCCTTCTTCAGGTGCAACGAACCTTGACTTCTTGCCAGGACAACCTGAGACAACAAGTGATATTTGGGGTGAGGTGACTCCTCAGTAACATAGCCAAAGATCTCTACTGAGAAAGTGGCTAAGACCCTGGGAAGCAGGCAGGGCCAAGTGAATCTGGGAAGGTGCATAAATGTTTAATTCTATAATGTGTTTATTAAATTATGTAAATATGCTAAGTTCAGAATTAAAACTGAATAACTAAACAAAGCTACTAATATATTTTTAACTTCACTAATAAGGGAAACAATAAAACTAAAATGTTTTCTTAAATGAAAGTTTATCACTAGTAGAATTAAAAAATGGGATACTTACTTTCCAAATTTCTAAACAAGTAAAAACTAAAATGTAGTTCATAACAGAAATAAAAAGAGACTGCAAGGAAGCACAAAATTAGGAGGCATTAAAAAATACCAAAAAGAAAGATCATACATTTCAATTATGCTAAATGCTTAACACCCCATCAGGAGGCAAGGAGACATAGATAATATTAAAGCAAACAAATAAACCAATATCCAAATACTTATTGGCAAAACACTCCTCATCAGTTCTTAGACCTCTCAATGCACAAACTAAGATATTACTTTCATCTAATAATGCAAAGTATTGCTAGCTGTCAATAGAGAGCCCAAAGATGCATAGATAAATATAAATCTATGCAGAAAATCTGTTATTCAGATTTTAGAGTCTATGCAGAAAATCTGTTGGCCAGGGCTGAGCAATCTGGAAGTCTGACTCTAAATACTCCTTTAAATTATTTGTGGCCAGGCGTGGTGGCTCATGCCTGTAATCCCAGCACTTTGGGAGGCCGAGGTGGGTGGATCACCTGAGGTCAGGAGTTTGAGACCAGCCTGGCCAACATGGTGAAACCCCATCTCTACCAAAAATACAAAAAAAAAAAAAAAAAAAAAAAAAATTAACCAGGCCTGGTGGAGGATGCCTGTAATCCCAGCTACTCGGAAGGCTGAGGCAGGAGAATTGCTTGAACCCAGGAGGCGGAGGGTGCAGTGAGTCGAGATTGTGCCACTGCACTCCAGCCTGGGCAGCAAGAGTGAAACTCTGTCTCAAAAATAAATAAATAAATAAATAAATAAATAAATAAATAAATAAATAATTTGTAACAACATCCGAGCTATCTATAGCAGTAAAAATTCTAGTCTACTTTCTTGGTTTTTAGTACTGGGGAGATGCAAAAAGTATCATTTTTGAAATCACAGAAACCATGGTAACATTGGGATTTTTCAACGGAGTGGAGAGAGGAAGAATGGAGGAAGAGTGTGAATCCTTGTGCTGATGAAGAAGATGCATTGGGAGCTTTGCTTTTCTGTGTTTTTGATTTTTAAAAATCTTGACACAAGACTCAACATAAGTATAAAGACAACAAGACAAATTCACCAGTAATAATTCAAATAAGACTTTTAAAGAGAATTTACTATGATTAAGTTCCTTATTTTTTAATATTTTTATTTTTGTGGGCACATTGTAGGTGTATACATAAGTTCCTTATTTCTCTGTCTCTGCATGTGCACCAACACAGCTTTTTTCTTCAAATATTTTTATTTTTTCTAGATTATTATAAATGAAACTTATCTTATTCTTCTCTATGTCAAGAATCTTTAGCAAATTTTCCAAAGTCATTATCTACATGTTTGAGATAATCATTGCAGTTTAGAAATGTACATCTTCCTTCAAAGTCCATATCATTCATCTTTAGAAAAATGTTCAGTTACAATGAAAGATAGTTATTTAATATTTTTCTGTTCCTTTATTTCTCTCTTTGGTATGAACTTCACCCAGAAACATATAAAATATGATGAGCAAAAAACATACACCCAGGTTAAAAACAGCAAAGACTACCAGAAACTTTTTCATGGCTATAAGTATCCCACAGATTACATGAAGAATATTCTTAACGGCATTAATTTTTTTCCCGAAGAATGATCTTGACACTGGCCTTATATGTCTTTGTAGATAAACATAATAGCTATGATATGTTCAGTTTTAGATTGTGAAAATAACTTTAGGCATTAATGTCTCCTTATTTCAGGATATTAGTCTTGAAATATCAACTTGTCAGTTCCAGACTTTAAAAGAAAAAGAAAGGGAAGGAAGAAGGAAGGGAAAAAGGAAGGAAATGATGATGAACAAGGCCCTCCTTTCCAAAAGTTTCAACCCCACCACTTGACATTTATCATCAGAGATTTAAGCCTTTGCAATTACCAAGCGAGGGGATTCCACAGTGTAAGCTAATACTCAAAAGAAATGAAATGGCAGCCGCTTGAAGAAAGAAATACAGAAAAGCTAAAATAGAAGATGAAGAGGATAAACTCCACATGTTACTCTTTCCCCTGGATAAAATTCCATGTGTTGATTAAGGGAAAAGAACAGAGAGAATTAAACCAAATAAATTATGCATTGTGCACCTACTATATAAATGCCTTGTATGACTGTGGGCTGAAAGGAAGAAACAAAAAGTAGAAATTAAAGTAGAAAGATAGGGAGAAGGCATAATAGAAATAAAAGCTACACAGTACCTAAGAGGCTATTGAAGAAAATCCTAACACATACTTGCACTGAATGTGAGAATTTCTAATTGCACACCCAACTCTATTTGGAGATTTGGTCCTTTTGAGATATACAAAGAAATTGGTACCTGATGAGAAAAATGCTGGCTGCTCCTCATCATCAAGAGCTATAGAAGATTAACGGTGTAAAATTGTATGAAAATCTTTAAAAAACATTCACTCAAACTCTGTTTCGGGTAGATACCAACCTAAAAGTTGACAAAGGAAAAAACTGAAGCTGTATGAGTTCTTAAAATTAGTTTGCATGTACAAGTTAGAAAGAAATAATACCAAGCATTTTTCCTCCCTCCCTTCCTAAAAAGAAAATTTGCTAAAAGTGTCTCCTCACAAACATAAGAACTATAAAGTCTGAGGAACTGCAATTGATGGTCTCATTAAAATGAACTACATGTCTATTTAAATAATTTTTCAAAAACTAGATATTTTAAGCAGCATTCTTTTATTGATTTTTGTCAGCAGATTTGTGTTGAATATTTACTATTAGCAAATCCCATTGCTTAAAATGGAGAATGTAAAGTTTAGATCCCTTGATCTCTACACCTACTTAAGGAGTTTGAGTTTCATTGACAAGTAAGACATGTTCCAGAAACAACTATAAGGTAAGGCAGAAAGTGATAGTGCCAAAAGAAAAGTAACAGCAAAATTTGAGTGAAGTTCAGAGAAAGTAGAAATCATTCTTATAGTGTTAAGAAGGGACAAGGAGTGTTTCATGGAGTTCACATCAGCTGAGTTGCGTCTAAAGAGCATGTGAGGTTTCTATAACTGTAAATAGAAGCTCAGTAAACATCAAGTGAAAGAAATAGTGCAATAAAAGGAACAAACGTTTTAAAAAGTACAGGAGATATATGGCAGAAGTACATGTAATCCAGTTGTGCATGATACAAGAATATTTAGAACAAAAGTATATTAAAAACAAAATGCTAGACTTCCAAGATTTTTATTTTTTTTTTGAGATGGAGTTTCACTCTTGTTGCCCAGGCTGGAATGCAATGGCGAGATCTTGGCTCACCACAACCTCTGCCTCCTAGATTCAAGCAATTCTCCTGCCTCAGCTTCCTGAGTAGCTGGGATTACAGGCAGGTATGCCCAGCTAATTTTGTATTTTTAGTAGAGACAGGGTTTCTCCATTTTGGTCAGGCTGGTCTCGAACTCCCAACCTCAGGTGATCTACCTGTCTAGGCCTCCCAAGGTGCTGAGATTACAGGCGTGAGCCATCGCGCCCAGCCCAGACTTCCAAGATTTCTACAGGAGCTACTGGCTCATACCCAGATCTTCAAGATACACTTTTATACAAACCATAAACTTTCTTCTATCGAAATAATATCATAAAACTTAGACCTGAGACCTTCTAGCTCAAAATTCCGTTTTAGTACAATTGAAAAACTGAATTTCAAAGAGGTTAAGAGGTGTTTCCAAGTTCACACAGCTAACTAATGGCATTATTGAGACCCATATTGCAGTTTATTATTCCATTCGGGAAGGAGTAGTTTTTCCTGGCCTGTAAATACTCTTTTACTCCACATCCTACCTTTCACTCTCTCCCTATTCATGCCTAAGTATGCATTGGTTCACATGCTGACCCAAGCAGTCTGTGACCAAGGGAAGGGGTATTTTCTCTGTAAGTGGCTAAATGGTTCACACATGGAATCAGTCTCTACCTTGGCCTCATTAGATCCCGGTTCTAACCAATTCCTGGACTGCATCCTTATTAACTAAGAGGGCCAAAACAGATTGTCACCAAGAAGAGGAAGTTATTTTTAAAAAACCAACAGCACTTGAAATGCATTAAACATAACTTTCTTAGATTTGACTCCCTCTAGAGTATGTTGATGGGAAAGACTTGATCCAGTAAATTCTTTCTCAATACACATTTTAAAATGTGGAGCATTCATGCTACGAAACTATCTGTCCCAACCTCCAAAAAAAAAAAAAAAAAAAAAACTACAAGTTGTCTTAAAAAGAAAAAAAAGAAAAAACAATATTCAGTCTTTATTAATGGACACAGCTAAAATGTTTCTGCTAAGTCAACTACTGATTTGTAACTCCAACTCATTCATCTACTAGTGCCAGGACCAGAGATCTCTAAAGGAAAGTAATTAACTACTGGTTCTGTAATATAAAGTAAAAAAATTCCAAATTTGCAGTAATAGCTTTTTTAGTATGAATCAGATAATGTTTTAATGAATTAGCATTTAATACATGCCATCAAATCAAATAAACCTGTCATGAAACATTTATGTCTACAATTTAAAGTTTACTAACCAAATTCAATGAAATTTGGCCTCTCATGTCTCTGACGAACACATATTCACTTGCAAATATGCAAGTTACATGTTTCTTTATGGCAAGACATACATGTATTAATTTTATATTGCAAAAAAAAGCGCAAAATCAGAGAGTTGCTTAATTCTTCTAAACTCTTAAAACTTGAATACATTTAAGAGTTGTTTTACATGTTTTGCATTTTCAACCTCAGGCAGACTTATTCAACATAACAAAAATGTTCTCAATGTTACACTGAAGCATTCTGTACCATATATTAATTATAATAAAAAATGTTCATGAAATCCCTCATAGGAATAATACTCACTCGAGGATAATCAAGTTACATCAGATCTTTTTTCTCCTTTCCCATTCTTGCAGGGAACCCACATTTTAAAAAACATACGCACATACACATACACACACACACACACACATAATGTTTACCTATAGATCTATTTGTGAGCTCTGATGATCTTCCACTATCTTATGTTGATAGACCCTATTACAGTGTTTAGTACCTACCACTTCAAAATTTAAATAGTTACATAAAGAAACTTGGAAATAATATGGGAAAGAAACCATAAAATCTTAAGTTGAATAACACCTTAACACTTATCTGTATTTATGCAGGAATTCTTCTACTCCATAGGAGAAACACATTTCCTTTTAGACAAAATGACCACTTATATAATTTTCTCTCTGGAATGTTCCTCCCAGTCATGAAAGCTCTTGCTTGGCCTTGGGTCCCCAGCTATTAGTTGATTAGTAAAGTGCTTTGGCTTGTCTACTAATATTAATAATTAACTTGATTGATTAATATACATTAAAGGGGTAGAGGAAAGTCAGCTGGTGGGAACCTCTGAAGGACTGGTTATTTATTTGAACACTATGGTGCATTAAGAGTTCATTTTGACTTCTGTGAATTCTACCAGGCAGATAATTGCTCACCTTCTACAGAACTGAGAAAAAAACCTCCAGTCATGCACAAGTTGCAAAATATCGTGACTAATCCTTATAACGTTGTATTACACAGTTGCATAGTGGCTCCTGATGTCAATTGACCATTTCCCATTCCACAGACAGGACTCACTTGACTTTCTGTTTATTTAAGTGACACTTGTTTGAAATTCTGGGTGCTTCTTATCCCTTTGAGTCACACACTGTGTCTCAGAGCCTCTGGTACTTTTAGCACCTAATTAATTACTAACTCTAGCAAAGTCCTGCTGTTTTGCAACTCTCTGTCTTTGTTGGGAAATCACAACCCCTTGCTAGAATGAGAAGGCAAGAAAATAGTTATCAACCAAATATCCAGTTTGGGTCCATATTACAAAAGCGAATTACCTTAGGGTCTTTTAATTCCTCTAGATATTCAAACTAGAAAGGATAACTTATTGTGTCTCTAAACTTCCTTTAAGTTTAGCATCAAAGGAAATTCAAAAAAATATGTTTTTTAATTGCATTTGCATTCAGCTATTATTCAGAGAAGTTAAATAATCATTAAAGTTTTACAGTGAGAATTGGTAATGAAATACAAAAATAGTCTCTTAGTTCACACTGGCAAGTTTTCTAGGGATAGCACAAAGCACAATGCCCACAGGCATAACAGCACTCTCAACTCCTTTAACACTTACCATCCAAATCTCCCATTTGTCTGTCAACATATCCTCTGCTCCATTGTTACTAATTTTTTTGTGCATATAAGTTCTGACACCTCTGACTCCAAATAAATTTTAAGCACTTCAGAAGCGGAGGCTCTATCCTCTATTTTCTATCTGCAGCACCTAGTAGAGTACTCCGCGTATTTTTTTAAGTAGATATTTAAAACACATGGTATTTCTCCTACTGCAAAATATAAATAAAACTATAAATAATTCTATAAATCAATGCATGGTCTTAAAAAATTCTTGAAATACAACTTAACATAATTTTATGAAAAAGAATTTCTCAAACCAACCCGGTACTCTATATCAAGACAGCAGATACATTGAACAAATGCAATGAGTATGTATTATAATGCATTATAATGTGTTATAATCAATACCAGTATTAGAAACGTGTTATTGACTTTTGTGTTACATTTACCAGTAGAGAGACTACACATTCTCGAAATTGGTATTCCTCAAACTGAGAATCACATAAGCAAAGAAAGAATCCAAAGGACAGCTTCCCACAGTCCTACAGAATACTGACTCATTCCCTTTGTAATGAACCAGAAGACTCTCAGTCAAGTTACCCATTCTGATTTGATCTCTCTCTTCCCCCAAACCATGGTTATCGTCTCTGAAATGTGCCCTTTCAACATCAGTCCTTTCTCAAACAAAGAGATTTACAGTTGTTGGGAATCATTCACTCATCTAAGTGCAGCAGTGGCTCTTGATAGTGACAAAGGGATTCAGGCTGATTTGAGTCCCACCTCCACCTCTGCCCCCACCCTATTGGATATTTTGGAATCTATTTCTCATCTCACATTATTTCTTTCCTTTCCATGTTTGTCTCCCTACTTTGTGACTCCACTGCCTCTTGTCCTTTGGTGAAGGATGTAAGGACACAGGAAAAAATGAGTTCCCACAAGGTCACCAGATGAAAGAAATAGAGCCTGAGTTGCTTGTTAAATATACAGATGAACAGCTTTCTTTTCTGGAAATTATGATTTCTGATTCTATAGGTTCTGAATCTAGACTCTGAAATCTACTTTGTTTACAAGGGATTTGTGAAATTTTTATCTATATGTCATTTTGGGAAAGAGCAGAGCAGTGTGCCCCAACCTTGGGTGCACACTATAATCTCCTGGAGAGTGTTTAAACCACACAGATACCCCAGTCACTAGACTTTCTGACTTAATTGTGTTGAAATTGAGCCTACTCAATAGTCCTGTTAAAAGCTCTTTCATATGATTATATCATGAAGGGTTCTCAAACTTTAATATGCATTCAGTCACCTGGATAAATAATGGTTAAAATGATTGAGTAGATTGTGATTAGCAGGTCCGAGGTGGGGCCTAATGTTCTGCATTTCTTTTTTTTTTTTTTTTTTTGAGACAGAGTTTCACTGTGGTTGCCCAGGCTGGAGCACCATGGCACGATCTCGGCTCACTGCAACCTTTGCCTCCTGGGTTCAAGCAATTCTCCTGCCTCAGCCTCCCGAGTAGCTGGGATTACAGGCATGCGCCACCACTCCTGGCTAATTTTTGTATTTTTTAGTAGAGACGGGGTTTCTCCATGTTGGTCAGGCTGGTCTCGAACTCCTGACCTCAGGTGATCCACCCACCTCGGCCTCCCAAAGTGCTGGGATTACAGGCGTGAGCCACCGCACCCGGCCTGATGTTCTGCATTTCTAACAAGCTCCCAGATGATCTCTGTGCTTCTGCTCTCTGGACTACCTATAAGTAGCAAGGCCTATTGAAGTGAATATTTTGGGGAATGGAGACAGAGCTAAAGCTACTGATCACTCACTCACCCTCCCTCCCCACCACACACACACACACACACACACACACACACACACACACTATTTATGTATTTTAGATTCCAGGGGTGAATAAGATGCACAGCATGGAAGAAAAGGTTGAGAATAACCTGCCAACCTATCTAGAGGGAAGAGCTACTGGTTAAACAAATGTGATAACATGCCACAGTGCCTTGCACAGGGCCTGGAACACGAGGTCTCAGGAAATGCTGCTGAATGTGAAGCTGAACCTTCTGAAGGAACCTAAGCAGAGAGTGGGTCATTCAATTGAGAGAGGTCACTCAAAAGAGAGAGGAAGACTTCTTACCCAAGCCTTTCCTTAAATAGTAATGCCTCCCTATATTAATTGCTCTTTCCCTATATCTCTATCAGATTTAGACTTGCTTCAAAACCTGGCTTACCTGACTCAAGTCTTCAAAGACTGGTATTTTAACTAAACTGACTTAGTTCTTCTCTTTTCTTGGTAGTTTAAGAGTGATTCCTTTTTGGTAATAAAGGCATAAATAGAATAGCATTTTTGTTACTAATATATTTCTTTAGGTCTTCTTCATGACTTAGTTATGTGCTCCTGGAGACCTGGGTCCTTTATTTCTTTGGTGTTATTCTCACTACATTTAACACATTTATGTTTACTGCCCACATAGTAGGTACTCAGCATGCTCACTGATGGCAGTGTTGGAGTAGAATCCAAGGGATTTTTATACATTGCATCAATCTGGAAAGAAATGAATAAATTTCAGCAGTGCCAATATAGGATAATATATAAATGCATTGCCTTATTACTTTAAGCAGTTTATTTTTTTCCTTAAGTATGACTGAAAAAAAAACCTAGGGTCAGTTTGTATAACAAATCCATAAGGAGTTCTCTAGTTATAATAATAAATATAGGTTTTTTAATCAAAATAAATGCAGAAAAATTATGTCTTCTTTCTATTACATTCAGAACTTACTTGACCCTAAACTTTGCAATAAGAAGTATATGAAAGTCAAAGAAGAATTATTAAAAGAATCAGAATTAAAGTGTTTTGCCCTACGAAATGGATACATTCACAATTGTTTTAAACTTTATCAAGTGTTCTTAGTCTGAAATAACAATGAGGATTAAGGACAATGTCCAAAGAAGATAGGCACCAAGGGAATGCTAAATTAATGTGAGTAAATGAATGAATGAATTGGTGAATAAATGAGTTGTTCTCAGATTCCATTGGTACGAAACAAGGATATGGATTTCTAAAGTAGAATGACTGATTAAACACTGAACGCTGAACAAAACAGCATTCAGAATGGTGGTGCAATAAAATATAATCCTAGTAATGAGGAGGAGTGGGTTTTAGTCTCAGCATTGCCAGTAGTGCCTTGGGCATGTCACTTAATCTTTCAGGTCTCAGTCAAAATAAAATAATGTATACTAACGATCTCTGAGAGTACATCCAGATCTAGAATTCTATGAATTTCATAAGTCAATTAAACTAGATTTTTTTTCTTAAAAATCAAAAGTTTTTCCAGTTTCTAGACAAAGATTCCAATTTACTTTTGAAATTTTACTTCAGTACAGAAAACTTATGCTGCCATAAACTGCCATTAGAGGGAAATAAAATATTTTGTGAAATAAAATTTGTTCTACCTTTTTGAAAGCTTCTAAAGAAGAGGGAAAATTCTTTCCCTAAAAAGTCTTTACAAAGAGTATACATCTTTGTCTCTCAAGGATGCTTTAAATGTTCTCCTACCTCAGGTTCAGGGGGCAAACAGATTTCTCTACTATATTCCAGTTCCCATCCATTGACAGCGACTGCATGCAGCCCTTTACATAAAGGATTCTGAAACCCCTTTGAGCCAGTGGTCCAGAGTGCCAAGATCACATCAATAAAGTGCACTTCGGAAGAAAGGAGTTGTGGCCTCAGACTGAAATATTTGCCAAGTGTGAAAGATTAACTGATTTGTCAAGGACCCTTCAAGTTCTATATGTTTCTCAACTTGGTGTTAAAGATAATCATTCTTCAACAATGGACATAAAGTAATTCATTCTGTATTTAACTTTTAAATATCTATGAATTCAGCAACAGCAAATATATCTTATTGCAGTGGACTCGGCTGCTCCATTTTTCATTCACTTTTGCCCACTATCAATAAGGATCTATTGAACTTACTCTGTAAATTATCCATTATTTCCTGCTTTGGTATTTCGGTGGAAATTGTTTATTTGTCTCTTTATTCTCCTTCTGCACACGTGTCCTGATTTATATAGACAAGGGACTATTCTGACTGAAATATATGGAAGCTGACTTAAGGGAAATCTCAGTGGCCCGATAACTACAAAGTTGTGTTTCTCGTTCATGCTGTGTCTAGCATAGGTCAGCAACAGGCAGGGAGCGAGGGGGCTGTTCATAGTCACTCAAGGACCTTGTCTGACAAAGGCTTCACTCTGTCTTATGCTTCTATGATCACGATAGCACTAGAAAAAGAATGTGGTAAACTCAACCCTGGCTCTTCAAACTTTTATCTTCAAGTGACTAATGTCACTTCTCTCTCATTTATTTCCATTTATACATCCCATGCCTAACTTTAAAAGTAACAGGCACTTTGGAAGGACGAGGCAGGTGTATCACCTGAGGTCAGGAGTTCAAGACCAGCCTGGGGAACAAGGTGAAACTCTGTCTCTACTAAAAATACAAAAATTAGCTGGGTGCGGTGGTGCGTGCCTGTAATCCCAGCTACTCGGGAGACTGAGGCAGGAGAATCACTTGAACCTGGGAGGCAGAGGTTGCAGTGAGCCGAGATTGTGCCATTGCACTCCAGCCTGGGCAACAGAGCAAGACTCCATCTCAAAAAAAAAAAGTGACAAGGAGAGGCATGGAAATGCAATCTCTACACGTGTCCAGAAAACAGATTGAGGAGAGACAGAACGATTTGCTGAACAGCCCCATGGCTACCACACAATGCCATGCCAGGGCCAACACTGCAGGGAAAACTTTTTTGAGCACTTTTCACCCATACTTGACAGTTGTGCAAGATGTCTCTGGCCCCTGGCAGATCTGCCTTTGAACAATTACATTAGTTTCTACCAGCACAGGGGTGATTTTAGTTCATCTTCTACCTTTGATTATTAGTTCTCTGTGAACACTTTACACAAGGCCCTAAAGGTGCATAATAATTCTACTCCTTCTATGAATGATCAATTGTCAAGAGTAGACTAGAGTCTGATTTCTTTGCCCAACACTCCCACTCTTTCCTCCAGTTCCAGAAAGGTTCTTCACTTCCTCTTCCTTCTGACAAGGACACTTTTTACAGTCCTGATTCCTCACTACACTGTGGCTTTCAGTGAAACTGCATATTTGGAACCAAAACTTTGCTGGTATATATAAAGGAAACTTGGAGTTTAGAAATCTCTTTCTCTCAGCAAATCCATGGCAAGACTAACTACTGGGGATTCAAGGAAGGCAGCTCTGAGACTCAAAGCACAATAGTGAAATTGTGGTCTAGGAGTTATCTCCCCTTACCCCAAACAATGAATGACCTTGATTCAATAGGTAGAGAATAACTGTAAGGCAACATAATTTTCAGTGAATGAAAAATATGTCCACTTAACATTTTAAAAACGAACACCTGCAAATTAATCAATCTAGAATATTAAACTTCAGGGCTATATATTAAATAAAACATTTTTATTAGGTGGTTACTCTTTTAAAAAGAAGGTAACATAAGTACTAGTATCCAATCAAACGTGTCTATGTTGTCACTGAAGTTTCTCTCAAAGAGGCATTTAGAAGATGGTCATGCAGAGAAAATACTTTCATACAGTCCTCACTAACAGGTATGCGTATAGGAGCAATTTTGAAAACAGTTAATTTTTCAAAGAAAATGAGTAAAAAGAAACTATATGCATTTTGCCCCACATCCTTGCATTCCATAATATATACTCACCCACTTTCCATCTTTGGGGCATGTTCTGGGTAATTTTTCTTCCTTCCTATCTCATGTCAAATATCAGGTGAATTTATGTCATTGTTTTGAGAACAATTTATGTATAATATTTTATGCAATCTCCTCCTATGTTTAGGAGGTTGCCATAATGTGTCAAATGTAGATTTTTCTTAATACTTCATAAAACTATCTCTAGAAAACTAAGTGCATCCTTTTACTAAGTTCATCCCTAGCACACTCACACAGCTCCTTTTGCTGCTGCTTTTTCTTGCAGCTTCTGCTTCTGCACTCACTTTTCCACCTCCCTTAGTTACTCGGTGTCCTTATCAGACACAGGTCTCCCTCATACTCACACTTCATAATGCCCCTGAACAGGTCAGACCCTCTCTCCTTGTCAAATTTCAGAGATGTGTTCAGAAGGAAACAATCTAACTAAAATAATTCACCCATTCTTAACTTTCTTGGGAATATTTGCATTTAAAATAAATTTCTAATTGTGATGATTTCAAGTAGTATACATAACGATGTGAATAATTTTAACAATGCTAAAAAATAAGTAGAGGAAAAATACAAATGTACATGAACAGAGGGAAAGCAAGCTACACATACAAACATAATTATTTGAAGAAGAAATCCTCAAGGCATTAGTTGTCTATTAGAAACCAGGCTGTCCTTGAATATCTAGTATACCAGTTCTTTTGGGCTGCCACAACAAAATACTTTAGATTGAGTAATTTATAAAACAACATAAATGTATTTGTTACAGTTCTGGAGGCTGGGAAGTCCAAGATCAAGGTGTCAGCAGAGTCATTGTCTGCTGAGAGCTTGCTCTCTGCTTCAAAGATGGCACCTCCTTGCTATGTCTTCACATGGAACAATGGGCAAAGGGAGCTTCCTGGAGCCACTTTTATAAGGGCATGAATCCAATTTATAAGAGTGGAGCCTTCATTACTTAATCACCTCCCCAAAGGCCCTACCTCTAAAAAATACAATCACATTAGAGATTAAGTTTCAATATATAAATTTGGCAGAGAGCACATTCGAACCATAGTACAGTGTATTTTTTTAAAAACACAAAAGACACCATATTGTATATAACTTACAATGTTACTTTAAAAAAGTATTGATTCTTATGATCATAATGGTGAAAATTCACCAAAAACTCATGAAAACCCAATATATCATTCCTAACTAAATCAGAGAATCAAGTCACAATGAGGAAATAAATCCATTAGTTAAATTGCCTCCTTTCCTAAACACTTAAGGTAAATCTATGTTGTAGGGCAAAATGATTGTACCTCATGTCATTAAATCTCAGAATTATGGAATTTAATGAGATAGTGCTTCATGTTTCTATGCACTAAAATGATAAGTTCTGCTGCCATTTTTAGTAGACAAAAGGAAGGCCTCCTGGTAAGGAGGCATTTTCACAGGATTCTTTTCAATGAGAAGATGTCTATATTATATTCACAAACCTTAAGTAATACTATCCTAGCTCTTAAGACAAGAGAAAAGGGAAGGAAATAACAGGCTGAAGAAAAACACTTGTGACTTCCCCCAAAATGAGAACATTGAAAAGATTTTTCTCTGAGTTCCAAACCATAATTGCTTCTTATTTATGTACCCAAAGCTGAAAATTTGTCCCACCAATGGCCTGGACCTTTGTACTGCTTTGATTTTGTGAGGCTTCAAGTATAGAATTAAAACTCAATTCAGAGAAAGAACTGATCTAGAACCAGACACTCTGTATAGGTGGTCAGATAGGGTATATGGTAAACCTCAGTTTTGCTTTCTTGCTTCAATTAGGTATCAACTTTCTGACTGGCCAAAGAGCTCCACATTTGGCTTTATACAGAGGTTAATAACCTGCCCATTAGCTCTGGGGTGGATTTAAAATAGCCTACAATTCTTTGCAGTTCCTCCTATCAAAAGATAAAGTCTATTGGGTAAATTCTGGAATCTAGGCTGGTCTTTTGACTTGCTTTGGTCAAAAAACTGCAGTAGAAGTGACGCTTGTAGGGCTTCCAAGGGGCCTTGCAACTTCCTCTCTCACACTTCTGGAACCCAGAGAGCTCCACGCTCTTGAGATGTAATACTACCTGGGAAGAGAGGCCTGCTATCTCTGCTGTGTCAGCTGACCTGACAGCTGGATGTAGCATATGAGAGAGCCCAGGAGAGACCAGCAGGAGAGTCAGTCAACACACAAAATTGTGAGAAGCCATAAATAGTTGATAGTTTAAGCCACTAAGTTTAGAAGTGGTTCATTATACAGCAATACGTAACTGATACAAGCTCCATGGAAAGAAAGTCCTTTGTTCTCCTCTATCTTCTTGCAGAATACTTCTCAGTGAGGCAATCTTATCTACAAATATAGAATACCACCTGCCAAATTGGAAAAATATCATGACCACCAGGCACCTGGAGCTTTTTCATAATGGCTTGAAACCGCCTACACCTGTGACATACCCCACAGGCCAAAGTGAAATCAAAATATGTTTCTGGGAAGAAAAGATTATATGGGGTGAAGAGAAGGAGAGAAGGGCAGAGCTAAACCAGCCCTTTATCACTAGTGAGTAAGCAAGGATTAGATTTCAGAATAGGGAACTTTTAGGGTGGGGAGAGCTGGAAAGCAGAAGGGATGAGCCTCAGCAGGGGATTTTTGATAAGGATGGGTGCACAAAACACTGTCTGGGGAGAGCATGTTACAAAGGAATACCAGAATGTATAGAGAGTGCTTGGGCATGGAGTTGGGGCAAGAGAATGGGAACAGCCAGACACTTACGAAGACCAACCCTGATTTCTTTGGTAGTTACTCTAAACATTTTCAAACACTTGTAGGAACAGGGGAAATGAAATGTCATCTTTCTCACATGAGAGGAATCTGTCCACATTCTCACTACAGTAAACCAGTCAAATCATTAACCCACACAAACCCCCACACAGGTATCAGCCGTGAACCACACTCCCACAGGATCACCACTGAGCCACAGGAATTGCTGGAAGAGGAGGAGGCCTGATGCCGCTCTTCGAGTCTGGCTACCTCCCTAGCAAACATGTAGCCAACCATGACCACTGACCTCCTCAAAGCAAGGCAGAAAAGGGGCTTGCCCCCCTACCTCTGAATCAGGGCCAGCCTAAGCAAAAGAAGGAATCCTTCCTTATCCCCATTAAGATTCACCATTCGTTCTTTAAAAGCTGTATTATCTTAGACACAGAATTTATCTCTTTCCTCACCACTATCACTGCCCCCCAAGTATTGTTCCTCTTCCCTTCCCCACAACACACCACAGAGCCCTTATGACACAGCAGTTACCACATGGCTTATGTGCCTGCTTCCCTCACTGAGGGTATTCACCTTGAGGGCAGGGGCCTAGTGTCCCTAGTTTTGTATCTCTTGGGCCTAGCATGGTGCTTGCCACATGTTCAGTGAGTGCTGAAATAAAAGTAGCCAGACAGCCAAAAGTAGCTACCCAAAGTGGCACCAGCAGTAACAAATATAAACCATAACTGATAGTACATATATAGGTGGAGAGAGGTTTTCATTCTGTTTTGTTTATGAATATGGCAGCTTTGAAGAGGTACTTCCTAAAGCTTGTTGCTGGGTGTGTCCAGTTCATTTCTGTCATAAACCATAGCATTGCTTTTCATCTGAGCACCAATAGAACCCCTAATATAATTCCTTCACTGTTCTTGCCTTAAAGGCCATGCACAAAACTCTGCTTCAGTGTGTAGCCTGGAGTTACCCATAGTAGGCACCATCAACAAATATTCATGGGATGAATGGATGGCACATTGACGTTAGCTGCCATCTTTCAGTATGCTTTCCAATAAACTACCCTTACTCACTGTGGATTGTGCAAGGCTCGTTTTGGACCTAACAGGAAAAAATAAGTAAAAAGTGACTTAGTCAAACCATGCTTTAAGATCAATGTCAGCTTTTGCTGCTGCTGTTTCTTGACTCCCTTGTTCTTTCTTTTCCTGTGACTTCTTGTTTCTGATTGCCTGGCTATAATTTTAAACATGAACTTTGCTTTGCTCTTTGCCATTCTGATTCTAGTTATTCATGGCGATTTAGCCCATGACCTTGCTCTGATGTTTGTTGTGTGCCCACTTCCTTACTTTATAAGCCTTCCTGGCTTGTAACATACCCTGGCCCTCTCCCTTCATGCAACTTAGTTTTAATCAGAGTGCATTCCTCTGGAAAGGCAGGACGACATAGTAGGAAGGGCACTGGCATTAAATCAGACAACTTGGTCACAAGTCCAAGCACTGACACTTTTGTGTCACTTAGGGACCCAGCAAGAATTTTTGAAAGACATTTTTATAAAATGGCCATTTTCTATAGTGCAGACAGGGTTGAAGAAATCAAGAGGAGATGTTGAGGCACCAAGGAACTAAAAAGAGGGGGAAGCCATTTCTATCCCTAAGCCCGAGGAGTCAAGGAGGGTAAATGGTGATTCTGAAACCTACTTGAGTGCTAGAGCCACAGAAAAAGGACTGCATGACAGGGCTGTAGTCTCCTGAAGGATGTGGCAAATGATGCCAAAGCAGGGAAGGAGTGGCATCACTTTTCCTTCCCATGATCTGATCACCCACAGGTACCCCTGGCTAGGCCTGAACTCAACTGGAAAGCAGAGGAAAGGAGCTCTGGTTATTTAGTTTATGGAAGTCAACTTCTTGGGGGACAGAGAGGACAGAGAAAATAGACTTTGGGGTAATACAAAACAGCCAGAATCTTATAAGCTTAAGCAAGTGACTTTATCTTTCTGGATTCGGTTGTCTCATCTATGAGACAATGTTTTGAGATAATACATGTAAAAGAAGCTGCAAAAATTACTCATTGGTATTATCCCTCATCTAGCACTCTACATCTTATACTTTTTTTTTTTTTTTTGAGAAAGAGTCTCGCTCTGTTGCCCAGGCTGGAGTGCAGTGGCGCAATCTTGGGTCACTGCAACCTCCACCTCCCGGGTTCAAGCGATTCTCCTGCCTCAGCTTCCCAAGTAGCTGGGACTACAGGCACGTGCCACCACACCCGGCTAATTTTTTGTATTTTTAGTAGGGATGGGGTTTCACTGTGTTAGCCAGGATGGTCTCAATCTCCTAACCTCGTGATCTGCCCACCGCAGCCTCCCAAAGTGCTGGAATTACAGGCGTGAGCTACCGTGCCCAGCCTACAACTTATACTTTCATGTCTTTGATAGTAACCCTTCAACCTAAATCTGTGACCACAACCACTCAACCTTCACTGTTGAACTTCAGAAGAGGTTCCTGGGATGAAGGGTACATGGATATAAATCCTCATCCAAAGATAAGAATAGGAAAAATAAAATGTGACTTTTATTTCCAACTTTTTATTCCAAAAAAGAAAGTAATAACATAAAGATAAAAAGAATGGCTCTTAGTGAGATCCACATTCCTCCCTCATCTGTGATTCCTACAAACAGGTCTAAATGAGTGCTCTCTTTATGAGATGCAGAAGTCCTTTTTCCTGCTCTCTGTAGGACTCTGCCTAGAATCTCGAGTTTATAATTTGTTCTTTCTGGTTGTCCCAAAGTCTGCAGACATCTAGACAGATTGAACTTGTCCTGGATTTATCTTTGCTGGGCCAGAGTCATCTAGGATTCTTGTAATGGGTTAGGCATTTCCAGAAAATCAACAAGTTTGAAAGCAGATTTCTAAATCTGGACCTATTCAATTAAACACAATTCTGTAAGTAAAAGCTGTGATGTCACACAACTAGAAATAGCTCTGACATTTGCAATTACAAGTCTGTCTTTCTTTCTTAGAAATAGTTACATTATTGTCAGAGCTGAAAGGAACTTTGGAAATGGTTTAGTTCAATTTCCTCATTTTTCAGATGAAGAAACCTGACACACAACAATATAAGTAGAAAACAAGGACTCACCTTGATCCCCAGATTCACAATTTAGTGCCCTCTTACTACAACATACAGCCTCTTTGTACTAAAGCTCCATGATCATGCAAAATTTTCTGAGCTGTTAAATTCTTTATATTGAGTACTATTGGATATTCACATTTTAAGTGAGCCCAGCAATCAATTGATTTGTGAAATAAGTTTTAAACTTAGGCATATACCAGATGGTGCTTGCCACAATTACATAAATGTCCCATAACTTCATCTGGGAGGAAGAACATTCTTTCTTGTTGACAGAAAGTAATCCATCATGGGTCTTGATTTTCTCATTTTCTTAATGCTATATAACCATATAATCACTTTTTAAATTGCTACAATAATTCTGTCTCCTTTCTTTCTCTCTCTAAAAATAGTTTTCCATCATCTACTAATTTCAATGGTGTTTAAATGCTGCTACCCACTCTGTATTTCAGGGATGACTTCTAGCTGCATCAGTTACACACATCCCACCAGCAGTACCCTGTTTGACTTACTGACTCAGATGCATCCAGATCTGAGTAACTGGAGAGCTGTGCATTTTCAGAATCTGCATATTCGCTCTGTGGTATAATGACTGATGTCAGCCCCAACTTTGCCAAACATCTCTCATCACTACTAGTTATATCCCTTTCCAAACTATTGGGCTTGCTCTCTCTTTCTGGAGCACACCCCCTTTCACATATTTGCAGTATGGATTCAACAATATGACAATCATTTTCTTTCCTTAGAGTGCCACTGCTGCAATGGATAAAAATAACTTGTTACTGTTGTCACTGCCTGGTTGGAATAAGTGGAAGGAGAGATGAGAAGTTGCAGTATCTAGTCGGGATATGCTTAGCCTCCTATCTTTGTTCAAAGCTATTCTATTCTCCTGGCCCAAGTCTCCCAGTCTCCTGGTTATCCAAAACTCCCTGGAACTAATGTGTTTTGGAGAAAAATAAGCAAATGTTGACCTCTATGCTGAGCCTATGGTTTTTAACTTTCTTTAGGCTTGAGCTCTGAAATCCACTGGCAGCCACAGGCTACTGTGAGTGTTGTTTTCTTGTTTGAAGAAAAAAAAAAAGGTACTATGTTTTAGAAAATATGCCATGGCATGCTTTTCATAAGCTTCTAAGACAGTTGAGGGAACGTAAAACTCAGCCAGGCAAGTAAACACACATTTAATATGACGGTAATATGGATCAGGAAAAAGTTATTCTAAAGCACAGCATCAAGAGAGAAAGAATACTCTCCTCGTTTATTTAATGTTTTCCTTATGTTTCCTCTGAGCAGAGCTTATTCCTTGACAAGCTTTTCCTTCCCACTGCATCTAGCACTTCTTTTCTGGGATGGCTCAAGAACTGTAGCTTCTCATTTGGTTTGTTTATTTACTTACACTGCCATTCCTGTTCTCATCCAAACTAACATGTGTCTGCACAATGCACAGTGAAAAGTAAATGTCTTTCTTCATGTTTATTTCCCTGAAGTTGTTCATCAAATAGCTTTTTCACATCCCTTTTGCAATCTCATCCCATCCGGCTCAAGTATCCCAGATTAGAAAGGCTGTCTCTGGAGTCCTTTTCAAAGGGAGCCTCCCATAGTCTTTAAATCCCCCATGTTTTATGGTGCAGATATTCAGGATTTGAGGTATTAGCAAGAAGGAAAGCAAAGCAGATGGGGACAGGCACAGTAAAATAGAGTGGCTTCTTTTTTGGATAATCATTATTGGAATTGTCTTGTTATCTGTAACTTCGCTGGTTCAAAGTGATAAACTCAGTCATTTATAAGTAGACACTTTGCAACAGATAAAGGATGGAAAGTCTGTGTGTGGGGGTGTGCACACACATGTGCATACAATGTACAGAAAAAGTTCTACCACTGAAAGAGGGATGTTGTAAATGGGAGCTCTTAAAAAGAAGGCAAAAATCATAATCCTGTTGAGGTGTCATCTTCCTCATAATATCAAACCTAAAGGAGACTATGCCTACTTTCGAAATTCCAACACGAGCATGCAAAATAATAAATGATATTTAATTAAAGAATTAACATCAAAAGGCCATCTCTCAGATTCTAATTTTTAGCATCTTGAAAATAATGCATATTTCAAGTTCCCTTCCTTTTGCATCCAGGCCACTTTATCGCCTCTATCCTACTTTTGGGATGTATAACAAATATACCACTAAAGGACTCCAGAGACATACAATTCACAGCATTGCAAACTTACAAAATGCTCTAATTCATGTAAATTTACCTAATTTACATAAATTGAAGGCAATCCAGTAATAGGGATTACAAATGGAGGAAGGAGATAGAAGTGCAAGTGTCACTTGCTACTCTGCAAGGCTTTAGCAATTGACTTACACTGAATTATTTGAGCACAAAAATTAGCAAAGCACCTATGAATCAGGGACTCTTTCAAAGTGACCTCCCAGAAGTTTGCTGCTGTGTTAACCTGTAGTGCTAGTGTAGTCCTTCAGATATTCTGTTAAATATAATACATAGGGCAGGCTTATGTTAAAATCACTTGAGGCTTGTGACTTTCGACTAAATACTTCTTCAGTAATTACTGAAAAGTTCATCGGCTGGTGCTACCGGAGAAAAGACGTGGAAAGCTCACCATTTACTAACGACAGCCAGGGTGTGCCCCACTCAGGGGTGCCGGCCCTCTGTTCTCCCATCCCTGGGTGGGCCAGAGCATCTTACTCTCTGCTGCCTTGGGCCTCCACTTGGGCTGGGAAGATAAGAAAGTAGTGGACCTTCCCCTTCCTTCCCCAAGACTGGGAAAATCTTTCCAAATCTTATTCCCAGTCTTCCAGATGCGAGATTAGAATGTACAACAGATCCTCTCAAGAACACTGGGAGACCGAGGGTGGGAGAGAAAACTCCAAGGGGGGCGAGCTGACTATAGAGGGAATTGCCTGAGCGGGAAAGGAATCTTCCAAAGCCACAGAAAAGCCTTGGTTTGGAAGAAAGCCGTAGCACAGCTGCATTTCCAACGGGAAGGTCCTGAGCGCACACACTTCTGGGTCCTCCCCGCTCGGAGCAGGTAAACCTCAGAGTAGCTGACCGGCAGCACCCACAGAGTTTCCTCCCCACCACCCGCCTGGCGACCAACTGCAGCCGAAAAGAAAGAAAGAAAGGAAAGAAAGAAAGAAAGAAGAAGGAAGGAAGGAAGGAAGGAAGGAAGGAAGGAAGGAAGGAAAGAAAGAAAGAAAGACAAAGAAAGAGGAAGGAAGAAAGAAAGAAAAGAAAGAAAGAGAAAGAAAGAAAGAAAGAAAGAAAGAAAGAAAGAAAGAAAGAAAGAAAGAAAGAAAGAAAGAAAGAAAGAAAGAGAGAGAAAAAGAAAAAGGGAGAAAGGCAACAGAGGAGAAGGTCAGGAAAGCCGGGAACAAGTCAGCAGCCAGAAACTCTCCAGCGATCTGCCAAGGGGGAGAGGGTAGTTGCGCGCCGGCGCTGGGGATGGGGTGGGGGCGCTGGGGCACAAGGGCGCAGGGGCGCACGGCCACCGACAGCCGGGTGCGCCTAGCTTGAGGCCGCGGAGAGGAGCCGAACTGGGATGGGTGGGGGGTCTTCGGCCTCAACACTGCCTGCCAGCCCCAGTGCGCCCAAGTCTCCCCGCCAGAGCTGCCCTTCTGGAGGGGCTCTTCGCACGCACTGCTTTCCCCATTCTTCTGGCTGGAATTCTCCGGCCGTCACTGCAGTGTCCAGAGATGCTGCGCTGTAGACCCGGGACCCCTTAGGCGCCTCTTCCCGTCCCTCTGCCAAAGCGCAACGCCTGTACTTTTCCAGCTCCCTCTTTCCCTCTTGAAATTGAAAGTTATTGAGGTCGCTCAGGGTTGTTGCTCCAGCAGTTTCCTTCCCCGCCCCCGAGCTCCCCCCCGCCCCCCACAGCCATCCCCCCTCCTCTCCCCCTCCCTGCCCTCCTCTCCCTCCCCCCTCCCTGCCCTCCTCCTCCTCCTCCCCTATGTGGTGCTCCCGGGAGCCCAGCCCAACACTGGAGCGTCTCCTGCTCGCGCACGCCAGAAGCAGCTCGGGGTCTCTCCGCCGCCCCTTGGCCATGGCCGCTGTGCCGACGGCGCCCGCTCCCCTGCGCTCCAGGGGCCCCCGCCGCTGCAGCCGCAGCCGCCGCAGCTTCTGAGCCCAAGGGGCCGCCGCTGCAGCCGCCGCCGCCGCCGCTCGCCCGCCCGGATCCCGCCTGCGGCAGTTGCCGCACAACATGCTACCTGCGGCCGCCCCGGCGGCTCCTGGAACCCCGGTTCGCGGCGATGCCAGCCACCCCAGCGAAGCCGCCGCAGTTCAGTGCTTGGATAATTTGAAAGTACAATAGTTGGTTTCCCTGTCCACCCGCCCCACTTCGCTTGCCATCACAGCACGCCTATCGGATGTGAGAGGAGAAGTCCCGCTGCTCGGGCACTGTCTATATACGCCTAACACCTACATATATTTTAAAAACATTAAATATAATTAACAATCAAAAGAAAGAGGAGAAAGGAAGGGAAGCATTACTGGGTTACTATGCACTTGCGACTGATTTCTTGGCTTTTTATCATTTTGAACTTTATGGAATACATCGGCAGCCAAAACGCCTCCCGGGGAAGGCGCCAGCGAAGAAGTAAGTGCAGGGTTTTTTACGCGTTTGCTCCCTCCCGCCGCGTTCACCTGTCGGGTCGCTTTGCCTGTCCGGAGCCGGCTCCCAACTGCAGCGGTCCTCCCGCCCTGCGCCTCGCAGAGGAGATGCAGGTTCGGGCTTTGGGGGTATGGACGGCGTCTTTCACCCTTGCCTCTCGGCGCCCCTGCCTTCCGCAGCATCCTAGCCGGTGCGAGGGGCGGGCGGACGCGGCGCTAAGGTGGCTCCCGCCCCATGGTAACTTCAGGTTCGCGGGAAAGTTCGGTCCTGGGTTAGACTCGCACCCGGGATTTGTGCTTTCCTTTTGAGGATCGGACAGGGGCACCCAGCCGAAGGCACTTGGGACTCCCAGACGCAGGATGCCTCTGACCGCTGAGTAAATGACAAGGGAGGCGCGGCCGCGGTACCCGCTCACCTAGCGCAACCGCCTCGCGCGGGGAGACCTCGGCTGGGCCCTTAGGCTGGACTCCGGTAGCCGAACGCCCGCTACCCGGCCAGGAAGCCAGGGAGCGAGCGCCTGCGCGGCCGCATCCCCGACACGCACCAGCGGAGCCAAAGGGCGCGCGAGGCGATGGGGTTCGCGTGTCTGCGCGTTTGCAGAGCTGCCGGACGTCCCCCGCCCGAGGGTTGAAGACAGCAAAACCCCAGCTGTGGGGAGCCGGAGGTGCGGAGTTTCCAGGTTCTCTCTTGTCACATGTGAGCGTCTGTACCATCTCTGGCCCTTTCAAGTGTGTCCCCTGGGACACACACGTACAGAGAGTGGGGTCTCCCTAAAGATTCGCCTCCTCGCTGCCCTTAATGCTGTTATTTGGAGGGTTGGATTGTGATGGCTTCTTAAGACGGTGTCCTAGCTGGAATTAAGCGGACACCACCACGGCAGCCTCAACCTGGGTTGGTCTGTCTGAAAGGTAGAATCTTCCCAAGATGAAGGGACAGATGCGAAGGTGTCACCTCTCCTCGCTCCAGGGTAGCCTGGCGCCCTCGCTGCTCTAGTGTCTGTGTTCCCATGGGGAGTCCTTTCGCAGATCTCAGAGCAGGGGCGACCCTGGCTCTATGGTTGGGGGCGCTGGTGGAGAGAGGGAGGAGGAAACTTCTCCTGGAGCTCGCGAGGGGCAGGAAGCGATGCTGCTGCTCTGGGCTCTCGCACCTCCGCGGCGTGCAGCCCAGGCCCAGCGGCCCCACCTGGTTTCCCAAGGGGATCCCTCTCCCAGCGTCCCGCCCGGGAAGCCTTTCGGGGCAGACGTCGGGGCAGCGCGGAGGACACAACACCGGCTTGTGTGAGATGGAAATTTAGTAATCGCTTCTCGGCCGCTGTTTGTCCCTGCCCTGCCCCTGGGCATGAGGGTCCCCTGAAAGCTCCCTTTGTATTGCTGGCCTCGGCCAGACAAGGTTTGATTCACCTGAAAATTGCCTTTTAAAAAGGTGGCAGTGCCAGAGCGACAGGGGCCCTGGCCGGGCCTCACCGCCTTTAGGATCACCTAGCAGGGGGCAGGAGAGCCCAAACTAAATATGTCAGGGCATCCGATTTATTATTCTTGGCCTCCGAATGGTGTGTACTCTGGTAACTCCCCACCCACTCTTTCATTCCGGCCCGGACGCGGAAGGGGAGGCCTGGGGTTCAGCGGTGTCCACGCGCCTGGCGGTCCCCGCCTCCTCTCCTCCCAGGGTCTGGCCTGGGGAATTGAGTCTCAGGGTCAGTGGGCATAGGGAGCCCGGGCTGGAGCGCAACCCACTCTGCTTTCCATCCGCTCTTCCAGCCCGTGCCCATTGGGCGTCCCAGAGCACGCTCTCTCCTTTACCCCCACCGAGGACCCCCGGGCTGGGAGCCACACACTTGTCAAGGAGGGACAGGGTACTGAGTGTCAGAGGCGTCTCGCTTTGCAGTTTTGGGGCCCCTGATTCTGAAGGAAGACACAGGAAAGAAAGCTTGTAGTCCTTTTGTGCCCACCTCCCCCAGCGAGGACCACGGCGCAGGAAGCTTTCCCCGGGCGCTGCCTCAGGGAGCTGTGGGATGATGCACCTCTAGGTTGGGCCGAGAGGAGTCAAAAGGCAAACTGCTTTTCGACCTGCCTTAATCATCTCAAGGCCAAGTCAAAGGAGACCTCTGTTTGTGTTGAGGGGATGAAAGAAGGAATAGTGGAACTGGGTTGCAATTCCAATTTTTCTGTGGGAGTGGGACTGGGAGACAGCACCCACAGCGATGCTCTTGCTCCTTCGCACTTGAGTCTGCGTTTGCGGCTTGGTTTGCTGGTGCAATCCTGGTAGAGGGGCGACCCCTTGCGTCCTCGGAGGAGACAGACTAGACTCTTGGCAGGTGCAGTATGACTTAAGGAGGAAGGAGTGGAGGGTAGAGAGGTCCTCTTTAAATGCCCAGAAACTCAAGGTCAAACTGCATGTGCACAAACTCAGATATACCGTTTGTTTTGAAATCTCTGGGGGAAAAAAACGAACAAAAAGATTCAATTCACAGTTCCTGTTTCTCAAGTAAGGACTAGGAAAAGTTTTTAAAATGAAAACATGTGGTCAAACGTGTTTTCAAAAGAGGCTGGCTATCCTAATTGTTTCTTCAAGAGACAATTAAGTGAATATTTAAGGAGTCTTCTGGCCTGTAGTTATATAGTTTCAATTTCCTAAGCTTAAAATCATCAATAAAGATATGACAGGTAGAAAATTAGGTGTTAAAAACTTCTACAAAAAATTTAATGGTCTCTCTTGATTTAGTAGGAAACTTTTTTGTAAACAAGAACATTCATTTGAAGTGTTAAATATTGTCATGTCCAAAGAATCATGCATTATCCTCAGAAATAGCAAATAAAGCCATATCAGTATTCTCCTGTTTCCCTAAAACAACTGTAATTCCATTTGTCTCTACTTTGATATAAACTAGTGATCCTAGTTATTACAAACTAGTGTTTCTTCTCATAAAAGAAACAATGTTTTAAGACAAGACCCTTGTACTTTAAAATGTCTATTTAGTTATGGGTGAATAAATACACAATAAATTTTTATCTATTTGAATTGGTATACAGCTCTTAAAAATGACTCAACCTTTGAATTCCAGATTGTGTGCTAATAACATTAAGAAGCACTTTTTTTTTGCCATAATGATAGCCACAGAATCTTAGTGGGGCCTCACATTTTCACGTGGATTAGTTGCTTGGGCCCTGAAATAGCCACTGAAGTGAAGAAGCAGGTACTTATCTTCCCATCTTAGAAAGAAAAGGCCTGAGAACTAGAGGCTCAGTAACCTACATAATGCCATATATCTAGCAAGTGGAACTTGTCTCCTGCCATGAATCTCACAGTTATGTACACCTTTATTCTATATTCTGGTCATAGAGAAGATATCAGGTTTATTAAGTAATAAATTAGATGGTCTCAAGGCCATCATTTATTCAATAGGTTTAGAGAATAAACTGTTCTCCTTGACTGGAAATTTTTGAACTCATTATTTTATATAATGGTGATCAATGTCAAAGAATTAAATACCTAATAGTAAAGTTTTCTAAACGGAATATATCATTTGATTATCTAGGAGATACTATGGGATTATTCTGTGCCAGAAGGTTATTGTTAGAAACATCAGATGGCATTTAGCATCCTTTTTATTTGATGCCATCTAGTAGCTCGGTTTTAATTGTTCAGACTCTAGATAAATGCAAGTTTTGAAAAGCCATTATATGCATAATAATTTAAAAGCACTCATTGCACAATCTATAAAACTTCGCAAGTCTTTCATAAAGACGTCTGAAGAAAGAGAGAAAGAATAAAAAGGAAATAATTTTCATGGTAATAAAATAAAAACAGACTATTGGAATGTACTGGTCATTGCTCATGACATTGTTTCAGATGTTGAGCCAGTCTTTGAAATTATGACACACCCTTTGTGATTATGTTGTGAATCCTGGAAAATAACAAGTTAACTGATAAAATAGAAAAATCTTTAATTCTACTATACATTTTGTAATATTAATTTCAAATGAAAGTTTGGTTTGGATATTGACTACAATGTATTTTTCACACTTGTCTACGTTTCTCACCAGTCTGCCTTATTTTTGAGAGTAACAGTGTTTTAAAGATACAGACACGAATAGAATTTGCTGAAGAAAGTGTATTCTTTGATACGTCGTGTAACAGCTGTATAAATCAAGACAAATGCAAATTCATATGCGGTAGTGGCAACATCTAAATGCAAGGAAAAACATCTTTGTGAACTCAAATTTAATCATCATTACATTATCAGGGTTGTTTCTCAAAATATCCCATGGTGACACTATTTTAATTCCGTTTATTACTTTAATAGAAGGATTTTAACAAGAACGTTAGAAATGGTAATTTTAAAATACCTTCTTTTTAGCCCCAAGTTACTCAAGTAATGAGAATGTAAGAATGAGTATGAAACTGATTTAATGTTGTTATTTCAATATTCCTTTAAACATGAAATATGAAGAGTATTTGAACTTGCAAATAGATAAGCTTTACTAAGTCATTTCTCCATTAAATAATTCCCTGGCATTTAATATTGTACAAATTAGGTCCCCAGAAAGCAATGAATGGAAATTACAACGTGTAGTAAAATTTTATTTTCCAGTTATTATGGGGAAACCCTTGCTGCATTGCTCCAAAATGAATTTATTAGACATCTGATTATTTTAGATTATTTGAATCTGGACAGAGATCTCCAGATTGCTACTAAATGTCTAAAATATTTTCTAGTTCAATGGTTAATCTTTTTTTAGTTGTAATAATTCTTTTGAATCCTATGCAATGTTGGCAGAGTACTATGTAGAGTTTTCAGAGCCCTATGTAGAGTTAAGACCAAAATACACCTCTGCAATTATAAGAATGAGCTATGAAAAAATAAAACTATTCTAGATATACTGATTTGCCAAATTGTCTTTTCCCCTTTGTCTCCATCCCAATGTTTCATTTTGGACATATCTTGATCTCTCTCTTCCTACTTCTTCACTATTCACTCACATATCCCATCCCCACCCCAAAAAAATTATTTTCCAAGTAGTGAATTCTTGAAATGCCATCAGAGTGGATATTGTGTTTCATGAAATGTAAGAAAAAACTTTGGTTACCATTAGGAAAACATCATTCAGTTTTAAGAGCACAGTAAGGATCATGCAAGACAGTGTGTTGAAATTATGTTTGACTTGGTTAGGACTATTTCTTCTAACAGTGCATTATGTGCTGGCATTTTTTTTTTGAAAATAATAATTTGAAAAAATGTTGCATCATAAATTGCACAGTTTTTTTTTTTGCTTGGCCTTTGATTTTAAGGGCAAATGTAGATTGCTTTCTTAATTAGAGATTTTTCTCAGGGTTTCACATGATTGAATATCTTAAAATTTAATATCTGACAACCTAGTAAATTTGAAATGCTTTGCAACCATAACTAAACACATGAAGTACAGCATATACATATGTAAAAGATGCTAGCCATCTTTTCTGTTTCTTCAATTCTGCCCATCAGATCTTTCCATTCAGGAATATTACTGGCATTCTGATTAAAGTAGTCATCCAGCAATACTGAAAAGAATGGGGTGTTCCATTCTCAAAGACTGTGGGGGTGCTGAGAATGCTAAATATCTAAATGTCATTGATTGCTAAGAATCCCATTTTCTGCTCTAAAGTTTCAATAACATGGATCTTTTAAGCAAAATACCTGAATTCTTTTCACATTTGAACTGTTTGAATAATTTTTAAATTTTATTTTTAAAAAACAGGGTTGCAGGTGCCTCTTATCTGATAAGAGCATTTCTGCTTTATTTGTCACTTGGCAAGGGACCTAGGTGCTATCTGCTGTAGCTAAAATTTTTCTTGAATTTTTTTAGAGAAAATTCATTGGTACTAAAGAATATGATTGTCCAATTAAATAAATATTTAATGGCTTTTAACTGTCCTTATGTTTTATGCAAACATCTAATCTACTCTTCAAAACACCGCCTTATTAATGTTTCATCTGACCTTTAGAATTTAATTAATTGCAAGTATCATAAGTTTGTGGTAGAATCTGAGACCTGAGAAAGAAGGCTCCTTAGTGTATGTTGGGAGAAGGTAGACTCAGAAGTTAAAGACCTGGGTTCCAGATCCAGCATTGCTGCTAATGCCTGAATAACCCAAGAAAGTCCTTTTACTATACCAAGCTAAAGTTTTTCATCTGCAAAATGAGGAGGTTGATCAAAAACTTAGATCTAGTGATCCCTACGGTTTCCTCAACATTTAATCTTTTGGTATGAGAATATAAGTCACAACTAGGGAGTTAAATAATAACTTGTCTTATTCAACTAAATTTAACAGATAAAGATTGAGTACAAACAAACATAAACATTCATTGATTATAAGTAAATTTATCACATAAAGGTTAACGAGTAAGTGATCAATGTGGATAATGAATTAATTATGATATACCTCATAATTCACATTTTTTATTGTCTGAAAACCATAGTCACAGCAACAATCAGCATACTCAGTCTACCCCATCTTGTCCTTAGGCTCAGGGTTAGGGAGCTGGATCAGAATACTGACTCAAGGGTCACTTCAGAGCTTCCCTAGCATGGCAGGCTTTCAGAGGTGGCCTGTAATTATGAGGAAGAGATGATTTACAATAGTCCAGGTTTAAGAAAATAAGGCCCTAGGCTACAACAGTGAATGACTGCACAAAAGAGTATATACAGCAGATAATTTCTTTTAATCAAATCAGTAGTTCTTGGCAATTAATTGCATATGAAAGGGAAAGAGATGGAGGCCCATATTTGGCAATAAACTTTGGAGTATAAGGACTCAGGTCTGGGTGAATGGAAAAATGATGACGATCAACAAAAAGAAAAATAGGAGAAGCAGGTCTTGTTGGAAATCTGTTTCTCTTTTGAGGAGCCAGTAGGACGTTTAGGAACTCAAAACTCAAAACACCTGGGATTAGAGTATTAGGGCTGAACACAAGTACTTCAGAGTCACTCACATAAAAATGATGTTTATTATTATCAAAAGTGTGTGCTCTCCTACTGATACGGGGGTGTAAAAAATGTGTGCTGTGATGACATTGAGACTCACTCTTCTTGGTAATGTCAAAATAACATTAATTACATTAAGGTACCTTGTCTATTTTAAGTAGTTTAATATATCATTTTCAACTGTGGTTTTTTATGGTTTTTATAATACTCTCTGTGTTACATAAGAGGATGGTCACTGGTATCATAAGCTGTAGTTGTTGTTGCCAAATCTTGCAGCTGAAAATTGCACTTAGAAGTCTTCTTACCTGTGGAACTTTGCCACAGATCATAAGGAGACCTGAAAAACTATGATAATGAAAGGCAAGTTTACATAAGGTATAAAAATAAAATTTTGAACCATTGAATTGGGTGCAGTATCTGTTCATCACTGTAGCGTTCTACTTTTAAGTAGATTTCTCTACAAAGTATGCTCTCTTAATATAAGAGAATCTCTGGAAGGGATAAAACTTGAAAGAATCCAGTCCATCTACACAGTGTGGGATCACTTCTACAACATCCCCACTGAGTAACTGTCTAGCCTCAGTAACAGTCAGCCCCCTAAGCTCTCCCCCTTTTTCCTCCTATTTTTAGGGCTTCTGTATCCAAAGCAGTTTATTCTCCTAGTCCTCTTCTTTGCACTTGGCATGGGCATGGTATTAGATCTAGTTACCTTAAAACACCTTTCTAAAATGAACACACAGTAACGCAATGTGCTACATTCACTCCCAAAAATTGTCCTTAGAAAACTAGCTGGTAAGCATATTTATAATTATACCCCAATACAAAGCACATTCCTGACAGTAAGTGGTAAAGCAGCCCCCATTTTATAACCACATAATACAAACCACTACCACACAATATAAAATAACAGAATTTGTGAGCTGCTTATTTTAGAACACTGTTTTCTTAACATATGCTCGATAAGTTGGTAAGAAAAACAGCAGTCCTTTCTCATTGTTTTTTGTTCCCCTGTTCTACAAAGAGACTTCAAAGGTAAGAACACTGTCATCTCAACAAAGGCTGTCATATATGCAAAGCAAATATCAATCACATTTTGCCAACAAGAAATAATATGCCAAAGTATGTGTAAGTGCTACATGGCAAACAACAGCTTTTTAGCTCTCAGAGCCACTGTTATATTTATGTACATCTTATCTAAATATGCATGTATACTTACTAAAGTGAGTATTATGATAATAGTTATTACTCAATAGCTCCCATGTTATAATCACCAGTAAGTGCCAGACCCTTTGCTTGATGCTTTTGCAAAAATTATCTCATTTGATCTTCATACCCACCTGTAAGGAATGTGCCAATAGTCCCACTTTCATTGATCACTCAAGGAATTGAGGTGGACCTCAGATTCCAGTCTAGGCTAGACTCCAAAGCCAAGGTCCTTCTTTGATTCTTCACTCCACCTTAACATTAGGGTTGGTACTTGAGGCAATCATGGTGCATTTTCTAAATTCCACCCACTCTTTCTTTCTCTTACTCTCTCTTCTTTCCTCCTTCTTTCTTTATCCTCATTTAACAAACCATAAGCCTTTTTTCAAACATTTACTATAAAGGTTGCTTCTGGTATTCAAGTACCCTCCTCTACATCGCTTTCTTTTCCTTACCCTTTGTCCTCTCTTTCCTTAAACCTGTCTTATTGATGAGTTTTAAACATAAAAGTTTGCTGATTTTTTCATTAAAAGCAATAGGATTGCACAGTTTATATGAAAGACTCTGTGATTGTTATTTCCATCTATGGTGCGCGTAACCAAGAAAAGATTAATGTAGGCATGAGAATGTTAGAAAAGTCTGTAATTTTGCAGTTAAAAATCAGAATCCTTCTATGTAATTTACAACCACAATAGATATTTTACTGGCTATTGTTATCCAGAAAAAGTTATCTTTATGGCACTTCATAAAGTCTGTTATTTATATTACTTTTACCATGAGCATTAACAGTAACCTCCACTCTGAATTCTTGCTTTATGGGTCTTGGTACAATAATTTTCCGCCCTGAGGTCACATTAGAATTTCCTGGGGATCTTTAAAAAGATACTAATGCCCAGACTCCACCCTTGAACAAATAAAACTATCTTCTCCACCCTTGAACAAATAACACAATCTTTGGGGATGGTACCTGAATATCTACATTGTTTAAAGTAGTTCTGGTGATTCTAATGTGCAGCCAAGACTGAGAAATATTGTAAGAGCCTTAATTCAATAATGACTATTGCAGCTAAGCAACCACTGAAAACCATGCCAGTTTTGGGAAGGCTAGACAGACAAAATAGACGTATGTGGAGTGTGATTACAAATGAGATAGATGTCATTTGAACAAATAGTAGTGTAAAATATAAAGTATTCTGATACTGTTGATCAATACTCTATTGATCTGTATTGTTGAACAAGAGTATTATTAAACTTGTAGCACTGATTGGTACAGACAAGACTGTCTGATAGAGAATTATCTCAGTCAAAAGAACAGAGCAAAATGCACACAATAGGACACACTAGTGAATGTAACAGATGCTGGCTTCATAGAATAAGAACACAGCTACTAGGAGAGGTACAAACCATGGGGGAGTGTCTTTGCTGCTGAGCTATATTGTGTGGAGGGAGTATAAATAGGACAGTTTTAGAAGATGGGTATCAGCCATACTCAAACTTTTTTTCAAAGCTACTTAATAATAAACAACTGTTTTTATGTCTTACCAGATGACTGGTAATGTGCCCTAGAGTCCTCCTTGTTTTTAGGGAAAACTTAATGGTTAGGAAATACCTAACGAGAAATAAATGTCCTTTTCTTTTATAGTTTCTACAGTTCCTGACTCACTTTAGATTGACTACTGGTGATCACTAAAACGACTATAAATAGCACAGTTTTAACTCTACCTTAATGGGTTCTGTTTTGCAGTAGGTCATTTATTCATGAACTTATCATTTCTACTTCACTCCTAATGTGCTCTTCTTTGGGTAGTTATCTCCATTAAATCGTGTTTATGAGTCTTTTTTAGTCCATGAAGGATTTTCAAATCTTGCCATAAACTGGGGAAAGTTCCATGTAAAAGTGGGGTGGAAGTCTGGGCTTCCTGACAGACTTAATCCTGCTAGTTAAGGGGGCTCTTTGGGATAATATGGGTTCCAATGAGTCACTAGGCCAAATCCCAATAACCGCAGTTGCCAAAAGTAATTAGACTGAAGAAAGCCAGGCTCCTTGGGAGGAAGGTCATCACAGCGAGCTTTAGCCATTGCTCCAACGTCAGACCTAGTTAATTGTCCCTAAGGATGGAGAGCAATCATGAGTTCCAGAGAGTAGGAAATATACCAGAAAACAATGCTTTTTCACTAATTTTTTTCCCAATAGGTTATTTACCATAAGCGTGCAAGAGATGGAAATACGTCATCAGTATGTGCAGTTTATGTCACTATCCTCATAAACCACCTTGTTTGCCTGTGTGAATGTACGTGCCCACATAGAGAACTCCCAATTCATCACTACAAGTTCTCCTCCTCCCTTCCTGAGTAGATAAAGAACTCAAAGAATCTAGTCTAAGTTCATAAAAGAAGGTGTCTGACTAGCATGGAAATGGAAGGGAAGGAATTCTTGTAAACATCCTTAGGTCAACTTAAATATCATATTATTGAAGTAACATTTGGCAACAAGAAAATGGTAGTACATTATATCAGACAAGCAATTCTAAAATATCTGGAGCTAGAACAAACTTATGATTTCTTGTACTGAAAATAATTCACTTTAGAAACATGGTGTTGTAAGTATCTAAGTAGAAATTATCAACAAGTAAGTGGTGCTATAATTTTAAGCTTTCAATATTTGAGAAATTAAAAGATTGTTAAACCTTTCCCTAGGAAAATACTCAAGTAGCACAAAAGTATTCTTGCTCAATACCCAAAGTAAAAATTTGCCTTTGAAACCATTGGCTTGGATACCCAGAAAAGATACTCCATCACTTTATGTAACGGATCTTTAATTGAACAAAGACACTGTCCTTACAGTGGTAAGTTTCAAATTCCTTTATGGTTCAGAATGACTTCAGTATATTTCAGCACTCTTTTGAGCTTAGACTACCAGTTCTCAGTTTAAATATGTGGATGAGTGATATTGCTTATTTTAAATCTACAAACAGGAAGTCAAACTCTTTTTCTGGCCAGCTTTTTCTGGCAACTGGAAATCTCCAGGTATCATCTGGCAGACAAATAAACCCTGTCCTTGTGCACTGCACACATCTAATAGTTATCATGACCTGATTGTCACTATGGCCAATATTGTGGAACAATGTATTTAATTTTCTTTCATCTTAAATTGACAATAAGATAACCAAAGAATAGAAGAATCCTAATTTTGGAAAAACTTAGCAAAATTTTTTGCTGTGTTTACTTGTACCACTGGTCATGTAGTTTCTGCCATAAAATACAAACGGTATGGACAAATGCTGCTTGGCCACAAACTGAGGACATACTGAGAAGCTACATATTTGTTTCTTATAGAATTTAGTTTTGTTTTTCAATTTATGATGAGTTTTTTTTTATATGGAGTCCAAAAGGACCCTCGTTGCTTGTTTGGTAACAAGGAACAAGGTCCAAACATGGTATCCTTAGCCCCTCTGACTTTAATTCACACACTCTCATTTCATGCCATCCTCAAGATGGTAACTCTCAGTCCCCTCCACAAAGACTGAATATAATTTTAAAAGGACAGTCTTTCTTTCATATAGCACATTTCTAAGACATCCAGCCAACTTTCCAGTTCTATCCAGAGCTTAATGTAGATCCAAGCTTTTAACACAGATCAGTGGGATTTCCTTGGAGGCCAGTTAGGCTTGCAGTATCACATAGATGCATACTTGGCCCTAGTACAATCAATAACATTTGCTATCATATCCAGCCTGTGTTTTTAAACCTGTGGGCATTATGTGACCATACCCCAAAGTTTAGTTTCTAACAGAATAAGGGAGAGTTGCAGCAAGAGAACCTCCAAACAATTTCATGCTATAACTACCATCTTCAGTATCCATGTGGACATCCCATTGACATTCCAGGAATTCATTTTAAACTGTTTGCCTCTGAACTGAGTATGTGCTCTAAGGAGAGCCTACGATCCAAGAAACCTTCATGTAATAGTTTTTACCCAAACTATTTAATTCACAAGCTGTTGGGCTGAAGTGCTCTAGGTCATCAGATAAGAACACATTCAAATGAAAATTGCCAAGATTTTCCAGTGCAGGATATTTTCGTCACCCTTCCTAGCTCAAACTCACTTCCTCATCCACTCCACAAATTCTAAACCACTACTAAGATGAGTTGAACAGTCTTAATTTTATAATCTTCCAAAGAAAAAATAAAGACACAGACAGCCGAGTTAATTTATAAAACAGTGCTGCATTTATCTTGGCAGATGTCAGTTTTCCCCCCACTAGCTCTTTCATGCTGACTACTTAGCAACTCATGGAGGATCAAGTCATTCCTATGTATCAAGCACCTTGAGAACCATTGCACTGAATAAGTTTGGTGTGTCTCTTCACACACTTCTTGTACAAATTTCTTTCCTCATAGACAATTTATTTACTGGGTCTCTGAAACCTAAATAATCCCTTTACTTTAAACCTGAAGCAAATGGAGAGTCATTTTTACAAGAGCAATAAACTAAAGTGGCTGTTCAAACACTTTACTTGAATTGCTCTGGGCACTGAAATACCTTTTTGTTAATACAAACCCTTCATATTCTAGCAGGAAAACCCCTGAAATTCTAGGGTTGCTTAAAATTGTGTAACCAGGAATCTCCCCTCTCCCCCAACACCAGCCCCCTGATCCTGGGAGTATGCCAGTAATTTTGCAGGATTCATTCTGACAAACTGTTCTGGTGTAAATGTTTATAGAAATCTTTTCCACTAGAGATTAAACAAAGTTTAAGTAACTGTGCCTAAATGATAGATCTTAGTAGTGTTTGCAACAGCAGGTCTGATGCTATCTGATGCAAAGATTCTGATACTGTATACTAGAGAAAAGGCTAAAGGAAAAAGAATCAAGAGAGGAGTTAGTATGAACTGTATGTAATTTGAACTGCAAAATATTATTCTAAGTTATCTCTATACAGATTAGTTTTTTTAATGTGCACAGGATATAAGGGAAATGAGTTCATTTAAATTGAAAAATAGTAAAAACTGACTACTCGTGCTTTAATGGCTTAAAAAAAGGTGGGGGCAATTACAAATCTTATCACATGCCAGTTCAAATGCAATTCTTGGCTAGTTCTCCAAATTCTCACCAAAATGAAGTAACATATCTGAGATCTGATCTGATGTAAGCTCTGGTATCCATATTATTATGATTCAAAAACTACTAAAAGGGATAACTGCTGAGCTCTAAGCCTTATATTGAATATTATTTATTAAAACAGGGTAGTACCCTAGGCCTCAAGAGGTGAAAGCAAACCAGTGTTCCCTTTCTGTGCTTTCCTGTTTGCACAGCATTTTCAAGTGTTTATTATATACTAAGGGATTACACAGCTAAGCAATTAAAAACCTCAGAAACTTCATTGACTGAATTTCAAATTAATGCTACAGCATTAATGATTCCTGTGATACTAGACTAGGAAAGGCATATGTCATTTAGACTAGTTAATGTTTCCTCTTTCCCTTGATGATTTAAGGCCTACCTTAAAATTTAAGAACCCATGAATCTTAATTTCATTTCTTTGTTGGTAAGTCACAATATGAGATTTCTTCTTAATATCTGGAGATTACTTCCTCATTACAGACATAGGATTTTTTTAATTTTAAGATTTCTTTGTGAAAAACCATTTTAGAAAAAGTTCAATGTAAATAATGTTAAAACATATGCAATGGAACTTTACTCCTTTTTGTTTTGCTTCAAACGTAATGGCAGTCATTCACTGCTAAGTTTCCAGTTGAATCCTATTTAAATACTGTATTTGCTATAAATGAGCAAGGAAAATAATCAAAAGGGATCCATGGAATATGAAATAGAGACTTTATAAACTTAATTGGAAGATAATCCTGTCTTTCTAATTACCTTCTTAGAATCTAGATTTTCTTGATTTGACTGTAGTGAGAAAAATCCCACCTTAGGAGGCAGGGACATTGATTTTAATTTATATATTGCTATATAATTTAGACAAATCATTTAGTCTGTGATTTGATTGTATCCACTATACAAATGAATTCATAATCTTTCATTTATCTGAAAGCAGAAAACTGATCTTAAAGTCCACTCCTCCAACAGTAAGATCAATGAGCTTTCCCTTTTCATTTTTGTAGCATGCTCTAACCTTAGATAGTTGCCCGTCCAAATGTCTAGAATGCTGAGTTATGGCTAGAATTCAAAAGTTTAAGTTTCTTTTTGCACATTCATGGAAGTTTTAGACCATATTTTTAAAAAGCTAACAAGGCAAAAAAGGAATCTTGTTAGGGGAAAAATATGGAAAAATCAAAATTGAACTCAGCACTAACTACAATATCATACATTCATTTATTTATTTAATAGCTCTTTATTAAACAATTACTATGTGCCAAAATTACGAAAATGAGCAAAACACACCTGGAACTTACCCTTGTAGTATTTCACAGTGGTTAAGGAAAGAAAATATTAATTCAGATTTTAAAAAACAATATTTGGCTAAAGATAAATTAGAGCACTTTAGATATCATTTCTAAGCCGAATAGTACCTCTTTTTTGATTTGTTTAAATAGCGTTGGAAATTAATTAGTTTACAATGAACCTAATAGCTACCCAGATTTTTCTCTGGGAAACAGAGACAAAGCTGAACAAGACCACATATGGGGATGAAGCAGGAAGGTGGAAGGAAGATTAACTGAAAACATGGGAATTTATTAGGCCTTCTGGTATTTTCTTGTCTTAAAATTTATGAGCAATGAATAGGACTCATTACTTAGCATGCCGTTTGTGACAATCATAGGAAGTATGCTATTGTCCACTTTAAATGTAGTTAGCATTTTTAAGTAAGCCTTGTAATGGTGTGGCATAGCTTGGCTGAGTGAATTTCCATTTTTGGCACATTGACTAATTTCTATAGCTGAACTTTCACAATAGTTCATTAACTGGAATTACTTTTCCCAAACACTAACATATTGTATGTTTTAAAATAGTGCATTTTTTGTCCATCTCTCTGAAGCATTTTCAAACCTTTTATGGTAACCCCATGACCACCACATAAAACATACAAGTCAATCTACTTAAAGCACCAGTTTGGCAAATATATGTCAACAAGTTATTTGGATTCTTATGTAACTTTGTTGATGACCTTTCCTAACCTCAGTTGATAGCTTTAAAGATATCAGTTGCCAAAATTCAGAGTCTTGAAAATAACTTGATTCAATTATTTTCGGTATGTGATCACTGACTTGTAAAGGTCTTTAAGTAAAGAAAGGCTACTACCAGCTACTTCCACATGTTTATCTCATGGAACCTTCACAACAATTTCATGAGATATTATTCCATTTTATAAATAAAGAAATTGAGGCTGAAAACAACTAAGGAACAGATCAAAATGACATAGTCAGAGATGGTAAACCTAAACTGTACATCTAGATCTTCTGACCTAATGAATAGCTTTCCCAATACACCCTGCTTTTCATTAAGCCTGTAAAAGAGAATGCCAGAGGAGGTTTAAATGAGAAATAGTTATCTTTGCAACTGAGATGGAACTACTAATACCTCATTAGACAAAACGTGAGGGTGTGAGAAAATAAACCAGACTACTTGACAGAATGGTTACTTAGGAAGTGCCAGGCCAAGTTTTTTAACTGTTTTTAAATCAGAGGCCCAATAAGATTGCAACTATTGGCCAGGTGCGGTGGCTCACGCCTGTAATCCCAGCACTTTGGGAGGCCAAGGCGGGCAGATTACGAGGTCAAGAGATCGAGACCATCATAGCCAACATGGTGAAACCCCGTCTCTACTAAAAATATAAAAAATTAGCCGGGTGTGGTGGCACATGCCTGTAGTCCCAGCTACTTGGGAGGCTGAGGCAGGAGAATTGCTTGAACCCAGGAGGCAGAGGTTGCAGTGAGCCGAAATCGTGCCACTGCACTCCAGCCTGGCAACAGAGTGAGAATCCATAAAAAAAAAAAAAAAAAAAAAAAAATTTACAACTATTGTTCTTAAAAGATCCCTCTGATTGGTAATGGTAGCAGTAGTAGTAGTAGGAAATGGGAAGATGTGAACTCTATTAATAAGGGAGGTAGAATCTGTAAGAAAGGTGATTGGAGAAGAGGATAAGGAGGGCTCCTAGATTTCTGATTGTAGCATCTTCATGGCGCCATTTGCTGCAACAGAAAAGCACATGTCGATTAGATGTAGTGGCTCTCACAGGTAATCCCAGCATTTTGGGAGGCCAAGGAGGGCAAATCTCCTGAGTCCAGGAGTTCAAGACCAGCCTGGGCAACATGGCTAAACCCTATCTGTACAAAAAATACCAAAATTAGCCGGGCATGATGGCTCAAACCTGTAGTCTCAGCTACTGTGGGGGCTGAAGTGAGAGTATCACTTGAACCCTGGATTTTGAGGCTGGAGTAAGCAGTAATCATGCCTCTGCACTCCAGCCTAAGCAACAAACTGAGACCCTGCCTCAAAAAAAAAAAAAAAAAGGCACATGTCAATTAAGTGTACAATAGTTTTAATAGCTAGGAAGATTTGTGTGAATTATATATGCAGCATAAACCACTCATGTTACTGAAGAAGATAAAGAGAGACCAGAGAAGTAAGTGACTTAATTGAAGTCACTTTGCAGTGGAGCCAAGAGTAGAAATAACTCCTGTAGCCATTCTGTAATACCAAATGCTACACAGCAGATGGTTCCAAGGGTTGACCTTCCAGAGAAGGGCTCTATGGATCCTCTGCCAATCTGATTTCTTATGTGTTTAATAATGGCCTTCTTGGAGAGAATTATCTGTTCATTGACTGAGGAGTTGCTTCACAGTCTCTTTATTTCCTTACTCCAAGATATGCCAAACTTTAAAAAGTTACAATAACCTGTTGCCCTAAAGTAAGATGGCTCATGACAAGGCACAATTTTAAAAAACAAACCAATTACACATGCCGTACTCTCATCAAACACAGTTATCCATTTCCTCATCAAACATATTCTATTCCTGGGAATGAGGAAGGTTCAAATCTGATCCTGAGCTGGAAAAGTATCATTTTGCCCATTATCAGCAATAACTTATATTAATATGATTTTGTACAGCATATAGACACTTTCTCATCGTCTTATTTGATTTTTTTCTCAACACCCTTTTGGAATGGGCAGAACAGGTGTTATCATACTCATTTCACAATTAAAGCTCAAAGATGGTAAGTGATTTGTATGGTATCACAAGGTTGGTAAGTTGCAAAACTTAGCCTCAAAGGTCTTGTAGGGGGATAGTTGTTTTGTTTTTCTACAGTTCTATGACTTTTCCCACACTACCACAGTTCTCATATATCTACCCTGAAGTTCCTACTATTAGTATAATTCCTTTGGATTTGACAAGAAAGGCATGTATATTAGAGGAAATCTTTATTATAGATGAGAGTCTTACTAGCTGACAATGTGAACTGGCAGATCTTTAACGTCCTGTCCCATTTGAATACCCATGAATGAGCTTATTGTGGGGAGAAGGAGATACCGAAGCAAGAGCATCAAGCATTGTTTGGCAAACTGTCTTCAGGAAAAAGCAGAAAACTTGCTGGGTATTCTCTATGGTAGTAGAACTTTCTGAGAGAAATGGTTGAGTTTTGATATAATGGGATGTTTATTAATAAATGTCATTATGGGCTGGGCACGGTGACTCATGCCTGTAATCCAGCACTTTGGGAGGCTGAGGCGGGTGGATCACTTGAGGTCAGGAGTTAAAGACCAGACTGGCCAAATGGTGAAACCACGTCTTTCCTAAAAATATAAAAATTAGTCAGCCATGTTGGTGTGAACCTGTAGTCCCAGCTACTTGGGAGGCTGAGGCAGGCGAATCTCTTGAACCCGGGAGGCAGAGGTTGCAGTGAGCGGAGTTGGTGCCACTACACTCCAACCTGGGTGACAGAGAGAGACTCCATCTCAATAAATAAATAAATAAATATCATTATAAGATAATTGTATGGGCTTTCCCCAAGTATCATGATATTTGTTTTACTAGACATAATCAAGTAGACTGTTACAGGAAAGCAGTTTGAACTAGATACCTCTAAAGTTCCCAAAGTTTATGATTCTATTGGCTGGAAGCTGACTATATGGATCTCAATATTCTCATCTGCAAATTTAAGGGAGAAGGAAGAGCTTCAAGAGCCCTTTAAATTCCATAGGTAAATTCACCATCCTTTCAGATATTATGTATGTATTCCTACATAAAGCATTTTGTTCATAACATTTTCCCTCCTTCCCCCTTTCCATTTGTCTCAGTTTTTCTTTTCCTTCAAGTTCCATAATCATTCCTATCTGTTCTCTGTAGTCTTTAGATATCTCAATTATCAATAATTGCTCCTGCCTTTTAATTTGCGGCAAAAAGTTTCTAATCTATACATTTATGGGTTTTAGAATATTAAAGTATTATCTTATTAATTGTATTGTAGGCTTCTTGAGTCAGAGACTATCTTTTGTCTCTCAGTATGATCAGTACCTAGAAGACTGCTTCCAGTAATCATTGAATAAACAATTATTTGTGAAGATAATAATAATGTAATACTGAAAGTGTGGTATTTATATCACCTTCGTCAGATTCACCTGGGATGCTTCTTATCAATGCAGTTACCTAAATCCACTGGATTCACTTCCAAATCAAAATATTTGGGAGTGGCATCTTACCTCATCATTGTAAACAAGTAATCCAGGCCATTTTTACACACAGTAAAGTTTTAGAATCTTTAGACCTTTGGTTTCTCTGTACCATATAGACCTTTGGTTTCTCGGTACCATATTGATATCATTTCTATGCCATATCTTACCTTTTTCAGTCTGTTTAAGTAGGTGTGTATCTTCAGTGAGCAGCTAGTGCCTCAGAGGTCTTCTTGACCCGGATGTCTGTGACTCCTATTAAAGTCTGTGTCTATGGTACTTAAAAAGTAGCCACTCTATGACTGTTAGTGAGTTTCTGGTTCCCCAAGCTTCTCACACCTCCTGTATTAGAAGCCTCAGTATGTATCCTCTTTTCTAAGAGTTATTATTGGATAAAGCTGCCAGCTGCTTCAAATATGGATGATGATAACACAGGATGAGTTTAGTGCCTCTTGAGTTAAACAAAGTGTCTTATACCTATGATTTTGATGATTGCCTAAGAGAGTCCTAGGCACTTTACACAGCATCTCACTTAATCCTCTCAAATACATATCAAGCAGATATTCTGGTGTTACAGATGAGGAAACCTAGGCTCAAAAAAGTTAAACAACTTTTGTCTAAATATATAATCAGACTGGAAATTCATTTACACAGATAATTGGTTATATTCATCTTTGTATGCTCACCTACTAGAACACTGTGTGGATGTTGAATAATTTAATTTTTTAAATGAATAACTGGATAAAAAATAAATATTGGTAACTCAGCTAGAAAACATGACAACTAGGGTTCAAAACCAGACTCTAAATGAGTGCAGATCCAGTACCTCTTCACCCTGTCCCTGTGCTCTTCTGGGAAGTGTGCAGGACCCATTTCTGAATGAGGTCACAATGCAGGGAGCCATGCACATAAGTATAAAGATGCATCATACTTACAAAGGTGCATGTATATTCTTCTTCAATTCCGTTAGCAATTGGAGCCATGCACATAAGTATAAAGATGCATCATACTTACAAAGGTGCATGTATATTCTTCTTCAATTCTGTTAGCAATTTTGTGAATCTAGGAAAAAAATCACTTATTTTCCTTGCTCAGAATTTTGTATGTGATACATAAAGCTGGAGTTTTTAAAAATGGTATACTCACTATTGGTACATCTTCTAGTGCTTGTTGAAATACCACAAGTCTCTCACTTGCTGTTTACTTATGCTAAGACCTCAGCCATCAGATATGCTACTTTAGCATGCTATGTAGCACAAATATCCAAGTTTATTCACAATATAACAAAGTGGAGTTTGTTTTTAGCACAAACTGAAGTTTGTTTCATTCAAGAATGTGAAGTTAGTAGTTATGGAGCACTCATGCGGATTCATTACCATTAAACTGTCACATTTTCTGTTTATGTTGATTTCTAATTATTTCTAACCTTAAAAAAAATATATCTTTTTTTTAAGGTTAGAAAAAAAATATTTCTAACCTTAAAAAAAAATTTCTAATTATTTCTAACCTTAAAAAAAAATGGAATGCTTCTCTCAGCCAGACCACAGCACATAATGATTCCCACTGTTGGATGAACACTGTTGGATCTGTCTTATGAAAAACGCTGTTATTACCTACTAACTCATCAATAGGTCCTGGCTCTACAGAATCTGGGTCTCATCACCCTCATCCACCCCCTCTTGTCCTCTATTCACCTCCACTTGGGAACATGGCCACTTGGAGAAGGGGAAGCTTTCCCTCTCTTAGCAACAGCTGGGGATGTTGATTCAGTACCTTACATTTTACACTCGTAGCAGAGTGCATTCACTTTACAAAGGATTTTTCTACTTGCGATTAGGAAAAAAAAACACCTCTTTATTTTTGGTTCTGTGAGTAGTTTGTAACAGTTTCAATAGCAGCATCAATTGTAGCTAGTCGGTTGGTCACAGGAAAGTTCATAGGGTTTTTACTACTTTTGAAGTATCCAATTTGAAATTAGTCCATAGATTTTTAATTCATTTAAGGAATTAAAGAACATAATATTAAGATACTAAAAGAAATATTAAATTAGAAGTAAAAAGCACAGTGTTGTTACTCTAAGTTATTTAGACTGTTTCAATATGCATTGCTAATGGTAACAATTTAGAAAAATACAAGAAAAGATTATATGCAAGACTGTAATTTTTTTGCTTTTTATTCTTTCTTTGTTCTTATGACCTTTCATGTATTTGATAACTTTTTTACTTCTCCCCACTTATTCCCACACACACACTTACACAGAATGAAAATTAAAATCCCAAAGCAAACTAAAATTACTGCTAGAGAAAGATGGGGAGGAACAGAGGAGAAACGAGATAGTCCCAAGAGCAAAACACATGTAGATTGATGCACAGCCTCTTCAAAGATTGGAATCTGGATGTAAATCCCCAAGTTTGTTGCTAGTTAGAACATTTTCATCTAATATACAAGTTAAAAAGAGAACATATCTTCATGGAATACAAGATGCTGGTTCTGTTCCAAGATCCATAAAATTAACACAAATTAAAGTAACTATATCAGACAAAATGTGTTGTTTCCTTTCCTTCTAATATTTACTTAGAAATGCAGAGGCTACATGTACTTAGGCTTTTTACTCTGGCCCTCAAGGGATGGGAGGATCTGGCTCCAACCACCCTTTGTAACTCATTTTATAGCACTCAACGCATTGCAGCCTCATTGGTACCTGTCATGTTGCTCCTTGTGCCCAGCTTCTCCCATGGCTTTATACTGTTTGCATTGCTGGTGCTCTACCTGAAATACTCTTCCTGGGTTTACATAATGACTCCTCCTTATTCTGCAGGCCTCGGCTAAGGAGTAGACTTAAAGGTTCTTCCCTGACATGTATTTAAGGAAGTTTCCCAGAGTTATTCTCTGCCTTATTCATCTGTTTGTTGCCTTAACAACACTCATTACAATCTTTAATCATTTGATTCCTTGTTTACTTACTTATTAACTGATGAACATCATGTCTTCAGGAACTGGATGTCTTATTCATTCCTGCCTTTCCTGCATCACATGAAATGTTGAGCACACTGTGGGTGAAATTTTTGTTGAAAACCTTAATCATAGTTTCCACAGTGTATCCATATACAGTGAAGCCTACTTGCATCTATCTTTCATTTCTAGTCCTGATTTTGGACTAGCTGTGGTTAGGCAAAGCATAGCCTTCAGTTACCAGGTTGGCTTTGAGCTCCCAAATATTCATCATATCTTAGATTTCATGAATTCTACAGCTAACATCATTTGCTAGCCATTTTCTTAATATTTTGGGCTGACTTGATTTTAGTGGAAAGCCTAGCTATTTGCTGCTTAATGTTAGGTTTGTTTTATTGCTGTGGCTTTATTTTAAAGTATTTATAGAATATAAATATTAGACTCCCTTCAGGAAATTATTATTCAGTAAGAGAAAAAGAAAGATTTTCCAAGTTCTCAAAGAAACCATTTCCATTAAAAACAGTATGTTTCCCCACATAATAATAATGGTGGCGCACCAACTGGGCTGTATTCAGCAGCTGGTGAAGACATTCCTCTCTGAGACTCTTAGGAATTCTGTCAACCTCTGGTGTAGGCACAGACTTTCAGATTAGATGTTGATTTAGTAGGATAAAAGATACAGTAGACTCTATTATCCTAGCTGTTAAAGTTCAATTAATGTATGTACTTTTGAGTTTGACGAAAGACCAATAGAATTTGTATGTAGGTGTGTGTGTGCATGCATGGGCATGCATGCGTGCATATATATATGTATATACACACATATATGTGTGTGTGTATCCATATACACATGCGCAGACATACAAACACATATGTGCACATATTTAAATATGTATATTTAAATAGCATAGGTGAATTTTAATTTACTTAATGGTTAAAACATTGGTATATTAAAACCCTAAAACCATCAGATGATAAACAGTATTTCAAAAATGGCAGGGTCTGTATATATTTGGACATATAAACATGTGGTTCTTTCAATAAGTTATCAATAAAAAATAATAATGAATAAACCTGTATTCACCCAAATATCATAGTTTGATAATCCAAAAGGAGTGTTGTATCCAAATAAGTAATTATATTTATTCAGAAAATCTTGTGTTCATATTTTGCTATCTATACCTAACTTTCTCAAGTTGCCTAAATGGTTGTGGAGACCTAGCCATTGTCGGCTCTACTTGCAAGCTTTAACACATGAACAAATGAGAAACACTGACTCTGAATATTTTCTTGGGTTGACTGGGCAGAATTTTAGAGAGACAGCCAAATAATTCAAATTTTTAACATTAGACTTTTCTTAAAGTGATCGTTGCCACCAGAGGAATCGGGAAACATCTCTTAATTTTCAATAAATGTAATATTACTCCAAACTTAAATGTGACTTCGTACTAATCAAGTCCCAAGATATGGTAGAAATGTGTTGTCCTAATTTAGGCAAGAAAAATCGCCACATTTTCTCTAAGGGAATGAATTACTGAAGTAAATGACACATAAGAAAACCATTATTACTTCACTTTGAATGATTGATTTCATAATTAAGCATTCAAAGTTTATGTAATTTGCAACATGATTTCTTTGCCAGATATTCATAGGCATAGCCCACTTAAATTGTTATAGATACTTTCTGTTAAACATTTACTACTTTAACATTTTTATTATTCTTTCTTTCTGGTTGTTTTTTTTGTTTGTTTGTTTGTTTGTTTTTGTTTTTGTTTTTTTTTAGACAAGGTATCTCTCTGTCATCCAGGCTGGAGTGCAATGGTACAGTCTTGGCTCACTGGAGCCTGGGCCTTCTGTGCTCAAGGATCCTCCCACCTCAGCCTCCTGAGTAGCTGAGACCACAGGCATGTGTCACCGTGCCCAGCTAATTTTTTTTTTTTTTTTGGTAGAAACAGGGTTTTGCTGTGTTGCCCAGGCTAGTCTCAAACTCCTTGGCTCAAGGAAAGTGCTGGGATTACAGTTGTGAGCCACTGTACCTAACAACATATTTATCATTTTTTAAAAAAATAGCTTTTTTATATGTATTGTGTTCATTCCTTCAATAATCAAAAACACTTTATTGAGAACCTATTCAATAAATAGCTTCCTTGAATAGAAGGTGGGAATTATCTCAAATTCCTGAATCTATAGAGGAAAAAAGAAGAAGAAATTATCAAACCATGAGACCTCTTCCCTCAGGAAGCGTACAGTCAATGTGAGCACACTTCTAAAAAGAGAAGGCATGGAAGAAAGGACAGATGTAAAAAAAACTTTGATTATAGAATTCAGTTGGTCTCTTCTCTCTACCCTGTCTCTTAAGGCCACTGCATACAGAAAAACAGGCAGTGAATGTTGTGCAGACAAGTATGCTTTGGAGAGATTTTATATATGATGTTTTTATTGTTGTTAAAAATAACTTAGATCAAATTTGTGAATTTATTAATTTTTAATTAGATTATAAAATCATTATTACTTTTATGTATCTGGCACTTCTTTTCAACTCAGTCAAACCTGTCTTATTAGTCTAAAGTCTACTAAAATTTACATTTCTGGAAATTAGCTACAAATAAATGATCATCAGCAGTAATTGGCAGCATGCAATAATGGATTTTTTTCACATAACAACTTACAATAGATGTTAGTACATTTGTAACTGAGCTTTAGAAGTGAATTAACGTAAAGCAAATGCTTGAAGCTTGCATTTAAATTGTCACAGAAACAGAATTTAGTTCCCAATACTGTATTAGTTGATACATCATAAACATTGAAAACAAGTAGCCAAAGGTTGTATATTGACCAAGTGTTTTGGTTCCATTTAAAATTCTGTATTCTGGATATTTTATCAAAGTTGAATTAACTCTTATGATAATAGCAAGTCTCTTAGGAATGGTTGCATCAGTTATGTATCACAAGTTAAAGGTTATCAAATAGTAGGAAGCCTTCTTAACAGATAGTGAAATTGAAGTTTTTTACTCAGGGAATGTTGACAGTTCAGACACTGAAAGTAGGTTTAAGTTATGTATCAGTGTACACCCTTTTTGTACAACTAACCATAATAAACAAGTTAAGAAATAATAGTTCCCTCTTTCTTAATTCTAAAGATAGACATATTAATTTCACTGTGTATGTGACACATTTTTAGTAGAAAGTCCCAATTTAAAGTTTCCATGAATTCTGCCCATTTTCCCACTCATATCTACCCCCATTACACATCTAAAGTTTACTTATATATAAAGATATAGTTACCAGATATCAAAGATCTCTATTTTCACCTCTGATCTAAACTCACTATTTTTCCAGCAGGCTATTCCTTTGAGTTCAAGTTTGAAGTTTCAAAATAAATGATTATGATAGCTTCTACTTACTTGTATCATAAGGCAATTACCACAGTTAATTTAGCTTTTGAATATGCTCTGAAAGCAACAGTGAGTGACCTAGAAATTCAAAGTATTGTTTAAAGCTGCTTATAATACATTTTGTTCTCTTACCAAATGTCCCCTATTTTGCATGATGTCTTCTTTTTCTGTAATTTTTCAGTAGCTTCCCCTTGTTTTTTTTTTTTTCAGACAGAGTCTCACTCTGTCACCCAGGCTGGAGTGGAATGGTGCAATCTGCGCTCACTTTAACCTCCAACTCCCAGGCTCAAGCAGTTACGGTAGCTGGGATTACAGACGTGCACCACCACACTGGGCTAATTTTTGTATTGTTAGTAGAGACGGAGTTTCACCATGTTAGCCAGGCTGGTCTCAAACTCCTGGCCTCATGTGATCAGCCCACCTTGGCCTCCCAAAATGCTGGGATTAGAGGCGTGAGCCACCGTGCCAGGCCCAGTAGCTCCCATGGCTTTTCTAATTAAGTAGCCACCATCAGAGACTCATGTGTGCATCTCCAACAGCCACTCCAAAGTAAGCTCCATCTATTAAGCATCACTCTCTGGATATTTCATAAAATCTGCAAAATTAATGATTCCAAGCCAGGTTTATCTTTTTAAACGTCAGTATTCTATGCACCATGCCCTACTCTCCAACTGCAGGCTTTTACTCCCCTGGTAGCCCCTCCCCTCTCTATTCACTGGCTGGACCTAGAAACCCACCTTTTCAAATCCTCTTTCTTGTTCAGCCTACATGCCATTGGCCACTATATTTGGTTGGTACCACCTCCTAAATATCCTTGAAACATGCATCCCTTCCTCACTACATTATATTGCCTCTGCCGTACTTTAAGTTATCATCAGCCTCTTACCTTGACTACTACATTATTCTTCTCCTAGTTTGCATGCCTGCCACACTGCCAGGGAAATTTCCTTTCCAATTCAAATCTTAAATTTCAATCACTGGTGTGATTGAAACACCCTATGTTTACAGAAGAATTTCATTGGCCTATCTCACAAAAGTTTCTGTAATCTAGATCTATTTTATACTTCCAATCTTCTTGTTATTCCTTATATCTTCATTCCCCACTACTTATGCACCAGTTGCATCAAACTCATGCCAGTCTCCTTCCCAGCTTGGGTCACTGTAGTGTTTCCTTCTCTAGCCAAACATGGCCACTTACATACTCATAAACTCCAACTCATTTTCTAAGATTAAGTTCAAACACTGAGATTCTGTGAAACTTTCCCTACCTCTCCACCAACAACTTCAAATAATAGTAGGAAAATATTGTTTGAAAAAGGTGATTTAGAAATTCAAAATGAAGTTAATATTGAATGGGGAATAAAAAGAAAGACACATGAGAAAGTAAAATTCTATTTTCTGTCTCAGAATCACAAGATTTTATGGCTGAAAGTGTTGTTACAGTCAATATAGACCAAAGTTTTTTGTGGTTTCCATATAAAAAGTAAAATCTCTTGCCTTAAAATGAAGTTTGGGAAATTTGTACTTAGTTGTGTAATACTGACTGTGTAATTTGTATGATCCTTATACGGCATTCAAGAAAGCTGTCACTACACTACATAACCATAAAAAAAATCTAGACTCATTGAATCTGAGCTTCATAGTCTTCATTTCTCTCTCTTCCCACAGCCAGCATTTAAACCTTCCTGAAGAAATAAGGTTTGCCATCATTTGATATTCAAAATTCATTGCCATATTCAAAATTCACTGATTAAAACATAAAATTTTATTGCAAGTTGGGACAACTAGGTCTTTCTTGCTTTTTCAAAAATCAAATTTTTAAAAACCCTTGCCTAGGAAGTCATTATATGAAAAAAAAAAGGTAAAAAGAATTATTGTAGCACAATGTTGACTGTGCTCCATTTCATCAGTAAAAGTTTTAGAGACAGAGGGAATCAAGCAAGGTATTTTGGCACATCTCATAATTTCAGTGGATACAGTTACAATCATGAGACTTATTCAAAGCTCTCTCCTGAAGAACATTCCAAACATTCAAAACCTAGTTTTTAAAATAAAATTTATCTTAAGGAATGTCAGTTTTTGAAGCTCTGAATATGTAAATCATGTTTATATTAATAATTGATATATTTAAAATTATATCATAATTGGCAAAAGTTTCAGAATACATAAAATTAGAATTTTGTGTTTTCTTTCAGCAGCCACATTTCAGAGATAGGGATGGATTGGCATGGACCAATATGGTCCATCTTTCTTAAACCCAGAGTCTCTTAGTGCCCTGAGTTTGAAGCACTTTTCTTTCAAGTTGAGGTCCACTCTTCTATAGACAATTCTATGAAAAGGTCTTACAAGTTTTTATCTACACCTCTCGCTTCTTGAAATGGATAATGATAGATTCCAAACACATGGAAATCTCTTGCCCCTTTTACTTTTTAGGATCTTTGCAAGCTTACAATATGTACACGTTTTCTGTAAGTCACCAATGCTGAGTTACTGGCATGAAAAATGACCCTGTTACTTGGAAAGTAGTTTCACTTACAAGTCCCCCAGGCCCTGTAATGTCTAAACCTCCTGTGCCACTTTATGTGACTACCCCGCCCCCACAGAGGAGCATGCACAGGAAAAGCAGACTTCCCTTCCCCCACACATTTCCTTAGTTTATTTACAAAACGTCTTGGAATGAGAATGAGCTGCTTGTGGTTCCTGTGGCTGATTCAGGGATGGTTTCCTACAGGCAGAGGATGCTGGTCAACCGAATGACCTCTCTGTAACTAACCCGTGCACCCCTGTGGTAAGGCTGTTTGGTCTTATAGGTACCTCTTCTAACTAAGCTTGGAGGGATTTGTTTTTGTGGTAAAGAACTTAGTAATAACCAAACGTCACTGTAAAGACAGATTTAATAATGTTAAGGTCCATCAGAGCCTACTCCTTCTACTACCAACAAGAGAAGCCAGAAATACACTGGGATGCCTTTAGATTCCTGTGCATCAATCTTTCTTTCTCTAAGGATTATGGTTTTTTTTTCTTCTGGCATCTTCAAAGGACAATAAAGCTATTAGCAATATATTTGAGTGGAGAACACATTAGGAAAAGAAATCATCCTAAACACCAGCTATATGAGAAACATCCGTTAGTCAGTAGTTTTTACCAGCTCATGCAGAGGTGATGATGACTATTTAATAGTCAAAAGAAGATTTAAAGTTGTGATGATCTTAAGCAAACATGAGTCTCCCAAATATTCATTTCTGTTTGTTCAGACTTGCTAATGAACACTCTTAACTCACACACTGGTAACTCTTGGAAACCCTGGAATATGTGTAACAGTGATTCTTAAGGTAGACTGGTCCATTCTCACCAAATATACATTTCACTCGAGTAAGTAGAAGATAAGGGCACAGAAACTGTAAGACTCCAGTTCCAAAAGAGAAAATATTGAACATAAATTACCATAAGTAGTCATATATGATCCACATGGAAACACTGGTGAGATAAGCATCACATTTTCACCATTATATCTATTTGAACTGGCAATTATTAAGCTCGTGTGAGAAGAAATATTTAATGAAGGAATTCTGGGGAGCTCAACAGCTAACATAGCTTCAGCATCAGTTTGCATTGGATCAAAAAGTAAAATTGTGTTCTCTAATACACCATAGTTCAAAACAGATATAAAACTTAGTGTCCTTACTCAAGTTAAGCCCTAATGTACATTATTTTACTTACTGAAGAAATTAGAAACATATGCTTATCCTCCATTACATAAATGAAAAGCAAAGCAAATGTGTATTAATTTCACTGTGTAAATGAGCACAAAATTACCAGTCCCCAATCTCCCAGGGTGCTAGTTCAGTGAGGATATTATATATATGAAGAGAATATATATAATTAGTTATACATAATTTAAAAATATATATTATATGATAAAGAGACTATGTATACACACACATATATAAGTCCTTTGAGGCAGTATATTCTTTATTTTTCAAATGCTCAATTTTAAGAACTTTGAAATTAAAAACAATACATGTGCTAAAGGGAAATAAAAGATCATAAAAAAAGATAGGAAAAAAAATCCCACCTCATTCACCCATTACCAACAAATTGAAAGCTAATGAAAGAGAACATATATCCTGCCCAGAAAATGTCATTTTTTTATCTGTGATTTAACCTTTGTAATGTCTTTCTACATTTGTCTCCACAGTGCATCCTAACGTTAGTCAAGGCTGCCAAGGAGGCTGTGCAACATGCTCAGATTACAATGGATGTTTGTCATGTAAGCCCAGACTATTTTTTGCTCTGGAAAGAATTGGCATGAAGCAGATTGGAGTATGTCTCTCTTCATGTCCAAGTGGATATTATGGAACTCGATATCCAGATATAAATAAGTGTACAAGTAAGTGCCCACACGAAATTGTATTTTTATCTCATCTTTGGTGACTTTTCCAGATTGAAATGGCCTCTAATATATTTGTGATATTCAATGTTAAGTAAATGATAATGTTTATCTGATAATTAGGCTAAACCATACTTGGACTTAACCCTCAGAACCAGAAAATTTTTATCACTAACTTACAAAAAAGCACTCATGTTTTGGTTTTCTTTTTAATTATGAAAGCAAAGGCTGGGAATATGATTATTGCTCATTGAACCTATAGAAAAGTACTGCAAGCCTCAATTCCATCTGAGTTTCCATTATCAACACAAAATCCAAGTATTGACTAACTTGCCAAATCATTTCAGCTATTTTGACTTCAAGAGAGATTCCAGAGCAACTGAAACATTTATTTATCAATTGGAAATAAATATTGGGAGTACTGTCATCTGGAACCTGAAAACCTGTTTTTCACACTGCAGACCCAGGGACCTTTCTCAAAAATGTAAATTAGGAAATACCACTCTATTCAAATACCATATGTAGTTCCTCCAAACTCATCTCCTACAACTCCCCCTCACCCATTTTGCACCAGCCTCACTTCCCTTCTCATAAGATCTTCCCACCTCAAGCCTTTGCAATTGTGTTCTACACTGGCTGTTCTAGCAGTTGGAAAGCTTTTTGTCCACATCTTTGCATAGCTGGCTGTCTTATATCATTGATGATTTTGCTCATATGTCACCTTCTCAGAGAGACATTCCATGATCATCCTATCCAAAATAATCAGCCTGTTCCCCTTGTCAACCACCCTCCATCTCTTTTTCCCACCATTTGCTGTTGTTTTTTTGTTTTGTTTTCCAGAGCACTTATCACTCTGGAACTAGACTGCCTGGTTTCAAAAAGCAGTCTGATCTGTTGTCCTGGGTTAGTTTTATAACTTTTGTGAGCCTCAGTTTCCTTATATGTAAAATGAAATTATACCAATGACTACCTCATTGGATTGTTGTAAACTTTAAATAACTTAATAATATTGTAAAGCATTATAGCAATCCTGGCTTACAGTAATCACCACATAAGGGTGAACTATTGTTATTGTTTACTGTATCTCCTCTCCTAGGATGTAAACTTTCTGAAGCCTGACTCTTACCCCTCTTGTGCATTGCTGTCAACCAATATAAAAAACAATGCCTGGCACATAGTAGGCAATCAAATATTTGTTGTAAGAATCAATAGCCCTCAAGAACAACACAAAGATAATATCCTTTGTATGTTTTCTTAAGGTTCTGATGAAACATTTTCACTATCACTTAATATAAACAGATACTTCATCTTATAAATATTCTTGGAGATATATATATATATATATATACACACACACAAAGATTTTTTCATAGGGCAATCAGTACAATGATTTTAAAATCAATAACCAATGTACCTCAACTAAATCACTGTGGAGGAATCGTGAATTCAGTCTGGCAAAATAATTTTGGACTTCAGGTGTTTATTTGATACTAAAGTTGTGTGTGGCTGTGTCTGACACATGTAGAACTGGACCAATAGTTAAGAGAACATAATGCAAGCATATTTCTTTCTTTTTTCTCTTTCAGAATGCAAAGCTGACTGTGATACCTGTTTCAACAAAAATTTCTGCACAAAATGTAAAAGTGGATTTTACTTACACCTTGGAAAGTGCCTTGACAATTGCCCAGAAGGGTTGGAAGCCAACAACCATACTATGGAGTGTGTCAGTATTGGTAAGGAGAACCTGTAATAATTTGAGTAAGTGATAATGTCAGTCTCCATGGAGGTGCTTTTCAAAGTCCTTTGCCAAAAGAACTTGAAGGTTCTTGGGCTGAGATCTCTTAAAGGCTGTCTCCATCCTTCTTTACAAAGATACTCTCTTAAAGGTGTTTTTCATAACCTTATCTAGTATGTATTATGGTACAATTTAATACAGTAGGTGCTTCCTTATTTCTTAGGGACTATTGATAATCGTTTCAACCATTCTGTTTATGATAGATTTATTTTTATTATTTAGTGAATTTTTATTTAATTATTTAATGAATTTTATTTAAGTAAACATTCAGCCAAGACACACATATGTATATCTGACAGTGATCTGTTATGTGACATACATATATGTCTTGAACTTAATTTTTACCTTAGAGCAACAGTTTCATAAAACACCTAGGTCTAATCTCAACTAATGACCAAAGTTATTTTCCAAGGTGGGAACATATATTCTCTTGACACAGCCCATTAATGCTCAGTAAATGGATCAAAGACCTAGAGAACTGGAATTGATTTAGTTAAAATCTCACTCTTTTTCTCTCATACTGCTATGCTGAAGTATTCTGCTTGCACAGGTATTGATACATAATAAAAAGGATTGTGGACTTACTCAAACTGACAGATTGAGACAGTCCCTGGGGCTGATTAATTGCAGGCCAAATTTCCTGAAGGGGAGGTCCCTCAGACAAGTTGTTTGTCTAAGTAACAGATCACTGTCAGGCTGTATTTTCAATCTTTTAAACGTTGTGCAGCTACTACAGCTACAACTTTGATGAACACTTGGGAAGCAGATGCTGAACCAAATGGTAAAATAGCCTAGGAAATCTCAAAATCCCCTGGGCAAGAACTACAGGAACCTTTGATGCTGCGGTGATGTTGGCATATCCACACAACTGCCCTCCTGATTCAGTACAAGATAGTCTCCAGGACTCCCCTGGAGTCCCCATCTTAGGGGTCCCTTAGAATCTAAAGGGCTGGAGTAATAACTCTAAAGTGATGGTTTAACCATTTCAAGTGTACCGTAGCACTTTTATTTCTAAACAATGTTCTTGATAGAATAAAATAAATAGATATTTTAAAGATAATTTTAGAAGCATCTGGAAAACAACAGTCTTGAAACAGTTCGTGGCTCATTTTGGTTAAGTTTTTCTTCTCTAGTTGTAAAAACACATGGAAAAAAAAGCAACTTAGGAATAGGGTAAAAAGTACAAAAGAAAGCACTTCAAGTTCTTTTTCTTATAGGTCCTGAGGGCTGATGATTAGAGGTAATAAGTTCCAAACACTGGAAAAAATAGAAAACACGTCTGTGGAATATTCAAGAGCAGAAATTCAGGATGAGTTGCAGAATGTTTGTGACATTTCTCTACCCAGAAAAAAGGCACATATTTAGATTTTTTCAGTTGTTGAAGGTGTAACATTCAGTCCTGGAAAGGCTATTTACCTTAAATGTATTAATGCTTTTCTGTCAGGGAGATCATTTCACACTTGGCACTATTGGATTTGCCTTTAAAGCTTACTGGTAATTTATGCTGCTAGTAAGACTAAGACTATTTATTTCTTAACACAACTACATTTAAGTTTATATATTTTGGAAAAGAGGTTAGCAGTCCAAAGGCCAATTACTGAGTTTGGTTCATTTAACAGATGCAAATGACCTAGGACACTGTAGTAACACAAATCACCAACTTTCATTCAGGGCTGGCTCCGGTTGTTTGCTCAATAAGAGATGTCTCCCATCATATGGCGCCTAGCCTGCAGGTACTACACCTGCCATGCCTTTAGGCCAGTCCAGAATTTCAGGGAAGATGATGACCTGCTTCTATATCACAAAGGAATATTAAAGCCTGTTCCTTTAACAAATATGAAAACTAGGATCCGGAGAGCCAAAATGGTGATCCCAAAGAAACATTTTAAGTTATTTTCAGTGCTGTAATTAGTAGCCTGACTTTAGCTTCCCACTACTCATCCAATAGAAAGAATGTGTCTTTCTCATTGCTAAAATCCACACCGTATTTCTACTTTTCTATCGAGATTTTAAATTGAGAGGAAAGGTCATAAACAGAGGAAATGCTACCCTGATATAGAGCTGGGATGAAAGAGGTATGTCACAGTGTATCTGCTTTCCATGGTTTGCAGGTGAAATGAAACAGAAACATCCACTGAACCAAATTTTATAAGAGAACATATTCTTTTCACTTTGTGCTCCAGATATTTGCTTCCTTTCTGCACTGTCATTTTGTCACCCTCACTGCTTCTCTTAGTTGGATTTGTTCAAGAAACACAGAGAGAATATATCTCACTTCAAGGACTGAGTAGCAAGGGACATTCCCTTGCTATGTTCTCTATGGAACCATGCAACTAGTCAACAAGAATTAGAGCAAAATGACCAGTAAAGTCACTACTAATAGGACATCCTATTCAACTTTCTTGCCAATTCGGGAATCCCTTTTACAGCATCTTGCACTGATGATCAACCACAGCACAATCATTCCCAGGGACCGGAGCTCATTACCTTTATGAGACATGTGCTTCATTTGCTTCATTAGTGAATAGCTAAAGATTTCCAGTTTTAAGATGGTTCTTAATACAGAAGCTAGGAGGAACACAGAAGGTGAATATTCTGTTTTTCCTTAACTATCTCTTAACCAAGGAGTGCCTCAATTCTACATTGTTCATTAAATGATCTGAATAGAACCTAAATCACCTTTGTGTTGTCTTTAGCACTTTTTTTTTTCAGTTTTCATTTTTTTTAGTGGAAATATTATTTGGATGCTAACATTATAGGTTTATTCTACAGTGTTTCTCTAAGATAAATTCACCTCATTTCATGGTGTTTTAACTCTCTGGTCTCATTAGAACTTTTTACTACCTAAACTCATTAGTTTTGAATATTTTCCCTCCTCCAATGAAACTATCTAAGGTTGTCCGTAGAATTTAATTTATAAAACCTTTCATCTTCTGACTATAAACTAATAATTACCTAAGCTGTAATTTTTTAAATACGTTTTTCTAATGTCCAAGTGTACATTTGCTTAGACCACTTTTGCTATTATGAAAGAGCACCGAAGTTCTGGTCACTTGCACATCAGATCATTTTTTCTAATTCAGTCCTCTTAATTCTGGAATTAAATGAATACTGGACAAAGTGACAGCTCACAAACATAGACTTTCCTCTTCTCATTTGCTTTTTTGGAGGTGCCTTTTTTTGTAATCCTAAGGATACACTACTTTTTAATGATTAATATCAGAATGGGATGCTGGAAGATAATATCCATAACCAGCAAGAGATTATAATATTATTAATTGACTTAGTTACTCTATTCTTGAATGAAAATTGTAGTGGTATAACTGAGCATGAAGACTATTTTAAAATGGTTCAATAAAGTTCATTTCATTTCACAGAAACATAAAGTCATGTATTTAATCAATTCCATTTAATTCCGTGTTGCACTCAGGGACCTGAAAGTGTCTGAAAAGTCCTGTGAAAAATGTATAATAAATGGATTTAAATTTCTAAAACATTTAAGTTATCTTTCAGCCTCTGCTGTTATGAGATAGCATTCTGCTCTAAAGTAAGGAATCATTAAATCAGAAGGCAATAAGGGAGGTTACTGGAAACTTCTTTTTGTGGAAAGATAGTCTTAAATCATCTGAAAGAGTTACTGTTGCTAGCTGTTGTTATACATTAGAAAGTTTTAGGGACATAAATATAATAGCACCTTGAGATGTTTCTTTTCTTTAGAAGTTCAAAAATCTGTTACAACCTGAGAAAGCCGTTATTGAAAAAAAGAAACTAATACAGAAAAAGGAAACAAATCTCCAAAAGAAGCTTCAGAAAAAGTACATCAGGTCATCTTAGGAATCACTTGGTCAGGTTAATTTTAGAAGCAGGTTATCAGCTGAAATTGACCCAGAATTCACATATAATAGATGCCGCTATGCCTGAACCATACTCAGTAACAGATATCAATATTTAAGCGTACAACAGCACATGTCGTAAGCAAAGGCAGTAAATAGTAGGCCAAAGACCTGGATTCATTTTCTGCTCAAGCATTCTCTAACACAGAGGTTCTCAAAAGGAGTTCCCAGTACCTGCAAATCAGCATTACCTGTATTGTTAGGCAAATTCACAGCCCTGCCCCAGATAACTGAATCAGAAACTCTGGTGGGGGCTAATGGAGAAAGGTCCAGAATTTTTTGTTTTAGCAAGCCCTCCAAGTGATTCTGATGCATGCTAAAGTTTGAGAATCAATTCTCTAGCACATAGTATAACAACTGTTCTTCAAATTCTGGTCAGGATCAATCAACAATTGCAGCAGTGCTCTGGAAATTATAAAGAATTGATCAATTTTAGTGATTATATTAATGTTAGTGCCTGTGTTAATCAATCTAGAGAAAAAGGAAATCCAATGCAAAAATGAGTTTACCTGATAATGAGTACTAAACTGAAAACATTCAATTTCTGCCTTTCCCATTCTCCTGTTTTATATTTAAGTCATCTTGCCCGACTTTGATCTGCAAGATTCTTCTCAAATGTGGGCAAGTTCTGATGGAAGCAAATCTTTTTTTAACTCAACAATAGTGAAAGTGGTTGTAAGCCAGCTGAGTCTGTTTCTTCTGTTCTGTTTCAGTGCACTGTGAGGTCAGTGAATGGAATCCTTGGAGTCCATGCACGAAGAAGGGAAAAACATGTGGCTTCAAAAGAGGGACTGAAACACGGGTCCGAGAAATAATACAGCATCCTTCAGCAAAGGGTAACCTGTGTCCCCCAACAAATGAGACAAGAAAGTGTACAGTGCAAAGGAAGAAGTGTCAGAAGGGAGAACGAGGTACAATCATAATAACAAAATGTGCTTGTTTGAATCCTCATAATCTGTTGCATTTTTCATTTTATTTCTTATGAAACACTTGGCATTATCTTTCATGCCTAATATCCTAAAATGTGTACCAAGCAAGAATATGCTGCTTGTAAATTACAGAATATAGATGTGGTAATTCCAAAATATGGAGCCTGATGTCAGAACTTTACTATAGAAGTGTGCTAATTGAATTATGATGAACTAGGCTGTATTGTAAGCATTCAGGGCATTATCTGTACTATAATCTGCTTTGCTAGTACTTAGAAAACTTTTGGGAAGTCTCATAATTACAAAGTCTAATGATATTTACAAGAACAAGACAAAGAAACACCGCCATCAAACATTCCTTTCCTCACTGCCTGCAAACCAAAGTAGTGAAATGTAGTGGTAAGCTTTTGTAGCTAAGTGTATATATATATATATACACACACACACACATATATATAAAATTAAAGACAGAATATCATTCTGTCATCCAGGCTGTATTGTAGTGGTGCCATCGCAGTTCACTGCAACCTCAAACTCCCAGGCTCAAGCAATCATCCCACCTCAGCCTCCCAAAATGCTGGGATTACAAGCGTGAGCCGCCATACCTGGCCAGTATAGTTAATACTGACTTTATTTTGAAATGACCAAGACCACATTTTATGAATATAGCAAAATCATTAACGACATTTGTCTCCAGATTTCTTTTCATATTGCATATTTCTTTTCATATTTCTTTTCATATCTGTCTCCAGATATCTTTTCATATTGATTTCTTTTCATATTCTGGTCTTTATAGACCAGATTACAGAACCTATTCCATCAATATTAACTATTAGAATTTGCTGTGAAATCAACAAGGAGAAATATAGCATTTAATAATATGATCCTTTAGGGTGAATAAACTTCCAGCCAGAAGACCCTCAGTTGCCGATCTTTAAAATATCATTTTTCTATCTTTCTCACTAATGTATTCAGCACCACTTCCTACAAATATGTTGTGTAGTTTTATGTAACTATTGGTAGTTATCTGGTGAGTCTATAAATGATCTTCTCAATTAATTCCAAAGGAGTTTGATTGCCTCTGTAGTTGACCTTTCTTATTTCTCCATAGTTGACCTTTATTAGGTTATTTCATTCATTTACTAGCTTATTTCATTCATTTATTCATTCAACATAGTTTTATTATATTCTTACTTTATGGCTATGCACTGTACTAGGGCCTAAGGATTCACAACTGAATGGGGTACTGTCTCTCTATTGTGAAGGTACACCAGAGTCCAGTGAAAGGTTGAGATGTTTAAACAGATAATCACAACATCGTAGAATAAGGGAGATTATAGATGTGTGAACTAGTTTAAAGGGAACACAGAAGAGGACACTGCAAACTTGAACATTGCTTATACAAAAGAGAATTTGGGTCACCTGTACTTTGCAAAGAAACATCCATTATGCCAAAAGAATTGGCCATCACTAAAAGCTATAAAACCTGTTTCTGCCATTCTAATCAAGTAGTTAATGTGAAAAAATTCTTGAAGACATGGGTTATTTAAAGAGAACTTCAAACTTTTGTAAATTTGTAGGAGGTTTTGATTAAAACTTAGTTTAAGGAATGAAAGCTGGCTAGTGAAAAAGGCCTTTTGGCATTTGTTACCAATTAATTTAAAACATCTTAGATTTTAAAAGTTGGATTTGGAAGTCAAATATTTCATCACTCTACTTGTTGGTATGCTCCTGTTGCCGTACATTTACTTATGTTTACTAAATTTCCTTAAAATTTAATGACTTACAGGTGGTCTTTGCTCATATCATTCTTTTCACAAAGATTGTACGTTATTAATCAGTATTCAGTACACATTCCTTTTAAAATATAAATGAAGAAAAGTTATCCAATAGCAGAATTAAATCACGATTCTAATTACATTTTATTTCTTTTACTTGAGAATGTGATCTTTCAATAGATTATATTTTGGTAGCACTTGACTTAAACATTGAAAATGTCAACTGTTAAAACTGGCATTTATCTCATCTAGAAAGAGATAAAATAAACAACATCACAAGAAGTTTGAAATAGTAACCTGTGACATAAGATTTAGCTTAAAAGTGTCTTTCTGATTTGTTTTCTTCCCCTCTGAGGATACAGTGACATTTTACATTTACAAAGAGAAGTTTATACAACTAGAAAATGTAGGTGTTTTATTTTTTCAAATTTCATAAAATGTAGACTAACAAGTGGCAAATATGAATCACATTTACAATTAATTTCCAGATTTAGTCCTACTTTTATTTTTTTTCATTTATTTTTCAAGGTGTTTGTCAAAAACTTTTCTTAAGTAGCCTATAAACTACAGGTAGGAAGAAAATCATTTCTCTCTTTGTTATTTCTCTAATCCTCCAGTTTTCTTAACTTCTCTTAAGGTTTAGTTAGCAAGTATCCTATTTGAACACAAACCAAATAGAAAAGTAATAGTGACCTCTGGACATCCCACCGTATCCTCTCTATCAAGCATCATATCAAAATAATAACATCCAGAGTCTTCATTTAGGCTCTACTGTATATTTATATAATATGTATAATATATAATAAAAATATCTTGAAAATTACTCATTGTCTTGAATTTATAACCTAAATGATAAGAACCCCACATACACATATAGAGAAGCATATCAACAGAGCAAATTTAGTAGAGGACTTTATCTTTATATTTTTCTATAAAAGTTGGCATTTCTTATTTTAAGTAGGGTAAGCATTAGAAACATTTAATCAACTTTAAAGATAAACACAATAAAGTGGTACAGACATGACTTCCCCTCACACTTAGGATAGCTATTATTTGAGTTGCTCCCAGATGTTTATGGATTAATAAAATAAGAAGATTCCTTTAGGTTCACAGCTTGAGCATTTCAAGATGAGTGTACTAAAAGATAAGGCTTTTCTTATGAATTTAAAGTTAGGTCTATGATCCCTGCCTAAGAGGTTAACAATAGACAGAGGTAGATAACTCATATTTGGAAAAGGTAGGGAGCATGTGTTCAGGATTTTTTCTGCTCTGTTGAAATTGCCAAAGGCAAGATCTCCAGGGAAGAATGATAAGATCCAGAAATGACTTTTCAAAATGTACACAAAGAAGAAGTTGAATAGAAGAAAATAGTTTGTAGGAACAGAGTGGATTCATCTAGTTGGGAGATGCTTTTTAATATGTATATGTTACAAAATCTTACACACACACATTTTTCTTTACTACCATTTTCTCATGGTTAGAATAAGTTAACCCAAGGAGATAAATTTAATTGTTGTATCCTTACATTTAAATTATCTCATGTATTTGTTTACAGTATTTCAGATTATTCCCCTTTACTTGACATGCTACCTTTTAATCAGCCTGAACTTCTCCATCAATTACTAACTTTAGTAAGAGGTCATTACCAATACAATTCTTTCTAGCTTGAACTTAATTGAATTATATATTTGAAATATCAAAAATATAGATTTTAAGAGATTATACAGACTAATATATAAACTATTATCACATGTGTATTGAAACATCATATTTAAGTAGAAGTAAACAAGGAGAAAATGCATTTCCAGTGGTTGCCAGGTTTTATTTATTGACTTTTTTGACATACAGTGTATAACCATCTCAGATAAGGAAAACTGAAACAGCTCAGGAAGATGTGTGTGCACCTGCATTTGATGCAAAAGGGTATATTTGTGTATGTGGTGGTGGAAGCAGAGTCAACAAACACATTTTTCATTCATTTGTACCTTCCTCTAATTAACTAAAGAGAATTTCCTATAGATGGTTTTTAAGGCAACTCACCAAGAATAAAAGAAATTTTGTTCTTTGGTTAGTTTTACAAAAAAGATTCTTATTAATCACAGATAGTGTATGATCTTGGGATAGAAAGGAGAGAGAAGAGCAGAGCATGTTGCTGGAAGAAGTGAGGTGGAGGTCTATCTTCCTGGTATAAAGACAAGCTAGCATTCATTCCACCAGAGAAATATAAAAGGAACCCTTTAAAATAGAAAGAAATAAAATGTTTAGGGACACTCCAGGGAAGAAACAAATGTGGGAATCATTGTATTACTGTACTATTTGAGTATACTGTAGGTTGCCTTATGTACTTTCTCAAAATTAAGTATAGTAAAAGTCTACCAGGCATTATATAAAGGCATTACATACATTCTCCTTTTTTTTTTTTTTTTTTTTTTGAGATGGGGTCTCACTCTGTCGCCCAGGCTGGAGTGCAGTGGCGCGATCTCGGCTCACTGCAACCTCTGCCTCCTGAGTTCAAGCGATTCTCCTGTCTCAGTCTCCTGAGTAGCTGGGATTACAGGCACACGCTGCCACACCTGGCTAATTTTTTGTATTTTAGTAGACACGGGGTTTCACTGTGTTGGCCAGGCTGGTCTCGAACTCCTGAGCTCAGGCAATCCAACTGCCTCAGCCTCCCGAAGTGCTGGGATTACAGGCATGAGCCACCATGCCTGGCTGAATGTATTCTCTCTTAAAGGCTAAGCCACGTTTTCAATTTAATGTCCTCAGTGGACAGGACTTCCAGTTGCTGAATCACTATTTAGCTTTCCCTCCACTAAAATTAATTATATGGCTATAATCATTTCTTTTTCATAATACTCTCCTATCTATTCAGTTGAACTGTTTGCAACCGCCTTTTTTGTAGGTCGTAAATGGTCAAATGTAAGCAGTTTCATATGGTTCAACCTGATACTTTAAAATTTCATCTCTCTAAACTGATCAAGTTTTAGAACCAGACCTACAGTATGTTTCTTATGGATTGACAGTTTACAATTTGTATATACTACAATCTGTTTTAAATATTAAGCTTTTAATAATAGTAAACTGTACAGCTGTCCTTGAAAGAATGTAGGCACTACCAATGCAGTGAAGAGGACCCTGAAAAGTGGGGCTTAGGCTGGGAGGGTTCTTGGCTTAGCCCAGAAAAGAATTCAAGGGTAAGCCAGTGGTGTTCAACAGCAACTTTTATTGAAGCAGCAGTGTACAGCAGCAGCAGAGGTACTGCTCCTTATGGAGCAGGGATACCCCATAGGCATTGTGCCCTGAGTACCATCTCAGAGGAAGTTCTGCAGTCACATTTATACCCACTTTTAATTAGATGCAAATTAAGGGGCACATTATGCAGAAATTTCTAGGAGAAGGGTGGTAACTTCTACGTCATTGGGTTGTTGCTATGGAAAGGGGTGGTAACTTCTGGGTGTTGCCATGGCAATGGCAAACTGACATGGCACATTGGTGGGTGTGTCTTTTAGAAAGGTGCTTCCACTCCATGCCTGTTTTAATTAGTCCTCAATTTGGTCTGGTGTCTGAACCCTGCCTCCAGAGTCAAGTCTCACTTTGTGAGTCAAGCCCTACCTCCTACCTCACTACTCATCTTTAAAGTCTCTCATAAAAACATGTTTGGTCTTCAGATGCTCTTTAATCATGGTCACATATGACTTATTCTCTGTTTTTATTTGATATTTTTTTCTCCTTAGCTATATTACTCAACCCTTATTCCTTTTTTTTTTCTTTCCCACCACCTCCAATTTAATCACTGAAACATCAAATCACCTTGTAAATTCAGTGGACAAGTATCAGAATTTATTATCCATGTAGGTGAAAACATTTAATGCCTCAGTGATAGGCCCCACCTCTTATTGTTTCCTCTGGCATTGACATTATAATAGCAGGATCTATGTGAGGATTCTTTGTTGCCTAGGTTTTTGGGTTGAAGACATGCACAATTGACTCCCCTGTGTCATAATGAAGCAGCAGAATTACAGCCAGCACCTTGATAGATATAGAAAAAAAAATGAAATGACAGTTTTTAAGTTTCTTGCCTCTAACACATTTTACATCCTATTGTATGTTCTTAAACTTCTCAATATTAAAGAAAAAGCTCTGCAGAAAATAAGACTTTATTTCATGCCTTGCATTCCTTGATATTATATCATTTTTTAGAACTCAGCCAGCAGTTACTACCTCTTACAATTCAGACCAAGTTTGCTCCATACCATTTTTGTAGGCTCTCTGAGATTTTGGGGATTTTATTAACGGTGGTCGAAAATCATGGTGGACATTATTCACAGTGGGAAATACTTAATTGTTATTATCATCCATGCAATCCCTTCATTCCTATGATAGTATAAGAATTATTTGTAGGCTTTTCTGCTAATTGGTGTGTACCTCAGCATTCCTATTCTAAAATAAACTTTGTAATAAATGACCCTTGAAAATGCCTATATTCTCTGAGATTTCACTTAGTGATATTTATAAATATTTAGTGCTTTGTGACCCATTGGTGAGTGTGACATAATACACAGTGATCAGGTTATTGAATAGAGTGGTAGCATTCTTCAGCTCCTAAGCAAACAATGATCTTGCCATTGTTTAGGTCTGGTGCACGAGGATTGTTTCAGTTAGCTTTTGCTGCATAACAAATAACCTCAAAACATAAAGGCTTAAAACAACAACCACTTACTTAACAATTTGTGGCTGGGCAATTAAGGCTGAGACCTACTGGGCAATTTTGATCTTGGCTGGGCTCTGTCACATTGTTGGATGGCTGGAGAATGAGGAAATTGCCATGTTTCTATTATCATCAAGATGGCAAGAGGTCCTACAGCCTTCCAAAGTAGAAAAGGTGAAGTCATTCCTCTTGAGGCTAGGCTCAGAACCTGGCATAGTTTTTACTTCCACCACATTCTGTCAGCCTATACTAGTCATAAGCCTAGTCCTGATTCAAGAGTTGAAGAAACAGATTTTATCTCTTGGCAGGAGAAGGTGCAAACTTACTTTGCAAGGTGGCATGCATATACAGGGTGGGAGAGGAGAATTATAGCCATTTTTGCATTCTACCCTAGAGGTCTTTCTCTTGTTTGTAGTTAGATTAGTGTGATTCCTCATTCACTTAACAATCTCTTATTGTCTGAAATACAGTAAGAGATTTGTATTTCCTTTGTAAATTTCCTTCCTTCCTTTGTAAAAACAGTCAACTATTGATACAGGAGATGTTGTGTTGGATATTATTTCTATTGTACTTTCTAATTTGTAAAGGGCAGAACAGGAAGAATAAATAAAATCTGAGGCCAAGATACCTTCATACGCTCAACAAATATTTATTAAACTTCCACCATGTGCTGGGCACTCTTAGGTGCTGAGGATAAAGCAGTACACCAAAAAGACAAAATTCTTTTCATCATAGATCTTATATTCCGAATGGTTTATATCAGTCCACAAGGTAATGACCATAGAGTATCAGCCCTTTTGTAAGCATACACCTTTGTTAACAGTTTTCACCTTTGTGATTTGTACCACCAGTAGCTGCTGTCTTCATTAGAGTTTCCTAACACATTACAAAGACATTTGTTAATGCTGGCAAAAATGAAACTTCTCTGCTTACATTTCATTTTGGTCTCAATGTGAATACATGTATTTTTTCTGTGACCACCATGTTGATGTGCTAATATGTTTTTGTAAGACGGCTAAGTAGGGTTAAAGGTACAGCTTGTGGTTGTGGAACAATGCTGAGTTAACCGGCCCTTTGGAGAAATGACCCCAAGACCTTGGCTTCCTTTACAGCCTGTTCTAGCCAACTGAGATCCCTGCCAATTAGGAGGGTTCCCTAGAGAGAGACTCCGAGAGCATCAGCATAAATTTAAATTCTGGACCCCCAAATGTAGTTTCCAAAAGAAGCTTCTTGTCCTTTGCTAATTGCAAAGTAAATATTTCTCCAGCAAAAAGACACTCCCTCCTTTCATGCTCCTGTTCTCCTTCCCATCTCCCTAATACAGTCACTCCTTAAAACTGCTAGTGTTGCCGAAACCTCTTTGACATAGGGGACACCCCACATTTGAAGGCACAAAGAATTATTCTTTCCATAGATAATTATCTTGCTTTTTATATCCTCCAGCAGCTTCTTCATAGAAGCATTACAGACTAACTTTGTAGATGTCATAGTCTGCAGAAAGGAGTTGATGCCTTATCCTTGGGCCTCTCAAGAGGTGTGAGTAAGTAGGCTATTATTAGCATGACAAAATGTATAGAAATGAAAATTCTTCAAAACCTCTTAATCCACTTTGTTCTCACTCTCTTCTACATGCCCTTCTCTTTCTATTTAATTTCCTACTCAGTTCCTTACCTTTCATTTAAAACATCCCATTTCTCAGGTCCCAAATTAGAAATACTTTCCTAAAATTTTTCTGTTTTTCAGTTTCTCTAAAAAATTATTTACGACATACTTATTACTTTAATAGCAAAATAATATATTAGCATGTTATCTCTCAATGATAGTCCTTTTTCACCAAGCTCACTGTTCTGCCCTCTGTATTCTGCAGGACATTGTAGTTGAAAATGACAGATCTCAAATTATCTTAGGCAAGAAGAAAATTATTGGCTTAAACGCAGACTGCACTAAGTCCTCAAACAATATCACTTTATCACAATATCACTGCATCGCCTTCTGCTCTCTCCCTTTCTCACCATTTCAGCTCACACTGCCTTCATTCCTCATTGTTTGTCGGCCTTATTCTCCTCTGCTGCAGAGTCTTTCTCCATTTAGGAGGAAAGCTGGCTCTGGGCAGCTCCAAGTCTATATATCCACATTGCTCCAAATAAAAAAGGATAGTGCTCTCGCTCTCTCTTTCAGTATCCCTGCATCCAATCTCACGAAAGGATTCCAATGGACCCTACTTTGAATCACTGTGGCAGAGGAATTGGGGTCCTGAGATTGGTCTGTGTAAGTAAAATGCCTGCAGTTGAAGCCAGGGTCAAGTGAGCCATTTTGATTGCTGGCTCTGTTTAGAAAACAAGGGTACTGACAAAAACACAACAGATGTAAATCATCTCCCATCTCTCCCCACCAAACAAGAAACAAAACTTACCAAATCTAGAAACGTATGTTTTTCTACAAGATAATCCCTTTTCAATACTGGTTTTGAAAATAATTTTAAGTGAGGAAGAGTAACCAAAGTTTTTTCTGTCTATTTCAGACTAAACACACGTTCAGGATAATGCTAAGAATATTTTAACTATTTTTTTCTAGTTTCTCTGCATTTGCTAGAAACTTTTTTTTTGGGAGTAAACTGGCTTTAAATGAATAGAAAAAATAATCTACTATGCATATGAATGGTTTCTGGAATTGAATTGTGCAGGCTTAAGTAAAGACATGTCCATGTCCATTTCTAGCTGCTGAGGGTTCTGTGTGAAATGCACCAGTGTGGGCAATGACCTTTTGCTTGATTATGCACAAGGCCACTGAAACGTTAAAATTAACTCTAACCTAATTACTGAACTGCGGTGTTTATATTGTGTATACACCACCAGGTCATAACTCTAGCCTCTGTGAGCCCCAGCTGCCATAATTGAGAAATATGCCTTGCAAATGGTTGTTTTGTTTACTTGTTTTTTCTGCTGGAAGAGCTTGCTTTTCCTATTTTTGCAAAGAAACAGATGTAGGGAAGAGTTTCTGAATAAAGTTTAATTACATTTTATATCTCAATGCAAAACATGTACATCTGTAAGTGAGATATTCCTTTTACTTTTGCGTTACATAAAATGTAATATCTGAAAGCACAATGCCACTTACTATTCACTTTTTTGAGTAATAGCACATTTTAGGTAAGGAAATATCAATATACTAAATTCACATGCAGAAAATATGAATAGTTGCTAATTCCAAAAATAAAAGATATAGAAAATATGTGCATACTTAGGATCAAGAGTTAATATCTAATTAATTATAACTCATGAACAAAAATTATTGTCTTCACAGAAATAAGAACCTAGGTTTTCATAATGTAATTAGTAGAATACAATTTAGATGGCTAATTATTTCTTATGGAATATGTACATATGATAGTAAAATATTTCTCAGAATAATAAGTACAATTGTAAACATCTGCTATGCTGCTTATCTGTTTTCCAGCCAACAGCAAAATCATGAAGGGATTTTGTTTTATTTCAAATTTGGTTTGTCTCAACAGCTAAGATACAGTTACCAAAGTATTTCATTGGCAAACCTGTAGTGGCTTCACATTTGTCTAGTTTGTCAAGGTCTTGAAATGTATAAGACAAGGGAGTTTTTAAATTTAACTTCTCTCCATCAGTCCCTTGGCTTTCTACCATGTTTTATACCTTTTATGCCCTTCCTCCTACCTTGTCACCCTTTCCTTCCATCTCAGCAGATTTCTTCAATTTTGAATTAAAATTATCTGCTCATAGAATAACTGTTTCTTCTCATGTTCATCATCTTCAAAAACTAATATTTAATATTTGCAGTGTCAGCCTAGTGAACTAAGAAAGTATTGAAATAGTTTAAAAACCAGAACCATCTCAGTTAAGCTACAGATTTGTTATTTGTTTTATTCATTTCTTTGTTTGGCTTACACAAAAGCTGTATTTTTAATATCAATAATGATGTGCATGCTCTTGTAAAAACACAAAAGCCTAAAAGATACATAAATAAAAAATTAATAATCTCACTCTCCCTCAGTCCAGTCCTTCCTCTGAGAAAAGCAATGTGAAAGTGGGTTGTATATTCTTCCACATTAATCTTCTGCTTATAGAAATAGACATATAAAAAATTTCCATAGAGAATGAATATATTATTTTCTTTATAAAAAGCATTTGACTTTTCTTTCTGTGTCTACAGAAAAAGAATAAATTGTGCACCTTAGTAGCTCAATAGTGTGTGCATGTTTACTTGTGTCATTTTAAAATTTGCATATCATGGACGTCTTTCTAATTCATCTTTTTAATAGCTGCAAAATGTTACATGCTATGAATATCACATAATGTATTCAACCATTCTGCTATTGATGGATTGTAAAATTGTTTCCCATTTTTTTGCTCTTCTTACTGTAACAAAAATCTCTATCATGTTAATGAATTGATACATTGACTTTCTATCAGAGGAAAAGGAGGTGATGCATCTTAGAATTTAGAGCACAGGCTTTGGAACCATGTGGTTTCAAATTTCAGTTGTGCTTTTTAACTATCGCTATGACTTTAAGCAAATTCTTTAGCCTTTACATATCCCATTTTTCCTCATCTGTACAATGGGGATGATAACACTAACTACATTACAAAGTTGTAGTGAGGAGTTATGAGTATGTATAAAACTTTCAGACTTGTGCCTGGCACAGAGTAAGCACTCAATAATTGTGAGATCTAATATTAAATGTAGTCTCAAACATTTGATGGATAAACCAAAGATGTGAATATTTTAAATATTAATATATTCTGCCAGATTATTTTTCAAAAAGGTGTTTCAGTTCACACGTGGAATATATCAAAATTACGTGTTTCCTCATATCCTGACTCTAACTGCATGTTATTAGTCCTTTAAACTCTTGCCAATCTGATTGACAAATGGTATTCTATTGTTTTATTGACATTTTCCTATTAATAAGGCTAATCTCATGTTTAGAGCCTATTTGAATTTCCACAGGATGCCTATTTATATGTTTTATCCAATTTTCTAATTTTTCTATTAAGTAAAACACCACTTAATAGGAATTATTTGTATATTAGAGATTAACCTTTTGTCATGTGCATAGCAAATATTTTTCTTATTCTAGTATTAACTTGACTATAATGTGTTTTGCTTTTCTTTTTTTATATTACTGATATACTTGAATTAGTTTATTTTTTTCCCTCAACTTTTATTTTAAGTTCCGGGGTACATGTGCAGGATGTGCAGGTTTGTTACATAGGTAAACATGTGCCATGGTGGTTTGCTGCACAGATCGTCCCATCACCTATTAAGCCCAGCATCCATTAATTATTCTTCCTGATGCTCTCCCTTCCCCTGGCCCCAACAGGTACCAGTGTGTGTTGTTTTCCCTCGTGTGTCCATGCGTTCTCATCGTTCAGCTCCCATTTGTGAGAACATGCAGTGTTTTGTTTTCTGGTCCTGTGTTAGTTTGCTGAGGATAACAGCTTCCACATCCATTCATATCCCTGTAAAGGACATGATCCGATTCCCTTTTATGGCTGCATAATATTCCATGGTGTATATGTGCCACATTTTCTTAATCCAGTCTATCATTGATCACCATTTGGGTTGATTCCATGTCTATGCTATTGTGACTAGTGCTGCAGTGAACATATGAATGCATGTAGCTTTATAATAGAATGATTTTTTTTATTATTATACTTTAAGTTCTAGGGTACATGTGCACAACATGCAGGTTTGTTACATATGTATACATGTGCCATGTTGGTGTGCTGCACCCATTAACTCGTCATTTACATTAGGTTTATCTCCTAATGCTATCCCTCCCCCATCCCCCCATCCCACAACAGGCCCCGGTGTGTGATGTTCCCCTTCCAGTGTCCAAGTGTTCTCATTGTTCAATTCCCACCTATGAGTGAGAACATGCGGTGTTTGGTTTTTTGTCCTCATGATAGTTTGCTGAGAATGATGGTTTCCAGCTTCATCCATGTCCCTACAAAGGACATGAACTCATCCTTTTTTATGGCTGCATAGTATTCCATGGTGTATATGTGCCACATTTTCTTAATCCAGTCTGTCATTATTGGGTTGGTTCCAAGTCTTTGCAATTGTGAATAGTGCTGCAATAAACATACATGTGAATATGTCTTTATAGCAGCATGATGTATAATCCTTTGGGTATATACCCAGTAATGGGATGGCTGGGTCAAATGGTATTTCTAGTTCTAGATCCTTGAGGAATCGCCACACTGTCTTCCAGAATGGTTGAACTAGTTTACAGTCCCACCAACAGTGTAAAAGTGTTCCTATTTCTCCACATCCTCTCCAGCACCTGTTGTTTCCTGACTTATTAATGATCACCATTCTAACTGGTGTGAGATGGTTTCTCATTGTGGTTTTGATTTGCATTTCTCTGATGGCCAGTGATGATGAGCATTTTTTTCATGTGTCTGTTGGCGCATAAATGTCTTCTTTTTAGAAGTGTCTGTTATATCTTTTGCCCACTTTTTGATGGGGTTGTTTGACTTTTTCTTGTAAATTTATTTATGTTCTTTGTACATTCTGGATATTAGCCCTTTTTCAAATGGGTAGATTGCAAAAATTTTCTCCCATTCTGTAGGTTATTCACTCTGATGGTAGTTTCTTTTGCTGTGCAGAAGCTCTTTAGTTTAATTAGATCCCATTTGTCAATTTTGGGGTTTGTTGCCATTGCTTTTGGTGTTTTAGACATGAAGTCCTTGCCCATGCCTATGTCCTGAATGGTATTGCCTAGGTTTTCTTCTAGGGTTTTTATGGTTTTAGGTCTGACATTTAAGTCTTTAATCCATCTTGAATTAATTTTTGTATAAGGTGTAAGAAAGGGATCCAGTTTCAGCTTTCTACATATGGCTAGCCAGTTTTCCCAGCACCATTTATTAAATAGGGAATCCTTTCCCCATTTCTTGTTTTTGTCAGGTTTTTCAAAGATCAGATGGTTATAGATGTGTGGTATTATTTCTGAGGGCTCTGTTCTGTTCCATTGGTCTATATCTCTGTTTTGGTACGAGGACCATGCTGTTTTGGTTACTGTAGCCTTGTAGTATAGTTTGAAGTCAGGTAGCATGATGTATATTCCTTTGTGTATTTACCCAGTAATGGGATTGCTGGGTCAAATGGTATTTCTGCCTTTAGATCTTTGAGGAATCGCCACACTTACTTCCACAATGGTTGAACTAATTTACCCTCCCACCAACCATGTAGAAGTGTTTCTTTTTCTCCACAACCTCACCAGCATCTGGGTTTTTTTTTTCTGTTTGGTTTTTTGTTTTATTTTGCTTTGTTTTTGTAATTACAACTTCTCCTTCTCAGATGCTGATTTTAATAAAAATTGTTAGATACTGCAATCTTACATGTGTGGGTATTCATTCACAAACATTATAGGTGACAGTTGTGTGCCAGACATAGTGCTAGGCACACTAGGGTAAATATATTTGCATGTACATATGATCATAGGTATGTATAAGCTATCTTGTCCTATATCCCTCCTAAACTCTTCTGCCTGTGCTGATGTAATTAAGAAGACTTATGTTAGAACTAATTCTAGATTTCTTCCTCTTATGTAGGAATAACAAAACATAAAACATCAGAATAAGTCAAAAAGTACCTTGGAGATGCATACTTCACCATTCTTTTTTGCAATAAACAACACGAAAGAGTTAAAGTGACTTTGCAGAAGTGACATTATCACAAAGCTGGTAATGACAGAAAAGAAATGTGAATCCCAGTGCATTATAGTTTCCACTGTATCATAAGGCTTTATGGACACAATATTTTGTGAAGTATTGTTTACCATGAACTGTGTTGACGGTGTTAATTCAATTTGTGGAGCTATCCACATATTTAATAATATATCACCATACTAACTGTGCTTACTTGCTTCTTTTGTTTTTTTTAATCACTTCTTAGGGTCTTATTTTTAAGCAGCAAGGGGAGCCACCTACTTGAGCCACTCTCCCCTGCTGCAATGGAAAACAGTCTCCCTTCAATAAAATGGCTATTCTAGCACTTTGTTCTCACTGTCTGATGTGGCTTGGGGCCAGGTATTCTGTAAAGCAGATTTGAGCATTAGACTAAGAGAGTTATCCTCAGAAAGGTGTTCTGAGAAGGTCTGCCAAAAAAGTTGAGGCTTAAAAAAAAATGTAAGTAGGAGTAGGAAGAGGAGACTTTTAGTGGGCATTTGACTGGGTCTTGCTTTCCTCCTGGTAATAGATTGCTTGGCTATCTACAGATGCTTACAAGATGAGAAAATTGGAGTAGAAAAAAATTGTTTTAAAATGGATTTTAGCAACAGAACCCTCTGCTCTGTTGAAATTGCATGTAGAGCCCAATTTATACAATGGATAAAAAATAGATGTGCCTTATTGTTGGCAAAGATGTGGGAAAAGTTGGAACTATCATGCACTATTGATGGGAATGTAAAATAGTACAGCCAGCCACTATGAAAACAGCATGGTGGTTCCACACATACACACACACACACACACAAATATACATATATATATAAAGTTATACATATATATATAATTACCATATAATCCAGCAATTTCATTTGAGCGTATACCCAAATGAATTGAAAATAGAATCTCAAAGAGATAGTTTTACACCCATGTTCATAGCAGCATTATTTACAATAGCTAAAAGTTGGGGTGGCAGCAACTACAGTGTTCATTGATGGATGAATAGATTAAACAAATTGTGATATATACATACAATGAGATATTATTGTCTTTAAGAAGGAAGAAAATTCTAACTCACGCCACAGCATAGATAAACCTTAAAGACTTTATACTAAGTAACTTCAAAGAGTTACAAAATGGCAAATACTATATGATTTTACTTATATGAAGTACCTAAAGTAGCAAGTTAATAGAATAAAAAGTAAAATGATAGTTGCCAGGAGGTAAGGAAGGCTAAATGGTGAGTGATTATTTAATGGATACAGACTTTTCAAATTTTGGAAGATGAAAAGAGTTCTGAAGATGGATGCTGGTGATGGCTATACAACAGTGTGAATGTACTTAATGCCACTGAACTGTACACTTAAAAATGGTTAAGGTAGTTATGTGTTTTTTACCCCAATTTAAAATAAAATAAAAATAAACTAAGTGCCTCTATTGAAGTAAGGTCTAGCCAACCAGTAGCTCTATACCAAAGTACTGTATTTTAAAACTGTTGAACAAGATGTTTTCTAAAACCTCTTTTATATTTTTCAGTTATAATCATGGTAAAATCTGTATTTGACATTCCTGTGGACTTTTTGCCACAGAAAAGCACAGTATTTTTTTCTTAGGAAAATTGCTTGACTCTCAGAAGGAAAAATATATCAGTGTGCTCCCCAAGGCATTGTGCAGAGGTTATATCAGATGTCTTGGAGTCCATTATGCTGTAGCTGTAGGATGTTGTAGGGTAGCAAGAAATAAGTAACTTTGAGAAGTGGCTCTCATGATATACTAACATGCTGGGCTTTGTATTTCTTTCTTTCTAGGTTTTCTCCTCAAGTTTGCATTCATTTATACTAACTTATAGAAACATCCCTTCCACATTTGTCATTATGACTATAGTAAAACTATGGAAAACAAAGATGAAACTGTAACATTCCTAAAACATATACTGTATACATAACCTTTAGCTTGTTGTAATGTTTAACACACGACACTGTATCACTTTAAACAACATCTCTTCCTCTTATTTGTCCCATCTAATCCTCTGGCATAATGTTTTTTTCAGGATTTCTGTCATTTATCCTTCCTCTTTTTGATTGCTAAATACATAATCTAAAATGTTAGGTTGCAAACTAGCTTCAAATTGGCTAGGAGCTTGGGAGAACTACTCTGAAAACTTTTTATATAAACTCTAAGGAGGTCAAATTCAGAAAAATCTCAGCTGCTGGACTTGGATCCCATTAACCACTGATCATTTATAATTAATATTAATAAATGGCAGATGACACATGTATATTGCTTAACTAAAAATGTGTGTGTAGTATTAAATTTTTTAAAAGTTAGTTAAGACCCAGAGGACCTGAATGTATGTATTGGAATAATGAAAAGAACAAAACTACCAACATGTGATCTAGTATCTTCTAACTACAAGCACCTAAAGTTCCAGAGGAAACAGAAGTACTTTTAATTCATCATATTACATATTGTATTGCCATGAAACTCTATACACTGAAATGCCTGTTTCACAAGCCTATATTAATCTGGACAATTGGCTTATTAATCATTATAGATATACAGATATAAATATATATATATAATATATACACAAACACACTCACACATACAGACACCTGTTAATTTCCTAGTCTAAAACCAAATTGTTTAATACATATGGTTTTTATAATCAGAAATTAAAAAAAATATCCAAATGCTGAGTTGCTTTAAATCCTAATGTTCCATAGAGCCCCACTAAATAATATAACAGCTGGAAGGGATTTATTCATCTCTGGACACTAAGGAGTTAGGGCACAGTAGTTCAGTTACCTGGTTATATAAATCTGGGAACCTATACAATGATTAAAATGGAAATGAGACCTCCAGTTACTGCAATGAAGGTAAATGGTTTTCCAGGGGAATTACACTTGGACTCAAAATCACCTTACAAAAAGCCAAAAGACAGAAACATGTATTCGCTTGGGCTATATGTCCTTATTCAACCATATCCATTACCATAACCATATTAACATAGATTCTTTCTGATTGGACTGTGATTTAATAATAATATTATTTGTTTAAATGTTGGCAATTTTACATAATTATCTCATTTAAAATTCTTTAAATATTGCAGGCATATATGCATTATTATTATCGACTGCATTTTAAAGATGAGGAAATTGAGGCTTTGAGTGTGAGTAGTAGATTTCACACTCAAAGACCAGGACTCACACTCAGACCTAATTCTGAGTCCAGTGATATTTCAAGTATTTGAGGCTGAAAAGAGTATATAACTACCTTAAGAATGTCAGTTAATAAGCAAGTTAGTCAGTACTAGAACCTAAATCTTTTGTCAATCTGATCTTTCCATTCTGTCTTTTTCAACACTTTTGCCCTGTGTTCAAGAGGATCATTTATTTCTAATCATCTGCTCTTTTCTAACTATACTTATCACACATGAGGCTTAGCATCAACCATTATTTCTTATTAATGATATTATCATTGTTGAAAAAATTGAAAACCTCTTTTTACCACCAAATCTGCTTCATCTTTCTGTTTACAACCATTTTGTTATTCAAATAACAAACTTAACTATAATAAGCAAATTGGCCAGTGATTTCCCCTTTTGCTTCAAATCATTCTGATGTTTTAAAGCCAAATAGTTTTCACAAATTGCCAACATTGTATTCAAATGCACTAAATGGTTATGTTAGTGCTATCATGTTGTCTAAACAAAGGCGCTGTCAGTCAGTAGAGTCAGTGACCTTCAGGCTGTTAAGTGGTTTGTGCAATTTTCACAGGATTATGCTTAAATATAAATCCTAATAAAGAATCTCACTTGGCTTTTTAAAAGGTTGTTAAAATTAATACTTAATCCAATTCCTATAAAATAATATTGAAGACATAAAGTAAAATTTACTAAAAAAAATGTATTTCAAAGGCTTGGATTTTCTACTCAATTTATGAAGCATATATGGTCTCCTAAATGCTGTGTGAATCATTGGACATGCCAGACATGAAGCAAACTTCCCACCCCAGGAGGCTTCTCAGCCTGAAGCAAGCTGTAAGTGGGTAGAGTTCCAAGAGGGAACACAACGTGCATGTGCGAGGAAAGCAGATGCAGCATGACTTTGGGTTTGTTCTTTGGGAACACACAACTATATGGAAAAATACATGCTGCTCCCAATTGCTGTAGACATCTGCTGAAGGCACGTGAGATTGAGACTAGGGAATGGTACAGAATTTCTCCTAGAATATTGTAGTTTAACTTTGGAAGCAAGGGGAATTGGCTGTTAACCGAATAAGAGTTTCATTCTAACATGAAAATTGTACAGCGTGCTCATTCGTGTGGGCGCACAGAGGGCGTTAAGCTATTTCTTTATAAAAATATGGGAACATTGATTTCCTTTAGCAGTATTATTTGATATCTATTTACAGTTTAGTTGGGTTGTCAAACATCAGTGCATTTCTAATAATGTGTGTTTGTGATACCTTGCTCGTGGCAAAGGCTTAAAAATTTAAAGAGGCTTTGAAATACTTTTTAGGCATGAAATTGAGCTCACAAAATAAGCTTAATGGCAAATTAGTCAGGAACACATGGATATGTTTCCTTTAATTTGTATACAGATTTTCAGAATTAAGATGTGGTAAAACCTACTAGCAGTCTATTAAGCCTTCTAAGGCACTTGCAACATAATTAGAGATTTGCAAATTCAAGGTTGGCCTAATAGAAAAACGAACAAATTTGTGTTTGCATTTTAGCATTGCCTGAGTATTTTTACAAACACTTCATTTAGCATAATTTTGAAATGGTGGATATGTTCTGATCAGAGGACTAAGCAGTATGAAGAAAGCAAAAGAAACATGTTTTTAAAATCAGGGTAATAGATACATTAAGAAACTGCTTCTGTGCTAGCTTTTATTTTGTTACCATTGTCCTATGGGAAGATGAGGACTATAATTTTTCAAGTTGACCTCCCTGCCACCATATTCTCTAGAGCCACTAGAATGGAACTAGTCTTACTCTGTTTTCCTCAAAGATTTAAGTGTATGTGTGCTACACAATTATTTAACACTTCAATAATAAAATAATTGAAAGTAATTGTATGGAGTCATAGAACTGAACATAGTCACCAACACATTTTTTTAAAGTATTTTATGGTCTATTTGTGTTTCTTTTCAGTGATATAAGAGATTTTCATTTGAAGTACCCATGAAAGTTTTCTTAGGGCAGTTCAAAGGGAAGTCTGACAGAAAGAGTGTTTAGGTTGATGAAGAAGCTTTCTACCCTTGGGCAGCTTTATCTTAAACTTTAAACTAACCATGGAATCATATGAGTGAGGAACTCTTAGACTTCTTTCATTTATATCCCTGACTTTAAGCATAGATGCATGAAAATTTATTTGATTTTAAGACTTCTTAGTGAATGGATTTTCAACCTTACTTCAATGCAAAAACGTGATTTTCCCCAGCTTATCAAAAGCTTTCAATGCTCATTCTCTTTACATTCAATAATTCATTTGTCTCCTAATGTATACATTTTCCCAAATTAAAAATATTCATTTATATTTTTTCCTGTATTTGCCCTTTTGTCTGTCTTAAGTTGGCCCATTTGTTTTATTTTGGTTATTTGTCTAACTTAGAAAATAGAATTCCTTTATTGAATATAAAGTCCCAAAGCATGTTACTTAGTTTGTGTTTCAATATTCAGCATCTTGCGGAATATTGAAAACCAGTAAGTAAAAGCTTTGCTAGTTTCAATTACAGAACATGTTTGAAAAACATGCAGTTGTGTTACCTTCTTCAGTGGTGGCATATGGTTAATCTACCACCACCAAGTGGAAATTGGGTAGGTGACTACTTCAGTTATCAAATAATACTGCCTGGTAACATCAATTTTGTTCGTATATGAGCATAAAGTACTGGAAAACTTTATACTTTTGGATCATTTAAATGCATCTAAAAATCATAGTTTGTTTCAATATTAATTTGCTTAAGAAATCCTTTTTCTCCCTGTCAACATTGCAGAGGCCAATTTTAGCACAGTTGTGACAGTTCCTTCTAACTCATAAATTACAAATTGATGGCCTTAAACTGATTTTGTTGTTACTCAGCCTCATTTCTGCATCTTAAGACTGGTCTCATCCTGAAAACTAGTAAGAAGAGATCTAATATCAAACCTGGATATTCTTAAAGACTGGATTATTTAAGACTCGTTCACCAAATTTTCTAATACCAGTAAATGGGGACACATTATATTGAATAAGGGTATTGTTAGCCAAATTCTAAGATTCATCTTAAATTGTTTTCTTATAAGAATTGTGTATTTACCATTTTAAAAATCACTATTATTTTAAAACACTTAGAAAGTGAACATTTGAAAATGATGTGCCTTTGGATGCTCTGTAATGTTAAGCAGATCCAGACATAAAGACAAAAGTAAATTCCAGAGTATTTTTGTAGCCATGGAATCACCATAAAAAGGGGTTTTTGACCCCAATGTTACCGTAACATTGTCTTCAGCATTTCATATTTAATTACAGTAGATTACTCACCAATATAATAAATATAGATTTATGAGATACTTTAATGTTCTAAAACAAATGAAAACCACCCAAGAGGAGCCTCACCAAACCTGAGGTTGTCCAGATTGCATTGACTAAGATTAAGTAAAAGATCATTCATCTCCAGAGGTCATGCAATTAATCTCAGAGTGGGAGTTAAAGCAATGACTAAGCAGAAAAGGAAGCCAAATACAAGCTCGTAACAAAAGGTGCTGGGGCTCCAACATCAAGGAACTTGTTATTTCCTTTTTATTTATTTATTTTTTTTTAATAGACCTAAAACACTCATTCCTTACTACTGGTTTCTTTGGGTCCTAAAATTCCACTTGGTTAGGTCAGCTATTTTCCATGACTATTTTTGATACGGTCAAACAAATACAAAGAATAAGCTTTTAAAAAACTACAGTGGGTTTTCATGTCTAGGAAAACAATATGACACTTCATTTTATGTGTCAACAGAAAGTAATTTAGGATGAATGTATAATAATCCAGGGTTTGAACAATGAAAAAGCTCAAGATACACTTTAAGGAAGACATATTCTACTCCAGGGTTTTATAATTATTTAAATTCAAATAAAATCAAAGTTCATCTTCACTTAACTTAGGTACCTGATACCTGTTGCAAAATATTGAGGAAAATGTTTGGCTGTCATTCCTTGAAGCTGAATCTTTATACCCTTGCTTGATAATCCCTCAATTCCCTGTGGCAGCAAATTTTTATTTCTAGTAAACACAACTTGTTTTTTCCTTCACCTTATTGAGATTCAAAACCTTGTGTTTTAAACCAAGAATAATTTTGAACTTGGTCGTTCCTTATTGCAAGGACTTCCTCCAACTAGGGTGAATTTTCACCCACGATTAGCCTGCCTTTGGAGTTTATGATGTGAAGTGCCACAGCTGATGGCCCATGAAAGAGACTGCTAAGTCTATTGCTCACATCAATATTCCCGCTGGATATTTTGCTCATTCCTTGGGAATTTCAAAGAATAACAAATAACCAACAAATCATCAAAAACTGTAACATGTTACCCAATTCTTGGGAATAAGCCAGTGAGACTAAAATCTGCTTAAGTATCACAAATGTGAATTCCCAGCATTTCAAGCTTGTAAACTGTATCCAACACTCACCAATGTCTATTCCATTTCTTAGCTGTACAGAAGGGGCACATTCATCTGGTAACTGTCAACAATGAGGTTCCTTCCTTCTTGAACCCAGCTGGCCATACAAGCAGGCAGGAGTTGCATGTTTGACCCTGAGACAGCAAAGGGTATTGCCCTGTTGGGAAGACAACAGGATTGCGATGTAATCTGGAATCAATTTGAGATTAGCACCAGATGCTCCATGCCAGTAATAAGTGCTGATCATAAGACTTAATTTTGTATGCTATTAGAATTAATGATAAGGTATAAGCATAGTATGTCCCAAACTATAGGAATGAATAAGAGCAGAGTGAAAAACTGAAATGGTAAAACAAGAATAGAAGTTTTAAAATAGGTAAATTGAAAATATTTGTTTACTTTATTTTCATAGCTTGAGTAAAAGAGTTGGAAGACAAAGGAGAAAAGGACTTGCAAGAAGCCAATTTTTTTTTTTATGAATGTGTTTGTTTTTCCTCAAAAGTCAGTCGTAAATGCTCTTCAGGGAAGGGAGTCAGAGAGAGCCAAATAGTGGTCTTAAAGTTTTGTTTGTGTTATTATAGTTCTCTTGGTTTTTTTTTTACAAAAAGAGAATGGTGAAATAACTTTTGTCACGTTAGTATTAGTCTCATAATCAGTGGAACACAGTCCTTTTTTGAGTCATTCCTGAAATAGAAATGAGCATGAAATGAGCCTGGTATTCATTGAATATTAATAGGTACATTTAGATGCATGTCTAGGACTGTGCAGTATATGAGAGATCCTTTACTAGTCATCTTGAATTTAAATATTGAAATGGTAACTAATTATATTTCACTGTATACACTTTTAAATAGTAGATTATATATTATAGTTGGTAAGGGGAAACATATTGTATTATTTGGCTGGACAACAGCTAATAGTATCACAGACAACTCCTTGAGATTCTCTAAGTTCTACACATAAGCTTCTTAATTACCAAACTCATAACAGAATATGTGTCTTGAAGCAGCTTTGAGTCCTATTTTTTATATAATTATAAAAATAGAAGTCAGGTTAAAAAATGATTAATATTGGTGCAAAAATGGTTTTAGGTATCCCTTCAAAGATTCTCCTAAAATGATTTGTAATCTGGCAAATAAAAATATTCTCCATGCTATAAATATGCTCAGTAATAAGTCAGAAATAGAATATCAATTTCTGTGAATTTTCAAAGAAAAACATGCTGGGTTAAGGGCCAACATCATATAACATTTATTGCTTTGTATTACATTATACACACACAAACACACACATGTTTTGTGAACTTTTATAAATGGAATCAATAAAAATATGTGTATATAAAATATATTGTTCTAGATATGAACTATATTTTTATATTATACTTCAAAAATATGAAAATATTGCTGAGAAAGGACCATCTGTGTCTTCTCACATCTAACTTTTCTTGATTATTTCTAGGAAAGCAGACTAAACACACAGTTCTGACATAATACAGCATCCCATTTTGATTTCTGGTTAGCTCAGAAGGCTTTACCAGCCAAAGAAAGTCTCTGAAAAGGGCAAACCTTTCTGACCTCAGGAGGTTCTGATAGGAAGAACTGAAGCGGTGAACACCCAGAGGAGAGAAAACATGGGAATAAATTCCCCAAAGTTCTGTAACCACAGTGATGTGGGTGCATAGAGGAAGACATAATTTCATTCTTAAAGAATGTCCCTGTTTTCACATTCTTTCATTTGTCTTAAAGTTGATCTTGCAGATGATATAGTCCAGATGAATTTCTGCTTAATAAGAATTCTTGTTCACAAATTGACAGAAAAATATACCAACCATATATGTAAAAACACAGTGGAGAATACCCAAGCATACCATAATACCTTTCTCATAATTCAGCTAATAATCTATCAGATCATTTTTAGGAAAAGGAAATTTTTGCTTCTTACAATAATTAGATTGAGAGTAGAGAATTAGATTGAGAGTAGAGGTATAAACTCGTAATAAAAATTAGAATGTGGTTTCTTTCTGATGCTCCGCTTCCTTTGATTTATTAGTTTGCATCTTATCAATAAATTCACCTTATCCAAATTTGCTGGAACAAAGTTTTCAAAAAGGAAATTAAGGCTCTTATGTGCTAATATTCTGTGTAGACAAATTAGATGCTGCTCATAACCAAAACGATCTCATTTAGTTTACTCTAGAACATTTGAATAGTGGGATGAGGGTCTTTAAAACTGTTTTGGACATGTGAACTGAAATATAAGAAAACCATTACAAAGTTGGGTTTGTATTAGTTTTTTGTTGCTGTCATCATAAATTACCAAAAACTTAGTGTCCTAAATGACACAAATTTATTATCTTACAATTCTGTAGGTGAGAAGGTTGACACAAGTTTTACCATGCTAAAATCAAGGCATCAGTAAGGCTGTGTTCCTTTTTGGCAACTCTAGGGTAGAATCCACTTACTTGTCTTTTCCAGATTTTACAGGCTGCTCACAATCCTTGGTTCATGGCCCCTTTCTCCAGCCTCAAAGCCTCAAGTGGCAGGTTGAGTCCTTTTCACACAGCATCTCTCTGACACACTCTTCTGCCTCTTCTTCCACTTTCCACTTTTAAGGACTCATGTAATTAAATGGACCAATCTGGATAATTCCAGATAATCTCTGCATCTCATGGTCAGCTGATTAGCTAGATGCTAGAAGTGAAAATAACAAAGATATGCAAATATGTATGAGACTCCTTTGGAAGTTCATAATTTCATGGGAGAATTGGTTGTAAACAAATAAATGCAAAATTGACAGATGTGTCCTCTGGAAATAGAGGAGATAAATTATTATTGGCTCTTAAAGGCCAAGTAGAATTTTCCAGCTAAAGAGAAGGAGAGGAACTTTCCATTGAGAAGCAACATCAATAAAATCACAAAAGCAAGAAAGAGCATGATGTGATCAAATTATAGTTAACTATGTAGTGTGACTGAGCAAAGGCAAATTAGGGAAGGAGGTGCTGTTCAATAACATAACCAAGAGTCAGATTCAGAAGGGCCTTCTAAACCATGCCAAGAACTTTGGGAGTACAGGCACTGGGCAGATTTAAAAACAAACAAAAAACCAACAGGAATAAAAGACCAGCCCTCTGCACTATAAGAAGGTAACCTGACAGCAAAGTGGAAAATATCTGGAAGAAAACAAAAAAAAAAAAAAAAAAAAAAAAAAAACCACCAGATCTTTGCAAAAATCATTCTAGAGGTTCTAGAGATGACAGAGGTTTGAACTGAATGAGGATAAAGAAGGAATGACACATTTGAGAGATATGCAAGAAGTAAGGCAGATGGCCTTGAGTGGGTTAACAACTTTCATCAAACATCTTAAAGGAATTAAGTGCTCCTCAGATTTTACCCAAACCAGATTAAGGCTGTTCTATTATTAAGGGTGAGTTGATTCACTCAGCTGTTTTATAGTTTCATAGAGACCATTTATTATTGTTACTAATTATTTTTATTTTAGGGATTATAATTTTAGAATTCTTTTCATTTTCAACTACTTATATATCATTTGTTTCTCATACCTACCCCAAATAATGAGAATAGTAGGAATTATTGATTCTATTTTATAAATGAGGCAAACAAAGCACAGAAAGTGCTTTACTTAAGGTCATATTGCTGATGAGTAATATAGCCAAGTTTAAAATGCACGTTTCCTGATACCTATTTCAGATATTTAAAATTTAATGTCCCACTTTTTTTAAGCACACATTTTAAAAGATGAGGTCTTGAGAGTTTAAGTAATATCCCCCAAAGATAGACTATGACTAAATAGCTTGACAGAAAATCAAACTCAGATCTTTCTAACTTCAAAGCCCAAGGTCATAGCAGCTATACATTACTGCATCCCTCCTCACCTGCTGGAGAAGATCAGGGAAGAATTAATAGAGAAGTAGCCTTTAAAATGTATCTTGAATGATGTATGTAGGTAAGGGGTGATCTTCAAGATACTTAAAAACTATACAGTAAAATATACAAATACAGTACCCCATATATAAATATGTTAAATATATTATCATACATAGATAATACAGCTGCTTACCAGGTGTTGTTAGCAGTAGTGCAAATCATTTGTGAGGTTATTCAGTGATGCCTGAAAAGAGTTGCTAATTTTTAGAAATCACCCGGTATTGTTTTCAGTTTGTTAGGGTTGATTCACACACCCACACCCAGACCCATTCATACTCAGGGAAGGCTTCCTCAGAGACATTTTGTGCTTAACTCCTTAAATCCTCTGCAGTTTAAAAGTTCCAGCAGACCTTGCAGGATCCAAAAGTGTGCTTGATTAAGGGTGGGCAAGATGTAATGGACAAAAAAGGGATTCACCTTCCTCTCCCCAAATTCTGACATAAGAGATAAACAAGTAAGCCAACCTTACTTCTGCTTTCCTTCAGTATTTTCACTCCCCAATATTTGAAGTCACTTCTTGACTACTACTCTTTCTCCTAAATATTCTCTGGAGATAAGGGAATGGCTTATATACAGTCATTGATCACGTATCCCCGTTTCTACCTGTCTCAGTACATTTTTGTATTGCTATAACAGAATACCTAAGGCTGGGTAATTCATTCAAAAAAAGAGGTTTATTTGGCTAACAGTTCTGCAGGCTGTACAAGAAGCATGGCACCAGTATCTGACTCTGGTGAGGGCCTCAGGCTGCTTCCACTCATGACAGAAGGAAAAGGGGAACTGGCACGTGCAGATCATATGACTAGAGAAGAAAAGAGAGAGTGTGTGAGAGAATGGAGAGAGAGAGAAGGTGCCAGGCTCTTTTTAACAAGCAGCTCTCTGGGAAACTCTCCTAGGAACTAATATAGAGTGAGAACTCACTCATTACCATGAGAATGGCACCAAGTCATTCATGAGGGACCCACTCCAATGACTCCCAAACACCTCCCATTTGGCCCCACCCCAAACATTTGCGCTCAAATTTCAACATGACATTTGCAGGGTCAAATATCTAAACTATAGCATTACCTTAACTAGGTCTTAAGGTATATATGAAGTTTACTTTGCTCAGAAAATAAAAACCAAACATATGGGCTATTTCAAGCTCTTTACCCCTTTAAAACTTTTTTCTATCTATTTCATCTGGCCTTCTTTTTTCCAGGGTCACTTTATTTCGTTCTTAAATACTTCAATTAAATGAGAAATATTTATTTTAGAGATTAAGACAGTGTTCTTAGAGATTGAGTAAGACAGTGTTCATTCTTTCAGGAATTGTCACATTTCCTTTAATTTTCAGCTCATTTGCTTAAGCCTTTCCTGAGACTTTCTCTTCCCATTAATTGCATTGCACATAACATCTGCTGTCCTTGCTACACCCTCTTAAATGGAAAGTTTCATCATACTACCCAGTGGTCCATTTTGGTGGCATTCCACTGAAAGAAAAATTCAATGGATTACAACAAAAGCCACAGTTATTCGAAACTCAAGGGGAAGTCAGGCTTCTGAGACTGTGTAGTGCCACTTCAAAAGAGGATACAAAAGCCCCAAGATCAGGCAAGATGGGCTAGAATCATATTTCATGACTTTAAAGGAAGACTACATTCTCAACTCCACCAAATAAAGCATCATTTATGCTTGCTATAGAAGATAATTAAGGAAGACAAGGTTATTTTGTCATCTTTCAACTTTTGACAACCATCCCAAGTGCTTTCCTCTCTTCCTCTATTTCTCTTGTTATTTGTTCCTCTTCCTGACCACCTCTTTTTCTCCAAACAATCGCAAAAACTTTTTGGTAGACCACTGTTTTCCAGCTTTGGGCTGAGAGATGGACTCTGATCCACACTCCCAACCTCAGGGAAACTCTGAAGTCTTCAAATCACTAAAACTGTCCTAGAACTCAAATGCCTTCTGGAAACAAGAGAATGGAATTCTTTCTAACTTCTCTGTTCCAACCTGGACTTCCTAATGCCATTTCTTGAAACAGCTTTAGGGATACTCTAGTTATTCATCATTGACTTGGTCCCAAAGGACCAAGCATGACAAGTCAAAATGATATTCCTGAAAACATGATATAGCTCTCTGGAGTTCACTGTAATCTCTTGAAGCTGATATTGGAACAGAAGTAGCTAACTGGCTGAGTACTCTATAATAAGTGGGACTTATTAAGACAGGTTGTTTGGGACACTGGGTAATCACAGCATGCCCGCATATGAGAGAGTAACACCAAAGCATCTCTGTCTATGCCTGTCCTTCTCCAACTCTAACTCGAATTAAGTCACAGCCATGAAATCAAGAAAAGGGAACAATATTTATCTTTTTCATTTAATTCATTCAACGAATATTTATAGACTCACTACAGTTCTCAGGCTCTTGCCAAAGAGAAAGGAGCTACCACAGCCTTTAGAGCAATAGTAGCAGTGCTTACTAATATACCAGGAATATCGGCCTTACATGTCTCCCCTTGTGCACAAAATTATGCAAGTAAATCAGGGAATCACTGCTAGAATCTCCCAATACTATCCACCCCACCTGTATTAGTGCATTCTCACACTATTAATAAAGACATAACCGAGACTGGGTAATTTATAAAGGAAACAGGTTTAATTGACTCACAGTTCAGCATGGCCTCAAGAAACTTACAATCATGATGGAAAGGGAAGCAAATGCATCCTTCATATGGCGGAAGGAAGAGAAGTGCCAAGAAAAAGGGGGAAAAGCCCCTTATAAAACCATCAAATCTCATGAGAACTCACTCACTATTACGAGAACAGCATGAGGGTAACCACCCCTGGAATTCAATTACCTCCCACTGGGTCCATCCCACCACACATGGGGATTATAGGAACTATAATTCAAGGTAAGATTTGGGTAGGGAAGCAGGCAAACCATATAACCACCCTACTCCAAAATAATCAGTCCTGTGAATTGCATTTCCTTTTCAATACTTTGATAGGTAAATAAAAATTAAGGTTGAATTTCTATAAAGAGTAAGTTCTTTATATTTGTAGTTGTTACTACATTAATTGTTCTTCCTAATATTATGAAAACTGGAAACAAAATTCAATATCACCTTGACAAATTGCAAAAAGGCCTAGAAATATGAATTAAAATTAGTAGATGATATACTGGGTTGCACATAGGGACCCAATCAAACAATAGAAGGAAACACACTAGTTAGTAGCAAAGGAAGAGGAGTGAAATCTACTAATGATAACGTTAATGTTGGGAGGGAAAGTCTATGCATAGGAGGTTGACTATCCAAAGAATGAAAGTAATTATTTGATTTCTTCTGCATTAATCAGATGCTTATTAGAAAGCCATATTCTATTTTCCTCAGGACATTCTGAAAGTTTGTGAAGAGAAAAAGTAGATAGGGTACAAGTCTTAATATGCTACATGGAAAATATGGTTGATAAGAAAAAGTTAAAAGTCATATAAGTTACAGAAATCACTAAATTTAAAGATTCAAATTTCTAAAGAGCTCTTGTGAAAGGATGACACTCTCTTCAGAATCATTAAAAATTACACTGGAAAACCGGCTGTCTTGGAATTGATACTTAAAATTCACCCCAAAAATAGAACTTTTCCATCAGTGGTGGAAAGGGACCTATAAATAAATATGTGCATATACATTTATATATAAAAAATATATACACACACAAACATACATACACATTTGTTCCCCAGGTCTATACTTCCAAACCTACCCTCATCAATAATGATAGAGAAAGCACAGTGAAAAGCTGTAAAATAGGTACAGTAAAATCTTACTAATCTTGCTAAATTACAGGGTGGATATTTCTAGATTAGTTAACACTTAACCTCCAAACAAATTTTAAAGATGATTAAATCAGTTGTATTCCCCTCCAAGTCCTATATGTAACCATTATTGATGAAGTAATTACAAGGACCTATCTTGATGATTGTGGAAATGGATGTTGAAAGTATTTCTGATTAAGAACAGACAATTGCTTCAACAAATAGAATGGGAGAAAAAGTACCTAGAACAATCTGCATTACCTGCTATAGGTGAAATACTCCCCTTATCATATATTATGGGTAAAGTTTATCACAAATTTTAATGTAGTAGAGGTTGAGTGGGGTTTTCTATGTTTTTCAAACTAGTTAAGAAACCAGTAGTTTGAAGCAAAATCTGCAACAAAAGAAGAATGAGTAAGATCCTGAAGCATAGTGAAACCATTTAAGAACGTATTTGAAGATGCATGAAAATCATCTTTACATATGTAGCTAATAAAGAGCTGAAAACATTAAACCATCACTATAAACATTTATATTATCTGTAGCTAAAATTGCATGGAGTGAGACACATGATACGTGGAGCAGCACAAATAAGAAACTGGGTAGTCATTTTTCCCCACATGATGCAATTCCAGATTAAAGGTACATTTTTCCCCCATAGACCAATAAAAAGCTTCAGAGAAAGACATAGTGGGCTGTGTTAGAATGAGAATTAGACAGCACAGTCAACTAGTGCATAACATGATGAAAGAGTAGAATACTATCAAGATTTCTTGTATAATCAATCACAGCAAACATGTCAGCAAGTATGAGGCCATCCGCTCCTGTCCATACAACCCAGTAGACAATTTGGGTAAGGGAATGAGTATAGCAGTGCCAAATGTGGCTATCAACACTTCTTCTGTTTCTGTCTCAAAAGAACAAAATTCTAAGACAAGCTCTTAGAACAAATGGAAATTTATCCAAATAAAAATCAAATGATAAATGCCCAGAGAATATTCTTTCTTTGGAATTCGTTCAATTCTTTAATTTAACCAGCTGGAATAAATTTTCAAGTAGCATTCTGCTCAGCCTTTTGAAATGAAGGACTTTTCTGTTAATTGGAAAGTTATATTCCATCAAAGATGAAGACAGTGATCTTGCCTTAGTGATTCTTAGAAAAAATAAAAGGCATTTGGTGAATATTTATCATATACTGATTCCAGAACATGTATTTTAAGCACAAATGAATGAGCTGTGGGCCTACACATTTAACTAAAGAAAAATAGGGAAAATTCAAATACAAGTTTTATTTTAAACTCTACATAAAAGCTAACTTTCACTATGCTCAGTCATGAGAGGAATATGTAAAGAGAAAATAGAAATAGAAACCATTAATTTTGAGAATGAAAGATGGATAATACAGCTGTGGTTCCTGATTTTCTGAAGCAAATGAATTAGATAAGTCAACACATTTAAGTGTTCTTTACTGTGTTACTGGAATATGTGTTATTGGGGCTGGGGAAACATGAGAGTCAACTCAAAAAGATCTACAGCAAGAAAATAAAAATTTACTGGGAAAAAATTATTTTGAAAATTCATATTTTTAAAGCAATCTGTACCATAGGCAGTACTTTAAACTTAGTCATTGATTATAGATATATTAAATAACATTGTTACATTTAAATTTTAAATTGGCACGTTAGGCAAACTAATTTATCGCAAATAATGTGAAAAGTTGTTTAAAAATTAATGATAGTCAAGTACTAAAGAAATAATTTTTCCAGATGTCTTAAAGGAATCACTGGATAGATGGTCTGAATTATAATTGTGTATTCTGATTTAAAATAATTTTATAGGAAGACTTCTAGGTAATACTATTTATGTACTTTCAGTCTGGCAATGTGTGTATAACAGAAATTTTTCAAAGAGGCTGTTCCACTTTTTTAAATATTTAAATTGCTGAGAGAACTTTTTAAAGGGTAATATGAAATAAATATTTAATAAGTTCCATAGACTCACGCATATTCTCCAGCTTGAGATGGAAGATGGTGGTTGAAGCAGCAGGGGGCGCCAGCGGGCATGGTGGTGAGATGGGGACAGGGTAGAGTACGAGTGTTACAAAAAAAAGATGAACACATCAATTCGTTTTTGAGATAGTCACTAATATTTTGAGAGGACTAGGTCCAAATTGAAAATTTGGGATAGAACACGACAATGTTGTTAGGCAGGCTTTAATGGTCTTTGAAATATTAGTGTTAGGACGCCCCACTGACTAAATTTCTGAAGATAGGTAATAAAATTCCCATATTATAAGCTCATAAACATTATATAAAACAACCAAAGTATCCTATTCAGGGTCATTTTTTTAAGGGAACAATAATATTCATCCAACAAGCTAGTCATGAATTTCACGGCAAAAGTAATGAATAATATTTGACGGTGCTTAATAGATGAAATTTGCCAACATACCCTTTGATAACAAGTAAGAATGAGAATAAATTTATATGCTTATTTAATAGATACAATTATTTAAAACCCAAGATCTAATTCAAAATGTGTTATGCAAACATGCTTAGATCAAGAAATTGTCTACATGTAAGTCAATGTATCTGATTTACTTTCCAAGAGTTTTATGATCTATCCTAAGGTGATAGATAGGATTTCAAAGTCAAGATAACAACTTCTGCTCTGAAGAAAAAATTACTTATTGTAAATGAACTTTTAACCAAAAAGCAGTTGATACAAGAGAAATAAACCCATACAAAAGAATGCAAAATCTAAAATATTTAATATAAATTATAATACCCTGCTAGCTTTTAAAATATTATACAATAAAATACAGAATATCCTTTACTTTTATAATGAGTAAAATTCGTAAACATTGCCAATATTTTTAAAAATCTTTGGGTACTTTCTCCCCTGATCACTTTTAACTGTTCTTTTAACATAGAACAGGAAGGCATCCTAGTATGCAATACCCAGTGCCTTTAATAGTTTCTTTTGGACTCCAGCTAATGGCCCTTTTAAATGGAAGCAAGGATTCCAGGCTGGGGTTCCAGGCAGCAGAAGCAATGAGGTGGAATGGAGTTAGCTTGAATGAAAGGGTTATGGAAACCTCTGTCACGACATTGAGCCAACATTCAAAATTTCAGATTCTGAGTCTTTAGTGGATAATAAAATTATTTAAACAACAGAGAAAAAAATTTGTAAAGGCCTATTGGCAATGGTCCATTTGTAAGGAAGGTATTTAATTAGGCAAAAGAGAGTTTATTATGCTTAAAGCAGACTATGAAAATACACATTCTAAAAAGTTGTGATTACTGATATTTATGATGTCTGCTATAAGGTGAAATGATTTATAATAGGACTGCATTCAAACCTCAAGTAGCATTTTAAAATTTTAAAGCTATATAATTTTTCTTTCTCTTTTTTAGTATTAAGTATAACAAAATATGAAAATATGTGATAATTTCATTAAAGCTTCAAAAATGTAACAGTAGTAGTCTAATGGAAAATTATTTCTAAATTAGATATAAATGATGTATAATTTTCAAGTTACATATATATATATATATATCATACCTCTATATGTTGGGGGAGTGGAAATACTAAAATATAGGCTTGTAGCAAAAATAAAAAGAAAGAGAATAGAGAATGAGATAGTGCTGAATGGTGCTGACTCAAAAAGTTTATTCCAAATGCTATTAAGTTCTGAGTTAATTTCTGATAAGCAGCTTTTCCTTGCCCAGCAAATTCAAATTTCAAGAGATTAAGAAAGTACACTCCAAATCTTGATTTTTATAAAACTCCTCTCTTTTAAACAGTTAGTCCACAGCTGGGCTCTTTCCTTGCCTCAGTAGCTGAAGTGACATAAACAAGGATGGCATGTCACATTGTGCTCTATTGAGAAATAATGTGGAGGCAGAAGGGTGCTGTGGTTAGGAACCCTCCTTATCCTCATCTGTAGAACAGGGGTTGAATAGAGCTTCTAGGCACCGTACTCTTACTTAGAAGTTGGCCTGGTACATATTAAAAGTAATGGCACAAACCACAATTATTTTGCACCAACCTAATAAAAGTGTGTGTTGAATTGTAGTTATAATTATTCTTACTATTTTTAAAAACAAACTATCCAGGTCATCTTCACCTTGATCTGCAGCAGGGTCCTAATTGGGAGCTGAGAACACAGAGAGGAGAAATGTAAATAGTCCAGCCTAGGAAGAGGTTAGGAGAGTGAGGAAGGTTTCCCTGAAGGCCAGATAATTCAACAGTAAGTCTGAGTTAGGGCAAGGGATCTAGAAACTGCATTCTAGATAAATGTATCCAATATATGGGATCAGTAAACATTATGGTGGGACAAGTGCAGGGGTGACTAAAAAGACAAGTGTGAGGCCAGCAAAGTAGATAAGTAAGCAGGGGTCATATCACAGTGGACAAGGACCCTGAGGGCCATGTTAAGAAGCTTGGGTTTATCTGCTTTCATTTCCTAAAGTTTATACTCAGTGCCTTCCAATCATTATGTTCTTGTTTCTAAATTCCCAAAACAGCATGATACAAATAGAGTGCCTCTCTTAAACTGGTCCTTTGAAATTGATGATAAAATGTTATTTCAATCTCAGTATATTTTAATGGTCAGAGCTATCTTTGTAAAAGTGGGCTCAAAGTAATATCCCAAATTAATAGCATTTAGTAGAGTATGTAATGATGTATCAAATTATTTTTCTTTGAATAATTAATCAGAAGCATCTTGAAAATTAAATAGAAAAGGCAATAGAATTCGTGTGTAACCTACCGCATAGGTAAATCAGGTAGCTTTAAATTTCAGTGTGGAGAAATTGTGTGCTTATTTATCAAAAAGCAAAAGACATTCATTCTTTGATATTTTTACTATATTTGTTGTAAATTCCTAGGTTAAATTTAGAGCAAGAAGAAGTTTTCTATTTTATTAAAACAAACAAAAGACATTTCTCAATTTACTTGATAATAATATAGGCCTGTAAATATGTATCTACACAATACATTATAATTGCCCCCACAAAAGAAAAAAGTCATACTATAGCAATTCCTCTTCCTTGCAAATTTTCCCAGTGATATTTTAATTTAAAATAACAGGCCGGGCACAGTGGCTCACACCTGTAATCCCAGCACTTTGGGAGGCCAAGGCAAGCAAATCACCTGATATCAGGAGTTCAAGACCAGCCTGACCGACATGGTAAAACCAAACCCCATCTCTACTAAAAATACAAAATTAGCCAGGCACGGTGGCACGCACCTGTACTTCCAGCTACTCGGGAGGCTGAGGCAGGAGAATCACTTGAACCTGGGAGGCAGAGGTTGCAGTGAGCCAGGACTGCGCCATTGCAGTACAGCATGGGCAAAAAGAGCAAAACTCCGTCTCAAAAACAAAAAACAAAAAAGAAAAAAGAACAAAAGCTGGAATTTTCATTCTCTATACATAATAATCAGGTCCAATTCCAGATTCAAAAATAATAAGATCAACCCCTTTTTCACACTGTGAGTGCTTTATAGAAGGCATAAAGCCATGGGCTTCCAGTTGAATTTCATTCCACACCAAATAAAAAGAAAAGAAAAATGTAATACTTATTTAATTGGTTTGAGTCATATAATTCGTGATATTTAGTCCTCAGTCTGTAATGTGGAATACATTTTTAGCATTTGGGTAAAAATTATAACCTAGTTTGTCTTGGGAAGTGAACTACTTACAGCTCAATGGCTCCCCTTAGTGACACTTCGCAAGAAATTCACAAAGCAGCAGCTTTTATGAAGACCTATAGACAGATTTTATCCAAACATCAAGAAAATAGCTGCTATTCATAATTTAAGTGGTTCTCAATAAGTGAATTACAGTTGTGATTCTAGGGAAAGCAACTCTTTTTTTCATAACCTCATTATGTTTAAAGGATATTGAACGTGTTCTATGGTTTGCATTTTCACTTGGAATTTAAATATATACAAGTTAGGAAGAATAATTCAGGATCACTCTCTTTGTCATTTTTTACATGTTTATTTTTTCTAGTTCATATATGCACTTGAACAGGTTTTAAAAAGATAACCTGCAATTAATTTAATTTATATCTGGGTGCCTATTCCAAATTTATCTATTAAGAAAACTTGCCTTAAAATTAGTAGCTACAGTAAGTCAAAAACGTATTTGATATTCATTAGGAAAAATGAAAGAAACAAAGGAGCAACCATGCAATTTGAAGTAAGTTTTGAGAGTATATATTTGAAGAAATTGGGTCTTCTGTTGCTCTGCAGCTTTGGCTTTTAAATGTGGTTGCACATCAAAATAAACTGGGGGGGAGGGGTGTGAACTTGTTGTTGACTACAGGTTCTTGGGCCCCTCATAAGAACCACTGAATCATAATCTCCAAGGGTGGGATCTAGGAATCTGTATTTTTATATGTTTTGGAACATTGTCTGCAGAAGGCCATAGGAAATGTTTATGTAAAAGACTGTATGTGTTTATACTAACAGAAAATAATTTCAGAATCTTAAAAATAACAATTATCAATTCAATTATGTGATACTACTATGCAACAAAATCTTAAATATGGCTTTTTGGTCTACATGGAGATTTTAGCTACTCTTTCAAAAATTAAGGCTCAAAAATACCAACCACTGACTACATTCCCTCTACAGCATCTTATTACTTACAGCAATTTTCTGAAATAGGAAATAAGGTCAACATGTAAGAATAGCCTATTGGCCTTTTCTAAACTCATCACAGAAACATCCAAACTCTGGCCTGCTATCTGAATTCAATACTTGCCCTTCTCTAGTTTTCAGTACACTGGTCCTCAGGACAAACTCCCAACATGGCAATTGAAGCCCGTATATCTTTCCAGCTTCTATGGGTAATATTCTATATATAGACTCTGATCAAACCAAGGAAGTTGACTTTCAATGCCCCAGATTCACCATGTCCTTGCATGCCTTAGTGCATGTTCACTGCCTGGCATGCACTTCTTCCCTCATCAGCCTAGCAAACTCTCAGTCATTCTTTTAGGCTCACCTCAAACATCATTACATCAGGGGAATTATTTTCAGTCTCTGAAATCATTTTCAGTCTCTCTTCATGGAGTTCAATGCTTTCCCACTGTACCCCCAACAGGACCTTGTACACACCTCTATTTTAGCATTAACATGTGACTATAATTATTGGCAGTCTCCATATCTAACTTATATCCCCAGGTTTTATCACACATTTTTGGCACAGAGTAGGGGCTTTGTTCATGTTTGTGCAAGGGGTTAATAATATTAGTTTTCATTTGTCCCATGAGTAACATATGCCAGTCACCATGCTAAATGCTCTACCAGCATCTCATTTAATCCTTATGAAGTTTAGCAAGAAGTAAGGATTATTCACATTTTAAATATATCAGAGAGTTAATCCTGAGAAATATCAACAACTTGCCAGAGTTCACACAACTAGTTGGTGGCAGACCTAGAATTTGAAAACAGCATTTTTCTGGCCCTAAGGACAGTGTACTTAAATGTTACACCATAGTGCTTCTCTGCAAGGGCTCAGATTGTACTTGACTGCTAATAGCAAATTCTCTTTGATGTTTTCTACCCAAACACCCTCATAGGTAGAACATCAAGGGGAGATGAACGCTGTTTTAATCACTAGAATGTTCCAAAACCCAGTTCAGGCAGGTACGTGCGTGTACACATGCACACAAACATGAATATTCAGTGAATGGCAAAGCACACGTGTGTGTGTATATATATATGTGTGTGTATATATGTCAGATTGTCATAACTGGAATGCTTAGTTTGCAAAATTGCCAAAAAAGCCTGAAAAAAATATTAACCACATCAATGAAAAGTCACCAGAATAAAAAAGGAAGTCCCCTTTAATGAAAACCTTACAAAATTATCCCAAATTACACGTGATTTTTAATGGACTACAGCCACTCTTGTGTATTTCTATTTTATTTCTTACACAAGCAGAAAATATATTTATGCAAAGGGTAGTTAGCATTTCCAACCACTAACACATGGCCTGTAAAAAAATAACAACCTCATTCTTCTGTTGTGCAATAGCCCTCTGTTGAGCAGCAATAATGTACAATGTGTTAGTTTCCTGTTACTTTACTAGAGCCTTCCCTTTCACTCACTGCCCAGACTAGTTATTCCTTGGACATAAAGTTATAATACCGAGTTTCAATCTACTTCCAAAAATGTTTAGGCCTGTCTTAAGAAATAATCATATCAGTTTGCTAATAAGCAGAAATGCACTGCCAGTTGAGGATGTTGTCACAAGTGGCTAAAAAACATATAAATCAATCTGTGACCAAGGAAGAAACAATACATTTCTTATGTGTCCAAAACATTATGGTTGGGATCACAGCTGTAAGATGTTGGACCGTCATCAAGAGAACAATGTCAAACACTGAACTTCTGGATGATTTCCATAAAAATAACATTTTGCTTGGGGTCAGTAGTTTTTATGGAACTTTGGAATGGTTTTTGCTGACAATTTTTTCGAGTTGAACTCAAACACCTCCAAAATGCTCCTCAATATGGAAATATTATGTAATCCAACCTTTGCAGCCATCTCCTTGTGAAAACTAAGCACATAGCATGAAAACTAGTATTTTTCTCTGTTTGTACAGTTTTATAAAATTTAAATTATGCTACATATTCAGAAAGGGAAACTTACTCTTCAGTTTTCCCTGTTTGGTTATTATATTCAAGTCAGCACATCAAATGTGTACTCATTAAATCCAGCATGGAAAGAAGGCCCTGATCCCTTCTGTAGAAATCTTATCAACCCAGCAAAATTCTTTTAAGTGAAAAGAATAATGGAATCGAGTAATCAGAATATAAGTAGTTCAGTTTAGGCATAATAGTTGCCTCTAATGTTGTTTGTTCCTCTCTGTATGTCCAAAACAATTTGCTTCACCCTTGAATGAATTCTGATTTTTGTCAATTGTCCCTTTAGATTCCAGAATTTGAAGGTATGTTGTGCTGAGCCCAACAAGGAAAGCTTTCAAAAAGTAACTGGAAGGTTTTATAAATACAGTCTCATGACAAAGCTAGATGTGGCATAAAATCATTAATCCAAGGAGACCGTATTGGCGTAGTATACCTATGCAATATTAATAATACCACTCCCTAGGATTCTGTAACCAGAGCCCAAGAAAAGGAAAGCCAAACCACTGAATTCAATATTTGCAGCCTACTTCAGGACATGAAAATATTTTGGTTCTCTCATGCAGACAATTTCTCCAAAATATTTTTGTCAAAAGTTACTTATTTTAGACAGTCTAATTTCAAATTTTAAATGACCCAGTATGTGGGATACACATTCAGAATTTGTCATACCTCAGGAAACAGTTGGTTCCTAGTTTTTGTTTACTGTAATATTGATTTGAATCTAGGTAATTTCTCATTGGGATATATGTGTTCATGGATGTTACTAAAACCATGCCTTCAGACTACACTGTAGACTACATATATAAAAGGTGTACATGATAATAAAACATCTAGTTAATTCACTGTTTAGAAATAAATAAAAATAATCATCCAATTTGGTGCCAGGTTTATCTACTTCGATCAAATTATTCTCTTCTTCTAAAACTCCCAGCATTTCTCCAATGCCGACAGAATAAAATTCAGTTCTTCAAGTGGCTCCCTGTTGGCTACAATAATACCTTTTCACATCCAAACCTTTAAAGTCATGTTGATTCCACTTTTAAAAATGTCTCCTCTCATAATGTGAGTCTGAGTTAAATCTATGCTTCAAACCCAGCTCCAGGTCGGGGGCCTGCATGAAATCCAGTATACATGTGATAAATATCTACTCATTTGCTGGATAGAGACTCAACCTGCCCTGGTAGCTTGTACCAGAGGGTTATTGATCAGTTATAGTCATCACCACCCTGCATGTAGAGAAATTATAATCAAAATTAATTTCAACATACAAATATTTATGTTAAAATACAATTATCTTGTTATTCATCCTTATTATTTCTGCATTTGTTATGCAAATCAGTTCTTTTCTCTTAGATAGCAGGCAAATATCTTGACAAATTATAACTATGTAACTGCTACTTCGAAAAAAATTGAATACAACATGGTACCTTAAAAATATGAGCCAGATAAAAATCTCTCCTTTTTTTTTGGAGATAGAATCTCCCTCTCTTGCTCAGGCTGGAGAGTACAGTGGCGCTATCAGGGCTCACTGCAGCCTTGACTTCCCAGGCTCAAGTGATCCTCCTACCTCAGCCTTCTGCATAGCTGGGACACAGGCATGCATCACCATGCCTCATTGATTTTTTTTATTTTTTATAGCGATAAGGTCTCACTATGTTGCCCAAGCTGATCTTGAACTCTTGGGCTCAAGCAGTCCTCCCACCTCAGTCTCCCACAGAGCTGGGATTACAGGCGTAAGCCACCAGGCCCAGCCAAAATATACATTTTAATAAATGTTTTCAACAGCAAGAAATCTATCTAAAACTTTCCATGAAACATGCATAAATAACTATCATGTAAAATAAGTTCCAAACTTAGAAGAACAGAACTATTTGGATTTCAAACAGTCATATGTTAGTTGCCTTATTATATCATATACGTGTTTCACATTTACATTGTTTGGAATATACCACAGACTTAATAATAGTTGAATGATTGAAATAGTAGATATTTAGTATCTATCATTATGATATATAATCTAAGAGAAATTTAAGTCATTTTTTAAAATGTAATTAAAAAATAGAACATAATTGAATGTAATTTTTAAAAGAGTATCCTTTCATTTCAGGAAAAAAAGGAAGGGAGAGGAAAAGAAAAAAACCTAATAAAGGAGAAAGTAAAGAAGCAATACCTGACAGCAAAAGTCTGGAATCCAGCAAAGAAATCCCAGAGCAACGAGAAAACAAACAGCAGCAGAAGAAGCGAAAAGTCCAAGATAAACAGAAATCGGTATCAGTCAGCACTGTACACTAGAGGGTTCCATGAGATTATTGTAGACTCATGATGCTGCTATCTCAACCAGATGCCCAGGACAGGTGCTCTAGCCATTAGGACCACAAATGGACATGTCAGTTATTGCTCTGTCTAAACAACATTCCCAGTAGTTGCTATATTCTTCATACAAGCATAGTTAACAACAAAGAGCCAAAAGATCAAAGAAGGGATACTTTCAGATGGTTGTCTTGTGTGCTTCTCTGCATTTTTAAAAGACAAGACATTCTTGTACATATTATCAATAGGCTATAAGATGTAACAACGAAATGATGACATCTGGAGAAGAAACATCTTTTCCTTATAAAAATGTGTTTTCAAGCTGTTGTTTTAAGAAGCAAAAGATAGTTCTGCAAATTCAAAGATACAGTATCCCTTCAAAACAAATAGGAGTTCAGGGAAGAGAAACATCCTTCAAAGGACAGTGTTGTTTTGACCGGGAGATCTAGAGAGTGCTCAGAATTAGGGCCTGGCATTTGGAATCACAGGATTTATCATCACAGAAACAACTGTTTTAAGATTAGTTCCATCACTCTCATCCTGTATTTTTATAAGAAACACAAGAGTGCATACCAGAATTGAATATACCATATGGGATTGGAGAAAGACAAATGTGGAAGAAATCATAGAGCTGGAGACTACTTTTGTGCTTTACAAAACTGTGAAGGATTGTGGTCACCTGGAACAGGTCTCCAATCTATGTTAGCACTATGTGGCTCAGCCTCTGTTACCCCTTGGATTATATATCAACCTGTAAACATGTGCCTGTAACTTACTTCCAAAAACAAAATCATACTTATTAGAAGAAAATTCTGATTTTATAGAAAAAAAATAGAGCAAGGAGAATATAACATGTTTGCAAAGTCATGTGTTTTCTTTCTCAATGAGGGAAAAACAATTTTATTACCTGCTTAATGGTCCACCTGGAACTAAAAGGGATACTATTTTCTAACAAGGTATATCTAGTAGGGGAGAAAGCCACCACAATAAATATATTTGTTAATAGTTTTTCAAGTTTTGTTCACTCTGTTTTATTGTTTGTTTTATTGAGAAATTCTTACTCTTAGAGACTCATGAATTAAGAAAGAGAATTCTGCTAACTCAGAGAACCTGGTTCCTATGTAATTCAGAATATATTACATTTCTCAGTAATATTTGTTTTTTGAATCCACCTTTATCTGAGCCAATGGAGATTTACTTATAGCGTATTAGGAGATATTTATTCCATTTTCTTATTTTAATCAACATTCTAATTATAGACACATGGGCCTCCCTAGCTGATTTCACTGCTCCCCCTTCATTGCTTAGAAATGGGCATCATTTCTTGTATGTCAGATCCCCCTGCATCTTCAACATTTAGTCTTTTCTTCTCCATATTTTCTATCTGTGGATCTCTTTAGGGGATTGAAGTCACCCTAGCTGAAGGCCTCACCAGTGTTTCACAGAGGACACAGCCCACCCCTTGCAGGAGGAGGTATCTCTGAGTGTGCAGCACAGAATCGCATGACCCACCTTAACCTTCCTGTTGTCATGGAAGGATGCACGGCTGCTCTGTCCACTGTGATTCCTAGCCCTCTCAAGATCACTGCTTTCTGAAGAATTTGCAATGACTCTGGCTTCTGGCTGCTTATCTCTGGACACCCGTTCTCCACCAGTTGTACAGTTCATGTAATCTACTTGGCTTAATTGATTTTCCACTTCTCTCTTCCTCTTCTAAGATATAAACATTTTAAATGATTTATTCCTGTTTCTTATTCTGGTGTTTCTTTCCTTGTCCCTATGAGATAAGTGTCTCAACTCACTAAATCTATTCCCAATGTATAAAATAATTCTAATTCCATTTTCAGCTAAAACATATATTACCAAGAAGAAACAAACTTTATCCTACAGAATGATGTTAGGTAGAAATATGTCCCCAGGTTTGAGACCTTTCGGATGATTTCATATACCATCTTTCTTCTGAGTGTTACCCAGTCAAGTATAAGTAGCCAAATTATTTTTGCACATCTTTCTGTTTCTCATGTCTTCATTTATTCAACAAGCACTTACTGGGAAGGTCTACACCTGCATAGGCAATGCTGGAAAAAGGGTTAAGTAAACCAGGACATGACAATGGTGGCAAATGACTATCAGGTCTTCCCATGTGTTTGACTCAAACTTATTACCCTATGGTCCTTCTGACAATGGCAGAAGGTCTGAATCCTTGATGCTAAACTTATATAAAAGTAGAATTATTACAAAGGAAAAAGAAATAAAAACTAACATTCATTTTCATATGTTGGATGAAATATAAATGAAGAAAAAGATAACATCAATTTTAACTGTAATTCTCCATCCACCAGTAACAGATCCTTAAGACAATAGAATCATACAGTATTCAAACCAGCAGCCTTCTCAAATTTGAGCAAAAACTCTATCAACCTCTGGTAAAGTTCCTACACTAGTCACAGAAGGTGTTAACTTTCTACTCTGATTCTGTCTCCATAATGGGGTAAACTGTTGATAGTTTACCCCATCAACAGATGGTCGGTAAATTATTGATTCGAAGAATCGAGAGAGTGCAGCAACATAAATCTGTTAATGTCTGATCAAGCTCCTGCCCTGTTCTCCGAATTCAGCTTCATAATTAAGGGAAGGCCTGTTTTCTATCCTCAGATTTAGGTTCTAGTAGCAGTTGTGTAACCACTAGTGAGTCACTTAACTCCTCTGGGTCCCCATTTCTCATGTGCAACAAGAAAGAGGGGAACTGGAGATGATCACTCTAGTTCCAGACAAGGGAACATTTCACACTTTGTTTACTTCAGGGTGATGTCCCTGAGTCCTCATTAGTGACTGCGTCCTTTGGAAGTTATCCCAACCCTGCTTTTCTCAAAAGTGAAAATGTATAGGCTCTCAGAGGAGACAGATTTAACTCTGCTTCTCTAATGTTATTGAATTAAAAGCTGTTCACATTAGTGGTTATTAAATATTGAAATAACACTGGGAAGAAAAAGCATATATAAATACAGCTAAAAACAAGAATAGATATTCATTCTCACAAAGGGAGACAGCAAAGAAAATGGAAAGTGCACTGGTGCTAGCGTTAGACAGCTTGTGTTAATGTCTCAATTCTGCTACTAACTGGTTGCAGCTTGTGTGACCTTGGGCACATTGTATGATCTCGCAGAATATCATCCCAAATCTGCAAAATGGAATTGGCATCATCTCTTTTGCAAGATTGTTATGAGAATTAAAAGGTTCTTCATTCAATATAATAATAAATATTTTGTATATAAATGAATATCAATTAAAAGTTATGACTAATTCCACAAGTCAAACATATAAATTTTATTTCTTGATTCATGATATGTGATAGTATTCATAAAAATGTACATGCATGATAATTTCAAGGAATAAGTATATATGTGAGAATCATGGAAATGAAATTAATAATATTAACTAGTAATTAAATTGTAATTTTGTCTTGAGTCTTCTTAAAATTAGGAAACTACTTAAAGTACATTTTTTATAAATGGGCATAAATACAGACAGTATATATTTTCCATGGATATATTTTCATAGCAGAGGAACCAACTAGATTCTTTCTCAATACAACTGCAACTATTTCTGGTCAAATTATGGGGAAAAGGCCTGTTTTGTGGTTGATCTGTTACAAACAGGGTGTAACTTCTTGTAACGCAAAGATAATTTGTCTGGAATTCATCCACCACTGAAAAAATAAAATTAAACAAGGATCATGATCAAATCAATTGAAATTTTTCCAAATTTAAGCAATAACATTTCATCTTACTAACATAGTAGATTATTGTAACTTTATTTCAAATGTTCTTAGAAAAAGAAAAGCAAAACAAAACAAATGGCTGTACCTCCTTTATGCTAGCCACTTAACCCTTTGACTATACTATATTATGTAATTATCCCAAAAGCCCTGTGAGTCATTGATGTCCTTGTTTTACAAAAGAGGAAACTGAGGCACAGAGAAGTGTCTAAAGTCATACAACTAGCAACATGTGAGTTTGGAAGTGACACCCAGCTCTGGCTGACTCCAAAGCCCACTTTCCTTCTCCTTCATCATAACTTCTAAAGTCATATTTATTATTAGTTCCAAGATTGCCCATGACATATAATAGTGAGGTATTTCTTCATGATCTAAAACTATTATCCCCCATTAAGAAGCCTGAGACGTCAAGTTCTAGAGGCCTCAACCCAGGATAAGACTTAACTCTGAATCTGAACTCGAAATGTGACTGTGTGTGTGTGTGTGGCGCGGCGGGGTAGGGTGAGGCGGTGAGACACAGAGCTGCAGGAAGCCTATGGGCTGGCTGGATGTGGGGTTTGTGGGGAACAGTGGATTGGGGGAGGCAAGTGCATTGGTAGGCAAGAGGAATAAAAAGGAGAAATGGGAAATACGTGCTATCAGTAAAGGACCAAAGTTCAGAAAGAGAACAGTAAGTCTGGCTCCTTGGGAAGCCCTCGATTGTTATAGCCCTTTATGTCTGTGGATTAGCCCTCAATTCAGTTCTTTTCTGGTATAAGCAGGGTATTTGCCAGCATGATCATCTTTCCCCTGAGTCCTTGTTCAGAATTGCAATGATCCAGGAAGAAACATCAACAGATTTTCTTCACTGTTGGAACTACCAAAACAACTTTCTTCAGAGGATACTTCATTTTCTTCCAGCTACTTTCAGACATTCAATATCAGGATTTTAATTGTCACACACCTTTTCTTGCCCATACTGGCTCTCAAGTAATTTTGAGGCTAACATATCCATCACATACACAGGTACAAAAAATGAAGGAAGAAAGAAAGAAAGGGAGGAAGAAACATAGGAGAGACGGAGGGAGGGGGGAAGCAAGAAAGCAAAATAGCAATCATTTTTATTCATAGTCCTTAAAATACAGTGGTAACACAACTCCAACAAGTGGAAATATTTCATTAATTGGAAAATTGGCTACATAATAATTTCAAAAGACATAATTACATGACCACAAAATAATCTGACATATAAACAGTTTGCAAACTGTTACAGTTACTTCTATATCTATAGCTGTGTGCAGTGAAAATTGTTGTTCAATATGATGTGGAGGCAATCCAACATACTGAATCACCTACAAAGGATTAAGTTTTATTTTAAAAAAGAAAACTGGCAGATACATATAAGAAAAGTTTTTAAACAAGGTTAAATAATAACTTTACCAAAGTGTTCTGCCTAACAGGTTTAATGGAAGTATTCACTTTTGTACTATTAGCATCAGTTACTATTTTAGCTGCTCCGAATTTCTATCACAAATGAATTTCAAGCAAGATCTAGATTTTCTTCAACAAATTTAACAACTTCTTAAACATTTTAAAGAGGAGTCTACCTTTATAAATAAAACAATCAAATGTATTTTAAGTGCTTTGAAATTATAAAGCACAATAAATATATAAGCTATTACTGTTGCTAGCCAGTCCCTAGCTACAGCAACAGTTTGACATTCCTTTCCCCATTGCTCACACTGCCGCCCACACTGGAGATTTCAGTCTAAGAATTACCTATATTCTTCCCCAAAAGGAGTCAATAGAAGTACGTGATGAGACCACATATTTGAGAATGCAACAATGTAGCCCTTCCTTACTAGAAGGGAGTAAGGATATACTTCACTTCCTTCTAGTATATCTGCATTGTTTTTTTTCTGTAGCTGCTGGCAATGGAGCTATATCAAACATGGAACTAGAGGTGCAACTTTACTTTGTACATTGTGTGATACCCAAATACAATAAAATAAACTACCACTAAATGTGGAATCTTGAACTGGAGACATTTCTGAGTCAGTTAACGCTACCACATACGGTCTCCCCAGAACACGCACATTCCAGGTTGGTCCCAATCTCCCAAGAGGTAGAAAATTTGGTGACAACTCCGTCAACTATCTGGCTATGATGATCTCAAGATTTGAAAAAAAGTAAAAAGAATTCTGATCCCAAAAAGAAAGGAACCCTTATTTTCATCCTTATAACTACTCAGTGACATGTACTGCCCCTCCACCAGAATGACATGCCAAAAACGAGTGCCATGCCCTGGGGCACTGTGCTGTCCCTGGCAGCAGTCCGTCCATCCTTTTGACTTCCTTCCCTACTTCTGTTCTACACTTTGCTTATTTATGGTTTTTGATTGACTAGTTTGGGAAGGAAAAAAAACCCTACCTAATGATTTAAAAATTAACCTAGGAATAAACTGGAGAAGACATAATTTAATAAATTCCTCGAAGTATAGAGCTATGGAAAGAATATTATTTATACTTCTTTTTTTTTTTTTTTGAGAAGGAGTCTCGGTCCGTCGCCCAGGCTGGAGTGCAGTGGAGCAATCACGGCTCACTGCAAGCTCCGCCTCCCGGGGTCATCCCATTCTCCTGCCTCAGCCTCCCGAGTAGCTGGGACTACAGGCGCCCACCACTACGCCCGGCTAATTTTTTGTATTTTTAGTAGAGACAGGGTTTCACCATGTTAGTCAGCATGGTCTCGACCTCCTAACCTCGTGATCCGCCCGCCTCGGCCTCCCAAAGTGCTGGGATTACAGGCGTGAGCCACTGCGCCCGGCCCCATTTATACTTCTTAAAAGAAGTTTAATAAAAATAAACTAGAAAACAAAAATAGAAACACTTTGTGTTTCACATACAAGGGATTTTCCTCATGTGGCAACTATTTGGAAGAAGGTCCTATTTATCACTAAGTTCACCCTTACTGATCTTTTTCCCATAGTAAAAAAAAAATGATTATGACTCACTTTATGAACACACCAAATGCTACAGGAAAATAGATTTTAGTTTTATCCAAACCAGCAGTGAGAATAATTTATGATTCCAAAAAAGACATAGACATGCAGAGTCAATTTAGGAAAGTGAGTCAGTTTCATGCAAATAAGTTCTAGCTTTCTTGATTGCCAGTCTCCTTTTAATGTTGGAATTTTAGGGGGGGAAATGAATTATTGTGGTAAACCAACAATTCCACTTGTTAACTATGGAATATTTAAAGGATAGCTTAATATGTACATGTGAAAGGGTCAAGAGAATAGAGTTTTATTTGAATATCCAGATGATCCAATTAAATCCAAAATGGTATTATTTCTAGAACAGAAGAGACCATTAGAATGTGCTGTTCTAGTATCTCTAGAATTCTCAAATTTATTATGAGAATTATCCTTTCCACAATTGTCAAAATAGATTGTTTGGCCATAAACATCCTTGCAAGCCTAAGCAATTTGAAATTCAGGGCCTATATCAGTTTCCTTGCCTCCACCCCTTTCACCCCCAAAAGAAACCAGTCAATTAGATAATGGATAAATTAACACTATATTGACAAGCAAAGAATAATTAGAAATTAATAAGCATAAAGAGAAATGACTGTGTAAAAAAATCACTTGTTTCAGGTTTAATGTAGTCACTTTGGGACAGGAATATAAAACATGAAACATGAAAATAGTCAGCAGATGCCCTTTCCATCCATTAATAAAGTATCTTTTAAATAAATAATCAATCAACCTATAGATTCTGCCATTAGGAAATTAGCAACAGTGCTTTGCTGTACCAGTAGAGCTATCAGATTAGACAATTTTCATATGTATAGGTGACATAACATTCTCCTAAAATTTTCTATCAGGTTTCTAGATGGAGGTTAAAAGCCTTGTATGATTTTGTAATAATTGATATACCAAGCCTGGCATCCACAATAAATATTGATGTTTTCCATTCTGTAAAAATGATATAAAACATATTAGTGCTTTTATAGTTATGCAACTTTGTATGTTTTGATACCAAAAAAGATCCAGAAAATGTGAAAATACAGATAGTTATCTAAGTATAGCTTCACCGAGATTGGGTGATTTAATTATCAATTTGAAGGAAAACTCTTTTATCTGTAACAATGATCATAACTGAACTACTGAACTGGCCAGCAAAATTAATGTCTTGATCTGCCACTCAAGCAGTATTTAGTCATTATTTTCAAATGACTAAAATTAAATAAAATAAACTATACCTTTGAGAATCATTTTAACTGAAGTAGCCAGTTATAAGGGCTAGCCACAGGCAGTGTTTACAAAATGTCTCTTTAAGAGGTGTAAGATTATTTCAGATCCACAAAGAAAAAGCAGCAGATGGTCCTGCTTTTCCCTTGTATCACTTGAAACATACAAGACTTAAATATTAAGTTAAAAGTGTATTGAGAATACTTCAGAAAACAAATCTATGCCCAAATCACTCCTTAAAGCATGGAAAGAAAAATAATGCTAAAGTGGAGGAAAATAATTAAAAGTGGAATTCCCTATATATTCTAATTTGCAAGATGAAGCTTCACTCTTCCTGCAAAATACTACATTATGGGTATGAAGACGCCACACCAGTCCTAACCAAAACATGTCTCAGCCCTTCTCCAGCCTTCACCAAATATCACATTGCCAGCTTCTCTTTTGTCATGTCCTTGCACTTCCACAAATTGGATTTCCCATCAGAGTGTTAGTACACTCTGATGAACTCAACAAAGCAGAAGTAAGAAAAAACAACTTTAAAAATGTTGTTTTTATATTACAAAGCAATGTTTCAAATAAATGTTATTCAATATTACTGAAATGGCATTGAAATAGTCATAATGAGAAAAGTGAGAACTTGGTTGAACTTTCTTATACTGGTTTTACAATTTAATTCTGTGTTAGTTTGCAATACATTAAAAAAAGGAACGACAGAATCTTTCAAAATCCTTGGTCCAGTCCTACTGCACAAACACAAGCACCTACTGCCTCCCTTCTCTCCCGTTAGTCAATCCTAAGCCTTGCCTGAGAAATATCAGTGATTCTGTCAAATACTACAGACTGCTCTCTATCCTGAGTGCCTTGAGAAGGTCTCCAGCTATTCCAGTGTCACCTTTGACAGGAGGCAAAGGTGGTAAGCAAAGGTGTCAAGGCCCTGTCATCCATTCTGCCTTGTGTTTCTTTCATTTCCTGTACAGGGTAACTGCTCAGAAAAACTCAACTATTTCTCACAGGACAAATCATATAAAACCTTACAGGATTAAAAAAAGAGAGAGAGAAGCGCTTGTAATGAAAAGAAACGAAAGAAATAATAAGAGAACACACAAGAGGAAACCAGTCACACCCATTCTCTCTAGTGCTATGTAGCTTAACCCACACCCAAAGTAAACTGCCTTCACTTCAAGAAGCTGTCTCTCTGTAAATAAACTGACCAATGTATCTTTAAGACATAAACATCTTGGACTGCCATAATAAACATTGCAAAATAAATACAAAATAACATCTGGAGGCAAAGCTTTGCTAGGAGTGGGGTGAGAGGGAGTGCTAGCTTTTCTTAGCACCATTAATAAAGTATTAATTTCATTTTCTTTTAGTTTGGAAAATGCTTTCCATTATTAACCAAAAACAAATCAAAGACTTACTGATTTTACTTTAAAATCCAAAGAATGGAATACTGTCTGTCCATAATGGCTTTTTGCAAGTTGGGCTTATCTTCTTAGTTATATTTTAATTCCCTTGTTTTCTACTGTTTGAAACTAGCACTCAGTCACCAAGCAGTTAATTTAGATATGAAAATGGTTTATATTTAGGTCTAATTATTACTGTCCTGTTACATAAAAATCTTCTTTCTGTCTTGGGAAACCAATTTCTCCAATATAATGTACCAGAAAAACACAATACTTCCATTGTAAGAGTATATTATAATGATTATGACATTCAACCATTGTTTCTCATTGCAATGGCAGAGACCATGTTTCATGCACTTCCTATCAGCATCCGACTTATGTGTAGTTATCCCATTCAATTAACATTTATCATCGGCAAACAGCAACTGGTCCAGCTCTCTACCTGTACAAAATAATTACATCAAATGCTTGAGTTGCTCCTAGTAAATTTTACTATAATATTATTATGTAGATAATTGCCCTAGGAATTACTTCTCTTATTTTGTGTAATGCTCTGGTAAGATTTTTTGTAGGTGACATAGAAAGCATTGTATTCCAATGCCAAGAAAAAAAAAAAACTCATTAGAAATATATGTAACTTACAGCCAGGCGCCATGGCTCACGCCTGTAATCCCAGCACTTTGGGAGGCCGAGGTGGGTGGATCGATCACCCGAGTACAGGAGTTCCAGACCAGCCTGGCCAACACGGTGAAACCCCAACTCTACTAAAAATACAAAAAATTAGCTGAGCATGGTGGCAGGCACCTGTAGGCCCAGCTAATTGGGAGGCTGAGGCAGGAGAATCACTTGAACCCAGGAGGTGGAGGTTGAAGTGAGTCGAGATTATGCCATTGCACTCCAGCCTGGGAGACAAGAGCAAAACTCTGTCTCAAAAAAAAAAAAAAGAAAAGAAATATATGTAACTTATGAGTAAATTATAATACCTCCTAAAAACCATTATACCTAATTTACAATAACTACTACTAATAATGACAAAATAAATTATTTGAAATGTATATACCCTAAATTATTTCTTGTTCCCAATGTATAAATCTTTATTTTTATAAAATGAAATAAACTTGTTAACTATCAGGGGAACAGTAAATGCCTTCCATTTAGTCAAATAAATATGTAAGGATATTTAATCTCATATAAGTGTTTTTTAAAAGTATACTTGTCTCTCTTTCCATAGGAAGTAATGTCTGGCAGAGGAAAACTGCTGAGCTATGTCTGAGATAGTTTCATCTGCTCACAGGCTGCTCCTGATGGCACATATTTATTGTGTTTCTCACATGGCCTAAACTATACCAGCAAAATGAGGAATTCAGTTTTCCTTTTAAAAAATTTTCCTTTTGAAAATAACAGGCATTTTACTAAACATTCCTTTTTTTCTTATTTTGATTAGCCAAAATGCCAGTTGCAGGCAGGCTACATAAAGGATATTCTAAATTCCAGACCCTCTTTCATCAGATATTGCAAAGGCTGAAAGTAAGATCAAATTTACCCAAGCCACAAGTTGTAATAAATTTAAAAGAATCATCTTTGGCTTCCATTATTAGTCATTTCCTCTCTTTCAACAAACAATAATTCAACAAATAAAAATTTTAAAAGTTCTGTCTATTTTAGGCTTTGCAGATAGAAAGACTTGCATTTAAATCTCTTTATTATTGACCGTGCACTCTTGGAAAAGTAATTTATTTGATTCTCCATATATTCATATATAAAATAAATATAATATTTTTACAGACTGTATAGAGTTGTGAAGATTAAAGGAAACTATGTGGCATGCCAAGTATGTACTGGGTTCCCAGTAAATTGCTACTAATTAAAATGTATGTGCTTTGCTTAAAATAGAATTTCCAAGTCACTCTGAAACAGAAATATCGATATTTCTGTTATATATAAATATATATAAATACAATCATGTAAACACACATACATACACATATATTTCCTTCAATAATCAATCTTTCTATAATATTTAATTTAATCAATAGGTATTTACAGTATATCTACTGTTCACCAGGCAACATGCTTGATACAGATAATACAAATCCACAAAATAAAATTCTTGTCTTTGAATCTTCCTACTAGGAGAAACACATAAGATACCCAAATGCTATGAGGGTATTTTACCTAAGTCTGTGCCTCCTGGTGCGGAGGTCAAGAGGAATGAGCCCCTAACTCAGGCTTGGATGCAGGAGCAGGAGAGGATGAGTGTTTAGTAACGTGAGCTAATTCCTCAATCATGAGTACTTCTTTGGCAGTGAAACAAAATAGGAAATGAATGTCGGGTTGGGTATCACAGGCCATGAGAAAAGCCTGGCATAAATGAGAATATGCAGTTTGGGGAATTACAAGTAGTTTCTGTGTTCTCTGGCAAGAGATTTGGGAAGTGTGAACAGGAAACAGATGATAAATGGCCTTATATGTTATGGGAAAGAGTCTATACTTTATCTTGAAAACAGTGATGAGTCTGTTAAGGTTTTTATGAGGAGCAATGAAATAATTCTATTTGTCTTAAAAGTTGCCTTTGGTGACAATGAAAAGATGGATTTTTAAGAATGAAGAACACTCGGATGAGTAACAGTTTTAAGTATAGGAGTATAAAATTGTATAGTCAACTTCAAAATAAAAAGAACCTGAATTAATGCAGAAAAAGATGAAGGAGAGGAGGGAATAGACACCAGAGATCATTTGAAGGTAGAAGCCATGAAACATGTAACCAATAGCAAGAAGCAGGGGAGCAAAGTGAGTCCCATGTCTCACTCGGTAAGCAGTGTCATTAATCAGAGAATCACCCACAGCTGAGAGTGGGATTGTTTATTTGCTTTGTTGAGATTGAGGTGTGTGACAGATATTCAATTGAGATAATCTCCTAGGAGTCTGGAATATTATAGGTCTGTCCCTGGGCTAAACTGTATGAAAGGTAGAGATATTGATTTAGAAGTAATTATCTAATAAATAAATCACAGGGCATATGTGAGTGAGCCTAAGGAGAATTCAGTGAAAGAGAAGAAAAAAGATTGAATACAATTAGCAATATTTAAAGAGTGAGTAGAGAAACAGGGAGTTATGAAGGGAACTGAGAAAGATGGACTCAGAGGTAAACAGGTCAAGAATAAAGAAAGCAACATTATAGAAACATTATGGGGCACGATTATATCAAATATTGCAACAAAATCAATCAATCTGAAGACTGGCAGGTGTCCCCAGGACTTGCCAATATGGTGTTCTTTTAGAACTTATTTTAACAAAGTTCTGAGGACAGAATCCAGGTCTCAGTGAGCCAAGAAAGAATGAGAGGTAGGGAATTGAAGATGCAGAATGTAGACAACTCAATAGAGAAGGCTTCTATCTGTGGGTAAGAAGGAAACTCAAGGTACAGCCTACAGAGAGTCAACATATGTTTTATTTGGGTCTGCTTTATGAAGAAATTAGACTACAGCCATTAACCTACTGAGGCAAAGGAGAAAAAAGAGTAAATGTTCTAATTTAACAAAGAGTAGAACTATCCACACCTGTGATAAAACTAAAATTCCACTATAAATATTAAGCGTGAGGGATAAATGTCAATTTTAACAGAATTTCCATTCAAACTTGTTTTCCCCAATACATCTTCCCAACTTTCTCTCTTGACTTCCCATATCACTTCATAATTTTCAGTAAGATATTTTTGCCTTCACCTTTATTTCTCTGTATCCTTTTCTATATAAATGCATTTGGTAATGCTACTTCATCTTAACTGATTTTTTTTTTCATGTAAAATCAATCTTGGTTGCTGCCCTCCTTAACACCTAAGTCAAATTTCTCAACTTTTAGGCAATATTGGCTATTCAACTCTGTGCCCCAAACTCGTGTATACTATATTACTTTCTACTTTTTGTACATTATTTTTTAAATAAATTACAAATAAAATAAAAATAGATGTCAGAATCTTTTTAAAATGTAAAATGCTGTAAAATATCAAGTCTGATAATATTATTAATATCAATTTAAGGATGCCTTATCTCCCCCTTGATCAAATTGTCAGCCAATATTTGAATCATGAATATAAATCACTGACAAGAAAAAAAAATAGCTCAGGTTGACGTCACTGCCTAGTAGCAAAATTTCCCTTAAAAAATTTAAACCTGTTAATTATATTTTATTTAATTAAATACATATATTTATTTCCATATTTGCATTTCCTTTTTCAAACACATGCAGCAGCAGTCTACTATATGCAATCCTGTTTAATGCAACCAGTTATTTTTGTAACAGTTTATAATTCTTTCACATATTGGCATCATTTCAGCTATTCAATTAAAAATGAGATTTTTTTATTAATGTATTCAGTTGCTCATATAAAGCATCTTGTGCTTAGCATATTAAGCAAAAATAGGGCTATATTGTTTCCATTAACTTACTATTTAATCCTTAAAAATAGAAACCTAATGTAATGGTTACAGTATGGATCCAATACTAAATATAGAATTCTAGTTTTCTGTCCTATAGAAACTCAGATGATCTGTAAAAAAATCACACATCTTCACAACTTCTCCTAAGCCAATAAAAGAGAAATGCTTGCTTTCAAGTTAGATTCTAAATCATAAAATTTATTATATAAGGCCAGAAAATAAAGCAATTATCTTACATGTATTGTAAATACTTCTGAAAAAAATCAATTATGTTTCAGCACCCCTCCAAAACTGCTCATTTAAAAAAATTTATTTTCAAAACATATTTCCTTTTTGCCTAAATAACAGGGCTTGCCCTGAGAAACAATTGTGGATTTTGAAGACTGCACCAAAGTTGTGTGTTGGTATCTGATAAAATTCTAAAAATAATGTTAAACTATTGATAAGAAGCTAGAATACCGGCCTTTACCATCAGAGAAAACTACAGGACACATGGGATCACAACCCCTCTCAGGTATCATGCTCTCTGCCTTACTAATCCCATTTTTCTGTTGTGGTTTAGTTTGTTTGCTTTTTAGAGTTTTTAAAGTAATAGATTAGGGAAGTTTTACAGAATGTGTATTGAATTAAATAACAGATTTGACAGAACTTCCCTGAATATATTTATGTATAAGATTTAGAGAAGCAGCTACAATTAGATGGCTCCATATCTGATTGAACAACCCTATGTAAGAAGTATTGATAAAATTATCTATGTCAATCTCTTTGTCCTTCATCTTGCCCTGTTAGCCCCATCTCAATAGCTTAGACGAAGCTAAAGAAAGCATGCCTACTTGAATTTGAAAAAAAAAAAAAAATAGGACAGTGCTGACAGAAATAACTGATACTTTGGAGGAGAAAGTCGAAACTGTAAAATAGCAGGTGTGATGATAGGCTGGGCCAAAATGATAAAATCAGTAAGAAAAGAAAAAATAGGCTTACGTTAAAATACAACAAAACACACAATACAAGGAAATGAATGGCAGTTGGCACGGAAAAAGTCAACCCTCAGAGGTTTTATTGGACCACAAGCTTACTAGGAGCTAAGAAGCTGATAACGGTGCCTAAAGGAGCTAAGGAAGCAATGGTGCTGTGGACAGCCCGCCATTCCCAGAAGCTGCTGCTACTCCCGCCCCCAACCCCCAAAGTCAGGTCCTGGGAAAAAGCTATTCTGAGTGTCTGCATTCTTGGGCTAGAATTTCTTCAAAGGCACCATAATAAAATATCCATACCACTGAGCTGGAGCCTTGAAAAGTGGCCATTCATTCATGTCCTCAAACCACAGCATGTTCAAATTCACCCATGAGCTCTATCAGGAAGTGTAACTCCAGGGAATTCTAGCACATGAGGTGGGATTTTTCAAGGCCACCCCCGTTTTTAAGGGAATTATTCAAATATCCACTAAATGAAAGAAATGGACAGCTCAATTTAGAAGAGCTGTATGTTGGAGTCTAGGTATGGATAGAGAGATGGATGTGAGAAGTGGCTAGATCAGACTGGAAGCAGCACAAAATAAATAGGAAAAGCATAGAATTTGGGGAGTAGGGGATGACCAAGAATGAGAAGGATGTACATGAAGGAAGGAGCCAGAAGAATGGGACTTTGGCTGGGCGCGGTGGCTCACGCCTGTAATCCCAGAACTTTGGGAGGCCGAGGTGGGCGGATCACTAGGTCAGGAGATTGAGACCATCCTGGCCAACACTGGAAAACCCCATCTCTACTAAAACACAAACAAAAATTAGCCGGGCGTAGTGATGCGCGCCTGTAGTCCCAGCTACTTGGGACGCTGAGGCAGGGGAATCGCTTGAACCCGGGAGGCAGAGATTGCAGTGAGCCGAGATCGTGACACTGCACTCCAGCCTGGCCACACGGCCAGACTCCGCGTCAAAAAAAAAAAGAACGGGACTTCATGTTACTGTTTCTAAACCTTAACTTCTCTTAAAGTTCAGAACATCTGGCAAAATCATGCTTTACACTTACTGTACCATTGCCACTTTTTCACTTCTACCACTCCTGACAGATTCATCAAAGATTTGAGCAGATCAATCCACTTTCATTCCTATTTCTACTAATCTTGGACAACTGCCACTTCTGTGTGGACAGTATATTCAACACTCCAACCTTATTGTTTATATATCTCTGTCTGGATACCCTAGTCCATATCATATCCCAAATCATCTAGCTCCAGATTTCTAATTTCTTGATTACCACACTGTGTCCACAATCTCATGTGTTTTCTGCTTCCTCAACTTTTTGGTCCACTGATAATATTCTTCAATCTCATTAAGGACTCTAGTCCTTCACCCTTCCGATTTTACTTAATCTCTCATCCTCCACCTGGCGTCACTAAATTTTTCAGCTGGGCTTCATTTTCCTCACTTGTAAATGGGAGTAGGAATACCCACCTTACATATTTGATGTGAGAATTAGAGATAAATTATGTAAAACATAACCTTGTTCCATGCTAAAAGTAGGCATTAAGTGATGGTTACCAACCTTAATCCCCATAAAGCTCATGACATTTTACTTAGAGATCTCTCTTGCCATTACCATCAGTTCCCTTGCCTTTTGTCCTTCTTCTGCACCTAATTAGCAAAACTCAAACCCTGGATCAACCAATCACTCCCTTTCCAGTCACATATCTGGCTGCCAAGCACTGCTAAAAACAAATTCCACAACCACATGGATTGATGCCACTACAAATTTATGGTCTCCCACATCAGTTGGGCTATTAACACTACACAGTAAAACTTCTAACTATCCCTAATCCACTTCCTCTGTCATTCACCACAATAATATTTTCAAACTTTCACTAACCTGATTTTCTCCATCATTCTCAGCAAATGAACTCTGCTTTAGAGAGAAAATACAGATCATCTTGCAAGAACGTTCTCCACTTCCTTTCTCTCCCCAAAACACAAACAAGTGTAAATATAGTCAGAGCCAGCCTTACCTCTTCCCTTTCTATTTTAGCTAAATTGTTGTCCTACATTTCAAATGTTAAACCTACCATCTGTTCTTTGAATCACATCTTCTCATTTCTTTGGGAAGCTTACATTGCGTCTCTTCTCTTCTGTATTTCAACTTCTCTTTTTCTTTCAGCATCTCCTATTTTGTCGCTCTGTTTCCTTCTAGTGTACACCTTAGTTTTTCGTTCACCTTACAACCATGTTTCTCCAAAGAGCAGTATGTACTTACCTCCATGACTCCATTTTTTAGGACTGTGTCAACCACCATATCTGTGTTTTTCTATCTCTATTACAGTAAATTCAATCTTGCAAATGTCTTTAATTACTAAAAACAACAAACATGTTTTAGTCCTTACCTTACATGACCTTTCTTCTACTCATGATGTTGTTTATCATCTTTATTGAGATTCTTTCCTCCTATGACTGTTAAGCCACCATTTACTCTTGATTTTCCTCTTCTTTCTTTTTTTTGGGCAGGGGGAGGGTCACGGGGGATGAAATTTCCCTCTTGTTGCTCAGACTGGAGTGCAATGGCACCATCTCAGCTCACTGCAGCCTATGCCTTCTGGATTCAAGCAATTCTCCTGCCTCAGCCTCCTGAGTAACTGGGATTACAGGCGCCCGCCACTATACCCAGCTAATTTTTTGTATTTTTAGTAGAGATGGCGTTTTGCCATGTTGGCCAGGCTGGTCTCGAACTCCTAGCCTCAGGTGATCTGCCCACCTCAGCCTACCAAAGTGCTGGGATTACAGGCGTTTGAGCCACTGCGCCAGGCCTCTTCTGTCTTTCATAGAGAAAAATCTCATTCATTTAAGGATTTTTAACTACCAGTAACCTTAATAGTACAACACCTAACTTACTTCTTGACTTGAATGTCACATTGCGTCCGGAATTGGTGGGTTCTTGGTCTCACTGACTTCAAGCATGAAGCCACGGACCCTCGCGGTGAGTGTTACAGCTCTTAAGGCGGCGCGTCTGGAGTTTGTTCCTTCTGATGTTCGCATGCATTCGGAGTTTCTTCCTTCTGGTGGGTTCGTGGTCTCGCTGGCTCAGGAGTGAAGGTGCAGACCTTCGCCCTGAGTGTTACAGCTCTTAAGGCGGCGCGTCTGGAGTTGTTCGTTCCTCCCGGTGGGCTCCTGGTCCCGCTGGCTTCAGGAGTGAAGCTGCAGACCTTTGCGGTGAGTGTTACAACTCATAAAAGCAGTGTGGACCCAAAGAGTGAGCACTAGCAAGATTTATTGCAAAGAGCAAAAGAAGAAAGCTTCCACAGCCTGGAACGGACGCGAGCGGGTTGCCACTGCTGGCTCGGGCTGCCTGCTTTTATTCTCTTGTCTGGCCCCACCCACGTCCTGCTGATTGGTAGAGCCGAGTGGTCTGTTTTGACAGGGCGCTGATTGGTGCGTTTACAATCCCTGAGCTAGACACAAAGGTCCTCCACGTCCACATCGGATTAGTTAGATACAGAGTATTGACACAAAGGTTCTCCAAGGCCCCACCAGAGTAGCTAGATACAGAGTGTCGATTGGTGCACTCACAAACCCTGAGCTAGACACAGGGTGCTGATTGGTGTATTTACAATCCCTGAGCTAGACATAAAGGTTCTCCACGTCCCACCAGACTCAGGAGCCCAGCTAGCTTCACCCAGTGGATCCGGCACCGGGGCTGCAGGTGGAGCTGCCTGCCAGTCCTGCGCCGTGCGTCCTCACTCCTCAGCCCTTGGGTGGTCGATGGGACTGGGCGCCGTGGAGCAGGGGGTGGCGCTCGTCGGGGAGGCTCCGGCGGCACAGGAGCCCATGGAGGGGGTGGGAGGCTCAGGCATGGCGTGCTGCAGGTCCCGAGTCCTGCCCCGCGGGAAGGCAGCTAAGGCCCGGTGAGAAATCGAGCGCAGCGCCGGTGGCCTGGCACTGCTGGGGGACCCAGTACATCCTCCGCAGCCGCTGGCCCAGGTGCTAAGCCCCTCATTGCCTGGGGTCGGCAGGGCCGGCCGGCTGCTCTGAGTGCAGGGCCCGCCAAGCCCACGCCCACCCGGAACTCCAGCTGGCCCGCAAGCGCCTTGCACAGCCCCGGTTCCCGCTGGCGCCTCTCCCTCCACACCTCCCTGCAAGCTGAGGGAGCCGGCTCTGGCCTTGGCCAGCCCGGAAAGGGGCTCCCACAGTGCAGCGGTGGGCTGAAGGGCTCTTCAAGTGCCGCCAAAAGTGGGAGCCCAGGCAGAGGAGGCGCCGAGAGGGAGCGAGGGCTGTGAGAACTGCCAGCACGCTGTCACCTCTCAATATCACATTTCAAACATATTATATCCTAAATTGAACTCACCATCTCTTTCGTACCTTGAAATTTGCTGATCTCCTGTTTTTCCTATGTTGGCAAACAGTACTACTTCCCAGCCGTTTTCTCAAGCCAAAAATTGCATTCAATCTATTGACTGAGTCCTATTATGTTTTTCCCTCAATAATCCTTAAATCCACTCTTTTGTTATTAGTATTCTATGATTACTGTTTCATGCTTGGTTCTCTGTGTGTTTTCTACAAAAGCCTCCTCCTTGTGTCTGCTAAAAGCCATTGGAGCAATACTCATCATCCCAACTGTTGCCAGGTATCCACCCAATCAAAATTTTTCCCCATTGTTTGCCATTACTTTAAACAAAATTATCCAGTACTTACCAAGTATGGTAACTTTTTATATACCATTTACATTAATCTAAAAATAATCCTTAAAGTAAAAATAAATGGGGCCAGAATAATTAGATACCCAAGATTAAATAATGAATAGAAGTAGCAAAGGCAGAATTTGGCCAAGAGACTTTCTGACTGGCAAAAATATGCTCATAATGGCTGTTATATAACTGAGCCAAAGACAGCCTCTGTATCTCGGTCTCTAGGTTGTTTATTTCATCACTGCAGGCTGAAACCCACTAAATCAAAAGTCCCCCAGCACCAAACTCAAATGTCTATACATCCAATTATTTTTGAATAGCCCAAACACCCAGATTTTTAGCCACTTACAGCCTTCTTACTTTGTACACCATTATAAACCTCATCCTACATCTGCTGGCCATTAATAAGATAGAGGCTTGTGGTTATAAGACCCCAAAATGTTGTGGCAATTTTAAATAAAGTGGACAGAGAAGACTTTAGGGAGGTGCCACTTGAGTGAGTTTGAGATTTTGCTCTGGGGTAAGTGGGGAGCCATTAGAGAATTTGAGCAGAGGAATTCTTTGATCAGACTAATATTTAACAGAATCACTCTAGCCTCCAGGTTGAAAATCAACTTTAGGGGACAAAGAGCAAAGGAAGCAGCTGAGGAAAGGTGGTATTGCAGAATAGAGTGGTTGCAGTAGAACTGGTAATAGAAGGTCAGATTCTCGAACTATTTTGAAAATAAAGCTACCAGATTTGCTCATAGGTTATGAGTAGGATGTGAACAAAAGAGAAGTATGAGGGATGACTTCAGTGTTTTTTGGTCTGAACAACTAAAAGGATGGAGTGGCCATTAACTGTGATAGAAAGGCTTTTGGTGAGGTCTTAGAGTTTATTATTTCTGGTTAAGCTTAATCTTCCTCCTCAGTGAACAGAAATTGTTAGTGTACATCAAAAGTTCAAAAAAAAAATCTTGATCCCTGGAGAAAAGAGTATTCTGAACCCAGCAATCAAATTGTACTATGAAATATAGTGATGACAAGTTGGATGGATCAGTGTATTCTAGATACTCTGATATTCCATATGGTCTAAAGAATAGTACAATTCAGACTGCATCCATAATAAATGAATCCCAAACAGGAACTGTTTAAGACTTGCAAAAATACAATAAAAATAACAGAGTGGATTTTAAGGTTTATTTTTGAAAAATCTATTTTTCTTTAGTTTTTGTTTTATAACCCTCCTTTTCCTTTTCCTCCTCCTTCTTTTTCTATTACCTTCTGCTTGTTCTTTTTTTCTTCTTTCTAAAACTGCATTTTTTTCTTAGTTGCTCTGTGGGCCATTAAATTTTTAAGTCATCAGTTTTATCCTGAAGTTAAAGTGTGCTTTCTGGAGCATGTGTGGAGTAGAGCTCATCTAAATCCATCATGTTTTATTTCAATCAGCCTCTTCCTATTAGCATTGCAAAAAGACCCAAATCTACTATGAAGCCTAATTGGTAACAGAAGGGCACTGGTGCATCTCTCATTGTGAGTAGGTGGAGTAGGTGCTTGCCTCGTGATTTGCCTGAACGAAATACACACATTGTTTTAAAAATAGAAAGCCTCAGGATAAAGATAATCAAATATTTATGTCAGCCTGAAAAATTGCATAGATTTTAAAGTCAGAAGACTTGAAAACTATGCTTTATAGCTTGCAAACTGAGTGATTTGGGGCAAGTCACATAACCTCTCTGAATCATAGCTTCCTCACTTCTAAGGCATCATTGTGTAGTGTTTGCTTTTCTTTTCTTCCTGTTTATCTTATTTTCCTTCCTTTCATCTTTACTTTCATTCTCTCCTACTTTCCCTCCCTCCACCTCCCATTCCCTCTCTTTTTCTTCTTTCCTTCCTCCCTTCCTTCCATTATACCTTATGCCACATAGGATTTGAGAGAGATTTCAATAAGAATATATCCAATAAAACAATAAGAACCTGAAAAGTAGATGTAGAAAGCCAAGAGTAGAAATACATAGGCTTAAAAGCACCTACAGAGATTTCTAAGCAATTAAAAGTTGAAAATTTCAGCCTAGGTCATCATATTTTGGTTAGAATTAAAGTATCCAATCACCACTGTTAGCTGGATAGAAAGCAATGGTACCACATTATGGAAGTGTTTGCAGCCTCAGTTCTTGGTCTATTCCATCCTTTGACCACATGAGAACACAGTTATACCCCCTGTAATATGGTCTTTATAAAAGTATCTCTATTCTTCTTTTTCTTTCATTCTTTTTTTTTTTTTTTTTTTTTTTTTTTTAGTAGAAAGATCTTGTTCTGTCTTCCAGGCTGCTGCAGTGCAGTGGCACAATCATAACTTACTGCAGCTTCAAATTCCTGGGCTCAAGCAATTCCTCCTGCCTCAGCCTCCTGAGTAGCTGGGACTACAGGCACATGCCACCTTGGCTAATATTTATATTTTTTTTAGAGGTGAGTGTCTCACTATGTTACCCAGGCTTGTCTTAAATTTCTGGGCTCAAGTGATCCTCCCACTTTGGCCTTCCAAACTGATGAGATTACAGACATGAGCGACCGTGCCTGGCCTCCCTATTCTTCTAGGTAACTTACTAGGTGGATAAACTTTAGCAAGTTGTTTAACCTTCCTAAATTCAAATATAAATATGTATATTGTGATAAGAATAAATAATACAATGTATGTGAAAGTGTTCATATTCATTTTCTATTGCTACTTAACAATACTACCACAAACTTAGAGGCTTAATCATCTCTGTGGGTCAGCAGTCTGGTCATGGCTTAGCTGGATCCTCTGTTCAGGGTCTCACAAACCTGCAATCAAGGTGTTGGCCATACTGTCATTCTTCTTCAAAGCTCAGTGTTCTCTTCCAAGATTATTCAGGTTATGGGAAGAATTTGGTCCCTTGCAGTGTAGGACTGGGGTCCCCATTTTCTTTCTGACTATTGGCTGGTGACCATTCTGAGTTTCTAGAGACCACCTGCAGTTCCTTATCATGTGCCTTCCACAGGCAGTGCATAATCTAGCTCTTTGCTTTCTTCCAGGCCAGCAGGAATGTATCTGCTGATACTTCTTATTTAAGACCTCATCTAATTAGGTCAGGCTCATTGAGGATAACTTCCATTTTGAGATTAATCAGTCAACAAATTAGTAATCTAATCATGCAAGTGATATCATATTCACAGTTTTACCCACACTCAATGGGTGGGAGTAATACAAAGTCACAGGTCATTGAGAGTCATCCTAGAATTCTGCCTGTTGTATATAGCATACCATGCCACCCACTCCCTATAAATAGAACAATTAAAACAAGATTTTATAAGAAGTGCTACTTGGTGTAATCTTTTTTTGCACACCAGAATCTTAACTATAATAATCAATTCAGTCTAGGAACTATTATGAAATAGTATTACCTCAAGGATTTCTCAAGTTCTTGATTTTTTTCCTAAATTCATTCATCTCTTTGTCATTCACTTAACAAATATGTGTTGGCCATCTACTCTGTGCCAAGCACAGTGGTAGACACTCATGACAAGATATCATGGTCTCAGCCTTTGCAGAGCATATAATTCAGTAGGAAGAATAAAAGAACAAAAAAACCCAAACAACTAAAGAAACAAATAGGCACAATATTTGCTAATTGTGCTAAGACCTTTCAGTCATTGTACGGCTTTCTAGTCACCGAAGACCCTTAAATTATTCTCTGGGTCTTCTTGCTATTGGATGTGACCTCAACTGGAATTTTTTCCAACCAGAATATTTTATCACTTATGGTTAGTTTGGCTACAAACAAAATAATAGTGACTTAAACTAGAATGAAATTTATTTCTGTCTCATGTTTTTTGTAAAAAAAAAAAAAAAGCCTAAAGATATGCGCTAGAGGGCTTGTATGGGACTGAGCTATGCTTCAGGGCTGAGCTGGGGTAGAGGAATAGGATAATGAGGTCATAGAGGTCACAGTTTAGCCAGCTCATGTCAGGCTCTCCCCTTGAGTACAATGGGCTACCATTGGAGGGTTTTGAGTAGAGCCATGGCATGCACTGATGTAGATTTCAAAAGACTGCCATGTAACTGAGGCAAGAGACGTTGCAGCTAAGACTAAAATGGTGGCTGCAGTATCAGTGAGAAGTGGTTAGATTCAGATTTGTTTTGAAGTGTAGGAACAACAAGATTTCCTGATAGAATGAATGTGGAAGTGTGACTCTAAGGTGTTTGGTCTAACTAGCCAGAAAATGGAGTAGCCATCCACTAAGATGGAGAAAACTATGGGTACAGAGAGATTTAGGGCAAGAATCAGGAGTTCAGTTTGAGATGTTTTAGACATTCAAGTGGAGGTGTTGATGGCATTCAGATACTAAAGTCCATCCATTGAGAGAGGTCTGGGCTAGAGATACATATTTAGGAATTGATAGTATATATACAGCATTTTAATTGATGAGGCAAAGAAGAGTAGTCCCAGCTACATCAACCTTAGCTCATGACTTCCACCTCATGGCCCAAGAAAACTGGTCAAGTTCCATCTGGACTGCATTACAGCCAGCTGAAAAAGCAAGGAAGCAAAAGGCGTATGTCAGATGACCATTACAGAGGGTTTTGTGAAACTATAAACAAAAATCCAAAAACTTATGCTCATGTCTTGTTGACCAGAACTTAGTCACATGGCCATACCTAGCCACAAGGAAGATTAGAAAATAAAACCTTATTTCCAGGCAACCAAATGTCCAACTAAAATCCAGGGTTTTAATTACAAGAAAGAAAATGAGAATGCAAACTACAGTAAACCACTAGCAGTCCCTGCCGTGCAATAAAAACTCCGAGGTAGATTTCGGTGGAGTAAGAAAAGTCCACAACTTTTGGCCAGTTTTGTAAATAGGTCACTCATTCTAACCCAATCTGAAGGCCCAGTCTCATCAACTAGAATTCCCAATATAGGGTTTGCAGCTGAAGCCCCAGCTGAAATGGTGTAGCAATGTATTCATGGGATAAAATAAAACAAATGGAAGTCTTGGAATCAACATATGTGACAGCAACCCACCTTGGACTAGCTTAAGAAAAAAGGAAGATTTTTTTTTGCAAAGGTATTTGTCTCATTTTCAGAACTTAGAAAATTACCAAACAACCAGAACTTTGGGAGAACAAGTGTTGAACTAGCCTCAGGGATAAACCAGATACTGAAGAGATCTTCTAAATATGGGACATTCCCCCTACTTCTCATCATTTCTATTACTTTGGGGAACTGGATGGTGACAGCTTTATTTTCCTAAATTTTGCAATACAGTAAATATGTGGAATGCCTCCTAACTAACTAATCAAGGAGCACATCCCATGGCTCCTGATTAGAGAAGAAATAGAAAGAGATTCACTTCCTGGAAAGAAACTCTGGTTTGCTCAGTTTGGGGAATATTCCCATCCATGGGCAAATGACTGTCAGCTCCCATCCGAACCAGGTGGATGAAAATACAAATGAATGAGAGCTGCACATGAAGAAGGGGGAAAGCTACTGAACAAATAAATTCATCAGAGCTCTTCTAAATCTGGAGTTGACATACTAACACTTTGGAAGTCCTGAACAATAGTTCCAACAGCAGGAAAAGAGGCAAAAATAAAATCTATGTTCCTGTACTATTATGGAATTTTATATTTAGTCAGGAATAATTTGAGGGTAAAATCCATTTAAGGGACTTCTTTTGTGGGAACCGAGGAAGTTCTTGATTAAAAGAAGGGGTTTGTTTTGTTCAGTTTTAGAGAAAAAACAAAACAACTTTCCGGCACTTTATATCTCTGGCCTTATATAACTGAGCTAAGCTTGTGTCTGGTGTATGTTGTATAATCCTGGCTAATTTTTCCGCCCAGCTGCATAAGAAGAGCCAAAGAAGCTCCCTTGAGGTCTCCCCACAGCCAACCCAAAAAACACAGAGGCTGGGAATCCAACCAGCTCTGCCCTACCCTTTGAGCCAAATACTATCTTAGTCTTCAGTGCTTTCCTCCACTGCTTGTCGTTAGAGGTGTGCTTTCCTTGACTCAATGAGTGTTGACATTGAGAATTCAGATTTAAACTTTGGAGTTGAAGCAAAGAAAGCAAGTAGGTCTTCCACTCAACTTTTGTCCTAGACTACATAGGTCCAATTAACCAAGCCGAAAGAATCAGTGAATGGTTAAGCCAAGCTCAGCCCACCCGAGATCTCCATGGGAGTGTGGAGCCAAACCCAGATAGTAATAAAATATTATTTTATTTGGTTTTGTTTTCTACATATGTATTTTTTACCTGGATTTGTGGGTACGGTACCTGTTAAGAATCAAATTAAGGTGATTGAGATGCCCTATCCTGACTAGCCATAGCCATATCTCTTTCCATAAAATCTCTTGCAGTTCACATGTACATATGTGTGCATACTCAGACATTCATCTATTTTATCATAACTAAATACGTACATATACATATGGAAGTTGATAAACTAATATAGCAGGGCTCTAAAATAGACTTTTAGCTATATTTTACTAAGGAGCTTATGAGACCCCCTTAGCCAGTTTGATTGAGGATATCTGGTATCTGTACTGCTCCTATCTGGAATCCTCTTATATTCACTTCTATTGCCCTGATAGTTTTTATCAGGCCACCTACCCTGGGATTTGTGTCTTTCTTATTTAAAAGCCCTCATTACTATTTTCAGACTAGTTTTCATTTTTGTATCTACAAATGCTTAAATTTCACTAATCATCTGATTTCTATAGAGAGTTGACTCTCCTAATTTGTGCCACAAAATAATTTCAGCCTGCCTTATTTCTTAACCTTGAAAGGTTCGTGTGTGCTTGTGTGTGCACGATCTCTCACTCTCTCACTCTCTCTCTCTCTGTCTTTTACTCTCTCCCACCTCCTTTCCCCTGTTTATCTGTTTCTTTCTAAGATGGATGGATGGGTGGAAGAAAGGAAGGAAGGGAGGGAAGCGGGGAGGAAGAGAAGAAACTTCTCAAGAGAGCATTGGTATTATGTTGCACAAATTTGGGCAAGAACAGTTGTCTCTGGATGGGGTAATAACAACTTTTACATTGACTAAAGTAGGAATATCATGTATGACACATCCTGTGTCAACACTGACTACAGCAGTTGAGTGTGTATCTATTTAACCATTTTACACACAGCACCATAGAGTTTATGGTGGACATAGTTAGAACTCCATATTAGTTTTCTTCTCTTTTGGTAGAGAAGAAGCACAGAGGTGAGGCAAACATTTACAAGACACCTAGAGGGGGCAAAAAGAGACTCAGACAAAAGAGAGACCATGGCTGCCAAATACAAGCTTCCCTACTTCTGTGCCTCATGCCTTGCTCTCAGCTGGCCTTTTCTGTGCTTTAGATACCCTTCAGGGAAAGGCTTTGCAGGGCTTAGGAGTGGGCTTAAGAGTCCATTTGGCACCTTTGAAATCAGGGAATCAATAAGAAATTGTCTCTCTCTTGATTTTTTCAGGATGGCCTGGGTCACCTCAAATAGCCCAATAGTATCAGAAGAAGTTAACTCTTCCCACCTAATTTAGAAGTGTGCTGACCTGAAAAGGTTAATTAACCTGTGATTGTCACCTTGAAATGATTATTCTTCCCTCACATCACTGGTACTTGTGCCAACTTGCAAATACAATCATAACACACACAAAAACTGAGTTTGAATTAAGGCACAAATATGCTATGTTACTCATCTAAAAAGAAAGAGAAATTAAGTTCTAGCTAGTTAGATATAACCATGTTGTGACACAAAAGGTAGCCACCAGATGAGGATACCACCTGCTAGATGTTAAAGTACCAACACTTGTGAGTGACTTGTTTTTAAAAAGTAAATTTGAACAGATTCAAATTTTATTCCTAAAGTATTATTACTCCCATTCCTTGCATTTTGATATATGTGCAGCCAGGACAGTCTCAGTGTTCTGTCTAGATCTCTTTGGATTTCCTTTACTATTCCTGAGCAGCCCTCCTCCAGTTTCTGGCCTATACCTCAGACTCTTACAAAAACTACCTGAAGACAACTGAAGCTATTTTGCCTACAGGCTAAGAGCAAAGGAGTTGAAAGTTCCTGGGAGCTTATGTACCTCCCACATCCCCAGTCCTTGGCTGATTACTTACTGATGCAAAAGTATGAAATCTTGGTCTTTTCCTTCTCCAATCAGGAAAACGCTGTGGTGAATTTTACATTTCAGAGAATTTGACATTTCCACAAAATCAGGCTGAGGCTCTTACCTGGCTTCTCCTGTATTCCTGTCCTGCTGACCCTATTTCCTTCCTGGAATCTCCTGCAAGTACTTTCTTTACAAATCACTTGTACACACACACATTCTTGTCTCAGGGTTGATATGCTTCTGAGAAAATTTACTTAAGGCAATACATTGTCTTGAATAGACGAGAAATGATAAACTTAGAGATGTTCTGACGGAAATTGCACAAGCCCCTGATATGGTTTTGGCTGTGTCCAAACCATATCATCTTGAATTGTAGTTCTCATAATCCCCACGTGTCATGGGAGGGACTTGGTGGGAGGTAATTGAATCACGGGAGCCGTTACTTCCATGCTGTTTTCATGATAGTGAGTTCTTACGAGATCTGATGGCTTTATAAGGGGCTTTTCCCCCTTTTGATCGGTACTTCTCCATCTTGCCATCATGTGAAGAAGGACATGTTTAGTTCCCCTTCTGCCATGATTGCAACTTTCCTGAGGCTTCCCCAGCCATGCTGATCTGTGAGTCAATTAAACCCCTTTCCTTTATAAGTTACCCAGACTCTAATATGTCTTTATTAGCCACATAAGAATGGACTAATACACCTCCCAAGTCTACTCAGAATTGTCCCTTCTAGGAATGTCATCTGTGAGATGTCTCATTCCAAAAAAAGGGATTGAAATCCTTCCCTATACTAAGCCTGGATGAGGAATCTTTTCATATATTGCACTTCAGGAGGGAAAAATTTTAAAGTCAATGTCTATACAAGTTTAAAGATTATTATATAAATTGTGGATTTTTTTTTTTTTTTGAGATGGAGTTTTGCTCTTGTTGCCCAGGCTAGAGTGCAGTGTTGTGATCTCAGCTCACCGCAACCTCTGCCTCCCAGGTTCAAGCGATTCTCCTGCCTCAGCCTCCCGAGTAGCTGGGATTACAGGCATGCACCACCATGCCCAGCTAATTTAGTATTTTTAGTAGAGACGGGGTTTCTCCATGTTGGGCAGGCTGGTCTTGAACTCCTGACTTCAGGTGATCCACCCGCCTTGGTCTCCCAAAGTGCTGGGATTACAGGCGTGAGCCACCGTGCCCAGCCTAAATTGAGGAATTTTTTTTAACAGAGAGAAGTGTACTACAATCTACTCATCTTTTAAAATTAATAATGGGAGTGTTGAATTCTACTGACTTGCTCAGATAATAAAATTTTTATGTCAGTTACTTTCCAGAGAAATGTGATAAGTAGAAGCGAAAAAGACAAGGAATAGAGACAAGGAAACACAGTGAGAATTAGAACTTATAAATGATATTTAATGCTTAGGGCTATCATTCTAATACACACATATGTATGTGTGTACATAGACATACATGTACATGTATACACACATGTATTTATCTAGATATTTATTAACTTATACACACAACAATTCTATAAGGTGAAGACTATTATACCCTCATACTTCTGATGAGAAAACCCCAACAACACTAAGATGTGAAAAAATTTGCTCGAGGTCATCCCACAGTAAATGGCAGAGCTGAAGTCTGGTCCCCGGCAATTGGGCTCCAGTGTCTGTGTTCTAATTCACTACCTGTCCTGGGAGAAAGTGAGAGAAATTAGTAGAAAGAGCCACTGAAGGGGAAAGAAAAGGGAAATAGAAAGTTAATTAAATAGGCAAAACTGACTCATATAAACATAAAGATCAGGCAGAAAAGAATCAACGGAGAGAAACACAGGCACATTCCACAGAGGCGATGGGAAACTGATATAAAGAGAGTCTCGTTGTAACATAATTACAGACAGAGATCCATATGCAAAAAAGGACATGCATACTTTATAAAGATAGACCAACATGCAAACCAAGGCAGAATATACATATATCAAACTATGCCAAACTTAATGACTTAAAACAATAACCCTTTTAGTATATATCATCATTCTGTGAGTCAGGAATTTGGGCATACTCAGCTGGGCAATTATTTTGCTCCACAGGGTGCTGACTCACTAGTTTTCACCTGATCCAAGGTGGTTTTACTTCCATTCATTATGTCTTGCTGTGGACAATTGGAAGGCTGGGCTCAGCTAGATTCTTCTGTCTCTCTCCACATATTCTCAATATTCTCCATGTGGTCTCTCCAGCAGTGTGATCTGACTTCTTGTTTTGTCCCTGGGGGCTTTAGGAGACTGAAGTAGAAGCTGTCAATCTCATAGAAACAAGGTCTACAACTGTCATAATCCCTAACACTGCACTCCATTAGTGGAAAGAGATTAATGGCAGCCCAGATTCAAGGAGATAGCAAATAGGCCCTACCTCCCTATAGGAAGAATGTCAAAGAATTTGTGGCTGTTGTTCATCTGCCACACGATTTGACCAGAAACAGGCTAATAATGCACAGATGTGTGAGAAACTAGGGAGGGTTCAAGCTTTGGACACTTTCCAGAAGGAAGTGTCACAGATAGCTAGAGTTTAAGAGCAGAAAATGTCTCTGATACTACTGGTAAAACTGAAGATTGGATAATTGTGGAAAAGGAAAGAAATGAAATTACAGATTTGGGGTTATAGTCATGCACATTTGTTTAGATCTAACTAAACATGCTGTACTACTTGGCCCAAAAGGTTTTCTTCATGTCCTAGATGACATGTTTACATTGTGCGTATTACCTTGACTGCCTACATGACTTTCCCGTTCTGCTTCTGCAACCATGTTGTTAAGATTGTAAATTCTGCCATTTTTTATTGTCCTTTATGTTTCTGAAATGTATTCTATCTGTAAATATATCTGGATACATATGATCCATTAATAGTACATAGTCTCAGTCAGGAGGCTCCTGTTCGTTTGATAATTCAGAGACATACAAAAAGGTAGCAATGGATACAAGCCTGGTGTAATAGGACTAACCATTAACCAATCACATCAGCAGTAATTCCCCTTCCCAGGCCAAAATAGAATAGTTCAAAGCAAAATAGGTGGTTTGGACAAAGCATTCACTGTGTGGTCAAGCAGAAATCTGCCATATCATTTGCAAAGTGCATGACTTGTTTAAGTCATACTTAATATGAAGTTAGTACTACTTATTTTCTAGAGTTGTTAGGATCATTTAAGAAAAGATATATCATGTAGATAGCACATAAGAGCCATTCAATAAATCATAATAATTATTATTAATATTATTTCAACTATAATATGATGCAAGTAAGGAACTACAATAAAATACAAAAACCCATATATACAGCACATGAATCTGGTTAAATATCTGTGTTCTAGAACTTTAATTTCTAAAACAGATAAAATAATATCCATATGTTCCTCATATGATTATGTATTGTCGTTAAATATGAAGACATGTTACATTATGGTTTTTTAAAAAACTTATTTTTAGAAGTACTGTTTGCTCTCTTGTGGATTTGAATTGACCAGCGTTTGACTTGAAAATTTTCTGTTTGCTTACACATTTTTCATGTACGTGAAGATTTAGAAGATATTATTGTTAATAGAAATAGAATGAATATAAAGGTGAATAGAATTTAACAGTAATAGAATAGATTGAAAAGTAAAATATTTTATGATTCCAATGACTGTTTTTGTGACTAAGCATATTCTTTAGATAACAATTATTTTTAAATGATTCTCCACAACGTAAAACTAATATACTTAAAAATGCAAGTAGTACCACAAAAGAAAGTTCCCAATAAGTTGGTTGTCTTCTAAAACAGAAGAATACTTAAAATACACCATTATATCTATTTTTTTATATTCCCTTACTCTGGCATTTTCTCTTTGCTATATTTCCAGAATTTGGTTGCCAGTTCTGTTTTTCTTCTCTCTCTCTCCAAGTATTCTCAAGACTCTCCATGTAGACCCCACAAGTATAATTAACCTCTCCCTCAGAATTCCTTGTTTTTAAGGGGAGTATGTTGTGTTTTTTTCTTTAAGAACTTTTTTTTTTTTTCCTGAGATGGAGTCTAGCTTGGTCACCCAGGCTGGAGTGCAGTGGTGTGATCTCAGCTCACTGCAACCTCCGCCTCCTGGGTTCAAGCAATTCTCCTGCCTCAGCCTCCCAAGTAGCTGGGATTACAGGTGCCTGCCACCATGCCCAGCTAATTTTTGTATTTTTAAAAGAGACAGGTTTAACCATATTGATCAGGCTGGTCTCGAACTCCTGACCTCCAGTGATCCTCCCACCTCAGCCTTCCAAAGGCACCCAGTCTTCTCTAAGAACTATTTTGGCATTTTAATTTGATGCCTTATTTAAGAGTCATTTGTGTTTATGTCTGTCTCCCATACTTGATTATAAGCTCATGAAAAGAAGAAAACTAACCCCATGTCCCCAAAATACAAACCAGAAAGCTTTATACATAAAAGATATTCAATAAGAAAGGTTAAATTTACTAATGCACACACATAAACCAATCATGCACTTCATTAACCAACCAAACACTGGTAATAATATAAAACAATAGGGCTGGCAAGATGGCCGAACAGGAACAGCTCCGGTCTGCAGCTCCCAGCAGCAAGATCAATGCAGAAGGCGGGTGATTTCTGCATTTCCAACTGAGGTACCTGGCTCATCTCACTGGGACTGGTTAGACAGTGGGTGCAGCCCATGGAGGGCAAGCCGAAGCAGGGTGGGGTATCACCTCACCCAGGAAATGCAAGGGGTAGAAGGACTCCTTCCCCTAGCCAAGGGAAACCATGAGGGACTGTGCCATGAGAAATGGTGCACTCCGACCCAGTTACTACACTTTTCCCATGGTCTTTGCAACCTGCAGACCAGGAGATTCCCTCAGGTGCCTATGCCACCAGGGCCCAGGGCATCAAGCACAAAACTGGACAGCCATTTGGGCAGACACAAAGCTAGCTGCAGAAGTTTTTTTTCCATACCCCAGTGGTGCCTGGAATGCCAGCGAGACAGAACCATTCACTCCCCTGGAAAGGGGGGCTGAAGCCAGAGAGCCAAGTGGTCTAGCTCAGTGGATCCAACCCCTACAGAGCCCAACAAGCTAAGATCCGCTGGCTTGAAATTCTTGCTGCCAGCACAGCAGTCTGGTTGACCTGTAATGCTCGAGCTTGGTAGGGGGAGCGGCAACCACCATTACTGAGGATTGAGTAGGTGATTTTCCCCTCACAGTGTGAACAAAGCCGCCGGGAAGTTCGAACTAGGTGGAGCCCACTGCAGCTAGGCAAAGCCACTGTAGCTAGACTGTCTCCCTAGATTCCTCCCCTCTGGGCAGGGCATTACTGAAAAAAAGGCAGCAGCCCCAGTCAGGGGCTCATAGATAAAACTACCATCTCTCTGGGACAGAGCACCTGGGGGAAGGGGTGGCTGTGGGTGCAGCTTCAGCAGACTTAAAAGTTCCTGCCTGCTAGCTCTGAAGAGAGCAGCAGATCTCCCAGCACAGTGCTTGAGCTCTGCTAAGGGGCAGACTACCTCTTCAAGTGGGTCCCCGACCCCCGTGCCTCCTGACTGGGAGACACCTCTCAGCAGGGGTTGAAAGACACCTCATACGGTAGAGCTCCAGCTGGCATCTGGTGGGTGCCCCTTTGGGACGAAGCTTCCAGATGAAGGAACAGGCAGCAATCTTTGCTGTTCTGCAGCCTTCGCTGGTGATACCCAGGCAAACAATGTCTGGAGTTGACCTCCAGCAAACTCCAGCAGACCTGCAGCAGAGGGGCCTGACTGTTAGAAGGAAAATTAACAAACAGAAAGGAATAGGATCAACATCAACAAAAAGGACATCCACACAGAAACCTCATCCGAAGGTCACCAACATCAAAGACCAAAGGTAGATAAATCCACAAAGATAAGGAAAAACCAGTGCAAAAAGGCTAAAAATTCCAAAAACCAGAATGCTTCTTCTCCTCCAAAGGATCACAAATCCTTACCAGCAAGAGAACAAAACTGGATGGAGAATGACTTTGACGAATTGGCAGAAGCAAGCTTCAGAAGGTAGGTAATAACAAACTCCTCAGAGCTAAAGGAGCATATTTTAACCCAATGCAAGGAAGCTAAGAACCTTGAAAAAAGGCTAAGGAAATTGCTAACTAGAATAACCAGTTTAGAGAAGAACATAAATGACCTGATGGAGCTGAAAAACACAGCATGAGAACTTTATGAAGCATACACAAGTATCAATGGCCGAATCGATCAAGCGAAAGAAAGGATATCAGAGATTGAAGATCAACTTAATGAAATAAAGCATGAAGACAAGATTAGATAAAAAAGAATGAAAAGGAACTAACAAAGCCTCCAAGAAATATGGCACTATGTAAAAAGACCAAATCTACGTTTGATTGGTGTACCTGTAAGTGATGGGGAGAATGGAACCAAGTTGGAAAACACTCTTCAGGATATTATCCAGGAGAACGTCCCCAGCCTAGCAAGACAGGCCAACATTCAAATTCAGGAAATACAGGGAACACCACAAAGATGCTCCTTGAGAAGAGAAACTCCAAGACACATAATTGTCAGATTCAGCAAGGTTGAAAAGAAGGAAAAAATGTTAAGAACAGCCAGAGAGAATGGTCGGGTTACCCACAAAGGGAAGCCCATCAGACTAACAGCAAATCTCTCTGCAGAAACCCCACAAACCAGAAGACAGTGGGGAACAATATCCAACACTCTTAAAGAAAAGAATTTTCAACCTGGAATTTCATGTCCAGCTAAAATAAGCTTTATAAGCAAAAGAGCAATAAAATTCTTTGCAGACCAACAAATGCTGAGAGATTTTGTCAACACCAGGTCTACCTTACAAGAGCTCCTGAAGGAAGTACTAAATATGGGAAGTAACAACTGGTACCAGCCACTGCAAAAATATACCAAATTGTAGAGATCATCGACACTACAAAGAAACTGCATCAACTAATGGGCAAAATAACCAGCTAGCATCATAATGACAGGATCAAATTCACACAAAACAATATTAAGCTTAAATGTAAATGGGCTAAATTCCCCCATTAAAAGACACAGACTGGCAAATTGGACAAAGAGTCAAGACCCATCAGTGTGCTGTAGTCAGGAGACCAAGCTCATGTGGAAAGACACACATAGGCTCAAAATAAAGGGATGGAGGAATATTTACCAAGCAAATGGAAAGCAAAAAAAAAAGTAAGCAGGGGTTGCAATCCTAGTCTCTCACAAAATGGACTTTAAACCAACAAAGATCAAAAAAGACAAAGAAAGGCATTGCATAATGGTAAAGGGATCAATGCAACAAGAAGAGCTAACTATTTTAAATATATATGCACCCAATACAGGAGCACCCAGATTCATAAAGCAAGTTCTTAGAGACCCACAAAGAGACAGTGTCTCAGACCACAGTGCAATCAAATTAGAACTCAGGATTAAGAAACTCACTGAAAACCTGACACCTACATGGAAGCTGAACAACCTGCTACTGAACGACTACTGGGTAAATAAGGAAATTAAGGCAGAAATAAATAAGTTCTTTGAAACCAATTAGAAAAAAGACACAACATACGAGAATCTCTGGGACACAGCTAAAGCAGTGTGTAGAGGGAAATTTACAGCATTAAATGCCCACAGGAGAAAGTGGGAAAGATCTAAAATCAACACCCTAACATCACAATTAAAGGAACTAGAGAAGCAAGAGCAAACAAATTCAAAAGCTGGCAGAAGACAAGAAATAACTAAGATCAGAGCAGAAATGAAGGAGACATGAAAAACCCTTCAAAACATCAATGAATTCAGGAGCTGGTTTTTTGAAAAGATTAACAAAATAGACCGCTAGCCAGATTAATAAAGAAGAAAAGAGAGAAGAATCAAATAGACACAATAAAACATGATAAAGGGGATATCACCACTGATACCACAGAAATACAAACTACCATCAGAGAATACTATAAACACCTCTACACAAATAAACTAGAAAATCTAGAAGAAATGGATAAATTCCTGGACACGTGCACCCTCCCAAGACTAAATCAGGAAGAAGCCGAATCCCTGAATAGACCAATAACACGTTCTGAAATTGAGGCAGTAATTAATAGCCTAACCAACCAAAAAAAAAAGCCCAGGACCAGACACATTCATATCCGAATTCTACCAGAAGTACAAAGAAGAGCTGGTACCATTCCTTCTGAAACTATCCCAAACAACAGAAAAAGAGGGACTCCCCCCTAACTCATTTTAAGAGGCCAGCATCACCCTGATATCAAAACCTGTCAGAGACACAACAAAAAAAGAAATTTTCAGGCCAATATCACTGATGAACATCAATGTGAAAATCCTCAGTAAAACACTGGCAAACCAAATCTAGCAGCACACCAAAAAGTTTATCCACCACGATCAAGTTGGCTTCATCCCTGGGATGTAAGGCTGGTTCAACATACCCAAATCAATAAATGTAATCTATCACATAAACAGAACCAATGACAAAAACCATATGGTTATCTCAATAGATGCAGAAAAGGCCTTCGATAAAATTCAACACCCCTTCATGCTAAAAACTCTCAATAAACTAGGTATTGATGGAACATATCTCAAAATAATAAGAGCTATTTATGACAAACCCATAGCAAATATCATACTGAATGGGCAAAAGCTGGAAGCATTTCCTTTGAAAACCAGTGCAAGAAAAGGATGTCCTCTCTCACCACTCCTATTCAACATAGTATTAGAAGTTCTGGCCAGGGCAATTGAGCAAGAGAAGGATATAAAGCGTATTCAGACAGGAAGACAGAAAGCCAAATTGTCTCTGTTTGCAGATGACATGATTGAATATTTAGAAAACCCCATCATCTCAGCCCAAAATGTCCTTAAGCTGATAAGCAACTTCAGTAAATCTCAGGATACAAAATCAATATGCAAAAATCACAAGCATTCCTATATACCAATTATGGCCAAACAGAGAGCCAAAGCATGAGTGAACTCTCATTCACAGTTGCTACAAAGAGAATAAAATACCTAGGAATACAACTTACAAGGTATGTGAAGGACGTTTTCAAGGAGAACTACAAACCACTGCTCAAGGAAATAAGAAAGGACACAAACAAGTGGAAAAATATTCCATGCTCATGGATAGGAAGAATCAATATCATGAAAATGGCCATACTACCCAAAGTAATTTATAGATTCAATGCTATCCTCATCAAGCTACCATTGACTTTCTTCACAGAATTAGAAAAAACTACTTTACATTTCATATGGAGCCAAGACAGTCCTAAGCAAAAAGAACAAAGCTGTAGGCATCAAGCTACCTGACTTCAAACTATACTACAAGGCTGCAGTAACTCAAACAGCATGGTACTTCTACCAAAACAGATATATAGACCAACGGAACAGAACAGAGGCCTCAGATGTAAGGACACACATCTACAACCATCTGATCTTTGACAAACCTGACAAAAACAAGCAATGTGGAAAGGATTCCCTATTTTATAAATGGTGTCGGAAAAACTGGCTAGCCATATGCAGAAAACTGAAACTGGACCCCTTCCTTACACCTTATACAAAAATTAACTCAAGATGGATTAAAGACTTAAACATAAGACCTAAAACGATAAAAACCCTAGAAGAAAACCTAGGCAATACCATTCAGGACATAGGCATGGGCAAAGACTAAAACAACAAAAGCAATGGCAACAAAAGCCAAAATAGACAAATGGGATCTAATTAAACTAAAGAGCTTCTGCACAGCAAAAGAAACTACCATCAGAGTGAACAGGCAACCTACAGAATGCGAGAAAAGTTTTGCAATCTATCCATCTGACAAAGGGCTAATATCCAGAATCCATAAGGAACTTAAATAAATTTACAAGAAAAAAAACAAACAACCCCACCAAAAAGTGGGTGAAGAATATGAACAGACACTTCTGAAAAGAAGACATTTATGCAGCCAACAAACATGAAAAAAAGCTCATCACCACTGGTCATTAGAGAAATGCAAATCAAAACCACAATGAGATACCATCTCATGCCAGTTAGAATGGCGATCATTAAAAAGTCAGGAAAAAACAGATGCTGGAGAGGATGTGGAGAAATGGGAACACTTTTACACTGTTGGTTGGAGTGTAAATTAGTTCAACCATTGTAGAAGACAGCGTGGCAATTCCTCAAGGATCTAGAGCCAGAAATACCATTTGACCCAGCAATCCCATTACTGGGTATATACCCAAAGGATTAAAAATAATTCTACTATAAAGACACATGCACATGTATGTTCACTGCAGCACTGTTCACAATAGCAAAGACTTGGAACCAACCCAAATGCCCATCAATGATAGACTGGATAAAGAAAATGTGGCACATATACACCATGGAATACTATGCAGCCATAAAAAAGGATGAATTCATGTCCTTTGCAGCGACATGGATGAAGTTGGAAACCGTCATTCTCAGCAAACTAATACACATGTTCTCACTCATAAGTGGGAGTCGAACAATGAGAACACATGGACACAGGGAGGGGAATATTACACACTGGGGCCTCTTGGAGGGTGAGAGGCTATGGGAGGGATAGCATTAGGAGAAATACCTAATGTAGATGATGGGTTGATGGGTGCGGCAAACCACCATGGCACCTGTATACCTATGTAACAAACCTGCACGTTCTGCCATGTATCCCAGAACTTAAAGTATAATAAAATATATATATGAAATGATAAATACTAGCTTTTTATACAAACACAAATATTTCTTATATTGGGCTTTTAAAACCATTTAGCCATACTAGAGTATTTCCAACTAGTTTTAATCCAAAAATACATCATCTAGTGTCTTAAAAGAGAATTGCAACTAGTATAATCTCTAGTTTTTAAACCAGTGCTACTCCAAGTACATTCTGAGGAACAGAGCATCATTAGGATGTGGGAGCTATTTAGAAATGTAATCATCTGGTTCCACCTGAGATCTATGGAATGAAAATCTCTACAATTCCTGACTCTCTCACAGGAGTTAGGAATCTGTGTTTTAACAAACTCACCAGGTGATTCTGATGTATGCTAAATTTTGAGATATTAACCTAGATACATATAAAATCTCAAAGCTAGAAAAAATCTGGGGATCTTTTAGTCTAGTCCTTTTTCAATTGGATGAGAAACTGAGATAAAAAAGGGATAAGGTTCATGTCTACGTAGCAGATCTGAGATCCCAACCAGAACTCTTGATCCCAAGCCTGGGTTCTCTTCACTTCAATAGTCCAAACAAAATGATTTTGAATTAATACCAACTGGAATTTGAGTTAATACTAGGTGCAATTTGGGATCCAAAATATAGTTATTACCAGTATTGCAAATTGTCAAATTAACCAAAAGTTATTGAATTAAAAAGAAGAATGGAAATGTTGTAGTCTTTGGCTGCTGGGAAGAAATCATGCAAAGTATGACATTTCTCTTCACCCCATCACTAAACAGTAAGCGTACAGGCATTGTGCATACACACAGATATACATAGGGAAATTTCACTCCAGATGTGTAAGTCTGGTATGATGAAGTCCTTCCTGCCAATGATGAATTTGGGAAGATCAGACATGTGTCTTATTCCTGACCTTAGAGGGAAAACATTAGTTAATAGATGCCCTTTATCAGATTGAGAGGATATCCTTGTGTTCTTTCTTTGCTGAGAATTTTGATTGGAATAGATGTAGGATTTTGGAAGTGCTATATGAGATAATTTTGCAAGTTCACTGTGATAACTTTTTAATATGATTTTTCTTTTTTAGCTTGTAATATTCTGAATACATTGATTTATTTTCTGCTAAACCAACCCTATATTTTTGGAATAAACCCCACTTGCTTATGATGTATTATCCATTCAATCTATTTTGTGTTCCATTTGCTAATATGTTTGAAATTTTTATACAGATGTTTATGAGAAATACAAATCAGTAGATGTTCTTGGTTTTTTGTTTGTTTGTTTGTTTCTTTTTTCCTTAGAATTCCCTTGCCTGGGTTTGATATTAGTTTAATAGTAGCCTCATAGAACAAAGTGAAAAGTATTCCTTATTTATTAATTTCTGGAACAGTCTACGTGAAATTGATATTGATTTCCTATTAAATATTTGTTAGAGCTACCAGGTAAGCAATCAGCCTGGAGTTATCTTTGTGGGAAGTTTTTGTTTGTTCATTTTGTTTTTGTTTTTTCCACTCCCTACCCCCTCTGCTGTAGGAAGTTTTATAACTACAATACTACAATTTCAAGTTCTTTAACAAATATAGGTATATTCAGATTACCCATTTCTTTTTGAGTGAGCTTTGATATTTAATGTCTTTCAATGTTTATGGTCTGGAAACTCTCTCAAGGCATTAAACTAAAGCGATTATAGGGCTGCCTCATTTGTTTACCATCTCTCAGAAATTACTGTTCTTTTTGCCTTATGTAAAATGTATTAAAAATTATTATTTAATAATATCTATACATTTTAAATTTGTCTTATATGCATGGGTATCCCTGTTTCTTAATTCTGACTAAAAGTGAAAGTTCTACATCATTCCTTTGATTGGCCTTTGCATGGTATATATTATCCAATGTATGGTATATCTTTTTCCATGCTTTTACTTTTAATCTAGCTGCTTTTTTTTTCTATTTAAACTTCATTTCTTATGTTAAGTATACAGTTGAGTCTGCCTTGAAGAAAAAAAAATTCCATCTGACCATCTCTGCCTTTTATGTGGTGTGTTAGGCTATTTACATTTAATATAATCATTAGTATATATTGATGTAAATCTACTATCTTGGTATTTGTTTTCTAATTGTCTTTTCTGCAACTTAGTTTTTTTCTGCCTTCTTTTGGATTCAGTATTATTTTTATTACATTTTATTTCTACTATTGACTTATTATCTACTCCTTTTTATTTCACTGTTTAATGATTGCTTTAGAGTTTGCAATATACCTCAATAACATCAAAATCCACCTTCAAATAATATTTTTTAAACTCGTATATAGTCTAGCAACTATATAATTATATGCCTCCATTTCTCCCTCCTGTTCTTTGTCATGTATTTTATTCTACTATTTTTGTAATTTTTTTTGGAGTACTTTAAACTTCACAACACATTGATATTATTTTTGCTTAAAACGTCATTGTCTTTTTTAAAAATTAAAAATGAGTTAAAAATCTGATATCCATTTTTATCTATCTTTTCTTTCATTGATTAGTTTGCATTTAAATTTCCTTCTGATATCATTTTCCATCGGCTTAAAGAAGTTTGTTGCATTGCCAAGACAATCCTAAGCCAAAAGAACAAAGATGGAGGCATCATGCTACCTGACTTCAAACTACACTACAAGGCTACAGTAACCAAAACAGCATGGTACTGGTACCAAAACAGAGACATAGATCAATGGAACAGAACAGAGCCCACAGAAATAACGCCGCTTATCTACAACTATCTGATCTTTGACAAACCTGACAAAAACAAGCAATGGGGAAAGGATTCCCTATTTAATAAATGGTGCTGGGAAAACTGGCTAGCCATATGTAGAAAGCTGAAACTGGATCCCTTCCTTACACCTTATACAAAAATAAATTCAAGATGGATTAAAGACTTAAACGTTAGACCTAAAACCATAAAAACCCTAGAAGAAAACCTAGGCAATATCATTCAGGAGATAGGCACGGGCAAGGACTTCATGTCTAAAACACCAAAAGCAATGGCAACAAAAGACAAAATTGACAAATGGGACCTAATTAAACTAAAGAGCTTCTGCACAGCAAAAGAAACTACCATCAGAATGAACAGGCAACCCACAAAATGGGAGAAAATTTTCACAACCTACTCATCTGACAAAGGGCTAATATCCAGAATCTACAATGAACTCAAACAAATTTACAAGAAAAAAACAAACAACCCCATCAAAAAGTGGGCGAAGGACATGAACAGACACTTCTCAAAAGAAGACATTTATGCAGCCGAAAACCACATGAAAAAATGCTCACCATCACTGGCCATCAGAGAAATGCAAATCAAAACCACAATGAGATATCACCTCACACCAGTTAGAATGGCAATCATTAAAAAATCAGGAAACAACAGGTGCTGGAGAGGATGTGGAGAAATAGGAACACTTTTATACTGTTGGTGGGACTGTAAACTAGTTCAACCATTGTGGAAGTCAGTGTGGCAATTCCTCAGGGATCTAGAACTAGAAATACCATTTGACCCAGCCATCCCATTACTGGGTATATACCCAAAGGACTATAAATCATGCTGCTATAAAGACACGTGCACACGTATGTTTATTGCGGCACTATTCACAATAGCAAAGACTTGGAACCAACCCAAATGTCCAACAATGATAGACTGGATTAAGAAAATGTGGCACATATACACCATGGAATACTATGCAGCCATAAAAAAAGATGATTTCATGTCCTTTGTAGGGGCATGGATGAAATTGGAAATCATCATTCTCAGTAAACCATCGCAAGAACAAAAAACCAAACACCGCATATTCTCACTCATAGGTGGGAATTGAACAATGAGAACACATGGACACAGGAAGGGGAACATCACACTCTGGGGACTGTTGTGGGGTCGGGGGAGGGGGGAGGGATAGCGTTGGAAGATATACCTAATGCTAGATGACGAGTTAGTGGGTGCAGCGCACCAGCATGTCACATGTATACATACGTAACTAACCAGCACATTGTGCACATGTACCCTAAAACTTAAAGTATAATAATAAAAAAATAAAAAATAAAAAAAGAAGTTTGTTTAATATTTCCTGTTGTATATGTCTGCTGGTAATAATTTTTTCAGGTTTATTAGTCTGAAAAAAAGTTCTATTTTGCTTTGTTATTTGAAACATCTTTTCACTGGATAAGGAATTCTATGTTGACCATATTTTCTTTCAAAGATTTGAAGCTGTTGCTCTGCTCTTTGCTGGCTTAACAGAAGTCTGTTGTTATTCTTAAACTTATTCCTTGTAATGTGACGTTTTCTCTGACTGATATTAAGATTTTCTCTGATTTTCTGTAATTTGATTATGATGTGATTTGGCATGCTTTCTTAATGATTTTTATTGAACTTCCTGGATCAGTGGGTTCCCTCCACCCCCTTTCCTCTGAGATTTCAATTATACATGTATTAAACTAGTAGATATTGTCCCACAGATCTTGATTCTTTTTGGGTTTTTATAAATCAGTACTTTGTTTTCTCTATTTGCTTTATTGTGTATAGTTTCTATTGCTATGTCTTCAAGATAACTAATCTTTTCTTTTATGATATTTAGTCTGTTCTTAATTCCATACGGTGTTTTCCATTTTAGTTATATTTTTCACCTCTCAAAGTTCCATGTGAAATGTTTTTATATGTATTTTTCTCATAATTTTATGTTTTGCTCTACATCCTTAAACATGTGAATTATGTTTGTAAGAGCTATTTATACATTGTTGATAATTTCGTCATTGTTATTATTTCTGGATCAATTTCTATTAATTGATTTTTCCGTTACTTATGGGTCTTATTTTTCTGCTCTTTTGCTGAACATTTTAATTTTAGTTTTGATTGGTAATGGGCATTGTGGATTTTATATTATCAATTGCTCTGTTTTGTTATTTTCCTTTAAATAATGTTGAGTTTTGTTTTGGCATGTTACTTGGAAAATTTAAATTATCTAAGAGGTAAGTTACTTATAATAAGTTGGATCATTTTGAGTCTTCTTTTAAACTTTATTACCGTGTGTCTGTAGTATAAAAACTAAAGTTTAAAGTGTTGTCTTTATATCTTTGAGCCTCATAGGATCCACTCCCATGCTGTGAGTATATGTGACCAATAAACTGCTGCCAAGATCTTTCTGTCCATTGTTAGGTATCCTGTGTTCAGTCGTCTTATACTATTTAGGGTGGGAAATCCCTTCTTCACCAGTGGGGTGAGTAGAAGGTCATCAGAACAGTATCAAAAACAGCCCTCCATCTGAGACCAATGTAGCACCACTAAAGTGATACCCTTTCAATAATTCTATCTGATGCTTCGTTTTACATGATCTTTACACATTCACTGCTAGGACCATGAACAGCTCTCAATTCTGTATGAATTGTAGAAATTATTCTACCTACCCCTTAATGGCGAGTCTTTCTGTGATCCTCAGGTAGTTTTCCTTTCACTCATGTGTACATCACTTAGCTAAAGACTCAAGGGGCCCCTCTAAAAATCCCTGGAACTCCTTTTGTGCAGTTTTCTCTTAGTAATCTCACTAGCAAATTCTAGCCAGCTCACCTTCCCCAAGCTCAGATTTTTTTTTTAAGTTTTTTTAAATTTTTATTTATTTATTTATTTATTTTTGAGACGGAGTATGTCACTCTGCCGCCCAGGCTGGAGTGCAGTGGCGCAATCTCGGCTCACTGCAAGCTCCGCCTCTTGGGTTCACACCATTCTCCTGCCTCAGCCTCCCGAGTAGCTGGTGCTACAGGCACTCGCCACCACACCTGGCTAATTGTTTGTATTTTTAGTAGAGACGGGGTTTCACCGTGTTAGCCAGGATGGTCTTGATCTCTTGACTTCGTGATCCACCCGCCTCGACCTCCCAAAGTGCTGGGATTACAGGCGTGAGCCACCACGACCAGCCTTTTTTTTTTTCTTTACAATTTAGCAAGACCACTAGGCTCTGTTTCAGTGTCTATACCTGTACAACAGCATGAAAACTGCCTCTAACCAATAAATTGGTAAAATCATAAGGCTCACTTTGTTTATTTCCCTTCTTTCAGGGAACACAGTACTGTGCTGTTTATTGTCCAACCTCTAAAAACTTCTGTGCCCCATGTATCTATTTTTGTAGTTGTTTAAGGCAATAGATTGGGTAAAATCTGGTCCCTATTAGTTAATCTTGAACAAATTCAAATTCACCAGAAAAGTTCTAATTTAAAATTTTTGTGTATTTTTAAACAAATATTTGTTTGCTCATAAATCTTTCTAAATATTTATTTTTCAAATAGAAATAAAAGCTAATTCCCCTTGAAGGAATGCTGAGATATTTATAGATGTATGAAGGACCTCGTCTTAAAGGCTTACTTTGAAACCCTAGAAACTCAGTTTTCACTAAGATTTGTTATTCTTAGTGTATTTGTTATTCTTTAGCAATGCTTCCCATTTTTTCTCAATTCCATCTTGCAGATCTTTTGTCATCGTATATCACTGGATTATCTAATCTTTCTATTTCCATTCTCGACCCTATTTTCAATCTCTTGCTCATCAATGCCAAACAGATTATTATTTATCACTATCTTCACCATAATACTATCCTGTTCAAAACTGATAGTTTTCTAATGCTTACATAATTAAATCAAAACTTTAAAAAATTTGAGTTGCCTTAAAACCTCTACCACAAAACAAATGTTATCTACTAGTAGTATTACATTCTGCCCACATTTCAAAACCCTACAGAATGTGTTTCTAACTTATTTCTGCTAGTAGTGACGGCCACAGATTTAATGGTATTAAACTAAAATATGGTTAGCTCCCTATTTTTAAACATCTACTCATCAGTATTTGAATGCTGCTTTAAGGGATAATTCTTCTGCTTTTTGATCTATCATTTATTGAATGTTCATTATTTGCCAATTGCTGTACTACATAATACATATATAACATATATGCATATTACATATATTATAATATGCATCTGTAATATATATTTGTAATATGTAGTATATGTCATATGTAATATATATAACACTATATATTACATATGTATATTATATTACACATATAATATAGGTTATATATGTGTTAAAGTACTTTACATATAATAAAATGTTAATTTTAATACAACACTGTATAGTAGATTCTATATCCATCTCCATTTTATGGTTGAGAAAATAGACAATTAAAGACATACACCAATATACACTGTAAATATATCACGGGACTTAAGATGTGTATATGGTTTCTCTGTTTCCAGAGTTGATCATCTTAACCAGCATGGGCAATGTAAATAGAATATGTAAGTGGGTAATGTAGAAAATATAAAGGACGCAACTTTTATTTATTTATAGAATCATATTCTATAAATAAATTCTATTATAATTCAAGCAACAAAAAGTAAGTAGAAAAAGGGTGATGTATGTGATAAAGAGTAAAAGCTCCAATGACTACTTAATAGTCATGTAACTTTACATACCATTGCATCTCTTACATACCACACCACTTTTTTCTAACTTTTAAGTTTAGGGGTACATATGCAGGTTTGTTATATAGGTAGACTTGTGTCATGGGGGTTTGCTGTACAGATTATTTCATCACCCAGGTACTAAGTGTAGTATCCGTTAGCTATTTTTCCTGATCCTCTCCATTCTCCCAACCCTCTGATTGGCCCCTGTGTCTGTTATTCCCCTCTATGTGTAATGTGTTCTCATCATTTAGGTCCCTCTTATAAGTGACAACATGTGGTATTTGGTTTTCTGTTCCTGCATTAGTTTGCTAAGGACAATGACTTACAGATGCATCCATGTTCCAGCAAAGGACATAATCTCATTCTTTTTTTATGGTTGCATAGTATTTCATGGTATTCTACTTTTTAACTAATATATCTAACTACCATTTATATAAATACTGTTTATTTAAGTACCATTAAATATATAATGCAAAAAATAGTTAAAATTAAATAATAAATTTTTAGAAGTACAAAAGGAGTAAATAAATGCACCATGTCATTCTTAAGTCATAAATGGTCAATTAGATCAAACATTATGAGTATAGGGTGTACCTGAATAATTTTATAAATAAGATTCATTTAATAGCTATGTATTGACTAAATTCTGCAGAAATTACACTGCCTTTTCAAGCATCTTTGTAATATGAAAAAAAATTTTGAATGCAGGATTTTGCATTAGCAAAACCTTAACAGAATGAAAAAATTGGTACAGAATAGACATAGATATAATGTGACACTAAGCAAATGATATTCAAAACATATGCCCCTCCTTAAAAAATTATTTATAGAGAAATCAATAGTCTTAAGTGTCTTTATTAAATTAAATACAAGGCTGGGTGTGGTGGCTCATGCCTGTAATCCCAGCACTTTGGGCAGCTGAGGTGGGCAGATCATTTGAGGTCAGGAGTTTCAGACCAGCCTGACTAACATGGCAAAATCCCGTCTCTACTAAAAATATAAAAATTAGCCAGGTGTGGTGGCATGTGCCTGTAATCCCAGCTACTCAGGAGGTTGAGGCAGGAGAATCGCTTGAACCTGGGAGGCAGAGGTTGCAGTAAGCCGAGATCGTGCCACTGCACTTTACCCCAGGTGACAGAGCAAGACTCCATCTCAAAAATAAATAAATAAGTAAATATTATATACAAAGTAACAAGGAAATAAGGGTTTACATCTAAGAAATTAGAAAAAATGAATAGCAAATGAAAAATAAGAAAGATGCTGAGCATTAAGGCATAGGGAAAATAAGAAAATAAATAAAAAGAAAAATAAGAAAGATACAGATGAAAGGAATTAAGAAAGCTAAAAGTTGGAATTTTTATCTCAGTAAAAAGATGAAATGGCAGAATTGGAAAGCATGAGAAGAGCATGAGCAAATAAAGCCAGCAGAGCTGGTACAGGTGCTTCTCTCTGACTATAAACATAGAAAATTGTGGAAGAAATAATTTTTTAAATGGCTTAATACAACTCTTAACTTGAAAGACTCTAGGAACCATAAATGAAGTGAAACAATGATAGAGAAGGAAGATGAATCTAATATCCCAGCCCATGGAGTATTCAACCAGGTATTTCAGTAAGGCCTGTTATTCTAAGGCAAACAAGCTGACTGAAGTATGACAAGGTGTCTAAACAGTGAAAAAATCTTCACACACTTCTCTCAGAATATGAGAGTCAAAGCAGGTAAATTTTTTAAGGATAAGAAGTTTTGAGCAACAAAATTTATAATTTAGAGAACAATTAGGGAATGCAGATTCTTTCTGAGCTCAAATGAGACATTTTTTAAAGCTGACCAGTTTCTAAGCCACAAAGTAGTCTCAACGAATGCCAAAAAACTGATAAGGTATATACCACATTTTATAACTACTTGGCTCTAAAACAAAAGTACTAATGAAAAGATAGCCTTAAAAAACAAGCAAACCAACATCTTAGTGGAAAACATCTGGGCATTTAAAAGAGCAAAGTTCTGGACAGGCCATGAGTCAAAGAAGAAATCATAATGGACAGTGGTTATTATTAAACATTAAGTCATGAATTACAATTAAACTCCCATATAGCAAAACTTGTGCACTGTAATTAAGGCAGTTTTTAGAGAAAAATGTAGTCTTAAAATGCATGTATTACAAAATAAGAAAAACTAAGAATTAATGAATAAATAATCCACCCAATGACTAAAAATAATAATAGGGTAAATCCTAGAAATAGAGCAAATAGAATAATAAAACTAAAATCAATTATCAATTAATATTAAAAACAAAGATACAAAACACAGAATAAAATAAACCAAAAATTGTTTTTGAAAAAACTAATATAATAGAAAAATCTATAACAAGTTTGATGAGAAAGAGAGAGAGAGAGGAAGACAAGCAAGAAGAAGGGAAGGACAGAAGTAGACAGCAGTAGAGTTGTGCTGGTAAACCTTCTCTCTCTAGGGTGGGGAATAGGTTCCTATTTATAGGGGTCTCTGATTTCCATAGTGTAGATCCTGCCACAAATGCTGATTTTAATCTACCAACATGATGCCACTGAATGCAAACTGGGGAGAGATTCATAGACACATGGCTCTGGGCAGCCAGAACAAGTCAGCTCCAGCACACCACTGGAAAGGTCACAAAGAAATAAAATTAGGGTGGAAAAACAGGAGCTAATGGAATAAAAATTTAAAATATTATAAGAATATTCAGAATAACTCCGTCAATATAAATGAAAACTTGGACAAAATGGACAATTTCTTAGAGAAATGTAACTTACCAAAATAGATTCCAATGGAAACCTGACAAAAACAAAATTACAGCTAGATAAGAAGAATAAGTTTTAGTGTCCTGTAGCACTGTAGAATGACTATAGTTAAGAATAATATATTATATAGTTTCAAATAGCTAGGAGGAGGATATTGAATGTTTTCAACACAAAGAAATGATAAATGTTTAAGATGATGGATAGGCTAATTACCTTGATCTGGTCACAATTTATTATATGTATCACAACATTGCTATGTACCCATAAATATGTACAATTATTACATACTGGCACATAAACATGTGCCATTTTAAAAAACTTTTTTAAAAACCAGATCATTAAGATGGTGAATTAATAGCTTAAATAGTGAAGATAGTGAATTAACAGTTTAAAATACACCAATTACTTAACAAAACAAGCAAAATAAATGGGCCCATCAGATTTTTAAAATGAGCGTTACCTAATTTTATTTTATTTTAATTAATTAATTTATTTATTTTTGAGAAGGAATCTTGCTCTGTCACCCAGACTGGAGTGTAGTGGTGCACTCTCAGCTCACTGCAACCTCCGCCTCCTGGGTTCAAGCGAATCTCCTGCCTCAGCCTCCAGAGTAGCTGGGACTACAGCTGCACACCACCACACCCAGCTAATTTGTTGTTCTCTTTTTGTACTGGAATTACTGTTTGAAATAAAAGATCAACCCCAAATTATACAAACAATTTAAGAGGATATAACAAGAAGAAATTTCCCTGTAGTGATCTCATTTTGTCAGGCCAAGATAGCCTTTACCCCAGAATCAGACATAAATACTATGAGAAAGGAAAATTTTAAGTCGGTGTCACATAGGCCTCTAAATAAAATCAGCAAATGGAACCCTTCAATGTTTGTCCATATGTCTCCATCTGAGTATACCATAACTAAGTTGGAAACATCCATATCAAAAGTTTTTTTGTATCGGTAAATCTATTACTGTAATTTCCACATTAACAAATTAAAAGAGAAAAATGATATGATGTCTATAGGTACAGAAAGCATTTTTGATAAGTTTCAATAATCATTCATGATGATAACAATAATTGTAAACTCTTAGCAAACTAGAAACAGAAAAGTATTAGCCTGACCAAAACTATATATTAAAACTTTTAATAAATATAATATCTTTAAGGAAATTATAAATGTTCCTTTTAAGTTAAGAATAAGACAAGATGTCTGCCATTACCACTTGTATTCAGCATTGTACTAAAGGTTGTAATCTGTATAGTAAAATAATAAAAAGAGACAAAATGAATATAGAATAGAAAGGAAGAAATATAAACTTATTATTTTTAAGTTATATTATTGTGAATACAAAACTTTTAAAGACCTAATGAACAAATTAATTAAGTACAATAAAGTTGCTATGAGACCACTATAAAAAATGAATAGGGTTCCTTTGCAATAGCAATAGATCCCATTCACAATAATTTTAGAAATGTTAAGTCACTTCGGAATAAATCTAAAAAAATAAGCAAGATATACAATCCAAATTATTTAGTGATATAAGCCCTAAATAAATAGAGAGTACATCATGTTTGTGGAAAGGATGACTCAATATTTGAAAGCTGTTATTTCTTCCTAAATTAGAGTTGCCATGTTTGGCAAATAAAAATACAGAAAAGCTAGTTAACTTTTGAGTTCAAATACATGAATAATAATTTTTCAATATAAGTATGTCCCAAACATTATTGCATACTGTTGAATAAAAAATTATTGCATAGGATAAACAGGCAGATAAATAGACAGATAGATAGATAGATACATACATACATATATACATAGATACTTATAGACACGTAGATAGATAATAGATTGAGATGGAGATAGTTATATATAAATATACAGATATACAGTCATGTGTCACACAACAACAAGGATACATGCTGAGAAATGCATCATTAGGTGATTACATCATCTTGTGAACATCATACATGAACCTAGATGGTATAGCCTACTACACACGTAGGCCATGTAGCGTAACTTTTTGCTTCTAAGCTACAAGTCTGCACAGCATGTCACTGTATTAAATATTGCAGGCAATTGTAACACAATGGTATGTATTTGTGTCTCTAAGCATAGAAAAGATGCAGTAAAAATACAGTATTATAATCTTATGGGACTGTTCTTGTGTATGCAATATGTCATTGACTGAAATGTCATTATGTGGCACAGGAGTGTATATAAAATATGTTTACTTGTATTTCAAATTTAACTGGGCATCCTGTATTTTATTGGGCAACTCTAAGCTAAATTAATCTATCAATTCAGTACAATCCCAACATAATTTTTTGTAGAATTTAAAAATAATTCTAAAACTCACATGGAAGAGTAAGGCATGTAACATATAAATACGAAAATTGCTTTTCCAAGAATAATGGGTAGTTTTTTGCCTTAGACCTGTATGTTTAAAGAGACACTTCTAGGAAGTCTAACCCCAAACACAGGAGTATCTTTCTCAAAGATAAATTCAATATTTCACCCCGGACTCAGAAACCTTAGCTCTGTTTATAACTGCATTGGCCTATTGATTCCTTCCAGGTTGCAACAAGAGGGGAAAGGAGAACCACCATGTCACTGGTTCTTTCTTTAATTCATATTCTCTTCTCTTTCTCTCAAAGAATCAGAGTGCTTCCAAGTTGATGCAATAAAATACAAATATAAAACTACTCATTATAATTGAAAATGAGTCATGGCAATCATTTGACCTCAATAACCACATTTCAGGTGTGATCCTGTCCTATTCCCTACCCTGCTATTAGATGCAGCATCTCATGAGAAAAGTAGACCAGATAGACAGTTGATATTGGTAAGAAGGTAGAATTATTTTACAGCTCTATCCTGGTAGATAGGTGAAACCTAGTAACAGGAAATTTGGGAAAATAATATGCTTACCTAAATGTGCAATCATGGGTAGAACTTGTATCAGTTAGGATTCCTTAGGTGCAAGAAACAGAAATCAGCTCGGCCTATCAAGCACATAGGAATGCATAAGAGGATTGGAGAATATAGGACACCTTTACACAGTCTTAGGATCAGTCCTGAAGAAGTCATGAGCCAAAGTATCTCTGGGGAGAGGAGAAACTAATGGACAGTCACGGCCAGCTGGGATTAATCATCACAAACTGCTTTCTCCATCTTTTTCTGCATTTCACATGAGCTCCAAATTTCAAGGAGAGAAAAGCATCTGATGGTATCACTTGGGTCACATGTCTATCCCTTGGCTAGGAGAAATGGGGACATCTTGATCGGCAGTTCTATGGCTGCCAATAGTGAAGGAGTAGCTTTTCCAATATAAGTTCAGGGCATCATTTCAAAAGAAAGGGAAATGAATTTTTGGCAGGCATAAACAACAGATGTCCACTGCATGACTGAATAACACAGATTTTGGGAAATGCATCCATGTAGAGCAATGTTATGATTACCAGTTGAACCTTGGTACAGAACCCCTCATTTTGACAAAAGAAACGATTCTCTCAAGATGAATCATTCTGGGAAGTGGTTAATAGTAGATTAAGAAATGAGGTGGGCCTTTATCTGGGGGAGGAGGGGTCTTTCTTCACTCTCTGGGGCTGGAGGCATTGTGCTGAAACCAAGATGTTATTCTAAAGCTGCCCCTGACCACGGTGGCTGCTGAGTACCTCTGTTTACTGTGCAAGTAGCAACAACAACAACCATGAAGAAGGATAAGCTACTTTTTGGAGCTTCCAATATCCATGACAGTGTTTGTGGAATCCTCCCATGTCGAGAAAAGGTACCTCTGAGTGAGTGGTGGATAACTGGTACATGCTGCTCCCCACACTCCAAAAAAGAAAAAAAAAAACGACACTGCCCTCCCCATCAAAAAACAAAACAAAAAATAGTCATTTGCACTGCAGGAGAAAGTTTTTGTTGCCCAAGATCAAGATGAGGTTTCACTACTGGTGAGCAGGGGAGAATCTGGCCAGCAGAGTAAACTTCAAGAGAATCAGCAGCAACAGTAACATAGTATAGATGCAAGATGAGAGTGCTAGAGTGAAAGAAAGCACTTCTTCCAGAGCAACTTCTAAACTCTACATATTCAGTGAAAATCCATTTAACCATTCTTGTATAATAAGGTAATACAAAACCTTATTACATACAAAAACACTAAGAGGAAAACAGAAATACATATATGTGTGTGTTTGTGTGTATATATATATAAATAAATAATAGTACAAGGGTGGTGGCCAGTTTTCAGTCTTTTGTTCATGTATATACATATATACATATATACACACATATATGTACACACACATATATATAAAGTTTTAAATCATGTTTTATTATATGTAATAGAACAAGAGAGAAATTTCGCTTTGGAAATATTTGCTACTAATATTTTCAAACAATTTTTTATTCCCTTTTTATTTAAGGTATTTTTGACATGAAAAAGCTTCCAATTTTGTGACATCAATAACATATCCTTTTCCTCTGTAATTTCTTCCATTTCTTCTATGTTCAGAAAGTACTTCTATTCAAAAGGCCAATGCTGTGGTCTCTATAATTTATTTTTTTAAACTTTGGCATAGACAATGTGCTATTATTTACGGGACAATTGATTTAAGCTATGCTTTATATGGGATCATTTGCCCTAATCAGGAATGCTCATACAAAAGGCGATTATTTAGCATTTAATCAGAAAGGCTACATTTCAAAGACTATAAGTACTGCATCTAATTTATCTTTGATGAAATCGGTACTTATTGATGAAATTAATGGTATGGGAGATACATACATTGAATAAAAGATTTCAGAGACAATTCCACAAGAATTCAGGGAGTCATATCCTACTCACTTAAAGATGGCACCAAGGCGTGATCCCTACTGAGATTTTTTTGCATGCTTTCCAATGGATGTATGGGTGGCAGAATTTGATCTGCATTTGCTTTCTTCATAACCTGATAGGTTGTGGGGAAGTAGTTAAACTTCATCCACCTCTAAACATTGGAGGCTACTACTAAATTTTAAAAATAACCTAAGAGTTATGCAAGATTGAATTGGCTTACACCAGTTTGTGAGAATCAGTTAAATAGCCACCTGTATCTTCTTCTCACTTATTTCTGAGTTTTATCTTTTATAGCCAACTCTTGACCCACCTGAAGTTTTGAATCTCAAATGGCTACAGGAGCGGAGCCATTCACATAAATGTGTGAGGCAAACTGGCATAAAACAGGAGGTGGGAAGAATTGTGCCAAATTGCAGAGCACCAGGGGAGCTGACACTCCTCTGTTCTTGCCAAATGCTGCCATCTGGGAATGTGAGTCCAGTGTTGCTATATCTTCTGTTTTAATTTTTCTTCCCATATTAAAAAAGAAAAAACAAAAAAAAAATTATAGTTTGTTGTAAATTTTTTTGAGTTTTATAATACCATGCAACAAACCATGTACATTTGTGGCCCAGTTATAATACAAGGGTGGTCACCAGTTTGCAATCTTTGGTTTATAGTGTAAGAGGTGAATGTTTTATACATATATATGTATGTGTGTATATATATATATATATACACACACACACATATATTTATCTCCAAGTAGGCAATTTTTCCCCGAAATTGTTGGAAACAGTCTTTCTCATTAAGATCTTATCCTTCCACCACCAAACACTGTATACTTGTATACTAGCAGCTGTCCTACTAACGAGTATATTCTTCCACCACTTCCATACTATTTTCATAATAATAAATTCCACAATTTTAACTATTATTATTTTTGGAAGCATTTTAAAAACTATGAAAAAATCCTCATCCATTTAAAAACCAGCAGCCCTCCACTGGTATCGTTTTTCAAATTTTTCTTTCCTGTACACTTAAGTAAATTTAAGAATAACTTTGTGCATCTTCAACAACATCCTTTGATATTTTAATTGAAATTTTATCTCCTAAATGGTTATTGCCAATATATAAATATTCTTTTTATTTATTTTGTATCTGAACATTTGACTTATATTCTGGTTTTAAGAATTTTAAAATGTATTCTTTTAGGTTTTCTAAGCATATCATTAGCTGGTCAATTGATAGCCCATTTTCTGGGCTATCGAACATTTTACATAACATGAAGAGTTTTGAGTTATAGAGAGCTTGAAAGTGTTTGACAGCAAACTGTCGTGCCTGGAACTATTTTTTTGAGGTAATACCATGATTATTGGATATATTTTTTGTGATTCTACTCATGTTTATTTCCTAAAAATCTATTTACTTAAGACCTTTATTGATACCAACTATGTGTCATTGTTCTATGTGCATTGGGTAATAAAGACACACAGAGGGGCCTTTCTGTGTGTAATTATATATGAAAGGAATATATATTCTCAGAAGAGAAGACAGATAATAAACCAACACATAAAATTTTAAAATATCAGCTAATGATAAATGCCCAGGTGAAATTAAAAGAGTGTGATATTGTGCTGAGTGACAGGCTGAGGGATGTTGAGAAACTATGGGTAGTCAAAATAAAAACCTCTCTGAGAAAGTGACTTTTAAGATGAGACATCATTGACAAGAAGGAACCATCAAAAATCCAAGGAAAGAGATTCCATGTAGATAGAAAGCACAGTTAGTCCAGAGTGTAGGAAAAATTTATTTGTATACAAAGATTGGCATGCTCCAAGTTACCTATGTGACTGGAATTTTCAAACTTATTAGTACAATGTAATTCAATACTATTAACTTCCTCCATGTCTTTATTTTTTCTTTTTCATCCTTAATAATGTTTGTCTTTGACATCATTCTTAATAAAATGTGCCTATGATATAGCTGCTACATTATGCATTTATTTTTAAATTAAAATAAAACTTTTGGATTATCAATTCCACTTTGACTTTTATATTTAGACTTTTTCCTCTATTTTTGTTTCCTATTTAAAATTCTTCTTTTTAGTAATAAACATTTTTTTACTACCAATATTCCGTGAGGTAAGTTTAGTCCACACTAAAAAAAGAAAAATGCTAATGCCTTGTGTTCTTTCTATTCTTGTTTCAAAATTGTCTCAGATTATATTATTATTTTTATCATTGGCTAAGATAGGAGATTTTACTTTGAACTTTTAAATGATAAGATATTTTATTCCCATCTAATAAATTAATATCCAGTGAATTCTATCATGGTCAGAAAATATGAATTTTTGATTTGAGAAATGTATTGAAGTATTCCTTTCAGTCTAAGTACATGAGTTTATTTTTTTCTGTCTCTTTTTGGTATTACATGGGCATCTAAGTAAGTTATATTCTTCTCTTGTGGATATAAAGCTTTAAAACTTATCGTATATCTATTGATTTAGCCTTATATTATCACGCAATTTCTTCTTGTCATCTTTTTTTTCAACTACTTACTCTAACAAAGGTTGAGAGATGCATCAGTTACCCAAAATTTTTTTCTTCAAATTTGCCTTATATTTTTAACAGTCTAGTAGGAATGAGAAAGTACGAGAGCCAGAAATGTGAAAGTTTGTAGCTACAATATGAAACTATTTGTAGCCAGACCTAGGACCTGCAACACGTATAAGGATGTTTCTTGTTGTGAATACTACATGAAAAGCTAACTCAAACTGACTTCAACAATATTGTATAAGCTCACATAATTGAGAAGTTTAGAGAAAAGGCAGCTTTTAATTGTTTTAATGAGGCCTCCCCATTCTTATTCCCGCTGTTCTTCATGTATCAGTTTCAACTTCAAGTGGCGTTCTTCACAGCAGCAATATGAATGAGCCAGCTCCAGGTGTGACACCTGCACTTGCTGCTAACTAGAGGAGAAGAGAGTCTGTATCCCAAATTATTTACAAAAGTTCAGGAATTTCACATGATAGCAGAGGTCAAATGGTCACATCTTTATAGTCACTAGCCCAGGGGTTGGTATGCACTCACTGGCTTCATCTATTTTACATGCTCCACTTACAAGAATGAAGTATTGTTTCCCAGAATGTCATGGCCCCTCAATGGAAATCAGGGACAACAGGTGATGAGTCAGTGTTCTTCAGAAAAAAGAACCAAATGGCTATAAATACATATATAGAAAAAAGATATATTATGAAGGAGTTTCTCATACAATTTTGGAAGCTGAGAAGTCCCACCATCTGCCATCTGCAAGCTGGAGGCCTAGGAAGCCAGTAGTGTAGTTTCAATCCAACCCCAAAAGTCTGAGAACTAGGAAAGCCAATGATGTAAGTCCCAGTCATGTCTGAAGGCCCAAGAACCAAAATCACTAATGTCATCAGGCAGGAGAAAATTAATGTCCTAACTCAAGAGGAGAGAGTGGATTTGCCCTTCTTCCACCTTTTTGTTCAAGCCCACAACAGATTATATGATGCCCACCTGCATTGGTGAGGGTGATCTTCTTTATTCAATCTACTGATCCAAACGCTAATCTCTTCTGGAAACACCCTCACAAACACACTCAGAAATAATGTTATACCAGCTATGTGGTCATCCATTAGCCAGTAGAGTTGACATATTAAATTAACTTTCACAATAGGGAAGAGAAAAGGGGAAAACCAAATTTTAGTCAGTGGAATAGAAAATTCCTAGGTCTGGCAGGGTGTGGTGGCTAATGCCTGTAATCCCAGCACTCTGGGAGGCTGAGGCGGGTGGATCACGAGGTCAGGAGATCAAGACCATCCTGGCCAACATGGTGAAACCCTGTCACTACTAAAAACACAAAAATTAGCTGGACATGGCGGCACAGGCCTGTAGTCCCGGCTACTCTGGAGGCAAAGTCAGGAGAATCGCTTGAAACCGGGAGGCGGAGGTTGCCGTGAGCTGAGATTGTGCCACTGCACCCCAGCCTGGCAACAGAGCAAGACTCCGTCAAAAAAAAAAAAATTCCTAGATCCTTGGGCATGGGCCTCTGAAGTTAAATAGAGAAGAAAGTCATTACAGTTGTGAATTTTAAGGAGCTTCGTATTTAGAATACTATAGATATTAAAAATTGCAGGGTGATCATAACTAAAACAGACCAGGACAGAAACTAGAGAGTACCAATACTACTTAAAAGCTTTTTTTTTTTTTCCTTGTTAAGGATCTGATTCTGTTGAGCAAGATGAAATCTACCTATTACTGGCCAGCCATGGTGGCTCACGCCTGTAATCCCAGAACTTTGGGAGGCTGAGTGGGGTGGATCACCTGAGGTCAGGAGTTCAAGACCAGCCTGGCCAATATGGTAAAATCCCATCACTACTAAAAATACAAAAATTAGCCAGGTGTGGTGGCAGACGCCTGTAATCCCAGCTACTCAGGAGGCTGAGGCAGAAGAATCGCTTGAACCCAGGAGGTGGAGGCTGCTGTGAGCCGAGATCACACCATTGCACTCCAACCTGGGTGACAGAGCGAGACTCCATCTCAAAAAAAATAAAAACAACAACAACAAAAGAAAAATCTACCTATTACTTCAAGAAAACTGATAATATTCAGTCTGCAGTAATTTGGAATAAAGCTTGACTCATCCAAAAATTTGAGCATTTTAAAAAATAAGAAGATAGCAAAAGTTGCAGGTTACCCATATTTGTTATTTAATAATACATTATTCCCTTCCCTGGTACAGGGATGTGTGCAGTCCTATAATTGCATCAGGTCCAACATTTACTTGAGCCATGCATTTCAAAAAGATAATTTCCGAGGGGTGGGGGAAGGAAATATTGCCCTAGAATAGCAATAGCACAAGTTAAATCTGAAAATCTCTAGCATGAGCCAAGATTACAACATCAAAGGTGATTATTTCCTTAATTCTGTCACAATAGCTAATATTGTCTAAAGAATAATAATGACAAAGTTTAAGGGTGGATTACCATGACAATTCTGTTTATAAGCATTCCATATTATGCAAAATAAAGTTTATTTTTAGGTTTTCCTGACTGCAGAGAGACATTAGTTACTCCTAAAGAATCTTCCCCAAACTGGAATTAGCAGAATTAAAATTGAAACTTTCTATATTGAAGATGCATCCTAAACAATGTAATTACTAAGGTTTAAATCTTATTTATGAAATCTTATTTATGAAACTAAAATGTATAACCTATATTACTGAAAATGTCAAGAAATTAGATAATGGATTTTACTCAAAAAAAAAGAAGAAGAGAAAAAAAGAAAGAAAAGAAAAAGGCCGGGCACGGTGGCTCATGCCTGTAATCCCAGCACTTTGGGAGGCTGAGTCAGGTGGATCACCTGAGGCCAGGAGAGTGAGACTAGCCTGGCCAACATGGCAAAACACCGTCTCTAGTAAAAATACAAAAATTAGCCAGGTGTGGTGGTGGGCACCTGTAATCCCAGCTACACAGGAGGCTGAGGAAGGAGAACCACTTGAACTCGGGAGGCAGAGGTTGCAGTGAACCAAGATTATGCCATTGCACTCCAGCCTAGACAACACGGCAAGACTGTCTCAAAAAAAAAAAGATACAGATTTTAAATTTATATTTCTTGGGAAATTATATTTCAGTTTAGAAAATAATTTATTGGTCCATTCCAAGATGGCTGAATAGAAACAGCACTGGTCCGCAGCTCCCACCATGATCAACACAGAAGACGGGTGATTTCTGCATTTTTAACTAAGGTACCTGGTTCATCTCACTGGGACAGGTTGGACAGTGGGTGCAGCCCATGGAGGGTGAGCCGAAGCAAGGCAGGGCATCACCTTACCCGGCAAGTGCAAGGGGTTGGGGGATTTCCCTTTCCTAGCCAAGGGAAGCCGTGACAGACTGTATGTGGAAAAATGGACACTCCCACCCAAATACTGCACTTTTCCAACTGTCTTAGAAATGGCACACAAGGAGATTATATCCCATGCCTGGCTCAGCGGGTCCCACACCCACAGAGCCTTGTTCACTGCTAGCTCAGTGGTCTGAGATTGACCTGCAAGGCAGCAGCCTGGCAGGAGGAGGGGCGTCCGCCATTGCTGAGGCTTGAGTAGGTAAACAAAGTGGCCAGGGAAGCTCGAACTGGGCAGAACTCACCGCAGCTCAGCAAGGCCTGCTGCTTCTGTAGACTCCAACTCTGGGGGCAGGGCATAGCTGAACAAAAGGCAGCAAAAACTTCTGTAGACTTAAAAGTCCCTGTCTGACAGCTCTGAAGAGAGCAGTGGTTCTTCCAGCACAGTGTTTGAGCTCTGAGAATGGACACACTGCCTCCTCAAGTGGGTCCTTGACCTTTGTGTAGACTAACTGGGAGACATCTCCCAGTAGAGGCTGACTGACACCTCACACAGGCAGGTGCCCCTCTGGGACAGAGCTTCCAGAGGAAGGATCAGACAGCAATATTTGCTGTTCTGCAGCTTCCAGTGGTGATACCCAGGCAAACAGGGTCCGAAGTGGACCTCCAGCAAACTCCATGAGACCTGCAGCTGAGAGAACTGACTGTTAGAAGGAAAACTAACAGAAAGGAATAGCATCAACATCAACAAAAAGAACATCCACACCAAAACCCCATCTGTAGGTCACCATCATCAAAGACCAAAGGTAGATAAAACCACAAAGATGGGGAGAAACCAGAGCAGAAAAGCTGAAAATTCTAAAAACCAGAGCTCCTCTTCTCCTCCAAAAAAATCACAGCTCCTCGCCAGCAATGGAACAAAGCTGGACTGAGAATGACTTTGATGAATTGACACAAGTAGGCTTCAGAAGGTCAGTAATAACAAACTTCTCCAAGCTAAAGGAGGATGTTCGAACCCAAAGCAAGGAAGCTAAAAACGTTGAAAAAAGATAAGACAAATGGCTAACTAGAATAAACAGTATAGAGAAGACCTTAAATGACCTGATGGAGCTGAAAAGCATGGCACGAGAACTATGTGATGCATGCACAAGCTTCAATAGCCGATTCGATCACGTGGAAGAAAGGGTATCAGCGATTGAAGATCAAATGAATGAAATGAAGAGAGAAGAGAAGTTTAGAGAAATGAACAAAGCCTCCAAGAAATATGGGACTATGTGAAAAGACCAAATCTACGTCTGATTGGTGTACCTGAAAGTGACGGGGAGAATGGAACCAAGCTGGAAAACAATCATCAGGATATTATCCAGGAAAACTTCCCCAACCTAGCAAGACAGGCCAACATTCAAATTCAGGAAATACAGAGAACACCACAAAGACACTCCTCGAGAAGAGCACCCGAAGACACATAATTGTCAGATTCACCAAGGTTAGAAATAAAGGAAAAAATGTTAAGGGCAGCCAGAGAGAAAGGACGGGTTACCCGCAAAGGGAAGCCCATCAGACTAACAGCAGATCTCTCAGCAGAAATTCTACAAGCCAGAAGAGAGTGGGAGCCAATATTCAACATTCTTAAAGAAAAGAATTTTCAACCCAGAATTTCGTATCCAGCCAAACTAAGCTTCATAAGTGAAGGAGAAATAAAATCCTTTACAGACAAACAAATGCTGAGAGATTCTGTCACCACCAGGCCTGCCTTACAAGAGCTCCTGAAGGAAGCCCTAAACGTGGAAAGGAACAACTGGTACCAGCCACTGCAAAAAACATGCCAAATTGTAAAGACCATCGAGGCTAGGAAGAAACTGCATCAACTAACGGGCAAAATAATCAGCTAACATCATAATGACAGGATCAAATTCACACATAACAATATTAACCTTAAATGTAAAAGGGCTAAATGCCCCAATTAAAAGACACAGACAGGCAAGTTGGATAAAGAGTCAAGACTCATTGGTCTGCTGTATTCAGGAGACCCATCTCACATGCAAAGACACACACAGGCCCAAAATAAAGGGATGGAGGAAGATCTACCAAGCAAATGGAAAGCAAAAAAAAAAAGCAGGGGTTGCAATCCTACTCTCTGATAAAACAGACTCTAAACCAACAAAGATCAAAACAGACACAGAAGGCCATTACATAATGGTAAAGGGATCAATTCAACAAGAAGAGCTAACTATCTTAAATATATATGCATCCAATACAGGAGCACCCAGATTCATAAAGCAAGTCCTTAGAGACAGACAAAGAGACTTAGACTCCCAAACAATAATAATGGGAGACTTTAACACCCCACTGTCAATATTAGACAGATCAGCGAGACCCAGGACTTGAACTCAGCTCTGCACTAAGTGGACCTAATAGACATCTACAGAATTCTCCACCCCATATCAACAGAATACACCTTCTTCTCAGCACCACATTGCACTTATTCCAAAATTGACCAAATAGTTGGAAGTAAAGCACTCCTCAGCAAATGTAAAAGAACAGAAATCACAACAAACTGTCTCTCAGATCACAGTGCAATCAAATTAGAACTCAGGATGAAGAAACTCACTCAAAACTGCACAACTATATGGAAACTGAACAATCTGCTCCTGAATGACTACTGGGTAAATAATGAAATGAAGGCAGAAATAAAGATGTTCTTTGAAACCAATGAGAACAAAGACACAACATACCAGAATCTCTGGGCCACATTTAAAGCAGTGTGTAGAGGGAAATTTAAAGCAGTAAATGCTCACAAGAGAAAGCAGGAAAGATCTAAAATCGATACCCTAACATCACAATTAAAAGAACTAGAGAAGCAAGAGCAAACAAATTCAAAAGCTAGCAGAAGGTAAGAAATAACTAAGATCAGAGCACAACTGAAGGAGATAGAGACACAAAAAAACCCTTCAAAAAATCAATGAATCCAGGAGCTGGTTTTTTGGAAAGATCAACAAAATGGATAGACCGCTAGCAAGACTAATGAAGAAAAGAGAGAAGAATCAAATAGACACAATAAAAAATGATAAAGGGGATATCACCACCAATCCCACAAAAATACAAACTACCATCAGAGAATATTATAAACACCTCTACACAAATAAACCAGAAAATCTAGAAGAAATCGATAAATTCCTGGACACATACACCCTCCCAAGAGTAAACCAGGAAGATGTTGAATCTCTGAATAGACCAATAACAGGCTCTGAAATTGAGGAAATAATTAATAGCCTACCAACTAAAAAAAGATCAGGACCAGACGGATTCACAGCCGAATTCTACCAGAACTACAAAAAGGAGCTGGTGCCATTCCTTCTGAAACTATTCCAATCAATAGAAAAAGAGGGACTCCTCCCTAACTCATTTTATGAGGCCAGCATCATCCTGATACCAAAGCCTGGTGGAGACACAACAAAAGAGCACTTTAGACCAATAACCCTGATGAACATCGATGCAAAATCCCCAATAAAATACTGGCAAACCGAATCCAGCAGCACATCAAAAAGCTTATCCACCACGATCAAGTGGGCTTCATCCCTGGGATGCAAGGCTGGTTCAACATACCCAGATCAATAAATGTAATGCCATCACATAAACAGAACCAATGATAAAAACCAGATGATTATCTCAATAGATGCAGAAAAGGCCTTTGACAAAATTCAACAGCCCTTCATGCTAAAAACTCTCAATAAACTAGGTATTGATAGAACAGATCTCAAAATAATAGGAGCTATTTATGACAAACCCACAGCCAATATCATACAGAATGGGCAAAAACTGGAAGCATTCCCTTTGAAAACTGGCACAAGGCAGGGATGCCCTCTCTCACCAGTCCTATTCAACACAGTGTTGGAAGTTCTGGCCAGGGCAATCAGGAAGGAGAAAGAAATAAAGGGTATTCAATTAGGAAAAGAGGAAGTCAAATTGTCCCTGTCTGCAGATGGCATGATTGTATATTTAGAATACTCCATCGTCTCAGACCAAAATCTCCTTAAGCTGATAAGCAACTTCAGCAAAGTCTCAGGATACAAAATCAATGTGCAAAAATCACAAGCATTCCTATACATCAATAACAGACAGAAAGCCAAATCATGAGTGAACTTCCATTCACAATTGCTACAAAGAGAGTAAAATACCTAGGAATCCAACTTACAAGGGAAATGAAGGACCTCTTCAAGGAGAACTACAGATCACTGCTCAATGAAATAAAAGAGGACACAAACAAACGGAAGAACATTCCATGCTCATGGATAGGAAGAATCAATATCATGAAAATGGCCATACTGCCCAAGGTAATTTATAGATTCAATGCCATCTCCCTGAAGCTACCAATGACTTTCTTCACAGAATTGGAAAAAACTACTTTAAAATTCACATGGAACCAAAAAAGAGCTGGCATTGCCAAGACAATCCTAAGCAAAAAGAACAAAGCTGGAGGCATCACATACCTGACTTCAAACTATAGTACAAGGCTACAGTATATACAGTCGACAGAGATATAGACCATTGGAACAGAAAAGAGCCCTCAGAAATAACACCACACATCTACAACCATCTGATCTTTGACAAACCTGACAAAAACAAGAAATGGGGAAAAGATTCCCTATTTAATAAACGGTGTTGGGAAAACTGGCTAGACATATATAGAAAGCTAAAACTGGATTCCTTCCTTACACCTTATACAAAAAATTAATTCAAGATGGATTAAAGACTTAACTGTTAGGCCTAAAACCATAGAAACCGTAGAAGAAACCTAGGCAATACCATTCAGGACACAGGCATGGACAAGGACTTCATGACTAAAACACCAAAAGCAATGGCAACAAAAGCCAAAATAGACAAATGGGATCTAATTAAAGAGCTTCTGCACAGCAAAAGAAACTACCATCAGAGTGAACAGGCAACCTACAGAATGGGAGAAAATTTTTGCAATCTACTCATCTGACAAAGGGCTAATATCCAGAATCTATAAGGCACTTAAACAAATTTACAAGAAACAAATAAACAACCCCATCAAAAAGTGGGCAAAGGATATGAACAGACACTTCTCAAAAGAAGGGATTTATTCAGCCAACAGACACATGAAAAAATGCTCGTCATTGCTTGTCATCAGAGAAATGCATATCAAAACCACAATGAGATACCATCTCACACCAGTTAGAATGGTGATCATTAAAAATTTAGGAAACAATAGATGCTGGAGAAGATGTGGAGAAATAGGAATGCTTTTACACTGTCAGTGGGGTGTAAACTAGTTCAACCATTGTGGAAGAGAGTGTGGCGATTCCTCAAGGATCTAGAACTAGAAATACCATTTGACCCAGCGATCCCATTACTGGGTGTATACCCAAAGGATGATAAATCATGCTACTATAAAGACATGCACACGTATGTTCACTGCAGCACTGTTCACAATAGCAAAGACTTGGAACCAACCCAAATGTCCATCAATGATAGTCTGCATTAAGTAAATGTGGCACATATACACCATGGAATACTGTGCAGCCCTAAAAAAGGATGAGTTCATGTCCTTTGCAGGGCCATGGATGAAGCTGGAAACCATCATTCTGAGCAAACTAGCACAAGGACAGAAAACCAAACACCGCATGTTCTCACTCATAGGTGGGAATTGAACAATGAGAACACTTGGACACAGGGTAGGGAACATCACACACTGGGCCCTGTTGTAGGGTGGTGGTTGGGGGAGGGATAGCATTAGGAGAAATACCTAATGTAAATGACGAGTTAATGGGTGCAACAAACCAACATGGCACATGTATACCTATATAACAAACCTGCACGTTGTGCACATGCACCCTAGAACTTAAAGTATAAAAATATATATATATAGACTCTATAAAACAGAAAAAGAAAATAATTTATCAGTTTTTGCCAAAAGACAATAGAAGTTATGAAATTATAGGTATTTATTCTTATGCTTTCTAGTAGACTGAATGAGAGGCTCTGGCGGAACTAGCTCAGAATTTGAGACAGGTCAAATAATGTAATTGTAATAGCTAAGGTTTTTCAACCTTGGCCAAGTACTTTATCTTAAATTTCATTATCAAATCTCTGAATAGAGGTGATAATTTACCCGTTTTATGGCTACATATAAAAAAATTGACATTTGGATACAGTAAGTAGCATGCCCGAATTAGTTTATGGCGCTCCTGATCCTAGGACTCATCGTGTCTTTACTGAACCTTTACTGATGCATGTCCATATTCCCCTCAGCTGGTCTCTCTCTCTTCACCGTGGTTCTACTCTGGGCTACCTGTGAACACTGGTAACCTCAATGAGTTGCAGTTGTCTCATAGAACAATGATGAAAAGATATTCGTGGACCTGGATCATTATGGTGAAAAAAATGGTTTGTTAAGAGCTTAGAAAATAATAGGCAATCAATTATTCTAGTTCTTTCCATATTTCAGAATATATATCACCTTGAGCAATATAATAAATCATTTTTCAAACTTTTTGAACCACATATTTGATGCCCAGTCTCACAATGGCATTTCTATGTTCTGCTTTATATCTAATGGAGCTGGAAAAAGTTGTTTTTGAGAATCCTTTGACAGATGGTTTCTTGTTTAGTTTTGTCAATTGAAGGCAATCACATGGAAAAAGTAAGTGGAAAGGAGAAGGTGATTTCTTTCCTATTCGTTTCTGGTTCTGACATTGGAGTGGTAGGTGACTGCTTATGGCTGTGAGTTCCTGGACTTCTGCAGGCTCAGTGTGCATATGGGACCCTGACTTCCTATTATAGCAGTTCATAAAAAGTGCTCTAGCAGCCTCCAGGAGCTCCCAGAACACCCTTTGCTCCTCCAAACTTAGATGAGCCAGTGACTTTCTGCAGTTACTGATTTCAAGGTATCTTCATCTTTCTTTTTTGGTTCCTCCAGTTTTCTAACACTTTCACCACCATTTCACTACATTAGAGTCTCTGTCTGAAATACTTAAGGTGGTTTTTGTTTTCCAAAGAGAATCTTGCTTGACAAACTTCTGTGAAAATACTTCAAACTTTTAGGTTATAATTATATTAAACTGATACAGGAAAATGTGACATTGCAAAACATAGTTGCTGCCTTGATGACCTTAAGCAATTTCCTTTATGTGATGGAGTACATTGTTTAAGGGACTATTTTGTTAAAATAATAAGCTAGCTTAAAAAACCTCCACTGTTAAAATACAGCATTTATTCTTATCTTTTAATACTATGGTCAATGAAAGGTTATGTCATTTAATGAAACAAGCATGGACTTTGGAGACATCAGAGCTACTACTGTCAATATAAGACATCTAAAAATTAATAAATACATATTATATACATACAACCAGGTTAGGAAATAAATGCATCGTTGACTTTATAGTCAAACTATAAAGTTTAACTCAGTGACTCTTGGGGCTATTTTCTAGCCATACATTATCCTAATTCAGTTGTAATGTCTGTGGGCAACGCAGGAACATTAAGAACCATTAGAAGAGAAAGCATTGATAATCACAGTAGGTAAAAGAAAAACACAAGCTAAACTGGCTAGTGTACTATTATTTGCAAAGGAGTTCTACTAGAAAATAATATACTGTTTGATTACTGTAAGTAGAACATCAAATGATAGGACAGAAACCAACCTATGTATCAGCTCTGGAAACAAAGTTTTTAATTAAAATAAACAAAGTTTGCTTTCCAAAGCTTCCTCTTGGTTTGATTTCCATTCATCTGCTAGCTATAATGACTGGTACATTCCTGAATCTGGTTTGTTCTGTTTCCAGGCATATGAGAAAGTTGTGTCCACAGCTATCAGATGGTTGCCGGCATGTGAAAAGGGAAGAAATTTAACTTAGAGTTGGTAAGCAAAATAGCCCCAGACAAGCATTCTTATTTGGTCTCAGGACCCTTTGACAGTGCTAATTTATAGAAGACCCCAAAAAACTTTTATGAGCTAATCAATATTTACCAAATTAAAAGTTGAAATTGAGAATGGTTTACAATATATACTAATTCATTTAAAAATGACTCATTGTATTAACATACTTTATTAAAAAAAAAAACACTACATTTTCCAAAACAAAGCTAACTGAATGAAAGAAGAGTGCAGTTTTACTTTTTTTTTTTTTTTACATCGTTTTAATGACTGGTTTAATAGATATAGTCAAATTCTCATATCTGCTTCTATAATCAATCTATTGCTACATCACATACCATGTAGCTTCTGGAAAACTCCACTGTACATTTGAGAGTGCAAGTAAACAAAGCAACTAGAGTCTTAGTATTATTATAAGAACAATTTTCCCTCAGACACTCTGCAAGAGTCAAAGGACCCCTATGGGTCACTAGATAACACTTGGAACACCGCCGCCCTAAACTAGCCACGAGTGGTTTCAACGTACATTCTATTGTAACACATCATTTTCTCATGCATTTTCATGGATGTCTTCAGATATTAAGTAAACAAAAAAAAATGCTTTGATCCTTAAGTAAAACAAATAACATTGGACAATTTTTGAGTGTTGGAAGGATAAATGGAGAAGAGTAGGTGCCTGGAGATGTGTGGTATTCAGCAAAGTATTTTGTAAGTTGTGGGAAATAGACAATAAGCTATAAGCAAACAGGCAACTGGGTAATTCCTAGCAGTCAGCTGCAACTTCTTTACCTTTGATTCAATGAAGCAAAATGGAATCCCAGTGACAGTAACATTATTACAGAAATACATTGAAACTGTTAGGCTCTGATTTATTTAAGCAAATAATTTGAAGTTTTGGTACTTAAAATTACTGGAAACCAGTTACTCTTAATTACTGGAAACCAGCACTCTGACAATGTTGAGAGGTGCTGTCCTGTGTTATTCAAAGATATAAACTTCTATCTTTCTTTCAAGTGGCTGATGGAGGTAGGGTGTATAGTATTCCATGCATTCAATTCTGCTTTTCATATGCAACTACTGAAAAATGAGAAGTTCACTTTTATTCATATATATATACAAATGGGGATATATTCATATATATATATAAATGGAGATATATATATATTCATATATATATATAAATGGGGATATATATACACACTCACATACACAAATGTGGTTTTTGGGGTTTTTTTGAGACGGAGTCTTGCTCTGTTGCAGTGCAGGCTGGAGTGCAGTGACACGATCTCGGGCAACTTCCGCCTCCCAGGTTCAAGCGATTCTCCTGCCTCAGCCTCCCGAGTAGCTGGGATTACAGGCGCGTGCCACCATGCCCAGCTAATTTTTTTGTGTTTTTAGTAGAGACAGGGTTTCACTGTGTTAGCCACGGTGGTCTTGATCTACTGACCTCGTGATCCGCCCACTTCGGCCTCCTAAAGTCCTGGGATTACAGGCGTGAGCTACTGCCCGGCCATGTGTGTATTCATTCATTCATTCATTCATTTACTCATTCATGTAACACATATTTACAGAGAACCTCTTTAAGTGTGTCAGGCACTATTCCTGGCAGTTGAGATACAAAACAGAACACACATTCCTGGCCTCCTGTGTCTTGCGTCCTAATGTGATGAGAAATATGATGAAGATTAGTAAGTAAAATAAATTATCCATTACACTGTGATAAGTATTAAAAAGTAAAGGAGGAAATATGAAATATTGGGAATGGAAACATCATGACTTAAAATATGCTGACAAGTAGAGGGACTGACTGAAGAGTTGGACATCTGAGCACATATGGAGGGAGCATGATGGGGAAGAGTGTTCTAAGCAGAGGAAACCACAACTGCAAAGACTATGAGGTTGGCAGCTTGTGGAGAGCTTTCTGGGAATACAAAGCTGGGTAAACAGTCTGTGGGGTCAAAGAGGTAATGAGGGGAGGATTTTAAAGCCATCGTTAGGACTTTGGTTTTTACTTGTGTTGGGAAGCCACAGGAGACTTTGAGCAAAGGAGTGGTACGATCTCACTTCTTTTTAAGTAGATTTATTTAGGATTCTGTATTAAGGATAGAGTCAAAAGACTAGTTCCTGGTCTACCGTAACACTATAATCCAAACAAGAGATGATGCAGATTGTAGCGGAGGTGGTAAGTAGTTGGATATACTTTGAAGGAAGAGCCAACAGGTTATATGCCAAATGCATATAAGACATAAAAGAGAGGAGTTAAAGGTGGGTTTGAACAAGGAAAGATGCAACCATTTACTGAAATACAAAGACCTTGGGTATGAGTGAGAAGGGGTTGAACTAGCTGACATCTTACAGTCTGTGCCTGGATTCAAATCTCAGCTGTGTGTGTCTCTCTCTCTGTAAAATGGGAATAATAATAGTGCCTACCTCATAGTTTATTATGAGAATTAAGTGGGTATATATGAATAAAGCACTTAGAGCAACACCTGGCACATTGTTAGTTAATATTAGCATTACCTCTTCAAGCTGGAATCTTCGAGTACATATCAAATTTTAGCTATTCTCTGTTCATGGGCTGTGTAGGATAGAGGGACAAAACTGAGTGGCTAATAAGAAGATAAAGATAGAAAACTAAGCTTAAAGTTAAAGGATATACACTTCAATATTTCTACATGTATGGAACAGTATTGCATACACGCGCAAGCATCACTGAACTAGATGCACCCTTCAAGAGATTGGGTTACATATTGATATATATGAATGAGAACCCTGAAATAAACTGATTTCAGAGGAATAACAGAAAACATATACATTTCTATACCTATAAGGACACTGAAAACTTCCAATCCTGAATCAAACAGTTAATGAAATCCCAAAATGCAACACTAATGCAAATGAGAAGACGCTGTCATAGAATGTTGAAATACATACTCTTCTAAAGATAAAAGGTCTGCTCTTCCACCCTCTTCATTTTCCTACAAATTAGGAAAATTTAATCAGTTCTGAAAAAGGAAATGTACATGCTAAAATGGTGAATTACTGCTAGAGTTCTGATGTTTAAAACCACAGGCTTGCGATCAAAATAACCTCTTTAATTTTAGATTATCATGCAGATTAATTTCTTCAGTTTCTCAGGCACTATTCTGTTTTTTTTAAAAAAAGGGTGGGGTTTCAAAAGAAAACTAATACTCATTTTTTCCCCGATTAAATTGCTCAACCATTAAAAAGGAGAACAAATTGGAAAGTCCTACAGTACTCTCTCCCCTCCGTCCCCCCCCTCCCCATTTTTTTTCTTGAAAGGGAACAAGCAGTACTTTTGCTAAGGGATCTTTAAGCCGAAACTCAGCTAGGCGCCCCAGAGCTTCCTCAGGATAGCAAAGCTGGATTTTTGAGCAGCACCACCTGCTGGTCCTACACACGTTTTACTTCCTCCACCCCAAATCTCTTTCTGTTGGAACTGCACTCTTTCAGAGCCTCTGGGCCCTAATACAAAGCAAGCACACTCTAAAGAAGCCAGAAGAATGCAAGCAGCGAAGTCGCCGCTCCCCACAGGCAAGAGAGTACCGGCAGACAGCGGCGCGAGACAGGGGCAGAACGATGAGGCGCCGGAGTTAGCTCGCCGGTGCGGGTGCGGGTGCGCGGCGCGTCGCGGCCCCTCCTCCGCGACGCGCCGGGTGGTCACGTGACGGCCGCGCGCGTTCCCGGCAGCTGCGGGCTCCGAGGCCAGAGAGAAAAGACTGCGAGGTGGCCGCAGCTGTGGCCGGAGAGGTGGGAGTCGGAGCGAGGCCCTCTCGGGGGAGCAGGGTGAACGCCGGCCACTCTAGGATCCTCACTCGGGGAGAGGAGGCATAGCTCGCGGTGTCACCTCCAGCCGCAACGTACTCCGGGTCGGCCTTGCGCTCGGGGCCTGAGAGGGGCGGCGGCGGGGTCAGGGGCCGGTACGTAGATGGACGCCCTTGGGCTGGCGCGGCCCCGGCTGTCCGCGCAGAGGCGGGATGGGACAGTTCAGCCCTTTCCGCCACCCCCGCCTTGGCTGCTGGGGCAGGCAAGACGACCGTGACAGCCCCTGCGCTGCCCGAGGGCGCCGCAGCCCCTGCCCTGGGTGACGGCCGGAGCTGGTCTCGGTCCGGGTGCGAGGGGCGGAGCAGCGGCCATTACTGCGCAGCCTCTTCCGCCTGAGCCCGCTTCGCTGCCTCGGGTGGCAGGCGGGTCCCTCTCCTCCCCTCTGGGCCGTGGTTTTAGGCCTTTACCCGGGGACCTTCTGGCCTCGAGGTGTAGGGGCGGCGATGGTTTTTCGGCGGTAGCCTGCTCCATGTTTTCCCGTGTGGGGTCAGACAGTTTGGGCCTTGGGTCAGATCGAAGCCAGGGCGTACAGTCTGCATTTTTGCCTTTTCCCGGAGTGTCTCTGGCTGCTGCTTTCTCTTCTCTCGCTCTTCCTCCTTTTTTTTCTCCTGCTCAGTGTCTCGGTCTTGCCTAAAACGAAGAGAGCAATCCCTGCACCTTGTCCTAGTGAAGCCCAGCGCTGCATATTCTTAGTTGTTTTTGACGGCTGTTGAAGCATCGGAACAATTAAGAGATCTCAGAATATCCCTTGAGCCTCCAAACCCTCTGCATCTTAAAAGCTGAGGCTGTTGCTTTGTTCTGATTGTTGGGTGGGGAGTTCTCTTCCTACCCTCCATCCCGTCTGAAGGAGTGTGGGTCTTCCATTGTTGTCGCTATTTATTTTGCTAAGGCTTCTAAAGAATGTAAAATTGTTTTAAGAGTGGAGACGGAACCGTCCTCTCCACAGGTAAAACCTACAGGACTGTAAGTTTACACACACATCCTGGCAACTAGAATCTTTTCTCGTTAATCATATTGGTATATGTTTTAATTTATTTTCTCTAAGTGCCATTTTAGTGAGCACTTATTTCTCAAGTTTTGAACATTTTGTTTAATATTTTTGTAATATCGAAACAGTGTAGAACTGAGGAGAGAAGAAAGCCCAAAGATGATAGGGTACGCTTTGTTCTTTGTATGATTGGCATTTCAGGTAGTGGGCACATCCCCCCCACCTCGTGTGTGTACTTTTCAAATGGGATGTGAACGTATAATATTGGCATTCAATCCAGTATATAATTATAGAATTTGGAAGACTTAGGACATTTTAGTCAGTGAATCTATATTTAGACTTTTCAAAGACATGGCACGTAAGGACACGTGGAGAAAATGTCCCACACAGATAACAGGATTTGTGATTTTGGCTTTGCTGTTTTATGATTAGCAAATATTGTTTGTATAGAGTGTCTGGGTGCCCTAAAAACACATGAAAATAGGTCAACTAAATCTCGTTTTAAAGAGAAAACCGGAAGAGTGAACACCACTCTAAAAATAGATTTTGGATGTGTTTGTTTTGGTGCCTTGTATATCTTAAAGTGGAGGATGTTGTTCAGCCCAATCTTTCATTTAGAATTTATGTCTCAAATGAGCCAGTGTATCATGTGGGCAGACTGGAAATACATTTAAATATTTTTTTTCTTCGCTGGTTGTTCAGAACTTGGTAGAATTATAATTATCAGGAAAACTCTCTCCAAATAGCTGGTCTTTTAGACAAGAGAAGAAAAAAGAAATAACTTCTTTTAAAAGGAGATGTCAACTTACAAAGTGTTTTGTTTCAGTCTCCACCAACCTAACTTGTCAGAGGAAAGGAACAGACTTTTTTTTTTAAAGGATCCAAAACGATATTTTGAGTCAAAAGAAGAAAAGGATATTAAATCTTTTGTTTTCACAATATCGATCTTTTTAAAGAATATTATTTTATATGTTAACCATATACTACCAGGAAACATCTAACAGCACTGACAGTTGGGAATTCGAATGCGTATTTTTCTCCCGTGTTAGTAATAGAAGGTACTGAGCCTTTTCCATTCTCTTGGTTGCCTTGTGCCTGAGGAATCTGAATTTGTGAAACAACATCTTTGTGGATATAGAAACTAATTTATGTAACACTTGGCTACAACCACCTGTGCTTACTTACGGACTATCTTTAGTTTTCATGGCGTGTTACCTTTTGGGTTAATTCAAATCCAAAATGTTGTTAACGGACTGCTAATTAAAGCATTTAGAACTTAGAATTACAGAATTATAGAGTAGGATGAGATAACAAAAGACTGGGGGTTATGACTTGACCAAGGTCACACAGATAATTTGCCAAAGAGCTTTCTTATTTATGAAATGGTTGCTGGCTAAGAAACATCTGTGTGTGATATGATTAAAAGACAATATTCGTTCACTTTTACATCTCATGTTTTGAAATAAAATGCAAAGCTCACTTTTTTGTTGTTTTGAGAAAAATTAAAGGGTTTAATGGGCTAGTATAAAGATTGTGAAGGCAGTAAGTAGACTGCCACATAGTAACGTCTTAAAGGGAAATAATTCTTTAAAGTATCAGACCCCATTTAGTTGAAATGAGTTTTGTCTGAAGTTTCCAAGTATGACCTATGCTTTTTCTTAGCTAATTTTTAGCAGGAGATGATGAGGGCTAAAAATTGAGACATTAGGGCATTTAGTTACATCTCTCAATTTGTGACTGGTTTATAAAAAATACTAAGATGTGTCTGCTAACTCACACCTGATTTATCTACTCCTTTTATGTATATATAATTTTTTTTGAGTTGTGTACCAAAAGTTGGAACATTTCAAGTATTTTTTCTTTCTGTCACTGAGTGATTTCATGTAGAACATTTACTGTTTTGTGTATTTTGAATAAATGGCAAAAATCTTATTAAACATTAGCTGTTAATAATTAGAAAAATACAGTAAGTCTTCAAATATTTATAATTGATATTTGTCTTTGTTTTTATATGTATTTATATTGATGTTATATGCTCATCTTTTTCTTTGATTAAAGATAATCGCTTGCTTGAATCTATTACCTGAAAAAAACTCTTGACTTTGATCTTGTGACTGACTTGAAAAGTGGGAGTATGAGTATTTTGAGTTGTTACAAATTATAAATGGTACAATATTACTTCATTTTTAGTTGTATTTATTTTTCACTTATTTGAATGGGTCAAGATTTAAATTCATTGATAATCCCTAAACCCCTTTGTGTATTTTTAAGTTTTACCTGTCACTGTTTTTTTCCTCCAGAATTGTTAGGGGCAAAGTATCTAATTTGGTTTTAGACTTTTTCTTTTTTTTATGTTACCTTCTTCATACATCATCATATTAAGTTTGGTGTAAAATTTACAGGTCATTCATTCCAGTAGGAATTATGTATGTTTGAGTTATTTATGTTTGGCAAATTAATTCTGGCCTGTAGTTGAAATCATACTGTTCTGTTTTACATCCCCCTATTGGTTAAAATAAAAGCATCCCTTCTCCTCCAACTTTAAAAAAACTTTGGTTTCAAATAATGTGGGAGTTTTCTGAGGGCTTCTTCACATGATTGTTATAAGTATTACATGTATGCCCTATTTTGTGCCCAGTTGAAATTATAGTTGACCATTGAACAAAGGTTTGAACCGTGTAGTTCCACTTATACAATACTTTTTTTTTCTGCCCCTGCCACCCCTGAGAGAGCAAAACCAATGTTTCTTTCTCGTCCTCCTGAAAAAGATGAAGGCCTTTATGATGATCCATTTCTACTTAATGAATGTAAACATATTTTTCTTCCTTATGATTTTTTTTTTTTTTGAGATGGAGTCTTGCTCTGTCATTAGGCTGGAGTGCAGTGGTGCGATCTTGGCTCACTGCAACCTCCACCTCCCAGATTCAAGAGATTCTCCTGCCTCAGCCTCCCAATTAGCTGGGACTACAGGTGTGCGCCACCATGCCCAGCTAATTTTTGTATTTTTAGTAGAGACGGGGTTTCACCATGTTGGCCAGGATGGTATTGATCTCTTGACCTCATGATCTTCCTGCCTCAGCTTCCCAAAGTGCTAAGATTACAGGCGTGAGCCACCGCACCTGGCCTCCTTACGATTTTTTAAATAATGTTTTCTTTTTTTTAGTTTATTGCAAGAAAACAATATATAATACAACATACAAAACATATATTAATCCACTGTTTATGTTATCAGTAAAGCTTCCAGGCAATAGTAGACTATTAGTAGTTAAGTTTTTGGAAACTCAAAAGTTTACATGGAATTTTGACTGCGCAGGGTGTAGACATTCTTAACTCCTCACATTGTTCAAGGGTCAACTGTATAAATTCTGAGAGTTAATAGGTGATGGGTCAGTTTGGCAGAATTGGGGCTACCTAAACCCATTAACTTTGATTATAACAGAATATGCAGTTTTCTTTTTTAATGTGTCTTCGGCAAAAGTCTAGGTAAATTAACATTGAATTCATTGTCTCTATTAAACAATTCCTGTAGTGACTTGTCAGTTTTGTATTTAACAAGATTAATATGCAAGACATTCTAGACCAGCATTGCCCAGTAAAGTAGCCACTAGCCACATGGAGTTATTGAGCACTTGACATGTATCCAGTCTGAATTAAGTTGTGCTGTAAGTGTAAAATACACACTGGATTTCAAAGAAGTATGCATACGCTTACCCAAGAACATAAAATATTACATTAACAATTTATATTGAAACATACTGAAGCAGTAATGTAGAAACGTTGGATTAAATAAAATATATTATTGAAATTAATTTTACCTGTTTCTTTCTATTATTATTTTTGTAGAAATGGGGGTCTCACCATCTTGCCCAGGCTGGTCTATAACTCCTAGGCTCAAGCCATCCTCCTGTGTCACTACCCACAAAGTGCTAGGATTACAGATGTGAGGCACCATGCCCTGCCTCTTTTTATTATTAATGTGGCTAATAGAAAATTTGAAATTGCATACGTGGCTTGCATCATATTTCTATTAGATAATACGTGACCTTTTCTGTGAGAGACAATACATTGTAGAAAGACATTTTTAAAGGTAAATTTGAATTTGAATCGCATCTCCCAATATTGATGGCTTTGACTTTGGGTAAGTCATTTAACTTCCTGAGCTTAGGCTTCCTCATTTGTGAAATAGGTATAGTCATATTTCACAGGGTTGTTTTGAGGATTCAGTGACATATGGATTTGGTAGTGTTTCACTAACTAATATATGTGAATCACTTGGAGATCTGGTTCTGTAGGTCTAGGGTGGCACTTAGGATTTTCATTTGTGAAGAGCTCCCAGGTAGTGCTGATAGTACTAGTTGGGAATCCCAGTTTGTTTGTATAGCTAGGATCTAGAGCATTATGTTAGTTTTAATTCATTTTCCTTCCCCAGCATTTATCCAGTTAGTCTGCACTTTGAAAAAATTATTCATGAGGATATAGAAATTGAAAAAGTCACCAAAGCATGCAAGATTTACTAAAATTATATGAACTGTGGACTCTTAGGGCTGCTGTAGGATTCCTGTTTACATCTGTTAAGTTTTTTGTCTGCTTTTATCTGGAGTCACTTTTATTGGTTGCATAAGATGGCTAAATCTCAGCCAAGAAGAACCTGGTTGTGTTGTTCTACGCAAATGTATTTTTGAAAGATAATGCATAATGAGAGGTGAAATAAAAGAATGCTCAAAGACAATAAGAGGGCAGTACAATTGACCCTTGAGCAACATGGGGTTAAGGGTGCCAACCCCTTGCACAATTGAAAATCTGAGTATAAGTTTTGACTTCCCCAAAATTTAACTACTAATAGCCTACTGTAAAGTCAGTTAACACGTTGTTTGTTATATGCATTACATACTATATTCTTACAATAAGCTAAAGGAAAATAAATTCCTAAGGAAGAAAAAATACATTTACAGTACTGCATTTACCGATACTGTGTTTATGTTACCTGTTTATAAGGTGTCTGTCTGAAATGATGGGTAACTGCAGCTGCAGACCCATCTAGGGTGTGTACCAGGTAATTTAACTTCTTGTAATGGCATGACTTCTTGGCTTCTTGGGAGCACTTCTAGCATCACTAGTGGCACTTCACATGGGTCCCATGGTGTTATTCAAGGTTTATGGTATTGTACTAAACATGATGAAAAATACACAAGAACAAGAGATTACATTTTACTCCAATACATGCAGAGATGATTAGTGTCCACAGCATTTTAAGTGGAAATTCATAATAGCAACAGGAAATTATTACAGTATGTACTACAATTAATTTTATACAGCTATGATTCATACTGCATCTTTACATTTGTTTAAATTTCTTGTACCACCTCAAGTGGCACCATATGTGTCTGTGTTTACTAAGTTTTGATACACTTTAACTTCTTATAATTTCTCTATATTTTATAATACTAAATGATAAAATAGACTATATATGTTTTATGCATTCATAATATACCTAATTTTTTCTTTTCCTTTTTTTGATGTTTCAAGACTACATGATTCATCTGCAAGTTTTTTCAAATTGTCACAAATCTCCAAAAAAATTTCCAACATATTTATTGAAAAAACTGTATGTATATAAGTCAACTTGTTCATTTCCAACCTGTGTTGTTGAAAGGTCAGCTGTATGAGGTTATCGTCAAAGATCTTTAAAGAAAGAAATGACATCATCAATATTTTGAAAATTAGAGAAAGCCATTTCTAAAGGAATCCTAGAAATGACTTCAGGCCAGAATTAGAAAAAAAAAAATTGAAGAAATAGGCTAAATAAATATGTCTTTGGCTGTGTTCTTTTGAAAATGGCATTAATGTATAGAAAGATACTCGAATGTGAGTTATGGTCACTGATACATTCTTTTGTTTACTGCTGAACATAACTGGACTAGAGGAGTGTAATGAGGGCAAGGATGTTCTTTCTGTTGAAGGAGAAAGTTTATATTGATGGAAAGTCATTATTCATAGATACTTTGCTGTTATTTCAGTACTATTAAGTAAATAGTTCTCTGCTCCTGGGTTTGTGTGTGTGTGTGTTTTCTTTATAAGGGGCTTTTTCAAATAATTTTGCTATTGATAAGTTACTTGAATTTAATCATTAGTCTTCAAATAAGGAAAGCAGAATGAGAGAATGCATCTCCTTGAATTAACCAGATTTTTTTTTAGTACCTTTGTTCTAGTGGATATGTAGCAAAGCTTTTACTTTAATATTTGTGGCTATAGCTTTATTTCAGCTATGTGAAATAGTTTTATAGGAAAGATCACAGCTTATTTGGGTGTTCAAATATGGGTTCTTTAGAGGATTTTTTTGTACTTATTTTGAAGCTGCTTTGTTTCAGTTAACTTAGATTCCTTTAAGAATCAACTTTTGTTTCAGAGATAAAATATTTATGGATAAGACCTAAGTAAAGTAAGTGAATAGAGAGGAATAAATTAGATTGGTTACAGATAATGTGTAAATGCATTCAGGAGATAAGGAGAATTAGAAACAAGGACATTTTTTGTGTATTTCTTAGGAATAAAATGGTACCTTCTACACATCTCAATTATTAAAGTACAAATAGTGATTGAACGAAATTTTTAGAAGAAATGTTTTAATTGAATCTTCACACTAGAGGTTTTACCATTCAATCAATTAGGTTCTGAGAAGGATGGATTGGTACATCTTAAAAGACTTGTAAGATAGCGAAGGATAGGCAGTGCTAATGACCAACAGCAACACTCAGCAGGACTTTGTGGACCAAAAAACTTCAAGTTAGAATTGTGGGTAAAGGCTGGGCATGGTGGCCCTCACCTGTAATCCCAACACTTTGGGAGCCTGTGGTAGGAGCATCACATGAGGCCAGGAGTTTGAGGTTTAAGTTACCTGCAGTCATACCACTGGACTCCTGCCTGGTTAACAGACGCTGTCTCTTAAAACAAAACAAAACAAAAGAATTGTGGGTAAAGTAAGAGCAAATTGACTTTTGAGTGATGGTCCGAAAACCTTTGTGATGGGTAAAGGGTAGAATGTCTGTATAATTTTTCTGAACTGGAACACTTGTTGGGAGACCAAGGGCAAACTGGATAGATGCTGGGCTGACCTATGTGGTCATCCTAGTGAAGAATCATAAGCTTTATTGGGGAAAGAGCTTTGTGAAGCTGTTTTGGCTGTTCAGAAACCCATCTTGGTTTATGCTTAGATTTTTATCTCCATTTTGGAGAATTCATTGACAATGAACAATAGCTGGGTAAATGATTTGCTTGCCAAAAGATACAAAGATGGGTTGAATTTTATATTTGTAAATGTAGGAACTCCTTTAGATTTTAAGTTATATAAAGCAAGGATTAGAACTTAGATATTTTTATGTATCTTACAGATTCCAGCTTGAGTTCACAATTAGAACTCAAGTGTTGTGTTATTTGAATAAATCTAATCCTTTGATATTCTGTTCCTCACAATAGTTACTTTTAGGAGTTGATTTTTCATTCATCCAAAAAATATCAGTTCAACAAAAATTGATTGACAATTTACTAGCTATTTAAAGATATAAAAATCTCCCTATCTTCAGGGGATTCATGATTTCACAGAAGAGTCAGACTTCACAAATGAATTGAAATTAGTGCATGTGATAAATTCCGTAATAGAAAAACATACAAAACATAGAGGAGAGAACAGTTAACTTTCTGGAGGTAGTCAGAGAAAATGGTAGAGATAACCATTTCTGTGTAATATATTAAAGAACAAATAGGCATTCATAAGCTGTAAAAGGGAATAGATCGTACCAGGCAGGAGGAAATACAGAGCTACAAAGGGAGGTTTGCAGGACTATGAGTAATTTTATACAACTAGATTATTAATCTATGGGTGGTTGTTGAAGATAAAAAAGACTAGAGACTAATTATTTACAGTTTAGATCTTTAAAACCTTTTAATGTTGTCCTAAGGAGCTTTGTCTTTATTGTGTAGGCTGAGGACCCAATATTGTGCTTCACATATGGAAGAAACCTGGTCCATTTTGCCTTTTAAATATATCAGTCAGTCCTAGCTACTTGGGAGGCTGAGATGGGAGGATCGCTTGAGCCAAGCAGTTTGAGGTTTTAGTGAGCTATGATCATGCCACAGCATTCTAGCCTGGGAAACAGACTGTAGAGTGAGTGTATGTGTGTGTGTGTGAGAGAGTGAGAGAGAGAGAATCTCACTCAAAGGCTTAATAAATGAGGGTGATACTGACACAAGATAATCAGGCTGAACAATAGTCCAGGTGAGAGTTATGTAGGTTTAAACTAGGGCACTAGCAATGGGTAGAGAGTACAGGATAGATTCCAAAGGGATTAGGAATAAAAGTTGACAGAATTTATGGTGTGGTTGGTTGGGGTGGGGGAGCAGGGGGCTGTGTGGTGAGAGAAAGGACTTTCTCTTTTTCTCCATGAACACAAAGTAGTTAAGACATGAAACCTGAGATGTCATATTGTAAGAATTATGCAGAAATGGGGGTTTGTAAAATGTGTGTATATGAGATAAAGATATGAGGGGGCCAAGGGTTCTGTTAAGAAGTAAAAAAGATTGGGTTCCAGAATGGGCAGGAAAGGAAATGAGATCAGGAACTGGATAAAGGAAAGGAGATGGTCAAGAGATGGTAGGTCCCCATGAAATTGAAGAGCAGGTGTGGGAATGAGTAGGCTGGAAGAACCAGAGCTTGTGATCTGAGAGTCGGATTAAGATTTCAGAGAGGCAGCAGTTTAGGTGACAACTAGCTTTAAATGTGATTATAATATTTGGTTGCTGGAGAGTAGATTAATTTCTTCAAATTTAGGATTTAAGGAACTGAAAATTGAGGATGGTGTTTCTCAGATTGTATTTGAAGGACTAAAGCATGAGTACCACCTGGGGTGAGATTCCTAGGTTTAAACCTATGTCTACTGGCCTAGAATTTCTAAGGAAAGGGGCTGAGAATATGTATTTCTAACAAGCAATTTCAGTGATTCTGATGAATAGAAGTTGGGACAAGTTTAAGAACCTGTGCAATAGGTGTTGGATGGTTCATTTTCAAGGCTATTTAAATAGGCTGATAGTCATGTCAGGAGTTAGGATGAAGAGGATGATCAGTAGTGAAAAGATGACATTAATCCCTTACAGGTGGTGAGAGAGCAGTTTTAGGGGATTATGGGGTATGTTAAAGTCAGTGTGATAGAGACTTGAAAGAAAAAGTAATGATGTTGGAGCAGTAAATTGTCTCCTCCTGTCCTATATATAGGGAGTGTATGAAAATGTGCAGTTTTCTGTTTGGCGTAGGCTGCAGCAAGGAAATGAACATAGCCTTCTTTGATGCCATTGAAGTTGTAGGCTCCTTGAAGTTGGTGAAAGGGTTGAGAGGAAAGTCAAAATAGTGGAGTCCATTTCATCTAAAGTCAGAGTAAAACAAAAAGGTTACTTAGAAACCTTGTTTAGTCAGTATATTAGGCAGTGTTCTCTAGGGGGACAGAACTAATAGAATATATATATGAGTTTATTAAGTATTAGCTTACACGATCACAAAGTCCCACAACAGGCTGTCTGCAAGGAGCAAGGAGAGCTAGTCCGAGTCCCAAAACTGAAGAACTTGGAGTCTGATGTTCGAGGGCAGGAAGCATCCAGTACAGGAGAAAGATGTAGGCTGGGAGGCTAGGCCCATCTTTCTTTTTCACATTTTTCTGCCCGCTTTATATTCACTGGCAGCTGATTAGATTGTGCCCACCAGATTAAGGGTGAGTCTGCCTTGCCCAGCCCACTGACTCAAATGTTAATCTCTTGGCAACACCCTCACAGACACACCCAGGATCAATACTTTGTATCCTTCACTCCAATCAAGTTGACACTCGGTATTAACCATCACAGTCAGTTACTTTTGAAAGTTCTCTGATTTTAAAACAAATTGTTTGTTCTGTTAAACATTTGGTAGGATAAGTCAGCTTGTATTTAGGGGCCACATAATGGCATTAAGAATATGTTTCTTTAAACACTAGAATCTTAAGATACCGTAGGGAGATAGATGCCCATAGTATGAGAGCCACATGGAAATAAAAGAAGATTGAAGTCTCCTCTATCTTGTGTTTACTGTGAGATCTATCATTTCTTTAGTTATCATGTGTTCTTGATTATTCTGTGTAATATGATGTGCGTCCTGTAGTGGACATGGTGAGGTGGAGATGGAAATACTAAATGAGAAGAAAGAAGATTAATGACTGAGATGGTACAGGTTTTTAAGAGTACAATTCCATGTAGTTAATTTCATTTACAATGTTATGCAACTATCACCATTATAGATTTTCCACAACTTTTTTTTAGCATTACAAACAGAAACTCTGTACCCATTAGGCAATAACTCTCCACTTTCCTTCCTTCACTCTCTGGTAACTTCTGATACCTTCTGCTTCTATGAATTTGCCTATTCTTGATATTTCATGTAAGTGGAATCATACTTTTCTGTATGTGGCTTATTAGTATGTTTTCAAGGTTCATCTATATTGTAGCACATATTTCTTTTTATTACTGAATAATGTACTGTTGTATTTATAGACCACATTTTGTTTATCCATTCATCTGTTGGTAGATACTTGAATTGTGTCCACCTTTTGCCTAATATTTCCGCAGTGAATATTGGCATACAAGTGTCTGAGAACCTCTTCAATTCTATTGCTATATCCCTGGGAGTGGCATTGCTGTGTTAGCTTTTTGAGGAAGCAACAAATTATTATTCACAGCAGCTACACCCTTTTACCTTCCTACCAGCAGTTTTCAAAGGTCCTATTTTTCTACATCCTCACCAACACTTATTATTTTTCCCTTTAAAAAAGTTGTAGCCTCCTTATAGATGTATCATTGTGATTTTGATTTACATTTCCCTAATTACTAATAATGTTAAGGATCTTTTTGTGTGTTTATTGGCCATTTGTGTATCTTCTTTAAGTTCTTTACTCATTTTTTGCTCACTTTTTAATTGGTTTGTCTTTGTTGTTGAGCTGCAGTTCTTTACATATTCTGGATATTAAACCTTTATCAGATACATGATTTGCCAAGATACTCTCCCATTCTGCAGTTTGTCTTTTTATTTTCTTAACAGTGTCTTTTGATGCACAAAAATTTTAAACTTATATAAAGCCCAATTTATTTCCTATGTTTCTCATGCTTTTGATGTCATATCTAGGAATCCATTGCAAATCTAAGGCCATGAAGATTTGCTCCTGTGTTTTCTATTAAGAGTTTTATGGTTTTATTTCTTATATTTAGGTTATTGATTCATTCTGAGTTAACTTTTATATATAGTATACGGTAGAGGTCCAGCTTAATTATTTTGCATGTGGAAATCCAGTTGTCCCAACAACATTAGTTAGAGGTGCCTGTTTTCCCCCATTGAGTAGACTTGACACCCTTTTGGAAAATCAGTTGGCTATTGATGTATGAGTTTATTTCTGGACTCTCAATTCTATATCATTGGTGTATTTATCTGTCCTATGCCAGCACCAAACTGTCTTGTTACCTTAGCTTTGTAGTAAGTTTTGACATTGGATTTTTCAAGATTGTTTGGGTTACTTAGGGTCCTTTGCAATTCCATATGAATTTGAGGATTGCTTTTCCATTTCTGCAAAAAAGGTTGTTGGAATTGTGATAGGAATTATGTTGAATCTGTAGATCACTTTGGGTAGTATTGTCATTTTAATATGTTAAGTCTTCCAATCCATACATCACTTGTCTATTTACTTAGCTCTTCTTTAATTTCTTTCAGTAATGCTTTATAGTTTTCTGTGTACAAGTCCTTCACCTCCTGGGTTAAGTTGATTCCTGGCTATTTTATTCCCTTAGTTACTTTATGAATGAACTGTTTTCTTGATTTCTTTTTTGGATTGTTGTCTCCTGGTGTATCAGAACACAACTGATTTTTTTGTGTGTCAAACTTGTAACCTGCAACTTTGCTGAATTTGTTTATTAGCTTTCTTGGGGATTCTATGAGATCTTCTATCTAGAGAGAATAGACATAGTTTTACTTCCTCCTTACCCGTCTGTATGCCTTTATCTCTTTTCCCTAATTTGCTCTGCTAGAACTTACAGTCATGTTGAATAGCAGTGGTAAAAGCATGCATCTTGTCTTTAATTTTTCCCACTTTTAAGATAAAGTTTTCCACTGAATTTTTTGAAAGGATTATACATAATTAACTGATTCTCTTGATCTTAATTACTCTTTTTTTCTTTTGCAGCACAAAGAATGAACCAGCAGTGGAAGAGAAAATACTGTAAGCTGGCTGACTGCTGGTGAAGAAAATGCTTTATTTTTGTGGCAGGCATCTGTGGGATCTGTAATAGAAATGTAAGTGTAGCATCATGGTTTTTTTCAGTGCTGCAGTAAATTAAATGGATTGGTTTAACGTGTGGTAAATTGAGTATCTGTCATATGTAGTTTTAATTATATTAAATGAGCATTTTCTTTTGACTTATAGGTGCTTTATTAACAATTTATTTACATTAAGTTATCGTTAATGTAGATTTCCAAGTCTCCTCAAAAGGAAAAGTCTCTATAAGAAAAACTGAAGACACAGGAGTTTGCTCAAAGAATGCTGAAATAGATCTCCAGGTCCTCTGGGTTCTACCTTCTTTTTACATAATAATTTTCTTAAATAACTAAGCTAGGCAAGTAGTACTAGCTTTTGTAAATAAGACAGACTACTAGGTTATAAAAACTCTAGTTACTAAAAACTTGTTTCACTAAATTAAAGGAATTTCTACATAATTGATTTTTTTAATGTAATAATACATCACTGCATTTTATTCATATCACTTCACTCTGATCCCCAGTTTTACTAGTTGTGCTTTCATCATTTATCTTTGCATGATATGCTTTAAAGTGTTACACACTACCTTGGATTTGTCCATATTTAACTTCACCGTATTGATGAAACATTTTTCACTATGAATATATTTCTGTTTTCTAAATTCATATAAGCCCTATGCAACTTGATGTCATTCATGAAAAATGTAGTGAATATTTTATTGACTTTTAATTACAGTGTTTTTCTTATTAGAGCAAGAGTGACCTTGGTAGATGCTATTTCACATTTTCCCAGTTTGACATAAAACTCTTGCTTTCTACTCTTCCAGTATGATACTGGTTACATGTAATGATATGTATTAACAATAATTAATTTATTATTAAAAGTATGACCATATTATTTTTATTCAGTATTGAAAATTTGATAATTGAAAAATGATACTAATAAGCATTTGTCTTTAAAAATATATATTTTATTTAATCCTGTCCATTTATCTATCTGTATACATTTTTTAAAATCTTAATAGGTCAGATAGTCTAGGTGCTGGTCATCAAGGAACTTACTGTGATCCAGTAAATGAGACATGTATGTAATTAACAAACAGTGGAATAGATGCCATATTAAGGTAACAATCAGATGCTATTGAAACTGAACAGAGGAAGAGATTAATTTCATCTGAAGGGTTCAGAATGAACAGAATAAGTTTCACCTTGCCTTCAAAGAATGAGTAGAATTTTAACAGTCAAAGAAAATTAGGAAATATTTTTCAAGCCAAGGGAATGAGGAGGGAAACAGCTGCCTAATCATCAACACATTTTAGAGGAGTCAGGGAACAGTAATATGTGGGAAGGCAGGGTAGGAGAAAGAGACTTCAAAATAAGTGCAGGGAGTGAACATTTATTTAGTACTTACTATATTACCAGATTTTACATTTATTTAACATACAATCAATCTTAATTGATTTTGATACTTAGGGACAGAGTATATTGATCAGTCTTGGAGGAGTTAGGGGACAGTACTTACTAGATGTTGAGGGGTTAGCTTTGTAAACAAGTAGCAGTACCCCATATTGAGCCAGGAGGAATAATGATAAGACAGTAAAGGTAAAGATAGATTTTCAGGATTTATTTTTGACTTACCTAATTTCTCAGTGATACAGGTGTTAGTATATCGATAAACTAGGAGGGAGAAGTTTTATGATAGTCTCTGGGGAATAGGGAAAGAAAGATGTCTTGGCCGAGTAAAAGTTTACTGGGATTGATGGTGTTTAGGAAATCAAAATAGCTATTAAGTGTGTGGGGTTCACAACTTTTGCACCACACAAAAGTGAATTGTATGGTGAAATTTTTGTCACTTAGAGTAACTTGCTTGATTATTCTTTTTTGCGAATGTCTCCCTTGTTGGCTTTTGTGGTGGTGGTCTATCTTTATTTCCTGTTCTTCTCTGACCATTCCTTACACCCCTTCCTGGCTATTTTACCTCACAGATATTGGAGTAATTCAAGATTCTGTGGTTGGCCCTTTTGACTGCTCTCTCTACAGGTTTAATTTGGGCATTTACTCATTTTCATGGCTCCAAGGACCATGTATGTGTTGGTGAGTCACCAGACTTTTTTCAGCTCAGATTTATTCTTGGAGTATCAAACTAGTAAATTCAGCTGTCATCTACCTATCTCCACCTGGAGACCTTAATAAAGTCATTATGTCTGAGACAGAACTCTCCTCAAATTCTGAATTTTGGTGAATGTGTCACCATCCATCAGTAATCAAATGCTTTCATTTCTTTTTCCTTAGCATTCTTCTATTCTATTGTTGGAAACTTACATCAGCAACCTCCCTCTAATTATCTTATACTTGCATTACTACCTGGATATTCTAGTTTCCCTTTCGCCATACCTCCTCCTGCATTACCAAACTTTCCTCCAACCTGCTGTTCAAATGGTCTGGAAGCTACTAAACTGGCTGTTATTTCCTGACGTAAAACCTTTCAGTGAACTCCTCTTGTCTCATTAGTGGTTCATATGTGGACCAGCTTCATAGAAATCCTTAAGCCCCTTGAAATTATATGTAGGATTGTTCCCTTTTTGTGTGTCTGTAATTGGATTCTAAATTCAGACTTTAAAAATCTGATTTTTAATATTTGGAGTTTTTATTGCAAGCTAAAAATTTCTTGAATACTACACATACTAAAGATCTTTTTTGCTTATAATAATTTTGCCTTTCATTTGACTAGTTGTCCAAGAAGTTTCAAGGAAATCTGAGTTCTTGGAGATTTCCACTAACTCTGCCCATACCCCTCTATATTTTGTCTTCTTGAGAAGAAGACTTAGTATTAATAGACTCTTATTAGTCTGGCAGAAATATTTCACATGGTTTATCTATTGGAAGAAGGGGATTTATACTTAAAAGTTGGAATATCACATGAAGAATTCAGTAAAAACGTCTTTGAAAGTAAATGATGTATTATACTTATTAATAGAATTGGACTAACGTCACTCCAAATTTCTGTGTATTAAATTCTTAGTTTAGTAAACTGGAAATAAATTCCCTTTTTCAAAATTAGAATTTTCTGAGACATTTATGAGATAGGGAATACCTCTTTTGATTAGCATTAATACTTGCTCTACACAAAGGGAGGGGAAAAGCTTTCTTATTTACATATTGGTATGATCATCTGCATACATTTAGTCTCCCACCTATTTTAAGATCATTGGAACTGCAAAACAGAGACTGTGTAGGGTAGATTAAAATGGTTTTTTAAAAAGCCTTGAAGTATGTCTTATAGGTAGACTAGCAGTTTGGGGTTACTTTGTGTCTATCTTGTTACACATTTTATCTCTATCTTACTTATTGCATGTGCCTCATTCAGAATTAAATAAGAAATATCACTAAGTTTTTCTGCCCATTTGTTAGTTGGTGATAGACTAACAGTATACTTGATGGGCTAAACAGAATCAGAATTTATAAATTGCTATGGCAAATTGATAGTTAAGAGTGCTTCAGATGAAATAATGACCATTTAGCTGTCTGGTGTCCATTGTTTGCAGATTAACTTTGTCCAACTTCACTTCATTCTGATGATGGAACCAAAATACCTGCACAAACAGGATTGTTTTGCCTTTCCAATTATGTTATTATAATTCATGCCTTCTCCTGGGATGATTGTAATTGCTTTCTTAGTTTTGAAATTATGTGTTTTGGTTTATTCATAAATGCAAGAGTAAGAGTCATGCAAAATATTAATCATATTAAGTAGGGTGGAGGATAATGTTTTTAGGTTGGAAACTTTTTTTTCTGTAGATAAACGAGCTGTATGTGATGGAAAACTGACTTCTTGGGCCCATTTTACTTAAAGCAAATACAATAGGTTTGGAATTATGTATTTAAAAGCATGGCATTGGTCCACGTGACATGTTGGGTGTCTTGTTTTCATTTTACCAGACTCTGTTTTTATTTATGTTTTCAGTTTATGATCCTGTCCTTTGTTCATAAGGTACTTAGATGGTTTAAGATGTAGACTTCTTATATGAAGATGTTGCTGTTGTTTTTCCAAAGTAATGGTGGTCATCAGCCCATTTTTCTATTTAGTCTCATGAATAGAATCATGAGTAGAATCTTTCTTAAATTATTACTTGTAAATGGATCACTTTCTTGTTTTCTTTTTCTTAATTGGAGCTTTAAATAAATATGGAACTTGGAACAAAAAGATTTTCAGGAATTTTATGGAAACTAACTTTTTTGACCTAAATCGAAAGGGATGAAAGTTTCTGAAAACCTAACAAAATGTGTGCACAGCCAATTCTTTTAGGGGAGGAAATAGGCAGGGAATGTGTAATTGGCTATTTTAAAAACATATGCCTTCTTTTGTAACTTATTGTTGTTTCAAGTTACAAGATCTTTGAAGGCAAGTGTTTATCTCAAAATATTTGAAAGCTTTTATAGTGCTTAACATACTAAGACGTCCTATTAGGGTTTACTTAGAACAAGCTTATCCAACTTGTGGGCCACATGTGGCCCAGGATGGCTTTGAAAGCGGCCTAACACAAATTCATAAGCTTTCTTAAAACATTATGTGATTTTTTTTTTTAGCTTATCAGCTATCATTAGTGTTAATGCATTTTATGTGTGGCCCAAGACAATTCTTTTTCTTCCAGTGTGGCCCAGGGAAACCAAAAGATTAGACACCCCTGACTTAGAACTTTCCATAGGTTAGGAGAAAGTTGTACTTTCTTGATGTCTATAACCTAGAATTTCTGGTAAAGGAATTGATTGGAAATGTTATTAAAAGTTGAAAATAATTTGGAAATTAAACATTTTAGTGATCAGTTCTTCCATTGAGACTGTGTTGGTTCCTTTACTAGATATGTGCCATCTTTTTAAAAACTTACTGTGTTGCTTCCTTTACTAGAAAATTGCCATCTTTTTGAGCCTTGTCTATTGAGGAACCAAGAACACAGAAAAGGCAGTAAAAAGAAAAAAAAGGATTGTTTGAAGATTGAATGTGCTGTGATGATAGCCTAGGATTATTGTTTTTCAATTTTTGATGAGCGTAAGCATTCTTGTTGACTATATCTTTTGTAACTACTGACCCATTTAGAATGGCAGAATTAGCTGGCAGAGAGATTGTCATTCATTTTAAGCTTTCAATCTCTGACATCTTCATCTTTATTTCTCAGTCTTTTTTACTTATCAGTGGTTTACTCCATTATTTTCTCCCCTTTTAAAATGTCTTTTTTTTTTTTTTTTTACCATGGGGAAAAAAATTAGATGTTTCCTTGGCAGGGCACAATAACACAATAAGGCTTTCATGACTTAACTTTTGATTACCTTTACACCTTCATCTCCTGCTCTTCCATTGCTTGTATGACTATTTGACTCAGTGTCTTGCATGTGCTTCTGCCTGGAATCTGCTCCACTGCCCAGCCCCTCTGAATGAACACTAAACTTTCTAACCTATGTCCATCCTCTCATCTCTCTCTTACTGTTATTTTAGTAAGTATGTTAACACATTTTGATTACGCAGGAATCAGGCCATATTGTAATTATCTGCATGTATGTTTCCTTATTTAACAGAGTAGTTGTGTGTCTTATTTATCTTTAGACCCATCAGTACTTAGTATTGTATCTGGAACATGGCAGGTGTTTAGTAAATGTTTATCTGAATCAATAAGGCAGAAATTATAAATTTTATGTCAGTGTTTAAGCTAGATACATCCAATTTGACAAATCTTTTTTCTTCTTCCTCTTCAGGGGATCTTCAATATTCATGTTATTTTCTCCTTTGGTCTTATATGATTGTTACCTTTATGAAGCTTTAGTGATTACAAAGCACTTTTTTTGTCCATTTTTACCTGAGCTTTGTAAACTCTGATTTGCAGGTAAGGAAATTTAGACTAATGGTTTAACTGAGTGCCTAAGAGCACATAATTAATAAAGGACTCTAAAACTCAGATTTTTAGATTTCTTGTCTAGCATTCATTTCACTGTATAATAGCTGCCATGATTCAAGGTATCCTTTTCCCCTCACTGGATGCAGCTTTTCATTATATAGTTCTTCAGTGTGTTTCTCCAGGGCTGATCTGTTAAGTGCACTGATGGAATTTTTATACATTCCCAAGGTATGTACAAGTAGATGCTTACAAAAAATTTTCATCGGTTGGAGAGTTTTTCCTCTACTTTCATCTTCATATCCCCATTGTCTAGTATGTGGCTTGCATATAATGCACATCATAGGTGGTTAGTGTTTTCATAATTGTTAAATTAAGATATTGCAAGAATTAAAACATGACTTTAATATTATATGTATTTTTTCTTAGGATGGCTGGCTGTGGTGAAATTGATCATTCAATAAACATGCTTCCTACAAACAGGAAAGCGAACGAGTCCTGTTCTAATACTGCACCTTCTTTAACCGTCCCTGAATGTGCCATTTGTCTGCAAACATGTGTTCATCCAGTCAGTCTGCCCTGTAAGCACGTTTTCTGCTATCTATGTGTAAAAGGAGCTTCATGGCTTGGAAAGCGGTGTGCTCTTTGTCGACAAGAAATTCCCGAGGATTTCCTTGACAAGCCAACCTTGTTGTCACCAGAAGAACTCAAGGCAGCAAGTAGAGGAAATGGTGAATATGCATGGTATTATGAAGGAAGAAATGGGTGGTGGCAGTACGATGAGCGCACTAGTAGAGAGCTGGAAGATGCTTTTTCCAAAGGTAAAAAGAACACTGAAATGTTAATTGCTGGCTTTCTGTATGTCGCTGATCTTGAAAACATGGTTCAATATAGGAGAAATGAACATGGACGTCGCAGGAAGATTAAGCGAGATATAATAGATATACCAAAGAAGGGAGTAGCTGGACTTAGGCTAGACTGTGATGCTAATACCGTAAACCTAGCAAGAGAGAGCTCTGCTGACGGAGCGGACAGTGTATCAGCACAGAGTGGAGCTTCTGTTCAGCCCCTAGTGTCTTCTGTAAGGCCCCTAACATCAGTAGATGGTCAGTTAACAAGCCCTGCAACACCATCCCCTGATGCAAGCACTTCTCTGGAAGACTCTTTTGCTCATTTACAACTCAGTGGAGACAACACAGCTGAAAGGAGTCATAGGGGAGAAGGAGAAGAAGATCATGAATCACCATCTTCAGGCAGGGTACCAGCACCAGACACCTCCATTGAAGAAACTGAATCAGATGCCAGTAGTGATAGTGAGGATGTATCTGCAGTTGTTGCACAGCACTCCTTGACCCAACAGAGACTTTTGGTTTCTAATGCAAACCAGACAGTACCCGATCGATCAGATCGATCGGGAACTGATCGATCAGTAGCAGGGGGTGGAACAGTGAGTGTCAGTGTCAGATCTAGAAGGCCTGATGGACAGTGCACAGTAACTGAAGTTTAAATAAAAATGTCTTCAGCTCCATGCTCAAGGTTGAAAGGGTTACCTGTAAATTTCTGCCCACATAACATTATACTCATCCCTAGTAGTGCATTTTGGGAGTTGGGGTGGGAAGGGGTATGGGAAGGATAGACTCATAATTAAAATGTCTAACATGTCTCTGTTGAGAAATTTATTTAATGTAAGGAACTTGGGTGTTAATAGTTGAGAGCTGTTTAGTAATAACCCAGTTTTCTTGAGGTCTGTTTACTTTATACTTTTTAAAAACTTCTGTAGTTCTTTTGGCCAGTGTGTTTGTATTATCTGTGCATTAATGGTCCTCATCTGACTCCTGCATTGTGTCTTATTTTTCTGCATGGATTGGCATAAGACCATTACTAAAATTTGGCACCTGTGAGATGTTTGATATTATGAACAGGAAACATAATTTAATGTATGAATAGATGTGAATTTGGGATTTCAAAATAGATGAATAACAACTATTTTATAGTAAAGTTATTGAAATGGAAATGAAAACAGCCAGTAACTTATGTTTCAGAATGTTTGTAACACACTTCATGGTGTTCCCATAGGCTTTGCTGTCTAGTCTTATAGTTTGAGGTTTTTTTGGTCTGCATTTTTCTTTTTGATTACAAAATTTATAATTTAATAAATACTAGAGTTTATCAAAAACAGTTTGTCTCTTGTTTGAGGGTGGAAAGGGTGTGGAAACATTTTGACATTTGTGACCAAAGGTCACTTAAAAAGTGGTGGTTTTAATTGGTTGTTTTCAGCTTAATCACCTGCTCAGAAAAGTTTGATTTTTTTCTTAGAGATTATTTAAACAGAATCTATAGGCAGTGTGTATATAATAAACATGTATGGAAATAAAACTAAAGCCTGTGAGACTTAAAATTCCTCAAATAGCATATACCGTTAATATTTTATATTTTCCTTACCATATTCATTAGTAGTCTAACACTCTGGATTAAATGGCAGACTTAACGGTGTTAGCAGACATGAATTCACTTTACACAAAATGTTGTAGACCACAAAATCCACTTTTATTTGGTAGTTTTTACATCTATGGCCAAATAGTATTGGGTTGACACAGTAATCTAGAGTTTACCTCTGAAAAAAAGTAATGTGAGTCTGTCTAACCATATTTTCCTAACTCAACAGTAGGATCATGATGGTAAGGCAAATGCAAGTTATTTTTACCATGATTCTCAAATGTGAATTGAATGTTACAGTAGCAAATACTTTTGACCTCTTGTGATGAGTCAGAACTAGAACTTAATTCTTTGACTTTCACATTTTTTAAAAAGTGTATTGCTGGGATCATAAACATTTTATGTTGTGCATTTTTATTACATTTACTTTTGAAAGATAGTTGTTAGAAGGTTAGTTGTTTTTCAGGAAAAAAAAGAAATCTGATGTAAAAATGCAAATTTATGTTGCAGGATGCTTCATGAGTCCCTTCAAGTGGTTTAAAACTACATCAACAGTAGTTGTTTATTACTAGTTGGAAATTCCAGGGCACACAAATGAATGTCCAATTGTAGAATCAGTTGACTTTCCATGTCATGGCTACCACTGTTTAGTAGGTAATTTACAATAGAAAACTAATTATTGAAAAGAACAAAGTTCCAAATTTGTAGTGGGTAGTGAGGTACATCTTTTTTTAAATGAAGGGCCATTTCCCATGAATTTTACTCCAGCTGTTTGGAGCAGAAGAAAATGATTGATCATACCCTTTCTTGTTTTCTTGTTCCCTGATACCTCCCCACTTTTGTTCTTTAGCAGCAACACTCAGTTATTTTGGTAAATTATTTCCAGGTAAAACAGAACAAAAATTGTATGAAAAGTAACGCCAGGAATAGGTTTTGTATAGAAGCTCTCCTTTTAAACACTGCTCTTTGGTTATAAGCTAAGAATTATTATTGGAATTGACAGCAATAATTTTTAAGCCAAAAGTGTATATTTTAGCTAAATGTTCCAGATTACGCAGTAAATACCCAAGTGAGTAATTGGCAAGAAATGAGGTAAATGAGTTCAGATATTCAAATGATTAAAAGTAAGTCTGCATATTAATAGTAGCCTTCAAAGTAATTCTGATGTTCATATTTAATATCATTTAACATTTATACATATTAGTCACTGGAGCTTTACTTGGAGTACATCCACACGAAAAACCAATTATTTATTAAATTTTCCTTTCTTAGCAATAGCCTCTAAATTTGCAGGCCCACCCCAAACTGTTCCTAAAAGATCTCTTTCGTTCTGTAATGCTTCCTCCAAATATAGCTCTCTGCCTGAACAAACAGATTTTTTCAAAGCTCTAATTACTTCCGGTGGCCCTTGGATGAATTGCTTTAGCCATTCTTGTGCCTCTTCTAGAGATTTAGTTTCATCTGAAGACTGCAAGACCTCTTCAACCATTCCTATGTTTAGAGCATTTTTTGAATCCAGTTTAAGGGCCCCACTCAACACTTTGAGAGCTTGTCTACTTCCGATTATTTCAACTAGCCGGGTGGTGCCACCCCAGCTTGGTATTATGCCCATCTCTTTGTGGACGAATCTGATCTTACTCTCTGGAGTCATTAACCTGTAAAAGAAAAAAGAAAAGCTTAATTGTAACTCTCTCTGTATGCTCTAATCATAAAGTACTATCCATTCATGATCTGATGTGAATTCTCCATAGATCTTTATAGGTAGGTATATTAAAAACAATGTTTGAAAAATATGGCTGTTTCATCTAGAATTTAATTTACTAATAGTATTTAAAACTTCCCTTTGAAAACAGTATCATTTTTTGTTGTGCTTGTTTACCCTTTGCAAACAAGAACCTTCTAAAAGCCCAAAGTTGATCTTTCTTAAGTGAGTGGTGACCTAATGAGAGGATGTGGATCAAGTGAAAGTATGGGAGTAGGAAATGTTAGGTGCATACTAAGAAAAACAAACCGAAAAGCATAGTAAGTTAAGGTTCTCAAAAGTCCTTAGTGGGGAAAAATGCTTTTTAAATACAGCATCTATTCAGCAAGTATTTACAAAGAACTACCAGTGCCAGGTGGTGGTTTAGGTGCTGAGACTACAGGAATGACCAAAACAAAACCCTTGTGCTCAGGAGCTGTTTTCAGTTTGGAGAGAAAGGCATTAAACCATATAAAGTCAGTGGCAATGAGTGCTTTATAGCAAAAAGAGAAAAAGAAAATGAGGCAGGAGACAAATGAATTGAGGATATGTGTGCTGGGGGTGTGCTATTTTCGATGAAGAAGGACACTGAATATTTGAGCAGCCACCTGAGGAAATGAGCAATGCAAAAATCTGGGAAAAGATGTTCCAGGAAGAAGGAATTGCAAGTGCAAAAGTCTTGAAGTAGAGAACTGCTTAGTATCTCTGGGGACGAGTACAGTGTAACTGGAACATGGGGGATAAAATGAGAAGCATACTTAACAGGCCTTAGTAAGGAGTTCGGATTTTATTTTTTAAGTGTAAAGTTATTTAGAGGAGGTCAACCAAAGCATTAACATCTGACATTTTACAAGGGCTGCTCTAGTTGCCATGTGCATGAAGAGCTTATTTAGCATTTCAAAGCTCTTATACCTTTTTTTTTTTTTTTTTTTAAGGAACTGGCAATACAGCTATTGCAGAGCTAGGATTTAAACCCAGGCAGGTTGGCTTCAGTTATCTTCATGGTACACATAATAGCTAGACGAGGTGGAAGCAGGGATACCAGTAAGAAAGTTATTGATAGTGGCTTGGATTAGACTGATAGCAGTGAGTTTCCCTAACGGGTTCATTTTCCCCAGTCATGGGATTTTTATGAATAGGATGATTAATAAGAAAGTATAACAATAAAGGGGAGTTAACATTTGCCAGTTCAACAGACTGAGTAAAGCTACACGATTTAGCTTTACTAAATAAACGCCCATGCGTTTTATTTTGACTGCATGCTTCAAGAAGCTTTCACTTTCAAATTACTCATTACAAAAAAGAAGACCTTAAGTTGGGTTGGCTTTCCAACGTGTTAAATACTCAAATGCAGGTGATTTGGTTCTATTAGCACTAAGAACAAAAAACTCAGTCTTTGACCCGAGAGAATTCTGACAAATGCCAACTTATTAACTCACTGGGAAACTTTCTCTTCACAGCTGTGAATTTCTACAAAGGAAAATATGCCTCCATTATGAACAATTGCTTCTAGAGGCAAATAGCTATGAAAAATAATAGTTTTCAAGAAATAATTTTAAAATTGGGAGGAAAAAAGAACAAGTCTTATAAAAATCTGAATTTATCACAATATTGTAAGAGGAGTACTGCCTTGTTAAAACAATATCAAAAGGAATAGAAATTACAGAAATAATGTCTAATATTCTTAGAAATAGGAATATTGTCAATATTGAACCCAATCCTATAAAGCTTTTTACATAATACACTAAATATGTAACTGTTCTGAATTGAATCCTAGAATTGGTTCAGAGCTGTGCCTATAATGGAGTAAAGGACTATGCCAGGAATAGATTCATTTAGAATCAGCTGAACATAAAAACTGGTTAAAGTCCTAGATGTTGGAATAATGTAGATGAGCTTATGACAACAAAAGTTATTACCTATGTAAGCACATTCATATTTGGAATTATTTGCTTCTAAAGAAAAATCATCATCTCTATGGTGATTTTTTTCCATTTGCCTTATTTTATAAGGTAAAGTGTGTCTTTTGGAATCATATTTTACAACTCCAACAAATCTTGAGGTTATCTTTGTAAAAATACCTTTTGTGATCAAAATCTAACATCCATTCTTTGCAAATTGTATACCTCGGGTGTGCTTATGTACTGATATACATTAAATATATATTAAATAAATATGACCAAAAAATTCATTGGTGATAAAAGAACACAAGTAGTTTCCTCTAATAAACAGAGCATTCAGATGGTAACCTTTACAGGACTCTTTTAACCTAAAAATGAAAGTTTAAATATAAAATTTAAAATGCTGAAAAACCTAATTTAAGAAGGACATTATTATATTAACAACAAGATATATCCCAAAATAGTTTCCTGATAGACCCTACAGGATTATACACTAATTCTTTCTAGAGTTTAGATGCAGTTACCTAGTAATATAATTATTGCAAGGGATAATCTACGTAGAGTAATGGAAGACTTAGCTCTTATAATTTTGAAGACTAATGACAGACTCAATTTATAAAACCATATTAAACTTGCTTATTTTGACAAGTAAAAGAATGATAAGTGTCTTCTAACTGTTTAATAGCATAATCATTGGCAATGTTTAAAATTTCCTCTGACATCCTGGGGCAAAGGAGATGAGATTAATCAAATGTGGATATATTTCTTGTTACTACTGTCTGGATGAAACAATGTTATAAGAAAGACTACTCATAACTGGGGAAAGAGTTACACCTTTGACAGGTGATACAAAGTCAAGTGTTGATGATACCAGGAAGGACTGTTCAGTGAGTTACTACTTCTTGATGAGTTAACTCTTAAGTTTCAGGTCTTGAACAAATGTATTCAAGAACATTCTAAAAAGAAATTACCAAATTTTACTAAAATAGGAAGTTTTTAGTGGAAAAGTTGCAAAAAAACAGCCTTTTTGTAATGTTGATTATTAAAGCAAGGTACTTCTAGTAAATTCTGTGATGAAGGATGGAAATATAAATAATTGAATTGGAAGAGTGTACAGCTTTGATGTGAAGTGCATACACTCAGAAGCCAGACTGCTGGGCTTGAAATCCTAGGATGGCCACTAGACTGGCTACATATCCACACATTGTAAAATACAGCAAAGGCAAAAGAAACATGGTACAAAGAGGAGAGGAAGATTCATCTCTAGATCTTAGGAAGTTACTTAACATCTCTGTGTCTCTTGATAGATACTTTGAACATATGTACTCCACAATTCTTTTATAGATAGAGTGTGTCTGTATGTTTTAAAAAATTGTGTGAAATTGCCTCAAACACATCTACAAGAGAATACAGTATTACCTACTTTTATTTGGAAATATAAAAGTTGTATATATTTTGTAGTCTGATACATAATAAACTCTGTATACTAGCTTTTAATACTATTAAGTTGGTGGTATTGATAGGTCCGTAAAAATAACAGTAGTGTTTCTGCTAGTGAAGTAGTATAAAGTTGTCCCCTGGACTAAAATCCCATAATCTCTAAAATATTCAGAGTAAAAGAGCTATACTCAACACTGTATAACCAGCAAATACTCTTCTTCTTCGATGTTGGTTTTATAAATGGAGAGCACAAGAAATATTCAATTTTTATATTGCCAAATAAAGTTAGAAATAATACTGTATTCTAATACAGATATGGTTGAAGCAGAAGATTGCAAGCTGATCTTTTTTAAAAAACAGGTAAGACAGTTATCCCTCTAAGATTTCTTAGAACTGTCCAATACAAGTAACAAGATAAATATCTTGAAATTTTAAAGAAAACCATTGATGTTACAAAATTAACATGATGTTATACATTTAAAGTTTGGAATCACTGATTTAAATATAAATAAGCTTTAGTGTAGGGCCAGAAACGGCTAGTCCTTTTACACTGATTGCATAAAGGGCCAAAGACAACAAAGTAAACTTGCTCGCATGGGGAAATATAGCATAGAAAATTATAGAATTCGCAACAGCATCTCTGACCACAAACAATACTTTAAAATTATGCCTCGAACATAAACTTACTTGTTCACACGTATATTTTCCTGGCACTTTCTCCCTTTTGTTTTCTACCATCTATAACATCACAAAACAATGGAAAAGAGAAAGAACCCAAAAATTCTCCCTATAATCTCACCTTTCTGATTTCCAAGTCTCAGATGATTGGCTTCATGAGTTTCCATTCATTATATGCAAACAGACTGCTTGAGTAAGAAGGTATATAGTCGAATGTGTGAAAACTTTTATTTGTTGTGTGGTTGTGAGGGGGGGAGCAGATATAAAAATGTTTTGTGATACTGAAGTCTGATTTTAACATTTAGTAATCCTGGCATGATCAGAGGTAAATTTTCTTGATGTCACAGCTCTAAAGTAAGAACTTCCAAGTAATGTGATAACTACAAAACAAAGCATCATGGGCAGTGTGACTACTTCCTGAGGTGGACATCTCCTATTCAGAGTAAAGTTACTTCCAAATCAAAAATGGGATTTGTTATTTTTGAATTGGGGTGGGGGCGGGATTGTGTGTGTGCATGCATTTATTTGTGTGTGCAAGTGTGTGTAATATTGTACTTTATGAAGCCAGTATTTTTTTTTTTTTTGAGACAGAGTCTCACTCTGTTGCCCAGGCTGGAGTGTAGTGGTACAATCTTGGCTCACTGCAACCTCTGCCTCCTGGGTTCAAGTGATTCTCCTGCCTCAGCCTCCCAAGTAGCTGGGATTACAGGTGCCCGCCACCAAGCCCAGCTAATTTTTGTATTTTTAGTATAGACGAGGTTTCACCATGTTGGCCAGGCTGGTCTTGAACTCCTTACATCAGGTGATCCACCCACTTCGGCCTCCCAAAGTGCAAAAGGCTACCTTGTAAGTTCCCTTGGGATAAGAACGTTTACAGCTCCCTTTCTTTATAATATACTTTGAACTAATGGCTAGCAGCTGGAAATGCTAATACCTTGGCTGAGGGTTATTTATATTGATGAAAACAGCATTAGAGGTTGAAAACAGATAGGCAGGCTCTAAATTGGATAGTTGAGAATTTTATTTCACTAGGGAGGAATAAAAATGTGCTTTTCATTTGGTGTATAAACAGCTCAATATCCCAAAGGAGAAATGGGAAAAGAAAATGCAGAGAATTCATACACATATAAATCAACCAACATATGAAAATTTATGCATCACCAAAAATCTCTAAAAAGGCAAATTTAATTTTTGATTATCAAAATTATAAAAGATATCTTAAAAGATTATACTCATTGTAAGAAAGGATGCTCTCAAATAGACACTTATTTTCTGCTGGTGGTAATATAAATTAGTAGAATCTTTCCTAGAAGATAACGTGGCTATTACCAAAAGCCTTGAACACTGCATATCCTTTCATTAAGTATTTGTGCTACTTACATGATTTTTTCAGGAAATAATCTGAAATGTGGATAAAGCCTTTTGCATAAGGTAATTATCACAGCATTAATCATTTTAGAGAAAAATTGGAAACAACAGACCTAACTGCAAGTGGAAATCTAGTACACGATCAGGTGTTACCTCAAATCACTGGAACACAGAAGGCAGAAGGCTTTCTAAAACAAATAGTGTTGGGACAAATTGCCATTTGGAAAAAAGATGAAATAAGATCCATTACTCACAGCATACATGAAAATAAGCTCAAAATGGATTAGATATATAAATGTAAAACACAAAACCATTCAAGTACTAGAAGAAACACGCATGAACTTTTCTATAACCTTGATATATGGAAAGGCTTTTAAACTACCACTTGAAATCCAGATGCAACTTTTAAAAAGATTGATAGATATGACTACTTTTGTGTGTGTGTGTCTGTTTTTTTTTAGACAGGGTCTTATTACTCCATTGCCCAGGCTGGAGTGCAGTGGCACGATCTTGGCTCATTGCAACCTCCGCCTCCCAGGTTCAAGTGACTCTCCTGCCTCAGCCTCCAGAGTAGCTGCAACTACACGTGCGCCATCACACCCGGCTAAATTTTTATACATTTTTAGTAGAGACAGGGTTTCACCATACTGGCCAGGCTGGTCTCAAACTCCTGATCTTGTGATCCGCCTGCCTCGGCCTCCCACAGTGGACCATGTTTTTTTAAAAAGGCTTGTGTGGCAAAAAAGAATAAAAACAAAAAACAAGCAAAGTCAAAAAACAAGCTGAGCAAATATATGCAAAACACTTCACAGATAATGACATTATCCCTAATACTTGAAGAACTTTAAAAAATTGAAGGAAAAAAACAAATATCCTGTTGAGAAATAAGCAAAATATGAATAAATAATTCACCAAAAAAAATTTTTTAATGGTCCTTAAGACATATGAAACTATAATCAACTTCACTTTAATATAAATGGGCTGTGCGCAGTGGCTCATGCCTGCAATCCCAGCACTTTGGGAGGCTGTGGATCACTTGAGCTCACAAGTTTGAGACCAGCCTGGGCAACATGACAAAACCCCGTCTCTACAAAAAATACACAAATTAGCCAAGTGTGGTGGTGCACTCCTGTAGTCCCAGTTACTCCGGAGGCTGAGGTGGGAGGATGACTTGAGTCCTAGAGGCGGAAGTTGCAGTGAGCAGTGATCGTACCACTATACACCCCAGCCTGGGTGAGACAGAGCAAGACCTTGCCTCAAAAAGAAAAAAAAAGAGAAAAAAAAGAAATGCATATTAAAACTATGCTGAAATATTGTTCCTTACCCATGAAATTGGCAAATTCCAAAGCTTAATAGTAGGCTCTGTTGACAAGGCTAAGTGAAACAGACTAGAGGGAATGCAAGACTTGTCTATCTCTTATGGAAGAAAATTAGGCAATAATTAATAAATATTCATTAACTCATTAATATTTATTTAACTTTTGATTTAGCAATCCTATTTCTAGTGTTTATCCTTAAGATATGCCATTAGTATTACTAAAAAGTATAGATAAAGTTATTCACTACAACATTCTAACATATTCAAGACATAAAATAAGGCTGGAAACAAGGGAAAAAATTTAAACTGAATGCAAAAACTAAATCAAGGTATTTTCAAATGAAATCACATTGAGGGATAAGAAAAGGAAAAATCAGGCAGACAGCTAAGGCTAGTCCTTGGAGAAATAGCCTGAAAAATCACAGCTACAGGCACAAACAGAACAACCTGGGGAAAAACTAAACTGCAACTACACTAATAAGAAAGCAAGGCCCAACAGAGAAGCCTTTTTTCCTTTGTGTGATTAGCGGGCTTCCAGGAAAAAGGTTCCTCCCCTTTTCAGGCATATACATGGTAGGCTCTGTGGGAACCTGCAAAGGAATGGGGGTGGGCTTACCTGAAACAGACCTGCAGTTAAACAAACAAGAGAAGCTTCACTTTGTGCTTACCCAAGACATACCCACAGCTGCAGAGATAAGGAGAGTTACACAAATAGCTACAGAGATGAGGGGAGTTTCTTATAAAAGCTTTTGGATTCAACTGTAAAAACAGCAACCCACTCAGGCCCCCTCTCCACTACAAAGAGCTTTCTTCTTTCACTTATTAAACTTTGACTCCAACCTCCCCCTTGCGTCCATGCTCCTTAGTTTTCTTGATTGTGAGACAAGGAGCTCGGATAACACCTCAGACAACGAGACCATTCACCCCAGACCATTTCAACATCAAAGAAGGAGAAACAACAAAAACAACAGTGAACTAATGTAAGTAACTTTTGGACACAGTACAATACTTTATTTACCCTTAGTCTGGGTGAAAAAAATATATGATACACAAAGATAAAACACAATAGCAAAATGTTAAAAATTGTTGGACCTGAATGAATGGCACAGGGAAATTATTTGTATTACTGTCACGCCTTTCCTGCAAGTTTGTAATTATTTCAAAATTAAAAATTAAAAAATACAATTCCAGTTTCTCTCTCACACCAAATTCAATAGTAAAATATTAAATATTAGACATATAAAAATGTGTACATGCTTTTTTTTGCCAAAAGTTGATGCTAAAAGCCAAGCAGTCTGAGTTTGTCATTTTCTATTTTCTAAGGTAGTTTTGAGAGATTTTTCTCTATTTTCCCATGTTTTTAGAATAACTGGAATTAGAAAGTAGAATCAAGGAATGAGTGTTTTAAGTACTTCCTGAAGCACATTCTGGAATCTTGATCTTGAAACCAAGCTAACCATCCATACTACAGGTATAATTATGTTTAAAATAATGTCTATATCAGAGAATCCTTTATAAATAAGGTATACAGTCATGCACTGAATAACAACATTTTAGTCAGCAATGGACTGTATGACAATGATCCCATAAGATTATAATGGGGCTGAAAAATTTCTATAGCCTGGTGACATCATCGCCATTGTAATGTCATAGAACAATGCTTTACTCACATTTTTGTGGTGATGCTGTTAAAAACAAACTTACTGCACTGCTACCTGTACAGAAGTATAGCACATACAATTATGTATGTTACATAATACTTGATAATAATAAATGACCATGTTAATGGTTCGGGTATTTACTGTACTATATTTTTTTTTTTTTTGAGAAAGGGTCTCACTCTGTCCCGCAGGCTGGAGTGCAGTGGTGCCATAATGGCTCAATGCAGCCTTGACCTCCTGGCCTCAAGCGATCCTCCTGCCTCATCCTCCCTCAGGAATGGGACTACAGGCGTGTGCCACCATGCCTGGCTATTTTTTTTATTTTTTGTGTCTCACTATGTTGCCCAGGCTGGTCTCCAACTCCTGAGCTCAAGCAATCCTCCTGCCTTGGCCTTCCAAAATGCTGGGATTGCAGGCATAAGCCACCACAGCTGACCTATACTTTTTATGTTATTTTAGAGTGTTATTTTACTTTTATATGTAGAAAATTAAATGTAAAATAGCCTCAGGCAGGTCCTTCAGGAGGAATTCCAGAAGACAGCATTATTATCATAGGAGATCACAGCTCCATGCATGTTACTGCCCCTGAAGATGTTCCAGTGGGGTAAGATGTGGAGGGGTAGGACAATGATATATGTGGAGGGGTAGGACAATGATATGGATGATCCTGACTCTATGTAGGCCTAGGCTAATGTGTGTGTTTGTCTTAGCTTTTAATAAAAAAAAAAAAAAACTTTTAAAAAAGATGAATAAAATAAAAATAGAAAAAGCTTATAGAATAAGGATATAAAAAAAGAAAATACTTTCGTTCAGCTGTAAAATGTGTTTGTGTTTTACATGAAGTGCTATTACAAAAGAATAAAAAAGTTTTTTAAAATTAAAAAGCTTATATAGTACAAAAGTTACAGTTAATACTGTCTTCTGGAATTTCTTCTGAAGGACCTGCCTGAGGCTGTTTACATTTAATTTTTTATGTGTAAAAGTAAAAGGAGTACATTCTAAGTGTACAGTAATGTCCTAGGCCTTCACATTCACTTGCCACTCACTCACTCACTTACCCAGAGAGACTTTCAGTCCTGCAAGCTCGATTCACCATAAATACCCTATATGAGCATTCAATTTTTTATCTTTTATACAGTATTTTTACTGTACCTTTTCATTTAGATACACAAATACTTACCATTGTGTTACAACTGCCTATAGTATTCAATACAGTAACAGGCTTTACAGGTTTGTAGCCTAGGAGCAATAAGCTATACCATATAGCCGAGGTATGTAGTAAGCTGCACCCTAGATGGTATCATTAGGTTTGTTTAGCTACATACTATGATGTCTGCACAACAACAAAATCACGTAATGACACATTTGTCATAATGTGTTCCTATCATTAAGCAATACATGACTGTATGTGGGTACTATTACTGTTTTCTAAAAAGCATCTAAGCAAGCATTTAAAAAAATAAAAATACAGTTTACAAAATTAACTTAGAGTAACAAAGTTAGCACTTTTCACTGGCAATCAAACAGAAATATAAAAGTTAGCAACAAATCTGACAATTAAATTCCCTATGCCAAGCCCATACGTGGTAGGTAGATTGGCCCCGAAGAGATGACCTAATCTCTGGCAACTGTGCATGTGTTACCATACATGGCAAAAGAGACTGCAGATGTAACTAAAGTTAAATCCTTAAAATAGGAAAATTATCCTGGATTAACTGAGTGGACCCAATCTAATCATGAGAACACTTAAAAGCAGAGAAATGTTTCCAGCTGTAGTCAGAGAAATGCAGCATAAGGATAAATAAGAGAGATTCAAAGTATGAGAGGAACTTGACTCACCACTGCTGGAGGAGCCACATGGAAAGCATGAGAAAGAATTCAGAAAGCATCTAGGAGCAAAGACTCATCCCCCATCTGGCAGCAAGGAAACAGGGACTTCAGTCCTTCAAGTGCATGTAACCAAATTCTACCAGTTGGAACCTGGGTGAGCCTGGGAATGAATCCTCCCCTAGAGTCTTCAGAGCCCACTGCAACTGACACTTAGATTTTGGTCTCATGAGACAAGGTTTAGAAAAACCAGCTGAGCCCAGCTAGACTTCAGACCTATACATCTGTGAGATAATAACGTGTTGTTTTAAGCCACAGAATTTGTGGTAGTTTGTTATAGCAGCAATAGAAAACTACATGTATTAGCATTTTCTTAATTTATATTTCATTCTAAATATCTTTAATTTGTCAAGGTGGATTAAAAAATGAGAGGCTATATTACCACATTTCTAGCTTTTCATTTCCTCACATTAATTTTGTCACTAAAATGGAAACATAATGCTTGACTAGATTCTGACCATTGAAAAATACCAATTTTTAATTCATGTTAGTCTTTTACTTTTAAAAATGTTTTTTAAAAGCCATTTTCTCTTGGAATATTTTACATGAAAAGTATGACTCAAGTGAGGGTCTATCTATGCAAAGTAGAACTGAGTGTTTCCGACATACGTATACATTACATCTATTACCAGCTGGTGCTCACAGGGTTTTGCGGGAAGGGGACAGTGTTAGAATGCTACATGAGTTCATTTCTTTTATATATTCATATTAAGTGTATCTCCATCTGCTGAAGTACTTCCATTGGCATGGATGAAAATGTCAGTTGAGTGAATTCCAGGCAATTCTCCAAGGTAAGAAAGTTAAACAAGCGAAAAGGGCCAACACATATAAAGAAGGAACTTATCTTTTTAGCAAACGCTATGAAAGCTTTCGGTGTTTTTTTAGAACAAGCAGACATTCTTAGGAAATAATTAAAATAATCTGTCATAGAAAGTAACTGATGAGGTACTGATAAAATTAAGTGGAAAAAATCAGCTAGAGGAACTTGTACTGATTTATCACTTCCTGGAAACTGGGGCTAGTAATGTAGTTCATTCAGTATGCAATCCTCTCTATTAGCCTCTAACATTTAAGAACTATAGTTGCTTTTGGTATGCGGGTTTTAAAAGGGCTGAGTAGCCTAGGACAGTGCTTGTCAAATTTCTCTGGTCAAGGATCAATTTCTTCTTCATTTTTAAAGAAACTTTCTAATCGATTGCAGACCAATAATTTTGTAAAATATAACAAAAACATATTACTAGAAAAATGAAACAAAAAACCAAGACACAAGGTTTGTGAATGGCTGTGCCTAGCACATGTGGGTGCTGAAATATGTTTAATAAACAGACACCACTTTCAGAAAAGCTGGTTCAAAAATGGATAGGTTTTCATCAGAAGCTTCTCAACAAAAGCACCTGGTATATCCAGATACTGAGAGTAGGCAGTACCCTCAGACATCTTGTAACAAATAAAATTAAATATTTAATGAAGCTCTAGGATGCATTACATTTTCTTCAATTAGAGAATGACAGCTAGGCAATTTAGCAGTATTAAAGGATTAAATAATCTCTGATTATTTTTCCTGCTATTGTGCTTTTTTGTCCTAAACCCTAACTACACTTAAACATAGATGAGAAATCAATATGAAGAATAGTACAAAAGTCTAATAAAGGTGAACACCGGAATCTATGTTAGAGGGTTTTCACTTGTTCCAAATAACATCTAAAAAGTCTTAATTTTCATTTCCTTTTACACAGAGGATTTTTCAGTGTAATAATGCACACTTGCATGTAGCTTAAGATTCTTTTTTTTTTTCTTTTTGAGACAGAGTCTCGCTCTTGTTGCCCAGGTTGGAGTGCAGTGCCGCCATCTCAGCTCACTGCAACCTCTGCCTCCCGGGTTCAAGTGATTCTCCTGCCTCAGTCTCCTGAGTAGCTGGAATTACAGGCGCCTGCCACCATGCCCGGCTAATTTTTGTATTTTTAGTAGAGACGGGTTTTCACCAAGTTGGCCAGGCTGGTCTCGAACTCCTGACCTCAGGTGATCCACCCACCTCGATCTCCCAAAGTGCTGGAATTACAGGCCTGACCCACTGTGCCCAGCCTTAAAATTCTTTTAATTATATACTTAGATGTACGTTTTATATTTATATATGTATTGAAATTATATATTTCATAACTACCTGTATTCAGTGTAAAGTGAGGAATGCATTTAATACTTTCACACATACAGCATTTCCTGTTTAGTCTCATATCAAGCATAAAGCCAATGACTGCTTCCTCTTCGCAGAATAAAATGTAATAATAGCAGCATTCTAATGCAATCTGCACTGATGACAGCAGAGGGCACTGTCATATAAAATAACTTTTTTTTATTGTGCATAAGAATTTTGTGCATTATTGAACACTAGTTTTCAAGAGGCTAGGATTTCTGTAAACGGTCTTATATACCAAAAAAACTAGAAAATCTCTATTTGTGTGAGCATGAAGTGACATATTTTAACTGATGAATTGAAACCTGAGTCATAAATTATAAAAAGAAAAATTAATATAAAATTTACTGTTTTTCATAAGTTAGCATACTGAAACTTTTCTCATTCTATTTCTACTACTATATGATGCCATTTATATGAAGTCAAAAAAATAAAAAATATATTTATTATAGAATATTTAGCTTATAAAACTATAAAGGAAAGCAAGAAAGTAATTACCATAAAATTCAGGGTAAAAGCCAAGTTGTGAATACAACAGGAAAGTTCTTGAAGGAAATTCAAAGTGCTAATCCAGTGAACACATGAATAATAAGGAAGCGAAACAGTCTTATTGCCGATGTGAAGAAAGTTTTAGTGGTCTGGATAGAAGACCAAACCAGCCACAGCATTTCCTTAAGCCAAAGGCTAATCCAGAACAAGGCTCTAACTCTCTTCAACACTACAAAGGCTGAGAGTGGTAAGGAAGCTGCAGAAGAAAAATCTGACGCCAGCAGAGGTTGGTTTATGAGGTTTAAGGAAAGAAGTCATCTCCATAATATAAAGGTGCAAACTGAAGCAGTAAGGGGTAACACAGAAGCTGCAGCAAGTGATCCTGAAGATCTAGCTAGGGTTATTGATGAAGGTGGCTACACTAGCTAACAGATTTTTACTGTAATATTAATGATCATTTGGCAGTATTCCCTGTGAGCCAGTGGTGACAGTGGCCATGGGGCGACACTCCTCCACCTTTGGAAAGGGGAGAAAAGACTGGAAAGGTCTATGTCTTGTGGTCTGAGTTACAGCTCAGACAAGTCAGAACACCAGCTAGACTTCTAAAGTTTTTGACTCTAGTGTCAGGCTCCCAGACAGCACCTCTGGACTTTTCCAGAGTCTAGTGGAAATCACCACCCTGCAGGGAAGAACACAGGCCTGGATGGCTTTGCCACTTGCTGATTGTAGAGTCCTAGTCCCTCAAGTGAACATAGGCAGTATCCAGGGGGTGGTTATGGAAGGCCTTGGGCAAGACCCAGTGCTGTGTTAGCTTCAGATGTGACCCAGCACAGTCCTAGTGGCGGTGGCCATAGGGTTACTTAGTTCACTTCACCCTCAGCTCCACGGGGCTCAGCAGAGAGAGAGAGAGATGTCATTTGTTTGGGAGAAAGTGAGGGAAGAGAACAAGAGTCTCTGCCTGGTAATCCAGAGAATTCTTCCGGATCTTCTCCAAGACCATCAAGGCAGTATCTCCAGAAGTCTGCAAGAACCAGAGCATTACGGGGCTTCGGGTGCCCTCTAAAGCAGATACAGCTTAGATCACAACACCTACGTCCTTCTGAATATCTAGAAAGCCTTTCCAAGAAGGACCACTACGAACAAGCTCAGACTGTGAAGATTATAATAAATACCTAATTCTTCAATGCCCAGATACCAAAGAACATCTACAAGTACCAAGGCCGCCTAGGAAAACATGTACCCACCAAATGAACTAAACAAGGCACCACAGACCAATACTGGAAAAAGAGATACGTGACTTTTCAGACAGAGAATTCAAAGTAGCTGTTTTGACAAAACTCAAAGAAATTCAAGATAACACAGAGGAGGAATTCAGAATCCTATCAGATAAATTTAAGAACAAGATTGAAATAAAAAGAACCAAGCAGAAATTCTAGAGCTGAAAAATGCAACTGGCATACTATTGAAGAATGCATCAGAACTTTTTATGGCATAACTTTTTATGGCAGAAATGATCTAGCAGAAGAAAGAATTAGTGAGCTTGAAGACAGGCTATTTGAAAATATAGTCAGAGAAGACAAAAGAAAAAAGATAAAAAAGCATCCCTACAGGATATAGAAAATAGTCTCAAAAGGGCAAATCTAAGAGTTATTGGCCTTAAAGAAGAGGTAGAGCAAGAGACAGGGTTAGAAAGTTTATTCAAAGGAATAATAACAAAGAGCTTCCAACACCTAGAGATAGATATCAATATCCAAGTACAAGAAGGTTATAGAGCAGCAAAGCAGATTGAACCCAAACAAAAGTACCTCAAAGCATTTAATAAACTTCCAAAGGTCAAGGATAAAAACATGGTCTGTAATAAAGAAAGGATCCTAAAAGCAGCAAGAGAAAAGAAACAACACACAATTAAGCTCCAATATGTCTGGGAGAAGACTTTTCAGTGAAAACCTTACAGGCCAGGAGAGAATGGTACGACATACTGCAAGTGCTGAGGGAAAAATCCTTTCATGCTAGAATAGTATATTCTGCAAAAATACCTTCAAACATGAAAGAGAAATAAAGACTTCCAGACAAACAAAAGCTGAGGGATTTCATCAACACCAGACCTGTCCTACAAGAAATATTAAAGGGAGCACTCTAATCAGAAAGAAAACGATGTCAATGAGCCATAAGAAATCATCTGAAGGTAAAAAACTCACTGATAATAGTAAGCATACAGAAAAACACAGAATATTAAAACACTGTAACTGTGTCTTATCTTAAGTAGAAAGACCAAATGATGAACCAATCAAAAATAATAACTACAACTTTTCATGACATAGACAGTATACAACAAAAAATTAAAAAGCCAGAGGATAAAGTTAAGGCATAAAGTTTTTATTATTTTCTTTTTGCATGTTTGCTTGTTTATCCAAACAATGTTCAGTTGTTATCAGCTTAAAATAATGGGTGATAAGATAGTATTTGCAAGCCTAATAAGATGCAGTATTTGCAAGCCAAAAAACATAAAAGATACACAAAACAATTAAAAGCAAGAAGCTAAATCAAATCACTGAGAACATCATCATCACAAAAAGGAAGAAGAAAAGAAAGAGAAGACCACAAAACAACCCAAAAAACAAATAAAATGGCAGGAGTAAGTCCTTACCTACCAATAATAATATTGAATGTACATGGACTAAACTCTCCAATCAAAAGACACAGACTGGTTGATAGATTAAAAAAAAAAAAAAAAGACCAAATGATCTGTTGTGTACCAGAAACACATTTCACCTATAAAGACACACGAAGACTGAAAATAAAGAAATGGAAAAAGATATTCCATGACAATGAAAACAAAAAGAAAACATGAGTATCTATATTTATTTCAGACAAAATAGATTTCAAGACAAAAATTGTTAAGAAGAGATGAAGAAAGTCACTATATAATGATAAATGGGTCAATTAAGCAAGAGGATATGACAATTTTTATGCCACCCATCACTGGAGCACCCAGATATATACAGGAAACATTATTAGAGCTAAAGTGAGAGATAGGCCCCAATACAATAATAGCTAGAGACTTCAACACCCCACGTTCAGCATTTGATACGGTTTGGATTTGGGTCCTCACCCAAATCTCATGTAGAATTGTAATCCCTAATGTTGTAGGAGGAGGTGATTGGATCATGGGGGCAGCCTTCCCCCTTGGTGTTCTTGTGATAGTGAATGAGTTCTCATGAGATTTTGTTTAAAAGTGTGTAGTACCCTTCCCCTTTTCTCTCTTTCTCCTGCTCCAGCCATGTAGGACGTGCCTGCTTCCCCTTCATCTTCTGCCATGAGTGTACATTTCCTGAGGATTCCCCAGCCATGCTTCCTGTACAGCCTGTGGGACTATGAGCCAATTAAACCTCTCTTCTTTATAAATTACCCAGTCTCAGGTAGTTCTTTATAGCAATGCAAGAATGGACTAATACAGCACTGGACAGATCTTAGAGACAAAAAATCAACAAAGAAACATCAGACTTAATCTGCACTATAGAAACAAATGTACCTAATAGATATTCATGCAATATTTCCTCCAAGAGCTGGAGAATACACATTCTTTTCCTCAGCACATGGATCATTCTTAAAAGTAGACCATATGTTTGGTCAAAAGACAAATCTTAAAATATTCAAAAAATTAAAATAATAAACATCTTCTGTGATCACAATGGAAACTACAAATCAATAACAAGAGGAATTTTGGAAACTACACAAATACATGGAAATTAGACAATATGCTCCTGAATGGCCAATGGGTCAATTAAAAAATTAAGAAGGAAACTGAAAATTCTCTTAGAACAAATGATAATGAAGTACAACATACCAAAACCTATGGGATACAGCAAAAGCAGTACTAACAGGGAGTTTATAGCTATAAGTGCCTACATCAAAAAACAAGAAAAATTTCAAATAACCTAATAATGCATCTTAAAGAACTAGAAAAGCAAGAGCAAGCCAAACTCAAAATTAGTAGAAGAAATACTAAAGATCAGAGCAGAAATAAATGAAATCTAAATTAAAAAAATATTGACTGGGCATGGTGGCTCACGCCTGTAATCCCAACACTTTGGGAGACCAAGGCGGGCAGATCACGAGGTCAGGAGTTTGAGACCAGCCTGACCAACATGGTGAAAGCCCATCTCTACTAAAAATACAAAAATTAGCTGGGCATGGTGGCATGCACCTGTAATCCCAGCTACTCAGGAGGCTGAGGCAGGAGAATCACTTGAACCTAGGAGGTGGAGGAGGTTGCAGTGAGCTGAGATTACACCACTGCACTCCAGCCTACTGCACTCCAGCCTGGGTGACAGAGTGATACTCTGTCTCAGAAAAAAAAAAAAAAGACAGAAAGAAAATAATACAAAAGAGCAATGAAACAAAAAGTTGTTTTTTTTGAAAAGTTAAACAAAATTGAAAAATCTCTAGCCAGACTAACAAAGAAAAAAAAAAAGAGAAATTCCAAATAAATAAAACCAGACATGAAAAAGGAGACATTATAACTGATACTGCAGAAATTCAAGGATTATTAGTGGCTACAATGAGCAACTACATGTCAATAAATTGGGAAATCTAGAAGAAATGGACAAATTCCTAGACACATAAAACCTACCAAGATTGAGTAGGAAGAAATTCAAAACCTGAACAGACCAATAACTAGTAAGGAGATTGAAGATGTAATAAAAAGTCTCCCAGTAAAGAAAAGCCCAGGATGCAATGGCTTCATTGCTAAATTCTGCCAAACATTTAAAGAAGAACTAATGGCAATCCTACTCAAACTATTCCGATATTCTGAAAAATAGAGGAGGGGATACTTCCGAACTCATTCTGTGAGGCAAGTATTACCCTGATACCAAACCAGATAAAGACACATCAAAAAAAGAAAACTATAGGCCAATATCTCCAATGAATATTGGTGCAAAAATCATCAACAAAATACTAGCAAACTGAATTCAACAATATATTAAAAAGATCATTCAACATGACCAAGTGAAATTTATCTCTGGGATGCAAGGATGGTTCAACATACACAAATCAGTCAATGTGAAACATCATACCAACAGAATGAAGGACAAAAGCTATATAATAATTTGGACTCATGCTGAAAAAGCATTTGATAAAATTCAATATCCCTTCATGATAAAAAACTACCAAGAAACTAGGTATAGAAGGAACATACATCAACATAATAAAGGCCATATACATATATGACAGACCTTCAGTTAGTATCATACTGAATGGGGAAAAGGTAAAAGCCTTCTCTCTAAGATCTACAACACAACAAGGATGCCTACGTTCACAACTGTTATTCAACATAGTACTGGAAGTCCTAGCTAGAGTAATCAGACAAGAAAAAGATATAAAGGACATCCAAATTGGAAAGGAAGAAATCAAATTATCCTTGTTTGTAGATTATACAATCTATGTCTGGAAAAAGCCTAAAGTTGCAAAATAAAAAATCAACATACAAAAATCAGTAGCTTTTCTATATGTAAACAGTGAACAATTTGAAAAAGAAATCAAAACAGTAATCCCATTTACAATAGCCACACATAAAATTAAATACCTAGGAATTAACCAAGGAAGTGAAACATGTCTATAATGAAAACTATAAAACACCAATGAAAGAAATTGAAGTGGACATTAAAAATGAAAAGATATCCCATGTTCGTGGATTGGAAGAATCAACATTGTTAAAATGTCCATTCTACCCAAAGCAATCTAGATATTCAGTGTAATTCCCATCAAAATACCAATGACATTCTTCACATAAATCGAAAAAAAGATCCTAAAATTTATATGGAACCACAAAAAACACAGAATAGCCAAAACTATGCTCAGCACAAAGAACAGCCCTGGAGGAATCACATTACCTGACTTCAAATTATACCACAGAGCTACAAAAACCAAAATAGCATAAAAACAGACAACCAGTGAAACAGAATAGAGAACCCAGAAACAAATCTACACATATACAGGCAACTCATTTTCAACAAAGGTACCAAGAACATACACTGGAGAAAACACAGTCTCTTCAATAAATGATGCTGGGAAAACTGGATATTTATATGCAGAAGAATGAAATTAGACCCCTATCTATCACCACAGACAAAAATCAAATCAAAATAAAGAAAAAGAAAAAACCCAGAAAACAAACAACAAAACACACACACACACACACACACACACACACACACACACACACACACACACACACACAGGAAAAAATAGATTAAAGACAAATTTAAGACCTCAAACTCTGGAACCACTACCAGAAAACACTGGCGAAAATCTTAGGGTCACTGTACTTGGCAAAAATTTCTTGAGCAATATTCCACAAGCCCTTTCTCACACTGCTATTAAGAACTACTTGATACTGGGTAATTTATGAAGAAAAGAGGTTTAATTGACTCATAGTTCCACAGATTGTATGGGAAGCATGGCTGGGGAGGCCTCCAGAAATTTACAATCATGGCAGAAGGCGAAGCGGAAGCAGGCATATCTTCACATGACAGAGCAGGAGAGAAAGAGCGAAAGGAGAAGTGCTACACACTTTTAAACCACCAGTTCTTGTGAGAACTTACGCACTTATCATGAGAAGAGCAAGGGGGAAGTCTGCCCCCATGATTCAATCACCTCCCACCAGACCCTTCCTCCAAAATTGAGGATTACAATTCAACATGAGATTTGGGTGGTGACACAGAGCCAAACCATATCAACAACTGAATTCATGGAGATAGAGAGTAAAAAGATAATTACCAGAGTCTGGGAAAGGTAGTGTGGAGTTGGCAGGGGGATGGGGATAGTTAATGGGTACAAAAAAATAGAAAGAATGAATAAGGTCTATTGTACAGAACAGGGTGACTATAGTTAATAATATAATAATAACCTAATTATACATTTAAAAACAACTAAAAGAGTATAATTGGATTTTTTGTAACACAAAGGGTAAATGCTTGAGGGGATGGAAACCCCATTTTCCATAATGTGATTATTACATATTGCATGCCTGTAGCAAAACATCTCATGTACCCCATAAATATATACATCTACTATGTACTCATGAAAGTTAAAAATTAAAAAAAAAAAGTTGTTTTCAATCCTCATGGTTGGCTTTCAACCCTCAGGAAGATTTAAGGAGTTCAAGACTTCAATGGAGGAAGTAACTGCAGATGTGATGGAAGTAGCAAGACAATTGGAATTAGAAGTAGAACCTGAAGATGTAACCAAATTGCTACAATCTCATGATAAAACCTGACTAGATGAGGAATGGCTTCTTATGGATGAACAAAATATGTGGTTTCTTAAGATGGAATTTAATTTTGGTGAAGATGCTGTGAACACTGTTGAAATGACAACAAAGGATTTAGAATATTACATAAATTTATATTTGATAAATCAACGGCAGAAAGAAGTTCTACTATGGGTAAAATGCTATCAAACAGCACTGCATGCTACACAGAAATCTTTTGTGAAACAGTCAATCGGTTAACAAACTTTTGTTGTCTTAGTTTAAGAAGTTGTCACATCCACCTCAATCATCAGGAAGCACCACTCTGATCAGTTAGCTGCCATCAAAATTGAGGCAAGATTCCCCACCAGATTACATCTCGGTGAAGGCTCAGATGATTGGTAGCATTTCTCAGCAATAAATTACCTTTTAATTAAGATAGATGCATTGTTTTTTCAAACATAATGCTATTACATACTTAACAGACTATAGTACAGTGTACACATAACTTATATACGCACTGGGAAACCAAACAGTTCGTGTGACTCACTTTATTGTGATATTAACTTTAGAGGGGTGGTCTGGAGGAAACCAAACCTGTGATATCTATGAATTATGCCTGTACCAAGATGGCAGATTTAAACCCAATTATATCCATGCAACACTGACTATGTATATGGAACAAACACTCCAATTAAAAGGCAGAAATTGTCATTCTGAATAAAAAAGCAAAACCGTAGTATATGTTGTCTACTAGAATCTACTTTGAACAAGGCAGCCAAGTTAAAAATGAAAGGACAGAAAAAGATACACCACAGAAATGTTAACCATAAGAAAACTGGGGGCCAGGCGTGGTGGCTCACGCCTGTAATCCCAGCACTTTGGGAGGCAGAGGCAGGCCCTGGATCACGAGGTCAGGAGTTCGAGACCAACCTGGCCAACATGGTGAAACCCCATCTCTACTAAAAGTACAAAAATTAACCAGGCGTGGTGGCAGGCGCCTGTAATCGCAGCTACTAGGAGGCTGAGGCAGGAGAATTGCTTGAACCTGGGAGGTGGAGGTTGCAGTGAGCTGAGATCGTGCCATTGCACTCCAGCCTGGGTGACAGAGGCTCTGTCTCAAAAAAAAAAAAAAAAAAAAAAAAAAAAAGAAAAGAAAAAAGAAAGAAAGAAAGAAAGAAAACTGGGATGGCTATATTTATATCAGAAAAAAAACAGATCTTGACTGAATCCTGGACCAGAAAAAAAAAAAAACATTAGTATGATAAATGAAAAAAACTGAATGAGGTCTGTAGATTAATTACAAGTATTGTATCAATGTTAATTTCCCAGTTGTATAATTGCACTGTGGCTCTATAGGATACTAACATTTGGGGAAACTGATTGAAAGGTATATGGGAGTTATATGTATGATTTCGTCAAGTTTTTCATAAGTGTATAGTTAGTGCAAATGAGAAGTTGAAAACATTTTAAAAATTCAAATTTCTGCTCTTCCAAAGATACTACTGATAAAAAAAAAACTCACAGGCTGGGAGAAAGTATTCTTTCTCCTAAGGCTGTGAATAATAGTATTTAGTATTAAAGTAGAGATAGACATAGACACACGAGCATACTTCACCTCTGCTACTATAATTATTGCTATCCCAAGGAATTTTATACAGAATATATAAAAAACTCCTACAGTTTAATAATAATAAGACAAATCAATTTCTTTAAAGAGTCAAAGGATTTGAAACAACAAAGAAAAAGAAGATATGGCCAATAAACACAAGGTCCTCAACACCAGTCACTGTGGAAATTCAAATCTGAAATCACAATGAGCTCTCACAATGGTTCCCACCCGTCAAATGGCTAAATCTAAACAGCTTGACAGTACCACATGTTGGTATTCATGTGGTGCAGCTGGAACTTTCTTCCATTGCTCATGAGAATAAAAATTATACAACCCACCTAGAAAATTTAAGAAACCAATATATTTGCTGCTTAAGTTAAACATACACTTACCATATCACCCCAGCAATTCCACTCTTAGATTTTCACCCAAAAGATATGACAACATATGCCCACACAAATACTTATACATGAATGTTCACAACAGCTTTATTTATAATAGGCCAAAACAAGAAATAGCTCATGTGCCCATTAATGTATAACACTTACTGTGCTATATAGGCATAGAAAGCAATACTACTAAGCAATAAGATGAACAAACCACTGGAAAATGCAAAAACACAGATAAATCTCAGAAACAAACTTGAATATCCATGCAATAAAATACTTTTCAACATTAAAAAGGAACAAAGTATTGACACATGGTACAACATGGATGACTCTCAAAATAATTACACTGAATTAAAGAAGGCAGACATTAAAAAGTACATACTCTATATATTTATGTAAAAATGTATTTATGTAAAATTCTTTTTTAAAAATCTACTTTAAAGTGAGAAAGTGATCAGTGTTTACCTTGAAATAGAGATATGAACTGACTGGGAAGAGGCATATGAAAACATATAGATAGGGGTGATAAAAATGTTCTCAATCTTGATTGTGGAGGTGGTTACATGGGTGTATATATTCATCAAAATCCATTTACAGCATACAATTAAAATGGATTCATTTTATTGTATATAATTTGTAGCTCAACAAATTTATTTATTTATTTATTTATTTGAGACAGAGTCTCACTCTGTTGCCCAGGCTGGAGTGCAATGGTGTGATCTTGGCTCACTGTAACCTCCACCTCCCAGGTTCAAGCAATCCTTCCACCTCAGACTCCCAAGTTGTAGGACTACAGGCATGTGCCACCACACCTGGCTAATTTTTGTATTTTGAGTAGAGATAGGGTTTCACCATGTTGGCCAGGCTGGTCTCAAACTCCTGACCTCAGGTGATCTGCCTATTTCAGCCCCCCAAAATGCTGGGATAACAGGCATGAGCCACCACGCCAGGCTTAAAAGTTTTTAAATGTACAACATGATGTTTTGAAATATGTAGAGCACTACATGCCAGCGCAGAATCACTTTCTCTTCAGTGTCTGAAACTGAGACAAAAAGTTTACTAGAAGTCTTCTCTTAATGTATATCCAGTATTTTTCTTAGCTAGGGTCAAGTGTATAATGAATTTTTAAAAAAATGGCAAGGCCAGGGTTAGCCCAGAGACTGAAAAACATCCCAAATGAAAAGACAATGAGTTTCAAAGTATGCCACAATGTTATCATATTGGCACTGGTAAGAGACAGTTGTATAAGATAATCTTAAAACTCTAAGCCACAATATTATGTGAATATTGATGTAAACTTTAGGTTAAACATTATGCTAAAACCTATATTTTCACTATCTTATTTAAATCTATTTATAAATATTTAAGGGAGATACTTCCATTTTATAGATAAAGAAACTGAGATGAAGAGAGGTAAAATACTTGCTCAAAGTCAAGTAGATAAAAGTGTCAAACTGGGATTCAGCCTAGGTCTACTAGACGTCAGTGCTCAGGCTCTTTACTGTTTTGCCATTTTACCTCTGATTGTGCTATATTTACTACCTTTTGCATTATAAAGAGGCTCCAGTATGTGAACCTGTACAGATAACTCACAGAGCATTGTATTGGTCTCCTTATAGCTAGCTGTGTTAGTAGGCCTTGGGAATGGTACTGAGAAAGCAGTTTAAACCATGTCTAAAGCATTAGATTTTATAAAATGTCATTTCTATATAATATAGCTATCAAATACTGAGAATAATTATTGGGAGTGAAGAGCTATTGGTCCCAAAGAACTTTCTCTATTTTTAGTCCCTAATCTTCCTGAAAGTCCCACAAAGTTGCTATAAATCACAGCAAAAAGAAGACAAAGGGATCTCAGAAAATCTCTTTTTATTGGTGAGAAGACAGCTACAGCAGTCTCTCTTTCTGCATTCTATTTTTCTTTTTTAATGTTGCTTACCTTTGTTTGTATAATTCTTTTGGATTTTTAAGTTTCATATATTTCCTTAGCTTTCCTTCCAGGAGTTTTGCTAATATGGATTTGCTCTATTCAAAATCTCAAAACCATGTGTTTTGTTAATTTTTTGAAAATGCATAGTAATGAAGTGATCATGAAATTTTATTAGATTAAAATTATCTACTTTAATGACTGACAAAAAGAAAACATTCAGAAAAGAAAATAGGTTTATCCTATTTAAGAATATATAAAATATTGATATTAAGGCAAAAATGAATTTGAGCAAGTTAATTATATTTGTGCAAGAAATTAATGAAATTTTCATCCTACCTGAAATCACATGCTGTAGTAAATTCTGCTCCTCCACCCAATGCCCAACCTTGAACCAGCGCAACACTTATTAAAGGAAGTCTGTATATTGAAGAAAAAACTGATGTTACTATTTTTAATTTCAATATTCATTTACAAATGTTATTTTTTAAAAAATCTTAAAATGCAGTGGAAACAAAATTATTGCACTGTCTTCATAAAAACAAACACACATCAAAGGATAGCAGAAGCTTGAACCTTTACATCATGAGAAGAAAAACAGTGTAATACTAAACATACAATAGTTCACAATAAATGCCACATAAGTTCATTAAAATACCTCCCTGAATCATTATATATTTTTAAGCTATAGCCATATTGTAACTTACTCCCAAATAAATGGATGCTTTTGTCTAATTTACAGCTCCTGGAACTTCTCAGCAGCTGGCTCTTCAGAATAATTCCATGTGATATTATCTTTGTCCATTTTTGTTGGTATCAGGTTAAAAGTTGGAAAATCAAGGCTATTTCCAAAGGTTGGAAATGTGTTACAGAAGATAGGGCTCCAAAACTGTGTTATGAAGTTTCCTTCAAAAATCTACTCATTGTTGCCTGAAATAATCCACAGACTAATCCTATATAAAGGCATGATTTTGCAGTAAAAATAAATCTTTTACCTTTCCTGTTTGCAAAGACCCACTTTGCAGGGGTGTGTGAATACAAGGTAAATCTAAAATGTTTTCCAAGATGGAATTTTTGTAGGTTCTGACCTACAATGCAAAGGTGCAGGTCTAAAGTAATTGAAAATTTCCTAATATACACTGCTCCCATGTAGAAAGGATTATTTAAAAAAATAATAACTTCAGATTTATCTATGAAAAAGTCAAATGCAATAGGAAAAGGAGGTGAATAGGGTTTAAACAATGAAGATACTATTTTAGAATAGTAATGTTATGATTCTATTACTCTCTCTAGACTCTCAGATACAATAGGTACCAAAAATACAGTAATGTCCAATTAATAACCTTGCTTAAATAAGAATTTCCTTACTTTTCATAATTTTAAATTTGTCTACATTCGGAATGTGAAAGTAGAAAGCTAATCAACCAAAACATGTCAGTTTGTAACCTCAAACATACCTTGATAGGCCAAGAAGAATTTTTCCTCTTTGCTTCTTTACCTAGGTGCAAAGTCAATTCATATTCCTCAGAAAGCTGTAAAAACTTTCCAATCCATAGTTCTTTTTCTCATCTCCTCTGGATACAGACCACTTCACCACACATTCTACTAATTTGGAATATTAGGTAAACTTTATGTGTCATGTCTTGATCAGTGTCTTTATTATTCTGCTCTAATACCAGTATTTAACTTTCCCAGTATCTATTCCTAAATACAGCTAGTTATATAAGCTCTTTAGGGGATATGTCTTAAATTTTTCTTATCTTTCATTTCTCTTATTTTTAAAATACATATGTATATACTTCATTAACATGTAATTAAATGATTATCCTCTACGGCACAAAAAAATAGTACATCATTAGAATAGATGTAATTTGAAAATTAGCTATTATTTCTTAACTAGTACAAATAATGGAATAGCAAAAAGCTATTTTTGGTCTTTTAGAAATCATATTTTAAAAAGAAGGCTGCATTACCTCATAAATCTTGTTAAGGTGTTTTGCATGAACATGCATACGGCCATTCCATCCTTTAAATAAAAATAAGCAGAAACACAAAGGTATAATGCAAATATATTACATTAAATTTTTTAAATTAAGGTTTTAGAAAGTAATGAAGCCAAAAATATGTCTTTTTTAAACAATGACATTTCCATTTAAAACTCTTTGATGTTGTCTGAAATGCAAATAATGCTGTATTTGACTGTTGATATCCTAGGGCTCCTTGAGCTCAGCTTTGCATGAGGTATTAGCAAAGATGTAGGGATAAGAGACAGATCACATACCCTAGATCACTATGGAGTTCTACTCAGGGTAATGACAGGGGAAAGGCATAAGATATACCCATCTGTTATCCTTAAGATGATAAACATATAAGAGAAGAAGGGAAAGAAGGGAAAAGTTATGTTAAGCTTTGATTTTTAAAAAAATATTTCTAAGGCTTTATCTTGGTATTGCCACAACTTATAATTTTCACAAACAAATTTCCTAAGAGTAGTCCAAACTCATTGCCTTGTCTTTTTTTTAGCTCACATACTTTCTTCAATCCAGTGTAATCTGGCCCTCTGCCTTATCCCAAAATCTCTCCTCAAAAGCTTTTAATAATCTCCTACTTGTCAAATTAAATGACTTTTCCTTATTCACCTTTTCTCTCTCCATAACACGTAGTATCTTTCTTTAATCAGTTTCTTCATTCTCATATTTGCTCTCACTTTCTAGCAACATTTACACACCTGGTTCTCTTATTTCTTTGTTTGTTCTTTTCCAGTCTTCTTCCTTGGCTCTTCTTATCCAGCTAATCCCCTAAATCCATGCAGTTTCAAAATTCTAATCCATGATTTTCTCTGTTCTTTATTTATAATTTCTTTTTTTTGGAAGTCTCATCTACTTCCATATAAAGTGCTAAAATCTACTAGACATTTTCACATTCTGATAGCACCTCAAACTCAGCACGGCAAAACCAACTGAAAGTAAAAGAACTGACTTTGAATCCTAGTGCTGCCACTTAATAACAACATGAAATTGAGCAAGTCATGACTACGTAATTCAGTTTCCTCATTCATAAGAAATGAGAAATTAAAAAAAATTGCACTATTTGACTTAAAGGATGTTTAGAAAGATGAAAATATACCTAGAAACTCTATAAAAGATTGCATAAGTGTTCTGTGTTAGTGGAAAAAGTTAGTGTAAGAGTTCTGAGCTAGCGGTCAATAAGGCTCAGATTTTTGGTACTATGTTTGACTTTCCCGTTTCACAATTCTCCCACACTCAGTTAGTTACCAAGTACTTCCCCTCGGATCTACCTTAGAAATATTTCAAATATCAATCCCTTCTTTTATATTTTTGCTGCTGCTGCATTAGTTCATACCTGTGTTACTCAAGCCTTGATTAGTACAGTAAGATGGCTTTGCTTTCTCCCACCCAAGGACTAATCAGACCCAACACTGATTAACTTCTGAGATCGGCAAGATTGGGTGCATTCAGGGTGGTATGGCTGGAGACAACAGCTTTGCTTCCTAACTGATTTCTGTATTTAATTTCTTTTTCCTCTTAAATATAATCTTCCATCCTGCTACCTGATAAACCTTCCTGTAGGATGATGATGTCTTATAGAATAAAACCTAAATTTCTTGGCAAGGCCACTTGATCCCAAACTATCTTATCAACTTTATTGATTACCATACCCCTCCTCCAAGCATCCTAATTTCACCACACAAACTATTTGCCATCCCTCTAACACCTTACACTTATTGTGGCTCCTGTGTCTTTGCTTTTATCATTCCTACTAGTTGTAATAGGCTGTCCTTCTCTCTACCTATTTCAAGGAATGCCCAGATCATATAATATTTTTCCATCAAGATTTTCTAAATCTCACAATAACAATTTTCTCTTTTGTGTTTCAACAGTATTTTTATTTTTATGCCTTAATTATAGTACTTATAAATTGTGTTGTATGAATATGTGTTTAGATGCATTATCAGACACATCATCTCTACAAGATGGGGACTAGAGAACCTAAGAAGTTCTCAATAATTTTGCCAGAGATACAGAAATACAACTATCAAAGTACAGGTATTATACAAAGTGCTTGAACAAACTCAGAAGAGTGTCAAAGAAGAAATTATTCATTTCAATTGGGATGGGGGTAGTTAGACAGGCTTTAGAGAGGAGAAGGGAAGGTGGCATTTGCTAGGTCTAGACAGTAAGTCCCTTGATGGTGACAGTATGCCTTCCCCCTCCTCAGACGCTAGTAAAATGTTTTGCACATAGTGTTTGTTGAACTTAAAAAAATTAGATGAATTTTAGATGGAGAACTATGTTGATTTATAAAACAAATGCAGTCAAGAAAAAGTAAAAGCCAATGTGGAAGGAATTTCCTAATCCAAAGCTGTTATCAGGAAGATCAGTGTATCTCACGAAGTGATGAGAAAATTAACACAGGCACGAGGAGCTAAAAAGCTTTCAAAGTAAACTGGTTTATTCTCTGCTAAAAACCTTTCCAATAAAATCTGTTCTATTACCTATATCAAGTAATTTTAATATGCATATTTGCTCTTGCTACATTTAGATTACATAAAATTCCAATGAAGTATCTAGAATTGGTAGAAATAAAGGTGAAGCAAATTATTAGCCTGTGTACTATTATAATTTTCATTCAAAAGACAAAAGGCACGCTAAAAATGTCTATTAGAAGCAGTATGAAGTAAACGGTTAGGAGCACAGTTTCTAAAGCCAATCTGCCTACATTTGAATCTGGGCTCTAGCACTTTCTAATTAGTTTGACTTTGCCCAAGCTGCTTAACCTCTCTGTCCTACAGTCTCTTATCTGCAAATTGTGCTAACAGTAGTATATATTTTATTAAGGGAGCTAGTAATGATTAAGTTATGGCACAAAATAAGGTTAGAACAGTGTCTGACATACAGTAAGAGAATAAAAGTTATCTATCATTATTATTAATATTACTAACAATACTGGCAATAGATAATGAGTATGTTTTGGTTTTAAGTGTATCATAAAACAGAAGTTTAAGCAGTAATGGCCAACATGCCCTAGAGATGAGAAAGATTTCATTAAATTTGTCCTCCAAAGTTATTAAGCCCACAATGGTTAAATGCTCTGTCCTCTCACTGGGTTGAAGAAAGCAAATAAGCCAGTAAGAGATATCTGTGATAGAGTAAGCTGTGGGTGAGGAACCAGTAAAAAGCTAGACCTGCTCTAATGTATAAAAGCTGGAAGCTGAGAAGTACTAAAACAAGGTTTTCAAAGTTGCTGCAGACAGTGATATTTTCATGCTATCTGGATGATACCTGAGATCCAACCCTACTCCTCTAGCTCCTTCTCATAAAACAAGGATAAGAAGAACAATGCTCAACCAAAATGCCAAAAGGAATGATTAACATCATATGTACTCTAAGCCATGTTTAGAGTGGAAAAATGCCCAGCCTGTAGAAGTATCTTATTTAGAAACAAAAATAAGCCCTTTCTTAAGTGCTTGTTGTATGGATTTATTAATTTCCTCAAAATACATGGAAGAGCTTAGAGAAAATTAAAATAGTTTTTTTTTTGCTAGAGTATTGCTCTGTCTCCCAGGCTGAAGTGCAGTGGCGTGATCTTGGCTCACTGCAACCTCCACCTCCTGGGTTCAAGTGATTCTCCTGCCTCAGCCTTCTGAGTAGCTGGGATTACTGGCACCTGCCACCATGGCCAAGTAATTTTTGTATTTTTAGTAGAAACGGGTTTCACCATGTTGGCCAGGTTGGTCTCGAACTCCTGACCTCAGGTGATCTGCCCACCTCGGCCTCCCAAAGTGCTGGGATTACAGGTGTGAGCTACCGTGCTTGGCCGCTTGTCTGTAAATTAATCAGGGTATGGTACAATAGTAGTAGCAAACACAAGGAAGTCAGACAAGAACTTTGAGGTCACCATAGAAACATAAGCAACAGAGATCGAAGGAACAATAGATTGGGAGAAAAGTAACAAGGAAAGTTAAGGGACAAAGGAGGATATAGTCTTCAAGGTAGATTAAGAACAGAAAGGTTTCTAAATGCCAGACTTTTCCTTGAGGCATTATACTGATCCATTGAAGACTAAGCAGGTTTTTATTTCTCCATATTCTGAAGCTTATAACTGCACTTTGATTACTTATTCCCTCTGAAAAGAAACTTCTTATAGCCTACAGGACATCTGTGGCATCAAATCCAAGTCTTAATATTTAAATATATTTTTTTCTATTTTATTCCTTTGTCTTTCCAATACATAACTTTTCAGCAGGGTTAATGTTTGTGTTATCCTAGTGGATCTCCTGGCCTCTACCATCTGAACCAAGAATTAACTGCCTAATAGGGACAGTTGGAGCTCTTTTCCTGCACAATAACCAAAGCATACCAAGACGCGATCAACTTCTTATGGGATCAGTTACACTTAAAAGAAAAAAAAAGTGGAATAATAGATAAGAAATATAATAAAATATTGATAGGGTTGATGCTCTTATGGGTACATGAGGGTTTCACTGTATTAGTCTCTGCTTTTACCTGTATTTTGTAGTTTACATTAATAAAAAGCTTTTTAAAACTGAAAAAATACAGTAGTAAAAACATCAAAATAATTATATTTTTATGATAAAAAAGCCACTTAATCACTTCCAAGCATTTTATCACTATTAGAAGGGAATATAATCTAATTGCTAAAATTGTCATATATTTCAGTTATCTCATCATCCTCAGAAAGCAAATTCAGCAAGTAAGTAGATGCTAGTGATGCATCTGTAACAACAAAGAGTAAGTATTTGGATAAAGAAGAGCCTCACTAACAGACAAACTGTTTATAACTTAAAGCCATGATAAGTTTCAGAATGTTTCAGCCATGAGGGGTAGATGCATTTATATGTTGCAGCTGTAACTCATATATAATACATGTATAAGCCTCAAAAGTCCTGAGGCCATTTTAAGTTTCAGCTTTACACAGATTTATAGTTCCTTCTCAAGTATATAGGAATATAGTTTATAGGAAACATGGAAATATCGGGAACTTTACATAAACTATTTCTAGTTCTTGTTAATTTTAAAATCATAATGTGATAAACACATTCCATACTTTATATGTATTGTTACAATTCTTAAAATTATCCATATTCAAAGTGCTTACTTTTATGCTATATATTTCTTATACTATGACTTCAGAGATTTCATTAAAGGATAATAAAGAATTCATCTACCCTATAAAATGCTTTTTCAAATAGCTGGACGTCGGGCCAGGTGCAGTGGCTCACGCCTGTAATCCTAGCACTTTGGGAGGCTGAGGCAGGTAGATCACCTGAGGTCAGGAGTTCGAGACCAGCCTGGCCAAAACAGTGAAACCCCATCTCTACTAAAAATACAAAAACTAGCCAGGTGTGGTGGCGGGTGTCTGTAATCCCAGCTACTTGGGAGGCTGAGGCAGGAAAATTGCTTGAACCCAGGAGGTGGAGGTCACAGTGAGCCAAGATCACACCACTGTACTCCAGCCTGGGCAACAGAACCAGACTCCATCTCAAAATAAACAAACAAAAAAGTAGCTAGGCCTGGTGGTTCATGCCTGTAATCCTGGCACTTTGGGAAGCCGAGGAGGGCAGATCATTTGAGGTCAGGAGTTTGAGACCAGCCTGACCAACATGGTGAAACCCTGTCTCTACTAAAAATACAAAAATTAGCTGGGCATGGTGGCCCACGCCTGTAATCCCAGCTACTTAGGAGGCTGAAGCAGGAGAATCACTTGAACCCAGGAGGCGGAGGTTGCAGTGAGTCGAGATCGCTGCCACTGCACTCCAGCCTGGGTGACAGAGCAAGACTCTGTCTCAATAAAATAAAACGAGATCAATGTTTTAAATAAAATAAGATTCTGAGTTCTAGGCATACTCATTGTAAAGCAGATTCACCATTCCACATTTCCTTGATAAGACTGACAGATGTATACAGCAACAAGTGACGAACACTTGCAGTAATACTACTCCTCAGCTGTTAACCAAGATTTACTTCAGGCACTGAAAAGAGCAGATTACTTGGAGAATGTAGGTACTAGAAAGAATGAACTTTACTAAGTGATTCCTTATTTGAAGCTGGAATAAAAACTCTCTCCATGTTTTCCTGCATGACTTATGCCAGACCAATGATGTATATATACTATATATATATGTGTGTATATATATATATACAATGATGTATATATAAAACAATAAGCATGTTTCCACTTCCATCTCTAAATATATAGAAAAAGAATCGTGGTCACATGATCTAAAGAGACAGAAACAACCTTCTAACTAAAAGAAAATTAGAAAGTAAAATAACCACTCACTTTTTAGAGATGTTTTCCTAACCAGCTTATATCAAACCCACAACAGTCTATTATATCATTCTGTCTTTAACAGTGTCTTTCATGAACTAAGGTGAACAGTGATACAACCATTTGAGAGATGAAAAATACATATATATAGGTTGAGCTATGAAAATATGAAATCTAAACGCTCCAAAATCTAAAACTTTTTGAGTGCTGACATGATACTGTAAGTGGAAAATTCCACACCTGATCTCATGTACACAAACTTTGTTTTGCGTACAAAATTAATGAAAATACTGTATAAAATTACCTCCAGGCTGTGTGTTTAAGGTGTATATGAAATATAAGTGAATTTTTTGTTTAGAGTTGGGTTCCATTCCCAGGATATCTCATTATATATATATATGTAAATATTCCAAAATCTGAAAAAATGTAAAATCTGAAATACTTCTAGTTCCAAGCATTTTGGATAAGGGATACTCAACCCGTATAATCAAATGACTTGCAGGTGACATAGCTAATTATTAGATCTTGGAGGGAAAAATCCGTCTTTTCAAATTTCCAGCTTAGTGCTATAACCGTTCAGATACATCACAAATTTAAGTCTAGTGGGGTGCTACAAATTATGCATCATCTCATTAATGATAATGTTTACTAATCTCAAGATCTTTGAAATAAAAATAATAGCTACCTTTTTCAGATACGGTGCTAGTAGGCACTTTATATATATTATCTTGAATCCTCACAATAGCTCAGCGAAATATCCACTATACTCCTCATTTATAGACTAGGAAAATAAGATTTAGAAAGATTAAGTGACTTGCCCAATCACTTAGCCAGAAAGTATTGAAACCAGCTTTCAAATCCAAGTTTATCAAAGCCAGTGTTCTGATTAACCAAAAGATTCTTCCTCACATGTGCAAATAATAATCATATACTACATACAGTGGCATGAGACTTATGGAATATCATGAAAACTTTACTTTTTTCCCTTTCTAATTTCATTTCCTTCCTTTCTTTTCTTTTCTTTGTTTTTCCTAGAAGATGTGGTAGAGGGGGAAGGAGCACTGAATTCATGAAAACAAGTTCCTTGGAGGATTGATAAAGGAAGATGATAGTATTTCTACTCTGTCAGGGTAATTCAAAAGCATATTTTTAAATTTGTTACTACTTCTTGAACTTTACTATGTGCCAGAACTAGGTGATTTATATACATAGCTCATGTAAAACTTATCATGAGATGCTAAAGAGCTTCCACTTAAAGGAATTCAAATTCTTGCTGATTTTTAATGATGACCACTTTTGTTCATTGCTAATCTTCCTGTCCTTCATTTTCTTCAGCCCTTCCCACTACTGCACCCTAATCTTTAAAAAGCAAAACAAATAAACAATAACAAAAGTACTGACTTCATATGACTGCTAAAGGAAAAGTGATGATATTGAATTTGATCTATCATCTTAATATTACTAATTTATATTACCTATTTAAAATGTTACAGTAGCTCCCTCTAGTTTACAAAGCACTTTAGAATACATTAGCTAACTCAATCCTCAAAAACGCCTGTGAGATAGATTTTATATATCCCATGGAGCTGAGGCTAAGAGGAAATTGAGCAACTTTCTCATTTAGTTGAGTGGCAGGCCTATGTCTAAACCCAAGACTTCTCACTCTGCATTAAGAGCTTTTCTTTATCCTATTTTAGTCACAGGTAGGCTCGACTAACCCAGGAATGTGCTATATCAATGTACTTGAAAAACAGAAACACCTAACACCTAGATCTTAGTTTCTATCACCATCCTCTACCATTTTCCATAACCAGGACTCCTTGAAGAAATCACCGATTATATAATTGGAGCAGGGAAAATACAAGATTAACTTGGAGTATCTAATAATACTAGAAAGTAAGGGAGTACTCAAAAAACAAAAGGATAGGGGAGTGACAAAAGAAGACAGGACTTTGGGTCTTTGGTCTTTGGGCTTCCAATGGCCAAAGCTGGAACAATTTGAGCAACAAAATGAATAATGCATATAAAATAAATATCCATGAGTGCATATTGATATAAATAACTGAATAAATAAGTATGTGAGTAAATGGGGAAGAAGACCCAAATCCCCCTTACATAAGAATAATGGACTTATATGTCCCCCTTCCAGGAGATGGAATTTATTTTCCCTTCCCCCTTGAGTGTAGACTAAACTTAGTAACTTGCTTCCAAGGAGTGGAGTACGGAAAGTAAATTTAAAATAGAGTAACCAGGCAAACACTATCTTCGCCAGGTGACCAAGGTTAACATCATTAGTGATAAGTCACCTTGACAGCATATTCCCTTGATGTGATGTGATGAAAATAGAAGCTTACCTCTGGTCTTTCTCTCAGAATCCCATAACCCCAGCCTAATATGAGAAAAACACCAGACAAATTCCATTTGAAGGATATTCTACAGAATATCTAACCAGCACTCTTCAAAACTGCCAAGGTCATGAAAAACAAGGTAAGTCTGAGAAACTATCATAGGTAAGAGGAATCTGAAACAATGACAGCTAAAGGTACTGTGGTGTCCCGGATTTGATCTTGAAGCAGAAAAGGGATACCAGTAGAAAAAGTACTGAAATATGAATGAAGTGTGGAGTTTCTTTTTTCTTTTTAACACTTTGTTGAATTATGACTAACAGGTAAAAAGCTGTACATATTCAATGTATACAACTTGATGAGTTTGTAGATAAGTATACACCCATTAAACCATCACCACTCTCAAGGCCCTGACATATACACTACCTCCCAAAGTTTCCTCCCACCCCTTTTATTATTATTATTATTAACTTTGTGTGTATGTGTAACAAGAACACTCAAGACCAATCCCTGCCCATCCCCACCACCAAGCCCCTGATAATCACCATTCCAGTCCTGGCTTCTCTGAGTTTCACTATTTTTTTGAGACAGGGTCTCACTCTGTCACCCAGGCTGGAGTGCAGTGACACCAACATGGCTCAATGAAGCCTTAAGCTCCTGGACTCAAGCAACCTTCCCGCCTCAGCCTCCCAAGTAGCTGGGACTACAGGCATGTGCCAGCACACCCGGCTAATTTTTTTAATTTTTTGGTAGAGACAAGGACTGGCTATGTTGTCCAGGCTAGTGTTGAACTCCTGGCCTCAAGCAATCCTCCCATCTCAGCCTACCAAAGCACTCATATTATAGGTGTGAGCCACCATGCTAAAATAGGTTTCACTATTTTAGATTCCATATATAAATGAAATCATACAGTAGAGTTTCATTAATAGTAAAGTAACAATGTGGGTTGATATGGTTTGACTCTGTGTCCCCCAACCAAATCTCATGTCAAATTGTAATTCCCAGTGTTGAAGGATGAAGGAGGGGCCTGGTGGAAGGTGACTGGATCATCGGGGTGGATTTCCCCCTTGCTGTTCTTGTGATAGTGAATGAGTTCTCATGAGACCTTGTTGTTTGAAAGTGTGTGGTACTTCTCCCCGCCCTCTGGCTCCACCATGGTAAGATGTGCTTGCTTCACCTTTGCCTTCCACCATAATCCTAAGTTTCCTGAGGCCTCCCAGCCATGCTTCCTGTATAGCGTGCAGAACTGTAAGTCAATGAAATGTCTTTTCTTCATAAACTACCCAGTCTCAGGTAGATCTTTAGAGCAGTGTGAGAACAGACTATCACATCGGTTCATTAGTAGCAATAAATCTATGTACCATAGGAATATAAGATGTTAATAAAAGGGGAAACTGGATGCAGGGTGTACAGGAACTCTGTATTCCATCTGCAACTTTCCTGTAAATTTAAAATTATTCTAAAATTAAAAATATTTTTTAAAAAAGAAATCAATACACTTAAAAATAAACAGACAAAGTGGGGCATTTGAGGGGGCTGGAGTAACATTAACAGCAAGAGAGAGAGAGAATCCCACCCTCCAAAATATCTAACACAACTGAGAGTGTTCTGCTAAACTAGAAATAACAGTAATTTCAAAGCTTTTAACAAGAGCCGTTCGCAGATATACTACTAGTAAAACCTCAGAATCATTTGCTTGTTATATTGTTCCTCCTATAATCCTACCAAAAACAAAACAAACCAAAAAATCCCCATAATCCTTTGAAAGTTATTAAAGTCATCATAACCATTAGTAAAATATAAATGTATCTGCCATACATGTCTAATAAACATGTAGAATCAAATGCATAATTCATATAACACTTGCCTCTGGAGTTCCTAGTGATTTCACAGCATTCAGATCAGATCCTGAAGAGAAAGTATTTTTTGCCCCACGGACAATGAGGCCTTTCCCCTCTGTCCAATTTTCCAATTCAATTACTTTTTCCAGAAGTTGTAGCATCATAACACCTGCCAGAGATGGAAGTGGGAAATCACAAATATATGAAGGTGACTGGAAAAACAGAAATAATTTATAAATCACAAGTGTCAAGCATACTCTTAGGTCCTATATTTTATAAATATTTACTGAGTGTCTATCAAATGCCTACTGCACTGGCACTATGGAGTATACAGAAGAGGTACACATGGCAGGCCCTGCATTGTAAATGTAAATTTATTATGTGTCTATCTCTCCATTTATCTTAAGAAATCACATAAATATATGATTATGTAGAAGAATAAGAATATACTATGCTGTCCTAAGAATAAGAAAACGATATGGTAATAAGAAAAAATTATTTCTTAGGGTAAAGATAAGACATAGACCTGACTTCTCAGCAATACATGTCTCAGTCAATAAAGCTTTATGGGTATAACATGACTATGAGATCTTATGATATATTGGACATATGGTATACAGAACAAAACACAATTCCTATACTACTGACATCAGAATTAGTATAATAGGATGTTAATTGAGGAAATGAGTAATAAATACCATCTTGTTCCATGGTTAACAAACTGTCCTCTGAGGGGCTTGAGGCATACGATGGAAGTTCTTCACAGGCCTACCAACCATTGATTCTATGATTTATAGATTGTTACCTTGATATTACTCCAAAATTCTATTGGAGCTTCTTTATAATAGACAAATTTAACACAGAAACAGCTGGGACTGGCATTTTAAGATCTAATCAATAACTTTTAGATATGCTTATCTTTGGTGATCTTCTAAGTTCACAAAGTTCATGGTTTTCAACATGACTAGTTTTAATTTCCTCTGCCTAGGCAATGCTTTAGAAGCCAATGTATAAAGATCATAACAGCGGGTTAAAACTGGCAAAAAATTTGTACCACAAGGTTCCAAAAGATGGCCCCATTAAATTATGTACACTTCTTTGGAATATAAATCCCACAATGTCAAGAACTATTATTTTCTTTGCCATTTTCTGAAGTAGCCAGGAGTGAGGTGGCTCCACAGTAAATGTTATGTTAATGATACTAACTCACAAATGACTAATGCAGCTATCCTTTCTTATGGCTAATTATGACCTACAGTCATGCACCAACAATGTATCACATATACCATGGTGGTCCCAAGATTAAAATAGAGCTAAAAAATTCCTATCACCTAGTAACCATCATAGCCATTGTAATGTAGTACAATGAATTATTCACATGTTTGTATTACAGTTGCCTATAGTATTCAGGAAGTAACACACTGAATAGGTTTGTAGCCTAGGAGCAGCAAGCTGTATCATATGGTATAGGTGTGTAATAGGTTATACTATCTAGGTGTAAGTACACCCTACAATGTTCACACAATGACAGAGTCACCTAACATATTTCTTAGAATGCATCCCCATCACAAAGCAACAAATGACTGCACTTAAAACTGTAACCCTTTCCAAGGATGTCCTAGATCCTTTAGAAATATCGTTCTTTTGCTTTCAAGTGATATATAGTCTAGTAAGGGAAAGAAGAAACCCATATTTTTAGTATAAGAATAAATCTGTATAGGTTAATATGGGCCTTTAATCACTCATAATATTTAAGGTTCTAAAAAACAGGCCGGGTGCAGTGGCTCACGCCTGTAATCCCAGCACTTTGGGAGGCCAAGGCGGGCAGATCACGAGGTCAGGAGATCGAGACCATCCTGGCCAACACGGTGAAACCCCTTCTCTACTAAAAATATAAAAAAACTAGCCGGGCGTGGTGGCAGGCGCCTGTAGTCCCAGCTAGTCCGGAGGCTGAGGCAGGAGAATGGCGTAAACCCGGGAGGCAGAGCTTGCAGTGAGCTGAGATCGCGCCACTGCACTCCAGCCTAGGCGACAGAGTGAGACTCCATCTCAAAAAAAGTAAAATAAATAAAATAAAAATAAATAAATAAAAAAAACAATGTTGGCCTTTGTTTTAAAACCTTTCCTATGGTGCTGATTTTTTTTTAAACCTTTCCTATGATGCTGAAATGCTGGCCATGAGAATAAGAAAAATCCATACCAGTAGTTACTGTTAAACTAATCTTTTCAAGTTTGCAAAGTAAACCTCAAAAGATGGAAGAGACCTTAAAGAGTATCTAACTGAATGATTTTTAAACAAGGGCCTTGAGTGCTCATTCATCCTCTCCCAATCCAACTCCACCAAATACCATTACCCAAATCAAAGCATTAGTTTTATATATTATGCATCAAAATAATATGTTTCTAATTGAATAAAAAATTATTTGTAACTTTTCAGAAATAAATCATCACTATTGATCCAATTTAACCTTCTAGAGAAATTTTACCTTTCAATTTCTATTTTTCCTGGACTAATATTAAATTGGTTTTTATTCCCTAAACCAACTGAACATATAGAACTACAAAGTCTAATAAGGTAGTCACTAGTCACCTGTGTGTACTGAGCACTTGATACGTGGCTAGTCCAAATTAAGATGTGTCATAAGTATAAAATAAATACCAGATTTCAGAGACTTAGTATGAAAATAAAAAGAAAAATACCTCATAATTGTTTATATTAGTGACATATTGAAAAAAATATTTTGGATATACTGAGTTATAAGTGAATTGTTAAACTTAATTTTACCTTTTTTAAATTTTTTTAAACTATGGTTACTAGAATATTTAAAATTGCACATGTGGCTCACCTTTGTTTCTTACATTATGTTTTCATTGGTCAGCACTGGTATAGAGAAATCTCTCTGAATTCTGGTAAGTGGAGAGAAAAGTCATCTTGGGTTTAAAGACTCACCACTGGTAATTTACAAAGGGTTTACAGACTATTGAATTATGTCTATAGTACAACTGTATATAAAGTAGATACATGAAAATTTTGTGAGATTTTCTGAGCCTCAAATTTCAAATGCTACTAAAGATTATAATCATGAAGTGCATAACTGAAAAGGAGAGATTACTAAAATCAACTTGAAAATAGGAGTGGTGAGTATTCAACAAGGCTACTCATTAGCTCCTGCATAACACAGTGGTAGCGTAGTTCAAATTTGAGCTTCAGCAAAAATTACAAAGTACCACATGTCCTGCATCTTCAGTTCTCTTAAATATAAAATTCTTATATGCTAAGAGTGTTGACTAGAAAATAGAAGGCATTCACCAGTATCTAAGAGTTAGGGAAGATTCCACAGCTGGACAAGTGCCGTGTTTCTTCTGTAACCATGGAATTAAAAGGTTAAAAACTAACAATGATTTTATTTCAATTCACAGAAAAAAATTAAGCTAAATAATTCTTTTCATTAACAGGCTTTTCTCTTTAGTTTCAGGAACTCTTTGAAACCTCTTTCTCCTTGTTTCCTAGTAGCATTAGCTGAAAACAAATGAAGTTATTAAACAGTTAATGAATTTCGGTGGAAAATATAATCAAGATTAATTTAGATTTCCTTTTTATCAATATCTGTATTAATGAGTTTTCTGAAAACATTCAAATATCCATAATCATTAAAAGTTACTTAAAGTGTTTCTAGTTCATATTACAGAGTTGTTGTTTTTGTTATTTTTCTCATGTTCTACCAAGAGTACAAGGACTTTAAAACATTCTGTCACCACAGCAAGGATAAAAAAACTTGTGATAACAGTTTAGATTTAGTGTCATTCTTTAGGAATAAAAAGATCCCTAATACCTGAAAAGGCATTCATTCTACTTGGATTGTTCAGAGTAAGAATGCCAATGCCATTGTCTTCCTTCTGAAGGTCAATGGATCCACCAGGAAACTGCTGAAGTGTTTTTTTCACTTCTTCCTCATAAAATCCATGGGATGTACTATAAAGTGACAATCCTGTTTGATGTAGCAATTTTGTCCTTCCAGACAGAGAGGCTGTCTTCAAAAGACTTTTCGCCATTTCTGGAAAACAGAAATAAGTATGCGGTAGTATAGATGAATAGGCACTCACTTTTCTAATATTATGTGTTAATAGGCTGTAGTAATGGACCCTTCTGTTGAGTTGGGAATACTTCCCCATTTCTTTTTTTTTTTTTTTTGAGACAATTTCACCCTGTTGCCCAGGCTGGAGTACAGTGAAGCTCTCAGCTCACTGAAACCTCTGCCTCCCAGCTTCAAACGATTCTCCTATCTCAGCTTCCCAATTACCTGAGACTACAGGCACCCATGACCACGCCTGGCTAATTTTTATATTTTTAGTAGAGGCAGGGTTTCACCATGTTAACCAGGCTGGTCTCGAACTCCTGACCTCAAATGATCCACCCACCTCAGCCTCCCAAAGTGCTGGGATTATAGGCGTGAGCTGTCCCATCTGGCCACTTCCCCATTTCTAAAAGCACTCTTTCAGGAAATGATCAGTATGGAATTCCTTTCATTTTTCCCTCCTTCTCAAACCAAATAATTCACAAAGCATATCATTTCAGTATATATCACTAAGAGACAATGGCATAATTACAGTATATTTACTGTGCTCCAATACAATAGGAAAGCTTAGAAAAAATGCTGCTCTGTATTTTGCACCATCTCCTGCCTCTAGGTAGTCTTTTGCATCACATGCTTCTTCATTCTCCAACTCTTAACTTTTTTAAAATCTAAGAATAAATATAGTCCAAGTGTCCCCTTGGAAACAGCCTCTATGCAGAAATGCTGCAAGAGCAATCCCACTCTCTAACAGAAGTTTTATTCTTAGCATTATTCTTACCTTCTGCAAAGCTTTCAGGCAAAAAGCTGGAAAGGGTCCTAAGAAAAATGGGGAGGGAAATAGGAATGTGTGTGTGGTTTTTCTGTTCCCCAAGGTTCTGTCACTTTTCTCCTCTTAATTTTTACCTCCTGAGTAATCTCATCTCTGCCCATAAGCTTTTCTTGCCCTATGTAAACATCCTTGTTGATATAAGATTATATGCAAAAAAGTATATAAAATATAAGTTACAGTTCAATGAATTTTCACAAGGTGAATACATTCTAGTAAATGGAACCCAAATCAAGAAACAGAACATAACCTGAAGCTCACAAGATCCTCTGTGTCACCTTTCAGTCAAAACCCTTCAAGTAAAAGTAACTTCTTGACTTCTAATACACGAGATTACTTTTGAACTTTATATAAATACTATATATTGTGTGTCTGGTTTCAATTTTATTAGCATCCATTAGTGTTATGTGTAATCAGAGTCTAAATAGTCCATTATTCTCATGGCTGTATTCTATTTGTGAACCCAAAATATCTGAGACAGGTCTCAACCAATTCAGAATATTTATTTTGCCAAGGTTAGGAATGCACTCAAGACACAGACTCAGGAGGTTCTGACCACATGTGCCCAAGGTGGTCGGGGTATGACTTGACTTTTACACATTTTGGGGAGACATGGGACATCAATCAATATGTGTAAGATGTTCACTGGTCTGACTGAGGTAAGGCAGGACAACTCTAAACTTCTGTGGGGGAGGGTGGTGGGGAGGCAGGAGGTGGATGTAGGGGAGTTCTTCCGGGTCACAGGTAGATAATAGACAAAAGGTTGCATTCTTTTGAGTACCTCATCAGCCTTCTACTGAATACACAATTTAGTCTGGCTCAGTGAATCTGCATTTTTACATAAACAATAGGGCAGAGGAAGTAATCAGATGTGCATTTGTCTGAAGTTAGCAGAGGGATGACTTGCTTTTTGGGGGCAGGGGAGGGGTGTTTGAGACAGTCTCTCCTTTGTTGCCCAGGCTGTAATGCAGTGGGCACTATCTCCACTCACTGAAACCTCAGCCTCCCAGGTTGAAGTGATTCTCGTGCCTAAGCCTCCCGAGTAGCTGGGACTATAGGTATATGCCAACATGCCAAGCTAATTTTTCTATTTTTAGTAAAGACAGAGTTTCGCCATTTTGGACAGGCTGATCTCAAGTTCCTGGCCTCAAGTGATCCACCCACCTTGGCTTCCCAAAGTGCTGGGATTACAGGTGTGAGCCACCACGCCCAGCCCAGAGGGATGGCTTTCTGTCCAGCACCTATGAACATAAGCTATCGGTTTAAATGTCAGAGTGAAATTCAACAGAAGTTAGTTTTAGGGTAAAGATCTTAAGGATCACAAGGAATTTCCTTATGGACAAACTGGGAAGGAGGTATGTAGCTCTTTTATCTTTTCAGCCATCTTATTTAGGAATAATATAGGAGTTAGGTTTACCTGATGTAGTTCCCAGCTTGACTTTTCCCTTGGCTTAGTGATTTTGGGGTCCTGAGATCTATTTTCCTTTCACATATTATATAAATATACCACAATTTATCTATTCTAATCTTAATAGACATTTGGATTATTTCTAGCTTTTGGCATGACTATAGAGTAGTTATGAACATTTTAGCATGTGTCTTTTGATCAATACATACCCATGTCTGATGGGTATGTATCTAGGAATGAAATTGTTGGGTTGGTGTGCTGCGGCCCAGTCTACACTGATGATTAAACATTTATTTTGCAAGTTGGTTCTTTAAACTATCAGTAGCTTGAAATTGACCATGGTGGGACTACATGACATATCAATCATACTCTCTTTCTCTTACACACACACACACACACACACACACACACACACACACACACACACACAGTTTACCAGTATACCACCAGTTATAATGTATGCATTTGCTCAACCTTAGAATATACTGTCAGTTTTTTAAAATAGCTGTACAAATGTATATTCCCACAGGCAGTGAAAGCTCCAGTTGCTCCACAAGTATCACTTCTTCTTTGTTTTTTCTATTTTAGGCATTCTAGTGGATGGTATCTTACTGTGGTTTCATTTTGTGTTTCTATAATGTCTAACGAAGATAAACCCCATTTTCTTATGCTTATTGGTCATTTGCATATCATCTTTTGTGAAGTTCCTGTGCAAGCTTTTTGCCCATTATTTCTATTTATTTGCCTTTTTATTAATTTGTTAGAGATCTTTTATTCTTCTGCTCACAACTTTCCTAAAACCTACAAGACATGAATCTCACATTTCTATCTCTAATTCAGACCTTATGCCTGTACTCCTTAGTATTGCCTAACAGAAATGCAATCCCTTACCCCTCATTTCTAGATTTATCATAGGCTTCTCAAAATCATTATTTAATCCTGAACTCATACTTCACGTAAAACCCATTACTCCTTCTTTCCCTGAACTATTCATTGTATCATCAACCCTGTAATCTATGCCAGAAAACCTCTAAATCAACCCAGTCTCCTTCTCCACCACTATTTGGAGGTCCGTATGCAATGGCCCTCCAAAATGGTTACTTCCTTCTGATCTTTCCCTCTCCTATTACTAATACAGTTCAAACTTCATTACATATAATCTGAATTAATACAACAGTCACCAGTTAGTAGCATACTGTTCTTTAGAGTAATGTGGATATGATTATAATCCAATCAGGACATTTCAAATTTAAGGTTTCTCAGTAGCTGTCTACCAAAAGGATCAAGTCCAAAGCTTTTTTTAAATTCTTACCTAAATCCTGAATCTCTTCTCGTCTGATATCTCTACACAATCAATACAGAACACCAAATAACCAGAGTCCCACAAATTTACCATGCTATTTTATATTATTGCTTCTCCCCTATATTGTTCTTTCCTCCCTCATTAACCTGGTAAATCCCCAATCATTTTTAAAAACTGAATTTCTATATTTCCACCTAAAAGTGATTCCCCAAGTAAAGATAATCACTCCCTTTATTTATCCCAGCTCAGTATACTGCAATAATGTTCCATTTTAACACATTCCTCAAATCATTTCAATTTTTCATTTGTTTTTCTCAGTTGGAAGGATGCTTCCTGAGAGTATTCTGAGGTACATACTTTGTGTCACTAGTGGCTACAGTACTTAATACATAAAAGGTACTTACTTAATAGTTAATGAGGGAGAATGTAGGCAAGTAAAAAAAATAACTCATCACGCAGCCAAAAGGAATGCCACAAACTTGTTTTATAGCTTTAAAAATATATCTAATATGTGAGTTATAAAATGGTATCAGAAACTGACAGAGAACATATAAAGGTTACAATACAATATCTGGTTTCCACTTTAAGTCACATGGCCTTCAAGTGACATTTTTACCAAAGTGTTTCCAATGAATACTTACCTGAACACACAGTGGGATGTAATCCCCTCAAACACATATATTTCAAAAACTTGAGAACAGTATTTCAAAACTTTACCAACTAAGGTGGCTTATAACTACAATATTGAAGATACCAAGACCTTTCTTAAATCTCCTCAAGGAGACTGAAGTGTAACTCAGATAAATTGTGACCTAATGCATTATATTTTAGAGTGTGACAAAAAAAGTAGCGGGGTGCTTGTCATCTTAAAAAATGGTATCTAAGAATAAAAACTTGATGTTATTTTTCCAAGAAAAAAAAGATGTTCTAACTTGCCATCATAAATCTTTGATAGGACCTGCTTTTAACTGTCATAACTTTATTCTTTCCCTTAATTTCAAATCTGTTATCGTCTTTCTTTGTATCCTCCCTCCCTCCCACCAAAAAAGTCACCAGTTGCCAGCAGCTATGGTTACCGAATAAAGAATAATGAAAGCACTGGGTGACCTACTTAATGAATTGTGATTAATAAGGTTTGGGTCAATGTGATATACAAAACTAATAAGCAACTAATAAGGAAAGTGGTCAAATGTTACAAGTTGCAAAATATCTAAATATTTAGTATTTTCAATACTTTAATGTCTTCATCTATTGGCAATTCCATACTCCTTTTCCAAAACTCATACAGTATAACTTATGAGACATCCTTCCATCCCATCACCTGTTCTGTCAAATTAGAAAATGATACGGTATTAACTGATTCTATGGTATTAACAGATTTTAAGGTATCTAAGGCCTCCTGAAGAACTAGAAAGCTAGAGGGAACAATGATCAAACATGATTTTGCAACATTCTAGGATATTTTCAGTTAATTCAAGGTACCCTGCAAGATTTTTAAAATAAACTTCAAAATAAAAGAATCTAATTAGAACATGGAAATGTTTAGTGACACAATAAAGGCAGAATGAAAGTTTATATCACAGATGTTCTCACCACCTAATTTAGTGCAATAATAGGTACTTTACCAGTACTACATAAAATTACCGGGCATGTAGAAGAATGAGAGGATACTGTGAAACTAAATAAAATTTTTAAATGCCAAAAATTACTGCCATATACTTAAATAATAGATTATTTAATTTTAAACAAATGATTCACTTGAAATAATGTTCCTGCAAATATTATTTTCATTCACTGAATATTATTCCCCATATTTAACTTATCTCTTTCCCTTATATAGCTCCATTACCCAAAACTGCAGTCTGGTTCAAAGACCTATTTCCCTGCTTTCCCAAAGGGAAGTAAAAGTTCTGTCTATGGAAAGGAAGTATTTCTGAAATTATTACCATTAGTTATCTACCATTATTGGAAAATGAGCTATCCTGGTCAAATAAACTCTCTCTTTAACTGGAAAGCAAAACTTTCCTGGGCAAGGACAAATTCTGTGGTTGAGAGTTTTCTTGCTCTAAGGCACACAGAACTGTATTTTTAAATATTTTACCCTGAAGGAGAAATAAAGTGATAAGCATAGAAAATTCAAGTCTACGGAAAATGGAAGCGGGGAAAAGTTTTACAAATAAAATGTTACCAATTACAAAGTGTGAAGTGGTTATGAAAAAAACACCAAGGATTTTAGACACTTTCTAAGTTATCACTCAAATGTAAATATCAAGTTGCCTCAAAATCTCTTAGCTAGTGGAAGCAACTTAAACTAAAAATTTCAGACTTTATTGAGAAATGCCAAGCAATGGGGCTTGAAACAAATTGGTTAACCACACTGAGGACTAAGCTCTGATTTTTTAATCTTGCCCAAATTCCCACCTAAGGGGTCTGGGGAGTCATGCCCTACAAACCATAAATTCTCATCAGATGGGTTTTATTTAACCCTGTATATTGTGACTTACTTTTCAATCTGACTCTGGCATAACATTCTAAGACAAGAAGAAAATATTTAATTCCTAAATACATTTCCTTGCCATACCCTGAAATTGCCCTGCGAAGTTTCTTGTGGGAAAAATCCACATTCTACAGAGCCTCCCCTTCCCGCTTTGTTTTCCTTCCTTTCTTTCCAGATCCAGGAGATAATCAACTAAGAGCCAAGCACCCTTCTAGGTCTGATAAGAAACATTTTACAACCTGCTCTCTCTGAAGTCTGCTGAGAGATTCCTCTGCACAAAAAAACTTGGTCTCCACAATCCTTTATCTTTAACCTGAACATTCCTTTCTATGGATCCCAGGTCTTTAGACAAACTCAACCAAATGTCAACCAGAAAGTTTAAATTTACCTATACCCTGGAAGCACCCCCGCTTTAAGTTGTCCCTCCTTTCTGAACCAAACCAATGTATTTCTTAAATGTATTTGATTGATGTTTCATGCCTTCCTAAAATATGTAAAACCAAGTTGTACCCCAGCCACCTTGGGCACATGTTCTCAGGACCTGAGGGCTGTGTCACAGGCCATGGTCACTCATATTTGGCTCAGAATAAATCTCTTAAAATATTTTACAGAGTTTGACTGTTCGCATCAACAACACCTATATTCTCATGACAGGATGTATTTATGTTTGTAATCTCCATTCATAATCATAACCCTCCCATACTCAACCATTATTCTTTCTGTTTCACCTCCCCTTTCACTACCCTTAGACCGAAGTTCAGTGGTCAAAGTCTATGAGAAAAATAGGAAATATACCAAAATATATCATTCAAAATGAATTCTGAAGCTTTCTTTACTTTTTTAAAGGCAAATTTTTAAAAACATAGTAACTGGATTAGCAATTAAGACAAATATTTTCAAACAGGATGGTATTCTTCACTGGATTATTTAAAGTAGGTAAGTAGATATTTAGCTGCATTCTCAGAAATAAAAACAGTTATTAGTTTCTTGGCATATGGACCATTAAATTTACATTTATATGTAGACTTTTCTGGCCAAGAAATGGGATCCAAGTGTATAGACATATATGCATATGTTAAGAGCATTTGGTAAGAGGTAGTTCTGTAGCAATTCAATGGCTATTTACTGAATTCCTATTAGTGATCACCCCATTGTTAGCGATTTCAGAGAGAAAGCATCTTTAAAAGTTTTCAGTTTTGTCAGAGAAACAAAATATGCACACATAAAGCAAAAATAACTCAAATATCTAATTGAAAATAGAGCAAAGTATCTCCTTTTATTGAGCTCTACTAGAGAGTTCCATTAAATTTAATGTATAATCTTAACTTCATAAAAGGATATCTTTTTTTTTTCCACCAGTAAACCTTTATCATGTAGTCTAAGGATTTTCTTTAGGTATAAATGAATCCAATAACATTAAATCAGTGCATGGAATTATGATGCTTTATTGCCCTTCTTTCTAATTTTTAAAATTCTAAGCAGAAGCACAACCAAAATCAAGCAACATACCAGCTCTGCTAGGGAGTAAAGTAAATATCAAATGTATATACTCACATACATATATATAAAACCAGAATTATCCTACATATGTGTAACCAGAATTTTTATGGTTATGAAACAGTGCAATACTAGTGTTTCACAGCTATATATTACTTCTATAACAAATGACTTTTGTTCACTGAGTTGAAATTTATGTTACATTGCATTTGGCCAGAAAGAAAAGAAACACAGATGTGATGAATGAAGAAAAATACCAGTTGAGTCACCTAACCAGTACTGAAAAAGTTAAGTTTCAAAATACGGGTATGTTCTATTTCTTAACCTAGATAATGCATCCACAGTTATTTCTTTTGTTGTTGTTCTTTAAATTCATCTTATACATTTTACTCTCTAGGTATGTGTGCTACATTTACTTCTCAGGAAACTTTTTCTTTTTAAATAGAAGAGTATCATTCCAAATATTGACAGATGTCCTGTTCAGGAATTCCTTCCAATCTCCTAAACTGCCAGTTGCAAAACTAGTTTCTTCAGACCTCTACTTTACATATTGCATCAGTAGCCACTAACAATAATTACAGCCTATAGATATCTGAAATTTCTTTGTTGACAAGTCTGGCAGCTAAGCAAAGGTCCTTATTAAAGGTAATGATATTTCTTAAAAAATCATGCACAACCAGAAAACATAACAGAAAGGTACATACGAGATAAGCTGTAGCATTTTAGGGGTGATCAGGACAGGGACTGCATCTTACAGCTCTTAACGCAGAATTTTACATTAAATTTTTGTGGAACTAAATGACACATAATGTGGTTATTACTATATAGGTATTATGGTACCTAGTCATCATTTTCTAAACTAAAGATAATATCTATATTTACAAAATAAGAAAAAAAGAACTATTTCAGGCCAGGTACGGTGGCTTATGCCTGTAATCCCAGCACTCTAGGAGACCAAAGTGGGCAGATCGCCTGAGGTCAGGAGTTTGAGACCAGCCTGGCCAACATGGCGAAACCCCATCTCTACTAAAAATACAAAAATCAGCCAGGTGTAGTGGCACACACCTCTAATCCTAGTTACTCAGGAGGCTGAGGCAGGAGAATAACTTGAACCCAGGAAACGGAAATTGCAGTGAGCCAAGATCACACCACTGCACTCCAGCCATGGTGACAGAGCGAGAGACTCTGTCTCAAAAAAAAAAAAAAAGAAAGAAAGAAAAAGAAAAAAGAACTATTTCACTGTTGGGGTTTTTAAAAAATGCAAACCCAGGGGGTGTGGCTACAAGTGAGGGTATCATAGTCAGCCAAATAAATAAATAATCTTTCACTGGCCTCTGGTCAGCTTGCCAAAGAGCCACACCTTCTCCATCACTCCTAGCTGAGGAATCTCTGCTCCTCTTCAGAAAGGGAAGGCAAGAGCTCCTTGTCTGGTTTTATTCATATTTACAAAATGGGTTTATATGCAACATAATCTCTATTGGATCACTAATAAAAATATTGACACTTTTTAAGAAATGAGGTTAATAGACAATACAAAGTCATTCTACATATCTACATATAATACATATCGTATAAGGGTCTAGTTAGTAGTATTCTTCCTACTTTAACTATTTGAACAGATTTTCTCACAAGACTGTTAGGTGTGAGTTAAGGATAACCTGATGCATTTTCTATAACTTTCTCAGAATGAGAGGCAATTTACCCAGTAGGTATTGAGATAAGACTTGACTCACTGTGTCCTTCCCTTCTTCATTCTATTTACTGAGGATGAAGGGAACTTGCTTTCTCCCTCTCTCCCTTTCTCCCTCCTCTCTCCTCTCTGCAACCTAGGGCTGCCTTCAATTTGGGAAGTGTCCCATTCTAAGAAGGCCAAATAGCCTAGAGCTCAGGGTTCCTTAGGAATGCTTCTAGTCTAGGGAAAATAAGCTGTCAAGGTCATGTACCAGTTCAGCTAATAAACCTGGGAGGCCTACATATTCAGAGCCAAACATAGCATGCCTAGGGTCTTGCTTTTGCCTAGAATATGCCGTTAATCAGGTATGAAGATACAACCCAATGAAGCAGATACATGTGGGGCAGAGGCCCCAATTTCCACCTTGATAACTTTAGAATAAAAGTGCTAAAGAAACTTGGTAAGGACTTAGATAGTTGCTTTAAAAGTTTTTTTTTTTTTTGCCTGTCTGCCATAATCCTCTGTTTAGAGGAAGAAACAAGGAGTTAATCTAGAAAATAAGGAGGAGGGACTTATAAAAGCATTAGCATTTTGTGGGAAAGTAGAATCAGTAAACAACATATCTTCTGCTCTCATTGTAAAGGGTCTGTCTGCTCTGTCTTGATACATTACCCCTCTCTCCAACATCAACACTACAGCAATTAGTATGAACGCCATCAGATCTATATCCTTTTATCCTCAAATCTTTAAAACATTAAATATTTAAGTAATAGTAGTATTTTGCCTCATTAGACATCTTTGATCCATCACTGAAATGCCAATTTTTCCAAGAAAATCTTGTAATACTTCATGTATCCTTTCTCTATTAATTCCATATTTTCTATCTTCTCTCATTCTATTCCCTCCCACTACTGTCTCTCCTTTTCTCTCCTCCTCTTATATTCCTTGTCTGTGCCAGAAAAACCTGAGAACACTGCTTAAGCCTGCTAGATTCACTGACCCCAAGTTTAGAAATCCAATTCTAAAAATTTTATAATAGCCTATTATGTACACTTTCGTCCCAGTTCTAAATTCAGAGACTATCTTAGACAAAAGCTCAGTGATGAGATGACAAGGTGTTAGTCATTATTAACCTACTATAGTATCTAATAGTATAAAGTGAACAAAGCTTAAGATTCAGGTTCTGTAGAAGTATGTAGTTAAACGATTGGTTTTTTTTGGATTTCTTCCAGAATCACAGGAAGATGAAAAGGTTCTGAAGCATTTACAATTTTATAAGCTTTCTTCGGGGTAAAACTTATGTTTAAAACTTGCCATGCAGGATGTCTTGCAGCCCCACCACAAAGAAGATTCAGTGGAGCTGAACAAGCTCACTACCAAGCCACTGAAAAGAGGAAAGAAAGTCCATCTGAGATCAAAGGTCGCACTTCCCATTTTTTTCAAGTTCTGCAAAGGTGATCTGTTTCCCTTTAGTGCACAGGAAATAAGTGAGATGTTCTCTAAAAGCCTTTACCTGTTTCACCTTATACTGTAATCACTAAATCCAGAAGACTAACGCAAACTCATACTTAAAAAGAAAACAATTAGCCTAGAGCACGTAATAGAAATCAGAAGCATTTGATTTCAGACTGTCTGTATATCGCCTGTTTGTAAAAGTTCTGATTCGGTTGTAGGCTGTCATAACATAAACTACCTTTCAAGGTTCATTACATGCCACCCACAACTCTCTCCCTCACACAGCCAAAATGCACAACTTTCAGTTCCTGAAATCCTTTTGATTTTTTCGCCATCTCAAGCTTTCGCATATGCGATCTACCTGTTACATTTTTGTCTTCCTCAGAGTAACTTCAAATCATCTCCTCTAACATAGGACTACATAAAGTCCCCTTATTGTCTGCTCTCAGAACATCTGTATCTCTCATCACCACTCTCACTCACTCTTTGCTGTAATTAGTTTTTTAACCAGTTCTTCCCATTAGTCTTAGCTGCAAGAGGGCATTTGCAGTGCCTAAAGATAATATTCTTAAGACTAAACAGGGGCTTAAGAATCTGGCCACAAATCAACTCTCCAACTACCCTGTTTATAATCCTCACAACTCACCCTGTTTCAATGCCATGCTTCTTCACAGGCTGGCTTCCCTTCCTGGAATGTTAATCATTGCAGGAATCCCAGCTGATTATACAGTCGCCTTTCAGGCCAGAACCCAATAAAAAATCAAGAAAGGATCGCCCGTTCTATTACTGCGCTGCTCCCTCCCCTCGTAGATTTCACAAATATACTTCTCACCACAAGCTTGTCTGTTCCAAGAGAATGCTAGCTCTTCTAAAGAAGGAGCCCTTTGTTTTCCTTGCCCTTGTCCAGTTCCTCTGCATACCTCTAGCACCTAGAGCAACAACTGCTATACAGGAGCCCAGATGTGGAACAGAGCAAAGAACTGAGTGTTGATTTAATGTTGCCTGAAGTCCTTAACAGCACCTTCAACCTAAACTTAACTGTGTTTTTAATCCCCTACACGTGTAATCCCTGTATGTGTGCGCAGCGTTAAAAGGATTATTGTAGCTCAAAAATTCTCCAATGAAAGAACCTCTACCAGAAAGGAGTTGCTCATCTTTCGTTCTTGAAAAGTTGGCTGCACGATACAAGTAAGAAAAGTTTTAGTTAGGCAAGACAACTTATACATAAAAGACAATTATAGGGAACATTACCTAACTTAGCACAGGGCCTCGAATGTATTCCGAAATTAAATCAGCATGTAGAAAGCAAGCCTCCTCATGCTTTTTAAAGTGTAATCTCGCGACCTCGCGGCGCGCTCTGGGAAGACCGATTCATCTCTTCCCCTCGCCCTCTTTCCCCGGCCGGCGCACAGCCGGCCCGTGGCGCTCGGCACCGCGTCTCCACGTCCAGCGCGGGGCAGGCCTGCGCGGCGCTTGCAAGGGACAAGCCGCGGAGCCGGGGAGGCTCGCCGTCTGGGACACGTTTGGAGAAGCGAGCGGTACAGTCCATTCCACGGCGACATTTTAGGATTCTCCCACTGACAACACTAAACTGAAGCGCTAAGACCAACCCTTACGACCACTTACCGTCGCAGGCCACGGTGGTGACTTCCTTTTCCGCTCCCCTACACACGCTTTTCCGTTTTGCGTGCCTTTGTTTCCGCTCCCCCCGGGACCATCGTGCGCCCCTGTCCTCCGTTCTTGTAGGTCCTCTCCTCTTCTCCGCGTCTTCTCTTTTACTATCCCACGCTCTCCTTTCCTTTCTCCGGGAACTTTATCCCGTTCCCCTGCCGGTTCCCGTGACCCCGGAAATCCCGCTCCTGCCGCGAGGCGCCCTCCGCTTCGCGCTCCCTCGTGTCACGAGGGAGCCAGGGTGGGCGGTCTCCTATTGTACTTGGCTTTTGAATTTTCGCTTTTGCAGCACAAAGGTAGGGCTGGGAAAGGAGGCTGCCGAACCGTGCTTGTTTTCGCTCAGATAAACGTGAGAAAAAGTGGAGGTGAGGAAGCCAGTGTAGGCAAATAGCGAGAGGGGAGAAGACAGAAAGGTACCGAAGGTCGACCTTTTTTAGGTATCTTATCCAAGTTATTGAGGGGAATGGGTATTTAGCCAGTTTTTTGTTTGTTTGTTTTTATCCGAATATCCAGTGTGTGTCTTGAATGTGTGAATGTGACGTGTTTATAAAGCTCAGTAAGCTTAAAATTCCGTGCCAATACATTTTGTATGCCGCAGACAGGAAGTGCTTTGGAAGACCCTTGAAAGGGGAGGTGATTTTACACCAATATTGAGATCATTTTGTCAGAGTCGTGGGACTAAAGGTAGACCTTAGGTAGTCGATGTCAAAGATAAGCGCAGCTGGACGTTAAAGCGGTGAAAACATTCAGTTAACTACTGACAGGAAAGAGCTGAGCTCTATTTCGATTCGTGCAGAGATCATCTGGGCATTTTTAAAGGGACGTTTTAAAAGGAGAAAGGGGATATGCGGGCGCTCAGTAGAGAAAGTGAACCTACAGAGTTGTTAGTGTAAATGTGATTAGGCCAGCTGTGTGTTTGTGTGTGCGCGCGTTTTAACAGTTACCGCAGGATTCTATCCTCCTACGGAGGATTTTATCCTTCTCGATTACATTTCAAAGGAATGACTCTCTGGTCCTTGAGAGAGAACTTCTGAGTGGCAAGAAATAAGTCTTTACAATTGCAAGCCCTTTAGTAAACGTTCTAAGAAAGGGATGTCAGAGACCTATCATCAGTTGTGTGCTGGTTACATCACGTAGTTAAGCTTTCTGAGGCAGTCGCCCTGGGCACAGGGCCTTATGCTGCTAAAGCTTGCTAGAGTTTGGTCAAGTCTCTGAACGCAGGGGTTTAGATGGGATGGTCATGTTCCTGGAGTTCTGCAGTGGTCATAGGTATGATTTGAATAAGTACAGGGAATATTCTAGTCGGAGGAACAGAATGTGCCAACGCGCCGAACAGGGAGGATAGTTTTACGATACGGAGATGTGTATGATAGGGAATAAGTGGGAGCCCAGTTTGGACTAATTGGAAGAAGTCATTATTAGAAGTACTGTATTTAATTCTAGTTTGTTATAAAATGAGACTCCAAGATCACTGAGCCATTTCACTGAGACTCCAAGATCACCCCAATGCTAGGCTAATCTCCATGGCGCCTAGATCTATGCCCACTCCATTCCCCATGTTGGTCCCCATAGTTTCAGGCACCAGGCTCCAACACCAGGTTGGGCCCTACAGCCCCAGTCTCCAGGTTGGCACCAGTGGATATAGGCTTTAGGTCCACTGACTGCTGGTCCCTACAGCCCCAGGTTCCAGTGAACCCAGGTTCCAGGCCTGCTCCAACAAACCCAAGGTCCAGGTCTACCCCAGTAGACCCTGGCACCAGAACTACCCCAGAGGGCCTAGCCTACAGGCTACCACCCACAAACCCAGCCTCCATGATGGCCTCTGAAGAATCAGGCTTTAGGTCTTCCCCAGCACCAGACTAGACTGCTAGACTGATGTTCCACTTTTGTCCCCATGGACCCAGGCACCAGGCCCATCTGAGAGGTTTCTTCAGTTTTATTTTTCAGTAATAACTTTCATTCTTCTTTCTCAGTGATAACTGTAGTACTCAGTGGGCTTTCTATTTCTGGCTCCCATTTTCCATCTTTCTTTTTAACACTTTGGGAAAATATCCAAGTTAAACTCTATATAGTGGGGTAGGTGGACAATGAAAGATAAGTAAATACATAATATGTATAATCAACGGAGTGAAAAGACAGCCTGCAGAATGGGAGAAAATATTTGCAAACTATATATCTGACAAAGGGTTAATATCCAGAGTATATGAAGAAGTCAACTCAATAGCCAAAAAAAAAAAAAAAAAAATCCAATTTAAAAATGAGCAAAAGGCCTGAATGGACATTTCTCAAAAGAAAACATGATGATGACTAACAAATATATGAAAAAATGCTCAGCCAGGCACAGTGACTCACACCTGTAATCCCACACCTTGGGAGGCCAAGCAGGTGGATTGCTTGAGCCCAGAAGTTCAAGACCAGCCATGGGCAACATGGCAGAACCCTGTCTCTACAAAAAATCACAATTGGCTGGGCAATGTGGCATACACCTATAGTCCTAGCTACTCAGGAGCCTGAGGTGGGAGGATCACTGGAGCCCAGGAGCTTGAGGCTGCAGTGAGCCATGATCACACCACTGCATTCCAGCCAGGGTGACAGAGCAAGACTCTCAAAAACAAATACATACATTTTTAAAAAATTAAAAATAAATAAAAATAATCATAGGGGAAATGCAAATCAAAACCACAATGAGATATCACCTCATACCTGTTAGAATGGCTATTATCAAAAAGACAAAAAATAACATGCCCATGCATATGTGGAGAGAAATACTTATACACTGTTGGTAAGAATGTAAATTACTGGCCAGATGCAGTGGCTCACGCCTGTAATCCCAGCACTTTGGGAGGCTGAGGTGGGCGGATCCCGAGGTCAGGAGGTCAAGACCATCCTGGCCCACATGCTGAAACCCCTTATCTACTAAAAATACAAAAAAATTAGCCAGGCATGGCAGCACATGCCTGTAGTCCCAGCTAAACCTGGGAGGCAGAGGCTGCAGTGAGCCGAGATCACACCACTGCACTCCAGCCTGGGTGACACAGCGAGACTCCGTCTCAAAAAAATAATAAATAAACAAAAGAATTTGAATTACTCTAGCCATTATAGAAAACAGTATAGAGGTTCCTCAAAAAATTAAAAACAAAACTGCCATATGATCCCACAATCCCACGCCTGGGTATATATCTGAAGGAAGTAAAATCAGTATGTTGCAGAGATATCTGCACTCTCATGTTTATTGCAGCACTGTTCATAAGAGCCGAGATATGGAATCAACCTAAGTGTCCATCAGTGGATGAGCGGATAAAGAAAATGTGGTATATACATACAATGGAATACTATTCAGCCATTAAAAGGAATGAAATCCTGTCATTTGTGGCAACATAGATGGACCTGGAGAACATTAAGTGAAATAAGCCAGGCACAGAAAGACAAATATCACATGATCTCATGCAGGTGTAGAATCCAAAGAAGTTGATCTCATAGAAGTGGGAAATAAAATGGTGGTTATCAGAGGCTGAGAAGAGATTAATCAGTGGGTACAAAGTTACAGTTAGGAGGAATAAATTCTGGCGGTCTATTGCACAGTAGGATGACTGTGGTTAACAACATTGTTTCAAAATGGCTAGAAAAGATTTTGGTTGTTCTCACTACAAAGAAATGGTAAATACATGAGGTGATGGTTTTGCTAAATAACATTAAAATATCACCATATCCCATAAATAAGTAAAATTGTTATGTGTCAAAAATGAAACAAAAATATATAATGTTGGGGGGTATTAAGTGCTATGATGACAAGTAAAGCAAGTTTGGCATAATTTTGGGAGTTGGCATATTAGGTTAAGGTAAAGCCAGTTACTTTTGTTATGTTTATGAATTCCTAGGCCTCTTGACAAACACTGAGGTTCTCAAACATTGGCAAACACAAGTCACATTAGGTAAACATACAAATTCTTGGCCTTAGTTCCATATATTTTATTCTGAACAAATAGCCCTTAAGTCAAAATTGAGAAACAATGATTAGTAATAAGTTTTTACACTTCAAGTATTTCCTCATTCTGAACAAAGGATGTCGACATGTATTTACACACTTGAATGTTTCAACACTACCGTGTGATGTGATTTTACTTTTTTTTTTTTATATATTTCAGCTTTGAGTATCATGTATTCTATTTTCAATCTGTTGTTTGTGGCCTAGACTCAATGCAATAAGTTTTTAAGGGGTTTTCTCTCTGAAGCACAAAATACCTTTTTACTCTAAAAAGCGGGGATGGGAAGAAGATAAACCAGACTCAGATATTATGATTTTCTTCACTTGTCCCTGGTATGAGTTTTATGAAAACATTTGTAACCCAATCACAGCTATCTTTCCCCTGAAACAACACGTGCTTTAGACTGAATTGGTTATAGTTCTAGGTATGAGAAAGAAATATCAAAATGTTATACCACAATGTATATCATTTATTGTTGCATTATATTCTATCATGATAATTTTTATTAATGTAAGCTTATTGAGTTCAAATGCCTTGTTAGCCTTATTTTTCCTCCTTCCCATCCTTTCTTTTTTTCCTCCTCGGTTCTTTCCTCTCTTTATTTCTTTTGAGAATGTAGTTAAATTTTTTTCTTAAAAAATGCCATAGAAAAAAATACTAGAATGAATATCTCATGCTGTTAATAGTTATCAGTAGTAACTTGGGGGAATGTAGTGTTTGTTTTGTTAGTTAAATATACTTGGTTTTCAGATTTCTCAAAATGAATGAGAACACTTAATAACATGGTAAAATGTTGAAACTATAGTATTACTTTCAAAAAGGCTATCTAGAATGGAAGAAGGGTGATGTCAGAAAGATGGCAGTATAGCACTTCCCAGTACTTGTCCCTTCACAGAAACATCTATTTGAACCACTATCCTTTTTTTTTTTTGAGACAGAGTCTTGCTCTTGTTGCCCAGGCTGGAGTGCAATGGCGCAATCTTGGCTCACTGCAACCTCCGCCTCCTGGGTTCAAGCAACTCTGCCTCAGCCTCTTGAGTAGCTGGAATCACAGGCACACGCTACCACGCCGGCCAATTTTTGTACTTTTAGTAGAAACGGGGTTTTGTCATGTTGGCCAAGCTTGTCTTGAACTCCTGGCCTCAGGTGATCCACGTGCCTCAGCCTCCCAAAGTGCTGGGATTACAAGCGTGAGCCACCACGCCCGGCCTGAACCACTATCCTTTTATGAAGACACCTTCACATGAACTGAGGAATCCAGATGAGAAATTATAGCACCTAGATGTAGCAGAGAATTAAGAAAAGACACATTGAAGATAGTAGGAAAGAGTCAATCCTTTCCCAAGCCTGGGTAGCACAGAGCTGAGACTTATGGTCCGTGTGAGGAAAGGAGAGTGAGGTAAGTGCCAGCTTTGCTGCAGACTCCAGCACCAGGCCTGCCACAGTGAAACTTGGCACCAGGCTGACTACCATGGCCCTAGACTCTAGGCTGATACCCATGCACTGAGACTACAAGATCACCCCAATGCTAGGCTAATCTCCATGGCGCCTAGATCTATGCCCACTCCATTCCCCATGTTAGTCCCCATAGTTTCAGGCACCAGGCTCCAACACCAGGTTGGGCCCTACAGCCCCAGTCTCCAGGTTGGCACCAGTGGATATAGGCTTTAGGTCCACTGACTGCTGGTCCCTACAGCCCCAGGTTCCAGTGAACCCAGGTTCCAGGCCTGCTCCAACAAACCCAAGGTCCAGGTCTACCCCAGTAGACCCTGGCACCAGAACTACCCCAGAGGGCCTAGCCTACAAGCTACCACCCACAAACCCAGCCTCCATGATGGCCTCTGAAGAATCAGGCTTTAGGTCTTCCCCAGCACCAGACTAGACTGCTAGACTGATGTTCCACTTTTGTCCCCATGGACCCAGGCACCAGGCCCATCTCAGTACTAGGCAGGCCCCTGTCCTGTGAACACAGGCTCCAAGCCAGACCCTGTGGACCTAGATGCCTAGCACACCCACCTACCTATCTGGTCACCAGCCCTGTCTATCTGAGGGCACCAGCAGCAAGGCCACCCATAAAGCCCACAGATGACCTACCCAAAGTCTTGATAGGGTGATGTGAGCAGCATTCCCTGCTGAATCCAGTCTATAAAGACTGGAATGAGTGCCCGCATTTCAATAATGCAAGGAAGAGGAATAATCAGGGAAACATGATACTACCAAAGGACCAAACACCAGTAAACAACCCTAAAGAAATGAAGATCTATGAATATCCTGAAAAAGAATTTGAAATAATTCTTAGAAAAGCTCAGTGACTGCCGGGCGTGGTGGCTCACATCTGTAATCCCAGCACTTTGGGAGGCCGAGGCAGGTGTATCACAAGGTCAGGAGATCAACACCAGCCTGGCTAACACAGTGAAACCCTGTTTCTACTAAAAATACAAACAACAACAACAAAAAATTAGCCAGGCATGGTGGCACATGCCTGTAGTCCCAGCTACCTGGGAGGCTGAGGCAGGAGAATCACTTGAACCTGGAAGGCAGAGGTTGCAGTGAGCTGAGATTGCACCACTGCACTCCAGCCTGGGCAACAGAGTGAGATTCTCAGAAAAAAAAGAAAAAAAGAAGAAAAGAAAAGCTCAGTGACCTACAAGAGAGCTCAAATAGGCAGCTAAATAATATTAGGAAAACAGTAAACAGACAAAATTAGAAATTTGACAAAGAGATAGAAACCATAAAAAGAACTAGGAAAATTCCGAAGCTAAAAAACACAATGACTGAACTGAAAAATTCCACAGAGAGCTCCAACAACAAAATCAAGCAGAAGAAAGTATCCGTTAACCTAAAAATAGGTCATTTAAAATTGCCCAGTAAGAGGAGAAAAAAGAAAAGAAAAAGAATAAAAAAGAGTAAAGAATATCTGTAAGACTTAAGGGTCACCATCAAGTGAACTAATTAATGCACTATGGAAGCTCCAGAAGGGGCAGAGAAAGGGAAAGGGGCAGAAAAACATAATGACAGAAAGCTTTCCAAATCTGAAGAGGGAACTAAACATCCAGACCCATGAAAGCCAAAAAATCCTAAATAGATTAAATACAAAGAGATCTTCACCAAGACACACTGAAATTAAATTTTCTAAAGTCAAAGACAAAGAAATGCAAAAGCTGCAAGAGAAGAGCAACTTCTATAAGGCTATTAACAGATTTCTCAGCAGAGACCTCGCAGGCCAAGAGAGAATGGCCTGCAAGGTGCTGAAAGAAATAAACTGCCAATGAGGACTACTATACCTGGCAAGGCTGTCCTTCAGAAATGAAGGACAAATAGGGAGTTTCCCAGACATAACAAAAGGTATTCTTACCCATAGACCTGCCTTACATGAAATGCTAAAGGGTGTTCTTCAGGTTGAAAGGGCCCTAAAAAACAATATGAAAACACAGGAAAGTATAAAACTCAGTGTAAAAGTAAGAACATAGTTAAATTCAGAATACTCTAATTCTATAACAGTGATGCATAAGTCACTTTTAACTCTAGTGTAAAATTAAAAGAAAAGTAATTATAATAATTTGTTCATGGAAACACAATATATAAAAGTTGTAAATTGTGACACCAATAGCATAAGATGTAGGAGAAGTTAAAGTGTATACTTTTGTATGCAGAAAAAGTTAAATTGTTCGAGCTTAAAATAGACTTATAACTATGATCTTTCGTGTAAGTCTCATGATAACTCCAAAGTAAAAAACTGTAATAGATACACAAAATATGAAGAAAAAGAAAAGCAGTCTACCATATAAAAAAAATAAATAAATTATATAGGAAGGGCCAGGTGCGGTGGCTCAACGCCTGTAATCTCAGCACTTTGGGAGGCCGAGGCGGGTGGATCACCTGAGATCAGGAGTTCGAGACCAACCTGGCCCACATGGTGAAACCCCACCTTTACTAAAACTACAAAAATTAGCCAGGCATGGTGTCATGTGCTTGTAATCCTAGCTATTCAGGAGGCTGAGTCAGGAGAACTGCTTGAACCCAGGAGGTAGGGATTGCAGTGAGCCAAGATCCCACCACTGCACTCCAGCCTGGGCGAAAGAGTGAGACTCCATCCCCCTCCCCACCCCCCAAAAAAAATCACATAGGAAGACATCAAGAGAGGAAGAATGGAATAAATAAATTACAAAACAGTCAAAAAGAAAATAGTAATTCCTTACCTATCAATAATTACTTTAAATGTAAATTAAGTTCTCCAATCAAAAATAGAGTGGTTGAATGGATGCAAAAACAAATAAAATTCAACTATATACTCAGTCTTTAAGAGTCTCATTTTAGCTTTAAGGACACACAGAGTCTGAAAATAAAGAGATGAAAAAAACATTCTGTGTAATCAGTAACCAAAAGACAACAGGGATGCTAAACTTATGTCAGACTGTGTGTGTGTGTGTGTGTGTGTGTGTGTGTGTGTGTGTGTGTATATATATATATATATATATATATATTTTTTTTTTTTTTTTTTTTTTTTTTGAGATGGAGTCTCCCTCTGTCGCCCAGGCTGGAGTGCAGTGGCGCAGTCTCGGTTCACTGCAAGCTCCGCCTCCCGGGTTCACACCATTCTCCTGCCTCAGCCTCCCGAGTAGCTGGGACTACAGGCGCCTGCCACCACGCCAGGCTAATTTTTTGTATTTTTAGTAGAGACGGGTTTTCATCGTGTTAACCAGGATGGTCTCGATCTCCTGACCTCGTGATCCGCCCGCCTCGGCCTCCCAAAGTGCTGGGATTACAGGCATGAGCCACTGTGCCGGCCTTTTTTTTTTTTGAGACAGTTTCACTCTTCCGTCCAGGCTGGAGTGAAGTGGTGTGATCTTGGTTCACTGCAACCTCCGCCTCCCAAATTCAAGTGATTCTCCTGCCTAAGCCTTCCAAGTTAGCTGGGATTACAGTTGTCTGCCACCACACCTGGCTAATTTTTGTATTTTTAGTAGATACGGGGTTTCGCCATGTTGGCCAGGCTGGTCTCAAACTCCTGACCTCAGGTGATCCACCCACCTCGGCCTCCCAAAGTGCTGGGATTACAGGCGTGAGCCCCGGTGCCCAGCCATGTCAAGTAACTTTTTCAAACACAGTGATATAAAACTAGAAATCAGTAATGAGGCAAATTGGAAAATTTGCAAATATATGAAACTTAAACAAGACACTACTGATGGGTTACAAAAGAAATTTTACAGTAGAAAAAATAATATTGAGACAAAGTAAAATGAAAAAAAAATTTATGGGATACAACAAACATAGTTCTAAGAGGGGAGTTTATAGAGACAAATGAATGCCTATATTAAGAAAAGAGGAAGATCTCGAACAACCTATCTTGACACCACGGGGAACTAGAAAAAGAAGAAGCTAAGCCTAAAGTTACAGAAAAAAGGAAATAATAAAGATCAGAGCAGAAATAAAGGAAATGGAGATGATAAAAATAACAGAAAAAAATCTAAGAAACAATTGGTTTTTTGAAAAGATAAACAAAAATTGACAAACCTTTAGCTAAACTATGAAAAAAATGAGAGAAGACTCAGAATTATAAATGAAAGAAAGCATTATAACGGACATAGAAATATAAAGGATCCTAAGAGACTATTATAAACAATTATACAACAATATATTGGGTAACCTAGAAGAAATAGATAAATTTCTAGAAATACACAATCTACCAAGATTAAATCATGAAGAAAGAGAACATTTGAACAGAACAATAATGAAGGTTAAATTTATAATCAAAAAGCTACCAACAGAAAAATCCGGGACAAAATGGCTTCAGTGATTCTACCAAACACTTAAAGAAGAATTAATGCTAATTGCTCTTACTCTGTCAGAAAATTAAAGAGAAGACAAGACTTCCAAACTCATTTTATGAGGCCAGCATTACTTTGATAAAAAAGCCAGGGAAGGAAAAAAAGTATAAGCCAATATACCTGATACTGTCTCAACAAATTAGGTATGGAAGGTGTCTTGGTTTGTTTTCTCTTGCTTATAACAGAAACTGAAACTGGGTAATTTATGAAGAAAAGAAATTTATTTCTCACAGTTATGGAGGCTGAGAAGTCCAAGGTCAGGGTGGTCTATCTGGTGAGTGCCTTCTTGCTGATAGGAACTCTGTAGAGTCATTAACCAACATAGAACATCGCATGGTGAGGAGCTGAAGATGCTAGCTCAGATCTCTCTTCCTTTTTTTATGAAGCCACCAGTCTTACTCCCATGAAAATCCGTTAACCCATTAATTGATAAATGAATTAGTCTATTCATGAGGGCTCTGCCCCACCACTCAGTACTGCCACAGTGAGGTTAAATTTCACCATGAGGGCCTGGGCGGGGTGGCTCACGCCTGTAATCCCAGCACTTTGGGAGGCTGAGGCAGGTGGATCACGAAGTCAGGAGATCGAGACCATCCTGGCTAGCACGGTGAAACCCCGTCTCTACTAAAAATACAAAAAATTAGCCAGGCATGGTGGCAGGTGCCTGTAGTCCCAGCTACTTGGGAGGCTGAGCCAGAAAAATGGTGTGAACCTGGGAGATGGAGTTTACAGTGAGCCGAGATCACGCCACTGCACTCCAGCCTGGGTGACAGAGCGAGACTCCATCTCAAAATAAAATAAAATAAAATTTCACCATGAGTTTTGGAGGGAAAAAATATTCAAACCATAGCAGAAGGAGTGTATTTCAACATAATGAAGACCACATGTGACAAGTTCACAGCTAATATGTCGTATTAAACAGTGAAAAACTGATAGTTTTTCTTCTAAGTTCAGGAACAAGATAAGGATGTCCACTCTTGCCCCTTCTATTCAATATAATACAGGAAGTCCTAGCCACAGCAATTATGGGGGGAAAAAAGACAAGCAGATTGGAAAAGAAGTAGAGAAATTGTCTGTTTGCAGATAACATAATCTTGTATATAGAAAACCCTAACAACTCCACCAAATAACTCTTAGAACTAACACACAGATTCAATTAAGTTACAGAATAAAAATCAACATGCAAAAATCAGTTCTTTTTTTTTTTTTTTTTTTTTTTTGAGACGGGGTCTCACTCTGTTGCCAGGCTGGAGTGCAGCAGTGCGATCTCAGCTCACTGCAACCTCCCTCCTGGGTTCAAGCAATTCTCCTGCCTCAGCCTCCTGAGTAGCTGGGACTACAGGTGTGTGCCACCATGCCTGGCTAATTTTTTGTATTTTTTAGTAGAGACAGGGTTTCACTATGTTAGCCAGGATGGTCTCGATCTCCTGATCTTGTGATCCACCCACCTTGGCCTCCCAAAGTGCTGGGATCTTAGGCGTGAGCCACTGCACCTGGCCAATCAGTTGCATTTTTATTCACTAACAATGAGCTATCAATAAAAAGAAATTAACAACACAATCCCATTTGCAATAGCATCAGAAAGAATCAAATACTTAGGAATAAGTTTAACCAAGGAAATGAAATATCTGTACACTGAAAATGATAAAACATTGATGGATGCTGTTGAACAAGACACATGTAAATGGAAACATATTTCACTTTCATGGATTGGAGATATTAATATTGTTAAAATGTTCATACTACTCAGAGTAATCAGGAGATTCAATACAATTCATATCAAAATTCCAATGGCATTTTTTCACAGAAATAGGAAAAACAATCCTAAAATTTGTATGGAACCACGAAAGCCTCAAATAGCCAAAGCAATCATAGGCAAAAAGGAATAAAGCAAGAGGCATCACACTACTTTATTTCAAAATGTACTAAAAAGCTAACATAATCAAAACAGCATGGCGCTGATATAAAAATGCACATGTAAACCAGTACAACAGAATTGAGAGCCCAGAAATGAATCTACACATTTTTGGTCAATTGATCTTTGACAAAGATACCAAGAAGACACAATGGGAAAAGGGCACTCTCTTTAATAAATGGTGTTGGGACAACTAGATAATCACATACAGAAAATAAAATTGGACCCTTATCTCATACCATAACCAAAAATCAAATTAAAATGGATTAAATACTTAAATGTAAGACATGAAACTGTAAAACTAAGAGAAAAAAAAACAGAAAAAGAAAAAAGGCTTCTTGATATGGGTCTGGGTTGTGGTTTTTAAAAAATATAACCCCAAAGGACAGGCAACAAAAGCAAAAGTAGACAAATGGGACTGCATCAAAATAAAAAGCATCTATCTGCACAACAAAGGCTCAATAGAGTGAATAGACCAGCTATGGAATGGGAGACAATATTTGCAAACCATACTTCTTATAAGGAGTAAATATTCTAGTTTATAAGGAAATCGAGCCCCTGACTGCCACCACCGCTGCCGCCCAGAGACTGCTGAGCCCTTGTTGGTCTGCCATCACCACCCACTCCAGAAACAGAACATCCAGTCATGGATAAAAATGAGCTGGTTCAGAAGGCCGAACTGGCCCAGTAGGCTGAGAGATATGATGACATCGCAGCCTGCATGAAATCTGTAACTGAGCAAGGAGCTGAAATTATCCAATGAGGAGAGGAAACTTCTCTCAGTTGCTTCTAAAAATGTAGGCGCCTATAGGTCATTTTGGAGTGTTGTCTCAAGTATTGAACAAAAGACGGAAGGTGCTGAGAAAAAACAGCAGATGGCTCGAGAATACAGAGAGAAAATTCAGACAGAGCTAAGAGATATCTGCAATGATGTACTGTCTCTTTTGGAAAAGTTCTTGATCCCCAGTGCTTCACAAGCAGAGAGCAAAGTCTTCTATTTGAAAATGAAAGGAGATTACTACCGTTACTTGGCTGAGGTCGTTGCTGGTGATGACAAGAAAGGGATTGTGGATCAGTCACAACAAGCATACCAAGAAGCTTTTGAAATCAGCAAAAAGGAAATGCAACCAACACATGCTATCAGACTGGATTTACTCCTCTGAACTCCCCAGGGAAAGCCTGCCCTTGGCCAGGACCAGTGGCTCACGCCTGTAATCCCAGCACTTTGGGAGGCCGAGGCAGGTGGATCACGAAGTCAGGAGTTTGAGACCATCCTGGCCAACCTGGTGAAACCCCGTCTCTACTAAAAATACAAAAATTAGTGGGGCGTGTTGGTGGGCACCTGTAATCCCAGCTACTTGGGAGGCTGAGGCAGGAGAATTGTTTGAACCCGGGAGGTGGAGGATGCAGTGAGCCAAGATCATGCCATTGCACTCCAGCCTGGGTGACAGGGCAAGACTCCATCTGAAAGGACGGAAGGAAGGGAGGGAGGGAGGGAGGCAAGCCTGTTCTCTTGCAAAGACAGCTTTTGATGAAGCCATTGCTGAACTTGATATATTAAGTGAAGAGTCATACAAAGACAACACGCTAATAATGCAGTTACTGACAGACAACTTGACATTGTGGACATCGGATACCCAAGGAGACAAAGCTGAAGCAGGAGAAGGAGGTGAAAATTAACCCGCCTTCCAACTTTTATCTGCCTCATTTTAAAATTTACATAGTAGACCATTTGTCATCTATGCTGTCCCACAGATAGTTTTTTGTTTACAATTTATGAGAGGTTTATGTTACTTCTATTTGAATTTCTATATTTCCCATGTGGTTTTTATGTTTAATATTAGGGGAGTAGAGCCAGTTAACATTTAGGGAGTTACCTGTTTTCATCTCGAGGTGGACACTATGGGGATGTGGAATTTTTATACAAGTTATAAATGTTTGGCATAGTACTTTTAGTACATTGTGGCTTCACAGGGGCCAGTGTTAAAACTGCTTCCATGTCTAAGCAGAGAAAACTGCGTACATATTGGTTTGTCCTAGTGGGGAATAAAAGAGATCATTGGTTCCAGTTACAGGTGTAGTAATTGTGGGTACGTTAAGGTTTGGAGCACTTACAAGGCTGTGGTAGAAACAGATATCCCATGGATACCACGTGTTAAACCATGTATAGCTGTGGAATACTCAATCTCAATGTGCACACCTTTGACTACGGCTGCAGAAGTGTTCCTTTAGACAAAGTTGTGACCCATTTTACTCTGAATAAGGGCAGAAACGGTTCACATTTCATTATTTGTAAAGTTACCTGCTGTTAGCTTTCATCATTTTTATTACACTCATTTTATTTGTATTTAAATGTTTTAGGCAACCTAAGAACAAATGTAAAAGTAAAGATGCAGGAAAAACGAATTGCTTGGTGTTCATTACTACATGTATATCAAGCACAGCAGTAAAACAACAACAACAAAAAAAAAACATGTATTTAACTTTTTTTAGGTTTTTTTGCTTTTGTGGTTTTTCTTGATACTTGCCTAACATGCGTGTGCTGTAAAAATAGTTAACAGGGAAATAACTTGAGATGATGGCTAGCTTTGTTTAATGTCTTATGAAATTTTCAAGAACAGTCCAAGCACAATTGTTAAGAACATGTGTATTAAATTCATGTCAGTGGAATAAAAGTTTTATGAATGCACTTTTCAACTACTTTCTCTACAGCTTTTCATGTAAATTAGTCTTTTGGTTCTGAAACTTCTCTAAAGGAAATTGTATATTTTTTGAAATTTATTCCTTATTCCTTCTTGGCAGCTAATGGGCTTTTGTCAAGTTTAAACACGAAGTTTATCATAATAACAAAAATTCTACTAATATAACTACTGTTTCCAACCATGTCCCATTATCCCGTCTCCTCCTTCCCACCCTGAAAAAAATGAGTTCCTGTTTTTACTGGGAGAGGGGGAGATTGATTGGGAAAAAAAAGTAATATGTTCCGTTTAAATTTTGGTATATGGCATTTTCTAACTTAGGAAGGCACAATGTTCTTGGCCCATCATGACATGGGGTAGCATTATCTATAAGTTTTGTGCTTCCAATCACTTTTTGGTTTTTAAGAATTTCTTCATACTCTTAGAGCCTGCCTTCGATTTTGTTCCTTTATTCTTTCTATTTGTCAGGTGGCACAAGATTACCTTCCTTTTTTAGCCTTCTGTCTTGTCACCAACCATTCCTACTTGGTGGCCATGTACTTGGAAAAAGGCCGCATGATCTTTCTGGCTCCACTCAATGTCTAAGACACCCTGCTTCCTTTGCTTGCATCCCACAAACTATTTCCCTCATCCTATTTACTGCAACAAATCTCTCCTTGGTTGATTAGATTGTGTTTATCTCCCTTTAAAACCTTGTGTATCCTGAATGGCCTGTCATTGTCTGTCTTTCAAATCCTTTCTCTTTCTCTTCCTCTATTCTCTAAATAATGATGGGACTAAGTTATACCCAAAGACACTTTACAAAATATTTCCTCAGTACTTTGCAGAAAACACCAAACAAAAATGCCATTTTAAAAGAGGCGTATTTTTTCTACACCTCTTTAGAATGTAAGCTTCTTTTCTCCACCTTTTTAGAATGTAAGCTTCTCAAGAGCAGGGACAATGTTTTCTGTATGTTCTATTGTGCCTTGTACAGTGTAAATGCTCAATAAATATTGATGACGGGAGGCATTGAGTCTTGATGATATGGGTGAGAAACTGAAATCCACCCCCCAAAAAAATTCTAGTATATAAGGAAATCAAATAATAGCAAGATAGCAAGTAATCTGATTTTAAAATGAGCTAAGGTCTTGAAAAGACTTTTCTCTAAAGAAAACATACAAATGGCTGACATGTATATGAAAAAATGCTCAACATTGCTAATCATCAGTGAAATGAAAATCAAAACCACAAGAATCTATCACCCCACACCTGTTAGAATGGCTATCATCAAAAACACAAAAAATAACAAGTGTTGGCAAAGATGTGGAGAAAATGAAACTCTTATACACTGTTGGTGGGAATGTAAATTAGAACAGCCATATGAAAAACAATATATGGAAGTTCATGAAAAAATTAAAAATAGAATCATCATATGATCCAGCCCTTTTTTTTTTTTTTTTTTCTGAGATGGAGTTTTGCTCTTGTTGCCCAGGCTGGAACACAATGGCACGATCTCAGCTCACTGCAGCCTCCACCTTCCCAGGTTCAAGCAATTCTCCTGCCTCAGCCTCCCGAGTAGCTGAGATTACATGCATGCACCACCACGCCTGGCTAATTTTGTATTTCTAGTAGAGATGGGGTTTCTCCATGTTGAGGCTGGTATCGAACTCCTGACCTCAGGTGATCCGCCTGCCTCAGCCTCCCAAACTGCTGGGATTACAGGTGTGAGCCACTGCGCCCCACCTGATCCAGCATTTTTACTTCTGAGTTTTAAAAAACCTATAGTATATACACAAAAGGAAATAAAATGTATTTTCTTTTTTTTTTTTTTTGACGGAGTCTCGCTCTTATCGTGCAGGCTGGAGTGCAGTGGCATGATCTCGGCTCACTGCAACCTCCGCCTCCCAGATTCAAGCGATTCTCTTGCCTCAGCTTCCCGAGTAGCTGGGACTACAGTTGCCCACCATCACGCCCAGCTAATTTTTGTACTTTTAGTAGAGACGGGGTTTCCCCATGTTGTTCAGGCTGATCTCGAGCTCCTGACCTCTGGTGATCCACCCGCCTCGGCCTCCCAAAGTGCTGGGATTACAGGCGTGAGCCACCGGACCCGGCCTTATTTTCTTTATTCAAAGGAAATAGAATCAGTATGTCAAAGAGATATCTGCACCTTCATGTGCATTGTAGCATCATTCACAATAACTAAGATATGGAATCAACCTAAATGTCCATTCAGGGATGAATGGATAAAGAAGATGTGGTATATATGTACAATAGAATAGTATTTAGGCTTAAATAATAAGAAAATCCTGTTATTTTCAACAACATGAGGGAACTTGGCAACATTATGCTAACTGAAATAATCCTGGCAGAGAAAGACAATACTGTATGATATTACTTATATGCAGAATCCAAAAAAGTTCAACTCATAGAAGCAGAGAGTAAAATAGTAGTTACCAGGGGCTACGGTGGGGATGAGGTGGAAGAAAATGTAGAGATGTTGGTCTAAAGGTACAATATTTCAATTAGGATGAATAAGTTATGGAGATCTATTGTACAGCATGGTGACCATAGTTAATAATGTATACTTGAAAATTGCTAAGAGAGTATATTTTAAATGCTGTCACCACTAAAAAAGTGATAAATATATGCAGTGCTAAATATGTTGATTACTTTGGTTTAAACATTTCACAGTGTATACATATATTAAAACATCACATTGTACACCATAAATACATACAATTTTTGTCATTATAGCTTAAGAAGCCAGAAGGAAAAAAAGACTGTCTTTGAAATGAATGAAAACAAAAACCCAACACAACAAAAAAAATATGGGATATGGCTAAAACAATGGTTAAAGGAGGAATTTATAGCTGTAAATATCTATTAAAAAAAGAAAAAAATCTCCAATCAATAATAAGACCTCCAATTTAAAGACACTGAAAACAAAACAGTCAACTAAATCTAAAGCAAGCAGAAGGAAGGAAATAAACAAGATTAGGATGTGATATGGGTTTGGGTCCATGTCCCCACCCAAATCTCATCTTAAATTGTAATCCCCACATGTCAAGAGAGGGACCTGGTGGGAGGTGATTGGATCATGGAGGTGGTTTCTCCCATGCTGTTCTTGTGATAGTTAGGGAGTTCTCACAAGATCTGATGGTTTTAAAAGTGGGAGTTTTTTCTGCACTCACCAGGTCTCTCCTGCCACCTTGTGAAGAAGGCATCTGCTTCCCCTTCACCTTTCTCCATGATCGTAAGCTTCCTAAGGCCTCCAAAGCCATGCAGAACTGTGAGTCAATTAAACTTCTTTTTGTTTATAAATTACTCAGTCTCAGGTAAATATCTTTATAGCAGTGTGAAAATTGACTACTACAGAGAATTGGTACTAGGAGTGCGGTAATGCTATAAAGATAACCTGAAAATGTTGAAGTGACTTTAGAACTGGGTAACAGGTAGAGGTTGGAATAGTTTGGAGGGCTCAGAAGAAGACAGAAAGACATGGGAAAGTTTGGAACTTCTTAGAGACTTATTAAATGGTTTTGACCAAAGTGCTGACAGTGATATAGACAATGAAGTCCAGGCTGATGTGGTTTTGTTACTGGAAAGGGGTCCTGATCCAGACCCCAAGAGAGGGTTCTTGGATCTCATGCAAGAAAGAATTCAGGGTTATTCCACAGTGCAAAGTAAAAGCACATTTATTAAGAAAGTAAAGCAGTGAAAGGACAGCTACTCCACAGACAGAGTAGGATGTTCCTGAAAGTAAGAAGAGGAATGCATCCACCCTAGGTACAATGCTTGTATATTTATAGGATAAAAATAGTGCTTGGGGAGATGTGCTCTGCTACAAGGGTTTGTGATAAAGGATTAATTTTCTTAATTACTATATTTTGCAAGAATCAATATTGTTATCTTTATAGCAAAATTGGGAATGTCCTTATTCTCCAGATATCAGGATATCTGGACACTCCCAAGTCTGGGTCTGTTTCAGTAAACATCATAAATGTGTTCCCTTAGCCATAAACATCTAGAAGCTAGGAATGTCTAATTTTCTGGAAATGTAGCCCAGCAAGTCTCAGCCTCATTTTCCCAGCCCTCACTCAAAATGGAGTCACTTTGCTCAAAAGCCTCTGACAGTTTTAGATGGAGATGAGGAACCTTTTGGGAAATGGAGCAAAGGTTACTTATGCTGTGCTTTAGCAAAGATACAGGCAGCATTTTGCCTCTGCCCTACAGATCTGTGGAACTTTGAACTTGAGAGAGATGATTTAGGGTATCTGGTGGAAGAAATTTCTAAGCAGCAAAGCATTTAAGAGGTGGCCTGGCTGATTCTGAAAGCATTCAGCTATATGCACTCACAAACACGTGGTTCAAACTTGGAACTTAGGCTGGGCGCAGTGGCTCATGCCTGTAATCCCAGCACTTTGGGAGGCCAAGGCAGGTGGATCACGAGGTCAGGAGATCGAGACCATCCTGGCTAACATGGTGAAACCTGTCTCTACTAAAATTAGCCAGGTGTGGTGGTGGGCGCCTGTAGTCCCAGCTACTCAGGAAGCTGAGGCAGGAGAACGGTGCGAACCTGGGAGGCGGAGCTTGCCGTGAGCCGAGATTGCGCCACTGCACTCCAGCCTGGGCGACAGAGCCAGACTCTGTCTCAAAAAAAAAAGAAAAAAAAAAAGTTGGAACTTATGTTTAAAAGGGAAGCAGAGGTCTCTGTTCTGCAGGATGGGGTTTATTAAAGTTGTTAACAATAAGGCCTACTTTAAGAGATACCAAGTGAAATTTAGAAGACGATGAGAGGGTAAAAATGATTATTATTCTCAGCAATGCTTGGTGATACAGGATAAAAATAAATACAACACACCCAAATACAGGATGATAGTTCATGTAACAAAAAGACGTATCATTTGTCAGATTGCTTATGTCCGTATAGAGGGGGATATGATAGTCTGCGCAGCATATGCGCACAAACTGCCAAAATATGGTGTGAATGTTGGCCTGACAAATTATGCTGCAGCATATTGTACTGGCCTGCTGCTAGCCCGCAGGCTTCTCAATAGGTTTGAAGTGGACAAGATCTATGAAAGCCAAGTGGAGAAGACTGGTGATGAATACAATGTGGAAAGCATTGATGGTCAGCCAGGTGCCTTTACCTACTATTTGGATGCAAGCCTTGCCAGAACTACCACTGGCAATCAAGTTTTTGGTGCCCTGAAGGGAACTGTGGATGAAGGCTTGTCTATCCCTCACAGTACCAAACGATTCCCTGGTTATGATTCTGAAAGCAAAGAATTTAATGCAGAAGTACACCAGAAGTACATCATGGGCCAGAAAGTTGCAGATTACATGCACTACTTAATGGAAGGAGATGAAGATCCTAACAAGAAACAGTTCTTTCAGTACGTAAAGAACAGCATAACTCCAGACATGATGGAAATATATAAGAAAACTCATGCTGCTATATGAGAAAATCCAGTCTACAAAAAGAAGTCCAAGAAAGAAGTTAAAAAGAAGAGGTAGAACTTTCCCAAAATATCCCTTGCTCAGAAGAAAGATTGGGTAGCTCAAAAGAGGGCAGACTTCCTCAGAGCTCAGGAGCAGACTGCTGAGAGCTAAACCACTTTTCTGTGAGGGTTTTTCAGATAAAGAGAATAAACTTATGGACAGAAAAAAGGGAAGCAGAGCATAAAAGTTTGGAAAACTTGCAGCCTAACTATATGGTAGAAAAGAAAAACCCATTTTCTGGGAGGAATTTAAGCAAGCTGCAGAAATTTGTATAAGTAATGAGGAGCTGAATGTTAATAGCCAAGACAATGGGGAAATGTCTCCAGGGCATGTCAGAGATCTTCACAGCAAACCCTTACATCACAGGCCCAAAGGCCTAGGAAGGAAATATGGTTTCCTGGGCTAGGCCCAGGGTCCTGCTCCTCTGCAGCCTGAGGATCTGGCACACTGTATGTCAGCCACTCCAACTCCAGCTGTGGCTAAAAGGGGTCAAGGTACAGTTCGGGGCCATTGCTTCAGAGGATGCTATCCCCAAGCTTTGGTGGCTTCCATGTGGTGTTGGGCCTGCAGGTGCACAGAAGACAAGAGCTGAGGTTTGGGAGCCTCCACCTAGATTTCAGAGGATGTATGGAAACATCTGGATGTCCAGGCAGAAGTCTGCTGCAGGGTCAGAACCCTTATGGAGAATCTCTGCTAGAGCAGCGTGGAAGGGAAATGTGGGGTTGGAGCTCCCACACAGAGTCCCCACTGGGACACTGCCTAGTGGAGCTGTGAGAAGAGGGCCACTGTCTTCCAGGCTACAGAAAGGTAGATCCACTGACAGCTTGCACCATGCACCTGGAAAAGCTGCAGGCACTCAACACCAGCCTGTGAAAACAGCCACAGGGGCTGTAGCCTCAGAGTCACAGGGGCAGAGCTACCCAGGGCTGTGGGAGATCACCCCTTGTATCAGCATGCTTGGGATGTGAGAGATGGAGTCAAAAGAAATCATTTTGGAGCTTTAAGATTTAATGACTGCCCTGACAGGTTTTGGACTTGCATGGGGCCTGTGGCCCTATTGTTTTAGCCAATTTCTCCCATTTGGAAAAGGAAAATTTACCCAATGCCTGTACCCCCATTGTATCTTGGAAGTAACTAACTTGCTTTTGATTTTACAGGCTGATAGGTGGAAGGGACTTGACTTGTCTCAGATGAGACTTTGGACTTGGACTTTTGGTTTAATACCATAATTAGTTAAGACTTTGGGGGACTGTTGGGAAGGCATGATTGTGATTTGAAATATGAGAATGACATGAGATTTGGGAGGGTCTGGGGGCAGAATGATATGGTTTGGCTCTGTGTCCCCACCCAAATGTCATCTCAAATTATAATCCCCATGTGTTGAGGGAGATACCTGATAGGAGGTGATTGGATCATGGGGGACAGTTTCCCCCATACTTTTATTGTGATGGTGACAGGGTCCTCATGAGAGCTGATGGTTTCAAAGTGCCAGTTTTCTTTGCACTAATTTGAACTTACTTCAGTTGTCTAAAAGACACCCTAATTGTGAATCCTCTGGGATGCTCACTGTTGTCCCCATGTCCACTAAGAGTCTCTACAGGGGGTTTTAGTCAGCCTAAGTTTAGCAAATGCCTAGTTGCTTTTCCCTTTTTAAATTCACACTTTCTATAGATAGCAAGGTGTTACAAAAATGGATTACAAACTACAAATGGCAGTTGGATGTTGAGCCTAAATTCCACAGAGAGTGAGTTATATGAGGGGGACTAACAAATAGTGACTGTAGAAAGGAGGAAGGGAAGGGTAAACTGCATTGCCCAAGGGGAGACTTCAGAGGCCCTGACTTGCTGGAGAACCTACCCAGAAGTGGAGTCACCAAAAAATATTCAGGTGGCCACTTGCCTATCACTGTAGGTGCTGTTCATCAGGCCAGGAGTCTGGGAAATCTCAATTTATTTGACCAAGAAGGGCTTGAGCAAGGCAGTTATAGGACAGCACATAGGAAGGGGCTTGCAGCTGACTATTAAGAAAATAATACTTTCAACTTTAGGGCAGAAAATGGCAAGACCAATAGTCCCCTAGGGTAAGGGGCTATAACCCACAATCCTAGAAGGAATGTCAATGCCGAAAACCCCAGAGCATCTGTTGGGGTGACCAAAAATACCTATGCTGAAAACCTGGAGTGTCCGAAGTTCAGCCAATGAGTGTTCTCTCACCAAATCCCAAAAACCTTGGGGCACCCCAGGGGTGGCCAAGAGTGAACCCCAGACCAAGCTGGGATCACAGAACAACTTGACTCTGGTGTTCTAGAGTCCACACAATGGGGGATCTCTCACAACCAAGTATCCTGCCTTGAACAATTGCCCAAATACAGTTAACAGAAAGTCAAAAGCAAACATGACTGCAAACAAACAACTGCAATCAAAACATACATTTTTAGGACTGAAAATAAAACAAATGGTGGAGGAATAAAATGAAGTCAGAGGAAAAGAAAAAACAAAAACAAAAAATGGGAAAAGTGGTGACAAGGATATGCTTCAGAGCATCTAAACCGTGGGTAACTTTTAACTGACCACTTAGCCAAAGGCTTTCATTTCCTAGCTTACCTAATATTATGGTTGGGGAGGAGAAGAGAGGAGACATTCACCCGTTGCACCAACTAATCTCCCACGCAGGACTTGGGTATAGGTCTCTCCAGGTTCCCCCAGCTTGAGTGGGCTCAGCTGCCATATTGTGAGAGGGACAGCACAGGGACCTGTAATCCACTGACCTGCTTGGTTGGAGCAGTGGGTCCCACACAAGGCAGCAGCACCATGGCCACTTGATCCTCCACTTTGCTCTGCTGCCTGCCGGGGAAAGATGATGGCTCTTAAAAGAGTCTTTGGTTAGTGTTATAGCTCTGTAGTGTTAGAAGCTATTTATTGTTACAGCCTCGGTGTTACAGCTCTTGCAGCCTCGAGATCAGACATTTTTGCTGTCTCTCTCCTTGTGGTATTGCAGATTGCCATGTTTCCCTCTCACCAACTACTGTCTCTTGTTATTTCAGTCTCTCTGACTGCCATCTTTCATTGTCTGTCTCCAGTCGCTGCCTCTCTGTCTGTACTGTCTCACCATCCAGGTCTCACTGTCTCCACCAATCGATCACTGCCATTTCCACCAATCACTGCCGTCTCCACTGTCTTCCTCCCTTCGCTGGTCACCAGATGATGCAAGACAGGCAAGCCCCAAAATTCAGTCTTAGCCCGGGAGGGTTCTTGGCTTAGCCCAGGAAATAATTCAAGGGTGAGTCAGTGGTATTAAACAGCAACTTTTATTAAAGTGGCAGCATACAGCAGCAGCAGAAGTACTGCTCCTTGCAGAGCAGGGCTACTCCATACTCCCAGAATAACAGCTCAGAGGCAGTTTTGCAGTCATATTTATACCCACTGTTAATTATATTAAAATTAAGGGGTGGTTTATGCAGAAATTTATACCATGAGAGAGGTAACTTCTGGGTTGTCAGGTCATTGCTATGGAAAGGAATGTTAACTTGTTGCCATGGCAATGGTAAACTGACATGGCACATTAGTGGGCATGTCTTATGGGGAGGTGCTTCTGCCCCAGACCTGTTTTAGCTAGTACTCAATTTGGTCCAATGTCTGAGCCCTGTGTTGAGTCCTGCCTCCTAGCTCATTTTTAAGGTTCATTTAAGCCATAGCATGTATCAGTACTTCATTCCTTCTAATTGGCAAATAATATCCCATTTGTGGCTAAATCATATTTTATTTATCCATTTATCAACTGATAGGTATTTGCACTGTTCCACTTTTTAGCTGTTACAAATAAAGTGCTCCTATCAGCATTTGTGGATAAGTTTTTGTGTGGACATAAGCTTTCATATCTTTTGGGTACAAACCTAAGAGTGGAATTGCTGAGTCATATGGTAACTCTATATTTAACCTTTTGAGGGACTACCAAACAGTTTTGCAAAGTGGCTGTACCATTTTACATTTCCACCAACAGTGTTTCAATTTGTCCACAACTTCTCCAACACTTGATATTTCAGTCTTTTGTACTATAGCCATGTTAGGGAGTGCGAAGAGGTATCTCATTGTGGTTTTCATTTGTGTTTTCTTTATAGTTAATTGATTTTGGCATCTTTTAATGTATTTATTGGCCATTCGTATATCTTATTTGGAGACATGTTTACTTACATCTTTTGCCTATCTTTTAAATTATGTAATTTATATTTTAATTATTGACTTGTGAAGGTTCTTTTTATATTCTAGATACGAATCTCTTCTCAGATATATGACTGGTAAATATTTTTTTCACATTACATGGTTGTCTTTTTACTTTCTTGCTGGTGTCTTTTGGAACACAAATATTTTACATTATGATTAAGTCCAATTTATCTGTTTTTCTTTTGTTGCTTGAGCTTTTAGTGTCACATCTAAGAAACTGTTACCTACTACAAGGTCATGAAGATTTATTGTTATATTTTCTTCTAACAGTTTTATACCTTTAGCTCTTACATTTAGGACTTCGATTCATTTTGAGTACATGTTTGTATGTGGTATGATGTAGGGGCCTACATTCACTCTTTTGCATGTAGATATCTCACCATCCCAGAACCACTTTAAAAAATTTTTTATTTTTAATAGACACATAATGATAGTACCTATTTATGTGGTAAAATGTGATGTTTTGATACCTGTATACATTGTACAGTGATCAAATAAAGGTAATTAGCATACTCATCACCTCAAATATTTATCATTTATTTTTGGTAGGAACATGCAAAATCCTCTCTTCTTGCTCTTTTGAGATATACAATACTTTTTTGTTGATTATAGTCACCCTACTGTGCTATAGGACACTGGAACTTTTTCCTCCTTTCTAATTGTAACTTAGTACTTGTTGACCATCCTCTCCCCTTTCCCCCTTACCTCTACTCTCCCCAGTTTCTGGTGACCATTGTTCTGTTCACTACTTCTATGAGATTAACATATTTAGATTATGCATATGAGTAAGAACATGTGGTATTTGTCTTTCTGTGCCTGGCTTATTTCACTGAACATAATGTCTCCAAGTTTATCCATGTTGTAACAAATGACAAGATTTCCTTCCTTTTTATGGCTGAATAGTATTCCATTACATTATACCACATTTTCTTTATCCATTCACCCATTGTTGGACACTTAGACTGATTCCATATCTTGGCTATTGTGAATAGCCAATTAATGCAATAAACATGAGAGTTCAGATGTCTCTTCGACATACTGATTTCATTTCCTTCAGATATATAGCCAATAGTGGGATTGTTGGATCATATGATAGTTCTATTTTTAATTTTTCAGGAAGCTCCATACTGTTTCCCATAATGGCTATACTAATTTACATTCCCACCAACAGTGTATTAAGGGTTCTCTTTTCTCCACGTAATTTCTAACACTTGTTATCTGTTGTCTTTTTTATAACAGCCATTCTAACTGGAGTGAGGGGATGTCTCATTGTTTTTATTTGCATTTCTATGGTCATTAGTGACCAGGGTCATTATCCCGGATGATAAGTGATAGGTAGCATTTTTTAATATGTCTGTTGGCCATTTGTATGTCTTCTTTTGGAAAATGCCTGTTAAGGTCTTTCGGCCATTTTTTGAATGAGGTTTATTTTTTGCTTGTTGATTTAAGGTCATTATATATTCTGAATAGTAATGCCTTGTCAATGTATAGTATCAAATATTTTCTCCCATCCTGTAGGTTGCCTCTTCACTCTGCTGATTGTTTTCTTTGCTGTGCAGAAGCTTTTTAGTTTGGCGTATCTCATTTGTCTATGTTTGGTTTTGTTGCCTGTGTTTTGAGGTCTTATCAAAAAAATCCTTGCCTAGTCCAATGTCATGAAGCATTTTCTCTATGTTTTCTTCTGTAGTTTCATAGTCTTGGGTCTTATATTTAAGTTTTTAATTCATTTTGAGTTGATTTTTGTATGGTGAAAGATAGGGGTACAGTATTCTTCTGCATATGGATATCCAGTTTCCTCAGCACCATTTATTAAAGAGATTGTCCTTTTCCCAGTGTGTGTTCTTGGCACCTTTGTCCAAAATCAGTGGGCTGTAGATGTGTGGATTTATTTCTGGGCTCTGTATTCTGTTCCACTGTTTTTTTAATGCCTGTTTTTCTGCCAATACATGCTGTTTTGGTTACCATAGGCTTGTAATATATTTTGAAGTTAGGCAGTATCATGCCTCCAGCTTTGTTGTTGTGGGGCTTTTTTTGCTCAAGATTAGTTTGGTTATTCAGAGTTTTTTGTCATTCTATATGAATTTCAGGATTTCTTTTCTATTTCTGTGAAGGATATCATTGGAAATTTCACAGAGATTACAGCGAATCTCTACATACTTTGGTATAATATGGACATTTTAACAATATGAATTCTTCCAATCTATGAACATGGCTATCTTTCTATTTATTTGTGTTCTCTTCAATTTCTTTCATCAGTATTCTATAGTTTTTACCTCTCTGGTTAACTTTATTCCTAGGTATCTTATAGATTTTTGTAGCTATTATAAATGGAGTTGTTTTATTTCTTTTTCAGATTGTTCACTATTAAGGTATAAAAATGCTATTGATTTTTGCATATTTACTTTGTACCCTGCAACTTTAGTGAATTCTCTTATTAGTTCTAACAGTTTTTGGTAGAGTCTTTTGGTTTATCTCTACATAAGATCATATTGTCTGCAAACAGACAATTTGACTTCCTCCCTTCCAATTTGGAAGACTTTTTTCTTTTGTGTAATGTCTATGGCTATGACTTCCAATATTATGTTGAATAGAAGTGATGAAAGTGTGCATTCTTGTCTTTCTCCAGATCTTAGAGAAAAAGCTTTTATCTTTTCTCTATTCAGTAGGATGTTAGCTATGGGTTTTTCATATATGGCCTTTATTGCATTGAGCTATGAAACTTCTATACACATAATTTGTTGAGAGGTTATGTTTATCTTGAAGGATGTTGAAGTTTGTTTCTTTAGTCTCTATTTATTTCTGCTCCAATCTTTATTATTATCTTTTTCTTCTGCTTTTTTAGGTTTTAGCTTTTCTTGTTCCATCTGTGCAATGTTAGGTCATTTATTTGAGATCATTCTTCATTTTTGATGTAGGTGTTTATTGCTGTAAAGTTCTATCTTAGAACTGCTTTCGCTGTACCCCATAGATTTTGGTATGTGTGTTGTTTCTATTTTTGTTTGTCTCATAAAATTTTTTAATTTCACTTTTAATTTCTTCATTGACTCATTGGTTATTCAGAGACACATTGTTTGATATCCATGTATTTGTAAAGTTTCCACAGTTCTTCCTATTATTGATTTCTAGTTGTATACTATTTTTACTAGAAAAGATACTCTGTATGATCTATAGCTTCCTAAATTTGTTAAGACATGTTTTGTGGCCTAACATATGACCTACCCTGGAGAATGTTCCATGTAAAGTTGAGAATAATGTATATGCCATGACTTTGGGGGTTAGGATTTCAGCATATAAATCATGGGGAACATAAACATCAAGTCAATTGCAGTAGTATTTCCTTATAATCCTTTTTAGTTCTGTAATGTTGCTAGCAATATTATCTCTTTTATTCCTGCTGTGGTCTGAATGCTTGTGTCTTTCCAAAATTTGTATGTTGAAAACCTGATCACTAACGTAATAGTGTTAGGATGTAAGGCCTTAGGGAGATGATTAGATCATGAGGTCAGGATGGGTTTAGTGCACTTATAAGAAAGGTTCCAGAGAGCTGGTTTCCCATTTTCAGCATATAAGGGCACAGCAAGAAAGTACTATCCATGAACCAGAAAATAGGTCCTCACCAAACACTAAATCTGCCTGTCTTGATATTAGGTTTCCTTGTCTCCAAAACTGTGAGGAATACATTTCTGTTGTTTTTAAGATATGCAGTCTATGGTAGTTTTTTAGAGCAACCCAAACAAACTAAGACAATTCTGAATTTTGATAACTTGAGTTTTCTCTCTTTTTCTTTTGGTCAGTTTAGATAAAGTTTTGTCAATTTTGTTGATCTTTTCAAAAAGCTACATTTGGGTTTCATTAATTTTCATTAATTGTCTATTTAATTAATTTCTGATTCAATCTTTTTTTCTTCTGCTTGCTTTAAATTTACTTTTTAATATCTGAAGGTGATTATGAATTTCAAATCTTTCTTAATTTTCAAATATAGATGTTTATAGGCATAAATTTGCCTCCAAACACTGCTTTACCTGCTCTTCATAGATTTTGATATTTTGTGTTTTCATTTTTATTCATTTCAAAGTGTTTTTGAATTTGCCTCATGGTTTTTTTGACCAATTGATTATTTTGAAGTGTGTGGTTTAATGTCTACTATTTATGCATCCCTCAAATTTCTTGTTATTTATTTTCTCATTCTGTTATTGATTTCTTTATTCCAATGTGACCAGATAATAAACTTTGTATGATTTCAATTATTTTAAGTGTGTTGAGGCTTTTATTGTTGCCTACCATATAGTCTATCTTGGAGAATGTTTCATTTTCATTTGAGAATAATGTGTCTCATCTAGGTATAGAGTGTTCTATGGGTATCTATTAGGTATAATGGGTTTATAATGTTGTTCAAGTCTTCTGTTTCCTTGTTGATCATCCTCATAGTTGTTTCTCCATTGTTTGAAAGTGGACCATGAAGTCTCTGAATATTGTTGTTGAATATGTATTTCTTTATGTCTGTTTCTCCCTTCAATTTTGTTAACTTTTCTTCATGTATATTGAGACTGTTTTTAGGTGAATATGTGGTTATAAATGTTATATCTTCCTAAGGATATCTTTTTATTATTAAAGATGTCCCTCTTTCTTTCTTGTAGCATTTTTTTAAAGTTCTATATGTCTAATATTAATACAGACATTTCAGCAACCTTATGGTTGCTATTTGCATGATATATTGTTTCCATCCTTTTACTTTCAATCTATTTGTATCTATAAATCTAAGGTGTGTCAACTCTAGACAGCATATAGTTGGTTCTTGCTTTTTCATCCAGTTTGATAATATCTACCATTTTATTGAGGATTTTTTTTTTTTTTTTTTTTTTTAAGATGGAGTCTTGCTTTGTCGCCCAGGTTGGAGTGCAGTGGTGCAATCTCAGCTCACTGCAACCTCTGCCTTCGGGTTCAAGCAATTCTCCTGCCTCAGCCTCCTGAGTAGCCGGAACTACAGGCACATGCCACCACACCTGGCTAATTTTTGTATTTTTAGTAGAGATGGGGTTTCACCATGTTGGCCAGGATGGTCTCTGTCTCCTGGCTTTGTGATCCACCCACCTTGGCCTCCCAAAGTGCTGGGATTACAGGCATCAGCCACCATGCCCAGCCTTATTGAGTTATTTAATTTACTTACATTTAGTGTTATTATTGGTAAAACAGATTTAATTCTTCCACTTTTTGTTTTCTATGTCTCATGTCTTTTAGTTCCTTTGTTGTTTGCTTTTGTATTAATAAATATTGTCTAGTGTTATACTTTTTATTTCTTTAACAATTTTTTTAAGTTTTTTGTTTTTTCGTGGTTGCTCTAAGACTTGTCACATGCATCTTAACTTATCAGAACCTACTACAGAGTTTTACTGACAAGTCCAGTAAGATATGGAAATTTACCCCTGCATAGTTTTTCTTTTTCTGCCTTTTGCTGCAGTTATCATTACATATATTGCATTTAAGCATGTTACAAATGCAGCAATACATTGTTATAAGTATTAATTTATATAATTGTATGTCTTTTAAAGAATCAGAGAGCAGAAGAGAGCAAATGCTTATAGTTTTTGTCGTATTAACCATCTTATTTAGCATTTCTTCTCTTTGTTTATCTTGTAGATTTGGGTTATCATCTGGTATCACATCCTTACTCCAATACTGCTTTGCTCACACCCATATTCTTTGTAATATTATTAGTTTATATGTGTTATAGGCCTAACAATGAAATTATAAGCATACTGTTTTATTCATTTGTTTTGTAGATCAATTAAGAGAAGAATTAATATGCATTTATACTATCTTTACTACTACATAATTACCTTTAACCATGCTCTTTTTCTCTATTTTGCTTCCTTTTTTTTTCCTTTTTTTTTTTTTTTTTTTTTTAGATGGAGTCTTGCTCTGTCACCCAGGCTGAAGTCAGTGGCATGATCTTGGCTCACTGCAACCTTTGCCTCCCGGGTTCAAGCGATTATGCTGCCTCAGCCTCCCAAGTAGCTGGGACTACCGGCACATGCCGTCATGCCCGGCTAAATTTTGTATTTTTAGTAGAGACAGGGTTTCACCATATTGGCCAGGCTGGTCTCGAACTACCGACCTCGTGATCTGCCCGCCTCAGTCTCCCAAGTGCTGAGATTACAGGCATGAGCTACTGTGCCTGGCCTCTATTTTGCTTCTTATAAAATATGGTTTGAGGCCACTTGCTTTCATCCTGAGGAAGTTCCCTTAGTGAACCCCCTTTGCAAAAATTATATCAGCGGCAAAATTAGACAGTGAAAAAGACCTGATCTAGCCCACCCGTCCTCTTGCCTTTGCTTTCAAGCTGCCTCAATCATTCCTGGGCTTCGTCTGAGCTAACTTAGTCTGAACTAACTTTGGAAGGTTGTTTGTTTGTGTTGTTTTGTTTTTGAGACCATGCCCAGTTAATTTTTGTATTTTCAGTAGAGACGGGGTTTCACCATCTTGGCCAGGGTGGTCTTGAACTCCTGACCTCATGATCCACCCGCCTCGGCCTCCCAAAGTGCTAGGATTACAGCTGTGAGCCATCGTGCCTGGCCAGAAGATTGTTTAAATAACAGACCTTCCCCCAAAATCATCTGCTTTTATAAAGTTAATGGAAGGCCATCAGGCTAGGGGGCAGAGAGGAGACTGATTCTGCTAAGGTGTAGACATAGATTGCCAACTATTCCTGCAGATAATACTACTATTGCCGATTGGCCTTTTGAGATATCTTTTCAGTTTTTTTTTCACGTCTAACACTACCTGGACCCTCCAACCCTGCTCCTGTGGCCCCACCCAGAATTTATTCAGTACAAGAGGACAGCTTTGACCCCCTTTGATTTCATCTCCACCCCAACCAATCAGCACCAAGCCTAGCGACCTCCACCCCTTCACCCAAACTGCCTATGCAAAACCCCTAATTTAGAAGCTTTAGGGAGAATTATTGCAGTACTAACTCCATCTTCTGTGTGGTGTGGCTGGCCTGATGTCTAATTAAACTCTTTCTTTACTGCAATGCCATGGTCTGTCTTTGTGCAGGAGGCAGGAGGAACCCTTTGGGCAGTTACATTAGTATTTCTTATAAGATAGGATCACTAACAATTCTGTCAGTTTTTGTTTGTCTGGGATTGTCCTTGTTTCATCTTCGTTGTGCCGCTTTTAAGATGTTCTTTTTGGGCCAGGCGCAGTGGCTCACGCCTGTAATCCCAGCACTTTGGGAGGATGAGGTGGGTGGATCACAAGGTCAGGAGTTCAAGACCAGCCTGTCCAACATAGTGAAACCCCGTCTCTACTAAAAATACAAAAAATTAGCTGGGCGTGGTGGTGGGCACCTGTAATCCCAGCTACTTGGGAGGCTGAGGCAGGAGAATCCCTTGAACCCGGGAGGTGGAGGTTGGAGTGAGCCGAGATTGCGCCATTGCACTCCAGCCCAGGCGACAGCACAAGACTCCATCTCAAAAAATAAATAAATAAATAAATAAATAAAAATAAGTTCTTTTTGTCTTTGACTTTCAACCCTTTAACTATGATGTTTCTATGTATAGCGCTCTGCTTTTCCTACTTGGAGCTTGTTAACCCTCTTGGATATATATATATTGTTTTTCCTCAAATTTGGGAAATTTTTAGTTATTATTTCTTTGAATAGTTTTTTTCTACTCTTCTGGTAATCCTATTATATGTATGTTGGTGAGTTTCTTAGTGTCACACATTCCTCTGGGACTCTTTTTATTTTTCTTTATTCTTTTTTTCTTTCTGCTTTTTGGGTATTATTCTCTATTAGCCTGTCTTCATGCTTCAGGTTTGCTCATTTCTTCTTCTGCCAGTTCAAATCTGTAGTTGAGCCCTATAGTAATTTTTAAATTTTGATTCCAGTCAGTACTTTCAACCTTTCAACTTCAGGATTTCTATTTGGTCTTTTTTTTTTTTTTCTTGAGATGGAGTTTTGCTCTTGTTGCCCAGGCTGGAGTACAATGGTGTGATCTCGGCTCACTGCAAACTCCGCCTCCCAGGTTCAAGCAATTCTTCTGCCCCAGCCTCCCAAGCAGCTGGGATTACAGGCATGCGCCACCATGCCGGGCTAATTTTATATTTTTAGTAGAGACTGAGTTACTCTGTGTTGGTCTGGCTGGTCTCGAACTCTTGACCTCAGGTGATCTGCCCACCTGGGCCTCTGAAAGTGCTGAGATTACAGGCATGAGCCACTGTGTCTGGCCTGGTCCTTTTTTTTTTTTTTTTTTTTTTAGATAATTTATTTTTAATATATTCTCTCTTTAATGAGATATTACCATCATACATTTCTTTTCTTTTTTTTTTTTTTTGAAATGGAGTCTTGCTCTGTCGCACAGGCTGGAGTGCAGTGGCACAATCTCGGCTCACTGCAAGCTCTGCCTCCTAGGTTCATGCCATTCTCCTGCCTCAGCCCAAGTAACTGGGACTACAGGCACTCGCCACCATGCCTGACTAATTTTTTTTTGTATTTTTAGTAGAGACAGGGTTTCGCCGTGTTAGCCAGGATGGTCTCGATCTCCTGACCTCATGATCCGACTGCCTCAGCCTCCCAAAGTCCTGGGATTACAGGCGTGAGCCACCAGGCCCGGCCCTGTGTGTGTGTGTCACACATTTTTGTTGCTTTTCATGTCTCTTTTTTTTCTTTCTGAAAACTAGACACTTAAATAATATATTGTAGCAATTGTGGATATAATTGTCCCTCATTTCATGGTGCTTGTTATTATTTGCCTGTTTTTTCATTTAGCTTCTGATGGCACTATTTTACTGGGAAGCCTTTGATGTTGCTCCTTAGAGGGCACAACCTTGGGCATGGGAACATTCAGCTGAGATGAGAGCAGCTTTAGCAGTGCTCTCTTTGACTCTTTCCTTCATCACACCCAGCTGTTAGCCTTCTTTAATTCCTGGCTGATTGCCTTTTTAAATTTAAGATGCCCTTGGGCTAATTTTTGTATTTTTAGTAGAGACAGGGTTTCACCATGTTGGCCAGGCTGGTCTCGAACTCCTGATCTCAGGTGATCTGCCTAACTCGGCCTCCCAAAGTGCTGGGATTACAGGCCTGAGCCACAGTGCCCGACCTCCTTTACTTTCTTAATAAACTTGTTTTCACTTTACTTTATGGACTCACCTTGAATTCTTTCTTGCGTGATATCCAAGAACCCTCTCTTGGGGTCTGGATCAGGAAGGCTTTCCTGTAGCAAAGGCAGTGTCACAAAACAAGCTACTGCAATGGGCAAATGGAGCCTAATCCCATGGTGAAGCTCTGGAACGCCATGGAACACATGTGTAAAAGGCTGATTCTATTGAGGGCATGATGACAGCTGTGTTGTGACCCCATACAAGTGAGTCACTGGTTCAGGTCTGTTCCTGGAGACCATCAATTTGTGGGTACTTCTGGCTTGCCATGTTCTCCAGCCAAGTCTGAGGGCAGCTCTCTGATGCAAATGCAGTAACTAGCTGTCAGAAAACCTGCTGGCTTGCACGGAAGGTATGGTTCTGGACAGTGTGTCAACAGTGCCTGCTACACTGGGGAATTTTTCAAACAAACCAGCCCATGTCCTCCTCTTCCCCTCACTCACTAATGACCCTGAGTCCTGATCACCATTATGTACAGCAGAACAAAGAAGAGGTGTCAGTAGACATATTTTCTTCATAAAGATGCCCCAATGATGAATAGCCTATGTTTATTGGTTATGACCGTAGAAATGAAATGGAAAAGCTTCCACTGGGCCTGAAAGAGGCCACAGTGGGACTGGGAGACTGGAGAGGAGAGAAAAATCCTTTCTAAGCATTCTTGGAGGAATATGGTCATGGGTCAATAAGAAATGAATTGAAAGATTGTTGGAATAGAGGTAAAAATGGCAGAAATTCTTCTAGTCCAATCAGCACTTTTTGTCTTGTGACATAAAGTAACATTAGGCATTCTAAGAAAAAGAAGTGAAGATTGTGAGTATGAGAATTAAGATTTATGAAGTGATTTTGTAAGTTGGTGTAAGGTTAAACAGTCTAGAGATTCAAAGGTGCTGGAATGGAGGGAAGCACTCCAATGTACAAGCATGGAATTAGGCCAAATAGGTAGAAGAAGCCACAAAGGGCCTAATATAAGAATAAGAATATAGAAGGGATAAGAGATCATCTGATGACAATGATAATGGCCATGAATGTGGGAGGAAAAAGAGCAGGTAGAAAGCACTAGACAGAGGTAAAGCCTTGAGATTTAATCTTCAAAGTGGAGCAATTCAGAGAAGACAGATGATTGAAGTGAAGTAGAGATAAAAGGTTTTGGAAATACAGAGATTGAGAAATTATGAGGTCAGGCTTTCCAATTATTAATTAATTTATTTATTTTTGAGACAGAATCTCGCTCTGTGGACCAGGCTGGAGTGCAGTAGCACGATCTCGGCTCACTGCAACCTCTGCCTCCCAGGTTCAAATGATTCTCCTGCCTCAGCTTCCTGAGTAGCTGAGATTACAGGTGCCTGCCACCATGCCCAGCTAATTTTCGTATTTTTAGTAGAGATGGGGTTTTGCCATGTTGGCCAGGCTAGTCTCGAACTCCTGACCTCAGGTGATCCACCCGCCTTGGCCTCCCAAAGTGCTGGGATTACAGGCGTGAGCCACCGTGCCTGGCCTCCAATTATTTATTTATATATATAATGGCAGATGATGGAAGAAAAAAATTTCGACTTTAGTCTAAATTAAATTATAAAAGGAGATGATGTGGAATGTTTGTAACTGGGAGATGTTGCATTAAAGACTGGGAAAGGGGCCGGGTGCAATGTCTCATGCATGTAATCCCAGCACTTTGGGTGGCCGAAGTGGGTGAATCACAAGGTCAAGAGATTGAAACCATCCTGGCCAACATGGTGAAACCCCGTTTCTACTAAAAACACAAAACTTAGGCTGGGCGCGGTGGCTTACGCCTGTAATTCCAGCACTTTGGGAGGCCGAGGGAGGAGGATCACGAGGTCAGGAGATCGAGACCATCCTGGCTAACACAGTGAAACCCCGTCTCTATTAAAACTACAAAAAAGTAGCCGGGCATGGTGGCAGGCGCCTGTAGTCCCAGCTACTCCGGAGGCTGAGGCAGGAGAATGGCGTGAACCTGGGAGGCGGAGCTTGCAGTGAGCCAAGATCGTGCCACTGCACTCTAGCCTGGGCGACAGAGCGAGACTCCATCTCAAAAAAAAAAAAAAAAAAAAAAAAAGAAAAGAAAGAAAAAATTAGCTGGGCATGGTGGTGCGCACCTGTAGGCCCAGCTACTCGGGAGACTGAGGCAGGAGATCACTTGAATCCTAAATTGCGCCACTGCACTCCAGCCTGGCAACAGAGCGAGACTTCGTCTAAAAAAAAAGATTTGGAAAGGATGCCATATTTTTCAGAGTTATGTGTCGGGTCAAAAGTATTTTGATATTCAATAGAGATATCAGTCTTTTTTTTTTTTTTTTTTTTTTTTTTTTTTTGAGGTGGAGATTCACTCTGTCACCCAGGCTGGAGTGCAGTGGTGCGATCTTGGCTCACGGCAACCTCCGCCTTCTGGGTTCAAGCGATTCTCCTGCCTCACCCTCCCGAGTAGCTGGGACTACAGGCACGTGCCAACATGCCTGGCTAAGTTTTGTATTTTTAGTAGAGATGAGGTTTCACCATATTGTCAGGCTGGTCTTGAACTCCTAACCTCATGATCCGCCCGCCTCGCTCTCTCAAAGTGCTGGGATTACAGGTGTGAGCCACCCCACCTGGCCTTTTTTTAAAATTTTTTTTATTTTTTTGAGACGGAGTCTCCAGTTGGAGTGCAGTGTCATGATCTCGGCTCACTGCAACCTCCGCCTCCTGGGTTCAAGCAATTCTCCTGCCTCATTCTTCTGAGTAGATGGGACTACAGGTGTGTGCCACTACACCCAGGTAATTTTTATATTTTTAGTAGAGACGGGGTTTCACCATATTGGCCAGGATGGTCTTGATCTCTTGACCTCGTGATCTGCCCACCTCCACTTCCCAAAGTGCTGGGATTACAGGCGTGAGCCACCGCACCTGGCCCATCCGTTTTATTTAGTGTTATTCACAGCTTTAGTCTTTCTGACTCACAGAGAAGAACTTAACTAAGTAAGTCCTTTTGTTTCAACCATTATTCTAAAATTTGCTTATCTGAATGATAACTATTAAAATCTTATAGTAAGCTCCTATTCATAAAGTTAAACTGGCACTTGATGAATTCATCGGAGTTGACTGCACAACTCATTCTATTTCCATGAATTATTTGTTCCACTATGGAAACAGTAGTTTTAATATCCAGTCTAAGGAGATGTGTTAGGAAGGAAGTAATCTTTTATAATTGTAGCTCTCAGCAACTTAATTATTCAGAATTACCAGTTAAACAATCAATTAATGTGCCGGGTGCAGTGGCTCACGCTTGTAATTCCAGCACTTTGGGAGGCCAAGGCGGGCGGATCACGAGGTCAGGAGATCGAAAAAAAAAAAAAAAAAATTATCCGGGCATGGTAGCGGGTGCCTGTAGTCCCAGTTACTCTGGCGGCTGAGGCAGGAGAATGGTATGAACCCAGGAGGCGGAGCTTGCAGTGAGCCGAGGTCGCGCCACTGTACTCCAGCCTGGGGGACAGAGCAAGGATTAATGAAGTATAGCCTGCATTTTAACAACTATTTTAGGAAGTTCTGCATCTTAGAAAACCATATTCTAGGCAGACTGAGAAATATAATAAAAGTATTTATTGAGCACCTACTATGTATCCAAGTAGTTAACACGTATTAACTCTAATTGGTGGCAGTACAAAGTGGGCATTTGGTTTTCTGTGCAAATGTGACTTGAAGCCTTACCCCCCAACCCCAGCCAACTTGACATCCCTATGTCTGTGCTATATGGAAATCCCCCACTCCACACCCCACCCCACCCCCTCCCCCACACCCAACCCCTCCCCCCATCCGCCCACCCCTCCCACCCACTACCTCCCTACCCCCTCACTACCCCACCTCACCTCCCCCCCGTCAAAACGGACCTATCAGCTCTCTGTAAAACAGACCAATCGGCTCTCTGTAAAATGGACCAATCAGCAGGATGTGGGTGGGACCAGATAAGAGAATAAAAGCAGGCTGCGCGAGTCAGCAGTGGGAACTGGCTAGGGTCCCCTTCTACGCTGTGGAAGGTTTGTTCTTTCGCTCTTTGCAATAAAGCTTGCTGCTTCTCACTCTTTGGGTCCACACTACCTTTATGAGCTGTAACACTCACGACGAAGGTCTGCAGCTTCACTCCTGAAGTCAGCGAGACCACGAACCCACCGGGAGGAACGAACAACTCCAGACGTGCGGCCTTAAGAGCTGTAACACTCACAGTGAAGGTCTGCAGCTTCACTCCTGAAGCCAGCGAGACCACGAACCCACCAGAAGGAAGAAACTCTGAACACATCTGAACATCAGAAGGAAAAAATTCTGGACACGCCGTATTTAAGAATTGTAACACTCACCGAGAGGGTCCGTGGCTTCATTCTTGAAGTCAGTGAGACCAAGAACCCACCACTTCTGGACACATAGCTACAGTGGTTCAATTTATACCATGAAGGATGAGGTCATTGAAAGGCTATAAAAAACAAACTATTTAATGCTATATTTTGTTAAGTTGCCTTTTTTTAAAAAGCATCTACTACATATTTATCATGGTATCACTCAACCAGATAGACATGAACAAATTTAGATTAAAGACAGATTCAAAGTAATGTAACTACTGGCTTTGCTTTAACTTCCAAAGCAACCCTTTTTACCTTTAAGCCTTTCACAGGATGATTATGAAAATCAATGGAAAAATGTATGTAAAAGCTCCTTGTGAGCCGGAAGCTTCTTTCCAGGTGCTATGAATACTCAATCACTGAGAGGTAAGAGGAGTCATGACCATACACACTGTCCATCAGAAGTGGCGCCTCTTCTCCTTCAGGATTCAGTGTGGTTTAAACTATTTAACCTCTGTCTACCTCAATCTAATGACTGCAGCGTATCTCTGGATTGCCTGGGCATTGAATTACTTCTAGAAAGAGGAAGAAAGATGTGTGACACGTTTGTGGTTGGGTAGTGGTAGTGGTGTACACAGTGTGGAAAAGGGAGAAGAGCAATAAGGCTTTATTTTTGCCTGGACAACATGGTGAAACCTCATCTCTATTAAAAATACAAAAATTAGCTGGGTGTGGTGGTGTGTGCCTGTAATCCCAGCTACTTGGGAGGCTGAAGCAGGAGAATCACTTGAACCTGGGAGGTGGAGATTTCAGTGAGCCGAGATCACACCACTGCACTTCAGCCTGAGCAACAGAGCGAGATTCCATCTCAAAAAAAAAAAAAGTAAAATGCAACAATCCCTAGACAACAGTACTAGGGAGGCTGAGGCAGGAGAATCGCTTGAACCTGGGAGGCGGAGGTTGCAGTGAGCCGAGATCACGCCATTGTGCTCCAGCCTGGGCGACAAAAGCGAAACTCTGTCTCAAAAATAAATAAATAAATAAATAAATAAATACCTTATTTTTAAATGATAGCATATATTCCTCCCCTGACCCACTAGGTAGCAGGATGTCCCCTCCTCTAAACTCATGTAGCATTTTTTCCATCCTTCTTTTCAGGTGCATACAGTATTCTAATGGCTATTTCTCCTATTAAATCTGGGAATGTTGAGAGCCCAATAAATATTTGTCACATAAATGAAAAGGCTGTTCCAAAATTCAACAGTTTCGGGACTAACCAACTGACACCCAGAGCCAAAGTGAATAGTGGGATATAATGGCCATTTAATAATTTCAAAAGCTCTCATTAAACATTTTGTCATTGTTGTTGCTTTTTCAGGCACCTTGTTAGATACAAAGCAACCAACAGGATTTACAATGTACAGTCCTTGCTTTTAAGGAATTACGAATTTAGTAAGGCAAGTAGATTTATAATAACACAATTATACCAAGGTAGGAAACCATGGAAGACTTAAAATTAGGGGAATCATGTGAACTGAGTCTTGAAAGATTAGCAGTATTTTTCTAGGCAAAAGAGTGAAGGGAAAGGCATTTCATATAGGGAACAGCCTGTGCAAATATACGGAAGTATGCAACAGCATGGTTCATTCAGAGAACTGAAAGTATAGCTGACTAGTTGAAGTAAGGGGAAACACACAAACACCTCAAATGCCTACTAAGCTGCCTGCCTGTCTCCATTTTTCTTGACTATAATTATTGGGGATTTTCGAGTGTGGTGGATTAAATTATTGACTGCATTCTTTCCCTCTCCCTGTATCTGCTGCTTTGCCCTTTGCCACTCTAAAACAAAGTGTCTATCCCAGCAGCTTTACTTTGGTCAATGGGATGTGAGTAGATTTAAGGCATATCATACACTTGAAATGTATTTGAGGAGGAGGGCTTGCCCTCTTGTACCTCTGCTCTTCTTATGCAGAAAGCTTCCCTTGGTAGCTGCTGTTTCTTTTGCTGAGACCCCAGAGTGAACACAATGGAGGCCAGGCATTATGGCTTTTGCCTGTAATCCCAGCACTTTGGAAGGCCGAGGCGGGCGGATCACTTGAGGTCAGGAGTGAGACCAGCCTGGCCAACATGGTGAAACCGTCTCTACTAAACAAATATTAGCTGGCGTGGTGACGCTTTGCAGGGAGGCTGAGGCAGGAGACTCACTCGAACCCGGAAAGGTGAGGAGCAGTGAGCGAAGATGGCGCCACTGCACTCCAGCCTGGGTGACAGAGCGAGACTCTGTCTCAAAAAAAAAAAAAAAAAAAAATTAAATCTAACCAAAGACCCAGAAAAGAGAATTGAGGGACTAGAGGAGCTAGTGATGGAAAATATTATGGAACTATTTAAAAACAAATCCACAGATCCAAGAAGGAAAATACATTAAAAATATATTACAAATAAATCCATACATAGACAAAGAATTGTGAAACTATTTGATATTAAAGTCAAAACACAAACTCTTAAAATTAGTTGAAAAGGAAGGACAGAAACCTATATATGATCACAAAAGCTTAAATTAGACTAACATAAAACACTGAGGTGGTGTATTAGTCTATTATTGCATTGCTATAGAGGCATACCTGGGACTGGGTAATTTATAAAGAAAAGAAGTTGAATTGGCTCACACTTCAGCAGGCTGTAGGAGGACGGCACCAACATCTACTTGGCTTCTGGTGAGGGCCTCAGGAAGTTTACAATCATGGTGGAAGGCAAAGGAGGAAGCTGGCATGTTACTTGGTGAGAGAGGTAGCAAGAGGGCAGGAGGAGGTCCAATACTCTTAAATAACCAGATCTCTTGTGAACTAACTGAACAAGAGCTTACTTATCACCAAGGAGATGGAGCTAAGCCATTCATGAGGAATCCACCCCCATGATCCAGTTACCAGGCCCTGTCTCTATCATTGGGGATTATGTTTCAACATGAGATTTGGAGGGGACAAACGGCCAAACTCTATCAAGTGTTTTCAAAGTCAATACACAGGAGGCCTCAAACTCTCAGATGCCATTTCCAGAATCCCTTTGCCTCACCAGTATATATTTGGTTTTAGAGTCTTGAGAGCTGAATAAGGGCCAAGTTTGAACTGGAAAGCAACTGTACATACCTTCTGCTTTTTCAGCACAACAGCAGTACATAAATTGATGGTTTTTTACAGTGACCAGTCTCAAGGGAACAGATACATCATGCTAAAAGCATCCCTAGCTCTGTAATCAGTACATGGAAACCCCTGCATGACCCTTCTGTATTTCTTAGCCAGTAAATTTCACCAGTCAGTGATTTCAAGGAGGGTCAAGCTTGCCTTTGTTATCCCTATGGAGAGAAGAATGGTTTACAGACTCGTTCTTTCCACTCCAAACTACAGAGCAATATCAACAACAATAGAACTATAGCAGACTTCTCAACAATGAAAGCTAGAAAATGGTGGAATAATATCTTCAAATTATTGAGAGAAAATAACCCTCATCTTAGAATCACATGCTCAGCAAAACCTTTTAAGGATGAGAGAAAAAAATATTTACGAATAAAAAAGTTTGCTTCCAATAGTGCAGCATAAAGCAGCATTTAAAGACATCCTTTAGAAGAAGTAAAATGATCTCAGGTAGTCTGAGATAGGAAAAGACTGCTGAACAAATAAAACAGATTTTATTATGTTATGTAAAAATTATGGAAATCAATGTTACCTTTTCAAAAGGCAAAGAAAAGAAGAAAGTATACAGAAAGTTACCATCCAGTAACCTTTGAAGAGAGGCACTAAAGAAAATCTACTTTAGTGTGTCTCTCTTCAAAAAAAATTATATGAAAATGTTCGGAAACACTTGATTCCAGGAAAGGAAAGCCTCAATTTCAGGGATGGGGAATAGGCATTTTAAAGGAGCTTCAACAAGCTTAGTTAGATTGGAACATGGATTGCAGAGCATAGCAGAAATGGGTCCAGAGAGACATGAAGGGGACTTATGAGCTGTGCTGAGCAGTGTGGATTTCATGTTTTTATTATCTATCTATCGATCTATCTATCTATCTATCTATCTATCTATCTATCTATCTATCTATCTATTTATTTTGGAGGCAGAGTCTCACTCTGTCACCTGGGCTGGAGTGCAGTGGCGCAACCTAGGCTCACTGCAACTTCCACCTCCTGGGTTCAAGCAATTCTCCTGCCTCAGCCTCCAGAGTAGCTGGGACTACAGGCGCCCACCGCCATGCCCGGCTAATTTTTTGTATTTTAGTAGACACGGGGTTTCACCGTGTTGCCCAGGCTGGTCTCGAACTGAGCTCAGGCAATCTGCCTGCCTCGGCCTCCCAAAGTGCTAGGATTAAAGACATGAACCACTGCACCTGTCCTGATTTCATGTTTCTTATGTGCCATCACTGTTTCTAATGTTCCCTTCTATGATTATGCTTACACTAAATTCTGATCATTTACCTACGACCCTTCCTATTATAGTCTGACGCCCTCACTAGGGGTATCTAATTTCCCTTTGTATTATCAAATACTGAGCAGTTTCTGGAACATAGTAGTTGCTAAAAGCATACTCATTAAATGACCATATTGTTAATGTCATGCCCCTTTACCTCCTCAGGTGGATTTATGTACTTGCATGTTTGTGCTCTCATATAGCTTGTACATACCTCTAATGTTACATGTACTTGTTAAGAAGTTTGTCTCTTTTAGATTATTAACCCTTAGAGATTAGGGTTAACCTTTTTTTTCTCCAATTCCTGTTACACAACACTTCATAGATATTAATTTAGCAAATGAACATAAGTATGCACACACTAGTAAATGAAACCAAACTCCAGAACAGGCTGAGGTATGTGATAGGCACTCTCAAAGTGGAGAATCAGTAGTGTGCTGCAGTTTCCTGATGCCAGCTCATGAGAGCCAATTAATAACTTCTCGGGAGTTTTGTGAGCTGGTTGACATCACATTGGCAACTGGAAATTGGCCATGATAGAAACAATATATACAAAAATGTATTGCTGCAATATATGTTGCTATCATACAACCAGGTTTTTTGTTTTTGTTTTTATTTTTTATTTTTGCTTTTCCTTCCCAGAAAGCCAGTTGTAAAACATTTACAAGCACCCTGTGATCAGAACCTTGTCCTTAGGTCAGATGTTTACACATGTTATATCTTAGAAGGAAGAAAAAATTTGTGAACAGCCAAGGCTGGATTCAGCTGCTCCACAGCTGTTTTAATATTTACCAGATAACAAGCAGATCATTCACCAGACAACAACCTTCCTCTTCTTCCAACCAAGTTCAGGATGTGAGGTTACAGATTGTAATGCCTTGCAAACTGCATTAGCTACACCGGATACCTACAAACAGATGCCTGATTTTCCACTAACTGAGAGGTTCAGATGAGAGCGTTCTCCCCTCTTTCTTACACAGTAAAAATAACCAAAAAGAATTGTTTTTTGGGTCAGCTGTTTGTAGTTTCTTGCAAGTTATTTAATTTATTATATTTTTGTTAGTCTGCACTTCATTTCATTTTTTATGTTTAAAAGTCAGTATCTGAGTAAAGTCATGATCTTACACTCATAATATGGGTTCAGAATGAATTGTCCTTCAAAACAAAGGAATTAACTGAGCCTCAAGATTCAGTAGAAGAAAATTATAAGGCAATATAAATGGAAGCCCTAAAATAGATAAAAAGAAAAGAGTATTAGTAGTTATACTGTAGCATTACAAAGTGAGCTTAGCCGATTTTGCCAAATGTACCATGGTATATATGACAAGGTGTCTATGTCTACTTCATTGTTTCATTCAACAATATTGGTACATCTACTAAGTTCAAGGCCTAGGTGCATAGGATTCATGGAGCTTACTGTCTAGTGGGGATCTGACAGGGAAACAGATGCTCTGATGCAATGGTACATAATCACTGGTTCAAACTTGCACCAAGAAACAGAGAAGACTAATCCTGTCATGCAACCTCCAAGGAAGGTACCTTTCTTTAACTTCAAGTCATCTCAATTGTAAGAGCATTCATTAAATTCTTTTGGTTTGGGGCAGTGGAAAGCAATTCTGACTAGTCTAGATAAAACCCAAGAATTTGTTGGAAGACTATGGACACATCTCACAAAGTCAGAAGAAAAAATCAGAATTTAAGAAGGAACAAAAAAAAAAAAAAAAAAAGGAAGGAACAAGGCAGAACCAGAAACCCAAAAGCAAGACACTGAGCATTTTTGTCTGGATTCTCCTTGTCACTTAAGGAACTCAGTTCAGCTAACTCCGAGGCTCCATATCCCCTCTTCTGATTGACCAGTTTGGCTCTGGAATTCATCATTGGATCAAATGACTATGGTGATATCAATAAGGACCTTTCCTACAGACATGGCTCTTAGATACCCTTACTTCCCAGTGTTGGGATTGGCTCTCAGGAAAAGGGTACTTGTGAGTCTGGTGACAAAGATTCCTTGCTTGGCCAAACTTTAGTCAGGCTGCTGAAGCTTCTTCTAGGCCCATCTATGCACTTTATTATACAACCCACTTTTAGCAAAGGACACTAAGTCAGTTAAGGAAATATCCCCCATTTTTTATCTGATCACTCTTGTTATCTAATTAGGTTTCTCATCTTTCACCATCCTCCAGACTTTGTCTGATCATCCTGGTCTGTTTTCAGCAAGAATCCTCTTAGATTCATTTAGTCAGAATCCACGTTACCCCTGATGTTTCCTGTCAGTAATTTTCTATCCACTGACCTCCACCCTGTTCCCTGGTCATAAGTTCCCCCTTGCCCATGCTATATTCAGAGTGGAACTCAATTTCTCTCCCCCACTGCAAAATCACATTGCAGTGGTCCTTGTACCTATTTTGATGGTTCCGAATGAAGCCTTCCACACCATGCTTTAACAAGTAGCATTGATAATTTGTTCTTTAACACTGGTAATCACCTCAGAAAGTGCCAAAAGTACTGAAGTTATTAAAGTGTATGTAGCAAAAAAGCTGATAACATACGATAAGCAGATAAGAGGGGTGGAAGCAGCCAGGATAAAAGTAGACGGCTCCATGGCCAGCACTCTCTCCTGATTCACCCAGAAGACTCTAGTAATTAGCCACAGTCAAGGGGTCTGTCACTCAGGCTTTACTTTCTGAAGCCACTTTTCTGCAGCAGGGAGTGGCACAAACTTACAAAGTCCATTCCATGCCTTTTCTTCAATAGTAGTTGAATTTTTTAGACTAACTCTACTCATTCTCTCAAGTCTTTTGTATACAATAGTATGCTTCACACCAAAAAACCCCACACACACACAAAAACAACTTGAAGAGAAGAAAGTAATAAAGACATCAATCTTTTGGAAATTAATAGTATTAAACCCAATAGACCCTGGGGTATGAACTCAGAATCTGTTATAAAGCTCTTAGCACTGTGCTGTCACTCTGGCTAGTGCAGTGGGTCAGCTAGTGACCACTCACCTAATGCCCAATCCCCTTCTTCTGCATTGTGCTAAGGGTCAGAAACATTCTCCAGATAACCTGCTGTAGTGTAAAGCTTTATCTCTCCTTCTTTTCGAACTCCTTGCCTCCTAATATTACCTATATTCTTTCAATGGAAATTGGCTTCCGTTCTTATTTCTCCATTGAAACCTGTCCTTGCTAAGTTTCCTTTGGGACTTCTTCTTCCATTGCTTGCCACTAAAAACAGTGTTCCCAAGGCTCCATTTTCAGCCTCTTATTTTTAAATCAATTTCTTTATTTTTTTTTTTTTGCAGTGCAATTTAAACAATTTATTTATTGATAAACAAAAATTATCATGTACAAGATGATGTTTTGAGATTTTTATACATTGTGGAATGGCTAAATCAAGCTAATTAACATATGCATTAACTCATATGTATATTTTGTGATAAGAGCACATAAAATCTATTCCCTTAGCAATTTTCAAGAATACAATATCTTGGCCTGGTGCAGTGGCTCACGCCTGTAATCCCAGCACTTTGGGAGGCTAAGGTGGGTGGATCACGAGGTCAGGAGATCAAGACCATCCTGGCTAACACAATAAAACCTTGTCTCTATTAAAAAATACAAAAAATTAGCCGGGCATGGTGGCGGGCGCCTGTAGTCCCAGCTACTCGGGAGGCTGAGGCAGGAGAATGGCGTGAACCCAGGAGGCGGAGCTTGCAGTGAGCTGAGATCGTGCCACTGCACTCCAGCCTGGGCAACAGAGCGAGACAACATCTAAAAAAAAAAAAAAAAAGAATACAATATCTTGTTATTAATATAGTCAACATGTTGTACAATAGATCTCTTGAACTTATTCCTCCTAATTGAAATTTGGTATCCTTTGACCAACATCTCTGCACCCCTGCACCCCCAGCCTCTAGTAACCACCATTCCACTCTGCTTTTGCAAGTTCAACATTTTTAGATCCAATATATAAGTGAGATCATGCAGTACTTATCTTTCTGTGCCTGGCTTATTTCACTTAGCATAATGTCTTCCAGTTTTATCCAGTTTATAGTTTATTTGTATTTATGCTGGCTTGTTACAACGCCTTGTCCTTTAGGCACATGTTAGCTGTGATTTGACCAGAGAAGTATGAAATAATCATGTCTCCATGTATTTTATATTGCACGTGCATATTTTGGGATTCATATAATTTTCTTTTTTATGCTCATTAAATGGATGTAAATACATTTTAAAAATGTAATAAATCTAGTTAGAGCTCCTCCCTATTGTTTAGGAGGCAATCAGAAAATTTGGGGGTTTATTGTGACGTTAGAGAGGGAGCTCTTGCTTCCTGAATTTACTTGAGTTTCCACACAAGCTGGGCCTGTCTTGCCCTCCAACTTGCAGGAAGAAAAGTGGTAAGAGCAGGAGGAGTTAATATAATAGTCTGTCTTTCTACTGCTATCACCACATACTGCCCAAATGGTCACGCTGATCTTTTCTTGCAGAGCCGGTTACATCAGTTTGGGCAAAAACAATATACCCTTCATAGTCTATCTTCTCCAGATCAAAGCTGGATTGAAGGCAAACTTGTATAAAAAGCACATTGTAAGAAAAGCTGCATAAATAACTTTTTAAAGAGATTCTAACTTACCAAGATAATTAAGTAATTTTTTAATAAGCTGGCTTTGCAGAACTCTTGCCCAGAAAACCAGAATAACAACAATTTTTCGAGGAATGCCTCTGAGAATTTTCCCAGTAAAGAGAATCTAGCTCACCTTCATTTTCCTTATTGTACAGCTACACATCAATACTGTGCAAGTGTGAGAACCAATAGCTTCAGTTCTATTTGTGAACTGGTACAGGGTAGGTTCTTGACAGAATGGTGACCCAATATTCTCTAGGCTCAACTGCTTGCACCTTGCTCTAAACCAGCTTGGGTAAAGCCTACAAACAGTTACTGTTCTACTTCATGTAGAAATAAACGAGGCAGAAGGAAGATTTAACAAAATCTAAGGCTATTACTAAGAAGAAGGAAGGAGGAGTAGATGGAAAACTAAGATTTACTGATGCTTTGTCTGGGCTCACTGTGCTATGAGCTATATATGTAATCACTTTAAATTTTCAAAAAGATATTTTTCCATTATAAGTATTTTCCTATTTTAAAGATGATAAATAAATTCATAGAAGTGAAGTCGTTATTCCTATTGCACAGAACTTGTAAGTAGCAAAATTAGGATCAAAGCTAGAAAAGTCTGATTTTGAAAATCATGCTCTTTCCACCATGTGCATTTCTTATAAGATTTCTGTCTTTGTTTTGGTTTTAGTTTTTTTCAAAAACTAAAAAACTCACCATTAATCTTCAGGGTTTATAAGTTACCAATTAACCAATATATTCCCATATGAGGCAAATGAAAATTAATAAAGCAATATTTATGAGTTGCATTCTGAAGTTGTTGGTGGCATGCATTATTAAAAAGGGGAGGAAAGCTTGAACATATCATTTTTTAAAGGATGTAAAAGAAAGAGTGAAGTTAATAAAATATATATATGGGAGAACCTATTCCTAACTTATGTAATATTTCCATTATTTAAAAATCTGTACTAACAAAACTTCCTCTAGAGTTTCATTTAACATATCAGATTTTTATATCCTATTCTCCTCCAGAACTAATAAAATAAATGAACTCAAAATACTGTTTGTGAAATGAGGACAGAGACAAGCCAGAAATTGTCTTTGAATGAGAACACATAGTTTATAGGGCCAAGAAATCTCTGGACACTCTACTGTGACTGAATAAGGAACAGAGGCATGAACTATAGTGTGGGGTAGAGAGTATAACAAATTTTTGCAATGTTGCAGCTATTTCCATGACTAAGAATATAATGTCTCAGAACCCCTCACATGCAGAATAATTGGCAGGACAAGCGTGTGCTACATTGGAGCGACTGCATGCTAGCAGGTGAGATGGAAACTTCACAGCAATAGAGTAAGGGCAACGCAACTCAATCCACAGACAACCCATTCACCTTCCTGCCTCCCAAAGCTTATAATTTCCCATTAGTGGTTACCCTCTGACAAAGCCTGAGGCTACATCTGTGTCATGTCAAGAGTTGTCTCTGTGGATGTGTAACATTCCATCATATATATAGCTGTCTTGCCTACATAATATCAAGCCAATAGGTATTTTTCCATTCATTTATCACATAAAGTTTTTGTTTCTCATTCGAATGCTTGACATCATTTAAATATAGTTCAGCACTTATTCAGAAATTTTAAAAACCTCCCTACAGTTCAGATTACCAGCATGGTATCACAGCCTTGCTATAAATAATGAGTGTATCAGTTACCTTGCTGCCTCCCTCACACAAGGCGGAAGACAAACTCCTACCCCTTCTCTCTGGAGGAGGCTCATGTTTTGGTATTTCCAGTTTATGGTTTATAAAAGACCTAATACACAATGTTATTCTATTTTTATATCTGCAAGAACTGAGACTAGGAGACTCAGGAGCTATTTAGGATATTTCAGCTCTGCCTGCCACTTTGACTCAAAGACATTTGAAAGGCCCAGTCTTCTGCAGTGAAGCCTGGCTCATTGAGATGGCTGCCCACTTAAGTAAGCTAGGTGGCTCACTAGGACAATGTGGCTTCTCTCACACAGTCACTTTGACTTATTTTGTCATTGTCAACCTGAGAGACCTTTATTTATTATATAGACTAGTGATTTTAGTTGACAGATCATCTGTCATTTATCTTTATCATTATTAACATTAGAATCACAAAATTTTAGAGCTAGAAGGAAACTTCTGGGTCATCAGAGTTATTCTGCCTTATTTTAGATAGGAGGAAACAGAGGCCAGGCTAGGTGTTGGTAGAGATACAGGTTCTCCCAGTAACCAATTGAAATTTATTTTTCCAAATCAGGCAGTATCAACCTCAGAGAGTCTAAACCTGGGTAAATGAGAGTTGCAGAGTTTTATACAGAACAAGTCCAGGCAATTCTTAGGTACATGATTCAGAGTATAGGCAAAGAGTGCTAAAAGATAGAGAAAGGTAGTCTGCATTACAACAATGTATAAAAACAAAGGATTATCGCAGGCCAAAAGCCAGCTGAGTTGCTGCACAAGGGGTGTGTCCTCTTTGGGAGGAAGATCTTTCCTGCAGGACCTGGCTGGCTGATTTCACCTGGTAAAGCAAGACTCTCAGGTCTTCTTTCTGCCATTGACCTGAGTTGTTCCTAAATATAAGAACTCTTCTTTGGACCTAGTGTATTTCTATAAAAAAAGATAATATGTGTATGTATATAGATATTCTATAGATTTCAAATGGGTAAATGTTCTTACCTCCTATCTCTTAAAAATTCTTACCTGTCCTCCCATGAAGGTTAGTGGTTTAATTTCATTCTGTTGCTATTCATCCATTTGTTTGCATTTTCTTCACTCTTTTTTTCATTTCACATTTCTTGAATATTTGCCTTATAAGATGCACATTTCATGTGCTGGATGAGATAGAAAGATGTGTAGAAGATATGCTCCCTGTTCTGAAGGATTTCACAGTTTAGTGTGTCAGACATACATGCAAATAAATTCCAATACCACAAGAATGACAGAGCCACTGATCGAGCATAGGACAGGATGCTACCTTCTTGGAGGAACTGAACATCAAAGATGAAACTTGAAGGATGAAAGAAGCTGGTCAGATATAAAGAATAAAGATTCTTCCTTGCAAGTAATGGCATGTATAAAGGCCATGTTTGGATAATAATGAGTGGGTTAATGTGGGCAGAATAAAGAGATGGGCCTAATAGCCTCATCATTAGAAGTTGTTTACCTAGTTTGAGTTTCTGGAAAAAGAAACTCTAAGACTTCTAGCTTAGGAAACAGTGTGAATAAATAGTGCATATAGTAGAAACATCTCTGAGCAAGCCCAAGGATATAGCATAGAGTTCAATTTGGGACATATGAGAATATAAAAACCATGAAGTCATCTGTAGAGGTCAATGATTGTTCTACTTTTTCTGTGAACATTTTTACCATCATTGGTGGCCTTCCTTTGCATTCTTAACAATCAGATTATAAAATAATAGATAAATGCAGTGACAGATACTAACTTGTTAAAAAGATAATGGCCTTATTTCATCCTGAAACTGGAAAGCTGGACAGTACTAAGTTTAACTGCTGTACTTAGTTTGTTAAACCAGCAGCCTTACTTAGAAACATGGTCTAGCTTTCCAGTGTTGTTCATTTTTAAAGTAATTGAAACAATTACAGCACATAACTTCAAAATATTAGTTATTAAAACAATTGACATTAGAATAGATGCAGACAGATGGGGCCTGAACAAGGCTGAAAGAGACTAATGTTTAAAAAAATCAGATCATAAATAGAGGGAAATAAAGCCATTAATTAAAAAATAGTTTAATTACCTCAGTAAATTTGGTTTTTTGCTAATTTGGTGCAATTGTCTATAAGTTCATAGATGTATTACATAATCTATTATAAACTATCATGTAGTTTTGAAATAGAATAATACCATATATTTCTTATACTTTTTTTTCCTTTTTTTTTTTTTTTTTTTTTTTTTGAGACAGGGTCTCGCTCTGTTGCCTAGGCTGGAGTGTAGAGGTGCAATCGTGGCTCACTGCAGGCTCAATTTCCCAAGCACAGACGATCCTCCCACCTCAGCCTCCCGAGTAGTGGGACCACAGTTGCATGCCACCATGCCTGGCCAATTTTTGGCATTTCTTTTTTATAGAGACAGGGTTTCGCTATGTTGCCCAGGCTGGTCTTAAACTTCTGGATTCAAGTGAACCTCCCATCTGGACCTCTTACAGTGTTAGAATTACAGGTGTGGACCAACGTGCCCAGCCTCTTTTTTCTCAATATTTTTGTATTTTTAGTAGGGATGGGGTTTCACCATGTTGGCCAGGCTCTCTCGAACTCCTGACCTCAGGTGATCCACCCACCTCGGCCTCCCAAAGTGCTAGGATTACAGGCTTGAGCCACTGCGCCCGGGCAAAATGTTATTTTTTTAATCTGATATTTTCATCACATGATTTCTTTTGGCTTTCTCCTTCTCAAAATGAAATATTGTATATTTGTTGATCAAAAATATCTTTTTTTTTTTTTTGAGACCAAGTCTTGCTCTGTCACCCAGGCTGAAGTCAGTGATGCGATCTTGGCTCACTGCAACCTCTGCCTCCCAGATTCAAGCAAATCTCCTGCCTCAGCCTCCTAAGTAGCTGGGATTACAGGTGCATGCCACCATGCCTGCTAATTTTTGTATTTTTAGTGGAGATGGGTTTCGCCATGTTGGCCAGGCTGGTCCTGAGCTGACTGCAGGTGATCTGCCTGCCTTGGCCTTCCCAGGTGCTAGGATTACAGGCCTGAGCCACTGCACCCAGCCAAAAATATCTTAGTTAAGTTGCATTAGAATACAAAGATGGGTACGTTTGGAAAAATTCATAGAACATGATTCTAAGGCAAGCTACTACACAACAAAATGAAATTGCAGTCTGACTAACATTCTTAGCAGGATTTACCAAGATCTGGTCTCAGCACACCCATAAGCCCCCTTAATATAAATAGCCCCTCTTATATTTTATAATATAAAATAGCCCCTCTTCTTGATCAATTCCAGACACACTGATATGCCTTCAGTTCTTATAGCTTATCAAGCTTCTCACTAACATAGACCCTGGGTTTTACAATTGCTTTCCACAGAAGACTCTTTTCCCATCTCTTTGCCTAACTCCTACTTGTCCTCTACCTTTTAATTAAAGGACATTTTCTCAGGGAAGCCTTTCCTGGTGCCCTAAATTAGGTAAGGTTCTCTGTTAAATACTCTCAACATCCCATATTTTTCCTTCATAGCATTTAATTGACCATAATTAAATAATGATCTATATAATTGCCAGTTTAATATGTGTCTTCCTGAAGGATCTGTAGACAATTTTGAGGACAGTCAGCATTTGTTAAATAGATAAATGAGAAACATGAAGGTGTCGTACCTATGGAGACCCTTTCTTGCTCTAATTATTGTTTACTATAGGGACTGCTCATGTCCAGGAACAAATGGCACTAGATATCCTCATGGTGGGATTTGGCAACAAAAGACTTTGCAGCAAAGAGTACAACCTCTTCAGTCTCCCTTGTTAAGGGCAAGTTAGAGACTGGGAAAGAGATTGCTTTCTTGGTGTACCAGTGAAAATTCTCTTTTCACCTGTCCCTTCTCATGGGAAGACTAGCATGTCTCCTCCTCTGCCATCCTCTTTACTCTCAAGTCAGGCACTTGCTGAGTTGTAGGATCTACTGTTTCATCCTGTGCTTCTGGAGTGCGAAGAAATATCTTTAGGATAAGTTGTCTAGGATACATGCAAGGGGCAATCAAAAATCAAAAACTAGAATAAAAGTGTTTAAAAAGCAACAGTAATGAATGAGATTTTTTTGGTGAAAGAAGAGAGAGAACTGAAAGCTGTGGGCCACCTACATTTAAGGGGCCATCAGAGGAAGGTAAAAAGCACCCTGATGGGAGCAACCAAAGTTAAGGAAAGAAAATAGATTGCAGGGGATGGGGGCCAAGAAAAGAGAATCTTTCAAGACACAAAGTCAGTGCCTTCAGTGCTGCAGAAGTTGAAAATGATTTTATAACTTTCAAAATTACTACAAGCAAGGAGATTTTAATAGCCTTAGGGTTATTATTTATTTATTTATTTATTTTTAAAATTAATTTATTTATATCATATAAGAAATTTTAAATAAACTTAGAAAACAGTCCAGGTGTGGGGGCTCATGCCTGTAATCTCAGTACTTTGGGAGGCTGAGGCAGGCGGATCGCCTGCAGTCAGCAGTTCAAGACCAGCCTGGTCAATATAGTGAAATCCCATCTCTACTAAAAATACAAAAATTAGCTTGGTGTGGTGGCAGATACCTGTAATCCCAGCTACTCAGGAGGCTGAGGCAGGAGAATCTCTTGAACCCAGGAGGTGGAGGTTGCAGCAAGCCAAGATCGTGCCACTGCACTCCAGCCTGGGCATCCAAGTGAGACTCTTGTTTCATAAATAAATAAATATATAAAAAAAAACTTAGAAAACAGAGGAAAGAAGAAGGAACATACCTCATCACATAAACGCACACACACCAATAGCAATTTGGTATAATAGCAATTTGGTATAATTATTTACATATTTTTATTTTTATTTATTTATTTTTTTGAGACGGAGTCTCTCTCTGTCACCCAGGCTGGAGTGCTGTGGCGCGATCTCGGCTCACTGCAAGCTCCGCCTCCCGGGTTCACACCATTCTCCTGCCTCAGCCTCCCAAGTAGCTGGGACTAAAGGTGTCCACCACCACGCCTGGCTAAATTTTTGTATTTTTAGTAGAGACACGGTTTCACCATGTTAGCCAGGATGGTCTTGATCTCCTGACCTCGTGATCCGCCCGCCTCATCCTCCCAAAGTATTGGGATTACAAGTGTGAGCCACCGCGCCCGGCCAATTATTTACATATTTTTAATACATGTTTTTATTTTTTGTGTAATGAAAATCAATGACTATATAATGAGGTATAGTTTCTTCAAATTAAAAATAATCTTTTATAGTTATAAAGTTATATCTCAGTCAGGTAGAAAATTCAGATTCAAAATACTTTACTTTTGAATACAGATTCAAAATACTTTATTCAAAATGATGAAACTCTGACCTCCTTCTGGTGATGTCCAGATGGCCTAATTGCTTCATCTTATACTTCTTTTGTTAGAGGTGTTGGAACCAAAGCAAATCCATCTTGACCTGCTGGGCTATATTCCCAGGAGGTTAAGGCATTCTTAGTCACAAGATAAGATAGGAGGTTGTTGGTAGAAGAGCTGAGGCGGGACTAGCTTGTCCGTCATAATGTAAAAGAGTCTTGGAACACGTCCTGGGTCCAGGGTCTAAACCCCCTCGTGGCCTTTGGAACACCAAGTTCTGTGCCAAAGGGTGGAAGGCTGCCCTGCTGCACTACAATCTAAGCCCAGGGCATAAAACCTCTCATGGCTTGGATGGAATCCAAGGCTCAGGGCATAAAACCCCTTGTGGCCACTGGAATGTGCACAGACTTGCTCGTTCCTTGCTTCTTGCTCTCCCAGGCTCATAAACATGTTCTCCATTATCTCAGGTAGCAGAACATATTACATTTGTGTCAAAGAAAATACTAAACAGTCACAACTGTGCTTGATGCACTGCTACCTTTCTACCCCCACGTCCTCACGTCCTCACCTGTTTACCCCCACATCCTCACATCCTCACCACCTGCTTCTTTGTTTGATCACCAATAAATAGTGTGGGCTTCTAGAGCTCCAAGCCTTCGCAGCCTCTATACTAGTGTTGGCCCCCTGGACCCACTTTACACATTCTTAACTTGTCTTGTCTCATTCCTTTGACTCCAACAGACTTCGTAGCCCACAAGGCCTGGTGTTGGGCCTGATCATCCCAATAGAGGTCAGCACAATATGTAGATCACAAAGACCTTGCTGATAAAACAGCATGTGGTAAAGAAGCTGACCACATCCAACCAATACCAAGATGGAGAGAAAGTGACTTCTGCTTATATTCACTGCTCATTATGTGCTAATTATAACGCATTAGCATGCTAAAAGACACTCCCACTAGCACCATTACAGCTTACAAATGCCATGGCAACAGTCAGGAAGTTACCCTATATGATCTAAAAGGGGAGGAACCCTTAGTTCCAGGAATTGCCCATCCCTTTCCCGGAAAACTCATGAATAATCCACCCTTTTTTAAGCATATAATCAAGAAGTAACAATAGGTATAGGCAGCTGAGGAGCTCTTGCCACTGCTCTGCCTATGGAACAGCCACTCATTTATTCCTTTGCCTTCTTAAACAACTTGTTTTCCCTTTACTCTACGAGCATGCCCTGAATTCTTTCTTGTGCGAGGTCCAAGAACCCTCTCTTGAGGTCTGGATTGGGACCTCTTTCTGGTAACACTTTCACAAACAGTTTGTCTATTATCAAGTAACTTTTTTTCCAAAACATGATCTTGTAAGTGCTTATAGCATAGCTTTCCAAATTGCTCTGTTGGACTGGACAAAAACAAAACCAAAACCAAAATAAACATTCTCCATATCCAAAAGTTACTAGCTCATACAAATATCTCTTTTAAATATGTTTAATTAGATGAATTATTTTTATATTATGTGATTTAAAAAGATGAGTTCAAAGGTTAAAAAAGTTTTGTTCTAATTTTTCATGGTGATCTAACTAGAAGAAAAAGGCCAACGAATATTGGTTGAATAAATAATAAAAAAAGGCAAATAACGTATTTCTGCATCTTTGCCCTACAGAAAGAAGGGTAATGAACAGGCTAACTTTGACTGTTTTTTTGTTTGTTTTTTATTTTGTTTTCATTTTTTTTGAGATGGGTTCTCGCTCTGTCTCTCAGACTGGAGTGCAGTGGCACGATCTCGGCTCACTGCAACCTCTACCTCCTTGGTTCAAGCAATTCCCCTGCCTCAGTCTCTCGAGTAGCTGGGATTACAGGTGCATGCCACCATGCCTGGCTAATTTTTTTGTATTTTTAGTAGAGAGAGTGTTTCACCATGTTGGCCAGACTAATCTCGAACTCTTGACCTCAGGCAATCCACCCGCCTTGGCCTCCCAAAGTGCTGGGATTACAGGCATGAGCCACCGTGCCTGGCCTTTTTTTTCACTCTTGTTGCCCAGGCTGGAGTGCAATGGCACAATCTCGGCTCAATACAACCTCCACCTCCCGGGTTCAAGAGATTCTCCTGCCTCAGCCTCCTGAGTAGCTTGGATTACAGGTTCCCGCCACCATGCCCAGCTAATTTTGTATTTTTAGAAGACACGGGGTTTCTCCACGTTGGTCAGGCTGGTCTCGAACTCCCAACCTCAGATGATCCTCCTGCCTCTGCCTCCCAAAGTGCTGGGATTACAGGCATGAGCCACTGTGCCCAGCCTAACTTTGACTGTTATAGACAGTATAACACGAATTTTAAAATATAAAATATTTTAAGGAGGAAGACTGCCCTGCCTTTCTCTAAGTTCACATCAATTTGGGTCCTGATACCAATAATAATGTTTTTGTTACATTTAACCCCAATTGGGATGAGGTTCTAAAGGACTTCCAGATCTGATCCTTTTCCTCTCATTTTTATTTCTACCTGCCTAGAGCTACAAATCAAATTTAATAGCTCAGAAAGGGGAGTGTTGCATCCCATCTGTTAGAAGACCAATTATATTGTTTATTTGTTTCTCCCCACTTGGCCAAACAATATTCTTTTACAAAGTTGATTTTCTTTTTTTTTTCCTGTATCTGTTATATCTTTGGCTGCTTGGCCTCATGGCTTATTAATACTTCTTGCCTTTTTGCACCTCAGCTTTACATGTTTTTGGTCATCCTCTGTGAGGGTGTTTATGCATTCTACCATCAGCTTTCTGTCAAGTATCTCATTACTGCTTTCTTAAGGACAATGGAGGTCCTCTCACCTGTTTATCTCTGTGGATGAGAACAACACTGTATCCTGGGTACAACCCTGGTGTTTAAACTCTTTATCAGGACATACCTCCCCCACAGAGTGTGTGTGTTATGGGGTAAAATGGAAGAGGAGGGAGACAAAAAAAGCAAGAGGGTTTCCTGCCTTCTTTTCTCCTGTTACCATTTTCATTTCACCCACTCAGTGTTATGCTTGTTCTACTCCAGGCCATGCTGAGAAGCATCTGCTGACCCTGACTCTCCCTGCTTCCCAGCCTGTTCCTTGAGAAGGGAACACCCTGTACAGATGCCTCAATACCTTTCTTCAAACTCTCCTTCTAGCAGGAAGGAAATTTACTTTACCCGCCCCTGTGATCAACCCCCAACCCCTATCCTATGCCCAAACATCCTGAGTGTTCTAAATCCTTGGGTTATTTCCTCAGTCTAAATAATTCATATTAAAAAGACAAAGATTCAGAATTTTTAAGCCATTCTTATCTGAATTTGTTACCTGTATTAGTTCATTCTTACATTGCTATAAATACCCGAGACTAGGTAATTTATAAAGAAAAGAGGTTTAATTGGCTCACCATTCTGCAGGCTGTACAAGAAACATAGCAGCTTCTGCTTGGCTTCTGTGGAGGCCTCAGAAAACTTACAATCATGGCAGAAGGTGAGTGGGGAAGCAGGCACATCTTACATGGCTGGAGCAGGAGGAAGAGAGACAGTGGGGTGGTGCTACACACTTTTAAACAACCATCTCTCTCAAGAACTCTATCATGAGAACAGCACCAAGAGAATGGTGCTAAACCATTCAGGAAGGATCCACCTCAATGATCCAATCACGTCTCACCCGGCCCCACCTCCAATATTGGGGATAACAATTTGACATGAGATTTGGACAAGGACACAGATTTAAACCATCTCACTTCCTCTGCTTGAGTTGACCAGACAATAATTCATACCAGTGGTATGATTCTATCAGGCTCTGTCTGATAGAATATGAGCCATTTACAATTCCTCTTCAATTTCTTTCTTTCTTTTTTTTTTTTTTTTTTTTTGAGATGGAGTCTCGCTCTGTTGCCCAGGCTAGAGTGTAGTGGCGTAATCTCGGCTCACTGCACCTCCACCTCCTGGGTTCCAGTGATTCTCTTGCCTCAGCCTCCCGAGTAGCTGGGATACAGGCGCCCGCCACCAAGCCCAGCTAATTTTTGTATTTTTAGTAGAGACAGGGTTTCACCATCTTGGCCAGGCCGGTCTTGAACTCCCTGCCTCGGCCTCCCAAAGTGCTGGGATTACAGGCGTGAGCCACTGCGTCCTGCTTCCTCTTCAGTTTCAAGATTGTTTCTGGGAGCTCTGATGTCCCTGATTTTATAATATACTCAAGGACTTCCATAAAACATGCAATATGGTTTTATGGGAAGTGATTTGAATGCTGCTGTCCATTACCTAATGTGACATTATTTTAGGAGAAAATTCTTTCCAGTATTCCAAGTTTCCGGAGGAAGATTTTTCTGGGTGTGATTTTCTGGGGTCTCTGAGATTGTGCCTGGTTCAAGGTGCTGCACTCTCTTCCTGTTCACAGAGCCCATTTCAATTCAGAGTCCTCCCCACCAATCAGCCTGCCCAGTCTAAAAATCTGCCTCATAGTGACTCTAAAGAAAAAGGCAGAAATCAGAAGACAGCATAGCCAATGGTGAACTTCAACTGAACCTAGGCCTATGCAGGTTCTTGAGCTACAGCCCTCGCCCCTGACATGTTCTAATGTCCAGTCAAAAAAAGGATGGAAAGAACAATGATTACAAGAAATGTTCTATTATGTGTCCTGACTCAGAAATAAAATGAGAAGGGGTAATAGCTAAAATTGGCTTTAGACTGCTTGCTGAGTAGTTTTATCTAAAATATGAAAGTAAATGAGGGCTATATATATATAATTTAAATAATATATTGTATTTAATGTAATATATACAAAAAATTATATCAATATCTAAACAATACAGAAGTGATTAATGAGATAATTTACATTCTCATTTATTGGTAGTGAGTCTTCAAAAATTTGTGTGTATTTTACATGTATAGCACATCATTAGTGGTTTTGCTAAAGATATAAAAAATAAATGTTATAAAATGTATGATAATTTATTCATTAAATTTATCTTTATTGTGTTACTCATCACATCACCTGTCTATCAACAAAACACCCTGATATGTGTAACAGTAATTGAATTCAGTCAAATTTGGTATTTTGCATACTTTCAGTCATATAAAAACCATAGTGTTTACACATATTTTGCAATTTTGTTGCTATGATGGTGACATATAGATTATGGGTCTCTTTTTGTACTATTGCCCTAAGCCCCACAAATGTTAGGGGCAGGCCTGATTTCTTTCTTTCCACCCTACAACCAAGTACAATTGGATAAGAGACTCCAGGAGCCCTCATCCTCTTTCCTGACAACACTTATCACCATGCCTTCTTATTCCTGAATATTGTCTGACATAACCTATAATTATTTTCAACCTTTTCCCTTTTAATGAATAAATATTTAAACTAGTGTAGTGTCTTTTTTCAATCTATGGGTTCTTTCACTTATATCATCTATTTGATGTATAACGAATTCCACAAGGTAGGTAGTAGCACATAAGGAAAGAGGCTGAGAAAGTTCAAGTGATGTGACTCACACTTAACAGTTAGTATCTCTGCCGGGTGCAGTGGCTCACACCTGTAATCCCAGCACTTTGAGAGGCCAAGGTGGCTGGTAAATCACCTGAGGTCAGGAGTTCGAGACCAGCCTGAACAACATGGAGAAACCCTGTCTCTATTAAAAATACAAAATCAGCCGGGCGTGATGGCGCATGCCTGTAGTCCCAGCTACTCAGGAGGCTGAGGCAGGAGAATCGCTTGAACCCAGGAGGCAGAGATTGCAGTGAGCCGAGATGGCGCCATTGCACTCCAGCCTGGGCAACAAGAGTGAAACTCCATCTCAAAACAAACAAACAAACAAACAAACATCCCAAACAATTAGTATCTCAGGGCTTCTCATTCTAAGTTCTTGCTCTTTCAAATGTATTTTGTTTCCTCATTTTGGGTGTGATTTAGACCAGAGGAAATGGGAGCCAGGAAGCCTTTTAAGTGGAGCAAAAGCATGAGCAAAGAAGTAGAAAATAGCAGTTCAGTTGGGCCGAAGCCCGTGGTCTGTGTTAAGGAAAGATAAAAAATGTGGGAAAGAACAGAGCTGTATTGATGAAGCCTTGGATGTCAAAGTTGGGATTTTGCATTTTATTCTGATGACTGAAGCAATATTTTTTAGAGAAAGTAATTGAAATAAAGAAGTTTTATTTTTTATTGATAAAAATGTCATCAATGTACTCGAGAGGAAGCTGGTATTCATCTGAGTAGGAGAAGGAGGACAGATCAGTAGTTGAACTTGCACTTGAGATGAGAAGCATCTGCCACCCACACCTTCCTATTGTTCTACCTTCCTAATCCTGACCAGCTGTTTCCTTAGTGTGTACAACTGGTTGTACGGGTGGCAGGGTTACAGAGGATAGATGGGTCAGTTCCAACTTGTACCATTTTTTTGCCACATGCCCAAATGAGGATGAATTAGTCACATTTTTGCACACTAAGGACAAGGCATTTATTTTTTCAACTGATATATAGTATTTTTATAAACTTCTGGCTTAAGAGGCAGACAAAAATTATATGTTTAGATTTTTTTAAAAAATTATCAACATGGCAGAGTAATCACTTTAAACCCTGTGTGAGATCATGCCATGTCTTTGCTTAAAACCCTGAAATGGCTATTTTACTCAGGGTGCAAGCATAAGTCCTTAAAACATCCTACAAGGCCCTACACAACTTGGTTCCTTATTACCTTTCAAGTTTCGCTTCTATTTCTGTCTCTCTTGCTCACCCTTTGCCACACTGGAGTCTTTGCTGTGCCTCTGACACACTAGGCACATTGCTGTCTCAGGTTGTTTTAACTTGCTATTTCCTCTGTCTAAAACAAGCTTGTCTAACCCATGGTCCGTGGGCTGCATGTGGCCCAGGATGACTTTCAATGCAGCCCAACACAAATTCATAAACTTTCTTAAAACATTATGAGATTTTTTTTGGTGACTTTTATTTTTAGCTCATCAGCTATCATTAGTGTTCGTGTATTTTCTGTGGCCCAAGACAGTTCTTCCAGTGTGGCCCAGGGAAACCAAAAGATTAGACACCCTTGGCCTAGGGCACTCTTCCACAGATACCAAAAGAGTTTACTTCCTCACCTCCTCCTGGTTTTTGCCCAAATATCCTCTTCTCAGTGAGGGAGTCCTCTCTAATCACTCTTTAAATGGAATCCTCACCCCAGCATACCCTATCTCTTTCTGTTTCATTTTCCAACATACCATCTGACATTCTGTATCTTTTATTTATGTATTGTTTTCAGTACCTCTTCTGGTAGAAAATAAGCACCAAGGGAAGGTATCTGAGCAGTTTTGTTCATGGTCATGTCTCTCAAGACCTTAGAACAGTGCCTGACACATACAGGTGCTTGATAAATAGTTGTCAAAATAAATGAGGCCTTTTACTTCCTGATGGTTGGGCATAACATCTTTTTGAACATCTTAGTTTATTAAAGAAATTGCTAATCTTCTTATTCATTTCAGTGAATCTAGAGAAATTTCTTCATCCTCCTGATTATTTTGGGTTTCTGAATTAGATGTTTTATTTTTATTTTTTTTCCTGGGGTTGGCAATGTCACCAGGGTTTTAATTAGTGTGACTAAAGATGAGCTGTTTTCTTCTAGATCAGAGACTGGGGCATGTCAAAGCCTGGGTGTAGTGAATTTTTATAATTTTATGTTGCCTTGGCATCCATTTTGAGTATAAGTTTAACTTCCTCATACTAGAATCAGGGGTTAGTCACCCTTGAAACAGTTTGCAGTTCTATACCATGCCCAAATGGCTCAAGCCAATGGCCAAAGCTAAGAACTTCTGGATGTCTCCCCCGCTAGCAGATTGTACTCCCTGCTTTCCCACTGCTTCCTTTAAACAGACCATATAGGCATTTGCCTGTGAACTTAGTAACCTACAGCCTAGTCCGTTGTCTATCCTGCTAGTTGCCACACACACTCTTTCTCAATACCTAACTCTTCATGTTCTCCTCTTGTGCCAGGGGATGGAAGATTGCCCTCCAGATTCATCGCACCCTTCTTGCCCAGATTCTGAAAGTAAAAATCCTTGAACTTCCTATTTTGGTGGTGGTTTGAATTTGCTCCTTCCATTCTCAAGAACCAAACTGCAGGCTGGGTTTTCCCTGGGATGTCAGGACTAACACACAGTTGACCTCTCAGCCCCAGAATGATGGTTAGGTAGGCATACACTAAACACAGGTCAGATAAGAGCCACAAGAGTGTCTTCCAGTATAAATAAGTTTTCCATGTGAGGAACCCCTTGTCATTGGTCAAACAACTAGACATTATGCTCTTTGCTAGGTGAAAGACCCACGTCCAACTCCCCCTCATTTATCTTAGCAGGGCTGCCAGTGGGGCAGGGTTGCTAGCCACTCTGCTACTGGAATCCTAGTTTATCTGTGGGATCCCAAGACAATGGGACCTTGTGAAATCTCTATCTGCTGGCTGGGATATGGATACTGTCTGTGATCAGATATATTATTACTCATTCTGTCTAGTCTGTCATTTTCACTCTGATTATATCTTACCTGTATGTATTTAATTTGTGCTATTACAATATTGTTTTATGCTCACCAACCTCCTAACTTTGGAAAGGATTCAAAGCATGTATATTTTCTGTCTGTAGCCAGTTTTTATACTTGAAGGCAAAGGACCAGTTTTCTATGATGTTCAAAATGATAGTGTGTACAGAGGCTCAATAAATGTAGGTTGACTTGGTGCAGTGACTACTGTCTTTTAATGCCACAGAAATTATTGTCATAACACATGGGTATCAATCATACCAAGCTATATAAGATCCATACAAGAAGAAATAAATTTTTTATGTCCTGAAAAATATCAAGAAATATGGAATCAGAAAATGGAAGGAAAGGAATAATTAAGAGTCATTTTATATTATATGGCTTCAATGTTTATATCTAATTATTTAAGCATTGAAAACATTTCAGAATGCAGATTATCCTAATGTGTTTTGCTTTCATATATTTTATAAAAGTAATTGGTATAATATTCATCAAAACCATTTTAGTGATCTCTTCAAATCCATAGATTCTCCTTACACTTCAGTGCCAGAGAATTTTAGAAGTAGGACCAAGGTCTGTTGAAGAAAATACTAGTGACGTGGCCTTTATTATGTTGTCTCAGCAAGGTTGAAGATAACGATTTCAGCCCTGATCTATAAAGATAAAGAGGCAATGTTTTCTAACACAAGATCTCACCTATTGGTAAGTCTTAAAGCCCCACCCTAACAGAGTATGAACCAGTTGTTACTGCTATCTCATTCATTTCCTCTCTGCCATGCTTCTTCCCGGTTTCTTGGTTATCTCAAGGCCTTTGGGAAACAAGACTGTTCTTCAGAAAATGTTTGAGGTCCTTGAATACAGAGACTATTTACTAGAGATGATAATGACCCAAGTTTCTTATATTAAAAACAACAACAACAACAACAACAACAATTCTTTGAATTTCTGGGCACTGCTACAAAGAAAGAGTTGACATAAGTGTATATCTTTGTTTTAAAATATACTCTAAGTTCTAGGGTACATGTGCACAACATGCAGGATTGATACATAGGTACACATGTGCCATGTTGGTTTGCTGCACCCGTCAACTCATCATTTACAATACGTGTTTCTCTTAATGCTATCCCTCCCCCAACCCCCACTCCGTGACAGGCCCCAGTGTGTGATGTTCCCCGCCTTGTGTCCAAGTGATCTCATTGTTCAATTCCCACCTATGAGTGAGAACATGTGGTGTTTGGTTTTCTGTCCTTGTGATAGTTTGCTGAGAATGATGGTGTCCAGCTTCGTCCATGTCCCTGCAAATGACATGAACTCATCCTTTTTTATGGCTGCATAGTATTCCATGGTGTATATGTGCCACATTTTCTTAATCCAGTCTATCATTGATGGACATTTAGGTTGGTTCCAAGTCTTCGCTATTGTGAATAGTGACACAATAAACATACATGTGCATGTGTCTTTATAGTAGCATGATTTATAATCCTTTGGGTATATACCCAGTAATGGGATGATGGCTGGGTCAAATGGTAATTCTAGTTCTAGATCCTTGAGGAATCTCCACACTGTCTTCCACAATGGTTGAACTAATTTACACTCCCACCAACAATGTGAAAGCTTTCCTATTTCTCCATATCCTCTCCAGCATCTGTTGTTTCCTGACTTTTTAATGATTGCCATTCTAACTGGCATGAGATGGTATCTCATTGTGGTTTTGATTTGCATTTCTCTGATGACCAGTGATGATGAGCATTTTTTCACATGTCTGTTGGCTGCATAAATGTCTTCTTTAGAGAAGTGTCTGTTCATATCCTTTGTCGACTTTTTGATGGGGTTGTTTGATTTTTTCTTGTAAATTTGTTTAAGTTCTTTGTAGATTCTGGTTATTAGCCCTTTGCGAGATGGGTAGATTGCAAAAATTTTCTCCCATTCTGTAGGTTGCATGTTCACGCTGATGGTAGTTTCTTTTGCCTTGCAGAAGCTCTTTAGTTTAATTAGACCCCATTTGTCTATTTTGGCTTTTGTTGCCATTGCTTTTGGTGTTTTACTCGTGAAGTCCTTGCCCATACTTATGTCCTGAATGGTATTGCCTAGGTTTTCTTCTAGGGTTTTTATGGATTTAGGTCTAACATTTAAGTCTCTAATCCATCTTGAATTAATTTTTGTATAAAGTATGAGGAAGGGATCCAGTTTCAGCTTTCTACATATGGCTAGCCAGTTTTCCCAGCACCATATATTATATAGGGAACCCTTTCCCTATTTATTATTTTTGTCAGGTTTGTCAAAGATCAGATGGTTGTAGATATGTGGTGTTATTTCTGAGGCCTCTGTTCTGTTCCGTTGGTCTATATATCTGTTTTGGTACCAGTACTATGCTGTTTTGGTTACTGTAGCCTTGTAGTATAGTTTGAAGTCAGGTAGCATGATGCCTCCAGCTTTGTTCTTTTTGCTTAGGATTGTCTTCTCAATGAGGGCTCTTTTTTGGTTCCATATGAACTTTAAAGTAGTTTTTTCCAGTTCTGTGAAGAAAGTCATTGGTAGCTTGATGGGAATGGCATTGAATCGATAAATTACTTTGGGCAGTATGGCCATTTTCATGATATTGATTCTTCCTATTCGTGAGCATGGAATATTCTTCCATTTGTTTGTGTCCTAATTTACTTTGTTGAGCAGTGGTTTGTAGTTCTCCTTGAAGAGTTCCTTCACATCCCTTGTAAGTAGGATTCCTAGGTATTTTATTCTCTTTGTAGCAATTGTGAATGGGAGTTCACTGATGCTTTGGCTCTCTGTTTGTCTGTTAATGGTGTATAGGAGTGATTTTTGCACACTGATTTTGTATCCTGAGACTTACTGAAGTTGCTTATCAGCTTAAGGAGATTTGGGGCTGAGATGATGGGGTTTTCTAAATATACAATCATGTCATCTGCAAACAGGTACAATGTGACTTCCTCATTTCCTAATTGAATATCCTTTATTTCTTTCTCTTGCCTGATTGCCTGGGCCAGAACTTCCAACACTGTGTTGAATAGTATTGGTGAGAGAGGGCATCCTTATCTTGTGCCAGTTTTCAAAGGGAATGCTTCCAGTTTTTGCCCATACAGTATGCTATTGGCTGTGGGTAAATAGTTCTTATTATTTTGAGATACGTTCCATCAATACCTAGTTTATTGAGAGTTTTTAGCAAGAAGTGCTGTTGAATTGTGTGGAAGCCCTTTTCTGCATCTATTGAGATAATCATGTGGTTTTTGTTGTTGGTTCTGTTTATGTGATGGATTACATTTATTGATTTGCATATGTTGAACCAGCCTTGCATCCCAGGAATGAAGCCAAATTGATCATGGTGAATAAGCTTTTTGATGTGCTGCTGGATTCAGTTTGCCAGTATTTTATTGAGGATTTTCACTTCGATGTTCATCAGTGATACTGGTCTAAAATTCTTTTTTTTTGTTATGTGTCTACCAGGCTTTGGTATCAGGATGATGCTGGCCTCATAAAATAAGTTAGGGAGGATTCCTTGTTTTTCTATTGATTGGAATAGTTTCAGATGGAGCAGTACCAGCTCCTCTTTGTACCTCTGGTAGAATTTGGCTGTGAATTCATCTGGTCCTGGACTTTTTTTTGGTTGGTAAGCTATTAATTATTACCTCAATTTCAGAGGCTGTTATTGGTCTATTCAGAGATTCAACTTCTTCCTGGTTTAGTCTTGGGAGGGTGTATGTATCCAGGAATTTATCCATTTATTCTAGATTTTCTAGTTTATTTGCATAGAGGTGTTTACAGTATTATCTGATGGTAGTCTGTATTTCTGTGGGATCGGTGGTGATATTCCCCCTTTATCATTTTTTTATTGCATCTATTTGATTCTTCTCTATTTTCTTCTTTATTGGTCTTGATAGTGGTCTATCCATTTTGTTAATCTTTTCAAAAAAACAGCTCCTGGATTTGTTGAATTTTTGAAGTGTGTTTTTGTGTCTCTATCTCTTTCAGTTCTGCTCTCATCTTAGTTTTTATTTCTTGCCTTCTGCTAGCTTTTGAATGTGTTTGTTCTTGCTTCTCTAGTTCTTTTAATTGTGATTTTACGGTGTCAATTTTAGATCTTTCCTGCTTTCTCTTGTGGGCATTTAGTGCTATAAATTTCCCCCTACACACTGCTTTAACTGTGTCCCAGAGATTCTGGTACATTTTATCTTTGTTCTCATTGGTTTCAAAGAACCTCTTTATTTCTGCCTTCATTTAGTTATGTACCCAGTAGTCATTCAGGAGCAAGTTGTTTAGTTTCCATGTAGTTGTGTGGTTTTGAGTGAGTTTCTTAATTCTGAGTTCTAATTTCATTGCACTGTGGTCTGAAAGACAGTTTGTTGTGATTTCTGTTCTTTTACATTTGCTGAGGAGTGCCTTACTTCCAATTATGTGGTCAGTTTTAGAATAAGCGCAATGTGGTGCTGATAAGATTGTATATTCTGTTTATTTCGGGTGGAGAGTTCTGTAGATGTCTATTAGGTCTGCTTGTTGCAGAGCTGAGTTCAGGTCCTGGATATCCTTGTTAACCTTCTGTCTTGTTGATCTGTCTAATATTGACAGTGGGGTGTTAAAGTCTCCCATTATTATTATTATTATTATTATTATTATTATTATTTTTCTTTGAGATGGAGTCTCGCTCTGTGACCCAGGCTGGAGTGCAGTGGCGTAATCTCGGCTCACTGCAAGCTCTGCCTCCCGGGTTTATGCCATTCTCCTGCCTCAGCCTTCCGAGTAGCTGGGACTACAGGTGCCCGCCACCACGCACGGCTAATTTTTTGTATTTTTAGTAGAGACGCGGTTTCACCGTGTTAGCCAGGATGGTCTTGATCTCTTGACATCGTGATCCGCCCACCTGGGCCTCCCAAAGTGCTGGGATTACAGGCGAGAGCCACTGTGCCGAAGTCTCCCATTCTTATTGTTTGGGAGTCTAAGTCTTTTTGTAGGTCACTAAGGACTTGCTTTATGAAGCTGGGTGCTCCTGTATTGGGTGCATATATATTTAGGATAGTTAGCTCTTCTTGTTGCATTGATGCCTTTACCGTTATGTAATGGCCTTCTTTGTCTCTTTTGATCTTTTTTGGTTTAAAGTCTGTTTTATCAGAGACCAGGATTGCAACCCCTGCTTTTTTTACTTTCCATTTGCTTGGTAGATCTTCTTCCATCCCTTTACTTTGAGCCTATGTGCATCTCTGCACATGAGATGGGTCTCCTGAATACAGCACACTGATGGATCTTGCCTCTTTATCCAATTTGCCAGTTTGTGTCTTTTAATTGGGGCATTTAGCTCATTTACATTTAAGGTTAATATTGTTATGTGTGAATTTGCCCCTGTCATTATGATGTTAGCTGGTGACTTTGCCCATCAATTAATGCAGTTTCTTCATAGCATCAATGGTGTTTACAATATGGCCTGTTTTTGCGATGGCTGGTACCGGTTGTTTCTTCCCATGTTTAGTGCTTCCTTCAGGAGCTCTTGTGAGGTAGGCCTGGTGGTGACAAAATCTCTCAGCATTTGCTTGTCTGTAAAGGATTTTATTTCTCCTTCACTTATGAAGCTTTGTTTGGCTGGATATGAAATTCTGGGTTGAAAATTCGTTTCTTTTAGAATATTAAGGCCAGGTGTGGTGGCTCACACCTGTAATCCCAGCACTCTGGGAGGCTAAGGCGGGTGGATCACGAGTTCAGGAGATTGAGACCATCCTGGCTAACACAGCGAAACCCTGTCTCTACTAAAAATACAAAAAAAAAAAAAAAAAATTGCCAGGCGTGGTGGCAGGTTCCTGTAGTTCCAGCTACTCAGGAGGCTGAGGAAGGAGAATGGTGTGAACCCAGGAGGCAGAGCTTTCAGTGAGCTGAGATCTCACCACTGCACTCCAGCCTGGGTGATAGGGCAAGACTCCATCTCAAAAAAAAAAAAAAAAAAAAAAAAGAATGTTGAATATTGGCTGTACTCTCTTCTGGTTTGTAGGATTTCTGCCGAGAGATCCGCTGTTAGTCTGATGGGCTTCCCTTTGTGGGTAACTCGACCTTTCTCTCTGGCTGCCCTTAACACTATCCTTCATTTCAACCTTGGTGAATCTGGCAATTATGTGTCTTGGGGTTGCTCTTCTTGAGGAGTATCTTTGTGGTGTTCTCTGTATTTCCTGAATTTGAATGTTGGCCTGCCTTGCTAGGTTGGGGAAGTTCTCCTGGATAATATCCTGAAGAGTGTTTTCCAACTTGATTCCATTCTCCCCATCACTCGCAGTTACAGTAATCAAACGTAAATTTGGTCTTTTCACATAGTCCCATATTTCTTGGAGGATTTGTTCACTTCTTTTTACTCTTTTTTCTCTAACCTTGTCTTCTCGCTGTATTTTATTAATTTGATCTTCAATCACTGATAGCCTTTCTTCCACTTGATCAAATCGGCTACTGAAGTTTATGCATGTGTCACGAAGTTCTCGTGCCATAGTTTTCAGCTCCATCAGGTCATTTATCGTCTTCTCTATGCTGTTGATTCTAGTTAGCCATTCGTCTAATCTTTTTTCAAGGGTTTTAGCTTCCTTGTGATGGGTTCAAGCATCCTCCTTTAGCTGGGGGAAGTTTGTTATTACCAACCTTCTGAAGCCTACTTCTGTCACCTCATCAAAGTCATTCTCCGTCCAGCTTTGTTCCGTTGCTGGCGAGGAGCTGCAATCCTTTGGAGGAGAAGAGGCACTCTGAGTTTTAGAATTTTCAGCTTTTGTGCTCTGGTTTCTCCCCATCTTTGTGGTATTATCTACCTTTGGTCTTTGATGTTGGTATGTTGGTGACCTACAGATGGGGTTTTTGTGTAGGTGACCTTTTTGTTGAGGTTGATGCTATTCCTTTCTGTTTGTTAGTTTTCCTTCTTTTTTTTTTTTTTAGTTGGAGTCTCGCTCTGTCACCCAGGCTGGAGTGCCCTGGCGCGATCTCGGCTCGCTGCAAGCTCCGCCTCCCAGGTTCACGCCATTCTCCTGCCTCGGCCTCTCTAGTAGCTGGGACTACAAGCACCTGCCACCACACCTGACTAATGTTTTGTATTTTTAGTAGAGACAGGGTTTCACTGTGTTAGTCAGGATGGTCTTAATCTCCTGACCTCGTGATCTGCCTGCCTTGGCCTCCGAAAGTTCTGGGATTACAGGCATGAGCCACCATGCCAGGCCTGAGCCACTGCGCCTGGCCAGTTTTCCTTCTAACAGTCAGGTCCCTCAGCTGCAGTTCTGTTGGAGTTTGCTGGAGTTCCACTCCAGATGCTGTTTGCCTGGATATCACCAGCGGAGGCTGCAGAACAGCAAATATTGCTGCCAGCTCCTTCCTCTGGAAGCTTCGTCCAAGATGGGCAGCCACCTATATGAGGTGTCTGTTGGCCCCTACTGGGAGGTGTCTCCCATTTAGGCTACATGGGGGTCAGGGACCCACTTGAGGAGGCAGTCTGTTCGTTCTCAGAGCTCAAACACTGTGCTGGGAGAACCACTGCTCTCTTCAGAGCTGTCAGACAGGGACATTTAAGTCTGCAGAAGTTGTCTGCTGCCTTTAGTTCAGCTGTGCCCTGCCCTCAGAGGTGGAGGGAGTCTAGAGGCAATAGGCCTTGTTGAGCTGTGGTGGGCTCCGCCCAGTTCCAGCTTCCCGGCCACTTTGTTTACCTACTCAAGCCTCAGCAATGGCAGATGCCCCTCCCCCAGTCAGGCTGCCATCCTGCAGATTGATCTCAGACTGCTGCACTAGCAGTGAGCAAGGTTCTGTGGGTGTGGGAGCTGCCAAGCCAGGCATGTTAGAGAATCACCTTGTCTGCTGGTTGCTAAGACCTTGGGAAAAGCACAGTATTTGTGTGGGAATGTCCCGTTTTTCCAGGTAGTCTGTCACGGCTTCCCTTGGCTAGGAAAGGGAAATCCCCAAACCCCTTGTGCTTCCCGGGTGAGGGAATGCCCTGCCCTGCTTCAGCTCATCCTCCGTGGGCTGCACCCACTGTCCAACCAGTCCCAATTAGATGAACCAGCTACCTCAGTTGGAAATGCAGAAATCACCCATCTTCTGTGTTGATCACGCTGGGAGCTGCAGACCAGAGCTGTTCCTATTCGGCCATCTTGGAACGCCCCTCCTCCATAAGTGTATATCTTTTAGCTACTGAGCATCCATGAGTGAATTTTGACAGCTGAAGATACCTATAACAATCTTGCCAAGATTAGTGGTCTGAACATTTATGGTCTCATGGTGAGGCAGTCCTAGGTTCCCAGGCATAAATTATTTAAAAATATGAAGAACACTTCTGACTCATCTACCTGTTGAAACCTACTGTCATTTTCTTCAAAGACATAATATCATTCCCTTTTTCCAAATTTCATTAGGTACCCACTGGGGTACTGAATAAAGTATATAACTTTATATTTACTATCCCAGCCTCATTGGAAGCCTCCCCTCCAGGCAAGATGGTCCACTCACTGTCTTCCAGATTTCAAGAGAGGCCTCAGGAATTCCCACTGCCATGCCTTTGCCAACAAACTTCTGCACTTGGCATGATCTATGCCCCTAGGCCGAGACAAATCCAGCATCTGTCAGGAATGCTCCCTTGGTATAGTCATGCTTCAATTCTGATCTTCTAGACATTTAATTTCTTGGAACATTCAAAATAATGAATTTGATACCAAGATCAAATTCCAAAAAATTAAATGTCTAGAAGATCAGAAGTGAAGGAGTGAAATCTTGAGCAAGTGCAGTTTTTTTTTTTTCTTTTGAGACAGAGTCTCGCTCTGTCACCCAGGCTGGAGCGCAATGGCATGATCTCGGCTCACTGCAACCTCTGCCTCCCAGGTTCAAGTGATTCTTCTGCCTCAGCCTCCTGAGTAGCTGGGATTACAGGCACCTGCCATCATGCCTGGCTAATTTTTGTATTTTTGTAGAGACAGGGTTTCACCATGTTGGCCAGGCTTGTCTTGAACTCCTTACCTCAGGTGATCTGCCCACCTTGGCCTTCCAAAGTTCTGGGATTACAGGTATGAGCCACCACAACTGGCTTGTGCAGTTTTCTTAAATACCAATTTAGTCATCCATTGAATTGTGACAAGAATGCCAAATTTGCAGAGCTGATGTGAATGTTAAACTTTGTAAACTCTAGAAAGTTATGGAAATATTAGGTGTATCATTATAATTCCTGTTCAATACCATGTATTATTTATATTACCTTATTTCTCCATCCATTATTCTAAAGTTTTTGAGAGTGCTGTATACTTCTTATAATTTGTTTCCCCAGTATGCTTGGCCAAGTGTCCTTTCTATTCTATATGAACAAAAATATTTGTCAATTGATGAACTAGATTTGAAACAGTGATGAAATGCTTTCAGATTATTTCATATTTGACATCTTATTCATTGGTTAGTAATATGTGAAGATAGGGCTTAATTATTTTTGTTGTTGTTAATTACAGATTTTAGGTAATTTAAAACATAACCATTGTTACAAGAGCTATATATTCTGTATATTAATTTAAAAAAATGTACAGTTCTCTTTTTCATCTGTCTGCTGTAAAATCAATACTGAATTGGATCAAATGCCAGCTCGTATGCACTTTCATCTTTGAAAGTTAGGACACAGCTTTGAGTCTCTCTGACCGCAGACCAACTTGTAATTTAACCTACCAGAGGCTGGGTGTGTATCAAAACACAGTGGCTTTACTCAGATCTTTTAAACAGCTACAAAAGTGAAAAAGCTGAGGATGGAGTGGAAAAAGAGAAAGGATACTTTGTTTTAGGGACCTGTTTTATTTATTTATTTTTTTGTATCCATTGATCACAGGACATCAGTGGCTGCTTCAGGGACTTGGGTTAGTAGTCTCCAGGGTTTACTTTACTCTGTATCTAGGGCAAACCTGACAGTCTGGAGTAGAGCAAGAAAAATATGTAATACAGTCAACTAGATTATTTAAAAAGCCACCTTTCTGTTATTCTTATGGGGTTGAGGAAATTGTTTCTCTATATGAGTATAAAATTTATCACCAATGTTCAAGGCTTTAAAGCAGAGTTGAAGGCAACCTGAGAATCACTCAGTATTCTTTCTTCCCTTACGTTTTATATCTGCTACTGAATTATTAGTGATGGCTCACTGTGCTTCCAGTGAGGGCAGAGGGTGTTGGGCTCCTCCTAAACAGGGAGAAAAAAGAACAACAAGGATATATATTTGTTTCATGCTGCCTACTGGTTTTGAATGTTTTAGGCTATTTAATTGGAAGAAGAAGGAATTGTTAAAGTTACTTTAAAACTCTACAATTGCTTGATTAACAAGGAGGAGAAAAACTATTGGATAAAACATACAGTTATTTAAATAAGGTTTAGCAATTCAGCAACATCTATCAAAATCTTTATTATTTTCATGTTTAAAAAATACTTTAGGCTGGGCGTAGTGGCTCAGGCCTGTAATCCCAGAACTTTGGGAGGCCGAGGCGGGTGGATCCCTTAAGGTTGGGAGTTCGAGACAAGCCTGACCAACATGGAGAAACCCCCTATATACTAAAAATACAAAAATTAGCTGGGCATGGTGGCACACGCCTGTAATCCCAGCTACTCAGGAGGCTGAGGCAGTATAATTGCTTGAACCCAGGAGGCAGAGGTTGCGGTGGGCTGAGATCGCATCATTGCACTCCAGCCTGGGAAACAAAAGCGAAACTCTGTCTCAAAATAAATAAATAAATAAATAAATAACCAACCAATGAACAAAACAAACAAAAAAACCAAAGCAAAACAAAAAAACTTTATACGGTAAAAAGACAGCAAAAATAGATTTTTGTTCAAAGAAGAAAAGATATACTGCCATTGTTGTGGTTCTGTAGATGATTTTAGTCTCTGGCTCCTCAACTGTGCACTGAAGTGTAGGTTGATTTCAACCATGGCTTCTCCAGCTTCAGTCATTTATCGAAGCTAAAACCATAGTTTAAAGATACGTGAAAAAACAGAGCAAGTGGAAATTAAGCTTGATTATGGTCTTTCATGTGTTACTTTTGCTATCCTTGATTGTGTATTTCTGTTGGATCAAACACTCCTATGTTACTGCTTGGCACCATAATGAATCAATATATATTCCAAGTGGCAAGAGGTAAGTTGAGAAGGAATATGAACCAATGCAACAAAATGCGCATAATACAGTGACAATAGTATGGCCAATCAATCTTGGAAATTACCCACTTGTTTAATTTTGAGCAACATGATCTAGCATTAATGTAATCACACTCTAAATCAGACAATGTAATTATGAAGACTGAGAGAAAAATGAGTCTGCAACTGAGGAGAAAGAAGACAAAGACCATGTCCTCTTCCTCTACCTATCAAAAGCTTTAAAATGTTTATTTACTCACACATCCTATTCCTGATAATGTTTCAAAAGAAAACAGTAGAAAAGGCTGGGCATTGTGGCTCACGCCTGTAATCCCAGCACTTTGGGAGGCTGAGGTGGGCGAACCACGAGGTCAGGAATTCAAGACCAGCCTGACCAGCATGATGAAACCCCGTCTCTACTAAAAATACAAAAACTGGCTGGGCGCGATGGCTCCCGCCTGTAATCCCAGCACTCTGGGAGGCTGAGGCAGGCGGATCAGGAGGTCAGGAGATCGAGACCATCCTGGCGAACACTGTGAAACCCCGTCTCTACTAAAAATACAAAAAAAAATTAGCCGGGTGTGGTGGCAGGTGCCTGTAGTCCCAACTACTCGGGAGGCTGAGGCAGGAGAATGGCATGAACCCTGCAGGGCGGAGCTTGCAGTGAGCGGAGATCGCGCTGTTGCATTCCAGCCTGGGCAACAGAGCAAGACTCCGTCTCAAAAAAAAAAAGCAAAAAAACCCAAAAATTAGCCGGGTGTGGTGGGATGCGCCTGTAGTCCCAGCTACTCGGGAGGCTGAGGCAGGAGAATCGCTTGAACCGGGGAGGTGGAGGATGCAGTGAGCCGAGACCGTGCCATTGCACTCCAAGCCTGGGTGACAGAGTGAGACTCTGTCTCAAAAAAAAAAAAAAAAAAAAGAAAAAGAAAATATGTTATTTACCAAGATGTCATCTATCATATAACATGAAATATAGCACAATCATTAAAATACTGCCATTAAAGTGATATTAAACTAATAACATGGGGTAATGTTAAGAAAAAAAGTGAGACATAAAATTTTGTATATGTTGTATGTTAAAAGCTAAAAAAACCAACATAATACATAAAATGTAAGAAAATATACAAAAATGCTAATCCAGATATAGGTAATATTGAATTTTCTCAACTTTTTTTGTAGGTTTTGTAAGGACAATTAAAATTTTAAAATAAGAAGCATAATTCTCCCTGCTGAAAATAAAAGATTTTCCTTCTCTTCTTTTTATCAGAGAATTTATTCTAGAAAGCTTCTAATTTTAAACATAATTATCCTCAGTATCTGTGAGCGATTGGTTCCAGGCTCCCCATGACCCCTGGGATACCAAAATCCAAAGACGCTCAAGTCTCTTCTATAAAATGGCATAGTATATGCATGTAACTTACACACATCCTCCTGAAGACTTTAAGGCATCTCTAGATTACTTATAATACCTAATACAATGTCTACATATCACTTCCTTTGCATGGACTGAATGTAGTACTTGGTATATGGCAAACTGAAGTTTTGCTTTTTGAAGCTTTGTGGAATGTTTTTTTTCCCCCCAAATATATTTGATCCATGGTTGATTGAATCCACAGATGCACACTCCTGGATACAGAGAGCCCACTGTACTCTCTTGGTTCATTAAAATGTGTATAAATCATTTTGAAGACTAGATAGGCCCTTTGTCAGCCCAGGAAGGTCTCTCTCAATAATCTAGGAACAATGCCATTGAAATGTACACAACGAGGGAGATAGCATCCTTAATCTCCCAGTTTCTGTGGGAGGACAGGAATCTAACTTCAGTGGAAGCCAGGCTCCAGAACTACCTTCTGTCATAAAAATACGAGAAGTTTGTTTTTCCCCGGACAAGGTCAATTAGCTAACAGGAACGATCTCCTCAATTTCCAGGTAAAGTTAGGATGAATGATGTTTGCAAATAGGGCTGTCATGTTGTCTTACCTGAGAAATTGTTATTTATCTTGAAAACACGTATGTAATGCGTTGTATCTGCTGGGCGATATAAGGGGGTATGATTACTTTCTGTTTTTGGAATCTCTTAATGGATTACCTGTGATGTACCTCACATTCTGGCTTAATGTTTATTCAATAATAAAAGTGCTTTCTTTACTACCTTTATGGAGAGAATTTCTGGGTTGGGAGAAGATTATCGTTCTAATTATATTTATAATCAAATAAGTTCACATTGATATAATGAGCTTTATTATGCTTACAATGGGAAATATACTTTATAATTATTGCCTTTTTTCCTATTTGATGATTTCTTTACCTTTTCGTTAGCAATAACTATCACCACTTTATTGGTTTATTCTACTCTAAGCTCTAAGCTCCCTTCCACTTCCAATTCTTTTGACTCACAGACTGTCTGTTCCAGTTTCTTCTCAGCTTCACAACATAGTTTTTAAGTCCGGGAAACACATCTGTACTATCTTGTACAACTAGGAACCCTGCTAGTGTCCCATGTAAGTCAACTGAAAGCCTTCCCTATTTTCTTTCTTTTTTTTGAGATGGAGTCTCGCAGTTGTCGCCCTAGCTGGAGTGCAATGGCGTGATCTTGGCTCATTGCAACCTCCGCCTCCCTGATTCCAGCAATTCTCCTGCCTCAGCCTCCCGAGTAGCTGAGATTACAGGTGCACGCCACTATGCCTGGCTAATTTTTGTATATTTAGTAGAGACAGAGTTTCACCATGTTGGCCAGGCTCGTCTCGAACTCCTGACCTCAGGTGATGCACCGCCTTGGCCTCCCAAAGTGCTGGGATTCCAGCTGTGAGCCATTGAACCCGGCCAGCCTTCCCTATTTTCAAAACAAGGACTTTATCACTAGTTCTAGTTAGCCCTTCCTTTGGTTTCTGCTTTCTGGTTTTAAACTATTCCTTTTTTTTCTTTTGTTTATCCTTTAATTCTCCCTTGAGTGCTTTGAGCTGCATTTTATACTTAATGTGCATAGATTTTGTTATATAATTTAATATTCAAACTGGGACACTTTTGAGAGTGAAAAGGTGGGGTAAATAATTACTGGGAAGTTATGCCGTAACCAAGACTGTCCTAGGCAAAACTGGATGTATGTAGGCAAAAGAATCTGAGGTTGGGAGTACCTTTGACTCAAAGTAGTGATTTAGTGTAATAAACCAATCAAGTGGTTATGAACTGATTGTTAACACAAAGATAGGTAGGTAAAGAGATAGATAAATGCAATATTTGGAGTATTGGAGTATATTTATTTTAAAATATTTTTGTTGTTTATCTGAAATTAAAATTTAACTGAAGATTCCATATTCATATTTGTTAAATCTAGTAACCCCAGATGCATGGTCATCATAAATATGTTTATTGAAACTGTTTTCCTCAAGGATGGCAATTTCTTATTCATCAGTAGGGTGAATAGCTCAGCATTTACAGTATATTATTTAACATAAGTTAATAGGCTAAACACCATAAAACTAACAAATAAGGCTTATTAATTTAAATGACTAGAAAGAAATATATTTATACCATAAAAAACATAATTTCTTATTTTTAGGGGAAAATTAAGCTAATCTAATTAGGACTCTAAAGGATAAACATAATTTGAATGGCTAAATAAAATAAATCATATTGTCTATATCTTTAAAATTTTTTTTTCTCTTTTCATATATCTGTTCTCATAAACATTTTGAATAGAAAATACAAAAATATTATTACCATATAAAAGTGATCTCATTACTTTTTTGGCATTCTACAATATAGTAACTTTTTCCACTACAGTCAAAAGATGCCTATTTGCCAGTAAGTCTTCTAGAATTCTCAAAATTTTCTTTCTCTTTCTCTTGGCTGTAACAGTTCACAAGTACAATGAAAGACTAAGTCAGATGGCTGGCGTTGGTGACTCACTTCCTCCCCCTTTTGGTAGTTTAGCTAGACACCCGTCTGAGTCAGCTTAACCAAAGAACAAACAAGCAGATACAGTGCCTGAGTTCTGGGGCTCCCCCTTTGTCACAAGGCTGTTTTCAGTGTCCCATGGCATTGTTAAAGAAAGCTCTCCTTGTTACATTGTCACAATGAAGTAGCCTACCCCTCTTACTCTATCAATATGTAGAGTGGTAGTACCAGGTGAGGCATTCCTAGAACTCCTTCCAGGAAGCATCCAGATCCCCCTTCTTCAGCATGTCTCTCTGCAAGATAACACAAGCCAATGGGATGCTGTGTGCTTTGCTGTTTTCACTGCCGATATATTTGCTATATTCCCCAGGACACCCACTTTACTTTTATGCCTATGATTGCTAATTTTGTGTGTGTGTGTTTGTGTTGTGCTCCCATTACATGACATATACTGTCTGAATTAGGTGAAGATGGCAGTGGTGTAATTTCAGACCAGAGCTGCCTTTTAATTGGACTTTTATGAGACACAAAGGGCTTTTTACCCCATGTCCAGACTGAAATAAAAAAATTCAATCACTTCATTACAATAATTTGTAAGTCATTCTTTTCATTCTGAAAAATCTCCCTTTGCACTTTATAACATTTCAGAAAGTAGAACTGTTTTCATTTCTTTGTTTGTTTGTTTTTGAGATGGAGTCTTGCTCAGTAGCCCAGGCTGGAATGCAGTGGCGTGATCTTGGCTCACTGTAACCTCTGCCTCCCAGGTCCTGGTTCAAGTAATTCTTCTGCTTCAGCCTACCGAGTAGCTGGAATTACAGACACATGCCACCATGCCCAGCTAATTTTTTGTATTTTTTAGTAGAGATGGGGTTTCACCAGGCTGGTCTTGAACTCCTGACCTTGGGATCCGCCTGCCTCAGCCTCCTAAAATGCTGGGATTATAGGCGTGAGCCACCAGGCCCGGCCCAGAGAGTTGAACTGTTAAGGAAAAACATACATATTTATCTAAAATATATATATATATATTTTACTTAAGAATATATGTATTTTGAGATAGGATCTCACTTTGTCACCCAGGCTGGAGTGCAGTGGCACAATTACAGCTCACTGTAGCCTTGACCTACCAGGCTCAAGTGATCCTCTCATCTCAGCTTCCTGAGTAGCTGGGACTATATATAGGTGCATGTCCCCATGCCCGGCTAAGTTCAAAAAATTTTTTTTTCTAGATACAGGGTCTCTCTGTGTTGCCCAGGCTGGTCTAAAATTCCTGGGCTCAAGCAATCCTCCCACCTGGGCCTTTCAAAGTACTGGGATTACAGGTGTTATCCACTGTGCTTGACCAAGGAAAATAATATGTATTTCCCTCTTAAAATGAATTCAAGAGTTTTTTGGGTTTTTTTTCGACGGAGTCTCACTCTGTCACCCAGGCTGGAATGCAGTGGCGTGATCTCGACTCACTGCAACCTCCTTCTCCCGGGTTCAAGTGATTCTCCTGCCTCAGCCTCCCGAGCAGCTGGGATTACAGGCACATGCCACTACGCCCGGCTAATTTTTTTTTTTTTTTTTTTTGAGACAGAGTTTTGCTCTTATTGCCCAGGCTGGAGTGTTATGGCGAAATCTCAGCTCACTGCAACCTCTGCCTCCTGGGTTCAAGCGATTCTCCTGCCTCAGCCTCCCAAGTAGCCGGGATTACAGGCATGTGCCAACACATCTGGCTAATTTTGTATTTTTAATAGAGACGGGATTTCTGCATGCTGGTCAGGCTGGTCTTGAACTCCCGACCTCATGTGATCTGCCCGCATCGGCCTCCCAAAGTGCTGGGATTACAGGTGTGAGCCACTGTGCCCGGCCTAATTTTTGGTATTTTTAGTAGAGATGGGGTTTCACCATGTTAGCCAGGATGGTCTCGATCTCCTGACCTCGTGATCCACCTGCCTCAGCCTCCCAAGGTGCTGGGATTACAGGCATGAGCCACCGAGCCTGGCCTAAGATTTAAATAATTATGGAATCTTTGTTAAATAAGCATGAAAATTTTAGAATGTAAATTTCAGAGTTAGAAAAGAAATATTAGGTAAGTGAACATATTTACTGGTCTTGTAAATTATTTTAGGAGGACCTGGGTTACAGGCAGTTGCTTAAGGCACATATGTGAAATAAAACTTAAGGAATAGCCCTCAATGCTTCATGAATCTCCTATCCTTCCCCTTTCCTCTTTGGAATGGGTTGAGTACTTTTATGGTGAAAGTCTTATTCCTTGCTCTTTTCCTTCATATGACAAATTAATATCCTGAGCATAATATTAAAAAAAAGCAAACCAAACCTGTTTATTCTCTGCTCTGGCAGTTTGACATTTCTGTGTAGTACCCTCTGCCAAGTTGAGCTATAAATCCTCTGTGTTGATTTTACTGAGAGCTGTAAGTAAATGATACTTCTATATTTGGGGGATAATTTTATTTTGCTTTAAAATATTGAAATAAACAGAAAATCACCCAACAGACACTATCTTCTATCATTTTTCCTATAGTTTAAGGCATTTTAAAATCAAATGTTATTTTCGAATATGTTCTGCAGAAACACTTGGATTTTCCCCACTTGCCTTTACATACTTTGCTGTGTGTGATCAGGGCTGGGACATTACAAATTCTATTTCCTTGGCTCCTTTGGTACTGGCAGAAGATCAGAAGAATAAAGGAAAAGAGAAGCTTCTGGTTTCTAGCATATACCAGTGGGAAATACTGGTAGTTGTTGTTATGGCATTGGAAGTCAGATGATTTCACACTTTTTTTTTTTTTTTTTTTTTGAGACAGAGTCTTGCTCTCGCCCAGGCTGGAGTGCAATGGCGTGATCTCGGCTCACTGCAAGCTCTCTGTCCCGGGTTCACGCCATTCTCCTGCCTCAGCCTCTCAAGCAGCTGGGACTACAGGCGCCCTCTACCATGCCCAGCTAATTTTTTTGTATTTTTAGTAGAGACGGGGTTTCACCATGTTAGCCAGGATGGTCTCGATCTCCTGACCTCGTGATCCGCCCGCCTCGGCCTCCCAAAGTGCTGGGATTACAAGTGTGAACCACCGCACCCGGCTGATTTCACACTTTCAAATTGAAGCAGAACTTTTCCATGTGAAATGGTTCTTATTCAGTGTTCCAGAATCAGCCAACAGTGCAGCATCAGGTGTGTGTTCCAGGCCAGGATCATTAGCAGTTTCTAATCTCTAGGTATTATTTCCACTTCCTTCTTGCTCCCCTGTCTCCCATCATCATTTTGTTCTTCTAGATATTTTAGTACCTTTGTTTCCAATTTCCTGTTGTAATGTGTTTAAATTCTTAGTGTTTCTCTGTTTTCCTAACTGGACTTTGACTGATAAAAGTACTGATGAAAAGCCACTAGAAATCCTACACTACAAATAGAACATATGTCTTTGACACCAGAAGAAAGAGGCACCTCAAAAATGATGCTCCTTTTCTAAGAACGTATAGCGTTTCACAAAAGAATGAGGAACTACATTCATGTTTCTGAAATGAAAATGGGAGTGGTGTGTCATATTTTAAGCTCAACACAACTTCCTGGAATGTAAATTTTACTTGAAAATTTGTATTTAAAGGACAATATTTATTTCAATCTTGAAATTTTTGGGGCAGATGATTTTACTAGTGAATTCTACCAAAGATTTAAAGAAAAGTTGATAATTTTACTAGTTTAAAATCCTTTACAAACTCTTCAAAAAATAGGAGGGGGGAACACTTCACATCTCATTCTGTGAGGTCAATATTACCCTCATAACAAAGCCAGACAAAGACATCACAAAAAATAAAACTAGAGACAGTACATATATATTCATATATATGTAAAAAATGTCAACAAAACATTATCAAACTGAAGCCATCAACATATACAAAGGATTATACCATAACCAAGTGGGATTTATCACAGGAATGCAACATTGGTTTAATACATGAAATCATTCCATGTAATACACTGTATCAGTAGAATAAAAGACAAAATTAACATGATCACCTCAACAGATGCAAAATAAGATTTTGGTAAAATCCAACCCCCTTTTATGTTTAAAATACTCAACTAACCAGAAATACAAGGAAACATTTTCAAACTGATAAAGATCCATGAAAAACCTACAGTAAACTTCATAACTAATGGTGGAAGACTGAATTCTTCCCCCTAATATTAGGAATAAGACAAGGATATCCACTCTTGCTACTTCTATTCAACTTTGTGCTAGATGTTCTATGTCAATTAGTGCAGAAAATGAAGAAAAGGTACCCAGATTAGATGGAAACTAGTAAAACTCTATTTGCAGATGTCATATTGTCGTATGTAAAAGATCCTAAGGAACCCTGCACAGAAAAATATTAGCACAAATGAGTTAATTCAGCAAGACTGCAGGCGACAAAGTCAATATACAAAATACATTGTAATATGAAATCAAGAAAAATATTCAACTTATAATAGCATCAGCAAATTAAATACTTAGGATTTTTTTTTCTTTTCTTTTCTTTTTTGAGAGCCTCACTCTGTCGCCCAAGCTGGAGTGCAGTGGTGCGATCTTGGCTGACTGCAACCTCTGCCTCCTGGGTTCAAGCGATTCTCGTGCCTCAGCTTCCTCAGTAGCTGAGATTACTGGCACCCACCACCATGCCTAGCTAACTTTTGTGTTTTTAGTAGAGATGGGATTTCACCACGTTGGGCAGGCTGATCTCAAACTCCTGACCTCAAGTGATCTGTCCACCTCAGCCTCCCAAAGTGCTGGGATTACCGGCGTAAGCCACCACACCCAGCCAGATCAATTACATTTTATCAGTGATTCTGGGGATATTGTGTATCCACATCCAAAATCACGTAGTTAGACCTGTACCTCACAGCATATGCAAAATTAACTAAAAATGGATCATAGGCCTAAATGTAAGAGCTAAAACAATGAAATGCTTATAAGAAAGTATAGAAGTTATTCTTTATGACCTTGCTTTAGGAAATGGATTTTTTAAGATATGACATTAAATGTACAAGTGATAAAAGGAAAAAAAAACATCAATTGCACTGCATCATAATTAAAAACTTTTTTTTTTTTTTGAGATGGAGTCTCGCTCTGTCGCCCAGCCTGGAGTACAGTGACCCAATATTGGTTCACTGCAAGCTCCGCCTCCCGGGTGCACGCCATTTTCCTGCCTCATCCTTCTGAGTAGCTGGGACTACAGGTGTCCACCACCATGCCCAGCTAATTTTTTGTATTTTAAGTAGAGATGGGGTTTCACTGTGTTAGCCAGGATGGTCTCGATCTCCTGACCTGGTGATCCGCCCACCTCGGCCTCCCAACATAATTAAAAACTTCTGTGCTTCAAAGGACACAATAAAGAAAATGAAAAGAGAACATACAGAATGAGAGAGAATATTTGCAAATTATATATCTGATATGGGATTTATATCCAGCATATAAAATTTAAAAAGATAGGCTGGGCATGATGGCTCATGCCCATAATCCCAGCACTTTGTTAGGCCGAGGTGGGCGAACATCAGGACAGGAGTTCGAGACCAGCCTGGCCAGCATAGTGAAACCCCGTCTCTACTAAAAATACAAAAAATTAGCCAGGCATGGTGGTGCATGCCTGTAGTCCCAGCTACTCGGGAGGCTGAGGCAGGAGAATTGCTTGAGCCTGGCAGGCAGAGGTTGCAGTGAGGCAGGATAGCACCACTGTACTCCAGCCTGGGTGACAGAGCAAGAACGTGTCTCAAAAAAAAAAAAAAAAAAAAATTAAAAAGACTTAAAGTACTAACATATCAACAATTACTTTAAATGTAAATGATGTAATTACACCAATTAAAAGAGATTGGCACTATGGGTTTAAAAAATGAGCCAAGTTTATGTTGTCTACAACAAACTAACTTCAAATACAACAATGTAAGTAGGTTGAAAGTAAACAGATGGAAAAAGGTATGTACACATTAATTTAAAAAGAGCAGAAGTGGATATATTAATGTGAGATAAACTAGAAGTCAGAGAAAAGAAAGTTACCAAGCACAAAGGGAGATTATATAATGATAAAAGGTCAATACACAAAGGAGACATAGAAACTGACTTCAAAATACATGAAGCAAAAATTGATAGAACCTAATCCAAAATTATATTTGAGGATGTTAACACCACTCTCTCAACAGTTGATAGCAGGACTAGATAGAAGATCATCAAAGATATAGAAGACAGAACTACACAACCAACGAACAGGATCTAATAGAAATATACAGAACACTACACATCGAAAAGGAAAAACACATTCTTTTCAAGTGCTCATGAAACATTCATTGATACAGATTATATCCCAAGAAACTAGAAGAAAAATTAGCAAAATTGGCCCAAAGCAAATTGAAGAAATGAAATAATAAAGAGCAGAGATCACTGGAATTGAAAACAGAAAGTAGAGAAAATCAATGAAACAAAAAGCTGGTTATTTGGAAAGATCAACGAAATGAATAAACTTCTAGCAAGACTGATGAATATTAAAAAGTAGAAGACACAAATTAGCAATATAAAAAACAAAACAAGCAATATCTTTACACATTATGCAGCTGTTAAAATGATATAAAGGAAGCACTATAAACAGCTCTGCATATACAAATACAGCAATTTAGATGAAATGGACCAAATCCTCTGAAAAGTCAAACTACCAAACATCCAACCTGAATGTCATGATCTAATTAACCTAACAATTCCAAAAAAATTGAATCTATAGTCTAAAAATATTTTAAAAAGACATCTCCAGGTTCATATTATTTCACTGGAGAATACTACCAAATATTTAAGTAAGAATTAGTATTAATTCCAATTCTACATAATCTCTTTGAGAAAACAGAAGTGGAGGAAACACTTCCCAACCCCTTTTTTTTTTTTTTTTGAGACAGGGTCTCACTTTGTTGCCCAGGCTGTAGTGCAGTGGCATGATTTGGGCTCACTACACCCTCTGCCTTCTGAGCTCAAGCAATCCTCCCATTTCAGCCTCCCATGTAGCTGGGACTACAGGTGTGCCCCACCATGCCTAGCCAATTTTTGTATTTTTTTGTACACTTGGGGTTTTGCCATGTTGCCCAGGCTGGTCTCAAAGTCCTGGGCTCAAGAGATCCTCCTACCTTAGCCTACCAAGGTGCTGGGATTACAGGCATGAACACTGCTTTCTGCCCCAACTCATTTTATGAGGCCAGTAGTATCCTAATGCCAAAACCACATAGCACAAAGAAGGAAAACAACCAAATGATCATTATCTCTCAACTTCTCAAGAATTTAGACACAATAATCCTCAACTACATACTAGCACACTGAATCTAGTGGTGTGTGTATATATATGATATTATATATAAATGATATTTTATACATATTAATATATATAATTAATATATATGTAAAATGACCAAGTAGGATTTGTTCCAGAAATACAAGGCTGGTTCAATATTAAAAGTTAATAAATATATCTGTAAGATAATAACAAAAGATCCATTTATATCACTATGTGTCCGGAATTGGTTCCTTCCGGTGGGTTCTTGGTCTCGCTGACTTCAAGAATGAAGCTGCAGACTCTCGCGGTGAGTGTTACAGTTCTTAAAGATGGTGTGTCCAGAGTTTGTTCCTTCAGATGTTCAGATGTGTCTGGAGTTTCTTCCTTCCCGTGGGTTTGTGGTCTCGCTTGACTTCAGGAGTGAAGCCGCAGACCTTCGCAGTGAGCGTTACAGCTCTTAAAGGTGGTGCACTCACAGTTGTTTGTTCTTCATGGTGGGTTCATGGTCTCCCTGACTTCAGGAGAGAAGCTGCAGACCTTAGCAGTGAGCGTTACAGCTTATAAAAGTAGTGTGGACCCAAACAGTGAGCAGCAGCAAGATTTATTGTGAAGACCGAAAGAACACAGTTTCCACAATGTGGAAGGTGACCCAACCAGGTTGAGGCTGCTGGCCCCGGTAGCCAGCTTTTATTCCCTTATTTGGCTCTGCCCACGTCCTGCTGATTGGTCCATTTTACAGAGTGCTGATTGGTCCATTTTACAGAGTGATGATTGGTCCGTTTTTACAGAGTGCTGATTGGTGCATTTACAAACCTTTAGCTAGACACAGAGCACTGATTGGTGCATTTTTACAGAGTGCTGATTGGTCCGTTTTTACAGCGTGCTGATTGTGCGTTTACAAACCTTTAGCTAGACACAGAGCACTGATTGGTGCGTTTTTACAGAGTGCTGATTGGTGCGTTTACAAACCTTTAGCTAGACAAAGAGTGCTGATTGGTGCGTTTTTACAGAGTGCTGATTGGAGCATTTACAAACCTTTAGCTAGGCACAGAGTGCTGATTGGTGTGTTTACAATCCTTTAGCTAGGCAGAAAAGTTCTCCAAGTCCTCACCAGACCCAGAAGCCCAGCCAACTTCACCTCTCAACTAGAGTCCTAGAAAATAAGCCTGGGTACTAAAGATTATTCAAAGAAATAATGGCTGAAAACTTCCCAAAGTTAGTGAAAGAAATAAACCTACCAGTTCAAAATATTGAGTGAAACTCAAACAAGATAAACTTATTAAAGAAATCTATGCCAAGACATATCATAATGAAACTTCTGAGAGCTAAATAAAAACAAAACAAAATGAAATAAAATCTTAGAACACACTGTAGAGAAGCACTACATTATCTATGGAGGGAAATTATTAAAGTGTTTTTTTATCTGAACCTATGAAAGCAAGGAGAAAGTGGTACAATGGTGTTCTGGTTTCAACCTCAGTAAAAATATCCACTGGAAGGAAGTAGAAATAAAGACATTCTCAGATGAAAGTAACCTAAGAAATTTCTTGCCAGAAGAACTACCCTTAAAAAATGTCTAAAAGGGGCCAGGCACGGTGGCTCACACCTGTAATTCCAGCACTTTGGGAGGCTGAGGTGGGCAGATCACAAGGTCAGGATATCCAGACCATCCTGGCTAACACGGTGAAACTGGGTCTCTACTAAAAAGACAAAAAATTAGCCAGGTGTGGTGGTGGACGCCTGTAGTCCCAGCTACTCAGGAGGCTGAGGCAGGAGAATGGCGTGAACCCGGGAGGCGGAGCTTGCAGTGAGCCAAGATCGCGCCACTGCACTCCAGCCTGGGGGACAGAGGGAGACTCCGTCTCAAAAAAAAAAAAAAAAAAAAGAAAAAAGAAAAGAAAAAAAAGTCTAAAAGTATGTTTTCTAAGGAGAAAGGAAACAATAACAGAAGGAGGCTGGGATTTCAGGAGGAAGGAATTTAAAAAGGAAATGGGTAAAAATAGGGGTAAAAATAATAGACAATATTTTTGTCTCATGAGTTTTTAAACCGTGTTTGAAGTTGAAATGAGAATTATAACATCATCTGATATGGTGCTTAAAATACGTAGAGAAAATATTGAAAACATTTATATTTAAAAGCATGGTGAGTAAAAGGATCTAAATAAAGCTATGGTTCCTACATTTCCCTCAAAGTGATAAGATGTTGATACTAGTAGACTGTAACATGCAATGTCTGAACATTGTAATGAGAGCATCCATTAAAAACTATACAAAGAGATACATTGAGAAACACTCTCGATAAACCAAAGTAGTGTTCTAAAATATTTGAAGAGAATAAGAAATGGGAAAAAGAGGAATAAGAATGAGAAAAAAATGAAACTCAACCTAAACTTCACAACTTAAAGAAATTAACTCAAAATGGATCATAGATTTAAGTGTAAAATATAAAGCCATAAAACTTTTAGAATATGATATAGGAGAAAATCTTTGGGACCTAGGGCAAGGTGAAAGGTTCTCAGATTTGACACAAGAAACATGATTCATAAGTGAAAAAAATTAATAAATTGGACTTCATTAAATTAAAAACTTTTTCCCCACAAAACACTGTGTGAAGAGATTGAAAAGACAAACTACAGGCCGGGCACGGTGGCTCACACCTGTAATCCCAGCACTTTGGGAGGCCGAGGAGGGCGGATCACCAGGTCAGGAGATTGAGACCATCCTGGCTAACACGGTGAAACCCCGTCTCTACTAAAAATACAAAAAATTAGCTGGGCGTGGTGGCGGGCGCCTGTAGTCCCAGCTACTCAGGAGGCTGAGGCAGGAGAATGGCGTGAACCCGGGGGGCGGAACTTGGCAGTGAGCGGAGATTGCGCCACTACACTCCAGCCTGGGCGACAGAGAAAGACTCCGTCTCAAAAAAAAAAAGAAAAAAGAAAAGAAAAGACAGACTACAGTTTGGAATAAAATAACTGCAGGTCACATATCTGACAAAGGCCTTCTATCAAGAATCTATAAAGAACTCTCAAAGCTCAACATTAAAAAAAATCCCGTTTGGAAATTGGCAAAAGAAATGTAAAAGCATTTTGTCAAAAATGACACATGAATTGCATGCAAATGAGCACATTTAAAGATGTTCAACATCATTAGCCATTAGAAAATGCAAATTAAAACCACAATGAGATAATACTATATATCTGTCAGAACATCTAAAACACAAAATAATTATATAGTTGGCCCTCCATAAGCGAGATTTCTCATTTTATGTAAGGGACTTGAACATCAGTGGATATGGTATCAGTCAGAGGAGGAGTCCTGGAAACAATCTTCTGTGAATAGGAAAGGCAGACTGTCATAACAAATATTAGTGAGGATGTGGAGAAACTGGATTTCTCCTACATTGCTGTTGGGAATGGAAAATGGTGCAGTCACTCTGAAAAATAGTCTGCCAGATTTTACAAACCTAAACATGTAGTTATAGTACAACCAGGAATTATTTTTTGGGCATTTATCCCAGAGAAATTAAAACATGTTCACACAAAACATTTGAATGTTAAGAACAGTTTATATAGTAAAATACTGGAAATTACACAAATGTCTTTAAATGAGTATATGGATGAAAAAGCTCTGGTACATCCATGCAGTAGAATACTACTCAGCAATAAAAAGTAATGAACTATTGATACTATGTAATGATCTGAATGAACTCCAAGGGCATTTTGGTTACTGAAAAAAGTTAATTTCAAAATATTACATACTGTATGATTCTATTCATATAATACCCTCAAAAAGACAAAACTACAGAGACGGAGAACAGATCAGTGGCTGCCAGGACACAGGAACAGGTGTAGTGGGGAAGGGGGACACAAAGAGGTAGTAGAAGGGAGTTCTTTTGTGGTGCTAAAGAAATCTGTATTTTGACTATAGTGGTGATTACACAAATTTTGCATGGAGAAGGGTGCACAGAGACACACGCACACACGCACACAATGAATGCAGATTTTTAACCACTAATATGTTAACCTTTATTTCCCAGTTTTGATTTTGTACTACAGTGATATAAGATGTCATCATCAGAGGAAGCTGAGTGAAGGTTGCATGGGACTTTTCTATTTTTACAACCTCCCATGAGTTTATTCTCAGTTCATAACAAAAAGTTTAAAAAATGTGTTTGGAATATGCCAACTCAATGAACCTAAGAAAATGTTATTTTCTTTGTTGGTGAATATTGTGTTGCTTTTATTTAAGCCTGGAAAGCATAAATTTTTATGTGCAATTGCTGATTAGAAAATTTGGCACTTCTGTACTTGGAGAATAAAGTGGCATTAACATTGCCTCCCAAACAGTTGATTTGGGCAAGCTGCTAGAGGAAGAACAGTGTGTGCTGAGGTTGCTCATGGCACTGGCTACCAAAGTAAAAGAGCTGAAAATTGTGATGTCTTCATGTAAACTCAGAGACCCATACAGCCAGTATTTTGATAAATTATTTTGCTACTGCAGGAATCACTGTTTTAGATTACACCCCACCAGAAGTCATTGATTCCAAAAGAGCTTAAAAGTTTCTAAGTTACTCTCATTGTAAACTTTGTTTACAAGCAAGTGATTCCAATTAGCTCTACATCCTACTAATAGCAGATAAGTATCACCCGTGCCACCCACTAAATATTCTGTTTTGTGTGTATAGTTACCATTTTTTCCATTTACACATTTAAAGTGTAATAATTTTAAAATTATATTTCCAACGGGAAACACATATTGTGATTTAATACAGAAAGTTTGAATCATAAATTTGATATTGGGTAAAATAGGAAAGACAATTTAAAAATTTTAGTACAATTAGAAATCCGCAAAGATTGGAGAGATGAGACTTTCCCAAAGAAATTGATGGCGAAAAATATCACAGACAATTCTCTTTACTACTGGTAGTAGGTGGATGCCATCTAAAAATAGTAGATATACTCAGAGGCATATTTAAGATAGCTTTAATACTGTGTAACTGCCAAAGGTTTGATCCTTTATATCTTTCAGTGGATAAAATCCTGAGAATAATTACATAAATCTTCATTGTTTTTTGTGGGTAACATAAAAATAAACTGTTCAAACAACGAGAAAACATTGTATTAACAAAAGAAAAAAATATTCGCTAGGAATGAAAACCACAATTGAAAAGCCAAAATTACTTGATAATTAAAGTCTATTTACAATAACAACAACAACAACAACAAACCCCAGTCAAAAAAAATTGGTAAATTCCACACTGAAGTTAAGGTCAAACTTGTGTGGAGCTTAACAATAAACTGGTAAAGGCCAGGCGCGGTGGCTCACGCCTGTTATCTCAGCACTTTGGGAGGCCGAGGCGGGGCGGATCACGAGGTCAGGAGATCGAGACCATCCTGGCTAACACGGTGAAACCCCGTCTGTACTAAAAGTACAAAAAAAAAAAAAAAAAAATTAGCCAGGCGTGGTGGCAGGCGCCTGTAGTCCTGGCTACTCGGGAGGCTGAGGCAGGAGAATGGCGTGAACCCGGGAAGCGGAGCTTTCAGTGAGCAGAGACCGCGCCACGGCACTCCAGCCTGGGCGACAGAGCTAGAGTCCATCTCAAAAAAATAAAAAAATAGAAAATAAAAAATAAACTGGTAAAGTGAAAAAGCCATACCTATTAAATGATACCCAAGGAAACAATTCTAACATTGAAGAAGGATAACCTGGAATGATTGGCTGAGAGATGAATCATAACCTTGCTATTTAGTTTACATTGGAAATAATGGACAATAATAATTTAGGAATGTAGTTATTGATCTTTGTCTACTAATTTTAAAAGGATAATTTATACTGAAATAACTGGTAAAGATAATTTTTAAAGATATTTGAGATTAAAAAAATGAATGTAATAACACATATAGATGGGTGTATGCATGGAAACAAATCTGTGATGCTGACATTGGCGGGAAAGGTAGCATTTCTGTATCCTGCGTGAATCAGCAGCCCTGCAGTCACTCACTAATAATATCTCCTCTCAAAGAGTTTGTCTCTTGGTTTTCTTTTTCTTTTTTTTTTTTTTTTTGGGACAGAGTCTTGCTCTGTCACCCAGGCTGGAGTGCGATGGCATGATCTCAGCTCACTGCTACAACCTCCACCTCCCAGGGTCAAGTGATTATCCTGCCTTACCCTCCACCTGTATCCTGGGATTACAGGTGCCTGCCACTACATCCGGCTAATTTTTGTATTTTTAGTAAAGACTGGGTTTCACCATGTTAGTTAGGCTAGTCATGAACATCTCTTGGTTTTCTTTGTGCTTTACTGAGCTGGAAAGAAATGCTGGATTTTGTTTAATATTAGTAGAAAAAAATTTAGATGCTTATCTTTTTAGATTAATCCATAAGGAAATGGGAGATGAGGCCAGGTGTGGTGGCTCATGCCTGTAATCCCAGCACTTTGGGAGGCCAAGGCGGGTGGATCACTTGAGGTCAGGAGTTCAGGACCAGCCTGGCTGACACGGTGAAACCCCATCTCTACTAAAAATACAAAAGATTAGCCAGATGTGGTGGCTGGCGCCTGTAATCCCAGTTACTCAGGAGGCTGAGGTGGGAGAATTGCTTGAATCTGGGAGGTGGAGGTTGCAGTGAACTGAAATCTGGCCACTGCACTCCAGCCCGGGCGACAGAGCAAGACTCTGTCTCAAAAAAAAAAAAAAAAAAAAAAAAAAGAAAGAAAAGAAAAGAAATGGTGGGAGATGAGTTTGAAAACTTGCTCTTTGACATATGTATTTGTTGGCTTAGGCAGAGAAAAATACTGATCAGATTTTCAATTATTGGAATTACTCTTTTTAAAGTGGAGAACTGAAAAACTTTTCATGACAATGCCTGAAACATAGGTTAAAATGACTAATTATTGTTTTGCCTAATGGTAAACTGGTTCTCAAAGTTGGCTTATTCAGCCAAGATATTTTAAGGGTAACTTCTCTGTGAAAGTGAAATTGTGAAAGCTTTCATTGGTGAATTACATTTCACTTTTAATTCTGTGCAATAAGATTGCAACAGAATTAAAGTGTGAGAGCTGTGAAGAGTTTTATTGACAATAAAATTTTGAACACTTAATTCAACTACATAAAATTAAAGTCTAGGTAATTTGTTATTTTTCCTCCTTCAAAAAGGCCCTTCAACTATTGTTTTCCTAAGACAATGGAAGAGACAGCCTTATGATATTTCACATGATGCAAGTCCTTTGACCTTTTGTTATTAATTTAATTAATAATAAAATTAATTTTAAGCCTCTTAAATATTTATTTAACAGGATTAAAATCTTTAATTCTTCTTTAATTCTGTTAAATAAGAGAATTTCTACCAGCGGTCATCTGAAATATTACAGTATGCTATCTCTTTAGTAGTATTCTGGTCATCTTGTCTTAGTGATTGTATTATAAAATTTTCAAAACAACAAGAAAACAGTTCAATTTGTATGCACATTTTTCAGTGGATTCAGATTCTCAAAATATGCTGACACCAGAACAGAAATTACTGTACCATATATATTCAGGTCAGCTCAAGTTTTTGAAATAAGTAAATTTAGTGCAGCAAAAATTAGGCATGTGCAGCAAAAAGTCTGCACTCTTAATCCAGCTGTGACTAAACGAGGAGTCAGAGAAGAAAAACTTTTTTTTTTTTTGCTGATAACAAGTAATTAAAATATTTACAAATTTAATGAATTCACTGTTCTCCTAAGCAGCCTGAGGTGATCTATGAAAACGGTTTGCTATTCACTTGACCCAGAAAACTCCACAAAATCATGCCAACCAACAGGTTCAAATCTTTGTGTTCATTTTAAGAACACTCGTGAGTCTGCCCAGGCCATCAAGGGTATGCACATACAAAAAGCCACTAAATATGTCACTTTATAGAAACAGTGTTCACTATTCTAATGTTACAAGGGTGGAGTTGATAAGTGTGTCCAGGACAAACAGTGGGGTTGGACACAGGGTCAGTGGTCCAAAAAGAGTGCTGAATTTTTGCTGCATGTGCTTAAAAATGCAGAATTATGCTGAGTGAACTTAAGGTTGTAGACAGAGATTCTCTGGTCATCGAGCATATCCAGGTGAACAAAGCACTCAGGATGCGCCGCTGGACTTACAGAGCTCATGGTCTGATTAAATCCATACCTTAACTCCCCTGCCACACTGAGATAATCCTTACACAAAAGAAACAGATTGTTCCTAAACCGGAAGAGGTGGATCCACCGGAGAAAAAGAGATCCCAGAAGAAACTGAAGAAACAAAAACTTATGGTGTGAGAATAATAAAATAAAATACATGCAAACAAAAGTTAAAAAAAAAATCTTGTTAATTCTTTTTTTGTTTTTTGAGACACAGTTTCATTCTGCCTCCCAGGCTGGAGTGCAGTGGCGTGATCTCGGCTCACAGCAACCTCCATCTCCTGGGTTCAAGTGATTCTCATGCCTCAACCTTCCGAGTAGCTGGGATTACAGGTGTGTGCCACCACACTTGACTAATTTTTGTATTTTTAGTAGAGACAGGGTTTCTCCATTGTGGCCAGGCTGGTCCCGAACTCCCGACCTCAACTGATCCGTCCGCCTCTGCCTTCCAAAGTGCTCAGATTACAGGCGTGAGCCACCGTGCCCGGCTGAAATCTTAATTTATTCAACGTAATCTCTGCTGGCATTTTTCTAAGTGCTTGGCATAATCAGTGAATGAAGCAGATAGAATCCTGGTTTGTTTATAAACATTTTCAAGTTAAAACCCTTCAAAGTTAAAGAATTTTCTCTTAACAATGGGCTTCTTTAGATACTGTCAGGGACCTTTGAAGGACTATTTCTTTTCTCTCCAATTAGAGAAAACTTACTGGAAACAGTCAAGAAACACTGATTTAGATGCTCTTTAATTTCTCTAAGGACCTAGGTAGTTAATCTGAGAATCAGAAGGCTCTTAGGATGAGTGTGAAAGAAGTCAGTTGATAGAATTGGGTGACCTCCAGGGATATCTGTCTGGCACAGATCCATCTGGAGGCATCTCCTGTTCCCACAACAGAAGGAAGTAGCCCTGTGGCAGAAAGTTTCTGTTCTCGGAGCCTGGCCTTTCTCACTGGACAGTAGTGGGTCAACACTGGATATTCTTGCTCTTGGGGTCCCTTTTCCTGCGCTCCATGCAGCCCATCACCCCACCGTAGATGGAGCTCAGGACTGGTCCATTCAGTTTCACTGCCTTTGCTTATACTCACGTGGCATTTCTTTCTCCATGAGACTGTATTTATTCTTACCAATGCAGTACAGGTGTTCCCTATGCTCATCTACTTCATATTTATATAGACAATTTTAAGTAATTTTATAAGTTATAAAAATGGTCCTACTCTTTAATTATGTGCCTATTTTTGATTTTAATTGAAGAAAAATATATTTCCTAATTTCTGTTCTTATTGTCAATTATATGAAAGTATAGATGGTTTATTTTATTTATTACATTAACAGGTAAAGTTTTAGGTTCTAGGGATAGAGTCACAAGAAAATGACAATAAATGGAAAGTGGAGAGAAAAGAGAGGCTCAGTCCGCACCTCATCATCTTTGTGTCTTTTTCAGTTTCTCACAGTGAGGTCTTCTGATGGTTTCCTATAATTTTTTTTTTTCTGAAAATATCCCAGATGAGGGCTCAAGCTGCATGGAGCCTCCATTTATTTCAGCTTAGTGGTGATTACTGTCCTAGTTGCCTGCAAATGGGTCCTCATTTGCCACTGTAGTCTTTTTAGGTTCCAACTTTAGTAAAGATGTGATGTGCTGGTAAAGACCTCTCAATTCCTATTTCCAATGGGCCTGCCTCCCTACCTCAGGCTGTATCTCTTAACTTTCCTACATGCTGGTCCCCAGGACTGGGATTCTTGATCTCAGATCTTGCATTTGCCAACTTTTTTTTCCCCCCTGGACACTTTATTCTACCCTGGCCCAGAGTCAGGTCTCTGCTGTTTTAGGAAGAGATCTCCTTGAGGATGGACTGCCTATCTGACCTGTGAGCACTGTCCACCCTGGAGTCCTCGATGTAGTGCTTTTCCCAGCCCCTGGATCTGTCTGGAAAGCCTAGATGCTTGCTTTTGCTAAGTAGAATACCTCATAAATTCACTTAGCTCTGGCTCTGTGGGCTACATGGCCACCATCTTTAACTAGGTGGCATGCCAGGTCTCAGTATCTCTCTCCTTACCTCTGCTTTTCTAGGAAGAATCTTTATTCCCAATCATTTACCTCCTGAGTTTTCACAGATGGAGACTTTTGCCCCCTATTACTCCTACATGTAGCTTCCTCTAAAGAATATTGTGGGTGCTTCTCTGGCTTTCATTGCAAATGAACTATTTTACTACAGATATCATTAACTCAAAAAACCCTTTACTGGGTTAATTTTAAACAGAAAATTTTAAGAAAATATTCAAATAAACAAATATATAATTCAGGTTAGACAATTTGGTGTTGAGACTGGTCAGCATTATGTAAGAAAAAATCTGCAGATCCCAAATAGCTGGATTAAATTTGTTTAATGATTCTTATAAAATTGCCATGAGTAAGTAATTGAAAAATAAAGCTTCAAAAATAAACTGGCAGCAGAGCACAATTGCAGTCACATTGCTTAACAACAGGGATATGATCTGAGAAACGTGTTCTCAGGTGATTTCATCACTGAGCGAACATCACAGAGTGTAATTATATAAATCTAGATGGTAGGCTTGAAAGTATGATCTATTGCTCCTAGGCTACAAACCTGTACAGCATGTTACTGTACTGAATACTAAAGGCAATTGTAACACAATGATATCTGTATATGTAAACATAGAAAAAGTATAGCAAAAATATTGTATTATAATCTTATCATCATATATGTGCATTGAACTGGTTTGTGCAGCATGTGACTGTAATTTTGAGTGAGGTTTATATTGGAAATTACTGTATGCTTGCTATGGTTTGAATACGTACCTCCAAAATTCATGTTGAAACTTAATCTTCAATATTAAGAGGTAGGGCCTTTAGGAGGTGATTGGATTATGAAGGCTTCTCTTTCATGAATGGGATTTAAGGCCCTTATAAAAGAAGCATCACATAGCATTCAGCTGCTTCTTGCTATTCTGCTGTTTCTCCATTGTTGGCCCCTTCTGCCATATAAAGACACAGCAATAAGGCACCACCTTGAAAGCACACAGCAGCCCTCACCAGACACCGAATCTGCTTGCAGCTTGATCTTGGACTTCCCAGCCTCCAGAACTGTAGAGAAATAAATTTCTGTTCTTTATAAATAACCCAGTCTCAAGTGTGTTTTGTTATAGCAGCACAAATGAGCCAAGATAATACTTCAAGCAAACTGCTTTTATTTATTCTGGAGTATATGTAACTTATGAAGTGTGAAACTATTCTGATTCTTTTGAAGATTGAGGTCAGGATTCAGTTGACGCTAGAGATGAATACTGATTGGCTATTTATTGGTTTTACTTCAACATCATGTCCTACATACAAAATTTATATAAAATCAGAGCATAGGCATTAAAAGTGGAAATATTTTGTTAAAGCCTTGTTCACAACTTCTTGAATTTCATAAAACCATTTAAGTCAGGGGTGATGACTTTTGATGATCATTGAAAGAGGGAATCAACAGAAACTCCCAATGAGAGCAAGATAAACAATTTGTGTCATGTATAAAATGAACAAAACAAAAATGAAAAAGAGCTGTTCAATCTTTTTTTTTTTTTGTCTTCTCTTCCTTGGGAAAAGAAGGCTGGAAAAATAGCCTGAGCTAGGAGTCTGAAGAGCCATCTATTTAACTATCATCTTCAAAAATATTTATTCTAAATATTATCTTGACTACTTAATTTTTCCTTCTTACTTAGAAATCACAATGCCTGCCTTGTAGTTTGTTGTAAGAAGCAGACAAGTCGTGGAATATGAATTTGCTTTGCAAACAATAAGGTCATAGATGCACATGGGACATTTATACAGGAGAGCAGATCATGAGTGAGCCCAGGCTTGGATTCTGTCCCTGCAATCTTGGCAGCCATGCAGACCTCTTTGAATCTCAGGTTTCCCACCTCTAAATGAACTTGTTCTGAGTTCATAGGTCCCTCAAAATCTAAACCGTTACCTACTTTCTAGATTTCTCCATAGCTTCATATAAACAGATTTTTTTCCTAAGAATTTGTTAATTTAACCTATTGGATTAATACTATCATTGAAATGTGTATCAGATTTTAAGTATCATGATTTTATTCCCAATAAAACAAAAAATTATTTTCTATGATGAATATGCATACAATAAAAATGACGAGAAATCATTTTTGGTACTTGTCTGAAGAACTCATCCCCAATTTTTGCCTTTTTTGCTTTGCAAAGCACATTTTCTTGTAGGAACATATTTTCAGGGTGAGATGAACAAGTCATAGTTATAAGTTCTTTTTTTTTTTTTTTTTTGAGACAGAGTCTCACTCTGTCACCCAGGCTGGAGTGCAGTGGCGCGATCTCTGCTCACTGCAAGCTCTGCCTCCCGGGTTCATGCCATTCTCCTGCCTCAGCCTCCCGAGCAGCTGGGACTACAGGTGACCACCACAATGCCTGGCTAATTTTTTGTATTTTTAGCAGAGAGGGGGTTTCACCGTGATGAAACCAGGATGGTCTCCATCTCCTGACCTCGTGATCCCCCCACCTTGGCCTCCCAAAGTGCTGGGATTACAGGCAAGAGCCACCGCGCCCACCAGTTCTAAGTTCCGATACATGTACTTGCTACTTAAGAAAAACATGCCGAATTTAAAGCAAATAGTACTGTAATAAAAAAATCTGATTTTCCTGAAAATGGTTTAATTTTATGATGTAAATGCAAATCTTAGAAGTAAAAACTTTTTTCAAAGAAGACTTTTATCAGACTCAATTAGCAGTTAAATGGGTAGAGAGAGGATGTCAGTGTACGAGAAGCCATATGGAGTTTTGGGTGGCCAGGAGCAGGAAGTCAGGCAGGTTTGGCTTCAGTTGTACTACCTAGAGATATTTTGGAAGAAGCTAGAGTGAACTGTGTACATATATGAGTTTAGATTTCATAAGACACTTAGCTTTACTGGAGTTCACTGCAGAAAATGAGGGAAAGAAAAATGTTCTCGATGTATACAAATGCCACAGACAGTTGTTTTTACACCTACTTTATTTGATAGCTTCTAATGGCTGAAGGAGATTTCAATATCAAGTAGTTGTTTGTCACAAATGTGCCTAAAAATAACTTTAAAGATCTTTGTAGGGAAGCAGAAACTCTTAAGTCCAGATGTTTTCTCAGGATAACTAAACCTGGTAAAATCACCTATATAGAAGTAAATAATATTTTATGGCCACATCTGCAAAATGAAATATGATCATCTTCATTGTCGATATAAAAACAAATGAAAGTTATGGGTAATTTTTGATAAAATGAATTATACAAAGCATCATTTATATTTTTATATTTGGCTTTGGGACATAAGGCAATATGGAGAACTTATGTGACACTGACACAAACACACACACACACACACACACACAAACTCAAGTACTCCTCTCTGCCTCATCCTTATTCCTTTCTGAGATCAGCCCATAATATCAGTAATCCTCTGCTGAACTAAAATAATATTTTTGCTCCAAAAGTCTGCTAGGGAAAACATCTATTAATATATGTTTTTAAATCAAATATTTCCAGAAATGCTTACAAGTCCCTTTAAATCTAGCAATGATAGCATAATAAAGGGCATATTCTAGGGAAGAAAATGCCCACCTAAAGTAGAAATTTACCAGTTAAAAATCACAAAACATCAAAAACTATTTTCAAGGATTATTTCCATTTACCTAATAGGTTTTTCCATTTAAAAGTTATAAAATATTTAAAAAGAGAAAACAGAACATTCAAATAACCTTAGTTTTTCAGTTTTACAATCAAGGAGTTGGACTAGATGCTATTTTTTTTTTCTCAGCTCTAACTATAATTTTAGTCAACATAAGAAGACGTTAAAATGTGTCCCACTGGTTCATTCAACTGTTAATAGAAAAAAGTGGCTTAAAATTGTGAAGTCTGAAAGTATAGCCATTCTAATTTACAGATAACAAAGGCAAGTCCTAGGAAGAAAAGTGACCACCCAAGGGCATCCATCCATTCAGAGATCAAGCAATGTCACTGTTTTCAAATCTGCCTGATCATCAATATTTTGCTTTGTTTTGTTTTGTTTTATTAATGGTTCTGGAGTCCCAGTCCCTACCCCTGGAAATTTTGCTTTAGTAATATGGGGTGAGATCAGAAATTTCATTTTTTAAAGAGATCCTCAATATTCTAAGGAACCACAGATCATACCAGACTACTTGGGATACACTGGTGGAGAGGAACAGATAGGTTGCACAGTCCTTGGGCAGGCTCTCCATTGTCACACAACAGCATTTTCCTAACAGGTCCGTCATTTTATGACCCAGGGTTCCTCTTTCCTGGTGTTTTCTCCCCTCTAGCTGGAAAGCATATTATGAGAGTGATATTACTTGGTGTCTAGTTTACTTTTCTTTGATAGCTTCCTGTGGAAAAGGATCTTCCTGAAGGAAATAAGAATTAAAAGAGTAGATGTATAGACCTTAGTTACCATCCAATACAAATCACTCTAGACCTTTAATTCCACTTAACTACCGAAACTGTCCTTACAGTAAAGTATGAATCTAGACATCACCATGCTACAGTCTTGAGCCTTTCAAGGAAGTCTGCAATTTGAAAATTATTTTCTTTACCTCAGGTCATGGGGTACAATGAAGTGAATTTCTCTAAATGGTTCAAATACATCATAAGGAGATGGCTCTTGGAATACATTTGGCATAAGAATTTCTTAGTAAAAGAAAAGCTTAAATAGAGTTAATATCTAATAACATAACATAATTGGTTTTATATAGTGACAGTAGAGAGCAAAGTTCCTTCTAAAATCTTCCATTTAGAATTCCAAGCCCCTCGACATTCATATTTCTGTCAGTTTTCAATATAGATTTTATGTGTTCACTGTATGCAAACTGTAGCCAAAATACACATTTCTATTCCTGATGCTACTGTGGATGTCAAGGTTTAGTTTAAGCCTTTTTTCGGTAGCAAACTGTGAGAAGTATAATTTCAGCTTTCAAAGAAATATTATTCCTGATCTTCCTTGTTAGTAAAAAAGTAACTTAGTTTGTTATCTATTAATTTTAAGGAAAAGATTAGAAAAAGGAAAAAAATAATAAATGACTTACCTCTAAGTATGTATGACTCCATGTTAAAGCAGCTAAACTAAAAGCTTACCACAACTTAAAGAAAAACTAAAATTCAACATCATTCAGTTTCTTTTTGCATCCCATTTAGGAAATGTTTGTTGCTGAGGCTGACAAAATAAATTCATCATTTAATCATGTCATTTATAATGCAGTCTCATGATACTGTCTCTGAGGATCAAATATTCAGTTAAAGCCATACTAGACTACCAAATAATATATAAAACATTTATGAACATTTTATGCTTGCTTTACAAGGCTGATCTATTAAACTTGTGACATTTTTATTTAAAAAGAATAAACAAGAATATCAATGGTATTATTTTATCCTTATATGGGTTAAGAAATTATTTATGAGTTGTCTTTAGAAATCTACCAATGTTAGATGTGTGCATAATTCTTCTTTTTCATTGTAGCTGGGGGCCAAGGAAGTGGTCAATTAATATTTGTACTGCAAATGCCTTAAGTGGATACCTATTAAAAGGTATACAAAATATAAACAGTACTGCATATTTTCAAAACTTTTAAATAAACACAAAGAATATATAGGTATACATGTTATAATTTCAAAGTCAACACTAGCACATAAGTTTTTCATATCTAAATACATACTAGGATACTTCCTATTTCAACACATGCACCTACAAACACATGGCCATGCACATAACCTTACTTTCTGCCACTTGCAACAAAGAATATACAATATTGTACATTGTTTCAACTTATATTGTATTGGAAAACTAATGAGGATGGCATTAAAAAATTCTGATCTAAGAAATCAAAATGCAGGAAGATAATTATTCCTTAGATTAAAAACACTGAAGACTGATGGAAAGTTAAGATTCAAATTGCTTGTCGGAAGAGAACAGGTCCGCCTGTAAACACTCAGAATGCTCTGTTTGACAAGTGGGACTAGAACTTCTGTAATATAGCAATCCAGGCCAAAGACTTAAACCATCAATGCTTCGGATCGCAGAGAAATGGTATAGTTGTGGGTAGTTCTCCGCAAGGCAGGGGGTGCAGATGGAGATCTGGATGCCCATCTGGAGGGGAGACGACGATTTGCTGGTCTAGCAGGTCGGGAAAATCCTTTTCCATGTGAGGCGTTCACTGACATGGATTCCTAGGACACAAGTAAAAACATTCCTCTCACTCTCTGGGTACCAACAATAGGCTTAATATATGATGGGTCTCAACTATAAGATTAGTCCGTTAGTAAATTTACAAGAAAGAAAAAGCATTGAAAACTAAAGAAGGTAGTTGTCTAATATTTGTGGTTTTGAATGTTTTAAAGCAATTCAATTTTAATATGGAATATGATATTTGATAATTTTGTACCTTTCCTTACACTGACAAATTTTAATACAGTTAATCTCTCTGTAGAACTAATGATGAGCTCAGGATTTAAAATTTCAAGTTAAATAACTTGAATATCATGGAAATACAGATGTTTCTTAGTGCGCTGTTAGTATGTTACAGTGTTATTTAAAAATAAAAAGATAATTTATAGAAGAAACTGTTCATTTATGTCAAATTCATTGACACTTTTAGAGGTGATACGCAAAAGGCACACAAACCAAATGATTAATCTGATGCTTTTTTTTTTCACTATCACTGGCACTATCTATCAAAACCTTAAAATTATCATTAAAATACTTTTAAATACATCTTCATTCTAATTACTAATACAAAATTGCTATCTCTTGGGCATGTTCTGATGAGAGAAAACCTTTTCCTTCACTTTTCTTCTCTTTCTTTTATTTTCTTCCTTCTTTCCTTTTATTTTAATGGAAAAAAAGCATTCCTTGGTCCTTAAAATTAAAACAAAAGTACAAAGCTTCCATGACACACTTTATACACTTGGTTCTTATTGACCCTTCTTAGACCCCACAAAGCCTGTGCTCTTTCATCTGAGCTAGGCAGTGAGGATGGCCTCCTATTTCTACTATTTTAGCCATGGTCTGACAGTAAACTGCAGTTTCTTTTTCTTTTTGGAGACTTATTTTCTAGATTTGTTCCCACAGGAGGAAGAACAAAAAACAAAAACAAAAACTGCTCCTGAGGATCTATAGTAGAGAACCTCCCTGCCAAACTCCCAATGAATGCAAAAAGGGAAATCACTCAGTATTATTTCTTGTTAGTTAACAAGAATTTTGTTTGGTTATTGTACAGATATATCTATTTCCCATCTTTAGCTATAGGACCTTGTGGGCATTGATGGGCTCAATTAAAAAGCAGAGAAATACAAAAGCAGGATACTTTCTGCACCTTATAAAAACAGGCAAGATTTCTCATAAGATGGATGAAAACTGATATTTTTGCAGGGTTTGAAATCCACATAGTAGTTTTTTACACCAGAAGGAAGCAACTTGCATAATAGTTTAAAACCATGCTGCGTACTCACTGCATTCTATGAAACTAGGAGTTCTGAAGTATTGGTTAATAACAACAATATGTCACCTTGTAATTTTTGTTAGCTTCTTAAAAATTATATGAGTAAAAGAGAGTGTTGTATAACTCTTCTTTGTAAATACCAATTTCTTTGACCTCTTTTTCTCTTATAACTAATGAAGATTAAACTCTTTCATAAATAGACAGGAACAAAAAAAGATAACAGTTTACTTAAAATGTCCATTTGAGTGGGGTTTTTTTGGTCAATTTCTATGCTAAGAATACATACAAATAAGAATAACCTTATTTATATATACTATCTTTTAGTTCCACAGATAAAAGGACTCTATTAGGCACTGTTTTAAATGATGTGTATTTCCCATATTCATATTAATGTGATTAATCCTATGAGAAAGAACATGAGTCAAATGCTGAGAATGACTGAACCAATCATAGTTAATAACTGAAAAATGAAAACGATTTTAAAAATATTTTCCATACACTTAAAAAAGAACCTTTAAAATAATGAAATTCTATAAATTGAGTAATGTCCATTCTGAGTATTTTTTCAAGAAAGAGCAAACATTTGATCTTCTTCAGGTTCCTAAATCCACTTACTGTATTTATGTTATCCCATTTCAGAATTTTTCAAAAGTTACAATGTACTATTCTCAGTGTTAAAAACTACACCTTCAAGGTTCATGTTGAGTTATATTTATTTACAAACAGGGTCAAGAGGCTAAGAAGAGTCCAAAACTTGTGCCCTCATTCTATTTATATGAATTGGACATATAAACATGATTCAGAGCCATTGCTAATATGGATGCTACCAAATTATGTTATATTTGCTTTCTCACCTCTGTTATCTTTTTCGGATCTATTCCTTGCTTCACTTCCTGTCCCCCCCACACAGCTGTCTTTTGCTGAAACTGTTGTTCCATTTGGAGCATTTCTAAATGCTGACTTAATGTGGCACCACCACTGACATCAGAATTACATTTGGTCCAATTATCCTGGAAGCACTTAGAATTTTGCAATGCAGACTCTGTTGCTGTCTCATAGGTTTTCAGCAGCTTTTCCACAACACCATAATTTGACCTGGGATCAGCTGACCTCGGACGGCCAGACAAATTACTCGGTCTCCAGTCATGCTCGTGGAGCATATTTCGATAACTGCGAGGACTTAGGTGTCCCTGCATTTGTCTTACTAGGCCTGTTGTGGATTTCTTGGTGGGATTATCAGGCACATTTTCCATGGGCACAGGCATGTGGGCATTGGTTTTCCAAATACCGGACACATCGTTACTTTGTGATATGCTACCTGTGTGAGTAGATGAGGTATCACAGGGCTTGAGATCCTCCGATGATTTTGAGCAGCTGTGATTTTGCTGTATTGCCTGACAATTTCTATCTGTTCTAAATACAGTTCTGTTAAATTCATCAGTCTTTGCTGCCAGCTTCTCATTCCTTGTAGTCCTTTCAAAGCCACAACTGAAATTTCTAAGTGGGCTACTGCTCTCTGCTACTGAGGAGCTACAGTCATTACTTACATGAAGATCAGGATGAGATTTAGCAGGGTGATCTGGGATCACCATTTCATATTTTGGATTACTGGGGGTAGAGCAGGTTTTCTGAAACCACGAAGTAGAGGGGCTCCTTTTTGCACCTATCCCAATGTCACATGACCACATGCTAAGTCCAACATCTTCATTACTTGGAGGCTTGCTATCTATTTTGACTTCTGGTACCAAAGAGGAAAAGATGATACCATCTTTCGAAGTTTTCCCTTCATTTGGATACAACATAGACATCTCTTGTTGTCTCAAAGGGAAGTGAGGGTTGTAATTCCTTTTACTTCGACCCTCATGGGGCACCCAGCTGTTGTGGTCTAACCTTTCCTTCCATCTTTCATAGGCTTGTTCAGAATCCGAGCTGGGAAAATTTCGAGAGGTGCTTCTTGGAGGAGGAACTGGTGGAGTTTCATTTCTTTTTAAATCGATTGTATCAATTCCACATTTTTTCGTAGAATTGCTCTGGAGCACATTGGTACAGCTCAGATTCTTCCTGTTTTTCTGTTTTTCTTTTTCTAAACTGATTGGAAGAATGCACTGGTCATTGTTGATCATGGGGTCCCCATGAGGTATATTAGTTACATTTGGCATTTCCTGGAGAAAAGAATCTGACTTCATCCTAAACAATGATAAAACATGGTGTATTGGTTATAACTTTATTTAGAATAAGCTCTCAAAAGCAAACATAGCTAAAGCAATGAGTTTCTGCTATAAGAAAAGGATTCACAACTGCCTCATACATCATTTTTACATAAATCTCCCAGTCAAAAACTTCAAGTCCTTTTATGGTGGAATGAAGTCTACCTCTCAGTGTTATATTCAATGCTCTACACACTCTGACTCAAACTCTTTCCAAACTTGTCTCTCATTTTCACTATTACCTGAGACTTCACCTACCCTCAGATTAAACTATGTAGTCTCCTGGGTTTCTGCTACTGGCATTTCTCTCTCTGTAGCTTTTATCTTGCCATTCCCTTACCTTCTCTCTGCCTGCTGAATTCTTATTCATTATGTAATGTGAGCTCAAGTTCTTCTCCTTGAATTTGAAATAACATTTTAAGTAGTCAGATACAAATCTGAATAAAAGTGCAATGAGATATGAGTAATTCCAAATGGAAAGTGTCATTTGGTCTTGAAAAAAAGTAAAAATTTTTTGGATGACTTGAGTAAAAGGCATATAGGATTGAAGTAAAAGGCAAAAGGATTAAATACTATGGCTACTCGAAGGAAAATGAGTACTTTGATATGGATTAATTATAAAGCAGAGTGGGGAGGATAATGAAAAATGAGAGAGAAACATTAGGTTATGTCAAATTGTAATGTCTTTGAATTACAAATATCTTGAACCTTGTTCTAAAGTCCATGGGGTGACAATAAGAACATTATATTAGGTGTGATTTGTAAAAGAAAATTGGCAAGTAAGTCTTTTCTGAGTTATATTAAATAAAAAACTAAATATCGCAATTCAAACTTAATCACACTGATAAATATAAATCATATTTATACCTCTTCAAATTATAAAAGATTATGGGATAGCTTACAATAAAATGTGGATAAATACCTATTAACAGAGAATAGAAAAGCTAAATAGGCAAATAGAGGACAAAGTTATGTTTAAAACATGATTGGCTAAGAAAATCTATTGCAAGTCAGCACAAAAATTCTTTCTGAGCTTCCTAACAACTAATGAAAAATAAGGGAATGTAGGAAGCCTACTGACCCACGAGGAGAGATAAATGTTGATCCTAGAATAATCCATCTTTACTAAACTTGTAGAGAATTCCAATATATTTGTTAATTTGGCTAAAACTTACTGTTATTAAGTATATACTGTTTCCAAATGGAAACAGCATTTTTTGTGGCACGCGTACATGTGTACATATTTACAATATGTTGTTCTGAAAAGTATGTAGGCCTCCATTACATAAACACGAATTGAAGCAAAATAAAGTGCTCTTAAGCATTAAATATTTTAGTAGAACATGATTATATAAGCAAAACGCCACACTGTTAATTCTGACATCGTTTAATGATACGTTTAACTGAATTAGCCCAGTTGTACACTTTCATTGTCCAAATGCTCAGAATGAGAAAGAACTACTTTAGAGGTTACTTACTGATTTTTTATGGAGGGTCTACCTTAATTAGACACGAAAAAGAGTAAAGTATTACTAATAGATTACAAAGAGAATTGGAAGATTTGCTTTAAGAATTAGTGAACAGAGAAATATACAATTACAGTTTCTGGCCTGGCGTGGTGGCTCACGCCTGTAATCCCAGCACTTTGGGAGGCTGAGGCAGGGGGATTATTTGAGGTCAGGAGTTCGAGACCATGCTGGCCAACATGGTGAAATCCCGTCTCTACTAAAAATACAAAAAAACTAGCTGGGCGTGGTGGTGTGTGCCTGTAGTCCCAGCTACTTGGGAGACTGAGGTAGGAGAATCGCTTGAACCTGGGAGGCAGAGGCTGCAGTGAGCCAAGATCATGCCACTGCTTTCCAGCCTTGGAGACAGAGCAAGATAACATCTCAAAAACAAACGAGCAAACAAAAAATTAAAGTTTCTATCTCCCACCCTAGATAGTACATTTTAATAACTCATTAGTTCTTACATGTAAGGAGGAGGCAGTTTGGAGTCATTAACTAAAAACAATATTATTTTTTATTTACCCATCTAAAATAATCAGATGTACCAGCCTACCTTCTATGGTTAGACCGCTTTCGAATTTCCTCTTGAAAGCTGCATAATTCTTCACTCACCTTCGCAAGTTCTTCAAGAGCCTTTACACATATAAGCAACAGCCCGTTAGCACTTTGAAATGTAAATATTTCTTTAGAAACAGTTCTAGGCCAATCACATCTTACTTACTGTACTGAGGGCGCCAGAACAGCTCTTGCTGTCTTCCTCAGAAGTCCTCAGGTCAGGCCAGGCCTCACATTCCTTTTGGTTGTCTGTAGCCAAAGGATCCAAAAACCCTACTTTTGATTTTTTTGTTGCTTTTTGTTCCTTACACATTTGATTTCCTCCACTGACTAAGCTCTGCTCTCTTTTATTTTCTTTTCTCAGACCATCTTTGTGATTCGTCCTTATAAATTCACTTTGTCCTAAATCGGGGTAATTTGGGGAAGATTCTATCACTTTCTCTGGAATGGTCTTCTCATGGTAAAGATCAATGATCTTAGCACTTTCATTGATATTGATTTTCCTCCAAAGCTTTACTTCCCGGCAAAGCTGTAAGAAAAACAAAACAAAATTAAAACTTCTTTTCCCCTAATTCACTTTGCTAATATTCTTGATACTAAGCAAACCGCTTTGAGTTCTCTTTGCCATATTAAAATATACTTCCTGGGTATTAATGCTTCGGCCTCCAAATAGTGCCTCTAAAATATGGATTAGCTGGAACAAGTTTGATGAAACATAAAGGCTACTTTTAGTAGGGCAACACATGGATGCTAATTCTTTTGACTAGCAATCAATCATTCAAAAATAAAATAAATCTGTATCTGTATATAAATACAGAAACACTGTCACAAAATTAGAATGACCTGAATCAATTACTGGCCATATTATATAATTGCTTTCAGAGAGATGCAAGAATTTAACATTAAAGTCATAGTTTTCAAATGTCTGGTCCTACTTGTACACTAACATTTAACTGTCTAAATGCTTGACAATCTCAGATAGTAAGTCAACTTATTCTTGTTCCCTAAACAGTCACTTGTCAGTCAAAAGATGTTTCCTTTGGTTGGTCAATTACATTGTGAGGGCTAGATATTACTGAGATTTTTAAAAAATCTCAAAGTGATACACATTTTTAAAATATTTCTCATCCAGATTAAAACAAATATGACAATACCCTACGTGATATAATAGAACTGCAAGGCTTTGATCATCTATTAGTCTGTATTAAGGTAGAATCCAGATTACTTCTTTATGAGATCTTAGTTGAACCTGCACACACTCATTCAGTTCACTTCTGAATAGAGGAAAGAAATGGCTTTCTCTTTAGGCTTGGGTCATGTAAAAGCTTGTCAAACTTCAAAAGAGACTGTCAGATGACTATCAAAGCAAATGACTCTATGTTTAACAGCCGCAATCAATATCTACACTACATGTATTATTCAAGTAATATAATAGATTTATTGCTGCTTAATACATACCGATAACTCAGTTGAGAGAAGCACTAGAGTTGATGCCTGAAAAATATACAGTGTATTTATTTTTCTAATGCTTACAAATGTATTAGTATTTATTGTATGAAGTCAGGATAGCATCAAACTGCAGCCATGAATTGATTGTTTGGTCCCTGCCAAATTATTTGTACTGAACTTCTGCGGGCATTATGGTTTGAGCTGACCTTGAGGGATATAAGAAGGAACCCTAAAAAGTGACATGTTAAATCTAAGGATGCTCTTGGTGACACTGTCCTGTTTTTGCGAAGTCATGAGTGAAAACAAAATTGCTTTAGTTGCAAAACCGGGAAAAATGTGCTATTCCTGGGAAATAAGTTTGCCTTATCATTTGAATTTGAAGGTATATGCACCTGATAATTTTTGTTAGTTACTAGAAAGACTCACTGGTACATTTCATATATGATCCTTCCTCCTGTCTTCAGCTCATCTTTCCATTTTTGTTTTTGCATATTTTATATCATACCTAATTTTATGCCATCTTAAATTTTCTTGATTTAGGTGAGGTATGAATCAACAAATAACAATGTTATTGATGGAAAACTATTTTGTACAAAGGTACTATGTTACTTGGTACTCAGCCCTTGTCAATGGTTATCTGATTATTCTACCAAAGGATACAGGCAGGAGACTACAGTGTGGAAAAAAACAAAACAAAACCCCAGACGTCTATAAGTTCTATCCAGAATTTCTATCTGGATTATTTCAAATTTCAAATGATCCAAGTATGAACATCTTGGTTTTGCCATAGCAAATGCAATGACTGTGGATAGTGGCTGAACAGGGAACTACGAGCATCTTAATAGCCAACACTGCATCCTCTCATTAGATATTATCACTTAAAGTCACTGAAGATATATGTGCATACCTGGGAATCTACAGTTCTCTAGTACATGGCTTAATAATTTACATCTGATTTAACATACAGAACTTTGTGATAAATGTTAAACAAATACAATCTTTTATGCTTGTGGCATGAGATTATTTTTCCAAGTGTTGATTTCTTAATTTTAGTTTAGTTATGGAGCTGTATAGCACAGGCAGCAAAACATAAACAGCAGTACAGCTACTCTCCAAGATAAAAAAATATGACAGCCCGTTTGTCTCTCTGATACAGAAAGGGATGTTATCTCTATGAGGTATAATTTGATGTTTAAAGCATATTTCATGCCTGCTAATTGATAAAGCTAATATTTACCATAGATGAACTCTATAGAATTGTCAGAATAATTATTGGACAGTAATAAATTTAATCAGACAGCAGCTTCTTTTAACTACATGGCTTTAAAAAATTGGCTAGACTAATCCTGCATCCCTTAGTTATTTTGCTTGGATGCTAGAATTGTCTGAGACTGTTATGAACTGAACTTCCCAAACATTTGGAAGGCAATGACCTAGGACTACAGGTCAGTTTCTGATTGCGCTGGAGTTTTGGATTCTGATTTGACCAGGGAATCTCTTTGTTGATCCAATCCGAGTATGGGTAGAGGGGTTAAAGGAGCAAGCAGGACACATTTTCTAAACTATAGAGGGACAAGAAGTATATATTCTCCTTTAATCCCTAATCATACACCACATGCCTGCCTTCTCAGCTCTATTTTAGAGGAAGGGCTTAATAGTTACTTTTCTTCAGCTTTCTTCCTACTATGCCAATTCATATTTTATTCACAGTCAATTACATGGCTGTTAATAAGAAACATGACTGTACTATAAACACATAAAGCACTTACTTTGCCTGCAAAAAAGGCCAAGAAGTCTTAAAATAACAACTTTGGTAATGTGCATAAAACCATATAAAGTCAATACTAAGGATGTTACCAAAAGAAAGCAAGATAAGCATAAATTATTTCCAATTGGTGCAAAAGCTTGAATATACATCAATGCAAATGCTTGAAGGAAATATTTCAGGGTCAACGGACTGAGGGAGGGTTAACGGGAACAAAATGACTGTGTCAGAGTCGTGATATGTCATTTTTCATAACTCCTTTTCCAATAAATATGCCACTAAATGTGCACACCTTGATAGAATAAATCTCATGTCTACTGCCATTTTCTGTTTGATATATGATACTCCTTTTGATTATACTGCATTATCTAACATGTAATTTCCTTTAATAGACATTACTCATAAATCTTCTTAGGAAAGATCTATGTTCTAATGCCCAACTATAATTTTGCTAATCTATGTCCCACCAAGTATATCTTTCTTGCATTTTACTCCTGGACCTGGTATTTGAAAATTCATGCAAAATACATACCTCACTTTTGATAAAAAAGCTCTCTAGCCAGAAAATAATAAGTTGAAACATTATAGAGTGACATTTCAAATGCTTAATTTTCATGCAATGATATAAAATAATCCTTACAATACCATTGGATAAGATTATGCTATTTTTGTTCTAGTAAATGTCACTGAGAAATGTACCTCTTAGGTCGAATAAGGAAATCAAAAACAGTTTCCAATACAAAACAGCCCACAGAATTTTCATCCTGCACTTAAACATTACAGTATATCCAAAACAAATTAAAGTGTACCTCTTCTATTTTCTTCTGCATAATCTTCCATTGACTTTCCCATTCCTTTCTTTCATTGTCAAACTGGTCCAGTAATTCCATCTTTTCCTTATGCCAGTTAGTCTCTGTGTTCTCCCACTGCTTATGTAGGTCCATGGCAACAGTGTAAGTGTCAGCAAAGAAGTGTTTCTGCTCTTCTCTGCCTCCTCTTAACTGTTTCTTGGAAGCTTGAAGTTGTTTTATTTGAAGCAGTCTCACTTGCCTTTAAAATAAAGCCTAATATAAACATAACAAGAGAGAGTTCCAAATCCATGTGCTTTCTGGAAATATATTTTATCATTTTGTCGAGCCATTGACATAAACAAACTATAGGAAAATTGGACTCAAAAGAAAAGAGATGACAACAGTCTACTTAAGAAGAAGAAACTAACACAGTCAATAAAGTAATAAGTATTGTCCAAAGTTTTTTTCCCTTTCTGAGACCAGACAGCAAAATTATAGTGGACAAGATGATTAAATGCGCATGTGAGATGTAATCATCCCTTTAACCACTTACTCTAAAAATAGATTTTTTCATGAATAAGAGTGTAAGTATACAATTCAAATGTATGCTCACATCTACACACTGTGACAGATTCTGCTGCAATAAAATTATTCTTTCTGTTCTGATGCAACCTGATTATATATTCTTATGACTTAAATTCCTGAAACAGAGCTGGTTTGCAGTCTTAATTCTATATTCAGAGATCAAGCCTGTGCCAAATGTCATTACTGTGTTACTTATGAAGACCCCAAAGTTGGTAGTCAACTTAGGACTGATGTATCATCCAGAAACTAATCTAAATTATAAAAAATATATTCATTATGTCACTTCATCAAGGAAAATCTAGAAGCATCAAAACTATCCTGTGAAATATACGTTAAAATTTATCCATGCTCTCTTTTCCTTTGAATAGGCTATATACCATAAACTGCTTAGGATATTGAATACAGGGAACTGAAGAAAACATTTTGCTCAGTTTTCAGGGAATCCTCTATTACATTAAGTAGTGACTGAAATAATTAACTTTCTAGCCTTCAGGGACGTGTACTTAAGGTTTGAAGTCAGAATTTAAAATACCAGCTATGTAACTGGTATAAGTCTAAAATTTCTGGGATTTAGTTTTTTGCATTAAAATGGGGATAGTCATAGAACTGTTAAAAAGATTAAATGGCATACTGAATGCAAAGTAGTTTGAGAAATTTAAGAAAGTTTTCTATTTTTTGCTTTACAAAATTTCATTGTGACTTCAATTAAAAATAATTTTGTATTAAATAAGTCATGTGCCTTTTTAGGGGGTAGAAAAGCATGTTTAAAATGTTTGAATCTCTGTTTAAGATAATTATGCCTATAAGATGTCTAACTCTTCAGTCACTAAGCCATTATCAAAATGCTATAACTTACTGGTGGCAGCTAATGCTAATTACGGACAAAGATCCCAACAGTCAATAGCTTTGTGGGTGCTGGCACTGCCGAATTAAGGCCACATACCCAAGCAGCAAGTGCCAATTTTGTATTCACAGAAGATAACTGCATATTTCAAATCCTAAATATCAGCTAAATATCGAACACTAATTTTATTTTTGTCAGACTGTTGTGAACATACATATCTGACTAGTAAACAGTTTTGAATCTGTATTTTTTGAGTCACGATCAATGAATTAGAATAGAATAAGAAATGAAAAATGTTAGCTATATATGCAGGGTTCTACCTTCAAAACACCCTAATAATTTTGGGATCTATATTGTTACTTTACTCTCAAACTATTTACTAAAGATATTTTGATAATTTTTTCCTATGTCTTTGGCACTAGCACTATTATGATTAATTCAGTCACGAAAAATACATAATTTCATATCTGGCTATTAAAGGTGCTATCATATCTCATTTTATCCATTTGGCCATGCTCAATTTCTGACCTCATTTCTCCACCTCCTCTGTCACCCCTTTCTTTGCTATCTTTCCCACATATAAACCAGTAACCACAAGTACTTGCCATAATAAATGTCAGTGAAGAACAAATAAAATAAAGATGGTAAAGAACATACAGAGTTTTGGTTTTTGTTTGTTTTGGCTAATCTAATTTCCATTGATCTTGATCTTGAATACCTAGTAATCTTTTAGGTTCGTCTAACAATTCTTCATAGGAAATGCAGACAGTGCCTGTCTTGAAACTAGCAGACTGCTTTAAAACTATACGTAATTAACTGTGTGGTGAAACTACCTTGCTGACTAGAAAGTATTTGCCACTGGAACTTCTTAGGAAGAATGGTGTGGTTTGAGATAATAAGAGATAAATGCAGATTTAACCAAAGAAACTAAAAAAGGATGCAGACTAATTTCAAGCTACCTGGAAAAGAGGAGCTATGATAAATCCATGTTTTATCCCAACTGTCTTTAAACATTGGAAATGTTCAGAAATCACCATAAAGTCTTTTCTACAATTATGTAGCAAATGGCTCCAATTTTTCCTTCTATTCCTAACTCTTCTTGAATCGCTTCCATGCTACTGTTGAAAGATGCCAGGCCTTTCTCTTTTTAACCTACCGGAAGATCATTCAGGAATACCCTAGATCAGTCTTGCTCTTGATAACAAGACTATATCTAAACCCAGGTAACAGTCCTGAAGCAGACCGAATCCTGCACCTATTTGCAAAGAGCCAAACTCATCCCTTAATATGGAGAAGGACCAATGTATGGAGCTTTTCCTTTCCAGGCCCAGAGCAATTGCTAGTGCCAAGAAATGTAATAGTTATGGATCAGAAACAAGCCTTTGCAAGAACATTTCTATAGAGCAATATCTGTGCCAATTTTTTGTGGAAGGATTTGGCCTTCTTAGCATCTCAGTCTTGTCGTAAATATAATGTTAGATGTAACGCAGCCAAACATATTGCTTCCACCTCTAAATATAAAGTGGTGGGGGGGGGGCATAGAATTGTTTTGGAGATTAAGTGAGCAAAAGGGAAAAATGCTTAAAAGAAGTGCCTAAACACTGCTCTGGATCATAGCAAATGCCTGAAAAATACTTGGTTCTTGTTTTCTTCCTTCTGTCCTTTGTTCCCTCCCTTCCTCTTCTTGTCTTTCCTCCCTCCTTCCCTTTCTCCTCTCTTTCTCCATCTATCCCTCTCCATGTTGTTCTCTGGAAAAAAAACAGATTATTTTGGTCTTTATTTTAAAACGAGATAGAAGCAAGTGTAATTGTGTGAACTCTCATATTCTCCATGATCTTCTTTTGCCTTTTTTCAAATATTTTAAAGATACATGTCACATATTTAAAGAAAAAAGTTTTATTGTTAATAAAAATGTGAACAAATCTTATGTAAAACTGCTTTTGTTATAAATCTGACTTAAATATTACAAAAAATATCAAACTGAAGGGGCAACTTTGTAGAGATAGAATGTTTCGTAATGAGAAGTTATGGGGTAAAGTGGTTCAGCAGATTCAAAAACTCAATTTAAGTGCTCTCTACTGGGGCAAAAATAAAAGTTCTTTTTGTTCCTAGTTGTCACTCATTTTCTCCCACAGATACTGGCATCTATGTGGGAGAGAAGGAAGGATTTCTGCTATCTGCATCCCCTACCCCATATCTCTTTGGCTCTCCAGTTTATGTTCTTCCTTCTAGAATTCCATTTCAGAATAAAAATTTATTAGAGCAAATGTAAGAGGACAGAGTGAGCTGCATTACTTAGTCACACACCCCAACTCTAAACCAGCATTGCATAATCCCTTTTAACTTACTTCCCCTTTCCAGGGCTGAAAGCCAGAATTATAAAGAGTTGTGAGTGGGTTGCATAAGTATGGTGATGGGAGGCAAATAGTTCTGCTAGCCTTCCGGCCCTACCAGTAAGCAAAGTTTAAGAGTAACACACAAGTCTCACAAGAAATTATTTTCACCCCCAAATTAGCCTCAGTTTGGTCATGGCAGCAATTCTTTCTCTGAGGGGTGCTCCATTCTTAGGACACCTGGGTCACTACCCTTTCAACCTCCAACTCGCCCATTGAAAACTGGACTGCATCCAAACAAACTAAACAGCGTTCCTTAGGGGCAGCTGCTCCATTGCTACTTCTCTCTTTTTAGATTATTGTTTAGAGTACTTGTTTCTTGCTGTCCTTATTTCCTTTTGCTAAACATATCACTTTTCACATAATTAAAGATTTTTCATTTATAAGAGGTTACATATTCCAATAGAAATGCCACACACAGTAGGTACTGCTAATCTCACAATTCCTAGAAGACTCATTTGGCCTGAAGATGTTTTGCTTCTGCTTAACTTTGATGGATTAGGAATTCCCCAGCTTATAACCTATCAGAGTAATGTACCATTTACCTCCTAAATTCTCTATCCCTTTCTCCAGGCTATTATAATCACTTGAATTATTTCAATGAATTAATAAATCTCATTCCTCTCTATTGTTCACTTGCAATTGAATCTTTCCAAAGACCACCATGATTTGATTTTGTTAGAGTAAAAGGGAAATTTTTTTCATTGCTGTGTATTGCTGATTTAGCACATTCCTCATGCTCCAACAAGGTCAAAGAGACACTACCACATGCAATTCCGAATGAATCAACTTTACCGTTTCATTTAATTATCTTCTTCCTTGTTTTCTTTACAGTTATTTACTCAAATTAGAAAACATCCAAGCTGTATGCACACTGATTTTACTTATAAAATGCAAACTTTAAAAGCAAACATTTGGTTTGAGTAAACAAATGTCTAAAACTAACCATCGTGAACAAAAGACATAGTGGTAAGTTTCCCTCCTAAACGTAGATTATTCAATTATGAATGGCATAGACTTCAGCTCAAATTACAGAAACACTAACTCTACAGTGAGTCCACCACCACCTTAGATAAAACTAAAATTTATTTTTCACCGCAATTTTCAAATACCAAGTCTCCAGGATTGTGACCTTTAATTTGCAAATGTTAAAAGTCTTTATATGAATAAAAAAAATCACATTTGAATAAATATACTTAGTGAAAATCAATGATGGGCAAAGTGCTTTTCAAACAACTGAGAAGCAGTGTTGGAAAAACAGTCTCAAAGAGCGGATGGTACTGTCAGTCCACAGTTGGGAAATCCACCCTGAGCAGCTGAACAGCCTTTTTCCTAGGAGTCAGTACAATCTGTTATGCACCCCGCCCACTGTTTTTAAGCCCAGACACAGACAACAGCAGAGACAGATGTTGAAATTACACTCCACTTAAACAGTATCCATAGTTTAAAACATCTCAACAGCAGCCCCTTTGTATCCTGCCATAATTAGTCACTTGCTTGTAAACTTGCCGGAAAGAAACATACCTTTCACACTGGGGAGAAATCCTATGGATGCTCGACCACTGGTCAATTAGCAGTGGAAGAAAGTGGATGGCTAGCTGTCTTAAAGAGAAAAGTCTCAGCTCGGTGAATCTCGATTCTTTACAAGAAAAGGGGATGCAAAATAAGTCCAACCATTCCACAGAGCAGTACTGACAAGTCCCTTTGAAACCTTCACCACTTTTACAAGTCAAAAAGCTGCTCAGCTTAGTGTCACAGCAGCAGCTGAGACTACTGTGACGTCAGTTACTTGGAGGCGGCCTTCAAGCCACCTCTTCCAACCAGAGCTCTGTAACTTTAGAGCAGCTCATGCTCTGGGTAAACAACTCCAGGTCCAGGACATTTTTAGCTTTTATAATGGAGCCCAGTATTTTCAAACTTGCCAAAAGAGCTGGTTGTTAACATCATACAATGACAATGGCCAATTTTAGATTTATTTTATTAGGAAAGTAAACTCATTTTTTTATAGGCAAGAATTATCTCCCTCCTTCCATAATTCTTTCTCCTTCTCAGCTGGTGGCAGGATGTACTCTGCTGCACCTTTAGAAGTTTGCATCTGGATGTGGCAGAACAATATGTGTAGCATAATTATATATATTATGCACTCTCAAAAGATCTGTGAAAGTTATCAAACTTCTATCTTCAAATAAAATAGAAATGGAACATAAAGTCCAACCTCTTAGCTCTCTGTGATTCTGACAGTGTGTTGCTTTTATCTACAGTAGTAGCGATGTCTTTACGTTAGAGAAAATCAGAGCCCATGGGAAAGGATGAGATTTCTTATTGTGGGAGGACAAAACACACACACACACACACCCCAAAAATGAGATACCTATGGGCTTATTTTCCACTAAAGTGTGCTGCAGCCATAGGAAGAGAAAGCAGCCTAAGTGTATGGAAAAGCTCTCTAAATCATGATCAAATCAGCCTGTTCTGAAATGCTAGGAGATCTTGCCTCCCCAGCGACATTTTCAGGTTTATTGTGGCTTTGTACACACATGCATCTGATGATATTTGGTTTAATTTAGTCAAAAAAGTCTCTAGAGCAATTTTTTGCCTAACTTAGCAAATACACAAGTTTAAACAATAAGGTCTTATCTTCAAGTCTGAAGAGCTTCCCTGGTGTGGTCTTTAAAGTAATACATATTCACTCACATTATTTTCACCTGCTTCCAGATAAACATTTCATGAGGAGCTAAAGTTTAGTAATAGTAACCTGCTCACAGTAGGACTTTAATACATGTAGGACAATCAAATGAAACCATACTCTGTGTCTGGAAAGCCTGACATCATAATCTCAACAGCAATAACAACAATAACAGTGATAGTTATAGTAATAATAGTGATTATTCACTGAGGGGCAACCCTCTGCAAGGTTCTGTGCTAAGTACTTTGAACAGACCTTTATCTGAGTTCACCCTCAGAGCAATTCTGTCTCTAGATACTGATAATCTGATCTTACTGATAAAACCCAAGCAAGGCTCATTGTGGTAAAGCATCATGCAAAAGTTCATAGAAATGCACCCATGTGGAGGAAACGGGTTTGAACTGTTTTGTCTGATTGCAAACCATGGAATTTTGTCATAGAGATCTAAGTTTCAATTCTGCTGCCACCACTTATCTGTGTGATCTTGCAGACCCTGATTCTTCCTTAAAGACATAATTATATTTACTTTAAGAGGCCATAAGAATATGAGGGAATATATATAGCGCCAAGCACACAATAAAGGGTAGCTCATGTCTGCCTCCATGCTTATGAGGCTAGGAAGAAGATTCTTTGAGAGAGGGAAAGGGAGGAGGGAGTTGCACAAAAACATCAATACAGAATTGTCTTAACATTGTTTCTGGCCGGGTGTGGTTGCTCACACCTGTAATCCCAGCACTTCTGGAGGCGGAGGCAGGTGGATCACATGGGGTCAGGAGTTCGAGACAAGCCTGGCCAACATGGTGAAACCCTGTGTCTACTAAAAATAAAAAAATTAGCCGGCTGTGGTGGCTCAGGCCTGTAATCCCAGCTACTAGGGAGGCTGAGGCAGGAGAATTGCTTGAACCCGGGAGGCAGAGGTTGTAGTAAGCAGAGATGGCATTCCTGCACTCCAGCCTGGTTGACAGAGCAAGACTCTGTCTCAGAGAAACAAAACAAAAAACATTGTTTCCTTTACCTTTTCTTCTACTCCAAACTTCTTAACTTCTATGTATCACTTGTAAATCAAACTAAGACTATTTTGTAAATCCTATCGAAAATTCAGATAGTATGTGTCTAAGTTACAAGAGATGTTAGGTTGGACTATACTTCCTAAGTGTCACTCAGTAGTACCCATTTCAATCTCTTTTAATGGCTGTCCCAGTGTGATTGTCCCAGGGCAATCACAAATAATTGCCCTATGTTTTAGAAAGAATTATGTCATTCATACCTGATGACATACTAATTTATTTCAATGTATATCAGATTCAAGTGCTTCATCTGCTTCTTGTCATGGTAAAGCTGATCTTAAATTGTACACAGAATCAAATAATAATGAAAATCTTTGACAAAAAGTTTACTCCAAGTTTACCACTTATTCTAGTATTTACCAACTTTTTCTGTTGAAGTTTATATATATATAATTTATATTATATGTTATTTATATAAAATATATAATTTCCAGGCCATATTTCATACCCAAAAGACAGAAAGTAAGTCAATTAGGTGATACGGTGCAAAGTCAAGAAATGTTCAGCACAGCTTTTGATATTTTCCCTTGAAAACTTTTTGTTTTTTAAGAAAACTTTTAAAAGAAAATTTACCACAATTATATACATAAAATGAATGCATTTAAAAGACTGATGCTGGTATACTCAGCCCTACAGTTACATTCAGACATCTTGAACTGCCTGAGGTTTTCAAGCAGGTGTCAGAATGACTGAAAATCTTATGAAAAAAATGCAATTTGTTTTGTAATGCAGTTTTTCTTTAAACCATTTGAACATTTAAATCTTCAAATATGAAATTCACAAATGATTGCCCTATGTTTTAGAAAGAATTACATCATTCATACCTTATGACATACTAATCTTATTTCAATGTATAACAGATATGTAAAGAAATGTACATAATAACACTTAATGGAAAATAAATGTAGAAACACTGCCTGCTGTCAAGAAACAAAAAAGAAAATTCTAAAAAGAAATGGAAAAGATCTATATTAATAATAATATTAAGGCACAATCAAAAACATTTTAAAAAGGGTAAAAGAGAACTAATGCGTGCATAAATGTCACTAGCAGGTGTTTCCAGACTTACAGAATTTTAGAGCCAGAAAGAACTTCTGAAATCATCTAGCTAACCTTCTCATTTTACAGTTGAGGGAAGAGGCCCTGAGAGTAACTCATCTGCTCAAGGTCACAAAGCCACTTAGTGGCCATTCCAAGAATAGAATCCAGGTCTCCTCATTCCTGGTGGAGTGCCTTGAAGTTCAAAATTCCAAGAAGTGCAAGGGAAGAAAATCGAAATAAGAATGCTGGATATGAGAGGAGACTGAGAAGTTGATTTCTGGCTTTGGCAAATTTTAAATTCAGTTTTCTTCTATGTCCAAATGAGAGAGAAGATACTCTATCTTTCAAGTATGACATAAGAATCATATAGCTGAGTATTTATTTATTTATTTTTGAGATGGGAGTCTTGCTCTGTCACCCAGGCTGGAGTGCAGTGGCGCAATCTCAGCTCACTGCAACCTCCGCCTCCCAGGTTCAAGTGATCCTTCTGCCTCAGCCTCCTGAGTAGCTGGAACTACAGGGGCATGCCACCATGCCCGGCTAATTTTTGTATTTTTAGTAGAGACAGGGTGTCACCATATTGGCCAGTCTGGTCTTGAACTCCTGATCTCGTGATCCACCCGCCTCGGCGTCCCAAAGTGCTGGGATTACAGACATGAGCCACTGTGCCCAGCCAGCTGAGTATTTATTACTATCTAAAGAGGCTCGTGTCCTTAGCTAATTGTAAACACTGGGTCAAAATAAAAAGGCAAATGGATTTTATCTTAGCAGTTAAAAAATCTGAAGATAAACATGGCAACATGGCCTTAAGCATGCTAGTGCCAGTACATATTTAATCTATGGTTTTGTTTGCAGAATGATCCTGAAGTGTTACAAAGCAGTTACTCATTTGTTCTCTTTATGGTATGACAACCTGGTTGTTATGAGACTGGAGAGCTTCTGATTTCTTGTTTATAACGTTTTTCCATTGCTTATTCTTTTACCCTTTAAACATATTTAACAATAAAAGGGGTACTGTGTTTCTATTTTCATTGGAAAGAAGATAGAAAAGATTGAAAAAGAGAACAACTTTTAAAAAAACTAAACTTGTTCTTTTTTGTTTGTTTTAGTTTAGTTTTGTTTTTGAGATGGTCTTGTTCTGTTACCCAGGCTGGAGTGCAGTGGTGTGATCATGGCTCACTACAACCTCAACCTCTGGGGCTCAAGCAGTCTTCCAGCCTCAGACTCCTGAGTAGGGGACCACAGGCACTTGCCACCATGCCCAGGTAATTTTTTAATTTTATTTATTTTTTTTTTTTGAGATAAGGTCTTGCTATGTTGCTCAGGCTGGTTTTGAACTTCTGAGCTCAAATGATCCTCCCTCCTTTGCCTCCCAAAGTGCTGAGATTATAGGCCTGAAACACTGTGCCCCGCCTAAACTCATTCTTCTGCATGTTAAAGTTCAAAGGCTACTATAAAGGACGTATTTTAAGAAATCCTTCCTTCTTGAATAATGTCTGCCCCTTGCAATTTTCAAAGTACTTTAAGATCATGAGATCTCAGTTGTTTAGCAGAACTCTTAAATCTTAAATTATCTTCAATTCCTAAGGTCTTGGGTACTTCAATTAACATTCCATTTAACAAATATTTGTGAATACCAATTCTGTGCCAGGTTAGACCAAGAGGACTCAAAGAAGAGGAAGAAATCCTTGTCTTCAACAGGTCTGGTCAGCTCTGAAGATTCCCTGAAATGTGACATGTAGCGTGACTGTTTGCATTCTGAGTAGCCCACTACACTGGTATAAATTCACAAATTTGGAGAGTCTCTCCTAGGAGTACCCACAGCATTCCACCAAGGAGATCACGGTTTAGTGTTACTCTCACTCAGTCCTAGCTGCATACTATAATCACACAGAGAATGAAAAAGAAAAATAGTAATGCTGGAACTCTCCCCAGACTTCTGACTCAGACCATCCAGTGGTGAGGTCCTGGCTTCAGACTTTTGATAAAGTTCCACAGCTGATTCTGTCAAATTTGGTCCTGTGTTATTTGAGTTCTAGAATGGCAATTTCAACTGTGTGTTAATAAATATAATTTTGATCCTCCTAAAATACTGTTTTGGAGTATAAAATTATGAGGATCACACACAGAATATTTACTATCCATGTACATGTTTGGATTATTACTTGCCAGCTAATGTAATATTTTTCCAGTGGGGGATGTTTATCCTTAGAATCATGGGAAACTGGCTGTCTCTTCTATTCTGAAGGCTGAGGACACGTCAACAGGTTTTTTAGCCAAGCACATCCGTCATGGGGCTTATGCGCAGGCATTTCCAGATGACAGAAATATTCAAAAGACACGTTTGAATGATCTGTTCTTTTTAGGTAGTGGTCCAAATTCTGAACCAAACAGTAACATATTTGAGAAATGTGGGCTATTTTAAAACTAGAAACAGACCTTGCTCACATTTTTCAAACTTGTTTTTAGCATCTCATTGTATTATTTACAGATTCTTGACTTGGAGGATACTGATAATGATGACAATAAAATCAAAAATAATAAAAAGGACTGTTTGAGGGCTACCTTTTCTTTAGTGACCAGCAGAGTCCTGGGAATGCTTGTCCACCACAAGAGGGCCACCCTGAGCCACTTACTTCTCTCTGCTAGGATGTTTCAGCAGTAAAGCATGGCTCAGGCTTGGTGAGTGCAATTTGAAGGACACAGGAACTAATCCATATTGCCCCAGGGAGTAACTAATCCACCTATATCTTCTACGAGAAATGTTAGATTTATCACTACCGGGTGGCAGCATTCTATTTCCAATAATTGCCTAGTAAAATACCACTGGTAGAGGAAATAACTATTGGCTACTCACCACTTCGGCACAGAAAAGAAGAGGTAGCACATACTAAGGACTAGAAGGAACAGATCAATATGGGTAGGCTTTGATTAGAGGTCAGGAAAGCCATCTGTTTCATTCACAGGGCATGGAGTGGGGAAACAGGTGGAAGATCTGAATGGGGAACTGCATAGGTGGGTGTTAGATTTTGAGCCCCTGGAGTTCAGGTCAAAAGGAATATGGCATCATGATATGAGAGGGATACAGTAAAGGATCTGGAGGTAAAGTTACAGAACGGGAGGCCTAAAGTCACACTTCAGTGTAGCTCCTAGGCCCACTCTGCAGAATCAGCCAGACCCATTTTCAGGGTCTTCTGCAGAACCATGCAGACCCATTTTCCATGGCCAAGGTCCCTCAGTAAGTCCATATTAGCCTATAAGCACAATACCTTGATGGGTAATTTGCCCATGAACATCTCAAAAATTCATAAAGGAAAAGGGGTTAGGAAGAGAGAGTTACAAAATGGTGGTATCATGTAGGGCAAAAGCTATTTCAAGTGCAGGAAGGAAACAGTAGGTATTTAGTACATCCTCAAAAGCAGCTGTGTCTGACCCTTCCACTGTATTCTGATGTTGTTGACGCTATCAATATATATTGCAAAATAAGATTTCTGCAACCTTATTCTTTTTTTTTTTTTTTGAGACAGAGTTTCACTCTTGTCACCCAGGCTGGAGTGCGATGTCACGATCTCAGCTCACTGCAACCTCTGCCTCCCGGGTTCAAGCAATTCTCTTGCTTCAGCCTCCCAAATAGCTGGGATTACAGGCACCCGCCACCAGGCCCAGCTGATTTCTGTATTTTTAGTAGAGACGGGGTTTTGCCATGTTGGCCAGGCTGGTCTCGAACTCCTGACCTCAGGTGATCCACTCAACTCGGCGTCTCAAAGTGCTGGGATTACAGACGTGAGCCACCGTGCCCAGCCAACCTCACTCTTTCTTTATCCAACTCTTTTTAATCCACACTACTATTTTGAATCCAGTCACTTTCTACAAATATCAGGTATCTTCAAACAAATAGCTGCATCTGAATCAATTACATTCCCTCTGAAGTACGGAGGCTGAATAGAGACTTCAGTTTCCCCTCTTGGACAGTTTTTTTCATATCAAGATGAGGTCCAAGGCCAGGGAGTCCTCATTTTCCTTGACTACCTCAACTAGCTTCACTACGGCTTTTTCCACTAGATGTAATCTAAGCTTATTTACAAACGCTAAGGCCCTCTATGCAGTGGGCCGACAGCCTCAGCAGGTACACATTTCCTTTCGGGCAAAGGCTCAGCAGATACACATTTCCTTTCCTGCTTGGATTCCCAGGAGTCACCTAATGTCCAGAAAAAAATTAATTTCAGTAACTTGTCATGCTGAAACCCAGTTATAAATGACTGATCTAGGCCAATACACAGGATGTTCTATTTAAGAAGTCTAACTCTATTTTGTCTGTCCCGGAGTCAGTGATGCAAAAGGAGTAACACAGAATGTGAAAAAACTGTTTATAAGAAAGATGGAAGGGAGTTATAAACTACAAACTAAACTGAGTGTTCTGACTTTAAGAAATAAGAGTATATAAGTCATTTCTTTAAAAAAGCTCTTAAATTATCTTCCCTTACTAAATCACTTGAGGCAAGTAAGTAAACTGATGAGCTGCTCTCTGCCCCTCATACTCTCTTAATATTTGAATGCACAGGTTAAGGCAGGTACTTTTGACATAAACTTAAAGAGCTAACTTTAAAGGTACATCATGTTGGACAACCTCAAAAAGAAGTGATGCCGTTTCCCAGCCTTCAATAATCACTTATGCATATGCTTGTTAACATAAGCAGCTCAACTCAAAACATTCAGAAGAGACTACAGAAAATAAACGCATAAAGCACACTTTTTCAGAGTCAGTAATTTCCACAGCTCCATATCTGGAGTACGCATGACATTGTAACACTTCAAATAGTCAAGATACTGCACCACTCCTGAATACCTCAGGGTGGTTTGCCATTTTCTTAAGTGAGTTGATGTTCTAAACTTTTCTGAAAAGTTCTAGTTTTTAAATTAGTGTAATGCTCTACACTGTTACTGTTTATTTAATGTTTATTTAGTAAAAAATAATCATTTAAAATCATTTTTAAAATATATCTAAAACTTTGCTGATAATTTAAATAAAAATCATCAAAACAAACGCAAATTTTTATTATCTGAGTTTAATATATGCTAAATAGGAATTTGGATTCAAAAACATTGAGAAAAACATTCAAATATGCAAGTCAATAAAATTTTATTAACATTTTTGTAAAGGCTGAATAACTGCTAACAACCACTGATTATGTATTCTCATCTTAAACTAAATGTTTGCAATTTTATCTTCAGATGTTGAGTTTTGTTGGTATCTTATTTTGAAAAATAGCTACAGAAAAATACATACAACTCTGAACTAAAAAAGTTTTATAATGGTAACACTGAAATTGAATAATCAGGAAATGTCAATAGACTTAAGTTTATTAATCATAAATATCTGGGATATAAGATCAGATGGGGCTCTTTAAGACAACAGCCTGGGCCGGGCGCGGTGGCTCACAACTGTAATCCCTGCACTTTGGGAGGCCGAGGTCGGCAGATCATGAAGTCGGGAGATCGAGACCACCCTGGCTAACATGGTGAAACCCTGTCTCTACTAAAAATACAAAAAATTAGGTGGGCGTGGTGGCGGGCGCCTGTAGTCCCAGCTACTCAGGAGCCTAAGGCAGGAGAATGGCGTGAACCTGGGAGGCGGAGCTTGCAGTGAGCCGAGTTCGCACCACTGCACTCCAGCCTGGGCGACAGAGCGAGACTCCGTCTCAAAAAAAAAAAAAAAAAGACAACACAGCCTGGCTTAACAGTGAGCAGTGCAAGGTAGAGATTTCTGAGGTTTCTCTTTACATCTAAAAAGTGTTATATTTGCTGCTCTTGTTCTTTGATCAAGTGGGTTATAACAGTACTCTACTCAAAAGATGCCCCCAGAAATATTTAAAATATTACCCACAACTTCACTAGGACAGACACAGACTAGAACTGCCAGTAAGTGCAGAAAATACACCTTTAAGCAGGGAAGACATGGATGAAAATGTATTTAAGTTACATGGAAAGGACCTTTAGAGATTCTATGATTTGCACACATTTTCAAAATGGCAAACATGAAAAACAGCCACTACCACTTTCCCTTCTCTCAACTGATCAACTCGAAAGTACAGTTTAGAAGCATTACCACATTTAAGATATTACCACATTTATTACTGTAACTACAAAGGTGTTCTGCCATGTCCAGGCCATGAAACATTCTATTTTGTATGAGTTTCTATCTGAAATTCTAGAAGTAGACTGCTGAGAATATCAGGACCTACCCATGAAATGTGAGTTTCATCAAAATATGAATGAAATTACTTTACTTATCAAAAACCAGATCAAAATTAAAAACGTAGAATGAAATCTTTCATTAGACCTAATTGGTTTACAACTAGGATTTAAGCAGTTATGTCTTCATGCATACTGTGTTTTAACTGTACCATATCCCAGTAGTTTAATAAATGGTCGACTTTTCTTACTTTCTGGTAATATTCTCCACTACCTTCTCTTCAATTTCTACATTCAGTTATGGTGTCTGACCCAAAGCATGACTCTACTAGATGAACTGGACTGTAGTTCTATCAGAATGCAGTTACAAACTCTGCACGAATATTTGGAATTAGGGCTGAGCTACCAAATTGACACTCCAAACTTCGTTGGCAGCTGATTAAATAACCATATCCCATTCTATCACACAAACTAAAGTGAAGATTGGAGAATGCAGGCCAAAACACATTCCAGGCTCAGGACTGAATTTTCCTTTGTTTTATGAGTTTAGTTACTTATGCCTAAAAATAGCCAACTGAATTCCTTTTTTCTTAGATCTAGGCCAAATTAACAAGAAGACACTTCTTCCTATGGCCAAGAATGTGCATACAAGGGAATTTTCTAGAATAAGGCTTGCTCTGTTGAGTTTACTTTGGTGTGATGTTTAAATAGCACAGCTTCAAAGGTCCAAACAAAAGATGACGCCTTGTCTTAATAATTAAGAGTCTTTGCTCTCTTGGTGAATCAAGAAGCCTGGTTGTTCCTCTTTCAGAAACAGCTTAATATAACAAAAATAATGCAAGCAACAGGATCAAAGGGGAAGATGCTGGGGACTCTCTTTCTGAGGTTTTGGGCACCATCTTTGTCAACTTATCTTCCCAAGTCTATGTTCTACGCTTTAAGAGATAGGTGCACCCTGGATACTGGGCGCCCATTGAACAGCTTGAAGTTATAGGGAAAAGATGGCAAGGAAAAAGGTCACTTTGTGCCTGCTGGCAATTTTCTGACCCCACCTTCCACCAACTGGTCCCCAGCATGTCCCCTAAGATAGAGGCAGTTCTGAATGCCCTGACCCTGGATGCATTTCTCATTATACACCACAGTGTGATGGAGCTGTGTGTGTACACACAGGCACAACCGGGAAGCTGGTTTATGCAGTGAGTGGGGCAGAGTGGAAAAGAGCCTCCCTGGAATTCAACTGTTCAGTAAAGTTGATTCACTAACTTCAGAGGAGCTGTTGGAATGATCCCATATCCCCCAGAATCTGTGAGCAGCAGTCAAGTCAGTACTGCTTCAGCCTACTTTCCTCTCCCCAGTATTTCACAGGAGTTTCACATATGGAGGATCTGGATGAGGTTTAAGTCTCATGAAATTCTATAAAATAACTGCCTGTATTAGTCCACTTTCACACTGCTATAAAGAGCTTCCCTGAGACTGGGCAATTAATAAAGGAAAGAGCTTTGACTCACAGTTCTGTATGGTTAGGGAGGCCTCAGGAATCTTACAATCATGGTGGAAGGGGAAGCAGGCACCTTTTTCACAAGGCAGCAGTGGAGAGGAGTGAAGGAGGAACTTCCAAACATTTATAAAACCATTAGATCTCGTGAGGACTCACTTGCTATCATGAGAACAGCATGGGGGAAACCACCCCCATGATCCAATCACCTGCCTCCCTCTACATGTGGGGATTACAGGTCCCTCCCTCAACCTGTGAGGATTACAATTCAAGATGAGATTTGAGTGGGACACAGAGTCAAACCTTATCACTGCTTTAGGAGTTCATAGGTAAGATTAATACCCCTGTTGCCAGAAGGGCAACATAGGGAACATGACCATAGTTCCTAAAATGAGATCTATAGTTGAGGCTGGTGTTTTGGTTAGCTCAGACATCTCTCCTTTCCTATTCAGGTCATAAGTTATCACTGAGGTGTTTGCACCATCTTTGCATATATTTAGGCTGTCAGCCCATCTAAGAATGCCTAGGGATTTTGTTGTAATAACATGTTAGATCACTGTGGGATCATCTTGAGTCTTGAATTCAGTGTGCACACATGCCTGTTTCTTTCAGTGGGTGTGTGACCCTGTGCCCACACACTATTCATCTTGGTTCTCTTTTCTGTTAGGTATTACTCCTATTTACCTTTGATTTTGTGTTTTTGAAAACTTGTATTAATGCAAGCCAAGTTTTCTGGCACGACCACCAGCGCAGAAATATAATTGCTTTATCACTGGAGGTGATATCCCTTCTGGCAAAGGCTGTACAACTAAGTGGAAATGCTGTAGAGAGAATTCAGACATCCACTGAGCAGCTGAAACTTTAAAGTCTACTCAAACCTAGACAACTAATGATCCTATATCTTGGTATCACATAGTTTACTGTAAGCTTTGTTGAGGCTATATAGAATGTGTATTTTAGATAATTCAAATATCTAAGAGTAGTGGTTCTGGGGCATTTTTAAAAATACAAATGCCTAGGTCCGTACATTTTATTTCAATTAGTATGGAGTAGGTCCCCAAATAAAAACATCCCAGAAATTCTGATGTGCAGCTAGTGTTGATAACTACTGATCTAGTTATTTCATTTTTGATTCCTCTCATGATAAAGAAAGCTAAAATGTAAAGCCAGTTTCTTAAAGTCACACAGGGTGGTGAATATGCATGATGCTTCTGAAGTGAATAAGTGCATACCATATCACGTTTCTCCACAAAGACAACATCAGCAATTTGGACAAGCCAATTATTTGTGATGTGGGATTTCAGGGACCTTGAAGTTCTGATCCCTTCCTCCTAAATGCCAGTGAACTTCCCAGTCATTGTAATAACCTGCAACACTCCACACACTTCCAAATGCTCTGTAGGTGGCTGAGAACCTTTTAACAGGTATAACTGGCTCCAAAGATGATAAATATTTCAGCTACATTTCTGCCCTCAAACATTTACTTTCAGTTCCTGAAATGGTGGCCTGGAAACTTATCACGGATCTAACAGACAAACTTTAGGTTTTAAAGTGTTTGTTATCTCTGAGATGAAAAAATTTTAAAAAGCAAACACCTGAATTATATATAATTGATTAAACATGGCATTTATCTCATTTCATTCATTTTTGTAATGAAGCTTTACCTAGCTCTCAGAATCTCTAAAATGAAAAGCCAGAAGTGCATATTGACAGATTCCAACTGTTGGGTAACCACTCCTCACTCCAAGTCTCTCCTCCCCGTCAAAAAACAAACAGAACCAAAAACCAAAACCAAACAAATCCTATAGAGAGTAAGAGCAGTTATTCTAAACTAAAGTTTTAGACTATTGTGAAGGTTTGTTTGTTTGTTTAATTAATACTCAAACGGATGTGTGGGAGGATGAGACTATAAATAAATTATAGTCCCTTGAAAGTTAAATTCCTGGGATTCCAAGGACCATTACCAATAGCAACTTTTATAACAAAGTTTTTCCACATATCCTTTTTGCAGACATGCAAGATACTTCACTTTCCACAGATTTTCATATCCGTCAACCAACCTGTGAATATTTACAAGTATGTGACTTCAACAAGTGCGGAGATTGCTGACTCTTGGGTGGCACTGGATAAACTATCAATGAGATGGACAGAATGGGTCCTTTGGGTAGATGGAGTCTATCCAGGCCACTTTAGGTTTGAGGAGAAAGGGGGATGCTCAGGTTTATTGAAGTTAGTTTATATCTCGAGAGCACCTCCTGCCTGAACTATGCTACCAGTCTTGGATTGTGATCTAATGAAATTCTAGAAAATGACCATACTTTAATGAAATTCTAGAGAATGACTGTATTTTTTCCCTATTCAAAACAATTCACATATCATATTTATAGAGTATTTCCTACTCTGGAGGCAATCTATTATAGAGGATAGGACTCTAAGCAATAAGTTCGATTAGCAATACACGACTTCAAGTATAATAAGTAAAAGCAGGAGTGGCAGGTTTGGTGGGAATCTGGTCAAATAGAGTAGGATAGGGATAATTATTTCCTAAATGAACTAAGACCTAATCCAATCTCATGCTTCCAAGCATATCTCTGTAGACAAAACACATTGGCATTACGACATATTACTTAGTTTTCATGAGGGTCACATTTCATTTATTTCCCATATTTTTTTTCAGATATTTATTGGATGTCAAAATTATCTTGTTAGTTTGATGCAACCTGGCAAAGATACTTTACAAATGTATATACTTTTTGGAAATGTGACCAAATTGTGAATGTCCGTCCAGCTTTTGAATAATAATAGTGAACTACTGAGAAATAATTATGAGACATGTAGTCCATTTTTATATTCAGTATGCCAATTATTTATCAAGAGGAGACAAACAGGATGAAAAAAAGAAGTAAAAATTAAAACAATTCATACAGAAAAATGTCACACTTTCTTACCTGAAATATTTTAGTGTTTGGGCTTCTTATTGAATTTGGTCTTGGTAAGATGAGTTGTATCTTTTTAAAGAAATAAGCAGTCTTCAGTGTTTTTATAGCATTGGTTACTACAGAAATTATACTTCTTTTACTTCTTGTCTTGAAGGGTGAACAAAATAAACAAACTGAAAATACTACAATGAATGGTAAATGATGAAAGATTTACAGTACAAAAAACAGTGTAAAAAGGAAGACAAGTTTAAATATTGTTGTGTAAGAAAGTGATGAAAATAATACAAGAATGAGAATAAGTAAAATGATAGGCTGGAACATCTGGGAAGGTAAATGCAAAGACAAAGAGAAGAGTTAATTAATAATAATCTTTAAAACTTAAATTCACATCAACAAATTTAAGTAGTCATTCAACTTAAAAAAGAACCTCCACCCTCCCTTAAGCCTATATCTATAAAATCTGAAAGCCTAATATACATAGCACTTTCTCTCACTCTAATTTCTATTATTTTCCCTAAGAGTATAACCGAATACATATCAAAATTCAACAAGTTTTATCATAAAACGATATTTTTCATAGCAAAGCAGAGCAACATGCAAGATAAATAAGCGATAGGGCTGCAATGTTTCTAGCTGTACCAACAGGCAGTTAATCTAAAACCATGCTTCTGTACGTAAACTGGCTTTTAAATGTCTTCCGTGTCTTAAAAGCCATGCATGCTGTTGTACTTCCGTGGGTTCTCCAATGGATACAGGACACCAGGCTTGCCAGAGGAAACAGCATTGCCTGTTTTGTTTCATAAATTATCTTTCATGTGGTTAACTCTGACAAAATGCATTGGTCTTTAAATGGCCACCATACCTGGCCAAAGCAGCTCAGTCCAATTCATCCGGTGTGCCTCTACAAATCAGGATGGAGGAAAAATGCTGGTTTTCCCTGTTCTGGAATAGTTATTACTATTTCTCTGAATTAGTGTTGCCTTCAAGCTACCGTATAGACTCCTTCCCCAGTCCTGAGATTCTCCACTATACAACTGAGAGTGATTTTCTCTGGAAATAATGATCATGTTATTTCAACTTATGGTAAAAAAAAAAAAGTGGCTTTCATTTGTTCCTTTCCAGGGGGTTGTAGACACAAAACCATGTCTCTTTACCACTGGTTTCTACATTTACCAGTAGTTATCCATCAGTTCTGTTTTATTTAATTAAATTAATTTTTTTTATTGAGACAGAGTCTCACTCTGTCGCCTAGGCTGGAGGGCAGTGGTGTAATCTTGGCTCACTGCAACCTCCCTCTCCCCGGGTTCAAGTGATTCTCCTGCTTCAGCCTCCGGAGTGGCTGGGATTACAGGAGTGCGCCACCACACCAGGCTAATTTTTGTATTTTTAGTATACACGGGTTTCGCCATGTTGGCCAGGCTGATCTCGAACTCCTGACCTCCTGCCCTCTTTGGCCTCTGGGATTACAGGCATGAGCCACAGTGCCCTGCCATCAATTCTGTTTTAGTTTTATTCTTTCTTTTTTTTGAGACAGGGTTTCACTCTTGCCCAGGCTGGAGTGCAGTAGTGCAATCACCATTCACTGCAGCCTCGACCTGCCTGGGCTCAGGTGATCCTCCCACATCAGCCTCCGGAGTAGCTTGGATTACAGGTGCGTGCCACCACACCCAGCTAATTTTTCATATGTTTTGGAGAGACGGATCTTGCCTTGCTGACCAGGCTGGACTCGAACTCCTGAGCTCAAGCAATCCACCCTCCTCGGCCTCCTAGTCTAGTCATTTTTTTTAAATCCTAAACTCAATATGGATCTTGGCTCAAAAACCACATATCAGCAGTTAAATATTCCTATCCAGGACCATCTTGCAGTTCATCTGCTAGCAGAGTAACAGAGAAAAATATTGACCTTCTAAAATAATAACGTGCCTCAAAATCCGTTACTCTTTCCACAACAATTGAGGGTAATGGTGTTCAGTTTTCCTTTTAAACAAAACAGAGGAAGAAATGGTGACTATGTGATGGAGTCACAAAAACCTCAGCCCTGCAGAAGGACAGTGTGGAAGAACTGGTGGGCCGAGGCCGGGGGTTTCAGGCCCCAGCGCGGCCCTGAGCGGGGGCTTCCCTCAAGCGGGGCGCGGCAGTCCGGGCGCCGAGACGCCCCCCAGGGACGCGGCTCCACGGGCCAGCCTGGCCACCGCCGTGGCTCGCAATAGGCAGAACTGTACCTGACTCACGGAAATGGGCTCCTCGGCGCCGCGGTCGTCCGCAGACTTGGGCACCTCGAGGCGGTCGATGAAGGTCTGCAGCTCCTTGCGGAAGGCCTTCATCTGAGCGTTGATGCGGTAGAGCAGCTCGTGCTCCCGGATGCGGCTGCCGTCGTCCTCCTCGTCCATGAGTCCGAACAGGTCCCCGTTGGCCACGTAGATGCGCGCCTCGGTGATGATGGTGCTCGTGTCGGCGATGAGCCGGTCGATGGTCTTGCCCAGGCGCTCGGCCTCCGAGCGGATGTCCTTCATCTGCTGCCGATCGGAGAAGCTCTTGGGCCAGGGCCCGGGCGCCGGGTAGAAGGAGCGAGTGGGCGTGAGGCAGCGGATGTTGCGCACCTCCTCCGAGTCGCTCTCGCCGCCGATGGGCCCTTCGCGCTTGCGGTGCGGAGGCCGCGAGTCGTCGTCGCTCTCCTTCTTGCCCGCGTCGCTCTCGGCGTCGCTGTCGCGGGGGCTGCCGCGGATGCCCAGGTGCGAGGCCAGGTCGTAGCGCTGCATGTTGGACATAAGCACGCGGTTCTCGTACTGCAGCTGCATGACCTTGCCGCTGAGCTCGTTGATCTGCAGGCGCGCCGCCTTCAGCTCCTCCTGCAGGGCCTCGGTCTTGGCGTTGTCGTGGTGCCGCGCGCTGTCGTGGCCGCCGGACTTGTACTTGTACTTGTTGAGCTCCGCCGTGATGCGCTTGTTCTGCTCCTCCAGGTCGGCCACGTTCCTCCGCAGCAGCTCCGTCTCGTCTTCCACCAGCTGCAGGTGCTGCCGCAGCTCCGACAGGGATTCGCTCTGCTCCCTCATGAGCGGGTTGGCCGAGCCGTTGAAGTCATCGCCCCTAAGGTCGTCCAGTTCCGCCTTCAGGCCTCTGTTCTCCACCTCCAGTTCGACGATTTTCCTGCCCAGGATGTTGGCTTCTTCCTCCACCAGCCTTAGCCGTAGCTTGAGCTCGGCCTCCCTAGTGCTGGGAGGGCCTCCGGCTTCTCCTTTGGGCAAAGGACTGTCCAGATCCCCATAAAAGGATCTGTACTTCTGGAGCTCGTGTTCAAATCTGTCCTTTTCTTTATCAATCTTGGCCATTTTCTTTCTCATCAAAGCGGCTTCTTCCTTAACAAACTGCAGCTGGCACTTCAGATCTTCATTGTCCTCCTCATTTGGGGGAAAAGAGGGAAAAGGATAGGAGATCATTTTTATGTAAATCAAGGAAACAACCAAAAGAGGACACCTGGATAAATAATTTTTCTTGCAATCCAGATTTAATGACAGAGAGAAACAGAAGCAGATACTGTGTATTTTCTTCAGATCACTTAAATTCTCTGGCAAATTAAAGATTAGAACAATGTTACATCCTGGAAGCAAAAAGGAAAAGGAATATGAAAAGAGAATAACTGTGGCATCACTATTCAGAGATTATTATATGTTGTAACTGCATACAACTGTTTGGTGATCATTTCAGCAGTGTTTCTTTTGTTTCATTATTGCAGTAATAAATATAAAATCTGTTCAACGAGCATGTGGTTCATATGCATTTGCGGCCACTTTTTTGTCACTTACACTGAGCCAAGTGCTGAAAAGTGTTTTACAAATATGAACCTAATTTAATATTCAGAGTAAACTTAGGAGTAGTTATTACAGTTCCTGGTTTAAAGATGTTCAGTAACCGTTCGAAGGTTACACAGCTAATGAATAGCAAAGGACAAAGGTGAAATTTGAATCCAGTTCTGTCTGAAACAAATGCTCAGGCTCTTGATTTCTGTGTCACTTAGGAAATAATCTGCCCCCTGTTTTTATTCAAAGGAAAATTGTTTTAGAGGCCTGTAAGTCAGCAAAGTTTGACATTGGAATGGTCCATCCAAGGAGAAACTGTTAAGTTTTCCATCTAGATCACATTTAAAATAGGTTGTACTCCCATCAGTCTGAAATGGATAAAGCCTGGCAAAAGAATAGTGGAACTATAGAAGTTCTTCTCACACATTCTTACGACAACCTCAGAGCCCAATCATTAACTAAATTGAAAAGTACAAAAGGAGGAATGGAAATCTTTCTCTGAGGGATATTACTGAAGCATGTTATTATGTCTAAGGTCATTTCTCCCAAGGACAATTTCTCAAAATTCTCTTTTAAGTGTGTACTTTGAGCCAATCATATAACTTCTGTGAACTTTGGTTTCTTCATTAAAAAAACAAAAATAAAAATTCTTTCCTTATCCAGTACTCGGTCATCTGTGTTTGAGATGCATTCTGGTAAAGAAGGAGCAACCACTGGTGAGAAGGTGAGGAGAATAATGAGCTTCTGCCAGAGATGCTCAGTAAATACCACACAGAGCCTTTGAGATGGAAGAGATGGAGAACAGGGCACAGGTCTTCTGTCTTCCTATCTACTAATGGGAATATGAAGAATATGAAGGGTTTGAGAGCTGCTGGGTGTGCAGAGCCTGAACATTACATTCCATATAGTATTAAATACTTATATCAGTCCTTCAAGATAGGTGATGCTATCTCCCCTTTACCGATAGGGGAGATTTATTAACATTGCAGTGCACAAGTTAATAAGTGACAGAGCACAGTCTATATTCTGGCTGAGTCCCAAACTCATATTCCTTCCACTGCACATGCTGCCTCTAGAAAAGAAGCATAAAAGAAAAAAAAATAGAGCAATGTGGTAAAATCAAAGAAGTAAGATGTGTTGCCTTGTACACTTTCCTCTAGGAGAGGTTTAGAAGAAAGAAGAGAAGGACTACCAGAAGAGATGAGAGAGCCTTAGCAGCATCCAGAGAGGAGAAGAGGGCATGTCATGGAAAGCTTTGATGGAAGATTTTTTGAGGATGAGACCAAGGACATGTTACAATGTTTTGGATCACATCAGCAGAGGAATCAAAGATGACCCTGAATTTTTGAGTTGAGGGGTCTCATTGGATTGTATGGCCAATAGCAAGGATAGAGAATGAATAAAGAGGAGCATTCCATTTAGATCGCTTTCAAAATAGGATGTACTCCCATCAATCTAAAATGGATAAAGTTGGTTCTGCCTGCTGAAAGGACAGTGGAATGAAACTTACAGAAGTTCTTCTCAAACATTCTCACGACATTCTCATGACAACCTCAAAGCCCAGTCATTAACTAAATTGAAAAGTACAAAAGGAGAAATGGAAATGGTTTTGGGTGAAGAATGTGGGTTTAAGGTTTTAAGAATGCTGTCTGTGAGGTGTTCCAGTGGAGGGATACAGGGTGGAAACATCCATCAACAGTCATGTAGAATCTCAGGCTCATGATTAGATTACTAAGATTACAGCTTGGCACTTAGAGCTCAGGTCTAGAAGTGAGGACGTGTGGATGAGATGTGTAGAGGTGATGGTTGAACCTATCATAATGGTCACAGACACAACCAATGAGGAGAAGAAAAGAAAGGGAGACATATGGCCAGGCGCGGTCACTCATGCCTGTAATCCTAGCACTTTGGGAGGCTGAGGTGGGTGGATCACAAGGTCAGGAGCTCGAAACCAGCCTGGCTAATAGGGTGAAACCCCATCTCTATTAAAAATACAAAAATTAGCTGGGCATGGTGGCATGCGCCTGTAGTCCCAGCTGCTCGGGAGGCTGAGGGAGGAGAATTGCTTGAACCCCGGAGGCAGAGGTTGCAGTAAGCCGAGATTGCGCCACTGCACTCCAGCCTGGGTGACAGAGAGAGACTCCATCTAAAAAAAAAAAAAAAAAAAAAAAAGAGAAAGGGGGAGACAGGTAAGAAATAGTCAAAGGTTTGGGAGGGGAAATCTAAGGTCATGTAGGCCAATAATTAGAAACAATGTTTGAACAGAAACATGACCAAAAATGATATGCTAAACAAGGGGTGGATTATTCATGCCTCCCCATTTTAGACCATGTAGGGTAACTTCCTGATGTTGTCATGGCATTTGTAAGCTGTCATGGCACTGGTGGGATTGTAGCAGTGAAGACGACCAGAGGTCACTCTCGTTGCCATCTTGGTTTTGGTGAGTTTTAGCTGGCTTTTTTACTGGAACGCATTTTATCAGCACAAATAAATGTCAAATATGCTTTTACATAGGCTAGGTTTTATTTGACATGCAAGAGTAGATGAGACTGGGAAGCCAGGTAGGGTTGCATATGTGGTGGAAGTCCTTGATTGCAAGGCAAGGCCTTTATTTGCTAGTATAGTTGGCATATACTGCAAATTGAATCTAACCAAAACAGCAGTGGGTGTGATACAAGGCACACACTGAAGCAGAATAACACTTCACTGGGTTATATTAAGCAAATAAAAAAGAGAATATCTGATTTGTGTGTATGTAAGCGCTCCTGCCCAAAGGAATGAAAACAACAATTATTTTAACACTTGGACATAGACTGAATATAATAGAGTCATTAGGAGGGAAAGAGCTGCATCAAGGGCTAATGGTCATGGTAATTATTTTATTTATTTAAAAATAAATATTTTCAAGATACAAAATGTGCTAGTTTCTGCAATGCCAAGAGTTTACCACCCTGTATGCCAATATGCCTTGCATCCTGATCTTGTAACCCAACTATTGTAGGCTGCATTGGAAACTTGGCATAGAAATATCATACATAATTATTGATAAAAAAAGGAGATTGTATGCAAAGTGCCTGGTCCACAGTAATTGAGCAGTAAATACTTTCTCCTATTTTCCACAGTGAAAGGTAGGCAAGAAAAATTAAAATGCTCTGAGGTGTGAAGCAAGTTATTTCTTATTTTTGTGTATGTTAAAGACTCACTCAATTGAAGATACAAATTACATGTGAAGAGGGGAACATAAAGATATGATGATGATGAAGGCCAGTAAGAAATGAGCTACTCCTGGCTTTCACTTTAAGAGCCACTACTAGAAACTAAATTGCATTCTAATCGATTACATATATTAACTCATTTAGTTTGTACAACAACTCTCTATTATGATTCCCATTTTATATATGAAGAAATAGAGGCACTAAAAAGAATAAGTAATGGGCCCAAGTTCATACAGCTGGTATATGCCAGAGATTTCAACCTAGGCAGCCTGGCCCTAGAGCTACAGTTCTTAATTGCTGTGCAGTATCATTTCTCTGTAAATAAAGTCACTGTGCTGCTGGAGGAACATGTGAGAAAGAGATCAAAGAAGCTGAAGCAAATTAACAAAATGAAATACAAAGCTAAATGAATAATAGAGAGTTGGACCATATGAAATTGCCACTTCTGTAGATCAAATTCAATAGCATGTTGGCAATTTTGTGTGATTTCGCATAGAAAAAGGAGACATGGGAGTATTTAAAAGCATGTATTGAACATGTGCAGAGTGCCAATCACTAGACACAGATGATTCAAAGCTGAATAAGATGGCTCCTGTCCACAAAAATGCCCTGGCTAAGTAGGAGAGATGAATGCATAAACAAGAATTACAATAGAATGGTATATTTTCAGTAATACAAATATGTGGATCGATGGTTTGCAACCTTGACTGAGCATTGGAATCGTGTTATAATTTTGTAAAAATTGACCATTTTATAATTGAGATATCCCATCAGAGATAGCCTGATCAGTCTCCTGAGGTGGGTTTTTTAAAAGTGACAGGTCATAACCTCTGAAAATAAATGTGTTGGAAATGATAGCAGAAACTTCAAATGCTACAGTATACTTATAAAAAAGGAAGTTTTTGTCCATGAAATAAAAGCTGGTAGATTGCATAGCATCTTGACTTTTTTAAGGTCCCTGACCTCACTGAGAAACTGATTAAAGTTGTGGATGTTTTTGCAGAAAGTTGCCCACATGCATAGTGAGTGGAGGTCCATAAAGCCAAGACTAAACAGTTAAGAATTCCTGCATCAGAGACTATGGTTGAAAAGAATAAATAAACTTTTAACACAGGAAGTGTAAGAATAGGACAAATGTAGATACAGCGTCTACTCCATAAACAAGGTAGGAAAGAAGATTCATGGCAACACGTGAAATGATTCACAACAAAATATTTAGAGTGAGTTGGATAAAGTGACAGCAAAGACAGAGTGGAAAAGCTGTAGTGACAGAGTATATTTGGACTTACTAAGGGAACAGAGAGAAAGGTACAAAAAATGATATCATGGTCTTGGCTGTGAGACTCTCTGGGATTCTAAAAATGCTGAGGTCCATACATGTTCTGGTGCAAGTACCAGGAGAAAACAGAGCAGGAACAGAGCAGGTACAGAGAGGAAAAAGGAAAATAATATATAGTTAATATGTTATGCTTTAAAAAATGTCTGAGATCAACTTTTTCAAATTTTGAATATTTAAAATCACTTTAGTTAAATTATCTATCTAATGTGAAAAAAACCTTGTAATCACAAAAGTATACTACAGTACCATAGATTCCAACTGACATAGTTTAAAGGTTAATATCTAGCCAAGTGCTTTTGGAGAGTTATAATGTCAGAGGCGTGTGACCCAGAACAACTACATCTTGAATAGGAGCTGGGTAAAATGAGGCTGAAACCCACTGGGCTGCATTCCCAGATGGTTAAGGATTCTGAGTCACAGGATGAGATAAGAGGTTGGCACAAGATACAGGTCATAAAGACCTTGCTGATGAAACGCATTCCAGTAAAAAAGCCAGCTAAAACTCACCAAAACCGGGAATGACCTCTGGTCGTCTTCACTGCTACAATCCCACCAGTGCCATGACAGTTTACAAATGCCATGACAACATCAGGAAGTTACTCTATATGGTCTAAAAAGGGGAGGCATGAATAATCCACCCCTTGTTTAGCATATCAAGAAATAACCATAAAATGGGTAACCAGCAGCCCTCAGGGCTGCTCTGCTTATGGAGTAGCCATTCTTTTATTCCTTTACTTTCCTAATAAACTTGCTTTCACTTTACTCTATGGGCTCGCCCTGAATTTTTTCTTGCACGAGATCCGAGAACCCTCTCTTGGGGTCTGGATTGGGATCCCCTTCCTTAACAATAGTGTCATTTTTATCCCAAATGTTTCCTCTTCCATTTTAAAATCTTCTTCATTACAACCATTGGCACCTCTTTTTACCTTGAAAGCAAAGCTAGTCTTTACTGTGGCTGTGCTTCTAAGGTTTTTAACAAACCCATGTTGAGTACATCTTTCAACTTTCATTTTTATTCTTTTGTCTCCTTTCTTTTGCTTCTCCAATCACTGGTATGGAGAATTACTTCATTCCAGGGCTCTCTAAAGATATAATGAGCCTTTCTCTCCTTTCTGACTTCCCTCTGCAACATTCCTTTCTTTACTTTCTCCTGACACTATAGGAACAGCCTTTCTATTGACCTTATTAATTATAAAAGGACAAGATTAGCATCATGAGTATAGTTCTCAAATATAGCAGCGTATAAAATACGAATGACATTTTTCTGTGTGCTTACAATGTAAAGCAATTATAATAGGGATGTTATGGTTGGCTTTATAAGTAAATATTCTGATTTATACTACCTGTATCTACAGCTACATAATTGATATGCAAATTTGACTTTGTTTTGCATAAGTTTATCTGGCCATTATATCTATTTATAAATGTAGTTTGTGATTATATACACTTAGAGGTACTTGGTGTACTAGTTGAAATTTTATTTCCACATACCTCTGTGGGAGTCTGTTGAGCCTTTTTTTCAGATTTTGGCAAATCTTTGCTTCCTCTTCTTTTTAAGGATAACTGAAACAAAGCATGAATATATTTAGTTGGATAAACTATAATTTTAATTCAATTTTATGTTTTTAAGTATTCTAGTCTCAAACGACAAAACCAAGACAAATAAAAAGAGTTAGTTCAATAATCATAAAAGGAGGAAAAAAAATCCTAAACCAGATAGATTTAGATATATTTTTACTTTGGACTAGGATACACATCACAGTAGAATGTAGCTGGCAATTATTTAATTTGAGAAATACAGGAAACCTACTGTGAAAATGCAGAAAAACAACAGACAAAATTGATTGTTGACTCAATATGATATATAGTTCAAATGTAAACAAATGCTTGTTAGCATTCCACATCACTGAAGGAAAAAAAGTAAGTTATTATTTCCAATGTTGGGAGTTAGGTTGCTATAAGCTTATGAACACACACTTTCAGTGAATTTATGTAGAATCGGAAGCACTTCATTCTCCCCTCACCACACATCACCCCCTTGCTCCTCCTCGACACGTGCAAAATGATAGGGCATGGTAGGGGTTGTAGTGAAATGGAGAAGGCATGCCCCATCTCAAGAAACAGGTGGACCAGCCACAGCTTCAGCTCATTGTGTGATACAGGAATGTGGGCTTTTACAAGAGAAGCTGGGAATCTGGATTCTTATGTAAAATCTCCCACATTTTACTGGCTGATCCTAATTAAAATTCAAACTAACACTTTGGAAGTCAAAGAATACACAGCTAGTGCCAAACTGTTTCAAGGACAAGCGTAATATGATCTCTGGTGCTCAGTTCCATTTCTCACACCAATATAAGAAGAAGGGTCTCTGTATGTAAACAATAATTATCCGTATGTATGACTGTCTACCATATACTACACATTGAGGGGGAGACTCAAAGTTTGATTAGATACTGCATCTACCATCAGGAAGCTGAAACTTAGCAGGGGAGGAGACAGAGAAGCAAACAATTACAGTGCAAATTGATAAATGCTATGCTTTAGGTTCTGTGAAGCAGGGGTTTTGATTTAGTGTGGCATCACCACCATAAAAATAGTGCTTGCCACATGGCAGGTGGTGAAAAAAATACTTGCTGAACTAATGATATATGAATACCAAATCGAGGTTCTGAGGTCAAAGAGAAGGACAGGGGTATAGACTGACAGTAAAAATAGGGAAGCCTTTTCCAAACAGGAGTCTTCATAAATTCGCAAAGAAATGAAAATTAAATTCTTCACATGTTAATTTCTAACCCATATCCACTGTTAAGTAAAGGCATACGTTCAAGCACAGAAGGCAGGGGAATACTTTGGTGCAACTGCTTTCATTCAGTATGAAACTGAAACTACACAGACAAATGAATAGCCCACGTGGTTATTCATTTCTAGTTCTTTACAGGAAGAAGTTCTTTCTGTTGCTTGTATAATCTTCTTAGAAAGGAAAGCTTGGGGACTGACTCACCATAACCAAAAAGTAATTTAGGAAGTAATCAACAAAACAGTCCCAAGAATACCAAGAATAAAGTGAGCTAAACTAAGAAACCTGGAACATTCTAGGTAGGGGCTGCCTACAAGAAGCGTTGAATTTGTTTCACTAAATACTTATTGAATGCTTGTATTTGAATTCACTCAATTATGTGTTTATTTAGTGACTACCAATGCACTTCATAACATACCTGTGACACAATAATAATGAAACCAATGTGATCTTTGCTCTTTTGGGGGTTCTCAGCTTACTTGGCATGATCTGTTCAGTCTGGAATTCAACACAGTGTTATGAAAGCAATGATAATACAAGAACAATATTAACTGTCATTGAGCCCTAATTCATGTCAACCCCTTCACATACATTATCTCAGCTAATTTTTAAACACTCCTTTTAGCCTCACTTTGCAGGTGCTGAAACTAAAGTTTACAGGGGTAACAGAAGTAGATGAATAAATTATCAAAAGCATCAGTTATCTCTGTGCTCCTCAGAACAGCATCATCAGTGTCACCCAGAAAGCTGTTGGAAAAGCAAATTCTTGAGATTCATCCCAGAACCACTGATTCAGAAACTCTGAGGATGAGGCCCAGTGATCTATGATTTAATAAGCTAAAGTTTGCAAATGTCTAAAGTTACTAGTTGGTAACAATAACTTCAGACCTTGACCCAAGTCTTTCTCATATCTAACTGTTAGCTATTAGATCACTAAGGAGAAAGACTTTATCTAATCTAGGGCTAGAGATGGTGTGGGGAGCTAGGGATAATTTCCAAAATGAGTAGCATCTTATCTAGAATCTGGTGCATGAGTAGTTAGCCAATGGAAGATGAAGAGGAGGAAAAGGGAAAAAAAAAGGCATTCCACATAGAAAAACCATTTCTGGGACAGAAATTCCATATGGGTGTTACAGAGTGAGAGGAGAGGAGTGACATGAGATTTGCTGGTGGCATAAGTCAGATCTTGAAGGACATTGAATAAAGATTGAATTTTATCTTATTCAGGTCAAATTATTGTCCTAGGGTCAACTTGGAGCACTAAATGCTCCTATTGAGCAAGAAATGTCATAATTAGACTGTCATAGAGATATACAAAGACACAAGGGTGGCAGTACAAATCGCTGTGAGATAAAGATGTTACATGCAGGGGTTTCAAGGGAAAGTATGTTCTAGTTCTGGAAATGTTTTTTGGTCTTTGTGTTTCATTCATTTCATAGGTATTTAGTTTCTGGTCTATATGTGGTACTGTATATATGCCAAACACATGTGACTAAGAAATATTGTACTCTTTCCCCAAAGAGCTAACTGTTTATAATGATAAAAAGGATGCAATTAGCAAAAACAGTGGGCAGAACTAACTCAGGGCAATAAATGAACAAAAAGGGACTGAGAGGGCAAAGGAAGAAGCTCTAATTCCAGATCTGGGGAATCAGAGAAAATCATTCAAGAGAACTGACTTTTGAAGGATATGCAAAATTTCAACAGAAATAAAACTGAACAAACTGTTGTAGGAGTAAAGATATAGAGGAATGAGTTTGCCTTTCAGATGCACTAACTCCTGAAAAGAAGTGATGGAGGTAGGGCCACTGTAGAGATGGGGTAAAAGAAGATGCAGAAAAGATTGAGGTCAGCTTGTGCAGCTGAGAAATTTAGACTTTATCCTGTGGGCAATGTTAAAATGAGACCTCTAAATTAATATAAGAGCAATGCTGAAATTAGGGCATTCTTTCCTAAGAGGCATTTTCTATTTTGCTTTTATTTAAATATCACTCAGGTGGAGTGTTAAGCTCAAATAAAGCTCTGAAGTAAAGCCTTCCCCTTGAATAAAGATACATTAGCTTTCAGGTGCCTTTAGGGCTGCTACTATGTGTAAGTATCACATTTGCATTTTCAATAAATATTTCATATTTTCATATTCCAGTAAGTTTATGTTAACTTTCTGAATCCTATGAAACAAAGATGAGACATTTCTATGGATACAGAAAGTTAGAGAAATAATGTGAGTCCAAGTAGTCCCTTTCCTGTGAGGATGAAACTGTGTAACCTCCCCCCTTGTCATCCTCCCCCACCATCATCCACTAAATCTTGTAACCTCTGCTAGGGGAGCAGTTGGGGAGGCCACAATGAAATCTCAGATTTTCATATTTGCTGGCAAAGCAGGCACTTCTCTAGATGGTTCTCTAGATAAATACGTTGAAAACATTTATTGTCCACTTCTTAATTCTTTACATTCCCAGCCTCAGCTTGTCCAAAAGAGGCTGCTGTTTTTTTTGATCATGAGAAGGCCAGGAATTAGAGAGTTTTGCCAGTAATTATTTTTTCACAGCAATGATATAAAATGGGTTGTTTGTTTTCTAAAAATGTTTTGAGATTATCTTCCTTTTCTCAATTAAAATTTACTCCACTTAGTATGTAGCATCTTTATGTTTTCAGCAATTAAACCACAGAGAAGAATGTGCCTAACATGCTACCAAAAGACATATTATGCATATAGAAGTCTCCTATGCTGTTGATAAAATTAAAGAGAGATTCATTTGTGTGGTAATTAAATCAAGAAGGAAACTATAGAGACATTAATATTTAGATCTTTTGAGCCCTAAATATGTGTCATGCACTTTTCTAAGCACTTTATATGTATCTACTCATTCAGACTGACAACAGACTTATTGACACCATTGTCTGAAGCACACAATGGATTTATCGCTCAGCTAGCTAGTGTTAGAACCAGGATGCAAATTAGCCAGTTTCAGAGTTCCCACTCTGAACAACTACATTATACTGTTACTTCGACAGAAAAAGGTGCAATTTAGATAGCAGGCTTATATTATTTCTGAGCATATCCTTTATGGTAACAGAGCGTGACAGCAAGGTTTGGGGTACTAGGTTACATATATGACACATGTGCAGAAGTTTTAATATTTTCAACACAGGGATCAGCAGAAGTGACATACACCACTTACTGGTTCTTAAATCAATCTGTAAATACTGTGACTATAGGGTAACACTGGGAGGGAGGCCCAGGGATTGCCTGCTGGAAGGAAACTGAAAAAGGTAGAAGCTCTGTCTCCAACTTGTCTTGGAAGGGGACAGAATGGGCTCTTGTTCCTAGAAGTCTTCCTCTTTTCCTTCTATTACATCCTTGACACTTACCCAGACAGACTGGCAGAGGCAGAACAGGTGAAGTGCCCAGAGAGCTTACTTAGGACCACATTCACTCTCTTCCCTAAAAGGGTGAGGCAGGATCCCAAGCTTCATACTAAGGCATGATCTTAAGGTCCAGAGGGGAATGTGGGTGAAGAAGAGGCACATGCCAGGGTGATCAAGCTGTATCATCCTGTGCAAAATCTTTCAGTGGCTTCCCATCTCACTGAGTTAGAGTCATGCTTTACTAAGGTATACCAGACCCTGACTACACACTGGATTTATTCTGGTAATGTTTTATAAAGACTTGACCAGATTTCAACCCAGACCAATTAAAACAGATTTTGGGATTGGGCCCAGACATTTTTTCAAAGCTCCCAGAGTGACTAGAATGTGTAGCTGGTTCTGTCAACTACCAGCCCACTCTATGTGGTCACCCCACCCCCCAATCCCACATCCCAAACAAGCCCTTCAACCTCATCTCCCACCACACTCCTCACTGCTTTCTTTGCTCTAGTGTCACAGGCATCCTTGCAGTTCCTCAAACATACCAAGTATGCCCTTGTTTGGGGCCTTTGGATTATGGCTTCCTCTGCCTGCAACATTCTTCCATCATATACTCTCATGACCCACTTCCATAGTCTCTTCAGGGTTCCTAATAAGAGAGACCTTCCCAGGCCATTTCATATCAAAAAGCAAATCCTTCGGCCATTCTCTTCCTTTGCATATTCCTTGTCTTCCTAATTCTGCTTTTTAATTTTTCCCCATAGCTCCTCTAATCTCACCAACTGACTTGTATATTTGTTTGTTTCAATGTCTGTTTTCTCATTCTGCAATGTGAGCTCCACAAGAGCAGGCTCCTAGAATTGGTCTCTGTTATAGCTCCTGCTCTTAGAAATATACCTGACACAAAGTAGTTGTTTAGTCTATGTCAGTTCAATGAGGAAACAGCCACTGTAGCTTTATTTCTTACCTAGATTTGTTTTGGAAGCGTTACTAAAAGTCAATAAATGATAACAGGTAAACAAAAGCCCATTTGAAAAGGTCTACTTTAAAAGTAGACCTTTAAAAAGCTGGAATATAAAATGGAAAGAAGCTGGAAAAATAAAAATGTCTTAGGCTTTTCAACAAAAAGACTAAAGAGTCAAAATTGTATGAGCTGAAAAGTATTTAAAACAGGACATATCACATATAGCTGGCCCTCTGTATCTACAGGTTTCACATCTGTGGATTCAACCAACCACAGATTGAATTTTTTTTAAGTACAACAATAAAAAATAATGCAAACTTAAAAATGATACAGTAAAAACCACTATTCACATAACATTTACATTGTATTATGTATCATAAGTAATCTAGAGTTGATATAAAGCACAGGCATACCTTGATTTATTGAGCTTCACTGTATTGTACTTCACAGATACCACAATTTTTACAAATTTAAGATTTGTGGAAACTCTGCATTGAGCAGGTCTATTCGTGCAATTTTTCTAAAAGCATGTGCTCATTTTGTGTCTCTGTGTTACATTTTGGTAATTCTCCCATTATCTCAGACTTTCTCATTATTATTATATCCATTATGATAATCTGGGATGAATGATCTTTGATGTTACTCTTTCAATTGTTTTGGGGCACGATTAACTTCACTGATATAAATTGGCTAACTTAAATGTGGTGTGTGTTCTATCTGCTCCACCAACTGGCTGTTCTCCCATCTCTCTCCCTCTCAGGCCTATTCCCTGAGACACAACAGTATTGAAATAGGCCAATTAATAACCCTACAATGGCCTCTAAGTTTTCAAGTGAAAAGAAGAGTCATATGTCTCTCACTTTAAATCAAAAGCTAGAAATAATTAAGCTTGGTGACGTAGGCATGTCCAAAGCCAAGATAAACCAAAAGCTAGGCCTCTTGTGACAAACACCTAGGCCTCTTAGCCAAGTTGTGAATGCAAAGTAAAAGTTCTAGAAATAAATTAAAAGTGCCACTCTAGTGAACACACAAATAATAAGAAAGCAAAACAGCCTTATTGCTGATATGCAAAAAGTTTTAGTGGTCTGGATAAAAGATCAAACAACCCACAACATCCCCTTAAGCCAAAGCTTAACCCAGGGCAAGGCCCTTACTCTTCAATTCTATGAAAGTGAAGGAAGAGAGGTGAGGAAGCTGCAGAAGAAATGTTAGAAGCTAGTGGGCATTGGTACATGAGGTTTAAGGAAAGAAGCCATCTCCATAGCACAAAAGGGCAAGGTTCAGCAGCAAGTGCTGATGTAGAAGCTGCAGCATGCTATTGGGAAGATCTAGGTAAGATGATTGGTGAAGGTGGCTACACTAAATAATAGACTTTCAATGTAGATAAAACAGCCTTCTATTGGAAGAAGATGCCATCTAGAACTTTCATAGCTAAAAAGGAGAAGTCAATGCCTAGCTTCAAAGCTTCAAAGACAGGCTTTCTTGTTGGGTGCCAAAATAGCTGATAATTTTAAGTTGAAACCAATGCTCATTTACCATTCTGAAAATCCTAGGGTCATTAAGAATTATGCTAAACCTATTCTGCCTCTGTTCTATAAATGAAAGGACAAAGCCTTTATGACAGCATCTCAATTTACAGCACAGTTTACCAAATATTTTAAGCCCACTTTTGAGACCTACTGCTCAGAAGAAAGGATCCCTTTCAAAAGATTACTGCTCGTTGATAATGCACTTGGTCAAACAGGAGCTCTGATGGAGATGTGCAAGGAGACTAATGTTCTTTTCATGCCTGCTAACACAAAATCCATTCTGCAGCCCATAGATCATGGAGTAACTTTAACTTTCAAGTCTTATTATTTTAAAAATGTACTTTATAAGGCTATAGCTGCCAGGTAGTGATTCTTATGATGAATCTGGACAAAGTAAATTGAAAATCTTCTGGAAAGAAATGGCATTCTAGATGCCATTAAGAATATTCATGATTGGGCCAGGCGCAGTGGCTCACGCCTGTAATCCAAGCACTTTGGGAGCCTTAGGCAGGTGGATCATGAGGTCAAGAGATTGAGACAATCCTGGCCAACACGGTGAAACTCCGTCTCTACTAAAAATACAAAAATTAGCCTAGTGTAGTGATGCGTGCCTGTAGTCCCAGCTACTCGGGAGGCTAAGGCAGAAGAATTGCTAGAACCCGGGATGCAGAGGTTGCAGTGAGCTGAGATCGCACCATTACACTCCAGCCTGGGGGACAGAGCAAGACTCCATCTCAAACAAACAAACAAACAAACAAAAACACACACAAAAAAGAATATTCATGATTGATTGGAGACGGTCAAAACATTAACAGGAGTTTGGAAGAAGTTGATTCCAACCCTCAGGGATGAGTTGAGGGGTTCAAGACATCAGTTGAGGAAATAAATGTGGTGACAATAGCAAGAGAACTAGAAGTATAGCCTGATTGTGATTGACTTGCTGAAAGCTCCTGATACAACTTTAATGGATGAGGAGTTGTTTCTTATAGATGAGCAAAGGAAGTGATTTCTTGAAATGAACTGTATTCCTTGTGAAGATGATATGAACTTTGCTGAAATGACAACAAAAAGTTTAGAATATTCCATAAACTTCCTTCATAAAACAGTGGCAAGTTTTGCAAGAATTTATTCCAATATTTTAAGAGATTCTACTGTGGGTAAAATGCTGTCAAACAGCATTGCCTGCTACAGGGCAGTCTTTCATAAAAGGAAGAGCCAACTGACGTGGCAAATCACATTGTTGCCTTATTTTAGGGAATTGTCATAGCCACTCCAACTTTTGGCAACCACCACCCTGATCAGTCAGCAGCCATCAACATCCAGGGAAGACCCGCCATCCAACTAGATGATGACTTGTTGAAGGCTAAGATGATCCTTAGGATGTTTTAGCAATAAAGTATTTTAAAATTAAGGTATATACTTTTTTTAGATACCATGTTATTGCACACTTAACAGACTACAGTATAGTATAAACATAACTTTTACATGTACTGGGAAACCAAACAATAGTGTGACTTGCTTTACTGCTGTGGTCTAAAACAGAACCTGCAATATCTCTGAGGTAGGCCTATAAATGGGAATATGTGAGTAGACCAGCCTGGGCAATATGGTGAGACTTTATCTCTACAAAAATTTTTTAAAAGTTAGCCAGGCATGGTGGCATGCAGCTAGTCCTAGCTACTTAGGAAGCTGAGCCAGGAGGATAGCTTGAGCCCAGGAGTTCGAGGCTGCAGTAAACTATAAACCCACCACTATACTCCAACCTAGGTGACCCTAGACTCCAGCAAGACCCTGTCTCAAAAAAAAAAAAAAAAAAAAAAAAGATGGACTCTACTTCCGTACCTCTTCTAACTGAACTGGCCTTGTGACTTGCTTTGACCTGTAAAATCTGTTGGCAGAAATGGCGTGCTGGTTCTGAGTCTACCCTTGAGAGATTGTACAATTCTGCTCACTCTCTCTTGGAAATCTGCTACCCTGTGTTTTAAGTCTGGGCTGGCCTGCTCCATGAAAAGTCATGTGGCCCAGATGCTCCTATTGCCCTAGTGAACAGCCAGTTAATCCTCAATGCAGAGCCTTCTAGCTGTTATCTGACCATAAATACATGCATGGACCTACCTGAGACCAGAATGGACCACAGAATTATGAGCCACATAAATGTTGTTTTAAGCCACAAAGTTTTGGGATGGTTTGCTACACAGCAAAAATCCACTGACACATCTACCAAACATTCTTCACCCCGGGATTAAAAAATACACTAGGCTAATAAATTTAGTTCAGATTTATAAACAATATCCTGTATTCAAATTCCATAAAAGCGAAAAAAAAAGAATGTAAAAGGCTAAGAGGAAGAGTTGAGAAGGTTATCAAACACAAGAAAAATAAAGCTTAATGTATTTTCCTTGTTTTTATTTCTCCCCTGCCTTTGCCACTATTTTGATTCCAGAAATTTTTTATTTTTAAGACGGAGTCTCACCCTGTCGCCCAGGCTGGAGTGCAGTGGCCCGATCTCGGCTCACTGCAAGCTCTGCCTCCTGGGTTCACGATGTTCTCCTGCCTCAGCCTCCCTAGTAACTGGGACTACAGGCGCCCGCCACCACACCCGGCTAATTTTTTGTATTTTTTTAGCAGAGGCAGGGTTTCACCGTGTTAGCCAGGGTGGTCTCAATCTCATGACCTCGTGATCCACTCGCCTCGGCCTCCCAAAGCGCTGGGATTACAGGCCTGAGTCACCAGGCCCAGCCCCCAGAAAAATTTTTTAATGAAACTGAGCTTAAATAAATTATTTTTAAAGTTCACTTTTCCAGTTCTAAATTGCAGATGCTGCCCTTACTAATAGCAGGTGTTCAATTAGCACCAAAGGTATATAGGAGTTAAAAGCTAATAAATTTCATCCTAACATTTAAGCTTATTATATATGAAGTGTTTCTTCTATTTGAACTTAGCTTTTATTCTTCATTTTTAGGAAGAAGTGATATATACATCTTCACAATGCCTTTATCTATGCCTCTGATTTATATTTGTTCATCCCACCCTTAGTTTTAGCAAACTTTGTTTATCATTCTGTTTCTATAGTTTTCCTAGGCAAGAGAAGAACAATAACTTTAAATATTCCAAAATTTCCTACTTATGTAAATTTACAGAGTTGAAGCACAAATACAAAGTGAACTATACCCAGAAAATTATCAATTTTAATTTAAGGATTCGATTTTCCAAACTTACAGTGATAGTTTAAAAAGCCAGACTTTAGAAAAGAATAGAGAAGGGAAGAAAAGAAGCATTATTAATTCATTGATTCTAATAAATAATGTTGGAAGATATGGGAAGGAAAGTTGATTGGCAATTTAAATCTGGAAATTGTTTCCAGAAGGTAATAATAAATTTTAAAAGTCCTGGATTTTTCACTTTGACTCCCTTCTAAAGATGGTCATAGAGGCACATGTCAGAGGTGAGGAGGTATATCTGGCATACAGATGTTTATGTCATGAAGGCAGAGACCTGAATTTGCCAATAAATCAGCCAGCCCTCTTCTGCTAGACAGCTAAACCCTTTCTCCATCCCATAAGGCCAGGTACCGTTCCTATCTTTTGAGTTATGAGGCTGCCAAACTTATTTCATCCTATCTCCAGTGAATGCCTAAATAAAAGCAAATTTTAAAAGCTGAGAAAACTATTTTTCTGCTCTAAAAACTGATACAATGCCAAACTAAAATAGCTGTGATCATGGTATTATTTTGTTTTATTTTTTTAAATTAAAGAATCCAATAAATTTTCCTTTTCCTAGTTCCTCTATTCTTTTCCCATGTGATAAAGTAGATACCTACAGCAGAGCTCAGATTGACGACAGAGTTATGTGAATTCTTTATCGTTAAGGAATATTAATGAGTCAATTTGTAGAGCATACCCTTGAACCAGGCTACCAATAAAAGAGGAAACTTTTAAGTCTTTTTTGGTGTGGGAATCAGAATTATCTTCACAGGGCCAAATAGGTTTGCATGGCCCTTCAGTTGTACAGTGTCTTTTTAAGCCATTCTTTGGTGCCAGGAATTACTTTAGAACATATCTGCCCTTTTCCTAGTGTATTATTTGGTAATAAAGCTTAAATGTCTTTAAATTGGAACCCATGCTTTGTAACTATTAGTGGCATTAAACTTAAAATGGCAAAACTGCAATTACTTTTGCACCAATTTAAGTGTACAGTGAAATTTAGGTACATCAGAAACTTAGAAAGTAAGATGCTGAACTTAACTCTAGAAAATATAAGAGAGCTTAAAAACCATAGGATATCAGAAAGAAGAAAAAAAAATAGAGGCTTCTCTTGTTAATGGGATGTGGTTACAACAGAACTGGAGGAAATAGCACTGACAAAAAACTGTAACAGTTGAGGCCTACAAGATCCTTGTGAAAACATCCCCTTTAAAAGTCAGGTTAGAACTCCATATGGGCTGCCTTGCATTATGTAGTTCATATCATATGATCAAAATATTTCCTGGATCCTTAGGAAGAATTGGCCTCTGTATTTTCTAAGCTTCTCTGGGATTCATCAAGGGACTCAAGGCTACCAGTGAAGTAGTTTATGATACAATTAACTCTTTCATCATTGTAGAACCTTCTTTTGGAGCAGGGTATGGGTTATTAGAGGGTCTGTCAAACTGCCAATAATAAACTGATCACAAAGCAAGACCACCTTGCTTTAAAAAATCAAAGCCAACATGGTAAGTGCTTCTTTAATATATCATGTATTATACTTGGTTGGCACCATGCAAAAGCCTCAGAGAACTCCACCCAAGCAAATGGATTTAAGACTGGGATATTTCTCAGCTTAGAGTTTTAAAAAATCTGAGAACCTGGTGGCTCACACCTGTAATCCCAGCACTTTGGGAGGCCGAGTCGGGCAGACCACGAGGTCAGGAGATCAAGACCATCCTGGCTAACATGGTGAGACCCCGTCTCTACTAAAAATACAAAAAAGTAGCCGGGCATGGTGGTGGACACCTATAGTCCCAGCTACTAGGAAGGCGGAGGCAGGAGAATGTCATGAACCTAGGAGGCGGAGCTTGCAGTGAGCCAAGATCAAGCCCCTGCACTCCAGCCTGGGCGACAGAGCATGACTCCATCTCAAAAAAAAAAAAAAAATTATTTTATATCTTAGATCCACAGTAAAGATATGTTTATTAAACTATGGATGACAACAACAAATGCAGAGATGTATTCTAATTTACTCTTGTTAATGGATTGGGTTCTAACCATCATTGCATTGAGTAATTAAAAGACACTTAGAAAATTATGTCTGGGTGGTGACCAGAGTTCCTTAAGGCCTTTGTTTATAATTCAGGCAAAGAAAAAAAACTGTGGCCAACATTTATAAGGTGAAAGGATGAGCTGTCCAGTCTATTCTACACTGCATCTCAACCAGCTTCGAACTCATTAATGCAGTGAAATTAGCAACATTGTTCTATCAGGATTAGAATCTTGTAAGAAATATGCTTGAATGTGCCATTACAAGATGGCAGGACACTAAGGGGTGGGCATTACATGAGTGTTTTAAAATTATTCTTTACACAATTACATATTTAAGATATTTCATAATACAAATTTAAAGGTCAGAGTATTCATTAATTTCCAAAATGCACTGAAAGGATATAGAAGCACTTTTCTGAGGGTAATTCCTGGACTGGGTTAAATGTGATAGCCCACAATTACACTTTAAAATTTTTGGAATTAGTTACCAAATTTAAAAATGTAAACCATTTACATTTGAAAAATCCAAATTTCCAGTTTCACTTGAAACACTTGAAGAACGGGTAAAGTTGGGTCTAGATTATGGCATGGCAACGCTGGGTTAAATTGAATATTAAGACATACACTCTCGGCTGGGCATGGTGGCTCACGCCTGTAATCCTACCATTTTGGGAGGCTGAGGCGGGTGGACTGCCTGAGCTCAGGAGTTTGAGACCAGCCTGGACAACATGGTGAAACCCCATCTCTACTAAAATACAAAAAACTAGCTGGGGGAAATAAATGCATGTACACAAGAGCATGAGATACCACTGCCACAGGAATAAAATATTCCACATATTAATGAAGTTAAGGAAAGTAATCAAAGATGAACCAGACTTATTTCCTAAAGTAATATTTTTTAAAGAAAATTTACCCTGTTCATATTGTTACTCAAATTGACAGAATTCTGAGTTAATATAGTATAAAGCTATCATTTACTTCTGATTAAAATATATCTGAAGGCCAAGACAAAAACGTAAACACAGTAATATCAAAAACTAACATGGTAGTCAAGCATTAACCAGAATCTGAGAAAATTTTTTTTTAAAAATAACATCAGTGAAATTCAAACAAGAAATATAAGCTATCGAATGTATGGCCTTCAATGTGTGAAACAGAAGGATTTGACATGCAGACCAATGAAAACTAGAAATCCTGTTTCTTAAAAGGCTAAATGTAAATTTGCCATATGACCCAGCCATTCCAATCTTAGGTACATACTCAAGAGAAATAAAAACATATATCCACCAAGGACTTTCACAGTAATATTCCTAGCAGCATTGTTCATAATAACCAAAAGTTGGAAACAACCCAAAATTCCACCTACTGGTGAGTGAATAGATAAAATATGATATTTGCCCAATGGAATATTATTTGGCAATTTACAAAAGGAATGAACTATGGATACATGATATGACACAGATGAATGAATAGATAAAATATGATATTTGCCCAATGGGGTATTATTTGGCAATTTACAAAAGGAATGAACTACGGATACATGGTATGACACAGATGAACTTGAAAAACACTATGTTAAGTAAAAGAAGCCAAACCTAAGAGACCACATACAGTGCAATTTCATTTATATGAAATGTCTAGAAAAGGTAAATTCATAGATAAAAGAAGTAGATTAGTAATTGCCTGGAGGTAGTCAAAGGGAAGGAAGAAATAGGAATTAACAATAAATGGGCATGAAGAATCTCACTACTATGGTAATTAAAATGTACTAAAACTGATTTATAGTCATTGTTGCACAACGTGGAAGTTTACTACAAAATCACTGAATTGTACCATTGGAAATGGATTAATTATATTACATGTAAAATATGATTCAACAAAGTTATTTAAAAAATCAATCAGGTAGCTAAAACTTCTGCACCCCAATCATATTTTCCCCAGTACATGCATAAGTACTGCACAGACAATACTGTAGCTCTCTGGTGGTTAAATATTCAAACAAGTAGGAATTAGGCAAGGAAAAAGAGCTAGGTGACTAGCTGTGCAATCAATTATGAGATATATTCTTTCCTTATCCAAACATTCAGGGGAAGAAACATAGGTAGAAAAGACTTGGGAGCACCCATGTTGAGGTTTATTCTTTTTCATATATTAAAGGTAGTTAAAGAACAACTACAAACTTCTTCAAATATTTCTAAGATATGTCTCCCTCAGAGTCAGTGTACCTGAGTGCTGCAGTAGCAGCCTTTCCTACTTCAAACAGGCCAGAACTAGCTGAATGTTTACTATCATCAGTAATTGAGCTGGAATTGTGCACGTCAAGCTGTTCTATATCTTGGCTCTGAGAAGGGGCAACTAATAGCAAATGGAGAGTGAGAGGAACTAAGAAAAAAAGCCACACAGTGAGTATCTAAAGCCAACATTGAATGTATAAAGAATGTTTGACATTCAATGATGATATTTTCTAAGAGAAAGAAAAAGGAAAAAAGAAGATAAAATTGCACTGAGTCAAAACAAATCAATGAGGAAAGGATAGTCTTTTCGACAAACGGTGCTGGGGCAATTCGAGATCCACATGCAAAAAGATGAATTTAGACTCCCGACTCACTCTATACATGAAAATGACTCAAATTGGATTGTAGATCTGAATGTAAGAGCTAAATCCATGAAAGTCTTAGGAAAAGAAAAAACATTGAAGTGAATCTTCCTGTAGGTTAGGCAAAGATTTCTTAGATGCGACACCAAAAACATAAGTGATGAAACAAAAGAATACAAATTGGACTTGATCAAAATTGCAAACTTTTGCACTTCAAAAGACACTATTAAGAAACTAAAAAGACAAGCCTAAGAAGAAAACATTTTCAAATCATATATCTGATAAAAGACTTATATCCAAAATACAGATAGAGCTTAAATTGGAACTCAAAAATAAGTAGAAAACCCAATTAAAAATAGGCTAAACATTGTGAATAGATATTGCACAAAATAAGATATATGAGTGCACAATAAGCAGATGAAAAGATACTCAACATCATTAGGGAAACAAATGAAAACCACAATGATGTATCATTTGATGCCCAGTGGACTAACAATAATAAAAAAGATATACAATCAGTATTGAAAAGGGTGTGGATAAATTAGAATCCTCATCCGTTGCTGGTGGGAATGTAAAATGGTGCAGCCCCTTTGGAAAACAGTTGGCAGTTTCTTTAAAAAGTTAAACACAAATTCACCATATGACCCCCAAATTCTAATCTTAGCTATCTACCCAAGAGAAATGAAAACATATATCCACACGAAAATTTGCATGTGTGTGTTTATAACAGCATTATTTATAAAATTATAAAGTATCCACTGTCCAAAAACTGCTGAATGAATAAACAAAATGTGGTATATACATACAATTGAATATTATTTGGAAATAAAAAGAAATGAATTACTGATACACGCTACAGGGATGAACCTCAAAAACACTGGTCTAGGTGAAAGAAGCCAGGTACAAAAGGTTACATATTTTATTATTGTAATTATATGAGATATTCAGAAAATAAAAGCTATAGATTCCAAAAATAGATTAGTGGCTGATTGGGGTTAGAGCTAAGAACAGAAGGTGACTGCAAATGGACATGAGAGATCTTTATGAAGTGATGGAAATGTCCTAAATTTGGGTTATGGTGATGGTTGCATAACTTTGCATATTTACTAAAAACCATTAAATTGTACAATTAAGTGAATTTATGGTATGTAAATCAAACCTCAAAGCTGTAAAAGTAAAATGCATCAGGATGATTTAAAAAGTCAGCTAAAAAAAGAAAAAGATCCCCCAAATATTTCTGAAAACTATTTGCTATGAGAAACAGAAGATAGCGTTAGAAAATATTGTACCCTTAAAAAGATAACAAAGATGGCCTCTATGAACTAACAAGAAGGTCATAACGGGAGATGAAGCTCTGAAGACTAGGAAGCTGTCAGGAATAAGAAAACTCAAAAAGGTCTTTAAAATTCAACACAAGAATGAAATTTTGCACTGATGTCTTTAAGGAGCACAACTGACATCGCAGAAAATTGATTCCATAATATTGAAAACAAACTTGAAAATTATCTAAGGCCACAGAGGAAAAGGATTAAAAAATGAAAGGATGAGAAGATAGTAAGGAATACAAAGCAAAGAAAATGCTAAGAAGAAAAAATAGAGCACATATGATTATCAAATCTATAATACAAGAAAGCTTTTCTGAAATAATGAACACACAAGTGTTAATTTTCAGAGTAAAAGGTCTGTATGTTCTGGACATGTTATAAACAAAGACCATCACCTAGATATGCCCAGGTGGTATTTCTGAACCGGGTATTCTTCTTTAGCTACCCAGATTCATGCTTGCTCCTTCTCTGCCCTGCTCTGTGCTCCAGGAGGCTGACTTCTGCAAACTTTACCCAGGCTTTCTCCCCATCGGTTGACTCCTCCTTGGGTTTGGCCAATAGAAGGCACTGGCAGGCACGCTGACAGGTGGAAGGTGGGAGAAGAGATGGTTCAGAGTATTTCCCCTCACTACCTTTCTTTTACAACACCACATTTTTAGGCAGTAGCTAAGTCCCCTTCAGGCGATAGATCCCACTGGGAGGACCCTACTCAACTGTTAGTTTTCACTGGCCTCTATAATACTATTTCCTCAGCTATGTCTTCATTTCTCGGGGTGGTGATGGTTTCCAAGAGTAGCAAGATTTTTCTGAATGCCTTGCCAGCCCTGGTTTGTTCCCATAATCCTGCCCATACTGCTGTGAGTAATAATCTCTTTTCATTTGAACCATCTTGGGTGAATTCTGTTTCCCACTGGGGAACTCAGATTAATATAAATGATGAAGAAAAATATCCATAAATACGTAGAGAGAAAATAATCTGACCTACAAAGGAATAAAAGTCAGACTGATCTCATACTTCTCCATTGCAAAATGAATGCCAGGGCTAATATATAATAAGACATATTTTTTTGACTCAATAATTTCATTCTGCCATTCCTGTGTGAAATCAACCAAAGGCTATTTTCAAAAATACAAAGGTTCAGAAAATATTTATAAGCTTTTTCCTGAAAAATCATGTCAAGTATTATCTAATCAATGAAAGATTAGTTAAAACTATGATCTCAGAATTGTAGAAGCTGTGGTTTAAAATCATTGATAGCATTGAATTGTTTGAATACCTATAATTTTTTTTAACTTTTATTTTAAGTTCAGTTGTACATATGCAGGTTTGTTATATAGGTAAACTTGTGTCATGGCAGTTTGTTGTACAGATTATTTTATCACCTAGGTATTAAGCCTAGTGTCCATTAGTTATTTTTCCTGATCTTCTCCTTCTCCCACCTTTCACCTTCCCACAGGCTTTAAAATGGAAAGTATATACTATAACAATGAAACATTTAGTAGTAATAATTTTATCTATAATCTCACATTAAATTAACAAAGAACAGGCTGTAGTGTAAGGAGTTAAACTAACTGAAAGAATTTTTTTTTTTGAGATGGGATCTCACTCTGTTGCCAGGCTGGAGTGCAGTGGTGCGATCTCAGCTCACTGCAACCTCCACCTCCTGGGTTCAGGCAATTCTCCTGCCTCAGCCTCCCAAGTAGCTGGGATTACAGGCACGTGCCATCACGCCTGGCTAATTTTTTTGTATTTTTAGTAGAGACGGGGTTTCACCATGTTAGCCAGGATGGTCTTGATCTCCTGACCTCGTGATCTGCCTGCCTTGGCCTCCCAAAGTGTTGGGATTACAGGCATGAGCCACTGCTCCTGGCCAAGAATTTTTTAAGTTTCATTTTTGATTTTGGCAATTGGGAAAACTGAGAATTGTACATGTATTACAGAATAAAATTAACACTAGTAGAATTAAAAATAGGATAACTACTTTCAGAACGACTCTAGAACATAATTATTCTAATTTAAACTTAGCCATACCGCTAAATGAATAAACCCAATAGCTACATTTTACCCTTGATAGATAATACTTCCCATATAACAGATATTCCTAAATACACACAGTTGGATCACTTGATAAAGTTCTATGAAAATTTTTCTTTTCTTCATATGCAAAGAGGCAGTGGATACAACTACATACTAACATATTAGTTGCTCATTATATATCAGAATAAATAAGCAATTGGTCTAATTATTTCTACTATTATTCAAGGTTCTTGGCTAATGTAATGGTAAGAAACTGTTACTTTGTGAAGGAAAGAAAAAATTAACAGTTAATTGTATTAACCAGTTACCCCCATGATTAATTGGCTACACAAATTTAAATAACTGAGCTAGCCAGCAGATCAATGTAGAATATTCTGAATTTTTAATTTTAAGTGCTTCTAAGTTGAATCATGCTGAATATAAATGCTCCAATTAAGTGAAATATATAAGTATAAAATGGAAAATGTTAGGAAAGGCTAAATGACAACTTCAAATGTCATCTTCAAATGTCATTTACCATCTGGATAAAGATCAATTTAACTGATCCTGAAATGTAAAAAATGGAATTAGGACAGAAGCATCAAATAAATAATTGTATTTCCATTCAAATTCAGTCAGGTCTAAGGTCTTCAACATATAACTGAAATTTTAATTTGGAAAATACTTTCCAATATACAGTAAAATTGCACATTATATTTACTCAAAAGTAACATCACAAGTATTTGAAAACAAAAGAACTGAGTAAATTATAATTTAAGAAGCTAAAGATGAGCTCCTATGACAGCAATCTTATCTTTCTAAACCTCTTCTCTTGCCCAAACATTTATTGATATTTTTTATATGTATCACTGTGTGTGTAAGTGAATTAAATAGAAATATAATTCTTAAATTCAGAGAACATTAAATTTAGCTGTGGAGTCAATAAAAACTACAATGCAAACTAAATTATCTTGTGCTTGACCACTTTTGATCAAAGAACAGTTCTTCTTTCTCTGCTACTCTGTTTCTTTTTAGGAAGCATATTTATCTAGCAGTAAGGTAGAAGAGAGATATTTAACAGGACAAATCAACATAGTCAGCCCTGTTGCCCTGTTGATGAATGCAGTGGCAGGTAATGCAGCCAGATTATCTCCCTGTCCATCAAAACATTTGCAAATGTGAGCTAGTGGATCCTGAAGCAGTAAGGACTAAATACAGGCCTAGTGGAAGAGGCAATGGGTCAGATGGAAGAAGTTAGCATGGCTTTATAATGAAGTGAGATTTAAAGGGGAATTTCAGAGAGTAATAGACATTCATGAAAAAATGGAAAGAAAAAGCATTTCAAAGTTCTGTAGAAACAGTTGGGGTCCTAGACAGCTCTAAAATTTTATTCTGATAGACTTCAAAATTCTTCCCAGGAATTGTCTTTATTAGCTAACTTACAGCTACGTGATGTTAATAACAGTAACATCTGATATGGTACCATACAATTTATAAAGCACCTTCACATATGTTATCTCATGTTACCCTTGTGAATAGACAGGATAGGAAAAATATTTATTTTCCTTTAAAAGGTGATTAAATTGAGAGTCAGCTATTACGTGACTTATCTGAAGTAACATAGCTATTACATTTGTAAAAAGTGAGATAGAATTGACAGACCTGAAAACACTTTTCTAGTCCTATGTTCCTAGTTTTTGCTCCAAAGATTCCCTTTCTGTAAGATAAAATAGATTTTTCCCTACAGCCACCTTGGAAGTCTTCTCTCAGTGTTTACTCAAAACATTCTCTGATAGACCCTAGAGTATTATAGAGGATTATAGATTCTAGGAGTATTGAGGTTCCCTAAAGGGGGTAGGTTATTTGTGGGTCAGGAAGAACATGAAAGTGGCAGTGGAGGGGCAGCCTGAGTCCTTGCAGTGAGGCCACGCAGCACTGATGACTGCAGACCACGCGTTGGAGGCAGACAGACTTGGGTGTGGGCCTGGCCTGCTAACTGGTGACATTAACCTCTCTGAGCCTTAGAGTCTTCATCTCTAAAATGAGGCTATTAACAACATAATTATACATAAACTATCTAGTTCAGCCACTGGCATGTAATTAGCACTCAACATTGGTGGCTACTGAGCCACTGCAGCCCTGGGGTAATTTTCCATATCTCTCCAGCCAAATTAGCTGCTAAATCAATTGTCTCAGACATTGAAGATATCAAGCAAATTCCAATGGATAGTCTTTGGGAGTGACAGGATCTGCAGTCTTCTCTCATTCATTAAACCCTCATTTTACATTTTTTCACCAAAGCACAAAGAAGTTAAACTGCAGAGCTGATGCCCAAGATGTCAGAGTTGTCTTCTTGTTCTTGGGTTCCTGTCCCCATTCCCTTTCTCAAGAATCCAATTGTACCTTGTTTCAGGGAAGACCTGTTGTTTCTGGGGGATAAATGGAATTTGAGAGATGCAAAGTAGAGTGCTAGAAGTTTCTAGAAGGTAGTAAGTTCTTGGGAGATCTCTATTTCTGGAAGTGGGGTGAGGCTGGAGTTACCCATCTACTTCCTTTTCATCATGTTTGCACTGCACTAAGCACCATGGAAAGAGCCCTGGTTCACAGCCACTTTTTTTTTCTCTGCAAAAATCGGGCATGAAACACCTTGCTTAATTACCATTTATTCTCTTTTTGAAATTACTTATTGTTTATCAACTTTGTGCCCTGTTCTGTTTTGGTTGTTGTGGACACAGTTAATAACATGGACTTGGTCTTAATAACATGGACTCAGTCTTTAGTCTCAAGGAGTTTACAGTCAGGAAACTGTAAACAGTTTCAGCAGGAAAAAGTTATATACAAATCAAGTAAAAAATAATTATTGTAATATTACAGAAGAAGGTGGTCTCATTGCCTATATGCTGGGTACTGAACTAGATGCTGAGGGTGCCACAGGGACCAACACAGGAGCGGCTCTTGTCCTCTTAGAACTCACAGTCTGGTTGGTCTTGTGAGGACTTCATGAGAAGTATTTGGTATAGTAATGTGTATGTGAAGCTATAGTCAAAATACAACCTGTATGAGGCTCTTTCCTATTAGAAAATAATTAACTTGTGGGCAATGACTATCCACCTGGTGACATTATCTGTTATTCCTTATACATATTATATATATGCTTCATAAATAGTTGCTAAGTGAAAGTCAGGTCCAAGTTTATATGTTTTTATTTTTATGTAAAAGGCTGAGACAGAAATAAGATGCTATTTCTGCCACTACTGGGAGCAAGGCCATTCACAGGCAGCCAAGGGTGGCCATGGTAGAGGGGAGTGGTGGAGAATAGTGTCGTTTATTACTGTCCCAAAGCCTGAACGCACCACATGGACTATTTAAGTTACAACTGTGCCCTGAGAATCTCTTAAGGAAGGGATTGAGGTTAATTGAGGTCTTTTCTGCATGAGGTTGATGTCTGTCACACATACAAAGGCCAAGTAATCTCAAAAAATTTTTTATTATGCTCTTGAAAACATAAAGACTTGCAACTTCAAAAAACATCAGAGAAGTCATAGGGAATAAAAATAAATTTCAATAATAACAAAATACAAACATTTGGATGTTTAGCTGAGGATCAGTGCTGGTTAATGGCCACATTCTGCGGTGAGAGCCTGGCAGCCTTCCAGGGGCAGGAAGCAGGGGCAGATTTCATTCTTAGAATCATATGGTTAAAAACCCCACCTCAAGATTTTCTGCAGAAATTAGAATGTTTAGGGGCCATCATTCAACACCCTGGTTTATTTACTGGAATAGATGATGAATTCTTTTGTTATCACATGGTCTTTGTAGCTTCCTAGAGTGTAGAGCCAAGGCCACATCAAAAGGCATGCCTGGATTATTAGGGAGTTTCAACTTGTACTCATTCCCACATATCAGGTCTTCAGTTGTAATTTCTACAGCGCTAACACAGGCCCTGAGTACTGAGTAGCAATGGCGAGATAACTGTGGGTCTTACTTCCTGTGTTAAAAATGGAATCAACCTAAATGCCTATCAATTATAGACTGGATAAAGAAGAATGTGGTACATATTCACCATGGAATAGTATGCAGCCATAAAAAGAAACAGATCACATCCTTTGCAGGGACATGAATGGAGCTGGAGGCCATTATCCTTAGCAAACTAACACAGGAACAGAAAACCAAATACTGCGTGTTCTCACTTACAAGTGGGCGCTAAATGATGAGAATACCTTGACACATGGAGGGGAACAACACTCATTGGGGTTTTTCAGAGGATGGAGCGTGGGAGGAGGGAGAGGATCAGGAAAAATAATTAATAGGCAATAGGCTTAATACCTGAGTGATGAAATAATCTGTACAACAAACCCCCATGACACAAGTTTACCTATGTAACAAACTTACACTTGTACCCCTAAACTTAAAAGTTAAAAAATAAAAAAGATACATGTTCCTCAAATGTCCATTTTTTTAAATTAAAAAATGTGTATCTGGAAAAAAACTTTCAGTAGGGACCTTCAGTGGGTGCAAACTTGGAGTTTAATGCAACGCTTTGCCATCTATATCTTTATATCCTCTGTGTTATCTACATGGCCACACTACACCAGGCATTCAAGAAATAGCTGTTAACTGACTATATGAAAAAATAATTATAGTATTTAAATAATAGTAATGAAACTGAATTTTATACCTATGAAACTTTCAGGGAGAACAGAGATGGATAACTGACAAAGTAGAAAATGATATATTTATAGGAAGCTTCGAGAGCACTCAGTTTAATTTCTGCATTTACATATTAAAAACTGAGGCCTATAAATTTTAAGTTATTTGCTCAAGGTCATAGGGAATGACAGATGAGGTCTCAAAGCTAGTTTCTAGACTCCATTATTCGTGTACTTTCTAACAATCACACTCAAATTCATGGCTAATGAAAAAATGACTATTATCTTTTCTGTAAAATTTTAACTCATAATTTGTAGATTCTATAGAAAAGACCTGTCAAGTATTTAGAAGGCTCATTTATCCATGATGGTTGCATGTAGAGTCTGTGTATAACTGCAACTTTTTGTTGTACTATATGGATTTTCTTCATGATTGCCCCAGAGGCCTCACATAAAACTCAGTGTTGCTTCTGTATCTGGTCACAGCTAGGAAATGAATTCTTTCAATATTTGGTCCCCAGCCTTGAGTGATACTAAACTCAGAGCTGTTTCATAACAATGTACATCCCTTGGATTAAGTTTTTCTTCACCTTCCCAGCGTTTTTACCTAATTTTAAAACCCTTATTTCAATAGTTTTATGGCTTTATTGTGAACCATTTCAAATTCCCCCTCCCCCGTCTTTATTTATTTTGTTTGATACGGAGACTTGCTCTGTCCCTCAGGCTGGAGTGCAGTGGCGATCTTGGCTCACTGCAAGCTCCGCCTCTCGGGTTCATAACATTCTCCTGCCTCAGCCTCCCGAGTAGCTGGGACTACAGGCGCCCACGACCACGCCCGGCTAATTTTTTGTATTTTTAGTAGAACGGGGTTTCACCGTGTTAGCCAGGGTGGTCTCGATCTCCTGACATCATGATCCACCCACCTCGGCCTCCCAAAGTGCTGGGATTACAGGCATGAGCCACCACGCCCGGCCTCAAATCTCCTTTTAAGGTAGGTTGGATACAGAAGTCAGTGAAGTAAACAACACTTCAGTAACTATATAAGTAATATACTTCCATGGAGATACTTAACATGGATAAATTGCTAATCTCACAGAGCTGAGTCACTCAAAGTTCAGCCTTGAGCCCTTGGACCAAGTTAAACTGGCCTCAAAGAGTTCAGGGTTGGAGACTTAACTCTTATGAATATGCTTCATCAGCAAAAGCAACAAAAATTTAAATATACATGTATTAAACAATTTTTAGGAAGCCCATTACGTTGCATACATCAAAATCAATAGATATTTTAGATGGGAACTGGGAATGTACTCAACAGGAGATGCTTAATCAGGTAAAAACCTGTATTTGTTCAGCACTTTATAGTTTCAATAATATGAAGTGCAAAATTTCAGCCAAGAAAGGAACTGGAATCTGATCAACAACATGAGGGTGTGCCATGCTGTCCTGTATTTTTATGTAAATAAGAAATTTGAAATTTATAATAAAAGCTCATTATATTGCACAAAAATAATCCACAAATTTCTGATCTGTGTACTACTTTGCTTCTAATGGGGGCTTGGCATCTGGGTAAAACAGTCATTTACATGTGACTGAATATTAAAGATCACTTCAGAGTACATGGAACTGTATATCTAATTTCATTTAAAAATCCAATAAAATTTATAATGCCTACATAAATACATCTTTAAAAATGCATTCATAGGCCGAGGTGGGCGGATCACAAGATCAGGAGATTGAGACCATCCTGGCTAACACAGTGAAACCCTGTCTCTACTAAAAATACAAAAAATTAGCCGGGCATAGTGGCGTGTGCCAGTAGTCCCAGCTGCTGGGGAGGCTGAGGCAGTAGAATGGCGAGAACCCAGGAAGTGGAGCTTGCAGTGAGCCGAGATTGCACCACTGCACTCCAGCCTGGGCGACAGAGCAAGACTATGTCTCAAAAAAAAAAAAAAAAAAAAAAAAAAAAGAAAAAAAATGCATTCATAACACATGGCAACTTCCTGGAAGAAAAGCTTTTCTATGCTTACCTGACACACTCTTCCTTTTTTTAAATTTAGTCTCTTATTCCTGCCCATGTTATTCGACAAACTATTGGCTCTGAGAAGATATGACTAAAATAATAATGTGTAATTGATGCATCTAAATATATGTGTGGCCATTTCATTTTAAAATATCAATGACTACTGTTTTATTTTAAAATGTTAAGTAAACTACCAGAACCAGGGGAAAATATTTGCAAGAAATGCCCCATTAAACCGTCTCTTGGAATGCTTCTTCGCTGATTTATCACTCAACATTTCTTTTTCACATTTTATTATTCAGGTAAACATTCCCTATTAGAACCAAGTGTAGCTATGATCAGTTCTTTATTTTATATAAGAAAATAAATAGGTAATTGTAAATATATAGTACAGAATTTGCCTATTAAAGTGTTCCATTTGTAAAGAGAATCTGGGTATACAGATATACTCTCAAGGGACTCTAAAAAACAAGAAAACCAGAGACGCTGTTAAAATTTATAGTACTAATTATTTTTGTGTTCTAGAATGAAAGTTCATTGTAATAGATAAGATCTATTATACCAAGTGCACAAAAAATAAAAGTCCAAGATAGATGGTGCTATTTCAGTAGGCCAGTTAAGAACCCTCTGGAGCAAAGACTGGGAAAAGTTAAGAAAATTATTTTCTTTTAAGAATCTTGTGTATGGGTGAGGTATGAGACAATATAAGGAGTACAGATTCTGAAAAGAAGAAAGATCTGATAAACAGTTCTCATCATCATCATCTTACTCTTTTTCTTTGCTCTTCTGTTGGTGAATTCTTTGCTCAAATGTCTCTTATCAACACTTCAACAAGCACCAGACCTTAAAAGTGACATCAGATGACCCTTCTTCTCTTGATGATTACAAGGAGTTTCAAAGCTTTGAAAATAAAGTTCACTGCTACAGCAGCGGAACCTCATGACAGGCAGTGATCCTCAATTTAACTGGAGCAAAAACTCACCTCTCACAGAGAATGCATTGTCCAAAGCCTCCTCCACAACCTCACTTTATCCTATTTGTGTATGACGTTCAAAGAGCTAGTTGTTGTTTACATGACATAACTTTAATTAAAAACCTCTGTCTCTTTGATCATTTGCAATGTTGAAAGATAGAATGCCATTTTCTACAGGTTACAGAAAGGTAAAGGCATTCTTCTACAGCAAGAAAGCATAGTGCTGGTAGCAATCAGTGTTTTATAATTGGGATGACAATGCTATTAAGATTCGAAGGCAGCATTCGAAGAGGTCCCTCTTGTTTGCAGTTGGTCAAACATCAGCTATTTCAATACAAGCAATGAGATGCAATAGATGCAGCTAATTACCTCTATCCTGCCTCTACTCAATTCTTCTTACTCCCAGGTGCCTACTCCATCCTCTCAGGGGGAGAAGATAGACAGATAGATGTGAGGAGGTGCACAAGACCTTGTGCAGCCACCAGTCCTGAGAGCAATTGGTCAATACCCTTGAAGCTAATTAAATTTTTAGCAAACAGTTCTAAACTGTAGCAGATGGTCTATTGGTCCCAGCGGTGCTGTTCAACATCTATATGACTCCATGTAAAGATCTAAAAACTTGGAATTGGAGGATTGCTTCTCTAGAGTATATTCTATGATTTTTTGACTTTACTCTATAACTAGTGTCTTTTCTCTTAATGGAGAGCTTGGCCTGGTTCTACTTTTCTCCTTTAAAAAAATGACACGAAGGGATGACAATTCATCACTCACCAAATTAACCAAGTTGGTTAACACTCACCAAGGGCTTGAATATGTTTTCATTTTACAACCAATGAAGCAGATGGTTAACTGAAGTTGTTGCAAGTCATCCAAGGAGTAGCTTACAACCCTTATCCACAGAGTAAGCCAGTTATAATTGCAGCTCAGTTTTAATATTTACCGTTTTAGAGCATCATAAAATTACCATTGCAAAAATCTTATCTGAATGAAACATTTCTGATTTCTAAACATATTGTTAAACTACTTTTTCTATTTCTGACATTTTTCTGAACACTATGAAGGTCAACCTCAAATGGATAATTATAGAGAACTCCTACCAGAATATTATTTGGTTTTCCTTTATTATATTTAGTATCCTCCAGATGTTTATCTTCCACTCTTTCTCCCTTCCTGTTTTTTTTTATTTCTGTTCCCCACCACCTTCCATCTTCTCAAATCGTGAATGCCATTTTCCTAATAAAAGATTACTTTAAAGGCTGATGTTCTGCATATATACTCCTAAATTATTTTTACTTTTATTGTTGTATTCCCTAATCAGGCATTGACATTTGGTTTTTTGTAACTCCAAGGACAATCAAATTGCCTCTTTGGTATGAATATATATACCCACACTGCTTGGTGCTGGAACAGCATTCTCCCAACCCAGAAATAGAGCCCTGAAGGAGGAAATAGTCACAGGGAAGAGTGTGAGCAAAAGAATCAAGGAAACGCATCTTTACAATCTCCTGAGGACATTCCCAAGCTCTACCCTTTCTTCCTGGTGGCCAGATTATTTTGGCTTTTATTTTAAGATGGGAGAGGTCCCATTGTTCTGGCTAATGGATAGACAGTCTATGCATATTTTCCCCTTTAATGGAAGTAAAATGAAAATCAGAAAGCTCTTATGCCATTCTTAAGTACAATTTTTCAGGTATCCACTTAAAACATTCACATGACACCAAATTACAAGGCATTTCTTTTTTATCTCTGGTAATCAAGCGAAGTTTGTTTGTACTTGAATGTTTACAATTTAAAACACTCAAGGAATATGAGAGAGCACAAGTAACGTATGAATAGGGAATGGCGCCTATGAGACTGACAATGAACATTCTCTTTGCTTGCTCACAGGAAGCTATTAGATTGTTGCTGCTGTGGGTTGAATTCTGTTCTCTCCTTCTACCCTCCCTGTCAAATTCATATATTGAAGTCCTAACCCCCAGCTGCTCAGGATGAAATCTCATTTGGAGACAGAGGTATTTACAGAGGTAATCAAATTAAAATGAGGGGCGGGTGTGATGGCTCATGCCTGTAATCCCAGCTCTTAGGGAGGCAGAGGTGGGAGAATAGCTTGAGCCCAGGCAGGTCAAATGAGGTCCTTAGGGAAGACCCTAATCTAATATCACTGATATCCTTACAAAAAGGGGAAGTCTGGAAACAGAGAGCTACAGGGAGAATGCCATGTGACCATGAAGATGGCCATCTACAAGCCATAGAGGGAGGCCTGGAACATATCCTGCCTTCGCAGCCCTCAGAAAGAACCAGCCCTACTAACACCTTGATTCCAGACTTCTAGACTGCAGAACTGTGAGATAATACATCTTTTTGCTGTTTAAGCCACCCAGTTTTTGGTATTTTGTTACAGCTACCCTAGAGAACTAATACAGTTACCTACTTTACTTTTTTTTCTATAAATGAAAGTCAATTTTTGACATACCTTCAACTGTACATTATTGTTGAAGAAATATATACTTATAACTATATTAATTTCATATTTGATCTTTTAACTTTAGGGAAAAAATCTTTGCCATTCCTTAAATGGCAATGTTCTGAATTTCATGAGGAAAGTCTTACATACCAGAAAAAGATGTTGAGAATCATCAAAAACAATCTTTCAGTGTAGAACTGGATAAAAGTAGACAAGTACAAGTTACAGGCCTTTTAAAGTCACCCAGTTACTGGTGAAAATAGATCACACAGCTCCCAGTCTCCATATTTTTCTACTATAGCACAGAGCGACTCCTAGCTAGTAGCCAAGGATTTTATATCATTAAAATATTTTTTTACTATTTTCTTATGCTAAAAAATGTTTAAAGTCAGGATAATATAAGTAAACAGATCACAAAAAATAGTTTACTCCACTGAAACTGTATTCTTCAAAGTCCTAAGACATATTCTTAATCAGACTGTTGATAATTGCACTGTTATTTGCATTATATTTTTGTACCATTTTGAGATAAGCACAGCAATGACAGGTGGGTAAATACCTCAGTCTGTGGAAAGATTAGAATTTTCTTTAGAATTCTGCTTATCCAAGCAGAGGAAATTTTTCGGAAGACAACTTGTGCATTTGCTATTTCTCAATGGTAGTTTTCACAAGTTGCATTGTACATGTTCAGGTAGCTATCAAAGAGAAGTATAATTTAATTCTAATTAAATTGCTGTTTATCTTAAAGCTAATCATTTCTTGATAGGTGTTTCTGTCTCTTTTCTCCTCCATTTCTTTACCTTGATTCTGTTCTTTTAGAAGACTCATGGTAAACACATTTGGAATCTTCAAATAGCTGACATGAAGGAGAACTTTACTCTTCTACCCTAAAGGGTATAACTAAGATGAGCTGGCTAAAGTTGCAATTAAATATATATCATGTAAAAAAAAAAGGAAAATCTTTAAACAGAGCTATGATATGATACAATTGGCTGCTGTAAAAGATCTTCAGGGATAGTCACTGGTGATATTGCAAGCATTAGAACATTGCGGGAAGGGCTGGCTTTGCTATATATAGACTTCAAGCAATGAATGGATTAGATCAAATGGACCTTAGAGTCTTTTCCATCCTAAAAATTCATGGTTCTATGAACTCAATTGTAAGTAATCTCATGGGGCTAATTATTCCCCTCAACTATCACAAGTCTCATTCCTTCACACGCTTGACACTCTTTGCATTTAATATGCTGTGGAATTGATTTAATTAACATACATTTAGAAGACACAGAGATGAAACACAGAGATCAGTCAAAGCTCGTACATGTCGAGTTAGATACCGTGTTTAGGTCAGAATCTTTCGTTGCTACTCATTTATTAGTATGAAATCATGTATTTTTTACTATTTGGGTAAGAGTAAAAAATTGTCCTGCAATCATAAAAGAAATTTTTTAACAGTCATATTAGTCCTTGGGATTCTTTTTTAAAGGGCTAAAAATACATAGTACACCATGAAATAATCAAATACTAACCTCTTTCATTTTTTCCAGTTCATTCTGTAAAGCTTGCTTTGCAATTTCAACTTCTATGAGCTGTTGCCTCAGTTTCTCATTTTCATCTTCTGTTGTTGTTCTCTTTTCTTCCACATTTTCTAATTCATGGTGAAGTCTCACAGATACATCCTTTGCAACCTGAATTAAGGTGTTTGTAACAATAAAATATAATTAATGACAATATAATAAGGGCTAAAATTGTATTCCTATTGAAAGCATTAAAACCCAATATTTATATGGTGTTTACCATGTGCCAGGCATTATTCCACAAAGTATACATATAAGCCATTCACATATATCAATCGTTTAACCCTACAAAAATCCCATGGGATAGGTACTATTATTACTTCTATTTTGTAGATGAGGAAACTGAGTCTCAGAGAGGTCAAGGTCACACAGCTAATGAGTAGACACTGCTGGGCTAAGAGGCCTGGCAATCTGGCTCTAAATTTTGTTCCCTTAACTTCTGCACTACTCTGTGGTAAAAAATGTTCTATTGCATTTTATCACATGTAGAGAAATTTCACAAATTTCCTTTACTTCAGCAAAACTATGAGGTAGATGTTTCCATTATAATCTATGTTAAAGAATGAAAAATTGAAGTTTTTACAAGTAGTGGGTTGGGCTTGAATTTCAATCTTATAGCTTGAATTCCAGTTGCTTAATCTTAGGAAAGTTTTAGTCCTTGAGATTATTATTTTTTGAATGACTGTGCATTTTTGCCTCATATTTTGAGATTATCCTGGAAATTCTAGGGTTTGGAAGAAAAGTGGAGCAGACTGGTGTAGAGGCTTAGGACACAGGTTGTGATTTTGGACTGAGTGGAGAGTCAGCCTGGCACCTATTAGCTGTTTTCCAGGCCTGGGCACTTAACCTCTGTAAAAGGTGTAGCTTCTGCACCTATAAAATGGTGCCTTAATAATCCCTACATTGTAGGATTTTTTTTCCCTTGAGAATTAAATGAAATAATAATGTATGTAACAGTGTTTGCCACAGTGCTTAGTACATACTAAGCACTCGACAAAAGTTAAGAAAAAAAGTAATACGTCTTTCATAAAATGTTTACACATAGCTTTCTTTAAAACAAAGATTACACGTGATCTTTAAATCCCAATGAAGTTAATGCAATGAACGTATACTTATTTGGTTGTGCAAGGAGATTAAGTTAATGTCTAGTTTGCATAGTCAATGAATCTGCCTACAGTCAAACTGAACTGGAGACCACACCTGTCTAGAAAATGCACTTCAAGGTTGAGATTTTTCCACTGGAAGAAATTCTGAAGGAACAATTGCACTTTAAAAAAATGAGATTATTTCATTTACCTCACACCAAACAGGCTGCAAGTTGGTTATCTGTTTTTTTTTTCCCCCTCAGGGAGTCACCTAAGTGGCAAGTGCAGAAAGGAAGAAGTCCTGGAAGAAGGAAGTGGAGTGGACACTTGCTGAAAGAAATCTTAACTCTAGTATCTTCCCAGTGCAGTTCCTATTTTGGGTTTCAACTCCCCCAGAGGAGTCCTTTTAGTGCAGCTCCTGACTGCCCGATTCCACCGGACTTCTCTCAGTAGACAGACTGAAGGGCAGATCAAAGGCTAGAGCCTGCGCTCTGCCACGCCCTTGCTTCTGCCCAGAAGGGAGCCTTCTTCTCATCACCTCTTGAAGAGCCACCTTTGCTCCCAGGAGAGCACACTTAGCTCGTTTGCTGCCAGGCCCTCCACACACTCTGCACTCTTTAGAGCCACCTGCCAGTTCTCTCCCTTCTGAGACCCTAGTATTTTGTGGTTAGCGCTACGAAACTGTGTCCCTAAGGCTCCTTGCCAGTCGCCACTGAAGACTTCTCAGCCTAAAGAGCCCTTGGCCAAAGTCCCCACCCACCGCCCCTGCCGCGCGCCATTGAGCCCCCGCGCCGCAGACCTTGAGGTCCTGCTCCAGGCTGCGCAACAGCTCCCCGTCGATTTCCCCGGTCTGGGCGTAGCGGAGCCTTTTGCGCTCGGCTTTGCGGAGGCGGTACTGCAGGATCCGGCAGTTTTTGTTGGCTCTCTCCAACTCGTGGCGCATTTCCTGCAGTTGACAGGCATCCTCCTCGAAGAAAGTGTCCCTCATCTCGTCCATCTCGGTTCTCAGCTCATCGATCTCGTTCTGAGGCGGTGACAGGCCGCGTGTCAAAATCAAACTCGCTTCCAGCCCTTCCGACACACACCGTACACACCCCATTCCAATTCCAAATTCTCAGCTTTAATTGCCCTCTCTCTCCACGAGACAGGAGTGACAAGGAGCTGAGTACAGAAGAGGAAACTGGGGGAAAAAGGCCCACTTTAGGCCCTCTCTCGTTCTCTTACTCTACCTCTCTCCAGGAAGAAGTGTGACAAACCATTATAATTAGAGAAACGGAGGCCCAGATTTGAATTTAAATGAAAACCTCGCGTTACTGAGAGCAGATTCAAATTCCGGCAAGGCCTAGGAAACCCCCTCCCTCCTTTCTTGTTCTCCTCCCTCTTCAAGGCTCCCTAACAGGTTAGCAGCCTCTGATCCCTGCCGGTACACGCCCTAATCCTCCCAGGCCCACTCTTCCCATCCCCCAGCCGGGTCCCCCCACCCTCCTCACCTTGAGAGTCTCGTTTTCCTCTCGCAGCTTCTCCATCTCCTCTTGCATTTCTTCCTGCTCTTGGAGCTGCTGCGGGTGCGGCTGCGACGAAGGGGGCGCTGCCGCCTGCATGCCCCCGCCGCTCGCGCTGCCCTCTGCGCTCTGCTGGGGGCCCTCCGCCGCCGCCGCCATTGGGGAGGCGGAGGCGACGGCCAGGGTCTCGCAAACGGCAGGGGGGCCAGACACCGGGGAGCTGCGGCTACTGCTGCCGCCGCCGTTCTTAGCGTGCATCTGAGCCGCGGCCGCCGCCGCTGCCGCCCGCTCCTTCTTGAGATGGAACTGGATGAGCTCAGACTGCAGACATCCTTCTTTCCAGTAGCTCCCTCCACCACCGCTGCCGCCCCCCGCAACGCCGCTTCCGGAGTTTCTGCTGCCGGTTCCTGGGGTTTTGCCCGCAGAAGAGGAGGATGGAGAAGGGGAGGCCCCCTCCCCGCCGCTGCCGCCCCTCTGCTGAGCGCGTACGCCTTTCCCTCGCCAGCCCCTGGGCGGCGGCGGCTGCGGAGCGCCCCCCTCCCTTTCCCCGGAGCCGCCGCCGGCTCCTCCTCCTTCCCCGCCCCCTCCTCCCCCTTCTCCGAGCGGAGGGGGTTCCCCGAGTTTCGAGGGCACGGACTCTAGCTCCCGAGGCGGCTCCTCGGGCGGTCCGGGCCTCCTGCCGCCCAAAGCGGCCAGGGTCGCGGCGGGGGCCGCTTCAGCACCAGCCACAGGCTGGACAGCTCCCGGAGCGGCCCCTTTGGGCGCCAGGGGCGTCGCCTTCTCGGCCCCACCTCCGCCTCCTCGGATGCTGGCGGGCGGCCCCGTGCGGCTCCCGGTCTTGTTACCCTGCTGTTGCTGCTGCTGCAGCTGCTGCTGCCGAACAGAATTGAGTTTAGTGCCGGCCCCCACTGGGGACCGGGTGGCCGCGATTGTCTGTCGCAGCGAACTGTCCCTCGGTCTAGCGGGTGACTGAGCTCGCTGCTGCTTTCTGCTGCTGCCCTCCGGGTGCAGACGAGCCTCAGTGGCTGCAGCGGCGGGAGAAGCTGCTGCTGTGGCAGGGGCAGCGCCCCCGATTGGTGGCTGACTCATGGCTATGAACCTACCAGATGCGATTTGGAAGAGCCCATTACTAGATCATCCTCTTCCCTCTTCACCGCCGCCAACCTTCCTTCCTAAGCTGGGACAGAAACAAAAGGAGAGAAGAAGACAACATGTCTGAATTTTTGCAGAGCAAAGGGTGATATTGCTCCATTTGGATGGCGCTTAATAGAAGCTTTGACTTTAGGAATAGGATGCAGGGCTGTCTTTAGGAATAGGATGGAGGGCTGTCAATTCTCATTTTGCCCAGGGTGGCGCTGTCTCCATCTCACTCCACCTCAGCAAAATGACGGATCTGAAAGCAGCTGAACCTTACATTCTCATGGTAGCAGGCTTTGGAAAGGGTGAGATACAGAGTCAGACAGGAATTGATGGAAAGGGAGATATAAAAGAAAAGAGGATAAAGTGGAAAAGAAGCTTCAGAAAGAAAAGATATCCATATATTAGAGTTGTCAACTCTGCTTTTACAACTTTGGCTTTCCTTACCATCAAATCCATATGTAAAGCCTAGTTTACTGGAGAAAGTTTTCATTTAATTAGTATTCCCAAGTTCAATTAGAGGAAAAGGGTTATGATGTAGGGTTCCTAGAGAATATTTTCTACGGATAAATGACACTTTCCCCAGGCAGCTCCAACCCTTAATGTTGTTTTTGGGAAAATGCACCCAACTTCCTTTATAATAGAACTAAAAGAAAATATAAATAATGAATGCCTTTAAATCAATCTCAGTTTCAAGAAAATAATAGCATTAAGAATTGTCTATATGGGTTAGTTATTAGCAACCCAAAAACGTATTTTTTCCCTTTTGGGAAATAATTTTTAAAATACATTTGGAAAAGTTGTGGTCAGTTCTGCAGTTTCCTAAGTTTCTGGTGATGAATTTTCCTATGCTTACCCAGTTTTGTAGTCTTATGAATCACTTTAGTTTTAAGTGTAATTGCTAGATAGAAAATATTTTCATTCTTAGCCATCTTCTTACATCGCATATCATAGGCAAAAGTTGTACTTTTTAAAGTGCCCATTTCCTCCTATATAGCAATTCTGAGACAGAACCCAGAAGGCTGGTGCATCTTCCCTCATGGTGGTAAGATCAATTTCCAGTATGTGTATTTCCAAGATAAATCCGTCACTAGCTTCTTTAATCTGAAAAATAGCAAGTTACTGCCTCATGGGTTCCTCTCCCTAGGGATCCAGGCAGCTAGTCAATTAGTTGCCTTTTCCTTAAAATTATTTCTGTCTAAAGCACTGAAAGGGGCATGACTAGGCATAAATTTCTCCTTTAAAAATATTTGTTCTATACAGAGAGCAGATTACTTTACTGCCAGTTATTTTACTTGCATTATTCTTGTTAACATCTATTGTTAGCATCACAACTTAGCATGCAGTAATTCCTCATTTTATAAAGAAATATTACCGAAGGGTTCCTAATCCACCTCCCTTTCTGTTTCTGGCATCTCCTTCCAACTCACTTTGAAATATAAAGGTGAACAAAGAAGACATCGGGGGAAAATTGCCCACCAACTTGTTTTCTACATCTTCTCTCCCAGTCGCGATACTACTAGAATGTCTGGCCTAGTTTATCATCATGGGTGGCACTAACATGGGCTATCTAACTAACTTATATTGCCAATGCAAACTTATTTTTGTTTTTAATCAGGCAGAATAATTCCAGAGCTGAGAAGCCAATGTTTAAACTCAGCCCTCAGACAGCATTAACCCAGGCGAAAGCTTGTGTTCCAGTAACTGGGCTCCACAATCAAAGGTATCCGGCTGCTGTCACGTGGTTCCCACAAAGTGACAAGATGCTGCATCTCTTCAAGGCTTTCCCGGTGAAAATTATCACCCAACCAACCCCTGCACGGCTTAGACCAACACTTTTAATCTCAAGTTTTATCCGCCTGCTAACCCACCCCATCATTCATCCCCAACCCTTTAGAAATCCAGAACTTGCTCACTTCTCAGCAGAGGCGAGGTTTCCAAGTAGCTGAACAAATCAACAGCACTTTCCTTCTGATATTCCGGGGATCTCAGGGTTTATTATTGTGCCTTTCTGCGCCGAGGAAAGTTCAACTTCATATTATTGTATGCGACTTTCCGGCTGAGCATGACTTTGGGCTCGCTCGCCGCAGTTCCACACCCACTCGATTTCTCCAAACAATGGCGGTAACGTCAAGATTCAGCTGCCCCCAGAGCGGGTGACTTCCCGGCGGTCCGCGGCTGGGCTGGAGCTGCAGCTCTCAGCAGGCTAACACGCGAGGTACCAAGCTGGGCCAGACGCTCCCCAGGAAGTGCAGAGATGTTCATGAGCTGACCTCACCGAACTGGGCAGGAGAGAAGGCGGGATTGCAAGGGACGATAGGGTAGAAGTAACCAAAGAGAGGTTACTTTCAAGAGGAAAGAGAAGAAGGCGGGGAGGGGGACGGGGGACGGGGGTGGGGAGTGGCGGGATAAAGAGACAAAAAGGCCAGAGCCACGCCCGAGATGGAAGATTGGCAGCAGCGCTCAAACTCCTTGCTCTATTCTCTTATCCCGTACTTGGCAGAGGATCCCAAAACCGCTCGAACACGGATGCACTGGTTTCCTGCAAAGCTTTGTCCTGGGTTCGGTCATTCTCCATCAATTATTTACTTGAGCTTCTTTTCCAAGGAGGCGGACTAGAACAGCCTTCCGGGCGTGACTAACATCTCCTGATGCAGCTGGCTGGCGGCTGCTGGGAGTTCTCTTTGTTCACTCACTTTAATTCTCAGTCGAGCTCTACACGCGGTGCTCCCTCCCCACCCCCAGCCCGGGCGGAGTCATCAGATGTCGTTTCCACGAATAGATAATGGTTGCCATGATGGGACCCACCGTCCCACAGACAAAGGGTTCTTGCGAAGCCACGACTAATTTAGTGCAAACCGAAATAAATATCGGCCCACAGAGATCCTTTACAGAACGGTTTGCCTTCAGTACGTTTTCCTGTTTTCTACTGAGTGCCGGTTTCTACCGTGAAAATGAGTAATTGCTGGGATCCATAATCTTTATAGTAGTGCATGCGAACAATAACAGAAACCAGGAAGAATACATTATATCAGCCTAAAAGGGAATTCATTTAAAAAGAGGAGTTCAGAATATACATGTCTTTACAATTTACACTAACCCATACTGTTTCACAGTAATAATATTTTTAAAAATTAAGTGGAATTTTCTCTTTTTCTTTTCAGTTTCTTCTTTCAGTGGTGGGCGGGGGGCATGGGAGCCTCCCTTCTACCTCTAAGAATTCCTTTGTGAGCTTGAGTATGAGAATAAAAGTAAGTACTGCTTTTGAAAGGGCATTTTAAAATTTAATTTGTCTTACATTTATATGGTGATTTTGTAAGTAAAAGGAAGAAGATATCTTGAAATAATAATAGCTTTTTGTGCCAACATGAATTTTGGCTCAAGAGATTCAATTTTCCAAGTGTTGATCTTGCATTAAAAGTGAAATAAAAACAATTTAGGAGTAGTTTGCATAAAAGCAATTATTACAGCAAAATAAAAACATGCTCAAGCTCTGGTTATTCTTATCTTTAGAGACACATAAAACAAATATGATATCACGATAAAATCATTCATGTTCCAAAATAGGTATTAAAAGCCAATTTTGAGCCTGGCACTGTCCAAGGTACTGGGATGCAAAGCTGAATCAAGAAATTGTCCCTGTGCTGGGGACACTCAAGCATACTGGTGAAAACTGAGATAATTTCCTTATTTTCTTTCAAATACCTTTGGGAACAGGAAAAGTGACATCTGTGACATTTATAATAAAAAGCCCACACCTCGACTAGCATACCAAAAATAAAGGAAAAAAAAAAAAGCAAGTGAAAATGTAATCACAAGTTGGTTTGAATTTATATTAGGCAATTTCTTATTATGTACCCAAACTTGAGCTGTAATATCCTCAAGAAATATCAAGATGCACATGTCTCATCCAATCAAAATGGATAAAGTAGATACAAATATTTTTCAGCTCAATCTTTACCAATAAAATATTGATACTGTAAACACAGTCTAAAGACACAGAATATGCATAGTCCTGCTTCTCTAAGAATTTTTACTCTGCTCAGGCATCTATGTTTTGATTTTTTTTCCGAAAGCGGTATCATTTATTTCGTGCAAATAGTAACTTTAAAAAGTAAAATAAATATTAAGAATGGATTATTATGTATCCTTAAATCAAACAATGTGTCTAAATGTTTCATTTTATAATTTAGTATTATGCAATTTCAAGGTTGAAAACTGTAATAATACAGAATAAGTATAAGCAACATTTAACATGCTTGTTTACCCATAAGTATGCCATAAGAAAAATAACTTCTGAATTGGATATTTTCCTGATTTATTCCTTTATTTGCTGGTTAAAATTATATTGCTTCAACTAAGCAAAACTTAAAAATGATTATTCAAAGGCTTTTTTTCCAAGATTTAGAAAGATTTCAGCATTATTTTTACTGTGTTTCAGAAGCAGACAGGCCAATCAGCCTTCTAATGTTTGCTTATAATAATGAGTTATCCACTTCATAGCACAGCAAAATGTGGACCTTCGATCAAGGGAAGAAGGCTAAAGTCTCAACTTGGAAACCCTTAAGAAATACGTAGTTTAAAATTTCCAACCTCCTATTCTCACGACTTTACATCACAATATCTTAATTTATATAGCTTTATATTTTGCAAGGCCCTTTCATTTTGTGTGCTCAAAACAAAGCGTGTGAAGTAGATACTATCTTCTCCACCAAACACAGAATAACTGAGTTTCAGAGATGTTAAGTGACTTCCTCTAGTTAAATTTCAGAATCACAACTTAAACTTGGTTCCTCTTCTCCATCAATTGTGCTTACTATATTGGCCTTAAGTGCCTCACCTCCTTTTCATAGCATGATGTAAAACTCTGCATCTCAAAGCCAGATTTTGCACCTGTATCCTAGTTCAATCTTTTCACCAATGCATAGAATATCTACATTTGGAGATAACACTATCACCTCAAACTCATGTAATTTTTTTCTTTTTTCCAACTCTTATCTATTTCTATTTATCTTTTAGTAAAGAAAAACAATATATTCTGTATCTATTTTTCTTTTAGTGAAACTATCATGTCATATACTTTCCCACTAAACATGGGCTTCTTCATTGCTTTGTCTTTTCCCTTCACTTCTATAATCATATTTTCTTTCAAAATGTCTTATATTCATCATTTCTTCTTTATCTCCTTTGCAATCAACTACCAAAATGCAGATCCTCATAATTCTAGTTTAGACTGTTACAAATGCTTCCTCTGTTAATGATAGATTTTTTTCTCTCAGATCCGCACTGCTTAATGCTGCCTGTTTACACCTTTATTAAACAACACTTTCCTCATGTCATTCTGTTTACAGTCATGTCTACATTGTTACATCGCATCCAGACTCTTCTTCCTAGACCGCAAGTAAGTGTACTGTCCCCATTCTATAAGATGTACTCTCTAATACATCACTCTGTCCTCGTCAGACTTACTGTCTCTTTTTCTCATGAACATGCAGGCTTATTCTGCTTCTGTACCTTTCTTCTTTCCAGTCCCCATACTTGGTATTTCCCTCTTCCTCTCTAGCCTGAAATCTGCTCATATTTTCAGGTTTAGCTTAAGTTTCAAATCTTTCTGTCTCATGAACTTAGGCAAGTTATTTAAACTTTCAGAGCCCCAGTTTTTTTCACTTACTTCTTCACTTGTTTATTCATACATGTATGATATATTGTTGACTTTTTGTCATTAATAATACCTAGTTTATGTGATTATTATTATGAAATAGTGAAGTTAATTTTTATCACAGTGCATGAAACACAGTAATCATAACTAATGTTAAGTGATGATTACCATGTGCTTGGCATTGTAGGCTATCAGTATGAATTAACTATTATTGTTGTTATTATTATCATTAATTTAACCAAATTCTACCATTTCTGAATTTCTACAAAACTATGTCACACTATTTTAAAATACTTGGTTAGTCTTGGCTTATGTTATAATTTTTCATCCAGAGAGTAAATATTTTAAGATAATATTTCTGTTTTTCTCATTATCTCCAGCAGAGAATTGGATACATAGAAGCTAGGCAATACAAATTGATTAGTAGAGTCATAACTGAGAAAAGCTGATGTGTTTGGGTTCATCTTGTTTTTGGAGAGTAACTTAGCTTGGAGATGTGCCATTGTCCTGACCTTTATTAACATATGTATGCAGTCACACACTGTATTTGTTCTCTGGATGACACTTTAGATAATCATTAATGAATCGTAGAGTCCTTGAGGTGTAAACATCATGATTCATCTTTTTATCTCTAGGCAGGGTGACCAAACTGTATTATACATTGGGATTAGCCTAATTTCAGCCATCTCAATAAAGGCTATTCTACAATCTCTCTGAGTACATGTACACATGTTATAACTTAACTTTATGAGCAATAACTTACAGTTTAATTCATATATTGGAAGAAGGATGTTTTGTGAATGACAGAAATTGCTATTTTATCATGGCTGCCTTAGTTACTCATGCCTTTACTGTTGAGTATATTTGCAGTTAGGCTTTGAATAGACTTCTATTCAAGACTATTGAGTAGTCTTGAGTAACTTTACATCTGTAAGTACTCTTGGTAATTCAACCCAATGTCTAGCCACTCATTATAGCCAACATATTGTTGGATTCCTGATTTCAATCTAAACCCATTCTCATTCTAGTCTTAACCTTAGTGAAAACTTTTAACAACTCTGGTACTTATTATATAAATGCATTATACATATTTAGAATCACCATTAAAGTTCCCCTAATATCTCTACTTTAATAACTCAGAGTCATTAAATTGTCTCTATCTGCATTTTAATAATCCTTTATCTTAGCTATTGTGGATCATCTTGCTAGTTTCAGAATTCATCACTAATTATTATGCCTTAAAATGAGCACAGTAGACCAAGTTTCATTAGCCAGACCGAAAAGGATGGCATCCTAAGTTACAAACTTTACATTTCTAGCTCCCCTCTTCCCCTATGCTGTCTGAAAAAAAGTCAAATAGTCCTCTGCATAGACATAATCTAAGAAAGATCCTAGTAACTGTAAATGGATCTGACAGATATTTATATTATTATATACTGAATATCTGTTAAGCAAACTTCAAATGTAAGGTCTTGATATTCAGTTGATCCAGTTATGAAAATGTAAGCAAACTGCCACTTATATGTTATACTTTAATATCTTGCTTTTCTTGTTATTGTTCTTAGATATCAGTAGGATTTAAATTCAATTTGTAGTCATTAAAGTTTTGGATATTGTAATATGCTATGCAAATTCAGAGTACTTTCTTCTGACAGGATGCTAGATTGCTTTGACTTGATTCATTCTTCACCCAGTGATATTTATTATACATGAGTAATTTTTAGGGTCCTTCAAGGAAATACATAGCACATTCAATGTAAAATAATTTGAAAAAGGTTTATTTACAAAGGGACTACTTACAAGATGTGGATCAGATGTCGGAGAAACCACAATGGAGAGTTCAATAAACTGGAGTTAAGTACCAGGATGGTGCTATCACCACACTTATGCAGAAAAGAGGATACTATTGACAATGGGATTAAAAAGATGAGAGAACAGAGTGGTCACTGTACCCAGAAAAAGATGTGCAGAGCATGCTACTTTGAGAAGAGTGATTTCCTATTGGATGACATAGCTAGCCCAAGATTATCTTGCTGTGAGGGATTCAGTGTTACAATTATCATTACTGCAATTTTCATCCCTGTCTCTGGTGTCCTGCTGGTGCTGTCCATTGCTTGGTCCCTTGAAGTCCAGAAGGCTATAGAACCAACTGATGTGGCCCATAAAGGCCACCTCCTGGTTTGAGATTAGATCTTAAGATGTGAAATGTAAAATATTCAGCACAATAAGCAACAATATGATCAATAATGCAAAGTCTTTAAATTTACAATGTCCCTCACAAACTCATTTTTTTTCTTTTTTTTTTTTGAGATGGAGTCTTGCCCTGTCACCCAGGCTGGAGTGCAGTGGCACTATGTCGGCTCATTGCAAGCTCCACCTCCCGGGTTCACGCCATTCTCCTGCCTCAGCCTCCCGAGTAGCTGGGACTATAGGCGCCTGCCACCATGCCCGGCTAATTTTTTTTTGTCTTTTTAGTAGAGACGGGGTTTCACCGTGTTAGCCAGGATGGTCTTGATCTCCTGACCTTGTGATCTGCCCACCTCAGCCTCCCTAAGTGCTGGGATTACAGGCGTGAGCCACTGCGCCCGGCCTTCAAACTCATTTTTATATATGGTGGTGATCTAAAAATTTCAGTAAAAGCATGTATGTTGAGTTATTTCTTATAATTCTGGTAATGAATTTTCTATGTGGGTATTTTCATTGGAACTGCACATTAATCAATTGGAGAATTACAATTTTATGGTATTAAATTTACCTATATATATCCACATGATATGTCTTTTTATTTAATTAGGTTGCCTTTCTAAATATCAATATTTTTTTCTCAAAGATCTGGCACACGCTTTGCCAGATTTATTCCTAGGTGTTTGATATTTTTATGCTGTTGTCAAAGGTGTCTTTTAAAGCATGTTTGCTAATTATTTCTTGTTAGCGTATAGAATCACAATGGACTTCTTTGCAATGATCTTATGTCCACTAAACTTGCTTTATTCTTTGATCATTTCTGATAATTTTTTTGAAGATTAATTTTTAAGTAGATAATTATGTGAAAATAATGACATCTATTTCCTCCTTTCCAAATTTTTTGTCTTAAATATATGTTTCTTGTTTTATGGTACTGGCTAGGCTCTGTGGTACCATATATATAGAAATTGTGACAAATGGCTGTATTAGTCTGTTCTCATGCTGCTAATAAAGACATACCTGAGACTGGGTAATTTATAAAGGAAAGAGAGGTTCAATAGACTCACAGTTCCACATGGGCTGAGGAGGCCTCATAATCATGGTGGAAGGCGAAGGAGGAGCAAAGCCATGACCTACATGGCAGCAGGCAAGAGAAGTGCTGAGCAAAAGGGGGGAAAGCCCGTTATAAAACCATCAGATCTCATGAGAACTCACTCACTATCATGAGGACAGCATGAGGCTAACCACCCCCATGATTTAATTACTTCCCACTGGGTCCCTCCCATGACACTTGGGGATTATGGGAACTACAATTCAAGATGAAATTTGGGTGAGGATACAGCCAAATCATATCACTGGCTATTACTAAATTAAGAATACATGAGAACTTTCTTATCATAATACAGTATATCTACTAAAAGTATCCAGAGTAAGCAGCATACTTTATGATTGATTAGAAACATTCAGTTAAAAATTAGAACCAAACATGGAGACATACTCTCACTACTTTTATTCAATATTGTGCTGAAGGTTCTACAGGGAAACAAAGAGAATAAAAGTTTAAGGATTGAAATGGAAGCAAAATTGATTTTTATTTTAGATGATATATTGTATGATTAACTATCAAAAATCTTAAGGATCTGCAGATAAGTTATGGATGCTAGAGTTAGGAAATATTGTTATATAATAAAAAATCAACTTATAAGTCATGCCAACACACCAGCAACAAACAAAAATAAGGTTTTAAAAGATATATTATCATAACTACAAAACAGTTAAAGTATCTATAAAAATCTCTAACAGGAAATATATCTTTTTGAAGAAAACAATAAACTCTTATTCAGAAAAGTTAAACAAGCCTAAGTCAACTAAGAAATTGATGTTAATAGATGTTATTAAGAGAACTTGTTATCCAAAAGGTGTCCATTTTTTCCAAGTTGATTGATAGGTTCAAAGAATACCAATCAAAATCTCACAGGTTTATTTTTTGAACTTTAGTATATGAGTATTAGTTTTGTACATAAGTCTCGAAGACCAATGATAGCCATAACACAAAGTGAGTTAACAGGCTGTACCAGACATTTATATCTAAACTATAACACTTAGTATATGTATATGCCTCAGGGATAGAAAACCTAAAGAAACAGAGATGGTAAAGTAACATGGCGCATTAAAATCACCAGAGAAATGATAGATTATTCAATAAATAGTGCTAAGACAAATGGTTAAATCTATGAAAATAAAAAAAAAGAAATTGAGTCACTATGTTACATCATAAAATATCATTTGACAATGGATTTGTGGCTTAACATGAAGGGCAAAACTTTAAAACAGTTAAAAGGAAGATTAGGAGAAAATATTTTTTGGTCTCAAATAAAGAAGGAAGTTTTAAAAAATAAAATTCAAAAATTGTATAACACAAATGGGAACATTAATCTATCAGACTTTATTAAATATAATAATTTATCTTTATCAAAAGATAATTTTTTTAAAGTGCAAATATGGTAGCTTTAAAGTAGCTTTAAATTTGTAACAACAAAGGATTAATATCCAGAAAATCTCAGTGTCCCTACTAATCAATAAAAAAATTAACAGCTTAATAAAAAATTATCAAAAGACATAAATAAAGCAATGGATGTCTCACAAATACAGAAAATATTTTCAATCTTATTAGTAAAAAAGGAAATATTAATAAAAATACTTGAACTAACATATTCCCATCATATTTTCAAGATATTAAAAAGTCTGATAAAACTAAATGTTGAAATGGATATGGAGCAACATTAAGCCTGGTAGGATTACATATTTGTGTAATCACTTTGGGAAATATTGTAATGTTATGCAGAAATATTACAGGCAATAAATTCTTACGATCTGGGATCTTCAATCACAGGGATAGAATTTCTTCCATGTTTTCCAGTGTGTGTGTGTTCATGAAGACATTTGTAATTTCAAAAACCCAGAAATTACATGAATAATAAAATTGTGACATATTTATTCAATGGATTGCTATATAACAGTCAAAATGAATGAACTGTAGCTACAAACAATGTAAATAGTTCTCAATAGTGCTAAGTAAAAGAAGACATTCATAAAATACATGAACAAAACATTTACTCACATAATTTTAAAACATGCAAAATCAGGCCGGGCGCTGTGGCTCATGTCTGTAATCCCAGCATTTTGGGAGGCCGAGGTGGGCAGATCACGAGGTCAGGAAATCGAGACGATCTTGGCTAACACAGTGAAATCCCGCCTCTACTAAAAATACAAAACAGTAGCCGGGCTTGGTGGCGGGCGCCTGTAGTCCCAGCTACTCGGGAGGCTGAGGCAGGAGAATGGCGTGAACCCGGGAGGCGGAGCTTGCAGTGAGCCGAGATGGCGCCACTACACTCCAGCCTGGGAGACGGAGCGAGACTCTGTCTCAAAACAAAAAACAAAAAACAAAAACAAAAAACAACCATGCCAAATTAAGCAATATTATTTAGGGATGCATGCATAGAAGTGAATCTAGAATGAAAACCAAGGAAATAATAACAAAATTCAGAATAGTAGTTAACTCTTGAGTGCAAGAAAAAAGTAGTTCCGGGTAGAACTGGCTTTAGTGACACCTGATAAAGCTGGATTTCAGTGTTCAAAGCATATCTTCAATTTGTCATTTTCCCCCTGTATGTCTGCTTTCCTCTGTATTGGCTTCAATCTCAGACAGTCTCTTCATCTGTGGGGAACCACCCGCATTTCCAGGCTTATCAACCTCAGAGAAATAAGAACATCTGTTTTTTTTTTTTTTTTTTCAGTTAGCTTTAGTGAAATTCCAGATACCACTCTCCTTGTTCCACGTTAGGTCTTAAGTTCACCCTCCAGTGATGTTGGGAATGTGTAATTATCACTACCAGATCTAGACCATGTGTCAGATGCTTAAGCTAGGCTGTAGGGTAAATCTCATCAGTCCATATGGCAGGATGGAAGATTCAGGTCTTCCAAAGGAAAATTAAGTCTTTGTTATCAAAGGAATGAGATACTGATGCTGAGATGCCCAAACAATAGATATGTACTTCAGTCTCAAGGCAAACAATAACAGTTTCTGAATCAAGGGTCAAACAACCTTTAAATGGTGATTGATAATGTGGCGAGTCTCTAAGATGCCTAGTTGAGTTCTGACCAGAAATTAGCAGATGGGAGGACAGACCTCTGGATATGTTTGACAAGACACCATGCCACTGTGGAATACCCTCTGGAAGGTCTGACTCAATTGGAGCAAGTTATGAGTAAAATTTGCACCAACTTGTTACTGAGGAAGCTGAGACTTCATTAAAGATCCAAAGGACTCCCCCAAGTTCTCACCATTTATGTAGTTATTACTGTAAGAAAGGAAACCAAATTGGATGCTCTCAGGTAACATAACTAAATTATGGGGTCAGATTTGAGTTTTAAATTCATATTTGGAGAACTGGAGCTCATACAACCTCTACAAGTGGAATTCCTGATAAGCATAGGCCCAAGGAGTGGACACTGCTAATAAGAAGGGTCCTGAGTGGAGACTTTCAGAATGGGGGGCCTGGGACTCAGTCAGACAGCTGGGACCACTTAGACACACACTTCTAGCTTTCCCCATCTCTCTTATCCACATAGAGCAGGGATAGAAAAAAAACATTCAATATAATGTTTTAACTTAAACCTGTTCAGTGAAAATACCACATGCTGATTTGTTTTGGTCATGGTGGTGTGTGTGTGTGTGTGTGTGTGCGTGTGTGTACATATATATATAATTGTCCCTGGGACTGCCTAACTCTGGAAATCTACAGATAAAAAATATGCTAATGTATAAAATATGTTTATATATTAGCATATTATATATTAATATATTAGGATATTCTATCACATATTAGTTATATTAATATATGAATATATAATTAAACATTAGTTATATTAATATGTTGTATTAACACATATATTAATACATATTATGTGTTAATATAACTAATAATATATTAATATATTAGATATGAATATGTATTATTTATTATATATTAATTTATTGTATAGTAAAGAAATATATATTTTCTATTACTATATAACAAATTAATATATACATATATAATATGTTTATATACTAGTATATAACAAATATATTAATATGCATTATGATATTTTTTACCTGTAGATTTCCAGAGTTAGGCAGTCTAGGGAAAATTTTATAGCTCAACAATGTTAAGGTTTTGATTCTCATCTTCTAATATTTTCTTGGCTTTACATCTTGAGGTAGTGGACTGTTGTCCTGGCTTGAAGTATCACATCCTCATAGTACAAAATCTGAAAGGAAAGGAAGTGAGTTGAGGGTTCTTCAGCGGGTAGATGAGTCTATTATAAACTTATAATGTTAGTGGTACCAAGACACCTTCAGTGTAGTTGTGAAACATCTCAACTAAATGCTTTTAAACAAGGGATTATACTACAACTCTGTATTTCCACACATTGGGTTTGGAGTACAAAATGGGGCAAAGTTCAATTGTTCTGCATTATAGTTGGCAGAGGAGGGAGGTTAAAGCTCCTTGGGTGGTAGAAAATCTTAGAGAAATAGAAATCAGTAAGGCTGGGCATTCTGTGGTGTATTAGTTCATTTTCTGTTGCTCATTATGTAATACCTAATACTGGATAATTTATAAAAAAAAGGAATTTATTTCTTATAGTTATGAAAGCTGAGAAGCCTAAGGTTGAGTGAGTGCATCTGGTTGAGGGCCTTCTTGCTGGTGGGGACCCTCTGCAGAGTCCCAAGGATGCACAAGACATCACATGGTGAGGGAGCTGAGCTTGCTAGTTCAGGTCTCTCTTTTCTCATAAGACCACTAGTCCCATTCCCATGATAACCCATGAATCCATTAATCTATGAATGGATTAATTTATTCTTCAGGGCAGAACTCTTATGACTCAATCTCTTCTCATGACTCAATCACCTTTAAAGGTCCCACGTCTCGGGCCAGGCACGATGGCTCATGCCTGTAATCCCAGCACTTCGGGAGGCCGAGGCAGGTGGATCACCTGAGGGCAAGGTTCAAGACCAGCCTGACCAACATGGTGAAACCCTGCCTCTACAAAAAATACAAAAAATTAGCTGGGCATGGTGGTGGGTGCCTGTAACCCCAGCTACTAGGGAGGCTGAGGCAGGAGAATTGCTTGAACCAGGGAGACGGAGGTTACAGTGGGCCAAGATCACGCCATTGCACTCCAGCTTGGGCGACGAGGGAAACTCCGTCTCAAAAAAAAAAAAAAAAAGGGCCACGTCTCAGTACTGCTACATTGGGGATTAAGCTTCAACATGAATTTTGGAGGGGACAAAAATTCAAACCATAGCAAAACATCATATAATCGACTGAAAAGGAGCCTCGTACGATAGGGGTGTCTACTATGGATTCTTTATTTTATTTACATAAGCGATGCCTACATATTGTACTGTGAAAGATTTTTAAAATAGAGAAATATAGACTAAAAACTGAAAGTCTACTTTCACATCTCTTTTGTTTCGTTATTCAACACAAAATTGATCATTGCTGAGAGTTTAGTGCGGGCACTTGCTGGCCTTTCCTATGAATGTGTATTAGAAATAAATGAATTAAATATAAAATGCGAACATACCACTTGTATAGTCCTGCAATATACTTTATTTTAACTTAACAATATGAGTTGGATATCTTCTCCTATGAGTCATACGAATTTGCCTTATTCTCTAGTTGCTGCTTAGTACACCGTACTAGAAATATTCCAATATATTTAAGACATTTATATTGTTTATGACTTTTTATTGTAGGTAAAAACATAAAAAGCCCACTTTGTACATATGCCCTTGTGCACCTCTGTTTTTCTGTAGAGTAGACATTCAAAAATGACTTACTGATTGAAATATATGCTCCTTTAATATTTTAAGAATTTGCCCTTTTACTTTCTAGAACATCATTATTAATGCATTTTCCTACTAACAGTGCATGACAGGACTTGTTTTTCCTCTTTTTGTCAAAACTAGGTATCTTTTAAATAGTTTACAATATATTTGATTAAAAACTATATGTAGGGGGTGTGAAGCAAGGGGAGGGAGAGCATTAGTAAAAATATCTAATGCATGCAGGGCTTAAAACCTACATGATGAGTTGATAGGTACAGCAAACCACCATGGCACATGTATACCTGTGTAACAAACCTACATATTCTGCACATGTATCCCAGAACTTAAGGTTAAGAAAAAGTAAAAAAAAAACTATATATAATTTTTATTCAATATATGTTTTCCTGATTATTAATGATATTGGGCATCTTTTTATATATCATTTGTATTTGAATTGCTCTTCATCTCCTTTACTTATTTTTCAATTAGAGTCAAGTTTTCTTATTACTATTTAGGATTTTTAAAATATTCTAGATAATATACCTTTCTATAGTCTACTCATATTTTTTTCTCCAGATTGTCCTTTGCTCTTTGACTTGATAGTGTTTTGGACAAAATTTTAAATTCTTATGCAGGCACTTTTCAAATCATTATATTTATAGTGCTTAGGTTTGCATCTAGCTTAGAAAGTTCTTCTCAATAAAAAAAAGGAGCTTAATTTTATAAATGGGTAGATACTGTTATTATCTCCATTTTATACATATCAAAATTTAGGTTAAGTGAGATTAAATAATTTTTTCAAGGTGACACAGCCAGTTAGTGTCAGGATCAAATTTGAACACAGGCACTCTGGCTCCAGAATACATGCTCTTAACTGTATACTAATTATTTAATATTCTAAATTCCAATATTAGTACGAGTCTTTTTCGTACTATCTAGTCTGTTGATTAATCTATTATTATGCTAATATATGGTATGCTAATTACCATGAATTCATACACCATGTTGATATCTGGTAGGGCATTCCCTCTTATTTATTTAAATCTTTTCTTGTTTATTTTTATTTTATCTTTCAAATGAACTTTAAAGTTGGTTTGTCAAGTTTCATGAAAATCTTGCTGTGATTATCTGACTTCATACATTTGTTTAGGAAAATTAATGTCCTTAAAAATTAGAGTATTTTTGCATAATCTATACATTGATTTAGGCTTTTAAAAAAAGGTCCTTAATAATGTTTCAGGTTTTTTTGTTATAGTGTTGCACTTTTCTTCTAGTTTTATGTCCAGGTATTCCAGAATATTTGTTTCAATTATAAGCAAACTATTTTTCAGCTTAATTTTCCAATTATTTATTGCTATGTATGGAAACTAAAACTAGTTGATTTTTGTCTCTATCACAAAGCTGAATGCTTTTATAAATTCTAATTGTTATTTCATGTATCATATTAAATTTCTTTTACAAATAAAGAATATTAAAAGCCTTTTATGCTTCCTTTAGAAATGAAGAATATAAAATGGTTACAGAAATGAATAAACAGAGGAAGAAGGCAAAAAGAACTATAATGTTCACTGAATCTACCCATCAAAGTAACTAACTACATTTTATGTATTTTCAGCTACTTGATCTGTGTTTGAAGCAATTTCCTTCAGTTCAATGTTTTTTCTCTTTGCTATCTTTTTTTGGCTTTTTCTTTTTCTTTTGCATAAAAAGTACAATAAAAATGATATTTCAGTTTACATTATGATGATCTCAAATATTGCTTAAGAAACTCAAGTGTGGCTGACAAATGGAAAACATCAGCATTGTGCAATAATTTCTTTCATCATGTTTTGTCAATCTTGGCATCTTTAAAAACAAAAACTTCATGCTATGAATGTCACTGATGGCCTGAGACAATCTAAAGGATATTTTGTTTGAAATGCACACACACAATTCCTAAAGTGTGAGAAACAAAATCAGCAAAGTAACAAACTGCTGTCCGCCATTTTAGATAAGTGCCCCATTTTGACCAAAGGCATCTTGCCAGAAGACAGAACTGGCATATTAGCAGGTTTTACTGGTAAACAAAAATACTCTATTTTAGTACAATGCTTCACGATTGATAGCGTTTCCATACATGGTTATTATTATTTTTAAAATTTTCATCACCATCCAGTGCTATGTGACAAAGGCAGGGTTTAGTTGCTCTGTGTTATCGATGAGAGAGCAAATCTACTAGTCTGAGTTAACCAGGCATGGAGATGAATGAGCCACAGAGTTGGAACAAAATATAGATCTGACTGCACGTCAAGTGAAGTTTTCACTCCCACTGAAGAGGCTTAGAAAAATCAGTATTCAGTGGGAATTTAAATTAGAAATATTTTAGAAGAAATTAAAGTGTAGTTTTCACTCCCACTGAAGAGGCTAGAAAAACCAGTATTCAGTGGGAATTTAAATTAGAATTATTTTAGAAGAAATTAAAATAACGTGCAGTTCCTGATAAAAGGGATCTTTACATCACACATCTCATGATTGATTGAAATTGTACACAATATGTGGAAATAGTACCACTTCCTGGCTTAAAATCTGACAACTAAAATTAGGGAACAAGTACTTGACGGATTCTCTTGAACACTGAGTGGATTCCTATCTTGGGCTGCAAAAGATATATATTCCCAAAGAAGGAAGTTTTCTGGACTTTTGGAAAGACTCCCTACCCTCTCCCCCTTTTATGAAAGCGATTTTAAGTAATGTAAAACATTTTGTAATATTCAAGTATATGTTGTAACTTTTTCACAATATTTATTTAGCATCTATAAAGCTCAAGGGAAATTAAATATGATGAAGCTCCTGCTATCAAATTGATATTCTAGAGCATAACTAATGTATACTTCTAAGCAAACATAAACATAAGTGAAAATCAGACTAGTGCTGATAGTATGTAAGTATAGAGGAAACTTGCTGGAGAAGCATTTAGTTAGAGAAATCATCATGAAACAGTAAAATGCAAGCTGGTATTGCAGGAACTGCAGGTTTGACCTATTTATTTAATTCCCCTGGCTGACAATGACCTCTTCCCACTTTAGTTCTGGTGTTTCATTTTTTCATTTAATGCATTTTGAAAAACTGTTACATTCCAACCAGGAAACATGGATGTCACTTATTGAACTTTCAGCATATGTTACAAACTTCCTAAGAGCAGTCATTTCTTGTTCATAGTTATATCCCTACTGTATGTCTGTGGCTATTCACTAATTTTGCTCATAAAAGGTTATTTATCAAGATAATTTTGCATATTTGAATTATATTTTTATATTATTCCAGGTAAACATTATTTTTCTCACATAAATTCTTAGAAACTTGTGGAGTCACATAACATATTTTGATGTCCTTTTCAGTTTCTAATGCAGGGCTTTGCAAATTATGAGTGGCTGATAAATGTTCTTGATTGAATAAGAGTGTTGTGGGTGGGCAGATGAATTTTAGCAAAGGAAATGAGAGATGCAGAGTAAGTCCAGGAAGGAGGCCAAACTGAAACACATAGAATCTTTTTATTATGGAGTACTTGGACATCTTCTGTAGTTCTCCAATGTCAGTTAGTGAAAATGCCAACTTTCTAATTATTCAATTAAAAATCTTTGGCTCCTCTCTTTCTTCTCATATCCTACTTTGGTTATTCAGGAAATCTTGTCAGACCTATAAGCAAAATAATTCTCTAATAGAAGAGACCCTTTTGGCACCACTTTCACTGTTACCAACACAATCCAAGGGAGAATCTTATGGTGCCTGTAAGAGTCTCCCCGCTTCTAACTTTGCTCTCCTTCTCATATAAGTAAAGCTTACATGGTGACCAGAGTCATCTTTTCAAAGGTTAGTCAGATCATGATGCTCCTAGCTCAGCCTGTACAATGGCTTGGGATCTCTCCCATAGCAAACCCAAGGTATATATATATTCCTCAGGAAGCTCTCCATATTGGTATATATATTTCTCATGAAGCCCTACCAATTCTGGCTCCTGCACTCTCTCTGACCTTCTCTAGTCTTCTTTCACACTGACCTCCTTACTGTTCCTCAAATACTAGATGCACACTCATGACTCATGATTTTTGAAGCATCGTTTTCCATTTGATAAGAATTCTCTTTCCCCAAATAATTGCTTGCTTTTCACACTTCCTTATGGTCTCGTTTCAAATGTCACCTTCTCTGATTGTCAGAATATAATCTTAATTCTTTACATAAATTTCCACCCATTCAATAATCCCTACTCTTCTTACATTGCTTTATTTTTTTTCTCATAGCAGTATTCTCCACCTGATATACTGTTACTTGTCTGCTTCCTCGCCTTACAGTGGGAGCTCCATGATGGTGGAGCTTTGTTTTTTTCACTGCTGTATCCCTAAGACTCAGGATAGAGGATCTTAGTAAACACTAAAAAAGTTTTAACTTATTTGAATAAATGAATGCATGTATGGGTAAAATATAAATGCATGAATAAACAAAAAGCATTGATGGAGATTACAAATTCCAAATGGAGTTTTGTTTTGGTGTGAAAATCAGCAAGAACACACTGCAGATACCTGAGGAAGGGAATAGAGATTATCTTCAGTCAGAAAGCTAGATAAATCTAAGGAAGACAAGAAAGAGTAAAGAAGGGACTGCTATAATCCAAACTGAAATCGGGTTTACATAAATAGTTATGGAAATGAAGAAAATGTTATAATTTTCATGTGGGAGAAAATGTGAATTGGCCAGATTAACTATAGTGGGAGGATGAAAATGGTATTTCATAGACATTCCCAATACTGAGATCTTTGAGAACTGGAAAATGTGGGTCCACTCACAACAAGGAGAACTTGGAAAGTTCCGTTTGTTTGGGGAAGATGACACTGTTGTGAACGGGAGTGGGGTGGGCAGCCATGGCTTATTGATAATTTTTTCTTTAATCATTTCGAACCCACAGTATTCTTTATTGCAATGACTTAGTGAAGGGTGAATGGACACACTGTTAAAAGACTGTCCCTTTTAAGCCACGTTCTTACTTTTTATACTTCATATTTCTCCTCCACATATCAGGCAGCTGCCATTTGATCTGTATACTAGCCAGCAGAGGAGCGGCTCTGTACAGATCCAGATTAGCTTAGGGTATGTTCCTGCTGGGTCTAAAGGAGTCATAAAACCAACAAATAAATCCTGAGGTTCTCTGTGGCCCTACCCTGCTAGCTGTGTCCCCATTTTAGGATTCTGCCTTCATAAGCAGCTCATTGCCATAGTGGACTCCAAAATCCAACATCTTTCCAGAGAGAGAGAGAAAAGACAGAGAGATATAAACACTAAGAGAAAGAGATAGAGGGAGGAAGGGAGAGAGAAGACAGACAGGGAGGGGGGAGAGGAAAAGAGAGAGAAAGAGAGGGAGAAAGAAGACAGACAGATTGAGAGAGAGGTAGGAATATCTCCAAATTGGCTTATTGCTTTGAGGTTCTGTACTGGATTAGAACCCCTGGTAATTTCTGCTACGTACTTTAGTCTTGGATTTCTGAAAATTTAGGTACCTGGGAAATATATGTTAACACTATCAGTTTACTGTATTTTTAAAACATGTTTAATTAACATATTTTTATTTTTATTATTATTATTTTTTGAGACAGAGTCTCATGCCACTGCACTCCAGATGTGTTGCCCAGGCTGGAGTACAATGGCATGATCTTGGCTCAGTGTAACCTCTGCCTCCCAGGTTTAAGTGATTCTCGTGCCTCAGCCTCCCAAGTAACTGGGACCACAGGCGCATGCCACCACGCCAAGCTAATTTTTGTATTTTTAGTAGAGACAGGGTCTTGCCATGTTGGCCAGGCTGGTCTTGAACTCCTGGCCTCAAGTGATCTGCCTGCCCTAGCCTCTCAAATTGCTGGGATTACAGGTGTGAGCCACTGCACCCAGCCAACACCATCAGTTTATAAACATCAAATTAGGACCTCTATAAGTTAATAGAATAAAGTTATACCACTCACCTACCCTCAAAACTATTAAAATCCCCACTAGGAAAATGTCTGGGAGGACTGAAGTATCTAGATTTTTAGGATTGAAGTTGTGGTTTTAAATGGCAATACCTATTTTCAAAGTGCTTGAGTTTTTTGGGCAGGTGTATCTCTCTCTCTCTCTCTCTCTCTTTTTGAGAGACAGTTTTCCTCCTTGTCGCCTAGGCTAGAGTGCAGTGGTGCCATCTCGGCTCACTGCAACCTCCGCCTCCTGGGTTCAAGCGATTCTCCTGCCTCAGACTAACGAGTAGCTGGGATTATAGGCATGCGCCACCAAGCCCGGCTAATTTTTGTGTTTTTAGTAGAGACGGGGTTTCACCATGTTGGCCAGGCTGGTCTCCAACTCCTGATCTCAGGTGATCCGCCCGCCTTGGCCTCCCAAAGTGCTGGGATTACAGGCGTGAGCCACTGCACCCGGCCCGTGTATCTCTTTAAGATTCTCGCTCCTGTAATCCCAGCACTTTGGGAGGCCAAAGCATGCGGATCACCTGAGGTCAGGAGTTGGAGACTACCTGGCCAACACGGCGAAACCCCATCTCTACTAAAAATACAAAAATTAGCCGGGCGTGGTGGCGGGGGCTCTGTAATCCCAACTACTCAGGAGGCCGAGGCAGCAGAATTGCTTGCGCCCAGGAATCAGAGGCTGTAGTGAACTGAGAGCTTGCCACTGCACTCTAGCCTGGGCGACAGAGCAAGACTCTGTCTCAAAAAAAAAAAAAAAAAAAAAAAAAGATTCTAATTAGTTCTAATGAGCCAAAGCTTTGAACTTCTCCTTATTTCGTCTTCTCCCTTCTTTGCATTTTTCCTCTTTTGGTGTTAAATGTATAGCTGGGAGTTAAACTTGAAATAGACCACGTGGGTAAGGACTTAAACAGCTCCACTATTCCTCAATGGACAGAATGAGTGAGCAGCTTCTGTCAGCCCTTAGTTTACCAATGTGAATAAAACTGCTCCCATGCTGGCATTTGATACAGGAATGGGAAATTAAACTAATTTTTAAGAGCTAGAGTAGCATCTCTTTCTCACCTGGGAAAGAATTGGTAAGAATTGCATTGGTTAAAGTAACTAAGCCTAGTCAAAGTAGCTGGGGCAAAAGTGAATATTTATTGGAGAAACGCCTTCTTATCAAGTTTGATTAAAGAAGTACATGAATGTGGCTGCGCACGGTGGCTCATGCCTGTAATCCCAGCACTTTGAGAGGCCAAGGCAGGTGTCTCACCTGAGGTCAGGAGTTCAAGTCTAGCCTGGTCAACATGGTGAAACCATGTCTCTACTAAAAATACAAAAATTAGCTGGGTGTGGTGGCGTGTGGCTGTAATCCCAGCTACTCGGGAGTCTGAGGCAGGAGAATCGCTTGAGCCCAGGAGGCAGAGGTTGCAGTGAGCCGAGATTGCACCATTGCACTCCAGCCTGGGTGACAGAGTGAGACTCCAAAAAAAAAAAAAAAAGAAAGAAAGAAAAAAAGAAAAGAAAAGAAAAAGAAAGAAAGAAAGAGAAAGAAAGAAAGGCAGAAAGAAAAATAATATGAATGAATAATCAACTCCTGGAAGAATGACATCATGGCTTCCAGGAATAGCTGGAACCAGGGAATCAACATGATCAGGACTCTCTCCCACCGAACCCCCCACTCTCTACCTCAGTATACTGTCTGTGCTCCTCTCTGCTTTTCAGTTTCATTTTTTTTTTTTTTCCTACTCAAGGGCAGCTTCCTGCCCTGCTTCCTCCAGCATCTGCATTTTACATTGTGCTGCTCCCACTACCAGGGATGTACTAGCTACTCCTAAGTACAGTTTGAAAAACCCTGGGGAAAGATTCTGAGTCACTTTTTAGGTTATAGGCTTACCTTTGGTATATTCAGGCAACATCAAGAGGCTACATGGGGGATTGTGCACTACAATTCATAGATGAGGAAACTGAGGCACAGAGAGGATAAGCGACTTGTCCAAGATCACTCAGTTACTATAATATTATTTGATCAGTGTCTAGAGAAGATATTAAATATTAGTTATAATTAAATCTGTGATCATTAAAAAGCCATTTGGAAAGAGCTTGAAGCAGAGAACAGCACAATCAGGGGAATAGACTGTATTTAATGTTGTATACTACCATCTAGTGATAATCTAGAGAATTTCAGCATTATACATTAAATATGTATTTAATATTCGAAGTTTTATTTTTCTTGATGTAATCTTTACAAATGTATCATAAATTGGCAATAACTATATAACCACATATTTACATATTTTATGGGCCCAGTAAGAGAATAGCAGCCATTTAAAGGATCATTTCAATTAATGTTTTCAAAACCCACGTTTTTAAGGTGGATGTCACAATAACTTTGAAATTTAGAAAATTTGGGATAAATTATCTTGCATAAAATATTCATTTGCTCTCATTTTATGGTATGAAATGAACCAGATGTCAAGGTTTGCAACAGATAGCCTGGTATGTGAGCCTTCTTCCTAGGAGACAAATAGGTGCTCTTGAGAATGAGGCAAAACATAGTTAAATAAGTGGTCTCATTAGCCTACCATCTGGAGGGCATGCTTGCTTACTCCAGGGCCAGCCCTGAGAGCTGCTGTGCCACTTTGGTACTAGGATAGGAAATAGGGAGTCACAGGGCTCTAAGCTGGCAGTCAGCTTGGTTCTGAATCCACATGTTCACTCTGTACCCAACAAATATTTTAATACAATGTAGCCATGTTCCCCTTTCTTTTACAAATGTGTGATTTACAACAGCGGGATTCTAGCATTTATCAGGTCTACATAGCACAACATAATTTTAATGTGAGGGATTCCTGACAGGCTTATATATTAAAAAATTGAGCACTCAACCATGAATATTTTAAAGACTATATTTAGTCCAATATTATTTGATGATATTTAGTATAAACTGACATTGACTTAGAAGATATAATATTTCATAGTGTATGTGATCAATAAGCTTGTACTGGGAGCACTAGATGTGTACCAAGGTCTTTTACATATCTTTAGAAAATTCATCATATCATGACCCATATCCCTGGGAGCTGGCTAATATTTACAAATCCTCAGTTATTTGATGAAGTTTTTCAAACCTTGATATGATCAACAAGGGAAAAAGTCATGAAAAAAGAGGTAATTTGAACATATTTTCTTCCCTTGACGTAGCAATATTTCCTGGTGTGTGGAAATATTATTCTATCCGTCCTCAGGTGAGAAAGAGCTGCTACTCCAGCTTGTTAAAAAAATTAGTTTAATTTCCCCTTTCTGTATCAAATGCCACCATAGGAGCAGTTTTTAGTCACATTGTAAACTAAGGGCTGATGAGTGCAATCCGTTGAGTGGTAAGATTTAAAATCAGACATATTTTGAATATAAATCACAGTTTTACTGAGGTAAAAGGTTTTTTTAAATGGAGTCTTAAAATATAAAATGTATACGTGTAGTCATTAACATATTTTCTTTAGTATAGCCATGTGGGTGATATATTTTAAATATATCTGGAATATTTATTGAAATCATCCGGCTTCTTAGCAGTTATTTAACAATGTACCACATTAATGACAATTCTAAGAATGTTTCATTGGAATATAGAAAGCAATATTGCTCCCCTCCATCTCATTCCTTCCTTCCAGAGTAATCCGTAGGTGTCCTAGAAATCTCCTGAGATTCAGCAAGAATCAACATTCACATACACAAGGCTCAAGATCTGGGGGAGCCTGAAAGAGTGGCATTTGGTCATAGTGCCCTGATTGAGGAAAGCGTACTGGTGGGTTTTCCTGCATCCAAGCAGGATGCAGGATTCCTGGGCCTCCTGTAGGCATATTTACATGGGCTTGCATATTACAACCGAATGAACACTATTATTCACCAATTCTTCATGGCAAGACATAACTTACACTGTTCTTGGCAGTAACCAGGAACAGCTTAGCAAATTATTCAGAGATGCTAGGAGATAAATCAGCTTAAGTGTTGTTAGAGCATTATTCAAGCAGATGTACTTAAGGCAAAGGTATGTCTGCTCATCTTCGCCATACTGTAAAGGGTCCTCCACCCCCAAGATCTAATGCAGTGGAATCATCTTCCCCAGGTGAGCCTGGGAAAGCTGTGGCTGGGCTTGTTTATTTGGAAGCACAACAGCCTCCATGAAACTTCTACGTCAGGGGTAACCTATAAAAGGAGAGATGAATCTCCGATGCCCACAGGACCCTGGCCCTTAGCAGACTTGGGTTTATAATGAAAATCAGATAAAACCAGAGCAGTCTTGTTTCACAGAGCCTGTCTAGAGTAATTTAAAGAGGGGAAGTGGGGTGGAGAAGATGTGCTTTAATCCATTTTATGGATGAAATCTTTGGTTCCAGGTAGTTTTTTATCCCCTCCATGGAGGGCCATCCCAATGTGTGAACTTTTCAAATGGATGCCTTCTGATGGGGCCCCTAATACAGACAAAATCCCCCACCCTCACCCTGTGGACTTTGCATGAGAATCAACTCCAAACTGCCATGTTCTCTACATACATTTCCCACATTTTCTTCAGTCATTAGTTTCCTGCTGAAAACACACAGAACCAACACCCGCTGGAGAACTTGCTGCTATACATTTGCACACACCTATCCAAGTTTTCTGCAGGACCACAGATTTCTATTCCACTCTATTACCTCTTCTCTCTCTTTCCCCTTATTTGGCATCTGGATTCCTTTCTAAATGTGTCATTTACCAAGAAGTGAACCCACCAAACCTCTTCCTCACCTGGGGAGTGTTGCCAGTGGAGAGACAAGCCTCTTTATTAAACTGCTGTTTCCACCCCCTGAGCCTGAGATTGGGATTTTTGCAACCCTTGATGACCATGTTTCCTGTATCTACCCTTCTTTCTGAGGCTAAGTTTAAGACAAATCTTGGATTAAAAGCCAGCTTTTGGAAATACAACATAAATCACAGGAAGAGGCAGAGACAACTTTAGCTTAGTAACCCCAGGAGACATGAGAGGAAGAGGCCCTCTTAGGTCCTCACTTTCTACTCACAGCTTCACTCCTATCTCCAGAACCTTGGAGATGGATGATATCAGAACACTTCACAATCTGAAGCAGGGCACACTGAAGAGAAGAGGCATAAACCTGTGGCAGGAGCAAGAGGGATCCAGAGACATGTGAAGTTGAGAGCAGAGGAGAGAAGAGATGGTGGGCCAAGAGGGAACATTTGCTTATTGCCTACTAGTCACAGGGTAGGGGCCTACTAGTCACAGGGTAGGTAGGTAGTGGCCCTAAGGCCTTAGCTGAGAGGCCCTGGACCCCTTGATTATTTGGACATGATTCATATATGGCAGGAAAAAGTATTTCTGATATTTTAATATAGGTTAGCAGATGTGATTTAACCTAAATCATATTATTGTTTTACATATTATTCTGGCCTCCTAGTGAGTGTGATGAGGAAAGAGAGGTTCAATACTGAACTCCATTACCCTCCTTTCTACAGTAGCATAGTCCCAGGTTATATGTCTACCTCTATGAAACACCGTATCAATCACGGGCCATCAGTCTCCTCTGGGACTCATCCAGTGCATGTCATGAAGAAGAAAATTGGATAACTACATTTCCAACATGTTTTCTTCAGCCTCAATGCGTGGCCATGAGAGACCACTACTAACATTTACCAGTCCTTTCCTAGCCCTGATCGCCACAAAGCCAGAGCTTTGGGGGACATAAATATCTGAGAAATAAGTGAAGAGAAACACATTTTCAGAGATTCCTGAACAACCCAAATTTCTACTTGTGTCTTTTATATTCTGGTTTCTTCTGACAACTGACATACTAGAATCTGCACAACATTGTGAAACAGCCAGTATCATTAGTTACCTACATAGTATATTCCACTAATCTGTTTTGTATGGTCTCAGGTCCAAGTATTTTTGGGCTGATTATAGCAGTACCATATTTGTTCCAAAGCTAAGAAACATGTATCTGGAGGCCTGTAGTAGAATTCCCTGGAAATATTTCATCTGCTAAGGTCACCTGCAGAACACCAGGTTTCATCATTTACTCTGAATGGGAAGGGTCCCAACATTAAGGACATCCAATAAATTCTAGATTTCGGTGGGTTCAGCACGGAACTCCATTACCCTCCTTTCTACAGTGCATAGTCCCAGGTTATATGTCTACCTCTATGCAACACCGTATCAATCACATGCCATCAGTCTCCTCTGGGACTCATCCAGTGCATATCATGAAGAAGAAAATTGGATAACTACATTTCCAACACGTTTTCTTCAGCCTCAATGCGTGGCCATGAGAGACCACTACTAACATTTACCTATCCCTATCCCATTTTCCCACCTTCACTTCATATATATATATATATACACACATATATATACACACATATATATACACATATATATACATATATACACATATATATACACATATATATACACATATATATATACACATATATATACACATATATATACACATATATATATACACATATATATACACATATATATACACATATATATACACACATATATATACACACACACATATATATATATATATATATTTTTTTTTTTTTTGGCTGAGCAAGGTGGCTCACGCCTGTAATCCTAGCACTTTAGGAGGCCGAGGAGGGCGGATCACCTGCAGTCAGGAGTTCGAGACCAGCCTGGCCAACGTAGTGAAACCTCGTCTCCACTAAAAATACAAAAATTAGCCAGGCATGGTGGCACATGCCTGTAGTCTCAGCTACTCGGGAGGCTGAGGCAGGAGAATTGCTTGAACCCAGGAGGCAGAGGTTGCAGTGAGTTGAGATCGTCTCAAACCAAAACCAAACCAAAACAAAACAAAAAACAAATAATTTTTTTAATGAAAAAGAATCTTCTTTACAAATTAATTATTGGTTTCTGCATTTGGTTACATAACTGGATAGTTTTCTCCCAATTTGGGATTGTTCATCAATATTTTTTTCTAGCATTTTTATATTTACATGTTTTCATTAACTCATTAACATGGATTTTTCTTTTCTTTATAAAAACCTTTCAATTTTTTCTATGATGTAGAATATATTTCTCTGAGGTAGTGGTCTATCTTGATGTTTAGTCACTTAGCCCAATGCATTATTCGAAAGTCAAACTGATTTAAAATTATACTTCTATCATATACCAAATTATTTCAAATGCTTGGGTCAATTTCTTGTCTTTTTTTCTTCTTCTGTGTATCTGCTTGTTTTTAAACTATTGACAAATGTCTTGTTTACTTTTTTAGTTTCTTTCCTTTCTTTTTTTGTTTGTTTGTTTAGGGAGACAGGCTCTCACTCTGCCACTCAGGCTGGAATGCAGTGGCATGATTATAGTTCACTGCAGTCTCAAACTCCTGGTCTCAAGTGATCCTCCTGCCTTGGCCTCGCAAGTAGCTGGGATTGCAGGCATGAGCCACCACACCTGATTCCTCTTTCTTTATTTTTCTCAGATATAGAAAAGTCTTTAATTTTCTATTTTTTTCCAGAAACACTTTGCGTTTCTAAATTCTCTCATAGGCACTGACAGTTCTTTATTTGATTATCTTGGATTTTCTAAATAAATAATCTTATTGCTTGTAAATAATAATAAATTTGCCTTTCTTTTTTTTTTTTTTTTTTAATGGAGTCTCACTCTGTCGCCAGGCTGGAGTGCAGTGGCATGATCTTGGCTCACTGCAGTCTCTGCCTCCCGGGTTCAAGCAATTCTCCTGCCTCAGTCTCCTGAATAGCTGGGACTATAGCGCGCACCGCCATGCCCGGCTAATTTTCTTGTATTTTTAGTAGAGATGGGGTTTCACCATGTTGGCCAGGATGGTCTCAATCTCCTGACCTTGTGATCCACCTGCCTTGGCCTCCCAAAGTGCTGGCATTACAGGCGTGAGCCACCATGCCTGACTGACTCTTTTTTCATAATTATACTCTACTGATTTCCTTTCTCCTTCCATTCTTCCCTCCCCACCCTTCCTTCTATCCCTGTTTCTTTTTTTCTCTTTCTCTCTGTCTCTCTCTTTCTCTAGGTTAAAGCTTTCTAAACAATGCTGAAAAAGAGTAGGTAATGGTGCAGTGTCATTTATATCACATTCTTCATGACTGTAATGGAAATAGTGGGGTTTGTCTTTGCTTTTGTTTTTCAATCAAACATAGTTGTTGCTATTGGATTGATTACTAATATACTATTTGGGCCGAGTGCAGGATAGGAGGAGAGCCTGTGAACAAGCCTCCATGCACTTTCATAAGATAGGTGTAAGGTAAGATTGAGAATTCCCTTTCCCCTTCTCACCCATCATCCCCTTCTTTAGGCTAGGCTTGCCTGTATTTCTTGCCAAGCAGAACTTCACTGGGTTTTCAGATCTTTCTGAAAGCTGTCCTTTGGCTTTCCAGGTGGGCTAATAAACTGCTGGGTGGTTTGCCATTCACTAAGTTTAATCTCATCAGTATCATGTCTTCCAGAAATTGCTTGAAGTCACTCTTCTCTGATTTCCCTTAACTTTTTGGTAGTTCTTTTGAATTTCAATGAGAACTAAGTAAAAAAAAAAAAAAAAAATCAGCTCAGCCAACCAACTTGAAATAGTTCCTTTAAAAATTATCATTTCTAATTCTCAAGTGTTAAAATATAAATGAATCCTCCCTTAAGTAATAATGACAGATGGAAATACTATATTAAAAACTCAGCTCCTATCACATATCTGCAATGGTAACTCACTTAAAAATGTTATCCTGCATTGGATTAAGTGGTTTCAAAATGAAAATATGAATATAAATAAACTGCTCTTTTACAAAAGAACTGAAAACTAGCAAGTATACTGAAAAAGTGCTTCTTATTCAAATTAATCTATGAATTATTTTCCTTTTTTGATATTGAAAAAGAACCTTGCTAAGAAACAATGTTTAATTTTGTATCAACACTGAATACTAATTAGGAAAAAAAAGCACCCTTATTATTCTCTCTGAATAACAAGTATTTTTCCAGTTGGATCACTGTACGTTTGCGCATGTTAATGACTTATTTTTCAAAGATTTACCACTCTGATGTATGTTTTGCAGTAGTAGATTTCCTCGTGTCCTCCACAGTGAAATATCTTCATTGTTTGAATCACATTTTTGGCAGGATGGTGTTCTTTTACATTTTGGGGGTATCATAGGAGCCTGAGAGAGGAGGGAGACAAATCTTATCTATAAAGCTTATTCATGAATTTTTGTTTTGGCGTGGGAAATTTGCCCCTGTGTGTAACAAGGGCATTTAACAAAATCTGTAATGCTTTTTTGAAATAAATTAGTTTCTTACGGCAAAGCTGTAAGAAGCTCTTTTTTCAGTTGTTAACATGTTTTTAGACTAAGTTCCAAATTCAAAACGAATATGAATGCCGCCTTCAATCTACACCACTGCACCTCATCTTTGTTCTTTTTTCTTCCTTTCCCAGACACCTATATTCTCATTTTATTTCTTCAGCGGACATCAATTAGCACTTTGGTCCCTAACCCAGATCGGTTTTGTCAGCACCTCATGTTTGGAGTTTTTCTTATTTGCATCGTTTGATTCAACTCGTCCTCTGATTTCCCTGACCCACTTCCCTGATTACCAAAGTAAAAGCTGGCTGATCTGTCAGACCAATTCTAAATCTGTCCATAGTCTTTTTCTCTATGCTATACTCTCACATCAACTCATTATTATGACTCAGTGTTAAAGATATGATAGTATGAAGGGTTACATTATTTTTCAGGAACTGGATACTTGGTTTAACATGACTCTGCCCTGGACAGCCTGGCCAATTACCCTGACTCCCCTACTTTCAATCATACTGAAGATGTTATATAAGTAACGTGTTATTAAATATATTTTTAATGTCTGCAAATGCCATTCTTCTATAGCTGTCAAATTCAAGAAAGTTATCTCAGAATTCTGCAAAGCCTCAGAACAGATAGTCTTCAATGACACACACTGTGGATGCTAAGATTTACCAACCCAGTAACTTCTTGGGCTGACTGAAATTTTTTTCAAGAAGGCAGCTGTGCACCTCCTGCTGGTGGGTTGGTGGCCTCACTGGTGCAGTCACTCCACTAGTGGAAAGGCCCACGTGTTCCTTAGAACTGTTTCTTCTTCTATATGGCCAGAACAATCCTCTGCTCACCCTCCTGATGTACACTGATGAAGCTATTTATTTATTTATTTATATTTTTTAAGACTGGACTGTGGCAGAGGGTAGGGGGCTGGCTTTGCTGTGTTGCCCAGCCTGGACTCAAACTCCTGGGCTGAGGTGATCCTCCGGTCTTAGCCTTCTGAGTACCTGGGACTATAGATGTGCGCCCCAGCACCTGGCTGATGCAGTCTTTTACATATAGGGCACTACCCTTGCAAATAAAAGTGCCAGATAAAAGAACTGTACAATCTACATTCTAGGTCTGGTTCTATTCCTGATCCAATATGTGATTCTGGGTAAATCATTGTCTCTAGGCTGGACCTCAGTATTCTAGGAAGTAAAATGAGTGTTTTGGATTATATGATATTTAGTGACATCTCCTGTCCTAAAATTTAAAACTGTCATTCATCTCAAGGTTACCTTTCTGTTTGTCTATGACTTGCTGTCCTGGCCCATTGGCTGTTGAGAGGAGTAATGAAGCAATTGGGGTATCTGAAACTCAAGGTTTCTAGGAAATTAAGTCCTGGCCCAAGTATGCATTTTATTTTTCTCCATGTAACTTATCCCCACCTAGTGATTAAAAGTTAAAATAGCAACTCATACTTGGAGAGAAAAGGGATTTTATTTATCACACCCAAATGATGTTTTCTTGGGGAAATGATACACGGTATATATATGTAGGCCATGTTTTTTAACATCAGGTTCAAGATGATGGCTGACAATCCTCCTGTATCCACCCTGCATGATAATTACAAGGGCTGGAGTTACCAGAAAGGCAGAAAAAGAATTTTTAAAAGGTTGTTTCTAGAAGCTGCTTTGAAGACCTTTATGCCTCAAATGACTAAGAATTTTTTGTGTGCCTTGGTTTTTTACAGTTACTTTGAGTAATGAGATTTGAAGGCAACTAATCCCTGACAAAATCAGAGACAGCATGAGAGAATAAGAGTCATCTGTTTAAAGTTGACACACAGGCAGGGCAAAGTTTATTTATTCATTTTTAAATCCTGGAAGGTGTATGCAGAAGGGAACTATAATATCCGATTGTCTGGAACACACCCCATTTGAACAGCTGAGTGGAGTTTCTGTTTTTTGCCACTTCTTCTCATTTGTTCAGGCTGCCCCTGTGGACCACTGAACAAGTAGGCTAGTTATAGAGCTGCTGGGAAGTTCAGGAGCCTAGGTGAAATTTTGGAAAAAGGCAGTGGCATAAAATAAGGTCCCAGGGAACAGATGTACTACTCAGAATTCTGAAGCTCAAAACACTTTGTTATAATAGTTGTTCTTAGGCTTTTTATTATGGATGAGGATAAAAGAGTGGAGTAAGAATCTTTGCTATTACTCAGTCTTCTTATTTGAGTTCTTCTAATACTGTTAGGCCACTTTTGTTAGATCAATTTTATTCGGAAGCCAACAGCTAAAATTTAGGCCGGGATCTGTGGGATCATTTAAATTCCATGTAATTCATCAATTTGAAGAAAGAGTTACAATAATTTTCACCCAAACTATTACATAAAAGATTCTTTATAAATTAATGGTATGACTTGGAATTCACTCTTTTACTTTGTCTTGGTTAAGCTTGCTGGAAGTTTATGCATTTTATTGATCTTATCAGAGAATCAGCTTTTGTAACTTTATTTTCTAGATTGCTTTCCCACTTTCAATGTTTTAAATTCATGCTCTCATTTTTCATATTTTTTTCACTTCTACTTTCTAAATTTAATTTGTTAATCTTTTCTAGCTTCCTAAAGTGGAATAGGTTATTAATTTTAACCTTTTCTAACTTCTTGATAAATATATGTATTAAAAGCCAAACATTTCCTTTGAAGCACTACTTGTACTAGCTATAATTTCATTCAAAATATATTTTAATTTTTTTCAAGGCTTATTCTTTGACCCTAGTTTTATTTAGAGATGTTTTGTTTAATCTCCAAATATTTGGAGATTTTCCAGTCAACTTTCTGTTATTACTTCTAGCTTAATTCCGCTGTGGTGTGAGAGCATACTTCGTCTTAAATCTATTACTATAAATTTGCCATGTAGGGAAATAATAAAAATGTAAGCATAAATTTGTTTTCTCATTTTCATAAAGTTTCAACTTCATGAAAATGAGAAAACACGATGGGTTGGGTGGCTCACACCTGTAATCACAGCATTTCTGGATGCCACAGAAAGGTGACTGCTTGAGGCTAGAAATTTGATGCCAGCCTGAGCAACATAGCAAGACCTAATTTCTACAAAAAATAAAAAATAATTCAGGTGTGGTGGCAGGTGCCTGTAGTTCCAGCTACTCAGAGAAGGCTGAAGTGGGAGTATTGCTTGAGCCTAGGAGTTTGAGGTTACAGTGAACCATAACCATGCCTGGTTGATAGAGCAAGACCCTGTCTCAGAAAAAAAAAGAAAGAAAAGAAAAGAAAATGAAAAAACAATATAGAAAATATCTAACACCAAAGGTAGTTATTTGAAAAGATCAGTAAAATAGGGAAACCTCCAGCAAGGCTTACCAACACACAAAAATGTAGGGAAAAGACATGAATTACCATTTCACAAACGAAAGAAGGATCATTACAACTGATTTCATGGACACTCAAAGGAGAAAGAGGGAATACTATGAATAAATGTGTGCCCACAAATTTGATAAGTAGATGAAATGATGAAATGGACTGATTTTTTTGAGAGACACACACTAGCAACATTCACTCAAAGGGAAAAATAATAAACTTAATCTCTCAGTATATATATTAAGGAAATTAAATCAGTAATTAAAAAATCTTTCAAGAAAGAAAGCACCAGGGCAAGATGATTTTTAGGTGGATTCTATCCAGCAATTAATGAAGAAATAATAATTATTTTGAATTTCTTCCCAAAATAGTAGTAAATACTTCCTAACTCATTTTATGATACCAGAATCACTCTAATACCAAAACAAGATAAAGACATTGCTAGAGAAAATAACCTGCAGGCCAGTATTTCTTGTGAATATAGACACAAGAGTTCTTAACAAAATATCAACAAACTGAACTCACTCTACTGGAATTCTGAACTCACTCTATTGGAGTGAGTTCAGAATTGAATAATTAAGTAACTGGATGGTAGATCATGAGTCATGTTTCTCATTTATGGAGTGGGAGGTTACAGACAGGCAAAAAGAAGGCTAGAATGGTCTATATTGCAATAGATTAGAATTGGAGACATCAGCATGAACTCATGTTCAGCTTAACATAGGTATAGATGGCCATTTATAGGAATATTTATAAAAACATAGGTTAGTATAGATACTATTTGAGAAGGTCTAGAAGCAATGATCCCCCAGTAGTAATGAACACACCCAGTACTCAGATCTTGGTTTCCAACACCATTTTCCAATACAAAGAATCAGGGCTCTTTAGGAAATGGCTGATTCTAAGACCAGGGCACAAGCATAGGAGATGAGCCTGGAGCATTGTGTGGTGCCAGAAAACAAGAAAGTGCTGAAAACAAAATATCAAACAAATGCACACACACACATACACACGAACAAAAACAAAAACCCTCTCATAAAACATAAAACACTGCAATGGGGTATGTCCATGAGGCATGAAAGCCCACCAAAAGAGCTCTCTATGGCCAAAGCTGGAATAATCTGAGCAGCAAAATAGCATGGTGTTGGAGTAAATGCAAAGTACAAAACAAATATCCATGATTCCACACAGATATAAATAAATCATTGAATAACTAACTTCCTACACCATCAGTGTAGGCTGTGCACAGTAACTTCCACAGAGAGCAATAGGGAAGGGGAGAAATAATAATTTTACACTACAGAAATCTGACAAACACGATCTCAGCCAGGTGATCACAGTTAACATCAAGAGTGATGTCATGTTCCAATAATAAGTAATGAGACTGAAGCCGTAATAAAAAGCCTCCTATCAAAGAAAAGTCCAGGACCAAATGGCTTCACTGTGAATTCTACCAAACTTTTAAAGAAGAACAAATACCAATTCTACTCCAACTATTCCAAAAAATAGAGGAGGTGGGAACACTTCCAAACTCATTCTGTGAGGCCAGTATCACCCTGATACTAAAACCAGACTAAGACACATCAAAAAAAGAAAGCTACAGGTCAATGAACAATAGGATGTGTTTTACCCAGTTATGTGCAATACTAATCCTCCCCTTTGCAGTATACAAATTTCAATTTTTTAATGTGCCTAACTACAGTAAACATTGCCTTTCTATCACATAAATTCTTCTATCCGTCAGAGGGCCACTCAGGGAAGTTCTTCACTGGGCTACTTTGTTTCGCCTGAGCAAGCAAGGAAACTCAGTGTTTATATTATTGAAGGAATGTCTTTGACATTCTTTTAAAAAAGACATCCTACTGAATGAACCTGTTAGCTTTCCTTCATCTAGATTGAAGTTTCTCAACCTTGGCACTATTGATGTTTCAGGCTACATAATTCTTTGTTGAGGGTGGGGGTGCTGTTACGTGCACTGTGGGATAATTAGCCTCATCCCTGGCCTCTGCCTTCTAAACATCAGTAGCACCTTCCCTTCCAGTTGTGACAGTAGAAAATGTTTCCAGACATTGCCAAATGTCCTCTGGTAGGCAAAATTATCTCTAGTTGAGAATCTGTTGTTTAGATCAACAAAGGACTTGAAGGTCATGAGTGGCCCTCTTGAGTTTATGTTCCCGGGGTCTACTTTTTCCAGTGGTCAGTAACTCAATGATGACAGAGTTTTTACTGTCCTCACTTAGTCTGGTTTGTATTGTAACCAGCAGTCTTCTGTGAGTAGTACACAACGCCACTATGTTGTGCCCAGAGCTGGTTGATTGAGCTCCCATTCATTGTTTGTGGTCTGTTTGTCCACTACATTTCTACAGAAAATGAGAAGTATTTGTTGTCAAGATTTGGAATACATAGTTAATTGGATCTTCACTCAACCTGTACCCCATCTACCTGTCCTTTGTGTCTTTTCCCAACTTCTTTAACCCATACGCAGACCTTCATTGGCCAAAATATGGACCAAAACTCAGGTGGAAAGTTGCTCTGTGTCATTCCTTGCACATTAGCACATTATCTTTGTCATATTTGGCTTACTTTCCTCTGAATCCTATGATAAACATGGGGCCTCTGAGCTCAAAAGAGTCAACAATCTGAAGGGAATCCCAGTTTCTAATGGTGTATTCATTATAATGCTAACTTCTATGTTTATTGGTTTATAATCTAATATATTGCTGATAACATTTTGAAAAGGGGAAACTGAAGGATTTCTAGAGAAAATGTAATTCCATATTATTAAAATATGTCAATTCCTTAAGAAAAAACTGTTTTGCTAAAGTTTATCTTACAAATAGAAAGACTTTAACTTTGAGTCAAGTTAATGGCCATGCTTACAATGTTACTATGTATGAGTTCATGTCACACTAGAAAAAAAGACCTAATAACAGAACTGGAGGACTTTAGAACAAATTAAAAATTTTAGTAGGTGGCATATAAATATAACAAAAGTTCAATAAAATTTGGTAAATACTTAGACATTAGACAGGGTTAATATCTTCTTTATTTTATCATAGTTTCAAAATAATATTAACATAAAGGGTAGCACAAAAAACATAATGTTAAAATAATGGTATAGTTTATGCAAGGCATGAATTTACTTACTATGGAATGCCTAGACAGATGGGCTAACATTAATTTGGCAGAATTTTACAATTATGAACATGCCAACAGCTGTTCAAGCAAATTAAATTATAGTACCCAATATCCTTATGAAATGGGTTGACTCATTTAATTTGTCTAATATTTTAAAATAACAATTATTCTTTTATTTTTTGACCATCTTAATTCTCTAAGAAACTATTTATATAATAAATTTACATGTTAGATTTAATGAAGACGTAATTGCCTCAGAAAAAATTAATAATCTTTGTAAAGTCAACATAATCCAAATTGAAATGTTTGTCTCATATTACAGAGAAAATTTTAATATCCAGACCATGTTATGTAAATGGATTTTATAAGTCATTAAGAAAAAGAAATAACTTAGAAAAATAGCTAAACAGAGTGAACAGTCAATTAATCTGAGAGAGAGAAACTGGCTAAAAATAATTTGTAAAGACTTGATCTCACTAAAGGAAGAATAAAAAAGAAAACAATTAAAATTTTATTTGATCAGATAGGCAAGCATTACAATGATTTATAATAGAATTGTTGAGAGTTAGTAAGATGTGCAAATTTATTTCATAAGAGAGGTAGTATAAATTAATATATCCTTCTTGGAATCCCATGTGATAAAGTCTCTCAAAATTCAATTTCAAGTGATATATATTTTAACCCAAAGAAAGTTTTCCTACTGTAGATGCACATGTTTTCTTAAGTAAACATTCATGGTCACCTTTTATGTGCCAGGCACTATGTGAGATACTGGGAATAAAATGGCAAATAATATTTACCACAGGATCATTTTAAATACAAAAATTTGCAACCAATTAAAATTTCCATGCTAAGAGGTTGGTTATACGAACTTACAATATAGTATTGTGTCAACCTTGAAAGAACAAAGTAAGTCTGTAAGAACTGGCATTTTAAAAAATTTATCAATATCTCTGGATGAAATATAAAGGATTAAATTATATGTAAATAAATGTTGACAAACTGTATGATATATTTCCTTTCTGGTAAAATAAATTTAAATATGCATAGAAAGAATACGGAAGGTTATCTACCAAAATTTTACCACTAAATTGTTAAATTGTTAATTTTGTTTTGAATCATTAGGGTCACTTGCCTAAGTCAATAAATAAATGAATAAGGAAGTAAACTAATCAAGGTTAGATCATCAAACATTTAACTACCTAATTTTTAAATTGTATTATTCTTTACATGTTTTTCCCCAATAGCATGAGCAGAAAACTTCATTAATGAAAACTATTAATGGAAAGACCCTAGCATATAAAAATTCTTGTAATTTATTTCAATGGTCTTTACAATGAAGCAAATCTAAAATGAAAAAAACTCCCTCAAAACATAAAATTATGTCAGCCTCTTTATGTTTCCCCTCTCTGCCTTTTACCTGGGACCTGGTGCCTATTTTCTTTAGCCGAATGGTGGCAGCATTTGAACACTGTTACTCATGGCCTGCTGGGCATGTGCCCCGATTAGGCAAAACCAGGGTTAGTATGATGTCCTCAGATAGGCATGGCTAAATGAGACCTCTATGCTGAGACCATATCAAGAGGCTCCATAGTGCCTTTGTATGAAAATACCTCAAAGAAGAAAATAATATCTACCTTTGATTGCCATGTATGAAAATTATACATATTTTAGAATGTTTTAATTTTTAGAAAGAACTTAATATAAATTAAACAACTTGAGAATTGGTATTAGTGCTAGTAGTGCTTTTCACAATTAATTACATATATTTTTTTACTTACACTCTTGAAAAGGACACTTACTAATTCTGAGTCTTAAATTACTCCTGCTTCTCTTATTAAAAGAAAAGTAAAACATGTTTAATGTGTTTTCTGGAGAATGGTGAAGAGCTATTTTAAAGCAGTCTGTTTCAGTTTTAGGAAATCAGATTGTCACCATGTGAATGTGCTCATTGGCAGGATGGTACATAGTTTTCATATTCACCATTCTCTTGGAACCTAACACTTTGTCTGAAATGAATAAATAAATGATGTCTAATTCACCACCTGATGATTAGTTTCTTGGAGCTGCTGTTCTGGTTAATATCATCATAAAATAATACTAAAATTTGTTCATAAAATATAATTTTATGGATTTGCATTTTTAAAATATCTGGAGCACAAATATTTAACATGAATGTTAACAAAACATCTTTGAGACTTTTACATTGCTTTTCTTGCAGTGTGTGAGTGTGGTTTGGTAAGCAGTTTTTAAAAATCACCTTTAATAATTTGTGGTTCATAGCAAAAACATTGAGTGAGATACTGAAATGTTCATATAACATCAGTAAAAAATTATTGTGTCAACTGTTAGCAATTCTATTATAAATTAAGAAAATATATCTTCTGTTTAGCTATTCCAAATCCATGTTTAACCACATACTCACCTAAATCTTGCACGAAGACTTAAACTCTCTAAAGTTCTGCTTCCTCATCCATAAAGTGAGGATGAAAATACATCTGTTATCTTAGGAATAGTCACTATTTGGGAAGATTCAATATGATAATGTATGTAAAGCACTTAGTATGGGGCCTGGAACATACTGAGTTTTATAGAGAATGCTCTAGTTTATTGTGACTGTGGAGTATACTTCTGGAAGTGGGAAATTTCTGGATTAGAGCAACACAGTGTAGCAATGATAAATGGGGTAGACTTTGCATAGGGATTCATCTCCAATTATAGGCATGGCTTACTGCATGAATGCATTTGTGTGTGTGTGTGTTTCTGTGTGTGCATGTGTGTTAACTTTTCTCCAGTAGATGGAATGGATCATTGTCAATACTCAGCCTCATTCTGGCCTATGATTTTTGTTACTGCAGAGATATTTCTATCTTGTGTTCTAAAAATATATTTGAAAAGCTTCACCAGTGGAAACTGAAAAACAATTTTTTGGTGTGTAACTTTTATATTTTAGAAATTTTTGGCCATGATTGTTCTCTATCATGAATTTTAGAATCTCTGGCCAAGTTCCCAAATCATAACTTTTGGATTTGTTGGGATTGAATTACATTCATCAGTCATTAAATATACTTCTAAAGTAAAACGTGAACAAGTCAGTCAAAAATTCCAAAATTGGAGTGACATCAGCAAGATGGCAGAATAGAAGTTCTCCACCTCCACTCTCTCCCCACAGAAATCCAGCTAGCAACTGCCCACAGACAAGAATAACTGTGGGAAATCCCCGAACTCAGGAGTGAGGCTGAGAGATCCACTTGGACCACCAAAGCGAGAAAAACCATGTTCAGGAGATCAGAGGAATGGTTCTCTTTGACTGCACCACCCATACCCCAAGGCAGTACAGTGCCACACACAGAGGATTCCCATGGACCCATGGTTTCTACAGTGAGAAAAATGAGTTGGAGGTAGACATTCAGTTTCCATACAATTCTGGGACCCTTCATAGAAATCTCACTCCTGTCAGCCTATGGGAAACATTGGGAGTACCAGCAGGATTACATCATGACTAGCCAACAGCATAGTGCTACAGGAACACAGTCCACAAGTTTGCCAGGATTGAGTCCCTAGCCAGCTACTCCATACAGCCTTGGTACTCACAGAGAGAGCATGTGGCCCCACTCAACCTAAACTGAAGAGCAGTGACTCCAAAAAGCCTTGGTGCTCTGCTTAAGCCCACCATAGTCCAAGAGGCAAGACTACATGCATATCTATGAAACATGGCCTCTGGCCCTGCTCATCTTGTGTGGTTGAGCAGCTACCCCAGCCACTTCATCCAGTCTCAGAGCCCAGCGTATAATCCTGCACAACTACAGATTCTGAGCAACAGAATCATCCAGCCAAGGAAGAAAATCTACAACCCTGCCCATTCAGAGACAAGCATAGAGTCCAGCCAGAAGCCCCATTTGACAGTAGAGTCCAGTTAGTGGTCTCACCAAACCACAGAGTACAACCAGCAGTACCATTAGACCTCAGAGCACAGGAAGTGACCAGTCCAACTAGGACACCTGAACCACGGTTAGCCTGTCTGAGGTTGCTATTAGCTGATTCCTCCAGAATCCCAGGCTAGACTATATAGTAAAGTTCTATCACCACCAAAGAACACCTGCAAGGGCTGGAAGAGGTGGCTGTCTGCTAAAACACACAGGTATCATTATAAGGACAGAAAGATTATGAAAAATCAGGAAAATATATGATACCACCAAAAAAAAAAAAAAAAAAAAACTAATACAGCTCCAGTAATAGACCTGGAAGAAATGGAGATCTATAAAATGACCAAAAAATAATTCCAAATAATCAACCTATAAAGAAATTCAGAAAGCTCTAAGAAAATTTAAATAGAAACATAAATAAAATTTGGAAAGCAATGCATCAACAAAATTAGAAGTTTAACAAAGAAATGTAAAAATTAAAAAATAAAAATCCTAGAGATAAAGAATATAACAACTGAGAAAAATCCAATAGGTAGTTTAAATAGCAGACTTGATCCAGCAGAAGAAAGAGTAATGATCTCAAAGACAGGACATTTGAAATTATCCAATCAGAGAAATAAAAAGAAAAAAGAATGAAAAAGAATAAATAAGACCTACATAAATTATGGGACACCATCAAGCAAAAACTATCCACCATATAATAGGAGTTTCAGAAGGAGAAGAGAGATATAAAGGCCTAGAAGGCATATTTAAGAAAATAATGGCTGAAAAATCTCCAGATCTAGGTAAAGATGATAACATTCAGATATAGAAGCTCAGAAACTGGCAGTAAAATTCAACCAAAAGAGAAGTTCACTAAGACACATTATAATCAAATTGTGAAAATTTAGACAAAGAAAATACTAACAATAGCAAAAGATAAAAAACAGATCACATTCAAAGCTTTCAGCAGATTTCAGATTTTTTCCTGCTGTGTGCAGCCTAGGGACTTAGTGCCCTGCGTTCCAGCTGCTCCAGTCTGGCTAAAAGGGGCCAAAGTACACCTCAGTCCATGGCTTCAGATGGCACAGACGCCAAGACTTGGTGGCATCCATGTGGTGTTGAGCCTGTGGGTGCACAGAAGTCAACAATTGTGGTTTGGGAACCTCTGTCTAGGTTTCCAGGGATGTATGGAAATGCCTGGATGTCCAGGAAGAAGTTTTCCACAGGGGTGAAGCCGTCATGGAGAACCTCTGCTAGGGTAGTGTGGAAGGAAAATGTGGGGTCAGAGCACCCATACAGAGTCCCCACTGGGGCACTACCTAGTGAAGCTGTGAAAAGAGGGTCACTGTCCTCCAGACTCCAGAATGATAGATTCACTGACAGCTTGCTCCGTGCACCTGGAAAAGCTGCAGACACTCATCACCAGTCCGTGGGGGTAGTACACTGGAAAAGCTGCAGACACTCATCACCAGTCCATGGGGGCAGTACACTGCAAAGCCACAGGGGTGGAGCTTCCCAAGGTCATGAGAGCCCACCTCTTGCTTCAGTGTGACCTGGATATGAGACAGCGAGTCAAAGGAGATCATTTTGGAACTTTAAGGTTTAATGACTACCCCATTGGGTTTTGGACTTTTATGGGGTCTGTTGCCCCTATGTTTTGGCCAATTTCTCCCATTTGGAGAGGGTGTATTCACCCACTTCCTGTACCCCTGTTGTATCTAGGAGGTACCTAACTTGCTTGTGATTTTACAGGCTCATAGGTGGAAGGAACTTCCTTGTCTCAGATGAGACTTTGTACTTGGACTTTTGAGTTAATGCTGGAATGAATTAAGACTTTGGTATACTTTTAGAAGGGCATCATTGTATTCTGAAATATTAGGACATGAGATTTGGGAGGGGCCAGGAGCATAATGATATGGTTTGGTTGTGTCCCCCTCCAAATCTCATCTTGAATTGTAGCTCCTTTAATCCCCATGTATCATGGGAGGGAGCCAGTGAAAAGAAATTGAACTATGGGGGCGGTTACCCCCATGTTGCTGTTCTCATGATAGTGAGTGAGTTCTCATGAGATCTGATGGTTTTATAAGGGGTTTTTCCTCCTTTTGCTTGGCACTTCTCCTTGCTGCCATAATGTGAAGAAGGACAGTTTTGCTTCCCCTTCCTCCATGATTGTGTTTCCTGAGGCCTACCAGCAGTGTGGAATTGTGAGTCAATTTAACCTCTTTCCTTTATAAATTACCAAGTCTCGGGTATGTCTTTATAAGCAGCATGAGAACAGATTAATACACAAGCTCTAACCTATCAATAATTACCTTGAATGTAAATAGATTAAATGATCCAATAAAAATACAGAATGGCCAAATACAGTAAAAAAAAATACAACTATATGCTGCCTACAAGAGACCCCCTTTTCTAGTAAGGGCACACATAGACTATGAGTAAAGGGATGGAAAAAGATATGCCATGAAAATGGAAATGAAAATAAAGCAAGGGACCTATATTTATATAGAGAAAATAAACTTTAAATCAAAAACTATAAAAATAGACAAAGAAGGTCATTACATGATGATAAAAGAGGTTAATTCACCAACAGGAAATAACAATTGTATATATATGCCCTCAACATTTGAGCACCTAAATACATAAAGCAATTATTAAATGATTAGGAGGTAGAAACAGAGTATACTACTACAAGACAGGATCCAGGATGCAAGGGTAGTTCAATACATGCAAATCAATAACACGAGGTTAAAAAATGAAAAATAAAAATTATACGATCATTTCAATAGATGCAGAATAAATATTTGACAAAACTCAACATGCTTTTATGATCAAAATTCTCAACAAATTAGGTATAGAGGAAATGTACTTCCACATACATAAAGCCATATATGACAAACCTGTAGCTAGTATCATTCTCAATGGTGAAAAATTGAAAGCTTTCCCACTAAGATTAGGGACCAGATAAGAATGCCCACTCTCACTACTTCCTTTTTAATATAGTACTGGAAATTCTAGCCAGAGTAATTGGGGAAGCAAAAGTAATAAAATGCATCCTAATTGAGAGAAAGAAGTTCTTTCTTTCCAACTGCCTGTATTTGCTGATGACAAGGTCTCGTATATAGAAAACTCTGAAGATTCCACCAAGAAACTGTTAGAACTGACAAATTCACTAAAGTTGAAGCATACAAAATCAACATACAAAAATTACTTGCATTTTTATATACTAATAATGAGCCATCTAAAACAAATTTTAAAATCACATTTACAATAATGGCAAAAGAATTAAATAATTAGGTGTAAATTTAACCAAACAAGTAAAAGACTCATATAAAACTACAAAACACTGATGGAAAAAAATTGAAGCAAACACAAATTAATGGAAATATATCCATGTTCATGGACTGGAAGAATTAATATTGTGAAAATGTTTATACTACCCAAAGACATCTATGGATTCAATCCTATGAAAATTCCACAAGGCCAAGCACAGTGGCTCATGCCTGTAATCCCAGCACTTTGGGAGGCTGAGGCGGGTGGATCATGAGGTCAAGCTTTTGAGACCAGCTGACCAACATGGTGAAACCCCATCTCTACTAAAAATACAAAAATTAGCCGGGCGGGACATGCCTGTAGTCCCAGTTACTTGGAAGGCTGAGGCGGGAGAATCGCTTGAACCCAGGAGATGGAATTTGCAGTGAGCCGAGATTGCATGCCACTACACTCCAGTCTGGGGGACAGAGCGTGACTCTGTCTCAAAAAAAAAATTCCACAACAATTTTTCACAGAAATATAAAAAACAACCCTTAAATGTGTATGCAGCCACAAATTACCCCAAACAAAACAACCTTGAACAAAAAGAACAACGCTGGAGGCATCAAACTCCCTAATTTTAAAGCATATTTGTAAAGCTATGGTAATTAAAACAGCATGGTACTATTAGGAAATCCAGAAATGAACTCATGAATTTCTGGTCAATTGATTTTTGACAATAGTGCTATGAATACACAATGAGAAAAGGATAGCCTCAAATAAATGATGCTGAGAAGATTAGATATCCATTTGCAGAAGAATGAAACTAGATCCTTGTCTTATTGCATATACAACAACCAACTCAAAATGGATTAAAGACAAATATAAGACCTGAAGAGGTAAAACTACTGGTAGAAAATACAGAGGAAATCTCAATGCCACTGGTCTGGGCAACAATTTTTGGGATATGACACATAAAGCATAAACAACAAAGCAAAAACAGACAAATCAAACAGCAGCAAACTAAAAAACTTGTGCACAGCAAAGAAAACCATTAACAAAGTGAAGAGACAACCACAGAATGGGAGAAAATATTTGCAAACTATACAACTGATTAAAGGTTAATATCCAATATATATAAGAACCTCAAATAACTCAACAGCAAGAAAGAAACAACCCAGTTAAAAATAACAAATGACATTAACAATCATTATTCAGATATACAAATGGCCAACAGGTACATGAAAAAATGCTCAGCATTACAAATCTGAGGAAAATGCAGATTAAAACCACAATGAAATATCACATCTGTTAGAATGGTCTTTATAAAAATGATAAAACAAGTGTTGGAGAGGATGTGGAGAAAAGGGAACATTTGTATACTGTTAGTGGAAATGTAAATAACTATAGCCATTATGGAAAACAATATAGGATTTCCTCAAAAAACTAAAAATAGAAACTACCATGTGATTTAGTAAGCCCAATTCTGGGCATATATCCAAAGTAACTGAAATCAATATTTTGAAGGCATATCTGCATTCCCATGTTCATTGTAGCATTAGTCATACCAGCCGGGATATAGAATCCACCTGTCTACCAGCAAATGAATGGAAAAGGAAAATGTGGCATATATACACAATGAAATGCTATTCTGCCTTAAAAAAAAACAGGGAAATTCTGTCATTTGTGACAACATGGATAAAACTGTAGGACATCATGGTAAGTTAGTTAAACAAGGCATGGAAAGACAGATAACATGATTTCACTTATAGGTGGAATCTAAAAATGTTGAACTCATACAAGTAGAGAGTAGAAGGATGGTTAGCAGAGGTTGGGGGTGGTGGGAAGGGAGGGAATAGGGAGTTATTGATCAAAGGATACAAAGTTTCAGAGAAACAAGAGGTATAGGTTTTGAGATATATTACAAGGCAGGGTGACTATACTTGATAATAATGTGTTATATATTTTAAAAATAACTAAGAGAGTAAATCTCAAGTGTCTCACCACAAAAAATGACAGGGAAGCAAGGTAATGGGTATGTTAATTAGCTTGACTTACTCATTCCACATTGCTTACATATATCAAAACATCACACTGTATTGACAAATGTATGCAATTATAATTTATCAATAAAAAAATATTTTTTTAATGCCAAAATTATTTCCCATTACTTGTAGAATTAAGGTCAAATTCCTTGAATGATGATGTGGCATGGCTGTGTCCCCACCCAAATCTCATCTTGAATTCCCACATGTTGTGGGAAGGACCCAGTGGGAGGTAATTGACTCATGGGGGCAGGTCTTTCCTGTGCTGTTCTTGTGATAGCGAACAAGTCTCGTAAGATCTCAGAATTTCATAAAGAGGAGTTCCCCTGCACAAGCTATCTTTCTTTGCCTGCTGCCACCCGTGTAAGATATGACTTGCTCCTCCTTCCCTTCTGCAATGATTGTGAGGCTTCCCCAGCCACGTGGAACTGTAAGTCCATTAAACTTCGTTCTTTTGTAAATTGCCCGGTCTCAGGTACGTCTTTATCAACAGTGTGAAAATGGACTAATACAGTAAATTGGTACCAGTACAGCGGGGTATTGCTGAAAAGATACTTGAGAATGTGGAAGCAACTTTGGAACTGGGTAGCAGGCAGAGATTGGAACAATTTCTAGGGCTGAGAAGAAGACAGGAAAATGTGGGAAAGCTTGGAACTCCCTAGAGACTGGTTTAATGGCTTTGACCAAAATTGTGGCAATGATATGGACAATGAAATCCAGGATGAGGTGGTCTCAGATGGAGATGAGAAACTTGTTGGGAACTGGAGCAAAGGTGACTCTTGTTACGTTTTAGCAAAGAGACTGGTGACATTTTGCCCCTGCCCTAGAGATTTGTGGAATTTTGAACTTGAGAGAGATGATTTAAGGTATCTGGCAGAAGAAATGTATAAGCAGCAAACCATTCAAGAGGTGACTTGGGTTCTGTTAAGACATTCAGTTTTTTTTTTCTTTGTCTAGAATTAATTTCTTTTTCTTTTCTTTTTTTTATACTTTAAGTTCTAGGGTACATGTGCACAACATGCAGGTTTGATACATAGGTATACATGTGCCCTGTTGGTTTGCTGCACCTATCAACTAGTCATTTATATTAGGTATTTCTCCTAATGCTATCTCTCCCCCAGCCCCCCACCCCCTGACAGGCCCCAGTGTGTGATGATTCCCCTCCCTATGTCCAAGTGATTTCATTGTTCAATTCCCACCTATGACTGAGAACATGCGGTGTTTGGTTTTCTGTCCTTGTGATAGTTTGCTGAGAATGGTGTTTTCCAGCTTCATCCATGTCCCTGCAAAGGACATGAACTCATCCTTTTTTATGGCTTCATAGTATTCCATGGTGTATATGTGCCACATTTTCTTAATCCAGTCTATCATTGTTGGACATTTGGGTTGGTTCCAAGTCTTTGCTATTGTGAATAGTGAAAGTTTTCTCCTGCCCCATTTATAAATATTATCGTTATATTTGTTCATGTGTGGTAGGAACACTTAACCAAAATCAATTTTCTTAGCAAATTTCAATTGTATGATCAGTATTTTTAGCTGTAGGCAGTATACTGTACAGTAGATCTGCAATCCTATGTTCACTGCAGCATTATTATAATAGTCAAGATATGGAAATAATCTAAATGTCCACTAGCAGATAAATGAACAAAGAAAACGTGGTATGTATATGTGTGTGCACATACCACATTTATAAATACATTCACATACAACTGAATATTATTCAGCCTTAAAAACTGAGGAAAATCCTGCCATTTGCGACAACACGAATGAACCTGGAGGACTTTATGCTAAGTAAAATAAGCCAGACACAGAAAGACAAATACTGTATGATCTCACTTAATATGGAATCTTATAATGTTGAACTCACAGAAGCAGAGGGTAGAATGGTGTTTGCCAGGGGCTGAGGGAAAAGGGAAATGGGAATATAATAGTAAAAGTGTACAAAGTTTCAGGTATGCAAAATAAATAAGCTCTAAAGATCTGTGACATAGCAAATAAAATTTCTTAAATTTCTATTCACTATTCTATAAAAATCATAGTGTCTACTCAGCTGTCACCATTATAATAGAGTAATACACAGTACCACCATGTGAATTAGTGAATGTTGTAAAGGGAGATTTGCATGTAATTTTTATGATGGATAACAAAATGTATTTCAGATAAGCTATAGACCTAATTGATTATTTCAAATTTCAAATTTTATTCTTCATGAAATGAAGTTAAAAAGACTACAACTTTTTTTTTATCAGCTCAGTATTACATAAACAAATCATAATGATTTATAGTCTTTAGCTCCTTAAGTGTTACTGTTCATACATTTCATTGCAGAAACTTTCATGTGTTTGATTACAGGATCCTATTTCAGCCTCTGCTCAGGGTGTTACATAATTCTTGTATTACATTTTTAAAATCTAAAAAGCTTCTGATTTTCAAACTCCCTTGCTGTTTGTGTGAGTTATTTACCACTGTTGCAAACTACCCCCAAATTTTGTGTCCTGTAAACACATTTATGAGCTTGCAGTCTGTGGGTCAGCAATTTGGATTGGACTCAGATGGACAGGTTTATTGGTTACATCTGGGCTCACTCATGTAGCTTTAGTCACGTGATGACTAGACTGAAGCTGGATGGCCTAGGATGGTCTCATGTTTTCTGGTTGTCTGGCTGTCACTTGGTTTTCTAGTAATGCTTCCTCAACAAACTGGAGTTTGTTCACTTGGCGTCTGTATTCTAAGAGGGCGAGAGCAGAAACTGTAAGGCCTCTCAATCTTAGGCTTGAAAGTTACTCAACATCACTTTTACCACATTTTATTGATGAAAACAAATCACAAATTATTATAACTGAAGAAGCAGAGAAATGAGTGTTATTTATCATGAGTGGAGCTGCAAATAATTTGTGGCTACTTTGCATCTACCACAGTGATCTTACTCATACAAGATTATGGATCCACATTATCAGTAGAGAGCAAATTTCAAAACCATCACCGACAATGTTCCTATTGCTACCTGAGTAATTTTGAGAACTAGTTTTGATTCTCTTAATATAATTAGTTGTAGAAGATATGAATAAAAACTAGAGAGTGAGGTATCAAATTGTTTACTTAATCTAGGGAAAGTATTATTACAAATCCCTGGCAGTCACCAGAAGAGTAGAGTGAAAGTCAATAGCGTGATGGCGATATAACATGGTGTGAATAGGGCATTTAATGGGAGTAGTTTGCTTCTTGTTAAATCTGCCCCATGATTTATGAGCTGTAAGTGAATGAGCATGCCCAGGAGCTACCTACTGGGGAAGACAGTGCGTCAAGGAAAAGGCATAATAACTGTGAGTTAAGTCAAAGAGATGTAAATAGATAAAATATCTGCGAAGACAATGAGGACTCTATTTGTCCATTAATTAAAATGGAGCAGAGGACACAACTAAAGAAGCTCAACAAATTTTCAGTGTAGCAAAGAAAAGGTGAGTCTAAGGGACTCCAAGTTCAGGTATTTGAAAGAAGTCATATGTGATTGAGAATGTTTGATACTACCATTTTATTGAAAATTTGGAAAAAAAATCATTTTTGCTGACAGAATGGTATGCCTCTAGCTGTTGATTATGATTCAGGAAAAGAACATGAGGACTTTGGAAACAATTTTTGTTTGAACAATAAAGGGCAGGTAAGATATCATTGTATGTGTTTCTCAAGATATCAACTAAATGAACTGGAAACTTAGAACTAACAACACATGAAAAGGAACAATAAATATTAATCTACCTTTGTACAAAGACAGGTTGTATTGAATTCTGAGGAAAGAAAACACTTAAGTTATCAAAAGACATAAGTTCAAAAGGAAAGGGGGAGATAGCTGCCACTGAAAAGCAAATCAAGGAAGAGTTATACCTCACCCCTACCATTAGGCATATATAGTGAATGTGGAAATTAAATTGACATCAGGTAAGTCTTATGCCAATCCAAACACCAGGGAGCAATCTTCCTGTTTCCTCTTTCCTTTCACCTCACATGAACTTCACTAGTGAAAAATACTGGGGCCTTGTGTGTTGCTCATGCTACCTGTAATCCCAGCACTGTGGGAGGCCAAGGCATTGGGTGGATCTCTTGAGCCTAGGAGTTTGAGACCAGCCTGGGCAACATGGTGAAAGCCTGCCCTACAAACAAACAAACAAACAAACCCAAATATTAGCCAGGCATGGTGGCATGCCTGTAGTGCCTCCCTACTTGGGAGGCTGAGGCAAGAGGATTGCTTGAGCCTGGGAAGTAGAGGTTCCAGTGAGCTGAGATCACACCACTGCACTCCACCCTGGTTGACAGAGTGAATTCCTGCCCTATTCCCACTATGAGGGAAAAAGGAATCTGTAGAATTGTTGGGAATAGGAGATAAAGGGTCCTAATGGAGTTTTGTGCTATGACTCCTATATTCCACTTCAGCAGGCTAACAAGTGTCCAGTAAAGGTAAACATGAAATAGTGCTGGCAAGCTACAAGAGATGTAATTTCTGAATTTCATCACAGTGGGAAAGTCTAAGCCTGAACAAGGAGAAGATATTAAGAAAAATTCTCTGGTAAACCAGCTCCAGGAGAGGAATTTGAGGCCTGTGGTTCACAGAGTATAACCACAGAAACAAAAATTCTCATATCCAGCTCAATTAGATTAACACAAAACCCTTGTGCTAAAGAAAGATCTAACAGAAGGAAAGATATGCCTGGATCCAAGCAAAAATCTATTTATCTCATTTTCTATTATCTACACAAGGTGTAGATGTTCAACAAAAAATTAGGAAGTATATGAAAAGCCTAGGAAACATATTCCCAAGACACAAATGAATTAGCACTAGACTCAAAATATGACATAAGAATTTAAATTTATTATGCTAAAGGCTCCATTTGAAAAGGAGGTCAACACACAAGATCATATGGGTAGTTTCAGCAAAGTGAGAGAAATTATAAGAAATTAAATAGAAATGCTAGCAATCTAAAGCACAGTAGCAGAGATAAAAAATGCCTATGACTGGCTCATTCATAAACTCAACACAGATGAGGCAAAAATGTCATTGAACTTAAAAATAGTTCACTAGAAATTACCAAATATGAAATGCAAAGATAAATAAAGAGTAGTATTAAACTAAATGGATTTCTTCTAAAATTACCTCTGTACTTTGAATTTCTCTGTAGTAAACTGCAACCTAACTCAGTATATGCGAACTGCAACATAATTTGAGTATATTCTTTTAACAAGTAGCTGAGTCTCAGCCAATCATCACAGCCAAAATTCAGCCAATTATAGGCTGTCAACTGATCAGACATGCCCAAATAAGGCAAATGCTGAGCTGGAATCAATCAAGCTGTTTCTGTACGTCACATCCTTTTTCTGTCTGTAAATATTACCTGCCCAAGTTGCTGAGTGAAGCTCTCTGAACCTCTCCTGGTTCTGAGTGCTGCCTGATTCATACTTTGCTCAAATAAATTCTGCTAAATTTAATTTGTCAAAAGTTTTTCTTTTAACAGTAGAAATAAAAAACATAACAGAGATAAAAGAATGGGGCAGGAGAATTTTGGAAGAAATAATGGCTAAGAGTTTTCCAAAATTAATAACAGATATGAAATCACAAGTCCTGAAGCTCAGAGAACACTAAACAAGATGTATATATAAAGATGATATGGTTATTATATTCAAGCTGCTGAAAGCAAAAGACAGGGAAAATCCTAAAAGTAGAGAGAAGGGGCCAGGCCCAGTGGCTCACGCCTATAAACCCAGCACTTTGGGAGGCTGAGGTGGGTGGATCATGAGGTCAGGAGATCAAGACCACCCTGGCTAACATGGTGAAACCCCGTCTCTACTAAAAATACAAAAAATTAGCTGGGCATGGTGGCGGGCGCCTGCAGTCCCAGCTACTCGGGAGGCTGAGGCAGAAGAATGGCAGGAACCCGGCATGAACCCAGGAGACGGAGCTTGCAGTGAGCCGAGACTGCGCCACTGCACTCCAGCCTGGGCGACAGAGCGAGACTCCATCTGAAAAAAAAAACAACAAAACAAACAAAAAAAATAAAACCAGAGAGAAGGAAAAAAAAGACACATTACCTTACCTACAGTGGAAGGAAGGTAAAGAGTATAGCTGACTTCTCACCAGAGACTATGAAATCCAGAAGACCATGAAATGACACCATTAAAATGCTGAAATGACAAAGAAAATGAACAGAATCCTATGAATCCCAGAATTCTGTATCTAGAGAAGATACCTGTAATAAAAATTAAGGGGACATATTTTTTTCAGGCAAACAAGTACTGAGTGAATTCATTGCCAGCAGAGCTACACTAAAAGAAATATTAAAGGTAATTCTTCAAGTGGGAGAAATACGATACCAGGCAGAAACCTAATCTACACAAAGAAATAAAGAGCACTGGAAACTGAAAAAATAAAGTTAAGAGAAATGCCTAGAGGAGAAAGTATTTCAAGGAATGTTGTGGATGAGGTGGGGGTTTTAAGGCAGTAGTGGTGAGAGAAGTAGGCCTGAAACTAAGGCTAGATGGTGGTGGTCAAAGTATATTAACAATAATTGATTTTTGCATAAGAGATATATTTACGGTGGATTTTACCTGGCTAAAATATTGCCCTTTGTTGAAAGATTGCATCACTATGGGATTTTTTTCTTAAATTATTCAACTGTATCATACAGATTATAATTAATATAAGAGACTCCCTTTTAAGGCTTCAGTCTAAGATGTAGTAAACCAATTGATGTACGAAAAGATTATAGCAATGCTTTTAAATAATCCCTAGGCCACTTCTGTTTCAGTGTCAGCAGAATTCTATGGTATAATTATTGCATACTTGTAAAAAAAAAAGCATAATTTTTCTCTGAGGTAAATTTAAGAAAATTGTGATAGATTGAGGGATAGAAGATATAATGAATTCAATAGAAGACAAAACAAATAAAATTGTAGCAGAAAATGGTTTAAATATCTATTGAGAGTCAAACAATAAAAAATATAATTAAGAAAATTAAAAAGATTTCAATTAATTTAATTCTAGGTATATTAACATCCTATGTGGATTAGAGATGGTTAGCATTTGGTAACCATTATTAAGTAACACTACTCAATACAAGTACCACAAATAACATTTTTTTTTTTTTGAGACCGAGTCTCGCTCTGTCACCCAGGCTGGAGTGCAGTGGCGGGATTTCGGCTCTCTGCAAGCTCGGCCTCCCGGGTTCATGCCCTTCTCCTGCCTCAGCCCCCGGAGTAGCTGGGAGTACAGGGGCTGGCCACCACGCCCGGCTAATTTTTTTGTATTTTTAGTAGAGACTGGGTTTCACCGTGTTAGCCAGGATGGTCTAGATCTCCTGACCTCATGATCCGCCCACCTCGGCCTCCCAAAGTGCTGGGACTACAGGCGTGAGCCACCGCGCCTGGCCCATCTCCTCTCTTTATGGATCATTCTTGCTTATAGTCCAGTCTTGCAAGGACTTAACATAATAGGAACCACCTACTGATTTATTTCCCTCACCGTCTCTCACATCTTTCTTTCTCTGCTGAATGAGTTTACACTTAATTCCAAGGGCAATATTATAATCAAATCCTTGTGTATACATTTGTTGACATTCATACATCTGTGGGTGGATGTTAGAGCCTGAAAGGATTGGGGTTTAAGGAAAAATGGCATCAGGAATATTTAGAGACAACAAGTGTATACAACTTTTTTTCAGGAATTTTGCTGCAAAGTGGAGCAGTAAAACACATTTGGAGGGCAAGGACATAGGGTAAACAGCTCTAGGTTTAAGTATACGTAAGAGAGAATTTCTTATTTTTAAAGTTGAATGTTTAAGATATTGGCATGTTTGTATTTTTACTGAGGATGTGAAAAAATGTAGGGTATTGTCTTCTTTTAAAAAATATTTAAATATTTTTAAATGCCTTATTTAAAATGTGAACAAATTCTTCATCCTATATCCTTAGCAGCTACTTTCTTGCTTGTCTCATTTTCAGAGCCAAATTTTTTATTAAATTAATTATATTTTCAGTTTAAGTAATATAGATATATGCATGTGTGTATGTATATACATATACATAAACATATACACTTACATTTCTTAATGGTTTTCTTGTATCAATATTTTATTTGTTCTTTAGATGCTATCTCTGAATTTCATACTATGAAAGATTTAACACTCTTTCACTACACACTACACTCACACATTTCTTTTTATCCTATATTCCTAGAATTGTTAACTAAAATTTGTGGTGAAATAAATATCTATTGTTTAATTATTATGGTTATGTAAATATTATTGGCACCGGACCTACACAGCATAATCCTATTTCTTTCTCATGCAAACTTTTTCTTCTTCCTTAAGTTAATAATTGCTTAATTTCTCTTTTTTTTAGTTTTCTCTGTACTGAACACAAATCACTAACTTTTATAG